>NC_000008.11:53427265-55927265 GCF_000001405.40 Homo sapiens | reverse complement strand
GGTTTCGGGAATAGAGGAATAAACATGTGAAGAATGGGGGATTTTTAAGGCAGTGAAACTATTCTATATGACTGTAATGGTGAATACATGTCATTATACACTTGTCAAAATCCATGAAATGTACTACACCAAGAGTGAATCCTAATGAAAACTGTAGATTTTAATTAATGTATCAACATTGGCTTATCAGTGATAACAAATGTACCACACTAATGTAACATGTTCATTACAGGAGTTAATTATATGTTAATAATAAGCTGGTTGAGGGTGGGAAGTCAGTGATGGCTAGATGGCAATTATCTGTAATTTCTGCCTAATTTATCTGAATCTAAAACTGCAGCTCTGGGCGCACTGCCTAGGAGTTAGCCGGGCTCCACAAGGAGCAGTAAAAAACAGACAAATGTAAAACTGCTCTAAAAAATAAAGTCTATTAATTTTTTTAAAAGTATATTGTGGCAGCACAGACACCAGCCCACATGCTTGGGAATCAGTATTTCTGAAAAGGGATCCTCCATTTTTAAAAAGAGGGCTGCCTGAAAATATTTCTACAAGAAGTTGCATGTATCCACATAATGTGCTTCTTCTTAACACCCAATAGTCTTTACAATTATCAAGGGCAGGCCGTTACCTGCTGTGTCTTAATAATTATGGTTTAAAATACAATAGAATTTCATTAGATCTTCTTGGCTTAATTCCCAAACTTCTTCAATTTTAGGTTCAGAAAATAACTGATAAGAGCTGGGAGATCTATTAATGTTTAATAATAAAGTCATCACTCCTAATACGCCCATAGCCATTTATGATAAAAGAAATGCACAGTTAAATTAGGCTTATAAAATGGCAAGGCAAAGTACATCTGATAATGTAGCTCTGAACTTACACATCTATACATGCATAGTCAACAGGCCTTTATCAGCGTTTACTAATCCTGCAGAACCATTGCTCTCAATCAACCATTCAGTAACTCAATTAAGTAAACACAGGATGGGCAGCAGGTACACAAACTGCATGATGCCATTCAATGGATATAATAGAGCCACTGAGTTGAAGATAAGGAAGTGGTTGGATCTGGGGGGTAAATCTACGTGGGAGAGGCTTCAGGAAGGTAGGGCAGGAATCTGCTGTTTTATGTTAAAGCTTTGTAGTTATTTGGTTTTTAAATTATGTGCAAGAATCACCTTGAAAGTGATAAAGATTTCTTAAGGATGGCTAAAATAATTGTGTAATTAAATAAAAAATGCTTATAATTTAATTTTTATAAAACAAGATAAAAAGTTTTATATACATTATGATTACATAATAAAAATGTTTGGAAGCAATATTAAAATCAAATTAAACTGAATCAAAAATTTTTACATAAACACTTGTATGCTTCTGTGGTGAGTTGGTTTTTCTTTTTCTTCATTGCTAAAGTGTCCACAATGAGCTATAATGATTTACTTTTATAAAAATATAGTTGTAAAAATTAAAAATCAAACACAGCAAGACACTTATTTATACCAGTCACCAGCGTCCAGGGTGTCCTCAGGAACCTGGCCATAACTGTGGACAGGCAGCACCTCTAGATGGTGTTTCCGTTCCATTCTGATGCCTTGGTGTCACGGGCGGCCTGCTTCCTCACCCATGAAAAAGGTAATAATAACGCCCATCCCCGCATGGCTGTGGTGGAGTTTAAATGGGTTCACAGAAGACAAAGACATAGAAAGCCCTTCTCCCTTAAGGCCTGGCATATTCATGAGCTTGTGGTAAAGTATGAAGGTCAAAAGCCAGGCAATAATTTGAACCTAGCCAAGGATTTTAAACGCAAAAGAAATATGGTGGAATGAGAATTGGAAAACATTCTGGTGGAGCGCAGTGGCTCGGACCTGTAATCCCAGCACTTTCAGAGGTGAGGCGGGAGGACTGCTTGAGCCAGGAGTACGAGACCAGCCTGGGCAACATAATGAGACTCGTCTCTACAAAAGAAAATTTAAAAATTAGCCAGGCATGGTGGTGTACGCCTGTGGTCCCAGCTACTCCAGAGGCTGATGTGGGAGGATTGCCTGAGCCCAGGAGTTTGAGGGGGCAGTGAACGGTGATTGCACCACTGCACCCTAGCCTGGGCAACAGAGTAAGAACCTGTCTCAAAACAAACAAAAAAAGAGGCCGGGCACGGTGGCTCACGCCTGTAATCCCAACACTTTGGAAGGCTGAAGCAAGCGGATCACCCCAGTTTGGCCAACATGGTGAAATCCCATCTCTACTAAAAATATAAAAATTAGCCAGGTGTGGTGGTGGGTGTCTATAATCCCAGCTACTTGGGAGGCTGAGGCAGGAAAATCGCTTGAACCTGGGAGGCGGAGGCTGCAGTGAGCCACGATCGCACCACCGCACTGCAGCCTGGGCAACAGAGAGACTCCATCTCAAAACAAACAAAAGGGAAACCATTCTTTGGACTAAGCTTGAAGCCAAAGCAGTGACTTACCAAGTGACATATCTGCAGTATATGATACTAGAAGTGAACTGGAGAGTCACTGTAAACTCACTCTAGGAGTTTAAAGGTGAAAAAGAGGAAATGGAAGGTCATGGCTGGATCCAGTTATTTTCTTAAAAATGAGGATGCAGCTGGGCGCGGTGGCTCATGCGTGTAATCTCAGCACTTTGGGAGGCCAAGGGGGGTGGATTACGTGAGGTCAGGAGTTCAAGACCAGCCTGGCCAACATGGTGAAACCCCGTTTCTACTAAAAATACAAAAATAAGCCGGGCATGGTGGGTGGACGCCTGTAATCCCAGCCACTAGGGAGGCTGAGGCAGGAGAATTACTTGAACCCAGGAGATGGAGGTTGCAGTGAGTCAAGATTACACCATTGCACTCCAGCCTGGATCATAGAGCAAGACTCCATCTCAAAAAAAGAAAAAAAAAAATGAGGATGCCAAGAAGTGCCATAAAATTGAGAAGGAAAACAGATGGTATAGAACAGGCCTGTACCATGATTCCCAAACTGTGTTTTGAGGCCCTCCCGGTGCCATGGTGAAGTCACAGAGGTGCCCTGGGATATTTCAAATTTTCAAGGGAAACACAATGACATCTCTCACACATCGTGAGAGGTACTCACTCAAGGTAGTGCTGTTTCAACATTAGATCATGCTATCTTCCTTTCAACAGCAGCATATATTTGTAAAACTGGGTTTTCTGTGGTTGCTATAATAAAAAAAAAAAAGAAAGAAAAAGAAAAAACAAGTACCACCAGAAAGTGAGAATGTGGGTGTCCAATATGATTCTAAGGTTGGAGAAGTTGTGCGGCAGGGTGTACACATCCCATTTGAGAATAACTGTGGTCATTTAAGAATAATATAAAAACATATTTTTCTTTCAATGTATGTGTATTTTTTTTTTTCAAATGGCACTAAGTCATTATAACAAACATTTATTAAGTTGTTTGATCTTGGCCGGGCGCGGTGGCTCACGCCTCTAATCCCAACAATTGGGAGGCCGAGGTAGGCAAATCACTTGAGGTCAGGAGTTCGAGACCAGCCTGGCCAACATGGTGAAACCTCATCTCTACTAAAAATACAAAAATCAGGTGGGTATGGCAGCAGGCGCCTGTAATCCCAGCTACTCAAGAGGCCGAGGCAGGAGAATCGCTTGAACCCAGGAGGCGGAGGTTGCAGTGAGCTGAGATTGTGCCACTGACTCCAGCCTGTGGGGACAGAGCAAGACCCTGTCTCAAAAAAAAAAGTTGTTTGACCTAAATATTCACTAACTGAAACTCTCCTGTATTTTTTCTGCTGTCGGGTTGCCTTGAAAAAATTATAGACACTCAGAATGCTGTGAAGCAAGCATATTTGGGAATCTGTAAGCAAGAAATTTTTGGAAGTGGGAAGCAGTGGATGGCAGGTTAGGACAGAGCAGGTGTAGCTTGACAGAGAGGCGGAAACTGAGCAGATGTGCTGGGAAGGGGAAGCAGTTCTCCTGGCACCGGGACCCACCTGCTTTATCTCTCACATTGCCCGCACTGCCATTAGGAGAAACTACTGACTCTCAGAAAGGATCAGTACCTTAGAGGCCACCCCCAATTCGTTTCAAAAAATTTTTAAATTACTTAAATAGTATGACAGACAATTCTATTGAATTTCCATCTTCCTTACTGAAAATTGTTTTTTCTCACCATTCCAGTCACCCGAGGCTCAAACCCTCAGTCATCCTGTCACTTTCGCTTCACATTTTACTCATTAGGTCCACCCTCCCTCAAGCCCTGTCAGTTTTGCGATATAATTGCACTTGGATTCTAGGCTCGGAAAGGCATGGAGCAGATAGTGAGTTTTGATTTCTTTTCCCTATATTGGTCTCCTTTCTCTACTAAACCCTACCTAATATTAATTGCTACAACAGCCCTGCTACGTCTAACCATCCCAGGTTGCTGAGGTTGCCTCCCAGCTGGCACCCTCCCGTTTTGCTACACTCATCTTTATGAATTCTATTTTCATGTTACTTCATATTCAAAATTCTTTTTTTTTTTTGATGGAATTTCGCTCTTTTTGCCCAGGCTGGAGTGCAGTGGCACAATCTCAGCTCACTGCAGCCTCCGCCTGCCAGGTTCAAGTGATTCACCTGCCTCAGCTCCCCCAATAGCTGGGATTACAGGCGTGTGCCACCACTCCCGGCTAATTTTGTATTTTTAGTTGAAATGGGGTTTCACCATGTTGGCCAGGCTGGTCTTGAACTCTTGAGAATTCACCCGCCTCGGCCTCCCAAAGTGCTGGGATTATAGGCATGAGTCACCACACCCAGCCTACGTTTATAATTCTTCGGAGACTGTCTTCTACCTATTATTTACCTGATTAGATAAATTAATACACTGGCACACATAGAACCAGGCTTTAAAATTGTGATGTCAGCCAGGTGTGGTGGCTCATGCCTATAATCCCAGCACTTGGGGAGGCTGAGGCAGGAGAATCGCTTGAGCCCAGGAGTTTGAGGCTAGTCTGGGTAACACAGTGAGACCCCCTCTCTATAAAAAATTTAAACACATTAGCTGGGCGTGGTGGCACATGCCTGTAGGCCCAGCTACTCAGGAGGCTGAGGTGAGAGAATTGCTTGTGTCTGGGAGGTTGAGGCTGTAGCGAGCTGTGTTTATGCCACTGCACTCCAGACTGAGTGAGAGTGAGACTCTGCCCAAAGAAAAAATAAAAATGAAACTGTGATCTCCCTTATCCATTCATTCTCCACCCACTCCTTTCCTTATGCTTCCCTACAGCACCCACGGAAGAATGTACCTATTTTATCATCTGTCCATCGCTCCTCTGTTACTGTAAGCTCCATGAGAGCAGGGATTCCTGTCAGTTTTGCACACCCTTGTATTATCAGTGCAAGAAACATTGTTCGGCACTTGTAAATGCTCTGTAAATATCTGTGGAATAAAGAGTATCCAGTGGAGTAAATGCTCAATACATTTTAAACATTATTATTACTAATATACCATCATTTGTAATACTGCTATCAACACTCCTGCCAACAGGACAAAACCTGAAATATTCAACCTGCCCCTCCCTGCCTCTCCCAGGCTGGCCTCAACCTGCCTCACCATCACCTGTGTTACTCCAAATGTTAGACTCCTAATTGGCACGGTGGCATCACCTGCCTTTTCATCTTGGCTCATGCACTCCTACCCATTTATGCAAATCTCACCTGTCTTCCAAACGTAACTCAAAACCCATCTTGCCTGGTCTCCAGCAGCCCACATCCTTCTCCCCTCAGATTTCTTCTCTCCACAATCAATTTGGAATTTCGTCCCAAGCCCCAGGACATCTCTTATAGTACAACTTTATGTCTGTTATGTACAACTTTATGTCTGTTATGTAACTCTAGAGGTGTCTATCAGTTAGTACGTGTATAGCTCTCTCCTCGATAGACTGTAAACCCCTTGAGGACAGACCCTGTCTATCCCGCTTCTTTGCAGACAACTTGCTTCAATAAAACATACACAGTGGGCCACCTGGTTACCAAGTCAGCAACAAAGCACCAGTTGTTGAATTAAAGTGAACTTAGAAATTCCACGTGCTTATTCCATAGTTTGTGGTCAGCAGCAATTCCGTAATAGAATATATTTTAATTATTAGCTACAATGTATTTGGTTTATAATAGATGATTAATAAATGTTAACTCCCAAAATTGTTTTCGTTTCAGACGTATCTAGACGATGAAAACAAACAAAATGTCCCCCATTATCTGATAATCTGTGATCATTCAAAGAATGTGGGCTGAAAATCTTTTACTTAAAAATCTTCCTGGCTGGGTGCGGTGGTTCACGCCTGTAATCCCAGCACTTTGGGAGGCTAAGGCGGGCAGATCACCTGAGGTCAGGAGTTCAAGACCAGCCTAGCCAACATGGTGAAACCCTGTCTCTACTAAAAATACAAAAATTAGCCAGGCGTGGTAGCACATGCCTATAATCCCGCTGAGGCTGAGGCAGGAGAATTGCTGGAACCCGGTGGGGGGGTGGTGGGGAAGGGCAAGGGGGGGAGGGGCGGAGCTTGCAGTGAGCCAAGATTTATGCCACTGCCCTCCAGCCTGGGCAACAGAGTGAGATACTGTCTCAAAAAAAAAATTTCCTGAAGTAAAGCAGCAAAGGACTTTGGAATGAGGGGAAATTGGGTCTATCCTTGTTCTTCCATTTATTAACAGACATATAAACATAAGCAAGTTACTTCATTAAACTTCATTTTCCTCATCTGTGAAGGGTAGATAACAGTCCTCCATCAGGGGTCACCATGAGGATTAAATGAAATAGCATATGTTAAATGCTCTCTCAGAGCAAGTAAACAATGCGTTACTTCCCATTATCCGCCCCCGTCCTCCAAAACAAGGAAAGCCAGGTTATAGTGACATGATCACACTTAAGAAATGTTGCTGTGACATTCTGCACAAACAAAATTGTTAAACAAAAATTGCTAAAGAGGCTTTATGAATGGGAATCCTGCTAACAAAGAAAGCGGTGTAATTTTCACAGCACTCCAGATAATGTCTGATGCGTCCCCAAGTCCCCCAGCTCTACCTCAATTCTATCCCTCTCTTCACTTTACTGGAATTCTAGTGGTCCAGGTTTCAGATTCTTCCCCAACTCACACTGGCCTTCCCACAATTAATCTGCTGAATTATTTTACTATATTTACAGCCCATGCTCACATATTTGGCAGAAAAAACAGTTCTATGTTTGCAGATGTCTTTTTCAATTGGCATTGACTTTTTTCTCTGATTTTGTCACTGAGTAAAAAATGAGGAATTCTGTTTTTCAGCCTCAAGCCATGTTAAGTTGGAGGACAGACAAAGAAGCAAAGAGTGGGGTCACGTGACAAAGCTCCCACCCCCACTCCCCCCGCCCAACCCTTCACTTTCCCAGGTACAAAGAATTATAAAGTTGCCTCCAAGCAGCGTCTTTGCCTGGAGAGCCATTTCCCGAGCCTCACACCTCAGCCAATGCACGTTCAACTGCTCACCCAGACGGGTGCATTCTCCCTCCCCAGGGCCCGTTGTGGCTTTTTGGATGCCCCAGCTGGCCTCCCGCTGAGAAGGGAAGGGACTTGGCCTGGTGAGAGGAAGATTAGGGTTTTCAAGCAGCCCCAGGAGGAGGAAGTTACTTGTTCCCACGGGCATGGGTTTTTCTTTTTGTGGGTGTGTTTTTTCTTTCTGAGACCAGGAAGCTAAATTTGCCTAATAGTTAAGACCAAAAGGATTATAGATTCTTTCTTCAAACCCCAGCCTGTGGCCCATCCCATCCCTCCATGGTAAAATCAGTCAATTTCTAAATCACCCTGACAGAGGGAGGGTTTCCAGACCCGGCAGTGAAGCGTATTCTATTCCATTATTTCTATGAAAAGCACTATATTAACAGAGCATTCATATTTATGTTCCTCATTCTTCTCACTCAAACTCTACACTAACTTAAAGTACGAACACTAAATTATATCCCAATTTCCTAAAAAGGCAAAAATCAAAACTTCATTTCCCTCTCCACTCTTTCTCTTCTTTTCAATAAACAACTGTTAGGTTTAGATTCTCACACATGTTCACTTTTCCTATTTCCTTTAATTAGCCCTGAAAGCCCAGCAAGTCCTGCTTTTCTTGAAATAATTGAGATCCTCTTTCTCCCCTATTATTTCTGCTTAAAATGTGTTATCTCCTGGTAACACAGACCAACATTCAACAGTCCTGCCTGTCGGGAATGTCTGACTACTATCACTTTTTTTTTTTTTTTTTTTTTTTTGTAGAGACAGGGTCTCCCATGGTCTCGAACAACTGAGCTCATGCAATTCTCCTGCCTCGAACTCCCAAAGCACTGGGATTACAGCTGTGAGCCACTGCACCCAGCCCATTCTCGCTGCTGAAGTCCACCTCCCCTGGGTACCACCTCCGTGAAGGTGGAGAAATCTCACCACCACTTTTGCACAGCCCATCATGGGCACCCATCAGGACCCGATCAGAATCCCCGTGTAGTTGGCTGGCCCAGTGGTGGGGTTTGCCAAAGAACTGTGGGCATACACTGAGCCTGAATCCCTCAGCCTCAGTGACTCATTTGGACAATGAGGACACTGCCCCCTACCCCGCAAGGCCATAGTAAGGATTAACCGAGACAACCCCGAACACCTGGCACCACTCAATCTGGGAGGGCTCTGGTCAACATCACTTATGTGTGGTGATGGACAAAATGCATTATTATTCCTTAACAATCGTTTCTAGATCTGTCTTCTTGATTCACTTAAACATATATTTTGCTGCACATTTTGTATTTGTCCTGTTGATGCAGAAGGCAATGATTCTTAATCCTGGCTGCACATTAGAGCTTGTAAGAAAAATGCAAATGTCCCGGCTCCATAGCCCAGACCAGTTCAATCAGAGTCTCTGGGAGTTAGGCCTGGGCATCAGTGTTTTTACATCTCCACAGGGGAACAAACACATAGGCTTCTGCATGGTGATAAGTGCAATTAAGGAAATAAAGGCAGGTTAACAGGAGAGGGAGGAATGGGGTGGTCTGTCTCAGAGGCCTGTGGGAGGCTGGCTTGCTCCCACTGAGGCCTTGTGGAAGGAAACAGCCACACAAAGTGTCCTGTCTGAGCCAGAGACAGACAGCAGAGAGTGGAGACCTGTCTGAGTCGAGCCAGCATCAGCGCTGGGAGATCTGCAAGCTGCTGCTGCCGCTACCACAGCCCAGACCACCCTGGTTCCTTCTCAGTGCAGCCTTGCTTAGTCAGCTCTTCATTCAATTTTGTGCAGTTTGGTGCAATATCTCAGCTTCCTTCCAATAAATCCCCCATTTCTGCTTAAGCTAGCAAGAGGAGGTTTCCACAGAAACCCAAAGAACTTCTATGAATACAACATGTCATTAAGTTTAAATTAATCTTTTTACACAGTCATGTTTGACAAACACAGAACTTCACATCAGGAGATTTGGGAAAATCTATTCCAGCCTCTGCCATTGAATATCTCAAGCATATTCCTTAATTTTTTCAGGGTCAAACAAGATATCTATCCCTTTTAACTCTAATTCTATAAATCTTTGAATCTGGGATCCTTCCTGAACATATTATGCAATAGACACTGGAAGAGTAAGTGCCTAAAAGGCAGGGCCCTGTCTCCATGTGAGTGGAGGACACCCAGTAGGAGCTTACTTAGGGAACTCTTTTTCTTTCTTTCTTGCTAGCCCCTGTCACAGTTCATTAGCACTATCCTCCCCTTCCCTACTCCCTCCACTCCACAAGTTGGACAAAATGCTGTTAGTGTATCCAGGATATAAACACTTTTAAACTGCAGTTTTTGGTGGTTCATGCCTATAATCCCAGCACTGTGAGAGGCTGAGGCAGGAGGATCAGTTTAGTCCAAAAGTTCAAGACCAGCCTGGGCAACATAGCAAGACCCTATCTCTACAAAAAACTAAAATTAGCTGGGTGTGGTGGTGTATGCCTGTAGTCCCAGCTACTTGGGAGGCTGAGGCGGGACGATCACATGAGCCTAGGAGTTCAAGGCTGCAGTGACCTACAATCACACCACTGCACTCCAGCCTGGGTGACAGCGCAAGATCCCATCTTTCTCTCTCTCTCTCTTTTTTTTTTTTTTTAGACAGAATCTCACTCTATCACCCAGGCTGATGTGCAATAGTGTGATCTTGGCTCACTGCAGCCTCGTCTCCTGGGTTCAGGTGATTCTTGTGCCTCAGCCTCCTGAGTAGCTGGGATTACTGGCATGCACCACGGCGCCTGGCTAATTTTTGTATTTTTAGTAGAGACGGGGTTTCACCGTGTTGGCCAGGGTGGTCTTGAACTCCTGGCCTCAAATAATCCACCTCCCTCAGCCTCCCAAAGTGCTGGGATTACAGGTATGAGCCATTGTGCCCAGCCCCATCTGTTTTTAAAAAAGAGAAAAAAAAATAGCAGTCTCAAAATAATAACTATCCCTGACCTCACTCATCACCCAAAATTAACAAAAATCTGATGTTTTATTTTTCTGTCTGACACACACACAGCCTAAGGTGCCATTGCAGTATTGGGCATGGGGTAAAGGGCAATGCTGCCATTGCCACACACATTTCCAGTATGGAGCCAGAGAGAGGTCAGCCTGGCTCCACTCCCAGGGGAGGAGGGAGAGGCATTGTGGAATTCAGGACATGGTGAGGGATTTATATTTTCCTTCACATCTGGCACTCAGGGATCATCGTCAAACACAGGCTGGCCATCTAAAACAGTTGTTGCAGTGTAGCTCACATGCTGTCCTCGGTGTAGATACATGTCTTCACTGCTTTTGTGAACCATATTCGCACGCACCCTTCCAGAGCAGTATTATGTATGGAAATCTTTCAAAATCACCCAAAGTAACCTGACAAAGTCCAGAAGAAATTGAAGGTTTAGCCTTAGAAGCACCATTTTTAAGTTAGAAAACAGGGCCATTTAACAGTAGGTAATAGGAAACAGCCTTGTCAGTTGCAGTTTACTGATGTTAAAAGCGTAACATTGAACACAGTCACTATTTTTTCTCAATATTCACTTTCCCCTCAAAAAACAAAATAAGTGTCTCTTTAAAACCAATCAAATACCACCATTTTTTTTAGCCAATGATCATCTCAATAAAAATTTTTTCTGAAGATTTAGTTAAACATGAAACTATCATGAGATAATTTACCATAAAGGGGAATTATCAAATTGACTTACTCAAAGTTCTATATTTACTGAACTTAAGATAGCTCTAATTTTTATACCATTATTTTATATGCTTTTAAAACAATGGCTACCCTTTAAAATATTAAGATGCCATTAATTGTGAGTTTAGAGGTATTAAAATAGAAACATACTCATGTCATATCTTAGAGCTTATGGTGATAGTAAGTACAGGCTTATTGAATATCCATTCCTTTTTTTCAGAAATCATCATCTTTGTTCTCTCTTATCCTCGATGTCTCTCGCTCGCTCGCTCTCTTTCTCTCTTCTCTCTCTCTTTCCTTCTCTTTCTCTCTCTCTCTTTGGCAGCACTGCTTCATATGTTTTATATGTAAGGAGAATTTACTTATTTTTCTTAATTTTTTATTATTTTTTGAGACGGAGTCTTGCTCTTCTCGCCCAGGCTGGAGTGCAATGGCACAATCTCAGCTCACTGCAACCTCCGCCTCCTGGGTTCAAGAGATTCTCCTGCCTCAGCCTCCAAAGTAGCTGGGATTACAGGCATCCGCCACCATGCCCAGCTAATTTTTTGTATTTTTAGTAGAGACGGGGTTTCACCATGTTGACCAGGCTGGTCTCAAACTCCTGACCTCAGGTGATCCGCCTGCCTTGGCTTCCGAAAGTGTTGGGATTACAGGCATGAGCCAGGCCCAAGATCACAAAATTTAAAGATCCAGGACCTCAAATACTTCTTTGTTTGGTTCTGGTTTCACAGAAGTATTTTTTTAAAGAGTTTAATAAAATATATTTAAACAAACTATAGTTAATATAAATAAACCTGGATAGCAGAGGCTTAATGGTATCTGGAATTGCGGTGTGTATGTTCACAAGACATCAGGCAAAGAACCTTATGCGTTGGAATATGGAAGGCAGGCAGCATCCATTCTAGAATGCCAGAGAGGTTGGACAGCTGCAACACAGCGATGGAAACTGAAATAAAAGAGATTTTCAAAAGAAAGAGCAGATAATAGATAAGGCTTTAACACAGGGTACAAGCAGCGTCATCAGCCCATGGTTAATACAGTAAGTATTATAAAATGTAACGTTTTAATCTAATTAACAAAACCATTTGTACTCTCCCAGTCTAATTCACAATTATTAAATTACCCTAATTCAAAGCAGGTGAAACCCCAGGCACACAAACAGATGGCTAAGAGACAATTTCAAGTTGAGTTGTCCCTGAATCCCATCTGAAACACATCATTAGCATTGCTCACCTTTTCTACATTTGTTTGAAACTTGGCTCTATTGTTACAAACAAAATGAACAGGAGGGGTGGGAGTGAAGAGAAGAGCAACTTCCTTGGCCTTTCTTATTTTACCAATTAGGTAAATCTACTGGATATTGTAGTGAAACTGTTTTCTCATGTCTGGAAGGGTAAGGTGAGCGAGGCTGATGAAAAGGAGGTAGAAGGAACATAATCACCACTATGGCCATTCTGTTATCTGGATTCCTAACAAAATTCCTGAAAATGGAGGCCTCAGGAAAGGTTCCAGAGATTGGGGTGTTCCTGGAAGGCATGTGGATGGCCGGCAGGGCTGTGACCTACCCAGGCCCCTAGTCCCAGCAGCTGACCTGGCTTGATTCACTGCATAGTGCCTCTCTGAGCTCTGAAGGAACTGTACACGGCTCACATGAGCAAATAAGTGCCTTCTCCTTTTTTCTTCTTCCACTCTCACTTTAGGGGAGCATTTGCACCCTAAAGTATGGGGGCCATCTCAGTATATTTCATGTCAAATACATAAAGTGCTTACAGGGAGCAGCAGGACTGGCCCCCTTAGAATACAGTGTCCCCCTTCCCCTTAGATTAGTGCCTGAGTCCTCAATCTCTTCTCCACTCCACGGCCGACCTCCAGACCCTCCTACACCTCACAGGCCATCCTAAAAACCCTCTGACCTGGCCTGCCTTTCTCTTATTTCCCATGCCATTCATATTCCCTCTTCTTTCTCTCTCTGTCATACGTGCACACACACACACACACCAACAACAACCCTCCACCTCTCCATTCTCCATGCTGCATGCTAGTCCACTTATCTTTCCAAAAGCAGCCATGATTTCATCTCTCCCCTGTTTCCTCACTGCTCATTGCTCATCTGATAGAGCTTAGCAAGTCACTCCTCCACAATAACCTGTCTTCCTGGTTTCATAAGCTGCTCATCTCATTCCAACTCATCCTCTCTCGCAGCCATAAGAAAGCCCAGTACTCCAAGGCCCTTCATACCTTCTGGTGCCCTCGCACTTGCTTGCTTCCCAGAATAACCCATCCCATAAGCAGCCTCCTTCATGTTTCAAATCAGCCATTTCACAGACCACATCCTCCATAAAAACTGTGCCGAATCCCCAGACAAAACTACACATCCCTTCTTCCACGTCTGTGCTTATTTCAAGTAGAGCACTTGTCTCACGTCCTATTCTACTCAGTACCTTCAGCCCCAGGACACTGCCAAGCCCATTACGGGCGTTTACACTTTGCTGAATCATTTCATTAATAAAATAATTTATGTGTAATTATTTCTCCTCAACCCCTCAAAAATCTCCTCCAGCACTGGTACCTTTAATGTAGTTGAAATTCAGCAAGCACAACTTTAATCGTTTTATTCAAGTTGGTGTTTTCTAGATTTGCTAGTCCCAAGAATGACCAGAGTATTTGTTAAAAATATAGATTCTTGGGCCCTGCAGTAGGCAGCCCCTGAATGAGACTTTACAAGGAGGCTGTGGATATTTGCATTTGTAGCAAACAATATAGGTAATTCTTATACTCACTTGACTTAGGGGACACTTTTGTCCCCTACTAAAATCTGAATACCTTTGGAAAGAAAGCAACATAGCAAACTTTAAAACTATTTATATTTCAATGTGAATTATTTGGTAAAATCTTTTTGCTAAAAGATTTTAACAGAGGGGCCCAGGGAAAAGGAAGCGAACACAGGATATATCCAGTTTTGATTTTTGCAAAAAGGTTTTTGGATATGAGGCCAGTTTATATCCAACCCCTTTGTAATAAAAATACTTACCTAGTAAAATGGTTTCAACAGGCAGACATCCCACTAACTCTATTACATCACTTGTCATTTTTAATAAGTAGCATCATCAATTCTTCTAGTGGTTAAATATTGATAATACAAAATATAGATTTAATTATGAAATTTCATTACTATATAAAAGTAAAGTAAAGGGGAATAAACTTTTTACACACGGGCCATTTTAAGAAAAATTATAATATTTGTAGTCCATTAAAAGAATACATATTTTTAATCAGGAAATATAATATTGTAACTGTGCTTATGTGCATTTCTTTTTTCCTTATAATGAAGGAATTTCTTCTCTGTTTTGTTTTGTTTTGTTTTTTTTTTTCAGATGGAGTCTCACTCTGTCACCCAGACTGGAATGCAGTGGCATAATCTCGGCTCACTGCAACCTCTGCCTCCCAGGTTCAAGAGAGTCTCCTGCCTCAGCCTCCTGAGTAGCTGGGATTACAGGCATGTGCCACGATGCCCAGTTAATTTTTTGTATTTTTAGTAGCTACGGGGTTTCGCCACGTTGGCCAGGCTGGTCTCGAACTCCTGGACCTCAGGTGATCCGCTTGCCTCGACCTCCCAAAGTGCGGGATTACAGGCATAAGCCACCATGCCCAGCCAAGAATTTCTTATTTGGGTTAAAATTTCAAAAACTACTTAAGCGCAGGCATGGTATAGTCTAACCATAACGTTAGATTTTATAAAGGTTGTGACTAGGAGTATTCAAGCCTGATTTCTTTCCTTGACTGGCTTTCATTGCAAAATAACCACTTCATTACGAAAAACATTTTGTTTCATTATGCCTAGCAATGCATCCTTAATGATACATTGCAAAAGGGGCACACAGAAATGTGTTACACGGTGAAATATTCTTTAGTCAAATTCCTTTGGAGTACATTTATTTTTACCATCATTTCTTTTCTTGCAGCAGTCTAGCTGGTGTTTAAATGATTATCTCTAAGGTAGCTTGCCCCAGTCACACTGTGCTCTAAGTTGTTCCTCTCTCCTTCCATTTGAGCAGGGAAACACTAGATGGGAGAAAGCGCGGAAAGGGCTAGAAGGGACGTGGTAGAACACACCACGACGATATTGAGCTCACTCAGAATCAAACTTCCACATCTCCATTTGGACGCCCACCACACCCCATCAATAAGACCTGTCCATATCACAACACACTTGAAACCCACTCCCCTCCCATCTTCTCCATCTCAGTAAAGGGCACCAGGTGCTGAAGTTTAAAACCAAGAAGTCGCCCTTGATTCCTCTGTTTCTCAATCTTCAAATCAAATTCATCAGCAAGCCCTTTCCACGGACATGCAAAACCTATCCCCAATCTCATGTCGCTTTGACTCCCTGCCTCAGTCTCCAGGGCAGGTGCCCCGCAGCTCATAGGACTGCCCCCAGGGTTACCAGATAAAATACAGGACACCCTAGTACAATGGAATTTCACATATGTATAAATACTTCCCCAATTCAGACTTCTTTCCACCAAGTAGTGAATGTACATTTCCACCTGCTGCCCCTACGAGTTCAGGGTCACCAGGAGAGTCATCTCAGTCTGTACAAAAGAGATGGTTCACGCAATTCCTTGAGTATTTCATTGTATTTTAACCTTGTAATTTTTAAAATTTAGTAAAAAACCGGTTGGGTGCGGTGGCTCACGCCCGTAATCCCAACACTTTGGGAGGTCAAGGTGGGCAGATCACTTGAGGCCAGGAGTTCAAGAGCAGCCTGACCAGCATGGTGAAACCCTGTCTCTACTAAAAAAAAAAAAAAAATATATATATATATATATATATATATATACACACACACACGTATATATATATGTATATGTATATATATATACACGTGTATATATATATGTGTGTGTGTATATATATATATATACGTGTATATATATGTACATATATATACACGTATATATATGTATGTGTATATATATACGTATATATACGTGTATGTATATATATATATATATGTATGTATATATATATAAATTAGCCGGACATGGAGGTGGGCGCCTGTAGGCCCAGCTACCTGGTAGGCTGAGGCAGGAGAATCGCTTGAACCCGGGAAGCGGAGGTTGCAGTGAGCCAAGACTGCACCACTGCACTCCAGCCTGGGCGTCAGAGCGAGACTCTGTCTCAAAAAAAAAAAAAAACAAAATTAGTAAAAAGCCAAAAACCAAGGTGTTGATACGAAAACTACAAAAAGCAGAGGTGCCACAAACCTAATTCAACTGCAACAAGATGAAAATCACAAGGCAGGCTGAAAGCAGGGACTCTTCAGCTATAAGCAAAACAATTTTTGACTTAAGCTTATAGCCTTATTGGGAAGAAAATACATAAAATTAAAGAACAAAAGTGAAACCTGAATATATCTTAGAAATTATGTCTAACAACCCCAAAATTCATATGGAACCAAAAGAGAGCACAAATACCAAAGCAATCTTGTCCAGAAGGAGCAAAGCTAGAGGCATCATATTACTTGACTTCAAATTATTCTGCAAGGATATAGTCACCAAAACAGCATGGTACTGGCATAAAAATAGATACACAGATCAATGGGACAGAATAGAGAACCCAGGAATAAAGCTATAAATCTACGGCCAACTGATCTTTGACAAAGTCAACAAAAACATACACTGGGAAAAGGATACCCTTTTCAATAAATGGTGCTACAAAAACTGGTTGCCATATGCGGAAGAATGAAACTGGACTCCATATCTCTTACCATATACAAAAATCAACTCAAGATGAATTAAAGACTTAAATGTATGACATGAAAGCATAAAAATACTAGAAGAAAATCTAGGGAAAACACTTCTGGACATTGGTCTAGGCAAAGAATTCATGACTAAGACCTCAAAAGCACAGGCAACAAAAACAAAAGTAGACAAATGAGACTTACTTAAACTAAAAAGCTTTGCACAGCAAAAGAAATACTCAACAGGAATGAACCGACAACCTGCAGAATGGGAGAAAGTATATGCAAACTATGCCTTCGACAGAGGACTAATATGCAGAATTTACAAGAAACTCAAACAACTCAAAAAAAAAAAAAAAAAGACACACACACACACACACAAACAACCCCATTAAAAAGTGGGCAAAGAACATGAATACATATTTTTCAAAAAAAATACATACAAATAGCCAGCAAGCATATGAAAAAAATCCTCAACATCACTAATCATTAACACCAATCATCAGAAAAATGCAAATTAAAACCACAATGAGACTTCATCTTACACCACTCAGAATGGCTATTATTCAAAAGTGGAAAAACAAGAAGTCAATAGATATTGGTGAGGTTGCAGACAAAAGGCAATGCTTATACACTATTGGTGGGAATACAAATTAGTACAACTACTGTGGAAAACAGTATGGAGATTTCTCAAATAATGAAAACTGGAACTACCATTGATGCAGCAATCTCACTGCTGGGTATCTACTCAAAAGAAAAGATATCATTACATTAAAAAGAACAAGTGCTTGTATGTTTATTGGAGCACTATTCAGAATAGCAAAGATATGCAACCAACCTAAATGTCCATCAGCGGATGACTAGATAAAGAAAATGTGCTGAGGAGCCAATGGGGCGAATCTGCCATCTGTGGGATTATGACTGAACATGTCCAAGTCAGAATCCCACTCAGGTGGAACCTATGGCAGCGCCACAGAGCCTCCATGGGCCTTGTTGGCCCTGGATGGCTGGTCCCCACTGTCCCCACTAGAGGACTACTCTCCCCAATGCCAGGACTGGGGTCCAGTGCAGAGAGGCCCTCCTCCTGGGAAACAGGGTGCAGCTGGAAATGCAGTCGCACCCTGGCCCATCACGTGGCACACATTCATGGGGAACCTGGATTCTGGGTCCTAGACCCACCTGCTTCTGGGTCAGGGTTTCCTACTTAGCAGAGAAGCAAATTCGCCATGATCTACTGAAAGCCCTTGACACTAGTGTTTGAAATAAAAATAAATGAAGAAATAAAAGTAAAGAAAATGTGGGGTGTGTGTGTGTGTGTGTGTGTGTGTGTGTGTGTGTGTGTGTATATATATATATATATATATACATACACAATGGAATACCATTCAGCCACAAAAAAGAATAAAATTATGTATTTTGCAGCCATAAAAAAGAATAAAATTATGTATTTTGCAGCAACATAGATGGAAGAGGAGGCCATTATCTTAAGTAAAACAATTTATAAAGTCAAATACTGCATGTTCTCACTTATAAGTGGGAGCTAAATAATCTGCACACATGGACACAGAATGTGGAATGACAGGCAATGGAGACTTTGGAGGGTAAGAGGATGGGAAAGGGGTGAGAGAGAAATTACTTAGTGGGTACAATGTGTGCTACTCAGATGATGGTTACACTAAAAGCCCAGACTTCACCACTCTGCAATATATCCGTGTAACAAAACTGCACTTGCACCTCTTAATATTGTATAAGTAAAAAAGAAAGAAAATTATATCTAAAAAGGAATGTGCAATTATAAAAGGTTTAAACAGCCTTGGCACGGTGGCTCAGGCCTGGAATCCCAACACTTTGGGAGGCTGAGGTGGGCGGATCACCTGAGATTAGGAGTTCGAGACCAGCCTGGTCAACATGGTGAAACCCTGTCTCTACGAAAAATACAAAAATTAGCAGGTCGCGGTGGGGGGTGCCTGTAATCCCAGCTACTTGGGAGGCCACAGCAGGAGAATCACTCGAACCTGGGAGGCAGAGGTTGCAGTGAGTCGAGATTGCACCACTGCACTCCAGCCTGGGTGACACAGTGAGACTCTGTCTCAAATAAATAAATAAATAAATAAATAAATAAATAAATAAATGGTTTAAACAGCTTAGCTGTCTGGGAATTGATGCCCTTATCACCTTTAATTCTATTTTTAGCTTTCAAGCTTAGGAGGAAAAAACGGGTTGCCTGCAAATCATCCATGGTATGGCTAACGAGCAGTGTGACCTCAAGCAGCATATGCTAATCCTTCCCAGGATTTTATAATCCTCTTTATTCATTAGAACTGTTGGAGTTTCTAAACAAGTAAAACTTGAAGTTTTGGTTTCAACCCTTACAATCTGCTAAGGTAATAAAATGTTTGCAATAGTAATTAAGCCCTGTCTCTTATTTAGATATACATTTTTAAAAATTTGTATTTATTTATTTATTTAAACTACTTACTTATTTATGTGAAACAGGGTCTCACTCTGTCACCCAGGCTGGAGTGCAGTGGCCCTATTACAGCTCACTGCAGCCTCGACCTCCCAGGCCCAAGCAATCCTCCCACCTCAGCCTCCCTAGTAGCTGGGACCACAGGCGTGCACCACCACGTCCTGTTAATTTTTTTATTTTTGTAGAAACAGGGTCTCCCTATGTTGCCTAGGCTGGTCTTGAACTCCTGGGCTCAAGCAATCCTTCCACGTGGGTCTCTCAAAGTCCTGGGATTACAGGCGTGAGCCACTATGCCCAACTAAGTTTGATTTTCCACCAAAAAAAAAGCACCTACAATGAAAGGTAAAGATCCTAACTGTGCTGACATCAGTTCTGGTAGATGTATGTGCCCACGTAACCACCTTCCAAAACCAGACACAGAGCTTCCTTGACACCTCACAGGCCCATGGTGCTCCTTTCTAAGGCATCCCCTCTCATGACCCTGTTCCTGAACTTCACAGAAATGAAGTGCATATTCTTATCTGTTTGACTTATTTTATTGAAAATAATGTTTATCATAGAATACGTTATAGGTGAAAAAAAAGTTTTTGAGATTCAATCAGTGTTGAATATATCAGTGTCTCATTTTTTTGGTTGAGTAATACCCCATTTTATGAATATATCAAAATGTTTTGAACCACTCTTCTGATAATGAACATCTGAGATATTTCCAGGGTTGCATAATATTATGAATAAAGCTGCCATATATAGAACTGGACATGTCTTTTTGTGGACCTATGTTTTTCTTTCTCTTGGATTAATATCTAGAAGTGGAATTCCTTGGTCATGAGGTAGATGTATGTAGATTTTCTAAGAAATGACCAAAGGGTTTCCTGCAAGTGGCTATACCTGTTTATACTCGTCTCCCTGATCCTTGCCAGCATTTGGTCAGTCTGTTTTGCAAGGGATGGCAATGGCTCACTGAGCAAGCATTCATGATCCAGGAAGAGGAAAAATCATTCTCAATAGGACAGGGTTATTAAGGACAGGGCTCTCAGCTTACAGGAGGGCTGCTCCTTCTTCCTTCATCTGGAGGCTTACACCTCAGCTCAACTGTTGTTCAACTGGGATACATTTCATTTATTTCTCTCTCTCTCTCCTCTCTCTCTCTTTTTTTTTTCTTTTTCTTTTTTTTGGTAGAGACTGGGTCTTGCTACGTTGCCCAAGCTGATCTCAAATTCTTGACCTCGGCCAGGCGTGATGGCTCACGCCTGTAATCCCAGTACTTTGGGAGGCTGAGACAGGTGGATTACCTGAGGTGAGGAGTTCAAGACTAGCCTGGGCAACATGGTGAAACTCTGTCTCTACTAAAAATACAAAAATTAGCTGGGCGTGGTGGTGGGCACATGTAATCCCAGCTACTTGGGAGGCTGAAGGTGAATCACTTGAAGCCAGGAGGTGGAAGTTGCAGTGAACCGAAATCACGCCATTGCTGGGTGTGATTTCACTCCAGTCTGGGCGACAGATTGAAACTCTGTCAAAAACAAAACAAAACAAAACAAAACAAAACAAAAAAAACGAATTCTTGGCCTCAAGCAATCCTCCCACCTCAGCCTCCCAAAGTACTGGTATTACAGGCATGAGCCACTGTGCCTGGCCCACTTATTTTCTTCTTTATCAAAGCATGTTCATATACTCTTTCACAACCAACCCCGATTAAATCCTGATCAGAAATTCTAACAGATGGCAAAAGATGGCTCAGAAATGGAGTAATTTGCCCAGAGTTTACAGGGCGACCTCACCATCCCAGCCCTCTGACTTAACAGGTGCTGCGTAACTGCACATATCAGATGAACTACTGTATGGAAAAAGAAAGAAAAGCAACAACACAAAACTACTGAATGCTGTGAGTTATGTAGAACTATGCTGCACTTGGTGGTTTCTGACTACATGCTCCTTTCTCACTATAGGCTTCTTTCCAGAAGTCAAGATGAATGGGCAACCTCTGGGACTGCCAGAGGTGTGTCCCAGGAACAGAGGAGCGGGCTCTTTGCATGGGAGACACTCCAGGCCTAATGGGAAGTCCCTGGAGCAAGGGACTTCATGCACTCACATGATGCATATGACACAGACAAGGCAACGCTGTTTTGGTGAGTGAGGCTCTCCCAACAGATGGGAGAGGAGTGAGGCTCTCCCTGCTCCCCTGCCCATCCCATAGGCCTCTTAAGTGTTTGGGGGTGACTAGGAAAAGAAAGGACTCCAACCCTGGGAAACTATCCATCCTCTTAACTGGGACATTTGTGGTTCCCTTTTCCCGAGATGACCTTGCGGTAGCTTTTCTAGCTGGGTAGCTAGCAATTCTGGACACATCTCAGCACTCCAGGACATCTGACATTCAGGTGGGAACTGACTGGATATTAACTGGGCCACCTTAATTCACTGACCACCATGTTTTCTTTTGTCTTTCTTTCTTTCTTTCTTTCTTTCTTTTTTTTTGAGACGGAGTTTCACTCTTGTTGCCCAGGCTGGAGTGCAATGGCACTATCGGCTCACTGCAATCTCCACCTCCCGGGTTGAAGTAATTCTCCTGCTCAGCCTCCGGAGTAGCTGGAATCACAGGTGCCTGCCACCACGCCTGGCTAATTTTTTGTATTTTTAGTAGAGATGTGGTTTCACCATGTTGGCCAGGCTGGCCTTGAACTCCTGACCTCAGGTGATCCGCCTGCCTCAGCCTCCCAAAGTGCTGGGATGACAGGCACGAGCCACCACACCCAGCCAGGTCACCATGTTTTCTAAAATAGCCGAAAGATTCCCACATAGCTGAATCTAGTAAAATGATTCTCATCCTTGGTACACAAGCAGAATCACCTGGGGAACTCTAAAAAATACTGATGCTTAGGCCCCCACCATTCCCATTTCATTGGTTAGGGAACAGCTTGGGCATGGGGAGGTTTAAATGCTCCCCATTGATTCTAATGAGCAGCCAGGGTTGAGAATCACTAGCCACACTCTACACTACAACCTTACCTGCTTTTGAAAAAGGGTAAAATGCGCAGTCTAATAATGTAGGGAACCTTGCCAAACCCTGAGCTCCACCCTAGAATTGAAATCATAGCAATGGAAACCTTTTATGTTTATCTTCTTTTTTTTCTTTTTTGAGATGGAGTCTCGCTCTGTTACAAGGCTGGAGAGCAGTGGTGCAATCTCGGCTCACTGCAAACTCCACCTCCCGGGCTCAAGCAATTCTCCTGCCTCAGCCTCCCGAGTAGCTGGGATTACAGGCATGAGCCACCGCACCTGGCCATTTCTTTATCTTTTATAGGTGCATGATCTGCAGGGTAACACATACAGAAATTATTTTGTGTGGCATCATAATTCCATGCCCTATTAAAGGGTGGGGACTGGAATTTATCCACTGCCAACCTAACCCCATATGTGAACTCAGAACAGAAAAAATGCTCAGAAAAAAGGGTGGTCTGTGATTGACAAATAGAACCCAGGATTGTAAATACATTTGCTGGTGTTCAGTAAAGTTTAGTAAAGTTGAATTTCATATCATATTTCATATCATATTCTAAGAAATTTATTTTCATTCCATCAACCCGACAGCCAAATAATTGAGTTACTTACTCCTGAATTTGGTTACACTATAGCCATAAAGAAAATGTTGGTATTTACAAAGTATTAGCTTCAGGGTATATTTTATTTAAAAAATTGTTCATCGTACTTATTTCAGATTTATCTATTAAAGTCCTGCTATTATTTTTTTTAATTTCAGGAGTCATTCTACCTCATTGTTTATCAACTTTCAGAGAACACATTTTTTACAAGTGATAAAGTAATTCTACTTTATGTTTGAAACTCCAAGCTCTACATAAATGATAAAACACTTTTTTTTTGAGACTCTGTCTTACTCTGTTGTAATGGCACAATCACAGCCCAGTGCAGCTGCAACCTCCGAGGCTCAAGCGGATCCTCCCATCTCAGCCTCCCAAGTAGCTAGCTGGGACTACAGGGCCATGCCACCATGCCTGACTAATTTCTTTTTATTTTCTGTAAAGATAGGGTCTCTCTATGTTGCCCAGGCTGGTGTCAAACTCCTGGGCTCAAGTAATCCTCCTACCTTGGCCTCCCATAGTGCTGGGATTACAGGTGTGAGCTACCATGGATAAAACACTTTAAATTCTACATTTAGAATAATAGCCAGGTTAATCATACATAGGTAACAAGTTACTTTCAAAAGGAAGGTCTCAATAAAACTTAATTATTCAGATTAGATTATCAACATAGAAACAGAAAGAGCTTACAGTGAAAAATATCCTTCCAGGAAATGATTTATCCCTGATCTTAAAGGGAAAACTTAGAAAAGCAGCAAATTTTCAAACTATTCAGCTCATGAAAAGTTGGTAATCAAAAACACTCAAGTAGTTTTTTAGTCTCTTGTTGAAGTTTATTTCATCTTTGTCTACTTTCCCTCACAGGGCATGATATAGAAGCCTTAATATTTTCATTGTTCCCTACTGGAATCTCTCTGTTCTTTTGAATACTTCAAATAAACACCTCAAAGAAGAGCTGCTCACCATGAAGACAACTTCCCATTCAAGAAAGTACAAGGCCCAGCACGGTGGCTCACGCCTGTAATCCCAGCACTTTGGGAGGCTGAGGTGGGCGAATCACTTGAGGTGAGGAGTTCGAGACCAGCCTGGCCAACATGGTGAAATCCCGTCTCTACCAAATATATAAAAATTAGCTGGGCGTAGGCCGGGCGCAGTGGCTCACGCATGTAATCCCAGCACTGTGGGAGGCTGAAGTGGGCGGATCGCGAAGTCAGGAGTTCGAGACCAGCCTGGCCGATATGGTGAAACCCTGTCTGTACTAAAAAATACAAAATTAGCTGGGTGTGGTGGCACACACCTGTAGTCCCAGCTACTCGGGAGGCTGAGGCAGGAGAATCGCTGGAACCCAAGAGGCGGAGGTTGCAGTGAGTGGAGATTGCGCCGCTGCACTCCAGCCTGGGCAACAAAGAGAGACTCCGTCTCCAAAAAAAAAAAGCCTCATGCTAGATGAGAATGGGCACTGTTGATCAAGGTGTCCAAAAATAGTTAATGTGGCTAAATTGAGATAGGTTATGCTTCCATCACAGTATGCATATTGCAGTGGTGACAATGAGACCTGTAACATTTTGCCATGCTTATGAGTAAAATATGTAGAAGAAAAATGTTGACTTTCAAAATAACATTTAAGTAATAAGGAATTTTCAGCTCTTATCTCATAGGACTACTGTTGTTGTTGTTTTTTTTTTGTATGCTATATATTGATTGAAACATTGTAATGTGGTACATGACTGTGTTTTGGATCAGGTGTCAAAATATAAGTGTACTTTGTACAATTCAACTTCTAGAAAAAAAAAATTAGCTGGGCGTTGTGGAGCGCACCTGTAATTCCAGCTACTCAGGAGGCTGAGGCAGGAGAATTGCTTGAACCTGGGAGGCGGAAGTTGCAGTGAGCTGAATTCACGCCACTGCACTCCAATCTGGGCTACAGAGCGAAATTCCATCTCAAAAAAAAAAAAAAGAAAGAAAGAAAGTACACTGTTACGGCCAGGCGCAATGGCTCACGCCTATCATCCCAGCACTTTGGGAGGCAAAAATGGGCAGATCACCTGAGGTTGGGAGTTCGAGACCAGCCTGACCAACATGTAGAAACCCTGTCTCTACTAAAAATACAAAATTAGCCAAGCAGTGGTGGCACATGCCTGCAATCCCAGCTACTCGGGAGGCTGAGGTGGGAGAATTGCTTGAACCCAGGAGACAGAGGTTGTGGTAAGCCAAGATCGCACCATTGCAGTCCAGTCTGGGCAATAAGAGTGAAACTCGTCTCAAAAAAAAAAGAAAGTACAGGTACGTTTTTTAGAATGATGATACATCATCACTGACTCACTTGGTTTCTGCAACCAGATCCTTTCCCGTGTCTGTGCAGTCATGACTCCATTGCTGCCCTGAGGTGGTATACTAACCCAAATCACAGTCTGAAAGTCATTTTTCATTTAGGTTCTTCCCTGCTTATCTTTGGTTGAGCCAGGAAATGCAACTTGATAATGACTCAGCACAAGCTATTCAGCTGGGAGCCGGTTCCTAGCCACATCCAGCTCCGCGTTGGAAATATCTGAAGTGGTCAGTCTAGGATAGAGCAGTGCTGCTGTAGCTTCCAGGTAGGGTTTCCTGAAGTGTATGCCCAATGCTCTTTCTGAATCAGCACTGAAAATATTCATGCAGGACCTCCCCCGGCCCTACCTGACCCCACAGAGCAAGAGCAATACATTCCTCTGCCTGTCACTAGGCCCTGGGCTGCCAGGTTTGGGGGATACTAAGTCCAGGGAAACCACCAGAAGTAGTTCCAGGGAGGCCACAGGTGTGCAAAAGAAGGATCCCATGCATGAGCCCAAGAAGGAGTCTAAAGCCTGGCCTTGAGATGAAACCGTTCAATTAAACAGTTCCTTTCATATTAAAGTCAATGTAAAAATACCATCACTTACACTGACTTCATCAGACAAGAGAACACTGGGGTTTTGCTTAAAGAATCATCTGACAGCCTCAGTAATGAAAGGAGGTGGAGGAATTCTATCAATTTTCCTGTTTTAAAGGACGAGGTGAAGTCTTACCCATTTTGTAACTGCTATTCTAATCGGAGAACTATTCAGAAGTGGAAACATCTATTCATAAAGTATTACGGGGGGAAGGAGAGGGAAAAAAAAGCATTATGAACATCATATGAGACACACGGCCACGAAGTGCCCAAGTGCTGAGCAAAAGCACTGGCAGTATGGTTTACATCACTTCCCAATAAACCAGTTTTGCTCAGGCATCATAGAGGCACTGCTGCAAATGCCACCAAGAAACCAGAACAGGAAAGGGGCTATGTGGCTCACTCAATCCACGTCTTCTTTGCCAATTATCCTTCTTTTTGTTGTTAGTAAACTCTCAACTAGAACCTTAATAACTTTTCAATGTCTAAGATTTTGTGGCAGCATTTTAAGATAAAGAGTTAGGAGAATATAAGATTTCCAAGAGCTATTCTCCTTAATGTGGAAAAAAATGCAAGCTAGATAAGTATTTAGCAAAAGAAAAGTATGAGATACATACTGAAGAGAAGGTTTAATCCAAACATAATTAAATCTTAGCTATAAAAAAATTATTAGCTTTGCTTTGGCAAAAGAAGAAAATTAAACTGGGCACAATGGCTCACACTTATAATCCCAATACTTTGGGAGGCCAAGACTGGAGGACCATTTGAGGCCACGAGTTTGAGACTAGCCTGGGCACCATAGTAAGGTCCTATCTCCACCAAAAAAAAAAAAAAAAAAAAATTAGCTGGGCATGGTGATGTGACTCTGAAGTCTCAGCTACTCAGGAAGCTGAGGCAGGAGGACCACTTGAGCCAAGGAGTTCAAGGCTGCAGAGAGCAATGATCACATCACTGTACTTCAGCCTGGGCAACACAATGAAATCCTATCCCTAAAAAAAATTAAAAATAAAAAAGAGGAAGATTATTTTTCCCCCAACAAATAGTGACATTTATAATAGATATAAACTGAGTTGTCAGCTGAAGTTAATGCAGAAAACTCAACTGGCTTGACACTCATCATGCTTTAAACTTGACGCAATGTTTAAATATTCATTGCAACTCCAGTGAATTTTTTTCTTCTTCATTTTTCCCAGCTATGGTTATAGTAAAAATTGCACCAAGTTGGCAGAACTGGGGGCTCTCTTGTTTTGGCCTTGCTGACTGGTTTTCAGTGTCTGAGCTCTTGTCTTCCTGAAGTTCGAGTGGCAGCGCATTAGATTCCTGGAGCAGTAGTTAAGCTTGAGCTAAACATCCTAGGCCCAAGTTCAGCTCCACCTCGTACAGTGACATGACATTGGCAAGGTAATTCATCTTTACTTATCTGCAGAAAAGGGATGATAAGGCTGGGCACGGTGGCTCATGCCTGTAATCCTAGCACTTTGGGAGGCCGAGGCGGGTGGATTGCCTGAGCTCAGACCAGCCTAGGCAACACGGTGAAACCCCATCTCTACTAAAATACAAAAAATTATCTGGGCATGGTGGCGTGTGCCTGCAATCCCAGCTACTTGGGAAGCTGAGACAGGAGAATCACTTGAACCCAGGAGGCAGAGGTTGCAGTGAACTGAGATCGTGCCATTGCACTCCAGCCTGGGTAACTGTGTAAGACCCCATCTCAAAAAAGAAAAGAAAAAAGAAAAGAAAAGAAAAGGGATGATAACTGTACCAACTTCACACACTTGTTATAAGGATTGGTTGAATACAATCTTGACGAGTGTTTAGAAGAACGAATGACATACCGTGTGCACTCAATAAATGTTCTCTGCATTATATTTATTATACATTTCCCAGAAGTGGTCTTATTCCTGCGTTTACATTTATGTTAATGTATAAAGTCTGCTTGATAAACTAAAGTCAAGGACATTATGTTCCACATATTACAACTGTGATTTTTTAAAAAATAACCTTTCAAAGTTAAATAAAACAAACACATCAGTTTAGGGGTCCGGCTGACTTGGGTTCCATTTACTTAGTAGTTAAGTGAGCATAATATTTATTATCCCCAAGCATCTGTTTCCTTATCAATAACAAGAATATCAATATTACACCTTTTAAGGAATTGACTACCTAACAGAGGACAAATATTTAATAAAGGATTGCTATTCTTACTATATTTTCTGTGAAAGGTAATTATTGCCTGATACAAAAGTAAAACAGGTAGTAACTGTGCTGGCATCATTGTAAAACTCTTCCAACTAAGAAAGAAACTTAGCTGGGTACAGTGTCTCATGCCTGTAATCCCAACACTTTGGGCAATATATGGAGACCTCATCCTTACAAAAAATAAAAAAAATTAGCCCAGCACAGTGGTGTACACCTGTGGTCCCAGCTACACAGGAGGCTGAGGCAGGAGGATTGCGTGAGCCCAGAAGATCAGAGGCTACAGTGATCGTGATTGTGCCACTGCACTCCAGGCATCAGAGCAAGAAACTGTCTATTTAAAAAAAGGAAATCATTAAAACCAGTTTCCTAAAATTTATTATAGAGCTAGAAATAGATTAGTGACTGCCTAGGACAAGGGGAAGAGAGTAGTGAGGGCTAAAGGATACAGAATTTCTTTTTGTGTAATAAAAATGTTCTAAAATTGATTGTGGTGATGATTGCACAACTCTGTGAACATACTAAAAATCACTGAATTGTATACTTTGAGTGAATTATACAATATGTGAATTATATCTCAATAAAACTATTATTCAGCTGGGTGTGGGTGGCTCACACCTGTAATCTCAACACTATGGGAGGCCAAGGCAGGTGAATCACTTGAGTCCAGGAGTTCAAGACCAGCCTGGGCAACATGGTGAGACTTTGTCTCTACCAAAAATACAAAAATTAGCCAGGCATGGTTGCACGTGCCTGTGGTCTCAGCTACTTGGGAGGCTGAGATGGGAGGATTGCTTGAACACGGAAGGCGGAGGTTGCAGTGAGCCAAGAGTGTGCCACTGCACTCCAGCCTGGGTGACAGAGGGAGACTCTGTCTCAAAACAAAATTAAAAGTAAAAATAAAGCTGTTATTATAAAAGACAATAAAACGATCACATACAGTATGAATCTATTTATATGACATTACAGAAAACACAAAACAATGGGGACAGACAACAGGTCAGCAGTTGCCAGGCATTGGGCTGGGGGTGGCACAAGAAAGTTTTTTTTTGGGGGGAGGGTGTCACAGAACTTTTCTGTATTCTCATTATGAAAATAATTCAGTGAATCTGCACATGTATTAAAATTCATAGAGCTATATAGCAAAATTTTAAAGTTGATTTAAAAAACATAAAAAGTTTTCTTAAAATCGTCTATTTTCATTTTAATTTTTTCCAAAGAAAAAAATTGCTTACTAATCTTTAAAAGTTTTTGTTGTTGTTGTTGTTGTTTGTGAGACAGGGCCTCACTGTCACGCAGGCTGGAGTACAGTGGCGCGATCTCGACTCACTGCAGCCTCCACCTCTCAGGCTCAAGCAATCCTCCCAACTCAGCCTCCTGAGTAGCTGGGAATACAGGCCCATGCCACCACTCTTGGCTAATTTTTTTAATTTCCTATAGAGATGAGGTCTCACTATGTTGCCTAGGATGGTCTCAAACTTCTGCGCTCAAGTGATCTTCCTGCCTCGGCCTCCCAAAGTGCTAGCATTACAGGTGTGAGCAACTGCACCTGACCTTAAAAGTTATTCTGATGGCTAAGAGTGCTTATATCCCATTACTAAAGATTTTGAAATATTTTAGATACATATGAAGTAGTAGTAGTAGGTTTTCTGTTAAAATGGAGGAGAAATTGAGGTAGAAAAGGCAAATTTGAACAGTAAGACAGAACTGTTACTAGACTCTGGAGATCTTCTGCTGTCAACCCCTCGAAACCACCATGTGCAAAGTCAGAGGTGTGCTCAGCGTCAGAATGCTCCCTCCTGATCTCAAGTCTTGGTAAAACTTCCAGAAGCATGTAGCTTATTATTATGAGGAGGAGGGAAGTACCTTTTAAGGTACAACAGAGAAAGCTTTACTGTTCTTAATCTAAACTCTGAATTTTCATTTATATGGCATGATAGGCGTCACATGAATCAAAGTTCTAATGTACTGTTGCTTGATTTTCAGCTCCTTATCAGGAGAAATTAGGTCAAGACTGTAATGCGATCAATCAGAAGATACCTGTGGATGTTGAAACTGCATAAAGCCAGCGTTCGGGTGAGTAACATCGTTCTCCAACCAGCTCATTCCATTGCAGTTATTTCCTCATCATTTAAATGAAGTTTAGGCCGGGTGCAGTGGCTCATGCCTGTAATTCCAGCACTTTGGGAGGCCAAGGCAGGCGGATCACCTAAGGTCAGGAGTTTGAGATTAACCTGGCCAACATGGCAAAACCCCGTCTCTACTAAAAATACAAAAATTAGCTGGGGGTGATGGCGGGCACCTGTAGTCCCAGCAACTCAGGAGGCTGAGGTAGGGAGAATTGCTTGAACCCGGAAGGCAGAGGTTGCGGGGAGCCGAGATCACGCCACTGCACTCCAACCTGGTTAACAGAGCGAGGCTCTGTCTCTAAATAAATAAATAAATAAACGTGAGGAGCTTGGGGGGAATGCCTCTCTTACTAAATTAGGTATGGTTTTTATTCTATGTTTCTTTTTTTTAAAATTTTTTTATTATACTCTAATTTCTAAGATACATGTGCCGAACATGCAGGTTTGTTACATAGGTATACATGAGCCATGGTGGTTTGCTGTACCCACCATCCCGTCATCTACATTAGGTATTTCTCCTAATGCCATCTCTCCCTTAGGCCCCCCACCCCCCGACAGGCCCCGGTGTGTGATGTTCCCCTCCCTGTGTCCATGTGTTCTCATTGTTCAGCTCCCACTTATGAGTAAGAACATGCCGTGTTTGGTTTTCTGTTCTTATGTTAGTTTGCTGAGAATGATGGTTTCCAGCTGCATCCATGTCCCTGCTATTCTGTTTCTTTATTTATAAACTTGCTTTTGTTTCTTTGTTTGATGTTGTTGTTTCTTTTTCTTTTCTTTTTTTTTCAGAGATGAGAGTCTTGCTCTGCTACCCAGGCTGGAGTGCAGTGGCATAATCATAGCTCACTGCAGCCTCCAACTCCTGGACTCAAGGGACCCACTCACTTCAGCCTCCAGAGCAGCTAGGATGACAGGGGCATGCCACCACGTCTAGCTAAAACTTGTTTTTTTTTTTTAATTGCTTTACCCCTAACGAGATGCTTAAGGATGAGCTAATGATAAAAGAAAAGGTGTTCTCTTTGCTATTTGTCATAACATTTTGAGAAGAATGAAAGTGCACCTGGTATGTACACCAAATTTCCACTTCCCCACAGGACTGGTGATGATGCATGAGTGAATCTACCAGAACAGGCCAGGGGTACCATGAGTAGGGAGTGGGTAGGGATCCTCCAAAATCAAGAAAAGGCTCGGGGTAGTACAGTTTAATCCAAAACAACAGCCAAAACTGGGTAGAAAATTAGACTCTTCAAGGAACTCCCAGGTACATTACCCCGTTTAATCCTTGCAACAACTGGATGAGATACCAAACAAAAATCTGTTATTACTGTTTTATGTATTAGAAAAACATTAGATGAAGGAGCTTCATCTAATGTCCCAAGACTGGTATTTGACAAAGCATTGACTAGAAGCCAATTCCTTTAAAAAAAAAATTGTAGAGATGAGGTCTCACTATGATGCCCAGCCTGGTCTTGAATTCCTGGCCTCAAGTGATCCTCCTGCCTTGGCCTCCCCAAGTGCTGTGACTACAGGTGTGAGCCACCACACCCAGCCCAGAAACCAATTCATGACTCTCAGTTTATGACTACGACATCATGCTGCTCCTCAGACACCCCAAAGTTCACAACCTGGAATATTTTTCATTAGCTACTACAGTGTTACTAATCCATACCTATATTATTCACCAAGATTAGTAAGGAATCCAGCCAAGTTATTTCCCCATCTCTTCCTACTTTATTTCCAACTAAGGGACTCACTTCTTCACTTGGAAACTGTTCTGCTCTGGTCAGTCTCCTTAGTCCAATATTCCCTCCATTCTCAGGATTCACTCTTTGTTCAAATCCTCTGTAGCATCCAGCAGTTGCTAACAGAGACAAGCAGTTAAAACGCAGAGATGCCAAGCATCAGGAACTGTGGCTGGAGGAAATAAACTGGAGGTTTTGGGGCTGGCTGCAGTGGTTCACGTCTGTAATCCCAGCACTTTGGGAGGCTGAAGCAGGTGGGAAGATCGCTTGAGACCAGGAGTTCAAGACCAGCCTGGGCAACATAGTGAGATCCCCAACTATACAAAAAATTTTAGGCTTGGCACTGTGGCTCACACCTGTAATCCCAGCACTTTGGGAGGCTGAAGCACATGGATGGATCACTTGAGCACAGGAGATTGAAACCAGCCTGGGCAACATGGCAAAACCCCATCTCTACAAAAAATACAAAAATTAGCCAGGCAGGCCAGGCATGGTGGCTCACGCCTGTAATCCCAGAACTTTGGGAGGCTGAGGCGGGTGGATCACCTGAGATCAGGAGTTTGAGACCAGCCTGGCCAACACGGCAAAACCCCGTCTCTACTAAAAATACAAAAAAATTAGCTGGGTATGGTGGCAGGTGCCTGTAATAATAGCTACACAGGAGGCTGAAGAAGGAGAATAGCTTGAACCCACGAGGCAGAGGTTGCAGTGAGCCAAGATAGCGCCAATGAACTCCAGCCTGGGCAACAGAACAAGACTCCGTCAAAAAAAAAAAAAAAATTAGCCAGGTGTAGTGGCACATGCCTGTAGTCTCAGCTACTTGGGAGGCTAAGGTGGGAGGATCCCTGGAGCCCAGGAGGTTGAGGCTGCAGTGAGCCAAGATTGAGCCACTGCACTTAAGTTTGGGTGACAGAGTGACCACTGTCTCAAAAAAAAAAAAATTAAGAAAGTTAATCTGGCACAGTGGCATGCACCTCTAGTCCCAGCTACTCAGGAGGCTGAGGAGGGAGGATCACTTAAGCCCAGGAGGTGGAGGCTGCAGGAGCCATGACCATGCCACTGCACTCCAGCCTCAGCAACAGAACAAGACCCTGTCTAAAATAATAAAAAGTAAAAAATAAAATAAAAATAAGCTGGGGGGGTTGGGGGATGCAGACAGGCAAACTACAGGCTCAGCATGATCTCTTGGGGTATGGTTATTCCTTGCATGGCCAGGACTTCACTTGTGACTTTTTCACAGAAAGATGGGTCCCTTAGTGGGTCCCACAGAAAGATGAACCCACAGATGGGTCCAGTGCCTGTGCATGTTCTTCATATCTTGTGTGACACAAAAATTTATACTCTAAGCCAGGTGCAGTGGCACATGCCTCTAGTCCCAGCTACTCGAGAAGCTGAGGCAGGAGGATCACTTCAGCCCAGGATCTCAGGACCATAGTGTGTGAGTGATAATCGTGCCTGTGAATGGCCAGTGCACTCTAGCCTGGGCAACATAGTGAGATCTTGCTTCTAAAAAAAAACAAAACAAAACAACAAAAATAAAAGGAAAATTTTCTTTAAAAAAAAGTTTTTTAAACATTTTAACTCTCTGAGTATATCTGGAACAGTTTTGCTATTGAGAACTCATGGCTTTGACTGCAAGTCATATGCATGCATATTCATGAGTAGTGAGTATCCAAGAAGTGTTTTCTGAATGATGCATAAGTGAAGCATGACTTCATGGATTAACAAATGCCACAGGTCAATTATGCCTCTCTCTGTCACCCCCAACAAAAATAAATATCAAAACTACATGAAACAGAAGTTGAAATAACAGTCAGTAACAAAGGTGCTGTGTTCCTTAACATCAGAAAAATGAGTCTTTATTTTATTGAAGAACAGCATCACTGAATTCACAAACCCAGTTAGTACTTTCAAATGCCTATGCACAGACTGGCACTGTGTCATATAACAGGATGTTTGATTACATGTGGGTCAGTGGAAACCACCCTTATCACACCCACATATTTGCATTTATAAATTGACTTGGCTGTGCAGAAAAACCAGCTATATATAGCTTATGCCAGCTAATTTTACTAATTAATGGATGAATAAAAAGGTATTTAAATAAGGCTCAGATCAAACTCATGTGTGAGAATTTTAGCAACTGAATCGCCAGGGTAAAACAGGACGAGGTCTTGCTCTCCAGTTGAATTGCAAGTAAATTCCACACACAGAGAGATGCCGGTGGTAGCCAAACCCACAGCTTGAAAATCTGTTTATTTGCCAAACCAAATGGCTTTGTACTGCTTTTCAATTCCCTACACTTTATTGTTTAGAAGCCTACACTGGAAACTAAACAAAAACTAGAAGTAGAATGGCAGATGCCTTTCAGGGGAGTACTGCTTGGGGGAGGGTCAACATCATTCTGCTTTTTGATCATGGGGGTGGTTACACAAGGCTTTGCATTCAGCTAGATTCTTCTGTTTTCTGCACTTTTCTATGTAAGTGTTATACTTAAATTTTAAACACACATACACACACATACACACACACTCCTGCATTGGGAAAACTTTTTAAAAAATTCCCTCGAATCCTGTTAGAAAGAACTGTGTCAGAAATATTCTTTCTTTGGCAAGGCACAATGGCTCATGCTCGTAATCCCAGGACTTTGGGATCTCGAGATGGGAGGATCATTTGAGCCCAGGAGTTCAAGGCTGCAATGAACTATGATGGTATCACTGCACTCCATCTTGGGTGACAGAGCAAGACCCTGCCTCAAAAAAAAGAAAGATACTTTCTTATTATGTAATTTGGAGTTAATGAGTGCATGGCTAGAAATATTAATATAACTGTATCATCAAATCAGGAAGCACCTTTTACAGCCATCTAATGCAACTTTTTTATGTATTTATTTTTTTGAGATGGAGTCTTGCTCTGTCGCCCAGGCAGGAGTCCAACGGCGTGGTCTCAGCTCAATGCAAACTCCACCTCCTAGGTTCAAGTGATTCTCCTGCCTCAGCCTCCCAAGTAGCTGGGACTACAGGTGTGTGCCACCACACCTGGCTATTTTTGGATTTTTAGAAGAGATGGGGTTTCACTTTGTTGACCAGGCTGGTCTTGAACTCCTGACCTCGTGATCCATCTGCCTCGGCCTTCTAAAATGCTGGGATTACAGGTGTGCGCCACTGCGCCCTGGCCTTAATGCAACCTTTTCTAAAAGGTCTTGTAAGAATCTCTTAGCCTTTGCTGACAAACATTTAATGATGGAGAAGGACCCTTCTCCAGGACCCATGCAGGCAGCTTTGATGGTTAGAAGTTTCTCCTTACTTTGTAATCCACAATCTCTGCCTTTGTAAATTTCTCCATTATCATTCCCTCTCCCACATCACAGCCATTTCAATATACTGTCAGCCAGCAATCCACGTGGCCATGTATTAAATGACGAAGAGTAAAGATCCTGTCCTCTCTCTGCCAAAAAAGTGAACACCCGTCTGCTTGGTAGGTAAATACCCAGCCAGAAGAAGGGCAATTTATCAAACTTAATGAAATATCCTCAAGGACACCTCTGTCTATTTGTACACGTATCTGCTCATCAAGCAACTTTTTTTTCATTCTTTAAAGTTGTGGTAAAATAAACACAATATAAAACTTGTATCGTAACTATTTTAAGTATATAACTCAGTGGCATTAAGTACATTCATATTCTTGTATAACCATCACACCATCCATCTCCAGAACTCTTTTCATCTTGCAAAACTGAAACTCTGTACCCATTAAGCAGTAACTTCCCATTCCCTCCCCCATCAAGCCCCTGGAAGACACCATTCTATTTTCTGTCTCTATGAATTTGACTATTTGAGGAACCTCACATTAGTGGACTCATACAGTATTTGTCTTTTTGTGTCTGGCTTATTTCACTTAGCATGATGTCCTCAAGTTTTGTCCTTGTTGTATCATGTGTCAGCATTTCCTTTTTTTTTTTTTTGAGCCGGAGTTTCGCTCTTGTTGCCCTGGCTGGAGTGCAGTCGCGGGATCTCGACTCACTGCAACCTCTGCCTCCCGGGTTCAAGTGATTCTTCTGCCTCAGCCTCCCAAGTAGCCAGGATTACAGGCATGCACCACCATGTTCGACTAATTTTGTATTTTTAGTAGAGATGGGGTTTCTCCATGTTGGTCAGGCTGGTGTCAAACTGCCGACCTCAGGTGATCCGCCCACCTTGGCCTCCCAAAGTGCTGGGATTACAGGCATGAGCCACCGCACCCAGCCAGCATTTCCTTTTTTTAAAGGCTGAATAACATTCCATTGTATGGCTGGGCACGGTGGTTCATGCCTGCAATCCCAGCACTTTGGGAGGCCACAGCAGGTAGATTGCTTGAGCCCAGGAGTTCAAGATTAGCCTGGACAACATGGCAAAACCTTATCTCTACAAAAAATACAAAAAACTAGCCAGGCATGGTGGCATGCACCTGTAGTCTCAGCTACTCAAGAGGCTGAGGTGGGAGGATCACCTGAGCCCAGGAAGTCAAGTCTATAGTGAGCTGTAATGGTGCCACCACACTCTAGCCCGGGTGACAGAGTAAAACCCTGTTTCAAAAAAAAAAAAAAAAAATTCCAATGTACATATAAACCACATTTTATTTCATCCATTGATGAACATGAGTTACTTCTAATTCTTGGCTATTGTGAATAATGCTACTATGAACACAAGTGTACAAACATCTCTGAGACCCCACATTCAGTTATTTGGGGTATATACCCAGAAGCAGCATTGCTGCATCATATGGCAATTCTATGTCTAATTTTTTGAGGAACTACCATATGATTTTCCATCATAGCTGTAGCATTTTACACTCCCACCAACAAAGCACAGGATTCCAATTTCTCCACATCCTTGGCACCACTTATTATTTTCTGATTTTTGTTGTTGTGTTCTTTTTTAACATGACATGATTTCATCATGATTTCTCATTTTTTATAGTAGCCATCCTAAGCAACTTTCTTTTTATTATTGTTATTATTATTTTACAGACAGGCTGTCGCTCTGTCACCCAGGATGGAGTGTGGTGGTGTAATCATTGCTCACTGCAGCCTCAATCTCCTGGGCTCAAGCAATCCTCCTGCCTCAGTCTCCTGAGTAGTTGAGACTATAGGATTACATCACTGCACTCTGAGTAATTTTTATTTGTTTTTATTTATTCTTTTTTTTTTTTTTTTTTTTTGTCTATAGAGGCAGGTTCTCACTTTATTGCCCAGGCTGGCCTTGAACTCCTGGCTTCAAGCAATCCACCTGTCTCAGGCTCCCAAAGTGCTGGGATTATAGGCATGAGCCACTTCACCCAGCTAAGCAACTTGCTTTTGATAACAATACCAATGACTACCATTTAGCCATGTGCTTCACTTGTGGCTAGTTTGGAATCCACTGTAACCTAGAACACTCACAACAAACTGCTGAGGTTTAAACATGAGGACTCTGAGGCTAGCAAGGCCAGCACCTTGCCAGCAGCAGCCCACAGTTAGGAAGGGACAGACCTGGGATTTCAGCCCCCACATGAAATTAATTCGACACCCTGTGCTCTACCGCCCTGCCCTGCCTTACTTTTGACCATTCAGAGTGATTTCTGGGCACTCATTTGGGTGCCAGGGATCTCCTGAGCAAGTCGCCCACCCACAACCCTAGCAAAGTCTTTGATCGGCATTCTGGTTTGTGAACAATCCAGAGAGAACAGAGCACAATAAACTCCTCTAGGATAGAAACCTCCCACTTATTTATGTTGGTATTCCCCCAAACCACCCACTATCATGACATACAGCACTCGATAAATATACTTGGGCTGGGTGTGGTGGCTCACGCCTGTAATCCCAGCACAGCACTTTGGGAGGCTGAGGCAGGTGGATCCCTTGAGCTTAGGAGTTTGACACCAGGCTGGCCAACATGGCCAAACCCCATCTCTACAAAAAATAAGCCAGGCATAGTGGCACACACCTGTAGTCCCAGCTACTTGGAGGCTGAAGTGGGAAGATGGCTTGAGCCCAGGAGGTCAAGGGTGCAGTGAGCTATGACTGCACCACTGTACTCCTGCCTGGGGTTACAGCCTGGTCTCAAACTCCTGAGCTCAAATTATCCTCCTGCCTTGGCCTCCCAAAAAACAAAAAAATTACGCAGGCCTGGTGGCGGGGCCTGTAATCCTAGCTACCCAGTACTGAGGTGAGAGGATGGCTTGGGCCTGGGAGGTGGAGGTTGCAGTGAGCCGAGATAGCACCACTGCACTTCAGCCTGGGCGACAGAGTGAGACCCCATCTCAAAACATACAAATAAATAAAGAAAGAAATACACGTGAGGGAAAATTTTTGTTACATACATTGGGCATCTATCAAATTTGAAATAATACAAAAAGCCAGTGTGGTTCTGAAAGACAAAAATCAACTGCTATGGTGCCGCATTTCATTATACCAACAACCATAAACTCCATATTAAAATTTTGCTTAAAACCAGGGATTCGGCCAGGCGTGGTGGCCAAATCCCTGGTGAGTGAGATCGTACCACTGCACTCCAGCCTGGATGACAGAGTGAGACTCTGTCTCAAAAACAAAACAAAACAAAAAACCAAGGATTGTGCCCATTACTGTATCTGTCACTCTCCAGGTCACTTAGGGGAGGTGTCAAGTACCTACTTGCAGATGACGATTACAAGCTGAAGCCTATTGCTGTCACAGAAAACAGAAATAAATGTTACTTTCTAGCTTCAAATTAATCTCTAGAGAAGTAGCCTTGAGTCATTCAACTCTCCACCTACTCAAAGCATTAAGTCAGTGTTCAACGTGTCTTCGCTCTTGGCTATGTCATAAATGCCATATTGTAAAAGAGTGTAGGCAAGAAGTTGCCTGTGATGGACAAAAAGATTAGCTTCATACTAAAAGGCTCCAGTGATTCCCCTTCGTTAATGCCATGAAGTCCAACATTTAGTATTAGGGCCAAGCACCCTCCAAGCCTGCCTGTGGAGCCTCCCACTGCCTCTCTGGAACAAGCTCTGGTAATGTGGAATGACCCCTGCATAGTCAGGCTGTCCTTCCTCAGGAAAGCCCCTTCTTCCAGGGTGTGTGGCCCACTCCCTTCAGGATTTCCACCAACATGGCAGGTGTGTACCCCAACTCCTAACACTGTGCGGGACTCCCAGTAGCTACCCAGGAAAAGTTTGCTAAACTGAATACTAAACATAGCAGTGGAAGGTTCTTTAAGAAAATGTTCTATTTACAACATTTACAGCGCATCAGCTCTCCTGAGACAGGACTCTTACAATTATATCCATCAAGCGTCCTTCAAGTCACTCTAGCTCCAAAGTTCCCTGTCTGCTTCCACCTGCCTTCTGCAGTCCCACTGGCTTCATTCCATTGCTCCTTATATCCTGCCGTTTTAAAATCATATAAGGAGCCAGGCGCAATGACTTATGCCTGTAATCCCCGGATTTCGGGAGGCTGAGGCAGCCGGATAACTTGAGGCCAGAAGTTCGAGACCAGCCTGGCCAACACAGCAAAGCCCTGTCTGTACTAAAAATACAAAAAGTAGCTGGGCATGGTGGTGTGTGCCTGTAATTCCAGCTACTCAGGAGGCTGAAGCACAGGAATCACTTGAACCCGGGAGGTGGAGGTTGCAGTGAGCCGAGATCACACCATCACAGTCCAGCCTGGGTGACAGAGCAAGACTCTGTCTCAGGAAAAAAAAAATATATATATATGTGTGTGTGTGTGTGTGTGTGTGTGTGTATATATATATATATATATTTATATTTTTATATGGGATTTATGTATATATTTATATGTGGGATTTATATATATATTTATGTATATATGGGATGCTCATTCTTTTAAATATAAAGACGTACAGAAGTAAAAACAGCACTCAACTGTCACCCAGAAATAATCACTATTAAGATCTTAGTATAAAAATTGTTTGAAATGCAGTTTATAGATGATGTGTCCATATATGAATATTTTATTTCAGAAATGGTATCATGTCATCTACTAGTTTGTGTTCAGCTCTTTTGCTATTGTTTGTTTGTTTGAGACAAATTGCACAGGCTGATTTCGAGCTCCTGAGCTCAAGCAATCCTCCTGCCTCATGCTCCCAGAGTGCTGGGATTACAGGCAAGGGCCACTGCGCCTGGCCGCCTGGCCGTGTTCAGCTTTTGAAAAAAAATTTTTCATATTAGTAACTGTAATTGAATGTTTTATCTTTTAAGATATTTACAAAGTATCCCATTATATGAATGTGACTTAATTTGTGTTTGTTTAATAAACCTCCCTATTGGACTGCCCATCTCTGTACGTTGGAAGGGGGGATGAAAATATGTTGATTAATGGATACAAATATACTGTTTGATAGAAGAAATAAGACCTGGTAGGGTGACTAGAGTTCACCATTAACTATTGTGCATTTCAAAACAGCTAGAAGAATTCAAAAGATTCAGCATTTAAAAAGAAAACAAATATTTAAGGTGATGGCTATCGCAAATACTGATTTAATCTTTACAAATTATATGATGTATTAAATTATCACATGTGCCCTGAAACTATGTATATCTATTATGCATCAGAACAAACAAACTCTGATGGAGCTGGCCAATCCTACCTCAGAAAAGCTGCTCCAGGCCACATTCCCCTGCAAGTTAAGGGGAGGGGCTGTTCCACCAGATTGTATTTTCCTTTTTCTATTTTGTTTTGCCTACAGATATGTGTATTTGAGCACAAGGTAAAATGTTTCTTGCTATGGGTTGTGGTCAAATAAGTTTGACAGGCTGGGCGCGTGGCTCATGCCTGTAATCCCAGCACTTTGGGAGGCCGAGGCAGGCAGATCACCTGAGGTCAGGTGTTCGAGACCAGGCTGGCCAACATGATGAAACCCTGTCTCTACTAAAAATACAAAAATTAGCCGGGCATGGTGGTGCATTGGTGCATGCCTGTAATCCCAGCTACTCGGGAGGCTGAGGCAGCAGAATCGCTTGAACCTGGGAGGAGGGGTTGCAGTGAGTGGAGATTGCACCATTGTACTACAGCCTGGGCGACAGAGCGAGACTCCATCTCAAAAAAAAAAAAAAAAAGATGTTTGACAGCCACTGTTCTATCCCAAGAATTTAACAAGGAATTTAACAATTTTTAAAATAGTCCTGAATTATTATAGTTAGTATTTAAAAATTATTATGTAGCCTGAACATTAAAAGATTTCGAAACGTCTACCCAAGAGTTTCATAACACTTTCCATGACGGGGAATTTCAAAATGTACATTTTTCCGTTGCTGAAAAAGTCAGGCATGGCCAGGGTGGGCTTCGCAAAGCAGGCTCTGCCCTTAAGACTCTAGACTGCTCCTCTCTCCCACCCCGCCCCACCCCTCACTTAAGGGCAAACCGAAAATGCAGAGGGCAGCAGAGGGTAGAAAGAACCCCGAGGAAAACGCAGCATTGGGTGGTAAGGAAGGTGGGGCTGCAGGCAAATGACCCAGGGGCCTGGGGTGGAGGAAGTATCACTTCCTTGCCTGCCTCCTCTGGGGCCTTTTCTCTCCAGCATCGGGCTACAGTTCTGCTCTCCGTGACACAGCTTCCCCCTGGAAAGCAGAAGTGGTCCTCCCTCTCCAGAGAGCCTCTCTGAGATAAGCTTCTCCATTCCCCTCACCTCCGTGGGGGTTAACATTTACAGGAAGAGTGGGGGCACCCAGAGACCCAAACACCAAGAAGACGTCATTGCTTCAGTGGGAGGCAGAATGAATACACACCCATCTCTCCAGTCTCACTGTACCAGCGCCCAAGGGTAGGCCCAAAGACCACACGAAGACCTCCCCACCAGATGTTTTACCAATGGAGGGAGGAAAGCGGGGACTGGAAAGAAGCTTCCAACCAGTATGGTCTGGTGTCAATAAAGAGGAGTGAGCAAGATTTCAGATGCTCACAGAAAGGTGTGGGCAGGCAGGCAATATGTAACTTTGCCTGAAGCATGGACTGTAGAAAGGAAATGAGACCAACTAAAAAACTATCTGAGCTGTGAAGACTTCTTCCCAGTGTTCTACAACCCAAAAGCAGAGCCTCAACCATCAAGAAACAGCCACTTAACTGGATTATTTAAATGTATCCCGATTCATGCAGTTCTATAGGATGTCATTTAAGTAGCAGCATTCTGAACACTGAGCATTTACAATAATGAGGTTAACTGACAATCTCTTCCCATACACGGTCAGCTCATGCCAATTCCTGGTTGAAGAAGCCTTTGTAAGATGATAGGGAATGAAGTGGGGAGAGCAGAAGAAGGGGTACTGGAAGCCTGAGGGTTAATAAAGCTCAGTGAAAGAGCAATGCCATGGAAGAGTTCTATACCAAGGAAAACTGTATCCTGAGTGTAAGTACAGCTTTTAAGAAATAGCTCTGTGGCAAATAAGGAATGCTGCCAGCTAATTCAGTAATGAGAGAAAATGAAGTACAGAACAGGATGAAGGGGATAAACAACAAAGGCTACTACAGGCCCTGCTCTTGTCAGCATGGATGAGGCTTTTTAATACATCATCCCAAGTATTTAAACTTGCTCTTCTAAATTACAAGACAGGGCCAGGCACGGTGGCTCACACCTGTAATCCCAGCATTTTGGGAGGCCGAGGCGGGCTCACCTAAGGTCAGGAGTTCAAGACCACCCTGGCCAACATGGTGAAACCCATCTCTACTAAAAATACAAAAATTAGCCAGGCATGGTGGCGGGCGCCTGTAATCACAGCTACTAGGGAGGCTGAGGCAGGAGAATCACTTGAATCCAGGAGATGGAGGTGCAGTGAACTGGGATCACGCCAAAGCACTCCAGCCTGGGTGACAAGAGCGAACTCTGTCTCTTCAGTGGGAGGCAGAATAAAAAATAAAGAGAGCCCTTCCAACTAACTTAAGCCAAATATACCCCAGAAAGGCCAGGCGCAGTGGCTCACACCTGTAATCCCAGCATTTTGTGAGGACGAGACGGGCAGATCACTTGGGGTCAGGAGTTCAAGACCAGCCTGGCCAACATGATGAAACCCCATTTCTACAGGAAATACAAAAATTAGCTGGGTGTGGTGGCACATGCTTGTAAGTAATCCCAACTACTCAGAAGGCTGAGGCAGGGAGGATTGCTTGAACCCAGGAGGCGGAGATTGCCGTGAGCTGAGATTGCACCACTGCACTCCAGGCTGGGCGACAGAGTGAGCCTTCATCTCAGAAAAGAAGAACAAACAAAACAACAACAACAAAAATCTCAAAAGGTCCAAGTCTTTAAACTGACAAAATTTCTAATCCCTCCATTGGCAGATTTCCATACCATTCTCTACACATGGGTATCTCCCCCGAAAGGGAACTTATTCAAAATAAATTTTAGAAATGATAATGGAGTGAACTTAAAGTTTCACAATTTAAGTATCAGGAAACCAGACAGCTGTAAGAAATCTTTCAGTATTTCTGACTGGAAAAAAAAAACCCAACAACTTCCTCTTCCATGTTCTTCTCTTCATTATCAGCCTTAAAAGATGGGAGGCAATGTATATCTATACTGTTGGCCTAGAACAGTGCCTTGCACACAGCAGGTGCTCAAAATGATCAGGTGTTTTAATGTGCGTCCTATGAGCCCTGTCTCCTTAATTTATATTTTCACTTAAATGATGCTCTCACTGATAAAACAACCAGGAGGTTGGCAAAGTTTACAGGGAGACACTCCCAGCACAGGTCGGGGAAAGTCCTTTTGCAAAGTATTACTCAGGTACTTCTGTATTAACCATTAAGCAACTGATTGCCCCCAAGACAGTCACTAGGGCTGCTCGGACAGCAGCCAGTATAGGTGTCATCTTAGCAGTTACTGGAGACCACCCTTTCCCACCCCCAAGCAAAAAGCAGTGCTAAAAAGCACAGAAATTCATTTCTAGAAGACAGCTTGAAGTGCCCAGCTTGATGGTGCATCTGCTATGTCCTGAGCAGTTAGCCACTTAGTTCAGACAATTACCAAGTGATAAAAGAAAATTAACTCATGATTTCACTTTTAAAATGTTTGTTAAATGACCTATTTATTTGCTTTTAAGCACAGATGGTCTGCAACTTAATGATTTTTCAACTTTACGATGGTGCAAAAGCATTAGGCATTCAATAAAAACTGTACTTCAAGTACCCATACAACCATTTCATTTTTCACTTTTAATACAGTATTCAATAAATTACATGAGCTATTCAACACTTTATTATCAAATGGGCTTTGTGTCAGATGATTTTGTCCAACAGTAGGCTAATGTGAGTGTTTCGACCATGTTTAAGGTAGGTTAGGCTAATCTATAATGTTTAGTAGGTTAAGTGTATTAAATGCATCTTCTACTTTCAGTATTTTCAACTTACGATTGGGTTTATTGGGACACAGCCTCATCATAAGTTGAGAGGCATTTGTAATTGAGCACACACTACAAGTCCAAAGGTGGACAAGTAGAAAGAGCCAAAAAACATACCTACTACTCCTAATGGTACCGCTTAACCAAGCCTGTGACCTTAGACAACCCCCTGAATCTTTTTCTGTATCTGTCCCTCTCCATCCTATAGGAGCCACAAGAGGTTCAAATGAAATTAGAGTTCAGGAAGACTTCAGAGCCCTGAACAAATGAAAGGTGCTAACACCTTCACCATCATCACTAGGAAGAGCCAGTAAAGGTCTGAGGCTATCTCTGCTATCAATGTGACATTGATCAATGTCCTGACTAATGATTGTGGTGGCCTTTCAATGTTAACACTCATCCATGCATCACTGAGATCATCAGTAGGAGTGAGCTTATAACAATGTTCCCTGCTGTGGGCATGTATACATGGTGTCCTTATTTATAAAGTTAGTATGGGTTTGTACATGAATAATATGATTTAATTTTGTTAAGTTACAACTCCACATAGTCATGTGAACCAACTGGAATCTCAGATGTTTTTGGTGATTTATCTAAAAACAAATATTGCAGATAGAAGTAAAAGGCTTTCAAAGTCATTGAACAGTGCTGGACCACTTTTCTGCTAAAAGAAAGCTATTGGAGGGCAGGGGCGGGATTACAAAGTTTCGACCTACCTTTGTAACACCAATGACTCTAAAATAATGTAGGTCTTCTGGATTGGGCCAACTACCTTTGCAGGAAACATCTTAACCACCCCACATCAGGACCTCTCTTCCAGTAATAAGTAGAGAAGAGCGGTGCTGAGTGGAGACTCTCATTTAGTTACCCACACTAAATGTGGGTAACTCAGTGCTGGGTAACTTTACAGTCAACAAAGCCTCTCAAATCCCCGTTTTAGAAACCACAACAGAAAGGGCCAGTAGGCTTCAAACACCTTAGGGACCAGCTCTATTTCTTCATCTCCCTATGTCCTCAGTTTTGCATAGGGCAAGCTCACAGGAGGCCTTCATTCCTTCTTCCAAGTAATCTCGAACTGAGCACCTACTATGTACCAGGCACTGGGGCTATCATTTTGGACAAGACAGATGAAGCAGTTTTCATGGAGCTTCCACTGTAATGGTTAATACAGACTATCAACCTGCAGACAAATCAATATAACTCTGGCTGCTGCTATAAAGGAAATCTTGGCTGAATAAATGGCCCAAGTGGCTTATCCCAAATCACAGCATATTAAATGATGGAAGAGGCCAAAACTCAAGGTTCCTGGCTCCTACTTTCTCTCCCCTTACATCTGCTGCCCTCTATCCTTCACTCAGCAAAAGGGCCACACATTTACATCCAAAGAGGCCCAGTCACCAAAGACTCTATGATCCAGTGAAATTTATTCAGGCCTCAAAGCGCTTACCTGCTTACCTCCAAATGAGAATGGAGGGACTAACTGGATCCCACCCTTTCCCAACAAAGCTTACTCTTACAGAGAAGGGCTTAGTAAGGCCTGGGTTCTTGCAGTGCCTATTCCCCAGGGCATGGCTTTAGGTGTTGGCTGTACAGAGAAAACATCCCTGTAGCCCACCAGTTTATTGGCTAGTTCTTTAGGGAAAGTCAGACTACTGGGCCCTGCTTTGGGACAGCAAATCCCTCATGTATTTATTAAGCAGATTTACTAATAAGGTCAGATGGCTAAATCTGACATGGTAGTCTTAGCTTCAACATCACCAAGCTGCAAAGAACCAAGAAGCCTCATTTATATGAATAGAATTCACTGCAATAAATAACAGTAACATCGTTTATGAAATGCTTGGTACGTACTAGGGGCTTTGTGTGTACTAAACAGCCCCTGAGGTATATATGCTCTCTCAAAGATGAAGAAACTCAAACAGGGAATTTCAATAATCGGTCCCCTAAATATACAGCCAGAAAAGTGCAAGGCCTAGATTCTGAGCTGGCGAAGAAGGGCGAATTTGGGATAATTAACACACTCGGATATACAAAAACACAACCGCTAATCCACATGACAGGCAGGCTGTTGGAAAGTTACGAATGCACCGCAAGCAAAAGATGCCACCATGGGCCCAGAGAATGCAGGAAAGTGGGAACTGACTCTTACGCCCTTCCCCCAAGGCGAAGGAAAGGCAACCCCTGAATTCTTAAAATAACTCTCGCTTCCTCTCAGCCGGCAAAAGCACCGGACTGCTCCTCGGCAGGCCGAGAGGCGCCGCAGCGGGAGGGTGAGTTCCAGCCTCCGCTGCAGCCCCTCGACGTCACGCTCCTGCCCGGGGCCACCAGGGAGGGCAACTGTCCGCGGGCCTCGAGAGGGCGCCGGCCGAGCCCCATCTCCCACTGCCAGGAGACCCAGGGTCCAGAGGGGAGATCAGATTGCACAATCCGAGGAGTCCTCTCCAGTATCCCCGCCGCGCGCCCGCTCCGCAAGGGCAGCGGCTTCCCCACTGTGTGCGAGAAGCGGCCGGAGCAGGGACAGCAGCCGGCCCTCGGGCCCTCACCGGGAAGGACACGCGGTGAGCCCGCCCCCGCGCCCGCACCTCCCACCGCTCCCCTGCGCGGCTCCGCGGCGGACACCTGCGGAGCCTCAGTCCCCGCGCCCTGGCTCCCCCGGGCCCGGTCACCCGTCGGCTGAAGACATCTAAGAGCCTTCGCCGCCGGAGCCCAGAGGCGGTGCGGCCAGGAAGCCGCCGCGGGCCGCGCCGATGCCCCCGGCCCCGAGTCTACCCTGCGCCCGGGACTCCGGCTGGTGGCACAGCCGCGGCCCCTGCACCCACTGCCCGCGTGCCCGCGCCCACCCCTGGGCTCGCGCAGAGGACTCACCCGCTCGCGGTGAAAGTTTCGGGGCGGCGGAGCTCCACGGTGACTTGAGTTCAGAGTGGGGGGCGCGACGGGGCGGCCCAGCAGGACCTGCGTATGGGGAGGCTGCTGGCCGGGAACGCTGGACGCGCGGCGAGGGGCTGCTGGCGCGGGGCCGGGGGTGGCGCGGCCGCCCCGCTTGCCGCGGGCTGGAGGCTGCAGCGCGTCTGGCCCGGAGGCGCCACGGCCGGGGAGCGAGCGGCAGCGCGGCCCGGCGCGGCGGGAGAGGAACTGGCTGTCTCTGGGCTCGGCCGAGAGGTCCCAGCTACTTCCTGGTGCTCGGATTTGCATATTGAGCCCGGAGGGCGGGGAAGTGACCGTTTGGTCCCTGCCCAAGGTTTGGGTGTTTGGTGTGGCCGTCGCGCAGGGCTTTGAAGGCACAGAAACCTGGCGACTCAGTCTGCAGCTCCGGGGAGTGGAGCAGCCCGGGCCAGCCTTCTCCTGTAGGGACGGACGGAAGGATCTCCAGAGGAGCCTGGGCTTCGCAGGCACATCGACTACACCTCTCGCGTCTCCTTTCCTTTCCTTCCGACCCATCCCCAAGGTATTATTAGGAAGGGGGTGCTCCCAGGAGCGGAGGAGGTGCGCTCTGATCCCTTCCAACATTAGGGGTTCTCTAGAGAAAGGATGCGATATGCCGAGGTGATGCTCGGGGTCTCGCTGAGTTCTTAATAATCATTACAAAGTAAGTTCCTTAAGGGTGTACAGGAGGCTGTTCAGGGCATTGATGGGGGAGGGGATGACGTAGAGTCAAATGGCCCGGCAAGTTCTCCGTTTCTCAAAGCCTCAGTTTCCTCCCAGGACAATGGATGTGAGGATGCCTATCTCGTGTACCTTTCTGTACAGGGCCCGCACTGCCCGCATGCAGGAATGCTGGCGTTATTTCATTCCTACTACAGCTGCGTCCCAGCATGTAGGGCAGTGCTTGCACGTAGCAGCTGGTGCCTAACCAGTGTTTGCTGAAAGAATGTGTGACCGCGTGCTCAAGCTCATGTTCAACTCAATAAATGCCACTTACAAATCCAAGATGTAAGATTAGGCTCGGGCACCGTGGATACCCACTTCTTCTAAGCCAGATTCTGTTCACTGGGATCTCAGCATTGCATTAATAGCAAACATTTACAGAGGGCCTGATGGGCCAGACACTGCCCAAAGCACTTCCTTTCTCTCATTAACAATGTTCTGAAGAGGCTGACCCCAGCTACAGAGCAATAAGTCAAAGCAGCTGCCTTGTGACACAATCTGATACAGCAGTTATTTGTTACTAGGAAAAGAGTACTAAAGTTTGCATACTAATTCCTTAAAAGAAGAAAGGTGGTTTATACCTGTGATGTTCACTGGTATGTAGTTGTTAGTTTACTGCTGAAGAGAAGGGGTGGGTTGCCCATGGAAATACCCATGGGAAGGTGTGTGATTGAAACCTATCAAGAATCCTATGGAGAAAAATAGAAAAATGAAAAAAGAACAAAACAAAACAAAATGAAACAAAAAACAATGAATCCTACAGAATAATTCACTACCTGAGGGCCTATTGCCTAGACTTTTCTTAAGAATGACCTCTCAAATATATTAACCCTACATTAAAGTTTCTGCTGCTACTGATGAATCCTTGAGATCCTGACTAAACGTGTGTGGCAAATAAGAATAGGATTCAAAAACGTTTGGTATTGGTTAATCTATCAGGAATGTCTGTCAGTGTTTTTGGTAAAATGTCTCTCAGGGTAAGGAACAAAGCATCATCAGGCTTACCTGAGCTTGCAACCAGATCCCCAACTCCCTAACTCCTCACAAAATTGTCCTCACTAAGTTCATCTCTTCATTCTTATTTGGAAAAAAACGATACGATGCTAATTTCCACTTCTTAGGCTGCATTTATACTTGCTGAATACTTCATTCAATCATTCTCCATATCTGTCTTTCCTTCTTAATGTCCCATGAAAGTTCTATTTCTCAGGAAAGTTTTATTTAAAGCTCCTATTGATAGGCAACTTTTTAAAGCATCTGTAGCATGTATGGTGTGCAACATTATTTTAAACTAGACCTAGGTACTTTTTAGCATTGTTTGCCCATGTTAGGCTTGTCTCCTCAACTACTGGTAAACTCCTTTTGGGAAGGCACTGCCTTTTATATTTATCTATTCCCCACTCTACCTCCCAGAAATTATGTTGGGTGCTTTAAAATAGTTCATTAGTATTGATTGATTGGTTAATTGATTGATGACTGATTTATCTCACCAGTTTTCTCTAAATTGAGCACAGAAGGCAGTGATCAGAGGCAGGGTGCAAATCAATTAAGGCTCCTTGACAGGATAGATGGGCCTTTGAAGAAAGGAAGGAATACGATGGGCGGGGCAAGAGAAGGCGGTATTGTAAATACGTTATGTACAGTGTATCCTCATTTTTGCAGATATCATATTTGTGAACTTATCTACTTGCTAAAATGTATTTGTAATCTCAAAATCAATACTTGAGGTGTTTTCCCAGTCACTCATAGATATGCACATCCCAGAGCAGTAAAAATCTTGAGTTGCCCCACGCACACCCTCCCAGCTATAGTGGAACAAGGCGATGCTCTGCCTTCTTGTATTCTTTTTGCTGTCCATTTAGTTTATGCTTTCCACACTTCTGTGCTTTTTGTTGGTGATTTTGCTGTTTAAAATGGCCCCCAAGCGACTGAGCTCAGTGGCTCATGCCTGTAATCCCAGCACTTTGGGAGGCCGAGGTGGGAGGATTGCTCGAGCTCAGGAGTTCAAGACCATCCTAGGCAATATCGTGAGACCCCCCCCACAATAAAAAAATTAAAAAAAATAAAAATAAAAATAAATGGCCCGAAGCGTAGAGCTTGCTAAAGTGCTGTCTGTTGTTGCTAAGCACCAGAGGCTGTGGCGTGCCCACTGGAGAACCGTCCTGCAGGCAGGAGCTACTGTGCTATTGGTTGTGAACTCAATGTAATGAATCAGCCATATATTAAATAAGGTGTCCATTAAACAGAAACACACACCATATAAGGTTATGTATTAATCATAATGTAATGAAAATGTTGTGTCCAGAGACTCACAGGAACCTAAGAAGCAGTGACTCGGTATTCGCTAATTCAGTGTTCACAGTGACTATAGAACATAACTACCACAAATAATGGGACGCAGCATACAAGAGCATCCCATCATCCACTGTGGGAAAATGAAATATCTGACCTCTAGGAACTTCTTCATTAGCACCGCCATCATCATCTCATGCGTGGTCATGGTGCTTGAGGCCAGGATTGGTCATGCTGCTCACCTGTTCATGTTGGTCCACCAAATCATCTGTGCTGCAACCCATCCCACTGCCACTGTGTGGGCTGCCCCTGCTGCCTCTTCTAGTATTCTTCCACCTAACTCTTGCCAACTTGGCCACAGACCTAACTACCAAGTAGCAAATAATACAGAGTAGTGGTGCTCAACCCTGGGGGCACATTAGAATCACCTGAGCTGCTAAAATATCTCCATGCCCAGGCCCTACCTAGACCAGTTAAATCAAAGTCTTTGGGGGATGGGGATGGTGAGGGGAACCCCAATTATCAGAGACTGAAAACCTTGCCAGGTGGTTCCAATGAGCAGCCAAGTTTGGGAACCACTGGTGGAGTGTGCTCCGCCCTCCCCTAGCCTGGAGCTCACCTCTCTGAACAACGTCCACCTTCCTCAAGCCCTCATGCCCCCAGGTCCTCTGTCTTTAAGAGAGTAGCATGTGGCCAGGGGCAGTGGCTCAAACCTATAATCCCAGCACTTTGGGAGGCTGACGTGGGTGGATCACCTGAGATCAGGAGTTTGAGACCAGCCTGGCCAACATGGTGAAACCCTGTCTCTACTAAAAATACAAAAATTAGCTGGGTGTGGTGGCTCACACCTGTAGTCCTAGTTACTCGGGAGGCTGAGGCAAGAGAATTGCTTGAACCCAGGAGGTGGAGGTTGCAGTGAGCCAAGATCACGCCACTGCACTCCAGCCTGGACAACAGAGTGAGACTCGGTCTCAAAAAAAAAAAAAAAAAAAAAAAGTAGCATGGATATATGCCTCTGTGTGAGGGTAAAGTGGTAAGGATTGAGAATATTAAACCTGTATTACTGGGGAAAATGGGTGACTTTAGCACAAGTGATTATAGATACAAGGAATTAATAAAGAAAAACAAAAATTGCTAAGAATTATTTTAGGCTACAAAAAAATTTTAACAACTATATGAAATATTATTTATACATAAATTGCCACAAGGTAGATTTTTTCTTAAATACTTATCCAATGTTAACCGGTATTACAGGCCAGGCACAGTGGCTCACGCCTGTAATCCCAGCACTTTGGGAGGCCGAGGCGGGCAGATCACGAGGTCAGGAGATCGAGACCATCCTGGCTAACACAGTGAAACCCCATCTCTACTAAAAATATAAAAAAAAATTAGCCGGGCATGGTGATGGGCACCTGTAGTCCCAACTACTCGGGAGGCTGAGGCAGGAGAATGGCGTGAACCCGGGAGGCAGAGCTTGCAGTGAGCAGAGATCGCACCACTGCACTCCAGCCTGGGTGATAGAGTGAGCCTCCGTCTCAAAAAAAAAAAAAAAAAAAAACAGGTCTGACATGGAGAAAGTATTTATGGTCAAGTAGGTTTGGCAACTTTTTGAGCTGAACCCAGTCTCACAAAGCTCCTTGTAGCACAGTGATGTCACTGTCAATCTCCATGAAGGAGCTAAGTGTATTTTTGTCCCAGATCATATACCCAGGTGATGGATTTGCTGAAAGCTGCACCTGGGACCAGCTGTCAAGCAGAAGACACAGCTATTGATGTGAATAGAGACCTCTCAGAGCCACCAAGCTAGCCGTTGTTTCATCATCACCCTAAACTAAATTCAGAAAAGCTGAATGTTCATACACCGTAAGACAGCTGAGAGTGGGCAGGAATGTCATGCATCACTGCCACCTGGCACCAGCAGATCTCCTGGAACTGTGCTCGCTGATGTGCTGCTGCCTTGGCCACTGGCATAGGCATCACAGCAAAATAGTTTTGTGTGTGTGTGTGTTTATTTATTTTTTGAGATGGAGTCTCACTGTGTCACCCGGGCTGGAGTGCAATGGCACCCTCTTGGCTCACTGCAACCTCCACCTCCCGGGTTCAAGGGATTCTCCTGCCTCAGCCTCCCAAGTACCTGGGATTACAGGCGTGTGCCACCACGCCCAGGCAATTTTTTTGTATTTTTAGTAGAGACAGGGTTTCACCGTGTTAGCCAAGATGGTCTCTAACTCCGGACTTTGTGACCCGCCTGCCTTGGCCTCCCAAAGTGCTGGGATTACAATTATTATTTTTTGAGATGGAGTTTCACTCTTTTTGCCCAGGCTAGAGTGCAATGGCATGATCTCAGCTCACTGCAACTTCTGCCTCCCAGGTTCAAGCAATTCTCCTGCCTCAGCCTCCCGAGTAGCTGGGATTACAGGTGCGCACCACCATTCTTGGCTAATTTTGTATCTTTAGTAGAGACAGGGTTTCACAATGTTGGCCAGGCTGGTCTCGAACTCCTGACCTCAGGTGATCTGCCCGCCTTGGCCTCCCAAAGTGTTGGGATTACAAGTGTGAGCCACTGCATCTGGCTGACAGTGAAATAGTTTAAATCGTGAGCATGGAAGTGACAAATGTGGGTGCCTGCACTCCTTTCCCAGTATGACAGCAAACCCAGCCTCCTTCATTGAGCTTTACATCACTCTGTGGGGATGGAGCTTGTCCAAAGTAACCTTTCATGATGAACCATCGGGGACCCTTCAGGGCCCAGTCAAGGCCATTGCCTCCCATTTATTCCTTGGCCATGTGAGCCAGACTATGTTTCCATTCACTCATCACCCCCTGTGTGCCAGGAACAAGATGGGGTCCCATATTCAATTCTACAAAAACAGTTTGGTAACAGCCATCAGATGGTGATGGAGCCAGATGAGGATGTTTGTGTAATACTAATAATGATTTTATGTTCTGGTAACATTGTCTGCCTTGTTTGATGTTATGTTGTTTTCATGTATGTATGCGTCTGGTTTGGTGGCCATCTTGGATGTTCAGTTTCTGTCTATGGGTTTTTTTGTGTGTGTTTTTTTTGTTTTTGAGATGGAGTCTCACTCTGTTACTCAGTGGGGAGTGCTCTTGGTTCTCTGTAACCCTCACCTCACCTCTCAGGCTCAAGTGACTCTACAGCCTCAGCCTCAGAGTAGCTGGGATTACAGGCATGCACCACCATACACAGCTAATTTTTGTATTTTTAGTAGAGATGGGGTTTCACCATGTTGGCCAGGCTGGTCTCTAACTCCTGACCTTAAATGAGCCACCTGTCTTGGCCTCCCAAAATGCTGGGACTACAGGTATGCGCCACTGCACCCGGCCTGTCTATCTATGTTGCCTTTGAATAAACGCAGCTTCAAATGCTGCTTCTAGTTTTTGGCTTGGCAGGTGGCATTGGCTGAATCCCTCCTAGTGCTCAAGCCTCATAGTATGATGTAGTTATTACCACTTCTTGTATGTGGCCAGCATTGCTGTAAGACAAGAGATATTTCACAGAAATCAATAGGACCTCTCAGAGCCACCAAGCTGGTTGTTACTTCACCGTCACCCCAAACTAAATTCAGAAATGCTGGATGTTCATACCCCGTAAGACAGCTTGAATTATGGGTAAAGAGGTGTAGGTATGCTTTAATATGAACCTCATTGGCTGGTTTTCCCAGACCCATAAGCTAGTGATAGCATGTGCCCAGCAACAGTGCTAAGGACACCTTGATGGCTTCATTATAGTCACTTTCCATTCCTTACTTCCACCTCCAGAAAAGTCCAGAAAATGCAGAGCATTGCTCCAGGTGACTCAGTAAAATCTCAGCCACACTCTACAAAGTAAAGCTCATCCCAGGGTAGGCTACGGTTTTCTCTGACTCCGGGCACGTCCTTTCGTTGATCTGAATGGTTTATGTGTGTCTGTCCCACGGAAGTCCTGTTTATCTCGATTAGTTATTCTTAAGCTCCAAGAATACCACTATCCTAAAAAATACAACTGTCCTATGACATATGGTATTTGGTTCTTAGTTAGGGATTCTTCAAATCAGATTGTGGACAGGATGCAAAGTTACAAGTGGAAAAACTTGCACTCATAAAGTCAGAAAGGGAGCTGTATTCATTTACCTTCCAACCCAGCAGGAGAGTTTTGACTGAACTCATATGATTTTGAACCTGAATTGCTTGCTTACATGACCCAAGGATGTCAGAAGAGGTTCTTTCTGTACCTGTGATTACTGGAAAAACTACTCAACAGGACTCTGTTTGCTCATCTATAAAATGACCCACATCTAGCTCACACAGGTGCTGGGAAGGTAGCCAAGTGGCCCAGTGTTCCCAATCTAAGGAGAAAAGTGATGGCATGAGGTGGAGGAGGAGGTGGAAGCAGGAGTAGGAGGTTGGCTAATACTATGAGTATACACGATATTGAGAGTATTTTGGGGTGGCTCCGGCCACAACGACAGACACCTTTATGCCTTTGTTTTCACTCACTGCCTTTCTTGACCTCCATCCTCACACAGCTGGGTCTTACCCATCTTTCAAGGACAGTGTAAATGCCACCTCACCAAGGAGGCCTTCAGCAGACACAGCATATCTCTTCCTTCCTTGAAATCCCACAGAAAGGTCAGGCACAATGACTTACACCTGTAATCTCAGCACTTCGGGAGGCAGAGGCAGGAGGATTCCTTGAGCTCAGGAATTGGAGACCAGCCTGGGCAATATGGTGAAACTCCATCTCTACAAAAAATACAAAAGGCCAGGCGCTGTGGCTCACACCTATAATCCCACCACTTTGGGAGGCTGAGGCAGGTGGATCACTTGAGGTCAGGAGTTCGAGACCAGTCTGGCCAACATGGTGAAACTCCGTCTCTACCAAAAAATACAAAATTTAGTTGGGCTTGGTGGTGCATGCCTGTAATCCCAGCCACTCAGGAGGGCTACTCAGGAGGCTGAGGCAGGAGAATCACTTGAACCCAGGAGGCGGAGGTTGCAGTGAGCCAAGATCATGTCACTGCACTCCAGCCTGGGTGACAGAGCGAGACTCTGACTCCAAAAAAAAAAAAAAGAAAGAAAGAAATCCCATGGAAAGTGATGTCTAGTTCTTGTTGACACTTGTCAGTTTATACCTTTATTCTAGTATTGTTATTTATCTACACAGAGTTCTTAATACCAGATGGTGAACTCCTGAATGAGGATCTGGGCCTGTCTGTTTGGTTTCATTTTTATTATTGTTTGTTACCCTAAGCATTAAGTGCAGTGCACGTAAGCAGAAGGTACTCAGAGCGAGTTTGCTAAATGAAAGGTTAGTATGGTGTAAGGGGAAACGCCTACTGTGTCGGAACCCAGAGAGGCAATATTTTGCTTGGTTTGTGGTGAAAAACCTAATGGTGATTGAGTCTTCAATCTGCCTCACGGGCTGGGCAAGTCACTTCTGTACATTTTATACACACACATAATTCTCACAGTAATCTTTGAGGAACATGCTATTAACCCTGTCTTACTTTCAATGCAACTGAGTCACAGAAGGGTTAAGAAAGTTTTCCGAGATCACACAGGTTACTCACAGCTAGTGAGTGATCGAGTCAAGATCTGACTGTGGGCTTAGCTGGCCAGGCCTATGGCCTTTCTGCTGTGCTGCCACACTCCCTCTCCTCATCTCCTTCCATTGTACAGATTCTTCTGGAGCTTTCTGGGATGTTAGCTACCTTGAGAGCACTCATACATACGTCCTGTGTATTCCATAAAGTGGGAACTGTGGAAATATTCAGGCTCAACCCTAATACTTGCGGGGCGATTTGTTGAGAGTAAAAATGGAGGTCCAAGTACCATGTGTCTCATCTGTGTATATCAAGTGGCAAAGGTTTTGTTGTTGTTGTTTGTTTGTTTTGTTTTGTTTTGTGAGACGGAGTTTCACTCTTGCATGATCTCAGCTCACTGCAACCTCCACCTCCTGGGTCCGATTCTCCTGCCTCAGCCTCCCGAGTAGCTGGGATTACAGGCGCCTGCCACCATGTCCTGCTAATTTTTGTATTTTTAGTAGAGACAGGGTTTCACCATGTTGACCAGGCTGACCTTGAACTCCTGACCTCAGGTTATCCACCTGCCTCGGCCTCCCAAAATGCTGGGTACAGGCATGAGCCATCGCACCTGGCCTTCAAGTGACAAAGTATTAAATAAAATATGGTCTATCCTTCTACTTGGACAAATGTACCCTTTTTTTTTTTTTTTTTTTTTGAGATGGAGTCTCACGCCCATTGCCCAGGCTGGAGTACAGTGGTGCAATCACTGCTCACTGCGGCCTCAACCTCCTGGGCTTAAGTGATTCTCCCACCTCAGCCTCCCAAGTAGCTGGGACTACAGGTGCATGTCACACATCACTAGGCCCAGCTAATTTTTGTATTTTTTGCAGAAACTGGGTTTCACCATGTTGCCCAGGCTAGTCTGCATCTCCTGGGCTCAAGTGATCTGCCTGCCTTGGCCTCCCAAAGTGCTGGGATTACAGGCATGAGCCACTGCCCCCAGCCTTAAATGTACCTTTTTATTGGTCAAGGCTCTCCAGAGAAACAGAATCCATAGGAGATATCTCTATTCAGAAGAGAGAGATTTATTCTAAGGAATTGACTCATGTGATTTTGGGGGTAGTGAGTCTGGAATCTACCAGGCAAGCTAGCACGCTGGAGACCCAAGGCTGAGTTGATGTGGCAACTCAAGTTCAGAGGCAGTCTACTGACGGAATTCCCTCTTCTTCACAGAACCTCAGTCTTTTTCTCTTAAAACCTTTAGCTGATTGGATTGTACCCACGCACGTTATGCAGGGTAATCTGCCTTGCTTAATATTTACTGAATTAAATGTTAATCTCATCTACAAAATACCTGGTCTGCCCATGAACACATGGGCAGGGACTTTGGGGTTTGTGGTGCATAGAGCATGGCCTGGGAAGGTTCATGAGCTCCAGAAGAACACAAATCCACAGACTTCTCTCCTGACAGGAGGGCCTACGCAGAGCAGGGCCTTTTATGATGTAGGGAATGGGGTCAGTGTTCTTCTTGTAAGCTCCAGGAATGGAACACATTCGTGCCAGCTTCTATGGTTGGGCACGAGAACCTGAGATTCCAAGAGCTTCCATGACATGCCTCAGGGACTGAGCTCATTCGGCTCAGGGCAAGCACCACAACTGTCATTTTTACAGGTTAAAAATAATTGAACATTGGCAAATGTACATGGTTCAACATAGTACAAAAGTATTGTACTTAATGCTAAATGTATTTTTATTATAAATATAGGCCAATCTTTGAATAAGCTCCCTGAGAAATAAAACAAAAATAAAATCTTGACAAAAGTAGACTGATGATGAAATTCAATTACTATGTAATCTGTGTTGGAGCTTAGTAAATGAAAAATTGACTGGACCAATAGAGATACGGTCAGGAACATAGAAACACAACTTCTGACTTGGTTTAAACTCCTACCTCTTATTTTTCTGGTCTTGGTGGGCTTTAAGGCTAGTTGGGGCCACACAGATGGATTTTGTTTAAGTGGTTGGAATGCTTGGGCTGGAAAGAAACAAGGAGTAAGATGGTGGTTGTAATAATATTGGGGTAAAAGAGACTAATATTTTACAAATTATTTTAGAATGTATAATTTCAATAATTTTGATAAATCTACAAGGCCGAGAGGGTGGATGTGATTTCCACCCAGTTTTTCAACAAGGGAGAAAGTAACTAACATTTATTGTGTGATAGGTATCATCCAAGGGGCATTACATGTATGTCATTTAATCCTCAAAGCCATACCAGTGTGGCTACTCTGTACCTCATTTTACGGATAAAATGATAAGACTTGCTCAAGGTCACATAGCTGGTGAGTGAGGGGCTGCGCCTCAATTCAGGCCTCCTGAGCCAGAACCAGGGTGCTTCCCAACAGTCTCTGTGCCATCGTTCAAAGATGAGCCACCTCATCTGTCATCTCTTTATCTCACATGCACATGCACATGGCCACATCCCAAGTCAGGGTTTCACAGGCACATCCAAGAGGATCCTGAGCTTTTAAAGTTGAGGACAGACCCTTGCCCACCTTTACATTCATGTGCCTGGCTCGGTGCCAGGCACAAAGGTGTCCAGTGAATGTCTGTTAGATGAATGCATTTTTCAATGTATTAAAGATTAATTTTATAAACAAAATAATTTTATGGTTTTATAAATTGATTAAAGGCTAAGTTCTCTAGGGTGTCAGTTAGCCACAAAAATAACCTTTCTCTGAGTAAAAGAATATTGTATGGGAATTATAAGATGTCAGTGCTGGCCCTAGCTCCACCATGTATTATCTGTGAAACCCAGATTTGCTCATTTTTAAGAGGTGGGGTTGGTCCGGATGGCATCTGTAGTAACCTCCAGGTCTCAAATGCTATACTTCTTAGAGGAGCACTGAGTGTGAGGACTTTCGTTGCCAGTTCAGGGCATTTTACCTAAGAAAATGATTCACCATGCCCTGGAGCAATGAACTGGGCAGTGTAAAGCAGTAATTTTGCTTAGGCCAATTCGGAGGCTGCTTTTCAATAAGGAAAAACACTTGAGGGGCATCTGCATACAAAAAAAGGGGTAAGAAGCTTGCCAGGATGAAGAAACTTAAACCTCCACCATCCTTTATGAGCCATTCCAACTAGATACCCATGCTAAACAAAAGAAAATCTTACAGGGACTAGAAAACTAATATGAAATCTTCTGAAGTTCCTTGAAGAATATTTTGTGATCTGAACCTGAAAACTTAGAATACTGCTAAAATATATGGCTGAATAAGGCACATTTCTGATAAAGTGCAAACTGTTGTAAGAGAGTATTTTTCAATTTTAACTTATCCCTTTGGCAGTACCCAGTTTTCAACCCTAAGAGAAAGGTGTCCCAGAGAGATGGGTTCAGGAAAGGATTGAGAACTAATCAAATAAGCTATAGTAATCAAATACCTTATGCTAAACACAGATTGAGGGGAAAAAATTCAAATTTTAGGACAATGTATTAAAATAAATTAAAGAGGCCGTACTATGTATGTATATATAGATATACACATATACATCCACGTATGATGATACATGTGTCACTTAAGTGTGGAAACAGGAATAAGAAATGGGGACCCCTGAGAAGGCTCTATTGGAAATAGCTGGAGGCTTCAGACTAAGTTTCTGAGCAGTAGGTTTTAAGTCCGAGGCAGTAATTGGCAAAGCTCTTCTGTCAAGAAGCAGAGAATTCCAAGACACTACATGTTTTCAGAAAATTGGATTGTTTCCAGCTTTTTCATTAATTTACACATTTTGCATGCCTGGCATTGTACTAATCGAACGGTGGCCTAGCCAACATAAACAATGTTGAATGGCTAATAACTAGCTATAGGGTTGGTGATAAAATGGAAGTAAGTGAAAGCTACAAATATCAGCCAGGCTGTGTGGTTCACGTCTGTAATCCCAGTATTTGTACTCAGGAGGCCGAGGTGGGAGGATCCCTTAAGCCCAGAAGTTCAAGACCAGCCTGGGCACTATGGCAAAACCCATGTCTACTAAAAATAGAAAAATTAGCCAGGTGTGGTGGCACAGGCCTGTAGTGCAAGCTACTTGGGCGGCTGAGGTGGGAGGATCACTTGAGTCCAGGAAGTGGAGGTTGCAGTGAGCTGATGTCACACCACTGCACTCTAGCCTGGGTGTCAGAGCAAGACCCTGAAGAAAAAAAAAAAGAAAGAAAGAAAAGAAAAAGAAAGAAAGAAAGAAAGGAAAGGAAAAAAAGGAAGCTACAAATATCAGAGACCCTTTCTGTACATAATTATTCTGCATTTGCCACACAAAGCTCTTAGATGTCACCTCTTTTTAATATAAGCTTCATCTGTTTGAAGCTATGATTTATTTGGGGGGATACTGTGGTTCCTCTCACAGACTGAAATAATCTCTGTATGATAATACTACAACTTATTTTTTTCTTTCCAATAAAAATAGTTGTTTTGTTGCCATTTTTCACTTTAATGTCATAGCTAGAGAATCAGAGAGCTAAGAAAGTGCAGGAGAAGGAACACAGCAGCTGCCACCACAGCTAGGTGGATACTGGGTGCTTCACATGCTCATTTTTTGTTTCTTCTCACTATAAAGAAACTGAGGTGCAGAGATGTAAAATATCCTCATCTGATATCATTAAACTAGCAAATCTGTTGTTCTGGGATGGAATATAGCCTTTTTTTTTTTTTTTGAGACGGAGTCTCGCCCTGTCACCCAGGCTGGAGTACAATGGTGAGATCTCGGCTCACTGCAACCTCCCCCTCCTGCATTCAAGCAATTCTCCTGTCTCAGCCTCCCGAGTAGCTGGGATTACAGGTGTGTGCCACCATGCCTCGCTCATTTTTGTATTTTAGTAGAGACAGGGTTTCAGCACATTGGTCAGGCTGGTCTCGAACTCCTGACCTCGTGATCCACCTGCCTCGGCCTCCCAAAGTGCTGGGATTAGAGGCGTGAGCCACCACGCCAGCATTTTTTTTTTTTTTTTAAGTGACAGGATCCCAGCCTTGGCAACATGGTGAAACCCTGTCTCTACTAAAAATACAAAAAATTAGCTAGGCATATTGGCGTGCACCTGCAGTCCAGCTACCCAGGAGGCTGAGGTGGGAGAACTACTTGAGCCTGGGAGGGCGAGGCTGCAGTGAGCTGTGATCATGCCACTGCACTCCAGCCTGGGTGACAGAGTGAGACCCTGTCTCAAAAAAAAAAAAAAAAAAAAAAAAGAAAGAGACACAGGATCTTGCCCTGTTGTACAGGCTGGAGTGCAGTGGCATGATGACTGGTTTGCTGCAACCTTCAACTCCTTGGCTCAAGCAGTCCTCCTGCTCAGGTGCCTAAGTAGCTAGGACTACATGCATGTGCCACCATGCATGGCTAATTTTTGTAGAGGCAGGGTCTTGCTATGTTGCTCAGGCTGGTCTCAAGCTCCTGGGCTCAAGCTGTCCTGCCACCTTGGCCTTCTAAAGTGCTGGGTTTACAGGCGTGAGCCACCAATGCCTTTTTGACCCCAGAGCTCATGATCCTCCAGTTACCACATGCTTGCTTTTTCTCATTACGTGCCAACCACAATACTTGCTCTATGTTGTTGTATTTTCTTCTCACACAATGATTTGTAATTGGTATTGTTAATTCCTAGGTTGCAGATGAGGAAGTAAAGCTCAGAGAAGTAACTTGCCAAATATCACACAGCCAGTAATTGTCAGGAAAAAATAATTCTCAAATTCATGTATTGCCTTTGTGTAATATATTAATATCAACAGTCAAATGTTTAATCACAGTGAACTGATTACGCATTCATCCTTTGTCCTATGGATTAGAGTGGTGAATGTAACTTTCTGGTATGAAATAAAATGCTTAAGAAATTTGAGAACACTTGTGAAAGTGAAGTGAAACCTAATTGTTAAGACTATTAAGTCTCTATCATCATCACTAGCTAAAGAAACCACAAATTTAATTCTTTAAGCAAAACCAAAATAATAATTCATTAATTTGTTAATTATTTCTTCTTTCTATACATATTAGCTGACTTTTGTCCTATTCTTGCAAATCCTCTACCATTTTGGCTGGTAGCCCAGTAAGCTGTTGCCTATTTATCTGATGATTCTCTCACCATTCTATTGGGAAGAAACAGAAAATCATATCAAAATCGATATGAGAACTCTGAGTAAAATAGCATGTTACCAAAACAAAAGTATATACCTTTTAGCTTTTTAGAGAAGTACCTATTTTCCCATTAAAAACAAAAAGTAATAGCCAAAACCAATGTCAAGAGTGGGTGTGAGGCCAGATGCGGTGGCTCACTCCTGTAATCCCAGCACTTTGGGAAGCCAAGGCGGGTAGATCACCTGAGGTTAGGAGTTTGAGACCAGCCTGGCCAACATGGTGAAACCCCATCTCTACTAAAAATACAAAAATTAGCCAGGCGTGGTGGTGCGCACCTGTAGTTGCAGCTACTCAGAAGGCTGAGGCAGGAGAATTGCTTGAACCCAGGAGGCAGAGGTTGCAATAAGCCAAGATCATGCCACTGCACTCCATTCTGGGTGACAGAGTGAGACTCTATCTCAAAAATAATAGTAATAAAGAGTGGGACTGAGAGGTGAGGAGAGTACAAATGAACAAAAAATCAATAAAAAGAGGATTTGTACTCTAAAATAAAAATCTAGTTTGTGGGGATTTTATCAGAAATAGTATCCTTCAACAGTGCGTTTAAAATTCTTTCTTTTTGTGCAAAATTGCAACTATAATTATAACGTTTTAGTCTTTGGCTAAAATGTGGTTGCCTTTGCATCTCATACAGGGCCAAAAGAAAAAATTAGAAGCATTGGAAAAACTGCACAGTGACTACAGGATGTCCTGTTGCATTTATCTGAGTAGACAGACCCGTGACTCACTATAAAACTTGACACGTCGGAAATGGTTTTATTGTGCATGGTACTTTTCTCTTCACAAATATTAAACACATAGATTTGAGGATAACAAGTTATATTTGTCCAAATATAAAGGTGTCTGCTATAATTCTTTTTGAAGTGAGAAGTTAATTCTATGCAATGATAACTCAGAAAGTATACACAGCATCCAGTCAAGCCTTATCTCAGAACTCTCAGAAACTCTCGTAATTACCCCTTCTTAAGTAGATGATAATAAATGATATGAGGAAGATGTCTCTTGATTAAATTGATATATTTTACCATTGTTTGGCAAAGTCGGGGTAGCACTCGCTCTATTGAAAAACCTCTTTAGCCTTGAGCCATACAAAAGTGATACATTGCAAAAACTCATCAGTAATCTAATAATAATAATAAGAGCAGCTTCACATGAAAAGGAATGGCAACACTTTCACATTGTGATAAAGCAAAACAAATTCCATGCATTCAGTTTTCTGAATCCTTTAAAAAAAATAAAATAAAATGAAGAACACATACATCTGTTATCTTCCTCTTTTTTTTTTTTTCTTTTTTTTCAGAGACAGGACTTTGCTCTGTTGCCCAGACTGAAGTGCAGTGGTGCAATCATAGCTCACTGCAGCCTCCAACTCCTGGGCTCAAGCGATCGTCTGGCTTAGCCTCCTGAGTAGCTGGGACTACAGGTGTGCACTACCACACCCAGCTGTTTTTGTTTACTTTTAATTTAATTTAATTTAATTTAATTTGCTGCTGTTTTGTTTTTTTGTAGAGACAGTGTCTCCCTATGTTGCCCAGACTGGTCTCAAACTCCTGGCTTCAAGTGATCCTCCTGTGAAATGCTGGGATTACAGGTGTGAGCCATTGTGCTGGGCTGCTTTCTTCCCTCCCCTCCCCTCCCCTCCTCTTCCCTCCCCTCCCTCTCCCCTCCCCTTCCCTCTTCTCTTTCTTTTTTTTTTTTTTTTGAAAGGGAATCTCATTCTGTTGCCCAGGCTGAAGCGCTGTGTTGAGATCTTGGCTCACTGCAACCTCCACCTCCCAGGTTCAAGTGATTTTCCTGCCTCAGCCTCCCAAGTAGCTGGGATTACAGGCACACGCCACCACACCTGGCTAATTTTTTTTTTAGTACAGACAAGGTTTCGCCAGGCTGGTCTCAAACTACTGACCTCAAGTGATCTGCCCACCTTGGCCTCCCAAAGTGCTGGGATTACAGATGTGAGCCACTGTGCCCAGCCTCTTTTTTGTTTTTTTAATATCGGTTTACACCATCTTATTTAGGGAGCCTAAAATGTCTCCTCTGCATAAATGCTTCCCAATTACCTTAGCTCAAACAATCTTTTTCCTTTCAGTGTACATTTATTGCCAAACAACTCTTTAAAAAAGAAAAAGAAACAAACAATTTAACAAAGAAAGATTTCCCTTAGTCACTGGGATTGTTAAATGATAATATTTGGCCCTAGTTTCTTCCATTTTTCATCCTTACGCAAACAAATATTGGCATATTTGTGTGTGTGTGTTTGTGTGTATCTGTACAGGTATGTGTGTGTATGTAGAGTGTGTGTTTAGGGGTGTAGGGATGGTATTTGTATGTGTGTAGGTATATGGTATTTTGTGTGCAAATACAGGTACGTGTGCAGAGCTGTGTGTATGGAGTGTGCATACAGGGATATATATATACACACACAGGTGTATGTAGAATACCTGTGTGGGTAAGAGTGTGTGTGTGCAGGGCTGTGTTGTGTGTAAGGGTGTTTGTATGTGTGCATGCAGGAGTGTTGGCATGCAAGGATGTATGTGGGAGGTGTTATATGAGTATATGTAGGTTTGAGTGCATGCAGATACCAGTGTATGTGTGTAAGGATGTGTGTGTGTGTGTGTGTGTGTGTGTGTGTGGAGTGTAATGTCTGGGAAAGAAGTTTTGAAAAGTGGGCCAGCCATGGGAAAGGATTGAGGTGAAATTAGAAAATAAAGGTGACAGGTGGGAGGCCAGATTGTGCAGAATCTTCGATATGGAGGCAAGGAGTTGACATGCCATTTAATGAGCAGTGGAGAGTCACTGCTGGTGGCTGGCAGGGGCAGGGAGGGGACTGATTATCAGAATCATCGTGGGGCATCACTAGGGTTGCACTATTCCTGGGCATTGAGGGTTTGGATTTCATGGGGTTGGGGTTCATAAGACTGGCCTGAGGATTAAATTAGATACTACACATAAAGGACTTAACGTAGCTTGGCTCATGGGAACTTCTCCAAGGAGAAGGAGAGGAGGTAGAAGGGAAGAGGAGAAAATACAGGGACTTGCAAGGAATGGTTCACTTGGGTAGAGAAAAGAACTTTGCATTCTGTTTTCAACCTTTCAAACCATTCCTACTGTGTCTAATTCAGCCTCAGAGTCTGAATGCCTCCAGTCTGCGTGGAATAATACTCAATATAACTCATACTCAAGGAACTCCAGAAGGGAAGGAAATGCCCTTCTATTCACGTGGGATGGCACTCGCTGCCCATCTTGGGTGGAGTGTTGTCCACTCAGACTTTGTCTTCCAGCCATGGCAGGTGAGGGGCAGCTCACTGATGGGGGGAGGAAATGCAAATACAACTGCAGGACAAAGAGTCCGGCTCCACAACTCCACATCAGCCCTATGTGCAAAATGAAATAAAAAGAAAGAATGACAGCTGTGTGACTTATCATATCAGGATAAGGATAGGGGAGTGTTTGTCCACAGGAAATGGACTGTAGTTCCTCCAATTTCTACCTTATGCTCTTATAGCAGTTACTTTATCTTTTATCTATTGTTATGGACTGAATGTTTGTGTTGTCTCAAAGCTCATATATTGAAATCCTAATCCCAGTGTAATGGTATTAGGAGGTGGGGTCTGGGAAGGTAATTAGGTAATGAGGGTGGAGCCCTCATCAATGGGATTTGTGCCCTGATGAAAGAGACCTCACTAGGTGCAGTGGCTCACTCCTGTAATCCCAGTACTTTGGGAGGCCGAGGCGGAAGGATTACTTGATCCCAGGAGTTCAAGCCCAGCCTGGGCAACATAATGAGACCTTGTCTCTTTAGCAAAATCATAAAATGAGGCAGGAGGATTGCTTGAGCCCAGGAGGTCGAGGCTGCAGTGAGCTGTGATTATGCCACTGCTCTCCTACCTGGGTGACAGAACAAGACCTTGCTTCAGAAAAAAAAAAAGGAAGAAAGAAAAGAAAAGAAAGAGACCTCAGAGCTCTGTCCCTCCCTCTTTCTGCCAAGTGAGGACACAGCAAGAAGACCTGGTGCATCCTAGAGGCAAGGTGCCCAAGTATTTGCATACATTATCTCTTTTTCATTCCCATATTTATTCAACGTGAAGTTATTGTTAAGTGTTTGCTGTGTGCCAAGTGCTCTGACAGGTAGAAATGATCCCCGTTTTGTAGCAGAGGAAATGGAATGTCGGTGAGATTGAGCAACTTGCCGCTAACAACACAGCTGGCAGGTGAGAGTGCAGCTCACAGCCCAGCTCACAGCCCAGCTCATCGACTGAGCACTCCCCCATCCCACCCCACCCCCAGCTTGGTCAGCTGACCTGATGCACAGAAACTTTGTGAAAAATCTGTCCTGACAAACAAAAATTAGCTTTGGCCAGAAGATCAAATAACACACTTGCACACTTGTGTTATCCAGTGTGAAATGCAAATGAATGTGGTGACATCCCCAAACAAGACACCTCTGCAGCTGCCTTTATAACATTATATAATATAATGTTATAGGGTAACAGTCTCTACACTACATACTGCCTCCTTAGGATACAGAAACCCAAGCGGGAGGGAATACTCTTTGGTCTTTTTCAAACACCGTGACACAAGGAGAAAAGAGAGACTAGGAAAGAAAAGAAACAAAGTATCTGGTTAACCATCAAATCAAGCTATAAATTCATTAGAAGATAATTTTTTTTCTAAAAATAACTTTCTGGTTGACTTTGAGGTTGCTGACAAGTTTCAGTCTAATGAATACTAGTTTCTAAAAAAAGTCAGATGAAAATAAATGAAGAAGAAATTTTGTTTCTGATCTGGTTTAAATGTTTTTTTTAAAAGTGAAACTTTGGATTAAATGTAGAACTGGCAATACTGTGAAACAAAGAAGACAATTTTTGAGAACTTGAACTCTCTCAGTACTGTATCTGCTTAGCTTGAGGGTCAAAGTAATAAATTTTTAATAAATTAACAAATTATAAGAGGACACTTTTCAGGATATTAAATTTATTTATTTATTTATTTATATTTTTTGAGACAGGGTTTCACTCTTTTGCCCAGGCTGAAGTGCAGTGGTGTGATCATGGCTCACTGCAACATCTACCTCCTGGGCTCAAGCAATCATCCCACCTCAGCCCCCCAGGTAGCCAGGACTACAGGTGTGCACCACCATGCCCAATTAATTTTTTTATTTTCAGTTGCCCAGGCTGGTCTCAAACTCCTGAGCTCAAGCCATCTGCCTGCCTCAGCCTCCCAACGTTCTGGGATTATAGGTGTGAGCTACCGTGCCTGGCTAAAAGTAAAATTTTAAATTATAAGTTGACTATAAGCACATTATACATACCATGGTAAATAAAGCTGCCGCTGGCCTGAGGATGTCCTGGAAGGGAAAGAGGTCATGAATTGAGGGTGAGCTCGACCCACTGCACAGTTTAGACTGGGCTCCCCACTCATCGGGGTGGGTGGGAATCATAATCTTGTTTGTTTCTTAATTTTTGTTATTGTTTGCTTCTTTTAAGCCTAGATCCTCTGGATTTAGAACACACAGACTTTTGCCAAATTGCGTGCTGATTTTTCTGGTAAACCAAATGTTATAAGCTGAGTAATGTCTGACTAAAATTCCTATGTTGAAGTCTAACCCCCGGTACCTTGGAATGTGACCGTATTTGGAGAAATGGCCCAGTCTGCGATACTTTGCTGTGGCAGCCCTAGAAACCAATATGCCAACCAACCCATAAACAGACAAAAAACCAGGAAAGAACTAAATGCACAGGATTCCAAATCCAGTGGCAGCATCTCCCCTATCATGTCCTTCTTCCAGGATAAAAATACACAGATGGAGACACAACTGTAAATGTAGTGCATGTACAGACACACCCTCCCTCTGCTCACAAGGAGGCCCTAGGAGATGTTGCACCTCAATCAAAATGAACACCCAGTGCCCAGGTCTTGACTTCTAAGAAGATACAGGACTCCCTGGGGAAGAGGCCAATGCTAGGGCTGGGGCCAGGAAGGTACAAGATGAGCTTGGAACACCCAGTTGAGGCTGAAAGTGAGGACTCAAAACATGATGGGAACAGTCCCAAAAGCATACCAGGGCTACCCTAAAAAAGCTCCCACTTGCCAAAGCTGGGTCAATTTAACCAGCTTTGGTTAAATTATAAAATAATGTAAGTAGCAAATTATAATGGAGTGTAACCTGTAGAAGAAAATACAAATCATAAGTCTATGCTGACATTTACTTCTATTTATTTATTTATTTAGAGACAGAGTTTTGCTCTGTCGCCCAGGCTGGAGTACAGTGGCGTGATCTTGGCTCACTGCAACCTCCACCTCCCAGGTTCAAGAGATTCTCATGCCTCAGTCTCTGGAGTAGATGGGATTGCAGGCACGCAGCACCATGCCTGGCTAATTTTTTTTTATTTTCAGTAGAGACAGGGGTCTCGCTATGTTGCCCAGGCTGGTCTCCAACTCCTGGTCTCCAATGATCTGCCTGTCTTGGCCTCCCAAAGTGCTGGGATTACATGCATGAGCCACCGCGCCTGGCCTGTGCTGACATTTAAATGGGAAGCTTGATGAGGAACAGAATACTTACCTACTTTCAAAGCTTCTCTTCAGAAAATACTTAGTTATAAAGGGGAAAAGAGTTAACCATTCAGTGGAAAAACCTGGCCGACATCAATTTCAAGGGGTCAAAATAATCATCAGACAAACTGGTATTGCTACCATCTTCTAGGACACACAGAAAGACATGGCATCACCAAGGAAGCAGAGCCTGAGTCAATCATAAGAAGAAGCATCAGACAGGCCTGAGTGAGGGACTTTCTTCGAAATAACTGACCTGTAATCTTCCAAAGGTCCCAGGAACTGTCCTAGTCTAAATGATACTGAAGAGATCTTCGCTCAATGCAATGCCTGACTCTGATCTGGAAGTCTTGCTCTAAAGGACATGGTTGGGACAACTGGCAAAACCTAAAGGGTATCTGAAGATTAGATGGAAGTAATACATCAGTGTTAATTACCCAATTTTTATCCTTGTTCTGTGGTTTTGTAGGAATTGTGTAGAAAGTATTAAAGGGTGATAGCGTTTTAAAATAGGATTTATTTATTTATTTATTTAGAGACAGAGTCTCCGTCTGTCACCTAGGCTGGAGTGCAGTAGCACAATCATGGCTCACTGCAGCCTCTGCCTCCCAGGCTCAAGTGATCTTCTAGCCTCAGCCTCCTGAGTAGCTGGGACTCCAAGGCATACTCCACCATGCCTGGCTAATTTTTGTGTTTTTTGTAGAGATGGGGTTTTGCCATGTTGCCCAGGCTGGTCTCCAACTCCTGGACTCAAGCAATCCTCTCACCTCAGCCTCCTAAAGTGCTGGGATTATAGTTGTGATCAACTGCACCTGGCCAGGTTTCATTTTTATTTAGGTATAATGAGGGCAACAGATCAGGAGACAAAGAGTTTTTTGGCTAGGTGCAGTGGCTTATGCTTGTAATGTGTTCTGGGAGGCCAAGGTGGGAGAACCACTTGAGTCCAGGAGTTTGAGACCACCTTGGTCAACATAGCGAGACCCCAGCTCTGCAAAAAAATTTTTTAAATTAGGGCAGGCGTGGTAGCTCAAGCCTGTAATCCTAGCACTTTGGGAGGCCGAGGCGGGCAGATCACAAGGCCAGGAGTTCGAGACCAGCCTGACCAACATGGTGAAGCCATGTCTCTACTAAAAATACAAAAATTAGCTGGGTGTGGTGGGGCTTGCCTGTAATCCCAGCTACTCAGGAGGCTGAGGCAAGAGAATCGCTTGAAACCGGGAGGAAGAGGTTGCAATGAGCTGAGATTGCGCCAAAAAAGAAAAATTAGCCAACTGCCAGGCATGATCACTCATGCCTGTAATCCCAGCACTTTGGGAGGCCAAGGCGGGCGGATCACCTGAGGTCAGGAGTTCGAGACCAGCCTTGCCAACATGGCAAAACCCCATCTCTACTAAAAATACGAAAATTAACCGGGCAACAGAGTAAGACTCCATCTCAAAAAAAAAAAGAAAAGAAAAAAAGAAAAGAAACAAGAGAGAGAATAATTTCCGACTGTACCCACTTTCTCTGCTATATTTAACTTCTGGAGGGCAAGGAGAATGTCTTGTTCACTCTGCATTCCCCAAGGGCTCAGAACTTTCAAACACATAGCGTGAACTCAATAAGGGTTGAACAAAAGAGTGAATGCATCAGTGAGAAAACGAAAAGGTCAGGCCAGGGGCAGTGGCTCACACCTGTAATCTCAGCACTTTGGGAGGCCGAGGTGGGCACATCATGAGGTCAGGAGATTGAGACCATCCCGGCTAACACGGTGAAGCTTCGTCTCTACTGAAAAATATAAAAATTAGCCGAGGCCGGGCACGATGGCTCATGCCTGTAATCCCATCACTTTGGGAGGCCGAGGCGGGTGGATCACGAGGTCAGGAGATCGAGACCATCCTGGCTAACATGGTGAAACCCCGTCTCTACTAAAAATACAAAAAAAAAAAAAATTAGCCGGGCGTGATGGCGGGCTCCTATGCTCCCAGCTACTTGGGAGGCTGAGGCAGGAGAATGGCGTGAACCCGGGAGGCGGAGCTTGCAGTGAGCGGAGATCGCACCACTGCACTCCAGCCTGGGCGAAAGAGCGAGACTCCGTCTCAAAAAAAAAATTCGCCTAGCATGGTGGCATGCTCCTGCAGTCTCAGTTACTCGGGAAGCTGAGGCAGGAGAATCGCCTGAACCCAGGAGACGGAGGTTGCACTGAGCCGAGATTGCGCCTCTGCACTTTAGCCTGGGCAACAGAGCAAGCCTCTGTCTAAAAAAAAAAAAAAAAAAAAAGGTCTTGCTGTTCACTCTGTGTGGTTAGCTCCTGACCAGTTTCTGTTCTCTCTGTTCATGTGGTGGACAGTTTGGTGTCACAGCTTGGGGTTTTCTCCTAAATCACAGTCTACTTAGTTTTTCAAGATTCTCTAGGCTGGGCGAGGTGGCTCACGCCTGTAATCCCAGCACTTTGGGAGGCCGAGGTGGGCAGATCATCTAAGGTTGGGAGTTCGAGACCAGCCTGACCAACATGGAGACACCCCGTCTCTACTAAAAATACAAAATTAGCCGGGTGTGGTGGAGCATGCCTGTAGTCCCAGTTACTCAGGAGGCTGAGGCAGGAGAATGACTTGAACCCGGGAGGCAGAGGTTGCAGTGAGCCGAGATTGTGCCATTGCACTCCAGCCTGGGCAACAAGAGCAGAACTCCGTCTCCAAAAAAAAAAAAAAAACAAAAAACAAAAAAAAAACAAAGTCTCTAGCAAGTACAAGAGGTCAAATTGTAAAACTGTCGTAACTCTGATTCTCCCTCTTTCTTCTTTTGCCACTGGACATTTACTTAGACCCTAAAAAGTACAAAATCAGATTTAATCTTATGGGTGTTAATAGCAGCCTTTCATTCTGTTCTGTACTGGACAAGTGGCCATAATTTCTCAAATGAGAGTTAGCATTTGGCAAACAGAAAATTTTACATTAGTGAGCCTAGGAGTTTGAGGCTGCATTGAGCTATGATCATGCTAACCTGGGCAATAGAGTAAAACCCTGTCTCAACAAATAAATAGATAAATAAATAAAAATTTTATTTTATTATTGTTATGATTTTCTTTTGGAGATGGAGTTTCACTGTCGCCTAGGCTGGAGTGCAGTGTCACAATCTCGGATCACTGCAACCTCTGCCTCCCAGGTTCAAGTGATTCTCCTGCCTCAGCCTCCCACTAGCTGGGACTACAGGCATGTGCCACCACACTCAGCTAATTTTTATATTTTTGGTAGAGACGGAGTTTCTCCATGTTGGCCAGGCTGGTCTCGAACCTCTGAACTAAGATGATCTGCCTGCCTTGGCCTCCCAAAATTCTGGGATTACAGGTGTGAGCCACCACACCTGCCCATAAATAAAATTTTAAAAGAAACATTTTAATTGGGACTTTCTGTCACATCTGGTCATCGTATCACAGGAGCTGCAGTGGCGTCTCTTGCATATGCTATGGAACAGAATCTCCGTGGAGCAGGGAGGGCTGCCATGAGACCAGCTTTGAGGCTGACAGAAGGAGGAAGGGAAGGTGTGCCCAGGGAGGGACATCATGTTCCGTTCCCAGTGACCAATCCTCTATGGGTCTTGAGGATGGTTGTGGACTGAGGGAGAAGGGGGAGAAGAAGGAAGGACACCCCCAAGCTGAATGGGAAAGAAAAGGAAGCCCTGGGGTCAGAAAGCCATCTGGCTGGGACCCTGCTCCCTGGTCGGTTACTGTTCAAAGATGACCATAGGTTGGGACACGGAAGACAGCTAATCAGGGGCCCTTGTGCCACCCTCAGAGATACCAAGAATGACAGAAACTGATGAATGGAATGTTGTATGAGGGGCGGGGTGTGGATAGATGATTTTGTCACTTTAGAGGCATTCATGGAAGGTAGAACCATAATGAACTATGTAGGAAGTTAAAGAGTGCGGAGATGCAAGAATATTTGAAGGTGAGGCCAAAGCTGGGTTACTCACCAGGCAGCCTGTGCAGGTGCACGGGCCATGAGCAAAGTAGGGAGGGGCAGAAAGAAGGGAAATAGAAGGTGGGAAGCAAGAGAGGGAAAGCATTACCTCGAATTTAACAATCAGAAAATCTAGGCCAGGCAAGCGGGCTCACGCCTGTAATCCTAGCACTTTGGTATGCTGAGGCAGGAGGATCTCTTGAGCCCAGGAGTTCAAGACCAGCCTGGACAACATACCAAGACCCTGTCTCTACTTAAAAAAAAAAAGAATATCTAGAATGAAGGTATGTTGTTTCAGCATACATATATTTTTGTATTTTATGGCTTATTCTTCTATCCCTTGGGTTTTGCCCCACATGTGAAGTGTGCTGAGGGGCAGACCAAAGGAGAAGGGAATGCAGCCACCAGGGACAGACCCTGTCAGTGAGGGAGATGTCCACCTGTCTGACCTGGCAAGGCATGGTTTATGTTTACAAAGGTCAGTTCAGGCTGGGCACGGTGGCTCACGCTTGTAATCCTAGTGCTTTGGGAGGCTGAGGCAGGAGGATCACTTGAGCCCAGAAGTTTGAGACCAGCCTGGGCAAGGCAACATAGTGAGATCTTGTCTCTACAAAAAATAAATTTCAGTTTGGCCTTTCAATCATTTCAAAATAGAACTTTACACCTGGGATACAGGTTTTAAAAAATATTGGAAAAGCTTCACTGTCTTCAAGACTTTGCAAAATTAAACAGCTACTTGAGAGGTGTTATGATCTTTGTCTAATTTGCCTTGTCTAACTGTTGCAGGATGTGTGTGATTATATAACTAGGAATGTGAGACACTATTCCTTGAAACAATTTTTGGGGAAAAGCTACAGCCCTGTGGTGACTGAAAACAGACAGCAAGGTAGCATGTCCTGAAGACACACAGGGCAAGAGAGGGCTGGCTGGCAGACCTCCCTCTGTCACTGCAGCCATCCTGCAGGCTCCCCATTGAGGAACCAGTTCCTCCAAGAGACTTCCACATTTTCCTGGAGATTCCACATCCCCACCCCACCCCTACCCCACCCCTACCCCACCCCCACCCTGCTGTCAGCCTGGGGGTTGGGAGACTTCTGGTAGGTCCTGTGGCTGAACTTGAGCTGGGCCTAATCCACTTTACTGCGCTCTCCATGGAAGGGCCCTGCAGGGTAAGCAGGCTTAGGATTGGCTGGCTTGGATGATTTCAGGGGCCTGGGGAATATGGGCTGTTCCATAGTTGTTTGGTCCCTGGCCCTGGGTGATTAGAACAGGTACATAATGGCCCCAAGTGTGAGAGCCCTTTAATAAAGGAGGTGGCGGGGAGAGGGCTCTGGATTGGATGCTGTGTTCTTCTCCATGTATGACCAACTGCAGCCTCTCCCAAAACCTTAGCAGATGGTTTGCTTTGTGCTCCATTCCGGAAATAACTTTTGGCCACTTGGAAAGGAGCCGGTCAATTATCAGGAGCCATCTGTATTTGGGTGTTGCTGTCTGTTTCCTCACGCTTCTATGACCAGGAACTGCCTCGGCCTGTGCTGCGCTGTCTGTGGTCGGTATAAATCTAGTTTCCTACAGTCTTTTCAGACTATACTGCTTTAATAAATCTACAGCTGTCTTTATACCAGGTCCAAATAGGTAAATGAAAAGTTAAAACATTTAATCAGGCCAGATGTGGTGGCTCACGCTTATAATCCCAGCATTTTGGGAGGTCAAGGCGGGTGGATCACTTGAGCCCAGGAGTTCGAGACCAGCCTGGGTAACATAGGGAGATCTCCTCTCTAGAAAAGAATAATAAATAAATAAATAATTTTAAAAAGAAAGCTTTTTTTTGGAGATGGAGTTTCGCTCTTGTTGCCCAGGCTGGAGTGCAATGGCATGATCTTGGCTCACTGCACCCTCTGCCTCCCAGGTTTGAGCAATTCTCCTGCCTTAGCTTCCCAAGTAGCTGGGATTACAGGCACCCACCACCATGCCTGGCTAATTTTTGTTTTTTTTAGTAGAGACAGGGTTTCACCATGTTGGCCAGGCTGGTCTCAAACTCCTGACCTCAGGTGACCTACCCGCCTTGGCCTCCCAAAGTGCTGGAATTATAGGCATGAGCCACTACACCCGGCAAGGAAATATTTAATCAGATTTTTTGGTAGACATAATGGACCATTCAGATGTTCCCAGACGCCCAGCTATTCAGCATCATGTAGATGCATCCTAAGAGGAGCTTGTTGTCCTAACAGCATGTCAGTTATCTCTCTGTCTCTTATCATCAGGCATTCTAACCCCCTAAAAGGTAGAGAAAATCTTATCCCATGGGCAAGTCATAGTAAAAAGATTACACTTTATGGGCACCAAAAGAATATGAAGTTAATTTTCCTCCTTTATATGCACCAAAAAAATATGAATTAGATAGCCCAGATGTGGAGGCTTGTGCCTGTAATCTCAGCTCTTTGGGAGACTGAGGTGGGAGGATTGCTTAAGCCTGGGAGTTTGAGGCTGCAGTGAGCTATGATCCAGCCACTGCACTCCAGCCTGGGCGAGAGAGTGAGACCCTGTCTCTAAAAATACTTTGAAAAATGAAAACAGTACAACTTAGACAGAAATCCAGACAAGGCTAGAGCCGAGATGCCTGCTCCTTGAGGTCGCCATTGCTCTCCTAAGCTCTGTGCCGAAGGATGTTCCGAGGCCCTGTGGCTCTTCTACGTAGACACGCACAGGCTATGTAGGTAGAATGGGGTCCTTAACTATCCAGCAATAAACAATCATCCTGGATGTTGCATTTTCCTCAGAAAAGACCTGAAAGGGATATGGAGTTTGAGTGGGGGAAGGAGATGTTACAATCCTCATGGTAGGGCTTTGGAGATTATGGAACAGTGAAGCCGGCCTGTAAGGGGCAGACCATTCCTCCCTTGTAGATTGTAGCTGATCACTGCCGTCTATCTGATTGGCTGTGAATGAGGTGACTGCCTCCAAATGAAGAGTAGAACAGATCGGGAGGTGGGGGGCGCAATCAGAGGATTTTTGTCCCTGTGGTTCCAGGAAGTAGGCACATTGCTGAAGAAGGCCAGGCAGGAGATAAGGCCATTGTTTGAGCAGCAACATCCAACAGAAATATATCACCAGCCACACATGCCATTTTTCATGTTCTTTTCTTTTATTTTTTTGAGACAGGGTCTTGCTCTGTCACCCTGGCTGCCAGGCTGGAGTACAGTAGTGTAATCATAGCTCACTGCAGCCTTGAACTCCTGGGCTCAAGTGATTCTCCCACCTCAGCCTCCAAAGTAGCTGGGAATACAGGCATGTGCCACCTCGCCTGGCAAATTTTTAATTTTTTGTAGATACAGGGTCTCAGTATGTTGCCTAGGCTGGTTCATTTTTCATGTTCTAATAGCCATGTTAAAAAAGGAAAAGAAGTGGCCGGGAGCGGTGGCTCATGCCTGTAATCCCAGCACTTTGGGAGGCTGAGGCGGGCGGATCATCTAAGATCGAGAGTTTGAGACCAGCCTGACTAACATGGAGAAACCCCATCTCTACTAAAAATACAAAAAAAAAAAAAAATTAGCTGGGCGTGGTGATGCATATCTGTAACCCCAGCTACTAGGGAGGCTGAGGCAGGAGAATTGCTTGAACCTGAGAGGCAGAGGTTGTGATGAGCTGAGATCACACCATTGTATTCCAGTCTGGGGAACAAGAGTGAAACTCCATCTCCAAAAAAAAAAAAAAAAAAACGGAAAAGAAGCGCGGGCCGGGCACGGTGGCTCAGGCCTGTAATCCCAGCACTTTGGGAGGCTGAGGTGAGCGGATCACAAGGTCAGGAGTTCGAGACCAGCCTGGCCAGCATGGTGAAACCCCGTCTCTACTAAAAAATACAAAAAACTAGCCGGGCATGGTGGCATGCACGTGTAGTCCCAGCTCCTTGGGAGGCTGAGGCAGGAGAATTGCTTGAACCCGGCAGGCTGAGGTTGCAGTGAGCCCAGGTTGTGCCATTGCACTCCAGCCTGGGCAACACGGAGAGACTCCATCTCAAAAAAAAAAAAAAAAAAAAAAGGAAAAGAAGCTACTTTCATTGTACCATATATTTACCCCCAAACACCTAAAATATTATTATGAAATGTGTTATTAATATAATAATAATTTTTTTTTGGTAGAGATGGAGTCCCACTATGTTGCCCAGGCTAATCTCGAACTCCTGGGCTCAAGCGATCCTCCTGCCTCAGCCTCTCAAAGTATTGGGATTACAAGCATGAGCTACCATGCCTGGCTAGGAATTATTAATATTCATATATTTTACACTCATTTTTTGTACCATTACTTCAAATCGAGTGTGTGCTTTCTTTTTTTTTTTCTTTTTTGAGATGGAGTTTCAATCTTGTTGCCCAGGCTGGAGTGCAATGGTGTGATCTTGGCTCACTGCAACTCTGCCTCCTGGGTTCAAGCAATTCTCCTGCCTTAGCCTCCCAAGTAGCTGGGATTACAGGCATGCACCACCACACCCGGCTAATTTTTTTGGTATTTTTAGTAGAAACGGGGTTTCTCCATGTTGGTCAGGCTGGTCTCAAACTCCCGACCTCAGGTGATCTGCCCGCCTTGGCCTCCCAAAGTGCTGGGATTACAGGCATGAGCCACAGTGCCCGGCCCTGAGTGTGTGTTTTTGTCTTGGACTGGCCACATGTTGCCCTTAGCTGCATGTGGCTTTAGCTGTCCTTACAGGCAGGCTATTCCAGGGGCAGAGGTGACCACCCTTGTAACCCTGAGCTTCCAGCTCCTCTTCTGGAAGCAGAAAGCAGAGACTATGTCATTAGTACTATCAGAAACCTGGTTCTTTGGACTGTAGTTACGTTTTATTTTTGACGAGGTCTTGCTCAAGGCTGGAGTGCAGTGGCATGATCATAGCTCACTGCGGCCTCCAACTCCTGGGTTCAAGTGATCCACGCACCACAGCGTCCCAAAACTCTGGAATTAAAGGCATGACCTCTGCGTCCTGGCCTGTAATTACTCTTTAAGTAGTTCCTCCTTTGGTTGCCCTCCTTTTTGTTTTATAAATGCCAGGCTGCTGTGTTGTGCTGAGTAAATCTTGGGAGTTCATTGTATGAACTTTTCATGGGAATACTTCAAATAATGTAGAGAGAAGCAGCCTCGGGCTGCAGACATGCTGGGTGGATGAGGAGGGAATCCCAGAGAGACACACTGGATTCTGAGCCTCATTGGAGGTTTCCTGGCCCCTGCCTACTTGGGGCTCTTCCAGCATTTTCAGTGGAAGCCCAGGAGAGCAGCCAAATCAATGCCCTTCCAGGAGATCAGATAAGTGGGACATGGAAATAGAGGAACATGGAGGGAAAGGGGAATAAAATAAATGGTAATTGATGGAAGATAAAGACCCAGAAACAGCAAGCTTAATAGTAACACAAAGCCAATAGAAGCCACATGCCGGGACTGCTGCTCAATGTGGCACAAATAATTCAGAGTATGCTACAAACCACTGGAAAGAAAAGAGAAAGGTAGATCAATAATTATAATCATCAAAGGTAGATCAATAATATATATAATAATACATAATAAGATCAATAATTATAATAAGTGCGGTGGCTGACACCTGTAATCTCAGCATTTTGCGAGGCCGAGGCAGGTGGATCACAAGGTCAGGAGTTCGAGACCAGCCTGGCCAATATGGTGAAACCCCGTCTTTACTAAAAATACAAAAATTAGCCAGGCGTGGTGGTGGACCCCTGTAATCCCAGCTACTGGGGAGGCTGAGGCAGGAGAATCACTTGAACCCGGGCGGCAGAGGTTGCAGTGAGCTGAGATTGTGCCACTGCACTCCAGCCTGGGTGACAGAGTGAGACTCTGTCTCAAAAAAAAACAAAAAAAACCACAATAATAATAATAATTACAATAAAAGAAACCCTCTTGAAGGGCAGAGCAGCCCCCTGGGCTTTTCTGGACCATTCAGTGTGAATGAACACAGGGTGACCTGGCAATTGCAAAACACCTAGGATTATTGTCACCAACAATAAAGGAAATAATTATACTAATCAATTGTTTGAGCAAAGCTTTTGACACCTCCCCCGGTAATCAAAAATAGGCTCACAGGTAATTTAGTGTATAAAAACAAAACAAACAAAAAATATAATCCTAGAAAGAAAATCCTTTTGTCCAAACTTCATTGCAGACCAGGCATTTGAAAACGTCATAAACTGTAAACAGCCATTTAAAGTGCTTCTGGGGAGCAGGCCTTGGGATGAGAGCACTTTTTTGGAAAACAGCAATTTAGAACTGAGGCAGCTTGCTCAGAAGTTCCAATCCAGCGAAAAGCCCCCAGTCGCTAGCAGAGCAAATGGAGACCTCCTGCCCTTTTGACTTCAGCACCGGGACTTGCATGCAGGTCTGTCAGTGAGCTTTCCTGCAAACCTCAGAGAAGAGCTCAGGTTCCGACAATGCCCTGCCCTTCTCCCCAGGAGAAGCTTCCCTTGGTTTGTGGAGTTTTTCTCCTCTGTTCGTTCCGCAGAACTCCCCTGAGTTCACATTCACGGGGAACAACAGAGCCTCGTTAAGCGAGTTACAATGGGAAGCTGGCAGGGATGGCCGGGATACCGTGATATCCCACTGGGGTTTCCCTTTGAAATCTTCCTATGGTCTGAGACCAAAAACAGCAATCAATGAGATGACTGGAAGGAAGAGAAGCTGCATGAAAGGCATTCAGAAACCTACACTTATCTCCTGGGGCCCCCACCCTGTCCCTTGAAGCCATCACAGGGTTCTCTGGAGAGTGTATGGCAGTTGGAGCCACTATCTTCCTCCTCACTATCTCTCCAACCCTGCCCCGATTCCTCATGACTCAGCCTGAGGCGGGGAGATTAAGAATTCAGACTGTGGGCCGGGCGCGGTGGCTCACGCCTGTAATCCCAGCACTTTGGAAGGCCGAGGTGGGCGGATCACGAGGTCAGGAGATCGAGACCACGCTGGCTAACATGGTGAAACCCCGTCTCTACTAAAAATACAAAAATATTAGCCGGGCGTGGTGGCGGGCGCCTGTAGTCCCAGCTACTCGGGAGGCTGAGGCAGGAGAATGGAGTGAACCCGGAAGGCGGAGGCTGCAGTGAGCAGAGATTGCGTCACTGCACTCCAGCCTGGACAGAGGGACAGAACCAGACTCCGTCTCAAAAAAAAAAAAAAAAAAAAAAAAAAAAGAATTCAGACTGTGTAATTACCCCTTTGTTAAAACATATTGCTACACATTTCACGTATATGTGTAGATGTATATAGGTTTTACTTTAATTATGCAAAAAAGCGTCCACTTCTTATCGGTAAAATATTCTACATCTGCACATGGAGACAGATGCTTAATGGAAAGGGATATGGGATCATTTTTTACAGCCCACAGACACTTTGATTTCTTGCTCAGAGGACTTCATTCACTCAGTGCCTTTCATGAGGTCAACTTTGTTCTAGATACCTTGCTAGGCGTTGGGGACACAAAGATGACTCTCGCTCTATCTGGGTGGACGACAGCACTTCATCCACCAACAGAAGGGCCCGGAGAGTTTTAGGGTTAAATGTGCACGTTAGGGCCGGGTGTGGTGGCTCACACCTGTAATCCCAGCACTTTGAGAGGCTGAGGCAGCTGGATCACTTTAGATCAGAAGTTTGAGACCAGCTTGGCCAGCATGGTGAAACCGTGACTCTACTAAACATATAAAAAAAGTTAGCCGGGCATGGTGGCTTACACCTGTAATCCCAGCTACTCAGGAGGCTAAGGCAGGAGAATTGCTTGAACCTGGGAGGCAGAGGTTGCAGTGAGCCGGGATCACACCACTGCACGCTAGCCTGGGCGACAGAGAAAGGCTCTGTCTCAAAAAAAAAAAAAAAAATGCACCTTAGATAAAGTAAAAATAAGGTAGGTGTGCTGTTGCATTGCAGATATACCTAGAGAGGTACATAACATATTTTTGGTGAGGTTGGAAAGATAAAGGTAGGGTAATTACAGAATATAGTAGAAACTTCTAAGCTAGAAGTTGAGGAGCAGTTTTGGATTTTTGTTTTAAGATGCAAGGTACTTAAGATCAGGTGCTAGTGACTGAAGCTGGACATCTAAAAGGTAATTTATTTTTTATTTTTATTTATTTTTTTTTTGAGACAGGGTCTCTCACTGTCACCCAGGCTGGAGTGCAGTGGTGCAGTCATAGCTCACTGCAGCCCCAACCTCCCGGGCTCAGGGGATCCTCCCACCTTAGCCTCCTGAATAGCTGGGACAATGCCTGGCTAGTTTTTGTATTTTTTGTAGAGACAGGATTTCGCCATGTTGACCAGGCTAGTCTTGAACTCCTGAGATCAAGCAATCTTCCAGCTTTAGCCTCCCAAAGTGCTGGGATTACAAGCATGAGGCACTGCGCCCAGCCAAAAGGTAATTTAATAATAACCACAAGGTCATCCAAATTAGAAACAAGACAAAACAATGCAATGAGGGGTGGGGGGCAACGAATTTGAAAGTTCTTTAAAAGCATCAGCTATCTTCCTGAAGGTTATGAAACCGCCTTTGCAAAATTATAACTGAGACAATGAAAGAGATCTAACTTAACCGACTCCATCTTGCTTCTAACCTCCAAGCTGTCTTTGTTCATTCCTGGGCATTGGCTGAACCAACTTTGGGAGAAACTTAGTTTGTAGTTTATAGTTTGTTTATTTATTTATTTGGAGACAGAGTCTCACTCTGTCGTCCAGGCTGGAGTGCAGTGGCATGATCTCAGCTCACTGCGCCCTCCACCTCCCAGGTTCAAGCCATTATCCTGAATCAGCCTCCCGAATAGCTAGGAGTACAAGCATGCACCACCACACCCGGCAACTTTTTTTTAATTTTTAGTAGAGACAGGGTTTTGCCATGTTGCCTAGGCTGGACTCAAACTCCTGAGCTCAGGAAATCCACCCGCCTCTGCCTGCCAAAGTGCTAGGATTACAGGCATGAGCCACTGGGCCCGGCGGTTTTTTTTTGTTTGTTTTTGTTCTTTTTTTGAAGAGTCTTGCTGTGTCGCCCAGGCTGGAGTGCAGTGGCACAATCTCGGTTCACTGCAACCTCCACCTCCTGGGTTCAGGCAATTCTGCCTCAGCCTCCTGAGTAGCTGGGATTACAGGCGCACATCACCACGCCCGGCTATTTTTTTGTATTTTTAGTAGAGAGGGGGTTTCACCATGTTGGCCAGGCTGTTCTGGAACTCCTGACTGTGATCTATAGTTTAAACAAAGACGGCAACAGCCCTTTCCCAAAGCAGACCTCCTTCTTGCCTGGGGACTAGATTGCCTTTGCAAGACTAACATTAGTCACAGGATTAGAAATTATGGTTTAGGAGTCTTGCAGCTGGAGGCTACAAGATTCTGACCCTCCCTAAACTGCTCCTGAGATCAGTGCTTGAGATATTTTGCAGACCCTGCACTTGATGGATCAGCTGGCACCACCCAGACTGATAAACTGGCTCCTCTGATCTTGTGGCCCCTACGCAGGAACTGACTCAGTGCAGGAACACAGATTCGTCTCCCTGTGATTTCATCCCTGACCAATCAGCACTCCTGGCTCACTGGCTTCCCTCCACCTACCAAGTTATCCTTAAAAATTCTGGTCGCTGAATGCTCAGGGAGACTGATTTGAGTAATAATAAAACTCCGATCTCCCGCACAGCCAGCTCTGCGTGAATTACTCTTTCTCTATTGCAATTCCCCTATCTTGATGAATCGGCTCTGTCTAGGCAGCGGGCAACGTGAACCCCTTGGGCAGTTATATTTAGAGTGTTCTCTGTCTTCAGCATTGTTTTTAGTTTGCATCACCCAACCCTGAGTGGGGAGGGAAGTGGTGCTAGGTCTTCTCAGTGTCTCGGGTGGGTGTGGGGGCTTCCACGGAGGCTGAGATCTAATTTTATTTTCCCAAACACTTAACTATTGGAGAAAAAAAATCCCTTTATTGGCATATAAATCCTTTCTGACTTCAAGTGTTTAGCAGCTACTCTCATTTGTTTACTGAGTTTGTGATGAGAGAAAAGAGGGCTTGCAGCCCCAAAGAAAGGCGGGAGGGACCCAGTAGAGCTGGGGGCTGCCCGCCCCCTGGCCTTCGCATAAAGAGCGCCTTAGCAGGTCTACTGAGAACGGGCCAGCTGTTAGCCAGCTGGTCACTCAGGAGGAAGCCCGGGGAAGAGAGAAGTGAGAACGTTTCAGCCAAGTAACTAAGTGCACAGCCACCCTGACCGTGGCCGGAAAACCGCGAATGGAAAAAGAAAAACTGCCCCGAGAAACTCTGAGAACTTGCAGTAAGTGCACAATATCCGTACCAGAGCTTAATTTCTTTACCTGAACTTAAAAACATGCACATACTTTGTATTTTAATTGCAGCGACCTCTCTCCTGTGCTAGCCCGAGGTCCGGAGTCTTACAAAGGGCTTAGTTGAGAGTGCACGATTTGTGAGTCCTCTTCAACTTGGTGTTTAAGGAGAGCGGGGGTGAGCTCAGTGAATGCGGTTTAGCAGGAGAGCATTTGAATCCCACAGAGGAGCCAGCCTATGCCCTAGTTCTAAGGCGCCTCTGGTCCTGTGTGACCGCGCCCGGGAGGCAACAGCTCTGAGCTCAGTTTCCTCCTCAGCAAAATGTAGCCAATGACGGCGTTGTGAAGCGTGAATGAGATCAGGTCTATGAACGTCACTTTGTAAACCCTTAAAGCACCATTTCAATCTTTCATTAAATATTAACTGAAAGGAGCACTCACATAGAAATGTCAGTGTCTACCCCCAACTAACTTTCCCCTCTTTTCTCACTTCTTCTTTTTCACAGAACCAGGCTACACATCTTGTCATTAAATTTAATCAATAAACATCTAGTGAGTTCTACTCAAGACACTGAGCTAATTGGTTTATGTTCAGCACCGTCAAGAACCTTACCATCTAGTTGGGAAAAACCACACAAAACACATTCGAAGTTTTTAATGGCACTCATGTCAAATTATGAAAGAAGAATGGAAGAGGTCTCTCCTTAGCAAATGATTAATTACTGCGTTAGTCTGCTAGGAGTGCCGTAATAAAGTAGCACAGACGGGGTGGTTTAAACATCAGATATTAATTTTCTCACAGTTCTGGAGGCCAGAAGTCTCAGCTGAACGTGTTAGCAGGATTGGTTTCTCCTGACACTTCCGTCCTTGGCTTGTAGACGGCCATCTTTTCTCTGTCTTCACAGGGTCTTTCCTCTGTGTGCCCCAGTAGCTCCCCCTGTATCCAAATTTCCTCTCCTTATAAGGACATCACTTATATGGGATTAGTGCTCACCTCATTACCCCATTTTAACTTAATTACCTCTCTAAAGACCCTATCTCCAAATACAGTCACATTCTGAGGTCCTGAGGGTCAGGATTTCAACATATGAATGTTTGGGGAGACAGAATTCAGCGCATAATCGTTACCAAACCAGAGGTTTAGATGCTGTCAGGGGAGTTTTCTTACAGAAAGAGCCAAACATGCAATCCTTCTTGGGTGCTTTTGATGACAGGCTGACTATAAGTTAGAGCTATTTGTACTAGTGCTACAAATTTGGCTATCTTCTAGTTAAATAAATTCAATAAATCCTGGTTTATTTTTACGTCTACAGGATATTGTATTAAATATTCAAATTGAATAAAAATATTTAAATCATCATTTGAATAAACTACTTCTCTTGTGAAAAACAATACATTTATTGCAACTTAATTATTTTTATCTTTTCCCTCTCTCCCTCCCTTATTCCTTTGGAATGAGGAGGCCCCGTGGGCTGTGGAGATTTTTGCCCACGAATGGGCTGTGGTAACTACAGCCACAGACTACAAATGCTGAACCGAGGGGTAGGAGAGGCGTGGAACCTCTTAATAGAGGAGGTGGCCCTTAAACTGGGGACCAATAGATTGATATATTCAGAAATTCATTTCTGCCAGATTGTTGTTATGACTGCACAGAAGTTCTCCACTGAGTTTTACATAGCATCTCTACAGTACTTCTACATAGTATTGCTCCACGTGGATGAACCACAGTCTATTTAAAAATCCATGGTTTTGTTGGGAAATTGGTATGGGGGAGTGAAGCACAGGTGCACGTGTTAGGACCCCAAAGATGGTGAACTGTGCCTGAGGAGGGCGAAGCCAGAGGACACTCTGGTGGAGGTCCGTTGCAGTGCTGTCGTGCAAATCCATCGTCCGACCTGGGTATAGGGGTGAAAGACTAATTGAGCCATCTACTAGCTGGTTCCCTCAGAAGTTTCCCTTAGGATAGTTGGTGCTCTCCCAAAACCCAACCCACACAGTTTTATCCAGTAAAGTTAATATTAGAGGTCCTGGGGCCAAAATGATCTCAACCTATTCTCAAACTTTAAATGGGTAAGATTATTATTGTTGTTATTTTTATTTTATTTATTTATTTATTTATTTATTTATTTTTTGAGACCAAGTCTTGCTCTGTCGCCCAGACTGGAGTGCAGTGGCGCCATCTCGGCTCACTGCAAGCTCCGCCTCCCGGGTTCACACCATTCTCCTGCCTCAGCCTCCTGAGTAGCTGGGACTACAGGCGCCCGCCACCATGCCCAGCTAATTATTTGTATTTTTTAGTAGAGACGGGGTTTCACCGTGTTAGCCAGGATGGTCTTGATCTCCTGACCTCGTGATCCGCCCGCCTCGGCCTCCCAAAGTGCTGGGATTACAGGCATGAGCCACCGCACCTGGCCCTTGTTTTTGTTTTTGAGATGGAGTCTGGCTCTATTGCCCAGACTAGAGTGCAATGACGCGATCTTGGCTCCCTGCAACCTCCACCTCCTGGGTTCAAGCGATTCTTCTGCCTCAGCCTCCCAGGTAGCTGGGACTACAGGCACCCACCACCAGACCCAGCTAATTTTTGTATTTTTAGAAGAAACAGGGTTTCACCATGTTGGCCAGGCTGGTCTCGAACTCCTGGCCTCAAGTGATCCATCTGCCTGTCTCAGCTTCCCAAAGTGCTGGGATTATAGGCATGAGCCACCACGCCTGGCCTGAATGGGTAAGATTATTAAAAAAAAAAAAAAAAATCATGGCTTTGGGGTATCTAGGCCATTTTCAACTCTTGACTCAAAAGAGTGCTCAGTGGACATTTATTTATTTTATTTTACTTTTATTTATTTATTTATTTTGAGACAGAGTCTTGTTCTGTCCCAGGCTGAAGTGCAGTGGCATGATCTTGGCTCACTGCAACCTCTGCCTCCTGGGTTCAAGCGATTCTCCTGCCTTAGCCTTCCGAGTAGCTGGGATTACAGGCATGCACCACCATGCCCGCCTAATCTTTGTAGTTTTAGTAGAGACGGGGTTTCATCATGTTGGTCAGGCTGGTCTCGAACTCCTGATCTCGTGATCCACCCCCTCCCCTCCCTTGGCCTCCCAAAGTGCTGGGATTACATGCGTGAGCCACCACACCTGGACTCGGTCTTTTTATTTTATTTTTTTAATTTTTATTTTTTGCGATGAAGTTTTGCTCTTTTTGCCCAGGCTAGAGTGCAATGGAGCAATCATGGCTCACTGCAACCTCCGCCTCCTGGGTTCAAGCAATTCTCCTGCCTCAGCTTCCCAAGTAGCTGAGATTACAGGCATGTGCCACCACATCCGACTAATTTTTGTATTTTTAGTAGAGACAGGGTTTCGCCACGTTGGCCAGGCTGGTCTCGAACTCCTGACTTCAGGTGATCCACCTGCCTTGGCCTCCCAAAATGCTGGGATTACAGGTGTGAGCCACCACGCCCGGCCTCAATCTTTTATAAATGTGAAAACCATTCTTAACTTGCTGGCCATCTAAAAAAACTGTTGGGCAATGACTCAGACTGTGGGCCATAGTTGGCTAATCCCTGACTTAGAAATGAGAAATTTGAAAAATTTACTGCTATGCTCTGCTTAGTTACAAGAAATGGAAGGACGGTTGCTTGGTGCAAGGTATATAAGATATGGCATGCCAGCCACAGGGTGAAGCTTCTTGTTGTAAGTATTTCTAGAGACTGGCGATGGCCATGGGTGAGTCTGGACCTGCTGGGTGCCCTGGCTGCACTGGCCTGTTGCATGACAGCTTTCAACAAGGGCCACAACATGTTTTGAGTGAAAGAACACCTGCCTACAATGCTACCCAGACGCAAAGGCAGAAAGCATAGCAAATGAAATCTTTCCATCCAAGCAGGCTTTTCCGGTAGTGAAACTAAAAAAGCAGCAGTACATACCAATGAATGTTTTAACATTTCTACTTGAGGACATGATACGGTGACCACAGCTGGAGCTTGTCCACCCTGAATGTACAGTGGAAACTAGCAGGCTTCCTAGGCAGGGGAGCTATTCATGAACAAGCCCATGGATGGGGCCCTTAACTGCCCTTCATATTGGCTCTGCACTGAGTCCCATTTCTTTTCTTTTCTTATTTTTTTTTTTTTTTTTTTGAGAAAGAGTCTCGCCCTGTTGCTCCGGCTAGAGTGCAATGGCGCGATCTCGGCTCACTGCAACCTCCATCTCCCAGGTTCAAGCGATTCTCCTTCCTCAGCCTCCTGAATAGCTGAGATTACAGGTGCATGCCACCACACCCAGCTAATTTTTTGTATCTTTAATAGAGTCGGGGTTTCACCGTGTTGGCCATGCTGGTCTCAAATTCCTGACCTCATGATCCGCCCGCCTCGGCCTCCCAAAGTGCTGGGATTACAGGCGTGAGCCACCGCTCCCAGCCCCCATTTCTTAAAAGTTGTTTAGGAAGTAACAGGAACAATAAGCTGTGTTTTCTTAGCACTTCCATGCCAGTACAGCATCATTACCATGTCACGGTTTAAGCAGAGGAGATTCAGGGAGACACTGAACCACAAACACAGGTATTAATGACTCTAAAGTTGTTTGTTTGTTTGTTTTTGATAGAGTCTTATTCTGTCACCCAGGCTGGAGTGCGGTGGAGCGATCTTGGCTCACTGCAACCTCTGCCTCCCAAGTTCAAGCGATCCTTCCACCTTAGCCTCCCAAGTAGCTGGGATTACAAGCATGTGCCACCACACCTGGCTAATTTTTGTATTTTTAGTACAGATGGTCTTTCACCATGTTGACCAGGCTGGTCTTGAACTTATGACCTCAAGTGATCCACTCGCCTCGGTCTCCCAAGGTGCTGGGATTATAGGCGTGAGTCACCACGCCTGGCTGATGACTCTAAAGTTTTTAAGCACCATACTACACAATCTCTTAATTTATCCTCCTGATTATTTTGTAAAGTGGGATTTTTTTTTTGTTTTTTTTGACGGAGTCTCACTCTGTCGCTAGGCTAGAGTGCAGTGGTGCGATCTTGACTCACTGCAACCTCCACCTCCCGGGTTCAAGCGATTCTTCTGCCTCAGCCTCCCAAGTAGCTGGGACTACAGGCGTGTGCCACCATGCCCAGCTAATTTTTGTACTTTTAGTAGAGATGGGGTTTCGCCATGTTGGCCAGGATGATCTCAATCTCTTGACCTCGTGATCCGCCCACCTTGGCCTCCCAAAGTGCTGGGATTACAGGTGTGAGCCACTGCTCCTGGCCTAATTTTTGTATTTTTAGTAAAGATGGGGTTTCACTGTGTTGGCCAGGTTGGTCTTGAACTTCTGATCTCGTGATCTGCCTACCTTGGCCGCCCAAAGTGCTGCAATTATAAGCATGAGCCACCACGCCTGGCCGGGAATTGTTGATTCTATTTTCTTTTCTTTTTTTTTTGAGACAGAGTCTTGCTCTGTCACCCAGGCTGGGGTGCAGTGGCACAATCTCGGCTCACTGCAAGCTCCGCCTCCCGGGTTCATGCCATTCTCCTGCCTCAGCCTCCCCAGTAGCTGGGACTACAGGCGCCCGCCACCACATCCAGCTACTTTTTGTATTTTTAGTAGAGACGGGGTTTCACCGTGTTAGCCAGCATGGTCTCGACCTCCTGACCTCGTGATCTGCCCGCCTCGGCCTCCCAAAGTGCTGGGATTACAGGCGTGAGCTACTGCGCCCGGCCGATTATATTTTCATGAGCAAAGTGTCAGAGACCCTGAATGAATTATCGAAAATCATAGAGTAAGTGCCCAAACTGGATCAAATTACAGTCTTAAAGCCCCAAGCCCAATATCAAGAAGTGTTTATGATTAAAACAATGTGATCAGGAAGGTGAAGGTTTTAGGATTCAAAATAACAAAACACAGTAACTCAATTTTTTACCTTTTCTCTTGGTTTTCTTGTTCTCCACCTTTCATCTGTTTGTTTTTTTTTGAGACAGTATCGCTCTATCCCCCAGGCTGGAGTGCAGTGGTGCAGTCTTGGCTCACTGCAACCTCCGCCTCCTGGGTTGAAGCAATTCTCCTGCCTCAGCCTCCCAAGTAGCTGGGACTATGGGCACCCACCACCATGCCTGGCTAATTTTTTTTTTTTTTTGAGACGGAGTTTCGATCTTGTTGCTGAGGCTGGAGTGCAATGGTAGGATCTACAGCTCACTGCAACCTCTGCCTCCTGGGTTCAAGCAATTCTGTTACCTCAGCCTCCCAAGTAGCTGGGATTACAAGCACGTGCCACCACGCTGGTATAATTTTTGTATTTTTAGTAGAGACCATGTTGGCCAGGCTGGTCTGGAACTCCTGACCTCACGTGATCCACCTGCCTCGGCCTCCCAAAGTGCTGGGATTACAGGTGTGAGCCACCACGCCTGGCCTGCCCAGCTAATTTTCAAATTTTTCATAGAGACAGGGTTTCACCATGTTGGCCAGCTGGTCTCAAACTCCTGACCTCAAGTGATCTGCCTGCTTCGGCCTCCCAAAGTGCTGGGATTACAGGCATGAGCCACCGTTCCCGGTTGTTCTCTCCCATTCACCACATTCTAAGACACCACAACTCTAATAGAATGCCTCTAAATACTAATTTGCAAAAAGAAATCATAAAATTCTTAAGAAGGTAGTTTTCACATAATGAAAATGGAAGGTTTCTTATTAGCATTCTTGCAACTGTCTTTGATCCCTCATTTTTTCTTTATAATGGCTAATACTTAGCGAGTGCTTACCAGGTGCCAGACACACAGAGCACTTTACAAACATTAATCACGTAATCCTTATGACCATTTATGAGACAGGTGTCATTATCTTTATTTTTCAGATGGGGAAACCAAGGCACAGAGAGAGAGAGACTCATTTCTAGACTCACCTCTGTATCCCTTAGGTCTAAGGCATAGAGGGTCATCAGTTCAAGTCTCATTTGGGCAGAAGTCATAGTGATTCTGGAGACAGAGTACGTCGGTATGAATCCTGGCTACCATACTTACTAACTAGCTCTTTATTTATTTATCATTATTTATTTATTTATTTATTTTTTATTCATTTATTTTTTGAGATGGAGTCTCGCTCTATCTCCCAGACTGGAGTGCAGTGGCACGATCTCAGCTCACTGCAACCTCCATCTCCCGGGTTCAAGCGATTCTCCTACCTCAGCCTCCCAAGGAGCTGGGATTACAGGCGTGCACCACCACTCAGCTAATTTTTGTATTTTTATTAGAGACGGGGTTTTGCCATGATAGCCAGGCTGGTCTTGAGCTCCTGACCTCAGGTGATCCACCTGCCTCGGCCTCTCAAAGTGCTGGGATTACAGGCGTGAGCCACTGCACCAGGCCATATTTATTTATTTAGAGACAGGGTCTTACTTTCTCACCCAGGCAGGAGTGCAGTGATGCAATTATGTCTCACTGCAGACTTGACCTCCAGTGCTCAGGTGATTCTCCCACCTCAGCCTCCCGAGTAGCTGGGACTACAGGCGTGCACCATCAGGCTTGGCTAATTTTTTTTGTTTGTTTGTTTGAGACAGAGTTTCGCTCTTGTTGCCCAGGCTGGAGCGCAATGGCGCAATCTCGGATCACTGCAACCTCCGCCTACCGGGTTCAAGCGATTCTCCTGCCCCAGCCTCCCAAGTAGCTGGGACTACAGGCATGCACCACCATGCCTGGCTAATTTTTTTGTATTTAGTAGAGATGGGATTTCATCACATTGGTCAGGCTGGTCTCGAACTCCTGACCTCAGGTGATCCATCCCCACCTTGGCCTCTCAAAGTGTTGGGATTACAGGCGTGAGCCACTGCGCCTGGCCAGGCTTGGCTGATTTTTTTATAGTATTTTTTGAAGAGATGAGCTCTCCCCATGTTGCCTAGGCTGGTCTCAAACTCTTGGACTCTAATGATCTGCCCATCTTGGCCTCCCAAAGTGCTGGGATTACAGGCGTGAGCCACCGTGCCCGGCCTATGCTTTACATTAAAGATATCATTTACTTAAGTCATCCATTAATTAGTAAAGATTTTAGAAGATATTTTTCAAAATGATGCAAAATTCAAAAAATAATTGATAAAATGCGAATTACATTTTAATGTCTCATAAATGGAATTACTAAGAAGCAGTAATGAATATCTGATGACAGTTCAAATATCTACCTTTCATACCCTGTGTAGTATTTTGTCCATTTTTTCTATGCTTCGTTTCATATTATATATACTGTGTGATGGTTTTATTTTCATATAATACAAAATCTCAAATCAGATGGTGTCCTACCTGTTATAGTTGTCTGGTAAAATGCAACTAGAAAACATTTCTCTCTAGAGAGAACTTTGACACCAGATGGTGCTACTATCACTAGCAATCTGATAAGAAATTAAAAAAAATTAAAAGCCCTTTGTGTGAAAGTCAGTTCTGGGGAGATGAGCCACAGTTGTTTCAAACTGGTCTGCATTTTCTCCAAGACAAGAGTATAGGGCTATTCCAAGGAACAGTATCTTTCCTAGCATAGGTGTTAACTTTTGTGGACATGTATACACGTAGTAAGTCTGCAGTGGGGCACAAAGAGCACAAATTGCCTGAGTGTGCTGGGGTCCTAACGGGTAGACCTTGAAATTACCCTTTTCAGACCACTCTTGGCTCCCCTGGGGCCTCTCATGTTTGTCTGAGGTAACCAAGGACAGAGTAGGACAATATAGATGTGCTGGCCCCTACAAAACTGAGCAGACAGTAATCACAGGACCCGCTCTGGTCAAGCATGAGGTGGTAGCCAGACATAAGAAAGGGGCCATAGAGTGCTCTACTTCGTGCCATAGAATATGCCTTAGAGATTCTTTTGAACTGTAAACATTTCGAAAAAAAAAAGCATGTTGTTTTCACAATCTTTTTTTTTTTGAGACCAGGTCTCACTTTATTGCCAAGACCGAAGGACAGTGGTGTGGTCACAGCTCACTGCAGCCTCGACCTGTGGGGCTCAAGCGATCCTCCCACCTCAGCCTCCCAAATAACTGGGACCACAGGTGTGAGCCAGGATGCCCAGACAATTTTTGATTTTTTTGTAAAGGCAAAGTCTTGCTATGTTGCCCAGGCTGGTCTCAAACTCCCGGGCTCAAACTATCCTCTCACCTCGGCCTCTCAAAGTGCTAATATTACAGGAGTGAGCCACCATGCCCAGTCTTGTTTTCATAGTCTTAATAGTCATACTGTGTAAGGACTACATAACACTGCACTGAATGGAGGTAATAAAATTTACTTAGCTGTACCTCTCCATGGAACATTTGGGCTGTCGGACTGAGGCTGGACTGGACCAAGGGCTAAAGACCAAGAGGCCAGGATGGATCAAGTCAGTGTCTGGAGGCTAACTGGAAATAGACAGCTCGGTAGCCAGTCTGATCAATGCATCACTGTGGAGAGTCGAGTAGGGACAAGGCAACAGACAGATGCCAGGGACACCAGACAAGAAACTGCATGAGAATGAAAGATACCTACTTGGATCCTCCAGCTGTGACCACAGGCTTGGTTTGGAAGTGAGCTTTAAAGAGCTCTCAGCCATCTTGCATAGCTTTTGCAAAAGGCACTTGTGATAGCATGGCCAGTGAGTGGGTGAATGATTTTTATCATAATAGACTAGCATTTGCTCATTCATCCAAGACCCACATCCAGTCTACATCCAAAAAGAAATGGCTGTAACAATTACAGTAGTCCCCCTTATCTGTGGGAGATAAGTTCCAAGAACCATAGTGGATGCCTGAAACCTTGGATAGTACTGAGCCCTATATATACTATGTTTTTCTCCTTTACATACACATCTATGATAAAGTTTAATTTATAAGTTATGAACTGGATGAGATCAAGAGCAATAGCTAATAATAAAATAGAACAATTATAACACATACTGTAATAAAAGTTTTGAGAATGTGGTCGCTCTCTCAAAGTATCTTATTGTACTGTACTCACCTATGTTCTGACCTCAATTGACGGAGACTGAAACTGTGGAAAGTGAAACCACAGGTAATGGGGAAACTACTGTTTAACAAAACCTTTAGCATATACATTTACTATTTTAAATGTCAGTTACATAATTCTCAATTATTTGAAGGATTAAAAAAATCATGAATTAATTTCAATTGGGACTGGAGTAAATTGGGCATTGTTGCAACCTTAATTTAGAACTTCCTAAACTCTTACTTTAAATACAGGAAAAGACTGATCTTCATATTCCTAGGTCTAAGGAGGATTTAGTGTTTCATCCTCCATGCTGTAAAATGCAAATTTGGTAATTTCACTTTCTGGGTTAAAGTCCTGTGGTTCCCTATCACCCAAGGATGAAGTCCAAATTCCTAAGCATTGTAGCTTTAATTATAAAGTAGCAAAAGCCTCAAAATGCAAAATAGCATGCTTTTTGTTCTCCAGAAATCTAGATCTGCATTATCTAAATGGAATTCTTTAGCAAATAGCTACATGTGGCTGGTGAAAATATGAAATGTAGCTGGTATAAATTGAGATGTGCTGTAAGTTTAAAATACATAGCGCATATTGGCTGGATGTGATGGCTCACGTCTGTAATCCTAGCACTTTGGGAAGCCGAGGAAGGAAGATCACCTGAGGTCAGGAGTTCGAGACCAGCCTGGCCAAACATGGCAAAACCCTGTCTCTACTAAAAATACAAAAATTAACCGGGCGTGGTGGTGCTTGCCTGTAATCCCAGCTACTCAGGAGGCTGAGGCAGGAGAATCGCTTGAACCTGAGAGGCAGAGGTTGCAGTGAGCCAAGATTGTGCCACTGCACTCCAGCTGGGTGACAGATGGAGACGCTGTCTCAAAAAAAAAAAAAAAAAAAAGCCCTGTCGCGGTAGCTCACGCCTGTAATCCCAGCATTTTGGGGGGCTGAGGCGGGCAGATCACCTGAGGTCAGGAGTTTGAGAGCAGCCTGGCCAACATGGCGAAACCCCGTCTCTACTAAAAATAAAAAACCAAACCAAAACAAAACAAAAAAAACTAGCCGGGTATAGTGGTGCACGCCTGTAATGCCAGCTACTTGGGAGGCAGAGGGCAGAAGAATGGCTTGAACCTGGAAGGCGGAGGTTGCAGTGAGCCCAGACCACGCCATTGCACTCCAGCCTGTGCAACGGAGAGAGAATCTGCCTAAAAAAAAGAACAAAAAACACCAAAAAAAAAAAAATAGTGGATATCAAAAATTTATTTAAAAAGAACAGTAAAATCTCTCATTAATAATTGTTTATACTGATTTCATGTTGAAATGATATTTTGGGTAGAGTTAAATATATTATTAAAATTAATTTCACTTATTTAATTTTTTAAATGTGACTACTTGAAAACTCAGGGTGCAGCATACCAAACACACCAACATGACATGTTTATGCATATGTAACAAACTTGCATGTTGTGCACATGTACCCTAGAACTTAAAGTATTAAAAAAAAAACAAACCATTGATTTTTACATTTAAAAAAAAAAAGAAAATTCAAAGTTACATTTATGGCTCACATTATATCCCTATCAAACAGTGCAGATATAGATGATTCCCATTAATATTCTTTTTTTTTTTTTTGAGATGGAGTCTTACTCTGTCGCCCACGCTGGAGTGCAGTGGCGGGATCTCGGCTCACTGCAACTTCTGCCTCCCCGGTTCAAGCAATTGTCCTGCCTCAGCCTGCTGAGTAGCTGGGACTACTGGCAGGTGCCACCACACCCAGCTAATTTTTATATTTTTGGTAGAGATGGGTTTTCACTATGTTGGCCAGGCTGGTCTCAGACTCCTGACCTCAAGTGATCTGACCCTCTCAGCCTCCCAAAGTGCTGGGATTATATGTGTCAGCCACTGTGCCCGGGGCCTCCATTAATATTCTTTAGTATTTTCACTAGGCACCTCACTTAATTACAGAATGCCTATCCCATTCAAAGCTTGAGAATCAACCTATTTTCTCTTGCTGAAAAGATAGCTTTGTTTTACCAGGTTTCAAGAAACTGATAATGGGTTGGGAAGAGTAATGCATTGCCCATGGGGCTGATGCTAATCTGCCCCTCTCCTGTGAGCTCTGCCTCCAGAACCTCTCTCAAATCTGCCCCTCTCCTGTGAGCTCTGCCTCCAGAACCTCTCTCAAATCTGCCCCTCTCCTGTGAGCTCTGCCTCCAGAACCTCTCTCAAATCTGCCCCTCTCCTGTGAGCTCTGCCTCCAGAACCTCTCTCAAATCTGCCCCTCTCCAGTGAGCTCGGCCTCCAGAACCTCTCTCAAATCTGCCCCTCTCCTGTGAGCTCTGCCTCCAGAACCTCTCTCAAATCTGCCTCTCTCCTGTGAGCTCTGCCTCCAGAACTTCTCTCAAATCTGCCCCTCTCCTGTGAGCTCTGCCTCCAGAACCTCTCTCAAATCTGCCTCTCTCCTGTGAGCTCTGCCTCCAGAACCTCTCTCAAATCTGCCCCTCCCCTCCTTCCCCAGGGCTGGCTGAGCACCCCTCAGGGTGCATATGGTCTCCCTGCTTCTCCTCTGGTCTAATTCTTTTGTGTTAGAGTGACCTCTCTAAGAGGGGGCTCTTTACCTGGAAACTGCAAACCACTAAGAGGATCATGGACAGAATTTAGGCTGTCTGTGAACGTGGATGTCAACACATCAAACAAAAAAGCAGCTTTTAGCAGTATCTCTGCTTTGCCACTGACAGAAAGGTAGATATTTTAGGGTAATATTCTAGCTGCTGTAATACCACCACTGAAATTGTAGTACTAGTAGACCCTCCAGTAGATGTTATTTAATGTGTTAATGAAAAAGCACACATTTATTATACCACACATTTTCTTGACATTTTCATAGCTAAGGCTTTTTATTCTTATTTATTTATTTATTTTTGAGACGGAGTCTCACTCTGTCACCCAGCCTGGAGGGCAATGGCGTGATCTCTGCTCACTGCAACCTCTGCCTCTCGGGTTCAAGCCATTCTCCTGCCTCAGCCTCCCAAATAGGTGGGATTACAGGCACCTGTCACCACGCCTGGCTAATTTTTGTATTTTTAGTAGAGATGGGGTTTCACCATGTTGGTCAGGCTGGTCTCGAACTCCTGACCTCATGATCCGCCCGCCTCGGCCTCCCAAAGTGCTGGGATTACAGATGTGAGCCACTGCGCCTGGCCTCTAGGCTTTTATTCTATGCATTTATTTATTACTTATTTTATTTTATTTGAGATGGAGTCTTGCTCTGTCACCCCAGCTGGAGTGCAATGGCATGATCTCGGCTCACTGCAAACTCTGCCTCCCAGGTTCAAGCAATTCTCCTGCCTCAGCCTCCCGAATAGCTGGGATTACAGGCGTCCACCACTATGCCCGGCTAATTTTTTTTTTTTTTTTTTGTATTTTTAGTAGAGACAGGGTTTCACTGTGTTGGCCAGGCTGGTTTTGAACTCCTGACCTCAAGTGATCCGCCCACCTCGGCCTCCCAAAGTGCTAGGATTACAGGCATAAGCCACCGTGCCTGGCCTTATTCTATGCATTTAAAAGCATTTTTTTTTTTTGAGACAGAGTCTCGCTCTGTCGCCCAGGCTGGAGTGCAGTGACGAGATCTCGGCTCACTGCAACCTCCGCCTCCTGGGTTCAAGCAATTCTATGCCTCAGCCTCCCGAGTAGCTGAGATTACAGGGACCTGCCACCACGCCTGGCTAATTCTTTTGTATTTTTAGTAGAGATGGGGTTTCACCATCTTGGCCAGGTTGGTCTTGAACTCCTGATCTCGTGATCCACCCACCTCGGCCTCCCAAAGTGCTGGGATTACAGGCGTGAGCCACTGTGCCCGGCCTAATTTTATTTTTTTTTCTGACTTGGAGCCCTTAGGCTTCACCAAGCTTTCAAAGCCTGAAAGCCTCCCACTGCCTTCAGGAGGCAGCCAGTACTCACTCCTCCGCTCAGCACAGGAGACCCTGCTATCTCATCAGCCATAACTTCGGTGACTTCTCAGTGAATTCAGCATTTACTGATGCCCACATATGCTCAGCCTTCATTTGCCTTTGTGCCTTCTAAATCTGTTTCCTTCCTTGGAATGTCTTATCCCAACCTTTTAACCTGGAAACTTTCTACAGTCTCCTATGATAATGTACCATACAGTTCAAAGGGCAGACTTTTCATGTACACGGCTCCTGGAGGGAACAATATGGGTCTTTATCTTTATTGTCCATCGCCCATTCCAAGTTTCCCTGAAGTGTGGTATGCACTGTTCTTTTTTTTTTTTTTTTTTGAGACGGAGGCGGTTCTGTTGCCCAGGCTGGAGTGCAGTGGTGTGATCTCGGCTCACTGCAACCTCCACCTCCTAGTTCAAGCAATTCTCCTGTCTCAGCCTCCCGAGTAGCTAGGACTATAGGCGCGTGCCACCATGCCCAGCTAATTTTTGTATTTTTAGTAGAGACGGGGTTTCACCATACTGGACAGGCTGGCTTCGAACTCCTGACCTCAGGTGATCCACCTGCTTTAGCCTCCCGAAGTGCTGGGATTACAGGTGTGAGCCACTGCGCCTGGCCTGCAGTGTTCTTTTAGATAACAAATTAATGAACATTTTTCATATTAATATGCAAATATTAAGAGAGTGATTTCTTATTTATGGCAGTATTTGTAATTCCTTTACAAATCACTTTTAAGTTTAAAAATTAAGTAAACAACAGTATATATTGACACAGACATGGCAACATGATGATGGCAGCAGATAACTACTGCGTCTACTTCTGAGTAGTTGGAGATATTCTGTGTACTATTTTTCAGACTTTTTTATAAGTCAGAAATTATTCAAAAATGAAAAGTTAAAAAAAGAATTAAAGCAAGTATGAGATAATGTATTAACTTTATATTAAGTCAAAATCTAAATAAACAGCTATTTTCTGGGTAGGCATGGTGGCTCATGCTTGTAATCCCAGCACTTTAGCCAAGGCCGGTGGATCACTTGAGGCCAGGAGTTCAAGACCATCCTGTCTAACATGGTGAAACCCCATCTCTACTAAAACTACAAAAAACTAGCTGGGCGTGGTGGCACACACCTGTAGCCCCAGCTACTTGGGAGGCTGAGGCATGAGAATTGCTTGAACCTGGGAGGTGGAGGCTGTAGTGAACTGAGATCACACCACTGCACTCTAGCCTGGGTGACAAAGAGAGACTCCATCTCAAAAAAAAAAAAAAAAAAAAGAAAGTATTAAAGAAAATGCTGGCATTTGACTAAATCAGAATAAATAAATAAATAGAAAGAAAAAGTTAAAAAAAAAAAAAAGCTACACTCCTAGCCTGGGCAACATAGTGAGACCCTGTCTCTACCAAAAAAAAAAAAAAAAAAATTAGCAATTAGCTGGACATGGTGGCATGTGCGTATGGTCCCAGCTACTCTGAAGGCTGAGGTGGAGGATTATTTGTGCCTAGGAGGTCGAGGCTGCAGTGACTCAGTTACTTGTGACTGCACCACTGCACTCTAGCCTGAGTGACAGAGCAAGACCCTGTCTTAAAAAAAAAAAAAAAAAAAGCCAGACCCGGTGGCTCACGCTTGTAATCCCAGCACTTTGGGAGGCCGAGGCGGGAGGATCACGAGGTCAGGAGATCGAGACCATCTTGGCTAACACGGTGAAACCCCGTCTCTACTAAAAATACAAAAAAAATTAGCCGGGCGTGGTGGCGGGTGCCTGTAGTCCCAGCTACTCGGGAGGCTGAGGCAGGAGAATGGCGTGAACCCGGGAGGTGGAGCTAGCAGTGAGCCGAGATAGCGCCACGGAAGTCCCGCCTGGGCGAAAGAGGAAGACTCCATCTCAAAAAAAAAAAAAAAAAAAAAAAAAAAAAAGCTGCAATCAAAACATGTTGCTCAGAAAGTTACCAGGCCCAATCTTCATGCAGTCCCACCAAGAGTTCAGTGAACAGACATTGCCAATGTTATTTAGGACACAGAACTCTATTGAGCACTATATTCACTATTTGGGTGATGGGATCAGTAGAAGCCCAAATCTCAACATCAGGTAATATATCCATGTAACAAACCTGCACATGTACCTGTGAAATGAAAATTATAAAAAAAAAAGGGGGGGGGGGAGGGGAAGAAAATAATGAAAGACTTACTAAAGCATTCTGCCAGAATAGTTTAACTTGGATGCCAAAACCAGGCAAGGTGCTCAAAAGCAAACGTAAACAAAACAAAACAAAGCAAATGTATCAAATGAAATCCAGTAGTGAACTATTTAATACATTATGTACAGTCGGATTTAAAGGAACACAAATAGGTTTAAATAATTTGAAAATTTTAAAGTAACTTAGACTTTCCTACATTAAATAAGAAAGTAGAACCCGATTGAGGAAGCCTAACATAAAAAAAAAAATAGGAGAGGCAATATCTTAATTTTGATGTGAACTACATAACATTTAATAGAAATGCTTCTAACCTCTCACTGCAAAATAAAAAGGAACAAGTGCTGTTATTACAATATTCCTGGCAATCCTAACCAATGCAACAGGAAAAGGATAAAAATTAAGAGGCTTACATTTTAGCAAAGAGAAAAACTCATGTGTAGATGTCATGACTGCTTATTTAGAAAATCAAAGTGTGTTATCAATTAAAAACTATGGGAGTGGCCGGGCGCGATGGCCCACACCTGTAATCCCAGCACTTTGGGAGGCCGAGGCGGGCGGATCACGAGGTCAGGAGATCGAGACCAGCCCGGCTAACACAGTGAAACCCCGTCTCTACCAAAAATACAAAAAAATTAGCTGGGTGTGGTGGCGGGCTCCTGTAGTCCCAGCTACTCGGGAGGCTGAGGCAGGAGAATGGCGTGAACCCGGGAGGCGGAGCTTGCAGTGAGCCGAGATGGCACTACTGCACTCTAGCCTGGGCAACAGAGCTAGACTCCGTCTCAAAAAAAAAAAAACAACAAAAAACTATGGGGCGGGGGGTGGGGGGCCGGGTGCTGTGGCTCACACCTGTAATCCCAGCACTTTTGGAGGCCGAGGCGGGCGGATCACGAGGTCGGGAGATCGAGACCACGGTGAAACCCTGTCTCTACTAAAAATACAAAACATTAGCCAGGCGCAGTGGCGGGCGCCTGTAGTCCCAGCTACTCGGGAGGCTGAGGCAGGAGAATGGCGTTGTAGTCCCAGCTACTCGGGAGGCTGAGGCAGGAGAATGGCGTGAACCTGGGAGGTGGAGCTTGCAGTGAGCCGAGATCGCGCCACTGCACTCCAGCCTGGGCGATAGAGTGAGGCTCAGTCTCAAAAACAAACAAACTAAACTATGGGGTGGAGGGAGGGGGTAACAAAAATTACTAGAATTATTAAACGAGGTCAGTAAGATGACTGAAAGACACAAAAATCAAAAGCATTTTTATTTGGGACAGAATCTTGCTCTGTCACCCAGGCTGGAGTGCCGTGGCGCAGTCTTGGCTCACTGCAACCTCCGCCTCCCGGGTTCAAGAATTTCTCCTGCCTCAGCCTCCTGAGTAGCTGGGATTACAGGCTTGCGCCACCACTGTAATTTTTGTATTTTTAGTAGAGACGGGGTTTCACTGGTCAGGCTGGTCTTGAACTCCTGACCTCAGTTGATCTGCCCACCTCGGGCTCCCAAAGTGTTGGGATTACAGGCGTGAGCCCCCATCTCCAAATACATACATATCAATCTGTACTATCATTTTTAATAGACATGGTACAAATATATGAGAATTGCTGTAAACATTAACCAATTATGGTTATGTACTTATTTTTTGAGATAGGGGTCTCACAGGGGAATGAAAATGTGGGAGTACTTTAACAATTTTATTTTTTTTGAGACAGTCTCACTCTGTTGTCCAGGCAGGAGTGCAGTGGCACAATCTCGGCTCCCCTGCAACCTCTGCCTCCTGGGTTCAAGCGATTCTCCTGCCTCAGCCTCCTGAGTAGCTGGGATTACATGTATGTGCCACCATGCCTGGCTAATTTTTGTATTTTTAGTAGAGGCGGGGTTTCACTATGCTGGCCAGGCTGGTCTGGAACTACTGACCTCAGGTGATCCGCCCACCTGGGTTTCTCAAAGTGCTGGGATTACAGGCGTGAGCCACGGCGCCCAGCCTTTTTATCCATTTTATGTATTTAAGATTTTTTGGAACCTGATTCACACAATAGACTAGAACACTTCTTAAATCCTATTGAGTACTGACAATCTTAACAGTCTATTAGTTTTATCCCTGTGTGATTAGTGGGCAGCAATATCTTAGTTTTAGCTAACCAAGCCTAAGCTTCCTGCTCTTCTCATGTAAAATCATGTATATTCAGGAAGATGAGTTAGCTTTATTAATATACAAGTAAGAAAATGAGCTGTGGAAAGAAGTATATGCAAGAAAGGTTAAGTGACAAAAAACTAAAAAAAATTAGTGATTTTGGAAATCTGCCTTTACTTCACCTGCCATCTCCCTAGTGACTTTAAGAATGCTACATAAAGCCAGGCGCGGTGGCTCACGCCTGTAATCCCAGAACTACGGGAGGCTGAGGTGGTTGGATCACAAGGTCAGGAGATCGAGACCATCCTGGCTAACACGGTGAAACCCCATAGCTACTAAAAATATAAAAAATTAGCTGGATGTGGTGGCAGGTGCCTGTAGTCCCAGCTACTCGGGAGGCTGAGGTAGGAGGTGGAGGTTGCAGTAAGCTGAGATCACGCCATTGCACTCCAGCCTGGGCGACAGAGCAAGACTCTGTCTAAAAAAAAAAAAAAGAATGCTACATAAAGTTTAAAAACCAAGAACATTTGGACAGATTTTGAAATTGCGAATTAATGAAAAAGTAATTTCACCTTTATTGATCAGCTCAGTTGCTACTGTACTGCAGAGCAATCAGATAAATTGTAAACTTTCAAGACACTAAAATTAGCATATTCCAACAAAGTTATTTATATAACAGCTATTTTTCTAGTCTAATTTTCTAGTATTTATTGGAAATTCCCCAAATTTGTTTCAATTCTCTAATCTTATCCCAGCCAGTATCATGTTCTGTTTAATGTTTAACACGCTCATATTATTAAAATATAGAAGTCCCAGGTCTAACCTTCAATGGACAAGTGTTGTATGTCACTATTTTTTTGCCTACTTGTAAAAATGACTGAACAAACTTTTTAGATGAATAATTAAGCAACACATATCCCTCTTGCTTTCATTGCCATTTTAATAAAAAAATAGAAACTCCTATATTACAAAATATATTGCGTATTGATGTCACAATGGAAATTTTACAAACACAAACTTTATAAAAGGGTGTTAAGCCAATTCCAGATGAAGCAAAGACATGAAAACAGGAAAGTTCTAGAAAAAGTCTAAATAAATGTATTCATATTCTATGAGTGAAAAAGATAATTCAAAAGGATGTCCGTAAGGCTGGGCACAGTAGCTCACGCCTGTAATTCCAGCACTTGGGGAGGGTGAGATGGGGGGACTGACTGAGCCCAGGAGTTTGACACCAGCCTGGGCAACATGGTGGGACCTCGTCTCTACAAAAAATACAAAAATTAGTACGGTGTGGCAGTGCCCACCTAAAGCCCCAGCTACTGAGGAGACTGAGACAGAAGGATTGCTTGAACTCAGAAGGCTGAACCTGCAGTGAGCTGTGATCATGGCACTGCACTCCAGCCTGGGCGGTAAAAGTGAGATCCTGTCTCAAAAAAAAATAAATTACAAAGGACTCATATATATTAATTTTGTATAATTCCTCTAAAGGAATTATTCAAAGATCTCAAAATATTTCACTGATATTTAAGTCCTGTAAGTTTCCATTTCATACGGTGATATAAGACCATGGGTAGAAAATATCAGTGAATAAAGGAAGACATGCCAAATGTCTCATCTGAATATTTTGACCACTCCATGATCTTTTGTCCTCGCACTGCTGCATAGTTAGGTTTCAGAGGCTGGTCTTCGAATTAGGTCACCAAAATATGCAGTGATTGTCTTCAATTTGTTGTTAAGGAAGTTCTGTTCTATTTCCACTTGCCCTCCAGGCCCAGCTAAGGATGCCACCTAAAAAGATGAACAGAAGAAAGTCACACACACACCTAAGCATAATTTCAAAAGTCTTTCACTTGTACTGCTTTATCAAATAATAGGAAGACTCTGGCTTTTAAGTCCTTTGAATAATGAGGCATCTCAAATGTTCACTGCTACTTCCCAGGCATCGATGCAATATTTGGAGGTGGGAATACTTGTTGTTTCAGATCCTTTTGATATTATGGGAAAGTTCATGGTGCTATGCTGTTGTATAGGACTTGAACTCTCCAATGCCATAGCTAAAGAACTCAAAGGAAGAAAAAAATGAACAAATCCTTCCCAAACATCCGGTTTATTAAAAATTTTTATTTTTATTTTTAAACATTAGAGGCAGGGTCTCACTGTGTTGCCCAAGCTTGTCTTGAATTCCTGGTCTTAAGCATTCCTCTCACCTCTGCCTCCCAAAGTCATGTTATTTATTTATTTATTTTGTTTTTTGAGATAGAGTCCTACTCTGTCGCCCAGGCTGCAGTTCAGTGGCACGATCTCGGCTCACTGCAACCTCCGCCTCCCGGGTTCAAGCAATTCTCCTGCCTCAGCCTCCTGAGCATCTGGAATTACAGGCACATGCCACCATGCCCAGCTAATTTTTGTATTTTTTTTAGTAGAAATGGTGTTTCACCAAGTTGGCCAGGCTGGTCTCGAACTCCTGACCTGGTGATCCGCTCGGCCCGGCCTCCCAAAGTGCTGGGATTACAAGCCACCGTGCCCGGCCTAGGTTTATTTTTAAAATATTATTACTATTTTTCTCACCTTCCTTCCTCCTCCTCCCCAGGTTTATTTCTTAACAAAAATATTTAAAGATTATTTCCCTTTCCTGAAAGCCTTTGTCCTGTTCATCTTACCATCTGCATCTCACCCTCTCTCTCATTCATTCAACAGTATTTACTGAGTTCCTGCTACATAATCCTAGCTCTGATCCAGGCCAGGATCCCTACTCTCATGAGGAGTCTAGCCTCTAGTGACTTTTCCTTCTCTCACTGGTCTCCTTTCTTTTCTCCCACCTTGGATCACTTCTTCTACCTGTTGCCCTTTTGTGTATTTTAAATGCTTTCTACAACAATTGTGGTAAAAATATATTGCTCTTTATGAGGTCTACTAGAATATAGTGACTAACTCCTTTATTAGGAAGCTGAAAGCATTGCTCCCTCCCCACTTCCACAGTTAGCATCAAAAGGATGCTAGCCAAATGACCAGCATTTGACAGGGGGATGGGGCAGTTAGCTGCTAAAGATTCTTTTGTTCCAAGACAGTAATGCTTGCACTCACCTTGGTACATTGTAAACTAGAAATGTTTTACCCTAAGTTCTTATACAGATAAGGTTTTGTTTTGGTTCAGTACTTTCTTCACCCAACCTCTCAGAAATCTTTTAAATAGCAAATACGTTACTTTCTAACTCATGATTACTTCACCAGAGATCAGTTTTTCAGGGCAGTAAGAGGAAAGATCAAGAGAAGAGAGAATGCAGTGGAGAGTCCTGGCAATCAGAGAATAGAAGACACAGCAATAGAAAAAAGGACACCCAAAGTATTAGGGACAGGCATAAACAACGAGAAACAAGCATTTTCTGTAACTGTAATCAGCAAAATTATAGTTGTGTATTTTGTAAAGAGAGGCAGTCAGTCTGGTTTGGTTTTAAGGGTTGAGAGAATGTAATCTCAGTGGTATTATGCATACCACCCCAGCTTCTGGTAGAAGGGAAGATTTATTGTGCATTTCCAGTGAGTATGTAAAAAGTCAGACACAGAAATAGGGAAGAAGCAACCAGTCATTCTATGGTACCTTATTATGTGAAAATAAGTCAAATACAGTATTCCTTATAATGATTAAAAGCACCCCCCCCACTATTTTTTTTTGTAAGGAATACTTAAAGTAAAACTAGAAATTTAAAAATAGCAAAGTAGTCTCAGAGTAGCAATTATTAGGAATAAATGTTTTAAATTCTATTTTGGTATCTTTATGCCAGTCTGGTTTTTTTACAAGAAAGGGGGAAAAAAAAAAAAGGTATTTTGTCTTTAGCCAATAAAAGGCATTTTGAACAGTTTATCATTTTTTCACAATAATTTTTCTTTGAGTTGAGATATAACTCAAATGTAGCATTTCTGCTGTGCCCTTTAACAAATAACTTAAAAATCCCCAGTTCTACCAATAATTTGCTGCATTAATTTAAAAAGCCATTTTTAGGCCGGGCGCTGTGGCTCATGCCTGTAATCCCAGCACTTTGGGAGGTCGAGGAGGGTGGATCACGAGGTCAGGAGATCGAGACCATCCTGGCAAACAAGGTAAAACCCCGTCTCTACTAAAAATACAAAAAAATTTGCTGGGGGTGGTGGCGGGCGCCTGTAGTCCCAGCTATTCGGGAGGCTGAGGCAGGAGAATGGCGTGAATTCAGGAGGCGGAGCTTGCAGTGAGCTGAGATCGCACCACTGCACTCCAGCCTGGGCGACAGAGTGAGACTCTGCCTCAAAAAAAAAAAGAAAGAAAGAAAAAAAAGCCAATATTGTTGTTGTTAAGAAAGCCATTAAAATAGGCTTTTTTTGGCTTTCTAAATCCGAAAATATGAATACTGTCTATCTCCCTAAAAGAGCATTTTAAAGAAAAGAAAAACCATTTCTGAAGTTTACTTGAAAAAAAAAATAAAGGTACTATAAATATAGTTATTATTATTATTATTTTTTGAGATGGAGTCTCGCTCTGCTGCCTAGGCTGGAGTGCAGTGGCGTGATCTCGGCTAGTACTGCAAGCTCTGCCTCCTGGGTTCATGCCATTCTCCTGCCTCAGCCTCCCGAGTAGCTGGGACTACAGGCGCCCGCCACCACACCCGGCTAATTTTTTGTATTTTTAGTAGAGACAGGGTTTCACCGTGTTAGCCAGGGTGGTCTCGATCTCCTGACCTCGTGATCCACCCACCTCGGCCTCCCAAAGTGCTGGGATTACAGGCGTGAACCACCGTGCCTGGCCGATGGTTATTATTTCTTATATAAGCCATAAATAGAATTCCATAAAAACCAATTTCTGAGAAGGTAGGGTAGTTTTGTTTTTCTTAATACCTTTCAGAGGGTTGTCTAGATGTGGGTGCTTGGGATTAAAATAAAAAACGGAGGTAAGATGGGGGTTTTCTCAGAAATCATGAGTTCTGAAGTCTGTGCAAAACAGTTCATAAATTACTTTACTCAATAACTATTATTGAGAGCTTATAGGTATCTGTTCTAGGCAGTGCAGTATAGCAAAAAACAAACAAGAAATCCCCACCTCCATGAATTTTACATTCTGGCTGGGAGAGTCAGATGACGGACAAATAAAACAAATATTGTTCCTGATAATGGAGAAGGTGGTGTATCTATGTGACAAAATATAGTGAGAAAACTCTTATGTACTTAGTGTTTAGAAACAATTTTTTTTTAAAAACTTAACATGTTACTTTCAAGTGTTCTGATTACGAATAATTTCTAACTTTAGCCTTTTTGTACGTTTTCACATTTTCACAACTACATATATGTTAAAAGTTAGAATTTTGGAGTTGGAAAGACTTATAAATTTAGTAGTTCAAGCAAATAACTTTGCTTCAGGCAAATTTAATGAATGCCATTAATTTCTAGCTGTCCTTATTTTTCACTAGAAGGTTTAGCTGACAAAATATTATTTGGTTCCCTCCGCTTTCTTAGAATTTAGTAAATTGTGAGAGGAAGAGAGGGTAGGAAGGACAGAGAGAGGGAGAACGGCAGGTACAAACAGATAAAGATTAGCAGCTCTGGATTACTTTCCACATTTTTGGCATATTACCTAAATATATTAATTTTACCAAAATAAATCCCAATTAATTTGGACCAGAACTAGAATTAAGGACTGAACTCTTGACTAGATTTGACATCAGGCAGTAAAGCTGTTCTTTGGGGACTGGCAAAGGAGAAACAGAAAAGATCACAATGAAGGTGTTAAAGCACAGAAGATTTAAGCATCAAATAAAAAGGTAAACATTCAAAACTGCACTTTTTTTTTGTTTTGTTTTGTTTTTTGAGACGAGTCTGGCTCTACCGCCCAGGCTGGAGTGCAGTGGCATGATCTCGGCTCACTGCAACCTCTGCCTCCTGGGTTCAAGCGATTCTCCTGCCTCAGCCTGCCGAGTAGCTGGGATTACTGGCGCACCTGGCTAATTTCTGTATTTTTAGTAGAGACAGGGTTTCACGATGTTGGCCAGGCTGGTCTCAAAACTCCTGACCTCAGGTGATCCGCCCGCCTCGGCCTCTCAAAGTGTTGGGATTACAGGCTTAAGCCACTGCGCCTGGAGCAAAACTGCATTTTTTCAAGAGAAACTGGATTTAAAGTAAAAGTGCACGATAACCGAATGAGAGAAAATAACCTCCCAACTGCATCCTACTGGAAGAATAGATAATAATTACTAATGACAGATACACTTTATTACAAGAAAGACACAGAAACATCAGAGCGCTGAAAAATGCCCTATTACTACATGGAAGAGATTATATCTATGATACGCAGAAATGTGGTTAGAAGATAATTGTACCAGGTAAAAATAAAGAGCATTTTATGTGGCCTTCAGATCTGTGTCAAATACAATGCTAGCAGCAGCAAGCATCTGAAATACTGGCTGTGACTACAAACCTAATGTCACACAGGCCAAGAAAGTGCTTTGCCACTAGTTATTTTTGTCCCTCTTTTCTTTTGCTAGATCCAACTAATAACCACATGAAAATAAAACAAAGTTGGCAAAACATTTCTGGTAATTAAAAGTTCTCTGGGAGGTGAAAGAAGAAAATATTTTTTAGTCAGCAGAAAATCAGGCATCATTCAAACTTAAAAATATTCATTAAATTAGTTCCATTTCTCTGCACATGGTAAACAGAAATGAGATTTCTATGCTTCCGTAAATAAATCTTAAAGCCACCATCATCAACAGGAGCACCTGGTGGCAGGTCAAAAAAATTCTCCCAGGCAGCCAGGCACAGTGGCTCACACCTGTAATCCCAGAACTTTGGGAGGCTGAGGCAGGCAGATCACCTGAGGTCGGGAGTTCGAGACCAGCCTGACCAACATGGAGAAACCCCGTCTCTACTAAAAAAAAAAAAAATTAGCCGGGCATAGTGGCATATGCCTGTAATCCCAGCTACTTGGGAGGCTGAGGTAGGAGAATTGCTTGAACCCGGGAAGTGGAGGTTGTGGTGAGCTGAGATCAGGCCATTGCACTCCAGCCTGGGCAACAAGAGCAAAACTCCATCTCAAAAAAAAAAAAAAAAAAAAAAAAATCTCCCAGGCATCACAAGCTAACCTACACTGGTGTCCTAAGAGGAGGCTACCAGGCCGGGCACGGTGGCTCATGCCCGTAATCCCAGAACTTTGGGAGGCTGAAGTAGAAAGATTGCTTTAGCCTAGAAGTCCAACCTGGGCAACATGGTGAAACCCTGTCTCTACAAAAAATAAAAAAATTAGCCAGGCATGGTGGCCCATGCATATGGTTCCAGCTACTCTGAAGGCTGAGGTAGGATTGTTTTAGCTTGGGAGGTTGAGGCTGCAGTGAGCTGTGATCATGTCACTGTACTGCAGCCTTGTGGACAGAGCGAGGCTCTGTCTCCAAAGAAGAAAAAAACCCCACCAAAACCCAAAAACAACCAGTTCACTAAGCTCTGTCCTTCACTCATTCTCAGAACCAGATACTGGAAACATGAAGACTGTTCAATTCAACAAATTACAGAAAGCACAGGCTATCAGCACAGGACTGGCAGGTAGCACTATGTGTGGCCCAGAAGAGCTGGATATCCCTCTAATTTCTATCTCCATCATTTACGGAGAAAAGTTACCCACAGTAGTGAAGGAGATACAAGCTATATTTAGAAGCATTTCAGCAAAGCTGCATTTGTGTCTTCCCAAGTCAACTATGAGGCCAATCAGTTCCACAACCCCTCTAGAGCATGACAATATATATGGTTTAAGAACAAACGATTCTGCTCTAATTGTGCAGCAGCAAACTTCCCAAGGGAAAAGCTGGCTAGTAAATATTAGGAACTGATCATATATTTATCCTGAATTGCAGTGTATGATTAAGCACTGATTTCACCAAGAACAGAGTTGGTCTAGAAAACTGGGAATCAGGCTGGGCGTGGTGGCTGACACCTGTAATCCCAGCACTTTGGGATGCTGAGGTGAAGAATAGCTGGCCAACATGGTGAAACCCCATCTCTACAAAAAAATATAAATATTAGCTGGGTGTGGTGGTGCACACCTGTAGTCCCAGGTACTCGGGAGACCGAGGTGGGAGAATTGTTTCAGTCTGGGAGGCTGCAGAGAGCAGTGATCACACCACTGCCCTCCAGCCTGGCCCTGTCTCAAAAAAAAAATTGGTAACCAGTTACTGAAAGAGTCAAATTCTACTTATTGCTCCAATCTCATGGTGAGCTAATATTGTGATAACAGATAAATCTGTTTCTTCTTGGTAATGAACATTGTGTCAGTGGGAGACAGCAAGGTGTAATAAGACTGTCGCTGTGTGGCAGAATGACCAGGCAAATCACCATACCTCCATAGCCTTCAATGAAATCAGGTGCTCCAGAGACACACTGCTCCAGAATGTCATGATGAGTCAATGAAATGGCTAAGAGGACACTGTACACCCTAAGTGTGTGTGCCAGCTCCTATGCTGTAGATGTATAGTGTATGAATGCAGGGTATTGTTAGTGTAGTAGGATGAATGCACTTGTGAGTGCTCTGAGTTGTAAAGGCTATTTTCAAGTAACTAGTTTGGAGTCTACTATTCCAACATGTACCAGAAGCCCAATCCAGTTCTTAGCCTTCTTTTTATTCTCTCATGCTTCTGGTTCCTAAACCTGGACTAATGTTCTCTACCTCTACGAGAGAGCTACCATTAGATTAGATTTCCACTATATTAACTTAATTCAGAAAAATTTGACACAAATTAAAAAAATCTAGTATTTAGAAACCAGTTAGGACCCAATCTTCTATTTATTAAATACACAGATACTATAACTACTTAGAATATTTGCAAAGAAATCTGTGATAAATTTTTATTGTATTTAGCCAAAACCACTACAAATGCTAATAAACTGAATTTAGTTATATTTAAAACATTTTCCACATAACAATATTACCTAATAGTTTTTCATATTTATTCAAATTCAAATACATTATTCAAATACTTACAACTCTATTCTTATATATGGTAAGTTTTAGAAATATTACCTATAAATAAGTACCTCATTCCTATCGACCTATCTATCTATCTACTTACCTACCTACCAAAATAAAGTATTAGAAGTGACTGTTACAATGAGGAACATTTCCCTTCCTAGACATCAGAGAACAAAATATAAAAAGACAATTGGAGCCTCAAGTACTCTGCCAACTAAGGAGAGATGAGGGCCAGGCGTGGTGGCTCATGCCTGTAATCCCAGCACTTTGGGAGGCCAAGGCGGGCAGATCACGAGGTCAAGAGATCGAGACCATCCTGGCCAACGTGGTGAAACCCTGTCTCTACTAAAAATACAAAAATTAGCTGGGCGTGGTGGTGTGCGCCTGCAGTCCCAACTACTTGGGAGGCTGAGGCAGGAGAATCGCTTGAACCCGGGAGGCAGGCAGAGGTTGCAGTAAGCCGAGATCGCACCACTGCACTCTGGCCTGGGCAACAGAGCAAGACTCTGTCTCAAAAAAAAAAAAAATAAATAAAATAGAGATGAATTCCATTATTAAATCTAACATCAATTTTATACTTAGCATTTATTTAAGTATTAGTTAATTTGTAAACTTCTCCGCTTTATGAGGAAACAAAAAAGGTAGGATTTGCCTTGCCCAAATGTTACATGACATGTGCCTGGGGAAGCCATGGAAGGGTGGAGTATGTCTGCCAGACAAAGGCCAGGAATTAACATGATACAGTTCATTTTTTAAACATAATTCTTAGGGATGTTGCTTAATGTTGCCCTGCTCTCTGTATTGGTAAGATACATACCATGACAAAGATAAGTAACTTAACTTATCTTACCTGAAAAGTACAAACGCTATTGCTTTTCTGAGACTAGATGTTTTATGTCTAATTATAAAATTAAACAAGGATGAGAAGCTGCCATATCAAACAGACCAGCAGACTTCCTCTCTTCATTCCTGCCTTGGGCTAAGAGACAAGACTCCTTATGTCAGAGATTCCACCCACAAGGATTTCACACAAAGGTGGTGTTTGATAATTGCTGCCTGCATCTTCCTTTGGGAAGGACTAAGTCCTTGTCTGTTCAGAGATTTCCATCTATTAATATGTTCAATAGGTTTACCACTTAAGAGAGAAACCTTTCATGTTTGTGAAGCATGGTAGATCCAAAGCTAGAATTAGCTGGAATTCTCTGGCTGTCCAAGGAAAGAAAGAAAGGAAAGCATGGCAAGATACAGGCATCAAGCAGATAAAATATGCTTACTCTGGGCTTTTTGAATTGGATTTGAGATCCCAGCACTTTAGAAGGCTGAGGCAGGAGGATCACTTGAGCCCAGGAATTTGAGGTTGCAGTGAGCTATGATCATGCTACTGCTACTGCACTCCAGTCTGCGTGACAGAGAGAAACCCTATCTCCATAAATAAATAAATAAAATAAATAAATAAATAAATAAATAAATAAAAATTAGTCCTTGGGTTTCAACAGCAATTTCAAGAGTAAGGTATATACCTTACCTCCAAAGAGCCTCTCACAAAAAGATATTTTTCTAAATTACTCAGTTCTTAGCAAGAAATGCATGTCTTGGAATCATCTCCAAATAGAAAAAAGGAATAGAAGATTGAGGTAATAAGGGACCTAGGAAAACATTTCACTAGATACAGGAAACAATTAGCATCACCTCTTACATGGAAATATTTGAGATAAGTTGTATTTGTATTGAATCCATGCTGTTTAGGATGATATAAATATTATCTAAGAGTACAATCTCCCTGGATGGGAAATTAACTGTCCTTCATATGAGAAAAATGCAGCCTGAGTTTCAAACAGCAGACAGTGACACACTTGGGATCCCAAACCATTTGCAAATTCAGGTTGTTGTAACATTCTAAAAGTTCCTTAACAAAAAAAAGTTAATTTTCTTTGCAACTGTGATTTCTCTCAATTTTTAGTACTGTCTCCTCTCATTAAAAAGGTCCTACATACGGATACATTTTCTTCATTAAAAAAAAGTTGATTTCCCACTGTAATCTGATCAAAATTTGATAGCAAAAAAAATTAATACACTTGAAATCTCATCAGTCTTTCTTGGTTTCATTATTCCCTAGTGTCATTACTCCCTCTAGAGGCAAAAAAACATGAATCACCAACTCCAATTCTGGAAAGTTTTTGAAATAAACCAAAAACACAAATTAAAAAGTTAACTTTCTCTTTGTGAAAGTGTTAATGTAACTAGAAAAAGTTAATCAGCATAAATTGCATGATAAACAGTGAATTTCCTCTCGTTATTCAAGTACTCAAATGAGGCTGTCTACATTTAATATAAGGATCACATCGTCTCTGATGAGACGATGTAGAGCATAATATTCATATATGAGAAAAACAGAAATTATGGAATTGTTAGGCTCAACCTTATCTGGCAGTCTAGAAAGCAGCTCTGAATCATATGAGAAGTAGATATAAAATACCTGGTGTTTAATATGAACTTTAATTCAGAAAACTCATGAAGCAAAGAGATGGTTCGTTTTTCTTTCTTTCTTTTTTTTTTTAGACAGTCTCACTCTGTCACCCAGGCTGGAGTGCAGTGGCGCAATCTCGGCTCACTGCAACCTCTGCCTCCCGAGTAGCTGGGATTACAGGCACGCCGCCACCATGCCCGGCTAATTTGTGTGTATGTGTGTGTACATATATATATATATATATATATATTTTTTTTTTTTTTTTAAGTAGAGACGGGGTTTTGCCATGTTGGCCAGGCTGGTCAACTCCTGGCCTCAAGCGATCTGCCTGCCTTGGCCTCCCAAAGTGCTGGGATTACAGGTCTGAGCCATCACACCCAGCCCCTTTTTCTTATAACTGGTATAACACATACTATTAATATTTTGGGAGGCCTAATGTTTAGACACAATGGATCATAAACGGATGAAAGGCAGCAAGATCTAATTTCATTGCTTAACAATAAGAGCTCAGGCTTGTTAATTTCATTTACTCTTCTTTTAACCCAGAGAATCTCAACTCTGGAGAACATTACAACCACTTTGGGCAGTTTAAAAATTAACTTTCGGGCCTCATCCTAGAAAACAGAGAATCTTTCCCAGTGGATTACAGTATCAGTAGTTTTTTTAAAAAGCTACTCAGCTGCGCGTGGTGGCTCACACCTATAATCCCAGCACTTAGGGAGGCTGAGGCAGGAGGATTGCTTGAGCCTTTAATTTTGAGACCAGTGTGGGCAACATGGTGAGACCTCATCTCTATAAAAAATAAAAAAACTAGCTGGGCATGGTGCTGTGTACCTGTGGTCCCAGCTACTCAGCAGGCTGAGGTGGGAGGACTGCTTGAGCCCAGTTAGTTGAGGCTGCAGTGAGCCGTGTTTGGGCCATTGCACTCCAGCCTGGGTGATAGAGCGATATGGTCTCAAAAGAAAAACAAAAACAAAAACAACAACAAAAAAAGCGCTACTCAGCAAAAACTATAAAACTCTAAAGCACAGGCAACACAATGAAGAAAGATAAATTGGACTTCATAATAGAATAGAAATGCCTGAGTTGGAAAACCTGATAGAGGTAATGTAGAAGGAAAAAGGAAGCGACAAACACTAGAAAATATAGATAGGAAAGACTAACATTCTCTTATAATAGATGTCCCAGAGAAAGGAAAAAAGACAATGAGAACATAGTTGAAGAAATAATGGAGATAGCATCTCCTGAATAAAAAACACAAAAAACATCAGAATACTAGGGCTAGTTCTGATAGTATCAAATAAGAGAGAAAGGAAAAACCCAGTTAGCAACATTACAGTGAAATTCAGAATATGAAAGATAAAAGATTTTCAAGAGTATCTGGCACAAAGCAGATATGTAGTAAGTGTTTGTAGAAAAATCAACAAAAACATGAAATGAAGATATCATCAAATCTCTCTATTTTTTTTGAGACAGTCTCACTTTGTTGCCCAGGCTGAAACAAATAAAAAAAGGCTAGTTTAACTATGCAGCATTTGAAGCACAACACATTCAATCATCCTTTCAATATGTCTAGTCAAAGCCTAGAGTGCTCTATTTGTGTCTATGTATGCCAGGAGCTATGGAAATGAAGACGATGTAATAGACATGGATCTAACTTCCAGATACTTCCAGCTTTCTAAGAATAGTCAGTGAGTCAGGGACTTCTCATAAACACATTCTCTGGTAAGGATATGTCCTGTATCTTTTACCGTACTTGTAACAGTTAAGACAGACACTCATGGAAGTTTTTCAGTAATGGCTTACCTGGTCAATATCAGCATTTCTTGGAAGAAAATAAACAATATTATTAGTGATCTTCTTAGAAAGTCTGAAAATTTCAAAGGTGGACAGCAGTTAAGGAAAAATAATGAAAACAGCAGCTAATTTCTAATCAGAAAGAGATGTGTTTTACTTATCATAACTCAAATGTATTTCAAAATGTAACTAAAAGGCAAAAACTTAAACCCTCTAATGGAACCTAAAAGAGAATTACATACAAAATTTTGTAATTCAGCAAAATATTGTCTCCATAATTCAAAGACTGACAGTTGAATCGATTTCAATTATCCTAGTGGTAGGTACTAGGCAAGAGTCAGAATAAAGTAACCATGGCCATTGCAGTCTACACTCTAAATTTTATTTTTTAATTTTTAATTTTATTATTTTTGAGACAGAGTCTGGCTCTGCTTATTTATTTTTGAGACAGGGTCTGGCTCTGCTGCCCAGGCTGGAGTGCAGTAGCGTAATCTCAATTCACTGCAACCTCCTCCTGGGTTCAAGAGATCCTCATGCCTCAGCCTCCCGAGTACCTGGGACTACAGGATTACAGGCATGTACCACCACATGCCCAGCTAATTTACACTGTAATTTTTTTTTTTTTTTTTTTTGAGACAGAGTCTTGCTCTGTCACCCAGGCTGGAGTGCAGTGGCAGGTTCAAGCTATTCTCCTGCCTCAGCCTCCTGAGTAGCTGAGATTACAGGTGCCCACCACCATGCCCAGCTAATTTTTGTATTTTTAGTAGAGATGGGGTTCAGCCATGTTGGCCAGGCTGGTCTTGAACTCCTGACCTCAAATGATTTGCCCGCCTTGGCCTCCCAAAGTGCCAGGAGTACAGGCGTGACCCAGCATATCCCGGAGTACACTCTAAATTTTAATAGCAATTTAGAAATATCTTTCCTGTTAAGAGTCAAACAGATGATTACGGTGGAGAGGCAGGTGGCGAAAGTGACAAATAACAAACGTTACTCTATGAAATAAGGGTTTGCTTCGACGTCTTGGAAGAGTAACAGGAAAAATGTGAAGATACACAGCAAATTAGCCAGCATCAGTGTGAATTGAAGAGTTACAGAATGGTTACCGACAAACTCCAGGGATACTTTTTCAGGAAATTCCCAATTCACAAGACAATAAGTCCAATGTATGTGTTCTAGTCCTTGTTTTATAATGGTAAAATTGAATAGCAAGCAACGGAAATATGACCTCATATTTGTCATTACTTTTGGAGATCGATCCCCACATAATTTTTACATACCTGCTTTTTATGTAAAATAAACTAGAATTTATCAAATGCTGTTAGGTAATACTCCCTCTCTTCACTAATTTCTCTCTCTCCCTATTTTTTGAAATGGAGTCTCGCTCCGTTGCCCAGGCTGGAGTGCAGTGGCGCAATCTCAGCTCACTGCAACCTCGGCCTCCCTGGTCCAAGCGATTCTCCTGCCTCAGCCTCCTGAGTTGCTGGGAGTACAGGCGCGTGCCACCATGCCCGGCTAATTTTTTGTATTTTTAGTAGAGATGAGGTTTCACCGTGTTAGCCAGGATGGTCTCGATCTCCTGACCTCGTGATCCACCTGCCTCGGCCTCCCAAAGTGCTGGGATTACAGGTGTGAGCCACCGTGCCTGGCCAATCTCTCTCTCTCTTTTGAGACAGAGTCCCGCTCTGTCACCCAGGGTGGAGTGCAGTGGCGCGATCTCAGATCACTGCAACCTCTGCCTCCTGGGTTCAAGTGATTCTCGTGCTTCGGCCTCCCGAGTAGCTGGATTACAGGCATGTGCCACCATGCCCAGCTAATTTTTGTACTTTTAGTAGAGACGGGGTTTCACCATGTTGGCCAGGCTGGTCTCGAACTCCTGACCTCAGGTGATCCACCTGCCTCAGCCTCCCAATGTGCTAGGATTACAAATGTGAGCCACCCTGCCCACCCACCCACACTCCCTCTCTCACTCTCATGCTCCTTTCTCTCCACAATCATTGTTTCAGTAAACTCTTAAGACTTCCAAAGGATATCCATCAGGAGACATCATTGTTCTAATGTCAAAGGTCTCTGCAGTGGCATAGTCTGGCCCTCCCCAAGGTGGGCTGAGGAACACAACATCAGCCTTTAAAAAAGAAGCCAGCAGCAAGAAATCTCCACAGATGAACTCTATCTTATCTGCTATCCCATAAACTTCTGCATTATTGCGAGCAAGGGCAATCTTAACAGGATCGATATCAATGGCAATCACTAAAAGTGGGAAAAGAAAAAAATGAGTTAATTGACACTGATTATTACTTATATAGGATAGTTTGTCTTTCGAATAGTCTGTCATCTTCTGTATAAGAACTCTTTATAAAGAGGAGGAGACATTTGGCCACATATACCCGAGATACAGACTTCAGTTTAAATTTTTTATTTAAATTAGAAAGATTCACTGTGTTGTACCAAGAAAATGTGACTGAAGGACTTGGCTTTCTTGTCTCATTCTACAGCTTTTCCTAACCAAGTGGCAATACTTGCCACAAAATATCTACTGAGTGCCAAATATGTGGCCACCATTGTGCTGTGCTACAGCCTGAGTAGGAAAAGGTCACTGACTGTATGGACAGCCTGTAATGCTAGGTTTTGGAAAAGACAAACTTCTTCAAAATGTAGCAATGCCCAAAATGAACAGAAATTCGACAACTTCTAAGGAAAACCAAAATAAAACACATTTTTACAAACTTATGTAGCCAAGTGATGAAGAAGAAATGTAAAAACACCTGCCGATAATGTTTAATGAGACATTTTAGGTAGAGGAAACAGATATTATGTTTTCACCAAATGGACTTTCATTTACTTTATTCCAATTTTATAATTAGCAACATAGACATAATTTAATTTTAGCCTATCCATGTTTTGCAGTAAACTACTCAGTATACTTGCATGTGCACTACTGTGTTAATGGCAGTATTCTTCATTTGAAAGGGCTAAGTGTAACCGTTACGCTTACGGCGTGGTTGTCATGGAAATTGTTTTCCAGAAAATGCTAGTTTCCAAATTTGTTAACATTTTTGAGAAATAATGTGCTAAATCACTTGAACAATAAATATAAGCACCAATTATAACATATTGCAAAATCATACATTTATAATGGTGTTTTTCCTGTTCTAAATAAACATTCACATTTGTAAGAGAAAAAATTCTTTTCAGTTGCTCAGTCTGTTACATTTATAGTTCAGAGACAGATGGAAAGATATGCTGATGATACTAAAAATTCAAAAGAAAAAGTGACTTTCAACATCAAATCGATTCAGTTAATCCTATTTTCATCTGTATTTCTTTTGGAGGCAGACTTTGTTTTTAGGCCTAATAAGAATGGAAGCATTCAATCTATCACATAAAAGAAATGCTGGCTGGGCACGGTGGCTCATGCCTGTAATCCCAGCACTTTGGGAGGCTGAGGCGGGTGGACCCCTTGAGCTCAGGAGTTCGAAACCCCATCTCTATCAAAAACACAAAAAATTAGCCAGGTGGGGTGGCATGTGCCAGCAGTCCCAGCTACTCAGGAGGTTTAAGTGAATCACTTGGGCCTGGGAGGAGGAGATTGCAGTGAGCTGAGACTGTGCCACTGCACTCCAGCTTGGGTGACAGAGCGAAACACCTGCACCCCACAACTGCAAAAAAAAAAAAAATGCTGACAAATGTTAATCCTCAGCCACACTAGCACACCTCGACAGCTTAATAGCCACATGTGGCTACTAGCTGGCTATCATATTGGACAGCACAGATATAGAACATATAAGTCATCACAAAGAGTTCTACCACGCAGTACTGTTGCTAAACTACTGGAACACATACAAAAGGGAAAGATATCTTTAACAACAGCAATATGCAAAACTTTACAGATTCCCTAACCCTTTAGTTATGCACAGACAGCAAATATCTGAGTGGAAATAAATCTGGCACAAAGGAATAACCTCAACTATATGCAATGCCATCTTTTTGTATGTATGTTGCGTATATATGTAAATGTATAAATACACATACAGTTCAAGCATAATTGATTATATGAATGTGTATATAAGCACACATGAACATACATTATGATAGGGAACTCAAAACAGTTAAGTGTAATTGATTATATGTGTATACTTACATATGTATACACAAACACACTAAGTCAATTATACTTTAACTGTTTTGAATTCCTTGCCATAATGTCATTAGCTCAACTATCCTACGGGGATACTAGGAGGAGTATTGATAACTGCCATTCATGGAACACCTGTGAATTACCACTTCTGGTTTGGGGGGCAAATTATGGGACCCCACTACAGGCTAGGGGTGGTGGCTCATGCCTGTAATCCCAGCACTTTGGGAGGCCGAGGTTGGGTGGATCACCTGAGGTCAGGAGTTCGAGACCACCCTGGCCAACATGGTGAAACCCCATCTCTACTAAAAATAAAAAAATTAGCTGGGCGTGGTGGCAGGCCCCTGCAGTCCCAGCTATATGGGAGGCTGAGGCAGAAGAATCACTTGAACCCAGGAGGTGAAGGTTGTAGTGAGCTGAGAATGTGCCACTGCACTCCAACCTGGGCGACAGAGTGAGACTCCATCTCAAAAAAAAAAAAAAAGAAAAAAAGAAAAAGAAAGAACTATATATCTACATATAGACGGTTTGAGTAATCTGAGAAAATTTTCAGATTTCTTTGCTACTTTATCAGGGAGCAGGTGTTTTAATCATCGTGTTACGATGTAAGGCCAAAATGAAGATACATTTTACAACTTTTAAGGAAAAATCATTTTTTAGGCAATAAATATTGATTTTAGCCCATAGGAATGGCTTATCTGGCAAAGTCTGAGAAGAACTTTGATAGTAAATAGTGAATTCAAGGAAAAAGGAAAATAACCACTACTCTCGTAAATATGAAAGTAGCTTGTCTCTAGGCTATCAGGAGACCATGTAAAGTTAGCAAATATCATGCCTTGGAGCATAGGAGTATTAAAACGGGCCACATTTCATCAGCACTGACCTTAAAAATCTATGTAATGGTAAGGCGATAAGATCATTTTCAGTGCAATTTGATTAAAGTCAGTTTCTCTGACTAGACCGAGCAAGGACTGAGTCTGTTTTTTCTACAGCTACTACGTGCTTTCCAAAATCATATTACGCTTTCCTACTTAACATTAACTTCATATAAATTAGTAAGATTCAGTAGAAATCTGTTGAAATGAAACTATCATTGATAGGTATAATATGAAGATATTTAAAAATATGCATCTTCAGAATGAAAACTAAATGAAAACTCTGCTTCTTGTCTCAGTGTGGTGGCTCATGCCTGTAATTCCAGCACTTTTAGAGGCCAAGGGGAGGATTGCTTAAAGCCAGGGGTTTAAGACCAGCCTGGGGAATATAGCAAGATCCTGTCTATACAAAAATTAAAAAAAAAATTAGCAGGGCATACTGGCACGTGCCTGTAGTCTCAGCTACTTGGGAGGCTGAGATGGGAGGATCACTTGAGCCCGGGAAGTCAAGGCTGCAGTTAGTCCTGATCATGCCACTACACTTTAGCCTGGGTGATATAGTGAGACCCTGTCTCAAAAACAAAACAAACAAGAAAAAAGCAAAAAAAAAAAAACCCCTGCTTTATGACCCAGCTATATCAGTTTGGGCAGAATGTTCAACTTCTTCAACCCATTTCTTTCCCTGGGGAAAAGCAGATTACCTACTTGACACAGTTACTGGCAGTTACACAGTGGGAGGGGTTTTCTTTCTTGTGATCCCAAAGTCAAGCAACAAATATTATATGACGATGAGGTAATATTTAAATAATATTTAGTCTCTGAAATTTAAAGCTTTTTGAAAGGTGTCACAGAGGTCATCTAAATTCAAGGTCTCCTTTAAATTAAGGTTAAATGGCCGGGCGTGGTGGCTCACGCCTGTAATCCCAGCACTTTGCGAGGCTGAGGCGGGAGGATCATGAGGTCAGGAGATCAAGACCATCCTGGCTAACATGGTGAAACCCTGTTTCTACTAAAAATACAAAAAATTAGCTGGGTGTGGTGGTGGGCGCCTGTAGTCCCAGCTACGTGGGAGGCTGAGGCAGGAGAATGGCATGCACTCGGGAGGCGGAGTTTGCAGTGAGCCGAGATCCGCGCCACTGCACTCCAGCCTGGGCGACAGAGTGAGACCCCGTCTCAAAAAAAAAGAAAAAAAAAAATTAAATAAATAAATAAATAAAGGTTAAATGATGTCCAAAGTCATAAAGATAGTGAGTGCCAAAGTCCCTGTCCACTGTTCAATACTCTCCTGTTTTGGTATTTTTGGTTTTATAAAATACTATGACCTTGGCTTCAAGTTATTAGGTGTGCCAGTATAATCTTGGGCAAGTTATTTCATCTCTTTATGTCTCAGTTTATCTGTGAAACACAGACAGTAAGACATAATTCACAAGATTGTTGATTACATAAATTAATACATATAGTTGGCCCTTAAGACAGACATTAGGAGCCCTGATCTCTTGTGAAGTCAAAAATCTGTATAATTTTGGACTCCCCAAACTTAACTTTTAATAGCCTACTGTTGACCTGAAGCCTCACCTATAATGTAAACAGTTAATTAACACATATTTTGTACATTGTATGTATTATATGTAGTATTACTAAAATAAAGAAACAGAGAAAAAATTGTTACTAAGTAAATCATAAGGAAACTACATTTACAGTACTATATTTATTGATAAGGTAGGTTTTTTTTTTTCTTTTGTCTTTTTTTTTTTTTTTTTTTTTGAGGTGGAGTCTCGCTCTGTTGCCCAGGCTGGAATGCAGCTGGCATGATCTCGGCTCACTGCAACCTCCACCTCCCGGGTTCATGCGATTCTCTTGTCTCAGCCTCCTGAGTAGCTGGGACTACAGGCACACGCTACCATGCCCGGCTAATTTTTGTATTTTTAGGAGAGACGGGGTCTCTCCATGTTGGTCAGGCTGGTCTTGAACTCCCCACCTCAGGTGATCAGCCTGCCTCGGCCTCCTAAAGTGCTGGGATTACAGGCATGAGCCACCGTGCCCGGCCTACAAATTTTTTTAAGAGCCTAGGTCTCACTCTGTTGCCCGAGCTAGAGCACAGTGGTGCAATCACAGCTCACTGCAGCCTGCAATTTCTGGGCTCAGGTCATCCTCTCATCTCAGCCTGAGTAGCTGGGACTATAGGCACACACCACCACGCCTGGCTAATTTTTAAATTTTTTTTTTTTTTTTTTTTTTTAAGATGGAGTCTCACTCTGTTGCCCAGGCTGGAGTGCAGTGGCATGATCTCGGCTCACTGCAACCTCTGCCTCCTAGGTTCAAGCGAGTCTCCTGCCTCAGCCTCCTGTAGCTGGGATTACAGATGCATGCCACCATGCCCAGCTAATTTTTGTAATTTTAGTAGACGGGGTTTCACCATGTTGGCCAGGCTGGTGTCGAACTCCTGACCTCAGGTGATCCGCCTACCTTGGCCTACCAAAGTGCCGGGATTACAGGGGTAAGCCACTACGCCTGGCCAATTTTTAAAATTTTTTCTAGAGACCAGGTTGGTCTCAAACTCCTGGCCTCAAGTGATCCTCCTGCCTCTAACTCCCAAATTGCTAGAATTATGGGCATGAATCACCACGCCCACTCAAATTTTAACTTTTTATAACAGATTTGTGCATATTTTATGGTAGTAAATGATAAAACAAACTAGTATCTACCTATGTTTCATGCATTCATGACATTCCTACCTTTTAAATTATTTCGATGTATCTAGGTTACAAGGGATTCATCTGCGAGTTTCTTTTTTTTGTCACAAATCTCCAGAACATTTTCCAATATATTTACTGAAAAAAATCTGGGTGTAAGTGGACTCATACAGTTCAAACCTGTATTGTCCAAGGGTCAACTGTAGGAAGCATTTACACCAGTATGCAATACAAAGTATATGCTTAATATATGCTAGCTATTATTTTATATCATTTCATATTAAATTATTAATTATATATTAAATCTCAGTAAGATAGGCTGTAGCAAAATGGAAACATTTACTGAATTAACTGGACATAAAATAGTTCACTTCCATTGATGGCTAATTACCTCTCATTCCTGTTAAGGCAAACTGAATGGTATTTCCTCCAACTCCACAGAATGCGTCTACTACAACGTCACACTTGAAGGACTGACTAACACGGCCAGCAATGTGTTCAGCAATCTTCTCGGGTGTAACTGAAAACCAGCCCTCTGCAAAGGAAGAGTATTTGTGTTAGCATGTTCAATTTCAAGAAGCCAAGGCAAGCATAAACATAGCAAACATTACTATATCTTACATACTTTTAAAAAGCTTAGTTTCCCTTTTTAAAAAATTATAAATCACCCAGTTTTAAAGAAAAAAATTCAAAGCTTGTTATAAAAAGCAGTACCATTCCCAATTTCCACAGAAATGATGACCTCAATTCTTAACCTAATTCTTTTGTAATACTGTATACCTCCATCTTTCCAATAACTGAATTTACAATTTTGATGTTTCTCTTTGAGGCTTTAACTACTGACTCCTGTGGAAAATAGAGAACTAGCTGCTCTAATTGGCTAGCTCCCCCACACTCCGCTGAGTTTCCCAATTATTTCACTCCTAAGGTTGAAGCAATAGCCTGGATTTGTATTGGACACTCCAGAAAAAACTCCATTTTTTTTTGGAGACAGTGTCTTGCTCTGTTGCCCAGGCTGGAGTGCAACGGCATGATCTTGGCTCATTGCAACTTCCGCCTCCTGGGTTCAAGCAATTCTCATGCTTCAGCCTCCTGAGTAGTTGGGACTACAGGCACACGCTACCATGCCCAGCCAATTTTTGTATTTTTAGGAGAGACAGAGTTTTGCCATGTTAGCCAGGCTGGTCTTGAACTCCTGGCCTCAAGTGATTTGCCTGCCTCAGCCTCCCAAAGTGCTGGGATTACAGGCATGAGCCACCATGCCTGGCCAAAACTGCATGCTTTTAAAGGGTCGGAAAAAGCAAGGAACTGGATGGCAAAAGGCCATAGGGTTGCAGAAGTACAGGAGGAATAGCAGAGCCCTCATCATTGTCAGAAATGAGGTCCTGTGTCCACTCTAGAGTAAAGAGAATACTGACCTCCTTCTTTCCTAGTAGAAAAAATTTACATTTTTCAGAAAGACAATTATCTGAACAAAATGATGTGCTGGGCTGGGCGTGGTGGATCACTTGAGCACAGGAGTTTGAGAGCAGCCTGGGCAACATGGCAAAACCCTGTCTCTACAAAACATTAGCCAAGCATGGTAGTGCTTGCTTGTAATCCCAGCTACTTAGGAGGCGGAGGCATAAGGATTGCTTTAGCCTGGGAGGTGGAGGTTGCTGAGCCAAGATTGTGCCACTGTACTCCAGCGTGGGTGACAGAGTGAGACCCTGTCTAAAAAAAATAAAAAAAAAAAGAAAAGAAAAAATAAAAAGAAAAGAAAAGAAAAATAAATAAATAAAAATAATGTGCGTTAATTTTCCTGTTGTCTCCCCTTACCAAAACTTTAAATGGCTCTTCAATACTGGAAAAATAAGAATATACACTTTTATAGAATTGCAAGTGTTTTCCAGCCTTATTTCTCCTTACAAATTCCTACGTACTTTTTCCAATACACAGCATTTTGCAAATTGTTTTAAAAGGGTCAGAGAACCCCTGAAATTCCATCATAGATCAAGAACTTCTGATTTTGATAGTTAATAAAAACCAATATTTAGGTAACCCCAATATGAAAACGAGCATCAGTCTGCAAGACTGAGTTAAGTAAGCTGTTGCAGATCACAGCAGGAAAGCTGGAGAAAGAATTCAAAATTTGCGAAGTTAATTCATTAAATTGTATCCTTCTGCACTAGATATTTCTTCATCAGGTTTTCTGTTTAATAATTTATCAATTGCTTTTGCTATCTATCCTAACGTGCTACAAATACAGATTAAACCCAAGTCTGAAATTTTAAAAATACACACACACACACACACACCCCCCCAAATTGAAGGGCATCCTATAAAATAAATGGCCATTGATCCTTTGAAAAATGTCAGTCATGAAAGACAAAAAAGGCTAAGGAAACATTCCACATTAAAGGCAACTAAAGAACTTGAAAAATAAACGCAATGATACATGATCCTATACTGGAAGGAAAAAAAAAACGTGATAAAGGACAAGATTAGGACAATTAATGAAATTAGAGTATAAACTGTAGATTAAAATATTGGAACAATGTTAAGTTGATAATTCACTATTTTAAACAAAAATATACTTGTCCTTAGCAAATATACACTAAAGTATTAAGAAGTATGAGCATGATGTGTGTTAAGTACTGATCAGAAAAAGATACACACACATACATATGGAGAGAGAATGAGAACGTAAACGGGGCAAAATGTTGAAAATAGCTGAATCTGGGTAAAGGGGATATGAACATTCCCTGTATTATTCTTATAACTTTCTTTTTAAGTTTGAAGTGGTTTCAAAATAAAGCTAAAAAATACATATATACTTTACCTCTGTCCAACTTAATCCCATCATCAAAACGGGAGAAGAGCCTGTACCTCTGGGCCCAGTATTTTGCCAGCTCAGGAACAGCAGCTATTTCAGGAGGCAGACCATTCACCTTTTTGTTCTTCTTCTTGTTCTTCTTCTTTTTCACTTCAGCTAAAATAAAATACAAAGAATATAGATGCTCACTAAGAAAAAAATTAGTATCACAGGTGAGTTTATCTAAAAATGAAGCCACATCAAATAATTACAAGCAGAACATGTATATAATGACACGCCCAGAGAAACAGGAGAGCCTGATGGAAACGCCACTGGCTTCAATCACCACCAGCATTTTGCTACTTATTGGCTTTGTAAGCTTGGGAAAGTAACCGAGGGTCTTTAAGCTCCATTCATTCATTCATTTATTTATTTATTTAGAGACGAAGTCTGGCTCTGTCACCCATGCTGGAGTGCAGTGGCACGATCTTGGCTCACTGCAAGCTCCGCCTCCCGGGTTCACACCATTCTCCTGCCTCAGCCTCCCGAGTAGCTGGGACTACAGGCGCCCGTCACCACGCCCGGCTAATTTTTTTGTATTTTAGTAGAGACGGGGTTTCACCGTGTTAGTCAGGATGGTCTTGATCTCCCGAGCTTGTGATCCACCCGCCTTGGCCTCCCAAAGTGCTGGGATTACAGGCATGAGCCACTGTGCCTGGCCTAAACTCCAATTATTAATTCCTATAAAAGGAATGAGTGGGCTGAGCGAGGTGGCTCACACCTGTAATCCCAGCACTTTGGGAGGCTGAGGCAGGTCAGAAGTTCAAGACAAGCCTGACCAACATGGTGAAATCCCATCTCTACTAAAAATGCAAAAATCAGCTAGGCGTGGTGGTAGGTGCCTGTAATCCCAGCTACTTGGGAGGCTGAGACAGAAGAATGGCGTGAACCCGGGAGGCGGAGCTTGCAGTGAGCTGAGATTGCACCACTGCACTCCAGCCTGGGCAACAGAGCAAGACTCTGTCTCAAAAAAAAAAAAAAAAAAAAAAAAGAACGATGGGGCTGGGCGCAGTGGTTCATGCCTATAATCCCAGCACTTTGGGAGCCTGAGGCAGGTGGATCACTGAGGTCAGGAGTTCAAGATCAGCCTGACCAACATGGTGAAACCCCATCTCTACTAAAAAAAAATACAAAAATTAGCTGGGCACGGTGGCAGGTGCCTCTAATCCCAGCTACTCGGGAGGCTCAGGCAGAAGAATCGCTTGAACCTGGGAGGCGGAGGTTGCAGTGAGCTGAGAATGCGCCATTGCACTCCAGCCTGGGCAACAGAGCAAGACTCTGTCTAAAAAATAAAGAATGAATGAATGAGTTAGTGAGTGGTGTTTTACTAACTTAATTCACAGCAGTGACAGGACATATGTAGAAATACTGCTATAGACATAAAAGTTATTACTTCTGTTAGCCAAGACACTGCTTTATGTGGTGAATTATAGAAATCTAAACATTTCCTTTCTATCAAGGACTAGATTAGGCTCTAGCTGTCAGCCACATTGAAGTCACATGGCATCTGAGAAACTGAAACAAGGGTCACTAGCTCCATTCCACGGAAAAGGATCTCATTCATTCAGAGAGTGATTTTTTCCTTAAATAATTTTTATCAGTTTGGTTATTTGGTTTCAGTCTTCAGCAAATTAGAAGCAACAACATAGAAAGATGAGACTTTTTTCACAGTTAAGTATAAAAACAAGAGGTGATGGCTAACAAAGAATAAGACTCCATTACACACTCAAATGGTCCTCAAGGATAGGGCTATGTCCTAATATGTTCATCTGATCATTGTAAATAGTAAAAAGTGTCATCATGATTCAGTAAGGTCAGATCTCCCCATCCCCAAACAAGTGTTACCAATAGCAAAGTAAGGTGATTATTTGTCAACAGGGGGTATAATGACATTGTGGGTGGAATAATTCTTTGTTGTGCAAGACCATCCTGTACATGACCTAACATTAAGTAACTGAGTACTAAATGCCAGAATTCCAAATGTCATTCTAACAACCAGCATCTTCCAAATGCCCTTGTGAAGGTGGTACTACCCCAGGTAAAAATAACCAGCATCATGAGAATTGGTGTTTATGGAAGTGGGATAGTGCAGGAAAATGGGACTTAGCAATTGGAGAAGCTGGTAATGAGTCCTAGCTATGCCACTTACTTGGGCTAATTTTTAAATTTCTCTCAGCTTTACTTTCTGTATTTACAGAATGGAAAATAATTCCACCTACTTCCCTGGCTACCTTACAGATTAAATGAGAATAAGACACATAAAAGCATTTCACAAACCTACAAATGTCATATGAACATCGGTTATTATAACATTGATAATAAAATAAATGTAAACTACTGTAGGTATGCTGTTTAGAATGTAAAGAAATATGTGATAAAAAGATCACACATACACATACACCCACACTTGCACTAAGAAAAAAAAAATCAAGACTCAAATAAGTTATTTTCCATAGTAATAAAGAAATATGATGAAGGATCACAATAAATATAATGGTTTCATAATACCATTATTAAACTATATAAGAACTTTTGCTATAAAAATTCGAATACAAAAGTGCATAAATTGAAAATGTTACTCAGTTTATTCATTAGAGCCAACTGCTCTGAATACTTTTTATATTAACGTGCCATCAAAAACACATGACCATCATCAACCACACACACACAAACACACAAAAACACACCAAAAGGAAACCAGCCTGAGCATGGTGGCTCATGTCTGTAATCCCAGCACTTTGGGAGGCAAAGGTGGGAGGACTGCTTGAGCCTTTGGCAACCAGCCTCAGCAATATAGTGAGACCCTGTGTCTCTACAAAAAAAATTAAATAATTAAGCAGGCATGGTGGTATGCACATGTAGTCCCAGCTACTCAAGCTGAGGTGGGAGGACTGCTTGAACCCTGGGGGTCAAGGATGTAGTGAGCTGTGATTGTGCCACTGCACTCCAGCCTGGGCAACAGAATGAGACCCTGTCTCACACAAAAAAAGGAAGAAGTAAACCAAAGCTACACCACATACGAAGAAGGCAAAGGATGGTCACCTTTAGCCCATGGAACTGAGTACCAGCAGAGGCCAAGTTGAACTGCAGACAGTGGTCTGCAGACACAATGCTCCCAACAGTCTTTCCTTTTCTACTTGATCATGTTCACTCAGCCAAGAGTGAGGAGTGCTGTGGGTGCTAAGTCATAGCCAGTTAGAACATGTACACTTAATATGCCTTCTCTCACTTAAAAATAAGTAGCAGTGACTCCTTAGGTACAGAAGATTCACAAGTGAAAACTAAGAAAAAACATATTAACAAAAAAAATTTTATCTAAATCCATTAGCAAGTTGAAGCATATTTAGTGTTACCTTCAGTTTCTGCCTGGCGGGAGTCTGGCACTTCTTGAGTAACACAATCCTGCTCATCTGGAACAGTTGCTAGCAAGCTGTCTCTTTCATAGTTTTCTGTTTCAAGTTCACCAGCTGAAGATACGCTCTGACACTTTTCAGGTTCTGGATTATTAGTCTCCAGTAGGTCATCACCTTTTTTAACAGACATGTCTTGTTCCTCTGAATCACTACTTGTGGAAGCGTCGTGCACATTGTCATGAGAAGATGATTCCTGTGATGCTTCTTCATCCATTGGTTTATTAACCCATGTGAGGAATTTTTCTACCTTAAATTTTAAGATGACATCATGAGCAGGAATTAATTCCAAACTACACAGAATCTTCCTACCTATTACAATTTGTGACTTGACTGAAAAGCTGTGTCAAAATTATTGGCTCTGAAAAGCAGACTGCATCACACAAGCTTAATAGTAAGTAATTCTGACCTAATCAGAATGCTATCTGGGCATGCCATGACCTTATTAAAAGTTTTCTTTAAAAGGAAAAAAATATCAGATTAAATACTTCCTGCTATCAATAAATACTAAGAGGATAAAGCCAAACTGTCCCAGTGGCTTTTCCATAAGGGTTCTTAACAATTTAACTGTGCTACAGCTACATTACAAATGTACCTACTTACTACTGAATCATTAATTTTAGTTTTTCAAATTATATAGACCTTTCTGCAATGGTCAAGCTACAATCTATGTAAATGTTACTTAGCATCAAAGACGAACCCTAAAAAGATTTAGGGCCAATTCTTCTGTAAGAATAGAAGCAGTCTACCTTGGAAAAAAATCAAAGTTGCCTTTTAATGCAACAGTAGAGCCAGTAAGATATGTCCCAGCAAATGTTTGTTCTTTGGAATGTAAACAAGGCTCAGCATCAGATCATATACTTCTTTGCATCTTCTGTAACAAGAATATTCTTCCTATCTTGTCTTCATGACCTTCCTGAGAGTGAGTAAATTAGAATGAAGTGGTAGACATGATGGGCAACAACCCAGAATCTTCCTCTAAAGAAATGTGCCTATAAATAAATTAGGTATCTAAGTTAGACACAACAGTTACATATCTTTTTTCCTCAGCAATGCTTAGTAGCTGTTTCTGCACTCATCTATAGATGAATGCATAGGGGCTATTATATCCAACACATTACGGAAAGTCCTATGGCACTGACTGGACTAATACTAGGCAGTCTGTTTCAGATATAACTAGCACCACGAACATATTTATTAAAACATCACCAGCAGCCAACCAACCTGAAATGTAATACAAAATAAAACCAGCTATATATATGTAGCATATTTTACAAGTATGCTGAAGTTAGGGAGGACACTGTATTGAGGGGAAAAAGAGTCATCTGACTAGCCTTAAAAAACGAACAACAGAGACAGAGACATCATGGAGTCTAAGATTATGGTCTACTGTCCTGAAGAGCTGCTGGAGATGTGATTGACATGAAGGTTCTGCTCATTAGAAAGTGTTTTTTACCCCTTAGAATATAGAAAGGTAATTCATCACACCAAGCAATTTTCTAACTACTTTTGTTTCCCAGGTACTTGGATGGCAGGTATAGCAAAGTCCAATATATGAATATTTCAGGTAATAATGTGAATCAATAAATTGGCCTGTGTTTCATGCTATCAGGGTGAACTTGTTACAAGGTGTAAACTGTGACTGATCACTTCTGGAAGAACTCAGAATTAAAGCTTATAATATAAAGCTGTATCAGAATTTGGACTATTAGGATCCTACTGGTATGGTTTGGCTGTGTCCCCACCCAAATCTTATCTTGAATCATAGTTCCCATAATCCCCACGTGTTGTGGGAGGAATCAGGTAAAGATAGTTGAATCATGGGGGCAGTTTCTCCCACTCTCTTCTTGTGATGGTGAGTTAGTTCTTATGAGATCTGATGGTTTTATAAGGTGCTTCCCCCTTTGCTGGGCACTCATTTCTCTCTCTAGCTGCCATGTGAAGAAGGAGTTGTTTGCTTCCCTTTCCACCATAATTTTAAGTTTTCTGAGGCCTCCCCAGCCCTGCAGAACTGTGAGTCAATTAAACCTCTTTCCTTCAAAAATTATCCAGTCTTGGGTATGTCTTTATTAGCAGCCCGAAAACAGACTAATACACCTACCTAGCCTAAAACAGATGAGAAATTGTTCCTTGTTCTTGTCTGTTACTACATAGGCAAGGTTGTGTTTTTTTTTTGAGACAGTCTTACTCTGTCTCCCAGCCTAGAGTGCAATGGCACAATCTCAGCTCACTGCAACCTCCACTCCCAAATTTCAAGCAATTCTCCTGCCTCAGCCTCCCGAGTAGCTGGGATTACAGGCACCCGCCATCATGCCTGGCTAATTTTTATATTTTTAGTAGAGATGGGGTTTCACCATGTTGGCCAGGCTGGTCTCGAACTCCTGACCTCAGGTGATCCATCCGCCTCAGCCTCCCTAAGTGCTGGGATTACAGGTGTAAGCCACCATGCCCGGCCAAGGTTGCGTGTTTTTTTTTGAGATGGAGTTTTGCTCTTGTTGCCCAAGTTGAAGTGAAAAGGCGCGATCTCGGCTCACTGCAACCTTCGCCTCCCGGGTTCAGGCGATTCTCCTGCCTCAGCTTCCCAAGTAGCTGGGATTTCAGGCAAGCGCCACCATGCTCAGCTAATTTTGTATTTTTAGTAGAGACAGGGTTTTCCATGTTGGTCAGGTTTGTCTGGTACTCCCGACCTCAGGTGATCCACCTGCCTCAGCCTCCCAAATTGCTGGGATTACAGGTGTGAGCCACCACGCCTGACGGCTGCGTTTTTTAAATAATCTCAGACACTAGTACTTTGTAGCTTTCAAACACTTCCTTTTCACCCTACCTCAACTTGCCTTTTTTCAGATTTAGTTTACATAATATATGCCTTCAAGAAGCAAGTAAAAAAAAAAAAAATTATGTACCTTGATACCTGGTAGAAACAAGCTTCCTATTTGAATACAACAATTTTAAGAGGTCAAACTTACAAAACATGATTCTATCTACAAATATGCAACAAAATTTATACATACCTTACTCAGAATTTTGCTTTTCTTGAAAAATGGTTTTTCTGACTCTTTGGTAAAGAAGATGTGTTTGTTTTTCATCTTTATTTGTCTGCGCATGTCTAGGTACTTAGACTTAAGCTTCACATTCTTCTCTAAATACCTGACCTGCCGATGACTGAAATTTGGGATTCCACCATATCTGTGACAGATCAAAAGAAGTTATTCACAACTTAAATTCTAGGATTATATTTCCTTATAGGAAAAGAGGATGAAACTAACATTTTCACTCATTTTTACACCATTTTAATTCCCTTTTTAAAATTATGAAAATGATAAAATCAAGTTCAACTTGCAGAAGAGTTGATGGTCTAACTTTCATGTTAATTCTAAAGCAAATGTGTAACACCAAAGTTGGGAAGTGCAACATACCTAATATAGAGGAGAAAGTAGAAATTACATAGTAGACTGCAATAAATAAATAGTAAAACAAACAAACAAACAAACGAAAACCCTATCCCCTTGTTAGGGAAATATAAATATATAAATATTTTCAAGGTGGGGTGATGTCAAAGCTCTTTAACACATTTCTGGATACATTTGAATTATCTAAATCAATCTGAGCTTACAAAAGAAGCGAACCCTTCGTATCAAAATAATTAGAGAATGCCTGATTTAACCATCTGAAATTTTCCAGTCCTAAAAGATATGTATCTGCTATGAAGCCTCCTTTGATTATATTAAGCCTCAATTAACTCCCTCTCCGACAAACTGTTAGGGACTTAAGAGTGTCACGTACACTTTAGCATTTATAAAATCCAGAATAGTCTGGGTTTAAATATCAGGTCTCACTTTGTAGCCATATTATAAACTTCTTTTAATAAACAGGATATTTTATCCTTCTCTTTTAAGTAGAATTGGGTGCTCTAAATAGAAGAGTAGTTAAGTAGTTAAGTCTCAGGCAAGAAAAGAAATAGATTTCTACAAGTGTATACTATCAAAATCTACCCAAGGATTCCTCAATAAAATTACATGTGCATAGTAATACATCCTGCCAGGAATTTAAAAACCTTTTTACATGCTAAACTTTATGATCTTAGCCTTAAATGATTATATGAACTATTGATTATATTAACTATAATTGCCTTGAAACACCTAAGGGAGAAAAACTGATAATCTTTAGAAACTACAAGAGTCAACATGTACTTCTGAACTAATTTGAATTCAATTCAATTTTGAGACATTCCTCGTGTCCCTTTCTTGCTGATTTCATAATGTGTAGGTATCTACTTAAATTTCACAACTTATGAAACAGATAAGTAGGACCTGAAATCTCAACCCTTAGAAACATCAAAGAACCCAGTCATGGTTTAGATTACTGGTGTAAGCTGTCTTTAGCAGGCTTTACCTACTCAGTTTAGTCTTCATGTCATGTACGATAAAATCTCTAGTTGTTCTAACACAACTACCCATGTTCCTTTATATTTAATGCTTGGGCATTTAATCCCAGAGAAATCTTATGTCTTTTATACACAAATGTTCACAGCAGCTTTGTTTACTTTTGAAATTTCATTTTATTTTTTTATTTTCTGCCTTGCTATGTTACCCAGGCTAGTCTCAACCTCTGGCTTCAGGCAATCTTCTTACCTCAGCTTCCCAAAGTGCTGGGATTACAGGTGTGAGCCACTGCACCTGCACTGTTGCTTTATTTGTAACAGCAAAATGCCACAAATAATCCAAATGCCCTTCAATTGTTGCATGGTTGAGCAAATTTTGGTACATCCATACATTGGAATTCTATTCAGCAATAAGAAGGAATAAATGGACTGGGCGTGGTGGCTCATGCCTGCAATCCCTGCACTCTAGGAGGCTGAGATGGGAGGATCACTTGAGGCCAAGAGTTTAAGACCAGCCTGGGTAACATAGCAAGACCCCATCTCCATGAAAAAACTTAAAACAGCACTGCACTCCTGCCTGTGTTACAGAGCGAGACCCTAAGGAAGGAAGGCAGGCAGGCACATGTAATAATCTGGAGGGACCTTCTAGGGCATTATGCTTAGATCTTAGGAAACAATTTAGATGTTGTTAATTAGGATAACTGATAAAACACAATGCCCTCATTTACAGAATTAGCTAAATGTTTCTACCAACAAGAAAGAGTGTCTATGGTACATTGTTGAGGGAGAAAAGCAAACTGGAGAGTATGTATAATATGACCTAATTTTTCTGTTTTACACAAAGAGAAGCAAAATGTGTGTACGTGGTGAGGCGCGGTGGCTCACGCCTGTAATCCCAGCACTTTGGGAGGCCAAGGTGGGCGGATCACCTGAGGTCAGGAGTTTGAGACCAGCCTGGCCAATATGGTGCAACCCTGTCTCTACTAAAAAAAATAAAAAATTAAAAAATAAATAAATAAATAAATAAATAAATAAATAAATAAATAAATTAGCAGGGCATGGTGGTGCATGCCTGTAGTCCCAGCTACTTGGGGGGCTGAGGCAGGAGAATCACTTGAACCCAGGAGGCGGATGTCGCAGTGGGCCGAGATCGCACCACTGTGCTGCAACCTGGGTGACAGAGTGAGACTCTGTCTCAAAAAACAAAACAAAACAAACAAAAAATGTGTGTACATGTATGTAGTCATAGCACACAACAGTAAATTTGGAGGGACGTATGCCAAACTCTTTTTTTTGAGAGTCTCACTCTGTTACCCAGGCTGGAGTGCAGTGACATTATCATGGATCACAGCACCCTCAACCTCCCGGGCTGAAGTGATCCTCCCATCTCAGCCTCCTGAGGAGCTGGAAACACAAGCATGCACCACTAAACCCAGCTAATTTTTAAATGTGTTGTAGAGATGGGGTCTCCCTATATTGCCCAGCCTCTCAAAGTGCCAAACTCTTTAAAACACTGCCTACATTTGAGAACGACTGGAAGAAAATATTTTTTACTTTTTACTTGTTATTTGGTTTGTTTTAATTTTACTCTTTCATAATAGAAAAAGAGGTTATTGCAGATTTCAACGTTTCATGGCATGTTTGCTATGGTCTTCAGATGTACACATGTGAGACACTAGGTGAGAAGAGAACCATGCTTAGAAGTCACAAGAGCTGGGCCTAAATTCCCTCTCCAGTAAAGTCAAAGCCTCTGTGAGCTGCAGTTGCTTTATCTATGAAATGGAATAACAACACTGGATTGCTATAAAGTGCAACTGAGTTAAAGCATATGAACACATCAAATGTACAGGGATATCTCTACCACAATTCTAACAAGAAGTGATTTAATGATAACATCTCAACACATGATCATTTATTAGTTATCTGAGTATCAGAGTGCTCTAAGATAGTTGAAGTGGTTAGGACTTCTGGAAAACAATAGCTTTTATGAATAATTACTTTTGTCCTGAGCCATACTTGAATCCTAGAAGGGAACCACTGTCATCAAAGTCTGAAGCTGGGTTTTCATCAATGTCCAGTTCATGGCTAAATAAAGAAAAGGTAAACAGTGATAAGCCATTACCACCAGAGCCCACTAGTTCAGATAAATATAAAAAAGGCAATATAATTGACCCATGCAAACTTCCCAACACCATAGTCAACCATAGTTCACAAATCCAGGAAACCAGGAAAAAAAATACTTTAATTAGAATTTTCCAAATAAGGTAAGTACCCAGGAGCATTTGGAACACAGCAATAAGTATTCCAGTCTTAATTCATGTCAAGTAATGATTTCTATTCCTAGGTATGGTACAAATATAATCTCTCAATTTTCCTTTGGAAAAACATCAGTAAAAGCTGCAGCCTTAAATTAATCTCCTAAAGTGATTTCTCCAGAGGTTTCCCTTAAAAACAAACAAGGAAACGTTTGATAAGTATCAATACAATCCAAAAAAATTTTAAAAGAAAAAAATTACTAAAAAGAATAAGGTTGTGATACAAGTGATATTAGGTAACCCAGGAGAATCCACCTACTAGAGATCTTTTAGTAACCAGTGACCATCCCTGGCCGTAATTCCAAGTAAAGGAAAATGGTGAGAAATAATTCTTACAAAGTTTGTCCTTCAAAATAAGTTACGCTCATTGAACACACATGATCTTTGCCTCCAGTAACTAGCAGGAACTGGGGAGTTAACAAGCAATGTCTACCATACAGAGGTAGCACAGTAGAGGCACGCTTGTTTTTCCAGAAGCTATATGGAGTACAAGTGTCTTACGTGGAGCACCCCATATCCAGTCAAAGAAATGAAGTGTCCAGCTAACTTCCAAGTTCAGTAACGATCCATTCTTTCCTTGTTACTTACAGTGTTAGCATCTGACTACATCCCACCTTACATTATTCTCTACGTGTTTAATTATGTGTACAAGTGTATAAACCTTCAAGAAAAAAATGTAGAGATGAATACCAAAAAAAAGAACTTTTATTTGGTTATAAAACACAAAAACAGAACTGCAGTTTGGGACATAAGCACAGAATGAGGTGGCCTCATGAAATGTCCAAAGAAGAGAGGAAAAGGTTAGAGTTTCACTGAGGAGAGAGGTCACGCACGTTGTTTAGAAAGTTAGTTCACTGGTGCTGGCAGCATCTTACAACAAACAGCTGGTGAGTTTTGATTAGGAGAGCCAGTGGTTGTTAGGTGGAAGACTGAAGGCTACAAATTCAGGAATAACTTACAAATTACAACAAAGGACTGCTTCAGGAGTGGCACAACCACTGCCACTTCTGGGCAGAGATAAACTTGTAAACTGAGAGTTATGGTTAGGCCTCTGCAGTTTCGAATTGGGCTTGTGAGACTGTGTCAGGCACATGTTCCTGTATAAGCAGCTATCTGTCTTTGTGTGATGCTTTGGCTTGGAAAAATTTCTTGTGACAGTTCCTGTTATCAAGCAAATAGTGCATGAGAGTCTTTCATGGCCTTCCCTGGCTACATTTTACCAGTGTCTGACACAAGTGACTCTGTTTTGACTCTTACAACTTTCACAGTGGTAAACAGAAATTGCACTGCTTCGAGTAGAGTTGATCTGGGCTCTGGCTTTAGAGCTGCCATTGCTGTGAAGAAAACTGAGCAAGGTACTCATTCCTGTTTGCCTCAGTGTTCCTATCTATACAATGAGAGCATGACCTTGAGGTCTTTTTCAGCAATACAAATCTGGGATAAAATATATCCAGACTTTTGAAAAACATTAGAACTGGTGAGAGAGAGAGAGAGAGAGAGAAGATATGAATTTAATTATTAGTTAAAAGTTATGATCCATTGATAGCTACTAAGTGTCAGATATATTACATGCTAGCTCCTGTCTACCCAATAATCACAAAAAAGGCATCAGTCCAATCTTATAGATGAGAAATTAAGAAATGTACTTAGGCCGGGTGTGGTGGCTCACACCTGTAATCCCAGTGCTTTGGAAGGCCAAGGCAAGTGGATCGCTTGAGGCCAGAAGTTTGAGATCAGCCTGGGCAACATAGCGAGACCCTGTCTCTATAAAAAATTTTAAAAAATTAACCAGGAGTGGTGGCACATGCCTGTAGTCCCAGCTACTCAAGGCAGAAGGATCAATTGAGCTGAGGAGTTCAAGTTCAATTGAGCTGAGGAGTTCAAGATCATAGTGAGCTATGATCATACCATGTACTCCAGCCTGAGCAATAAAGCGAGACCATGTCTTAAAAAAAAAAAAAAAGAAATGTACTTAGAGTTTGTGAGTGGCAGAGTTCGGCCTTAACCACAGGTCCAGGTCCAAAGGCTCAGAATCTTACCAGTAGATCCTGCCTCTTCTTACATGATTACTGGTGTTGTGAACATAACAATCATTTAATAACCACTGGCTTATGCATACAAATGCTTACTCTAACACGCTCTGGTGAGAGGGGTCTCATGTAACTTACCTCCTCTTCAGTTTGCTTGGCTTATGCTCAGGTGGGTCTTCCTCACTTTCATCTCCATCAGTACCACTGGCATGTGGTCTGTCTTTGCTTGTGTTTGCTCCTGAAGACTTCTGTGAATCTAAAGAGGCAGAAATATTGCAGTAGCTTTTCCCCCTTGGTTTGACAACTTTTCTGCTATTTGCAAAGCCAATGAAAATATTTTAGCACCTTTTCTACAATGAACTGTACATGTGCATCAAAGTGCCAGCTCACATCTACCTGTTTGTGTCTACATGCAGAGTCTGAGCATTTTAAAAATCTTAACTATAAGGTTTGTTAAATTAAATTTAGCCTAAAACTGTCCATGTATACATTTTAAGCTCAGCTTAAAGGTTTTTCCACATGTAGTGAACTGTAACCTAACTGGTGGTATAAAAAGACTGTAACCTACTCTTGTATCAAGCACAGTTTTGGCTAATCACAGGCAGCCAACTATTCAAATGGTGTTCAAGTAAGGCAAAAGCTGGGCTGTAACCAATCCAGCTGTTTGTGTACCTCACTTCCACCTTCTGTACGTTGTACATCATTTTTCTTTTTCTGTCCATAAATGTTATCCCAATCATGTGGCAGCCCTGGAGTTGCTCTGAACCTATTCTGGCTCTTGGGGCTGCCTGATTCGAGAATCGTTCTTTGCTCAGTTAAACTCTATTAAATTTAATTTGTATAAAGTTTTTTAACAGGTTTAAAAATGTTCATGATCTAACTACTTAAAAAAAAACACAACAAACTAAAACTACTTCTTCATAGCTGCCCAAATCTATACAAATTAACCCACAAAGCTGCCTTTGTGATAGCTGTTAGCAGTCACATTCTTATGGAATTTTAATTGAAATGACCGTAAAGGGGGCATAATCACATTGATTAAGAAGAATTTCTCTTCATTTGCCTTTAATATAGTATGAAAGTAACATTAATAATGAGAGTAACAAAGACAATACTATCTTTAAGAAGAGTTCTTTAACTTATGGTGACAAAAACTGAGGCACAAATCTGTCTTTGTTCTCTATTTTGTCAGACTGGAAGAAAGTGGGTGGCTGAGACCAGGAGGAAAAAGATGTCTGCAGGGTAGACAGTGGGAAGCTTTGACTCTTTCAGAAAAGCACCAACCACAAAGAGTAGAAAACATACTTACATAGAAGCATAACCTATACCTTAAATTTTGAACTCAAGGGAGGATCTAAAACAAATCAAAATCTAAAACCCTCAAATTCATCCTGATGGCAGACAAACTGGAGTTATTACAGAAATGGACAATCTATAAACGTAAGTAAGGGAACAAGCAACAGAAGGCAGAGACTGTGAGACTTACTGTGTCTGCCAAAGAAAAAAGCAGGCAGATGAGGGAGGAGAACCAAAGAGGGTAAATGAGACTGTAAGTCAGAGGCCAAAACAATGCCCAATATGTATATTATAAACTTTATGGTCAAAATATGTACAGAAAGGTATCAGGAGAGTATAGAAGAGTATCAGAATACTAATATAAAATCTTCAGATAAAAAAGGATGGCTGTGCATGGTGGCTCACGCCTATGCACTTTGGGAGGCTGAGGCGGGAGGATCACTTGAGGTCAGGAGTTTGAAACCAGCCTGGCCAACACGGTGAAACCCCGTATCTACTAAAAATAAAAAAATAAAAAAATTAACTGTATGTGGTGGCACACACCTGTAGTCCCAGCTACTCGGGAGGCTGAGGCTGGAGAATTGCTTGAGCCCCGGAGGCGGACCTTGCAGTGAGCTGAGATAGTGCCACTGCACTCCAGCTTGGGTGACAGAGTGAGACTCCATCTCAAAAAAAAAAAAAAAAAAAGGATGAAAATGTATCACCAAAATAGAAAGGAATGAGAATATTATACTGAGGTAGGCTCCACTTATAAGAATCTAAGAATATAGAGAAAAAAAGCAAGTTGACAGAGCTCTTTAGAAACTGTCAGCTGGATGAAGTATTATCAGCAATCTGAGATAAGCAAAGCAAATCTGATTGTTAAGTAAAAGGTCAAAACCATTTGTTTCACAAAAGAGTAAGGCTGAGAAGAAAGTTCCTCTACACTAGATGTCTTCAGCATGTAACATCAGGATGCCAAAACTTCAGGATATGCAGATGTCACAGAAATTTCCTCCTCTCCCATTTTCCTGGTGCTGTTAATTGGCAGAAGCCTCTCCCCAGCAAGAGCACTGATAGGGTTTGGATGTTTGTCCCCTCTAAACCTCATGTTTAAATGTGATCCCTAATGTTGGAAGTGGGGTCTGGTGGGAAGTGTTTGGGTCATGGGGCAGATCCTTCATGAATGGCTTGGTGCCTCCCCATGGTAATGAGTTACTGCAATATCTGATTGCTAACAAGAGCCTGGGACCTCCCCCCTCTCTCTTGCTCTCTCTCTTGCCATGTGGCATGCCTATGCCCCTTTCACCTTCTGCCATAATTGGAAGGTTCCTGAGGCCCTCACCAGGAGTTGATGCTGAGACTATGCTTCCTGTACAGCCTGCAAAACTGTGAGCCAAAATAAACCTCTTTTCTTTAAACATTCCTCAGTCTCAGGTATTCCTTTACAGCAATGCAAAGTAAACATTCTCATCGCACCGTACTCAGATTAACTCCTTTCAAAACACTTCTCATTGGCATTCTCTAGTCCTGAGTGGCACCAGTTTGCACAATTAGCTTTTTTTGGATCAGTTATTCAGGAATCAATCAAGTTCCTTATCCTGGATATTTTATTGATGAGAATCCTGAAATTAACCATTCCAGTTATAAATTAATATTGTGCCCCATTGAGATCTTTTTTTCACAGCAAGACTTCACTTGTCCTAAGTGAATTCCACATATGACTCATAAGACATTTGCCTAATGTCAAATGTACATTCTCAATTGCTTTCTAACATGCCTCTTATAAATTCATTTGCTGTGGAAAACTAAAAGTTCCAAGCTCACTTTATATTAGATTTCTCAAGAGATTCCACATTTTCCTTCATTAGCCACCAAAGTACAAGAGAAGGAATGATACTTTTGAGAACTGCATGCAAATATTCTTATTAATAGAAAAGGATAACTTGTGATATGAAAACAGGATGGATTAAATCATTTCATTATTATATGAAATGTACTTGGTATTATTTAACTCTACAATAAAGGATTAGTAGTTATTTTGCTAAATGAATTCATTTTGCTAACCATTACATGGCAGAATAAATCTTGGTTAATCTTACCCTCAGCTGGTGGGTCTGTGTTTGTATTCCCCGATGAGTTGCTTTCCTCATTGGTTCCTCCATTACGTGGTTCACTTTGGCCGGAAGCAGGGCACTCTCTTTTGCTACTAACTTCACTTAGCTGTTGATGACCATCATGACTTGTACAGGAATCTAATTGGCTCTGTGTTACTTCCTCTGAATTCAGTTTTATGTTACTAATTCCATCAAGTATTTCACTATGATCCTTATCACTTGTACCAGAGCTATCATTATCAACCATAATAGGTGAAGATGGAAAAGATACTAAGTCAACTTTCATGCATTTTTCATCGTTCTTGTCATCAGCTTCTGTTTTAGATGTGTAAGTATCTGTATCACAGCTTTGCGAGGCATCAAAAGTCCAACCCTGAGCTTCCCAATACTGAAATTGTTCCAAATAATACCAATAAAGTTGACTATAATGTTGCTCCCATTCTTCCTTTGTATCAGGAAAGTTCCAAGGTTCAGAAGATAGTGCTTGACCCGGATGTTTTTCTTGCCAACTTTGCCACAATAGTCCTCCTCCATATTCATTCCAATACTTTTCCCATTTCTCTGTAATTTCTAGCTTTGGAGATAATGTGTTTTCAACTGGAGGATTTTCTGTCTCAGTATCTTTTTTGCTTTGAAGTTCATATGTTCTGGTGTTCTCATACTGTTCAATTGAAGATGGATCATCTGAAGCCAAAATGTCGTCTTCTTCATATTCTTTTCTCCAAGATTCTTGCACAATTTCATCTAAGTATTTCTTTTGATGTTTTTTCTTTTTTATTTTAACTTTATTTCTAGTATTCATAGATACCTATATCAGATAAATAACTTGAATATAAAATGCACTTTATGAACTATAAAAGAAAGTAGAATCCAAGTCTATTTTGACATTAAATTAAACAAAATACTCTAAAGCCCCACTATGGGCTTTTAGCTCCACAAACAAGTGATATACTATCTAAGTTTCCAAGAGGAGGAACAGTCACACTTGGGACATATTACAACTTTCAGTTCTGGTTAATTTATAAATACATACATTTAAAAAGAGGTAGAGAGCGCTGATCGTGAATGCATATAATCTGATAAAAAGTAATTCCTTGCGATATTTTATAAAGAAAACGAAGAGAGAGAAATAATAAAAGTAAATTAATATTTACCTCAAAATCCTTATGTGCAGTTATCCTACCAAATTGAAGTGGCAATCCCATACTTCTCATGAGTTCAGCCTCAGAATCAAGTTCACTTTCATCCAGGCCTATGCCTTTGCTGTCATGTGATTCTGCAGTACCACAGGAATAACCACCTTCCTCTTCTTCTGTCGCCTGGTCTCCTATAGACACCATTTATTAGCTTAGTTTTAAGGAAAACTTAAGAGGCAGGTTTTCTTATTCTCATTTAAAAAAACCTGAGATCCAGAGTGACCCGCCCAAAATAAAGGTATGCAAATGTTACAATTTTTTTTATTTTTTAGAGATGGGGGTCTCACAACACTGCCCAGGTTGGAGTATAAGGGCTATCTGCAGGTGTGATCATAATGCACTAAAAAGCTCTGAACTCCCGGGCTCAGTCAGTCCTCTTGCCTCAGCCTCACAAGCAGCTAGGATTACAGTTGCATGCCACCTTGCCTGGCCTGCAAAGTTACAATTTTTAAAGGAAAAAAGAAAACAAACAAACAAAAAAACAATTGACGGTATGCTGGGCACGGTGGCTCACACCTGTAATCCCAGCACTTTCGGAGGCTGAGGCAGGCGGATCACTTGAGGTCAGGAGTTTGAGACCAGCCTGGCCAACATGGTGAAAACCCGTCTCTACCAAAAATATAAAAATTAGCTGGGCCCAGGCTGTAATTCCAGCTACTCAGGAGGCTGAGGCAGGATAATTGTTTGAACCTGGGAGACAGAGGTTGCAGTGAGCCAAGATTGTGCCACTGCACCCCAGCCTGGGTGAGAGAGCGAGACTCTGTCTCAAAAAAAAAACAAAAAACAAAAAACAAAAAACACCAATTGACAGTAATATGGAGTAGTAACAAAAAAAGCCAATGAAGAATCAACGGAAGAATCAATTTCTTATTGGGCTCTGCCTGCCACTATTCATCCAGCTGCCCATTTAACTTACTCTTATTGAGCATCTGCTCTATGTTGGGCACTGTGCAAAATACTGAGGATGGAAGGAAGACAGAACAGGCCATGTAACCCTGGTACGTGGAGAAAATACTTATATGTTCACATTCTTTATCTGCAAAATTACTGAACTAAGACAGTGAATTTAAAAATCATGATTTGTGAAGTTATTTTAGGAGGTATTAACAAGAGCGGGTGAGAAGCATGTCTTCATGCCCCTCACAGACACTTCAATACAACTGGGATTTAGGTTCCGGGATTCTGTGGAAGAGCTGATTTAACAAAAGGATTCTGCTATTAGAAGTTTGAAATCCTGGGGTTGGGCACAGTGGCTTATGGCTCTAATCCCAGCATTTTGAGAGGCTGCTTGAGGCCAGGAGTTTGAGATAAGCCCGAGCAACACAGCAAGACCCTGTCACTACAAACAAAACCAAAAACCAAAAAACAAACTACCCTGGTGTGGTGGTGCCTGTAGTTCCTGCTACTTGGGAGGCTGAGGTGAGAGGAATGCTTAAGCGATCACCACTCAGACAACAGAGCAAGACCCTCTCTCTCTCTCAAAAAGAGAAAGGTTTGAAATCCCCTAAACTGGAAGATTTTTTTCAAGCTCTCTGAATCTAATTCTTATAGAAAAACCATTTATTACAACAAAGTAAGTTTTACTTTACACCAATATGGTTATCTAATAGTAATTATACCATTAATTGAACATATGCCATTCAAGTGCTCTATTAACTTTAAAATGTGAGATAACAAAAAATCATTTTATGTATTAGCACACTCAATTAGCATTGGGCTGCACTCCAGCTTGATGGTCTCAGGCAACAGAACAGTAAATCTTATATAGCCAAAATGAAGACTGATAAAGAGAAATCTCTTGTGTGCAAATTCTGCTACAAGAGGGAGAAAGATACCTTTCTAAATAATGAAGGGGATTCCACTCACTACTCCATTCAAATATACTTACGAAAGCTCAGGAGACAGCAAAATGGAGAAAATGAGTAAGCTAAGTTTTATGTTCCTTTCATTGTATGCATATTTTCTTATGCTCGAGGAGCCTAGTGTTATAGGAACTTTATTTGTATAGCATAGCACTGAAACACAAACCAAACATTCCATCCAGTGATCAACTGAAGAAACAGTAATTTGTTCCATCGCCATGAGAGTTAAAGGGTTTCCGAAGGTAACTATGACACTGTACTTGGGCTGACTTTGGCTTCTAACTCCACGCTGTAATTTTCTCTGTGTCTAGGAACACAAAAGGTCTATGTGGAAGGACAAATGCAGTAGGGAAGTTTGAGACATCAAAGTGAGGCTCAATGTACAGTATAAATTATATTTGTTACTTGGGAAAGTTAACCAAGATGACAGTCTCTTTACTTCAGGCAAAAGACTATAGATGTTCACCTGGAATTTTTATCCCGTAGCATTTTTTTATCCTGCAGCATTTACCTACATAATACACTTCTCATGAAGTGTATTATGATTAGAATTTACATATTCTAAATTGGAGATGGAGTCTCACTCTGTTGCCCAGGCTGGAGTGCAGTGGCACAATCTCAGCTCACTGCAAACTCTGCCTCCTGGGTTCAAGGGATTTTCTTGCCTCAGCCTCCTGAGTAGCTGGGATTATAGGTGCCCACCACCATACCTGGATAATTTTTGTATTTTTATTAGAGATGGGGTTTTACCATGTTGGCCAGGCTGGTCTCGTACTCCTGACCTCAAGTGATCTGCTTGCCTTGGCCTCCCAAAATGCTGGGATTATAGGCATGAGCTACCACGTCCAGCCAGAAACCACATATTCCCTACTTTTCAAAGCTTTAAATTCCAGGTTGCTCTTATCTAATGGTGGCAACTCAGGAAGGAACACTACACACAGCAAAAGAGGCTACATTAAGTCAGCACAGGAGCTATAGAAAAATAAAAGATCTGCTTTCATAGAGATTCCAGAACCATGTTATAAAAGAAAATAAAAATTGTCTGATTACAGAATTATTTGGCATTTATATTTTATGCTAACAAATCAATACAATATTATAACAAATTATACATAAATTAACACATTATGGCTAATTTCAGCAAAAAAGGTTTATAGAATTTTATACTATATTACCTGAATTGTTGCCACTGTCTCTGATGTAATAGCCTTTTAATCCCAAATTGTACAATTTTCGATCCCTGCGAAGCAGATTAAGCAGTTCATATTGAAATGAATTAAGCCATCAGTTTAGAGGGAAAGAAATCTCGAGCCATCATAGATTAATTAATAAAAAGCTTATGAAACAGAAAAGCAATCTGCTAATACATTTCCCTCACTTATAATGTAGAGGCAATAATACATTTGTCATGGAGTTGTTGTAAGGACTGATAGTATATGTAAAATATTTAGCACAATGCTTAATACATGGTAGCATTTATTACTATAACTGCTAGTTACTAAAATTAAGGCTGGGCACAGTGGCTCCCACCTGTAATCCCAGCACTTTGGGAGGCTGAAGTGGGCAGATCACCTGAGGTCAGGAGTTTGAGACCAGCCTGGCCAACATGATGAAACCCCATCTCTATCGAAAACACAAATTAGCTGGGCGTGGTGGCAGGCGCCTACAATCCCAGCTACTAGGGAGGCTGAGGCAGGAGAATTGCTTAAATCCGGGAGACAGAGGTTGCAGTGAGCTGAGATCACACCACTGCACTCTAGCCTGGGCGACAAGAGCAAAAATCTATCTCAAAATAAATAAATAAATAAATAAATAAATAAATAAATAAATAAATAAATAAAGTGTAAGTTCTTCTGGACATCTGATATTCCTTATGATACATAAACAATGGGGTGTTCTCTAAATTTTGTTGTGAATAACAGTGGAGAGATTTAGCTTACATACATATAAATCAATATGCAGACACTAATCCATTTGCTAATAAGACAAACTATCCATTGTGAACAGTAGACAAGGTATTCATGGTCTGAGCAAAGGTTACCAAAATAAACCTAACAGAATACTTAAGAAAAAGTGGAAGACTCTGCTTTTAATATCTTCCTGACTATAAATTCAGCTGTAATAAACTCCACTGTAACTGCCACAAGAAGGCCAATTGCAAGTGGAAGCTAACATAACTTTTCTAATGGAGCTACAATAAATTTAACTAAATAAAATTCTAGTGTACTTGCTCTATTTCACATCCTCTTGCTTCTTTTTTGGAGATACTATATTAAATGTAAAGTAGGTGGTGACTCAGCAGGATGATGAACAGGCAAGGGGGTGACGTGCAAATGTGCTTTGGCAGCAACTGGTCCCCAGGAACATGGGCACTGGGGGTGGGAAGCAGGAGCTGCACAGGGGGCATCACTGGTCTGCCCGCCAGCACCTAAAGATATGAGGCACTGAAGTGTCAGGTGGAGGAGAGGACCAGTATGGTTGGTTGCAAGTTGGTTATAATGAGCAAATATGTAAATGTGTTGAAGATAATGTTAGCCAAGATTCCCCTTGTTGAAGGTTACTTATTTACTTTATTATTTTAAAATTTATTTTAATGTTTTTAAATAAAAAATTTTTGGTTTTTTTTTAAATAGAAATGAAGAAGGTTATTTAAAAGCAAGGTGGGCTCAAGACATTATCTGATAGGAAGGAAGGCTAGAAAGAACCCTCAGGTGTTGGGCCAACATTAGAAGTACTGTTATAAACTCATGGCATTTAAGTTTATATACACAGCAGACATAAAAATAGTTTTTAAAAGTGTTACATATGTGTGTATATATACACAGACACATTCATGTATGCGTGTAAAACACACATATATAACACTGCTCAACTCTCTCTACTAAGAGGGCACAGGAGCAATAAGCACAATGAGCAGCCAGCTTTTGGTTTCTAAATACTATTTTCCACGAAAGGAACCAAGTTGCCCGGAGAAATGACAATTCCAGGTTGGAGCATGAACTGTAAAAGATAAACCTGGGTCATCTTATGCCAGAAGATTAGGAAGCACTCAACACTAGAAATACCAAAAGGACACAGGAGCCACTTCAAAGAGTTCCCCACTGGGAACTCTGGCCAAATCAGAGACAATATCAGCACCAAATTAATGTTAGCAATGGAATATAACCTGTTAGTAAACTAAGAATCTAGATTCCATGTTAACATAAATGAATAAATACATGGGGAGAGAAGGGAAAGCGCTCCTTACAGAATACTAACTAATAAATGCAGTAGGAGCGAAGAAGACAAGAACTACTCCTTGGCATCCTTCACAGAGGTAGCTGATTCAGGGGGAAGTTATCAATGAAGGCCAAGGCTTGTGGGTTTACTGGAAAACAGGATACTGATATAACACTGGAATATGCCCCCACAAAATACTGATTAATACAAAGGGAACTATTGTGACTTTACAGTAGAAAACCTGGCATTCAGCAACATCACCCATGATGGTATACTGTCTACAAAAAGTGCCTCCTGAGGCCACACAGAGCTGGGCATAGCATCATTTCTGTGGCACTCCTGCTAAGGCATGACCCAACTATTCCTGATGAAACATCAGACAGACCCAGGTTATGCAAGGTCAGACCCCACCTCTAGAAAAAACAAAAAAAATTAGTCAGGTGTAGTAGTGCACACCTATGGTTCTAGCTATATGGGAGGCTGAGCTGGGAGAATCACCTGAGCCCAGAAGGCTGAGGCTGCAGTAAGCAATGATCATACTACTGCACTCCAGCCTCAGCAGCAGAGCGAATCTCTGACTCAAAAAAAAAAAGAAAAAAAAAAAAAAAGCCATGCCAGACATGGTGGCTCATGCCTATAATCCTAGCACTTTGGGAGGCTGAGGTGGGTGGCTCACTTGAGGCTAGGAATTTGAGACCAGTCTGGCACACATGGTGAAACCCTGTCTCTACTAAAAATACAAAAATTAGCTGGGTGTGGTAGTGTGGGCCTGTAGTCCTGGCTACCTGGGAGGCTGAGGCATGAGAACTGCTTGAACCCAGAGGGTGGAGGTTGCCACTGCACTCCAGCCTGGGCGACAGAGCAAGACTCTGTCTTAAAGAAAAAAAAAAAAAGGAAAAAAAAGAATACATATGAAATTATTTGTAATGAAAAGCATACATGTTTCAGTTCAAAAAGATGAAATTCAATGGAATTGATAAGATGGTCATTAAATAGTGTTTTAAAAGTCATTCTGATTCAAATCCAATTGTGTATTATTTTCTAGAGGTGTGAGTTGAGAAATCTTCTCAACTTTTTATATTTCATAACTTATATTCTTTCTTCTCTTTTAGAAGGAGGGCTTCCTAAAAGTAGCATCAGTACCCGATCATACTGTGGGCCGTGAATTAAGCATGTAGCCTGGGCTGCCACTGACTGCAAGGTGACTTTCCTTTCCTGGCCTGCATCTCCTACAAAGAGCCAGGTATTTTTTTCTAGTGAGCTTTTTGGTCCCACCACAGTGCTAGCCTGTAAGCCTTCTGGAGGATGGGCCCAGCTTAACAGGTCAGGTCCTGAGAAAGAGGCAGAAAGGCCTTTCCTCATGGGTGAGAGGTAAATCAGATGTCCAAGGTTATTACCGTATGTTCCAAGGCTGCTGATAATTTGAGGCAGAAAGATCAGCAACAAGAGATTACCAGCTGTTATATTTTTATGAAAACTGTTTCTTACTTAAAACTTTCAAGTATCTCCAAGAGCATTCATCACCGGGAATGATGTATTTCTAATGCCTGGCATTTGAAGAATTTCCATTATACTTGCTAAGTAGTCTCTATAAAGCTGTCTTTGAGTTTGATTAGTGTACCTTAATCCACAGAGCATAATGACTCTGGATGAATTGATGGCCTCAAAAATAGAAGATTTGTTGTAATTTCTGGACCTGGCACACGTAAGGACTAAATAAATCTTAACTACTGACTTGAATTGTAAAGCAGAAGACCCAACCTGGATTGTAGTAATCCCACTAAGATACTGCTCTCCTTAGAGCCCTAAGCAGCCACCTGAATTCTTATCCTCATACCTCTGAATATAGCAATCATCACTATGATGCCTAAGTCATCTTTCTATTGCAGCACCTGACACTCGGGCGGCTGAAATAAATGCTGAATATAAGATTCTTAGCAATATCTGAAGTACAAGTAGCAATTCCTCTTTTGCAAAGGGACTGTGAATCAGCTTCATTTTCAAGTAGTAAAATGGAAAGGAAGCCCTTTCTGAAAGGTTAAAAGGGGATCACAGAAATAATATGTGACTTGCCTAAGGCCACACAGCTGAGTTTTGTAAAAGCACACAGATATGCTGTCTATAAGGTCACTACTCTTTTAAATTCTGACTCAGGAACCTGTTGGGGGGAAAACATATCAAACAATTTCGTTGTATCATATATGAAAGACTAGAGATCACCATCAGACACTGTCACATGAGTATGATCAGAGGGAAATATAGGCTCTTCAGTTTCCAGAATAGTCCTCTATCTCCACGAATCTATATTAATGTTAAAGTGTCTGAACAGAACATCAGTTGTTCTAGTGACTTTAGACTACTTAAATACCTTAATGAGGGAGATTCAATGAAATCATGTTCTATGCCAACTGGTAGCATAGTAGAAAGGCTCTCATGTCATACAGATGTGCGGTAGAATTCTAAGGCTGCCATTTACTGGCTATGTGATTTTTTTTAGGCCACTACTGAGACTCTGAGACAGGGTCTCATTCTGTCACCCGGATTGGAGTGCAGTGGTACGATCATGGCTCACTGCAGCCTCCACCTCCTGGACTCAGCCTCCAGAATAGCTGGGACTACAGGAGTGCCCCACCATGCCTGGCTAATTTTTTGTATTTTTAGTAGAGATGGGGTTTCGCCATGTTGCCCAGACTGGTCTTGAACTTCTGGGCTCAAGCGATTTGCCTGTCTCAACCTCCTGAAGTACTTGGATTACTGATGTCAACCACCACAACCAGCCAAGACTCAATTTTCTACTTGAATAAGTGAGGATAACAAGACATACCTCAGGGGGCTGCTAGAAGGCTTAAATTAAAAAAAAAAAAAATTTAAATTATTCTGACATTTGTTAAAATGGTAAAGAAAGGCTTTATTTAGGATAATTGCGATAGTAATCAACATAATGGTAGCCACACGCATGTAATCCCAGCACTTTGGGAGGCCAAGGCGGGCAGATCACTTGATGTCAGGAGTTCGAGACCAGCCTCCAAGGTAAAACCTCATCTCTACTGAAAATACAGAAATTAGCCGGGTATGGTGGTGCACTCCTGTAATCCCAGCTACTTGGGAAGCTGAGGCACGAGAATTGCTTGAATCTGGGAGGCAGAGGTTGCAGTGAGCCGAGATCATGCCACTGCACTCCAGCCTGGGCGACAGAGTGAGACTCTGTCTCAAAAGAGAAAAAAAAAAAGATAATGGCAATGGAGAGAAATTTTGCTCAACTTCAAATATAGCAAAGACAGCTGAAGATAGCCAATGGGCAAAATTCAGGGGGCGTGGTCAGTGGATGGAAAATTACTAAGGGGAGACATCCAGCATGGGGGGATTGTTGCTATACCAACAGTATTCTTGCTGAGGGCAGGCCAGAGCGATCAGATACGAAGGGTGGGAAGATCTTGCTACATGGACTTAGCAGGATTCTGGCTAAAAAAAAAAAAAAACACCTGTAATCCCAGCACTTTGGGAGGCTGAGGTGGGAAAACTGTTTGTACCCAGGCATTCCAGACCAGTGTGGGCAACAAGGTGAGATCCCTGTCTCTACAAAAAATAAAAAAATCAGGCAGGTATGGTGGTGCATAGCTGTGGTCCCAGCTATTCAGGAGGCTAAGGTAGGAGGATTGCTTGAGCCAGGGAAGTTGAGGCTGCAGTGAGCTGTGATTGTACCATTGCACTCCAGCCTGGGTGACAAAGTGAGACCCAGTCTCAAAATAAACCTCCCAAAACCCAAAAAACAAAACAAAAAAAACACCCAAGAACCACCCCGCCACCACCAAAAAAAAACCAACAAACAAAAAAACTAATGGACTTAGAAGGATTCTTGTTAAAACTGGACCAGACAGGTTGAAGACAAGTCCCAAATGACAAGGCCTAATCAAAAGGAGAGCTCACTCAGAGCCTGTGTAAAGTCTGGTTAAGGAGAGTCTCTGTCAGTACAAAATGTAGAACAATTAGTGGTGGCACTTAATAAGTCATCTAAGGGAGGAGACCACCCCTCATATTGTCTTATGCCCAATTTCTGCCTCCAAAGAAAGAAGTAAAAACTAAAAGGCAGAAATGAAATCCATAAGCAGACAGCCCGGCGCCACACCCTGGGCCTGGTAGTTACTGATCCACCCCTGACCTAATCGGTTATTTGCATAAAAAAGGCACTGGGCCGGGCACAGTGGCTCACGCCTGTAATCCCAGCACTTTGGGAGGCCAAGGCGGGTGGATCAGAGGTCAGGAGACAGAGACCATCCTGGCTAACACAGTGAAACCCCGTCTCTATTAAATACACAAAAAATTAGCTGGACATTGTGGCGGGCGCCTGTATTCCCAGCTACTTGGTGGGCTGAGGCAGGAGAATGGCGTGAACCCAGGGGGTGGAGCTTGCAGTGAGCAGAGATCTCGCCACTGCACTCTGGCCTGGGCAACAAAGCGAGACTCTGTCTCAAAAAAAAAAAAAAAAAAAAAGACACCGTGAAGACCCCTGTCCAGTTCGGTTCCTTTCTAATTAGTGGTGTACGCAGCCCCCAGTCACGTACCCCTTGCTTGCTCAATCAATCACGATCCTCTCATGCAGACCCCCTTAGAGTTGTGAGCCCTTAAAAGGGACAGGAATTGCTCGCTCGGGTTGCTCGGCTCTTGAGACAGGAGTCTTGCCGATGCTCCTGGCCGAATAAACCCCTTCCTTCTTTAACCTGGTGTCTGAGGGGTTTTGTCTGCGGTTCTTCCTGCTACAGTCAATCGATCCAAGGGATTTAGTCAATTCTAGTGGATACTTTTAGTCCTCATTTTGCTTGATATTTTGGCAGCTTTCCAATGTTGATTACACCTTCACTGAAACACTTGGTGACAGTGTACTTAGGCTTGTCTGTTTCCTAGTTAATCCATCTCTTCTTGTCTTTAAAAAGTGCTGGAATTCCTCAAAGGTGGGTCCCCCTCCCCCACCCTTCATTCATGGGTTCAATCACTATCTAAGGCTAAATGGCTCAAGTTTTTAAAACTAGCCCAGACTTCTCCAGCGCTCCAAATCAATATATCTAACTGCTTATACCATCTACTCTTGGTTATCTCATAGATACCCCCAAATCAAAATGTATAAAATCAAACTCATAATCTCTTCTCCGTTGACCCAAAATAAAATTCATGATTCTCCAGTGATCCCTACCTCAGTGAAAGGCAGCAATACAATTCAGTCCCCACCCCCAGCAAGTTTTCTCCCATCTTTCTTTCTTTCTCCATTTCTGCTGCCATTTATCCTAATCCAAGTCACTATAATCTCTTGCCTAAACAATGGTCTTAAGTGGTTCTCTTCCTCCAAACAATCCTCCACACTGCCGCCTGAGTAGTATTTTAAATATGCAAATCTGATCATGTCATTCCCCAGCTTAAGGTTTTCCTATAGTCTACAAAGTCCTGCGGGTTTTGACCCTGCCTACTGTGCACACCCTATCTTCTTTCTTTCCCAGTTTTTTTTCTTTTCTTTCTTTTCTTTTCTTTTTTTTTTTCGGGACAGAGTCTTGCTCTGTCATCCAGGCACGACAATGGCTAACTGCAGCCTGGATCTCCTGGGCTCAAGAGAGCATCTGGCCCAAGCCTCCAGAGTAGCTGGGACTACAAGCATGTGCCACCACAGCTGGCTAATTTTAAAAAAAAATTTCAGTACAGATGAGGTGTTGTTATGTTGCCCAGGCTAGTCTCCAACTTCCGGGCTCAAGTGATCCTCACTCCTCGGCCTCCTAAAGTGGTGGGATTACAGGTGTGCACCACCGTGCCCTCCCTCCCAGCCATTTTGTTCAGTTTCCCAGGCTTTCTTTTGCTCCCTCAAGGCCTTTACTGAGTTCAGCCTGCAGAGAACGCTTTCTCCCACTGAAACTCACCCCAATTTATCCCCCTTAGACCTCTTTCCAAAAGCTACTTCCTCAAAGAAACCTCTGTGACCCTTGGAAAGTTATTTGTTTTCACAGCATCCTGCACTTCTCTCTCATAGCACTTATAACTATAATCAACCAAGTAATAATGTAACCAGTTATCTTAATATTGATCTTCTCTGCTAGGAAGTAAACTCAATACATGTAAGGACAGAATGTCTTGTACCTCAGTGCCTACCAGCATACTTGATATACAAGAGCACAAAAAACATTTTCTGAATGATTGTATGACTACATGCATGCCTGACTAAAAAGGCGACAATACTTTTTACATTAAATTTAACAAGTTTAACTTCTTTTTGCGTTTTCAAATTACTCCACAAAATTACACGAGAAAAATGAATTCCTTCAAACTTAAATCCTACTATATTAAACTATATTAAAAGTCTATCACATAAAATTCACTTCCACAAGGATTTAACTCTAACAAAATAAGCATGTGAGATTAAATATACCCGTTATAGAGATGAAAAAAAGGTTCAAGTGGTTTAACTCACGCATTTAATATAAAGGAAACAATTCCTAGAATTCAAGTCTCTTGGCGGTATTATTCCTGCATACTAGCTATTTTTCATGTGGGGCAATTTTTACCTGATTCAAAGATTTCCCCAAAATAAAGATATCACAAAAACTGATGTAAATATGGTTAAGTCTTTTATCTCAACTAGTTTGAAGTTTTAATTATGTGCATTTGGGCTTAAGTAGATTTTTAGGTTTAAAAAAAGACGTTAACCAAAGCAAGTCACTCAACTTTAAACTTTCACTTTATGACATCATATCTACTAGAGATTTCATTTTACATGTCGCTTTCCCCCAATTTTTAAATGTCCCCTCGATTTACAAATATGAGATGACATATAGCACCTACGACATTTTTTCATAGCAGCCTACCAAGTAGATGTAGTCCTTCACATAAAAATAATGGCAGTGGGCGACCACTCCGTCATGTCTGAGGGTTTTGTTTTTCTTAAACATCACCGTGCCCAAGGGTCAGATGTTCTGGCTGCTTTCAGGGATCAATTACAACCACGTTTGCAATACCTACATTTCTGGGTAATGACTGTGCTAGAACATGAAGAGATTCTCTTTTCTACTTACTCCACAAATGCCCTGGAGCAAAGGCACAGTATCTTACAATCCTCCCGCTCCTCAATGAAGAGAAACATTTCCGCCACGCGGCTCCACTTCTCGCAGCACATTTTACCACTTCGGAGGCAGCTCTGACGTACGCAGCCCGGGTCGCGCCTGCCGGGCCTCCGCTCGGTTACTGGAGACTTAAAACAGGCCTCGCCCGCAAGCCCTGGATGAGGAGATAGAAACTGGCCCGCGGCCGCTCGCGCCGGGAACTAGCCCGGACGCTGCCGCCGGAAGTGGCTCCGAGGGGCCACGGGAAGGGGCGGGACCACGGGCGGTGTCACCCCCATCGCGGCCCGGGCTGCAGCCGCCGCTTGGCTTCTTTCACACGGGTTGCTTCGGAGGAATCCGCCGTGCAAATCTGTCCGCCCCCTTGGCCACTGATCCCCCGAAGAGCTTCTGTCGCCGCTCTAGGGTAAAGGAGAGCTGCCCCTGCCCCTGCCCCCGCCTATCCGAGGTGCGTCGGCCCCCGCGCTTCTCCAGCCCGGCATCGGGTCTGGCGGGACTGGGAGCGGCGGAGGCCGCGCGCGTCCGGTCTCCCAGGAGCCGCCTCGGAATCCCCAGTCTCTTCGCGGGCAGGCTCGGCTTCCCGCCGGCCTCAGTGTTGCGCCCCAGCGCCAGAGTGGCCGGGTGTGGAGATCCTCCCTCCTCTGGGTCAAAGAGCCTGCTCTCCCCGCCCCTCTTCTCCCCTGGCGCTCTAAACCTTCGGTTCGGCGCGTTTCATCCTAATGCATCTGGTGGGGCGAGGCGTCTCTAGCCTCTGTAGAGGCCTCTAGGCTTGCCCAGTGGCTTCGCTGGTTCCGGGACCCAGGTCGAGCCTCCGGTGTAAAAGCCAAGGGGAAGTGTGTGGTGATCCCGAGAGTGTAGGGGGAAAGCCGCGTGGGTAGAGCGTTCGTATCCAGACCGATCAGGCTTGGAATCCTGGTCCTACCTTGTGACCTGGGCAGGCAACTTCACCTTTCTGAGCTTACCTTTGATCACCTGTGAAATGGGGTTGATTAATAGTAACTACTACATGAGGCTGCAGGGAGGACTAAACGAAATGATGTATATTACACCTTTCCTTTGTGCGCTTAATCGTTGGCGTCGGTTTGGACCTTGTAGGCGTTAAGTGCTGTCTCGGTCCCTGGGGTTTGCAGCCTGTAAAACAGGTCTCTGCCTTCAAGTTACTAATTATCTAATAAGAAAAAAGTTCATGTGGGCATAAATAGGATGGAGAAAATGGAAACAGCAGCGTTGCTGGATCTGTTAAAAAGCAGTTAGTATTTGGTGTGTGGTATTCATGGAGGCTGCACGGGCAACTTCTTCAGAGACAAGCTCAGACTTGAAAGTTGGAGCGCTTCGGACGTGGTTGGTGCTACGAAATGCCAAAATAGTATTGGTACTTCTTCAGAACTATATAAAAACTGAGCTAAAATTCATGCATTTTGAATGGTATTTTCAATAGTATTTTGGCCACATTTACTAGTTAGTGGAAATATTCATTTTCAAATGTTTATTCCCACCTCCTTACTGCTGCCCTACTTTGAGGTCGGAGATAGGCTGATTTTGTTGGTTCAAGAAGGTAAGAGTGCTGCACGGTTACAGATATACCAGTATAGATGTGCAGCATTATTGGGATGAGTAGCTGGGTTACGATAATAAGGGTAGAACAGTAATTATGAAACAGAGTGGAAGATTTTAGCTAGAAGTTGGGCATTCTAGGATTAAAGAAAAGTCTTGAAGGGTAATTTGTATCAGAACCTCGAGTTTAAAGCTTGAAATAAAAAAAGTATTAAAGCTAAAAGGATTAGATTTACCAGCTATCTTGACAAATACTAAATTGCAGCTTTATTCATGGTTTGAAGTAGAAGTCCTATTCAGTAAAACAGTGCTGTATCTCTGTTAAACCATTATTAAATATGCAGAAAGGAAACAGGAAAACTTGTTTTTCAGTGACTATATCTTTTAATTGGCATTTTCAGAATGTTCTCAATGTGACTTATATACTAAAAGTAAAATGGAAAAGTACTGGTAATGGGTGTTCAAAATAGATATACTTTATTTATTTATTTATTTATTTTTTTTGAGACAGGATCTTGCTCTGTCACCCAGGCTGTAGTGTAGTGGCGCGATCGCGGCTCACAGCAACCTCTACCTCCCAGGCTCAAGCAATCCTCCTACCTCAGCCCCCCGAGTAGCTGGGGCTACAGGCATGCCACCATGCCTGCCTAATTTTGTGTGTGTGTGTGTGTGTGTGTGTTTTGTAGAGACAAGGTTTTGCCATATTGCCCAGACTGGTCTTGAATTCTTGGGTTCAAGTGATTTGCCTGCCTCAGCCTCCCAAAGTGTTAGGATTATAGGCATGAGCCACTGAGCCCAGCCTAAAATAGATACACTTTCTTAAGGTTTTATTGAAAGCCAAAAAGTTCTCTGTTCTGATTTATTAGTTTTTGAAATACTCTGATTTTAAACATCTGTAAGGTCCATATCCTCACCATCAATGTCAATATGGTGATATTTGAGCTTGTCAACTTTTTTTTTTTTTTGGAGACGGAGATTCATTTTTGTTGCCTAGGCTGGAGTGCAATGGTGCGATCTTGGCTCACCGCAACTTCCGCCTCCTGGGTTCAAGCGATTTTCTGCCTCAGCCTCCTGAGTAGCTGGGTTTACAGGCATGCGCCACCACACCTGGATAATTTTGTATTTTTTGTAGAAACAGGGTTTCTCCACATTGGTCAGGCTGGTCTCGAACTCCCGACCTCAGGTGATCCTCCTGCCGCTGCTTCGCAAAGTGCTGGGATTACAGGCATGAGCCACCGCGCGTGGCCTTGTCTACTTGTTTTTACAAAAGTTACGTGATTTCCAGATAGGGAAATTAAGATACTTTATATGTGATGCATTAGACTGTGTTTATTTTAGATTTTTAGGAGCAGGGGGCTGTAGAAAATAACCTGGAATTTTGAGAACTAAAATATTGTATTTCCCCCAAAACATCTTCTAGTACATAGAGTTCCCCCCTGCCCCCGAGACAGGGTCTTGCTCAGTTGCCCAGGCTGGAGTATAGTGGTGTGATCATTATAGCTTACTGCAGTCTTCACTCCACGGGCTCAAGCAGTCCTCCTGCCTTGGCCTTCCAAGTAGCTGCAACTTACAGGAACGTGCCACCATGCCTGGCGAACCTTTTTTTGGTAGAGACAAGGTCTCAGTATGTTGCCCCCAGGCTGGTCTCAAACTCCTGAACTCAAGCAGTCCTTCCACCTTGGCCTCGAAAACTGTTGGAATCACAGGCGTGAGCCACCCTGGCCCATGTCATTTTTCTTGGATTAAAATAAAGTGATAAGAAGTCAGTTACACCCCCAGGTAAATTCAGGGGGAAGGGGAAGGGCCAGGCAGAAGTATAGGGAAGACAGAAATTGCAATCTTAATATTTTCTTTCTGTCAAGAGAGAAAAAGAGAGATATATCAAAGAAAGTGTGTTGGAAGCCAGACCAGGAGGTAAGATGACTAGATTTTAATTTTAGTTCTTGGCTTTTACTGAATTAATTTAGTAATTTTAAGCAAGCAAACTTGGCTTTCTGTGTTTACTTTTTTTGTTATCTGCACAATTAAGGGGTTGCATTGAGATTTAAAGACACTTTGTCATATTATCAAAAGTAAGTGCTACATTTTATCTACTGAAAGGCATTTTATTCAAATTCCTCTGATAGTTCTCTAGTAGCAGGTTTTAGGATACTGTTTTGATCCAGATTTCTGTTAAAGATTTAGATGAGGCCAAGCAGGGTGGCTCACGCCTGCAATCCGAGCACTTTGGAAGGTGGAGGCGGGCGGATCACTTGAGGCCAGGAGTTCCAGACAAGCCTGGCCAACATGGCAAAACCCCATCTCTACTAAAAATACAAAAATTAGCTGGGTGCAGTGGTGCTTGCCTGTAGTCCCAGCTACACGGGAGGCTGAGGTATGAGAACTGCTTGAGCCTGGGAGGTGGAGGTTGCAGTGAGCTGAAATCGAGCCACTGCAGTCCAGCCTGGGTGACAGAGTGAGACTCTGTCTCAAAAAAAAAAAGTTTTAGACGAACACAGTTCAGTTGTATATTTAGCCAGCATTTGTTAGGTGCCTACTATGTGCCAGAAAGTAAGTGTTTTTCGTATGTTTTCTTAGATAACTATTTTATTTACTGATATATTTAGAATAGTATCTGGCACAAACTTCTCAGGGCCATCCACTTGTACATTGTATCCTGTCCCCTTTGGCCTAGTCAAGGACAGAGCTCTAACAATTATCTCCTCTCCTACATCATCTGTTTCTCACTCCCATTGATGAATTATCGTTGACATTGAACATGGGTGTATTTTCTCCTATCTTTTTTTTTTTTTTTTTTTGAGATGGGATTCTCATTCTGTCCCTGAGGCTGGAGTGCACTGTCAGAATCTCGGCTTATATAACCTCTGCCTCCCGGGTTCAAGCAATTCTAGTGCCTCAGCCTCCCAAGTAGCTGAGACTACAGGTATGCACCATGATGCCTGGCTAATTTTTGTGTTTTTAGTAGAGACGGCATTACCATGTTGGCCAGGCTGGTCTCAAACTCCTGACCTGAAGTGATCCACCCGCCTTGGCCTCCCAAAGTGCTGGGATTACAGGCATGAACCACTGTGCCTGGCCCTTTTTTTTTTTTTTTTTTTTTTTAAAGACAGAGTCTCTTGCTCTTTCACTGAGGCTGGAGTGCAGTGGCTTGATCATTACTCACTGCAGCTTCTACCTCCCAGGCTCAAGTGATCCTCCCCCTTCAGCCTCCCAAGTGGCTGGGATCATTGGTACATGTCACCATGCCCGGCTAATTTTTAATTTTTTTTTCTTTTTGAGCAGAGTCTCACTCTGTTGTCCAGGCTGGAGTGCAGTGGCATGATCTCGGCTCACTGCACTCTCCACCTCCTGGGTTCAAGCCATTCTTGTGCATCAGCCTCCCGAGTAGCTGAGATTACAGGAATGCATCACCACACCTGGCTAATTTTTGCATTTTTAGTAGAGATGGGGTTTCACTGTGTTGCCCAGGCTGGTCTTGAACTCCTGGCCTCAAGTGATCTGCCCCTACTTGGCCTCCCAAAGTGTTGGGATTACAGGTGTGAGCCACCGCACCTGGCCTAAATTTTTTTTTTAGAGATGAGTTTTTACTATATTGCCTGGCTGGTCTTGAACTTCTGGTTTCAAGCGATCCTCTTGCCTCAGTCTCCCAAAGTGCTGAGATTACAGGTGTGAGTTACCATGCCTGGCCTCTGTCTTAAAGCAACAGCTGCAGCAGCAGCAGCAAGGAACAACTCACCTGTGTTCCCTTCTAGATACCCACCTGTTTCTTTCCTCCTTTGTGAGTTTTTATATTTGCTGTTTCCAATTCATTTTCTCCCATTCATTCTTGAACTTCAAGGGTAAAGGGGAGCTGCTTCTGTCCTCTCCTGTCCAAAGTGTTTTGTTTCCTACTATACAAAAACAGCTCTTACCAGGGTTTGCCAGTTTCCTTTGTGTTGTAAAATCCAGTGATCAATTATCATTTTTTTTTTTTTTTTAAAGCTGTCTCCTACAGGAAGGAAGTGATCTCTTACCTTACTAGGCCTGTCAACAGCATTTAAAACAGCAGAATATGCCTTCCTTCTTGAAGCTCTTACTTCCAGGATACTGCTTCTGCAAGGAGGAGGCTGGCTTGCCATTGTCTTCCCAACTTCTAAAATGTTGGGTGCCTCAAGACTCAGTCCTGGAAATTCTTTTTTTTTTTTGAGACTGAGTTTCGCTGTTGTTGCCCAGGCTGGAGTGCAGTGGCATGATCTCGGCTCACTGCACCTCCGCCTCCCAGGTCCAAGCGATTCTCCTGCCTCAGCCTCCCAAGTAGTTGGGACTATAGGCGTGCGACACCACGCCCGGCTAATTTTGTATTTTTGGTAGAGACGGGGTTTCTCCATGTTGGTCAGGCTGGTCTCGAACTCCTAACCTCAGGTGATCCTCCCGCCTCGGCCTCCCAAAGTGCTGGGTTTACAGGTGTGAGCCACTGTGCCTGGCCAGAAATTCTTTTTTACTCTATATTCGTTCCCTGGAGGGATCTTCTCTAGTTCCATGGTTTTAAATATTGTCTATATGCTACCAATTCCTAGATTTATATCAGGGCCATCCACTTATACCCTGTATCCTCCTCCTGATCTTCCTGCTAAACTGCTGATGTCCGGCTGCCTACTTAATGTCTTCACTTGGATGTCCAATAGACATCTTAAACTTAACATGTTTAAAATGGAATTCCTGATCTCCATCCCACCCTCAAACCTGTTCTTCCTGCAACTCTTATTTTTTCACAAGCAAGCGAATAATAATGATGATAGCAATAGTTAATGCTTATATGTGATAAGCATTAACTATGCTTAGATGCTTATAAGCAATAGTTAATGCTTATAAGTGAATAATAATGATGATAGCAATAGTTAATGCTTATATGGTAGAAAGCACTCTTCTAAGAGTTTTTTTACACGTAATCTTCACGATAGTCTTATTAGGTAGATGCTATTTTTATTTTACAAATGAAGAAACTGAGGCAGAAAGATATTTAAGTACTTGCTAGGTTTTTTTACACGTAATCTTCACGATAGTCTTATTAGGTAGATGCTATTTTTATTTTACAAATGAAGAAACTGAGGCAGAAAGATATTTAAGTACTTGCTAGGTCACATGGTAAGTGGCAGAGCCTCCCAGGATACAAACTCAGGTTGCCAAAACACCATATAATTATCTCAGATTCTACGTCAATTTATTAGCAAATCCTGTTGGCATTATCTTCAAAATATATCCAGAAACTGACCATTTCCTACTGCCTTCCCTCTGCCACATGTATGTAAGCCACTTTCATCACTTATTGCAAATATTCCTATTTGCTGCCTGTGTAGTATATTCTCAACACAGCAGCCACTTAAAACCCAAGCCAGGCAACCTCACCCTTCTGCTCAGTGCCCTCTGATGCCTTCTCCATCTCACTTAGATAAAAGCGTGCATAGAGGCCGGGCACGGTGGCTCATGCCTGTAATCCCAGCACTTTGGGAGGCCGAGGCGGGCGGATCACAAGTTCAGGAGATCGAGACCATCCTGGCTAACATGGTGAAACCCTGTCTCTACTGAAAATACAAAAAATTAGCCGGGCGTGGTGGCGGGCACCTTTAGTCCCAACTACTCGGGAGGCTGAGGCAGGAGAATGGTGTGAACCCGGGAGGCGGAGATTGCAGTGAGTGGAGATCACGCCACTGCACTCCAGCCTGGGCAACAGAGCCAGACTCCATCTCAAAAAAAAAAAAAAAAAAAAAGCGTGCATAGAAAGCTCTACAGTGTTGCCTCTCTGGTCCATTTCCAAGTGCCCTCCCTGTCACTTTCTCAGCCTGGCATCCTTGCTGCTCCTCAGGCCACACCAAGTGCACATATTTTGCACTTGCTGTTCATTTAGCTAGGAAGTTTGCTTCCTTCCTTCCTCCCTCAGGTTTCTGCTGAAAAATATCTTTTAGAGAAGTCTTCCCAGAATGCCTTATATAACATAGCAACCTCCTCCTTTCCCCTACTCCCGTGCCTGACATAGAACTCCATATTCTTCTTACACTGCTGTTTATCTTTCTCCCTAGCACCTGTCATCATCTGACCTAGCATGTATTTACTAGTTCTTTGTTTACTGTCTATCTTCCCCCTCTAGGATGTAAGTCACTTGAGGTTGTAGACTTTGCTTTATTTGCTGCTGAGGAAATGGGTGGTACATATTAGGGTACATAGGTGCTAAATAGGTCTTTATAGAATGATTTATCATCTTCATTTTCAGAGAAACAATGAGACACAGAGAGGTGTAACTTGCTTAAGATTGTAAAGCCAGTATTCCAGTATGTTCAGTCTGGCTCCTAAGCCCATTCATGTCATCCACTGTGTTCCCGAAACAGACTGAAAGGATAGGCTATGTCTTAGCCCACCTCATGAAAGTTAATAAGCAGATGAGATGTATAATCTTTGCTGGGCTCAAAAAGGTTTTTTTCAAGTGTAGTTTGTAGAGATGTAGAAAATAGTAGCATATTTTTAGCTGAATGAGTCAGTATGATCGAGTTACCAAAAAAGCTGCTGTGATTCTATGAATGATAGCGATAGCAAACATGTAACACTGATTACATGTAAGGTATTCTAGGCTCTTTACACAGATTAGCCCATGTAATCACAGTAATCTCATGAGGTAGTTAGGATTATTATCCTAGTTTTATAGGTTTTAGCAAACGGAGGCACAGGGGTTACCGTACATGGTGTTGTCAGTATCAGATAACTGGAGTCAGCAACTCGGAGTGGTCTTGAGTGCTGAAAGCTTAAGAAACCAGGGGCTGAGAAGTAGTTGAAAGAATTAAGGATTCTGACTGGAGAAGGAATTTTGTGGCTCATGGCAGCTGTTTTTAAACTTACAAGGTTGTTTAATGGAAGAGGGTCTGTGGTACAAAACTAGGTCCAGTAGGGAAAAGTTACGGGGAAGTTAAGTATAAGGAAGACCTTTTTAGTAGTTCTGATGGATGGTTGCTATGTTGCATTCTAAATGATCAAACATGGGTAAATTATAGTGATTTGACTTTTTTTATTTTTATTTTTTGAGACGGAGTTTCACTCTTGTTGTCCAGGCTGGAGTGCAATGGTGCAATCTCGGCTCGCTGCAACCTCCGCCTCCCAGGTTCAAGCGTTTCTCCTGCCTCAGCCTCCCGAGTAGCTGGGACTACAGGCGTGCACCACCACTCCCAGCTAATTTTATATTTTTAGTAGAGATGGAGTTTCACCATGTTGGTCAGGCTGGTCTCAAACCCCCGACCTCAGGTGATCCACCTGCCTTGGCCTCCCAAAGTGCTGGGATTACAAGAGTGAGCCACTGCGCCCAGCTGGTGATTTGACTTTTTATATGGATTGATTAGATGATGATGTAAATAAAGCCCAAGTTGTGGGCTCAATGTTTGCTATGTTCATCTCCTGTAACCATAACAGACCAGATTTCTCACAAGTAAATGCTATTGGTTACAAGGAAGTTAGATGAAATGTTTCATTCCTGGGAGAACAAGTCAGTGCCTGCCCTCCTAATAAGCCAGTTAGCAAGATAATCTTAGAATAAAAACAATACATTTTTCTTATATGTACATCTCCTCCTCTCCTTTCATCCTTTGCTTTCATTTATTCATTTTTTGCCTCAGCTACAAAGGACTTGAGATAATTTTCAGTAAGATTATATAGTATGGAATAATGATAAAATAGTTCTAAGAATACAATCAAAGTATGGAGAAAGGAAATCTTTTGTAGGAAAATATTATCATAGGGCTAATATAATTGTATAATTGAATGTTATGTTTCACCTTCAGGTTATCTGGCAAAGTTACTAAAAAGAATCATAGTCAGTTATATATCTTCATACTTTTTCTCCTAAGAAACAAAGCTTTTGAAAACTTTGTTTAAAATAAATTCTTAGGTGGGGCTCTATATAGTGGCACTAAACAGTGTAGAGTTGTCTTCACCAAAGCAATGGTAGCATGAGTGTACTTTTTAATTGTAATATACCAGTGTGGGCCTATAATCATATTTCTTAAACATTTATGAATGTCTCTTGCTGTTTATTTTATAGAAATGCTAACTCTAGGTATTAATGATTATCTTTTTTTTTCTTAGTAATTTATTTCTTACATTTGTTTACTGTGCTTTCCAGAATAGAGACATTGAAGTTTGGGACAAGATATTTATCTAACTTCTGGTAAGTCCAATGACTGTTTTAGAGAGTGAATTTGTAAAATAATTATACAGCTATATTTTCAGTCATTTAAGATTTAAGATAAAAACAGTACTGATAAATTTTTATTGCATAATGAACTTTTGTAAATCTGTTTCTCTATAAAAAAACAATATCCATTAATGTATGTAATCATTTCGTAAAGAATTGGGTTACTTTTACTGAATTAGGTAGATATTGATGTTTTCTTTTGTGCAGAGTTATCTCAATATGGCTGGGCATGGTGGCTGATGCCTGTAATCTCAGCACTTTGGGAGGCTGAGGTGGGTGGACCACTTGAGGTCAGGAGTTTGGGACCAGCCTGGCCAACATAGTGAAACCCTGTCTCTACTAAAAATACAAAAATTAGCCAGGCATGGTGGCACATGCCTGTAGTCCCAGCTGCTCGGGATGCTGAGGCAGGAGGATTACCTGAACCTGGGAGGCAGAGGTTTCAGTGACTGAGATCGTGCCACTGTACTCCAGCCCGAGCAAAAGGGTGAGACTCCATCTCAAAGAAGAAAAAAAAATTATCTCAATGTGACCTGGTTTAAGATCTAATTTTTCAACATGATCCAATTAAGATGTGAGTCAAATTATTAAAATCAATCTGAAATTATATTCCTCATCAGCTTTATTTTCTTCTCTTAATTATAGCTTTATTTTCTTCTCTCAATTATAGTGAATTATTTCAAAAGCTAAACACGACATACTTCATGAGCAGACAGATGAAACCTTATAATTTTCACATTTAAATCTGCAACAAAGTTAACCATTAACCATCTACTCATTTTGGGTATTAAGAAATGACTCTATATGCTATTTAAGTAGAGTAAAACATTTAACTTTATAGCTGTGGAGAAAATAATACTGGATTATTTTTCCCTTCTAGTGTCAAAATTAGCGACCTGCTATGGCAATGAAGAAAGAAACTGAATTTGTCATTTTCACCTGAAGAAAAATGATAGACAAAAATCAAACCTGTGGTGTAGGACAGGATTCTGTGCCCTATATGATTTGTCTGATTCACATACTCGAAGAATGGTTTGGTGTGGAGCAGTTGGAGGACTATTTGAATTTTGCAAACTATCTCTTGTGGGTTTTTACACCACTAATACTTTTAATACTTCCTTACTTTACTATCTTTCTTCTCTACCTTACTATTATTTTCTTACACATTTATAAGAGAAAGAATGTATTGAAAGAAGCCTACTCTCATAATTTATGGGATGGTGCAAGGAAAACAGTGGCAACTCTGTGGGATGGACATGCAGCCGTTTGGCATGGTAAGCAAGGATACTTTCACCTTTGTGTTGCCATTCATGTGTGCTGCATTGGAACTGTGTTACCATTCCATTTTATTGATTGAGAAGATACTGAAAAATATAATAGAAGTGATATTTACTATTCCCTGTTACCTGTTTGCATGCATTGTGCATATGTATGTGTCTTTCTTAAAATGAGTTTTCCCATAGACGTTGGTTTCCATTAAACAAAGAACCACGCAGCACTGTAGACTATAAGTTGAAATAAGAAAATTTATATTTAAAACATCTAAAAGAGTAAGAGACTAAATAAAGCTGTAGAAAACTGCTTTAAAAATGCTTCAATTATTTAGCATTTACTTCTGTTCAAAATAAGTTTGACTCTACCAGTGTGGATTTAAAAAAATGAAATATTAAATAATATTACATTAAATATAATTTGCATACCAAAATTTATGCATTTTCTGTTGATTCATTCCTGAGGTTGGTGTGTCTTTCTGAATAAATAAGATAGCAATAGATTTCTCTCCAGGATAGTCATTCTTTTCTTTATTACTCGAGAAATTTTGATGTTGTATACTTAATGATTGGTGGTTCTTCTTTGTTTGGCCATCATGAAAATTGCCTTCTGGTGGCCTATTTTTAAGTGGTTAGTGTTTCACTCTACCAACTTTTACTTCATTATTCCAACAATATCTAGTTTGTTGGTCTCTTTTGTTTTTAGACTACACAAAAATACTGAAGATTCAATAGGCAGGTAACAAACATTGGCTTTCTGTATTATGTTGTTGAGCATCACAGTGGTTTCATAGAAGGACATGGAAGGAAGCACAGACTTTAAAAGACACTTGAGGATATATATCACTGAACTATTAGGCTGCTATTAGCAGAAATCACCAGTGACATGCTTATTAGACTAATGTATTTTCATTTTAATACTACATACATACTTAACGAACCTACAAATTTTTTTTGAGCACCTACCTATGCCAGACACTGTCAATTGCTTAATATAAATTAACTGCTTTAAATCTCATTAACATAATGGAGTCTATGTGGTACCCCGATTATACTCATGAGGAAACTGAGGCACAGAGAGGTTGTTATTTGCCCAAGGTATACTAGGAATAGGGCCAGGTTACAACCCCAGATACCTGGGAGTATACATTTGAGAGAGCTCTTGGAGGTAAAATAAACAGAACTTGGGGACTGAGTGTAGAGTCTTGAGGGAGGAGGAGTTAAAGTCCAGTAAGATTTCTACTGCTAGACAGGGAAACATGAACTGGAAGTGCTCCAAGTAATAGCAACCATGTGAGCAGAAGCACAAAGGTGGAAAAGTACTCTGGGAGCCACAGTTAGTTCATATGATACATGAAATAATGTAATGTCACTTTATAGGCAATTGGGGCCTCAAGGGGCTTGAAAATGTTGGACTAGAGTGGTAATGCACTGATACTTTCTCAGCAGGGAGTAGTATGATCACATCTGCTCTAAGAGTGACACAGTTAAATAGCCCTAGGTTTTAAGGTTTACTGGCACTATAGTAAACTATTTTTTTTAAATATTTGATTAGTTGGATTTTTCTGCTTTCAACCAGGTGGTTTGGTATTATGTGAGTAGTTCAATTGTTTATTATTTAAAAAAATACTCTGTAAAACCAGAGAGAACCTTGGTAATATTCTGTATAGAATCCTTCAAAGGAGTTTCTTTATTGCTCAGAAAATGTATTTGATGGGACAGTTGATCCTCAAACTCAGTGACTGTTTTGTAGAGCTTAAAGTAAATTGAATTACTTGAGTTAGAATTATGTAATTGGAAAGAAATGATATAATATGGAAACATACAAAATCTTGGAATATCATTAAATTATTTTTCAAAACATTCTCAAGTCCATTTGAGTAGCTTATTTCATACTAGAATCACAGTTATCATACTTAATTTAATCTGTTTTGTGAAGACCTTATAAACTACTTTAGAAATGTATTTTCTGCTCTGGAATTTAGACTGAAGTCTTTATTTTTTGAATGTTTATTTCGTAGCTGATCAGACAGGAATACACTTAAGGAAAGAAACAGACTAATATTTTCAGATTTCCATATTCTGGACTTTACTTTTGTCTTCTATACAAGTGGCAGCCTTTCTTGAGACAGCTGTTCTATGTGGAGGAATATGGCCCTAAGAACTTACTTTCCTTTCCTATTACAACCACTCTAGATTTCCTTCTTTTTCACGCTTTTTCTTTGAGCCTGATTCTGCCCTTGATCTCTGGATGCTCACTTTTTTCTTTTTGCCAGGACCCGTGGAGGCTGTGGTCTGTAATGGTGTGTCTGACAGTGGTGACATGGGAAGGGAATGTGGATCTTATGGCTAGTGCCATGATCACCATTTTATTCACTCCTTAGAATATCCTGACTTCCCAACTTCTGTGATTTTCCTCTGAGGCATAGTTGGATCTTACTTAAGTCTTTTCTATTCCCTACTAACTGCCAACAGCACAGCGTTGCTGTAAGAAGTAAATTTGTTGGCCTTGGTAGCCATATAGAGAACAGCAGGCAGGTAATGTTAGCTAAGGGAGGAGAAAAAACAGCCAGCCTGGAACTGAGGCTGTGTTAGCAGGAAGCTTCCAGATGTCATCCCTTCTCCAGGTCCACCACCTTTCATCCTGTCATTTACTCCCACTACTGAAACCCTTTCTTCTGTTTACAGAGACATAAAATAGGGCTTGCAGTGTGGAAGGAAGGGGCAGGGATGGCATGAGCCTCTGATCTCGCTTCTACAGGACAGAGATTTTCTTGTAGTCTAGTTCAAATCTGTGATTAAAGTTTTTCCCCCACATGTAATAAGATTGTACAAAATCATGTTTGTTTTTTTCATGAATAGAATGAGGAAATTTCTAAAGAATTGTTTAAATACATAAAAATGAAGTCTTATGTTTGTGAATGAACTTAAAGTTTACAGCATTATGATATCTGTGTATATATAACAGTGTAAATGGTATTTTATTTTACATTCAGTCACTAATAATTTTTCCTGTTTTAAAAATATGTATTTTTTAGTTTTATTTATATTTATTTATTTATTTTTGAGACAGAGTCTCACTCTTGTGTCCCAGGCTGGAGTGCAGTGGTGTGAGCTCAGTTCACTGCAACCTCCGCCTCCCAAGTTCGAGCGATTCTCCTGCCTGAGCCGCCCGAGTAGCTGGGACTATAGGCACATGCCACCACACCTGGCTAATTTTTGTATTTTTAGTAGAGATGGGGTTTCACCATGTTGGCCAGGCTGGTCTTGAACTCCTGACCTCAGGTGATCCTCCCGCCTCACCCTCCCAAAGTGCTGGTATTATAGGCACGAGCCACTGTGCCCGGACTGTATTTACTTAATTTTTTTTTTTTTTTTTTGTAGAGACAGGGATTTCACTGATTTGCCCAGGCTGATCTTAAACTCCTAGCCTCAAGCAATCCTCCTGCCTTGGCCTCCCAAAGAACTGGCATTACAGGCTTGAGCCATCACACCTGGCCTACTTTTTTTGCTTTTATTGATGAATTATTTTATGACTCATTTTTAAATTTACTGTAGGTCATGTTATCTCAGGGAAGTTGTAACTTACTTGATGGCTTCTGCAAATAAGGATGTTCTCATACTTAACCTCAGTAAACCCATTAAAATTGGAAAATTAACATTGTTATGTTACTAATATCAAATCTTTAGAGCTCATTTAAGTTTACAGCCTTTCTATTTGACTCTATTTTTTTATAGTTTCCATCTTTCTGCTGAAATTCCTAATCTGATTGTGCATGTATCCACCTTTTCCACTAGATCCTTTGCGTTTATTTATTTATTTTTATTTTTAGAGTCAGGGTCTCGCACTGTCACCCAGCCTGGAGTGCAGTGGCACGATCATAGCTCACTACAGCTTTCAACTTCTGGGCTCAAGCAATCATCCCACCTCAGCCTCCCAAGTAACTGAGACTACAGGCACATGCCACCATGCCCAATTAATTTTTTTACATTTTTGCAGAGGTGGGTCTTGCCATGTTGCCCAGGCTGATCTCTAACTCTTGGGCTCAAAAGTCCTACCATCTCAGTCTCCCAAAGTGTTGGGATTACAGGCGTGAGCCACTGCATTCCCCTTTAACTTAATCATAGTTATTTTATAGTTTCCATCTGATAGTTTCAACATTTGGGTGTGTTAATTGTTTTAGCTCTTGACAGTGGGTTTTTTTCTTGCTATTTTATGTCATATTTTTTATTGAATTCTGGCCATTGTTTGTAAAAGAATGACAACTGAGGTAAATAGTATTTATGACTGAGAATTGGGCTCATAAATAGGATTTATGACTAAGAATCTGTCAGGCCATTGGTGGTCGGTTGGAGGTGGATTCAATCTACTGAGTGAACTGGATTTGGCTTTTATTGCTGCGCTACAGCTACCTTCAGTTCAGCACAGACTTCAGACTCCTACTGTTATCTTGTGCATAGTGTAGGGCCTGAAGTAGAGGGATTTTTTGGTTGTTTCTGCTCCACCTTCAGTCCTGTATGCCTTTGCCACAGGAAGAGTCTCTTCACGCCCCTCCTGCGACCCCAGGAAAAGGTCGCCTTTGCTTATAACTCCACATGGGGGTACTTGGGGACTCCTCACACCCCTTGTTCATGCCCCTGCCCTCATTCCCCCTGGTGCTGGGGTATAGCACTCCTCAGTTTTCAGGTTTAGCTAAAATCTTATGGGGCTCTGTATTCCTGGGGCTTAGGGGTGAGGCTTTCTGTGTTCCTTTCCCTTTTCCCTGTGTTGGGGGTTTTGTGATGGAAGCAAATTTGCTGCCACTGCCCCCGTGGTAGATATCTGCTTTATGTCACTTAAGGACTCTGGGCCCCTTAGACTTTCCTGCCACCCACCCCCGCTGCCCAGTGGTAGATATTTTGCTTCTTCCCCTTCTCTAGAATAGTGGACTTTTGCCTGACACTGGGCTGGTGAGGGTGGAGGAGTGTGTGGGGCAGGGGAGTGGAGTTCTGCCCCTCCCAGCATTACATGCCTTTTGCATATACCCTTTTCTTAGAGGGAGTGAAAGGGTTTCCTGCCCCTTTCCCAGCGCCTGACAGGTTTTCTTCTATGAGATAAACTTCCAGGAAGTGAGTGGGGTTTTGTTCCCTGTACCATTAGCAGGGGCTCTCTTTACTCTCCAGCTTCACCCCTAATCTTTCTTGTGAGCACACACTGAGGTCTGTGGAGAAGAGTTAGAGAGTGACTATCTGGGGCTTCCAGAGATTCTACATTCAATACTAGCCTACCGTGGGACTTTAAGTATTTTGTAATATGTCACTTCTTCTTACCCTCTTTTATGGCATCTGCCTCTTCCTCCCATTCTCAGTTTTTGTCTTTCCTTAGAGGGGTTTATCACCCTTTGAAGTTCAGTTCGCCTGGTTGCCTTGTGACCTCTGTTCTCTGACATGCTTAAGAAAAAAAGATTTGTACTTCAGGCTTTTTCTCATCAGTAGGGTGGGAGTGATGTTCCCTTGTGGCTACAGAGTTTCTCTTACTAGTAATACTGTACAGTATTTTTAATGTTTTCAACCCCCTCCTCTAACAGTGAAACCTGGCTCCCGTTATTCTTACTATGTTGACTCATTTGATCAGTCCCCCTGTGTGTAACCCATCTCCCATCATTGCTGCCTTCCCCTACAACTCATGGATGCCCTGTCCCTGCTTGTGCCAGGCCACCACTCTGTACAGTGCCCTGTCCAGCTGCTCAGGCTGTGATGCCCTACACCAGGCCACCTGTCTCGGGCTCTGGCCCCTCCTGCCAGGCTGCTTGCTGGTTGTGGATGCCCCCATTTCACTCAGGCTCTGACTCCCAAGCTTCCGTGACCCTTGCCTCCTCTCTTCCCCCTCAGCAGCCCCCCAACCTGTGATAGGCTCTCTTCTGTGCAGTGCCCTCGTGACTCTGCTCTGGTTCTGACTCCCCACTCCGCACCACCTGTGTGAGTGCCTTCCTTAGTGTCTGGCGCCAACACTCCAGGCTACCTCTCCACACAGGTTGTCTGCTTCACTGTGGCCCACCTAATGGCTGTAGGACTGATTTGTTCAAGAAAGAAAGAGAAGAGGAAAGAGAGGGAAGAAGGGGGAAAGGGGAAGAGAACCAGGAAGACTAGTGTACTTTTGTGAGAAAAGACTGAGCTACCAACCATCCTTTACTGTAAACGAATTAATGAATATATTTTAAGTATTTGCATTTTGTCATTCAAACAGGTTATGAAGTTCATGGAATGGAAAAAATACCAGAAGATGGACCAGCACTTATAATTTTTTATCATGGAGCTATTCCTATAGATTTTTACTATTTCATGGCTAAAATATTTATACACAAAGGCAGAACTTGCCGAGTAGTAGCTGATCACTTTGTCTTTAAAATTCCAGGTAAACTTTCACTGTAGATAGTAATGTAAAAATGTTTTATTAACAAAACCAAGTTATGTGGTCGTCTCTATCCTGAGCTCTCTAACGTCATTTGAAAAAGCTTTTTGCCTTTTAGGGTGTGTATAACACTCTTGGAACTCTAATATGGGAATATCTAATTATCCTTTTTAGGCAATATATCTAAAAATAAAGACATTGTGGCCAAAAATGTTAGCTCATTTTTTATTTTATACATTTTAAAATTGTTTATTTTTAAGTGAAAATTGTATTTATGGCATACAATATAATGTTTTTAAAAAATAATTTTAAATTTTCCTTTTTAAAAAAATATATTTTTATATATTAAAGGGGTATAAGTGCAGCTTTCTTATATGCATATATTGTGTAGTGGTGAAGTCTGAATATTCTCAATTAGTAACTTTTTCCTTTATAAGCAGGTATTGTTATTTTTTTAAGTTGTATCTTGAACTGTAACTTTTAAAAAGCAAATTGTGATTTTTGCCAATTTATATTTTGATTTAGCGCATAGTTGATTTTTCACATAATGAATTTTTTCATGAAATACTGATTTTTGGAGTTTAATTTTGTTATAATTAGAGTTTGATAACTCTCAGTTTGATAGCAAATTAAAATTAGTAAAAAAAAAAAAAAAGTCATGATATATTTTGTCTTGGCTGGGCACAGTGGCTCATGCCTATAATCCCAGCACTTTGGGAGGACGAGGTGGGCAAATCACCTGAGGTCAGGAGTTCAAAACCAGCCTGGCCAACATGGTGAAACCCCGTCTCTACTAAAAATACAAAAAGTAGTCCAGTATGGTGGCTAATAGGCCTTCTGTAGGCTCAGCTACTCGGGAAGCTGAGGCAAGAGAATCACTTGAACCCGGAAGGCAGAGGTTACAGTGAGCTGACATCATGCCACTATACTCCAGCCTGGGCAACAGAGTAAGACTCCGTCTCAAAAAAAAAAAAAAGATATATTTTGTCTTCATGTAATATTATACTACCCTAAAAAGTACATACATCATGTCTCTTATCATGTGTAACTTGCCTGATAAGATTTATAACAATAAGATTGAGTACTACATTATTTATATTTGTTTATTTATTTAGATATGGGGTCTTGCTATGTTGCCCAGGCTGGTCTCAAATTCCTGGCCTCAAGTGATCCTCCCACTGTGGCCTTCAAAAGTTTTGGGATTACAAGTGCGAGCCACTGCACCCAGCCGTGAAGACTACATTTAAAAAAATCTGTTTATAAAGGCTATGTGTGTGTGTGTGTGTGTGTGTGTGTGTGTGTATAAATATATATAAATATATATAAATATATAATATATAATATATGTATTTTATATATAATATAAATATATACTATATATTTTATATATAATATAAATATATATTACATAATATATGTATTTTATATATAATATAAATATATATTATATATGTATTTTATATATAATATAAATATATAATGTATGTATTTTATATATAATATATATATAAGTATGTATTTTATATATAATATATATATAAGTATGTATTTCATATATAATATATATTACATAATATATGTATTTTATATATAATATAAATATATATTATATAATGTATGTATTTTATATATAATATAAATATATATTACATAATATATGTATTTTATATAATATAAATATATAATATGTATGTATTATATATATAATATAAGTATATGTAAATATATATATACACGTGTGTGTGTGTATGTATGTGTGTGTGTGTGTGTGTGTGTGTGTATATATATATATATATATATATTCGAGACAGAGTCTTGCTCTGTCACCTGGGCTAGAGTGCAGTGGCATAATCTCGGCTCATTGCAACCTCTGATTCTCGTACCTCAGCCTCCCAAGTAGTTCAACCGATTCTTGTACCTCAGCCTCCCAAGTAGTTGGGATTGCAGATGCCCGCCACCACACCTGGCTAATTTTTGTATTTTTAGTAGAGAAGGGTTTCACCATGTTGTCCAGGTTGGTCTTGAACTCCTGACCTCAGGTGATCCTCCCGCCTCACCCTCCCAAAGTGCTGGTATTATAGGCACGAGCCACCATGCCTAGCTGGCCATATGTGTGTATGTGTGTGTGTGTGTATATACATATTTATTCATTTTGAGAAGGAATCTCGCTCTTGTTGTCCAGGCTGGAGTGCAATGGTGCGATCGCGACTCACTGCAGCCTCCGCCCCTCAGGTTCAAGTGATTCTCCTGCCTCAGCCTCCCTAGTAGCTGGGATTACTGGCGCCTGCCACCATACCTGGCTAATTTTTGTACTTTTAGTAGAGATGGAGTTTCATCATGTTGGCCAGACTGGTCTCGAACTCCTGACCTCAGGTGATCCGCCCGCCTTGGCCTCCCAAAGTACTGAGATTGCAGGCGTGAGGCACTGCGTCTAGCCGACCTTATATTTTTTTTAAAAAAAGATTAATTAACCAAATGGTTTAGAGTTTTTCAAAAATCATTCTTGAGTAAACTCATTGAGATTAAATCTTATTTTCTTCTGTCACTGAATCACCAGAAACAAGCCAAGAGAGTTGTTAGTATGTTCTCTGGTATAAAAGCAAAAGCTGACACATCAACCAGACAAACACAACCAAACAGTGAATTAAGTAATGATCTACTTCAGTGCCTATAAACAGTTAATGCTTTGGGTATCCATGTGTCACTAAAAAGCCATTTGTGTATAAACATATTGTTTATGGCTATGTTTTCTGTTAAAAACTAACATGATCACTATAGTAGATTTGGAAACTAAAAAACAGAACATCATTATAATCTTACCATCTTAACATAATGTTTTCATTTTGATTTATTTTACTTCATTTTTTTACTTACAGTAACATAGGCAAACAGTTTTGTGGGGTTTTTTTTTAAGATTTAATGTTAGCATTAATATTTTTACCATGTTTTATAAGAAAAACGTTTAGTGTATGACTAGAACATTTACTTAACTGTTTTTCTCTAATGGAGCATTAGGTTGCTTCTACTTTTTTCGTTTTTAGCAATAATAAAATGTGAATATTTTTAGCATTTGCCTTTTTCAAAAAATTTTCCTCTTTATGATCTTTTTAATGATCATAAAGATCATTAAAGACCTTAAGACACTAAGACCTTAAGTCTTTCTTTGCTTTCTGAAGGAATAAAATCATTATAATTCTCAGCACAAGAGAGATTTTAGGGTGGGTGCCATGGCTCACACCTGTAATTCCAGCACTTGGTGAGGCTAAGGCAGTAGGATTGCTGGAGCTCAGAAGATTGAAACCACCCTGGGCAACATAGCAAGACCTCGTTTCTGCTAAAAATAAAAATAAAAAAATCAGCCAGGCATGGTGGCACAGTGCCTGGAGTCTCAGCTACTTGGGAGGCTGAGTGAGAGGATCGCTTGAGCCCAGTAGAGCAAGGCCGTAGTGAGCTACTATTGTGCCCCTGCATTCCAGCCTGGGTGACAGAGCAAGGCCCTGTTTCCAAAAAAAAAAAAAAAAAAAAGGGATCCTATATTTTATCCTATTATGTATGAATCCTTCCCTGTTCATTCATTCATTATGAGAATGCATCTAGTTGAATCAGTGAACATTTAATATAATGTGGGGTGACAATTATTTTCTTTTCTTTTACTTTTTTTGAGACAGTCTTGCTCTGTTGCCCAGGTTGGAGTGCAGTGGCTTGATCTTTGCTCACTGCAACCTCCGCCTCACGGGTTAAAGCAATTCTCCCTGCCTCAGCCTCCTGAGTAGCTGGGATTACAAGCGTGCGCCACCATGCCCGGCTAATTTTTGTATTTTTAGTAGAGATGGGGTTTTGCCATGTTGGCCAGGCTGGTCTCAAACTCCTGACCTCAGGTGGTCTGCCCGCTCATCTTCCCAAAGTGCTGGGATTACAGGTGTGAACCACCACACCCGGTCTGACAATTATTTTAATCTTAATGCTATTTATAAACTTGCCTCAGATCTTTAATGAGAAGTTTGGTTGGTCTGCATAGTGTTTTTTGTTTTTTTTCTTTGAGACAGAGTCTTGCTCTGTTGCCCAGGCTGCAGTGCAGTGACACAATTTTGGCTCACTGCAACCTCCCCCTCCTGAGTTGAAGCCATTCTCCTGCCCCAGCCTCCTGAGTAGCTGGATTACAGGCACGTGCCACCATGCCAGGCTGATTTTTGTATTTTTAGTAGAGGCAGGGTTTCACCACATTGGCCAGGCTGGTCTTGAACTCCTGACCGCAAGTGATCCACCTGCCTCTTTCTCCCAAAGTGCTGGTATTACAGGCGTGAGCCACCGTGCCTGACCAGTCTGCGTAGTTTTTAACATCAAATGCATCGCTATATTTCCCATTCTCAGGGAATAATGTATACTAACATCAGTCCTCAGAAGTTCCAGTATGGGATTTGATTAAAATATTTAATTACTAACAGGATTATTTCTTTCATCCATAAACAGTTGTAATTTGAAAAGCTGTATAATATTAAGACTTGGAATTAGCTGCTCTTGAGTCAAGCACTCTCACTTTATTAAAATCTCTTAATGATGTTTGCTATTTTAAAAATTTAATTATAGAATTAGCATTATCTAACTTTTAATTTAAATAGATTTGATCATGGTCTTGCCAGTTTTGGAAGAGCTAAGCGTAGTTTGATTCACATTCTCCTGAGTGATTCTCTTTTTTATAGGGTTAATGGAAGATTAGATTTCTGATTGCTGATGGGATATCATTTCTGAATCCCATTAGAATCCTATCTCTGGAATCTCTGCCCTGCCACTTCTTAGATGTGTGACTTTGAGCAAGCTATTATTCTGTAAGCCCAAGTTTTCTCATTTGTAAAGTGGGGAGAAGAATACCTGTTTGTCAAGATTGTTGTGAGTTTTACTTAAGAATTTGAGCCAGAGAAGCTTAATATCAAGCTTAAGTTAACCTTTAGAGTTTTTGTTGATTTTAACAAGTAAAAAAGTTTACTGATTTAAGTATAAATAGTACACTATGTAGTTTGTGAAGATTTTTCTTTTGAAGAATTAAACAAGAAATACTTATGTTGTAACTTCATACTCATGTTTCTTACAGGGTTTAGTTTATTACTGGATGTGTTTTGTGCTCTACATGGACCAAGAGAAAAATGTGTTGAAATTCTGAGGAGTGGCCACTTGTTAGCTATCTCACCAGGTGGAGTTCGAGAAGCCCTAATTAGTGATGAAACTTATAACATCGTATGGGGTCATCGCAGAGGCTTTGCTCAGGTTGCAATTGATGCAAAAGTGGTGAGTTATATAAAATTAATTATTGAAGTAAAGCTTAGTCAAATTTAAAATAAATGGTTAAGTAATGAGCCAAATTGTATAAGAACTTAGACACTTTCGCTGCAATACCTTAAAAATTAGTATGTAGGCCGAGTGTGGTAGCTCACGCCTGTAATCTCAGCACTTTGGGAGGCCGAGGTGGATGTATCATGAGGTCAGGAGTTTGAGACCAGCCTGGCCAACATGATGAAACCCCATCTGTACTAAAAATACAAAAATTAGCCAGGCATGGTGGTGCATGCCTGTAATCCCAGCTACTCGGGAGGCTGAGGGAGGAGAATTGCTTGAACCCAGGAGGTAGTGGTTGCAGTGAGCTGAGATCGCACCACTGCACTCCAGCCTGGGTGACAGAGTGAGACTGTCTCAGAAAAAAAAAAAAAAAAGACTGGAGAATTTGAATGTCATTTTGTTCTTTTACTTTGCCTTCGGAAAGTATTTCTCAGCCTTTTGGTCTCCATATTGTACTTTAGCCTATGAAACACTTATCTATTACCTATGGAAAGTTTCTGCTTCGTTTTCTGTTTATTTTAATTCTGATTGTCAGAAAAAGAAATTACGTTTGATAGAGTATTGTTCTTTTTCCAGGCCAGTTAGAGAATATTGTCAGTAACTTAGTTTTTTAGTTGTATAGAAAATGAATTATGGCACATTTTACTTATTTCCCAGTCTTAAGCACTGACATAGAAAACAAAAACCTAGACTATATGAATAATATAGAATACAAAAGGATATATGCAGTTATACAAAAATTAAGAATAATCAATATAATGTATATGAAAACAATGATAAAAACTAAAATCCTAATCAAAGATGGTTCAACTTTCAAGTTTATATTTTGAAAGAATTGTTTTTTCAAAAGTTTAAGATAAAGATGACAAAAATAGATTTAAAATCACATAAATATGCCATGGGATTCCAATTCCTCATCCTTAAGTTTACATTTTCGGCAACATATTGCTTGGAAGAAGGACTGAAAGAGATAAATGATGCAGAGAAAATAACTCTTTCTAATCCTCGAGTTTCCAGATAATTAATTTAAATAAACTAGATAATTTAATTGAGATTTTTATATAAAACTTTAGAAAGTTTAAGAAATACCTTTTTATAAGTTTAAAAACAAACAGAAATCTTATAAGTTTGATAAATATTGTGCCACCCCAACATCTCATAGCACTTTTAAACACTTTATCTTATACTCCTATTCAGTAAGGAGGTGATGCATATAATTATTCCAATGTTGCAGATGAGGAGACTCAGGCACAGAGAGATGGAGGGATGGAAGGGATCTGGTCATTCAGCAAGGCAGCAGTAGAGCAGAGCACACAGTTCAGAACTCGAGGCAACCGGTACTGTTGCCATTCCTGACTACATTGCACAGTGAGTCTGCTGACGTCTAAGACTGAAGGGGCTTCCCAGATACGTGAGGGAAGTCTTTCAGTAATATATATGTGTATATATGTATAGTTGTAAGTGGCACAAGTATCCCCTCTGGAAAATCCCTTAATAGGCCTCACAAAATTATAAGCTGTGAACAAAATTTAAGGCTATTGTTACAGGATTAACCACATTTAAATTGTAACATAGTAATAGAAATTAAAGGGGAAAAAGCCTGATTGTCAAGGCAAGTTCACAAAATATTGGTAGAAAATATTAAGGTTTATTCGAAAGTGACAGACTTTTTGATATAATACAAATCACCCTGGTTTGTGAATTCTTGAGACTTACAACTTTGGTAAGAACTTTTAGATAACTTCATGTCTACATAAGTTGAGGAGATAACTAGTCCATTTACTGTAATTGTAAAGTAAATAGCAGATATAAAAGAAAATATTTTGTTTCAATAAAATTATATGAATTATCTCACTTTATCCATAAAAACTTTGAGATAGAGATAATTATTATTTATTCCCATTTGATGCATGAAGAAAGTGAGGCTTAAACATGGTAAGTAACTTTCACAATGTCTCCCACATTTTTAGTGACAGAGTTAAGATGTCAAGACCCCAGTAATAGTTTTTAAAAATGTACATTCTCAGCTGGACATGTGGGTTCATGCCTGTCATCCCAGCACTTTCGGAGGCCAAGGCAGGAGGATCACTTGAGGCCAGGAGTTCGAGACCAGCCTGGGCAACATGGTGAAACCTCATCTCTGCTAAAAGTACAAAAATTAGCTGGGCATGGTCTTAGCTACTCAGATGGCTGAGGTTGGAGGATGACTGGAGCCTGGGAGGCAGAGGTTGCAGTGAGCCGAGATCGCACCATTGTGTTCCAGCTTGGGCGACAGTAAGGCTCTGCTTCAAAAAATAAAAAAATTATACATATATATTCTCTCTCTCTCTCTCCCCCCCTTCCTCCCTCCCCTCCCTCCCTCTCTCCCTTGCACACATGCATGCACATACATTACATACAGACACACATTTATATATGTAAGCAATTGAATTCTAGGTTGCTGATGCAACTCCTTCATGTACAAAGTATGCATGAAAGAAGGAATGAAGGCTGAGGTGGGCAGATCACTTGAGGTTAGGAGATCCAGACCAGCCTGGCCAACATGGTCAAACTCTGTCTTTAATAAAAACACACAAAAAAGTTAGTCGGGTGTGGTGGCACATGCCTGTAATCCCAGCTACATGGGAGGCTGAGGCAGGAGAGTTGCTTAAAAACCCAGGAGGCGGAGGTTACAGTGAGCCTAGATCATGCCACTGCACTCCAGCCTGGACGACAGAGCAAGACTCCACCTTAAATAAGAGGAATTAATAATTATATTGCAAGATCAAGTTGGGATAAAGTAATGCTTGTGGCTTTAAGGATGAAAGCTTGCGTGCCAGTGTAGAAACCATATTCCCAGACTATAGTGAGGAATACTGAGCCTGCTAGGGTAAGCTTTCTTTTATTTAGTGGGCCCTAGAAATGTCCAGCTTCTAGAGAGGTAGCTATTTAAGGAATGATATTTCAACAGGAAAGTCTTTAAATGCATACATCAATACAGAATTCTGGGATCATGCCAGTCAGTAGATATAAATCCAGCCATACTGGTTGGAAGTGGCAAATGGTATATGCATGAGCTGAAATATTTCTGTTTCTTCTTGGACATTTTAGGTTCTCAACTATAAAGACATTTTATAACTATTTAAAACATTAGGATTTCAGCCATACTAATATTTTATTTTACAAAACTAGTTTTATTTTACAAAACTAGTAGTGATTTCCAGATAACAGTCTGAATTTTTTACTGAAGAATTCAGTGTCTGAGTATTGTGGAAGCTACCAAAATAATAATAATAATAATAATTAAAGGCCAGGTATGGAGGCTCATGCCTGTAATCCCAGCACTTTGGGAGGCTGAGGCAGGAGGATCCCTTGAAACCAGTTCAAGACTAGCCTGAGCAACAAAGCAAGAACCCATCTCTACAAAAACAAGCAAATAAACTATATTTACTTATATGTATAAATAATTCAGTGTATTTTGTCTTCTTTATCTTCTTGTGTTTTAGCTTTATGAGTTAACTCCATCAAATTTTAATTTCTTCATTTGACTGCTCTTTTTTACTTTTAATTTTTTTGAGACAGAGTCTTGCTCTGTCACCCAGGCTGGAGTGCAATGGCGTGATCTCTGCTCATTGCGGCCTCCACCTCCCGGGTTCAGGTGATTCTCCTGCCTCAGCCTCCCGAGTAGGTGGGTTACAGACGCTGGCCACCACGCCTGGCTGATTTTTGTATTTTTAGTAGAGATGGGGTTCACCATGTTGGCCAGGCTGGTCTTGAACTCCTGACCTCAAGTGATCCACCTGCCTTGGCCTCCCAAAGTGCTGGGATTACAGGCATGAGCCACCATGCCCGGCCCTGACTGCGCTTCTTTTCTTTACCTAACTTCTCCCCTTTTCCTAACTGATTTTGAGATTGCTGCTGTCTATTTCTGACTTTTGTATTCAGAGAATACAAATTAATTCATTTAGAAGCATTGTCTCTTTGCTCTGTTTACTCACTGTTTGTTTAATTCCTCCATCTCACTTTCTGTTAGCACCTAGTGGATTCCAGGCACAGTTCTAGGTGCTATACAACAGTGAACAAAACAATGTCCTTGCAGTATATTAGGCGTCTTCCTTCTGGCGAGAGGAGAGATATAACAAATGATTGGTTAGTTATATGTGAAGTAGTAGGTTTTATGAAGGCTTTGCCTGTAGTCTCTTTCCTTTAGTCCACTGTATTTTACTGTTTTCCAAAGCTTAGTAGGAATAACTTTTAAGCTTATTTAAATATCTCACCTATTAAGCAGGTAATTTTATATTAGGCATTTACTCATGGTTGACTGTAAGTAATGTAATACTCCCCCAACCAAAATTTTATCTATTCTGAAACATCATTTAATTCAGTATATTATGTATATTTTTAAGTGTTTCATTCAATTTTTTATCTATTTTAGTATTCACAGTGGCATAACCTCTTTACATATCAATACTTCATTATTTTATATGTATTTAAGGTTTTCATTATTAAAAATATACTGAATCATTGATATTTTTGGAGAATAAAAATCATGAACTTATTAGCAGAAATTCTCTACAATCAATTATGGAGAATTCTTTTTTTTTTTTTTTTTTTTTTTTGGGAGACAGTGTCTCGCTCTATTGCCCTTACTGGAGTGCAGTGGTGTGATCTTGGTTCACTGCAACCTCTGCCTCCTGGTCTTAAACAATCCTCCCACCTCAGCCTCCCAGGTAACTGAGACTACAGGCACGTACCACCGCAACTGGATAATTTTTACATTTTTTTGTAGAGACAGGGTTTTGCCATGTTGCCCAGGCTGGTCTCGAACTCCTGGGCTCAAGTGATCCACCTGTCTTGGCCTCCCAAAGTGCTGGGATTACAGGCACAAGCCACCGCACCTGGCCAAATTCTTTAATATATGTGCTTTTCCTTTTTGTCTGTGTGGTTGAGTCTTATAGTTACTTTTCATTGATGTTGAGTATTTTAGATTTAATAGACTCACAAAAAATTTTACCAATTCCACGACAGCATCTTGCCAAAACTTGTCATTTAAATATACATAAATTTCCCTTTGGAGCCAGGTGCAGTGGCTCACGCCTGTAATCCTAACACTTTGGGAAACTAAGGTTGGAGGATTGCTTGAACCTGGGAGGTTGAGACTGCAGTGAGCCGTGATCACGCCACTGCAATCCAGCCTGAGCCACAGAGTGAGACTCTGTCCCCAACTCCCCCCGAAAAATTACCCTTAGAATCCCTGCTTGCAACTTTTCTCCAGTGAGCGTACTATTCAGTAGCCCACTAAAGACAATTCAGTTTACCACATTCATTTTATTTAGTGAAATTAATGATTACTGTAATCTCTATTTTGAGTTTCAAGGTTTTATGTGAAATGTTAGGAAAACTGGTCAATGAAATATTATATATTACCACTGGAGGGTAGTGTTTCCAATTTCTATTTTTACAAATGATCAAGTTGAATTTAGTTGATAGACTAATCGTGTGCTTTTATTTTAAAAATATTTTATTTTCATAATATCAAACAGGCCCTCAAAAGTTTGCATAATCACTTTGTGATCCCCTCACGCCCCCATGCTAATGAATTTGTACCCCTTTTCTCTTTCTCCCATGCCAATACTAACGAGACCCGACCCTGCTTAGCTTCTGGGATCAGACGAGATTGGGCATGTTCAGGGTGGCATGGCCATAGGTGCCTTTTCTCTTTCTTAAAAAAAAAAAGTTTGCATTAGTTACTCTAATGGAGACATTGAATGGATTAATTTATTTACTTTTTAATTCAAATTCTCCTTTTCTTTAGCCCATTATTCCTATGTTTACACAAAATATTCGAGAAGGATTTAGATCACTTGGAGGAACAAGTAAGTTCTGATTTGTATGGTTTTAAATTACAATGTAATTTTTAAAATATTTGGGCTGTTGAACCCTACAAGGAAACCTTTTGAATTATTATCTTTAGAAAATGGATATACTATTTAGACGTTTTTCTGTTTAAAGTCCAAATGATAACTAGTTCTACGTAATGACAGTTCTTAATGCTGAATTTTTGTTGAGAGTACATATACACACTGAAGTTCTTCAAATGGGCTTTTAAAAACTTCACAGTGAATTAGCTAGTTTATTGTTTTAAACCATGGTGACAAGGTTTAGAATACATTTACAAACTATCCCAACAATCTTTTTAACTCACCCCAGAAGTTACAGCTTTAAAAATGGATGAAAATATGATATTGAACTAAGATTAACTACCTAAGGAAATAGCATTTGCTTTGGTTTATTTGTCACTTCTTGTTGTTTTTAAAAATATTTTGTAGCGGCCGGGAGCGGTGGCTCATGCCTGTAATCCTAGCACTTTGGGAGGCCGAGGTGGGTGGATCACAAGGTCAGGAGATTGAGACCATCCTGGCTAACGTGGTGAAACCCCGTCTCTACTAAAAATACAAACAAAATTAGCTAGGTGTGGTGGCGGGCACCTATAGTCCCAGCTACTCAGGAGGCTGAGGCAGGAGAATGGCGTGAACCAGGGAGGAGGAGCTTGCAGTGAGCCGAGATCGTGCCACTGCACTCCAGCCTGGGCGACAGAGCGAGACTCCGTCTCAAAAAAAAAAAAAAAAAAAAAAAATTTAGTCTGTCAGTTTGTTTTTATATTACTACCACTTTTATTTAATCCTGGTAAATTTCATGTTTGGTCATTAGTATTAGTAGTTATTTGCTTTGATGTGTTTTTCCTAATTCATAATATTATTTTGTCTTTACCTAGTTTATTTTGCATTATAGTCTCATATTTACATAAATTTATTCTTCCTTTTTTTGGTCTTTTATTTATCTAAGTTACTTATTTGTGAGACTCTATAGACTTTTTCACCTCTAGTAGTTTGGTAGCAGTTTAGCCTTTGTTTTGCAATAATAGTAACTTGTTTGCCTTTTAAAATTACTGTATTTTATTTTTATTTATTCATTGTTTACTTATTTTTGTTTAATTCCTGTACTTTAAAAGCTCATTTTAAAAAATAATTAATAAACTTTTTTGGGGGGCATTTTTATGTTTATAGAAAGTACAGAGAGTTCTCATAAATCTTCTCACCATCCCCTAGTTTCTCCTATTATTAATATCTTGCATTGGTGTGATATATTTGTTAAAATTGATGAAAAGCTCTTCTTTTTAAAAAAATTGTATTAATTGCCAAGAAGTGATACTTTTTGCCACCTTCCTGTAAGTCCTACATAATTAATTTGAAAGTTTACAGTTACATGGTCAGAATACTTAACAAGTTAAAATGATTGTATTTACTCTAAAACAGGGTTATTTAGGTGGCTTTATGAAAAATTCCGCTATCCATTTGCTCCAATGTATGGAGGTTTTCCAGTGAAGTTACGGACCTATTTAGGCGACCCCATTCCGTATGACCCACAGATAACAGCGGAAGAATTAGCTGAAAAGGTAAATTGCTTTTTCTTTTTTAGTTTTAGGACAGATTTTTATTTTCAATTATTATATTTTGAATCTCATTGATTTATTTTTATATTCTACAAGCATGTCTAGGTCAGTGGTTCTCAACCAGAGGTGATTGTATACCCTAGGGAACATTTGCTAATCCCTGGAGACTTATTGTCACTACAGGCAGGAGTTGGGGCCGTGAGGGGAGTGCTACAGACATTTAGTGGGTGGGGGCCAGTGATAGAATTTATGGTAACTTGTAGGATAGGAATATATTCCTATGCATAGGTTTTTGGAAATATTGGACTGGAGTTTGGGAGAAAGTCAGAATTGATGATGGAGATTTCAGTCATTTGCACTGAGACAGTTACTTAAGCCATGAGCTTTACAAGGCAGGTGAGAAAGAAAGAAAAGTGCTGAGAACAGACTTCAGGAGATGTAGCACTGAAGGAGAAGGCCAACGAAGAAGTGCCAGAGCTGACTGAAAGAGAACTGGCAGAGAGGTAAGAGAACAAGTAAATTTGTGTGACAGAAGTCAGCAGGTGAGGTTTTAGTAAAAAGTGGGAATGGTCAGTAATGTTAGTTTTTGCAAAGAGATGAAGGAGGATAAAGAGGAGAAAAGCCTGCCTGCCTCATAATTATACTTTCAGAGAGTATAAAACTACAAAAAAAAAAAAACCCTACAAATGTCATGTTCTCCTTTTTTTCTTTTTTACCCCATTCTTGTTAAATGCAATAAATGTTATGTTAACTGAATCACTTAGAAAATGGGATGAATGGGCCATGCTTGGTGGCTCACACTTGTAATCCCGGCACCTTGGGAGGCTGAGGTAGGAGGATATCATGAAGCCAGGAGGTCAAGGTTACAGTGAACTATGATTGTGCCACTGCACTCCAGCCTGGGCAACAGAGTGAGACACTGTCTCTCAAAAAATAAAATGGGATGATTATATTTTGATTATGACTTTTATATAGTCTTTGGTATATATATAGTCTGATTTATATTTTAAAATATAAATTATGGTAAAAACATTATGGTAAAACATATGGTAAACACATAATATGGTAAAACATAGTAAAACAAATTATGGTAAAAACACATACATGTACTATCTTAACCATTTTTAAGCATACAGTTCAGTACTGTTAAGTACATTCACATTATTGAGCAACAGGTCTCTAGAATTTTTTCATCTTGCAAAACGGACTATACCTGTTGAACACCAACTTCCCATTTCCCCTTCCTCCAGCTCCTAGCAACCACCATTCTACTTTTCTAAGACTTTGACCACTTTAGATACCTCATATGAGTGAAATCATACGGTATTTGTCTTTTTGTCATTGACTTATTTCAGTTAACATAATGTCCTCAAGGTTCATCTATGTTGTATCACGTGATAGGATTTCCCTCTTTTCTTTCTTTCCTTTTTGAGACAGTCTTACTCTGTAACCCTGGCTGCAGTGCAGTGGTGCAGTCTCGACTCAATGCAACCTCCGTCTCCCAGATTCAAGTGATTGTCGTATCTCAGCCTCCCAAATAGCTGGAATTACAGGCATGCCCCACCAGTTTGTACTTTTTTACTTGGTACAAGTCTATACATTTTTACTTTATATACTCAAAGTCTATGCTTTTTTACTTGGTATTTAACTCCCTTCATGATTTAATTGAAATTAATTTTAAAGCCTTACCTTACCCAGCTTTTGAATACCTGAAACTCCAGTAAAACTGGCTAACTCACCATTCCTTACACAGTGGTTTTCCTGGACTCTTTTCTTCTCATGCTCCTTCCTTTACCATTATTGGAATATTATGGGTCCCTGGAGACCCGCACCAAACAATACCCTGTTCATGTGTCCTCCCCTGCTCACTGCCTACCCAGTGGGCTCTCAGGTCTGAACTTCTGAACACTTTCTTTTCACACTTCAGATGGTATGCATCACCAATGATCTCACATTTTAGTTACTTTGTACTTGATTCTTCGTTTTAAGTTATGAGCTCCTTGAGATTAGAGATTTGTTTCACTAATATTATAATTTCCAAAGCATCTAATATTTTTCGAATGAATAAATAAAATTCTAGAGATACACTTAATACACATCACGGAACACAACCTCTGTGGCAGTCACTGTGTTAAGTACCTGAAGATGTCCCTTCAGTTTCATTTAATCCTTATAACTGTATGAAGTAGTTCTCATTTTACAGGTATGAAAACTGTGGTTTAGAGGGGTGTTTTTTGTTTTGTTTTGTTTTGAGACAGAGTTTCACTCTTGTTGCCCAGGCTACAGTGCAATGGCGCGATCTTGGCTCACTGCAACCTCCGCCTCCTGTGTTCAAGCGATTCTCCTGCCTCAGCCTCCCAAGTAGCTGGGATTACAGGCATGTGCCACCACACCTGCTAATTTTGTATTTTTAGTAGAGACGGGGTTTCACCATGTTGGTCAGGCTGCTCTCGAACTCTTGATCTCAGGTGATCCACCCACCTCAGCCTCCCAAAGTGCTGGGATTACAGGTGTGAGCCACCACGCCCAGCCAAAGGGGCGTATTTTTATAATACATCTTTGGCCTAGTGTTTATTTTCTTTAAAGGTTAAAGTCTAGAAAAGGAAGTATATATGTATGTAAATACATAGTTCATGATGACTCATGCCTGTAATCCCAGCACTTTGGGAGGCCAAGGCAGGAGGATCCCTTGAGTCCAGGAGTTCGAGACCAGCCTGAGCAACACAGTGAGACCCTGATATAATTGTTCAGTATGTATGGTGATAAAAGAAAATATACATTAGAATTTACTAATAGCTGGAAAGGACTAAGTCTTCCATTTGCCTACTCGAAATTTTTCTATTTTTTTTCCTCTTTAAGTCCCCTTTAGTGTTTATCATGTGCAAGGTGTTGCTGTGCTTAATGCTGGAGAAATTCTAAGATGTATCTTAAGGAGCTTACAGTCTGATATAGAAAATAGACACGTGGACAACAACTATAATTGAAGGCTTAATAAAATAAGTATAAGAAATATGCTGCAGCCAGGCACAGTGGCCCATGCCTGTAATCCCAGCACATTGGAAGGCCAAGGTGGGAGAATTGCTTGAGCCCCAGGAGTTCGAGAACAGCCTGGGAAACATAGTGAAACCCCATCTCTATAAAAAAGAGAAATATATAAGCTTCAGGTGTACTGAGAAGGAAATCATTAATTCTGAGGGGTAATGGGAGATAAATCAGTCTATATTAAGATCTACTAACAATAGCTTTTCTTTTGTTTTCTTAATAGACGAAGAATGCTGTTCAAGCTTTGATTGATAAGCACCAAAGAATACCAGGAAACATTATGAGTGCTTTGTTAGAACGTTTTCATTGATAACAAAGGGTCAACTAGAAGATGATTTAGTACATTTATATTAAATGTTTGTATCTAAGGTACTGTCTTCTGAATTTTGTAGGTCCTATAATTAGTATTTTTTAAAAAAATCATGTTAATAAGCATCTTTCACAGAATTCGTTTCTTTAAAATAGTCAATTTTGTTTTTGCAATTGTGTCAAATACTAACAAATTACACACCTAGTAATTCAGAAAAAGATGTCTTATTTGTAAATTCCTAACAATTTATGCTAAACATATAGATTCTTAAGTTTATTAATAACAGCAGTTTAGGTTAAACAAACATTCCTGGATAATGCGTTAAATTTCTGTATCTGTCGCCCTGAGCTGATTTTGAAAGATGGTATAAGCTAGGGGTTAGTATAGTTGTTTAAGTTAGAAAAAACATGCTGTTGTCTGCCCCTCATTCCCTTCATGACCTTGGGCAAGTCACGTAATGTTTTTGTGCCTCAACAATTCACTTTTTAAAAACATGATCGTATGATGAATGATATTATTTTGTTATTTATATTTACTGTGATTGATAACTGTTGAACCAAAATAATAAAATAATTAATTTAAACAATGTCAAAATCCTTTAGCAGTTATGTATATATTTTCTCCATTGTGTGTTTAAATTATGTCATGTCCAGTTGCCAAGCACAATGAAAAAGATGTATTATTTTTTAAATTGAATAAAAAATTAGGAAAAATAAAATTTCTAATTATTATTTTTAGTATGATATTTTTAACAAGAGTCTATAGGCAAACAATATAGGGTGTGCTGTGCATTGTCAGCCCTATACTGTGGTCTTAATAATGCCAGCTTAAAAATCACTGTTGTGCTCTGCATTTCGTGTGTTAGAAGCTGATTCTAGGCTGAGGAAAGCAAGAGTTCTCTACTTTTGCTCAATATTGAGGCTTACCCAGTTTGACTCTACAGCCAGTGAAGTGGTTTATTGCTTCAATAAAAATATACTTGAATGATGAATTTATTTATGTTTTGTTTTGTTTTTATTTAGAGATGGGGTTTTGCCATGTTGGCCAGGCTGGTCTTGAACTCCTGACCTCAGGTGATCCACCTGCCTCAGCCTCCCAACTTGCTGGGATTACAGGTGTGAGCCACCATGCCCAGCCTGAATGATGAATTTATGTGAACACAAAGCCCTCTGAAAAATTAATGATTTTCAATTTGTTGTCTTCTTGAAAACTGAATTTAAGTATTATTTAAACAGAAAAGTGTCAGAAATCAAATGCAGTATCTCCCTCTCCCTTTTTTAAATGTTGAATTAGTAGGGTTTTTGTATAGCTTTTTGTATTGTGTGTATTTATGATATGTGAAATGTACATAAAATTAAACAATGTGAAAATAAACCTGAGTTGCAGTTAATTTTCTTGAGAAATTACATGTGACATTTTAAAAATCTTTTTTTTTTTTTTTCTGAGATGGAGTCTCGCTGTGTCTGTTTCCCAGGCTGGAGTGCAGTGGCACCATCTTGGCTCACTGCAACCTCCGCCTCCCAGGTTCAAGCAATGCTCCTTCTGTCTTCTGAAGGAGCCTCCTGAGTAGCTGGGATTACATGAGTGTACCACTACACCTGGCTAATTTTTGTGTTTTTAGTAGAGACAGGGTTTTACCATGTTGGCCAGGCTGGTCTTGAACTGCTGACCTCAAGTGATCCGCCCACCTCAGCCTCCCGAAGTGCTGGGATTACAGGTGTGAGCCACTGCGCCCACCCTAAATAGTCATTTTAAATTGATTTTTTTGTTGTACTCTTTACACATTTCTCACCTATAATCATATTCTTTGATCTAGCCACAATGAAGAAACTTCACTTTCCAGTGTAATAAATATATTTTAATTTTGTGGTCAATGAGAAGAGTCAATTAATGATTACTTGCAGTTTCCTCCCCCCACCAGTGAGCAGTGTTTGGTTCAAAATTGATGAAATATTTCAGAATGAATGAATAAATGATATAAAATGAATGAGAAATTTGTTTTGGGTCAACTATTGAGTTTTAAAGACTGAAGTTAGCCAGGAGTGGTGTCATGAACCTGTAGTCCCAGCTACTTGGAAGGCTGAGGCGGGAGAATTGCTTGAGCCCAGGAGTTCGAGGCTGCAGTGAGTCGCAATTGTGCCACTGCACAGCCTGAGTGATAGAGCAAGCCCATGGTTCTATTAATAAAGACTAAAGAAAGAACAGCATTTATTGCTAATGTGGCAAAAGCTATTATTTTTACAATATTTAAGTTTTACTGCTTTAATTAAAACCTTTTTTTAAAACCCTGATATTCAGACTAACATCATTGCTTCAGATCTTTATCTTTGCTATTTGAGTTTAATTCCCATTTATAAGAGTCAGAGAATATGACTAAATATAGAAATATGGCTGGGCATGATGGCACACACCTATAATCCCAGCACTTTGGGAGGATTGCTTGAGGCCAGGAGTTTGAGACCACCTGGACAACATAACAAGACCTCTTATCAAATAAAATTTTTTTGTTTTTAAATTAAGCTGGGTTCAGTGGCTCACACCTGTCATCCTAACACTTTGGGAGGCTGAGGCAACTGGGTCACTTGAGCCCAGGAATTCAAGACCAGCCTGGGTGAAATCCTGTCTCTACAAGAAAACGCACAAAAATCGGCTGGGTATGGTAGTGCACACCTGCAGTTACAGCTACCTGGGAGGCTGAGGTGGAAGGTTGAGCCTGGAGAGGTCAGGGCTGCAGTGAGCCATGATTGTGCCACTGCACTCCAGCCTCAGCAACAGAATGACACCCTGTCTCAAAAAAAAAAAAAAAAAAAAAAATTAAAACAAAAGAAATATAAGTAATGGGAAGAAGGTGTATCAGTTTTTTTTCATAATTTTTCTTTCCCTTCTTATCACTTCTATTCATGTGTCTTGACCCTTTTTTGAGGAGTGTTCACAGTCAGAACCTGATGCAAGTATGAAGAGCCTCTCTCCAGAAGTGTAAACATGGCGCACTTATGGGAAGTTTTTCTTGCTCATTTTTAAAAACTTTCATTCTGAAACAATTCGAAGCTTACAGAAAAGTTGCAATTATAGTGCAGAGTACTCCCATACACTCTTCACCCAGATTCACCAAGGTAACATGTCACATTTGTTTTATTCTTTTCACACTCCTGTTGCCCTCGCTGTCTCCACATATGTATCTATACTTTTTCTCCTAGATCATCTGATAGTAAATTGCAAATACCATGCCCCTTACTGTTACCTGGACTGTGAGATCATCCATTTACAGAACCACAAGACAATGATAAAAAAAATCAGGAAAATCTTGATTGATATAATACTATTATCTATAGACTGTATTTAAATTTCACCAGTTGTCTCAGTAATATAATTTATATCAATCTTTCTTCCTGATTCATCCAAGGAAGGATCACACATTGCATTTAGTTTTCCTATTTCTTTAGTCACCTTTAATCTGGAATGATTCTTCAGCCCTTCTTTGTCTTCAATGATAGTGACCTTTTTGGAGAGGGGGGACCATTTATTTTGCAGATAAGCCCTCATTTTGTTTTTGCCTCACATTTCATTACAAGTTGATTCAGACTATGCATTATTTTAGAAATACAACATGAATGATGCTGCAGCTCTGTCCAGGGCGTCACATCAGGTGGCACATATGTTGGTTTGTGTCATTAGTGGCAATAACTTTGATCACTTGGCTGAGATGGCATTCACCAGGTTCCTTCCCTGTAGTTGTTATTTTTTTCCCTTTGTAATAAGGAAGCTTATTTTGAGATTCTTTGAGACTGTCTACAGTCATGCATTGCTTAATGATGGGAATATATTCTAGAAATGCATCGTTAGGCGATTTTGTCATTGTGTGAACATCATAAAGTATACTTACCCAAAGCTAAATGTATAGCCTACTACACAAATAGGCTGTATGGTATAGCCTGTTGCTCCTAGCCTACAAACTTGTACAGCATGTGACTACTGAATACTGTAGGCAATTGCAACACAATAGTATTTTGTGTATCTAAACACAGCTAAACTTAGAAAAGGTACAGTAAAAATAAGGTATTATAATCTTATGGGACCACTGTTGACTGAAACGTTACTATGTAGCACATAACTGCATGTAGCTGTTCCTCATCAAACCTTAACTAGTTAACTTGTTTTAGCATCTTTTGAATTGATTCTTGTGTGAATAAATTATTACTAGGGATTCAAGAGTGTGATTTTCTCATATCCTATATTTACTAGTTGGCATTCTTTTTTTTCTTTTTTTCTTTTTTCTTGAGACAGGGTCTCACTCTGCTGCGGGCAGTGGTGTGATCTCGGCTCACTGCAGCTTCCTGGGTTCAAGCAATTCTCATGTGTCAGCCTCCCAAGTAGCTGGGATTACAGGTGTGCGCCACCACGCCTGGCTAATTTTTGTATGTTTAATAGAGATGGGGTTTTCATGTTGGCCAGGCTGGTAGTAGTCGGCATTCTATAAGAAAGAGCATTCCAATTTCAGTATCGTGCCCCCCCACCCCCACCCCTAGGCTTTTAAAAATAATTTCAACTTTTAAATTCAGAGGGTACATGTGCAGGTTTGTTACATGGGTATAATGTGTGACTGCATGACTCTGAGGTTTAGGGTATGAATGATCTCATCCTAGTACCTAGGACCCAACAGATAGTATATCAGCCCTTAGCCTTTTTCCCTCTCCCCTGTAGTAGTCCCCAGTGTCTGTTGTTGTTTCCACTTTTATGTCCATACCCTTAGTTTTTCTTTCTTTCTTTCTTTTTTTTTTTTTTTGAGGCAGGATCTCACTTGCCCAGGCTGGAGTGCAGTGGTGTGACCACGGCTCATTGCAGCCTCGACCTCCCCAGGCTCAGGTGATCTGCCCACCTCAGCCTCCTGAGTAGCTGAGACTACAGGCATGTGCTGAACCCCCAGGCTAATTTTTGTATTTTTTATAGAGATGGGGTTTCATCATATTACCCAGGCTGGTCTCTAGCCCTTAAGCTCAAGTGATATGCCCCCCTTAGCCTCCCAAAGTGCTGGGATTACAACTGTGAGCCACCGTGCCTGGCCACCTGTATTTATTACAACATTTCTCACTTATTTATCACTTACAAGTATTTTCCCTCAAATATAATTGGGGCATGATTCGTTGACTCATTGGCCATTGGTGATTAAACTCAATCTGTAGCTCCTCTCCCTTCTCCTGAGGTAGGGATGGGGATGGGGCTGAAACACACACACACACACACACACACACACACACACACACACACACACACACAGATACACACCACATTTTGTTGATGAATGTTTGGGGTGATTGGTGTACAAACGTGTCTGAGTCTCTGCTTTTAATTCTTTTGGGTATATACCTAGAAGTGGGACTGCTGTCTCATATGGCAATTCCACATTTAAGTTTTTGTAGGAACCACCTGTAAACCAAAAATAAATTTCTGAGGCCCCTTGATAATAACTCTTTTAACAAATTGCCATCAGAAAAATTAATAATCTACATATGACCCCCCCGATTCCAACTTCTAGTTGTCCTGACCTTCCAGATCAAATCAATGTAAATCTTACATGTATTGATTGATTGTATTTTGTCTCCCTAAAATGTATAAAAGCAAATTGTACCCCAACCGCCTTGAACACATGTCATCAGGACCTCCTGAGGCTGTTCATGGGTGCATCCTTAACCTTGGCAAAATTAACTTTCTAAATTGATTGAGACCTGTCTCAGATACTTTTGTGCTCACACAGCAAACTTCCACAGAGACTGCATCATTTTACATTCCCATCAGCGATGCACCTTTACTAACACTTGTTATTTTCAATTTTTTTTGACAATAGCCACCCTATGACTAGTGGTGAAGTGGTATCTCACTGTGGTTTTGATTTGCATTTCCCTAATGATTAGTGATGTTGAGCATGTTTTCATGTGTTTAGTGGCCATTTGCATATCTTCTTTGGAGAAATATCTATTCAAGCCCTTAGTCCATTTTTGGATTGGATTGTTTTGTTGTTGATGTTGAGGTTTTGGAGTTCTTTATATATTCTGGATATTAATCTTTTATCAGATATATAATTTGCACATATTTTCCTCCTCTTTGTAGGTTGTATTTTTATACTTCAATAATGTCCCTTGATTAATAAAAGTTTTTAATTGTAATGAGATCCAATTTAGCTATTTCTCCTTCTTCTTCTCTCTCTCTCTTTTTTGGGCCTATGCTTCTGATGTCATATCCAAGAAATAATTGCCAAATTCAATTTTATTAAGATTTTCCCCTATGTTTTCTTCTGAGAGGTTTTAAGTTTAGCTGTTACATTTAGGTCTTTAATTCATTTCAGCTAATTTTTGTATATGATGTAAAATAAAGATCCAGTTTTTTTATTTTCCTGGTGAATATCCAGTTTTCCCAGCACCATTTGTTGAAAACACTATATTTTCCACACTGAATGATTTTGGCATTCGACTGAGCATATATGCAAGGGTTTATTTCTGGGCTGTTTATCCTTTTTTTTTTTTTTTTTTTGAAATGGAGTTTCGCTCTTGTTGCCTAGGCTGGAGTGCAATAGTGTGATCTCGGCTCACCACAACCTCCGCCTCCTGGATTCAAGCGATTCTCTTGCCTTAGCCTCCTGAGTAGCTGGGATTACAGGTATGTGCCACCACACCCGGCTAATTTTGTATTTTTAGAAGAGATGGGGTTTCTCCATGTTGGTCAGGCTGATTTCGAGCTCCCGACCTCAGGTAATTCACCCGCCTCGGCCTCCCAAAGTGTTGGGATTATAGGCGTGATCCACCACACCTGGCTCTGGGCTGTTTATTTTATTCCATTGGTCTCTATGTTCTTGTGTCAATACTATACTGACTTGATTACTGTAGTTTTGTAGTAAGTTTGGAACTGAGGAAGTATGAGTCTTCCAACTTTGTTTTTAATACTCGAACACTTCTTCCCCCCCGCACCACATTTCCCCCCATATTGTTTTGGCTATTTGGTGTCTCTTGAATTTTAACATGGGTTTTTCTATTTCTGCAAAACCAAAATGCAAGCCATTTGGATTTTGATAGAGATTGCATTGAATCTGTGGATTGCTTTGGATAGTATTGCCATCTTAATATTAAGCCTTTCAATCCATAAACATGGGATATCTTTTCATTTATTTACATCTTTGATTTCTTCAAGCAGTGTTTTGTAGTTTTTAGCATACGAGTCTGTTGTCTCCTTGGTAAAGTCTATTCCTAAATATTGTATCCTTTTTTATGCTATTGTAAATGGAATATCTAGTTTCTTCCTTCCTTCCTTTCTTCCTTCCTTCCTTCTTCCTTCCCTCTCTCTCTCTTTCTCTTTCTTTCTTTCTTTCTCTCTCTCACTCTCTCTTTTTTTCTCTCTCTCTCTTTTGAGACAGGGTCTTGCTCTGTCACCCATGCTGGAGTGTGATGGCACAATACACAATCATGGCTCACTGCAGTTTTGACCTCCTGGACTCAAGTAATCCTCCCACATTATCCTCCCAAACAGCTGGGACCACAGGTGCATGCCACCACAACTGGCTAATTTTTAAATTTTTTGTAAAGGTGGAGTCAGTCTTGCTGTGTTGCTCAAGCTGGTCTCAAACTCCTGGCCTCAAGTGATCCTCCTGCCTTGGCCTCCCAAAGAGCTGGGATTACAGGCATGAGCCACCACACCCAGCCACAACTGATTTCTGTGTTAATTTTATATCATCAACTTTGCCAAGTTTGTTCGTATATTAACTGTAACAGTTTGTGTGTGTGTGTGTGTGTGTGTGTGTGTGGTTTGTATATTAGCTATAACAGTGTGTGTGTGTGTGTGTGTGTGTAATCTGCAGATTTGTAACTTTTAATATAATGTTATCTGTGAACAAAGATAATTTTGTCAGAGGCATTTGAACCAGAGTGACTCCATTTTGAATAGGGGACAGGTAAATTGAGGATGTGAGCTGCTGGGCTGCATTCCCTGGAGGTTAGGCATTCTTAGTCACAGGATGATATAGGAGGTTGGCAGGACTGGTGTGACAAGATACAGGTCATAAAGACCCTGCCAGTAAAACAGGATATGGTAAAGAAGCCAGCCCAAACCCACCAAAACCAAGATGGCAATGAAAGTGACCTCTGGTTGTCCTCATGTTTATTGTACACTAATTATAATGCATTAGTATGCTAAAATCCCATCCTTTACCCAGGATAAAATTGTCCCACCAGCACCATGACGGTTTACAAATGCCATGGCGATGTCTGGAAGCTACCTTATATGGTCTAAAATGGGGAAGAACCCTCAGTTCTGGGAACTCCCCACCCCTTTCTGTGAAAACTCATGAATAATCCACCCTTGTTTAGAATATATTCAAGAGATAATCGTTAAGTATACTCAGTTCAGCAGCCCATGCCACTGCTCTGTCTATGGAGTAGCCATTCTTTTGTTTCCTTACTTTCTTAATAAACTTGCTTTCACTTTGCTCTATGGACTTGCCCCAAATTCTTTCTTGTACAAGATCCAAGACCCCTCTCTTGGGGTCTGGATTGGGACTCCTTTCTGGTAACATCTTTCTAGTGAACTGCAAAAGGATGATCCTGGAGAAACCCCCAACCCAAAGGAAATAGACTGCAGTGCTGGGCACAGTGGCTCATGTCTGTAATCCCAGCATTTTGGGAGGCCAAGATGGGTGTATCGCCTGAGCTCACGAGTTTGAGAACAGTCTGGGCAACATGTCAAAAACCACATCTCTATCACAAATACAAGAAAATAGCCAGGTGTGGTGGGGCGTGCCTGCAGTCCCAGCCACTCAGGAGGCTGAGGTGGGAGGATCACTTGAGACTGGGAAGTGGATATTGCAGTGAGCTGAGATTGTGCCACTACACTCCAGCCTGGGTGACAGAGTGAGACCCTGTCTTAAAAAAAAAAAAAAAAAGGGAAATAGACTGCAGCCCCAATTGGCCAACTTTGGATTAAGTGATGGGATATTTTGTTTGATTTTTTTTGAGATGGAGTTTCACTCTGTTGCCCAGGCTGGAGTGAAATGGTGCAATCTTGGCTCACTGCAACCTCCACCTTCTGGGTTCAAGTGATTCTCCTGCCTCAGCCTTCCGAGTAGCTGGGATTACAGGCAAGTGCCACCACGTCTGGCTAATTTTTGCATTTTTAGTAGAGACAGGGTTTCTTCATGTTGGCCAGGCTGATCTCAAACTCCTGCCCTCAGGTGATCCACCTGTGTCAGCCTCCTAAATTGTTGTGATTACAGGTGTGAGCCACCTTACCTGGTCTAAATGGTTGGGTATTTTAATCCTGGGTAGAGAATGGAATTAGGTTAGAGGCCCAACTTAAAAGGGTTAGAGTCCCTCCTAAGAAACAGGGGGTTTAAAGTCCCTCTTAGTAAAGGGCAAAGATGCTTGTCTGAAATTAGGTTAGACTGCCAACTTAGGAAGTTAGAGTCCTTCCTAAGATTTAATGGGTTAGAGGCCCCCCCGCCACTCCCCTCAGTAAAGTCCTTCTTGGTTCAAAATAAATTTGGGGCTGGTTGTGGTGACTCATGCCTGTAATCCCAGCACTTTGGGAGGCCAAGGCAGGTGGATCACCTAGGGTCAGGAGTTCGAGACCAGCCTGACCAACATGATGAAACCCTGTCTCTACTAAAATTACAAAATTAGCTGGGCCTGTGGCACATACCTATAATCCCAGGTACTTGGAAGACTGAGGCAGGAGAATCACTTGAACCCAGGAGGCGGAGGTTGCAGTGAGCCGAGATTGCACCATTGCACTCCAGACTGGGCAACAAGAGCAAAACTCAGTCTCAATAAAATAAAATAATAAAATAAAATAAATTTGTCACTATGGGATGCTAATTGCTTTTCTCTTTGAATTAATCTGCCTTATGCTCTTTGCTAGTGGCTGTAGGTGACAGGATTAGGCATATACTTGATCATGGGACATGAGGATCTTTTTTCTCCCCAGAGGGGAAAACGAGAGCTGATGTGACCACTGGAAAAGATCCCTTTGTGACTGACAAGGAGCTGCCTGAACATTTGATTCAGTGTCGCTATGAGGGGTGGGTTTTCTCTGACCCCTTTGGGCTGCTCGCCTTCCCTACCCTGCTGCAGGCAATGCTTTTCTCCCTTTCTCTCCTTTCACTTTCCTATCTTTTCTGTTACTCAGGGTGACTGTCCACTCTTCCATCTTTCTCAGATACCAAAAGTTGAAACTCCCGGTCGGTGGAGATCATTCCACCCCACTTTGAGTGGATTAAAGATAATGGGGTACCAATGGGGGCAAGTTTGAACCTTGCCAGGTCTATATTGGGTGCTGAGTGGAGTGGCTAAGTGTCTATGTTTTGTCATATGTATTTTGTTCTGGCTGGGATTAAAAAAATGTTAATTTGGTTCCCCCATGCAGCCCATTGGGCAGCATCTTGCAAAATTGAGAGGCTTTTGCCTATGGTTCCATGAAACAGAAAAATATGTTTTTCCTTAGTGATGTGGCTTGGCCCACATGGCCATGGTGCAGCGAGCAGGGTCGCTAGGACCACTCAGGGAAAGGGAACCCAGAAACCTGGCATGCTGGCAAAAGCATAAGAATTTTTTACCAGTCAGACTTCTGGCCTCTCAATATCTCTCTCTCTCTCTCGTTTTCTCTCTCACTCTTTCTGTGCAAACAGGTTGAATGAATGGTAAAAATCACTATTTATCTCCTCTATAAAATTTTGATTAATGGGAAAAAGGATTTGTGAGACTAGTCTTAGGCTGTAGCAAATCTGGTGTACTTTGCACTATGAATTTGTCTTTGTGTGTAGTTCTGTTATAAAAGGGGTTACCTATAAGCCTTCTATTTAAGCTGTACCAGCAAACTGACCAGTTACAAAGTTTGTTGCAGATTCCTGAAACAAAAAGTAGGTAAAGTTTCCTTCTCGTCTTGTTTTATGTCCTTGGGAGCTTGACCTTGTGAGTATATGGGGATACTTTCTCTTGGTCTCCACTATCTAGAGGGTGAAAATTTTGGGGTTCATGTCAACAGTTGGCCTAAAAATTATAGGCCACTGAAAATTTTGGCCAAAACCACAATTACTTTTGCATGAACCTAGTATCTTGGGCTCTTAAAAACCTTTGTAAGCTCAAAATTGGCTGCTCTAGGTTCCTTCTAGGAAGGGCAATAAACACTGTCCAGTGCTGTAGCTCAGAAGCTAAGGCTTTGCCATTTCACAATGGTGACTTGGGTTCAATTCCCAGCTTAGAGAATGTACTTTCTGTTTGATATTTGTGTGATCTTTGCCATTTGTTGATTCTCCTCACCTTCATGAACAACTTCTGACTTTCCAGCTTGAATTTTCCTTTCTCTGAGCTACCTTTGAAGACTCTAGATCTTGTAAAAACTGCTTACCACCTCTTTGAAAATACCTCATACACTCATGGTTAAGTCATAAACTTAGTTAAGGCTTATTGTTTCACCTAGGAAGCTACCTTTAATAAAGTTCAAAAGCCAGAAATACTGGCTGTAGGTCCTTACTAGAGTCTAGTAATAAGAGATCTGGTTAAACGTCAGCTTAAGTTAAAGCAGATTATCCAAGCTATACATATATTTAAAAGGTCTTTATGGCTCCCCACCACCCCCACGCCCCAGTTGAATCTTGTTTTTCTGAAAAAAAAAGCTATTTTCTTCTCAGTTGACTGAATTGTTTTTCTCCATTTTATCTTCTTGCCACTGTTGACACCCAAATGAGAGGACCTAAGATAATTTCTAACAGCCTGGGACTCCTGGGGAAAAGCAGAGGAGGAGCCACAGACTCCATTTTGGAAAAACTTCTGATTTCCTCATGGAACCCCAAGAAGTGAAAGTGGATGGATCCCTCTCAAAATCTAAGGTTCTGTTCTGTTTTGCATTGAGTTACCTGACATCTTTGATGTTGATGGGTATCAGAAATTACTGTGCATTATGAGAGAGCTTTAATGGTAATAACTAGGTAGGAAATATACTTTTAGGGATGGCTAGTGGCAATTATGGGGGGATACTCGGCTTTTTGCCTGTTTGGATCAGGGAAGCATGCTCTTCGCCACATAGAAGGTATGGATACATCCCTACCCACTGCCACTGAAAAGTAAGATCCCCATGGAGGATGAGCTGAAGTCCCTCTTTTTGGTATCCAGGACCTGGTGTAAGAATTGAACCCTCAATTTTCAGCAATCTGTTTTTGCCTTCCAGCTGTGCCTTCTTATTTGGCCATAGAAACTGCATGCTTCCTGGCCCTGTTTGTCGGAGGGCTCTACCCAGAAGCCAGTAATCTAATTAAAAAATGTAAAAACTGGGAAATGAAAAATTTTACAAGTACTGGATTCTCTTCTGTTTCTGTATTTTTATGTATTATGTGTGTGATGTTTATATATGAGAGCTCTGATTAATTGGCTTAAAAATAAGCACTTATGTATCAAAGATTTTCTCAGAAAAATAAAGACTTTAATGCCTTTTAGTTCATGTGACTTTAGTAATCTTTAGGAAATAAAGACACTTTTAAAGATTATTAGTAAAGTAAAAATGTTTTCAAAATTTAGACAGTTGGTCTAAATTAGGTCACATATTAGATTTGATAAATGCCTTAATGTCATAAACTACTTCTTTAATTTGATAATTGTTCAAATTACTTGCCTTGGAGCCACTAAATTCCAGATAAGGCAGGGGACATGTGGAGTTAGCTATGCCCCCTAACTATGCTGGAAAGACTCAGACCTTATCTGTACTTCTGTCTGGTGTCCTAGGCTCCACATCTGGTACATAAATAAAATCACTTACTTGCCAGAGTTTTTACCAACATAGAAGTTGCTAAGAGTTAATACTGAAACATATATAATTGAGACTACTAGCAAAATAGTTTTACATGCAAGGTGTGTAAGGAAAGTAAAATGTGTTTTAGTACAAGATTTTAAAAAGGCATGGGAATATGGAATTTTTGTGTGTGCCTAGTTTAGAAAGTTAGTCTAGAACTAAACAGTTGAGCAAGATGTGGAAGGTTTGTGAGAAGTTAATCTTGTAAAAAAATTCTGTATGTGAACCTATTGACTAAAGTTAAAGGAATATTATTCAATTTTTAAATAAATTGAACATCAAAATAAAAGCACAACAGGGTTTTCTTAGAATATTGATCTACTCTTTCTCTCTTTTTTTTTTTTTTTTCTGGAGGCAGGGTCTCACTGTATCACCCAGACCAGAGTGCAGTGGCACGATCACAGCCCTCTGCAGCCGCCACCTCTTGGGCTAAAGTGATTCTCCCTCCTTAGCCTCCCTAGTAGCTGGAACTACAGGTGTGCACCTCCATGCCTGGCTAATTTTTGCATTTTTTTTGTAGAGATGGGGTTTTGTCATGTTTCCCATGCAGGTCTCCAACTCCTAGGCTAAGGAATCCACTCACCTTGACCTCTCAAAGTAGTTGGATTATAGGCATGGCCACTGTGCCTGGCCTCAGCTAATTTTTTGTATTTTTCATAGAGACAGGGCTTTGTCATTTTGCCTAGGCTGGCCTTGAACTTCTGGGCACAAGCAACCTGCCCATTCAGACTCCCAAAGTGCTGAGATTACAAATATAGAGCCACCACGCCTGGCCAGATCTGCTGTTTAACAGAAAATTGTTAAAAGGTTTATGAGACTCTTACCTCATGGTCAAACTGATTAAGGTTGAATACTTTGTCTATAAGGTTTTATTAAGATTTGGATTTGACATTGATAGTACTCTAATGCAAAGGTGAAATTTGGCTTTCTCTCAAACAAAATTTTCATGTAATATTAAAAGATAATGAAAGATTTCTGTTTGCCTTTTGAATAAACTACAAGAAAAAGAAGGGAGAAAAGAGACAGATTGTCTGGAAAATGAAGTCTTCCTTTTATCAATGAATACAGGTTTTTGCCTTTAAAAAATTTTTCAGTTATCATTTTGGCTAATTAAATGACTAATGGTGACATGAAATTTTATTTTACAAGTATTTTAAAACTTTGATACTTGACAAACTTTCCAAAATCAAATTCTAAGTGATGTCTTTTTCTTACCTAATTAACCTTATAGATACTAAGTCCCCTAAAGTCCAAAAATGACATATTTGGATTATTTTGGTATATTAAAATCATACAGGTAGCATTGTCAAATATGAAATGGTGTTTGGTTTTCTTTAGGTTGCATTTGTATAAGTATGTTATTGGTATGTGTTCCAAAATTATGAGAAACCCCTGTAATTCTGATATGACTTGGTATATGTTTTGAGGAATAAATATAATTGTTATGTTAAATTGTTGTGTACCACAGAAGTAACCAAATTTTCTTATCAATTTTGTCTTTGATTGTGACTGCCCTAAGACTTCTTGTCATCCATAGACAATTGTTTTCTTATTTTGATCCTCCTTCAAAAGACAGTTTATAATTAGCGATACCACTCTCATGAGTACTCCTAAACATAGTCTGTGATAATTTTGGAAAGTGTGCTATTAAAATAAAGAGGAAAGAACTTCCAAGATTCTCTTGGAAAACGAATGTGTTCACAAATGTCGAGCAAAACAGGAATTAACTGCATAGGCTAAACTAATAAAAGGCCAAAGTAATCTTTTTATGACTTTTTGTTTAAAACATTGCTGATCCTTTCTGTTTTGGTTTTCAGAGTCAAGAAAACTTTTTTCTTTTTAGCTATTTATGGCTTTTAGCAGTTAAGTAAAGTATACTCCTATAAATAAATTTTGGAGCATATCTCTCTCCACCTGATTTTTCCAGAATTTGGAAACTATTTGTGAGTATTTGTATGATGATATAGTTATTTGCAAAAGTACAATAAGAATCTGTTTTCTTTTGTAATAGGACACAATTGGAGAAATTGTTTTTGTTTTTTTTCTTACCAAGGCTTTGACTGGAATGGCATGCTTTCACATATAAACATCCTGCTCTAAGGAATCAAAGTTGACTTATAGAGCTAATAAAAGCCCCTTGGAAAAACTAGCTTCATACCTTGCCTATGCATTCCCTGTACAGGATTCTTGACCTGTGGTAAGTAAAGAATTTTTTCTGACAGGCCCAGGAGCCCCAGGTTATCTTGAGACCTCAAGAGGAGAGGAATTTATCCAATTCATATAGGTATTTGCAGGCAGAGAGAAACTCATCGCTGGGCTCAAGGCTTCAAATGTCCAATATGAGATTCCTTACGGAACAAAGTTCCTTCAAAGGCAATTCAAAAAGATCCTATGTGGAAAGTAATTATTCTTGCTGCACCTTGTACAAATAATCAGGCTAAGTATAATAAAACTAAAACTTATTTTGCAAACAAATCCATCCTATTGCACTTTGTTTTTAATAAAAGTGGGGACTGGAGAGAGAAAAATTATGTTTCAAAAACTATGGTACATTTTTTATTAGATTCTAGTCTCATCCATTTTGAGATTTTCTGAAATTTAGACTGACCCTGCTTATTCCTGTGAACCAACCAGTGATCTCTGGCTGCAGCTCAGAGGAAATAAGAGGGATGGGAAATGTAAAAATCGGATCAATAATCTAATTCTGGGCACATACTAGAGTCAGCTAGTCACTCTGTATCAGCATGGTTCCATCAATTGTCCAGCTCATGGAAAGCCTTATTTAGTTTACTTTGGGATAATTTTACTTATTTTGCTTTACTGTTGTGGAATATATTGCTGTTGTACTCTTTGTGTAAGAATGCAGGATAAGCTTGCTAAAATTTTCTTAAATGGAACATATATTCATCTTCCAGATGTCACCTTTTGTAAAGACTCAGAGTTATGAATGGCTCTCACCATGTTGATGCTGACTGAGCTCCTCTCTACCCTGAATACAAGGGACCCTGGTAGTTAGGCAGGAATATCATTGCCCCTATTCAACCTGAAGAATTCACAGAAGATGGATCTTTATCCCTCTACAACCCTTTAAGGGTCCCCTTTTAAAAGCTGGGGTGGGATATGGCAGAGGCGTTTGAACCAGAGTGACTTCATCTTGAATAGGGGGTGGGTAAAATGAGGATCTGAGCTGCTAGGCTGCATTCCTAGGAGGTTAAGCATTCTTAGCTACAGGATGAGATAGGTTGGCAGGACTGGTATCACAAGATACAGACCACAAATACCCTGCTGATAAAACAGAATATGGCAGAAAAGCTGCCACCAAAACCAAGATGGCAATGAAAGTGACCTCTGGTCATCCTCACTGCTCATTATACACTAATTATAATGCATTAGCATGCTAAAAGACACTCCCACCAGCACCATGACAATTCACAAATGCCATGGCAATGTCTGGAAGCTACCAATATGGTTTAAAAAGGGGAAGAACCCTCAGTTCCAAGAATCCTCCACCCCTTTCTGGAAAACTCATGAATAATTCACCCCTTGTTTAGCATATAACCAAGAAATAACTATAACTATACTCAGTTGAGCAGCCCATGCTGCTGCTCTGTCTATGGAGAAGACATTCTTTTGTTTCTGTACTTTCTTAATAAACTTGCTTTCACTTCACTCTATGGACTTGCCTCAAATTCTTTCTTGTGCAAGAACCAAGACCCCTCTTTTGGGGTCTGGATTGGAACCCATTTTTGTTAACAATTTTACTTCTTCTTTTCCAATTGGGATACATTTTCTTTCTCATGCTTGCCTCATTAGCTCTGACTAGAATTTCCTAGAATTTGTTGAATAGACATGATGAAGACACACATAATTAGTTTTATATGATTATTTTTTATTTACTTATGTATTTATATTTTTATTTTCTTAGAACAGGCTCTTGCTCCATCATCCAGGCTGGGGACCAGTGGCACAATTATAGCTCACTGTAGTCTTGAACTCCTGGCCTCAAGGGATCCTCCCACCTCATCTTTCTGAGTAGCCAGTAATATGGGCATGTGCCACCGCATTTTTTTTTTTCGTTTATTTTTTAGGGTAAGGCACTCCAGCTGTAGAGCCACCACATTTGGCTAATTAATTTTTTAAAATTAATTTATTTATTTATTGTAGAGACAGAGTCTTGCTATATTGCCCAGGCTGATCTTGAACTCCTGGTCTCAAACGATCCTCCTGCCTCAGCCTGCACAGGAATTATAGGCATGAGCCACCATGCTCAGCCATATTTTTATGTTCAGAGATGATGCCTATTTGTGTGAATGTAACTAAAATAATAAGATGTGAACTTATAAATCTCTTCCATATTGCACATATTAACGTCTACACATCAGGCTGGCTGTGGTATTAGGGTTATTTTGGTACTCTGAGAGACTTTATCATATTAATTTAGATTTCAACTGAATATCTATGAAGCAGTTTTTTTTCTTTTTAAAAAATTTTTCATAAGTTATTGGGGTACAGGTGGTATTCGGTTATATGAGTAAATTCTTTAGTGGTGATTTGTGAGCTTTTGTTGCCCCTATTACTCCAGCAGTATACACTGCATCATATTTGTAGTCTTTTATCCCTTGCCCCCCTCCCATTCTTCCCCTCAAGTCCCCAAAGTCCATCATATCATTCTTATGCCTTTGTGTCCTCATAGCTTAGCTCCCACATATCAGTGAGAACATACAATATTTGGTTTTCCATTCCTGAGTTACTTCACTTAGAATAATAGTCTCCAATCTCGTCGAGGTCACTGCAAATGCTGGCAATTCATTCCTTTTTATGGCTGCATAATATTCCATCATATATATGATATATATATGTGATATATATGTGATATATATGTGACATATATATGCGATATATATGTGACATATATGTGATATATATGTGATATATATGTGACATATATATGTGACATATATGTGATATATATATGTGATATATATGTGACATATATATGTGATATATATGTCACATATATATGTGATATATATGTGACATATATATGTGACATATATATGTGATATATATGTGACATATATATGTGACATATATATGTGACATATATGTGATATATATGTGATATATATGTGATATATATATGTGACATATACATATATATATATATATATATCACTATTTCTTTAACCACTCATTGATTGATGGGCATTTGGGTTGGTTCCATGATTTTGCAATTGTGAATTGTGCTGCTATAAACATGCACGTGCAAGTGTGTTTTTGAATAATACTTCTTTTCTTCTGGGTAGATACCCAGTAGTGGGATTGTTGGATTGAATGGTAATTCTACTTTTAGTTCTTTAAGGAATCTCCACACTGTATTCCATAGCGGCTGTACTAGTTTACATTCCCACCAGTAGTGTAGAAGTGTTCCCTCTTCACCGCATCCATCCCAAAATCTACTGTTTTTTTATTTTTTGATTATGGCCATTCTTGCAGGAGAGATGTGGTATTGCATTGTGGTTTTGATTTGCATTTCCCTGATCATTAGTGATGCTGAGCATTTTTTCATATGTTTGTTGGCCATTTGTATATCTTCTTTTGGGAATTGTCTATTCATGTCCTTAGCCCACTTTCTGATGGGATTGTTTGTTTTTTTCCTACTGATTTGTTTGAGTTTGTTGTAGATTCTAGATATTAGTCCTTTGTCAGATGTATAGATTGTGAAAATTTTCTCCCACTCTGTGGGTTGTCTGTTTACTCTGCTGACTGTTCCTTTTGCCGTGCAAAAGCTCTTTAGTTTTATTAGGTCCCAGCTATTTATCTTTGCTTTTATTGCATTTGCTTTTGGGTTCTTGGTCATGAAATCCTTGCCTAAGCCAATGTGTAGAAGGGTTTTTCCAATGTTATCTTCTAGAATTTTTATAGTTTCAGGTCTTAGTTTTAAGTCCTTAATCCATCTTGAGTTGATTTTTGTATAAGGTGAGAGATGAGGATCCAGTTTCATGCTCCTGCATGTGGCTAGCCAATTGCCCCAGCACCATTTGTTGAAAAGGGTGTCCTTTCCCCACTTTATATTTTTGTTTACTTTCTCGAAGATCAGTGGGCTGTAAGTATTCAGGTTTATTTCTTGGTTCTCTATTTTTGTTTCATTGGCCCATGTGCCTATTTTTGTACAACTACTATGCTGTTTTGGTGACTATGGCCTTATAGTATAGTATAGTTTGAAATCAGGTAGTGTGATGCCTCCAGATTTGTTCTTTTTGCTTAGTCTTGCTTTGGCTATGTGGGCTCTTTTTTGGTTCCATATGAACTTTAGAATTGTTTTTTTCTAATTCTGTGAAGAATGATGGTGGTATTTTGAAGGGAATTGCATTGAATTTTTAGATTGCTTTTGGCAGTAGGGCCATTTTCACAATATTGATTCTACCTATCCATGAGCATGAGATATGTTTCTATTTGTTTGTGTCATCTATGATTTCTTTTAGCAGTGTTTTGTAGCTTTCCTTGTAAAGGTCTTTTGACTCCTTGGTTAGGTATATTCCTAAGTATTTTATTTTATTTTTTTGCAGTTATTATAAAAGGGGTTGAGTTCTTGATTTGATCTCTGCTTGGTCACTGTTTGTGTATAGAAGAGCTACTGATTTGTGTACATTAATCTTGTATCTGGAAACTTTGCTGAATTCTTTTATCATTTGTAGGAGCTTTCTGAAGGAATCCTTATGGTTTTCAAGGTAAACGATCAAATCTTCAGCAAACAGTGACAGTTTGACTTCCTCTTTGCCAATTTGGTTGCCCTTTATTTCTTTCTCTTGTCTGATTGCTCTGGCTAGGAATTCCAGTACTATGTTGAAGAAGAGTGGTGACAGTTGGCACCTTTGTCTTGTTCTAATTCTCAGAGGGAATGCTTTCAACTTTTCCCCATTCAGTATTATGTCGGCTGTGGGTTTGTCATAGATGGCTTTTAGTACATTAAGGTATGTCCCTTGTACGCTGATTTTGCTGAGAGTATTAATCGTGAAGAGATGCTGGATTTCGTCAAATGCTTCTTCTGCATCTATTGAAATGATCATGTGATTTTTGTTTTTAATTCTGTTTCAATTCATTTAGTTCTGCTCTGACCTTGGTTATTTCCTTTCTTCTGATAGGTTTGGGTTTGGTTTGTTCTTGTTTCTCTAGTTCCTTGGGTGTTAACCTTAGAGTGTCAGTTTGTACTCTTTCAGAGTTTTTGATGTAGGCATTTAGGGCTATGAACTTTCCTCTTAGAACCTCCTTTGCTGTATCCTAGAGGTTTTGACAGGCTGGGTCATTATTGTCGTTCAGTTTGAAGAATTTTTTTTTTTTTTTTTTTTTTTTTTTTTTTTTTTTTGAGACGGAATTTTGCTGTTTCACCCAGGCTGGAGTGCAGTGGCGCAATCTCAGCTCACTGCAACCTCTGCCTCCCAGGTTCAAGTGATTCTCATGCCTTAGCCTCCCAAGTAGCTGGGATTACAGGCGCACACCACCATGCCCAGCTAATTTTTGTATTTTTAGTAGAGATGGGGTTTCACTATGTTGGACAGGCTGGTCTTGAACTCCTGACCTCAGGTGATCCACTCACTTTGGCCTCCCAAAGTGCTGGGATGACAGGCATGAGTCACCACACCCAGCCGAATTTTTAAATTTTCATTTTGATTTTGTTTGTGACCCAATGCTCATTCAGGAGCAGGTTATTTAATTTCCATGTATTTGCATGATTTTGAAGGTTCCTTTTGGAGTTGATTTCCAGTTTTATTCCAGTGTGGTCTGAGAGAATGCTTGATATAATTTCAATTTTCTTAAATTCATTGAGGCTCGTTTTATGACCTATCATATGGTTATCTTGGAGAAAGTTCCATGTGCTGTTGAATAAAATTTGCATTCTGCAGTTGCTGGATGAAATGTTGTGTATATATCTGTTAAGTCCATTTGTTCCAAGGCATAGTTTAAATCCATTATTTATTTGTTGACTTTCTGTCTTGATGACCTGTCCAGTGCTGTCAGTGGAGCATTGAAGTCCATTATTATTGCATTGCTGTCTATCTCATTTCTTAAGTCTATTAGTAATTGTTTTATAAACTTGGGAGCTCCAGTTTTAGGTACATATATGTTTAGAATTATGATGTTTTCCTGTTGGAGAAGGCCTTTTTACCATTATATAACATCCCTCTTTGTCTCTTTTAACTGCTGTTACTTTAAAGTTTGTTTTGTCTGATATAAGAATAGCCACCCCTGCTCACTTTTGGTGTCTATTTGCATGAAATGCCTTTTTCCACCCCTTTACTTTAAGTTTATGTGAGTCCTTATGTGTTAGGTGAGTCTCCTGAAGGCAGCAGATGGTTGGTTGGTGAGTTCTTATCCATTCTGTGGTTCTGCGTCTTTTAAGTGGAGCATTTAGGCCATTTACATTCAATATTGGTATTGAAATGTGAGGTACCATTGCATTCATCATGCTCTTTGTTGCCTGCGTACTTTTTTTTTTGTTCTTGCTTTTTAACTTGTATTTTTGTTTTATAGTTCCTGTGTGATTTATGCTTTAAAGAGGTTCTGTTTTCATGTGTTTCCAGGATTTGTTTCAAGATTTAGAGCTCCTTTTAGCAGTTCTTGTAGTGGTGGCTTGGGAATGGTGAATTTTTTCAGCATTTGTTTGTCTGAAAAAGACTGTATCTTTCCTTCACACATGATGCTTAGTTTCTTTCACTGGATAAAAAATTCTTGGCTGATAATTGTTTTGTTTGAGGAGGCTAAAGATAGGGCCCCAATCCCTAATAGCTTGTAGAGTTTCTGCTGATAAATCTGCTGTTAATCTGATAGGTTTTCCTTTATAGGTTACCTGGTTCTTCTGTCTCACAGCTCTTAAGATTCCTTCCTTCATCTTAGCTTTGGATAACCTGATGAAAATATGCCTAGGTGAAGATCTTTTTGTGATCAATTTCCCAGGTGTTCTTTGTGCTTCTTGTATTTGGATGTCTAGGTCTCTAGCAAGGCTGAGGAAGTTTTCCTTGATTATTCCCCCAAATGTGTTTTCCAAACTTTTAGAATTCTCTTCTTCCACAGTAACACCGATTATTCTTAGATTTGGTCATTTAACATAATCCCAGACTTCTTGGAGGCTTTGTCCATGTTTTCTTATTTTTTTTCTTTGTCTTGGTTGGATTGGGTTAATTCGAAGACCTCGTCTTTGAGCTCTGAATTTCTTTCTTCTACTTGTTCAATTCTACTGCTGAGACTTTCCAGAGCATTTTGCATTTCTAAAAGTGTGTCCAAGGTTTCCTGAATTTTTTATTGTTTTTTCTTTAAGTGACCTATTTCCTTGAATATTTCTCCCTTCACTTCTTGTATCATTTTTTGGATTTCCTTGCATTGGGCTTCACCTTTCTGTGGTCCTTCTCTGATTAGCTTAATAACTAACCTCCTGGATTCTTTTTCAGGTAAATCAGGGATTTCTTCTTGGTTTGGATCCATTGTTGGTGAACTGGTATGATTTTTTTGGGGTGTTGAAGAGCCTTGTTTTGTCATATTACCAGAGTTGGTTTTCTGGTTCCTTCTCATTTGGGTAGGCTCTGTCAGAGAGAAGGTCTAGGGCTGAAGGCTGTTGTTCAGATTCTTTTGTCCCAAGTGGTGTTCCCTTGATGTAGCACTCTCCCTCTTTTCCTATAGATGTGGCATCCTGTGAGCTGAACTGCAGGGATTGTTGTCTCTCTTATGAGTCTAGCCACCCACCCAGTGAGTATACCTGGTCCGGGCTGGTATTGGGGATTGTCTGCATAGAATCTTGTGATGTGAACCATCTATGGGTCTCTCGGCCATGGATATCAGTGCCTGTTCTGGTAGAGATGGCAGGTGGAAGGGGTGCAATGGACTCCCTGAGGGTTCTTAGCTTTGGTGGTTTAATGCTCTATTTTTGTGCTGGTTGGCCTCCTGCCAGGAGGTGGCACTTTCCAGAGAACATCAGCTGCAGTAGCATGGGGAGGAACTGGTGGTGGGTGGGGCCATAGAACTCCCAAGATTATATGCCGTTTGTCTTCCGCTACCAGGGTGGGTAGGAAAGGACCATCATCAGGTGGGGGTGGGGCTAATTTTGAGGTCAGACTTTCCTTGGGCAGGTCTTCCTGCAGCTGCTGTGAAGAATAGGGATGAGATTCCCAGGTCACTGGAGTTGTGTACCTAGGAGGATTATGGCTGCCTCTGCTGAGTCAGGCAGGTTGTAGGGAAAGCCAGCAGTTCCAGGCCTCACCCAGCTCCCACACAAACTGAAGGGCTGGTCTCATTCTCACTGCGCCCCACCCCCACCCCCCATCAATAGCCCCCAGTTCATTTCCAGGTGGAGAGCTATTATGGGCTTGAAAACCTGCCCCAGGCTACCTGCTTCCTAGCTGTGAAAGAAAAGGGCTTGGTTCTTCTCCTGCTGTGGAGTCTGCCCACTGGATTTTTGCCTTCCCCTGAGTTCTGGCCAGGAGGCTTCTCACCCCGTTCAAATTTTTACGAAGTTAAGCTAGAGATTTACTTGTTCCTGCGTAGTTTTACCCTCTGCTCCTCTCCCATTGGATCCCTGTGGTGCCAGGCAGGACTGGCCTGCTAGGGGACCCAGTGAGCTCCCCCCACAGGGCCTATCTGCTGCTTCCTCTATCCCTGTATTTTGCTCAGCTCTCCAAATTGACTCAGCTCCAGGTAAAGTCAGAAACTTCTGCAGGTAAAGACCTTCGACTTCTCCAGTGGGAAGTGTGCCCACTTCCACGGTTGGGGCACTCATAGTTTGGGGGGGGTGTCCCAGGTCCTGCAGGAGCAGTCCGCCTCCTTCAGAGGGTGTGTGGGTCCTCTTGGGATTGCTGGTTTGTTCTTGCGGTTGATCTGGAGCTAAAATTCACAATGCAGGCCCCCACACACTGCTCTGTCCAGAGCTGCAATCTAGTCTTGCCTCTTGTCTGCCATGATGATCTTAAACCTCAATTCAATATCTACGAAACAGTTCTGTGTTGGTCATCCCATTTAATTGGCTCTAACAACTATTTGCTTATCCTATTATTACCTCTTCTCTAACATGAAATGAGTATTTGATAGATTCTTTTAACCTGAAAATTTATTCCTTTGTTTTTTTAGTCTTTAAATGTTTAAATTGTGAAATATATAATTTATCTCAATGTAACTATAATGCATATGTACCTCTGACTGTATTTTTTCTTTTCATGTTTTATCAGATTTTAGTATCAATATTATTTTATAAAAATATAAAAACGAGCTTTTCTATTGTAGCAGACAAGCTGCAGAGAAAACTCCTCAGACATCGAGTTAAAGAAGGAAGGGCTTTATTTGGCCGGGAGCTTCAGCAAGACTTGCTTCTCCAACAGTCGAGCTCCTTGAGTGAGCAATTCCTGTCCTTTTTAAGGGCTCATAACCCTAAGGGGGTCCACATGAGAGGGTTGTGATTGATTGAGCAAGCAGGGGGTAGGTGACTGGGAGCTGCATGCACTGGTAATTAGAACAGAACAGAACAGGTCAGGGATTTTCACAGTACTTTTCTATACAATGTCTGTAATCTATAGATAACATAACCACTTAGGTCAGGGGTTGATCTTTAACTACCAGGCCCAGGGTGTGGTGCCGGGCTGTCTGCTTGTGGATTTCATTTCTGCCTTTTAGTTTTTACTTCTTCTTTCTTTGGAGGCAGAAATTGGGCATAAGACAATATGAGGGGTGGTCTCCTCCCTTATTCCCCCCCTTTGAGACTCTCAATAGTGGGAGTTCTCACTTTCATTTTTGCTACCTATGTCTTCTTGCAAGACAGATCAATAGTGATTCATATAGTACACTTGTGCTGAAGCATTTTGGTGAACTAAGGTAGCAATGAAGCTTTTTATCATTTGAAGAAGTACAGGAAGCAAACTAGGGAGCAGTGAGCAGGTTTCTATTACTGTTATAACTCCTAGTATAAGAGTTTTAAATTTTTTAGCGCTGGGCACCATTTTCTAAACATGGTCTCAGGATCAAATCCATGCCACACTTACACGGGCAAACGTGCCAGTTTTGTCATATTTCTAACTATGTCTTTAACTACTTGGCCTTGATCATCTATGTGTAGACAGCAATTAGTAAGGTTAAATTTTCTACAGACCTCTCCTTCAGCTGCTAGCAAGTAGTTGAGAGCCAATCTATTTTGATAGATAGCATTTCTCATCTGAGTTTCTTGCCAGGCCTGAATAGTCAAGGCTCTGCTAGTCTTATTATTGATTATTTCTAAGACAGCTTGTAATCGTATGATTCAGTTGAGCATGTAAATGGGGGTTGGGTATCCCCACGAGCCATCTTGTGCCTAAGTACCAGGCCTATAATATTGTATGATTCTCTCAGGGGGCCATTTATTATGGTTTTAATTTTTTATAGCTATGTTTCTCTTTTTACAGGAAGCACAGACAGGGAAGCCTAGGAGTTTGCCTGTCTTTATGGGCAGTAAGAAGAAAGATGGTTTAATAGTGCCAATAACACAACTACCTGCCCACTGGTCGGGTAATTTGGTGCAAGCTCTATGCCCACATATCCAGTATAATCCAGTGGGGGCTGTCCAGTTCCGGTGGGACTCCGGGTGGGTTCACACAGTTTGCAACTTTGGGAATTTACTAAACGGATTTTTCTTAGTGTGGTTTGAACTCCACTAGGTGGCTGTTTTTGTAGTATTATTATACAGTTTTTGCCTAAGGCAGCTAAGTCGTCCTACAGGAAGCGTGAAGTCCTTCCCCAATCTTGCTATACAGTATTGTCTAATGATTGAGGCTTTTAGGACCTAGAAATTATCAGGGTGATTTTTTTGAGCTGGGAATTCATCAGGAATTGGGTATGTAGGTACTAATTCTCGGGCTTCCCATGGCCATTGATCTCTTATTATAGTTCTACATACTTAACGTGAAGTGACATTGAGAGACTGGGCTACATGCTCAACTAATTGCAAAAACAAATTTCTTCTTTTTCCTGGAATTTCTGGTACTGGCACATTCAGTTTATCATAGAAGGTTTGAAATACTGGCTCAGGAGAGCATTTATAAATGTCTCCTCAAACTATGATATTTACTCGAGGATCCAGTCTAGCCTTATTGATTCCTAGGGTTACATGCTCTCCTTTTTTCCAGCGAGGATCAAGGGGGTTGTTTATTACTAGTTCTAAGGGGTTACACTGACCACTGGTACGGGAAGGGCCACTTTTCCCTTTCTGAAGGTGGACAGGATGTTTTTTATTTTTTATCTAAGTAGCCTAAGTGACACAAGACCAGTATCTACATTTATCATAGTCTTAATTTATGACAAATGTACTTATTTTTTGCCATATAGCCTTTTTCTTGATTAAGAGAACCATATCCTATTTTTAACTTGTTACTATTAATGACAGCACAGGCATCAAACTTCAAGGTGACTTGTTTGGGCACCTCTTTTTCTTTTGTTGTAGCCAACACTTTACTCATATCATTTATGAGCCCTCACCAGTCCTTAGTCTTTAATCTTATTTCAAAAACTGTGGTCATGGGAGGCTCAGATGGGTCATAACACACATCAGGTTGGTCATTTCCTGGGCTACACACCTTGCATAGGTATGTATTATACAAACAAGTTTTTTTTTAGAGTCTGGTACACTTATAATAATCATAAAATAATAGGACTGTAGCAACTTTTTGTCCTACCTCAGTGACTTGATGTATACACTGGGAACAGTCCTCAGTCTGAGGAAGGTCAGTTAAAGTCCTTACTGTACAAGTCCAAATTATAAGGAAAATGAGTCCTGCGATGAGTTTTCTCATGCTTTGGCCATGCGTCGACCAGTCAGCTTCTGGGCGTGACTGGAGCAGGGCTTGTCGTCTTCTTTGGAGTCACTTTGGAGTGGTTGGCAAAGCTGCTCCCGTCCACGTACTGCTCACAGTCTACTGAAGTTCATGGACGGTTTCAGACGTTGGGCCTGCTGGAATAAACTGAGTCCAACACCTCTACACAGTTATGTTCAACTGGGCTCTCTGATACCAGGAACAAGGTGGCGGGGCTTAGGGTGTTGCAAACTTCAATAGTTATGCGGGGATTTTCACATAGCAAGCTTTGGTACTTGGCTAATCTAGCATTTGTTAACCAATGATGTCCTTTGGTAGTCATTAAAGTTACCACAGCATAGGGGGGCCTTTATATTCAGGTTTTGCCTAAGGGTTAGTTTATCTGCTTCTTGTGCAAACAGGGTCGGTTGCTGCCGAGGCCCTTAGACATGAGGGCCAACCTTTGGAAACCCCATCTAGTTGTTTTGAGAGATAGGCCAGTTGCCTTGGCCAGGGCCCCACAGTCTGGGTTAAAACTCTAACTGCCATTTTTTCTCTTTTTGACACATAGGCTATAAAGGGTTTTGTCAGGTCAGGTAGCCCCAGGGCTGGGGCCGACATGAGTTTTTCTTTTAACTCATGAAAAGCTTATTGCTGTTGGTTGTAATAGATGTGGTTTATCCAGTTTATATTTTTATTAACTGTCACCTACCAAAATATTGACTCAAATCCTGCAGCTATTTGATTTCAAGCTTTAAACTGATCTGGTATTCCCCGTGGGACTCTAATTGTGTCTAAATGCACGTGAGAGTCGAAAGACCTATAAGGGGCTTCTCTCGTTTTACGATGTCTTATTTTTCCTCCTTCTGGTTGATGAAATGCCAGGGTGAAAGGGATAGCCAATTGGACTAAAGTACAAGTGACACTCCAGTTATTTGGCAGAGTGCCTAGTAAAGGTCCACCACAACACCACCATACAGCAGCTCAGGGATGAACAAAGGCTGACTGGTTGATAAGCTCTTGAAAATTTTTAAGCTCACTGCATCCTTTCAGGTCTCCAAGGAATGCTAAGTTTCCTCCTTGTCATGAGAGACATGAAGTGAACTTAGTGTTGGGAGATGGAGGCTGGATGGCCCTCAGGTGCGGACTCGCAGGGTGCTGGACTTTGGGATATAGCAGAGAGAACTTGGCACGACTTATTACTCCAGGCCATAGAATCCTGGAAAACAGCTACCATGCAGCCCACACCTGGTCGACTGGAGGATCACCTTAGTGGAAAGGGGACAATCTGGTCCTCTGGCCTGCCATGTGCATAAGCATAACTATTGCTTTTGTTTAACATGCGGATGGAATATTTGACCCATTCCAACCAGGCATTTGCATCTTGGTATGCTGTCTTAATTGCCAAAGTTTGTTTTAAGTCCTTAACTTCTATGATCCTCTAGTAAAATGAATGTATGATTTTAGGAAATTACAAAAACCTGTTGGGGCAGTCCATCCTTGCTCTTTAGTGGTCCACAGAATGTTGGACTAACTACGGCATAAAAGCTCTACATTGGGGGGTAAGACTCCTGGTTGACACTGGAGTCTTTACCGAAATTTCCTCAGATTAAATGGTTCTAATTTACTAATGCCCAGTCTGAGGAGAGTCAGGAGAGACAGAGGTACTTTTTTGAAATAGAGAGCTGTCTTTGACTTGGCAAGTCCCTACAGCATATAACAAGGCAAGCATTAAATGCAATAGTTTGAGGTGAAATTGACTTGGTTATGTTAATAACCAGACGGTCAGCAATAGAGCGAGGAAAGAAGAAAGAGTAATAGAATAGATGAAAGAGTTAAATTTTTCTTAGCTTTAGTTTGGTAGGGTTTTCCTCTGGGACTGTGGCCCATGACTCTGGAGGGGGTGGCACTTTGACTTGGATGTGATGAGTCCATCCCTTTTCTGCTGTACGAATAGCAGTCTCAGTGGTTAGCAGCACAAGGTAGGGTTCTTCCCAGGCTGGCTCGAGTTTTTCTTCTTTCCACCCTTTGATAAGAAGGTGATCTTCAGGCTGGTGCTGGTTTACTGGAAATTCTAGGGGTGGTACCTGTGCTAAAAGACTTTTAGTTTTGAGGGAACAGAAAGTGGAAGATAAACCAAGTATATAATTTCTAAGGAATTGACTTTTTGTTTTAAATGTGGGGACTTCAACAGTGGACTTTATTTTTTTTAAATTAATTTTTTTTGAGATGGAGTCTCACTGTGTCACCAGGCTGGAGTGCAGTGACGCGATCTTGGCTCATTGCACCCTCTGCCTCCCGGGCTGAAGTGATTTTCCTGCCTTAGCCGCCCGAGTAGCTGGGACTACAGGCATGCACCACCACACCTAGATAATTTCTGTATTTTTAGCAGAGACAGGATTTCACCATGTTGGCCAGGATGGTCTTGATCTCTTGACCTTGTGATCCACCCACCTCAGCTTCCCAAAGTTCTGGGATTACAGGTTTGAGCCACGGTGCCTGGCCAACAGTGGACTTTATAGTCTTTGGTGCCTTTTTACTGAGAAATTTTCTTTAGCACCTATTTTTATTAGTTTTTCGACCAAAGAAAGCCAAACACCATTTTATATTTAATAATGCTTCTTGTATGATTTTTATACCAGATAAGCTAAATTTCACCTTTCTATTACTGTGCTATTAATGTTAAACTTAGTTTTAGTAAAACTTTGTATACATGTTTATTCAATTTTTAATGTTGGACCATAACGTAAGATTTTTATAAACTCTTTTAAACCTTTTATAATCTTTGTTAAAGATCAGGTTAGTGCTTTAAGAAAAACCCATTGTGTTTTTACTTTAATGTCCAGTTCACAGAAAAACTGGATGATACCTTTTTAACTTTAGCTAATATGTTTACACACAGAATTTTTTTTATAATTAACGTTTTAAAACTTGCTTAAACCTTCAAAACAATTTTTTTAACCTCTTAATGTAGGTAAAAATTTACATTTTTATGCCTCCTTATAATCCTTTTACCAAAGGTGTATTTTACTTTCCTTATATACCTTGCACATAAACTGTTTTTTTTTCCCCCAGTAGTTTCACAGTTAGGAGGCCTAGTTACTTTTAAATTATACAACATTTCTTGCATAAATTTTTTTTATAACATTTTTCTCTTTCATGACTTTCTCAGACAATTCTTCGACATGTCTCTACTTTATGACTTATTACAAACATTTCTTTCTTTAAACTACCAGTTAATTTATTTCAGGACAAGAATTTATCATATAACACTCTTTTTACATAAATTCTGCCCTGCCCTTTTTTTCCCTTTTTTTCTTCTGAAGATGATAACCATTCTTTTTCAAAGTGAACTTCTTTTATGTCTGTGGACTAGACCGTCTAAGGCCACAAGATTAGAAGTTAGTATAATACATGTTACACTGTTACTTTTTAGCAAACTTTACTTTTGTTGAAAACCTTGTAAGTTTGGGATTTTAATTATCCTTTGCTATTAATAAGACCTTGTTTTGTCTAAATTAACTTAGAATTGGTATAGATGGCTTTTTTTCCCCTTCAATTACCTGGGAGGAACCATCGATCATCCTGTCCTGAAGGGAGTTCCTCCTAGGTCTGGTCAGACCTTTGTATGGTAGTTAAGATTTAGATCCCCATGTCCCTACAAAGGACATGAACTCATCATTTTTTATGGCTGCATAGTATTCCAGGGTGTGTATGTGCCACATTTTCTTAATCCAGTCTATCATTGTTGGACATTTGGCTTGGTTACAAGTCTTTGCTATTGCGAATAATGCCGCAATAAACATATGTGTGCATGTGTCTTTATAGCAGCATGATTTATAGTCCTTTGGGTATATACCCAGTAATGGGATGGCTGGGTCAAATGGTATTTCTAGTTCTAGATCCCTGAGGAATTGCCATACTGACTTCCACAATGGTGGAACTAGTTTACAGTCCCACCAACAGTGTAAAAGTGTTCCTATTTCTCCACATCCTCTCCAGCACCTGTTGTTTCCTGACTTTTTAATGATTGCCATTCTAACTGGTGTGAGATGGTATCTCGTTGTGGTTTTGATTTGCATTTCTCTGATGGCCAGTGATGATGAGCATTTTTTCATGTGTTTTTTGGCTGCATAAATGTCTTCTTTTGAGAAGTGTCTGTTCATGTCCTTCGCCCACTTTTTGATGGGGTTGTTTGTTTTTTTCTTGTAAATTTGTTTGAGTTCATTGTAGATTCTGGATATTAGCCCTTTGTCAGATGAGTAGGTTGCGAAAATTTTCTCCCATTCTGTAGGTTGCCTGTTCACTCTGATGATAGTTTCTTTTGCTGTGCAGAAGCTCTTTAGTTTAATTAGATCCCATTTGTCAATTTTGTCTTTTGTTGCCATTGCTTTTGGTGTTTTAGACATGAAGTCCTTGCCCATGCCTATGTCCTGAATGGTCATGCCTAGGTTTTCTTCTAGGGTTTTTATGGTTTTAGGTCTACCGTTTAAGTCTTTAATCCATCTTGAATTGATTTTTGTATAAGGTATAATGAAGGGATCCAGTTTCAGCTTTCTACATATGGCTAGCCAGTTTTCCCAGCACCATTTATTAAATAGGGAATCCTTTCCCATTGCTTGTTTTTGTCAGGTTTGTCAAAGATCAGATGGTTGTAGATATGCGGCGTTATTTCTGAGGGCTCTGTTCTGTTCCATTGATCTATGTCTCTGTTTTGGTACCAGTACCATGCTGTTTTGGTTACTGTAGCCTTGTAGTATAGTTTGAAGTCAGGTAGTGTGATGCCTCCAGCTTTGTTCTTTTTGCTTAGGATTTTCTTGGCTATGCGGGCTCTTTTTTGGTTCCATATGAACTTTAAAGTAGTTTTTTCCAATTCTGTGAAGAAAGGCATTGGTAGCTTGATGGGGATGGCATTGAATCTGTAAATTACCTTGGGCAGTATGGCCATTTTCACGATATTGATTCTTCCTGCCCATGAGCATGGAATGTTCTTTCATTTGTTTGTATCCTCTTTTATTTCATTGAGCAGTGGTTTGTAGTTCTCCTTGAAGAGGTCCTTCACATCCCTTGTAAGTTGGATTCCTAGGTATTTTATTCTCTTTGAAGCAATTGTGAATGGGAGTTCACTCATGATTTGGCTCTCTGTTTGTCTGTTGTTGGTGTATAAGAATGCTTGTGATTTTTGTACATTGATATTGTATCCTGAGACTTTGCTGAAATTGCTTATCAGCTTAAGGAGATTTTGGGCTGAGACAATGGGGTTTTCTAGATATACAATCATGTCATCTGCAAACAGGGACAATTTGACTTCCTCTTTTCCTAATTGAATACCCTTTATTTCCTTCTCTTGCCTAATTGCCCTGGCCAGAACTTCCAACACTACAACCAACACAACAAAATCATCATTCTCAGTAAACTATCACAAGAACAAAAAACCAAACACCACATATTCTCACTCATAGGTGGGAATTGAACAATGAGATCACATGGACACAGGAAGGGGAATATCACACTCTGGGGACTGTGGTGGAGTGGGGGTAGGGGGAAGGGATAGCATTGGGAGATATACCTAATGCTAGATGACGAGTTAGTGGGTGCAGCGCACCAGCATGGCACATGTATACATATGTAACTAACCTGCACAATGTGCACATGTACCCTAAAACTTAAAGTATAATTTAAAAATGAATTAATTAATTAATAAATAAAATAAATAAAAATTAAAAAAAAAAAGATTTAGATCCCCTGTTAGGAAACCTGCTGGGTTAAGGGAATTTTCAGTGGTTAATGTTAAATCATACTTTTTTTTTTTTTCTTTAGGATACTTCTGAACTGGTAAGGTGTGCTCACAATGAGGTTTCCTCTAAAAGTTATTTTTTTACTTTTTTCTGTTAGCAAAGCAGTTGCCTCTACAGATTGAATGCATTTGGGCCATCTACGGATTACTGGGTTGAGGATATTTGATAGGAAGGCCTCAGTGCTTTTGGGATATGCCCTTGTTTACACTGACAACATAGTGGTATTGGAGTGTTATAGGGTTATGGAGAATACCTTCAATTATCAATTATAGGTTTTAAATTTACCTTGGCTTTTAAAGGAATAGGGTACGCTGTTGTTGTTTTTTTTTAAACTACTTGTATATCTCTCTCTTTCATTTTTTCTTTCTCTCATTGATTTTCTATGTACAGGAACTGGTTTGGGTGCCTTGGCTTACAGGTTACCTTGTGCCATACTTTTGAAACAAGGGACCTGTCCAGGCTTCCTTCTGATGGCCAACCCACCTCTAATGCCAGCCAGTCTATCTTACACAAAGTTTTAAGTTTTCCTGGTGTCACAGTACTGCATAGTCTCCCTGAAATCCTTTCTTGACATTTTTTAACATAGTTCCTAGTGGGGTGGGCTTACTTTGTGCCTGACCCATGCTTCTTCAAGACAGAACACCATGCTCACACCACACACACACCACAAAACAAAGAATGTGTAAAAAGGGCACACACACACTTTTACAGTTTACACCAAACCAGAATCAAACCAAAATCAGAGTATCAAGAAATCCAAGCCAGGTCAAAACCAAAACTAAAGTATCAAGCAATCCAAGTCAAGTCAAACACAAAAACCCAAGTGGTGGTATGGGCATGCCGTAGGTGATCAGGCCACGCTTCCACTTAAATGGAGTGGGCAAGTTCCAAAGACTAGTCTTACCAAGTTTCAGATGTCCGGACTCCAAGGGCCATTTCCTTCCCGGTGTTCAGCCATGGTGTTGATCCTCCACAAGGGCCTGCCACGCGCTGCTCTGGCGAGGCGTTCCACCAGGGCAATTGCCTACCCGGGAGGGCTTTCAGGATCCATGTAGCTCAAGCTGGCTGGAGTCCCCCACAGGGATGTTCCACAGGGCAGGCCTAAGCCGCCTAAGGGGCTGCCTCGGCCGTCCATTAATCACCTCACTTCCCAGTCAGAGAACGAAGAAATGTAGCAGGACAAGCTGCAGACAAAATTCCTCAGACAAGGAGTTAAAGAAGGAAGGGCTTTATTCGGCCAGGAGCTTCCACAAGACTCACGTCTCCAGCAACCGAGCTCCCTGAGTAAGCAATTCCTGTCCCTTTTAAGGGCTCGCAACTCTAAGGGGGTCCACATGAGGGGGTTGTGATCCATTGAGCAAGCAGGGGGTACATGACTGGGGGCTGCATGCACCGGTAATTAGAACGGAACAGAACAGGACAGGGATTTTCACAGTGCTTTTCTATACAATGTCTGTAATCTATAGATAACATAACCAATTAGGTCAGGGGTCGATCTTTAACTACCAGGCCCAGGGTGTGGTGCCGAGCTGTCTGCTTGTGGATTTCATTTCTACCTTTTAGTTTTTACTTCTTCTTTCTTTGGAGGCAGAAATTTGGCATAAGAAAATATGAGAGGTGGTCTCCTCCCTTACTATAATTTGGAAGATTTTCTCTATCACTGATTTTTTCCCATAAACAAACAGAAGAATTTACCAGTGAGGCAATCTACCCTTGGAGTGTTTTTTTTTTTTTCTGGAAAGTTTTTACTTACAAGTTTACTTTCTGTAATGGATGTGGTTTTTCATCTTGGTGACATTTTCTGTTTCTTCTTGATAAGTTTGAGAAGATATTTATCTAGAAATCTGTCCATTTTTTCTAAAGTTTTGATTTATTATCATGAAGCTGTTCATGATATAAGATTTGTAGTGATATTCCTCTTTTTCATTCCTAGTATTAGTAATTTATGCTTTCTCATTCTTTCTGTCTTGGAATGTTTTTGTCTCTCTGTCTCTGTCTCAATCTCTCTTTTTCTTTCTCTTTTTGCCTTGATACCACAGAACAGGGGCTGTCAAGCTTTTTCTATAAAGGTGGTCCTTTACAGTTAATATTTTAAGTGCTGTGGACTATAACCCTAACTGATACAGTGAAGTTCAAAGTCTGTAAACTGATTGGTTGTTTATTTATTTTTCAAGTTATTAATCAGCAGGTTGTTTTTAAGTATATGTACTCATGCACTGGTATATGTCAGGGGTCAAAAAACTATAAAGAGCCAGATAGAAAATATTTTAGACATTACAGTCTCTGTTGTGACCACTCTGCTATTGTGTCATGTAAACAGCCATAGACAATATGTAGACAAATAAGCATGAGTTCCAATAAAACTACATTATGGATACAGAAATTTGAATTTCATGTGCTACAATATATTTTCCTTCTGATTTCCTCCCCAAAACACCGAAAAATGTAAAAACCATTCTTGATTCGTGAACCATAAAAAAACAAGTGTTTGAAACAGGTATTGAGTTGGATTTGGCCCATAAGCTGTTGCTTGCCAATCCCTGCTGTAGAAAATTTAGTTTCATTGTCCTTTTCAGAGTTTTTGCTATTGTTGTTTTTCTTCCTATTTATGTTTTTTTCCTTCAATAGTTTCTGCTCTTATCTATAATTTTCTTTTTATCTGCTTTGTTTACATTTAATTTGTTGTCTTTATAACTTTTTAAGGTGGACACTTGGATTATTGATTTTTCAGCCTTTTTTCTTTTCTAATATATGCATTTGAAGCCATACATCTCTTTCTTTTTTTTTTGTATTGTATTTTTATTTATTTTCACAAGTATTTGACAGTATGGTAGAATAAAAAATGATTGTAAGCTTAAATTGAAACTGTAAAAATTGCTTATGTATTATTCATAAATGCATTAGGTTGAAAAAGTAAGATGATTGTGGTGACTATTATTTCTTGTCCACTATATGTTTGTTTTTTGTTTTTTCACCAACAATGTCTTCATATTTGAATCTATTCAATAAAGACATAAAGCACAAAAATGCTAGTTCGTATTCACTGATGTCTTTTAGCCACACATAGAAAGATTGAAACCCAATGAAATATCAATAAAATGTTTGAAGTCAAAAATACAGTTTAAAAAAAAAAAAGTATCTTTTCATTGGCTGTATTCTTATGCCATCGGCTTTTGAAAATGTGTTACCATTTTACTGAAGTGTTTTCTGACATCAAAGTATTAGAAATGTTTTTGTTACAAGTTTTTTAAGGCATTTTCTTCATAGACAATACATTTAGCAATCACAAACATGATATCAAGATTAATAGGAAACATGGACATTTCTAGTTAAGAACTATACCGTTTAATGGCAAAAGTTATCTGTGATGAGTATTTAATGTTTTAGACAATCATATTTAAAATTAAAAAGGAATTTAGTGAAAATTTCAGATTAGACATGTTTAATTTGTACTCAATTTTCCTCAGGCTAGAGGTGAACACTTAACCATGAGTAGAAGCTCTGGAGATGAAAAAGTATTAGAAAAACACAGATAACAAAGAATCAACAGAGCGCTTGGATATTTATGTTCATGGCATGTGTATATATTTTACATGGTAAGCATTTTTTAGTATTAAGATAGGTTGATTCAATAATATAGTCATTTAAAGTCATACATCTCTTTCTAAGCACTGCTTTAACTGTATCTCATAAATTTTGATGCCATTTTTTAAATCATTCAATTAAAAATATACATAATTCTTATAATAGTCTCTCTTCTTTGCTTTATTTCCTTCTTTGATACTGGAGTAACTTAGAAGTATATTGCTTAATTTCCATACCTTTAAGAATTTTCTGTTTTTTTTTTTTTTAATTTGTTGTTGGGTTATTATTGTTTGTTTTTTCTCAGAGAGTTGCCCAGGCTATATTTAAACTCCTGGGCTCAGATCATCCTCCAGAGCAGTTAAGACTACAGGTGTGTGCCCGTGTCTGCGTTTTGTTGTTGTTGTTCTTTGTTTTTAGTTGGCTTCTAGTTTAATTCCACTGTGATCAACGAACATACTTGAATGATTTCAATCATTTGAGATTTATATTATGGTCCAGCGTATGGCAAATATTGTCAGATATTCTATGGGCCCTTACAAATAATTTTTACTCTTTCAGTCTTGAATGAAAGAGTAAATTGAATGAAGTGTTCTATATGTCATTTAGTTCTATGTTCTATATATGTCATTAACTTTGTTAACTGTGCTGTTCCAATTTCCTGTTTCTATTGGTTTATTTCTCATTTTAGCTCCATTTTGCTTTATGTATTTAGGAGCTATGTTTTTAGTGTATTCATATTGAGAATTTGTATACCTTTCTGATGAAGTGTTTTTTCTTATCACTATGAAAGAGCACTTTATCTCTAGTTGTATTTCTTGCCTTAAAATCAACTTTGCTATTAGTATAACTATACCAGCTTTCTTTTGGTTAGTGTTTACTTCTTATTTCATTATTTAACATTCAGCTGTCTTATATTCTTATATTAATGTTGTGTTACTTGAAAGCAATATAGTTAGGTTTTGTTTTGTAGTTCTGTCTAACAATTTGTCTTTTTTTGTAACTGATGTATTTCATTTTATTCATTTAAATTTAACATAATTACTGGTATATTTGGGCTTATGTATGTAAACTTACTTTCTTCCTTTAAATTTTCCCTCCTGTTTTATATTCCTTAATTTCTTTTCCGTTGTCTTGTTTTGCATTAATCAAATATTTTTAAGCATCTATTTCTTTTCTTTTCTTTTATCTTCTTCCAGAAATGAGTAGACATAGGTTAAACCTTCTCACTCTCCCCTCCATGCTCCTTTATTTCCTCTTCATATTTTCCATTTTTTTTCCTCAGTGCTTCACTCTGAGCAGTTTCTTCTGCTATATAACCTAGTTTACTAGTTTTTGCTTCAGCAGTGTCCATTCTATTTAACATATCTATTGAGTTTATAATTTCAGTATTATATTTTGCTTTTATATTTCTATTCTTTTGCTTTTTTCAGAAAAATTCTGCTTGATCGGAATGTATAGTCTCTTGTTTTTAGATTATTTATTTTTGTTAATAGGAGAAAAGGCATAAAAGTTTATTTAATGTGTATATACATGGGACCCTTCAGAATGAAGCCCCAATTTCCCATTGAGGTTCAGAAGTGTATATAACATCCTGGCACAACAGGTTCTGATTACATTCTTGGTCTTATGAGGAGGGGAAGAAAAAATTACTGTTCTTTTTGGAGGGTCTGGATCTTAGGCAGATAATGGCCTATGTTTTGGGAGAGACAGTGGTATGGTTGAGGGTGTGTAACGTCAGAGGGACTTTGAGGCCTCTTCAGTCTAGCATGTCAAAATGCCATATTTTGGGTTGTTCAGTTTCTGAGCCCCAATATTCCTCTGTCTGAAACTTCCCTAGAAGTGTCACACACTAAAAGCTGAGTTGGTGGCTGTGGAGAGAAAAATTGAGTTAAAAGCTGAATGGTAAAGGATCCCATTAAACCAGTCTCCCATTTCTGGGAATAGGCCAGTTCCATTAAGCATGTGTGTCATTGAAGTTAGTCTTTCAAACAGAATAAAAACAAAGGTTAATGTTGACTACAATCTATAAGCCAGTTTCCTTAGAATCTGGAGGGCAGTCAATTGAGGTGTCCAAATGTTGGACTCAAAGCATCTTCAGTCAAACTGGAAAAAGGTAGTGGCAATTTGACTAGTTTTTCTTGTTTGTATCACACGGTATGAGCTTCAGCTTGCAGGGCCTCAAGAAAATGGTAGTAGCAATTTCATTGAGTCCAAGTCAGAAAAATGGAAGAAAAATGTGAAACCAGTAGTTTGGAGACTTGTAGCCAGGAAAGAATTCGGGATTCAGATCAAATCATAGGCAGATAATAAAAACCCAGAAATGATGGACAAGGCTAGAATCTAATAATGGGTGTACTATAATTTTCTTCTGAAATATAATTTTCTCTCCTCAGTTGCCATTTTTACCAAGGATAAATCATAGCAGGACTAATTTATTTGCAAAAATAAGTTTTAGTTTTATTATACTTGGCCTGATTATTTGTATAAAATGCAATTTTAAAAAATATATATTTTTTAGAGACAAGGCCTTCTTTTGTCACCCAGGCTGGAGTGTCATGGCACAATCAGAGCACACTGCTGCTTCAAACTCCTGGGCTCAAGGGATCCTCCCACCTCAGCCTCCTGAGTGGCTGGGACTATAGGACCACGTCACCATGCCCAGCCTACTAAATTTTTTTTTTTTTTGCAGAGACAAGATCTTGTTATTTCACCCACGCTTGTCTCAAACTCCCGGGCTCAAGTAATCCTCCCATCTTGTCCTCCCAAAGCGCTGGGATTACAGGTGTGAGCCACAGCAAGAATACTTATTGGCTCTGTTAGGCTTTTTTTTTTTTTTTTTAGACGGAGTCTCGCTCTGTCGCCCAGGATGGAGTGCAGTGGTGTGATCTCGGCAACTGCAAGCTCCGCCTCCCGGGCTCACGCCATTCTCTTGCCTCAGCCTCCCGAGTAGCTGACTACAGGTGCCCGCCACCTCGCCCGGCCAATTGTTTTGTATTTTTAGTAAAGACGGGGTTTCACCGTGTTAGCCAGGATGGGCTCGATCTCCTGACCTCGTGATCCGCTCGCCTTGGCCTCCCAAAGTGTTGGTATTACAGGCGTGAAGCCACCGCGGCCGGCCTGTTAGGCTCTTTTAAAATTGGCTTTGCTGCAACTTTTTTTCCTAAGAAATCTCAGATTAGACTTTTGAAAGCTTCCGGAGCCAAGTCAAAGATTTATCTGTGTCTGCAGATACCTGTATGAATGGGCTCAATTCCTCTCTTCCCAAGGTCCCAAGATAATTTGGGGTGCCTGAGACTTTCAGAAAGTAACATTCTTTACATATCACAGATCAGGAACTTTGTAAAGGAATTGCATAGACAAGATACGAGGCCAGTCTTTCCAAGGGGCTTTTTACCAGCTCTATAATGTCAGCCTTAATTCCTCAAAGCAGTCTGATATGTCTGAAAATCTGCTAATCCACTGAAAGCCTTGGTAAAATAACCAGCGTCTCCAGCTGTGTCCTGTTAGAAATGAAAACAGATTCTATTGAACTTATGCAATATTCAACTATGTTGAGCTTATGTAATATATAACTATATTGCCATAAATTAAGAACACTCACAAATATACTCAATAATTCCATTATCCAAAAAAAAAAAAAAAAAAAATCACAGTTTCCAAATTCTGGAGAAAGCAGGCAGAGAGAGAAAGAAAAATGATTCAAATTTTGCTCACAAAACTATACTTTACCCAATTTGCCATAAGCTATAAATAGCTCAAAAGAAAAAAGTTTTCTTCACTCTGAAAAACAAAACAAAAAGAATTAGCAATGTTTCAAAAAAAGACATAAAAAATTATTTCAGTCTTGTATTAGTTCAACCCCATGTAATAACTCTTGTCTGCTTAGTGTTGGGTTAGTGATCCTCATCATCAACAATCCTCATCAACATTTAAGTTAGAGTCCTGGAGGTCTTTTTCCCTAGTTCAATGGTATGATCTTTGAAGTTATCAGAAACCTGTATTTAAGAGTACTTGTAAGATTTCTTCCATAATTTTCCTTAAAGAAAAAACAGATTTTGGATTGTAGTTGATTATAGACTGCTTTTTGAGAAGAATCAGAGTAAAACAAAAATTGTCTGTGGAAGACAAAAGTCTTAGAACAGCCATGGTTAAAGACACAATTGACAAAGAGATTTGGTTATTTCTGTGGTATACAACAATTTAATGTAATAATCATAATTACTATGGATAATATATACTAAGACATATCAGAATTGCAGGAATCTCTTACAATTTTGGAACACATGTTAATAAGACATTTACATAAATAAAACCCAAAGCAAGTTAAGCACAATTTCATATCTGACAATGTTTCCTATATGATTTTATGTACCAAATAAGCCAAATATGTCTCTCTTGGTCTTTCAGGGGCCCTAATGGTCAAAAAGTTCATTTGTGGTTTAAAAAAAACCAATTTAGAATTTGAAGTTTGATTTTGGAGAGTTTGTAAAATATCAAAGGTTTAAAACACATGATATCACAAAATAAACTCACACAACTGTAAAATAAACCATTCATTTAGCCAAAGTGAAAATTTAAATAACTCAAAAAGCAAAAATCCTACCACTTGATAGAGAGGAGACTTAGTTTCTCAAACAATCATAAGACCTAATAAAGACAGTATGAAGCGAACAATCCTTCTGCCTTGGTCTCTCAAACAGTTGGGATTAGAGACATGAGCCACCATGCCCAGCCCCAAATCTCTTATTACCAGATTTTAGCCAGGACAAATAGATGATACTTCTGGCTTTTGCACAAGATCCAGAACCATCCCAAAGATAGCTAAAAGAAAGGAAAGTTTCACTAGCCATAAATGGGGTATAACTTACATTTCTGTTCAGCCATATTCTCTAGGGTCTCAGCTTCTCAGCTGAATGTCTACTCACAATGGCCCCAAAGCCCCAGGTGCTCCAAAGATGGAATCAGGCAGGAAATCAAAAGCTGTTTATGTAAGGGAAAAGGATCAATAAATGAAAACCAGAAGCGACTGATTCTCTTATCAGGAACTGTACCCAGGCTACAGTGGGAATTTTAACTACTGGACTTCAAATGGAGCAACCTTGATTATTAATCCTACATGGAATCCAAAGTGGGCAGTTTAAGTGTAATTTTGTTTTAGATTATATTTTTGCTCTTTAATTAGTGAAGATATTTTTTAAGACTAGCTATGACACCTTTATTTGATTTTTATCTTTTCATCAATTGTTTGGAATTAGAGGTCTCATTTTTTTTTTTAACTTAGCAGTGTAATTTACAGGATCCATCTTTTGGCCATTGGATTTTCCATGGTGAACTTAATTTCAATAGTGACCCAATCCAGCAGCCTCTTCAGAGAAGAAGCAATCCCAAGGATGCCATTTTCCAGAAAGAGGCTAAGATAGCAAAACAATTGTTGCCACAGACAGTCAAGGATTGTGTTTGCCTCCAGTAACCCACAAATTTGTGAGGAGGCCACCACTCATAGACCCGTTAATCTGTGACACAGGGTAGAGCCTCCTGAATTGTACTTTCTCAGTACTCACTAGGCAACAAAAATTGAGATGACAAAATCCCCTTATGGATAGGACTTCTTATGACATACTCTCCCAAGAGCTTGGCACATTCAGAACAAAAAAAATCTCAAGATCCCAGCCATTTTCAGGCTGGCCACTTGACATGACCTGGAAATCAGATACCCTGGATGGTAGAGACCAAGAGAGAGTGGTCACAGATCTAGATTGGTCACAAATCTAGCTCTCGAAGACATAAAACAAGACAATGGGGAACTTTATCTGGTACCTCTCTTTATGGACAACACAGAAGGACAGACAAAAGAAAATACTATTTCTGGGAGAAAACGAATTAGACAATGTGAATATCCATAACACAAAGTACCAAAAAGTACATCAGAGTAGCTAACCCCCAGGACAAGTCACACAAAACCTTTTTTCCCATTAATCAAAACCTTGCAGAGGAGACAAATGGATTTTTACTGTCCACTCAACCAGATTACACTGAGAGAGTCTGGGAGACGAACTGGTAAAAAATTCTTACCTTTTTGCCAGTTTTTAGATTCTTGGGTTCTCTTCATTGTGGCTTTCAGAACAGAGCAACTTTGGTGACCCTGCTTACTGCACCATAACTGTGGGGGTCAAGGCCCTTGGCCCCCTAAACATTGAACAATCACTAACATGAGGCAGACTGGTTAATAGGAGAAAAGGGATACAAATGTATTTAACGTGTATACACAGAAGCCTTCAGAATAAGGCTCCAGGATCAGGAGTCCCCAATCCCTCGGCTATGGACCGGTATTGGTCTGTGGCCTGTTAGGAACCTAGCTGCACAGCAGGAAGTGAGCAGCAGGTCAGCGAGCATTACGGCCTGGGCTCCACCTGTCAGATCCCTGGTGGCATTAGATTCTCATAGGAGTGCAAACCCTACTGTGAACTCTGTGGGTAAGGGATCTAGGTTGTGCATTCCTTATGACAATCTAACTAATGCCTGATGATCTGAGGTGGAACAGTTTCATGCCAAATCCCCCCAACCCCCACGCCCCTGTCCGTGGAAAAATTATCTTCCACAAAACTGGTCCCTGGTGCCAAAAATGTTGGGGACTGCTGACCCAGATTACATTTCAAAGCCCCTTTTAAATTAGTAGAAACATCTCACTTATTGAATTTAATATGCAGAAAACCCCCAAATCTGAAGTTTTTGAATGTCTGATTCCACTGTGAGTTTTATCTCATTGCTCTAATTCATTGCCTCTGAACCTGTTTGATTTTGCCCTCCAGGGGACATTTAGACAAGTCTGGCGACATTTTGGTTGTCACAGCTGGGGAGGTGGGAGGGTAGTTCTTATGTCTACTCTGTATAGGTCAAGGATGCTGGTAAACATCCTATAATGCACAGCACTGCACCACACAGTGAATTATCCTGCCCAATATTGTTATGGTTGAGAAATCCATGATACTTTGTTTCCTTCAGTGATTTATGCTTTTGAATGTGAGCTTACCTTGGAGCTTTGTCTATAGGAATTCTGATAGGTGTAGTTGAAGTTTGTTTTCCACCATGGATGATTAGCTACTGCCAATTGCCTGAGGACACTACCATCTGGAACAACTTTGATTTCTCAGCCTGGGTTTTTTTGAGACCACATGTAATATGTCAATTTGCTCCATGTTACCACCTTCCCCAAAAGCAAACCCAACCCAACCAAAACCCTAGTTAAGGCCAATTTGTGTTTACATATCCTAAGATAATTTTCTTTCTGTCTCCCAGTATCAAGATTAAGACAAAAAGGTTGCCCCCTTCAGCATGTCGAGTCATGTGAGGGTGGCTACCCTCTGGGGCTGCAGCTTTCTCACTTTGGAAGACTTATGAGTTTTTTCCTGTGCCCTGTACAGTGAAGAACAAAGAAACTAGTGACAGTTTGATGAGAAACAGATATACACATAGCTTCAAAGAATCTCTCCATAAAGTACTTATTCATTATAAAAGGAAAAAAATAATTTCATAGGGAAGAAACCTGGTGGATGACATCTTAATCAAGTGATCAAAGTTACCACCACGACTAATGACACAAACCAACATTATATGCCTCCTGATGTGATGTGACATGCTAGAAAGAAAACAACATCATTTATACGGTATTTCTGCCAGAGAAACATAATCTGCATTTTCATGTTAAAGTGAAGTCGATTATACATAGCATTGTTAAAAGTGATTTTGGAGTTTTTCTCTTCATACAATTTTAAGGTTGTAAAGTTGACAGTCTGTTTTTAATTCACTTTTACAAGTTGTAAATGTTTTGCAAATATGTTTCTTTCCTGTAAGATTTATTTCTTAGCTGGTTAACCTAGACAAATTGATTTCCCAGAGGTTACTTTGTTTAATGTTATGGTACCTATACACTAAATAATCTATAAGGATAAGACAATATACTTTGATGTTTATTTTACATATTTATAAACATTTTTGACTCAAATTATGAAAAAGTTTTTCCTAAAATTTTCTAGTGGATGTGCTGTCTCTTAACATTCTCCTTAGCTGTCAATTGATTTCCTTGTTTAACTATTTTAAAGTTCTTTATAATAGTTGTTATTCATAAATCAAGTGCTTTTACTCTTACAATAAAAATATACACTTATATTTCCACTCACAATGCACTTAAAGAAAACTTTCAGTCCTGGTTACATTTAAAATAGTTACCTACATTTATTTTATATTGACAATATCTGAATCAAAAACCCACTGATAGCATCTACTAAAGCTGAACATTCACACATTGCATGAAATAGGAAAGGAGGGCTTATGTCCTCCAATAGGTGTGTTCATAGCAGTTTAGTATAAAATCCCCAAACTGCCTATCAACAGTAGTGTCTCTCAATAGGAGAATGTATAAGGACATTTTAGTATACTTATACAATCAAGCAGTGGAAAAAAATAAACTATTGCTTTATGCACCAACATGGATAAATATCACAGACCTATTGATAAATGAAAGAAGTCAGAAATGAAAAGGCTGAAAATTGTATGAGCCATGTATGTGAAAATCAAGAACAGACAAAACCAATCTACAGTGACAGATGTCAGAATGATGGTTACCTTTAGAGTTTATTGAGTGCAAGAATATGGGTGTAGCCTTCTGGGATGTTGAAAATATTCTCTATGTTGATTTGGGTATGGCTTAAAAGGATTTATGCATGTCTAGAAAGTTATCAAGCTGTGCAATTAAGACCTATGTATTTTATTATATGTAATCTATACCATATTTCAATAAAAATATGAATACCTTTGTTATTGCTTAATGTTATTGTATTGATTAGGTTTTAATCTAAAATGTCACACACAAATTCATGAGATGCCAGATAGGTGTTCAGTTATTTACTCTTGGGTCAAGGTAAAGTCAAATGAACTTTGGCCAAATGCTAAGATGTTGGCCTAAGAACAGTCAAGCAAACACGAGAAAGAATAGGAAGATCACAGAAAGATGTATGTGCACGTGGGTACTCAAGGTAAAATAAAAGACACCATAAATCAATGGGAAAAACTGATTATTTGGTAAATGGTGTTGGGTAAATGGTGTTGGCAGAAATATGAAGAAAACTAAAATTGATTCCTACCTCACATCACTTACAAAGGTGAACTCTATATGGATTAAAGAGCTAAATGTGAACAGTACAAGTTAATTTTTAAAATGTAGGAAGGGACTTCTTAAACAAAACCTCAAAAAGTTATAGCATAAGACAAAAAAAAAGATGGTTTTGCTCACAACAAAATTAAGGATGACGTTAACAGACTGAGAGAAGTTATTTACAATGTCTGAAATTGACAAAGGGCCAGTACCTTCACATCCAAGAAACTTCAACAAATCAAAATAAGAAAAAAACAGGCCAGGGGGCACTGGCTCATGCCTATAATCCCAGCGCTTTGGAAGGCCAAGGTGGGAGGATCACTTGAGCCCAGGAGTGAGTTCAAGACCAGCCTGCACAACACGGTGAAACCCCGTCTCTAGTAAAAATATAGAAAATAACCGAGTGTGGTGGTGCATACCTGTAGTCACAGCTGTTTGGGAGGCTGAGGTGGGAAGATCACCTGAGCCTGGGAGGTCGAGGCTGCAGTGAGCCGTGATCATGTCTCTGCACTCCAGCCTGGGTGACAGAGTGAGACCCTGTCCCAAAAAAAAAAAAAAAAAAAAAAAAGGAAAAGAAAAGAAAAAAACAAATATCAAAACAAAAGACAGTTTATAGAAGAGGAAATACAAGAGGCCAAAAGCATAAGAAGAGATGTTTAAATCTTTTAGTTAACACCAAAGATGCAAATTTAACCAATAATGATATATTATTTGTGACTGGCAAAAATTAGAAAGGTGGAGAATGGGCAGGATTGTAGTGATGTGGAATATAGGAACCTTAGGTACTCCGGCAGTTCTACAGAGCAACGTGCTAGTACCCAATTGTATTATGCATGTGTGTACCTAGGGACCCAGCAGTTTCACTCCCAGACAGATACTCCAAAAAATTCTCACACAGTTCTGTAAGGGGACATAGAAGAGTAAGTTCATTACAGTGTTGTTCACAGTAGAGCAGAGGTGATGCTAACCTGATTGTCTGTGTTCTAAAAATGTGCATGTGTACATATGATATTGCAAAACAGAAGAAACTGTCTAGATGTAAACAAAGCAATATGAATGGCCCTTTGAACAAAAAAAGAATAAGGAACATAATGAGTTATGCAATACATGTATTCAAAAATAGTACATATTTTGTAAAAACATCCAAAATAAGAGGTTACAAACTGAAAACATTGGAATGGTAGGTTATTTATGCCAAGTGAAGAGTAGGGACTGGGGAGTAGTCTCAGTATGTGGAAAATAAATTTGCAATTAACTCGCAATTTTCAGAACGATGTGTCTCCCTCCTTGCTGCTGTGTCAAATGTCCAAACAAGAGCCTCTCTGATTCACTTTCCCTAGGATGTAAACCAAATTTTTCCTTCCCAGGACTTGATGAATCCCACTCTCTGGCCACACTCCCCAACCCTGCTTTCTAAGGCACTTGGAGCCCTAGTCCTGATCTTTAGGTTTCTGCTGTGGGACTCAGGGTGCTCTCTGTGGACATCACTCTCTAGGGCATTTAAGGATGAGTTTTCCCTGATGCTGTATCACCCTTTTTCCCCCAATTTTTGGACATGGCACTTCCACTGACATCTCCCATTCTCTTTACCTTTCATTCTATACTTTTAAAAACATTTCATTACTGTCATTTTTCTGGAGTTTTAAGAGGGAGCAGAGATTATGAATTAATCTGTTGGGTATAAGTGCACCGGGAGCTGCAAACTCATCCTTTGGAAGAATATTTTTTAAACCTGTGCTTTTCAGGGTGTACAGGATTCACAAAGTCCTTTCTAACATTCCAACAGTCATTTAAATTATAAAATCTTAACTAAGATCATAATAATATTGAGTCATGTGGGGGAAATTGTAGCTTAATTCCTCTTTAATTATTTTTAGAATTGGCAATCCAGGTGAAAGATGCTTAGAATCTAGATCTAGACAGTTGCAGTAAGTAGAGAAAGGAGGAGCACATGAGAGAGAGGCTAAAAAGGTAGAAATGGTACAAATTACAAAAGGTGACAGAGGATGACTCTAGATAGCTCTTACAACTGCCATTTGTGGAAAAAGGCATTATAGGAGGAGGAGAAACTGATGAGGATGCTTTAAAATGTAGTTATATTACTATTCAGATGTGGTGAGGCCAACAGATCAGAAGATGATTACCATTAAAAAGAGCTTGATATACTTGTAGATCCCAAGAGGAGGAAGGACGCCACACCAGGGGAGGATGCCCGAGAAGCACCAGGGTCTATCAGGAGGCAGAGGGAGGATGGGGACTATGGGCAAGAGTCCATAGTCTTATGGTTTTTGAGGGAAGGAAACCATATTATGATTTTTGAGGGAAGGAACAGGTGAGGCAGAGTAAGCAGGCTTAGGATTGGCTGGTTTGAATTATTTCAGTGCGCTATGGGGCACCGGGCTAACCCTCGTTGTCTTGTAGTTGGCCCTGGGTGATTATGGCAGGGGAATAGTAGTCCTGAGTAAGAGCCTGCTAGAGGAGGTGGTGGCACTATGAGTTGATAGGTTTGCACTTGAAGGGTGTGCTCTAGGATGAGTTGTTTGGTATCTCCAGGATTTAGGTGACCCTCAGAGGAAAAATGCCTCCAGGGTCAGCAAGACCCCAGTATGTCAAGGCATCAAAATACAGCAAAAAATAAAAAATAAAAAGAAGACATGATGAATACAGCGAGGAGAACTGAAGCCACATGCATGTGCTGAGTTGCAGGTGTCTTGTTTGTGAGCCTTCAAGAGGAGATGTCTGTAGGTGGTTGGAGCTCATTTTCAGCTCAGCAGATTTACTCTGGAGACTTAAATCTGGGGACCAGCTAGAAGAAGCAGTGACAATCATGAGTTTGCTTAAGGGCGGGGAAGAGGAGAAGCCCCAGTGGTTCAGGAGGAAAACAGAAAGAAGATCTCACAAGGGAGATAGAGCATGAGAGCGGCACTTGAGGGTGGTGTGGCAGACAGATGGAGATGACCACACACCACTGTGCAGGCACTCCAGCAACGCTCTCTTCTAGCAGAAGGAAGTGGCAGAGGGAAAGGAAGTTGGGAGAGTAACCAGGACATTGTTGGTGGGGCTGAGGCCTACCTAAGTGCAACCTTTTAGGAATCCTCATGCCTTTCCCCAGTCAGAGTCATTGTCTTACCTGGGAGCCTTCCACTGGTCTTCTACTTTTCTTTTCTTTTTTGAAAAAAAAGGGTGTAAAATACACATAATATAAAACTTGCCACCTTTGCCATTTTTAAGCATATGGTTTAGTAGTGTTATCTGTAGAAATTTTTCACCTTGCAAAACTGAAACTCCATGCCCATTGAACACTAACTTTCCATTCTCCCCTTCCTCTAACCCTGGGAACCATCATTCTGTTTTTACTTCTGAGAGTTTGACTACTTTAGGTGCCTCATATAAGTGGAATCATATAGCGTTTGTCTTTCTGTGACTGGCTTATTTCACTTAATGTCCTCCAGGCTCATCCATGTTGTAGCATGTGTAAGAATTTCATTCTTTTTTAAGGCTGAATAATATTCCATTGTACTGATATACGACATTTTCTTTATTCATTCATCTGTTGATGGATACCTAGATTGCTTTTACCTTTTGGCTAATGTGAATAATCTTGCTATGAAGATGGGTGTGTGAATATCTCTTCAAGACCCTGCTTTCAATTCTTTAGGTATATGCCCAGAAGTCGGATCGCTGGATCATATGGAAATTTTAATTTTTTTAAGGATCTGCCATACTGTTTTTTTCCTGCCCTTCTACTTTTATGAAATGGTGTGACTAGAATAGACATTTTAGATGGCAAAAACTGTTGAAAGACAAAATTACAATAAACCTAGTTTTGCAGATCTTAATCGGCTTTAATTGCCATTCAGAAATTGGGAAACAGTTTGGACCAAAAATGGTTCAGAACGCCCCACCCCACCATATGTGGGGATTATATTAATAGCCAGAGGGAAAAACGTGATATGCGCAAAACTGAAGTGAGGTAGGGAGACAGCCAGATTCATGATGATCGGTCAGCTTGGTGTCTGTCTTACTGGAACACAGTTGGAAGAGCTGGCTGCCTGGGACTGGCTGAGACGCACACTCCAGGCTTGGATTCAGTCAGTTTCCACACTAAGTTAAGTTGTAATTTGCTATGTACGGAGAAGCCTTTAGGCCAAACTTAATTCGACATCACACAAATGTTTTGATTTCTTCCAGAGGACTGAAAGTGAACTTGGTAATGAAAAGGTACCAGTGGATAAAAAGTCAAGGAAAGGGTCGAGGTGAATGACATAAGGGTGGAGAGGAAAAAAGACAGCAGGGACCAGACGAACCCACGGTGACAAAAAAAAAAAAAAAAAAAAAAAAAAATTCAGTTCTGAAACGGGAGGAATTTCGTGGTAGCAATGAGATAGAGAGAATACTTTCTAGATTCCTGCGCTCTGAAGGAGCAACCCCAGATTCAATATAATAACCAAGAGTCTTTTTAAAATTTGTACTTCCATACACATGAAGTTCAAACTGCGAAAACTATAAACACTGAGTGTTGGGATCTGAGCAGGGTCTTCGCATTTGCCAACCCACATCCCTTCCTTCTTAGATGAGAAGATGTGTTTTTTTCTTAATTTGTTTCTTGAAATGTGAATGGGAGAATGGGGGGTGTCCTACAAAATCGAGGTAGAGAGAGTAAGGGACATAGGCAAACTGGGTGACAATGGGTCCTGTTCTGGAAGACGTTTCCAGCGCAGCTTCTACAGAATACAGCCTCCTTTTCTCCTGCCTTCTGTCACATCTCTGGCTTCCCTGTTAATATTTAATTTGGCACCTGTATTAGTCAGTTTTCATGATGCTGATAAAGACATACCCAAGACTGGTTACTTTACAAAGGAAAAGAAGTTTAATGAACTCAGTTCCACGTGGCTGGGGAGGCCTCACAATCATGGCAGAAGGCTAAAGGCAGGTTTCACATGGCAGCAGACAAGAGAGAAAACAGAACCAAGCGAAAGGTGTTTCCCCTTATAAAACCATCAGATCTCCTAAGACTTACTCACTACCACTAGAACAGTATGGGGGAAACCGACCCCATGATTCAATTATCTCCAATCGGTTCCCTCCTACAGCGCGAAGGAATTATGGGAGTTACAATTCAAGATGAGAGTTGGGAGGCGACACAGCCAAACCATAACAGCGCCTGACAACCCACTGGCTTCATCGGCCAGCGCGTACCTCCCTGGGCGCTGCCTCTGTGCCCGCCCGGGACCTTCTGGGTCCTTCTTCCTCATCTCTGGCCTAAGCCCTCGGTCAACTCCGACAAGGCTGGACCTGGAGCCCGCCCCCTGTCAAGGCTTCTAGTGCCGACTCCTCAGCCAGTTTTCCTGCCCTCACACCCGGGAACGGGGCCCACCAAGCTGCTCCCTGAGTGGTGCTGGCCTGGGTCCCCACAGCCCGGCCTCTGCAATGCAGAACTCTGCCCCGCGCAGCCGGATGGAGTCCGGGAAGGGCGGGCTCTTGGAGAAGTTTGTCCCAGGACCTTTACTTGCAGCCGTTGCCAGGTTGAGAGCCTAGATTTGCAAAGGGAGGCCTGACTTGAAACGGAATTTGGTAATAGAGCTGAAAGGACTGAAATGTTCTGCCCAAGGCTGGAAGAAATCGGTGTAGGTATTTGATTGACTGCTGTGCGTGCTTTTTCTCCTTGAGGAATACAGGGATCAGTTCTCAAGGCTGAAGCCTAAAGTTCATGTTACAAAATAATGAAGTGTTTTTCTCCCCTTCTTTAAAGACATATCTAATAATACATGTTCGTGTTTGTTGTGTATACAACATTTCTGGAGAAATACACGAAAAATATTATCAGTGGTTAGTCTGGGGAATGGGAATAGTGGGAGAGAAACTTTTACTTTTTTCTTTGCACACTCTATACTGCTTGAATTTATGATAATGCATTTATTTTATGAAAAAGGAAAACAAGAATGCCCAATATTTAATGTTAAGGTGTTAAAGTTTCCTAGAAGTAAACCCTGTTCATCTCCCCCATATTTTAGTAAGACCACTCACCACTGATGTGAGTGGGATTTTAGGGGGTTAGGGATATGGGATTTGTTTGTTTTCTGAGGAAATCAAGGAAAGGGGCCAGGATTTATGTCTAGCTGGGCTAGAGGCACAGCCCAGACAGCACACATAGGACTTCCAGGCAATTCTTTTTTTTTTTTTTTTTTTTTTTTTTAAAGATGATGGCCTCAAACTCTGGAGCTAAAGAGATCCTTGTTCCTCAGCTCCCTGAGTAGCTGAGGCTGCATGTGCATTCAAAGAAATTGTTGAATTGAATGAATTCAGCAGAAGCTAGAGTCTGGAGACTATGATCACCAAGTAAACATTGTACTTGTGGGAATTCATAGGTTTCTGTCTTACTTAACTTTCCTAGCAACTCTGCAAGGTAGGTATTAGCTATATCTCCATTTTACAGATGAGGAAACTGAAGTTTAGAGTTTACACAATTTTCTAAAGTCCATACAAGGGCAGAAGAGCAGACTTGGGACTTGAACCTACTGAGTCCCCACACTTATGACTATGTGTTTTTTGTTTGTTTGTTTTGAGATGGAATTTGGCTCTTGTTGTTCAGGCTGGAGTGCAATGGCGTGATCTCGGCTCACCACAACCTCTGACTTCCAGGTTCAAGCGATTCTCCTACCTCGGCCTCCTGAGTAGCTGGGACTACAGGCGTGTGCCACCGTGCCCGGCTAACTTTGTATTTTTAGTAGAGATGGGGTTTCTCCATGTTGTTCAGGCTGGTCTCGAACTCCTGACCTCAGGTGATTCACCCACCTCAGCTTCCAAAAGTGCCGGGATTACAGGCGTGAGCCACCGTGTCTGGCCACTTATGACTATGTTATACTTCCACCTCTTCTATGATCTGTGTTTGACAGTCCTCTTAAAATGCAGTATCTGGAGTTGATACCATAGTCCCAATATGACTGGACTGGTACTGAATACAATAACTCTATGTCTTTTCTTGACCTGGCTGTTCTTTTTAATGAACTCAAGATTGCACTAATCACCTGACACAATTGGCTCATATGAAGTCTATAGTCAAGATAAAAATTCCAGCTCTTAGGCCAGGCACAGTGGCTCACTCCTGTAATCCCTGCATTTTGGGAGGCTGAAGTGGGCAGATCATACGAGGTCAGGAGTTCGAGGCCAGCCTGGCCAACATGGTGAAACCCCATCTTTACTAAAAATACAAAAAATTAGCCAGGTGTGGTTTTGGGCACCTGTAATCCCAGCTACTCAGGAGGCTGAGGCGGGAGAATCGCTGGAACCTGAGAGGTGAAGGTTGCAGTGAGCTGAGATCATGCCAGTGCACTCTAGTCTGGGGGATAGAGCGAGATGCCATCTCAAAAAAAAAAAAAAAAGAATCTCAGATCTTTTCACAAGAACCGTTTTAAACCCGTAGGTCACCTGCAAAAGGGGAATGAGATTTCATTTCTCTGAGAATTGTACTAGATATTGTTGATTGTCTAACCCAGAGTCATTCTTTTCTTTTCTTCTTCCTAACAAACCCTACTTTTTTGCAGGTATTTGCCCCTTCTCCAGGAACCCTGTGTGTCTCAAGAAATGCTGGCTCCACTTGCAATTCCAAGGGTGGCCTGATTGATCAAAAGGCGATCTTGTGCCTTTGACTCATTAACAAATAATTTTGGCCCAGGAGATGGAAGTAGAGCTGGGCTGGACCCTTCTAGGAAAGCTTTTCCTCCCTTTTCTGGGTGAACTCCTGGAAATGACCCTTTCTTTCTCTGGATTTATTGCACGTGGATGTGAGCCCTGGATCCGCTGTGGACATGTCATCCCCAACGTGGGATGAAGCTTGCATTACCACAGGAGGCCAGGCAGAGAGATTTCAGGGAAATAGAGATAAGGCCATTGGGATTTGAACCTACTGAGTCTAGATAAGGCCTAGAGATAAGTCAACCCTCTAGGCCTTTTTATACCCTGACTTCTAGCTATGTGAGCCAATGCATTTCTGTCTTGTTTAAACCTTTTTGGATTGAAGGTTGTTTTTTTTTTTTTAATTACACATGTCCTGACTAATGTGGCTATCAAATGGTATAACATTTAGTTGTTATGTATTAGTTTTCTTTCCCTCTGACATGATGGTGGTAGCATGGTGTGGTGATTGTGTGTGTGAGCTTTGCATTTCAAGGTTCCCAGATAGTTTCCTAGCTTCACCTCCTCCAAGTTGTGTGACCTTGGGCAGAATGACTTACCCTCCAAGCCACAGGTCACTTCTATGAAAAGCAAGGGTAATAAAAGTTCCTGTTTCAGATTTGCTGAGAGGATTAATGAAGTCATCTATGTAAAGCAACAGTCCCCAACCTTTCTGGCACCAGGGACCAGTTTTGTGGAAGACAGTTTTTCCACAGACTGGGGGGCTGTTTGTGGTGGGAGGAGTGGGGGATGGTCTTGGGATAAAACTGTTCCACCTCAGATCATTCAGATCATCAGGCATTAGATTCTTATAAGGAGACACAACCCCGATCCCTTGCATGCGCAGTTCACGATAGGGTTCGAGCTGCTACGAGAATCTAATGCCGCTGCTGATCTGACAGGAGGCGGAGCTCAGGTGGTGGAGCCCGCTGCTTATCTCCTGCTGTGCAGCCAGTTCCTATCAGGCCAGCGAATGGGGACTGAGGACCCCTGATGTAAAGGATTTAGTGCTTTATGCTATCTAGCTGCATGATGCACAAAGCACAAAGTGCAGGGCCAGGCTCATGAGAAGCACTTGGTACTCAGTACATTTCAGCTATTATTATTCACTTCCGTGTGTGTGTATATGTGTGCGAGAATGTGCAGCTTAACTGTTGGACCTATATTAAGCACTTCACTTTTTCTGGGTTATGTTTTATATTCTTTTTCACCCTATCATTTCAAGCTGTAGTGATCTCTCTGACTCTTACCGTCCAACATGCTGAAATTTCTTTTCTTGAATATAATTTATGTATTTATTTTAACATCTTGCTTTTGATTGTGATGTTTCTTAAAGTTTTGGTTCATCTAAAGATTCATATGCACATGTCCTCTTGAGCTCACTCCAAGCTGTTAGTAAAAGGGTTGGTATGGCCCCTTCATCCTGCCAGTAGAGATTTCCTTTGAATGTTATTTGCCCCAACCTGATTTCAAGCCCCTGTATCCTGCTTCTCTCTATTTCCCAAGTCACCTGATTTCCACTTGCAGGTTCTACCCTTTTTAGAGTCTGGGGGAAGAAAACTAACATTCGTTAAGCACCTGACGTATGCTAGGCTCATTGCTAGGTGCTTTATGTGTTATGCCTTTTAATCCTCACCCTAAGTGTTCTGTAAACACAGAAGGAACTTGAAGCTCAAAGAGGTTGAACAACTTGCTAGCAAAGAGCTGATCTCTGCAAAAGGCTGTGACTTTTCCACCACTACCAATGCTGCTTCTAATTCTAGTTGTGCTGGTGGCCTAGGAGGGCTGTAGATGACCTTCCTGGGTGTTGTGGAGATCCAGCATCAGGCACACCAATCCCCTAAAGGGCTAGGAGCTCCTGCCCCCAGCTGCTGCAGGCTCAGAGCTGGGCAGATTCCCTGACCGTGCTCTCTGCTGAGGGGCTGCAGCATTACCCAAGGGCACAGCACTCCCTAGGCATGCAGTTCATATCCCAGCGACTGGTCCATGGGGAGCAGAGCAAAGGCCTGGCTCTTTCCTTAATTTAAGACATCCTTAAAAGTCCACCCCACTCCAGACCTCCCCATGGGATCAGGAGGTAGAGGCCTCTAGTTCAACATTTCCTCCGAGTTCAACATCTCCTCCTTCACTCCCTCATGATCAAGAGCCCGTAACCCTCTGCATGCTAATCTCCATCTCAGAAACCTGTCAGGCTGCTTGCCCAGCTCTGTGAGTGTACCCCATTTCCAGCTTTGACCCAGGCTCCACATACCCTAGTTCTGAACATGGAGTCCCCTATCCTGAGTCCCTTCTTTATCCTTCACCTTCAACCTCAGGTACCTGTGGATCGACTGCCCGCCCACCAGCTGGAGCCACGAACATTGTCTGCTCCCAGGCTTCCTGATTTGGCATATGGTTCTCCCAGATCTGCTATTAATTTAACATCCTCCAAAAAAAGAAGTGAGATGAGTATGGTATATATAACTCCATAGCGAGTTGATGCTGGTTTTAGCTGATCACCTCTTCCTTCCTTAAGTGATTAAACCATCTGCTTGATCAACAGAGCTAGAAGTATTCTAAGCAGGGTTTCTACATGTTAAAATGACTCACTTGGCACTCAATATCTGCATTTTCTTTCTTAATTGTTCTTATGTTCTCGGAATCCACCTCTGCCCATTTTTGAAAATTATGGAAGTTCCCCTTGGAAATTTGATCCCTGGACTGCTGCCCAGTGTTCCTGGGATATTAGTAAATTATAAGTTTATTTCATTGGGACCTGGAGACTTGAAAATATCTAAAGCAATAAGAAATTATCATGTTTTACAAATGTATCTTAAGCATCAAATCCTTTCAAGAAGGTTTATAATACTTTTCTAGTTTTAAGCCTATTTTATTTTATTTTATTTTATTTTATTTATTTTACTTTGAGACAGAGTCTCTTTCTGTTGCCCAGGCAGTATGTAGTCACACAATGTCGGCTCACCGCAACCTCTGCCTCCTGGATCAAGCAATTCTTCTATTTCAGCCTCCCAGGTAGCTGGTGCTACAGGCGCCAGCCACCATGCCCAGGTAATTTTTGTATTTTTAGTAGAGACAGGGTTTCACCATGTTGGCCAGGCTTGTCTCGAACTCCCGGCCTCAAGTGATCTGCTTGCCTTGGCCTTTGAAAGTGTTGGGATTACAGGCATGAGCCACCGTGCCCGGCTTTAAGACTTTTTTTCTTTATTGTTTTTATTTTTTTAGAGACAGAGTCTTGCTCTGTCATCCAGGCTGGAGTGCAGTGGCATCATCCTGGCTCACTGCAGCCTTGAACTCCTGGACTCAAGTAATTCTCCTGCCTCAGCCTTCTAAGTAGCTGGGACTGCAGGCATGTGCCTTCACATCCAGCTAATTTTTATTTTTTTTTGGTAGAGATGGGGTCTTACTATGTTGCCCAGGCTGATCTTAAACTCCTGGCCTCAAGTACTCATCCTGCCTTGCCTCCCAAAGTGCTGGGATTATAGGTATGAGCCACTGTGCCTGGCTCTATTTTCTTTTTTAATTTCAAAAATTATATATTTATTTTAAAAAATATTTTCAATTTTTTTTGAGACAGGTCTCAATATGTTGACCAGACTGATCTTGAACTCCTGGCCTCAAGGAATCCTCCCACCTCAGCCTCCCAAAGTACTGGGATTACAAGAGTGAGCCACTGCACCCAGCCCCATTTTCTTTTTTAATTTAAAATTTTTAAAATTTATTTAAAGATATTTTTAGGTGGGGGTCTCACTATTTGGCCAGGTTGGTCTAAAACTCCTGGTCTCAAGCAATCCTCTCATCTTGGCCTCCCAAAGTGCTGGGATTACAGGTGTGAGCCACCATGCCCAGCTGCCCAGTCCCATTTTCTGATGAAGATGATGAAATCTAAATTAAAAGTAAGTTGTTTTGCTCTGTTATTAAATGTTCATTTGTCTTTAAATGTTTTAAGTTTGTTATTTAATGCTCTGTTATGAAAACTTTAGTATCTACTTACTTCATGGGTACCTTAATATGCTAAGTTCTTTATAGACATGACCCCTTTCTAGTAATCCTATGAAGTAGAAGTGATCATTTCTATTGCAAAATATGTGGGATGATTACATTTCTATACAGAAACAGAAATGGGCTCCCAAAGGTTAAAGAACTTACGCATGGTCCTGTCAGTAGTTGGGAACCCAGGGGAGACTCCAGCTTCAGCCCTCTCTGCCTGCCCCAGATCTGTCTCCCTTCCTATCGCATACTGGTCGTCACCGTGCCACCAAGCATGAGTCTGTCCCTCTCCTCTTCTTGATGTTTAAAAAGGCTCTTTTATTGTCTGTGATGGTTAATTTTAAGTGTCAACTTGACTGAGCCATTAGGTGCCCAGATGTTAGGTCAAACGTTATTCTAGGTGTGTCTGTGAGGGTCTTTCTGGATGAGATTAACACGTGAATCTGTAGACTGAGCAAGGCAGTTGTCCCTCCCCAGAGTGGGTGGGCCTCCTCGAAGCCACTGAGGCCTGAATAGGACAAAAGGTGGGGTAAGGGAGCATTGTTCTCTCTGCCTGACTGCTGTCAAGCCAGGACATCGGTCTTCTCCTGTACTTGGACTGGGACTTACACCATCAATTCTGCCGGTTCTCAGGCCTCTAGCTCAGACTGGAGCTACACAACAGGTAATCCTGGGTCTCTAGCTGGCCGATGGTGGACTGTGGAACTTCCCAGCCCCTGTAATGACATGACCTAGTTCTTCATAATAAATCTCTCCCTTTCTCTCTCTATTTCTGTCTCTCTCTCTCCTGTTGGTTTTGTTTCTCTGGAGAGCCCTAACACATTGTCCTTGGCATCATTGCCTCGTTTGGTGCTTCAGAATGCTGATCTAGAGTTCCATGTTCCATTTTGGAACTTGTTGGACATTTGCCATTTTCTTCCGTGTTTCATAAATGTTCTATTAAACACTGAGATTACCAGTGGGCAACTTATATAACTACATAGGTTTTGATATATGCCTTTCCATTTCTCCATACTTGGTGCTGATATTGTGAGAACTTATGTTTTGAATCCCTCATTCCTTTCAAGTCGTCTTTCTTTTTAGACCCTCCAGATATAGATTTGTGCCTATTTTTATCTAAAGTCAGAAGGGACTATACTCAAAATTCCCTCACTTAGCTTTCTGTTTAAGATCTCATCAATTTTCACCTTTCCAATCAGTTCTTTCACAGTTGAGTTAGAATAACAATTTAAATTTATCTTCCTCTATTGACTGAGGGATATAATTGACTTCAAGGCATGTCAAGATTTATAAATTGCATATTTTATTTGTTTGTTCTTTTTGGTCAAGTGAGATCCTCAGCAGTTTTCACATTCCACTGACTGCTGTCCATTCTGGGTAGGAGGGTGTGTTTTTTAAATTTCCTCCTTTACTTGAATTTTCTTAATTTATAAAATCTCCTCTCTTTCATTCTCTTTTCTGTTACTCTAAGCTCTTTTAAAAAAATACTGTGAAGTACACTTTTTTCTTAAAAAAGGAGACAGAAAGAAAAAAAGAAAAAGAGAGAAAAAAGAGAGAAGGAAAGAAAAGCTATAAAATGCACAGAAGTAAAAAATAAGGAGCAAATTTTGAGATCACATTTCCTTCAGCTTGTCATAATGACATATTTGTGTTCTACCTCATATTAGTTTTCTTTAGGGTTTTAGTGCCTTAAGAGCAGAGACTGTTTGTTTATTTAATTTTTGTAGAGACAGGCTGGTCTTTACTATGTTGCTATGTTGTCCAGGATATGTTGCCCAGTCTGGTCTCAAACTCCTGGCCTTATGTGATTCTCCTGGCTCAGCTTTCCAAAGTGCTGGGATTATAGGTGAGAGCCACCACGCCCAGTCAGGACTGTTCCTTCTAAGAACCTTTTATCTACTTTTTAGCGTGTCTCAAGTAAACGTTATCCCTGAATAAATATTTTTGGTTGATGTCATTAAATGACAGTAAAAATAATGTATCTGCTCCTCAATGATCTTTCTGAAGCAAAACAAGTTTCCCCTTGACCTGCGGACTGCACATCCGAGTGATCTTCCTGAGTACTTGGTAGCAGCTTCTGCATAATAACTTATCAGGGTACTCTTTAAAAATTTTTTAAACATATTTTTAGTTTACATACAATATAATTCATTCTTTTTGATGTAAGTTCTATAGGTTTTGAATGCATCAGCATGAACCTATCACCACCACAAGCGAGATAGGGAACTGTTGCATCATCCACCCTCAAAATTCCTCAGAGGCACTTCTGCAGTCAACGCTTCTCCAACTCCATCCCCTAGTAACCACTCTTCTGTTTGCCAACCCCAAAGTTTGCCTTTTCCAGAATGTCATATAAATGGAGTCATATGATATGTAGCATTTTGGGTCTGGCTTCTTTTACTTACCATAATACATTTGAGATTCATCCATGCTGTTAGGGCCTCACTAGTTTGTTCCTTTCTTGCTGAGCAGTATTTCATTGTACAAAGCTATCAGTGTGTTTAAGCATTCCGCAGTAAAAAGACATTGGAGTTTTTCCAGTTTTTGGCTATTATGAGTAAAACTTCTATAAATATTTGCCTACAAGTTTTAGGTGAACATAGGTTATTATTTCACTTGGGTAACTACCTGGGAGTAGGATTGATGGGTGTCTTAGTTGCCTAGGGCCACCATAATGAAGGACCATAAACTGGATGGCTTCAAACGACAGAAATTTATTCTTTAGGCTAGAAATTCTCTAGGCTAGAAGTCCAAAATCAAGGTGTTGGCAAGGCTGCTCTAGGGAAGAATGGTTCTTTGCTTCTTCTAGCTTTTGGCCATTGCCCAGCTGCCTTAGCTTGTGGCCACATCCCCCCAATCTCTGCCTCTGTCTTCACGTTGCCTTCCCCTGTATCTGTCTGCTCCACATGATCATATTCCAGTGTGTGGTCTCCACTTTGACTCCAGGTGACAAAGAAACAACATTGAACCTGAGTGCACACAGCTCCTCTCTAATGCTTATTGATAGAGTTGAGCACGTATGGGGAAGCCAAATGTCACTGCAGGAAACATATTATTTTTGTTACTACTCTTTCTTGAATTCCGTTACTTCCTCCTGGGTTTGCTTTTTTCCTTGTTTAAGTATGCTGAATCTGTCTGGGTTCTTGGTTGCAAACAACAGAAACCAATTCTAGTTAACATAAGCAGAAGACTTTTTGTAAGGACATTGGATAGCTTGCATAATCAATGGAAAGTCTAGATTCCTGAACTTAGAAAATGTGCAGTAACCAAGGGAATGTGGGAATCCAAGCAATCTGCTTCTGACATTACTGTCCTTGTGCACCTGTTCTGTGTTGTAGGATTCTTCATTCCACCACCCTTGTGAAGAATCCTATAATGTTGAACATTGGCAATGGCAAAACAAGAGATAAGTGGAAGCTGGCGCCCACATTCCCCTCCTTTCTCTCTGCTGTGAACTGAAATGCAGTTCCTTTCTGCAACCCTTCTGGAAAATCATGTGTGATGAGTGAATGTGCTGCAGAGCAGCCTGCAGTGTTTGTCTGACACTGAATGGAAGCAGTAGGCCCTGCAATGCTACTAACACACTCCATCGCATTGTGGTTCAGCTCCACTTGCCTCACACTTCTTTTTACTTCACCTTCACTGACTGCCCTGGGCTTACATTTCTCAAAGAAAGTATTAGCACCCTAATCCTCACCTCAGATTCTGTGTTGTAGAGGATCTAAATGCACTGCTTTACAGAAAAGAGTGGGTTTTATGAGGAACAGGCAAACACATGCTCATCAGTTTTCTGAGTAAATCTCCCCAAGGATCTCAGAATTTTGACTATCTTTCGTTATTAAAAGAGACCCTGCTTTTAAAGTTATGAAGAAAATAACTTTTTTAAAAACACGCTTATATAATCAGTGTCAGCCTCTGTCTTCTTAAATGTGCAATACCTAGATGAGCCAAAAGCAAGAGGAGGATTTTAGGCCAACACCTCCCAGTGAATTTACTCTGGTCCACAACTGCATGATGGACCAGTGTGAAACTCCCTTCCATATCAAATCCATCTGGAAATACAGAGAAAAAAGAGACAGCTTGCCATTTACTCCTAACAGAGATTCCAAACAAAGTCAATCTTCCACAAAATATGGTTTTGGTGCTGTGAATTTATAAATTAATAAATCTGAACAGCAAGGATTTATAAAGCTATACTTCTGGCACAAAGTTCAGAGGCAGGGAGAAAGTTGAGATCCTGAACTTAAATGGATTAAGAATAATATACATGACTGTTAACTCTTAAATGGATCAAGAATAATATAAATGACTGTTAACTGGTTGGAAAATGGACAGACAGTCTCATATGGGCACCAGCAACTGGGGGGCTGAAGAAAACGTGTGTTTTCCTAATCCTCGTCATGTTCTTATCAGGAAAGGAAAGCAGGTCAGCAGATTCACATGGGCTAATCAAAAGGTATGCTAAGAATCATCTAGACAATAGTTATGCTTTCTCTTAACTTTATCATTCTAGCATTTCTTGCTTTATTTTAAAATCTAAACTGAAACATTAAATGAGGAATAATGGATCTTTAGCAAAATCATTTAATTCTGTCCACAACAGAATTTATAGACATTTCATACTGAAAAGACAGCTCTAGCCCTTTGAAGCTTTCATTTCTCCAAGCTCCTTTTGCACGTTTAGCCACCACCACATCATTTAATTAAATATTGTGCCAGCTTGTCCTGCTCTGTTTTTGTTTTGTTCTTTGATCTTGGCTTCCTAAGTAGAATATAAACCTCTTCAGAGCTGTGACTCTCTAAATTTCCTTTGCATCCTCCATGCATATAGAAATGCTTTGGCACATAATAGACGCTTAACAAGACTTTGTAGAATTGTTATGAGGATTTCAAAAAGGAAGACATGTACTGTGCTTTGAAGCAGTGCCTGGCATGTGATGAGTACTTCACAGGTGTTGTCTGTTTTCAATGCATTGGGATCCTCACTGATTTTCGGTGTTTAAAATTAAGCTGTAGAAGCATCATCAGGCTACTAGAGAAGGTTGTCCAGGCCTTGGAACAGGGTGGCCTGATACTACAAGGGAAGGTCTAGCTGCTGGTCAGTGTGGCACCCACTGAAATGGAGGGAGATGGTTATGAATGAGCATCATTAAGAGAGCCTGACACACCTACAGCACAGCACAGCCTTGGGTCATGAGTCACAAGAGCCCCAGGTAGTGAAGGCTTATTATTTACTTATAGAAATGTCTAGTGATAAATATATATATATATATATATTTTTTTTTTTTTTTGAGACGGAGTCTCATTCTGTCACCCAGGCTGGAGTGCAGTGGTGCAATCTTGACTTGCTACAACCTCTGCCTCCTGGGTTCAAGTGATTCTCTTGTCTCAGCCTCCCGAGTAGCTGGGATTATAGGCATCTTCCACAACACTTGGCTAATTTTTGTATTTTTAGTAGAGACACGGTTTCACCATACTGGGCAGGCTGGTCTCAAACTCCTGAGCTCAAATGATCCGCCAGCTTCAGCCTCCCAAAGTGCTGGGATTACAGGCGTGAACCACCAAGTCAGGCCAATGTCTAGTGATTTTTAAATGTATCTTTTAAATTTCTGTCCTGGAGATATGGCTTTTAGGTGATTTTTCTCTTCTTGGTTAACAACACAAAGATTTCTATGCAGACTAACAGCAAAATTGTCATCTTATTTTATTTCAAATTAAATAGAGATGGGGTCTTGCTGTGTTGGCTAGGGTGGTCTCAAACTCCTGTCCTCAAATGATCTTCCTGACTTGACCTCCCAAGGTGCTGAGACTACAAGCCTGAGCCACCCTCGGCCAATTGTCATTTTAATTAACTTGATGTTTACTTCCATGAAAAGATTGACAGCAATGTGCTGTCCTCTTTGGCATTTTGTTGATGTTCTTATAGTTCAAAATTTTTAAATAGTTTACTGTCATATAATTAATACTTTCACATCCTTTGATGCCTTGATAGTGTATGTTGGTCCAAAAGTAATTGCGGTTTTTGTCATTAAAAGTAAAGGCAAAAACTGCAATTACTTTTGTACCAACCTGTATTTTTCTCTTCTCAGATTCTCAGTGGAATACTGGATCTTCTTATGACTCCCAAACTAAGGGAGACATGGAGAATTTTAATGTTTCTGAGGTTCACATACTAACTTAGTACTTGGAGTTTATCTTCAGGCCTCTTTTGTTGAAAAGAGATGTCCTAATATAGTTAACTGTGGAATGAGTTCCTGACAGTCCGCCAGTAAAGGGTAAATATATTATGGAACATTACACGTTAGAAAGGATGAATCAACTCTGTATTCATTCATTTGGGTGAGTGTTCAAGACATATTTTTTAAAGCAGGTTTCAAGACAATATTTACAATCAAATCCTATTTTTATAAAACAAAACATACCCCCAAGAAACTCCAGAAGACAACAGTGCCATCTACATGCATGTATATATTTGAATATGCTTGCGTACATATGAGGAGAGGGAGGGGAAGATGTTTGCATGTCAGGCAGCTAATTGCATACCTCGGAGGCTCATACAGGGTGAGGTGCAGGTATAATCAATAGTTTTCTTTCCATACCTTTGGACTCATTCATCACAAAGAGCAGCCTTCACTTTTGTATTTTAGAAATCTACTAAATAGGACTTAACAGGAAGAATTTGTTCTAATCAAAAATAAAAAAAAAAACTTGCCCTAGAGACTTCTATTTTTCCTGTTACTTCCGTTATAAAATCCAAGTACATCTCTGGGGTTGGGGCAGGGACCTAACCCACCCAGTGCTGTGTGTACATCTTGATTTGTGGAAATGGCTCAGCTTGGTCTGGGCTCCTGCTGAGTGTTCTCCTGCTCTCAGGACATGCCTCCTATCCAGGGCCCAGTTTTGTCCTCTTAAAATTTCCCATGGCTCCATTGGTAACAGTTCCCTCATTCAACTCAAATCTCTCAAGGGCCTCATGGGAACTGACTTTGACCACCTGCAAACCTCTGGGTTCTGAATTAAGAACTGGACTTCATTTCCCTTCCTTGTTCAGTTTAACTCAGGCTAGAGTTGTAGCGGATCGTGTGCCTTAGTTTATCACGCTTCCCAGGGCAAGCAAAACCTCTTATTTCCAAGGATTCCCTTCCTCAACATTTCCACATCTTGAACCCCGCCTCCTTTAGTCTGAGAGTTAGGCTCAGGCTGCAAGCCCACAGTCATCTGGGTAAGTGTTCTCACCTTGTGCTTTCATCAAGGTGGCTGGGGCAAGGGGTGCTTTTTGCATCACAACGTCCTTTCTTTCTCCTCATTAGTAGGAAGCTTAATTTTTAGCTGGGCACATTGCCACCACCCTCTCTTGCGATTGGATTTGGTTGTGTCAGTAAGTATTGGCCATTGAGATATAAGATAAAGTCTTGTGTGCAAAATTCCAGAAAGTCTTCAAAGAGAGGGCGACTGCCTTCTGCCTGCCCTCCTTCTTGAAGTCTGGACTACAATGCAAGTGGGACTACGAGCCGTGGCAGGAACCATAGCCTGACTTAGGGCAGCAATGCATCATGATTGAAGGGTCCAAGACATGCGCTTATTTGAAGTGAAAGAAAGATAAACTTCTAATGTTTTGAAGCCACTGTTATTTGGGATTTTCTGTCACAATTCAAACTAGTTCAACTCATGTGTTAAGGTTTCATATTCTGTAAAATGGCTGCTTATTTATTGTATACATTTTGTTTTTCAGGGACAGGGCTTGCTATGTTGCCTAGGCTGGTTTCTAACTCCTGAGCTCAAGCAATCGTCCCACTTTAGCCTCTGGGGTAGCTGGAACTACAGGCATGAGCCACCACACCTGGTTTGTTTTATAAGATTTTAATCAGCACAGCCTACACCACCACCATGTGTGTTTCCTCAAGGTATATTAGCTCATGTGCAATTGGCAAATAGAGGAATGGTGTCAATATAACATCCAAGGCATCATTGTTCATATGTGGTTTTTCCCCCAGCATGCTAACATTTTAAGAGATCAAGGCATACTTTTTCACAAGTGAAGAAAAACACCTTAGCAATATACAAAATGAAACTTAAGAAAAACCTGAAAATTATGTAGAGTGGCTGCTTTAGCAGATTCAAGAACCACCATTCTTTCCTCGAAGTTCAGATATCTGGGGAACTGCAAATACCAGTGAAAAAGCTGCAGATGTTCTCCATGTGCTGATTGCTTTCAAATGATGCAAAAGTTTGCTCTTGTGTCTGTATTAGAATTTTAATTTTGATGCAACAGATCTCTATTAGAAGCAAGTGCCGTCAAGGAGCTACCTCTTGAAAGTGGAAGCACAAGTTCTGAGTCGCAAAGATGGACAGACTATTGGTCTCAGTGTCCCTTCCAGGAGCTGGGGCCCTACCTGCTAGCCAGTTGTCAAAGTGTAGACAGTAAAACAAAATGTCAGGCCATGGTGGCTCATACCTGTAATCTCAGTGCTTTGGGAGACTAAGGCGTGAGGATTGCTTAAGGCCAGGAGTTTGAGACCAGTTTGGGCAATATAGTGAGACCCCATGTCTAAAAAAAAAAAAAAGAAAAAAAAATCAGCCGGGCATGGTGGCACATGCCTATAGTCCTAGCTACTGGGGAGGCTGATGCAAGAGAGGATCACTTCAGCCCAGGAATTTGAGGCTGCAGTGAGCTGGGATCATGACACTGAACACCAGCTTGGGCAAAAGTGAGAGCCCCAACTTAAAAAAAACAAAAACCTAAACTCCCGAAACAGAGCATCCACTGATGATAAAGTCTATGCCTTTCAAGTAGCTGAAAATGCTAGAATCCTCTTCCTACTCAAATACATCTGCAAAGCTAGTGAAAACATACTTTCCCATTGAAGGTCCTTAATCAAGAAGAATGATTAGAAATCATTAAAGGAGGCTGGGCACAGTTGCTCATGCCTGTAATCCCAGCACTTTGGGAGGCCAAGGCGGGTGGATCACTTGAGGTCAGGAGTTTGAGACCAGCCTGGCCAACATGGTGAAACCCTGTCTCTACTAAAAATACAAAGAAATTAGTGGGGTGGGGTGGTGTATGCCTGTAGTCCCAGCTACTTGAGAGGCTGAGGCAGGAGAATCGCTTGAAACCAGGAGGTGGAGGCTGCAGTGAGCTGAGATCTCACCACTGTACTCCAGCCGGGCTACAGAGTGAGACTGTCTCAAAAAAAAAAAAAAAAATGAAGACATTTTAACCAAAAAAACAGTCCAGTAACCCGAGTCATGTCTCTTTTTGAATTTGATACATTAAAAATTGAAGAAAATTATTTTACATGTATTCAATTTATAATTTAAAACATTGAAAAATTTAATGAAAATGTCAAAAATATGCAAGAAAATAGAATAGAGGAAAGTGGTATTTAGGTGGTGTGATTGTGTGCCTTTGCATTTAGAATGAAGTCCTCTATTACTAACAGATACAGTTTGGATATTTGTCTCCCCTAAATCTCATATTAAAATATAATCTCCAATGCTGAAGGAGGGTCCTGGTAGGAAGTGACTGGATCATGGGGGTGGATTTCTCATGAATGGTTTAGGACCATCCCCTTGGTGCTTTCTTTGTGATAGTGAGTTCTTATGAGAGCTGGTTGTTTAAAGATGTTTGGCATATTCCCCACTCCTTTCTCTTGCTCCTGCTCTGGCCATGTGACATGCCTGCTCCCACTTCCCCTTCTGCCATGAGTAAAAGCTCCCTGGGGCCTCCCCAGAAGCTGAGCAGATTCCGGCACCATGCTTATGCAGCCTGCAGAACTGTAAACCAATTAAACCTCTTTTCTTTATAAATTACCCAGTCTCAGGTGTTCCTTTACAGCAATGCAAGAATGGCCTAACATTAACAAAGTTTGCTTGTTAAGCCTAAGTCTTACTACTTGCCTCTCACCCTCCTCTCATCAGTAGGTTTCAGCCATACAAAATGTTTTTCTCTTAGTTTCTCTGCACCTTGCACATACTTTTCCTCTGCTTGGTTGTACAATCCCCTCAACCCCTCCAGGTTTTCTTGGCCTACTCCTGTTCAGCTAAAATGTCACATCCATGAGGGTCTTCTTTACCCTCCCGCAAGGATGGGTGCCTTCTATCCTCTTTCATTTATCACATTTGTGATTCCTTAACACACATAATCTGCCAGAAGCACTATAGCACTGTGGTTTAAGAGCTTGGGTTCTAGAGACAGCCAAACTGGGCTTGGGTCTTGCCTTTTGCCTCTTCCATTTCTTAGCTGTAATAGCTTAGATAACTTATCTCACCTCTCCTAAGTCCTAGTTTCCCTATCTGTACATTGGAGATGATGGTAATATTAACCACCAGATAGGGTGGTTGTATAAAAAAACTGTTGTTACACACTTGGCACAGTGCCTAGCGTATACACTGAGTACATTCCATATTGTTAATACTGGCAGTGGTTTGAATCACTGACCATTGTGCCCTTGGTTCCTTCCATAATACATGCCAAGTTATAAATATTTGTTGGATAAGTGAATAAACAAATTAAAGTGTATTAAAAAATTAAAACATTTTCTTGTGATAAAAATATTTTGATGAATTTATATTAAAAAGCAATTTAATTGATTCATAAAAATGCCCAAATGTATTTAAATTCCAAGCAACAAGACCTGCTAGCTAGGAAATTAGAATCAGTTCAGAAATGCTTTTCTCTATTGATGAATCAATAGAGAACTTGACTTTTTTAATGATCAGTGTTGAAGACTACACTGAACCTAGAATATAGATATAACAAAAAGAACCTCTCTGTAAAATGTATTGTATTTTTTTGCAAATAAAATCTAGGAATTGTTCATTTTTATTGATTAGTACTGCCTTCATGAAATGCCATAAAGAGGTGTCCTCTAAGTGTTCCAGGATACAATTAAATAGATTTTGTGAAATCTGTGTGAAATAACTTCTGGAAATAAGCAGATGCTAAACAGTTGTAGTTCATGTGTGTTCAAGACTGAAAAAGAATAATTGGCCTTCAATTTAGGCAACAGTGGTATTGATTAAGTTTCTTGAGACTCAAAGTGGTAAAGCACTATAATATGCTAGACAGGGAGATTGTAAATCCAGGGGAGTGTTTACTACATAAAAGCCACATTCCATTCATAGTCTCCTGGAAAATCTTTATTTTGTCTCATCCACCCAAGTCACACTATTTGAAAATAAATTCTCTCATTTCCCTTTCCCACTTACTAAATTGAAGATGTCTTTAGTTTTCATAAAATAGATGGGTTATAAGAGTATTTATACACTTCATCTTGCCATGTTTTTTTCCACTTTGATGCTGTTATAATCATCTGAACAAAAAGAAAAACCCAAAATTTATTTCAGGTTCCTCCCTCCACTAACAGCATCCTTCATGTGTCTTTGCTGCTGCCATCTCTGACCCCTACATGTAATTGCTCCTCCTTAGCCCTCCCCTCACTGTGACTCTGGGTCCTTTTCTTAGTCTGTTTTCTGCTGCAATAAGAAGACTACCACTGACTGGGTAATTTATAAACAATAGCAGGGACTTTTTGGCTCAAGGTTCTGGAGGCTGGAAAGTCCAAGAGCATGGTGCTGGCATCTGGTGAGGGACCTTGTGCTGTGTCATTTCATGGCAGAAGGTGGAAGGGCAAGAGAGTGCATGTGAGAGGGAGAGGGGAAGGGGCCCAAACCTGTACTTTCATCAGGAACCCACTTCTGAGATTATAAATTCACACCCATAATAACAGAATCCATCCATAATAAGACCATTAATCACCTCTTAATTTCACCTTTTAACATTGTTACATTGGGGATTAAGTTTCAATACATGAAACCTAATGTGCGGGACACATTAAAACCATAGCAGTCCCCTTCAATGTCCATATAACTAAATCATCTCACACTCTGTGTTGCAGCTGGCCTTAACAATGGAGGTCTTTTGTTCATCTTCTTTGTTGAAGAGCCACACTTTGGTTTGGGTGTCCATCCTTCTCCATGGCTTGCAGGGAGCTCCTGAGTACTCCAGGGCTAGTCCTGGCAATCTCTTTCTCTTCCTTAGTGATTTGTTTAGGGGTTGGCATGTGATTGTTTTGGCCAAAGTCCCAGGAGGGTACATGTATTAGTCCATTTTCATGCTGCTGATAAAGACATACTCGAGACTGGGCAATTTACAAATGAAAGATGTTTAATGGACTTATAGTTTCACATGGCTGGGGAGACCTCACAATCATGGCAGAAGGTGAAAGGGATGTCTCACATGGCAGCAGACAAGGGAAGAGAGCATGTACAGGGAAACTCCCCCTTATAAAACCATCAGATTTCATGAGATGTATTCACTATCAAGAGAACAGCATGAGAAAGACCTGCCCCCACGATTCAATTACTTCCCACCAGGTCCCTCTCACATGTGGGAATTCAAGATTTTCTTTGGGTGGTCACACAGCCAAACCACATCATTCTGCCCCTGGCCCCTCCCAAATCTCATATCCTCATATTTCAAAACCAATCATGCCTTCCCAACAGTCCCACAAAGACTTAACTCGTTTCAGCATTAACTCACAGTCCAAAGTCTCATCTGAGACAAGGCAAGTCCCTTCTGCCTATGAGCCTGTAAAATCAAAAGCAAGTTAGTTACTTCCTAGATACAATGGGGGTATAGGCATTGTGTAAATGTTCTTGTTCCAAATGGGAGAAATTGGCCAAAACAAAGGGGCTACAGGCCCCATGCAAGTCCAAAATCCAGTGGGACAGTCAAATCTTAAAGCTCCAAAATGATCTTCTTTGACTCCATGTCTCACATCCAGGTCATGCTAATGCAATAGGTAGGCTCTCACAGCCTTGGGCAGCTCCACCCCTGTGGCTTTGCAGGGAATAGCCCCACTCCTGGCTGCTTTTATGGGCTGGTGTTGAGTGTTTGTGGCTTTTCCAGGGGCATGGTGCAAGCTGTCAGTGGATCTATCAGTCTGGGATCTAGAGGACAGTGGCCCTCTTCTCAAATCTCCACTAGACAGTGCTCAAGTAGGGACTCTTTGTCAGGGCTCTGACCCCACATTTCCTTTCTGCACTGCCTAGCAGAAGTTCTCCATGAGGGCCCTGCCCCTGTAGCAAATTCTGCCTGGGCATCCAGGTATTTCTATACATCCTCTGAAATCTAGGTGGAGGCTCCCAAACCTCAATTCATGACTTCTGTGCACCTACAGGCTCAACACCACGTGGAAACTGCCAAGGCTTGGGGCTTTCACCCTATGAAGCTACAGCCTGAGCTGTACCTTGGACCCTTTTAGTCACTGGAGTGGCTGGGACACAGGGCACCAAGTCTCTAGACTGAACACAGCAGAGGAACTCTGGGCCTAGCCCGTGAATCCATTTTTTCCTCCTAGGTCTCGGCCTGTGATGTGAGGGCCTGCTCCAAAGGTCTCTGACTTGCCCTGAGACATTTTCCCCATTTTCTTGATGAATAACATTCGGCTCCTTGTTACTTATGCAAATTTCTACAGCCAGCTTGAATTTCTCCTCAGAAAATTGTATTTTCTTTTCTATTGCATTGTCAGGCTGCGAATTTTCCAAACTATAATGCTCGGTTTCCCTTTTAAAATGGAATGCCTTTAACAACACCCAAGTCACCTCTTGAATGCTTTACCACTTAGAAATTTCTTCCACCAGATATCCTCTCAAGTTCAAAGTTCCACAAATCTCTAGGGCAGGGGCAAAATGCTTCCAGTCTCTTTACTAAAACATAACAAGAGTCACCTTTGCTCCATTTCCCAACAAGTTCCTCATCTCCATCTGAGACCACTTCAGCCTGGATTTCATTGTCCATATCATTGTCAGCATTTTGGTCAAAGCCATTTAACAAGTCTCTAGGGGGTTCCAAACTTTCCCACACTTTCCTTTCTTTTTATGAGCCCTTCAAACTTTTCCAACCTCTGCCTGTTACCCAGTTCCAAATTGCCTCCACATTTTTGGGTATCTTTGCAGCAGTGCCCCACTGTACTGGTACCAATTCACTGTGTTATTTTGTTTTCATGCTGCTGGTAAAGACATAGCTGAGACTGGGCAATTTACAAAAGAAAGAAGTTTGGTGGACTTACAGTTCCATGTGGCTGTGGAGGCCTCACAATTATGGCAGAAGGCAAGGAGGAGCAAGTCACATCTTACATGGATGGCCCCAGGAAAAGAGAAAGCTTGGGCACGAAAACTCCCCCTTATAAAACCATCACATCTCATGAGAGGTATTCACTATCATGAGAACAGCACAGGAAAGACTTGCTCCCGCTGGGTCCCTCCCACAACATGTGAGATGAGATTTCAGTAGGGACACAGCCAAACCACATTAGTACCTATATTACGGGCTTTTAGGAAAAGTTTTCTTCACTGATTAAAAGTGATAAATATGAAAAATATCTTATTGTCTCCCATGCCCATTGTTATGTCTGGACATAATGTCGGAACCATGGCCACCATCTTGCAATCATGGGAGCTAACCTGAAAAGTAAAGGATGGCAGAGCAAAAAATGAACAGAAACAAAAACAAATGATGAAATGCTAAATCAGATAAACCTAGAGTCATCCTATCTCACAGCAAAAGAAGAAATTACACGTGCTGTAGTAAGCCAGTTGAGTAAAGGTTTTCTTTTTACTTCTTATTGTGATTCATAAGTTGTTGATTATTTCCTCATAATGAGATTCAGATTATGCTTTTTGGCAGAAGTACCAGTGATGTGGAGTTCTGTTGTGTTCTTCTCAGTGCAGCATATCAGGAGGAACAGATATGCTTCCATTATTAGTGAGGCTAACTTTGATCACTTAGTTGAGAGAGTGTCTGCCTGGTTGGTCCACTGTAAAGTCACTATTTTGTCTTTTATAAATTATTATCCTGTAGGGAGACACTTTGATACTGTACTTTCTGTTCTTCATTAAGCTTTTATCCATGAATATTAGCATCTATTGATGATTCTTGTCTGAATCAATTATTACTGTGATAGTTGCCAAATGGCATATGCTATGATCTTTTTAAAATTTGTTTTAGATTGTGGTAAAATATATTTTGTATTAAATTTACCATTTTAACCCATCTTAAGTGTACAAGTGAGTGGCATTAAGTACATTCACATTGTGCAATCATCACCACTATCCATCCCCAGAACATTTCCATCATCTCAAATGGAATCCTATCCATTAATTAATAACTCTACATTCCTCCCTCCCCTCGGCTCCTAGTAACCATCATTCTACTTTCTGTCTCTATGAATTTGACTGTTCTAGGTGTCTCATGTAAGTGTAATCATGCAACAGTTGTTCTTTTGTGTCTGACTTATTTTACTTAGCATAATGTTTTAAAGGTTTATCCATGTTGTAGCATGCATCAAATTTTATTTCTTTTTAAGGCTGAATAATATTCCATTGTGTATGTGTGTGTGTGTATATATATATATATCACTATATTATTGAAATTATTGCCAATTCCTATATATATAAATATATATATATATAAATATATATATAAAAATATATATATATAAAAATATATATATATAACATTTTGTTATCCATTTACTTGTCAATGGACACTTGGGTTGCCTCCATCTTTTGGCTACTGTGAATAATATTGCTATGAACATCGGTGTACAGATATCTCTTTGAGTCCCTGTTTTCAACCCTTTTGCATATATACCTAGAATTGTAATTAGTGGATCATATGGTAACCCTATGTTTAAATTTTTTTTTTGTTTTTTTTGAAGTGGAGTCTCACTCTGTCACCCAGGCTGGAGTGCAGTGGCATGATCTTGGCTCACTGCAACCTCTGCCTCCCGGGTTCAAGTGATTCTCCTTCCTCAGCCTCCTGAGCAGCTGGGATTACAGGCACCCACCACCATGCCTGGCTAATTTTTGTATTTTTAGTAGAGACAGGGTTTCACCGTGTTGGTCAGGCTGGTCTCGAACTTCTGACCTTGTGATCTGCCTGCCTTGGACTCCCAAAGTGCTGGGATTTGTTTAGTTTTTTGAATAACCACTATATTATCTTCCATAGTGGCTGCGTCATTTCACTTTCTCACCAGCAATGAGCAAATTTCTCCATATCCTCTCCAACAATTCTAACTTTCTGTTTTTGGATAATAGCCCACTAACATGGAAGTAGTAAGATTGAAGGTGCCATCACATGTGGTTTTGATTTGCATTTCCCTAATGCCTAGTGATGTTGAACTCTATTCATGTGCTTAAGGACTATTTGCATATCTTTGGAGAAATATCCAAGTCCTTTACCCATTTTTGAGTTGGATCGTTAGGTTCTTTGTTGTTGTTGAGTTGTGGGAGTTCTTTATGTATTCTAGATATTAACTCCTTAAAAGATATATTATTTGCAAATATATTTTCCCTCTTTTGGGTTGCCTTTTTAGTCTGTTGTTAGTGTCTTCTGATGCACAAATTTTTATTTTAATGGAATCCTATATATTTTTTCTTTGTGTTGCCTGTGTATTTAGTGTTGTAGCCAAGAAATTATTTCCAATTCCAATGTCATGATTCTTTCTCCCAATGATTTTTTTCCAAGGGTTTTATAGTTTCAGCTATCACGTTTAAATCTTCGATCCATTTTGAGTTAAGTTTTGCATATAGTATAAGTGCAGGCTCAGCTTCATTCTTTTGCATATGGATAGCCAATTCTCCTAGCACCATTTGTTGAAAAGAGTAGAGCTTTTTTTTCCCCTAGTGTAGTTGAAAACACCTTAGTTCTGAGGTTTCCAAACTTGCTGATTTCACAGTATCATTAGCATCTCAGTAAATTTTTCATGGGACCCCTAGGCCAAAAAAACAAAAACCTAACAACTCCTTTCATGAAATAGTTAGGTCTAAACAACTTAATACGTATTCATACCTGAACAACTTAGTAGCCATTTGAAAAAATACTACATATCAATTGGAAAAAATTACTATTTTTAATTTTATTCTGAAATAACACAATGGGTTGTGTGTGCCTGTTGGGCTACACACGAATTCTCAGACCTTGGAATATGATTGGATGCCCCGCTGTCATTTCTTGTTCTCATTGATTTTCCCATGGCACTTGCTTTCTCAACAATTGTAGAAAACTCAGCCTTGCAAAGATATAATGCCATTGAAAGGAAATAGCATGATCTGACATTGAAACTGTCAACTATATCAAGCTTGTAATTCATGTGGTGTCTGAAAGATACCCAGTGTCACTGTGCTTTCCTTGAACACCCCTTGAGTTTGCTGTGGCATTTCAACACTAGGTCCAGTATGGGGATGCTGTCGTAGCTGATACAAACTCTTTAACTTCTATGATGTTCCCCTCCATCCCTTCCTCATGTTTGAACTCACTCAGCTTCCTATCCTACCACCCTCGAATGTCTCTGTCTCTACTCAGACATTTTCCACTCATCTTATTTTAGTGAAGAAGGGTGCCTGTCTTCTGTCAAGGAGAATGCCCGCACCTCTGCCAGACCCTCCATTTGTCTCGTACTCCACACTTCCCTGCCTGAACTCTGTTCTGGAAAGCCACTCCCTTTCCCTGGCTTCTGGAGGAGTTTTGACCATTTTGACCAATAGAATGCATCAGCAGGAGATTGGGGTGTGGTAGGAGAGGAAGGTCAGCTGATTCATTCCCCCTCACCCCCGGCTCCTCTGTGCCCAGCCATGAGTCTCTGAATTTCTGTTAAGCCACACCTCTTGCTGGCGACCCTTTCTTAGAGGTGGGGACACTTTTTCCTTTGGCCCCTTCAGGCCTCCGGGTGGTAATGATTTCTGCTACAAGCCTGAAGGTGCTTTACTTGTTTTCTTTGGTTACTCTTAACCCTGCCCACACCCTGGTAAAGAGACCCGTCATTGATTTCTCTTCCATCACTCCTTTTGAGTGTGACATTTGCTGGGACCCTGGTGGGTACAGATCCCACCTCCTGAGGCAAATCTTTATAGAAAATATCATTCTCTGGCCAATGATAATGCTGCAGGTGGCAAGAAGGAGAAAAGAGCTGCAGCCATTCTAGGAGTCCAGACCTTAGGGCTCCCTGAGACTGGGCTCTGACACACTGTAACACCCTATTTGGGGCTCTGTAGTTCCTGGCATCTCCGAGCTCTTGGGTGCCAGAGCATTCCCCAGTGCCCACAGTGGAAGCCGCTTGTGGTACAGCTAGTCTAGCCACAGCCTTACACACAGCTGGCACCTGAGCCGGAGTCTGGAGCTGTCCACCCCACTGCAGCAGGTGCACCTGGCTGTGTGCAGTGACCAGAACCTGCACTTGCTCCCTCGCACACCCCTTGCCACTCCATGCCCTTGGCAGGCGTGAGATCCAGGCTGGTAGCAGGAGCCGAGTGCAGCCTGCCAGGCAGAATGGGCAGAATGAGCCCAGTGGACACAATCAAAAGCATCATGCTACCTGACTTCAAACTACACTACAAGGCTACAGTAACCAAAACGCATGGTATTTTTACCAAAACAGATATATAGACCAAGGGAACAGAACAGAGGCCTCAGAAATAACACCACACATCTACAACCATCTGATCTTTGACAAACCTGACAAAAACGAGCAATGGGGAAAGGATTTCCTATTTAATAAATGGTGCTGGGAAAACTGTCTAGCCACATGTAGAAAGCTGAAACTGGATCCCTTCCTTAAACCTTACACAACAATTAACTCAAGATGGATTAAAGACTTAAATGTAAGACCTAAAACCATAAAAACCTTGGAAGAAAACCTAGACAATACCATTTAGAACATAGGCATGGGCAAAGACTTCATGACCAAAACACCAAAAGCAATGGCAACAAAAGCCAAAACTGACAAATGGGATCTAATTAAACTAAAGAGCTTCTGCACAGCAAAAGAAACTATCATCAGAGTGAACAGGCAACCTACAGAATGGGAGAAAATTTTTGCAATCTATCCGTCTGACAAAGGGCTAATATTCAGAATCTGCAAATAACTTAAACAAATTCACAAGAAAAAAACAACCCCATCAAAAAGTGGTTGAAGGATATGAACAGACAATTCTCAAAATAAGGCATTTATGCAGCCAACAAACATGAAAAAATGCTCATTACTGGTCATTAGAGGAATGCAAATCAAAACCACAATGAGATACCATCTCATGTCAGTCAGAATGGCGGTCATTAAAAAGTCAGGAAACAACAGATGCTGGAGAGGATGTGGAGAAATAGGAACACTTTTACACTGTTGGTATGAGTGTGAATTAGTTCAACCATTGTGGAAGACAGTGTGGCAATTCCTCAAGGATCTAGAACTAGAAATACCATTTGAAGGCTGGGCATGGTGGCTTATGCCTGTAATCCCTGCACTTTGGGAGGCCGAGGCAGGCGGATCACTTGAGGTTGGGAGTTCGAGACCAACCTGACTAACATGGAGAAACCCTGTCTCTATTAAATATACAAAATTAGCCGGGCGTGGTGGCACATGCCTGTAATCCCAGCTACTTGGGAGGCTGAGGCAGGACAATTGCTTAAACCCAGGAGGAGGAGGTTGTGGTGAGCCGAGATTGTGGCACTGAACTTCAGCCTGGGCAACAAGAGCGAAACTCCATCTCAAAAGAAAACAACAACAACAACAACAAACAAATACCATTTGACCCAGCAATCCCATTACTGGGTATATACCCGAAGGATTATAAATCATTCTACTATAAAGACACATGCACACGTATGTTTATTGTGGCACTGTTCACAATAGCAAAGACTTGGAACCAACCCAAATGGCCATCAATGATAGATTGGATAAAGAAAATGTGGCACATATACACCATGGAATACTATGCAGCCATAAAAAAGGATGAGTTCATGTCCTTTGCAGGGATATGGATGAAGCTGGAAACCATCATTCTCAGCAAACTAATACAAGAACAGAAAACCAAACACCACATGTTCTCATTCGTAAGTGGGAGTTGAACAATGAGAACATGTGGACAAAGGGAGGGAACATCACACACTGGGGGCTGTCAGGGGGTAGGGGGTTGGGGGGGAAGGATAGCATTTGGAGAAATATCTAATGTAGATGACGGGTTGATGGGTGCAGCAAACCACCATGGCACATGTATACCTATGTAACAAACCTGCACTTTCTGCACATGTATCCCAGAACTTAAAGTAAAACAAAAAAACAAACAAACAAACAAACAGAACAAGCAGAGGCACTGTGGGCCACAGAGGTTTCCAGCTGGCGAAGTGACACCCTAAGCGTCCTGTGGCTGTTTTGATGTAGGCACCATGATAGCAGTTTAACATGTATGATCTTATTGAATCCTCACATTAAAACTGCTGTGATCTGTCCATAGTCCCGTTTTATAGATGACAGACCTGAGATTTACAGAGGATTAGCAAGTTTCCCAAGGTCACACATTGGGAAATGGCAGAGTTGGAATTTGAGCTAAAAATGTTAGAGACTCACCTGTTAGTGGTCAAAGTGGTGTGAGCCTGTAATTCCCACTACTTGAGGCTGAGGTGGGAGGATCACTTGAGCTCAGGAGTTTGAGGCTACAGTGAGCTGTGACTGAGCTGCTGCACTCCAGCCTGGGTGACAGAGTGAGACTTTGTCTCAGTAGAAAAAAAAAAGAAAAAGAAAATATTAGAGACTCACATGCTGGACATCTAACCTCAAGGAAACATTCCCTCACTGTCCCTCAGATGGACCGAACATGACCTCCCAAAAGCAAAGAAGGGACCAGGAAAAGGTCCAGCACAGCTCATGTTGTTATCCTGATGATTTCTTTTAATTTTGATTTTAGACAATCAAAGGAATCAGAAAGCTTCAGCTTTGTGATATGTTTGTGCCTGAGGTTGGAGGAAGGAAAGGGAACTATACCTCTCCATTGTGGACCACCATTCCACTTATTTACCACCTAAAATATGAATGTGTGTGGCTAGTTGCCGCCATCAATATGAAATCTTTTTAATTTTCTAGACACTCTCGAGATTTCCTGCTTCTTTCACCATATCTTCCTCATTTTTCCCTCTGAGTTTTCTTTTTTTCTTGTTAATGAATCAGCAATTTATTTTTATTATTTATTTATTTATTATGCTTTAAGTTCTAGGGTACATGTGCACAAAGTGCAGGTTTGTTACATAGGTATACATGTGCCATGTTCGTTTGCTGCACCCATCAACTCATCATTTATATTAGGTATTTCTCCTAATGCTATTCCTACCCCAGCCCCCCACCCCAACACAGGCCCTGGTATGTGATGTTCCCCATCCTGTGTCCAGGTGTTCTTACTGTTCAATTCCCACCTATGAGTGAGAACATGCGGTGTTTGGTTTTCTGTCCTTGTGATAGTTTGCTCAGAATGATGGTTTCCAGCTGCATCCATGTCCCTGCAAAGGACATGAACTCATTCTTTTTTATGGCTGCATAGTATTCCATGGTGTATATGTGCCACATTTTCTTAATCCAGTCTATCATTGATGGCCATTTGGGTTGGTTCCAAGTCTTTGCTATTGTGAATAGTGTCACAATAAACATACACGTGCATGTGTCTTTATAGTAGCATGATTTATAATCCTTCGGGTATATATCCAGTAATGGGATCGCTGGGTCAAATGGTATTTCTAGTTCTAGATCCTTGAGGAATCACCACACTGTCTTCCACAATGGTTGAACTCTAGTTTACACTCACACCAACAGTGTACAAACGCTCCTGTTTCTCCACATCCTTTCCAGCATCTGTAGTTTCCTGACTTTTTAATGATCACCATTCTAACTGGTGTGAGATGGTATCTTATTGTGGTTTTGATTTGCATTTCTCTGATGGCCAGTGATGATGAGCATTTTTTTCATGTGTCTGATGGCTGCACAAATGTCTTCTTTTGAGAAGTGTCTGTTCATATCCTTTGCCCACTTTTTGATGGGGTTGTTTGTTTTTTTCTTGTAAATCTGTTTAAGTTCTTCTGGATATTAGCCCTTTGTCAGATGGGTAGATTGCAAAAATTTTCTCCCATTCTGTAGGTTGCCTGTTCACTCTGATGATAGTTTCTTTTGCTGTGCAGAAGCTCTTTAGTTTAATCAGATCCCATTTGTTAATTTTGGCTTTTGTTGCCCTCACTTTTGGTGTTTTAGTCATGAAGTCCTTGCCCATGCCTATCTCCTGAATGGTTTTACCTAGGTTTTCTTCTAGGGTTTTTATGGTTTTAGGTCTAACATTTAAGTGTTTAATCCATCTTGAATTAATTTTTGTATAAGGTTTAAGGAAGGGATCCAGTTTCAGCTTTCTACATATGACTAGCCAGTTTTCCCTACACCATTTATTAAATAGGGAATCCTTTCCCTATTTCTTGTTTTTGTCAGGTTTGTCAAAGATCAGATGGTTGTAGATGTGTGGTGTCATTTCTGAGGCCTCTGTTCTGTTCCCTTGGCCTATATATCTGTTTTGGTACCAGTACCATGCTGATTTGGTTACTGTAGCCTTGTAGTATTGTTTGAAGTCAGGTAGCATGATGCCTCCAGCTTTGTTCTTTTTGCTTAGGATTGTCTTGGCAATCTGGACTCTTTTTTGGTTCCATATGAACTTTAAAGTAGTTTTTTCCAATTTTGTGAAGAAAGTCATTGGTAGCTTGATGGGGATGGCATTGAATCTATAAATTAATTTGGGCCGTATGGCCATTTTCACGATATTGATTCTTCCTATCCATAAGCATGGAATGTTCTTCCATTTGTTTGTGTCCTCTTTTATTTCATTGAGCAGTGGTTTGTAATTCTCCTGGAAGAGGTCCTTGACATCCCTTGTAAATTGGATTCCTCGGTATTTTATTCTCTTTGTAGCAATTGTGAATGGGAGTTCACTTATGATTTGGCTCTCTGTTTGTCTGTTATTGGTGTATAGGAATGCTTGTGATTTTTGCACACTGATTTTGTATCCTGAGACTTTTCTGAGGGTTGTTTATCAGCTTAAGGAGACTTTGGGCTGAGACAATGGGGTTTTCTAAATATACAATCATGTCATCTGCAAACAGGGTCAATTTGACTTCCTCTTTTCCTAATTGAATACCCTTTCTTTCCTTCTCCTGCCTGATTGCCCTGGCCAGAACTTCCAACACTATTTTGAATAGGAGTGGTGAGAGAGGGCATTCCTGTCTAGTGCTGGTTTTCAAAGGGAATGCTTCCAGTTTTTGCCCATTCGGTATGACATTGGCTGTGGGTTTCTCACAAATAGCTCTTTTTATTTTGAGATATGTTCCAGCAATACCTAGTTTATTAAGAGTTTTTAGCACGAAGTGTTGTTGAATTTTGTCGAAGGTCTTTTCTGCCTCTATTGAGATAATCATATGGTTTTTGTCATTGGTTCAGTTTATGTGATGGATTATGTTTATTGATTTGTGTATGTTGAACCAGCCTTGCATCCCAGGGTTGGAGCCAGCCTGATCGTGGTGGACAAACTTCATGATGTGCTGCTGGATTCGGTTTGCCAGTATTTTATTGAGGATTTTTGCATCGATATTCATCAGGGATATTGGTCTAAAATTCTCTTTTTTGTGTGTGTCTCTGCCAGGCTTTTGTATCAGGATGATGCTGGCCTCATAAAATGAGTTAGGGAGGAGTCCCTCTTTTTCTATTGATTGGAATAGTTTCAGAAGGAACGGTACCAGCTCCTCTTTGTACCTCTGATAGAATTCAGCTGTGAATCCGTCTGGTCTGGACTTTTTTTGGTTGGTAGGCTATTAATTATTGCCTCAATTTCAGAGCCTACTATTGGTCTATTCAGAGATTCAACTTCTTCTTGTTTTAGTCTTGGGAGGGTGTATGTGTCTTGGAATTTATCCATTTCTTCTAGATTTTCTAGTTTATTTGCATAGAGGTGTTTATAGTATTCTCTGATGGTAGTTTGTATTTCTGTGGGATCGGTGGTGATATCCCCTTTATCATTTTTTATTGTGTCTATTTGATTCTTCTCTCTTTTCTTCTTTAGTAGTTTAGCTAGTGGTCTATCAATTTTGTTGATCTTTTCAAAAAACCAGCTCCTGGATTCATTGATTTTTTGAAGGGTTTTTTTTGTGTCTCTGTGGGTTTCAGTTCTGCTCTGATCTTAGTTATTTCTTGCCTTCTGCTAGCTTTTCAATTTGTTTGCTCTTGCTTTGCTAGTTCTTTTAATTGTGTTGTTAGGTGTTGATTTTAGATCTTTTCTGCTTTCTCTTATGGGCATTTAGTGCTATAAATTTCCCTCTACACACTGCTTTAAATGTGTCCCAGCAATTCTGGTATGTTGTGTCTTTGTTCTCATTGGTTTCAAAGAACATCTTTATTTCCGCCTTCATTTCGTATTTACCCAGTAGTCATTCAGGAGCAGGTTGTTCAGTTTCCATGTAGTTGTGCAGTTTTGAGTGAGTTTCTTAATCCTGAGCTCTAATTTGATTGCACTGTGGTCTGAGAGACAGTCTGTTGTGATTTCTATTCTTTTACATTTGCTGAGGAGTGCTTTACTTCCAATTATGTGGTCAATTGTAGAATAAGTGTGATGTGGTGCTTAGAAGAATTCATATTCTGTTGATTTGGGGTGGGGAATTCTGTAGATGTCTATTAGGTCTGCTTGATGAAGAGCTGAGTTCAAGTCCTGAATATCCTTGCTAACCTTCTGTCTTGTTGATGTGTCTAATATTGACGGTGGGGTGTTAAAGTCTCCCATTATTATTGTTTGGGAGTCTAAGTTTCTTTGTAGGTCTCTAAGGACTTGCTTTATGAATCTTGGTGCTCCTGAATTGGATGCATATATATTTAGGATAATTAGCTCTTCTTGTTGAATTGATCCCTTTACCATTATGTAATGGCCTTCTTTATCTCTTTTGATCTTTGTTGGTTTGAAGTCTGTTTTATCAGAGACTAGGATTGCAACCCCTGCTCTTTCTTTTTTGCTTTCCATTTACTTGGTAGATCTTCCTCCATCCCTTTATTTTGAGCCTATGTGTGTCTCTGCACGTGAGATGGGTCTCCTGAATACAGCACACAGATGGGTCTTGACTCTTTATCCAATGTGCCAGTCTGTGTCTTTTAATTGGGGCATTTAGCCTTTTACATTTAAGATTAATATTGTTATGTGTGAACTTGATCCTGTCGTTATGATGTTAGCTGGTTATTTTGCCTGTTAGTTGATGCAGTTTCTTCCTAGCATCGATGGGCTTTACAATTTGGCATGTTTTTGCAGTGGCTGGTACCGGTTGTTCCTTTCCATGTTTAGTGCTTCCTTCAGGAGCTCTTGTAAGGCAGGCCTGGTGGTGACAAAATCTCTCAGCATTTGCTTGTCTGTAAAGGATTTTATTTCTCCTCCACTTATGAAGCTTAGTTTGGCTGGATATGAAATTCTGGGTTGAAAATTCTTTTCTTTAAGAATGTTGAATATTGGCCCCCACTCTTTCTCTGGCTTGTAGAGTTTCTGCCAAGAGATCCGTTGTTAGTCTGATGGGCTTCTCTTTGTGGGTAACCTGACCTTTCTCTCTGGCTGCCCTTAACATCTTTTCCTTCATTTCAACCTTGGAGAATCTGAAAATTATGGGTCTTAGGGTTGCTCTTCTCGAGGAGTATGTTTGTGGTGTTCTCTGTATTTCCTAAATTTGAATGTTGTCCTGTCTTGCTAGGTTGGGGAAGTTCTGCTGGATAATATCCTGAAGAGTGTTTTTCAACTTGGTTCCATTCTTCCCATTACTTTCAGGTACACCAATCAAACATAGATTTGGTCTCTTCACATAGTCCCATATTTCTTGGAGGCTTTGTTGGTTTCTTTTTACTCTTTTTTCTCTAACCTTGTCTTCTTGCTTTATTTCATTAATTTGATCTTCAATCACTGATACCCTCTCTTCCACTTGATTGAATTGGCCATCGAAGCTTGTGCATGCATCATGTAGTTCTCGTACCATGGTTTTCAGCTCCAGCTCCTTCAGGTCATTTAAGGTCTTCTCTACACTGTTTATTCTAGTTAGCCATTCATCTAATCTTTTTTCAAGGTTTTTAGCTTCCTTGCATTGGGTTCAAACATCCTTCTTTAGCTTGGAGAAGTTTGTTATTACTGACCTTCTGAAGCCTACTTCTGTCAGCTCGTCAAAGTCATTCTCTGCCCAGCTTTGTTTTGCTGCTGGCAAGGAGCTACGATCCTTTGGAGGAGAAGAGGTGCTTTGGTTTTTAGAATTTTCAGCTTTTCTGCTCAGTTTCTCCCCATCTTTGTGGTTTTATCTACCTTTGGTCTTTGATGTTGGTGACCTACAGATGGGGTTTTGGTGTGGATGTCCTTTTTGTTGATGTTGATGCTATTCCTTTCTGTTTGTTAGTTTTCCTTCTTACAGTCAGGTCCCTCAGCTGCAGGTCTGTTGGAGTTTGCTAGAGGTCCAGTCCAGACCCTGTTTGCCTGAGTATCACCAGCGGAGGCTGCAGAACAGCAAATATTTCTGCCTTATCCTTTCTCTGGAAGCTTTGTCCCAGAGGGGCACCCGCCTATATGAGGCGTCAGTCAGCCCCTACTGGGAGGTGTCTCCCAGTTAGGCTATGTGGAAGTCAGAGACCCACTTGAGGAGGCAGTCTGTTCGTTCTCTGAGCTCAAACACCATGCTAGGAGAACCACTGCTCTCTTCAGAGCTGTCAGACAGGGACGTTTAAGCCTGCAGAATTTTCTGCTGCCTTTTTTTCAGCTATGCCCTGCCCCCGGAGGTGGAGTCTACAGAGGCAGAGGCCTTGCTGAGCTGTGGTGGGCTCCACCCAGTTTGAGCTTCGTGGCTGCTTTGTTTACCTATTCAAGCCTCAGCAATGGCAGATGCCTCTCCCCCTGCCAGGCTGCTGCCTGGCAGGTTGATCTCAGACCGCTGTACTAGCAGTGAGCAAGGCTCTGTGGGCATGGGGCCCACCAATCCATGCATGGGATATAATCTCCTGGTGTGCTGTTTGCTAAGACTGTTGGAAAAGTGTAGTATTTGGGCAGGAGCATCCCATTTTTCCAGGTACTGTCTTCGGTGAAGGTACAGCTTCTCTTGGCTAGGAAAGGGAAATCCCCTGACCCATTGTGCTTCGTGGGTGAGGTGATGTCTTGCATTGCTTCAGCTCACCCTCCATGGGCTGCACCCACTGTCCAACTAGTCTCAGTGAGGTGAACCCAGTACCTCAGTTGGAAATGCAGAAATCACCTGTCTTCTGCATTGATCATGCTGGGAGCTGCAGACCGGAGCTATTCCTACTTGGCCATCTTCTCCTCTGAGTGTTCTTGATGGAAACTAACAGGAGCTTGGGTCAATGGAGTACACTGGGAAGCCAGTATACCATAATTTTCTTTTAAAGCTGTTTTTCCAGAAAAGACTCAGCACTGAAAGATTCTAGAAGAAGAATTTCCTAAGAAATGAGTTTCTAACCTACTCCTCATCCAATTCTTAGCATATTTCAAGTTTTTCATTAGGTCATAGGACTATTGCTTTCTTTCTTAGCTTGTTAGCCTTTTGGAGGTAACAGAGAAGAGTCGTTAAAAGGGGAAACCACTCTATTTGAGTAGCAGCTGGAACAAGCAAGGCATTTTCTTTATACTAGAAGGCAGTGTTCTGGTTAGTAGCAACTCTTCCACTCATTGTGGTATTCTGGGGCCAGCTTGCTCTAGTATCCTTAAGTTATTTGCTTGCATAATAAAATAAAAAACATCCATCCTATGGCACTCTGTGGGCAGTGTTGTTATTGCCTCTGCTGGAGTAGTTTCTTGAAATCTAAATATTTTTCAGTATTAGTATCTTGGTACAAATACTTCGGATGGTCTCTTTTTAGGGACTGCACTAATTCCAGGCATACTAAACTGTTTACTGTAAGTATGTTGTGAGCTGTACAGTCCTTTCTTAGAAGGCCTTTTTCTAGCCCAGTAGCTATTGTGTTATGTTTACCAGGATTACCTGGGATGTGATTGTTAAAAATTCAGATTCCTCTACCAAAAAATAAAGGCCTATCAATGACAGATTGTATAAAGAAAATGTGGTACATTTATACCATGGAATACTATGTGGCTGTAAAAGAGAATGAGATTATGTCTTTTGCTGGAACATGGATGGTGCTGGAGGCCGTTATCCTTAGCAAACAAACACAGGAACAGAAAACCAAATACCACATGTTCTTACTTATAAGTGGGAGCTGGATGATGAGACCCTGCAAACAAACACAAAAAGGGGAACAACAGACACTGGGGCCTGCTTGAGGGTGGAGGGTAGGAGGAGGGAGATGAGCAGAAAAAATAACTATTGGGTACTATGCTTAGGACCTGTGTGACAACATAAGCTGTACAATAAACTTCTGTGATAGGAGTTTACCTGTGTAACAAACCTGGACATGTACTCCCAACCTAAAATAAAAGTAAAAAATAATTCAGATTCCTAGACCTTATCCTCCTAAATCAGAATGTCTGGGTTACAGCCAAGGAATCTGCATTTCTAACATGTTCTCCATGTTTGAGAACCTCAGTCCGAGGGCATATAGTAGCTAATTCCAGAGCAAGAATTCTCATTCTGGGCTTAGATTTTTTTTTTTTAATACCTTGGTAGGGGTGATTTTTTTTTTTTTTAAAGAGACAAGGTCTCATGCTGTTGCCTAGGCTGGAGTGCAGTGGTTCAATCATGGCTCACTGCAGCCTCAAACTTCTGGGCTCAAGCGATTCTCCTGCCTCCACTTCCCAAGTAGCTGGGACCACGGGCATGCACCACCATGCCCAGCTAATTCTGCAATTTTTTTTGTAGAGACAGTGTCTCACTATATTGCCCAGGCTGGTCTTGAACTCCTGGATTCAAGCAATCCTCCCACCTTGGCCTCCCAAAGTGCTGGGATTACAGGCATGAGCCAAGGTGCCCAGGCTAGATCATTATTTCTCAACCCTGGTTACATATTAGAATCACGTGGGATGGTTAAAATATAATATGCCCGGGCTCTACCCCCAATTAGTTAAATCATAATCTTGGCAGGGTAAGGATTTTTTTTAAGGTTGCAAATGTTTCTAATGTGTAGCTATAATTAGAATTTCTGGTCTAAACCTGGGAACCAAAGGGTTGTTCTCAGGTGTTGATAAACTTGCTGAAACTGCATAATATTAAAAAATTGGAGTGGCTGCCTCATTCATAATGTATTCCCTTCTTCGAGAGGAGTCTTTATTTACAGCATGAGAATCAGGTGGCCAGAGCCCATCAATTCAGCTTAAACATCCAACCCAATGAATCCATCAAATCTATCAGCATCTTTGCCCTGGAGCCTTGCTTTTATTTTTCCATTTTTTCATTTCTATTTTTTCTTTATTAAACTCTTTCTCAAAATAAACATAGCTTTATTTTTTGTATTAAAATAATACAAATTAATAGAAATGAATTCAGACAATACAAAAAATTATAAAGTAAAAATAAAGTATACATTTAATTCCATGATCCAGAGAGAAATCTTATCAATATTTAAAAATTTATATTCACTTTTTATTCAAAAACACACAACATAAAATTTACCATCTTTACCATTTTTAAGTGTATGGTTTAGTACTAATAAACACATTCACGTTGTTGTCAAACAGATCTCCAGAACTTTTTAATCTTGCAAATCTGAAACTCCCTTTTGGTATTTTTAAATACTTTTTAAAATTTGATATTCTCATTTTGTTTATGCATCATTTTACTGATTTTATTAAGTTGTCTAGCTGTGTTCTCTTTTGGCTCATTGAGTATCTGATGACAGTAATTTTACATTCTTTGTCAGACATCTCATGGATATATGTTTCTTTAGGGTTGGTTTCTGGACTTTCATTTTATTCCTTGGATTGGGCCATATTCCATATTTCTCATGTTTCTTTTTGTATGCCTTGTGATCTTTGGTGGGGAATGGGGGAAAAGGGATTAAGACTTGGGTATTTGACTCACTCAAAACTGCTCAACTACATGGAAACTGAACAACCTGCTCCTGAATGACTACTGGGTACATAACAAAATGAAGGCAGAAATAAAGATGTTCTTTGAAACCAGTGAGAACAAAGACACAATATACCAGAATCTCTGGGACACATTCAAAGCAGTGTGTAAAGGGAAATTTATAGCACTAAATGCCCACAAGAGAAAGCAGGAAAGACCTAAAATTGACACCCTAACATCACAATTAAAAGAACTAGAAAAGCAAGAGCAAACACATTCAAAAGCTAGCAGAAGGCAAGAAATAACTAAGATCAGAGCAGAACTGAAGGAAATAGAGACACAAAAAACCCCTCAAAAAATCAGTGAATCCAGGAGCTGGTTTTTTGAAAAGATCAACAATATCTATAGACTGCTAGCAAGACTAATAAAGAAGAAAAGAGAGAAGAATCAAATAGACAATAAAAAATGATAAAGGGGATATCACCACAGATCCCACAGAAATACAAACTACCATCAGAGACTACTATAAACACCTCTATGCAAATAAACTAGAAAATCTAGAAGAAATGGACAAATTCCTGGACAAATACACCCTCCTAAGACTAAACCAGGAAGAAGTTGAATCTCTTAATAGACCAATAACAGGCTCTGAAATTGAGGCAATAATTAATAGCTTACCAACAAAAAAAGTCCAGGACCAGATGGATTCACAGCCGAATTCTACCAGAGGTACAAGGAGGGGCTTATACCATTCCTTCTGAAACTATTCCAATCAATAGAAAAAGAAGGAATCTTCCCTAACTCATTTTATGAGGCCAGCACCATCCTGATACCAAAGCCTGGCAGAGACACAACAAAAAAGAATTTTAGATCAATATCCCTGATGAACATTGATGCAAAAATCCTCAATAAAATACTGGCAAACCAAATCCAGCAGCACATCAAGAAGCTTATCCACCATGATCAAGTGGGCTTCATCCCTGGGATGCAAGGCTGGTTCAACATATGAAAATCAATAAACATAATCCAGCATATAAACAGAACCAATGACAAAAACCATATGATTATCTCAATAGATGCAGAAAAGTCCTTTGACAAAATTCAACAACACTTCATGCTAAAAACTCTCAATAAATTAGGTATTGATGGGACATATCTCAAAATAATAAGAACTATCTATGACAAACCCACAGCCAATGTCATACTGAATGGACAAAAACTGGAAGCATACCCTTTGAAAACTGGCACAAGACAGGGATGCCCTCTCTCACCACTCCTATTCAGCATAGTGTTGGAAGTTCTGGCCAGGGCAATCAGGCAGGAGAAGGAAAGAAAGGGTATTCAATTAGGAAAAGAGGAAGTCAAATTGTCCCTGTTTGCAGATGACATGATTGTATATCTAGAAAACCCCATCATCTTAGCCCAAAATCTCCTTAAGCTGATAGGCAACTTCAGCAAAATCTCAGGATACGAAATCAGTGTGCAAAAATCACAAGCATTCTTATACACCAATAACAGACAAACAGAGAGCCAAATCATCAGCAAACTCCCATTCACAATTGCTTCAAAGAGAATAAAATACCTAGGAATCCAACTTACAAGGGATGTGAAGGACCTCTTCAAGGAGAACTACAAACCACTGCTCAATGAAATAAAAGAGGATACAAACAAATGGAAGAACATTCCATGTTCATGGGTAGGAAGAATCAATATTGTGAAAAAGGCCATACTGCCCAAGGTAATTTGTATATTCAATGCCATCCCCATCAAGCTACCAATGAGTTTCTTCACAGAAATGGAAAAAACTACTTTAAAGTTCATGTGATACCAAAAAAGAGCCCGCATTGCCAAGTCAATCCTAAGCCAAAAGAACAAAGCTGGAGGCATCACACTACCTGACTTCAAACTATACTACAAGGCTACAGTAATGAAAACAGCATGGTACTGGTACCAAAACAGAGACATAGACCAATGGAACAGAACAGAGCCCTCAGAAATAACGCCTCGTATCTACAACCATCTGATCTTTGACAAACCTGACAAAAACAAGCAATGGGGAAAGGATTCCCTATTTAATAAATGGTGCTGGGAAAACTGGCTAGCCACATGTAGAAAGCTGAAACTGGATCCCTTCCTTACACCTTATATAAAAATTAATTCAAGATGGATTAAAGACTTAAATGTTAGACCTAAAACCATAAAAACCCTAGAAGAAAACCTAGGCAATACCATTCAGGACATAGGTATGGACAAGGATTTCATGTCTAAAACACCAAAAGCAATGGCAACAAAAGCCAAAATTGACAAATGGGATCTAATTAAACTAAAGAGCTTCTGCACAGCAAAAGAAACCACCATCAGAGTGAACAGGCAACCTACAGGATAGGAGAAAATTTTTGCAATCTACCCATCTGACAAAGGGCTAATATCCAGAATCTACAATGAACTCAAAGAAATCTATAAGAAAAAAAATAAACAGCCCCATCAAAAAGTGGGCAAAGGATATGAACAGACACTTCTCAAAAGAAGACGTCTATGCAGCCAACAGACACATGAAAAAATGCTCATCATCACTGGCCATCAGAGAAATTCAAATCAAAACCACAATGAGATACCATCTCACACCAGTTAGAATGGTGATCATCAAAAAGTCAGGTAACAACAGGTGCTGGAGAGGATGTGCAGAAAGAGGAACACTTTTACACTGTTGGTGGGACTGTAAACTAGTTCAACCATTGTGGAAGTCAGTGTGGCGATTCATCAGGGATCTAGAACTAGAAATACCATTTGACCCAGCCATCCCATTACTGGGTATATACCCAAAGGATTATAAATCATGCTACTATAAAGACATATGCACACGTATGTTTATTGTGGCACTATTCACAATAGCAAAGACTTGGAACCAACCCAAATGTCCAACAATGATAGACTGGATTAAGAAAATGTGGCACATATACACCATGGAATACTATGCAGCCATAAAAAAGGATGAGTTCATGTCTTTTGTAGGGACATGGATGAAGCTGGAAACCATCATTCTCAGCAAACTATCACAAGGACAAAAAACCAAGTACCACATGTTCTCACTCATAGGCGGGAATTGAATGATGAGAACACATGGACACAGGAAGGGGAACATCACACACTGTGGCCTGTTGTGGGGTGGGGGGAGGGGGGAGGGATAGCATTAGGAGATATACCTAATGTTAAATGACGAGTTAATGGGTGCAGCACACCAACATGGCACATGTATACATGTGTAACAAACCTGCATGTTGTACACATGTGCCCTATAACTTAAAGTATAATAATAAAAAAAAAGACTTCGGTATTTGAAACAAACAAACAAACAAACAAACAAACAAACAAACGTGACTTCTCCAAGTCTCTATGAACTGACTTCATGTAGGAGAAGACCTTGACTGATCAACCCTAATACAGACTCTCTCTAGGACCTTTCAAACCTTTTCTGAGGATGTATCTTCTCTGCGTTTGTGTGTACTTTTTGTCATCTACAGTTCCCTAAGAAGCATATCTCTGCTTTTTCTCAGAAGCCTGTAGTATCTTTCTTTGCCTTGTGTCTGCTTGAGGAACTGCTCCTCTAACACATCATGGTTATCCTGTCCTCAGCAGCTTCCAAAGTCGCCGGTCCCATCAGTGATCTGAGTCAGGCAAGACAGATAGCAGTTCTTCAGGCATCCCTCAGATTAACCAGAGCTGTGGATGTTTGGTCTACCCTTTTGTTTCGGTCCTGAGGAAGAATCCTTGGTGTGGGAGGTTTTCTCTTGGTTGTGCTATGCTAGGCTGGATCGGGAAATGACAAGGATGGGTGTACAAAATGTTCCTATCCTTTTTTGCTGGAATTCCTTATTGGTTTTATGTTCGTCAGGGTGCTATAATATTCTTGTCTGGTCTCCAAAGTTCTCATGAAGGTGTTCTGGTCTGTTTATTGTTGTTAACTTAGTGTTATTGTGAGAGAATGAGAGCCTAATGCTCCCTGCTTCTCCAATTGCTGACATTCTTATTAACACTTTGATGTGTGCTTTCCATATTTTTCTATGCATATATAAAAATATGATTATATTATACATATTGTTTTGTAATCCTTAAACAATGTGGAAACTTAAAGATAATGGACTAGAAGCGCTCATGTGTGCTACTCTCAAGGAGAGAAAACAAAAGGGCAAGTAAACACTGACTCTGCAGGTGGATCATCTGAGAAAACACTTTGGGATCCATCAAGGCAGAAGGGGGACATAGAGAGCAGAGAGGAGCAAAGCTGTGCACCAGCCTTTCTGGGTCAGCTTGGAGCCAGGAGAACCTCTCTAACATGGGAAAGGGCAAATGACTGAGATCTTCCCTCGGGATTCACACTGTCTGCAGGGACCTGTGAAACACTGGGAATGAGATAATCACCCTGCCCCCTACTCCCATACTCCCACCATGCTTCTAGAGTGAGGCAGTGAGCAACCCAAATGTTTTGTGGGAGCAACTCGTGAGTACAGGGGGACCTCTGCAAGCCTTGGGCCCTGGAGCAGATCAGCACCAGAGCCATAGATTCAATAGAGGCCATAGTCATGATGCCTGGGAGCAGTATGATTGCTCAACACCCCCTCATTGGACAAGGCTTGGCACCAGATTCTGGCCCAGGAGTCCCATAGCTGCCTCAACTCAGCCAGCAGCTGCAGCCTCCTGCTGTCCCAGGAAGCACCCACACAGCAGTGAACCCGCCCCTGTCACTGATAGCCAGGCAGGCATCATATGTAGAGCTCCCAGCCCAGTAGTCCTGCTTCTGTGTGAATTCAGCTGGAGGGCACAGCCTCCTGTTGTACCAGGAAGCACCTGAATGGCAGGTCATGTGACTCCACCCATGACTGCTACAGGTAGCCAGGCAGACAATACCGGCTAGAGCTCCAGGCCCAGCATTCCCACTTCTGTGTGAACTCAGCTGGCAGGAGCAGCTTCCTGTTGTCCCAGGAAGCACCCAGATTGCAGAGTGGGCAACCCCACCGCCCTGCCACCGGCAGCAAGGTAGGCAATGCCTGCTACAGCTTCCATCCCAGTGGTCCTGTTTCTGTGTGAACTCAGTCAGTGGGTGCAGCCTCTTGTCCCAGGAAGCACCTGGACTGCAGGGTGGTCAACCCCACTCACTCTCACCACTGGTAGCCGGGTGAGCAACACCTATTAGATCTTCTAGCCCAGTGGTCCTATTTCTGCCTGAATTTTCTGAGAGGCACAGCCTTGTGTTGCCCTGGAAACACATGAAGTCCAGGGCAGGCAACTCCACCAAACCCTGCCTTTTATAGCCAGATGGGCCACACCCACTGTAGTTTCCAGCCCAGTGGTCCTGCTTCTGCTTGAACTCTGCAGGCAGGTACAACCGTGTGTTCCCCTGTAAAGCACTTCAATAGTCAATTAGGGCTGACCTGGCAAGGATATGGCCTTTCTGCCAAATGTGGCCCCTGTCTGAGGGAACTCTGTGGACCAGAACACCCAACAAAAGAAACTCAGGCATGGAGACAGAAATTGGAAGGGGGGCTCCTCCAAGATCCAGGAGTGGTCTAGAATTGAAGCCAGTTGACTGAGCCTACCTTACACCATGATCAAGCCCCTGATGGCATCAAAAGAGACAAAATTTTTAAACAGACCATCCAAAGGACAGCAACCTCAAAGACTGAAGGAACATCAGTCCACATAGATGAGAAAGAACCAGTGCAAGAACTTTAGCAACTCTAAAAGACAGTGTCTTCTTACCTCTGTACTAGTTCTTAAGGAATTGTTCTTAACTAGGCTGAAATGGCTGAAGTATCAGAAATAAAATCAGAATATGTATAGGAACAAAGATCATTGACATCCAGGAGAAAGTTGAAAGCCAATCCAAGGAATCCAAGCAATCCAATAAAGCGATACAGGTGATAAAGGATAAAACGGCCATTTTAAGAAAGAATCAAACTAAACTGATAGAGCCAAAAAACTCACTTTAAGAATTTTGTAGTACAATTGCAAGTATTAACAGCAGGCTTGACCAAGCTGAGGAAAGAATCTCAGAGCTTGAAGACTAGTTCTCCAAAATAACGCAGTCAGACAAAAATAAAGAAAAAAACAATAAAGAAGAATGAAAAAAAACCTCTGAGAAATATAGGATTATGTAAAGAGACCCAATTCATGTCTCCTTGGTGTCCCTGAAAGAGAGGGACAGAAAGCAAGCAACTTGGAAAACATATTTGAGGATATCTTCCATGAAGATTTCTCCCAACTTTGCTAGAGAGGTCAACATTCAAATCCAGGAAGAGCAGATAATCCCTGGGAGATATTATACGAGATGACCATTCCCAAGACACACAGTCATCAGATGCTCCAAGATTGAAATGAAAGAAAAAATGTTAAAGGCAGCTAGAGAGAAGGGGTAGGTAACTCACAAAGGGAACCCTATTGGGCTAACAGCAGACTTTTCAGCAGAAACCTTATAAGCCAAAAGAGATTGGGGTCCCACATTCAGCATTCTTAAAGAAAAGAAATTCCAACCAAGGATTTCATATCCAGCCAACTAAGCTTCATAAGTGAAGGAGAAATAAGATCCTTTTCAGACAAACAGATGCAAATGGAATTTGTTACCACCAGACCTACCTTACAAGAGGTCCTTGAGGGAGTGTTAAATATGGAAAAGAAAGACTGTCACCAGCCACCACAAAAACACATTTAGGAACATAGACCACTGACACTATAGAGTAGCCACACAATGAAGTCTGCATAAAAACCAGCTAACAACATGATGACAGGATCAAATCTGCACATATCAATATTAAATTTGAATGTAATGGGCTAAATGCCCCACGTAAAATGCAACAGACTGGCAAGTTGGATACAGAAGCAAGACCCAATTCTATGCTGCCTATAAGAGACCTGCCTCACATGCAATGACACCCATAAACTAAACATAGCAAGATGGAGAAAAATCTACCAAGAGAATGGAAAACAGAAAAAAGCAGGGGTTGCTATTCTAATTGCAGACTTCAAACCAGCAATGATAAAAAAGACAAAGAAGGGCATTACATAATGGTAAATGGTTCAATTCAACAAGAAGACCTAACTATTCTAAATATATGTGCACCCAATACTGAAGCAACCAGATTCATAAAGCAAGTTCTCAGAGACCTACAAAGAGACAGATAATGACACTATAATTGTGGGAGGTTTTGACACCCTACTGACAGTATTAGACAGATAATTGAGGTAGAAAACTAACAAAGATATTAGGGATCTGAACTTGACATTTGACCAAATGGGCCTAACAGACATGTACAGAACTCTCACTCAAAAACAAAAGAATATACATTCTTCTTATCTGCACATGGCACATACTCTAAAATCAGCTACACAATTGGCCATAAAACAATCCTTGGCAAATTCAAAAAGCAAAATCATACCAAACACACTCTCAGACCACAATAAAAATAGAAATCAACATTAAGAAAATTGATCAAAACCAGTTACATGGAAATTAAATAACCTGCTCCTGAATGACTTTTGGGTAAACAATGAAATTAAGGCAGAAATCAAGAAATCCTTTGAAAATAATGAGAGCAAAGATACAACGTACCAGAATCACTGGGACACAGCTGAAGCAATTTTAAGAGGGAAGTTAATGGTGCTAAAGGCCCATATTAAAAAGTTAGAAAGATCTCAAATTAACAATATAACAACACACCAGAAGAACTGGAGACCAAAATCAAACCAACCCCAAAGCTAGCAGAAGCCAAAAAAATTAACCAAAATCAGAGCTGAACTGAAGGAAATTGAGATGCATACAAAAGATCAATGAATCCAGGACTTTGTTATTTGAATGGATAAAGAAGATTGATAGATAACTAGCTAGATTAATAAAGAAAAAAGAGAAGATCTGAAAAAACACATGTAGAAATGTCAAAGAGGATATTACCACCGACCACAAAAATACAAAAAAATCTCGCAGATGACTATGAACACCTCTATGCTCACAAACTAGAAAACCTAGAAAAAATGTATAAATTCCTGGAAACATACAACCTCCCAAGATTGAACCAGGAATAAATTAAATCCCTGAACAGACCAATAATGAGTTCTGACATTGAATTAGTAATAAAAATCCTGCCAACAAGAAGCCCAAGACCAGAGAGTTTCATAGCCAACTTCTATCAGCTGTGTAAAGAAGAGCTGGTGACCAGGTGCAGTGGTTCATGCCTGGAGCACTTTGGGAGGCTGAGGAGGGTGTATCGTTTGAGGCCAGGAGTTTGAGAACAGCCTGGCTGACATGGCAAAAGCCCGTTTCTACTGAAAATACAAAACTTAGCTGGGCACAGTGGGTCGTGCCTGTAATCTCAGCTACTCAGGAGACTGAGGCAGGTGAATCATTTAAGCCCAGGAGGCAGAGGTTGCAGTGAGCCGAGAATGTGCCATTGCACTCCAGCTTGGCCAACAGAGAGAGATTCTGACTCAAAAAAAAAAAAAAGCTGGTATTATTCTTACTGAAGCTATTCCAAAAAATCAAGGAGGAAGGACTCCACCCTAGTTCATTCTATGAGGCCAGCATCATTCTGATATGAAAACATGGTAGAGACACAACAAAAAAGGAAAACTTCAGGCCAATATCATTGATGAACATAGATGCAAAAATCCTCAATAAAATACTAGCAAACTGAATTCAGCAGCATATCAAAAAGTGAATCCATCATGATCAAGTAGGCTTATCCCTGGGAAGAAAGGTTGGTTCAACATATGCAAATCAATAAATGTTATTCAACACATAATCAGAACTAAAAACAAAAACCATGTGATTATCTCAATGGATGCAGAAAAGGCTTTTAATAAAATTTTCAACATCCCATCATGTTAAAACCCTCAACAAATTAGGCCTTGAAGGAACATACCTGAAAATAATAAGAGCTATCTAGGACAAACCCACAGCTGACATCTTACTGAACTGGCAAGAGCTGGAACCATTCCCCTTGAGAACCAGAACAAGACAAGGATGCCTACTGTCACTACTCTTATTCAACATAGTATTGGAAGCCCTAGCCAGAGCAGTTGACCAAGAGAAATAAATAAAAGGCATTCAACTAGGAATAGAGGAAGTCAAACTATCTCTCTTTGCAGACAATATGATTCTATACCCAGAAAACTCCATGGTCCCTCCCCAAAAGCTCCTAGGTCTGGTTAACAACTTCAGCAAAGTTTCAGGGTACAAAACAAATGGATAAAAATTAGTAGCATTTCTATACACCAACAACGTCCAAGCTGAGAGCCAAATCAAAAACACAATCCCAGGCCAGGTGCAGTGGCTCAGGCCTGTAATCCCAGCACTTTGGCAAGCCAAGGCAGGAGGATCACTAGAACCCAAGAGTTTGAGACCAGCCTAGGCTGAACGTAGCAAGAACTTGTTCCTAAAAATATAAAAGTTAGCTATGCATGGTGACACACACCTGTAGTTCCAGCTATTTGGGAGGTTGAGGTGGGAGGATCACTTGGGCCCAGGAGCTTGAGGCTGCAGTGAGCCACGATCACTCTGTGCTCCAACCTGGGTGACAGAGCAAGACCGTGTCTCAACAAAACAAAAATGCAATCTCATTCACAATAGCCACAAAATGAGTAAAATGCCCAGGAATACAGCTAATCAGGGAGGTGAAAGATCTGTACAATGAGAATTACAAAACACTGCTCAAAGAAATGAGAGCTGACGCAAACAAATGGAAAAACATTTCATACTCATGGATAGGAAGAATCAATATTGTTAAAGTGGCCATGCTTCCCAAAGCAATTTACAGATTCAGTGCCATCCCTATCTGATTACCAATGACATTCTTTGCAGATTTAGAAAAAACTATTTAAAAATTCGTGTGGAACCAAAAAAGAGCTGAAATAGCCAAGGCAATCCTAAGTAAAAAGAACAAAGCTTCAGGCATCACATTACCTGATTTCAAACTGACTTCAAATTATACCACAAGGCTACAGTAACAAAAAAAAAAGCATGGTACTGGTACAAATGCAGACACATAGACCAATGGCACAGAATAAAGAGCCCAGAAGTAAAGGCACACTCTTACAACAATCTGATCTTCAACAAAGTCAACAAGAATGAGCAGTGGGGAAAGGACTCCCTGTTCAATAAATGATGCTGGGATAACTGGCTAGGCATATGTGGAAGATTGAAGCTAGACCCCTTCCTAACACCATATGCAAAAATCAACTGAAAATGGATTAAAGACTTAAATGTAAAACCTGAAACTATAAAAACCCTGGAAGATAACCTAGGAAACACCATTCTGGACATAGACTCTGGAGATGGTTTTGTGATGAAGACTCTGAAAGCAATTGCAACAACAAAAAAATTGACAGGGACCTAATTAAATGAAAGAGCTTTTGGACCACAAAAGAAACTAACAACAGAGTAAAAGATGAACTACAGAATGGGAGAAAATATTTGCAAACTATGCATCTGACAAAGGTCTAATATCCGGAAACTGTAAGTAACTTAAACAAATCAACAAGCAAAAAACAAGCAACCCCATTAAAACATGGGCAAAGGACATGAGCAGACACTTCTCAAAAGAAGACCTACACATGGTCAACAAGCATATGAAAAAATGCTCAATATCAGTAATCATTACAGAAATGCAAATCAAAACTACAATAAGATACCATCTCACACCAGTCAGAATGGCTATTATTAAAAAGTCAAAAAGTAACATGCTGGCAGGGCTGTGGAGAAAAAGGAATGCTTATACACCATTGATGGGAAAGTAGATTATTTCAGCCATTGTGGAAAGCAGTGTGGCAATTTCTCAAAGAATTTAAAACAGAATTACCATTTGATCCAGCAATCCCATTAATGGGTATATTCCCAAAGGAATATAAACCATTCTGCCATAAAAATACATGAATACATATTTTGTTGCAGCACTATTCACAATAGCAAAGACATAGAATCAACCTAAAGGCCCATCAATGCTAGACTGAATAAAGAAAGTGTGGTATACATATGCCATGGAATACCACACAGCCAAAAAAAGAATGGGATTATGAAATCATGTCCTTTACAGCATCGTGGAGAGAGCTGGAGGCCATAATCCTAAGTGAAACTAACACAGAAACAGAAAACTAAATACTGCATGTTCTCACATATAAGTGGGAGCTAAACCTTGGGTACGTATGGACACAAAGAAGGGAAAAACACATTGGGACCCTCTTGAGGCTGGAGGGTGGGAGGAAGGAAAGGATAAAAAAACTATCCATCAGGCACTATGCTTATTACCTGGGTAACAAAATAATCTGTGCACCAAACCCCTGTGACATGCAATTTACCTATATAACAAATCTGCACAGGTACCCCTAACCCCCCCAAAAAATTAAAAAATAACATAGGCATTTTCTTTACAGTAGATATTGATGTTCGTTATTATTTTAGATTTGGATAACAACATTCCATTATATGGCTGTACCATAATTTAATGAATTAGCTATTTAGAATTTAGCAAACATGCCTTCTAGTTTTTCACTTTCAGTAACACTATGATGAATATCATTCTACCATAAAAAGGGAGGAAATTCTGATGTGCTACAACATGGATGAACCTTGAGGACATTGTGCTAAGTGAAATCACCCAGTCACACAAAGATAAACACTGTACGAGTCTACTTATATGAGGCACCTAGACTAGTCAAATTCATAGAGAGAGAACGCAGAGGGGTGATTACCAAGAGTTGTGTGGAGGTAGGAATGGGAGGTGTTAATAGCGATGGGTGCAACAACTATATGAATGTACTTTGTGCCACTGGACTGTACACTTAAAAATGGTTAAAATAGCAAATTTTATGCCATGTATATTTTACCCCAATTTAAAACATTACTAGGGTCATCTCCAAAGGACATAAGAGATGCTTAGAAAGGGCAATTTGACAATCAAAAAGAATAATTATTGCAGTAAGTTAATATATGTATATGCCATCTTAAAATTGATAAGTTTATGATGCTAAAAAATTCTCACTTATTAATCATTTTTGGATACTGCTAGGAAACTAATTAGCTCATTATTCTGCCAACTGGTAAATAAAGGTAAAATAACTTTTTTTAAAAAAAAGTTATGTGTAGGGACAAATACCATTTGCAGCTAGTTTGAAGGATCTGTCTTTTTGGCCTTCATGTTTTGGTATTTATTTTCACTGAAACCTGGCTATTTCCTTGTATGTAGGTCTTTTGCCAGCCTAACAGATGAGGTTAGATATGGCCACTCAAAAGAAAAATGATCAAACATCAAATGTGTTTTTTGTGGGGCATGAATCTCAGCCAGGAATGCAAAAATGACCTTTTTCTTGATCTGTAGCTGTAGTTGTTGAGACAATATTATATTATTACTTTTGTCAGAATAGGATTAAATCTGATTTCCTGAAAATGGAATTTAGAACACTAAAGTTGGAGATTATTTAAGTTGGAATTTGAGTAGTATACAACATGATATTATGAACATATGCATAAAATATTGATTTTCTTCTAGGATTTGTTTGCATTTGCTATAGAACTTTATTTAAAATTGTTGACTAGATCTCTCTCCATGAACAAAATCACCTAAAATTGTAAAGAGCACCAACAGCTAGTTGTATTTTATTTAATGTCCATTTTATTGATATTATACTTTTTTTTTTCAAGAGAAGGACCTGTCCTTTCTTTTCTTTTTCTTTTTTTAATTATTATTATACTTTAAGTTTTAGGGTACATGTGCACAATGTGCAGGTTTGTTACATATGTATACATGTGCCATGTTGGTGTGCTGCACCCATTAACTTGTCATTTAGCATTAGGTATATCCCCTAATGCTATCCCTTCCCCCTCCTCCTACCCCACAACAGTCCCCAGTGTGTGATGTTCCCCTTCCTGTGTCCATGTGTTCTCATTGTTCAATTCTCACCTATGAGTGAGAACATGCGGTGTTTGTTTTTTTGTCCTTGCAATAGTTTGCTGAGAATGATGGTTTCCAGCTTCATCCACGTCCCTACAAAGGACATGAACTCATCCTTTTTTATGGCTTCATAGTATTCCATGGTGTATATGTGCCATATTTTCTTAATCCAGTCTATCATTGTTGGACATTTGGGTTGGTTCCAAGTCTTTGCTATTGTGAATAGTGCCACAATAAACATACTTGTGCATGTGTCTTTATAGCAGTAAGATTTATAATCCTTTGGGTATATAACCAGTAATGGGATGGCTGGGTCAAATGGTATTTCTAGTTCTGGATCCCTGAGGAATCGCCACACTGACTTCCACAATGGTTGAACTAGTTTACAGTCCCAGCAACAGTGTAAAAGTATTCCTATTTCTCCACATCCTCTCCAGCACCTGTTGTTTCCTGACTTTTTAATGATCACCATTCTAACTGGTGTGAGATGGTATCTCATTGTGGTTTTGATTTGCATTTCTCTGATGACCAGTGATGATGAGCATTTTCTCATGTGTTTTTTGGCTGCATAAATGTCTTCTTTTGAGAAGTGTCTGTTCATGTCCTTCGCCCACTTTTTGATGGGGTTGTTTGTTTTTTTCTTGTAAATTTGTTTGAGTTCATTGTAGATTCTGGATATTAGCCCTTTGTCAGATGAGTAGATTGCAAAAATTTTCTCCCATTCTGTAGGTTGCCTGTTCACTCTGATGATAGTTTATTTTGCTGTGCAGAAGCTCTTTAGTTTAATTAGATTCCATTTGTCAATTTTGGTTTGTGTTGCCATTGCTTTTGGTATTTTAGACATGAAGTCCTTGCCCATGCCTATGTCCTGAATGGTATTGCCTAGGTTTTCTTCTAGGGTTTTTATGGTTTTAGGTCTAACATTTAAGTCTTTAATCCATCTTGAATTAATTTTTGTATAAGGTGTAAGGGAGGGATCCAGTTTCAGCTTTCTACATATGGCTAGTCAGTTTTCCCAGCACCATTTATTAAATAGGGAATCCTTTCCCCATTGCTCATTTTTGTCAGGTTTGTCAAAGATCAGATGGTTTAGATATGCGGCATTATTTCTGAGGGCTCTGTTCTGTTCCATTGGTCTATGTCTCTGTTTTGGTACCAGTACCATGCTCTTTGGGTTACTGTAGCCTTGTAGTATAGTTTGAAGTCAGGTAGTGTGATGCCTCCAGCTTTGTTCTTTTGGCTTAGGATTGACTTGGCAACGTGGGCTCTTTTTTGGTTCCATATGAACTTTAAAGTAGTTTTTTCCAATTCTGTGAGGAAAGTCATTGGTAGCTTGATGGGGATGGCATTGAATCTATAAATTACCTTGGGCAGTATCGCCATTTTCATGATATTTATTCTTCCTACCCATGAGCATGGAATGTTCTTCCATTTGTTTGTATCCTCTTTTATTTCATTGAGCAGTGATTTGTAGTTCTCCTTGAAGAGGTCCTTCACATCCCTTGTAAGTTGGATTCCTAGATGTTTTATTCTCTTTGAAGCAATTGTGAATGGGAGTTCACTTATGATTTGGCTCTCTGTTTGTCTGTTATTGGTGTATAAGAATGCTTGTGATTTTTGCACATTGATTTTCTATCTTGAGACTTTGCTGAAGTTGCTTATCAGCTTAAGGAGATTTGTAAAGAACACCAACAGTTAATTATATTTTATTTAATGTCCATTTTATTGATATTGTACATTTTTAAAACAATTAACATTCCTTCAAACATTAAGCATAAAGAATTAATATTCCTCTACATAGTTACATGCTCTTAAAATGAATAAGTCAAAACTTATACATTTAAGAAATGAATTACCCAAATGCTTAAGCATTGATTGCAAACTTAATCAAACCCTTCTAAACATCAAATAAAATTACAAATCTAATCTATCTAATACTTCACACACATTAAAAAGCAAAAAAAAAAAAGCACAGCAGTGTAGCAACAATTACAAAACTGATTATATTTACTAATACCAGTTACAAATGTGCTAATGCCATGGATGGATAAATTGATTGATTGATTTTATCTTCCTGTGATTGTATTCCTTAGGATTGCAGAGAGTTTTATAAGACCTAATAGACAAAACAACAACAACAAAGAAAACACCTCCTCAGACTAGCTGAGGTTGCAGGATACAGTTTTCAAGAAATTGATTCTTGGTTAGGACCCAGCATTCGTTGTGCAGGCCAAGACTTTTAAACATGAACGAGGCTCAGTGCTTTTTTTGTAAGTCAGTTTCCCTTTTTATATAAATGAGACTTTTAAGTCCATGTCTTTCACAAGACTTTTAGTTCCTGAAGCTTTATGTATTCCCAAGAAGTGATATATTCTCTAACTTTCGCATGTTCTGCATTTCCAAGCTTATATATCCATTATGACCTGATTTCTCAGTACAACTGCAAATTTATGGGTGTCTTGCACTATATCTAACAAGGTCATCCAGAGTTTTTACAGCTAGAAGTGAATGAGGAATTAGTCTCATCTTTGGGACATTGACTAATCGATCACATTGGAATAATTACTTGTCACCACCAATATTGATGAACTGCTAGATGCTGTTTTTATCTGGGTATTTCACAGTTCACTGAGGTTCTGCTCTCTTTTAAAAATATCTTTTTTCTCTGTTTTTCAGATGGATGATTTCTATTTTATTTTCTTGTTTATTCTGACATCTTCAACCTATTGTTAAACCCATCCCATGAATTTTGAATTTCAGGTATTATACTTTTGTCCTAGATTTGTTATTCCCTTCTTTTTCTTTTATGTTTTCTATTTTGCTGCCAAGATATTCTCTCTTTGCATCACTTATGGGTATATTTTCTTCTGCGTCGTAGAATATAGTCATTGCAGCTGCTTTAAAATCTTTGCGAATTCTAACCTTTGGCTTATCTCAGAGTTAGTATCTGCTGATTGTCTTTTCTTTTAAGTATAGGTCACATTTTCCTGTTTGTTTGTATATCAGAGAATTTTGGAATGTGCCCTGGATATTGTAAATGATCTATTATATAGATTCTGGATTCTGTTATGCTATCACAAAAAGTGTTGTTGTTTTGTTTGTACAGGCAGTTAACTTAATAAACTCAAACTGCAAACTCTGTCTTCCCTGTTCTGCTCTAACCTGGAGCTGGGCTGTGCAAGTGTGATTCAGAGGTTGTCAAGGGATTTGGACAGAATTTGCCTCTCTGGCTCTCTCCTTTCTGATATTTCCCTTCTCATTTTCCAACTACTGTTTCTTCCCAATCTCAGCTATCTTTTTCTTCAAGCTAGTAATACTTAAAATTGTTTTTTAACTCCCTGGTTTAGCCACCCCACGTGGTATAGATTGATACCTCTCCTCAAGGCTAACAATCATAAAAATGGGAATCTCATTCCGTGTCTTCCCATCTTCCATGTGTCCATCCCCTTCTACTATGTTCCTGCCTTTGTTTGTTCTTTTCTACCTTCAGGTAGTTGCTTTTATATTTCATCTAGAGTTTATAGTTGTTATTTGTAGGAAGTTTTAGGTTTTCTTTTTATGATTCACTGTCCTCTCTATGTCCATAAAGTTCATGCTAGAATCAAATGGTATCCTACATTTAAAGTTATTTAAGGGAAGCGATTGTAATAATTTGCTTCACTTGATCTCACCAAATATTTTGTGCATTATGAGGAAAGATGGGAGCACAATGGCTTTGTCTGAAATTCTCACTCTCCTATCCTGTGCATGCTGCAGTTAGAACACGAGCATGTGGCAGAACCATCAGGGCAGGACAGCTCTGGCAGCCAGCCGCTTAGAAAGGGCCTCACCAGATGGCAGTCCCATGGTAGAGTCTACCTCAATGTTACAGCAAATTAAGTTTTGTTTTACTAGTGTTTTAGAACTGACCAGCTTAACAAACTCACAAGAGTCCAGTGTGCACCAGAAAGTTAATTTATTGATCTGCAGCAGAGATGTGAATATTTGTGTGTGACATACAAGGTGCTTTGCATCATGGTATCAGTGTTTCTGTAAGCCAGATTACTAATCTGAATGCTGTTCCCTGGTATGGAAATGGGCCACAGAGAGATAAATAATAATTATAATAACAATAACAATACCTGTCATTTGCCTGGTGCTTTAAATTCCTTTTTGTTAATCTTCACAGCAACCTTGGAAAAAAGATATTAGCATTCCTATTTTATAGTTGAAGAAGCTGAAACTCTAAATTTGAGTATCTTTTTTAAGGTCATAAATCCAGAAAACATTGGAGACACTTTTCCTGCAATTTCTCTGAATCAGAAGACTTCTTGATCATCACACTAAAGGGTTTACATTTTGGAGAGAAAAATCAGTCGTGGTCTTCACTGAAAGCACCAGGCTATGCACAATTGATTGTCTTTGGCAGTTTGGGCTGCTATCACAAAGTACATAGCCTGGGGGGCTTATACACAACAGGAATTTATCTCTCATGGTTCTGGAGGCTGGAAGTCTGAGATCAGGGTGCCTGCAGGGTCAGGTTCTGCCGAGGGCCCTCTTCCAGGTTGCAAACTGCTGACTTATTGTATCTTCACATGGTGGAAAGAGAGCCAGGAAGCTCTCCTGTCCCTTCTTATAAGAACACTAATCCCATACCTGAAGGCTTCATCCTCACTACCAAGCTACCTCCCAAAGGGCCCAGCTACAAATACCACCACATTGGCATTAGGTTTTCACATATGAATTTTGTGGAACACAAATTTTGTCTATACCATTGATTTTCGCATTTCTAAGGTCTTTGCTATCTTTTGCCTTTTTCAGCTGTCCGGCCTCAGGGTGTCTTCATGACTGTGGTTTCCTTGTGCAGTGACCGTATGTGTGTGTCAAACAGCCTCAGTGCTTATGGGCTGACCTGCAGGTCTGCTACAGGAATGTATTAGGTGAGTGCAAAAGTAATTGCAGTTTTTGCATTGTTGGAATTTGTTGTTTGATATTGGAATACATTCTTAAATAAATGTGGTTATGTTATACATCATTTTAATGGGCACTTCTCTCTTTATGCTTTTTGCTAATGACTTATTACTTGCTCTTTATTTTAGACTTTGGAAACGATGTTTGACAAAAAGCAAATTTGAGCGATTTTCTTGTTCGAGTTCGAAATGGGTCATAAAGCAACAGAGACAACTTGCAACATCAACAATGCATTGGCCCAGGAACTGCTAACGAACATATACTGCAGTGGTGGTTCAAGAAGTTTTTCAAAGGAGACCAGAGCCTTGAAGATGAGGAGCTTAGTGAAGGGCCATAAGAAGTTGACAATGACCAATTGAGAGAAATCATTGAACCTGATTCTGTTACAACTACAGGAGAAGTTGCCAAAGAACTCAACATTGACCATTCTATAGTTGTTTGTCATTTAAAGCAAATTGGAAAGGTGAAAAAGCTCGATAAGTGCGTGCCTCATGAGCTGAGCGAAAATAAAAGAGAATTATCATTTTGAAGTGTCACCTTCTCTTATTCTATGCAACAATGAACCATTTCTTGATCGGATTGTGACGTGCAGAAAAAGTGGAATTTATATGACAATCAGCGATGACAGGCTCAGTGGCTGTACTGAGAAAAAGCTCTAAAGCACTTCCGAAAGCCAAACTTGCACCAAAAAAAGACACTGTCACTATTTGGTGGTCTGCTCCTGGTCTGATCCACTACAGCTTTCTGAATTCTAGCAAAGCCCTTACATCTGAGAAGTATGCTCAGCAAATCGATGAGATGCACCGAAAACTGCAATGCCTGCAGCTGGCATTGTTCAACAGAAAGGGCCCAATTCTTCTCCATGACAACGCCTGACTGCAAGTCACACAACCAACACTTCAAAAGTTGAATGAATTGGGCTATGACATTTTGCCTTATCCACCATATTCACCTGACCTCTCGCCAACCACCTACCACTTCTTCAAGCACCTTGACAACGTTTTGCAGGGGTCCACAACCAGCAGGATGAAGAAAATGCTTTCCAAGATTTCATTGAATCCTGAAGCATGGACTTTTAAGCTACAGGAATAAACAAACTTATTTCTCGTTGGGAAAAATGTTTTGGTTGTTATGGCTCCTATTTTGATTAATAAAGATGTGTTTGAGCCTTGTTATAATGATTTAAAATTCGTGGTCCAAAACCGCAATTACTTTTGTACCAGCCTAATATTTCAGAGGAAGTGGGGCAGGTTTATATTCTGCCATGTGGGGAATCCTGGATTGCCCCACACTGAACTTGTGAGTTATTCTAGGGATGCTGTCATGTCTCTAGAAATTAGTTCCGGGTAACTGATTGCCTGGTCGGCTGCTTAAAGTGGCTCTGATTTTAAAATACCATGAGGGGATATATTTTTCTTGTTTGAACTCTCAATGCCCAGCTGTTTTAATATAGGTTTTATTCTTATTTAGGTATGGCAAGACCAATGGCTCAAAAGACGACTGCCATTGAAAAGATAGTTTGTTACTCACAGTTCCCAAGAGGAAGAGGCACACCATTCCATGGGGCCAAAGGGAGGATGGGGAAGCACCAGGGTTGGTCAGGTGGCAGAGGGAGTGAAAAAATGTGCAAGAGCCTTTATTATAGTTTCCATGAGCCAGAACAGGTGAGGCAGGGTAAACAGGCTTAGAATTGGTTGGCTTAAATAATTTCAGTGGGCTCTGGGGCATAGGGGCTGTTCCTGGTTGTCTGGTACCTGGCCTTAGGATAATTAGAGAAGGGAAATAGTGGCCCAGAGTGTGAGAGGGCAATGAAGGAGGTGGTGGGAGTAGAGTCTGGATTGGTTGCTTTGCATTTGAAAGATGAGCTCCCAGGTGAGTTGTTTCCCCACTCTAGGAATTGGCTACCCTGGAAAGGGCAGTACCTTCTGGGTCAGCAAGGCCCTAGAAGCCAAAGCATCAGAACCCAGAAAATAAAGGACATGGTTGATAACACTAGCAGAAAGTCATGCTCACCGACTGGTGATGTTCTGAGCATTGACACTGAGAAGATGGGCTCAACAGTGAGCTGCAGTGCTGAGCAGGAAAGACAAGGTCTCCGCTTTCGTGGAGCGGGGCCAATGGAGTACATGAACTTCTTGGGTTTCTTTCACTGCAGATTGAAACTCCACTATTTTCACTAGAACATTTTTTTTGGAGGTGTGTGTGAAAGGGAGGCAGCAGAGGGATCGGTTCCCTATGGGTCCTGCAGCTCATGTGCCATTATAAAGAGTCCTCTGTGCCTTCGGCCCCCATCACAGGGCAGGCAATGAAGTCCTTCGTCCCCTGTGAGATGAGAGGACCCCATGGGTGCTGGGCACTTTGTGAAGTGCTTTCACACGCCTGACTTCCTGTGTCCCTCATGACACCCTCTGAGGTGGGTATCATGTGTGTTCTGGCTCCTCAGATGTGGAAACATAGACTCCAGGAGATGAATAGCTCACCTGAGGTTACCCAACTAGTGGGCCAGGTGGAATTTGAACCTCGCTTTTCTTAGAGCTTGTCAAAGCTACATGCAGTGTTGTTTTCTGGTGTGAGGTCCATCTTGGCTCTGGGAAATCAAAGAAGTTAACTTAGTGAGTTGTACACTTTTTTATCTCCTCTTGCCCTGCTCCCCGAACAGTAGGATAGCATTTTTGCATCTTTCACAGTTGGGAGCATTCTGCTGCCACTTTGGTTGGAGAGTGGGGAGGGGAGGGAGACCTTATGAGGAGTTTTCAATGGGCATCCTCACCCCAGATTTCCAGGTTTATGAGTTTAGGAAGAAAAAGAAATGTAGACATGATATTCACCAAAGCCTCAATACTACCAAGATTTTAGGTGGGAGGTGACGTCACCAGTAGGAAACACCAGTTAGGCTGCCCCCAGCCTTACTGTGTACACGCATGTAGTCTATCCCTGCCTTCCTTTCTGACAGTGGCCAGCAAGTCAGTGAATCAGCTCCAGAATGAGCCATAAGTGAGGATGTTCATGGTTTTTATTCTGCCTATTGTTTTCTGCCTTTCCAGATTTTTATAGAAGTTACTCGGAAGAGAGAAGGCATGCGACAATTTGAGTTTGTCCTTGATGCCTTTGGCTGTGTTTTTGCAGGGCTGTGTCTACATAGATGAAGGGGTCAGTAAGTAGAGAAATTTGAGAGGTTCTAAACACGTCCTGTCCTTTCAGATTCTTACAGGCAGAACCATCCCAGTTGTAACCCTTGTGTCAGCAGTTCTGCTGGCTGAGAGCACAGATGAATATTCAGACTGTTGGCAGGTTTCTTAGTGCACGTCCCTGCCTGGAAACCTGGAAAACGTACCATAGCACTACAGCTTGTAAGCATGATATTCTAGCTTGTCAGGAAAGGTTTTAATAAGAAATGTCAGGCAATTGAAAGTCAAATTCCCTTGCCTGAGGAACTAGAAAATCTGTTTCAGGAAGGAGGCATTCTGCAGAGCCATTCCTGCAGCATGGAAGCTGCCCGAGGCCTGTGGTTCCCTGGCGGCTGTTCGTGCTAAGGGGCCTTACAGGAGATTGGTTTGCTTGCTGCATGCACACTGTCCACTCCCTGCTTCCCTGCAGGTTTTTAGCCTCAGCAGCTCTAGAGTGTGTCTTGGAAATCTGCATTCTTAATAAGTGAGAAAAGCTTAGACAGATGGCTCAGTAAATGCCACAGGCACACCATAATTAGGTCACAGCAGGGCACTATCCTTACAGATACGTTGGGGACATCATATTAACTATATTTTCTTATTTTCTGCTTTTTTTTTTTCTTTGGCATTTGGGGCCTCACTGACCATGGAGAGAGGCTGCCCCTCCCAGGGCTAACTAATTCTTAGCCATAGCAAACAATTTGCCTGCGCACCTGTCTTGGAGATGCAAATCAATCAGTTCTGATTTACGTGCCCACCTCTCTCCTATCAGCAGACTTCTGCAGCCTGGGACTCTCGCCCTCTGCCCTGAAGCACCCAGAGCCAGGCACCAGACAACTAGTGGATATCCCTATACCCCAGAGCCCGCTGACATTATACAAACAATGTAATTCTAAACCGGTTCAGCTGCTAGTTCTGCCTCATCCATTCCTGCCCTAGAAAAATCACAATAAAGGCTTTTCCCATGTGCTCCTCTGGCTCCTGCTGCCTTCTGACAGCTGGTTACTGCCCGGTGGCCTGCCTGGCGTGGTGAGCCGCCTCTTCCTGGGAACTTTGAGTAACAAACTATCTTTTTGTTTTTTAAATTTTATTTTTAATTGACAAATAACAATTGTGTATCTTTGTGGGATACAATGTGACATTATAGTATATGGATTCATTGTGGAATTACTAAGTTAAATCAAACTTTTCAATGGCAATCCTCTCCTATCTTTGGCCTCGCCATAACAGGATCATAAAGCTTGCATTTTTAGAACAGGCATATGGGCAAGCTTACATACCCTCAGGTGGAGACAATAACTGGTCTCTAAAGGCCATTTGTTAATGATAATTAATTTAGGAAGCTTCTATAAGTCATCTTATCAATATTTTTATCATTGAATTAGGTAAGCATGTAGAAAGCGTATAAAAATGTGGATGAAAAGGTTTTGAATAACTTATATGTTAGATGACATGGTCAAGTTTTAAAATAAAAATATCTTGACACATTACATTTATCACTAATACAAATGAGAGAGTAACAGAATAACTGTTGTGAACTCTGTTAAGAAATCAATTGCTTAATGGTAACTTAAACATAGTTCACATAAGAAAGATGTAGAGGTTGTAGGATGTAAATAGTTTTTCTAAAAAGTACAACACAAGGCTGGGCGCGGTGGCTCATGCCTGTAATCCCAGCACTTTGAGAGGCTGATGTAGGCAGATTACTTGAGGTCAGGAGTTTGAGACCAGCCTAGCCAACATGGGGAAACCCCTTCTCTACAAAAAATACAAAAATTAGCGGGGCGTGCTGGCGCATGCCTGTAATCTCAGCTACTCAAGAGGCTGAGGCAAGAGAATCACTCGAACCCAGGAAGTGGAGGTTGCAGTGAGCCAAGATCGCGTCACTGCACTCCAGCCTGGGAGACAGCCAGACTCTGTCTCAAAAAAAAAAAAAAAAAAAAAAAGCGGCCGGGCGCGGTGGCACATGCCTGTAATCCCAGCACTTTGGGAGGCCGAGACGCGCGGATCACGAGGTCAGGAGATTGAGACCATCCTGGCTAACACGGTGAAACCCCGTCTCTACTAAAAATACAAAAAATTAGCCGGGCATGTTGGCAGGCGCCTGTAGTCCCAGCTACTCGGGAGGCTGAGGCAGGAGAATGGTGTGAACTCGGGAGGTGGAGCTTGCAGTGATCTGAGATTGAGCCACTGCACTCCAGCCTGGGCTACAGAGCGAGCCTCCGTCTCAAAAAAAAAAAAAAGCAATACCAAAGTGGGGTTCATTACGACCAGTGATATTGTCTGGGTTAAGGGATCTGCTGGTTTCACGTTGTACACTTACTATTACATCGAAAAGGCTGGATCCATTGTGATCATTACTTAAATGTTTCTTTTTAATTTTAAAAATTTTATTATTTTTTTAAGAGATGGAGTCTTGTTCTATTGCCCAGGCTGGAGTGCAGCAGCATGATCTTAGCTCACTGCAGCCTGGAACTCCTGGACTCAAGTGATCCTCCTGCTGCGGCCTCCCAAAGTGCTGGGATTACTGGCATGAGCCACCGCCCCTGGCCTGATTATTATTTTTAGAGAGCTCCTTATGAATTGGAATGTCTCCATAAAAGGATGACTAGAATTATAATGGGGTGAAAGCCATCAATGAAAATGGAAACCTCAAAAATTCTAAGAGTTATATGTGTAAAGGGGTTGGATTTATTCTGTGAGTTACAAGGCACAGAACTAAGGCCCATTGAGAAATTCATGGAGAATTGGATTTTACCTTCATATGAGAAAGAACTTTGTAATAATTAGTATCGTCAAAAATAAAATGAGCTTTCTAGAATCATAGAAAGTATTCAAACTGAGTAAATAACCACAGTTGGAGATGCACTTTCTGCATTCAGTGGTTGGTTAGACTTGCTTACTTCAAAGGTACATTCTAACTCTAAAATTCAAAGCAAACTGATTTTTTTTTTTTTTTTTTTTGGAGATGGAGTCTCTCTCTGTCGCCCAGGCTGGAGTGCAGCAGAGTGATCTCAGCTCACTGCAACCTCTGCCTCCCGAGTTCAAGTGATTCTCCTGCCTCAGCCTCCCCAGTAACTGGGATTACAGGCATCTGCCACTGCGCCTGGTTAATTTTTGTATTTCTAGTAGGGACAGGGTTTCACCATCTTGGCCATGCTGATCTCGAACTCCTGACCTCATGATCCACCCTTGGCCTCCCAAAGTGCTGGGGTTACAGGCGTGAGCCACCATGCCTGGCCAGCAAACTGATTTTTTTAACACCTTTGAGCCCATGATTTTTTGTATATGAGATAGTATACACCTCATAGGGTTTCACTAGCACATCACTCTCCTTTTTATTATAAAAATATAATAAAATTTAAATGACCATATTATTTTTCTTCAATCACATTAACCATATTTCTTTGGGGGGAAAAAACCTTATATCTGCAGGATAGCACAGGATAAATCTGATTTCTACCCTGAAGCTAGTGTTAAAGACAAAACGGTTAGTGTCTTCCTACTTATTCCCCTCCCTGGGACACACGCTTGGCCTGAGTGGTCAATTTTATCTCATCGTCTAACTGTATGTTCTACAAATGTGACCAATAAGATTAGGGATTGTAGAGAGTGAGGTGAAATGAGGTGCCTTCTAATTTTATTGCTAACTTTTTACTGTTTGAAGATCTTGAAGCTAAACCTCAAAATCTTTGATAAGTTTCTCTTATTTTCAACAAATTGTGGACAAATTAAACTGGCTTTATCACTTTCACAGCTGGGAAAATTGTAAATCTTTTTCCTCCAAATTTTGCTTGACAAGGACTCTTTGTTAACTTAAAAATGAGAGAACAAAGAGACAAATAAAACAGATTCCCAAATTGACCTGGTTATGAGGTGTCATATGAAATAGAATTTGGAAGAGCCCATCACTGATTATATTTTAAATCTATCACTTGCCCCAAACTCCACTATTAACAAATTCCATGTGAGAGCCTCTAAGTTGGACATTGGAAATGAGATTAATGTCACAATAATGGGGAAAGATACCTGTTTATAAATTTTGTGAGCAAAATTGGAGAAATCTAGAATTTTTTATTCTGGTCTTATTCTGGTTTTATAACCCAGGGAACAAAATAGCCTGAACTTATTGGGTCTGATAATGCGTCCTCATTAATATAGTTAATTAGATACTAAAGTTAATTAAAACACCTGATGAATACTTCTTGCCACCTGAATTCCTCATGGTCTATTATAATGGATTATTTTGTTTATTTGTAGTAACTCTAACGGAGTGTCCTCTCTGGATAGACCCAGGATAAGGTCTCTAGGTTATATTTAAACCTTTTACAAGACAACTTTTTAAAGACTAGCCAAAGAAAACAGGTAAAACCAGAGCTATTGTGGTCAAGCAGTGCGGGGAGAATCTTGGACCCCGACTTCCTGGCCATTCTCTTTCATATGATTCCACCTAAGAACATGCTAGTCTGTCCCATATTCAAACGGGAAAATTCTTTACCCCCCTAAATTAATGAGACATTTGGAACAGTCCATCTGCAGGTACCAGTTGTCCCTCGACGAATTGCCAGTTTGGTTTCTCAGGCTGCTAAGTGAGCTTTGAGAGCTTATTCCACTGTTGACTGTTGGTATGGAGAAGTAGATCAAGGACTAGATTGTTCACAGTTTTCGTTGCCTTTGATCTTGAACATAAATCAGTCACAATCTAGCTTTCCAGTAGTGCAAAGGAAAGAAAAAATAATAAAAAAAGAGTTGGTCAGAATCAGATGAAAGGAATTGAGTATACATCCCAGTTACTGACGTGTGCACAAAACTTGTAAATTAGTACACTGTGAGGTTCAAAATCAGCAGGAAGAACAGTATACTGAGAGGTTAGGTAAGTATAAGCAGTTTAAAAGAGGGGTGTATTTTGCTCCCCTGTCGCGCCTCATAAAAAATGTACATTAATGATTTGAACTGTTTTTAGATGCGTTAGGATCACACACCCGTGGTCCCGTTTGCTGAACATGTGGGTTTATAATCACAAATAAAAGTCTCAAAGTGGGCCTGCTCTGTAAGTAATGTCAGAAAGAATGACTTAAAACCAGAGATTCTAAAACCTTTTAGACCAGCATTTATGGAAAAATGCCCTTCGAAATTCAGCTAGCTGATAACCAACAATTAGGTATAGGGGCTCAGCTCATTCAGATGCCCAGGGGTGCATTTTCCAACTAATTCTGCCCTGGAAGCTTCATCAAGAGAGTTTAAAATTAGTTGTTTCATGGGTGAATCATTGAGATATTTTTAAAAGGCAATGATGAGCAGTTCATAAGTGCTTTAATTTTTTTTTCAGTGATACCAATGATGTCCTCCAGTGTGGATTTCTGGACCCAGCCTTGAAGCAGGCACAGAATTCTGTTTGAAGAAATGTTGGCTCTAACCTGGGAATATTCCTCCTTGTCCATCTACTAGTCTGACAGAAGTCTGGTTATATTCTTAATTTTTATAAGATTATTCAAATATATTTCTTTTAGAAACTTGCAGCAAGAGTATGTCCTCTGGGCTCTTGCCAGCAAATGACCATAACTTACTTCTCTCTGTAGCTATATTTTAGGCAGAAAGAAGGATTCATCCATCCTTTCTAAATTTCCCAAAATGTGGTCCATGGGTTATCAGCAAGGAATCACTGGGGAGTTCCTTAAAAATGTCAAGGCCCCAGCCCCACCCTGGAACTGTAAAATTCCAATCTCTGGAATGGGGCAAAGATGTCTGCAATGAAATAAGTGGTGCTGCTCCTGAATCGTGAGCCCAAGCTGTCCACATTCTAAATCTACCTGGGACCAAGCCAGATCACAGAATCATTTTTACCAAAATGTGTTCTGGTGTAAAGTCCTCAGAGGCCTTGGGAAGAGCAATTGTGTAGAGACAGCATCCAATTTTCTGAGGCACGGTGGCTGTGATACAACCCCTCCTTCCCTGCTTTCCACTGTCCATGTGGACAGGACCCTGCCTGGAATGGGAGCAATCATAAATCATAATGCTTAACCCTCCTTTTTGGCCAGGATTCATCTCTCTTACTCTCTATTGGGTCCCTGAAGAAGTCTCCAGTTTCCTTTTTATCTTAATCATCTTATGGTAGTCATTAAACAGAAATGCAATATTGTTGTAGTTGTAGAAATACTCTTCAGGATGTCATCCACTGTATCACTCCATCATAGTACCTCATTCACTGTTACCTGGGATAACTTCCCTTGGGTCTCACAACTATTGGTAGCTGTAGCCTGTCCAATAAATAACATTTGTACCACCTTATGGTTAATGTAGATTTTGTAACTGTCATGTTTTTGGCTTTGCTTTGGTAATTAGGCAGTTCAGCACAGCCCACTTTCAATAACTAGTCATGTAGACCATTATGGTCTAATATCTATATATTAGCTTTTTAATTTTTATCTCATTATGTAACACCAATTCTTACTTTGCTATGATTTTTTTTTCAACTGTGGAGTAAAATTTTTAATTGTCCTGGTACGTACTTTTTGACTCAAAATCTATTAGGAATGAAGATATAAATGTAATAATAAGTAAATAAAAACAATAATACATAAACAAATTTTTGTTCTCCTTGTGCTCTGCACATAAAAGGCATTTAATGAATCTTTGTTGAATGAATGAGTGGTGAATTGTAGAAGATGTGTAAAGAAAATCTGGACATTTGCTATTTTAGCAGAGGACAAAAGAATAGAACCAGTAGTTACTAACAGTTACGGCAGCTGACAGGGACTGTGAGCTACATGCCGCATACTTGATCGTACTTAATCTTCACAAGGAATGAATGAGCTGGGTGTAGCCAATATCTTTAGTTTACAGATAAAGACTCTGAGCCCTAGAGAGGGCACTGACATCTCCAGGTCACCAAGGGTAAAACAGAGAGCAGAGTTTTGAGCACATATCTTAGAGCCAAGTCCTTGGTTTAGGTGTTGGCAAGAACCCAGTGGCTACAGTACTTTGTTTGGCTTCTGCCCCTTGTTCCAGACACTAATTTGTCCTCAGTAATTCAGCTCTTAGCTGAGATCATCTTGTCTTCTGAGATCAAGACAAAATTAATACAAACTTTTGCTTCACCTGCTGGGTGAAATCCAATGTCTTCCTCAGGGGTTTCATGGTTCCTGAAGGCTTTTGTTCCCACAGTCAGTTCCGGCTCAGAGTTTCTGCTTTAGTGGGGTTCTTGAACCTCTCCCTGTCTCTCTCCTTCTGCTATTCTGTTCTCTGCCATGTGCTGTCTGAAAGGGGAACTCACTTTCTTTGGCTAATTTCCACAAACCCATTCTTGTGATTCACTTGTGGTTAGCAAGGCATGGGGAGACAGGGGTAATTTACGGACAGAAAATCCCAACTTATTTAACATTGATCATTGGCCCTGTTCTTAAATGTCCTTCAGCCGCCTGCTTGCCACAGGAATTTCTCACTGGCCACTTTCTCCAACAGGTGCCAGCCTTGTGGCTCAGTACTTCTCCCTCTCCTCACCCAGTGGCTACACAACCCAGAGAATTGGGGATGTGGCTCTGCAAAAGGTGTTCCCTGCTTTGTGAGCATGGAGAGTTTTATCAATCAATTTGAAGATCACCAACTTGCAGATTAATTGATCTGTCTGAAAATGCCACTGTGGTCAAGGTGTTTCTCCTATTTCCCTTTCATAACAGCTCCCTTTCCTACTTTACAGAAGACAGGTATGCCTTTCCCCTCAGCCCAATTTTTTTTTTTCTGTTGCCCAGGCTGGAGAGCAGTGGCACAATCTCGACTCACTGCAACCTCTGCCTCCCGGGTTCAAACGATTCTCCTGCCTTAGCCTCCTGAGTAGCTGGGACTATAGGCGCGTGCCACCACACGTGGCTAACTTTTGTATTTTTAGTAGAGACGGGGTTTCACCATGTTGGCCAGGATTGTCTCGATCTCCTGACCTCATGATTCACCCACCTCGGCCTCCCAAAGTGTTGGGATTACAGGCATGAGCCATGGCGCCCGGGCCCCAGATTTTACCATAGAGTATTGCCCAGTAGTGTTAAAATCGTGGAACAGAGGGCTCATTTAAAATGATGGTGTGGGCTTAAGAAAGTGATGGGCTCCACTGAGTGGTTAGCGATTCCTTTTTAAGTCACGTGGTTTCCAATTCTTGGCTTACAACAAAATTGAAGAAGAACCTGATTGCATTGCCAGCAGATAGATCATTTAAAAATAAGCTTTGAGAATACACAACTATGCAGTATTTGCGGAACAATACTTAGAGATAATTCAGCAATTGAATGAACTTGTAAAATGCCTTGCTTTCCATCTACTTTTTTTTTTTGAAGCAAGCAAAGAGTTTATTAATGGACAATAAAGTACACACCAAAAGAGGAGTGGGCTGGCCCAGCTGGAAACAGCCTTGAGAGTTACATGTTGCAGTTTTTATTATCATAGACTTAAAAAAAATTCCCACCTCTGTCTTAAGTGTCTTCCTTTGTCTAGTTTCCTGCTTCCTGGTAAATCTCTTCTTTTATTCCCACTGAGTTTCTGCCCAGGTCTGTGAGATGCTTCCTTACTGTCAGCTGATGTACATGTATGAGTTCCAATGACCAATGAGTCTTAATGGTAGCATTGCTCATTACTACCACCCTAGAAAAATCATATAGCAGTCAAATCTGTGCTTATTGTGCCTGCATATCTCTTAGGAATTGTCCTTTTGCCCTTTCCCCCTTTTTATCAGCATGTAGCTAGCTACATTCTGACAGTTTAACCACAGTAGGAGCAATTACTGGGTGTCTTAAGGGATGTTTCAGGGTACACTTTCTTCATAGGTGTTTCCGCTCCTCTCTGATCAAATTTAGCATACATCTTTTGGGTTGTCTTTGGACCATGAGATTTTTCTCCCCCAGGGGGTCTTTTTTTTCCTGCTCCCATCTAACTAACTGACTACTCTAAAACTGCCTCCTCAATAGATTGAGACTCTAAAAATCTTTGAGTCTAGGGGCACTGTGGGTCTTCTGTAACTACTTCCTGCTGACATGAGATAAAGAACTCATCACTGTCTCATTCTCTTGCTCTTTGTCAGAAAAAGATTTCCTCCATGTTCTCCCAGAAGGTTTAACTTGCAGTGTTCAAAGGAAATGTGTAGGGACATGGCTGTCCAGAAGGGAGGAAAATAGGTCGATATTCCCGTTGCAGGACCATTTGGAGTCTGAGAGTTTCTGTATGATTCTACTGTGTGCAGTAAGGGTTGAGGACCAAGTAAAAGCTTTGCCACATTCTTCACACGTGCAGGGTTTTTGCCCAGAGTGAATTCTTTTATGTTTAGTAAGGTGTGAGGATCTACAAAAGGCCTTGACACATTCTTCACAGTTGTAGGGTTTCTCTCCAGCATGATATTCTTATGTTCAATAAGGTTTGAGGACCTATAAAAGGCCTTGCCACATTCTTCACATGTGTAGGGTTTTTCAACAGTATGAATTCTCCTATGTTTATTGAGGGATGAGGACTGAGTAAAGGCTTTGCCACATTCTTCACATTTGTAAAGTTTTTGTTCAAAATGAATGCTCCTGTGTATAATAAGGCTGGAGGATTGGTTAAAAGTTTTGCCACATTCTTGACATGTGTAGGGTTTCTCTCCAGTATGAATATTCTTATGTTCATTCAGGCTTCTGGACCGTCTAAAAGCTTTGCCACATTCTTTACATTTGTAGGGCTTCTCTCCAGTTCTTTACTGAAGAATAAAAATGCTTTATGAAGGACTCCTAGCCAATAAAAACAATCTTATCTCTTCTCCCCAGATGGTGCAGTAAAGACCCCAAAATATCGAGAAGCTTTTCTGAAATATTACAAGTATGTGGAAGAAAGAGGAATAGAGTCCTAAAGTCCTCATTCTAGGGTTGTGGGACTGTAATTTGTGACTGCAGGTGTGAAGTGAGGCACATAGAGTGAAGATGTTAGCATCATGGTTTATTGTAACTTGTTAAAACAACCTGTTCAATATGCTCTTTCTTTTTTGATATTTCACAGAATTTGTTTTTGAAAGAGGCTGATCAAGTTTGTCCCTGCTTAAAAGCTCTGATGGATCAATTAGTAAGGGGCTGTTTAAATAAATTATTAGGCTGAGTGCCGTGGCTCACATCTGTAATCCCACCACTTTGGGAGGCCGAGGCGGGTGGATCAACTGAGGTCAGGAGTTCGAGACCAGCCTGGCCAACATGGTGAAACCTCATCTCTACTAAAAATACAAAAAAATTAGCCGGATGTGGTGGTGGGCACCTATAATCCCAGCTACATGGGAGGCGGAGGCAAGAGAATCGCTTGAACCTAGGAGGCGGAGGTTGCAGTGAGCCAAGACCACGTCATTGCACTCCAGCTTAGATAACAAGAAAGAAACTCTGTCTCAATAAAAAGATTATTATACAGCTTTATTTTTGCCACCTTTAAAAAGAGAGAAGATGACCTGACTGCCTCTATATGTATGTAAAGATATAAAAGATATGTTGCTATGAATGCAAGTCTCAGAACAATATTTAAGGAAGAATCCTATTATTTGTGGGTGGTCCTCTTACTGTTAATATATAGGACATTTTTGAATCATTTATCCTTAGGATGTAGGGTTGGGAGTTGTGGGGGGAGCTAAGAAAGGAAAAACTTTTATTTTTCTCTTTGAATCCTTCTGTACTGTTTTTTGTTTGTTTGTCTGTTGTGCGATATGCAAGTTACTTCTTTTTTTTAATTATACTTTAAGTTCTAGGGTACATGTGCACAACATGCAGGTTTGTTACATATGTATACATGTACCATGTTGGTGTGCTGCACCCAATAACTGGTCGTTTACATTGGTTTCCCCTTCATCCATGTCCCTACAAAGGACATGAACTCATCATTTTTTATGGCTGCATAGTATTCCATGGTGTATATGTGCCACATTTTCTTAATCCAGTCTATCATTGATGGACATTTGGGTTGGTTCCAAGTCTTTGCTATTGTGAATAGTGCTGCAATAAACATACGTGTGCATGTGTCTTTATAGTAGCATGATTTATAATCCTTTGAGTATATACCCAGTAATGGGATGGCTGGGTCAAATGGTATTTCTAGTTCTAGATCCTGGAGGAATTGCCACACTGTCTTCCACAATGGTTGAACTAGTTTACACTCCCACCAACAATGTAAAAGTGTTGCTATTTCTCCACATCCTCTCCAGCACCTGTTGTTTCCTGACTTTTTAATGATCGCCATTCTAACTGGTGTGAGATGGTATCTCATTGTGGTTTTGATTTGAATTTCTCTGATGGCCACTGATGATGAGCATTTTTTCATGTGTTTTTTGGCTGCATAAATGTCTTCTTTTTAGAAGTGTCTGTTCATATGCTTTGCCCAATTTTTGATGGAGATGTTTGATTTTTTCTTGTAAATTTGTTTGAGTTCATTGTAGATTCTGGATATTAGCCCTTTGTCAGATGAGTAGGTTGCAAAAATTTTCTGCCATTCTGTAGGTTGCCAGTTCACTCTGATGGTAGTTTCTTTTGTTGTGCAGAAGCTCTTTAGTTTAATTAGATCCCATTTGTCAATTTTGGCTTTTGTTGCCATTGCTTTTGATGTTTTAGTCATGAAGTCCTTGCCCATGCCTATGTCCTGAATGGTATTGCCTAGGTTTTCTTCTAGGGTTTTTATGGTTTTAGGTCTACCATTTAAGTCTTTAATCCATCTTGAATTAATTTTTGTATAAGGTGTAAGGAAGGGATCCAGTTTCAGCTTTCTACATATGGCTAGCCAGTTTTCCCAGCACCATTTATTAAATAGGGAATCCTTTCACCATTTCTTGTTTTTGTCAGGTTTGTCAAAGATCAGATGGCTGTAGATATGTGGCATTATTTCTGAGGGCTCTGTTCTGTTCCATTGATCTATATCTCTGTTTTGGTACCAGTACCATGCTGTTTTGGTTACTGTAGCCTTGTGGTATAGTTTGAAGTCAGGTAGTGTGATGCCTCCAGCTTTGTTCTTTTGGCTTAGGATTGACTTGGCGATGTGGGCTCTTTTTTGGTTCCATATGAACTTGAAAGTAGTTTTTTCCAATTCTGTGAAGAAAGGCATTGGTAGCTTGATGTGGATGGCATTGAATCTATAAATTACGTTGGGCAGTATGGCCATTTTCACGATATTGATTCTTCCTATTCATGAGTGTGGAATGTTCTTCCATTTGTTTGTGTCCTCTTTTATTTCATTGAGCAATGATTTGTAGTTCTCCTTGAAGAGGTCCTTCACATCCCTTGTAAGTTGGATTCCTAGGTATTTTATTCTCTTTGAAGCAATTGTGAATGGGAGTTTGCTGATGATTTGGCTCTCTGTTTGTCTGTTGTTGGTGTATAGGAATGCTTGTGATTTTTGCACATTGTTTTTGTATCCTGAGACTTTGCTGAAGTTGCTTATCAGCTTAAGGAGATTTTCGGCTGAGACGATGGGGTTTTCTAAAGATACATTCATGTCATCTGCAAACAGGAACAATTTGGCTTCCTCTTTTCCTAACTGAATACCCTTTCTTTCCTTCTCCTGCCTGATTGCCCTGGCCAGAACTTCCAACGCTATGTTAAATAGGAGTGGCAAGAGAGGGCATCCCTGTCTTATGCCAGTTTTCAAAGGGAATGCTTCCAGTTTTTGCCCATTCTGTGTGATATTGGCTGTAGGTTTGTCATAAATAGCTCTTATTATTTTGAGATATGTTCCATCAATAACTAATTTATTGAGAGTTTTTAGCATGAAGGACTTTTGGATTTTGTTGAAGGCCTTTTCTGCATTTATTGAGATAATCATGTGGTTTTTGTCATTGCTTCTGTTCATATGCTGGATTATGTTTATTGATTTTTATATGTTGAACCAGTCTTGCATCCCACAGATGAAGCCCACTTGATCGTGGTGGATAAGCTTTTTGATGTGCTGCTGGATTTGGTTTGCCAGTATTTTATTGAGGATTTTTGCATTGTTCATCAGGGATATTGGTCTAAAATTCTCTTTTTTTGTTGTGTCTCTGCCAGGCTTTGGTATCAGGATGATGCTGGCCTCATAAAATGAGTTAGGGAGGATTCCCTCTTTTTCTATTGATTGGAATAGTTTCAGAAGAAATGGTACAAGCTCCTCTTTGTACCTCTGGTAGAATTCGGCTGTGAATCTATCCGGTCCTGGACTTTTTTTGGTTGGTAGGCTCTTAATTATTGCCTCAATTTCAGAGCCTGTTATTGGTCTATTCAGAGATTCAACTTCTTCCTGGTTTAGTCTTGGGAGGGTGTACGTGTCCAGGAATTTATCCATTTCTTCTAGATTTTCTAGTTTATTTGCATAGAGGTGTTTATAGTATTCTCTGATGGTAGTTTGTATTTCTGTGGGATCAATGTTGTTATCCCCTTTATCATTTTTTATTGCCTCTATTTGATTCTTCTCTCTTTTCTTCTTTATTAATCTTGCTAGCACTCTATCTAATTTGTTGATTTTTTCAAAAAACCACCTCCTGGATTCATTGATTTTTTTAAGGGTTTTTTTGTGTCTCTATTTCCTTCAGTTCTGCTCTGATCTTAGTTATTTCTCGCCTTGTGTTAGCTTTTGAATTTGTTTGCTCTTGCTTCTCTAGTTCTTTTAATTGTGATGTTAGGGTGTTGATTTTAGATCTTCCTGCTTTCTCTTGTGGGCATTTAGTGCTATAAATTTTCCTCTACACACTGCTTTAAATGTGTCCTAGCGATTCTGGTACATTGTGCCTTTGTTCTCATTGTTTCCAAAGAACATCTTTATTTCTGCCTTCATTTCGTTATTTACCCAGTAGTCATTCAGGAGCAGGTTTTTCAGTTTCCATGTAGTTGTGCAGTTTTTAGTGAGTTTCTTAATCCTGAGTTCTAATTTGATTGCACTGTGGTCTGAGAGACAGTTTGTTGTGATATCTGTTCTTTTACATTTGGTGAGGAGTGCTTTACTTCCAACTATGTGGTCAATTTTGGAATAAGTGTGATGTGGTGCTGAGAAGAATGTATATTCTTTTGATTTGGGGTGGATAGTTCTGTAGATGTCTATCAGGTCCACTTGATGCAGAGCTGAGTTCAAGTCCTGGATATCCTTGTTAACTTTCTGTCTCGTTGATCTGTCTGATGTTGAGAGTGGGGTATTAAAGTCTCCCATTATTATTGTGTGGGAATCTAAGTCTCTAAGTCTCTTTGTAGGTCTCTAAGGACTTGCTTTATGAATCTGGGTGCTCCTGTATTGGGTGCATATATATTTAGGATAGTTAGCTATTCTTGTTGAATTGATCCATTTACCATTGTGTAATGGCCTTCTTTGTCTCTTTTGATCTTTGTTGGTTTAAAGTCTGTTTTATCAGAGACTAGGATTCCAACCCCTGCTTTTTTTTGCTTTACATTTGCTTGGTATATCTTCCTCCCTCCCTTTATTTTGAGCCTATGTATGTCTCTGCATGTGAGATGGGTGTCCTGAATACAGCACACTAATGGATCTTGACTCTTTATCCAATTTGCCAGTCTGTGTCTTTTAATTGGGGCATTTAGCCCATTTACATTTAAGGTTAATATTGTTATGTGTGAATTTGATCCTGTCATTATGGTGTTAGCTGGTTATTTTGCTTGTTAGTTGATGCAGTTTCTTCTAAGCATCAATGGTCTTTATAATTTGGCATGTTTTTGCAGTGGCTGGTACCAGTTGTTCCTTTCCATGTTTAGTGCTTCCTTCAGGAGCTCTTGTAAGGTAGGCCTAGTGGTGATAAAATCTCTCAGCATTTGCTGTCTGTAAAGGATTTTATTTCTCCTTCACTTATGAAGCTTAGTTTTGGTGGATATGAAATTCTGGGTTGAAAATTCTTTTCTTTAAGAATGTTAAAAATTGGCCCCCACTCTCTTCTGGCTTGTAGAGTTTCTGCCAAAACATCCCCTGTTAGTCTGATGGGCTACTCTTTTTTGGGAACCCGACCTTTCTCTCTGGCTGCCGTTAACATTTTTTCCTTCATTTCAACCTTGGTGCATCTGACAACTATGTGTCTTGGGGTTGCTCTTCTCGAGGAGTATCTTTGTCATGTTCTCTGTATTTCCTGAATTTGAATGTTGGCCTGTCTTTCTAGGTCAGGGAAGTTCTGCTGGATAATATCCTGAAGAGTGTTTTTCCCAACTTGGTTCCATTCTCCCCAGTACTTTCAGGTACACCAATGAAATGTAGATTTGGTCTTTTCACATAGTCTCAGGTTTCTTGGAGGCTTTGTTCATTTCTTTTTACTCTTTTTTCTCTAACCTTGTCTTCTTGCTTTATTTCATTAATTTGATCTTCAATCACTGATACCCTCTCTTCCACTTGATCAAATTGGCTACTGAAGCTTATGCATGTGTCACGTAGTTCTTGTGCCATGGTTTTCAGCTCCATCAGGTCATTTAAGGTCTTCTCTACACTGTTTATTCTAGTTAGGCATTCATCTAATCTTTTTTCCAAGGTTTTTAGCTTCCTTGTGATGGGTTCGAACATCCTCCTTTAGTTCAGAGAAGTTTGTTATTACCAATCTTCTGAAGCCTACTTCTGTCAACTCATCAAAGTCATTCTCTGTCCAGCTTTGTTCCTTTGCTGGTGAGGAGCTGCAATCCTTTGGAGGAGAAGAGGCACTCTGGTTTTTAGAACTTTCAGCTTTTCTGCTCTGGTTTCTCCCCATCTTTGTGGTTTTATCTACCTTTGGTCTTTGATGATGGTGACCTACAGATGGGGTTTTGGTGTGGATGTCCTTCTTGTTGATGTTGATGCTATTCCATTCTGTTTGTTAGTTTTCCTTCTAACAGTCAGGTTCCTCAGCTGCAGGTCTGATGGAGTTTGCTGGACTCCAGACCCTGTTTGCCTGGGTATCACTGGCGGAGGCTGCAGAACAGCAAATATTGCAGAATAGCAAATGTTGCTGCCTGATCCTTCCTCTGGAAGCTTCATCTCAGAGGGACACTTGACTATATGAGGTATCAGTCGGCCCCTACTGGGAGGTGTCTCCCAGTTAAGCTACTTGGTGGTCAGGGACCCACCTGAGGAGGCAGTCTGTCTGTTCTCAGATTTCAAACTCCATGCTGGGAGAACAACTGCTCTCTTGAAACTTGTCAGACAGGGACGTTTAAGTCTGCAGAAATTTCTGCTGTCTTTTGTTCAGCTATGCCCTGCCCCCAGAGGTGGAGTCTACAGATGCAGGCAGGCCTCATTGAGCTGCAGTGGGCTCCACCCAGTTGGAGCTTCCTGGCCGCTTTGTTTTCTAGTCAAGCCTCAGCAATGGTGGAGGCCCCTCGCCCAGCCTTGCTGCCACCTTGCAGTTCGATCTCAGACTGCTGTGCTAGCAGTGATCAAGGCTCTGTTGGCATGGGACCCACTGAGCCAGGCACGGGATATAGTCTCGTGTGCCATTTGCTAAGACCGTTGGAAAAGCTCAGTATTAGGGCGGGAGTGTCCTGATTTTCCAGGTACCGTCTGTCATGGCTTCCCTTGGCTAGGAAAGGGAATTCCCCAACCCCCTGCGCTTCCTGGGTGAGGTGATGCCCCACCCTGCTTTGGCTTACACTCCATGGGCTGCACCCACTGTCCAACCAGTCTCAATGAGATGAACCCGGTACCTCAGTTGGAAAAGCAGAAATCACCTGTCTTCTGTGTCACTCATGCTGGGACCTGTAGACCAGAGCTGTTCCTATTCAGCCATCTTGGAAAGTTCTCTTGCAAGCACTATATGGAAGTTACTTCTAACAGGAAATAGAATCTAGTTAAAAAATAAATTCATCTTTTTAAAATTTTTATTTTATTTTTTAGAGACAGTGCCTTGCTCTTTCACCTAGGCTGGATGCATTCTAGTGGTGTGATCATAGCTCACTGTAGCCTCTACCTCCCAGTCTCAAGTGATCCTCCCACCTCAGCTCCCTAAGTAGGTGGGACTACAGGTATGTGCTACCACACCAGGCTAATTTTTAATTTTTTTTTTTGTAGAGACAGGGTCTCACTATGTTTCCTATGATGGTCTCAAATGAACTCCTGAGCTCAAGCAATCTGCTCACCTCTGCCTCCCAAACTGCTGGGATTATAGGTGTGAGCCACCATGCCTGGCCCAATAAATTCATCCTGAAAATAAAAAAAAATCTTGATTGATGATGGTGCCTTTGGCTTTCTGCTCTCCTCTGCCTGGGCTTCTTTTTTCCATTTCCCCTCCCATGGAATGCAAGCTCATTCCTCAGTCATAGGTCAACTATTTCTTCTTTTGTGACTGCTCTCTCACCTGCTGAAGAAGAATCAGTCACTTCTTTCCTTGCTCTCATGATACTTTGCAACTATTTCTATGATAGCCCTTTTCACATTACAGCTGACTTTTGAACAACATGCGTTTGAACTTCATGGGTTCACTTATATTCAGATTTTTTTCAGGAAAAGTTCCACTAAGTGTGCCTGTCTCTCCTGCCTGTACTTCCACCTCCTTTTCTTTGCTTGTCATTTTTTTTTTTTTTAGTTTGTTTGTTTAGAGGTAGGGGTATCTATCACCCAGGATGGAGTGTGGTGGTGCTATGAGAGCTCACTGCAGACTCAAACTCGTGGTCTCAAGCAATCCTCCCACTTCAGCCTCCTGAGTAGCTGGGATTATGTGTAGGAGCTACCACACCAGCTCCACCTCCTTTTCACCTCTTCCGCTTCTACCACCCCTGAGACAACAAAGACCAACCCCTCCTCTTCCTCTTCCTTCCTGCTCAAAGTGAAGACAGTGAGGATGAAGACCTTTATGATGATCCACTTCCACTTAATGAACATATTTTCTCTTCCTTCTGATTTTCTTGATAACATTTTCTTTTGTCTAGCTCAGTTTATTTTAGGAATACAGTATGCAATCCTGGCTAACACGGTGAAACTCCGTCTCTACTAAAAATACAAAAAATTAGCCAGGCATGGTGGTGGGCACCTGTAGTCCCAGCTACTCGGGAGGCTGAGGCAGGAGAATGGCATGAACCTGGGAGGTGGAACTTGGAGTGAGCCGAGATCCCGCCACTGCACTCCAGCTTGGGCGACAGAGCGACACTCCGTCTCAAAAAAAAAAAAAAAAAAAAAAAAAAAAGAATACCGTATACAATACATATAACATGCAAAATACGTGTTACTTGACTGTTTCTGTTGTCATTAAAGTTTTCAGTCAACAATAGTCTACTAGTAGTTAAGTTTTTGGGGAGTCAGTCATTTGTGAATTTTTGACTTTAAATGGGGGTCAGTGCTCCTAACCTATGCATTGTTCCAGGGTCCACTGTATATGATAAAACTTTTTTTTCTGTTTGCACCTAGTAAGACCCACATTGTTATATTTTTAATACTTAATAGTGTCTAGAACTTAGTCCTCAGAACATTCTAGAAGTATAGAATTCAATGCAATTTGGATGAGCCATGAGAATCCAAAATTTATTCAAGCATAGGAAATATCTGGGGATAGCCTTAACAAAAAATGTGCAGGATGAGCTCATTTTTGTGGTGGAATGTTCCAGAACTCTCTTTGGTAAAGCAAGCAAGGACTATATTCTAGAACCTCATTTTTAACAGCAATCAGTGGCAGATACAATGCATATTCGAATCAAATAACCGAGTACTTACTTACATGTCTTTAATATTTTTATTTTGGAATAGCTGTAGATTCACAAGAAATTGCAAAGTTAGTACAGAGAGGTCCCCTGTACCCTTTGCCTTTTTCCCCTAGTGGTAAGATCCTACATGGCTATAGAACAGTGTCAAAGTCAGGAAATTGAAATAGCAGAAGAGATTTTCATCAGTCATGTTGGCTACTACCTTCACTTCCTGGAGCGCCAGTGAGTGTCCTCACTACATAGGAGGTCCTGGGGAGGCTGTGAGGGGACAAGACATGAAGGGAGGGGAGCACGATGACGATACACGGTCAGAGCAGCCACTGTTGTGCCTTGAATCATCTCAAGGCCCCTCACGACATCCTCCAGGATACAAGCCCTGATACATTTGGAGCCCCTAAAAAATTTGGTCTTGTATCCTGGAGGATGTGTCTAGCAGCTGTCATGTCCAAGAGGGAAAACAAATATCACACTTATTTCAGCCTCATCTAGACAGCAGAGAATCCTTGACTTTGAGGAAGCTGGAGTGGAAAGTGAGGGTTTGGGCAACTGATGCCATCTGTATTTTTTCCCTTGAGATATAATTCACATTGCATAGAATTCACCCTTTTAAAAACTATAGTTCAGTGCCTTTTAGTATAGTCTCAAAGTTGTACAATGATTACCACTGTCTAATCCCAGAATATTTTTATTATTCCAAAAAGAAAGCCCTTGCCCAGTAGCAGTCCATTCTTAGTTCTTCGTCCCTCCAGCGCCTGGAGCATTTCAATCTCTATGGATTTGTTTATGCTGGGCATTGAAAACAAATAGGATCAAACACTATGTGATCTTTTGTGCCTGGCTTCTTTCACTTAGCACAATGCTTTCAAGGCTCTTTCAAGTTGTAGCATTTTTCAGTATTTGATTTATTTCCATGACTGAAGAATATTCCACTGTATGTCTATACTAGAATTTGTTTATCCATGTAAGATCGTATATGGCTATAGAACAATGTCAAAGTCAGGAAATTGAAATAGCAGAAGAGATTTTCATCAGTCATGTTGGCTACTGCCTTCACTTCCTGGAGCGCCAGTGAGGTGGGTGTGTCCATTTGATGGACTATTGGGTTGTTTCTACTTTTTGGCTATTAGGAATAATGCTGCTATGAACATCTGTGGGCAAGTTTTCTATTTTTAAAAGTGCATGCTCATGAGAGCTCATTTGATTGGAACCATGCAAATAGACTAGTGAAGATTCATTTATGCTAGACTTTAAGTTTGTCTGGCTAGTCTAGGAGCCAGTGCATTTTGGGAGTAAGAAATAAAAGAACCTCGGTTTACTTTGTTATGTGTCAGGGATGGGAAGAGAAAATATCTATCTGCCTGTGTCTTCTACATATTTTCAAATTACCTTTAGAAATTTAGTTCAGTGATGTTATTGGCTGATTATGTCTTCATTGTCATGGACATTTCACAGTTTATTTCAGAAATGCCTCCTGATACATAAAGTCTTTTAGAATTTGACAACATATTCAGTAGCTTGATGGTTCCCAAACTGAGTGCCAAGGTGCCCTCAAGAAGGTTACCACAAGAAAATCACAGGAGCATGTCAGGATATTTTATATTTTTGAGTTCAGGGTACTCAAAACTAGGTACTGTTAGACAAGGGTAGGTTACAGTTTCAACATTAGATAGTGATACATTCTGTTGAAGTAATATCTTTGGGAAGCTGGAATTTTGGCAGTGTCTCTGATGGAAAGCAAGTACTACATGAAAGTCAATGTGGAACATAGGCCGCGGCGCAGTGGCTCATGCCTGTAATTCCAGTACTTTGGGAGGTCGAGGTGGGCAGATCACTTGAAGTCAGGAGTTCGATACCAGCCTGGCCAATATGATGAAACCCTTCTACTAAAGATACAAAAATTAGCCAAGTGTGGTGGTGCATGCCTGTAATCCCAGCTGCTCGGGAGGCTGAGGCTGGAGAATCACTTGAACCCGGGAGGCGGAGGTTGCAGTGAGTTGAGATAGCACCATTTCACTCCAGCCTGGGTGACAGAGCAAGACTCCACCTCAAAAAAAAAAAAAAAAAAAAAAGGCCAGGCACAGTGGCTCACGCCTGCAATCCTAGCACTTTGGGAGGTGGACGTGGGAGGATTGTGAGGTCAGGAGATCAAGACCATCCTGGCTAACACAGTGAAACCCCGTCTCTACTAAAAGTATAAAAAATGAGCCGGGCATAGTGGCAGGCACCTGTAGTCCCAGCTACTCGGGAGGCTGAGGCAGGAGAATGGCATGAACCTGGAAGGCGGAACTTGCAGTGAGCCGAGATCGTGCCACTGCACTCCAGCCTGGGCGACAGAGGGAGACTCCGTCTCAAAAAAAGGAAAAAAAAAGAAAAGAAAAAAAGAAAGTCAATGTGGAACGGGAAGTGAGGGTGGCTGTGTCCGTTCTGATTCAAAGGTTTGAGAAGCTGTGCAGTGCCCAACTGAAATATATCCCCAAAATAAGCTTTGTTGGGATTTACATGTTATTTGAACCTAACTACTCAATAAATGGAACTTTTAGGTATTTCTTTTGACTCCAGGGGTGCCATGAGAAAACTGAGGACTGAAGGCTGCAATAAACCAAGAAGTTTCAGAACCTTTGCTCTAGTATCATGTTTTTACAATTTCTAATATTTGCCAATAAACTCTCATTATTTCTGTAACATATCCCACCCTTTCATAAGGCCATGCCCTTGCATGTGCCTCTTTAACTTGGAGATCCTCTTTCTTGCCATTACCTTTTTTCCAGGAAAATTTTATTCACCCTTCAAGACTCAACTCAAATATCCCCTCTTCCGGGAAGTCTTCTTGACCTCCCAGGCGTAATTGGTTGCTGAATCTTCAGTGTTTTCAGAATATCCAGTTCATTCTCCCACTCTAATGCTCCCCACATTATGCTATAATTTACCTGGATTTCTCTACTTCTCCTATTAGAAATTCCACAAACAGCTAGGTGAAGTGGTTCATGCCTGTAATCCCAGGGCTTTGGGAGGCCAAGGCAAGAGGGAATATTGTTTGAGGCCAGGAATTTGAGACCAGCCTGGGCAACATGGTGAGACCCTGTCTCTACAAAACAACTAAATAAATAAATTAGCCAAATGTGATGATGCACACCTGTAGTCCTAGTTACTCAGGAGGTTAAGGCAGGAGGATCTCTTGAGCCCAGGAGTTCAAGCCTGTAGTGAGTTATGATCATGCCACTGCACCCCAGCCTTGGTGACAGAATAAGACTCTGTCTCAAAATAAAAAAATTCCACAGCCACAGAAACCACATCTTAGCACTTTTGTGCTCTCAGCACAGGGCCTAGGGCTCTGGGATGGACTGAGTAGCTGAACGAATGAACTGAGTAATAATACAAGGAAGGTATCTATCAGGCTCCCTACCACCTCCCATTTGGGATTCACATTTTTCATTGGAAGCAATTTACTATGGTGATATTGGAAAAGTACTACTACAATCACAATCACAGTGCCAACAAAGCGTTCTAATCAATCAGAGAGACCATTTGAATGCAAATTTTCACCATTTCAAAGGCAGTTTCCTGACCACCTCAAAACACATGCCAGACGCAAAAGTTGTGCCAATCCAAGATCTCTATTTTAAATGACTGAGTTCACTGCAAGTTCAGTCTGAATTGGGCTTAAATGCAATGAAATTGATAACAGATGAAAACTCAACAGGTTGCAGAATAATTATATACTTGTTACGATGTCCTCACTAATTGGAACACTAACTCAATGACCCTTGGCTTCTGAACTGCTACTGGGGTAACTGGCTGATACATCTGTTTGGTATGAATCTGCATATTTGCTCATTTGCCAAAAATGTAAAGTGGAGCCCTGAATTAGTTTCAGTTCACTTAATCACTTTGAAGCCGAGGAATCAGCTGAATATATCATAATGCTTCCCCCTTCCCACACCACACCACATTTTATATGTAAGCGAACATTCAAAAAAGCCAACTTAAAAGCAGAGTGTCCAGAATGTTGATTCACAGAGATGCAGACAGCCTTTGGCTGAGCATACATTCCTCTCATTTATCTAAATGGGAGCCAGGTGCTTGCACCAAAGAGGAGACTGACAAAAGGAAGCTTTTTGGGAGCTCTTATTTTCAAGTGTAAGGCAACACTTGTATCTTCTTAAAGGAAGGCCCCTTTAACTGTATTTCACTCCCTTCAGCAATGTGTGTATTAATAGATAAGTGTTTGCTCCAGGGTTTCAAAAGTTGTCCTTCTAACAGAATTAAAGTTTAACCTTCATTAGTCCCAGTGGTATTATCTCTAAAATAACTTCAGTTGTAGTTCTTTAATGCCATGTTCATTTTATTTTATCATGGTTCTTAAATTATAATAATCGTCTCATCCCTTAGATTCAGTATAATTTTGTATTTATATTGTACTTAGCAGACTCAGGTTATCATTAAATGTTCTACAAAAATAAAAACATGGGTTCAGTAGCTGTAACCAACCAGTAGAGATGAAATGTGTATGAAGAAAGGGCCTCACTTCCTCTTCAAAACACCAGTTTGAACAATGTCTTGCATTGCTCCTTTTGGCTAACATTTATGTCATCTTTATTTCGGAGCATAAAGAGCAGTGAGTGATGGAGTTACATTTTGGTTTAGAAATCCATTTATGTGAAATGAACTCAGTTTGCTGTGCCAGCTTCACCATGCTGGACAGGGCCCTAAATCTTCTCCTCCCAAGCCCTGGACTGTTTCCTTGAACTGATACTCTGTTATAGTTTGGATTTGTGTCCTTGCCCAAATTTCATGTTGAATTATAATCCCCAGTGTTGGAGGAGTGGCCTGGTGGGAGGCGATTGCATCATGGGGGCTGTGTCTAATGGTTTAGCACCATTGCCCTAGTGCTCTCTTATGATAAAGTTTTGCCAAGATCTGGTTGTTTAAAAAGTATGTAGCACCCCTCCCCATTCCTCCTGCCAGCTATGTAAGACATGCCTGCTTCCCCTTCACCTTCCACCATGATTGCAAGTTTCCTGTGGCCTCCCTGCCATGTTTCCTATACAGCCTGCAGAACCATGGGCCAGTTAAACCTCTTTTCTTTGTAAATTGACCAGTCTCAGGTAGTTCTTCTTAAAAATTTTTATTTAAATTATTTTTTTAAAAGATGGGATTTTACCATGTTGGCCAGGCTGGTCTCAAACTCCTGGCCTCAAGCAATCCACCTACCTGGGCCTCCCAAAGTGTTGGGATTACAGGTGTGAGCCACCATGCCAGCCTCAGGTAGTTCTTTATAGCATTGTGAGAACACACTAATACATGCTCATTTGTCAAGTACTGATTCAGTCTCTACCATGTGCCAGGCACTTTACAAGATACTGGCTTTTAGCAGTGAAGGAGACTGATAATATGCCTGACCCCATGGAATTTACAATCTAATGGGAGACACACAGCAAAAGCAACTTAGCCCCCTCAATCAAGATCATTATACAATAATGATGTGGTTGACACAAGGTGCTGGGAAGGAATAATTTCTGGATACAGGGAGAGTGCTGGTAGTCAGGGAAGGCTATTTTTGTAACCTAACTCGTATGGTGATGGTAAGGGAAGGCTCCTTTGAGGAGGTACTGAGATGAGAGAGTTCCTTGATCCCCTCAGGGGTCTTGTGACAGGGGTATGGACCCTTTGATCAAACCTCTTATGGAAGGGGGAGCATGCACACAGGCAGCTGCAGGAGCCACATTGAGTGCTTTTGGGTTCCAGCCTGACGGTAGCATCTAGGGGTGTGTTACAATTAATGCTCTTTCAGCAGTTGCCATCTGTGTACAGCTAAGTGTTAACAAGCTCAGTGGAGAGTCAGGGTGACATCTTTTTATACCCTGCCCTCTTGGTACCCAGGTCCTTTTATGGAGTCCAGGAAGAATCAGGTCAAACCAACTTGAAGGATGGTGAATGCAGGAATTTTATTGAGTTATGGAGGTGGCTTTCAGCTGGATGGGTGGGGAGCTGGAAAGCGGATGGAGTGGGAAGATGATTTTTCCCTGGAGTTTGGCTGTCTTGTGGCCAAACTCCTCTCTGACCTTCCCCAGCCAAACTCCTCTCAATGTTCAGATGCTCCTTCCCTTCTCTCCTTCTCTGCCACTCTGCCACTCTGCCACTCTTCTGCTTGTGGAGCCTTGGGTTTGAGGTTTGTATGGGTACAGCATAAGGGGTGTGGTGGGCCAAAAGGGAATATTTGGGCATGAAAACAGGAATGTCTGTTCTCATTTAGGGCCATGGGTTTCCAGGCTTGAGGGTAGGGCCTTTGCCAGGGAACCCTCCTCTTCTACCCTGTATTTCGCTGCCTCCTGTTCATATCAGTACCATTTAAGGTGAATCCCAGGGTATGAAGGCACCAGCCTTGATGAGACCCAAGAGAAGGGCACCACAGGAAATGGGAACAGTAAGTGCAAATGTCCTGACAATGGAATGATACCAACCTCTGTCCCTCAACCCTCACCTCAACTTCAGCTCCCACCAGTGCCTCCAATACATTTTTTCCCATTTATCTTTCACGTATGTAAATTGATTTAAGATTCCCTCTGGTAGAGCCCCTGAAGTACCCCCAAAGCCAATCTTATGTAACACCGAGAAGGCAGGGGTTTTAACAAATTGCATAAACTAGTATCTAAAACTAAAAATATGCAGCTTTTCTAGAAGATAGCGCCATGGGGGCAGAGTCTGTGTTTTATCAGGGGGCCCCACGAAACTGATAACTTTCTAAGGCATGTCCTGTTTTACATCCTGTGAATCTATTTACAGACCAATGTGAGGAGTTACTATTTTGTCTGTTTTGTCCCCTCTAAGCAGGCCTCTGAAATGTCCCTAAGTTCCTGGATTCTTTTAATGCTGGAGGGAAACTGACCAAAAGGCAGCCCCAGCATTGATTGTTGTATTATTAGCCTGTGGCCTGCAGGGTTTCCCCACTACAGTAGGGACATCATCATGCCTACATTCTTCCTATTCCAGGAAGACATTTCCATTGAAAAGAGGTAAAATGGTAAAAAGGGGTGACAATGCATGTAAATAATCTCACCATCTGCCTAGAGTAGGAAATTGAGGAACACAAAGGCAAGGTGACTTTGCCTGATGAGAGTGGGGCTGGGGTAGGCTGGTGACCAATTCTGAGCCCAAATGACTTTTTATGAAATGTTCCCTGAGCACACCTGATTCCCAACCCCAAGGGTACTGTGAATTTGCACAACTTCTGTGCACCCCAAGTACTCTGTCCTTGCCCGTCCCAGTGAATTGGAGAGTATCTCACCGTAAACCTATATCCTCATTTGCATGGTGAACTTCTCTGTGTTTTGCTCTCTATGTTCAGAGTGCGTGCTCAGAAGGTGTTTGTCACAAATAAGTAGATGATATATAATCAATACAGCTCCATCAAAGCAATATTGAAAATGTTGACTGTAAACCAGCAGTGGTACCAGAGTCCTGATGGACTATGATAACTGGAGAAGGAGGAGGAGAGAGGAGACTTCCTCAGCACAAGCTCTACCCACAGTGAAATAAAGGCCACCACTCACTTAGCACTGCTAATCTTTCATCTACATAGACATTTTATTTTCCTTTGGGAGATAATGGGCAGAAAGTGGAAGAACTGAGATGTTTTGATGAAATTATTTCCTTACTTAATGGGAAAGTCTGAATGCTTTTTGTTGCTGTAACATCTATCCAAAAATGTGTGTTTCAACCTCTCTGCCTCAGCAACTCAGCAACTTTAATATTTTGAACAAAATGAAATCTTTCTTTGGAGGTTGAAAGTATTGTTATGCCTTGAGAACATCATAACATCCAGACCCCTGCCCTGGTTTCTTTTGGACAACGCATAGGAAATACAGTTGAGTCTGCCCTGACTCCAGGGCATGACACGCACATTCTTTGAGTAAATCTTAAAATAATTGAGTTTCCCTATGACCCATGCTTTTCCCCTGAAGTCATAAGCTATAAAAAGTTCTGATAGGTTTATGTTTCTGGTTAATCAAGGTTTACTGTCTGCTTTAAACTTAGTGCCAGGTGACACCTAGTAATCATTCTTTGTTTGGAGCATCACAGGCAACAGAGAAGTCAAGTTCATCACCAAGAGGCAGCTGTACTCACATCCTGGAAGAGATTCAATTAATAAACCTCTCATCTTTCTTCATTTTATTACCCCCAGTAGGGAATCTTTTAGCCTGATGCTATTAGTAGACAGGGCATGACCTTCCACTCTACTGTAATATTTTATCCTTTTCTATGTCCTCAGTTGGTGTGCTTAGTAAGAAGTTTCTCAAAAAATGGATATGGAGAGAGCAGGATAATTCCTGCCTTCCTAGAATATGTCCCAGTGATAAGTGGGCAATGAATGCTGATGAGTATTGATTACTTCCTTAATGAAGCCACATGTTCTGGAGTGTGTATATGTGTGTGCATGTTTTGCAGCTGCTGTCTAGACTATACTCTGTATTACTCAACCATCAGGATGATTACAAATAATGAAAGAAAAAAAATGAAATGACATCGGCTGCATTAATTTTACCCATCTACAGTACTAACAATGTAGTTAAGAAAACATCCCCGGGATGTATTTTGCCTTCATAATGTATCAGTGGCAATAGGTGCAAAGAGTTTCTGGAATTTCACTCAAGTCACAGATGTGAACATGTTTTTATAAATTGATAAAGAAATAATTATTTTGACTAGAGCATGGAGTAGAAGTGGGCTTCATTTGATAATGATTATTATTATTATTATTTTCTTGAGATGGAGTTTCGCTCTTGTTGCCCAGACTGGAGTGCTGTGGTGCGATTTCTGCTCACTGCAACCTCCACCTCTCAGGTTCAAGCGATTCTCCTGCCTCAGCCTCCTGTGTAGCTGGGATTACAGGCATGTGCCACCACACCTGGCTAATTTTTATTTATTTATGTTTTTTGAGGCGGACTCGCTCTGTCGTCCAGGCTGGAGTGCAGTGGTGCGATCTTGGCTCACTGCAACCTCTGACTCCCAGGTTCAAACGATTCTCCTGCTAATTTTTGTATTTTTAGTAGAGATGGGGTTTCACCATGTTGGCCAGGATGGCCTCGAACTCCTGACCTCAAGTGATCCACCCACCTTGGCCTCTCAAACTGTTGGGATTACAGACGTGAGCTACTGTACCAGGCCAGATACTGATTATTTTTGATGTCATCTATTTCTGAAGACAAAAGGACCTGGGTCAAACACCTACACACTGGGTACTTGATCAGGTAATTTGCCATCCTGAGCCTCAGAAACTTGCCTCAAAGGCTTGTTGGGAGGATAAAGCTGAGGAAGAAGCATGTCATAGGAGGAGAATGTTGGCTCTGAAGTCTGACAACCAGCTTTCACCCCTCATTGACTGGGTAACACTGGATAAACTGCCTGTCTTCTCTACGTCCCATTTTCCTCATGTATTAAAGGTAGATACCAATAGAGTCCTCATAGGATTTTTGTGAGGAATTAGGTGGAGATATTGCAAGTCAGATGACTGTAATATAGTAGGTGTTCTTAAGGTGTCAGGGATGTTCATACTCTCCTCATAAGCCTGAAGAACTTCTACTTTTCATATAAGATTCAGCTTAAATGATGCAAGCCTGATACCAAAATCTGACAAACACACTACAGCAAAGAAAATTACAGACCAATATTCTCCATGATTTTAGAGGTGGAAATCCTTGACAGAATTTTAACATGTGTACTCTAGCAATATATAAAATGATAATACATCATGAAGTGTGGAATGGAAAGGTGATTCAACACTGAAAAATACCAATCAACTCATCATATTAATAGAATAAAAAAGAAATGCTACAAGCTCATTTTAATAGATGCAGAAAAGGCACTTGATACAATTTAACACCCATTCATGAGAAATGTTCTCTGCCACGTCACAGCAGAAAATATATTTCTCAATTTGATATGGCTAACATCTTAGTGGTGATATATTGAACACTTTCCCCTTAAGACAGGAAGCAAGGTGAGGATGTGCACTCTACTCATTTCTATTTAAAACTAATGACTAGACAGTGAAATAAGGCAGGAAATAAAAAAGACATAGATTAGAAAGTAAAAAGTAATACCATCTTTACAGATAACATAATTATATACATAGAAAATCCTTAAAAAGATCTAACAAAAATTCAAAATAATTTCTAGAATTAATAAGTGAATTTTACAATGTCACAGGACACAAATCAATGTATAAAAACTAGCTGTATTTCTATGTACTGGCACCAAGTAATTGGAAAATGAAATAACAAACTACTTTTATAATAGCATCAAAACCCAGGAAACACTTAGGAATAAGTTAGCAAAAGATATACTGTCTTTTGGGAAATGACTCTGATGCTGTCCTAGACATCACAAAACAAGTGTTCACAGGCCAAATTAAAACATTAGGTTAAAACCCAAATCACATGCTTTGTTTAGTTAATTAATAACATAAACCAAAAAATCAAGGAGAAAGATCTGGGGTATTTTAATATACTTTGGTGAGGAGGCAAGTAAGTAGAAGAACCATATTGTCTGGATCCTGGGCCATGCTATGTTCACTTGTCCTGTCTCTCCTGTTGCTTAATCAGCCTTCCCCTCTGATATGATTAGAGGGACAAGAGCTGAAGTTTGAGCAAGAGGGGAAAAGACAGAAGGTGTCCTGGGCTAGTAACACATGCTTGCTCTGTTGGAGAGATGCAGGCACAAGAAAACCTGGCCACAGTTTTAACTTGCTATTAGTTTGCTGAACAGCCATGGGTTTTGTTTTTCTTGGGGCCAAAATGGATGTCATTAATGGGTGGTAAATCAAGACCTTTTGAATATTGAGTGTTCATGAATATTTAATGTATCCTGAATAGTTTGTGCTGTTTGTATATTTAGCACTGCATATGTCTCATACATATTTAATAATTCCTGAATATTTATCTGAGGTGTATCCTGAATACACCTCCATGACATTTGGTGTATCATGAATATTTAGTATCCTGGTGCCTCATGAATGTTAGGCATGTTTTGCACCTTCCATCCTTTTCTTCTTACATTGGGTACGCACATGCTTTACTTTGTAACTACTTATCTTGTATAATACCTCTTGTGAATTGTCTGTTCTAACAAAGATTTTGCTTATTATGCTATCTATACTTAAAACACTTTAAAAGTTTTTGCTAATGTTTAAAGTTTTTGCCAATGTTACCAACTACAAACATTTTCATCTTTCATAGTAGAATCAAATACTCCCAAAAGTCAATGTACATTACATGTGTAAGACCACTATACTGAAAATTATAAAACGTTGCTAGGAGAAATTTAAACAGACCTATGTACATGGAGAGGTATACCATGTTCATGTTTTGGAAAACTCAATATTGATAAGATGCAAAATTTCCCCAAATTGATCCATCAATTCAACATAATCCCGATTTTGAAAGTCCCAGAATGCTTTATTTTGTGGGGAAGGTAGAAATTCACAAACTGATTCTAACATCTGTTTGTAAGTGCACAATAATTTTGAAAAAGAATAACGAAGTAGAAGGATCTAAGCTACTTGATTTCAAGCCTTACTATTGGTGTTAGAATACACATACAGAGTGGATTCCACAAATAGATTCACATATATATGATCAACTGACTTTCAACAGTAGTGCCAAAGTAATAAATGTGGAAAAAGAATATTTTCAGCAATTAGAGCTGGTTTAACGAAATTTTTAAGAAATGCACTGCAACCCATGTCTCACACTATGTACAGAAATTAATTTGACATGTATCATTGCCCTAAATATAGAAGCTAAACAAAGAGAAAAAGATAGGCAAACATTTTCATCATTTTGGGATAGGCAAATATTTTTTAGACACAAAACACTCCAAGAATAAAAGAAAAAAATGTACAAATTGGACTTTATCGAAATTAAAAATTTCTGCTCTTCAAGGGACACCATTAAATCAATAAAAAGGCAAACCATAGATTGGGAGAAAATATTCACAATGCATATGTATAACAAAGGTCTCATGCCTAGAACTCAAAAATAAGATAATTATTTTTTTAAAAAATGACCAAAAACTTGAACAGATACATAAATGAAGACTACAAATGTTCAATAAGCAAACAAAAAGATAATCAAACATCACTAGTTATTAGATAAATGCAAATTAAAACCACAACAAGATACCACTTTACTAAAATTTTAAAAACCAGTGATACCAAGTGTTGGTAAGGATCTGGAGGATCTAGAACTCCTGTATTGCTGTGGGAGGAAAAAATTATGCAACGACTTTGGAAAACTATGCACCAATTTCTTATAAAATTAAGCATACCACTATCTGTGACCCAACAATTCTACTGTTAGGTACTTACCAGAGAAATTAAATGTCCACAAAAAGACATGTATTTGAATTTTCATAGCAGTTTTATTCGTAATAAATTCAAACTGAAAAGAACCTAAAAAAACCATTGACAGAAAAGGATGAGTTCATGTCCTTTGCAGGGACATAGATGAAGCTGGAAACCATCATTCTCAGCAAACTATCACAAGGACAGAAAACCAAACACTGCATGTTCTCACTCATAGGTGGGAATTGAACAATGAGAACACTTGGACACAGGGTGGGGAACATCACACACCGGTGCCTCTTGTGGGGTGGGGGGCTGGGGGAGGGATAGCATTATGAGAAATACCTAATGTAAATAACGAGTTGATGAGTGCAGCAAACCAACATGGCACATGTATACCTATGTAACAAACCTGCACGTTGTGCACATGTACCCTAGAACTTAAAAAATAATAATAAAAAACCATTGACAGAATAATGTCTAAACAATACAAAAATGAGAAACCATAAAGGGTACATATGATATGTGCCCTCAGAAGTCTCTGAATCCTCCTATGGGCTCTATGTATGCTCCTATTGGATGTGATGGCTGACAACTGCTTTGTTGACCCCGTCTCCACGTAGGCAGTGGAGAGCAGAGCTTTCTGTAGCAGGTAGCTGAAACAGAACTCAGGGAAGAGGAATAAACTTCCCTACTTTTCTCTTTTATACCCTCGGGAGGGGTTTCACACCTTCTTGAATATAACCGAGCAAATACACTATAACAACTGTAAAAATAAGTTGTTATGCAATGGAATATTATTCAACCATAAAAAGGAATGAAGTACTGATATACACTACAACATGGATGGATCCTGAAAATATGCTAAAGGAATGAAGCCAGATGCAAAAGGTCACATAGTGTATGACTACATTTACATAAAATATCCCAAACAGGCAAATCCAGAGACAGAAAATAAATTAGTGGTTGCCAGCAGCTTTGCAGGGAGGTGGGGTGGTGGGATAGGGGAGGGGATGGGAAGTGACTGTAAATGGGTATGGGTTTTCTTTTGGAGTGATGAAAATAGTCAGGAATTAGATTGTGGTGATGGTTATACAACATTGTGAATATAGAAAAAGTCACTGAATGGTAAACTTTAAAAGAGTGAATTTTGCTGAGCATGGTGGTTCACCCCTATAATCCCAGCACTTGGGAGGCAGAGGCAGGCAGATCACTTGAGGTCAGGAGTTTGAGACCAGCCTGGCCAACATGGTGAAATCCCGTCTCTACTGAAAAAATACAAAAATTAGCCAGGTGTGGTGGCACACGCCTGTAATCCTAGCTACTCAGGAGGCTGAGGCAGGAGAATTGCTTGAACCTGGGAGGCAGAGGTTGCAGTGAGCCAAGACCATGCCACTCGCCACTGTGCTCCAGCCTGGGTGACAGAGTGAGACCGTGTCTCAAAAAAAAAAGAGTAAATTTTATGCTATGTGAATTATATTTCAATAAAAATACCAGTTGATACTTTTCAGTCCTTATTTTCTCTCTGTTGCATTTTTCATTCTTAATGCCTTCTTTCTTGACTCACTTTCTTCTGCTTTTCTTTTTGATACATTCTTCTTCTGATTTTACCTCGACTTCTCAGATTCATCCTTTTAGATTTTCATTGGTTATTCTTATTTCCATATTCATTCCTCAAAGCAATATTGATGGTCCTCAGAGTGTTGTCATGGGTCTGCTCCACCTCCGGGCATCTGTCTGCCTGTTGTTTCCCTTATCTTCTGTATCATGGTTGATGGTATGTCCATATGTTCCACCCACAACTCTGTCCTCAACTCCATGCTCTTACACTCAACTTTCCATGCTTGGCTGTCCCACAAGCTCCCAATCTCAACATGCGCCAAACAATTTACCTTTGCCCCAAACCAAACTTGCTAGTACTCTTGTTTTCCTTATCTCAGAAAATTAGGGATCCTTCTTGACATATCCACTCCCCAGGATGGTCTCCCAGAGAGGGTGTTGGCTCCCAGCAGAACTTCATAAAAACTGGCCACAACCCCATGCTCATGGCTTTTGATTCTGTTAAGGTGTCCAGGTGGCAGGTTGGGATAAGAAGCCTCTGTGTCATCCAGTTGCAGCAGAAGTTTGGGCCTCACTTCCTGTTTATTTCAAGAGAGATTCTAGCAATCCAAAAATAATAATTAAGTGAAAAAGAATCTAGTGTAATCATGAATGATTTTGTTTCAGCAACAGGTAAACACTTAATTTTTAGCACATTGGAAATGAGAATAATAAATATAAAAATAAAACAAAAATGCCTAAATAGTGGAACTACTTAATTTAATTTCTCTTTTATTGCTTTATGGATGTTGTTCATGGATTTCCAAACAAATCCCGGAAAAAAAGGTAAGTTGTTTTGTTAGGGAAATAACATCTCATCCTGGTCCATTCATCATTTCAGAGTGACAAAGCAAAACCACATTTATCAAAAAAATTTACAAAGTTAGAGAAAACACAACTATAGAAATAAAACTACTAGTGTTCTTAACAATGGTATAAAGAAGCTGCAGAAACCCATCTAGGCAGGAAGAGAAATGAACAATCTGGTGGGATGCCTACAAAACACAAAAGACCTGCAAAGGAGGAGGCCTGAGACAGCTATGAGAATGATCAGAAGCAGGGGGAGAATGAGTTAGAGCTCAAAGAAATAAAAAATGAACACTGCCAAAACTGTCTCAATGAAGAGTTTTCAAATCACTAAACACAATATTGTTAAAAAATAGCATGGCTTCACTGCAGTGGTCTTCAAGGGCTTATTTCAGATGATAAAGAAAGACCGGAGCCATGAAATTGTTACTTTGCATTTGGTTTAGAAAAGGAACAGAGAGTTAAGATCTACTTCAGATCAAAACGTCAATGTCCAGGAGCTATGGAAACAGAACTAAATGGTGCTTGGAGATAAAAAAGCAATTGATGCCAAAGGAAATGCATTGTCCTGTTTCCATTTTCTTCTGACTATGGGTTTTAGAGTAAAGAATTGGTGAGTTAGTTAAAGACAGGGCCAAAGAGGAAACCAAAGATTGGATCATGAATTTTCATCCTGGCCTTGTTACTGAGAGCTCCTTGATTTTGTCTCAATCACTTCACTTCTCTGTGTCTCGCTGTTTAAATCTACACATTGAGATTTGCCTGCTTCCTCAGGAAGGACGTACAGAGCCCCCATTGTGTGCTAGGGCTGTGTGGCCTTGCACGTGTGACCGTTTTAGTTCACATCCCTCACTTGAAAGATGGTATCGGCTGAGACTCAGAAAGAGCTGTTAGCCACGGACAGAGCTGTGATGAGGACTCGGTTTGTTCCTTTGAAGCCAGAGCTCTCAGCATCACTGCAGGCTGGAGAGTAAAGGCTAAATTCATTATGCTTTGCGTGGAGTGGAAAGTTCCAGTTAACGTGGAGGGAAAATTCCTTTACTTCATTCCGTAGATAATTAATATCAGCATTAAGTTATTTCCATTTTTAAAATGCATAATAAAAGCTCAGTGCCTCGTTCTTCTGAAATATAAAGCTGTTAAAGTTGGAGATTAGATATTTTATTTTATTTTATTTTATTTTATTTTTTACAGATAGGGTCTTGCTCGGTTATTCAGGCTGTAGTGCAGTGGCATCACACTTCATGGCAGCCTTGAGCTCCTGGACTCAGGTGATCCTCCAGCCTCAGACCCCCCAATAGCTAAGACTGCTAGCTACTGGGCGAGCCACAACACCTGGCTAATTTTATTTTCACCTTCTTTGTAGAGATGGGGGTCTTGCTATGGTGCCCAGGCTGGTCTTGAGTTCCTGGTCTCAAGTGATCTCGTGCCTCAGCCTCCAAAAATGCTGGGACTACAGGCATAAGTAGATACCTGGTTTTTTTTTTTTTTTCAAGTGAGACTAGTTAACGTTTGCTGAATACTCACTATGTTCCCAGAATGGCTTTTGGAGCTTTGTGGTTAGTGCTCAGTACCGTCTTATGAGGTCATTACTGGCCACATTTACAGATCAGGAAACAGAGGCTTAAAGAGTGAAGGAAGGAGGAGGTCGTGGGACCTCCAGCTGAGCCCATTTCTGTGCCCCCACTGCATTACCACTGTGGCATGGAGAGGCCCAGGGGACCAGAACTATTTGTGCAGTCCCAGAACATGGTCTTATGAGAGAGGTAATATGAGGCATCCACCTATAAATGACCGGCTGAGGGGTGGAACTGGGAAGAAAATGAGGTGGGGAACAGATGCTGGAGAGGTTGTGGAAAGTGGTGGCTGCAGTGCTCGGAGACATTCTCAGCACCAAACCTTGGTCTCTCCCGCCCACTAACACCTGGACAAGGGAGCACGTGCTTCCTTCAACCCACACCCACGGGACCCCTGTGACTGCTGTTTTCCTTTCAAAGCTGCCAATTTTATTGTAATTAGTATACTTCCTAATACATGTAATATGTAGAATGATATGAATATAAATCATATTTGGAGTATTTAAATGTATATTGATTTTAAAACATATGTGCATAGTTTTGATTAATAAATATAATGATGACCATCATTTATTGGATGTTTGCTATGTGTTTAATAGTGAGAGGAACTATGATATAGCACAATACTAAAAGTATTATCAATTTTAGGAACTCGTCTAAGCTTTAAGAACCTGCCCAGGCGCGGTGGCTCAAAGTTCTGTAATCCCAGAACTTTGGGATGCCAAGGCAGGCAGATCACCTGAGGTCAGGAGTTCAAGACCAGCCTGACCAATATGATGAAACCCTGTCTCTACTAAAAATACAAAAAAAATTAGCTGGACTTGGTGACACATTCCTATAATTCCAGCTACTCGGAAGGCTGAAGCAGGAGAATCGCTTGAACCCAGGAGGTGGAGGCAGGAGAATCGCTTGAACCCGGGAGGCGGAGGTTGCGGTGAGCCGAGATCACGCCACTGCACTCTAGCCTAGGCAACAAGAGCAAAATTCCATCTCAAAAATAAAAAAATAACAAAAAAGAACCTGCCTGAGGTCACTTTGAGGATGGTGAAGATGAGATTTGAGCCTCCTCTGTCAGATTCCAAAGCTGGTAGTTCTTAAATAGTGCCCCTAGACTAGGTCCAGGGCAGGAGGAAGGAGGCAGGCCCTGGCCTTAACTGTGACTCCTCCCTCTTCCTCACAAACCCCATCTCTGCTGTCTCCAGGACACCCACTTCTCCCCACCCTCCAAGGCTGCTTCTGTCCATCCATTTCATTTTCCACTTTTGGAAGGCCCAAAGAGGTCTTTCCAAAACCCAACTTTAAACATGCCCCTTTCCTGATTCCAACATTTCAGTAACTCCCCAGTGACCTTTAGATGGAGCCAGGCTTCCTGACCTCTGAGGCCTCATTTCTTCCCACCAACCCTGAACTCACGGCTCTCGCCAGACTAAGGGACTTTGATTTCCTTGACCTACTGTGCTTCCTGTTGTGATTCCTGTTGTTAGGACTTTTTTTCTGTTTCTAATTTGGTCTTGAGGTTGCTTTCTGGAGAGTGGCCATAAGCTTTAGCTCTGCCCTGGCCAGGAGGAAAGTTGTTTGGTAATTGTGTGTCAGGTGAGACACAATGAGGAAGTGAATCCAAAATTCATGAAACAGAAGAAATTTATTACTCGCAGGTCCCAGCAAGGTCAGAGGTGTTGATTGGAGGCAGACGAGAAATCTGGAGGTGGCAGGGAGCTCAACTAGTGGTGGAGAGAGAGAGAGAGAGGAGAACCTGTGGAACTATGCCTTCATTGAGCCTGTATTAAGCTTTATTAAGGTTCATGGGGATTATTTCTTAGGCTTCCCAAGAGGGGTGTGGATTGGCTACTTAAAAAAATATGTACATGAGGGGGAACTTATTTACATGACTCTGGCATTGACCATTAGGTTGTATCATGGTCAGTAGCTGTGGGATATGTTGTGTTTTGGGTCAGTGGGATGAGGAACAAGAGGGCCATGTCACAAACAACCACATGGGGAGGGGATGTTTTAACTAGGTCAAACGTGGCAGGTCAGCTCTATGCACTCTCTTATTACATAAATAAATAAATAAATAAAAGAAAGGAAAGTAGACAAAAGTGGCAGAGTACAACTGAGTTTTAGACAACTTATGCCTGGCTTAAAAATGGATGTTGAGGCAGCAACTACATTAAATAAATTGAAGACACTCCCTTTCAGCTGTCACTCCCTCTGTTGAGGTCATCTTATTTCCTCCATTGTCCTCTTCCTCCTTCAGCCCCCAGCATTGAGGCACTGCCCCTTGAAAGTGTTGGCTGAGCCCCAGGCATGGCTAGGTGCCCTCTTTGTGTCCCCTCAGCACTCATCACATTTTACTGCTGGCCCATATACCCTGCTGAGCTCTGAGAGCTACAGTCAGGGGCAGTGTCAGGTATGATTCTCTCCAGCTCCTGTGACAGCAACGAGCCCTGAGAAGTGCTTCATAAATATTTGACTGCATGTGGATAGGTATGCCCGGCATAGTGCCCGGCAGAGAATAGATGCTAAATAAATGGTAGTCATTTTTCTTTATTATTCCAGCTCTAATATGCTGGGATTACAGAAAGCTGATGAATCACATAGCTGGCATCTGGTCGGCACTGATCTTTCTGTGATGAGTCTACCAATTTGCACAATTCCAAAACCAAATATAGACTACAGGGGCAAAGAATTTCCATTTACAAATAGAGATGTGCTGATGGTATGCCTCATGGGTGAATTGGGGGACTGTCTTGAGTGCTAACCTGCTGTGTCTCACAGTGTCCTCCATGGCACCTGTTTGGAGATGTGATGTGCTCTCCGTGGGACTTGGGCTTGCCTATGTCGTGTGGTTTCATTCTCTGATTGTTGGTCCTATGCTTCATGCTCAGGATCCTTTCTTGATTTCCCCGCTGGGCGTGACTTCTGTTTTTCTGTACTTTCAAAGCATTTCTCATTGCGCTGTACTGAAATTGAGAGGTAGAGCAAAGACCACCTGCAGGAACTGAACTCCTAGTAGTTACTCTGCATGGCTGTGAACATTCCATGTCAGGTACTGCTGCATGTAATCTTGATGAAAACCTCGAAGAAGGAGCCATTTTTCATGCCCATGTTAGAGATGGGGAACTTGAGGATCAGACACTTGCTCAGAACTAGCAGAGCCCCCAGCCTAATTTGAACTCAACTCCATGAGCTGCAACTCTACCACAAGGCAAGGTCATTTTGCTTACTTGAGGGTAGTAGACTTAGAAATATCATCCATTTTTTGACTTTATGAGTTTTTTTCATGCAGACATTTAAAAAATGTTTTATGTAGTCAAATTTCTTCTTCCCTTTTTACATGGGCTTCTGGATTTTGAGTCTTTCCTACATTGAAACACTCTCCCAAGAGCTCCTCTAATGCTCTTATAAAGGTTTTTATTTTGTTTTTCTTTTTAAAAAATATTGAGATCTTTCAGGTATCTGGAGTTAATTTTGGTGTCAAGAGGGAGTTAGAGATCCAGTTTATTTTTTCCCAATAGCTACTTGTTTACGGATATATCCTCCTTGCCTCCACTGATATGCAAAGCTTCCTTTTTTCTATACTAAATGCTCCTCTGTATGTGGATTTATTTCTAGACTCTCTCTTCTGTTCCAATTTTCCTTTCTATTTATACATCAGTATGGTTTATTAATTATTATAGCTTTATACCATATTTAACTCCTTGGAGGGACTAGATTACTCCCATTGTTCTTGGTTTTTAGAAGAATTTTCCTCATTGGTTTTGCACATTTATTCCACAGTTCTTTCCTGAAACTTAACTTTTCACAGATGACATAGATGTGTACATATTAAACATATGGATAACTTCACTTTGAGCTTCTGGACAAAAGGACTTGTCATCTGTTTTTAAGCAGTAATTCACTCATGGGTAGAAAAGTGGCTGTATTTTGCATTATCTGGTGCAGAGCTCAGGCAGTTAACCAAGAAGGGAGAAACTTGGAAGGTATTATGGATTGAAGGTTTGTGTTCTCCAGAATTTGTATGTTGTGACCCTAACCCCCAGTGAGATGGTATAAGGAGATGCGGCCTTTGGGAGGTGATTACGCCATAGAAGTGGAGCCTACATGAATGGGTTTAGTGTCCTTTTAAAAGAGACCCTCAGAGCTCTCTTGCACCTTCCATCATGTGAGGACACAAGGAGATTACCATCTGTGAACCAGGAAGTGGGCCCTCACCAGACACCAAATTTGTGAGTGCCTTGATCTTGGACTTCCCAGCCTCCAGACCTGCAGAAATAAATGTTTATTATTTTAGACACCCAGTCTATGGTATTTTTGTTATAGCAATGTGAGCTAAAATGGAAGGAGGGATATATAGCTAAGGACTAACATCCTGTTGCCCAGAATCAAGACTGTTAGAGTTGGAAGACATTTTAAAGATTAACTTGTTACTTGATAGAAGAGGAAATTGAATTTGTTGGAATTTAAGTGACCTGGCTAACATCATAGAATTAGTTGGTGGCAAAGTCAAGACAAGACCTGTCTCCTGTCTGTCAGTTGAATCTTCTTTCCACTACGTTATGCATCACTCCTTCTAAAATCATTAGCAGAGGGATTTTGTTTTTGAAGTAAAGGTGCGGGAAACTTCAGTTCTTCCTAGTCCTTCCCTTTTAAACTTTTCACAGAAAGTCCACATTAAAAGAAAATGTACCGGCTGGGTGAAGTGGCTCACGCCTGTAATCCCAGCACTTTGGGAGGCTGAGGCAGGTGGATCACAAGGTCAGGAGATTGAGAACATCCTGGCTAACACTGCGAAACCCCCTATCTACTGAAAATATAAAAACAAAATTAGCCGGGCATGGTGGCAGGCACCTGTAGTCCCAGCTACTCGGGAGGCTGAGGCAGAAGAATGATGTGAACCTGGGAGGCAGAACTTGCAGTGACCCGAGATCGCTCCACTGCACTCCAGCCTGGGTGACAGAGCAAGACTCCACCTCAAAAAAAAAAAAAAAAAAAAAAAAAGGAAAATGTACCAGATCTGAAAATTTTGTTGTTTCTCCTTCATTTAAAGCCTACTCAGTAAGTTAGCAGGAGTTGAAGCATAACAGTAGAACTTTAGAACAGTTTTTTTCTTTACCCAAATTAGTAATGGTAACCCATACATTTTATAAGAATTGCACCCCACTTTCCCTAGGCTTTTCATTGTTTCCATTGATAAAACATCCTCTACCATCTGGAGAGAGCTAGAACTTGGCTTCATTTCTGTTTGGCAGCAATAGCACTTTGAGTAGTGAAGGGAGAAGAATGAGGTGTCCCTGGAGTCACAGTTTCCCCAACCAATGATCGTTAGTTCTAGAGATAACTTTATATTTCTCTCCACAGTGATGGAGTAGAAGTTTGCAAGTGAATCCCTCTGACAGCTGGCTACGGGGGCAAGCATTATGCATTATGTATCCCAAATGCATACTCACTTTACACCAAAAATATTGGATAATATTTTCAGACAGCTAAGAGGAGACAGATACCTTCTAAATTAAAATTGATGAAGAATAACTGAGGGTGCAGCTCGGAGCCCATGTTTATCTTCCAAAGGTTAAATCTGGATAAAAAAATTTAATCTCTGCCATGTCATGCTTATTACTTGGATGATATATATCTGTGTTAATTATTTTCTATTTACGTGAAAGGCAGTTTAAAATGTGCTAAAGTGTAAAACAAATGCATACAGCTTTCTTTCACATGAGCCAATTTCTTATGCCCCGTTTTCCAAAAATACGTATCTTATTCCAGGAAGAAGTCAAGATCTGTGGCCCGAGTTAAGTATATTGGCTGTTAACAGTCTGCATTGCACGTGGCTATTTATAAAATGCTCTACTTTTGCCATCTGTTCTCTGCGTTCTCTTGCCTCTGTCTATTCTACGTCCTTTTTTCCCAACATTTTGTTGGGCTATGGCTCCTGAAACAATTTCCAATCCTCTTTTTTTCCTTTGGCTAGGGTTCCTTTGTGATATTTGATGTCTTTCAGGGATTGTCTAATGAAGTCTTATGCACTCCACCCACTCCCACGTTATATATTTTTGGTTTTGGTTTTTGTCCTTCCTTCGGCTTAGCAGCAAAAGTCCTGCTACAGCTTCTCCTCCTCACCTCACCTGGACCCAGGCTGGACTGGCGCCTCCAAAGTGTGCTGGTGAGTCCCCAGGACCATCCTCCCCCTGCTTGTCTTCCCAGAAGCTCAGGCCTCACTGCTTGCTGCTGGACACAGTAGCTTCTTCCATCAAACCGGAATCCATTTTTAAATCACTGATTTTTAGATCAACATGATTTTCTTAGAGATCACAAAAGGCAGTCTCCCCATTTTATGGATGTAGAAACTGAGACTCAAAGATGGCAAATCAGGCCAAGCACGGTGGCTCACACTTGTAATCCCAACACTTTGGGAGGTCAAGGCAGGTGGATCACCTGAGGTCGGGATTTCAAGACCAGCCAGGCCAACATGGCAAAATCCCATCTCTACTAAAAATGCAAAAATTAGCCAGGCATGATGGTGGGCACCTATAGTCCCAGCTACTCAGGAGGCTGAGGCATGAGAATTGCTTGAACCTGGGAGGTGGAGGTTACAGTGAGCCGAGATCATACCACTGCACTCCAGCCTGGGTGACAGAGTGAGACTCTGTCTCAAAAAAAATAAACAAAAAAGGTAGCAAATGGCTTGCAGAGATGGCAAATGGCTCGCTTTTGGTAGAGCAGAATGATATAATTAGTAGACTTTTAGCTGATGTTCATGACAAATTTAAGATATGGACAAGAAAACAAATCCTACAAATATAGTAATGGTGAGACTCATGAACCCTTATTAACCTCATGATAATCCTGTATCATAGAAAAATATCACAGATTGGGTGGCTTAAACAGCAGAAATGTATTTCTCATAGTTCTGGAGGCTAGAAGTCCAAGACCAACAGACCAGCAGGATCGGTTTCTCCGGAAGCCTCTCTCCTTAGCTTGCAGATGGCTGCCTTCTTCCTGTGTCATCATATGGCCTTTTGTGTGTGTGTGTGCACATCCCTGATGTCCCTCAATGTGTCCCAATTTCCGCTTCTTCTAAGGACCCCAGTCATATTGGATCAGGGCCCATTCTAATGGCCTCATTTTAACCTAATCACCTCTGTAAGGGCCCTGTCTCCAAATGCAGTCACATTCTGAGGCACTGGGGGTGAGAACTTGTGTCCCCTCAAAGTCCATAACATCCTGTGAGGTCAGGATTACTCATATCCCCATTAACTGATGATGAAAGAAGACACAGAGATGATAATGAACTAGCTCACATTTGCTCAGAGAATAAGTGGTGGAGCCAGGATTTGAACTCAGGCAATCTGGCCTCAGAAACCTGCCAAGAGTGTTCAGTGCTCAGAGTCCTGCAGAGAAAATGTCCCATAATGACACTATTACTATTATAATGTTAATATTGTCTACTAAATAACTTGTGATACATAAATATCATTTTCTATGAAGAATAGGTTTTTTTTTTTTCATTTGCCCTGACTTTTGCCAGTTCCTTTGGTTCTCCTTTGCTGTTTGTCAGCAAGGTCAAAGGTTCATGTCATCCAAGCCTTGTATAACACAGCTATGTCACCTAAGGTACAGCCGTGTCACCTGAGGTGTGTATAACACAGCCATGTCACCTGAGGTGTGTATAAAACAGCCATGTCATCTGAGGTACAGCCATGTCACCTGAGGTATGGCCATGCCACCTGAGGTGTATATAACACAGCCATGTCACCTGAAGTTCTGTATAACACAGCCAAGTCATCTGAGGTACAGCCATGTCACCTGAAGTGTGTATAAACCAGCCATGTCACCTGAGGTGTTTATAACACAGCCATGTCACCTGAGGTGCATATAAAACAGTTGTGTCACCTGAGATGTATATAAACACAGCCATGTCATCCGAGGTATGTATAACACAGTTGTGTCACCTGAGATGTATATAAATATAGCCAGACACCTGAGGTGTGTATAACACAGCCATGCACCTGAGGTGTATATAAAAGAGTTGTGTCACCTGAGATGTGTATAAACACAGCCATGCACCACCTGTGGTGTATATAACACAGCTGTGTTACCTGAGGTGTGTATAGCACAGTTGTGTCACCTGAGGTGTGTAGAGCACTGTGTGTGTATAAACACAGCCATGTCACCTGAGGTGTGTATAACACTCTGTGTCACCTGAGATGTGTGTAAGCATAGTCATGCACCTGAGGTGTGTATAAACGCAGCCATGTACCACCTGTGGTGTGTATAACACATCTGTGTCACCTGAGATGTATATAGCACAGCCATGCACCTGAGACATTCGTGAAGAGTTGTGGAAACGTAATGGAAATATTAAAGGAGATTTGAGTTTTCCTTTGGAATACCTAAGCCTAGCTCATTCAGAGCTAATTAAATTTGAGATCAAGGGCATATGAATAAGTAATTTTAATCACAGGATTTTCATAAAGAAACTTAAACACACCCTTATTTTACAGAAGTTTCCTATAGTCTACTTTCATAAAAGATGGAAATATCTGTATATTGGTCCTACAACCTGGAAAATGTTTGCCAAAGAAATTCAGAAACACAACAGGAGAGTTGAATGCTGCTAAGGAATAAAGCCATGTATAGGAAGGCTGTGGACTCATCCTCCTTACTGGTCATCCTATCATCTCATTCAGCAGTGAGCTGCCATCTCCTTTCTAACTGCAACTTTAACATATCTGGGGACAAAAATAGCTGTCCTCACTCCCTTAGAGTTCACAGGAAAAAATTACCACTGCAGGCCTTGCTATTATAAAATGTCCTTGGTCCCCACGAGCTGAATGAGCCCCAAAAGACAATGTCAGTGACGCTGCTAAAAGGAGTCAAAAAGGGCCTTTTCCTCAGCTAAAGGAGAAGGCCCAAAGTTCAATCTCTACTGAATACTTGTCAATGAAACAAGATTAAAAAATGCCCACAAATTTACACAGAAATAGCGAAGTTTTTAAAATATCAAAATAAAAGTAAAGCCTTTTCCTGTCATTTCAAGTATCCTAGTGAATAAATGAAAAAAATGCAAGTATAACTATATTAAGGTTTTAAGCCTTTTACTTCCCAAACTTTAATGATTCACTGCAATATCACAACATGAAATGTAAACCTATGCTATAGAAAAGCTGTCAGTGACAGGAAGACTGATGTTTCATATCCTTATTAATAACACAATTTCTCATGTAAAGCATGGAAAGAATAAATGTAATATACATTTCAATTTTCATGACGAAGGTTTAGAAAAATCAGTCATTATCTCTTTATTTTATTGCTTTCAAGTATTGGCTTCTAGTTTTCCAAACAACATCTAGGCACCTTCTAACAGACCCTGTCACATAACCTTAAGGATGTCAAGTGAAACTCCTGATTTGTTTATAAGGAATTTTAGACCCAGACTCAGTGTCATCTCTACGTCATGCAGCTCCTGCTGTGTGCTGGTTCTAACACCCCAGTCTGCAGTCTCCCACACCAGCCGTCTGTCTGCATCTGTCTCTACAGGAAGATGCTTCTGGGGAGGAGAACAGAAGAACATTCCCTGGCACAGAGAATTTGTAAGATTTCTTAGACCTCAGAGAAATTATAATCTCTCTATTAAGAACAGTTTTATCTAAGGTAATGATATCATCTAGGTACTTCCACTAAGCCTAAATATGTTCTTTCCTTGTTCCTAAAATCACATTCACTAAGATATTTACAATTCTAAAACCAGGTGCCGCTTTTACATCTTGCGCAATGATTAAGTATGGGAAGCAATCTGAAAAATCCCAAAGCATGCAGGTTTTACTGCAGCTGCAAACTTGTAAATATAGTGAGTGAATACTTAAAAACAATTGCAGCTGATGTGTAAGAAATGTCAGCACGCTTCTTTCTGAAAAGGATTTGAGGAGAAAACAAGTACCTGCCTATGTAGAAATGTGTGCAAAAACTGAGACATTTAGTATGTTATTAAAATAGTGACTTCAGTGATAAAATGATCACAGGTAGACTGGTTCTCTGCACAAAACAAGATAGGACCTTTTACAAAAAAGTGCAAGTACTGCATATCATACGCTGTAGCATGCTAGCGAGCTCAGCGGATGTGATGCTCTGGCCCTATGTTTGGGTTGCAAATCCATTTAGGGTTGCAGAGCCTGGAACCAGCTCTTGAAATTTTCCTCTGCAGTCTGTGAAAAGTAAGGTGGTTGTTAAGAATGCATTCATTTTTTCTAGTTGTCCAGTTCTGTTCAAATATTACTGAGTGTTCACACTTTATTTAATAAGATCAAGCTGTGAGCAATTATGTGTCATGATCCATGTCAACAAAGTACTTGGACTTCAAAGGAAAAACAGTGTGTTTGTGCAGGAGTGTTGAGGAAGTATCTACCTAGGAGGAGTTTGAAAGATTGTCCTTAGGATAAGTCTGCAATGTTAGGCAGACAGAGCAGTGGAGATGCTGGGAGAAGAGTGGAAGGCCTTCCAGGGAGTGAAGAGCAGGAGCAAAAGCATATCAAAGTGCAGGTCCTGGTCAGGGACGGGATGAGTTCTGCAGAGGAGAATATGGGGGCAGGAGCAGAGAATCAAGTGGATGAAGGCCAGACTGTGACAGGCCTTAAGCTGTCATAGTGCATCCAACAGGGAAGCCTTGGAGACACGGCCCTCAGAAGTGTTTGGAGCTTGGTTCCGAGGCTTCACTGCACTTTGGTTCCCCATCTGTCTTTTCTTAGTGTTCTATATAGGTCTGGATGCCAGTTGTTATCTCATCCAGCAATGCTCAGACTTTGAGATAACTGAATCACACAATTCAGACGAAAATCATGCTCACAGCAAAAAACAAGTCTCCAATGTGCTTGCTGTTTGCCTGGATGCAGTGGTCAGTCTTCCGCAGAATGTACCTCCTTTCCAGTTAGTTATTGAGGCAAGGAGATAAGTCATTGTTGCCTAGATCTCGGGTTCTTCTTGCCTTTGGACCCGGCATGCTGTACCCAGTGATTGCAGAGAACACTGCAACATGCCTTTTTTTGTGCCTCACACTGAGCAGCCCAGTTTACAAAAATGTTGGTGGTCTGTACAGCAGCGTGTCAATTTTTGATATGACGCAACTGAATCAGGCCCTAATTTCTTTTTCTTGGCTGTAAGGAGAGGAGATATGGTTCTTAATGTCACTGAAGGAGTGGAAGAGTGGGAATGTTCCCCGAAGATTCTTCTGGTAAGCCAAGAGTGTGGAGGCCCTGCAGGTCTGGGGACCATGTGTTATCCCTGCATAGGCTCAGTAGTCTGGGACTCCCATACGAAACACTACAACTCTCTCTGAGCCCCAGGCACTATTGGCTTTAAGCACATGCGAATCTTGTAGTGAAAAAAAAAAAAAGGTTTCAAGTGCCAGGCTTGAGATAGATTTTAAAAAGTCTTTTGTAGACATTATAGGTGTCTTCATGGGTTGAATTGTATCGTCTCCTCACAAAAGGCATGGGCTGAAGTCCTATCCCCCAGTACCTCCGAATGTGACTTTATTTGGAAATAGGGTTGTTGCTGATGTAATTGATTAAGATGAGGTCATACTAGAGGAGGGTGGGCCCCAATTCCAAAACTACTTGTGTTCTTATAAGAAGGGGAAATTCAGAGACAGACGTGTACACACACAGGCAGTACGCCCTGTGAAGATGAAGGCAGGAATCAGGGTGATGCTTTTACAAGGCAAGGAACACCAAAGAGTGTCAGAGACCACCAGAAGCCAGGGGAGAGGTGGGGAACAGATTCTTCCTCCCTGCCCTCGGCGGGAACCACCCTAATGACACCCTGATCTCAGACTCCTGGCCTCCAGAACCGGGAGACAGTCTATTTTTGTTCTTTAAACCACTCAGTTTGTGGCTTTTATTGTGGAAACCCTGACAATCTAATAAGGTCTCAACCACAGAGGTGGAGGCCCTGCCTAGGGGAGCACCCTCTATGCAAAGGGCATGTCTTGAAAGGAGGTGGGTGAAAAGTGGTCCTTATTTTTCCAAAGTTTCTGGGTTTTTTTCCTATAATTGCTGTGCAATTTCAGTCAGTCACTTTTTAAAATCCAAATGCTAAATTTCTTTATCTTACGGAGAGGGTGGCTAGTTTGGTCAAAGTCCAAATGCTGATATGCTTTTGGTTCTGGTTTAATTTGCTGCTGTTTTGGTGAATCTAAACATTTATTCAGGTTGCCTGGACTAGAGCTGTAGTTCCAAACTAGAGTGAAGGTCACACTAGTTTATTCTTTACTTAGACTGTTTTCACTGAGCACCTAGCAGGTGCAATATTTTATTTCAGGTACTATGGAAAATGCCAAGTTAGAGGGAATATAACCCATGTCTTCAAATTACTCCAATGGAAAATATTGCTTATAAATCAATAATTATAAAACTAATTTTTTTCAACTTTTATTTTAAGTTCCAGGGTACATGTGCAGGATGTGCAGGTTTGTTACATAGGTAAATATGTGCCACGGTGGTTTGCTGCACACATCAACCCATCACCTAGGTATTAAGCCCAGCATCCCTTACCTAGTCTTCCTGATACTGTCCCTCCACCTACCTCCCCATTGACAGGCCTCAGTGTGTGTTGTTCCCCACCATGTGTCCATGTGTTCTCATCATTCGGTTCCCATTTATAAGCGAGAAGAGGTGGGGTTTTGTTTCCTGTTCCTGCATTAGTTTCCTGAGGATAATGGATTCTGGCTCCATCCATGTCTCTGTAAAGGGCATGATCTCATTCCTTTTTACAGCTGCATAGTATTCCATGGTGTATATATACCACATTTTCTTTATCCAGTCTATCATTGATGGGCATTTGGGTTGATTCCATGTCTTTGCTATTGTGAATAGTGCTGCAGTGAACATACACATGTATGCATCTTTATAATAAAATGATTTCTATTCCTTTAAGTATCTACCCAGTAATGGGATTGCTGGTTCAAATGGTAGTTCTGCCTCTAGATCTTTGGGGAATCACCACACTGTCTTCCACGATGATTGAACTAATTTACACTCCCATCAACAGTGTAAAAGTGTTCCTTTTTCTCCACAACCTTGTCAGCATCTGTTGTTTCTGGACTTTTTAATAATCCCCATTCTGACTGGCGCGAGATGGTATCTCATTGTGGTTTTGATTTGCATTTCTTTAATCATCAGTGATGTCGAGCTTTTTTTCATGTTTGTTGGCTATATCAATGTCTTCTTTTGAGAATTGTCTGTTCATGTCCTTTGCTCAATTTTTAATAGGATTGTTTGGTGTTTTTTCTTGCAAATTTATATAAAATTAATTTTAAATTGATAAGTGCTCTAAGTGAAATTTTATTTCTAGTAATGGCAGGCTAGTTTACTCAGTTCAAGATTTCTTCTGAAAATAATAAATTATACTGGACAAAATATTTTAAAACAAAGCACTGAAGAAATGGGGAAGGACCAGGGCAAATCTGAGGGGTAAGTGGAGCACTGAACAAGGAAGCCACTCATCTTTTCCCTGCCCTCACACCCTGGCTCCTGTGACAAGCTCAGAGCACCTCGTCCAACCAAAACCAAGGAAACGCTTTGTCTGGGAAGGTTGGGACACCATTCCTTGGGTTTGTCTTGGAGATAGCCCAGTCATGATTTAAATTATTTTTTTTAGTTTAATCTTCTACATTCAGGAGGTACATATGCATGTTTGTTACATGAGTATATTGCATACTGGTGGGGACTGGGCTTCTCATAGACCCATTACCCAAATACTATTTGTATTTGGTAGTATTTGTATTCGGAACATTGTACTCAATAGGTATTTTTTTGACCCTCACCCCTCTCCTGCCTTCCCCACTTTTAGAGTTCCCAGTGTCTATTATTTCCATCTTTATGTCCATGTGTGCCCACTGTTTAGCTCCCACTTATGAGTGAGGACATGTGATATTTGGTTTTCTGTTTCTGAGTTGGCCCACTTAAGATAATGGCCTCCCCTTCCAGCTATGTTGCTGCAATGGATATGATTCCTTTTTTAAGGCTGTGTAGTATTCCACAAGATATATATATATATACCACATTTTCTTTATCCAGTCAACTGCTGATGGACACTTAGGTTGGTTCCATGATTTTGTTTTTGTGAATAGTGTTGCAATAGACATATGAGTACAGGTGTCTTTTTAATATAATGATTTCTTTTCTTTTGGGTAGATACTAGATAGGTTATTTTTTAAGAAGAAATATCCAAGGAGAGAGATCTTAGAAATACCTACATTAAGGGTTTAGGAGGACAGTGAGAAGCGGTACACAGAGACCAGGGTCTCAGAAGTAAAAATGAGAACCAGGAGAATACTACATCTCCAGATCCAAGAGAGAAGAGGTGGATATCAGCTGAATCTACTCAGGCAGAGCTCAAGGAGGGTGCGCACTGAGAGACGATTGTATTTGAGGACTAGGGGGTCATTGGTGAGGAGAAAGAGGGGATGGAGAGGGAAAGGGAGATGGCTGTTGGGTGAGGTGGCTGGAGTGGAGAAGGCAATGACATGAGGGAATATTTTAGGGAGGAAGAAAGACTAAAAGGTCTTGTATAGTTGCAAGGATCAGAGAGGCACAAAAGAGTATTTTGATGCCGAAGGCTCTGGAGGTGGCAAAAGGAAATGAGACAGAGATGAATGAATAAAGGAGAACTGTGTATTCTCTGGAGGCAGGAGTGAGAGGAGAAAGCAGGGAACATGGGGCGGAGAAAGGCCACGTGTGCCGTGAGACTGGGGAAAGACCTGGAAGAAATGCATTTGATGAAAATATTAACTAAAGGGCTCTCCATGCACAGGGAATTCTAGGTAGATATAAACTCAGATATTTTTAGAGGAGAAAAAGTAGGCACAAACTATTCCTTGCAGCTTCAGTGTTTTTGACATGTTTTTTGACAATGGTACAAAGACCTCCTGTCGTGTTGTAGAGCTCTGGACAGCTGAAACAGACTGAATGGCATTAGCTCAGGGTTCTGCTCACTTGCATGAAGGCTGGAGAAGGCAGCCCAGGCATTTATTTTTCCAAGGTATCTTTGTAGGCAAGACAAGTGCTTCATCTTCTTGAAATTGCTTCTAATTCCATTAGTGTGCTCTGGCAGAGATGTTTAATACCCGCTTCTTTACAATGGCTGCCATTGGCTGCATTTCTTTCCCATGCCCACTGAATTTTCAACAATTTCTCTGCCGGAAGCAGCTAGGGCTGCTTGATTCTGATAGGACACCCTGAAAGGGAAAACAATGCTTTGCTCTCTGACTTGCGTTCCAAGCGATTGATGCAAGCCGACCCTAACTGATCAACTTGGGATAGAAGGAGGCCACTGTAACCCTGATTATCTCAAAATTCAGTCCGAAGAGCAAATAACTCATTAGAGTATAAGATGTACATTCCAGGAAGAGCTCCTTTTTGCTGAAACAGTGACACCACATTTGCTACCTTCTGTGACACATGCTGTTTTCAGAAACGCACTCTGGGTGTGAGCTCTGGGGAATGTTTCTATCCACAAGCAAGGCAATGTTAGTGTTTGTGTCTGAGCATCGAGCTGTGCAGCACGTTTTTATTTATATTCAGAGTTTACAAACTGCTTCAGGGAGCTCCTTTGGGAGCTGCAGTGAGGAGAGGTGGATGCCGGGCAGGCACTGGAAGGAGGCTTTTGGCATTTGAATAGAATTTGTTTGAACAAAAGTTCCTGATGGGGGAAGAAAAGAAAGGAAACCACTATTTTAAATCAACCAAAGCCTATTGCCTATCATGTTTCTTGGCAATTAAGCAAGCAGAATTTTTTGGAAAGAAAGTTATTACCCTGGTTTGTAAATAAGGAGCTTTGGGTTATACCTTAACAATATCAATGCCACTAAAAGGAAACTGATTTTTTACAGTTTTTCACCTTAGTGAACCTCTAAAAGCCATATCTTTTCCATCTGTCAAAATTATACTCCTTTTAAAGATATTTCTTAGCCCTAAGGCCTTGCACAAAATATTGCTCTTCTAATAGTATATCCCAGATTCCTCAGTCATTAATTTTCTTCCAGCCTTCTTGTTGCATTTGTTAATGTGTTTATTATACTGCAGATCACAGAAACCTTGCATTAGATTTGCTTGTATTTTTGTGTTTTGCATTTGTCTCTTCCACAAGACTCTGAGCCTCTGGACAGCCCCCATTCATCCTCATATTCCCCATGGCACCTGTCTAGGCATGGGGACTTGTACAGAGTAAACCCTAAATAGATTCTAGTTTTCCTGAGTTCTCAGAAGTCACAATTTTTCCAACAGGATAAGGTAGCCAAGTAAATATTTATTGTAATGAAAATAAAGTGGCTGCCTGTAATAATAAAGTACGTAGGGCAATGTTTTTACTTATTTAGAGAAGTCATGGATGACAAAAATCATTGTGGTCAATAATTGGAGACAAATCTTCTTTAGTCGTAGTCCTTATCAACTATTCTGTTTCTAGAGGCTGCTGAAGTGTCTAGTTTGACAGCTACCAGTATATCTTTTATACAGTGGACATATTCGAGAGACTTGTGGACTCATTTGAAATATCTTCATCATCTTGAGTCATTGTAGACCAGGTACTCATTCTCATAAGTCTCTAAAATTGTTCCAATAGCTGTTCTTGGGAATAAAAGTGCAATACATTTGCATAGAATTTTTATCACAGAACACAGGTGGGATAAGTTCCTTATCGATGATGTGAACTCCTTGGGCTAGCTTTATTTCTCTACACTCATGAAGCTGGGTAAAATTATTTAATTTTATTCAGTTGTATCTATACTAGGGTGGGTATTGGAAACCCAGGTATGTTGAATAGTGGCCCCCAAGGATGTCCATGTTCTAATCCCCAGAACATGTGAATATGCTATCTTATATGGCAAAAGGGACTTTGCAGATGTGGTTAAGAATTTTGAGGTGGGGAGATTGCCCTACATTCTTCAGATGGGCCAAGTGTAATCACAAAGGTCTTTATAGGAGGGAGGCAGGAGACCAGAGTAGGTAGCAGAGGTACACTGATGGAGGTAAGCGGTTGGGAGGATGCAAAGAAGGCCATGAGCTGAGCCAAGAAGTGCAGGTGGCTTCCCAAAGCTGGAAGAGTCAGAACGGATTCTCCCCTGGAACCCCCAGAAGGAACCAGCCCTGCCCACACCTTGATTTTAGCTCTTTAAGATTTATTTTAGGTTTCTGACCTCCAGAACTGTAAAATAATAAATTTATGCAGTTTGAAGCCAAGTGTGTGGCAATTTGTTGCAGCAACTGTAGGAAATGAATACAGAAACCATACAGAGCATAGTCACCATCCATAGCATATCTGTGTCTACCAAGCTGCTGTACACTTCTCACTTATAGCTGATGTTCTCTGTCATTTTTTCCTTGGACTAAGCTCATGGAACAAAGCTTAGGAATTTAGAAGCACAGGAATAAGTGAGTTTAATTTTTCCTTTAAAGACTAGAATAGCATTGGAAATGGAACATGCTGAATAAGAGTAGAAACAGCTTTTCTATATGGCCCTGACAGTATCCTTCCTCCCGTTATGCTTCTTTTATCTTTGAGGTGAATGCTCCACCTGCTGTTGGAAAGCTGTTTAGTGCTAACTAGAAGCTTTGCTCCTGAACTCATCATAAACTTCTTGGTAGAATTGTCGATGTGATCACAGGATCAGAAGGGGCAGTTTGACCTTTTTTAAAAAGAGTGTGTTTTATTTGGAGTATTTTGTTTGCAAAGAACACAGATTCAATCAAATTGTTTCATGGAATTAGATGTTTAAGTGGAAGTTGATTATAAATGTGACAAATATAATTTTGTTCCATAATATTGGGACAAAAGGAAACGGGTATTTTTTAATTTTTCTAGATCAAATACATTTGGCTTGGCCCCCACTTGCCAGAGTTGCTGGTATGTTTACAACTAGTCATGACTGGAGATTGAGAGGTCCTATTCCTCTTCCTTGGGGTTTTAAGAAGCTGGGGCTGTCCCCAGAGGACAAGCTCCAGTGTGCATGAATGCCTCTGCTTCTATCACACTAATGTCCTGTTGGCCAAAGTAGTCATAGAGCCAAGCCCAGAGTCAAGTGAATGGGTGGCCAAGCATGCAACACCATGAACACCGAGAGCAGGGCTCATGAGGGACCCACAATAACCATTCAGCAGAGACTCTCTTAGCTTTTCCATTCAAACCTCTTAGCTTTTCTATTCAAACCAGCTCACTTCAGGTTAAATTTCTCAGTCATGAATTTTTATAGCATTTGGTGATTACTCTTTCCTGGCAGTAATCATATGAATTTTTTTTTCTAATGGTCTCTGTTCCATTTGACTGTTAGTGCCATGAGGGTAGGAAACATGAAGGTCTTTTTCCATGCCAAATCACTTCCAAAAGACTTTGTGCCTGGAAAAGTGTAGGAGAGGGTCCTCTTCCCCCAGCAGAATGGAACCAGACAGACTATTAGGTGACACAAACATGTCCACTAGGTTGCCCCATAAGCAGTTTTCTTAGACTTAGCAACCCTGGGTTGGATGCACCTAGTACAGAGAGTTGAGGATGAAGTTTGGGGCCATGTGTCTTCAGCATTAAGTGAGTGGTCTCAGATCAGGTTATAGAAGCATCAAGTCTGAGGGCAGGCTAGGTTCCATCGCACCATTCTGATTCCAGAGCTATCCCTTCATCAAGCAGTTTTTGGTTGCTCATTTTGCTCCCTAATAGGCCCCTGATTAGAAAGAGAGATTTCCTTCTTTGTCAAGTATTACGGTTTCCCCCCTCTTACAAGTTAGAGCCATATAGGTTGGTTGAAGAAATCAGCTCTCCAGATTTTTGACCAGTGATAGGTGCTTGAGAAAAAGCAGGATTGAGCAGTCTGAACACAGGCTTTAGAATAAGGCAACCCTGGATGTGAATGGGGGTTCTGCTGCTTCTTATCTGCCTAGTATTGGCCAAGTCACTGAGCCTCTATGGGTCTGTTTCACCATCAGCAAAATGGTTATAATAATATTTTTTTAATGAAGATTAAATTAAATACTGCAAATAGGACTACCTTCTTCCCCACCTGAGCCTCCCCTTCCTCCCTGTGTCCCCCTCCCCAGTTGGTCACATACTGCCTGGTATCAAGAATTCTTAGGACAACAAAACCAAGCCTATGTTAAACTCTTAGGAAGAGATAATGTGAAATTAATGTGTGGAGACAGAGCATGAAGTGTTTGGAAACACCAATTTTAATCATAAGAAAGAAAAGGATCTAAAAAATAACTTATTTTTAGACTCTCAGTGAAATATTCAAGCCAAGAACAGAGTTCTCTATTAAGTACAAAAACATTACACACAAAATGAGAATAATGTATCTCAAAGCTCATATTTATTGACTTGGGGTGATTAAGATACCTACTTACATAAGCATTCTGAGCCTTTTTTATAAATGGTTGGAAAATCCAGAAAAAATTTGAAAGAAACCCAAGAACCACTCATGGGAAAGGATAGAGAAAAAAACATAATAATAATTTTTAGACTCCTAGTTTTTTTCTGAAGAATAAAACAGGAGGATTCTATGCCCAATCTTCCTTTGATGTTGATAGTTTGGAAATAATGGGATATATATGGAAATATATGGAAATATATATATATTGGAAATAATGGGAATATCCCGTGTAAGCACATGGATATTCAGGATCTAAATGACAAAGAAGACAGGCATTAGATTGGTTGAAATTCACTACATAATTCTGGAGAAATCACTACATAATTCTGGAGAATTCACTACATTCACTACATTCACTACATTCACTACATAATTCTGGAGAAATCATTTCTACAAGGGCTTTGTCCAGGTGCTTCAAAATTCTATAGTCCGAGAAATCCTGAACCTTGTGTTATCCAATGTATTGCTGCTCATATTAACAACTTTTTATTTATTTATTTATTTATTTATTTATTTATTTATTTATTTTATTATACTTTAAGTTCTAGGGTACATGAGCACAATGTACAGGTTTGATACATAGGTATACATGTGCCATGTTGGTTTGCTGCACAAACTCATCATTTACATAAGGTATTTCTCCTAATGCTATCCCTCCCCCAGGCCCCCACCCCCCAAACAGGCCTCGGTGTGTTATGTTCCCCACCCTGTGTCTAAGTGATCTCATTGTTTAATTCCCACCTGTGAGAACATGTAGAACATGTGAGAACATGTAGTGTTTGGTTGTCTGTCCTTGTGATAGTTTGCTGAGAATGATATGAATAGTGCCGCAATAAACATATGTGTGTATGTGTCTTTATAGTAGCATGATTTATAATCCTTTGGGTATATACCCAGTAATGAGATTGCTGGGTCAAATGGTATTTCTAGTTCTAGATCCTTGAGGAATCACCACACTGTCTTCCACAATGGCTGAACTAATTTACACTCCCACCAACAGTGTAAAAGCGTTCCTATTTCTCCACATCCTCTCCAGCATCTGATGTTTCCTGACTTTTTAATAATTACCATTCTAACTGGCGTTACATGGTGTCTCATTGTGGTTTTGATTTGCATTTCTCTGATGACCAGTGATGAGAATTTTTTCATGTGTCTCTTGGCTGCATAGGTGTCTTCTTTTGAGAAGTGTTTGTTCATACCCTTTGCCCACTTTTTGATGGGGTTGTTTTTATTCTTGTAAATTTGTTTAAGTTCTTTGTAGATTTTGGATATTAGCCCTTTGTCAGATGAGTAGATTGCAAAAATTTTCTCCCATTCTGTAGGTTGACTGTTCACTCTGATGGTAGGTTCTTTTGCCATGCAGAAGCTCTTTAGATTAATTAGATCCCATTTGTCAATTTTGGATTTTGTTGCCATTGCTTTTGGTGTTTTAGTCATGAAGTCCTTGCCCATGCCTATGTCCTGAATGGTATTGCCTAGGTTTTCTTCTAAGGTTTTTATAGTTTTAGGTCTAACATTAAAGTCTTAAATCCATCTTGAATTAATTTTTGTATAAGGTGTAAGGAAGGGATCCAGTTTCAGCTTTCTACATATAGCTAGCCAGTTTTCCCAGCACCATTTATTAAATAGGAAATCCTTTCACCATTCCTTGTTTTTGTCAAGTTTGTCAGAGATCAGATGGTTGTAGATGTGTGGTGTTATTTCTGAGGCCTCTGTTCTGTTCCCTTGGTCTATTTATCTGTTTTGGTACCAGTACCATGCTGTTTTGGTTACTGTAGCACTATAGTATAGTTTGAAGTCAGGTAGCATGATGCCTCCAGCTTTGTTCATTTTGCTTAGGATTTTCTTGGCAATGCGGGCTCTTTTTTGATTCCATATGAACTTGAAAGTAGTTTTTTCCAATTCTGTGAAGAAAGTCATTGGTAGCTTGATGGGGATGGCATTGAATCTATAAATTACCTTGGGTAGTATGGCTATTTTCATGATATTGATTCTTCCTATCTATGAGCGTGGAATGTTCCTCCATTTGTTTGTTTCCTCTTTTGTTTCCTTGAGCAGTGGTTTGTAGTTCTCCTTGAAGAGGTCCTTCACATCCCATGTAAGTTGGATTCCTAGGTATTTTATTGTCTTTGTAGCAATTGTGAATGGGAGTTCACTCATGATTTGGCTCTCTGTGTGTCTGCTATTGCTGTATAGGAATGCTTGTGATTTTTGCACATTGATTTTGTCCCCTGAGACTTTGCTGAAGTTGCTTATCAGCTTAAGAAGATTTTGAGCTGAGACAATGGGGTTTTCTTTCCTTTTCTTTTTTTTTTTTGAGAACAGAGTCTCGCCCTGTCACCCAGGCTGGAGTGCAGTGGTGCAATCTTGGCTCCCTGCAAGCTCCACCTCCTGGGTTCATGCCTTTCTCCTGCCTCAGCCTCCTGAGTAGCTGGGACTATAGGCACCTGCCACCATGGCCCTAATTTTTCTGTAATTTTTTAGTAGAGATGGGGTTTCACGATGTTAGCCAGGATGGTCTCGATCTCCAGACCTTGTGATCCACCCACCTCGGCCTCCCAAAGTGCTGGGATTACAGGCATGAGAAACCATGCCCGGCCAGAGCTTTCTAAAGATTCAATCATGTCATCTGCAAACAGGGACATTTTGACTTCCTCTTTTCCTAGTTGAATACCCTTTATTTCTTTCTCTTGCCTGATTTCCCTGGCCAGAACTTCTAACACTATGTTGAATAGGAGTGGTGAGAGAGGGTATCCTTGTCTTGTTCCAGTTTTCAAAGGGAATGCTTCCAGTTTTTGCCCATTCAGTGTGATATTGGCTGTGGGTTTGTCATAAATAGCTCTTATTATTTCGAGATACGTCCCATCAATAACTAGTTTATTGAGAGTTTTTAGAGTGAAGGGCTGTTGAATTTTGTCGAAGGCCTTTTCTGCATCTATTGAGATAATCATGTGGTTTTTGTCTTTGGTTCTGTTTATACGATGGATTACATTTATTGATTTGCATATGTTGAACCAGCCTTGCATCCCACGGATGAAGCCGACTTGATCATGGTAGATAAGCTTTTTGATGTGCTGCTGGATTCGGTTTGCCAGTATTTTATTGAGGATTTTTGCATCAATGTTCATCAAGGATATTGGTCTAAAATTCTCTTTTTTGTTGTGTCTCTGCCTGGCTTTGGTATCAGGATGATGTTGGCCTCATAAAATGAGTTAGGGAGGATTCCCTCTTTTTCTATTGATTGGAAGAGTTTCAGAAGGAATGGTACCAGCTCCTCTTTGTACCTCTGGTAAATTCGGCTGTGATCTGTCTGGTCCTGGACTTTTTTTGGTTGGTAGGCTCTTAATTATTGCCTCAATTTCAGAGCCTGTTATTGGTCTATTCAGAGATTCAACTTCTTCCTGGTTTAGTCTTGGGAGGGTGTATGTGTCCAGGAATTTATCCATTTCTTCTAGATTTTCTAGTTTATTTGCATAGAGGTGTTTATAATATTTTCTGATGGTAGTTTGTATTTCTGTGTGATCAGTGGTGATATCCCCTTTATCATGTTTTATTGTGTCTATTTGATTCTTCTCTCTTTAATTCTTTAGTAGTGTAGCTAGTGGTCTATTTTATTGATCTTTTCAAAAAATCGTTTCCTAAATTTATTGATTTTTTTGAAAGGTTTTTTTTTATCTCTATCTTTTTCAGTTCTGCTCTGATCTTAGTTATTTCTTGCCTTCTGCTAGCTTTTCAATTTGTTTGCTGTTGCTTCTGTAGTTATTTTAATTGTGATGTTAGCTGTCGATTTTAGATCTTCCTGCTTTCTCTTGTGGTCATTTAGTGCTATAAATTTCCTTTTGCACACTGCTTTAAATGTGTCCCAGAGATTCTGGTATGTTGTGTCTTTGTTCTCATTGGTTTCAAAGAACATCTTTATTTCTGCCTTCATTTCGTTATTTACCCAGTAGTCATTCAGGAGCAGGTTGTTTAGTTTCCATGTAGTTCTGTGGTTTTGAGTGAGTTTCTTAATCCTGAGTTCTAATTTGATTGCACTGTGGTCTGAGAGACAGTTTGTTGTGATTTCTGTTCTTTTACATTTGCTGAGGAGTGCTTTACTTCCAATTACATGGTCAATTTTAGAATAAATACAATGTGGTGCTGAGAAGAATGTATAGTCTGAGTCTGTTGATTTGGGGTGGAGAGTTCTGTAGACGTCTATCAAGTCTGCTTGGTGCAGAGCTAGTTCAAGTCCTGGATATCCTTGTTAACCTTCTGTCTCGTTGATCTGTCTAATATTGACAGTGGGGTGTTAAAGTCTCCCATTAATTATTGTGTGGGAGTCTAAGTCTCTCTGTAGTACTCTAAGGACTTGCTTTATGAATCTGGGTGTTCCTATATTGGGTGCTCCTGAATTGGGTGCATATATATTTAGGATAGTTAGCTCTTCTTGCTGAATTGATCCCTTTACCATTATGTAATGTCCTTCTTTGTCTCTTTTGATCTTCGTTGGTTTAATGCCTGTTTTATCAGAGACTGGGATTGCAACTGCTGCTTTTTTTGCTTTCCATTTGCTTGGTAGATCTTCCTCCATCCTTTTATTTTGAGCTTATTTGGGTCTTTGCATGTGAGGTGGGTCTCCTGAATACAGCACACTATTGGGTTGTGACTCTTTCTCCAATTTGCCAGTGTGTGCCTTTTAGTTGAGGCATTTAGCCCATTTACATTTAAGGTTAATATTGTTGTGTGTGAATTTGATCCTGTCATTATGATGTTAGCTGGTTATTTTGCCTGTTAGTTGATGCAGTTTCTTCATAGCATCGATGGTCTTTACAATTTGGCATGTTTTTGCAGTGGCTGGTACCAGTTGTTTCTTTCCATATTTAGTGCTTCCTTCAGGAGATCTTGTAAGGCAGGCCTGGTGGTGACAAAATTAGCATTTGCTTGTCTGTAAAGGATTTTATTTCTCCTTTACTTATGAAGCTTAGTTTGGGTGGATATGAAATTCTGGGTTGAAAATTCTTTTCTTTAAGAATGTTGAAAATTGGCCCCCACTCTCTTCTGGCTTGTAGAGTTTCTGCCAAGAGAGCCACTTCCCAAACCCAAACTTGCACCAAAAAAAGGTCACCATCACTCTTCGGTGGCCTGCTGCTGGTCTGATCCACTGCAGCTTTCTGAATCCCGGCAAAACCATTACATCTAAGAAGTATGCTCAGCAAATTGAAGATATGCATAAAAAACTACAACACCTGCAGCTGGCATTGGTCAACAGAAGGGGCCCAATTCTTCTCCATGACAGCGCCCAACTGCACCTTGCACAGCCAATGCTTCAAAAGTTGAACAAATTGGGCTATGAAGTTTTGCCTCACCCTCCATATTCACCTGATTTCTTGCCAACCGACTCTCGCTTTTTCAAGCATCTTGACAACTTTTTGCAGGGAAAATGCTTCCACAACCTGCAGGATGTAGAAAATGCTTTCCAAGAGTTTGTTGAATCAGAAAGCATGAATGTTTATGCTACAGGAGTAAACAAACTTATTTCTCATTGGCAAAAATGTGTTGATTATAATTATTCCTGTTTTATTTAATAAAGATGTGTTTGAGCCCAGCTATAATGATTTAAAATTCAGGGTCTGGGCTGGGCATGGTGGCTCATGCCTGTAGTCCTAGCACTTTGGGAGGCTGAGGTGGGTGGATCACCTGAGGTCAGGAGTTTGAGACCAGGCTGGCCAACATGGTAAAACCCTACTTCTACTAAAATTATAAATATTAGTTGGGCATAATGGCGTGCACCTGTAGTTCCAGCTACTCAGGAGGCTGAGGGAGGAGAATCACTTGAACCCGGGAGGTAGAGGCTGCAGTGAGCTGAGATTGCTCCACTGCATTCCAGCCTGGGTGACAGAGAAAGACTCTGTCTCAAAAATAAAAAAAATAAAAAAATAACAAATAAATAAATAAAATTCAAGGTCTGAAACAGCAATTACTTTTGCACCAACCTAATAGCTTTTTTTTCTCTCCCCCATATGAGGATAGAGTCTGAAGGTGGCTGTGAGCAAACAAGGAAGGGGGTTCTCACCAAAGACCAAACTGGCTGGCCCTTGATCTTGGACTTTGGACTTCCCAGCCTCCAGAACCATGAGAAGTAAATGTCTTTTGTTTAAACCAGTGATCCCCAACCTTTTTGGTACCAGGGACTGTTTTTGTGGAAAACAATTTTTCCACAGACTGTGGGGGTTTGGGGGGTGGTTTCAGGATGATTAAAGCACATTACATTCATCGTGCACTTTATTTCTATTATTATTACATTGTAACATATAATGAAATAACTATACAACTCACTGTAATGTAGAATCAGTGGGAGCCCTGAGCTTGTTTTTTGGTAACTAGATGGTCCCATCTGCAGGCGATGGGAGACAGTGACAGATCATCAGCCATTAGATTCTTATAAGGAGTGCGCAACCTAGATACCTTGCATGCACACTTCACAACAGGGTTCATGCTCCCATGAGAATCTAATGCTGCTGCTGGTCTGATAGGAGGCAGAGCTCAGGTGGTAATGCTCACTTGCTTGTTGCTCACCTCCTGCTGTGCAGCCCAGTTCCTAACAGGCCATGAACTGATACAAGGCACCAGGGTTGGGGACCCCTGGTTTAAACCACCTTGTCTATGATATTTTATTACAGCAGTCTGAGCTAAGATACAGGTTTTTTTCCTCCTTTTAAAGTAAAGATGGACTTGTCCAGCAACTCGTTAACTATCCCCACTAAGTGGAGTGCAACTGAAAATCAAGGGAAAATGTTAGTTGATGAAACTGTCTAGCCAGGTTGAAAAACAGACGGATAATATACACCAGTGATCATTTGAGAAGAATGTTGAGGTGGCTGGTATGAATGTTCCCTAATAAAAAAACCTAAACAATGATCCAGAAATAGCATATTAAAAAACACAACTAATTTTTTTCTTCAAATTAATGAGTCATCCAATTGTTTTTGGTGGTAGAGCCATGGTCATTTCAGTATCTTTCAATGATTGATGGTATCATTAATTAATGTCATAATTTTTGAAAGTACATTTTGTAAAGTTGTTATATTTGATATACTAATGAACTTTCAAACGAGAACATCTGTTGTCTTCTTGTTATTCACAAATTTTGCTAATCTTAAAAATAGAGCTATCAAATTTATTGGAGATGGTTTATTAATGTGCTTAATCTGACGTTACTGATTATTTTCTTATAGTTTCAATATCAGTCCTTAGTCCCCAGGGAATTAAATCAAGGAAATGAAGAGCTCTTTTCTTCTTTTCCACTGCCTAATTCCCCTTGTTTGTCATTAGTGCTATGTGACCAGTAAGGCTCAAGGTCGGCAATATTGAGCTCCCTTATAAACTTTAGGGGGGTATGTTGATTTCGACAGTCTAGAAATCCATCTTAAGAATGGAGATAAGCAATCAAAGGACAATTATTGAGTAGTCAATAATGCTATTCCCTTGGACAATGAACTGGGAAAAATCCCCCTTCTTTTATGGCAGAATTTTCCACTTAGCATTATATGTTGCTTACGTTGATAAATTAGTTCAGCCCAGTATTTTCCTTCATAATCAGTTATCCCTGAAGGGATGAACTATGGGAGAGGCAGCCTTTCCACCTGCAAATTCCTGTAGATGACATTGTGGCAGAATCTATATTTTGTGCAAGAATGATGTATACCACAAATAGGGTGTACACTTAGGCTTTGACAGAGAAATGAAAATGGGAAAATCACCTTCAGAGATAATTTGTTACTGATGAGACTAGGAGGAAGTCCTTTAAATCACATGAAAAAATTCTCAAGGAGGTAATACAAATATAATTTAATAAACTTGGCCTAATTAATGATGACATTTATTATTGGCAAGACAGGAGGGTGATATTCTGCATGGAGATTGGAAAAGAAATAAGGGTGAGTAAGAATTTTTCAATATTTCTTGAGTACAGTAGAGATCCAGGTGGCTTAGGAAGAAATATTTTCCCTAGGGCAGGGAATAAAAATTTATCATGAAACTGTAGATGTTACCAGTTCCATTGCCTCCGTAAATGCATAACTTTAGCCTTTCAGTTTACAAATATGAATCTTGGTGTGTTAATCAGAATCTTCTTGTGAACAAGTAGCAGAAATAGTCTCAGACCAGCTTGGCTTATGTAGGAAAGGAGTTCTGATGGCTCACTGGGGAGGTGTCATGTGGTGTGACTCAGGTAGCTGCAGGAGGGAATGGGGTATCCGGGGGCAGGGAACTCAGCTCAGAGAGGCCTTGCACTTGGGGTTTAATGCTCTGTGCTTGCCATTTTGATGTTCTTAATAATTTTATCTCTGAATGTGTAAGTGAAGTCTGATGGGACAAGGGAGCATGGACCAGAGGCTCGGTGCTTCTGCTCACAGGTCTCCTTCCCCCGGCTGCATGGGTTCTCCACCGACTACTTCTCCAGCCTCTGGTGCCCAGGTCTAGGGTTGCCAGATTTAGCAAAAACAAACAAAAGCAAAGAACAAGACAGGATGCCCAATTATATTTGAATTTCAGATAAACAGTAAATAGTTTTCAAATAATATATGTCCCAAATATTGTACGGGATATACTAAAAAATTATGTTGTTTATCTGAAATTCAAATTTAGCTGAGTGTCCATATTTTATCTGGCACCCCTCTTTCCAACCCTAGCCACCCTCTGTGGCCCTCAGCTGGGTAACACATGGCCTTGGGTAACCTAGCCACCCTCTGTGGCCCTCAGCTGCAGGCCAGCCTGGGTGAAGTACCAGGAGGGTTGGGTTACACATGGCCTTGGGTAGTTCCAGGCTGGGATCATGGTGTGAGTTGTCAGGGAGCGAAGGTGTTGCCCATCTCTCATTTAGGTACCTCTGTGGGCCTGGAGGGGAAGTGCAATGCCTTTGGGGGCCCCCTGTCCACATTGGGAAGGGGAAACTCCTGGCTCAGACCCCTGTCATGGAGAGCTTCAGGTGCACCAAGTCTTGGCCCTAGGAGCATGACGTTCAGGGCTGGCCAGTCAGTATCCTCACGGCCTGCAAGAGCTAGTTAACAACAAGAGCAACAACAAACACTTGGCGAGTCAGAAGACCGCAGAAGAAAGGAAAATACGTTATGTTTTAATAGTATTTAAGGGCATGTTTTTCCTGCTTTTGGACAAGGGACTCCCCAATTTCATTGTGCACTTGGCCCTGCAGATTATGTAGCTGATCGAGGGCTCATTTAACATGAAAGGACTGTGGTATTTTTGCAATTTACTAGAAGTGGAGGCGCAACATTGACACAAAGCTCTCTAGTTCACTTCTCTGCTTCTTTATGAAAGTGGACTGTCTTCTTAGAGCATAGCTGCCAGAAGCTTCTCACCGAACAGTCTCACAGCCATGGCCAAGGAGAAAGTGCCAGTTTGAATGAGGCTGGGATGCAGTCTGCTGCCCTGGCTTTGGCCCTGGGTCCATCCCTGGACCATCACGGCAGTGTGAGGTAATGCGATTGCATAGCCAAGTTGTGAGTTCCTCTTTCTGTTAGCAGAGAGAGTTGGGGGAGGCTGTAGAACCAACCTAGTTAGAGGAAGTCCCTGTGAAATGATTTCATTTTTCTACCCTAATTTGATTCTTCTACATTTATAGTTAGTATGACTCTTTCCTGTGGCTCTTCTATCTCTGAATTAATTTGTAAAATTAATTCCCGGAAGCTACCTCTCATGACATAACAAAATGCAAAGGTCCTTGCAACACAGTGTAAGGGAACTCCTGCAACTCAAACTCTCCTTAAAAACTGTAAACTTGTTACATTTGGAGTTCCTTTCAAATTATATATGGGAGACTATCAGATGTGCAAATTAGTTCTCATCTTTCCATTTATTTTTCCGTTTGTTCATTCAACAAATATGTGGTATGTGCCAAGAACCAGTCCTAGGAGCTGATGCTGACTCAGGGGAGAAAGATCTATAAACCTGTAAATCCTATTAAAATGTAAAACTGTCTAGTAAGTCCGCAGCAGGAGCACCAAGAGCAAGGGAAGTGCTCATCCTTGCTTCTTTCTTTCTATTTTTGAAAAAGGGTCAGATTTGGGAGGAATGGGTCTTAAATTGTGGAATAAGAGCTCAGACTGTTGTTAATTTATTAATGTTTTCTGACGGATGTCTGATAGAAGGAGAAGGGGCTCTGAGAGCTGAGTAGTCTAACTGTGATATAGTCAGGTGACTTGTAGCTAGAACTGTTCTGTATTGGTTCAATAGCAACAATATAATTGTAGCCTAAATAGCATAAACCACTTTCCTGGGAAATTATACTACAACTGTGTCCCAACTGTGAGGAAGTTGCAGGCAGTTTCCTTTTCTGTGTCCAGGAGGGGATGTTTTTCACTTTCTTTTATACACATGTATAATGGTTCATTATTTCTGCTTCTCCTTTGCAAAAAACCATTTAATACTTTGAGCTGAGAAGTGTCAAATGGACTTCTACTGACAGATACTAAGGTAGTCTCTTTTTTCTCCATACAAATATTATTCATTATGTTTATATTTTATTATAAAATAACTTTGAAATAAGAACTAAGAATTATCAGTATTAAATTCCCTTTTTCCCACCAATGTTACCCAACTTGATAGATTTCAAGCCATGCAATTATTAAATTTTTATCTAAATATTTCTCTGATTTTAACATAAAATTTTTATTATATTGTAGTTATTTCTCACGGGTTCAGAGAAACATATAAATTGCCACCTTTCACCACTGATTTTTTTTAATGACTTTTTTTATTTCAATAGGTTTTTTGGGGAACAGGTGGTGTTTGGTCACATGAATAAGTTTTTTAGTGGTGATTTCTGAGGTTTTGGTGCACCCATCACCTGAGCAGTGTACACTGTATCCAATGTGTAGTCTTCTATCCCTCACCACACCCCACCCTTTCCCCTGAGTCCCCAAAGTCCAGTGTATCATTCTTATGCCTTTGTGTCTTCATAGCTTAGCTTCCACATATGAGTGACAACATATGATGTTTGGTTTCCCATTCCTGAGTTACTTCACTTAGAATAATAATAATCTCCAATTCTATCTAGATTGCTGTGAATGCCATTATTTCATTCCTTGTAAAGGCTCAGTAGTATTCCATGACACACACACACACACACACACACACACATATAAAATCATATTTTATCTATTCATTGACTGATGGCCATTTGAGTTGGCTCCATATTTTTGCAATTGCGGATTGTGCTGCTATAAACGTGTGTGCAAGTATCTTTTTTGTATACTGACTTCTTTTACTCTGGGTAGATACTTAGTAGTGGGATTGCTGGATAAAATGGTAGATGTACTTTTAGTTCTTTAAGGAATCTCCACACTGTTTCCCATAGTGGTTGTACTAGTTTACATTCCTACCAATAGTGTAAAAGTGTTCCCTTTTCACTGCATCCACGCCAACATCTATTATTTTTTGATTATGGCCATTCTTGCAGGAGTAAGGTGGTATCGCATTGTGGTTTTGATTTGCATTTCCCTGATCATTAGTGATGTTGAGCATTTTTCCATATGCTTGTTGGCCATTTGTATATTGTCTTTTGAGAATTGTCTGTTCATGTCCTTAGCCCACTTTTTGATGGAATTGTTTGTCTTTTTCGATTTGTTTAAGTTCTTTGTCAATTCTGGATATTTGTCATTTGTTGGATGTATAGGTTAGTGTCAAAGCCTGATAGGTTCTTCTTGCCTGCTTCCCAGAAAAGCCAATACACTGAAAACAGCAGTATTGCTGCAAAGAATGAGTTTAATAATTATCTGCCAGCCAAACAGAAGAACAGGGGGTATTTCTCAAATCTACCTCTCTGAATTCAGAGGCTAGGGATTTTAAGGTTACTTTGGCAGGCAGGGGGCTAAGGAACTGAAACAATTGATTGGCTGGGGATCAAATCACAGAGGTGTCTGAACTGTCTTCATGCAGCTGAGTCAGTTTCTTGGAGGGGATCTCAGAACAAGGTGGCATCTCTAGGTTTGCTGAAATACTAAATCTGAATAATATCTCAAAGACTGATGGTTCAGGTTTTACAATTATGGTGTTATCTATAGGAGTAGTTGGGGAAGTTATAAGTCTTGTGACCTCCAGATAAATGATCTGAGGCAGAAAACAACTTATAGAAAGGCAAGCTAAGCATTGGCAAGTTCTTGTTTAACTATGCCTATTCTTTAGCAAAGTTCAAGCCACTCCCATAATTCTAAGCTTGTCTTATGAATGTGGCTTCAATCTCTGAACAAGGAGAGGGGTCAGTTTTCTTCACCTCAAAGTTTAACTATAAACTAAATTCCTCTCATAGGTATCTTCAGCTCCACACTAGAATGAGCAAAAAACAATTTAGCCTGTGAAGTTAGAAGCAAGATTGAGTTAGTCATGCTAGATTCCTCTCATTTCTTATAATTCTGCAAAGGCGATTTCAATGCTAGTAACTTTATCTTAACTTGTCAGCATCTAGAACTGTGAGAAATAAATTTGTGTTCTTTATAAATCACACATTCTCAGATATTATGTTGTAGCAGCATAAGTAGACTAAGACACATATTAAAACCAATTCAGAGACTTCCGGTTTCCAGTCTGGCATGTAAGAAGTCTGGAAGTTGCCACTCTGTCCTACCAATAAGTAAAAAGCTGAACAAACTGAAAAATTAAAAACTCTTCATGAATTTGTAAGAGAAACGATATCACAGGACAAATTGCTGCCTTTAGAATTGGAAAGACAGACAGGAAGATAAAGAGAATAACAATTCACCAGAACAAGAACATCCACAGGAACCATGACCAGGGTTGGGAAACTGAATTGTAATTGATCAATCACAGGAGGCTCAGCATGGACAAGTCTGAGAGATAAAAACTCCAGGGGTGTGGGTTCAGTCACTGGGGGCCCCATACTGTTGTTGAGTTTTTCCTCCAGGAGCTTGACCAGGTTCTCACAGTGAATATTGGAGAAAAAACTGCTTACACTTCCGGCAGAGGGAGGATAAAAGGAACTATTTAAAAATATATCAGAGTAGTCTGTTGTTCTCAACAAGGTCTACCCTCAGAAGAAACTATTTTACCAGAGCCTACACTGCTGGGATTTTATCAGAGCCTAACTGACCTGGGGAAAGAGAAATATTCAACTTCAGCAAGTTTTAACTTTCCTTGTGGAAGAAGAAAAATATTTGTCTTAGTCCATTCAGGTTGCTGTAACAAAATACCCTAGACTGGGTGGCTTCTAAATAACAGAAATTTATTTCTGATAGTTCTAGAGGCTGGGAAGTCCAAGATCAAGGCAATAGCAGATTCAATGTCTCATGAAAGCCCACTTCCTGGTTCATAGATGGCCATCTTCCCCTTTATATTCTCACATGGTGGAAGGAGCGTGGGTCTCTCTTGAGACTCTTTTACAAGGGCACTAATCTCATTAATGAGGGCTATACCTTTATAACAGAATCACCTCCTAAACGTCCCACTTCCAAATAGCATTACCTTGGTGATTAGGATTTCAATACATGAATTTTGAGGAGACACAAATATTCAGCCCATAACATTCTGCTCCTGGCCTCTCCAAATTTATGTTCTTCCTACATGAAAAATATGTTCATTCCATCACAATAGTCCCCAAAGTTTTAAGCCATTCCAATTATCAACTCAAAAACCTGAAGTCCAAAGTTTTATCTAAATATTATCTAAATCAGATATAAGTGAGACTCAAGCTACACTTCATTCTGAGGCAAATTGCTCTCCAGCTCTGAACACATGAAATCAAACATATGCTTCCAAAATATATTAATGACACAGGTATAGGATAGACATTCCCATTCCAAAATGGAGAAATAGAAAAGAAAACAGTGACAAATCCCAAGTAAGTCCAAAATCTTAAAGTGTGAGAATCTTTACTTTCACCAGGTTCTCACAGTGAATATTGGAGAAAAATCTGCTTACGCTTCCAGCAGAGGGAGGATAAAAGGAACTAGTTGAAAATATATCAGAGTAGTCTGTTGTTCTCAACAAGGTCTACCCTCAGAAGAAACTATTTTACCAGAGTAATTATTCTCACACCTGGTAAAGTGTGAGAATAATTTTCTTTAATTTGATAATTTGCCTTCCAGGCCCCTGGAGCAGGGGTCCTGCTTTCTGGACCTATGGGATTGGCAACCTTGTCCCCATGGCTTTGGCATTCTGTGTGGTGCCCACCTCCAAGGTGGTTGTGTGCCTGGGTCATGTGTCTGAAGTTCCCCAGAGCTAGAATTGGACACTGGTGAGTCTATTAGCCTGAAGTCACAGGGGTAGCCAGGCTGCCGTGAATCTGCTGAGCATCGCCCTAACAAGGGCTCCCTGCAGTGACCACATGCACACTGGGGCTTTGGGCACTCTGGGTATGTGAAGGGAGTAGCAGCCCTGATGAATTCTCAGTTGCCTTTGGGCTCATTCTTCCATTGTCTTGGATGATAGGCCCTGTCTTCTGTTTAAATGGTGACTAATCTTTGGCCACATCCTTGGTTTTTTCTCCTGAACAGTATCCAACTTCAGCTCCCTCTAGCTTTCCACCTGGAAGAAGGAAAATTCCCAACTTCAGCCTACTCTGCCATCCTGTCTCACCTACTGGGGTGGTGGATGGGGGAGTAGGGGTAAGCGGGGAGGGGGAAGCACTTGTGAAGTTCATAGTCCGGAGGCACAAGCCCGCTAAAAGACTGAAATTGAATCATAGGACTATAGTATGCTTTCCAGTCCCTCCTCTCACCTTACCTACACATTACTAAAGGCCTATTTATAGCAGTTCCTTTTACTGAGTACAACGTGTCTGCTATTAAGAAAAAATTCCATCTCATTGAAGTCTGAGTGTTTGGAAAAAAAGAAAAAATTACAAGCCATATTAAAAGGCAAAAACAGGCTGAAGAGATAACAAGCATGAGAACCTTACTCAGATGTGACAGGGGTATTGAAATTATTAGATCAGGAATCTAGAATTATGATTAATATGCTAAGGACATTGATGAATAAAGTAGATGGCATGCAAGAACAGATAGGCAATGTAAGCAGAGAGATGAATATTCTAAGTAAAAACTGAAAAGAAATGCTGGAGATCAGAAAATGTAACAGAAATGAAGAATGCTTCTATGGGCTTATGAGCAGACTGAACATGGTTGAGGAAGGAATCTCTGAGCTTGAGCATCTCTCAAGAGAAAGTGCCCAAACTGAAAGCAAAGAAAAAAAAAAAAGGAAAAAGATATTTAAGGACTGGGACAACTACAAAAGTTTAAAAACGTTTAATGAAAATACTAGAAGAAGAAATATAGCCAGGAAGAGAAGAAGTATTTGTAACAATAATGACTGAGAATTTCCCAAAATTAATGTCAGACACCAAACCACAGACTTAGGAAGCCTAGAGAAAATCACGTAGGATGAAAGCCAAAAAAAAAAAAGTCAAAAGCATATTATATTCAAATTACAGAAAATCAAAGATTAAGAAAAAATTCTAAAAGAAATCAGAAGGAAGAAATCACCTTACACCTATAGAGGAGCAAAGATAAGAACTGACTGACTTCTCTTCGGAAATCATGCAGGAGAGAAGGAAGTGAAGTGAAATATTTAAAGAGAAATCATCCTTCAAAAATGAAGGAAAAACAAAGACTTTTCCAGAAACACAAAAATTGAAAGAATTTGTTGCCGGTAAGCCTGCCTCACAAGAAATGTTAAAAGCAATTCTTTACAGAGAAGGAAAATGATATAGGTCAGAAACTGGGTTCTGCATAAAGAAAGAGCATGAGAGAAGGAATAATTAAAGATAAAGTAAAAACTTTTGTTTTCTTATTTTCAGTTGACCTAACAAATAACAGTTAATTTAAAATAATAATGGCAACATTCTACACTGTATTTGATATATATTATATAAATATATATACATATATGTATCTAAATAAATATATATACACATATATATTTAAATATAAGCAAAATGAATGACAGTTATGATCCAAAGGATAGGAGAAGGGACTTAGGGTTATTTTCTTATTATAAGGTACTTGCACTATATAAGAAGTGGTATAATGGTTCTTGAAAGTTGTAAAAGTATATTGCAATTTTTTTATTATAAATGTATATTGCAAATTCTAGGGCAATTGCTAAAGAAATTTTTATAAAAAGAAGTATAACTAATCTAATATGATAAGAAAGATGAGAGAGAGAGAGAGAGAATGAAATTATTTAAAAAATGCTTAATAAAAACTACAGGCCGGGTGCAGTGTCTCATGCCTGTAATCCCAGCACTTTGGGAGGCCGAGACAGGTGGATCACCTGAGGTCAGGAGTTTGAGACCAGACTGGCCAACATGGTGAAACCCTGTCTCTACTAAAAATACAAAAATTAGCCAGGTGTGGTGGCGGGCACCTGTAATCCCAGCTACTCGGGTGGCTGAGGCAGAAGAATTGCTTGACCCTGGGAGGTGGAGGTTGCAGTGAGCCAGGAGCACGCCACTGCACTCCAGCCTGGGCGACAGAGTGAGACTGTTTCTCAAAAACAAAACAAACAAAGAAAACTACAAAAGGTAGAAAAAGAATAGGAGACAAAAATAGAAATAACAAGGACAAAAAATATAAAACAGTGACAAATATGACCTAAGCATATGTTGTCTACAAGAAGCCCGTTTTAAATACAATGACACTTATAGATTAATAATAGGTCTTCAGAGCAAGGAAATTTATCAGAGATAGAGTGAGGCATTACATAATGATAAAGGGGTCAGTTCTCCAAGAAGGCATAAAAATTTTTAATATGTATGTGCCTGAAAACAGAGCACAAAAATGTGACACAGAAACAGAACTGCAAGGAGAAATTGATGAATCCACTGTCATAATCAGAGACTTCAACACCATTCTATCAGAAATGGACAAATCCCAGCAGGCAAAAATCAGTAATTATGTAGTTAAATTCAACAACACCATCAATCAACTGGGTATAATTGACATCTATAGAGAACTTCATCCAACAGCAGGACAATACACATTATTCTTGAGCTCACATGAAACATTCACCCAAATAGACCACATTTTGCATCATAAAACACACCTTAACAAATTTAATAGAAAAGAAATCACACGACATCTGCTCTCATGCAGTTAACAAAACTAGGAATCAGAACAGAAAAAATGTCTGGAAAATTCCAAAATACTTGGAGTTTAAGCAATACACTTCTAAATAACATGAATCAATGAAGAAATCTCAAGAGAAATTTAAAAATATTTTGAACTAACTGAAAATGAAAGCAATTTGTTGACATTTGTGAGACGCAATGAAAGCAGTGCTTAGAGAGAAATTTATAGCATTGGATGCGTATATTAGAACAGAAGAAAAATGTAAAATCAATAATTCCCTAAAAGAAGAGCAAATTACTCCAAAGTAGGAAAGAAACGAGAAAATATAGAGCTGAAATCAGTAAAATTAGAAACAGAAAATCAATAGAAAAAATTCAACAAAATCTAAAGCTCTTTCTTTGAAAAGATTAATAAGCTTCTAGCCAGGCTAGCTAAAAAAAAAAAAAGGAGAGGACACAAATTATTAGCATCAGAAATAAAAAAAGAGACATCACTACAAATCCCTTGGACATTAAAAGGACAATAAAAGAATATTTTGGACAACTTTATGCCTGCAAATTTGAGAACTTAGATAAAATGAATCAGTTCCTTGAAAGACCCAATCTGGGTAGACCTATATGTATGTACTTAAAAAATTAAATCAGAGGGGGCGGGGCCAAGATGGCCGACTAGAAGCAGCAGTAATTGTAGGCTGCCATTGAAAAGAACCAAAACAGAGTGTGAATCCTGCACCGGCAACTGAAGTATCCGCGTTCTGTCACCAGGACTGACTAGGCGGCTAGTGTGACCCAAGGAGAAGAAGGAAGAGCAGTGTGGTGCGGCAGCCCACCTGAGAACCACATGGGCAGGGGAGCCCCTATCCCCCAGCCAAGGGAGTCGGTGAGTGAGCGTGCTACCTAGGCTGGGAAACTGTGCTTTTTCCACAGAACTGTGCAACCCACGGATTAAAAGATCCCACTTGTGAGCCCGTGCCACCGAGGCTGAGGGTCCCAACCACAGACATGCGCAGATTCTCAACAGCCACTCGGCTAGAATCTGCCTAAGCTGAGTTCCTGGGGAATGGGCGGCCATCACCACAGCTGCAGCTGCCTGCTGTCTAAGCCATCTGAGCTCCTTGCGGGAGGGGCGGCAGCCAACACTGGGACTGCTAGCTGCCTAACACGCTAAGCTCTCAGGGTGGGAGAAGGGTGGCAGCAATCTCTACAGCTCCAGGCTGTGCTTTTCCCCTGCTGGAGCCAGGGAGGCTAGACAGCTTGGTCCCAAGAAGTATTCCCCACAACCCAACACACCTGACTGTGGCCGACTTTGGCCATAGTGCCTCTTCAGTCCTGACACTGACCCCTCCCGGCTCACCGAATAGGGACTTCCTGCAGGAACTCCAACAACTCCAGTCAGGGACTCAAGGACAGAACTCTGATCTCCCTGGGCCTGAGCCCCTAGGGGAGGAGTGGCTGTAGTCTCCTCGGACCAGCAGACTTAGTCTTTCCTCCTGCTAGTTCTGAGGAATCCAGGCAGCCCAGACAAGTGTGTTTCCCCCCAGCGCAGCACATCCCCTCTTCTGAGATCCAAGGATAGGGAACATGGGCTGCTGCCCCTTGATGGGAGAAACAACAACAAAGAATTTCTGGCCATTAAAAAAAAAAAGGCCGGGCACGGTAGCTCATGCCTGTAATCCCAACAATTTGGGGGGCCGAGGCCGGTGGATCTCCTGAGGTCAGGAGTTCGACACCAGCCTGGCCAACATGGTGAAACCCTGTCTCTATTAAAAATACAAGAATTAGCCGGGCGTGGTGGCGGGCGCCTGTAATCCCAGCTACTCAGGAGGCTAAGGCAGGAGAATCACTTGAACTCGGGAGGCGGAGGTTGCAGTGAGCCGAGACTGGGCCACTGAACTCCAGCCTGGGTGACAGAGCAAGACTCTTTCAAAGAAAAAAAAAAAAAAACAGCTGCCCACAAAGCAAGCTGATTTAGGTTTTTACTGTGATTGAATTAAATGAATAGATTAGTTTGGAGAGATATGATAATTTACAATGTTAAAAATGCACATGTAACCACATTTATTCAGGTCATTTAAAAAATGTTCTTTTTGAAAAGCTTTATGCTTTCTTGTTTATTACTATATAATGTGGAGATAAATATTTTTGTTGTTACTTGAATGAGAATTTTTAAATTTCTGTTGTATTTAAAAGTATTTTTCTCCGATTCATAGCACAGTGTTTCTCTTGTACCTGTCACCTTACTAAGTCTCTTACTAATTCTAATAGGTTTTTTTTTTTGAGATGGAGTCTCACTCCGTCACCCAGACTGGAGTGCAGTGAAGCGATCTTGGCTCACTGCAACCCCTGCCTCCCAGGCTGAAGCAATCCTTCCACATCAGCCTCCCAAATAGTTGAGACCACAGATGCGTGCCACCATGTGTGGCTAACATCTGTATTTTTTTTGTAGCGATGGGGTTTTGTCATGTTGCTCAGGCTGGTCTTGAATTCCTGAGCTCAAGCTATCCGCCCACCTTGGCCTCCCGAAGTGTGACCCACTGCACCTGGCCACTAATTCTAATAGCTTTTCAACTGGCTTTCTTAATATTGTCTAGGTGAAATTTGTCACATGCCAATAATGATAGTTTCAAATATATTTATGGATTTATAATATAATACATCTCATTTATTTTTCTTCTCTTATTGCACTGTCTGGAATATGTAAAATAATCTTGAATATCATTAAGATAGTGAGCTGTCCTTGATGTGTTCATTTATGAATAGAAATTATTCTAATGTTTCATAATTAATATGTTTGCTGGTAAATATCTCTTGCTGGTAAATATCATATACTAGTGAGGGTTCTTAGTTTTACTCACTCTAACTAGTTTAGAAGGATTTTAGGTAGCTCGTAGTATTTCTACGTGGGCCTGAAAACAGGACTGGGATGCCCCATACACAGAAACAATGCAGTCTGGGATGATAAAGCCAGGAGAAAGCCCCAGTCACATCACCGGACTTTTATAATGGAAGCACCACCACACCCCATCATTTAGAACTGTGATGTCAAGGAATGCATTCAGAAACTTTATTGCAGCTGATTCAGGAGAGCCAGGTGCCTCTATCACTCCAATTGCCAAATATCTGAGCTCTTCTTACAAGGCCCCTGAGTTAAATTGCTTAATTTTGAATATCTCACATGGGTGCTTCTGCTTGGCAGAGCTAGGTTACATGCCAGCTACAAAGGACCCTGGCATAGGTCATTGTTGAACTTGCCATTTCTTAGAAACATGTTAGAATAGGTACATTGTGAGCTAAACTTTTGTATTTTCTGCCTACTCTGTAATTGATTAAGGACATTTCTTTCTATTCCTAGGTTATTCAAAGAGTTGTGTTTTGTATGTGCCAAATTTACTAACATCTTCTTTTTAGCACTTATTGAAAAGACAATGTAACTTTTCTTTAATCTGTCAGTGAATATTATGTAATGTTGAGAAATCTTTGCATTCCTTGAATTAATCTTACTTTAAAATTAAATAGGCTGGGCGTGGTGGCTCATGCCTGTAATCCCAGCACTTTGGGAGGCCAAGGCAGGTGGATTACTTGAGGCTAGGAGTTCAAGACCAGCCTGGCCAACACAGCAAAACCCCCATCTCTACTAAAAATACAAAAACATTGCCAGGCATGGTGGCATACGCCTGTAATCCCACATACTCGGGAGGCTGAGACAGGAGAATCGCTTGAACCTGGAAGGTGGACGTTGCAGTGAGTCAAGATCGCACCACCGCAGTCCAGCCTGGGTGACACAGCAAGACTCTGTCTCAAAAATAAATACATACATAAATACATAAATAAATAAGGTGTACTTCTGCATTGGATTGAATAGCAATTTTATAGAATTGTTGTATCTAGTATTCATAGAAAAGATAGTTATAGTTTCTGTGTGTATGCTATATATGAGCAATTTTTAGGTGAGGGTTGTACCATCTTCCTAGAATAAATTAGAATTTCCTTATTTTTCCATGTTATGGAACCACATTAAAAAAGACACAGAAATTCCATATTTCTGAAATCTGCAAAGGAGGTCACCTGGAAAATCGTATTTTTTCCTATTTTTGATTTCCTTTTCAATTTCTTCTATTGTTATTGATCTACTCAACTTTTCCACTACTAGAGCTAATTGTGGTACTTTGTTTCCTGAAAACATGAAATGATAACCACAGTCAAGCTAGTTAGCATATCCATCACCTCACACAGTTATAATTTTTTTAATGGTGAGAACATTTAAGATCTACTCTCTTAGAAAATTTCAAGTGTACAGTATAGTAATATTAATTATAGTTACCATGCTGTACATTGTCTTCAGAACTTATTCATCCTGCATAACTTAAACTTTATACCCTTTGACCAACATCTATTTCTTCCCTCATCCCAGTAACCATCATTCTACTCTCTTCTTTTGACTTCCACTTTTCTAGATTCCAAATATAAGTGAGGTCATACAGTATTTGTCTTTCTGTGTCTGGCTTCTTTCACTTAACACAATATCCTCCAGGTTCATCCATGTTGTCATAAATGATAGTGTCTCCCTTTTTAAAGGCTGCATAATATTCCATTTTATTTGTCTATCTCCATTCATCCAGTGATGGGCACTTGAGTTGCTTTTATGTTTTAGCTATTATAAATAATGCTGCAATAAACATGGGAGTGTGGCTATTTCTTCGACATATTGATTTTATTTCTTTTGGATATATAATCAGTAGTGGGATTGTTGAATCATATGGTAGTTCTATTTTTAATTTTTTGGGTAACATCCTTACTGTATTTCATAATGGCTGTACTAATTTACATTCTCACATATATAAATTTCCCTTTTCTCTACATCTTCACCAACACTTGTTATCTTTTGTCTTTTTGATAATGGCCATCCTAACAAGTGTGAGGTGATGTCTTATTGTGGCTTTAATTTGCATTTCCCTAATGATTAAGGATGTGAAACATTTTTTTCATGAACCTGTTGGCCATTTGTATGCCTTTTGAGAAATATCAAGTTATTTGTCCGTTTAAAAAACTAATTTGTTTTCACGTGATTGAGTTGTTTATTTTTTTTAACCATTACTTACCACCGACATATAAGTCAATTGACCTATTAACTACTTTAAAAATTTAGATATTTACCCCTCTCTATGTGTCTCATTAATGATAGGAAATGCTAGGCTTCTGATTATTGAGATTTGTTTTTGAACCAGTTAGTCTGACTGAGGATCAGAGATGTGCATTCATAAGAGTGCATGGTGTTAAGTGAAAGTTTTAGGAGGCCTTTGGTTTGGACTGAGCTCCTGCACTAGGCCCAGCAGACTAAACCAAAGCCACTCTGGCTGAAGCTCCATGCCACCAATCTGAAACTAAGTTGTTTACGTGAACTTCCAAGAAATCAGGAGAGAGATAATAGCCAAATCCCCAGACAGGCTAGTTTTAGCTGGCAAGATAAGGAAGTATCCTCTGCTTTCACCTTTATAAGGAAAGTAATACTGAAATGACCAATCTGCTTTCAGTTTTCCTCAGCCCCTTTGTCTATAAAATCAACCTCCTCTGCTCAGCTGATCAGAACACTCATTCTATTTTACAGAATGAGGTGTTGCCCAATGCTGGAGTCACAAATAATAGCCAATTAATATTTTAAACTAAATTTGTTATAATTTTGTCTGTTGACAATGTGATGATAAATGCTCTCATACTGAATTCATGTGCATATTTTGTTCCTTGAATTTGTTCTAAAGGAAAGCTATAAAGATATTTAACTTAATGAATTCTGCTGGTGAAATGCCTTAGATCACAATCTCTTTCTAAACAACGACTGCAAACGTGTACATGTGTAATTGACATAAACTGCGCTTGTATGAATGCAGGGGGAACAACATCATATTTGATAATCAAATGCTGCAAACTTTCTGGGGTCTTTACAGGCTCTTGCAAATTTGAGGGCTTCCAGGATGCCTTGATTCCTCTTATCACAGTGCTGCCTCCGAGCCACCTGTAGTTTCCCGAACCCATCCACTCTCATGCCTCAGTGTCTTTGTGTATGCTGTCATTCTCTGCTTGCAATGGGGTGGGTCCATGAGAATTGAAAAAACCTGATTGAAAGCTGTTCAATAGGAAAAAATAAGAGAAAACATACAGTAATGTAGTAGGATTTGATTAAACATATTGTGTTAGTTTGCTCAGGCTGTCATAATAAAAGCATTATGATTGTGTGGCTTAAACAACAGAAATTTATTTTCTCACAGTTCTGGAGGCTGGAAGTCCAAGATCAAGGAGTCCACAGTGTTGGTTTCTTGTGAGGTCTGTCTCCTTGGCTTGTAGATGACCATCTTCTTGGTGTGTTCTCACATGGTCTTTCCTCTGTTCATGAGCAACCCTGGTGTCTCTTTTTGTGTGCAAATTTCCTCTGATAAGGGCACCAGTCATATTGGTTTAGGGCCCACCCTAACAACTCCAGTTCAACTTAGTCACTTCTTTAAAGGTTCTGTCTCCAACTACAGTCATATTCTGAGGTACTAGGGGTGAGGACTTCAACATATTAATTTTGGAGGGACATAATTCCACCCATAACACACATCAATGAAACAGAGCTGGCAGTAGGGGATTGAGAATAAGGGAAGAAAGGAAAAGGAGAAGGTTGAACTAGACTTCGATTGTTTATGGCTTTTTGTGCCCTTTCCCCAGTTCCCCACCTTGTCTTGACCTTCATCTTGTCTAGACCACCCCTCACCTTACCAAGTGGTGTGGTGTCTAAAGGAACTTAGGCATAAAAATTACTGGGGAGCAGAGAATTCTTGGTTGAGTTTAGGCATCACTAGGCCAGGTTTGATCATGCTCAAGACAAGGCAGTTTGGTAAGACTGGGAGGAAGCTGGCAGGTGACTTATTCTGGCAAAAGTCAGGTGTAGTCACAAAGAGGCAGCAGAGCAAGTCAGTCTTGCAGGTGTTTTACAGATATGTTGAGATGGAGTATTGTGAGGGTTTATTTCTAAAACTTCTCTCTGCATGCTTTATCATTAGGATCAGCAACACACATGAAGGCCACAGCAAGCCACAGATGCCATTGGGTTTCCAACTCCCTGCTGTGGTTCTCTGAACTCCCTGGTACTTCTTCCAACGTTGGTTCTCATGAAAAATGGCAATCATCAGCATTCATCTTATCTAAGTCAGTTAGAGTATATTTTCCAAAAGGTCACTGAGTATTTGAGTCTGTTTAAAATTATTGTGAGAGTCACTTTATAAATAGAGTATAAGGGCTGTTGTTTGCCAAGTGTGGCTGCATTAAGTTGATTAGATGCTGAAATGCATATGCTGTAGAAACAGAAAAGAATATGAAAAAAACAATATAGATCTTGTTTGAAACATTTTGGATCCGCTACTCTAAAATATAGTATCTATACCTGCTGCAACAGTTTCAGGGCATTCTTTTACTTTTCTTTTCTTTTTTAATCAATTGCTGTTTTTGGCAAAGACTTTCTTACTTCCTAATTGCCCTAAATTTCTTTTCTTGTTAAAGACAAGTTTAACAATTGAATTCATTATCTCAGAAATTAACAAAGACTTTAATTTTTTAGCAACTGTTGATTAGTGCTGTGCTCCCAAGAAGTATTAATCTTAAGAAATCCTCTGTAAAAATATTATCCAATTAGGTTCAGTTAAAAGGAGACAAAATTTCAGATTTGTGGTTGGAAGGCTGTTATAAATTGCTATGGACTAAATTATAGTCCCCCCACATCAATTCATATGTTGAAGCCTGGACCCCCAATGTAATGATATTTGGAGATGGGGCCTTAGGGAGGTGATTAGGTTTAGATGAGTTTATGGGGGTGCTGCCCTCGTGATGGGACTAGTACACTTATAAGAAGAGACCAGAGAGCTTACTCCCTCTCTCCATGCACATGTGCAGAGGAAAAGCCATATGAAGAGACAGCGAGAAGGCAGCTGTCTACAAACCAGGAAGAGAGCTCCCACAAGGCACTAAATCTGCCAGCATCATAATCTTGGACTTCCCAGCCCCCAGAACTGTGAGAAATAAATGTCTGTTGTTTAAGCTACCCAATCCATAGCATTTTGCTACAGCAGCTCAAACTGACTAAGAGAGACATTCATACATGATGATCATATTTGTGAACACTCTGGAGGTCCAAGTTTTTTAAACTTCAAGGTAGGAAAAAAATTCAGCCCATGTAAGAATAGACCCTATTTCTTGTTAACCCAAATCTAAATGCTGACCAATCTGTCTGTGTTGTCATGATCTTACTAGCATACCCTGAAAAAGATTAAAAATAAAAATCAACCACCTGGTATTGAAATTCTTTATATTCTACATGTTAGCCCTTTGTGAGGCAGTGGGCATGCAATGGTCAATAAGACACATGTAGCTCAAGCTGTCATTGTGCTAATATACCTGTTAGGGAGAAAACATGAAAATAGGCAATTATGAGAATAAGTGCTCTGAAGGACAGGATGTGGGGCAGCACTAGGAGCCCCTGGGAGGAGAAGGCAGAGAAGCTGAGGTTTAAGGGTGGTCAAAAATCAGAGGCAAAGAGCAGGAAGAGTTCCAGGCAGAGAGCTGTTTGAGAAACTCAAATAATTTTTTTTGTAGTTAGCACATAGAGTTGAGAAAGAATATCATGAGAGATGAACCTGAAAGAGTTTCCCATGTCGGGACTATGCTGGGCCTTCTCAGCTGTGGGAGTCTGAAGTTTATTTTAAGGCCACTGATGAAGCACTTGGTAACAACTTGGTTATATTTGCATTTTAGAACGACTGTTCTGGTTTCTATGTGAGATGGACTGGAATAGGGCAAGAAAGGTGGCAATGGTACCCAATACCTGGAAGGGTTGTAGCAATCCAGGAGGAGATGACAGAGATGGGAAGAAATGGGTAGAATTGAGAGATACTAAGAAGCTAGACCCATTTGGTAATTGATTGGATGTTGGGGGGAGGTGAAAGAGAGGGAGGAGTGGAGGATAACCTCTGGATATCTGGCTGTCACATGCTAATGACAGGTCAAATAAAATAGAAGTAAAGTATCCCCTGGACTTTGTCTTAGAAAGGTCTGTGAGGACCTTGATGAGAAGCATCACAGGAGCATGGAGGCCAGACTGGAGTGACTGAAGGAGTCAGTCGAAGGCAGAGAAATGGAGCTAATTAGGGAGGCCTATTCTTTTTTTTTTAAAAAAATTGTGTACTTAATTTTTAATTTTTTTTAATTTTTAACTTTTATTTTAGGTTTGGTGGTATGTGTGAAGGTTTGTTATATAGGTAAACATGGGTCATGGGGATTTGTTGTATATATTATTTCATCACCCAGGTGTTAAGCCCAGTACCCAATAGTTATCTTTTCTGATCCTCTCCCTCCTCCCACCCTCAAGGAAGATCCTAGTGTCTGTTGTTTCCTTCTTTGTGTTCATAAGTTCTTATCATTTAGCTCCCACTTTTAAGTGAGAACATGCAGTATTCAGTTTTCTGTTCCTGTGGTAGTCTGCTAAAGATAATAGCTTCCAGCTCCATCCATGTTTCCACAAAAGACATAATATCTCTATTTTTTATGGCTACATAGTACTCCATAGTACATATGTACCACATTTTCTTTATCCAATCTGTGTCACTGATAGGCATTTAGGTTGATTCCATGTCTTTGCTATTGTGAATAGTGCTGCAATAAATATTCACGTGCATGTGTCTTTGTGGTAGAATGATTTATATTTTTCTGGGTATATACCCAGTAATGAAATTGCGGGTTGGTTGGTAGTTCTGCTTTTAGCTCTTTGAGGAATTTCCGTGCTGCTTTCCACAATGGTCGAACTAATTTACACCCCCACTAACAGTGTTTAAGGGTTCCCTTTTCTCTGCAACCTCGCCAGCATCTGTTATTTTTGACTTTTTAGTAATAGTCATTCAGACTGATGTGAGATGGTATCTCATTGTCTTGATTTGCATTTCTCTAATAATCAGTGATATTGAGCTTTTCTTCATAGGCTTGTTGGCCACATGTATGTCTTCTTTTGAAAAGGGTCTGTTCATATCCTTTGCCCACTTTTTAATAGTGTTTTAAAATTTTTCTCTTGTAAATTTCTTTAAGTTCCTTATAGGTTTTGGATATTAGAACTTTGTCAGATGCATAGTTTGCAAATATTTTTTCCTGTTCTGTAGTTTGTCTGTTTACCCTGTTGATAGTTTCTTTTGCTGTGCAGAAGCTCTTAAGTTTAATTAGATTCCATTTGTCAATTTTTGCTTTTGTTGCAATTGCTTTTGGTGTCTTTGTCATGAAATCTTAGCCCATTCTTATGTCCAGGATGGTATTGCCTAGTTTGTCTTCCGGGTTTTTATAGTTTTAGGTTTTATATTTAAGTCTTTAATTAATCTTAAGTTGATCTTTGTATAAGGGTCCAGCTTCAATCTTCTGCATGTGGCTAGCCAGTTATCCCAGCACCATTTATTGAATAGTGAGTCTTTTCCTCATTGCTTGTTTTTGTCAGCTTTGTCAAAGATAAGATGGCCGTGGATGTGCGGCCTTACTTCTGGGCTCTCTATTCTGTTCCTTTGGTCTACATGGGGAGGCTCATTCTTTATTGGAGCACTGTTCACTGCAATGCACTGTCGCCCATTTTCCGCATGGTATATAAGGAGGATAGAATGATGTTGCTGGGCACATGGACTTCTAGAATGGGATTCTGTGATTGATGATGTTTCTCTTAATTTTATGGATTAGGATGTGGTTGAGGCAAAGGGGATTTTTGACAAGTTTTCACTCCTCTCCTTCCAACACTGCTGTGCAGGATCAGAGTGGCCCAGCTTAACAAGTGCTTACCACCAGAAGCCCTGGTCCTGCTTGTTGCCTTGAATGGAATTCAAAATACAGAGATAGGTCCTGGTCGACCAAACACCTGCTCAACCAATCCTCTTGGTTTGATCCTAGGGAGGGTTAGGAAGAAGTATGTCTCCCCAAAGAAACTGAAGAACCCCTCAAGCAGGGAAGAGTCATTTCTGCACCTAACAGTCTCTGTTCTTCTAAGACTGAAATGGATGGCTCTGAGGAAAACCACCAAGGGAAGTGGTCTTGAGTCAGTTTCTTGGGAAGGAGTCAAGCTTTGCCTCTAACTGTGGCTAATTTTTTAACCCATCCACTTTCTCTGCCCATTCAGTCTTGAGCTTAGTGGGCAATCCCACCCTTCTCTAGATTCCCTCTACCCCTCCAGTCCCAAGGAGCTTCTTCTGATGTGTGTTCATCCTCCAGCTTATCAGGAGGTGTCTGTGTCCAAGCCCCCAGCTTACTTTTGCAGTGTGACTCCTGTCCACCCCACTGAGAGCAGCCTGTCCTCTCTTCACTGTGTGGTGTCAGGATGCACCTCTCTGACCCTGTTTGGATTCTGCTCCCCAGGGATTGCTGTGAACCTCTCAGGATTCTGCTCTGGCCTGTAACTTGCTTCCCCATGGCCTGTCTGCACACAGTGCTGTATAGCTGTGGGGTTTCTGGACAGCTGCATGACGGGTAAGATTTGGGTCTGACCATGTAAGATGATTGAAAGTGGCCTAATTCACCTCTTTGTTCTTCATTCACCTATTTATTTACTCACTCCATAATCATAGATTGGTGATGTATTAGGGTTCTCTAGAGGGACAGAACTAATAGGATATATGTTTGTATGAAAGGGAGTTTATTAAGGAGACTTGACTCACACGATCACAAGGTAAAGTCCCACAATAGGCCGCCTGCAAGCTGAGTAGCAAAGGAAGCCAGTGGTGGATCAGTCTGAGTCCCAAAACTCCAAAAGTAGGGAAGCCAACAATGCAGCCTTCAGTCTGTGGCCAAAGGCCCGAGAGTCCCTGGCAAACCACTGGTGTAAGTCCAAGAATACAAAAGTTGAAGAGCTTGGAGTCTGATGTTCAAGGGCAGGAAACATCCAGCATGGGAGAAAGATGAAAGCCGGAAGACTCAGCAAGTCTGCTCTTCCATCTTCTCCTGCCTGCTTTGTTCTAGCTGCACTGGCAGCTGATTAGATGGTGCCCACCCAGATTGAGGGTAGATCTGCCTCTCCCAGTCCACTGACTCAAATGTTAATCTCCTTTGGCAACACTCTCACAGACACACCCAGGAACAATACTTTGCATCCTTCAATCCAATCAAGTTGACACTCAATATTAACCATCACAGGTGAGGCCCAGGCATTTCAGTTACATGTTTTTAAAAGATCTCTACAAAATATTTAAAAACTGCCCAGGTGCCAGGTGCAGTGGCTCACACCTGTAATCCCAGCACTTTGGGAGGCGGAGGAGGGAGGATTGCTGGAGCCCAGGAAGTTACAATGGGCTGTGATTGCACCACTGCTCTCTAGCCTGGGTGACAGAACAATACCCTTTCTCAAAACAAATAAACAAAAACAAACAAAAACTGTTCAGGCATCTGAAGCTTGAGGGAGATAGTTGGGACAGAGAACTCAAATAAAAGTTGAGTTAGTACTGTCCAAGTGAGAAATATGAGTCAATCTAGTAGTTTAAGGTGAGAAATGACAAAGGTGTGAAGTAGAAAAGTTGGGATAAGATTTAAGACATTTCGATGCCATAATCCACAGGACTTGGTGGCAGATGGGCTATTGGAGAGGAAAGGGTGGGAATAGTTGAAGACAGCACTGGGCTTGCCAGCTGGATGTGCCATTTACCATGATGTGTAATTAATAAAGAGAAACGGAATGATAGTGGTTTTATTTCTTTATGTTGAATTTCTTAATGTTGAATTTCAAGCATCTATGGCATGTTTGGGTACTGAAGTCTGGTAAACAACTAAAGTTATCTGTGTGGCGTTAGGGAGATGGTTCAGGGCTGATGATGAACAATATTAATTTATTTAGTTTTTTAATTTGCTTATTCATATGCTTCTAATTTTCAAAATAAACAGTTTCTTAAGATTTAGCTATTTTATCTTTTATTGATAAATAATAGTTGTCAAAATAAACCAATTTGAAGCAGATTTCAAAGATACTGGCATACCATAAAACAAGGAATTTTCAGAGTGGAGTTGGCAGTGGAGAACAAAAATGTAAGGCTTAAAAAAACAAGTCTGTAGGATGCATGGGTGCACACGCGTGCACACACACACACATGCATTTACATTTTTCTAGAGGTAGGCTACTCTGAGATTTTTATGGGTTGATGCAAAAAGGAAACACTCGATTCACTGTATTTATGAGATAGAAATGCTACGGAGGGTTATGACTATCTTTGGTACTGACATCTGAAAGACGCTTCTTCTATGGGTTTTCATAAAGAGGGCAGCATGTGACTACAGAGAACAAGACTCTTAACAAGATCCACAGAACAAATTTAACACATGTGAGCTCGGATTTGTAAAAAGTCCTTTAATATAAGCCAGTGGCATAACACCCAAAGCAATTGTTTTGGGGGAAGATGATGGGATCCAGGTTGACAAGCTATCTGGTTTTTACAAAAATAAAAAATAAAATCTAGACCTAGAAAGATCATAAGCAGTTGCCCATAGGTCCACATCTGGTCAGTAGACATTGTTTGTAATATGTAATTTTTTTTAAAAAAAGTAATTATTTGAATTACTGGAAAACATGAAACATTAGTTTTCATAGTTAAAAATCCATTTTTATTTTTGGCTTCTCTTGAACTGTGAGAAGACCTAGTGCCACAGGGCCAACCTGGCTGTGGTCTCCAGGTTGCCCCAGTCTTTCCTCAATTACATTACCTACCTGGCCCCTGCAGATATGACATTTGTGATTTCTGCTACAGGGACACATATGGACCACATGCCACTTAGAGACTCCTTAATGTGAATTACTTACGACAACTTTAGATAGTAATTGTGTGATAGAGAATATAAGGTTATATTCTATGACAAAAATTTGGAACACAGGTAGGAATATCCATCAGCATGTTTTGGTGAGATCTGTATGCTTCAGCTGCTCATTGCACTTGAGTTAAGGCTGTTATCTTTTTATGGATTCAAAAGATTGTGTCTGAATGTAATGTTTCTCTCTCTTTACCCTGACATGCAGAGTAAAAATTTTCCTCAGGAAATTATTTTGGATTCCCACTGACTGACACATGAAATATTGTTGATGGAAGTCCCAAATATCTAGGGATTTAACCTTAAATATATTAAATTTGGCAAGAATGGTTGTACATACAGATGGATTTTGATTTTTAGGAGGAGGGCCTGAGTTTATGGCTGTTATTTTTTCTGGAGGTGGAAATACAGCAAGGGCATTTATTATGTGAATGGACAGGGTGGGACAAGGCACTTGGCAGGTTTGGTCATATGTGAGCATTGCAGGGAAATGCGTAGAAGGATTTTAAAGACAGCACTGATTCAATTAAACAGTTTAGGTGACTGTTGGCTTTGGATTCCCTATTAATTCAACTGAGATCCTGCTCCATGCAGTAGGCACTGATATACCTTTGACACTCCTGCATAACCACAAGTGCTTTCTTTGCAAGACTCCTTCAGCAACCCCGGTTTCCTGCACACTGATTCAAGGTGATCATTTCCCATTTTCTCCTCTTTTTGTGAGTACTCACTTTGATTGTCTGAAAAACTCAGCCATTTCCTCAAGTCTCTCCAGACCAAATCATGCCTTATAAATGTGATTTCTAGGTACAAATCTGTCAGAGGAATTTCCAGTTATTCCCATAGGTGGTTACCCTTTTTTCAAAAATCTGTCAGATAAATTCAATTCACACCTACCATAGCTGCCAATTTCTTACTCACTGATTAACTGGTGTATCAGACAAGAATATTCTCAGATAGCTATGCATTCAGCTACAGCTAATTCTCTTCGCTTCAAATATTCTTTGCCTATTTGCTTGGGATCTTAATTATATTACTTTTTTTTTATTTATGGTTTACCAAGACACTTATTTCTTTGTTCTTTACTTTCAAAATGAATTATTAATAATTAATATTTTTATTTAATGCAATAAAGTTACCTTAGTATTTGTTATTTTTAATTGTTATAGGGTGTTTCATTGTGAAGATGTACTCTAGTTTAATTGCATATTGTTTGTTTTTCAGGTATTTCCAGCTTTCTCTGTTATAAACAGCTTTGTATATACATTTTAGGAGATTTTTTTCAGTCTAGTGAGGTTCACTATTTTTATCAGTTGCTTTTTGGAGCTTCGTGTTTCTTTTTGATTATAATTTTTCTCTCTGTTTTAAATTTTAAATAAAATTTAGAAAATATTTCTCACCTTGAGATGATATTAATATACTGTTTTTGTAGCTGTACTTTTTTACAATTATATCTTTTGTCAATACGATCTTGTTTATTGGGGGAACCAGCCCCCAATATTTCAACATAGGTTCTTTTCTATTTTCCCTAAGTGTTGGCCAGTCTGAGAAATAAAGAGAAAGAGTACAAAAGAAAGAAATTTTACAGCTGGGTCTCCGGGGGTGACATCACATGTCGGCAGGTTCCATGATCCCCCCTGAGCCGCAAAACCAGCACATTGTTATTATAGATTTCAAAAGGGGAGGGTGTACAAATAGGGAGTGGATCACAGAGATCACGTGCTTCAAAGGCAATGAAATATCATAAGGGCAGAGAGGCAGAGTGAGATCACAAGGCCAGGGCGAAACTAGAATTACTGATGAAGGTCCATGTCCCACTGGGCACACATTGTCATTGATAAACATCTTAACAGGAAACGGGGTTTGAGAGCAGAAAACCGGTCTGACTAGAATTTCGCCAGTCTGGAGTTTCCCAATCCTAACGAGCCTGGGGGTGCTGCAGGAGACCAGGGCATATTTCATCCCTTATCTACAACTGCATAAGACAGACACTCCCAGAGCAGCCATTTTAGAGACCTCCCCCTGGGAATGCATTAGTTTCCCAGGGTTATTCCTTGCTGAGAAAAGAATTCAGTGATATTTCTCCTATTCGCTTTCTGAAAGAAGAGAGATATGACTCTGTTCTGCCTGGCCCCGCAGGCAGTCAGACTTTATGGTTATCTCTCTTGTTCCCTGAAAATCTCTGTTATCCTGTTCTTTTCAAGGTGCCCGGATTTCATATTGTTCAAACACACATGCTTTACAATTTGTGCAGATGACGCAATCATCCCAGGGTCCTGAAGCGACATACATCCTCAGCTTACGAAGATGACGGGATTAAGAGATTAAAATAAAGACAAGCATAGGAAATTATGAGGGTATTGATTGGGGAAGTGATAAATATCCATGAAATCTTCACAATTTATGTTCAGAGATTGCAGTAAAGACAGGCATAAGAAACTATAAAAGTATTAATTTGAGTAACTAACAGGTGTCCATGAAATCTTCACAATTTATGTTCTTCTGCCGTGGCTTCAGCTGATCCCTCCATTCGGGGTCCCAGATTTCCCACAGCACTTGTTTTTGTTTGTTTTTAGAGACTGGGTCTCACTATGTTGCCCAGGCTGTCCTTGAACTCCTGTGCTTAGGGGGTACTCCTGCCTGAGCCTTCTCCTGAGTAGCTGAGACTACAGGCATGATCCACTGCACTCAGCTCATAGGATCTTATTTTTGGGTAAGAAGATGTTCTTAGTGGTGAGTCTGTTATCCCAAGACCTTCTAATGAAGAGGCCATTATTTTTTCACTGATTTTAAATTATCATATACTAAATTCACTTGTTTAATATGTGTAGACTCTATTTCTGGGCTTTTTTTTGGGGGGGGGGTTATTGATTTATACATTCCTGTGCTGGTAGCACACTCTTGTGGTTACTATTACTTAAAACAGTTGGGAGGGCAAGTGGTCTCTCTCTTTGTCACCTAGGCTGGAATGCAGTGGCACCATAACAGATCACTGTAGCCTTGATCTCCTGAGCCTCAGTGATCTCTCACCTCAGCCTTCTGAGTAGCTGGGACTAGAGGGCATGCCACCATGCCTGGCTAAGTTTTAAAAAAATTTTTTATTTTGTAGTGTCAGGGTATCATTATGATGCCCAGGCTGGTCTTAAACTCCTGGCCTCAAGAGATTCTCTCTCTTTGGCCTTTCAAAATGCTGGAATTACTGGCATGGTCCACTGTGCCTGGTCCCATATAAAGTTTAAAACCATTCTGCAAAGCTTTATAAAAGACCTTTGTGGATTTGCTTGGAACTTTATCATGTTTCTAGATTTATTAGGGGCAAATTGCATTCCTTACTAAATTAAGTTTTCAAATTCAGGATTTTGGTATGCTTTTTTTTTTTAAAATTACCCTTAAACATAAATTTTATTTGTTTTCAGATTACAATCACAATATCTACTCACTGTAGAGAACATGAAAAATGCATAGCCATTTCTTTTTTCTTTTTGTTTTTGGACCTCAGGTAGAGAGAATTGAGCTAATCATATTCCAATTTGAGTTCTTTATATTTCTCTGGTCCATGGAGTGCTCTGTAAAAGTTATAAAAGCCTAACTGCTATAACAAACAACCCCAAACATCAGTGGCTCAACCCAGTAGAAGTTTATATTTTGTTCATGTCCATTTTGGTTCAGTGAGGGTGGGGTGGGGACTCTGCTCCATCCTCTGGTTTGGGGCCAGGCTCCTTTCTTGGTGTGGCTCCCTCTTCCACCCTGACCCCTTGCAGACTATGTCAGATGCGCTCATCATAATCTATGAATGTCTCTACTTTTGCATCACCAAATAACACCATAATTAGTGTATCTGAACTGCTTCCGCACTAGACTGTATACTTTAAGAAGAAAATGTGTTTTATTCATATTTACAATACTAATACCATGCATGGCACATAGCTGTGATTTTTAAAAAAGTTAATTAAATTAATAGAATAAAAATACAAATGCTTTCAAAAAAGACTAGAAGTGCATTGCAATGGTGAGTTTCTAGTGTTTGTGCATTTAACGTGTTACTATTATAATCAGGAAAAAAGGAGACCTTAATAATTGACTGTAAAAAATAATGAGTGAATGATTGACTTTTTTTCATTTCTTTGTTTCTTCTGATCATTTCCTTATCTGTTTCTATTAATAGTTGTTATCCATAGAAGTCTCTACATATATAGTCAGTTCTTATGGTACAGTTATTATTTAACATTTTATGAAAGAAGGCTTTTATAAACCAGTAGAATGCTTACCAACTGCATAGAAAATAGAAAAACTCTTTAAAATGAAAATATAATATTTTAAGAAAAACAATTACATAACATATAGCACTGATTTTTAGAAAAGGCAAACATTTAGACACATAATCTTTTTAAAAAGTACTTTTGAGCCAGGTGCAGTGGCTCACGCCTGTAATCCCAGCACATTTGAAGGCCAGAGTGGGAGAATCTCTTGAGGCCAGGAGTTTGAGATCAGCCCTGGCAACATAACAAGTCCCTGTGCCTACAAAAATAAAAAGTTAGCCAGATGTGGTGGTGTGTACCTGTAGTCCCAGCTGCTCAAGAGGCTGAGGTGGGAGGATCACTTGAGCCCAGGAGTTTGTGGCTGTAGCAAGTTATGGTGGTGCCACTGTACTCCAGACTGCGTGACAGAACAAGACCCTGTCTCAAAAAAAAAAAAAAAAAAGTACTTTTGTCCATTGACACTTTTTCTGTTCATTAATAATTGAACAATTTATTTGGATTTTTAAGCTCCTTTGTGATCTGAAAATCTCTTTGCTTTTATAGTAGCTCTAGAGGAATACCCTTTAGGACTTCTCAGAAATAAAATAAATAAATAAAACATCTACTAAAAAGAGATATAACTTAATTTTTAATGTATTTTAAATTTGACAGAACTCAGCTTTGCTTATTTCAGACTTACATCGTGTTGCCTTGGGAACATGCCTGTGTACATGGCCGCCTCCTTTCCCTTCCCATCCAACACCTATGGTGTCCTGCCCTCTTCCTAGACTTAGACAGAATCAGGAACACAGACTTCTGTTAAAATGACCACAGTGTACTTTATTTAATGATTTTGGTACCTTGTGTTGCATTAAATAAAAAAAAAAAACTACAAAATCCAAATATATAAAATTTCAAGTTTTCTTTTTTTTTCTTTAAGTTTTACAAGAAAAACCATGTAACCAAGGAAATTTGTTCATTATGAAGTACTACTTTCCACTTCATTTCATCACAAATTGCAACTTACTTAACAGACCAAAATAACTATGGTACTGTAGTACATCAAATACTCCACACACTGTGCTTCAAACTAGGGCACTGGGGGTCACTGCCTGCTGACAGTGGCCTCCCGCGAATAAAGACACACTTACAATCTGAACGCTAAAGGGATGTTTGGATACATGGAATTTGAATATATATATTTACAGGAAGGAAACAAATTTAATAACTAGTTTAAGTCTCCATTTCAAATAAAATTCCAAATACATTTGTACAATGTTTACAAAGTAAAAGCACAAGAACTGCCAAGATGATCATTCAGGTCCAGGCACTGTGCTCATACTGGGGGAAATGTCTACACCGTTCCCTACGCACACTCGTGGGGTCTCTCGGACCTTATTCTGTAATGGAGGGGGAAGCACAGGAATGGCATTTTTGCACAATCAGAATGTCATGCAGATAGTTGACAACAGGGGACTGAGAAATTACTGGTCCATTCTCTTCCATTTGCTGTTCACCTGCCACCTGTTCCATTTTTTTTTCAGAGATAGATTTAAAACAAAACAAAAAAATTGAACAGGGAAAGGAGCACAAAATGTTTAAGGCAAATTAAGCAAATATAGAGCAGCTTATCTTGATGTTGAGTGGAAATGAGGATTTTACCCAAAACCAACCTTAGAAACAAACAAACAAAATTAAGTACAACCTCCTGAGGTTGGGTGGTGTATATCATGTACAAATTTTTGAAAATTGCTTTGCACCAAATATCCTTTTGAAATGTTAAACAAAAGACTTATTGATTACAAAGTGCATGGTTTCATGTTTCTAAATAAAACAACAGTAGCTGAGGTAGTTAGATGTGAAACTTATTTACTTAAAATAACTGGAGAATTAAGAACAAATATTGGTAGCAAAAATCCTTGCCATTTGGGAGCAGGTTTATATTGTGCAATGGTTTCATGCTAAGCACGATGTTTCTATTTTTCTATTAGATGTTATTAATTACATCAGAATATTAGTGGTAGTAGTATTTGTTTCCAATCTGCTTGGTAGGATGTTAGTACAGACGAAGTTTGTATCCCTAGTCATGTCATTTGTAACTCAGGCTCACACCATTTCTGCATTGAAGCTATCATGTAAAATGGCATTAATTATCATTACTAGAAACTCCAATCCAAACTGCAAAAAGAATTAAGTAAACACTGAGAAAAGAATCCATAGGAAGGATGATTTTGCTCTTGCTTTAACAACATTTTTGTCATAGCCCTAAATTCAGCGTGCTATTTGGTTTCAAAGAGAGAAGAAACCTCTGGCTCATTGGTTGCTGTCTTTGTTCTGAGAATGGGAAAAATGTAATTTGCATATCCTTCATCGACTCTCCCTAGGCTATTGAGCTGTCTGGCTACAGAGAGGAAAAGCAGAAACTATTTAGTAGAGGCAAGGTTCTCATCCAAGAATAGCTATGGTCTCTTTCTGCGCTCTTTACCAAAGAAAGGCTTCAGCTGGGATCTTCAATAAGCAATTGACCAAATGATGCATTTTTTTCTTATTTGATACCATCTAGATATAAAAGGAATTTTGTGATGATAATAATATGTCAGCAATACTAACACACGTAAACTAATTGGGAGACACTCCTTTTGATCAAAAGAGAATTTCCATATGTTTTCTATCACTTGTTCATGGAATACAATGTTAATGGGAAATATCCATGAAAATTGACCACAATTAATACATTTACAAAGCATCACATATGTGATGTTTACAGAATGACTGGTCCTCAGCAGCATAATCACATGAATCTTTGCTGAAAATGGTAGTTTTTCTAAAAACTTTCAAGGAGGGCTCTGGAGAGTTCCATGTGGTCTGGAAAGCCTTGAAAAGAGGCTGAAGTCTCCTTTCTTCCAGTGATGAGATGTATAGCTTATATCTCAAGTACATGTTGTCTCTACTTGTCTTTTCATCTGTTTGGTGAAGAATCTAGACTCTGTCATTTCAAAGGGTTGTCCAGCTCTAACACACTTCAATTCTGTTTTGTATCTTTGTGGCAAAATCTCCCCATGACATACTCGCCCCACTATTTTCCTCCCATCCTGGTCACCCCACCTGTGAATCTGCCACTTCCTTCTTCCAGGCCCCTACATCTAGTCCAAATAGGCAACACCAGTTTTCTTCTGCAAAAACAAATAAAAACACAGTATTTTCCTTTATAGCAAAAAGGATATTCTGCTGCATTTCTGGTTGGGGGAGTATTGATACTAGGAAGTGGGCAGGGGAAAAAGGACAGTCCCAATTATTTTTTGACTCACTTACTATTCTCATAGTATTAGTCCAGAAAAACAATACTTCAGTCTGGTTTGGCAGCACAAACTTTAAAAAAAATGAATCAGATAATTGCCTAGGTTAAATTCATGCTTCAGAAAGTTTAATACCATGCATTAGATATTAATTAACCACCTTGAAATGTTAAGGCTTTGAAATATCACTGCCAATTAGATTTTAGAATCCAGAAGAGATTATATTGAGTGCGTATCTTATGTCAGCTCCAAGCACAAGATGATTTCAAACCCACTTCTCAAGGTAAACTTTCTGAAACCCATTTTGTGTTTTTAAGAGTGTGCACATTTTTTTCACAATGGAATATAATCCTTAAATAAGGGCACAATGATAATATTGATGTACAACAACTTTGCCTCATGAAGCCATATCATGAAAACATTATCTGCTTTGCTAGTCTAGTTTTATGAATGTATTCCTATATCATGATATTGCCTCTATGTCTCAAAAATTACAAATATTTATAAACCAAAATGATGTTATTTCACATTAGTTCTTATCAGGATTAAATTTTTAAGTACAAGAAAACTTGTCACTTTTGGGGAAGTTGTACAGGATATTCTCTGATGTTGTTTTCACACTGTGTCCTTTATCCTTTAGTAGAATTCCCACCTAAGCACATGTAAGCATATGTATATCAGTATATAGCTGAAGCCCTGTGTAAAAACTTCTCCGAAATATTTGAAATGTAGTTATAACGTGAAAATGAATCAATTCAGGAGTTACAGGTGGAAATAAGGCTTTACGTTCTTTTATTGTGTTGTAAAGATGTGTCATCTTAGGGGTGAAGAGGATACTCAATGGAAATGACACCAACTCTAATCTCACTAATATCTGTTAAAAATCTTTCCCCAGTAGTGGATTTCAGAACGCCACCTGGTGATCATGAGTACAGAACTGGGGCATCATGCACGCATTCTGAAAAAATGCAGCTTGGGATCAGGCATGCAAACCCCTCAGGCATCAGGAGGAGACAAGTTTTCTGGGTGCATTTTAATAAACATTTAATAAAATTCAGTTTGGTTAACAGGAAAATTGCCAACTTATATAAAGCATCTGAATGTCTGGATGAAAGGAGTTGTCTCATTAAAAAGCTAATCATTGAAGAAAATTATACATAGACCTTTGAAGGAAAAGTGTTAGTTTTATATAGTGATGAAGAACCATTGTATTCTCTGCTTGGTGAGTTGTTGCTGTTGTATTCCTCAGACTCCACTTCCTCCGTGCTGCACACAGCTCTCTTCTGTTAATGCCAGTTCTCAGGAATGACAGCACTTTCTAACCTACAAGCACTTTAGCAAATCTAGCTAATCTCCACAACACCCCTATGAGGTAGGTAAATAAATATCTCTCTTTTGCATATGGGGAAAATGAGGCTGAGGGTGAGTTTCTGAGGCTGGAGAGATGGACCAGGGATTAGGGCTCAGTTGTGCAGAGATTCCCAGTTCCTTTGTCCCAGTCACTGACCCATAGACCCTCCCATCCCTGCATCCAGAAAGGAATCCATCCCATAGTGTAAAAGGATATTGTTTTGTAGAATAACATATTTAAGTATATTTAAGACAGTCACTATATTCAACATGGATTTTTGGTTTTCTACGACACCATAAATTCCATTGATTATCGTACTACCAAAGATCACTGAATAAAATGACTCATGCTTTTGTGGAGGACAATAGGTTGTCACGTCTTTGTTGCTGATTCAACTAAACATCCTGTTGGTAACATGAAGGTAAAAAGATTTGAAATGGGATTTGGTGAAGTAAAAATCTTAGGGAAAAAGAAAAGCAAAACTGAATTGGGCTGGTACACACATCTGCGATAGGACTCACAGTGATGATGTTGTGGGGCCTGGGGGGTCCTTACTACACAAAGTGGAGGATCCATTTGATTTCATAAAAACATTCTGTTTGTAAGGGAAGGAAGGACCCAACAAGTAACTTTATTGCCTTCCCCATAAAGACATTCTAACTTGGCACTGAGTGTAGAATGTGACACAATCAAAACCCTACCTACAAATCTTCAAAACATTTAAGTTTTCTCTGGAAATCCCCTCAATATCTTTGCATAGTTGAATACCTTTCCGTACTCTGTGTGCCTGCTCACGGTGAATCATTTGTATCATGTTCTGCAACATAAGTGCTCTTAAAGAAAACTGGTCTGAATAGCTTGTCTGTTTTTCTGCTAAGCTTCAGGACCATAAATGAGGCAAGCACAAAATTTGAGACAATGCTCACCAACCCAGTGTCAAATTAGGAGAAACAAGCTCAGCTTCCTACAGTCACAATGAAGAAATGTCCACAAATAATCAGGAACGCAAATGTCAGGATGAACATCTCAGACTTTCCTTGTGGGAGGTGAATTTTCCTTTGACGTAAACTTTTTCTTTTTTTCCCAGGAATTTTAACGATGACTACAAAGATATCACTAAATATTCCCATGTTTGTGGTAACCAGTTGGTGCTTGGAAATTGGCATGACATCAACAAACCAAACCCAAAAAACTATGTATGGTATTTTGTTTGTTTTGGGAAAAATAGCTTTTACTTCTATCAACCTTATAAAATTCACCATGAAATAATTTTGTCAAGCAATTTGAATGGTTTTTAGGCTTAAAAAATATCATAAGGAATGCTTAAAATTAAAACTTCTATTTGAAGAATAAAAACTTAAGAAACTTGTATTTCCCTTGAGCCATTTTATCAAGTAGACTTTGTGAATAACTAAGATGATATGAACAGCAGAAGAGCAATGATACAATTTATGAAAGATAGCAAAGACTGAATAGAAAGTTTCTTGCCTGGCAGGGGCCAAGTGAAGGAGGGTGTGCCGCAGCCAGGCCCAGAATGCCCAGGACAGCCTACCTGACCTCTTTCATTCATGTGTTTGCTGAAAGTAAATAAAAATTAAATAACATTTGTTCTGCATTATTTCTCTTGGCACAACAAAGAGACTTTTAGCAGCAGAATATGACCAGCAATTGCTTACGGCGCAAGAAAGTTCAATTCCATTACTTACAACACCGGAGCAGTCTGTCTATCCAGAAACACCAGACACCCAGACGGAAAACTGTATGATTCAAACATCTCGACTTTTCCAAATATCCGTATGTTTGATATCATGAAGACCAAATTTACCACTTGAGTGATCTACTTGGCCACTTTTCATCAGGATATTTGCAGTCATGTGGACAGTCTTTATTTTTTAATAACTCCTTGTCTACTTTGGTTTAGTGACGATGGTTCCGCAATCATCTGGAAAATTCAGATGTTGAAAGCCCCCCAAAGAAAAGAAACTTAGTCAGGAGGAAGAATCAGAGCTTGAGGGCTATCAATGGTCCAGTGGTTTTGTCTATGTTGAAAAATTGCTTAACTGTTCATTTCTTTCCACCTCCATTATTCTGAAAATTATTCTCTCAAGAATTATTTTTTCCAGTTTGGGAACAGATACACAGACTAGGTGACTGGCAGAATTGAGATTCACAATATGAGTGAAAGATTCTAATGCTTGTAAACCCAGTTTAGTGTGTTTGGACACAGAGGCTCTTGTGACATTGTGATATATTTACAATGGGAAGATGAGTAAGGCCATGGTAACCCTGAATCTCATTGCTGTTAAAAGGAGGGATGGTTAAGTGGTTCATGTTCTACAAACAAGGGTAACTTACAATACCTTGGAATACCTTATCTTAGAACCCACGAGAAGCTCTCCTGCAGAGCCCATAGGGACCAGTGGTCAAGGAGAACTATCACAGGGGGTGGGTTCCCCTAATGACAGAGTCACTCTTAGACATGACACCACTGACATCTCTGTTTTCCCACTTTCGTCAGGCCCTAGCCTTTCCAAAGTGGACATGTCTGTTGTTATAGTTATGGACTGGCTGTGACTATTTTGAACTTCTCTGCTCTGTGAAAAGGCAAATACTATGGATGAGCCACTGACAGGTTTTCTCTTCATCACCATACTTGGGCCTCTACATTAATAGATACCCTCTGACCCAACACCCAATCCTGCTAGAGTAACTCTTACCCATGAACCTTGCTTAAGAGGACTATTTATTGCTCCTATATTCCCACGATTGGCCACCTCATTGTACATTACAGAGTATCTTTGTACCTATGTGGGCTCTGGGGTTCAGAAAATGAACATTTTCTTTAACTTGTTAGTTTTCATTGCTGGGCAATTGAAAATAAGTCACGTGCACAGGAAGGGGAACATCACACACCGGGGAGTGTTGTGGGGTGGGGGGAGGGGGGAGGGATAGCATTAGGAGATATACCTGATGCTAAATGACGAGTTAATAGGTACAGCACACCAACATGGCACATGTATACATATGTAACAAACCTGCACGTTGTGCACATGTACCCTAAAACTTAAAGTATAATAATAATAAAATTAAAAAAAAAAAGAAAATAAGTCACATGGTGGTAGACCACTTTTTGTCCCCATTTTATTTCAGGGCTTGCGCCAAGAGCTAGTTCTGAAAACTGACTCGCCGTGATGCTAGTGCTGATAACTGGGAAGATCATTCAGTAGTGCTTGCTATTATACATCTTGGTGATAACTACCAAGGTGATAGCTTTGGGAGGAGAAACATCTTCAAAACACAAGAAAAAGAATCCCTGCTTCTTCCTCTTCTCATTTTTCCTCTAGACTGCTTATTGACAAATCTGATGACTTCCACTCTTTCATCTAGGGTGAACTCCTAAAATTGTTATACCAAAAGATTAGACAGAAAACTTTACAAGAACATATGAAGGCCCGACTCTCTTGCATACTCTGAAACTATGACCTGATAACTTCTGGTAACTTCATTCTTATCTCGTAGCTCAAATCTTTCTTTGAAAAAAAAAAAACAAAACCCAGAAGCAAGGGAGAAAGAACCATGTATTAAATTAAGAGATGATCTGTTTACCTCTATGTGAAAATTTAGTCATTAAGAATATCGGGGCCGGGTGTGGTGGCTCACGCCTGTAATCCCAGCACTTTGGGAGGCCAAGGAGGGCAGATCACGAGGTCAGGAGATCGAGACCATTCTGGCTAACACGGTGAAACCCCATCTCTACTAAAAAATACAAAAAAATTAGCCGGGCGTGGTGACAGGCGCCTGTAGTCCCACCTACTCAGAAGGCTGAGGCAGAAGGATGGTGTGAACCTGGGAGGCAGAGCTTGCAGTGAGCCGAGATTGTGCCACTGCACTCCAGCCCCTGCGACAGAGCGAGACTCTGTCTCAAAAAAAAAAAAAAAAAAAAAAAAAAAAGAATATCAGATTCGTGATCTTTGAGCTCGTAACCAAGGTTTTGCAGGGCCTGAGAAGCAACAGGATAGCCAATTCCACATAGAAATGGATCTCGGTTTGGAACTGCTAATGTCACCACCTAAGAAGGCAGGAATCAAATTATTCAGTAGCTGCACCCATGCAGATTTTACCTCTGAAACTGAATAAAAACTCAATTTTTATAAATTGGTTATTACAATGCTGACAATGGTAGTCTCAAGAAATGAAATAAAAGCAGCAACTGTACTCAGACAGATCAATTATTCAACAGATGACAGTGCATTATTTTCATTTCCAAACATGTGGATTTGAATCCATTTAAAGCAAGTCTCCACGACCCAGTACTCCGTTCTCTGAGCTATGCAAGCCCCCGGGAATATTTTTCTTTTTTTTCAAAACAGCGTTTACTGGAAAAAACAAATGAAGCAGGTGAATATTCATAGCGTGAGCCATAAGAAGCAGGTAGCAGGAATTCACTAGCGCTCCACTTCACAGAGGTATTTCTCTTCAGGCCTGTGCACGTCATGGTACTACGGCTGAACGGAAGTGCTCCTTTTTCACTAACTGATTAATGTTCCCTTGCAGGAGCTTGGTTACAATATTACAAGTCAAGAATTTGCAAGATTAAAGTGTCTGTTGAATTAATTAACTGCAAATCACCTCCAGTAAAGCTTGACAAGCTCCAAGATGTTTCTGTAGAAAAAGAAGGGAATCGATAGCATCAGCAATAGGCAGCTTTGTGACAGTGGTGACTGTATTTCTGAGTGACAGCTCACTGCTGCCTTCCCTCCTCTTACAGCAGGAGGGATTTACATCTTTCCACAGAGCCCCAAGCTTCCGATTCAGACCGTGGAAAATGTTTCACCCCAGGCTTTCAAAATATATTTCAGAAATCCATTTCCTCTTTTATGTACAATGCATTAGAAAGGTTAATAAGGGAAGTTGAATATTTTAATTTTTTGAAAGAATGATATAAAATGACAATTCTTTCACTAGCTGACAGGTCTCCTTTTTTTGGTTATGTTAAGGTGTGTTATTGCTCCCAATTTGAATAGAATAAAAAAAATCACAAGGGGCTCAGCAGAAAACCACAGGTCAAAGGTTAATTGCTAAGTGAATGCAACAGCGCTCAACACACAAAGTGCTCATTTTCTAGACTCACAATGGCAATGCTGGTGTTAAGATGCGTTCTACTGGTGTGCGATCAAAATAGGAATTTTGATTACAATCATAGAAACTCAAACTATATTTTCAACACATTTAGTAGTGTTTTGGAACTTCTTGATGAATTAATGTGAAATAATTAAAAGTGTTGATTTGATACAGCTCCATACCAGAATGCCACTAGAATAGGTAAATTAAATTAGCTTAACCACATCTCCATCTGATAACATTTGTAGTACTTAAGTAATAATTTGATTAAATCTGTTTTAATATAAATTAAGCAATGGAGAGGAGGAGAAGGTCAACAATTTGGTAGATGGAAATATAATAAAAACATAAAACTTTATATTTTCTGAAATTCTTTTTTTTTTTTTTTTTTTTTTTTGAGACGGAGTCTTGCTCTGTCACCCAGGCTGGAGTGCAGTGGCACGATCTTGGCTCACTGCAAGCTCTGCCTCCTGGGTTCATGCCATTCTCCTGCCTCAGCCTCCCGAGTAGCTGGGACCACAGGCGCCCGCCACCATGCCTGGCTAATTTTTTTGTAGTTTTAGTAGAGATGGGGGTTTCACTGTGTTAGCCAGGATGGTCTCGATCTCCTGACCTTGTGATCCGCCCGCCTCAGCCTCCCAAAGTGTTGGGATTACAGGCGTGAGCCACTGCGCCCGGCCTATTTTCTGAAATTCTAATAACAGGGTAGATGACATACTTCAATTACTAGCACAAGAGAAAATTTTGTGTCAGTACTGTGCTGGTAATATTTGCTTAATATTTTGATTAATTAGTTTTGGTATTGATTTTTTTCGTTAAACAAGATTTTTGCTTAGCAAATATTATATCAGTAATTATATGCTTCATTTTGTCTGGTCCAATGACTAAAATAGCAATAATTGTAGTAAGGAATGTGGTAATGGTGGCATGAACCTAGAGATCATGGTACCTTGTAACATTTATTAGGTCAACTCTTTTATTAATGCATAATGTGACTCGCTAAGGAACTTGAATTATTCTGTACTCATAAAAGTTAATATACTTTCTTCTCTCTTTTCTTCTACTCCTTAGAGGGCCAATGGGTTTATATATTCCCTGACCAGAATTATTTCACATAAGGAAAATTAGTTATACAAGTTAATAGTGATCTTTAACAATCTGCTGCTTATATATGTGGGAAGCCAATCACTCAGGAGAGAATGCAATCGGGTCCAAAGCCAGTGTGGGTTTCCCCAGGAAGCTGGGGCTGACTGTCCTGACTCCTGACTCCTGACTCCTGAAATTGTCACGCAGCACAGTGCTGCTCTTCTGGGCATTGGAGGAAAGGCTTTAGAGAAACAGCTCATGTTTATGTCCAGAAATTTGTTATTCCTAAATAACCAGTATGCTGGAGAAATACAGTTAGTGAAGAATGCTTTCTTGAAAAATCAGAGAAGTCACCTATTGGAAAACTCTTCACTTTGGAGTCTCCCTAATTTCATGCCTTTTCTTGAAATAAGTTCTCAAGAATCGCTTCAAAGTTTATCCAAAAATGATTGTTTTCAATCAAATACTATGCACCAAGAGAGTATTTCAATTTTTTTGTGTGTTGTGATATCAATTTAAAAATATCTAGTGTTGGAGAGTCATATAAACAAATTATAAAATTACTTTTCTCTTTATAAGCAGTCATCTAGTTTTTTTTTTGTATTTGTATTGTTACTTTATGTTCATCATCATTATTTCATATGTTAATTGTATATTGTAAGGCTCACATGCCACACAATGGCATTTTGGTCAATAATAGACTGCACATATGACAGCGATCCCATAAGACAATAATACTATATTTTTTACTGTTAACTTTTCTATATTTAAATACACAAGTACTTACCATGGTGTTACAGTTGCCTACAGTATTCGGTACAGTAGCATGCTGTACAGGTTTGTAGCCTAGGGACAATAGGCTCTACCATATAGCCTAGGAGCATGGTAGGCTCTACCATCTAAGCTTGTGTAAGCACACTCCATCACACAATGACAAAATTGCCTGACGATGCATATCTCAGAACATATCCCCATCCTTAAGTGACACATGACTGCATAGTCTTAGAAAAGCTGTGTTTCTTTCTTGCTTCAATATGGAATTAAATATAGATATTGAGAAGAGAAGAAACAGTGTGGTAGAGTAGAAAAGAGTAAGAGCTGGCGTCAGAAAACTATGATTGTGCTGCTAATAGCCAGACTATGAGCTATTCCAGTGCAACTTTCCTTTTGTGCTTGACTGTGCATTGCCTAGCCAAATGAGTTGTAGAGGTCAAACTTGTTGAATAAATGACTCAGGGAAAAAAAAAAGTGTATTGTGTAATCCTGATCACAAAAATTACCTGTTCTTTTTGGATCTCAGTTGTCTCATCTATAAAATAAAGTGATAAAGCAATACTTAGATTTATTTTACATGCTATTTCCTATAAAAATCAGTGACTTCTAATTTTATATAAATTCATAAAGATCTCTTAAATCAAAGTAGGAAGATAGTTACTTGTATTTTAATACACTACATTCATATTGATCATTGAAGATTTTTTAAAAATAAACACCAGGGTTGAGAAAATTTTTGGTTTATTATCAGCTACCTTTTTAGTATCAGTTCAAACAACACACACACAGCTTACTAGGCAACAATATCATTGAATGGGTTACAACTCTGTCATCTTGCAGACCTTCAGACATGCTATATCTAAAGTGAGAAGGGAAAGAACACATCAATTATTTTATAATTCAATTCAACAAATATTTGGTTGACACTTGCAGTATTATTGGCATCTAACACTAAAATAAGGTTCCTAGACTTATATGATTGTTCAAGCTAGTGGTTTAATAATCCTCTTAAATATTAAAGTTTGTGACCTGCAAGATATTAAATAAAATTTAGGGAAAAATTATGGCAGTGAAACAGAATTACCTTATAATTTGAAAATATCACTTCAAAGACTTGTTAAATCTCCTTCCTTCCTTCCTTCCTTCCTTCCTTCCTTCCTTCCTTCCTTCCTTCCTTCCTTCCTTCCTTCTTCCTTCCCTCCCTCTCTCCCTCCCTCTTTCTTTTCCTCTCTCTCTATCTTGTCAAAATGCCAAAGTAAGTAATGGGGTTTAGTTTTTTTTCAGTCTGCTTAATTGGATGAAAACAGCATACACATATAAAATACAAGAGACATGGCATCAGGTTAATTTATATTTATCACTTAATTGAATACATAGTGGAGCCATAGGAGGGGGACAGTTGCCTGGAATGGAAGAATAGCATTTATCTGCCTACTATGAGTTAGAGTTAAGGTAAAATTTAGTTACAGGTGATAGAGACTTCCATTTTACATCGACTTTTACATTTTTAACTGTTCATTTTGAAGGACATCTTTGACTTTTAAATAAAATTTTCTTGGAAAAATTTGATCATCAGACCATGATTCTGTTTCTTCTGAAGACTTGCCAAATCAGGACTAGATTTTGTGGGAAGAGTCACTGGGCTCCCAGAAGTCGCAGTTGTTGAAAGCTGTGCTCAACCCTCAGCCCCACTGTTTCCTAGCTGTGGGACCTTTGGGCAAATTGCTTGACATCTCTAAGCCATTTACAGATTTTGTCATCTGTAAATGATGCTTAACTCACAGATGGCAGTGAGGACTAAATGAAACCACATAGATACAGCTCTTAGTCCAGCACTAGGTGCGCAGTAAACCATCCATCGTGGTGAGCTACTCTCAATGTGGGAGATGGAACCATAAGAAAGTCTATGGGGAAGTGAAATAACCAAAAGCAAAACTTGATTTAGGCAGCTCGTTTCTGACATTAGGCTGTCAGTATATTACGAAAATATTTCAAGGACATTAAGTCATCTCTTGTTTAGCAGAATATAGGCCTCAAGGTTGACAAAAGCTTTACATTTGGGGGCCAGGTCACTGCCTGCAATATATATATATAAATGCAAATGGCTATTTGGCACTTCTTCCATGTGGCTCTCTGCTGTGAGAGCAGGCTGCTTGCATGTTAGACTAATTGCTTCAATTAGCAAAATTAAATGGCTCATTATGTTTTTATACAATTCCACCCATATTCTGCAGTTTTACTTTAGAATGAGTAATGATACTGTCGAGGCTGTAGATTGAGAGTCTTGCCACATGCCCATTTTTAGGACAGCAACTAGATAAGACATATGTCAACACAACAACTTCAGTGGTCTGATGCTGCCACCCAGGTGCCTATGTGAGGAGAAGGGATGCCACTCGAATGCTCAGGGCATTTCACGGCCTGTTACAGGTCCAGACAAGAGTCTCAGAAATGGGGGATAGAGCGGAATCGCCCATCCTTGGCCATTTTGAAACACTGGAGCATCAGGTGGGAGGAGTGTTATGAGTCAGAAGCTGACACAAGCGATCTTTTTGATTGTTTTCAAAAATGACATTGGATTGCCGAGACAAAGGAACGTTGATCTGCATCTGTCACTGAAATTATAGGAATGACCACCCCAGTCCTCCTGTGTTTTCACCATGCGCTTCAACCATCCTCTGAGCTATAATCTGAATGACAGTATGAGCTATTTTTAAAAAGGCTTTAAGGAATTCTCCTTAGCACATAAAAATGCAGGCATCTCATCCAAGCTTTATATAGAAACAGCAATGGCTAATGGCAAAGATATGTGGAAAATGCAAGGGAGCATATATTTAGTCTAGAAAATGGTTCATTAGAAAAAATCTCTGGATTCTTGTCTAAACATTGTGTCAGAACTTGTTTCCAATCAACGGCATTTGGTATATTTAAAAGCAAATGTGTAACCTTACACAATCCTGGTAAGGACAGAAGAGGTTCTCTTTGCTCAATTCAATCTGTTCAGAGAAAGAAACTTTGAAGTGACACAGAACTATTTTATTCAGCTGTTTAAAAGATGAGATCCTTAAGAAGTGATAAAACTCATTCGAGCTAAGAAGTGCTGAATTATATTTAGGTATTTCCAACTGAAGTTCGTAAGTGTGTTGGTCTTATAGATGGACTGTAAGCTTGGGTTGGTTTTGAAAAAGGAGCAGGAAAATGCTTCTTTTCTAAAAAGTTTATGTACAATTTATATGCATAACATACCACTTTATATACATTCAAAAGCAGTATATACTTTATCCTTTTCATCTCTGTTACTTTAGTTGGAAAGTGTGTGTGTGTGTGTGTGTACATACATATATAGGTACGTATATATACATATATGTATGTACACAAACACACTTAAAAGGCACATATCATTTTTAAAAAACAGCCATTGAGTTTTCAACTATTCTCATTCACTTTTAATTGTTCTGTGCAATCACTTCCTTTACTCATAGAGCAAAATAAATTGGGCATTTAGAAATTAACCATAAAATACTTCATTTTACTTTTATCCTCAGATTATCTTTTGCTAATACTTGAATTATATATTCTTGCCATGTCAGTAAGAGAATTTATTATATTTGTTGGGTTAACAGCGTTTATCACAAATGAGTAGTAACTAAGTGTCTGCAAAGTCAGTGCTATTGAACTAGACAGTATGTAGTTAAGTAAATAAGCAAAGAGGATTTAAAGGACATAGTCATTTTGGGAGACTAAACTTTGACTTACATGGAAAAATTATTTCCTTTTCTTTCACACAAACACTTAAAGTGTCACTATGGTTAAGATACACACACACACATTATATATATTCATTAAACATGGTTTCATATTTAGAAATGCAAGTTTAAAAGTAAAACAAATTACAATGTTGTTCCTTTAGAAAATTTCCTGATCCTATGCAAAAAGTGAGTAAGAGCAGATCTCCCTCTTAAATGGAATCAAAGTGGACTCAGACACAGAAAGGAGCCTGCAGATAAGGAACCCAGCATTTCCAATTTTTTCCTTTGGGATTCTCCAGTTACTGTCTGCGGAGGGTTTAATGGCAGATTGAAAAGGAAATGTTAGAATTAAAATATAAATACAAAAATGAAACTTTGTTTCTTTGTACACTGATGATGTCTCTTTAAATCTGAATACTTTAAACTCTCTGTTATCTGTGCATCTAGAAAACAAGTAAAAGTTGTTATTACCACAACAGTCTGATGGCAGTGTAGTGCTTCCTGAATCATGGAAGCAAGGCTAAATCATGATTTATCTCTTGTTTTGCTCTTGTAATCTTTTGAAAGGTTGTAATTCATCACATCATGGATATGTTCTTTCCTTAACAAGAATTCATGCCTAATTAAAACATCATAATCTCCAAATATGTCGGATAACAGAGTATTTACAGTATTTGGGAAATCACTGAAAAATTCAACCTCCTTACATTCTCCTGACTGCCAATCTCACCTCCAAGTCAAAGCACAGTACATCATTTTTCATTGACATAGTATTCATTCTGACTCTTAACATGTTGAATGAGGGATCAAGTTGAGAAATAACTTAGAACTTACATGATTGAAGCATGATGGGGCCTGTTGGGTTTGTGTTGATTGATTGACTCTATTAGACTGTAATCTGTGATTTACTCATAGAATCAAAGGTACAGTTCAACTGAGAAACTCAATTTCCAAAGATCATCAGTTAAAAGTTGTCTTGGAAACAATGAAGCTAATAACTCAAGGTTCTGCACAAAAGTGAAGAATTTGCCAAAATCGTTTTTTCCTTCTCCAGTGGGGATGGAATGTTTTCACCATGTGCTGACAAGAAGAGCCTTTTCCTGGGCCTTTACTGGTGACTAGGTAATCTTTCCACATCCCAACAAAAGATTAGTATTTTTTAGTGGAAATCTTGCTTGGAGGATCAAATCATGGAGTACTAGGAAGTATGTCTACTTATAAAAATTGTCTATTTTTTAAAAAAATTGATTTGGGGCTTTGTACCAAAAGAAGTCCTAGGTTGAGCCCTCTGTTACTTCCTGTGGATGTCATCGTGGGGACACAGTCTCTGGATGACACACCCATTACAGGTGGTGGCTAGAGAACTGGACTACTTTGTGTGAATTAGATCCAAATAACCGAATAATTAAGTTAAACTTTTTTCTTTTTCTTTTTTAGTGGTTTGACTAATACTTAATCTATCAGTTGGGTTAATATAAAACCAGGGAAGGAAGTTTAAGACAGCTTCCACTGTGGTCAGGTTTGTTATAATGGATGGATGAAAGTAATCATTTACATCTTTGATTTCCTGGGAAACATTGGCCAGTCTTGACAAGCCCTTTCTATTTAAGCTGATTCTCTCTTCACCTGATATTCTGATAGCACCCCTGGCCAGGTTCCTGGGGGCACCAACTTGCAAAGTAGGGTGATCTTGCAAGAGACAAATGTTTTCAATCTGCTGAGGCAGGCTGATGGAATTTGTGGACCAGTTTCTGACATCCCAAGTAATTATGATGCTTAAAGTATTTTAAACGATTCCAGGTCTATAAAAAATGTGATGATGCCTATGTGTATACCCTATATTTTTTATTACAAAAATATTGAAATAATCCATGAGTTATTCCACTCTGCACCAACTATAAAAAAATACTATCAAAGTTTGACCGGCACTTTTAATGCAACGAAAAGCACCATGACCGAGGACACTGAGAACAGAAAGCGGGGAACGTTTACTTGCTGTACGGAGGTATTTAAAACCCAGAAGCTTGTTGTAAGAGTGCGACTTTACAGATGATTCAAATACAAATCTTAGCTGGATATAGTGATAAGCCCTCTCTCAGTTCAGAAGGGTTTTTTCATAGCATATTCATTGCATTTGTCTGCTCATACTTACTAAAAAGTGTCCCAAAGCCTCTAAAAGACACATCACTTTGACCTTGGATTGGGGGGAGGAAAAGTCTGTACACAGTGGAGAACTTGATTGCTCGTTCTCTCGCCTGCTTTTAGGGGGCTCATGCCACTCATTCTCAGTTGTTTGGGGCTTCCACGTCAGTCCTGTGGTTGGATGGTGTTTGGCACTAGAAAGGAGTGGCACGGAGTCTTCCAGAGTCAGCATCTGCCTATGGTCACACAGAGCCACTCATTCTGCGTCTGGAAACAGATCCGGTTCCAGCCCATTCCTCTGGCTCGCGCCGCACTGCCGTTATGTCCCAATGGGCGCTGCACATGCCTGGGAATCAGACTCTCATTTTGCCTTTTTCCCCACTTCCTCTTTGTGTACCTGTTACATTTTTGCAATTGAATACTGAATCATGATTACTATTTAATTTACATCATGAAGTTATTGAGCTCCTTGGTCTTGTTGAAAGCCGTACATGGGCTGCATAGGATTTCTGTCAAAAAGGATGTTCGCAACTGAAAATTTAAAATATAAAACAAATCCTGAAATGTGTAGAAAATGAACCACTCCATCAATGCTAACACATGTGTAGACAACATTTGGGTTTGCTGTCCGTTGGATAGGATTTTCACACATGGTATGGATTTCCAAATGAGAAAATGGTTTCTTTTCTAAGCAATACTATTTTTTTTCTCGAGGGATGTTTCCCTCTTTCTTTGTTTTTATATTCCTGTGGGAATCAGAGCTTTGCATCAAGAAAAGTCACCTAAGCTTTTTTGACAGAGGACTGGTGTAACTTATGTGTGTTAGTGTGTGTATGTGTGTATGACTGAATCTATTTTTATGGAAAGATCAGTTAACGCCATCAAGACACCCTAATGATTGGAGGCAAAATTTTTCCATAATAGTAGTACCCTCTGGTGGGTGCACCCAAGACCGTGCAGGAGGAGTTTGGTAGCAATGGAGAGTCCTATTAAGCCAGCGTCATTCTTTCAGGTGGAGTCAGAGACTCTCGGGTGCAGCTGCTTTGGAAGGAGACCAGCCGCCCCCAGCCGACAGGATCAAATGATAATGGTGATGACGGTCCCACTAGGAACTTCACGGCTCACTGCCCTGCTCTAGGATGAAGTGTCATTATGGCCACAGCCCTGCTGTCACCCCTTCATCTGGATGTTGTGGGTCCTGCAACTCCTTTTGCTTTATAAAGTGGTTTCGTACTCCAACCGCTCCTGAATAAGGGCATCATCTTTGTACTGCAGCCTTGGAGGAGATGGGGAACATTCAAAAGCTAAAATAGCCTTTCGGAGGCTTCGGTCCAAAACATGTCTCTCCCATGCTGGGTACCTATTCCTGAACAAGTCAATTTTAATGACTGATTCTTCAATCCGTGGTGGGCGAGATGATGGGGTGGATGGGGCAGTGGGCCTCACTTGAAAGACAGGTACACACCCATCCCGCTCTGCGAATTTCTGATCGCGGTCGCTGACAACACTGCGGTTGTTGGAGATGGACCGTAGGGTGCTTGTGGCCACGTCTGGGGGCAAAGTGAAGGCAGCGGCTGGGTCCTCACAAGCACAACTTGGTGACTGCCCGAATCTGGGTCCATTGGGATGAAAGAAGGCATAATACATCAGCATAAAAACAACGCCAGTTAAAAAGCTGCTGAACACCACACACAGCGCTGGAATGGCAAATGCGTCTGCAATCTGGGGAGCCTTGTAGAGGTACCAGAGGGCACTCAAGGCTGTATTTTCCAAAAGGATCACAAAATAGTAAATGAATAGCCTGCAGCGTGTCCTGCCTTCCTTGACATTGAACCAACTGAAGATATAGATAATCCCCACCACCATGTCGAACACAATCTCTTCCCATTTGGTGATACAGAATTCTGTCTCACAGTGGACGATCCAGAAGGTCATGATGCACCAGTGAAGGACGATGAAGATCCCAAAGTACAGCTGGAAAACCGAGGCAAAGAGGGCAAACGTGATGACCCTGGCGGCGATGGTGAAGAAGTGCCAGCAGAACTGGATGATGACGGCCATGTAGCTGATGGGCTTCTTGTCATCTCGAGAGTCCCGGAGGGCCTTCTGGTAGGAGGCCAAGGCCCAGGCCAGGGACACGAGGGAAGCTGCCGCTGTGAAACCTACAAAGGCAAACAGGAAGACAGTGTGTCAGAAATCAGTTGCAGCAATGCCCCCTGGAAGTCACACAGAGCTGGGGGCTTGGGGAAGGCTGGCTTTGACCTCAGCAAAGACTCTTAATTTCTTTTTTTTTTTTTTTTTGAGACAGAGTCTCGCTCTGTTGCCCAGACTGGAGTGCAGTGGCACCATCTCTGCTCACTGCAAGCTCCGCCTCCTGGGTTCACGCCATTCTCCTGCCTCAGCCTCCCCAGTAGCTGGGACTACAGGCGCCCACTACCATGCCTGGCTAATTTTTTATATTTTTAGTAGAGACGGGGTTTCACCATGTAAGCCAGGATTTTCTTTGGGTTTTAACTCAGATGGGGATCCTCGTATCTGTCTTCTCTAAGGCTCACCCATATGGAGAAGTCATGAAGCTAATAGGAATGCTACTCAAACCCAGCATGGGTGTGAGACCTGGAAATGGGATGGAGTTTAACTTTCTGTATTTGGTGTAAATGGACTAAGGAGGTAATTTTGTGAAGTGGGAAAATAACCATGGACCGGAGGCTGTCAGAACTGGGTTGTTGCTTCAACTTTGCCACTTACTACCCTCATGACCTTGGACTATTGTCAAAATGGGTGTCCTCATTTATAAAGTGTGTGATCTCCAAAGCTCCCTGTCAGCTTTGTGATTCCATGATTGAAGGGGATATGTGATCACAAGAAATTAGGGACTACCTGGTTTATCTTTCTGCTTGTAAGCAGGATTAAATTTAGTTTATTCACAAAAGACAGTTTATGCATTCTTAAAAATAAAAGGTGTGTGTACAACATCCTTGGCAATGTTTCTTGTGATACCTGGTGCACAGTTTGTCCTAGTGCAATCTGGCACTCTTCCTACAGCCTTTATCTGTTCCTTATTGCCTTTCCCACAAAAGAAGACATGTCCGTTCCCTGTCTTCCATCTCTTAGCTCTTCATAGATTAAAGATTGTGCTGAAATTATTTTTCAATCACTCCTCTTATTTTATCATTTTATTGGTCCCATTTGGTTGGTATTCCCTCTAAAAGTAGGCTTCCAAATGTTAAAAGTCATTTGTATTGTTTTCCTCTACTCTTGTTCCACCTCCTGTATGGCACAGTTCATCTCTATCGTCCAGATGTGGCCAGGGCTCACCTAAAAACACACTGGCCTCCTTTAGGAGAGAGCTCTTATGGGAAATTCCTCTGTCACAGAAATGGTATGCCAATCTGCATCGCAGCTGGCTTCCCTAATGAGCTGAACCAAGACTCACCAAGACTAAGAATGGTCTCATCTATTTTAAAGTCTGGCTGGCTTTTTCTTCACCAAATCTATTATTAATCATAACCAGGCCCCATTAAAGCCTTTCTCTTCTTTTGGATATAATAGAAGATATGTTGATTGCCAAGATCTTATAATGGAAATGGTACTTTTTATTCAAAAATATTTTTATAGGGAAGAGCTGTTGTCTATGATCCTTGAAAAATGAAAAGAAAGTACTCTTGTGGAAAAAGACCACACTAATTGACAGGAAATACATTCAACCCCAATAATTATTTCTGATACATCCTCGTTGAGTAAGGTGAACTCCAAAGAACAATTATTGATAAGGAAAATATTTTCTAAGAGCCATTTCTCATATTTCCTCCCAATAAAGCCAGCAGAACAACTAGACATGCTACACTGGGACCTTCAGGTTTTTCTTTTCTTTTCTTTTTCTGGCTAGCACAAAAATCTTTAATTGCTGTAAGTCACAGGCAGCTGTGGTGCTATTTATAGGTCAGAGACCAGTATACAAAGGAGTTTCTGATAATTTAATTTCTAAGCAACAGAAAACATCGACATCAATTATAAAACAAATTCTGGAGTGAAAGAGGGGGAAGGAGAAAAAGTTTAAAAAATGACAAAAGAAGGTGAGAGAAATGCGAAATAAAAGGTAATGGGATAATGACTATGCGAACATCTTTATTATCACTTGGGGATTTAAGAACAAAAGATTGTGCCTTTTTTAATTTCGACGCTTTTGTAGGGCATAGAAGCCGCTCATATCTCTCTTCTTATGTGTACCACTTGCAAACGTGTAGCTTCTCACTAGACTATGCTCCCTTTGTGCTTTTAAACGCGGCGCCCAGCTGGGTTTCTGCCCGGGAACGCCCCTCCCCTTCCTTCACGCCGGCCTCCTTCAGCACAGCTGGGGCACAGCGCCGCCTTCAGGAAGATAACTGCACCGCCGGTCAGGCTCGCGCCAACCAAAGCGGGGTTGTTAACGGGGTGGTCAGAATGGTTCTACCAGTTTGCACAGGAAGACGTTACTTAAGGCTGCTTTCCAAAGCAGTGAAAAAATAGTAAGAAAACTTTAAGTACACAGTATCATGAAATGATGATATGATCTGTTGTCAGATTTAAAAGAATAGAAACATTAGCCTCCTTCAAATTACCCTGTAATCTCTACCCCTTTTATTGCGTGTCCTAAAAGAGTAATTCAGCCTGCGTTTGACACTCCAGGAACTTGTTAAGATGATACTGTAGCCGTAGAAAAATGAAGGCTTTCTATCAGCTTTGCTCTCTCTATATCTTACAATTTAAAAAATCTATACCAAAGGGAAATTTCATGTCCCTGTGATACCCTCTTTATGAATTCTCTGCTTTAGCAATGAGAATTTCTCTTCTTCCTTTGTTGATGATGATGATGATGATTTTTTGAGACAGAGTCTCACTCTGGCTGGAGTGCAGTGGCACGATCTCAGCTTACTGTAGCCGTCACCTCCTGGGTTCAACCCATCCTCATGCCCCAGCCTCCTGAGTAGCTGGGACCATAGGCATGTGCCACCACGCCTGGCTAAGTTTTGTATTTTTAGTAGAGAGGGGGTTTCACCATGTTGGTCAGGCTGGTCTCGAACTCCTTGCTTCAAGTGATCCTCCTGCCTTGGCCTCCCAAAGTGCTAGGATTTTAGGCGTGAGCCACCGTGCTGGGGCTTCCTTTGATTATTATTTACTTTTTCTTCTGTTTAACAATTGATTTTTATAAGACAAATATATGCTGAACAGAAAATATGGGGTCATATACAAGTTAAGACCCTTACAACTTCACAAATTCACAACTGCCACAGAACACTTAGTTCTTTTGCTCTTTATACAAATAATACGAGCTCAGTTTTTTCCAATGCCAAGACAGACTTCCTCAGCAAGGCATGGCCTTATTCTTAGAGTTCTCTGGAGCTTCTGATATGCAGTGGCACAGTGCTGGAACACAGGACTCTGAGCACTCCTTTAGCTATTAATGTGTATTTTAAGTTGTTATTTGAAAATAATTTCAAACTTACAGAAAAATTATAAGACTAGAAATATTATATTGAACATCTATATTTCATTTGCCCTAATTGTCAACTGACTTTATCATTGCCCTCTCTCTGTCTCTGTCTCTCTCTCTCACCCATTTGCGATTAAATGCATACATTATGGTCCTTTATCCTAAAATATGCCAGTGTTTATTTCCTATGAATAGGGGCATTCTCTTACATAACCACATAAAGTTATCAACTTCAATCAATTTAACATTGACACAGTACTTTAAAAAAATCCACTATCAGTATTCTAGTTTCACCAATTGACATTAACAATGTCCATTCCAAAATTTTTCTCCCCTATACAGGATCAAGTCTAGAATCAGGTACTACATTTGGCTGTTGTATTAATTCAGTTTTCTTTAATCTGGATTATTTCCAAATACTTTCTTTGACTTTATGACACTGACATTGTTTGAAGAGTATAGTACTTGAAAATAAGAAAAAAAGAAAAAAAAAGGTGTTCCTAATTTTGGGTTTACCTGCTGCTTCTTCATGGTTACATTGCTAGGCAGGAATATATAAGTGACATTGAACAATGTATTTTTTCAGGATCATCATACTAAAATATGACGATTCCTTCAGTGGCCCCAGGAAAAAATATATAATGGGTCTGTCAGTCTTTTCTTTCAAAATAATGAATAGTATATCACTCATGAAAACTTGCTTCTAAGATCAAGCTATAAAAACAGCTACAGGGGACTAAAAGGGATTATATATTATCTCTTAAAATGTGAAAATAGGTGATAAGACCTTAGAGCTTACCTAGTGCAATAATCTTATTTTATAGAAAAGAAATTGATTCTCACTTTGAGAGGTTATCTTCCCTCTCTCCTGCCTCCCATTTATCTTGGGTGAAAATTGTCCTTCTCCAAAGCGAACTCTCCTACTTCCTAAACAAGGGCGCTAACAGTTAACCTGCCTTTCTCTGGATTCCATCTCCTCCTCTATAAGAGCGCCTTCCCCAGATCTTACAAACATGTAACAAGCCTCCTTTAACCCAAGAAACACCATTGGTGTGATTTTTTTCTCTCTCCTCTTCTTTATTTCAGACGTGTCTCCTGTTTTCCCTCCTGTTGTTTCTTGTTGCCCCATTTTGGTCTGGTTGTCCTTTAGCTACTGGCATTGCTTGGGATGCAGTCCTCAGTTCTCTTCCCTTCTCAGCCTTTTTCTGGGTGACCTCAGTCACTCCATGTCTTGAATCCAGCAGACAGCAAATGCCCATCTGGACTCCCAGCCTTTCTGAGCCCCAGAACTGTGTGTCTGACTGTGAGACCTGAAACCCCACGGGCCTACGATGAAATACCTGGAAGCAATCTGGCTGTAGGTGACAACATTTGCTTTCTCGTGGAAAGAACACAATTCCTGTTCCTTAAGAGCATGGATCCCACTTTATAATTATGCTTCATTTTGTGCTTGTTTAATTAGTGTATTTCTCACTACAGAGGGTCTTTTAGGCGGGGATAAATACTTGTTTATCTTTCTGTCCCCTTGAGCATTGCAAAGTGCTTAACATATATTCAGAATTGACACTTAGAGGGAAAAGAAGGAAGGACGGAAGGAAAAAAAGAAAGAGTATTCCAAATGTAGAGCCAGAACCACAGAGAGAGTGAAGTGTTCAAAAGATTTGCATGGTTCTTTATTGTTCCTCTCTTCTGCTTCTTTGCAATTTCAGTTTCAGCTGCAAATGCCAAATCACTGTGTAATAAAATCTGAACTCCTGTTGTGTTGTTTGTGGTCTGGGTGTAAACAAGAATTCGTGGAAATCCCCAGAGCACGCTTCGTAGGATGTACAGCCTAATTCTCTAGATGGAAGAGGCTCAGTAAATTAACCAAGTGCTCGAATTCTTTGATTCTTCCACGAAGAGAATGAGCCTGTCTTTTTCTTTCTCTCTAAGGAGGCCATAACCTTCCCCTGTGACAGGCAAGCCAAAGTTTGCACTCTCAGAGAAACTTCTGGTCACTGGCCCACATTCACAACCAAATTGCAGCTGGTGAGAAGGGCTCTTTTTTTTTGTTCTAACTTAAAAATTTACTATCATGAACATTTACAAACATACAAAAAAGCAGAGAGAATAAAACAACAAATGCATCCTTCATACGGAATCAACTAAAGGGCTCTCATTGACTTCTTTCTCTTTATTTCCAGAGTCAGAACAGCTGTGCTGATGGCTGGGACTCTCTCAGGACAGCTTGGAAGGCCCGACCTGGCAGCTCTCTGGGCCCACCGGAGCTCTCCTGCCTTGTCTTGTACCTGCCTCTCTGTGCTCCAGCCACACTGCCATCTCTCCGTTTCTCAAATGCTACGTAAAGCCGCATTCTCTTCCCACAGATAGAAAATGCTGTGCTCGCCCTTGAAAAGCCTCTCTCTCCAATGAATTCCCACTCATTCCTCAATTTTCAGTTGAAGCATCATTCATTCCTTTGGGAAACCTTTTCTAGCCCCTAACACCCTGCATTGGTCCTAACATACCTTGGCATGACTGCTGTAGCTCTGTATCTGCGTGGGTACTGACGGATGTGACTCCAGGAGGGAGGGTGTGCAGCCTGTGGCTCACCACGGTATCCCCAGCACCTGTCTCTCTGCTTGCCTATTAACTTCCTAAATTAGTGCATTTTCCCCTGTCATTTAAAAAAAAACTTTAATTTTTTCATTTGTATATATCGACAGAGCACAAGTACAGATTTCTTGCATGCCTATGTTGTATTGTGGTAAAGTCTGGGCTTCTATGTGTACCCATCACTCAAATAGTAAACATTGTGCCTGAGAGGTAATTTTTCAGCCCTCACCCCCCTCCACTCTCCCACCTTTTGGAGTCTCCAATGTCTATTATTCCACTCCATATGTCCACATGTACCCATTGTTTAGCTCCCACTTGTGAGTGAGAACATGCGGTATTTGACCTCCTCTTTCTGAGTTATTTCACTTAGGATAGTGGCTCCCAGTTCCATCTATGTTGCTGCAAAAAAACATGATTTCAGTCTTTTTTATGCCTGCATGGTATTTCCATGGTGTACATGTACCATATTTTTTTTAATCCAATCCTCCTTTGATGGACACTTAGGCTGACTCCATATTTTTGCTATTGTGTATAGTGCCACGATCAACATACAAGTGCAGGTGTCTTTTCAGTATAATCATTTCCTTCCCTTTGGGTATGTACCCAGTAGTGAGAATGCTGGATGGAATGATAGTTCTAATTTTAGTTCTTTGAGAAATCTCCATACTGTTTTCCATAAAGGTTGTACTGATTTACATTCCCACCAACAGTGTATAAGCATTCCCTTTTCTCCACATCCTTGTCAACATCTGTTGTTTTTTTGACTTTTTAATGAATGAGTACATTTGCCATACAGTAGCTTTTCTCATATCATTTCCCTGTCTTCCCAACATCATTGCAAACATCTTGACTTCCCTTTTTCTCTCCCCATTTCTTCGTCCTTTCTGTTGATTTCAACATTTTTTAGAGGAAATTTAAAGTATCTTCTCACAAGTAGTTTTAAGAATGGATGATTTACAACATAACCCTACTATAGAGGTGAGATGATCACATGACCATTCATTACACATATATCTTCTCCTCACACTCTCACCATAATTTTTTCACCTAAAGGCATAATTTCTAAGTAAACCAACCAACTAACAAACACAATACTGAATTTTAGATGGCAGTATAATATTGATTTCTTGCAGTCAAGAAATTTTATAGTTTCTTTAGTGCATATGAGGCTCATAATCATAGACAAATTAAGAAGGAACAAGCATTTGTTGGGCCCTTGCTTTGTGCACAGTGATATGTTAGGCAACTACAGCCTTTGTGCAATATAAGTGTCATAAGAACACTTTGAGGCAAGTATTGTTTTTTGCAAACAGGCAAACAGAACCAAAGAGAGGTTAAATGACTTGCCCACACTCATGTAATTAGCAATGAGAACAGGCATCAGAAGTCCTGCTTCCAAAGCTCCATCCACCACAATGGATTGGTATGGTTACCTTCACCAACAACCAGAGCATGAGACTTACAAGTGCAGGGACATCTCAAATCTCCCACAGTTCACACTCACGGGGTACATGGCAGGCTGTGGAGGACCTGGAGGTCTTTAACTCTTGCCCCCTCTTTAGGCAACTGCTCCCTAATAGGTTTGCCTCACACTAATTCCTGTAGGACTGTAGCAACCATATTGGTGCCAAGGCCAAAGGATCAATTTTGGATTCTTTTCACAAAATGGATCAGAGGCACAAGCACCTGGGAGGAAAGCCATGCTTTTCTCCTCTTTGCACTTTCTGATCTAAAAGAGGCCTCCTAGTCTTCTTGGATTTTTGCCTGAGGAAAGACAGTTCCATACTTGAGTTGAATCATGTGATCTAAGAGTAGCAGGTCACAAAATGAATATCCAGAGCCAGAATGGTTTCCCATTTCTGCAGTGTGTTTAGAGATTGTCTTTTAGTTACAAGTATAAAAGCAGTAGAACCTCTTGGCTGGAATCATAGCTAATTAACCTAGTTGAAGGAAGGTAATAATTGAAAAAAAAACACGACAACCTCTATGCTCAGATCTTTGCTGAGTGCAGTGAAGGGAAGGAAGGTAATACAAGCTCCACCGGGTCTAGGGCTTTCTCAGTATCCCTGCACTGAAGCCATTTTATCTCTGTTTTAAACCTTGTAATAGTTCTGATTAAAAATATTTAAATGCTTTAATATGTTTAGTTTTGGTAGGGATATACTTTCTTTTGGTAATCCATTTGGAGGATTTCTACTTCTTTGCAAGGCAAATTGTGAGTCTGCTGAGGAGATGATAAGGAAAACAACGAATTGAAATTAAAAAAAGTTTTAATATAAAAAGAGTTGGAGGAAGTTGTTGGGAGAAGCAAAGTGTCTCTCCTCCTTCTTGACAAATATGGAAGATTATTTCCTTCTGGTTGGGAAAACATATCTCAGATAATCTCACATAGCTCCATTCCATTATAAAATTTAGTTTTTTATTAAAATTTCTCAAGAAGACAAATATTTTAAGTGTGGGAATTTGAAACTATCTAAACAATACTTTCTCTGAGAAAAAAATTCTGTAAATGGGAGAAAGCAAGAAGGCCCTCTTCTTTGTTCAGTACTACATATTGCGTGATTAATTTTACACTAAAAATAAAATGATGATACAATAAGTAACCTGAGATGCCCAATAGAATTAAGTTTTTGTTTAGGGTAAGTTTATTTTCCATCCCACGTTTAAAAAAAAAGACACTGAATGATTTTTTTGTTTGTTTTTTTGTTGCTTTTCTACTTTCAGGGGCAGGCGAGAAATGAAGAGGGAAACACGGATGGAGACAGGAAGACAAGCTGTGTCCCTTTCTTACCTGTCCATGAATGACATGGCTAGAAAACAGCAAGGTTAATCTGCATTTAATGATCCCAGCATGCTTTGGGAGGCCGAGGCGGGCGGATCACTTGAGGTCAGGAGTTCGAGACCAGTCTGGCCAACGTGGTGAAACCCCGTCTCTATTAAAAATACAAAAATTAGCCTGGCATGATGGCACATGCCTGTAATCCCAGCTACTCGGGAGGCTGAGGCAGGAGCATCACTTGAACCTAGGAGGCGGAGGTTGCAGTGAGCCAAGATCATGCCACTGCACTCCAGCCTGGGTGACAAGAGTGAGTGAGACTCCTTCTCAAAAAAAAAAAAAAAAAAAAAGAATCCCAGCATGTAGCAAGCAAGCATTGCTATGTGTCTGACTTTTTCTCATTTATTTCTCACAGCACTACTTCTTCAATGTAAATTTTTTGTCCATTTTACAGATGAAAAAACTGAGGATTAGAGAAGTGAAATAATCTTACCCAGGGGTGGCACACTTTTTCTGTAGAGGCCCAGATATATATTTTGGGCTTTGTCAGCCATATGGGTCTCTGTCACAAGCATTTGGCTTGGCTGTTATTGAGAGAACACAGCCATAAATACCTAAACAGATGAAAAAATAGGAGGTGGGCTGGATGTGGCCCATGGGCCTCAGTTTCCTGGCCCCTCACTCATTTCACTGGTGGACACATTTCTAACATGTAACAGAAGCAGGATTTACACCCACATTTTTCTGACTTCGAAGTCCTTACACTTTTTCCTATATGCATGGAAACATTTTAGGCCAATTGTGAAACCTGGTAACTCAAAGAAACTTTTTTAGATGGTTACAGTATGGGCATAGGTGGTGCTGTCTGCATGAAAGCCCAGAGGCACGGTGGCCAGCCAAACAACCAAACAAACCTATGGAACCTCCTGGTGTCAGTACCTCCTATACACAAGGTGGAGTATGGACATGAATAAACCTCTTGAAAAGGGACTCTTTCCACCTGTGGGTATCTGTTAAGGACCGCAGATGCCACATCTCGATACACTTCCTGATTATTTCCAGGACAGCAGGCAAGCACTTGCAGAGTGAACAGGCATGATAGGTTCAGGCTGGTCCTCTGGGTGCTTCATTCTGCCCCTATTTGTGGGAAGGGCAGCTCTTCTACCCAGCCTCACCCCTGACCATGCTGGCCAAAGCCTCTGAGATGGAAATTTAGCTGTTCTCCTTCCTAGATGTCCCTAAGGTGCCTTTGTAGTCTGCCATGCATGTGAATTCGATGGCCCACATGCCACAAAACATCCGCAAGCATCACTAATATTGACAGTTACTGGCCTATTTAGGGGAATGTGTAATGAGTGCATCCCTGGGAGAGTGAGTCTGCATCCCTGGGGTCTGTAATCAAGTGTGAATTCTAAGGAGAACTACTATCCACTCACCCACATTCAGAGTTATTCATGCTTCGTGGACTTGGAAGGGGGCCCAGAAGATGAGAAATGGTGACACTCACACTGCCTCACACTGGGACCAGGGTGAATGAAACTAAGGAGCACAAGATATGCTTTGGCAGTAGGTGTTGGGGTAGGTGGCACAAGTAGAGGCGGTGCTGGTGTGGGATGTTCATGATCACACAAGGTGGCACCAATATTTGCATTTGTGAACCTTGAGACCTGAAGCCCTTTTCTGGTAGGAGAGCTGGGAGTCTGCTTAAACGAGTCTCTGCCTACCAGGTAGAGAGGAAGGCAGAAAGAACACCTGTGGTGGGAGAGTTTCTCAAGGAGAGACCCCAGAGAGAACACACTGGCGTGCCCATCCATGGAGGGGTGTATTGGTAGCTGTGTTCCAGTGACCTGTGGGTTGCACTCAGAAGGCCCAGACTCATATCCTCCCCACTTTTTCCTCCTCTCTCCATCCCTCTCTCAATTCTTTCCTCTCATAAATGTTTATTGAACACCTACTAAGTGCCAGGCACTAAAGACACAAACATCGTTCCCTAGAGGAACTGAAAAATCAGTATGGAAGACAGACATATATTTGCAACATACATATTTACAGCATAGTGAGCAGTGTAGAGAAGAGAGAACCCGTGTACTAAGGCTTGGTCCAGGAGGGGAAAGGAAGCTCAAGAAGAGATGGGCACAGGCCAAAGCTTGCAGGTGTGGCTGAGGCTGGCCTGGGTGTGTCTGAGGCAGGGCTGAGGAGGGCTGGCCAGAGGAGGCAGGAGGCTGTGGTCATGATATCCCAGACAAAGGGACTCAGGTATCATCCTGAGGCAGTGGCACCTGAGGCAGTTGCACCTTTGGCAGCCACGTGGCAAGGTGCGTGTACGATCCCTGAGTGGGCAGAGTGTGCCAGAGGGAAGGGGACCCTCCAGACAGAGGCGGGAGTTATCTCAATACTTGGGTGAAGATGGCAGTGAGGGTGGGGAAGCAATTTCTGTGGAGCTCTAGAGGATGCAGAGGTCACTTCTGGAGCTGCGTGCCTCTGGGTGAGTCACTTGACTTCACCCATTTTTCATGGATTTGAGTGAGTGAGAATCAGTGACACCATGTGTCTGTTAGAGCACTTTATGAACAGAAAAGCTTCTCTATAAATATAATTGGTCATTCTGAATCCTAGCTTTGCTTGCAGTTTTGCCCTCCCCACTCCACTCCCCCTCTGGAGCATTTCAATGCCCCGGGATTGAAGGAAATTTTATTGGAGGATGTTGGTTTGAATAGAATAGCATGACAGAGAAAGAATACAATAAAAGGTACGAGCTACAGAATAAATATTTTTTTCTTCCTTAGAGATATAAAAGAAATGCTTTTGACAGGATAATATTTTCAAAAATCAGCTCAAAGTATGAGGAAAAATACTGGCCATTATTTACCTGTGCAGAATGTGTACTTAATATTATTGGCTTAAAGGCCTATGCAATAGAGTCCACTTTGTTGGAAAAAAGGAAGGGCGAAGTCGAAGCTGTTCCAGGATTTGCAGAGAAATCTGAGACAGAAGCAGGTTTTAGTGGCTTCCTTCCTCAGGATTTTCCTGAATTGTGTACAAGAAAGGAGGGCATGGCCCAGCTCATAATATAGGGTCCCTATATGTGGGGGTTCCTCCCGATGCTGAAAAGGAGGCAGAAAGGGAAGGACTTGGGGGCAAGGGGCTGGTTGGGGGAAGGCAGAAGGTAGAGGGAATGCCTGTCCAAACCCTTCTGAGGTCCTGGGACCTCAACGGACACTTCCTTTGTCTGCTTTTGATTGCTTATGTTTCCTGGCTTCATTCCGCAAATAATTTCTGGCAGAAATTGATGCCCTTTAAAAATACCTCACCTTTTACACACAGTAGCTTTCTCTAAGGATCTTGAATATAGAATTGGTTCCTTGGCCTGCGGGGTTCAGGGGGAGCAGGAAAAGGACTTTTTCTGTGTGTCTGGGGTGGGAAGGGACTGGAACCACGGCTTCTGTCCTATTTTCCAGCGTCCCACCCCCTGGGTTGCTTCATTTTTACTCTGTCAATAAAAAGAACGTGGCTTGCTGCTGGGACCATTTAATAATGCAGCAATAAATTGTGCTTTCAAGCCCAGCAGTGCCTTTCTAGGTGATTTACAAAAAACAACTCAATACCCTGAGGACATGGATGGGTAGCATTCTCTGCTCTAATGGTTGGACTGGCTGGGAGAAAGCCCACCGTGTGAGGACCCCAAGGGCTCAGAAGTGGCCCAGCCTTCTCAGTCACCCTTCTCATCGCAGGGCACGGGACCTGGGCCATTGCTCCTGCAACTCTTAGGGCATCACTTGGCATGCTCCTTTACATGCTGTCTCTGGGAGATGCTCAGGGCTTTTGAAAAAGGAAAAAGTTTTTCCTGGGGAAGACAGACTATGAGAGCATCTAATAATATGATGAAGATCACCTTGGAGAGGAGAGTAACTTGCTGCTCTTTTTCCGGAGCAGCAGCTTGATCTCAGCTGACACAGTTTAGGATTTAGGATCAGATGTGGGGTGGGAGGGGGTCACACTGGGGCCCTGCAGGGCTTTGGGAGAGTGGACTCCTCTTCATTCCCATCTGCCCATCCCTGAGTTTAGGACTCCATCAGATGAAGCCTCCTATCTGTCCTCCTGGTAACCCCTCTCCCTCCCGTGGGGTTTTTAGTTTGTAATTAAAATGAACTGTCTATGATGGAAATCTGATCAAATATCTCCCCAGCTGAAAACCCTTCAAGGACTCCCTATTTATGTCCCCACAAGATAAATGACATACCAAGTCCTTCCAGAATTGCGCCTTCCCGCTTCTCGTCCACCTTCTGCCTGGAGACCCCCTTCCTCTCTCTCCTGGTCTCAGGGTCTCCTTTCTCCACCTGAAGGACTCCTTTGCCCACCTGGAGGACTCCTGGGATCCTGGCTCAGGAAGCCGTTTTGTCCCTTTCCATCCTCTCTGCCACCTAGGCCTTCTGCCTGGCCTTCTTGCAGTATTGACCTTCCCTGAGGACTCAGCCTGTGGGTGTCTCTCCTGCCCCTGGGAGGGGAGACACAGGGGCCATTCTGCCTGCTGGGTGTGGGTGTGTCACCTGAAGCCCAAGTAGGTTCTGCTCTTAACTCCAAGGACTGTGCTGGGAGTAGGGGAGAGAGAGGCTGTGGAAGTGCTTTGTAAAGTGTAGAGTTTTACAAATACTAGGTATTACCTCCATCATTCAGAAAACAAAGCCCAAAGGAAAGAACCTCACAGTCTTGGTTAACCAGGAGCACTATGAACTTTCTTTTAGAAAAGCGCTGGCTGTGAGAGATGCCTTTCTTGCCGAAAGAACAGATGATCAGACCTATTAAGGATCCCTCTAGTCTAGGGTTCTTAGAGGATGAAATGGCTGGCACTTTGGCAGCCTTTAGAAACTTGGCGTGTGATAGCCAGCTTCCAGGTTCAGGAGTACCAAAGCCAGTCCAGCCAATCTTTTCTAGTATAACCTTATTTTTAGAGATAAATAAGCCTTTCACCAGCTAATGTAAATTACTTCCATATTTGTCATGGATGATTATAGAGAGATTCTTCCCCATACACACTCCTAGGAACAGGAGTCACCTTTTAGCAGACCTGCCAAATTTTGAGGTGCTCTGATAATTACTGTATTTTTTAAATAACAAAATTCTGTTTGGGAAGGCCTACATATTTGAAGTGACCTAAATCATTGCATGTTTGGGCTGATTATAGAAATTTACTGACAGAACCAGTGAAACAAAGGACAAGATGGAAATGAAAAAGGAAGTACAGAAATTTAATTCAGTTTAAGAAGCATTCCTGGAAGTATGAGTTCACAATTAAGTTTTGGATCTTACAAATCAACCTCTTAAAGCAACATAGTGAGTAGTTCTGAAGATCATAAATGGCAAGAAAGAACCTTGGTCAGGTGTTGTCTCTAGTAGGTGCCTCACACACCTGTTCAGAGCAGTGCTACGTATTCAACAGGCAGCGGAGGACAGAGGCAGTGCTCCCCAACTATGCCTTCTAGAAGACTGAAAAATGATGATGAAGGAAAGAAGTAAACTTTTTCAATCCATATATTATTTGATTCGTATTTGTGACTAAGATAATGAATTAAATAGTATACATTGACATTCAGCTATTTCATCTCCAGTTCCAAAAGTTTATATACTTAAGTTGGCTTCAAAACTGTTTTATATGTTCTCCTTTCATTGGAAAAATGGAGGGTTGCTTTATACTAAGACTCACCTCAAAGTCAAGTCAGTACACGAATCCCCTGTCCCAGGCAGTCTGTAGCCTGAGTTCGGTGACCCTGATGAATAAGCAGCGATGACTCCATTCATTTTCACACTGTTGTGTTCTTTTCTGATTTCTTTATACTCAGTTGTTCAATTCAGTAAACACTTACTGAATGCCCACCTTGGGTTGCCCCAGACTAGCCCCTGGGAATGCTCAGGGCCTCCACCTCCTTCTCTCTTGAACCTCTTGTGTTCTCTGAACTGTATCTGGGTCTAGTCTCCATCATCCTTCCAGGCTGACAAGTCTGTGATGCTTGCTTGAGCCATCTCCTTTGAGAAACCTATCCTGTCCTCTCCCCACTGGTGGCCAGAAAGAAGCTTCTCCTCTGTGTGACTTAATTGTCAAGCTACTTGTCAGTCTTTCTCTTTTGTGGCATTCATGAGGGTAGGGACTGAGATCTATTCATTGCTGCACTTCCAGAAACAGAAAATGCCTAGCACAATTGATAATTATTTGATAAGTTGTATTGAATTGAACAGAATTGAATTTAGAGATGTTCTAAATTGAGGTATGGCTTGGATGCTGTTTTTGCTGATAAAAAAATACAAATGACCTGGATCAGGGACTGCTTATTAGCATCCTGGGGACTGAAATAGCCCTTGAGGACAGACCGTATAAAACACAAATCATTAAGAATCCAACGTGCATTCCTTTCCTGACCAAGACATGTCCCTAATAGGACAGAAGTAAGTTCAATTCATGCCATCACTGCTTGTAAAGGTTTTTCAATTAGGAATTTGTATGCTAGCTAGCAATAAAAGAACAGTAATTTCTCAAGACAGAGACTTTTAAATGGAAATGACCAATTCCACATTCAAGGCTCTTTCTAAATCTTTGAAAATGGATGAGAATCGTGCAGAAATAGGAACACTTTTACACTGTTGGTGGGACTGTAAACTAGTTCAACCATTGTGGAAGTCAGTATGGCAATTCCTCAGGGATCTAGAACTAGAAATACCATTTGACTCAGTCATCCCATTACTGGGTATATACCCAAAGGATTATAAATCATGCCGCTATAAAGACACATGCACACGTATGTTTATTGCGGCATTATTCACAATAGCAAAGACTTGGAACCAACCCAAATGTCCAACAAGGATAGACTGGATTAAGAAAATGTGGCACATATACACCATGGAATACTATGCAGCCATAAAAAATGATGAGTTCATGTCCTTTGCAGGGACATGGATGAAACTGGAAACCATCATTCTCAGCAAACTATCGCAAGGACAAAAAACCAAATACCACATGTTCTCACTCATAGGTGGGAATTGAACAATAACACATGGACACAGGAAGGGGAGCATCACACATTGGGGCCTGTTGTAGGGTGCGGGGAGGGGTTAGGGATAGCATTGGGAGATATACCTGATGTTAAATGATGAGTTACTGGGTGCAGCACAACAACATGGCACATGTATACATATGTAACTAACCTGCACATTGTGCACATGTACCCTAAAACTTAAAGTATAATAAAAAAAAATCCAACAGTAATAATAAAAAAAAAGAAAATGGATGAGAATCAATTATTTTCAGCTTTTATAAATATATGTATAGGGGTGCTTTGATAGTATTAAAGAAGCCAAGTCTAAGTTCTCAATAAAAACTCTGGGTTTATACATGTCTCAGACTTTTGGGGTTAGTACAATACAAGGAACTGAAAAATTTGGCAATGCTGTTATATATGTGGTCCAATGGCTGTGACAATCATGTGATCATTCTGAGGCCAATAGTCCCCATTAAGCTTATTCTGAATGATAAACTTGTAGAAAAGACTTGAACCAGATAATCATAAAGAAACATATCTCAGTAAATGATTGACAGAGAATAAGAAAAAAAAGTGACACCACAACCCTAAGCTAATATTAACTGAGCTTCCAAGAAGCCAAAGTGAAAAAAAAATTTAATGAGTTAAATAATTCTTGTCATTGGATAAAAGAAAGTAGTAATTGTCCTTGTGGAATATTCTGTCAGCAGTGAACCAGCATAGTCACTGCATTTTCCATGGAGTGCAATAAATGCTGCATTCACAGTCTATTGCTTGCATTATATACTTCATCAGAAATCTAAACCAACTCGTATACACAGTAGGTCTGTATGGACTTTTCATCTCTGAGTTGAAACACAATGAGGGCAGAATGGACTTCATGTCTGAGTCAAGCAGGCACAAAATCAGCTTTTCTCAGATATTAGTTAGGGAAAGGGGAAGTAGGTAATGGGCAGATAATGGACTGGTATGCACATTAAATTATCTCTACACTATTAACAAGATGAGATCTTAAACAAAGATGGTGCAAGGTGGAAGATGGGGTGTTGACCTTCCTAGGGCTTCAGCCAGGCTCTTAATAAGACACTAAGAGAAAGGAAGGCATACATGAAGTCAGTGCTGCTGCTGGGGGTAGTGACTGATCAAGGCACTGCAGTACAGGTCTATAGTGTGTGCCTGATCTGCAGCTTTTCCTTCTGGCTGAGGTCTTGAGTGGGAAACCTTGTGGCTGGTATCTGATTTTTGCTGTGAGCCTTTCAGGCCTATCTATTTGATCTCTAGTTAGTAGAGATGCCAGACTGATTCAGGAGTCCTCTCCTTACATCACCCACTGTCCTAAGTCCTCCCAGATGCCCTGTGGACTGAGAGAAAACACCTGTTGTTTAATTTGCATTTCATGCATTCGTGGGAGAGGGGGCACACAAACACAAAAAACCTCTGAAAGGATACAGGCTGTGTTTTGCAAGGGGAATCTCATTCTGTCTTTCAATTACTTCAGAGTTATAAAATGGTGGCTACTGCCAGTTAGAAGTTAAAGCATTTGCACACATTTATGTTGAGCAGTGCAGAACCTGTATGACCACATATGACAGCTCTTGAAAAAGTTGCTTTAAAAGTTCAAATATATATTTTGATATAGGAAGATTATTTGGTGTCATGATGGACATGGCCTGATTTAAAACAAATTACTTCATGTATCTTAGTATCTGTTTTAGTTTTCCTGTTTTTAAAAATCAGGTTGTTCAACCAAAAAGAAGATTAATAAGGAAATAGAGGACTTCAGCAGAAAATACATTTTTCTTAAGCACACATGCAACATTCTCCAGGATAGACCATACATTAGGCCACAAAACAGGTCCTAAACCATTTCAAAGGACTGAAATTATAGAAAGTATCTTTTCGGATCACAATGAGATGAAACTAGAAATAAATAGCAGAGGGAAATCTGTAAAATTCACAAATACATGGAAATTAAACTACATACTCTTTATTTTTATTTTTTAAAAATTTGTTTGTTTTTGAGATGGGGTCTTGTTCTGTTGCCCAGGCAGGAGTATCATGGTGCAATCATAGCTCACTGCAACCTGGAACTCCTGGGCTCAAGGGATCCTCCTATATCAGCTTCTCAGGTAGCTGGGACTATGGGTGTGTGCCATCATGCCTGGCTATTTTATTTTATTTTATTTTATTTAGTAGAGATGAAGTCTTGCTATGTTGCCCAGGCTTAAACAACATACTCTTAACCAGTGGGTCAAAGAAGAAATCACAAGGGAAATTATAAAATATCTTGAGACAAATAAAAATGAAAAAACAACGCAGCAAAAACTAATAGATGCAGCAAAAACTAATAGATGCAGCAAAGCAATGCTAAGCTAAAACATCTATAGATATAAATGCTCACATTGAAAAATAAGGTCTCAAATCAATAATCTAGCTTTACACCTTAAAAAACTATAAAAAGTAGAACAAACTAAACACAAAGCTTGCCGGAGAAAGGAAATAATAATAATTAGAGCAGAAATAAAATAGAGAATAGAAAAACAATAGAGAAAATCAAGAAAACCAAAAGTTAGTTCTTTAAAAGGATCAACAAAATTGACAAAATCTTTAGCTAGATTAAGAAAAAAAAAGAACCTCAATTATTAAAATCAGTAGCAAAAGTTGGGACATCACTACGAATTTTACAGAAGTAAAAAGAATTATAAGAGAATACTATGAAGAGTTGTATGCCAATTAGAATTGGGTAATCTAAAAGAAGTGGACAAATTCCTAGAAATACAAAATCTACCAAGACTGAATCATAAAGAAATAAAAAATTTGAACAGACCTATCACTAGTAAGGAGATAACATCTGTTAGGCAAAACCATCTAACAAAGAAAAGCCCAGGGATCTGATGGATTCCCTGGTAAATTTTACCAAATATTTAAAGAGGAATTACCATAAATCCTTCTCAAATACTCTCAAAATACTGAAAAGAAGGGAACAATTCCTACTTCATTCAAGAATTACCTTTATACCAAAGCCAGATAGAAACACTACAAGTAAAGAAAACTACAGCTGGGAACGGTGGCTCACGCCTGTAATCCCAACACTTTGGGAGGCTGAGGTGGGCAGATTGCCTGAGATCAGGAGTTGGAGACCAGTCTGGCCAACATGGTGAAACCCCATCTCTACTAAAAAAAAAAAAAAATTAGCCAGGTGTGGTGGGGTGTGCCTGTAATCCTAGCTACTTGGGAGGCTGAGACAGGGGAATTGCTTGAGCCAGGGAGGTGGAGGTTGCAGTGAGCTGAGATCGCATCACTGCACTCCAGCCTGGGCGACAGAGTGAGACTCTGTCTCAAACAAAACAAAACAAAACAAAACAAAACAAAACAAAACAAAAACAACAACAACAACAAAAAAGAAAACTACAAACCAATATCCCTTATGAACATTGATGCAAAAATCCTCAACAAAATACTGGCAAACTGCATTCAGTAGCATATTAAACGGATTTTGTACCATGACCAAGTAGGATTTATTCCTGAAATACAAGGATGATTTAAGATATAAAAATTAATTAATGTAATACAGCACATTAACAGAATGGAGGGGGAAAACACACCACATTATCATCTCAATAGATGCAAAAAAAGCATTTGACAAAATTTAACACTATTTCAAGATTAAAAAAACTCAACAAACTAAGAATAGAAGGAAACTACCTCATCATAATAAAGGCCATAAACGAAAAGCCCACAGCTAAAAAAATACTTGATGGTAAAAGACTGAAAGCTTTTCTTCTAAGGTCAAGAAAAAGACAAGGATGCCCACTTTTGCAACTTCTCTTCAAAGTAGTATTAAAAGTCCCAGTCAGAGCAATTAGGCAAGAAAATGAAATAAAAGACATGCAAATGAGAAAAGAAGAATTAAAATTATCTCTGAATAGATAACATAATTTGTAGACAATTCTAAAGATTCCACAAAAAACATGACAGAACTAATAAGTCAATATTGCAAAGTTGCAGGATAAAAAATAAATATAAAATCAGTTGTGCTTCTATATGCTAACAGTGGACAACATGAATATATTTGCAATACATGTAATGGAAACATGAAAAGGAAATTAAGAAAAAATTTCATTTATAATAGCTTGAAAAAGAATAAAATACTTATAAATTAACCAAAGAAGCAAAAGGTATGTATATTGAAAACTACAAAATGTTGCTAAAGGAAATGAAAGAAGCCATAAATAAGTGGAAAGATATCCTGTTTTCATGGGTTAGAAGTCTTAATATTGTTAAGATGTCAATACTACCCAAAGTGATCTACAGACTCAGAGAAATACCTATCACAATGACATTTTTTACAAAAATAGAAAAATCCATCCTAAAATTCGTATGGAATCACAGAGGTCCCAGAAAAGCAAAAATAATCTTGAAAAAAAAATTTGAATCACAATTTCTGATTTGAAAGCTTACTACAAAGCTACAGTAATCAAAACAGTGTAGTACTGACAGAAAGACAGACAAATAGACCAATGAAATAGAAGAGTGAGCCCAGAAATATACCCCCACATAGATGGTCAAACGATTTTTGACAAGATTGCCAAGACATTCAATGGGGAAAGGAAAGTCTTTTCAACAAATGGTCTGGGAAAACATATGCAAAAAGGGTGGACTCTTACCTTACACCACATGCAAAAATTACCTAAAATGGATCAAAAGCCTAAATGTAAAAACTAAAAGTAGAAAATTCTTAGAAGAAAATATAGAGGAAAAGCTTTATGATATTTGATTTGGCAGTGATTTCTTGGGTATGACACCAAAAGTATAGGCAACAAAAGAAAAAAATAAATTGGACTTCATCAAAATGTAAATCTTTGTACATCAAAGGATACTATCAACAGAGTAAAAAGACAGTCATAGAATGGGAAAAATATTTGTAAACCATATGTCTGATAAAGATATATTAAAAAAAAACTATAACTCAATAACAACCTCCCCACCCCAAAATTCAATTTAGAAATGGGCAAAGGAATTTGAACAGATATTTCTTCAAAGAGGTTACACAGATGGCCAATAAGCACATGAAAAGATACTCAACATCACTAAGGATTAGAGAAATACCAATTAAAACCACAATGAGATATAATTTCATATTTCATACCTATTAGTATGGCTATTACTTAAAAAAAAAAAGAAAATAGCAGGTGTTGGTGAGAATGTGAAGAAATAGGAACACTTGTGTACTGTTGGTGGGAATGTTAAATGGTGCATCCCGTATGAAAAACAGTATGTCAGTTCTCCAAGCAATTAAACATAGAATTACCACATGATCTGGCAATTCCATTTCTGGATACATAGTCAGCCCTCTTTGCCCATGGGTTCTGCATCCATGGATTCAAATATATTTGAAAAACATTGAAAAAATATATTTTTCAAATTGAAAAGATTCATGGATCAAAAATATTTGAAAAAAGAGGATGGTTGTCTCTGTACTCAAAATGTACAGACTTTTATTTTCTTGTCATTATCCCCTAAACAATATGTTATACCAACTCCTTACATAGCATTTACGCTGTATTGTACATTGTAAGTAATTTAAAGATGACTTAGAGTATATGGGAAGATGTGCTATAGGTTATATGCAAATACTACACCATTTTATATAAGAGACTTGAGCGTTTGTGGATTCTGCTATCCCAGGGGGTCCTGGGACCAGTCCCCCGTGGATACTGAGGGATGACTGTATACCCAAAAGAACTGAAAGCAGGGACTCAAAAAGATATTTGTTCACCCATGTTCATAACAGCATTACTCACAATAGCCAAAAAGTGGAAACAACCCAAATGTTTACTGATGGATGAATGGATAAACAAAATGTTACATATATATATATATATGTATGTATTTACAACATACACAATAGAAAATTATTCAGTCTTAAAAAGGAAGGAAATTCTGACACATGCTACATGGATGAACCTTGAAAACATTACAACAAGTGAAATAAGTCAGTCACAAAAAGACAAATATGGCATGATTCCACTTCTATGAGGCACCTAGAGTAGTCATATTCATAGAGATAGAAAGTTGAATGGTGGTTGCCAGGGGCTGGAGGTGAGGGGAGAATTAACAGTTAGTGTTTGATGGGTACAGAATTTCAGTTTGGGAAGACGAAACATTTCTGGAGATGGATGGTAGTGAATGTCTCACAACAGTGTGAATGTACTCAATGCCATTGAACCGTACACTTAAAAATGGTTAACATGTTATGTAAAATATACATAATATCAAACCATAAATTTTATTTTGCATGTATTTTACTACAATAAAAACAATCAGGAGCTATTTCTAATAAACTTAACAGTTCAAGCGGAAGTTGTACACTGTCGCTGAGTACTAATTTGGCACCAGATACATTTAGGTTTCTATAAAGTTTTTTAAAAAATTGAATTTGTTGCTTTACATTGACTAGTCCCTCCAATCTGCCACAAGCCTCGGCATTCTCTACAGTATTACACCTGTCTGTTCTACTTAACTGATTACCTGCCAGGGCTCCAGAGTTATGTAAATTTGAAACTCAAGTAACTCTATCTTGCATCTCTCCTGTTTCTATCTATCAGCTTGCCAGCACATATCTTTTGGGTGAAGAGCCATTCTTAGTTACTTGTAGGCATGTGTGTATAATGGCAAAGGCTGTATTTTGAACCTGGGTTTAGAACTAGAGTTGAATGCTGGTTCTACCTATAGCTCCGTGGCATGCAGAGCTTCAGCATTCTCATTTGTGGAATAGGGATAGCAACATTAATTTTTTAGGGGTTTTGCAGGGTTAAATGAGATTGTAAATACAAAAGCACCTAGCGTGTCCCTGTCAGACACCAGAAGGTTCAGCAAATGTTGGTTTCCGTCTTCTCTTTGCCCCCATAAGTGATCAGTCTTCCCATGAGAGGGAATAGTGATGGTGTCATACAATTTTCCTAGATTAGGGTTGGAAGAGGACAGAGGAGGGTGGTTTAGTAATTTCCATAAGGGTCTCCTGTGGTGAGCTAGACTGTAAGATCCTAGATGAGAAGGACTGTTGTCTACTTTGTCTTTTAGCTGTATGTCTAACATGCTGCTTAATAAGTGCTTAGAGAATAATGGGTGGATCTTGTCAATGTGGTAAAATAAGCATCATAATGACATTCACCTATCTTTGATGACAATCTCAGGGAGAAAAATAGGTCATCTGGACCTTTGAGAAAAGAATATGGCTTTCAATACTGGTGAAGATATCTTACACTTGCAGAAATATGGAGAAAAAATAAAGCCAGGAAAACAAGGGGAATTCAAGGATTATGATTATTTTTTCCTTGTTGCTGCAATGTTCTTGTTACATTGTTTTTTTTTTTTTTTTTTTTTTTTGGCCCAATTTGAAGGAGCAGATGCTTTTCCCAGAACTTCTGAGTAGCTTGCTCCTCATCGTGCCCTTCCTCCCTGCAGCACAGAGCATTTCGAGGACACCTTTCAGGCAGTAAAACCATTTCCTCTCACCTTTGCTCTCAAGCTCTAGAGAAGGAAGATGGAAGAGTTGAAAGAAGAAAATGAATGTGATAACATTTTTGACACTGGCTATTATTTTCTTTCCTCTTACTTTCAAGAGGTATGCATACTCTGTTTCATATAGACACAAGGAGGGCACACCTAGGGATTGAGAAATTCACATACTGGAGGAAAATCTCCAGGCTCCATCCTGAATTACAGTGATAGCCCAAACAAAACAAAGCAAAATCAGAAAGGAGAACTGTTTGCTAAAGACAGCGCAACAGCTGGATATTCAGCCGACTGCTGTGTAAATATAAAAATAAAGACCAAATTAGTATTATTAGTGTGTGACGGCTCTCTCTGCCAAGCTGCTGTAGTCAGTTGCCTTGAATTCTTTTCATCATCTTTGCAAGTCTCAGTTCAGTGGCGTGATCAGTCCCAGGGGCCATCTCACAATAGGTCACTGCAGATGTGAGGAGAACAAGTTCTCTCTGCCTGTTAACAGACCACACTTCTGGAACACTTTTCAGGTTCCTAACTTGTAAATTTTCTAAAATAACACCAGAAAAGATATTTGCCAGTCATTATTTTTGCAAAAATGAAGCCCTCTGGAGTGGAATAACTCTGTCCTTGGGGTCCCAAGGACTATCTGATGTGTGTCACATGGTAGGTGGGAAATGATTTTCAAACAGTGGGATAAATAGTATTGAGAGAAAAGTTGCATTGATTTAAGGAACATGTTAATAACCCCTTTCTTTAAAGGACCTCTATGCTCCAGGCATTTAAAATAATGATAATGTCACCTTAATGTCAAATTTCATAGTGCTTCCCCATACATTATCTTAGCATAGCCTGTGGGTTTCATATTTTCACATTTAATGTTTAACTTTGGTGCCTATAGTTTCTATAAGATTACTATCTAGAAGTCAGTCGACATTCTTTCTGGATTCTGAAGATATTTGTTAACGTTTCCTCAAGTAACCAGGAGAAGACCAAATGAAAAAAGGAGGATTTCATCTTATGTTTGATTGAAATGTCAGCAGATAAATTGGCTTTATTTACGGCCTTGAATATCTTGCCCCTGAGGCAGACTGCCTGGGAGTGGATGGATCCTAGAAAGTCAAGTCCTTTCGCTTCTCTGAGTCCCAATTTCCTCATCTACAAAGTGGAAACTCAGTTTTTCAGAAAATTTGGATGAATTTCCATTGCAAGTATCCAATGCTAGGGATATAGACATAAAGTAGTGAGCTTCTCTCTCTCTCTGTCTCTGTCTCTCTCTGTCTCTGTCTCTCTCAGGGTCTCATTCTGTTGCCCAGGGTGGAGTGCAGTGGCAGGATCAGAGCTCACTGCACCCTTGACCTCCTGGCCTCAAGCGATCCTCCTGACTCAGCCGCCTGAGTAGCTGGGACTACAGGTACACGCTACTGGCCCCAGATAATTTTTGTATTTTTTTGTAGAGATGGCCATGTTATCCAGGCTGGTCCAAAATTCTGACCTCAAGTGATCCTCCCACCTCGGCCTCCCAAAGTGCTGGGATTACAGGGGTGAGCCACTGTGCCCGGCCCTGCATCACCCCGTTTCACAGCAGCCAGGTGACCCCTGGAGACTGTAACCTTCCTGCTAGGATGCGCTCGGTGCCTGGACAGGACTGGTGACAAAGCCTGCTGCACGGGCCAAGCAGAGGTGCCAGGGACATGCACGATCCTGACCCTCTGCACATGACCTGACCCCCTGCATGCCCTGTCCAGGTTCACTCTGGGACGGAAGGCGACCATGGGGATCCGTCTTCCCTAGCAGTGGGACCGGGTTAGTCCAGTTAGACAGGTGGGCCTTAGGGCGCAGCGGCTGCCAGAGCCCATCCTTGGAGGTTAGGCCATGGGAGGCTGAGGTGTGTGGTCCCCAGCTGAGGCTCTTTTGGTCTTTTCTTAGCAAACACACATTCAGAGATATTTTATTATTAAGAATATCAAGACAGCAACAAAGAGTAGTCTTAAACCCCAAGCGGAGCCCTGCAAAGCCAGGCCCTGCACCCCTGTTCTGGCTCCCTCCCTAATCCTCGGGGCCAGCCTGGAGTGGGTGTGACCAGAGGGCTGAGTGTGGAACAGCAGCGGGGATGGGGATCTGAGTCTGGGAGATCCCGGGCCACTGGTGTAGGGTCTTGCAGGAGAGCATGAGGACTTTGGGGTTCACTCGGTGTGAGGTGGGAAGGTATTAGGGGCTCTTGAGAAGAGAGGTGACAGGATCCGGCTTGGATCTCACAAGAATCCCAGGCTGTTGTGTGGTCACTAGACTGCAGGGACAAGGGCTAGTGCAAGGAGGTCAGTAAGGTCATTGGAATAATCCAGCAGGCTCGAAATAGGAGAAATATACATTGCACATTTGTCTTTGACACTTGCATTTGTTTACTTGAATTTGGATTGAATGTGGGGTGTGAACAAGAAGACTCAAGGATGATGCCAAAGGTCTTGCCTGAACAACTAGAAGAATGAAGTTCACATTTTCTGAAGTGGGGTCTTCTTGGGAAGACAATAAAGATAACAATGGGACTTATTTCACTGGATTGTTTTGAGGGTAAATAAGTTAATAAAGCAAAAGGTTAGAACAGACACATATAATAAACATTCAATAATTATTGGTTATTATTTTCCCAACTTTATAAACGTCAAAAAAATATAATCAATAAGCTGCCTGTTATGATGGCCCATTTAAAAACATATTAAAAACACACACAAACAAATCCTCCCACAAATTTTGTAGAGTCCTTATCAGAGCCTTTTTCATTATTGTATTTTGATCAGCACATATACATTTATATTCAATCTCTTATTTGACTTTTAGTGTTGAGTTTAAGTGCTTAGCGTAATAGGGAAATGGCAGTTTGTTAAATAGACATCTGGGAAATACGGTTCAGGAGTTTGCTTTTACAGCTCAAAAATATTTCTCATAGATCAGTGAAGAGAAGAGACATTTTCATGGACGAAAGTGTATTGCAGCATGAATCTCTCCTGAATGCACACAGGATGGATGTATTTACCGGACATTGAGGTGTAGGATTAGGGAGCTCCTGGGCAGGATCTTACAGGCTTCATTTTTCTGGTGGAGATCACTACTGAAGGGACAGATTGGGTAGGCTGGTATGGATATTTGACACAGTTATTTTCCCCTAGAACTATTCAGATATATTGAATAAATTCTGATCTGTTAAATGGTACTTTCTAATGATGGGATTATAATTTATGAAAATATGTCAAATATTTGAGAAATGTTGAACTAGGAAAATGAATTGCTCACCTCAACCAGAATTAGATATGCAGTGTTTTGTCTGAGGTGCACTTGTAGGATATATAACATATAGAGATTCAAATATAAAATCACATTCAAAAGCCTACATAGTTTTTGCAGGGGAGTTGGGAGGGAATCTAGGTTTTCACTGTAGTTTCTTAAAGAAGAAATTTGTCCAAAGTTGCCTGTAATTGCAGATTGGTTTTATAAGAATACCCATTACTTATGTGAGAAGCACTGTGCAATCTTAAAAATGTATTATCAATGCCCTAATTTTTAGATGAGTAAACTGAAGCTCTGAGAGGTTGGCTGTCTTAAGATCTCTCCTTTTGTAAGGGACAGAATCAGAATTTAAGCCCAGGTATCTGGTTGGCTCAAATGGTAATTTTTTTTTTGTTTTAAAGAAACACAATATGAGTTTTCTTTTAGACTGCTATTTAAAGAGATATTTGCATTATCAGACCCTGGTCCAGGAATTGGCAGCCAGGGTGAATAAGAGACAATGATTCTGTTGACTATAGAAAGGTTTCCAGAGTCCTAATCTTTATCCATTAAGCATTAGAGCTTAGAAGCATTCTTCTTAACCCGAACAGCTCCCTCCACTCAGTATGCGAGTACTTATTGCCCTCATTACTATTACTTAACATATATCAAATGCCTACGGTGTCCCACTTCCTTACAGACCATATCGTCAAAGCCCTCTTGGCAACAGCCAGCAGGTGAGCTTTGACTGAATGACTGAATTAATTTCTAAGCAAACATTGCTGACTTCATAGTCTCAAGTTAATTTGACCTTGATGTTATGCTTGAGGCAATTTTTCTAAAATATTTCTCATATGGTGCTTTTGAGGTGTGTGAATATATACATTTGGTAAAAAACTTCTTTCACTGTGAATGTGATGGCAGCTGCAGGCCATCTGGAGTGGCCACCAGCTGCAGCGAAGAGGCAGTAGCAGTGGCAGCAGAAGCAGCTGCGGGAGCAGTAGTGGCAGTGGTGGGTCTCCTGTGCTTTGCATCCCTAAGGCAGTCGACTGAGCTGCCCCCAATCCAACCTCTCGCAGCTGGGTGGGACCCACTCCCTTGCCCAGAGCCTCTGCTCCTCCAGACCCTGGCCCTACGTCACTACTATCATCCACCGCCACTGTGGGGAGGGCCTGGGGGGGAAGGAGACAATCCTCAAATCCACCCCTGGGAGGCCCCCTGGAGCCCACGACCCTGGAAGCCACTGTGATGGGGCTGGGCTGAGCTGCGTGCCAATGTGGTAGGGCACGGAGGAATGGGTAGAGAGGGGCACAGCAAGAACCTGGAACACCTGCCACAGGCTGTGAGGAAGCACAGCTGGGGGTTCATGCTCCATGGAGCCAGCAGGAGCTGGGACAAGTGGAAGCCCTGCTCCTTCTGAGTGGGTGGGGCGGGAGCTCCTTGGGTGCAGCTGTAGCCACTCTGCTGCAGCTCCAGACCCAGGCATCTCTGTGCTCTTGGGGGTCCAGGAAGGCCCTCGCTACCTGCAGCAGGCTCAGAAGCACCTGCTCTCACTGCCTGGCTTCTCCCTGTGGTCAGTGCCCACTCCAATCTCAGAGCAAAGTAGGGGACAAGTCTGGGCCAAGTCTAGGCACTGGTAAGCCTGGCTGGGTGTGCACATGCTCGAGGCAGCACTGACATGCCAGCTCCCTGCTACCTCAGCCCGCTCTGGACTTTGGGCACTGACAAGCGTGGGAGGGAGGCCAAGCAGGTATTGAGGACAGCCTGGTGCTGGCCTGCCAGCACCCCTCAGCATGAACAGCCTGGGAGCCATGAACAGTGGCAGGAGACAGACAGGTTCCTGGGTGGAAGTGGGCATGTGCCTGGTGATGCCCCACCTTCCAGCTGGGGAGGTCATGAAGCCTGGGGGCAGGGCAGTCAGTCCTGCAGACCAGAGGGGGAACTTGTAGTGCTTTTCCCTGGGCCTGCCCATGGCCACCCATGGCTGTGCATGGACCAATCAGCATGCACTTCCTCCCGTCTGAGGTCCATAAAAACCCCAGACTCAGCCAGACTCAAAGAGAGGATGGAGAAAGGACAGACAACCAGCTATAGAGAGGAGCGGCACTCTCTGCTGAGAACTGAAACGATGATAGGATGACCTGCTCACAGAGAGGAGTTACCCTCTCTGCTGAGAGCTGAACACTCGTTGGACACCCTGGCTGCAGAGAGGAGCTACCCACTTTGGGTCTCCTCTGAGCTGTTCTATCACTTAATAAAACTCCTCTTCGTCTTGCTCGCCCTCCACTTCTCTGCATACCTCATTCTTCCTGGATGCAGGACAAGAACTTGGGACCCATTGAATGGCGGGGCTAAAAGAGCTGTAACACAAACAGGGCTGAAACATGCCTCTTGCTTGCCATGTTGTGGGTGAAGAAAAGAAGAGGAGAGCTGTGGCTCTTTGGGGAGCCCAAACCTGGGAACTCCCCAAGCCAGGGCTGTGACTCCCTCTTTGGAGCCCTGTGGTTCCTGGCATCTCCAAGCTTGTGGGCACCACTATGTTCCCTAGTGCCAGCTGTGGGTGCTGCTTGTGGTGTGCCTGGTCCAGCTGTGCCCTCACAGGGAGCCAGTGCCTGTGTTGGCACCTGGAGCTGCCCACCCTGCAGCAGCAGCTAGCATGCCTGGACCCCACACTCCACTCATACACCCCTCGCTGCTCTGTGCCTGGCTTGCCCTTGGCAGGCGTGGGATCTAGGCCAGTAGCATGAGCCAAACGCAGCCTGACAGGCCAAATGGGCAGAATGAGCCCAGTGGGACAGAGCAAAACTCGGGCAAAGGCACCACTAGCCACAGAGATTTCCAGCTGGTGAAGTGACACCCCAAAAATCCTATAACAAATGGATGGATACGAAGATTACTAACTTACATTGTGTTTGGGGACCACAAGCAATTAATACCACAGTGAGCAGGAAATCAATACAATCATTGTTTTATCCATTCCTGAAATGGAAAAAGGAGAACTGTGTGGATGGGTAGCACTATTGGGTAAAGGGCACAGTCATCTTTACAGTCTGTTCCTGTATGGTTAGCCCAGATATAGGTTGACTTTTCATGCCACTGCTTATTAAATAAAAATAACAGAAACCACAGTTATTTTTTGAGAGTTTCCTATGTGTCAGGCTTTTCAAAAATAGAGTCATTAAAGCCATAGCTTTAATGTAGCTATAGCTACAGACCCATACTTGCTCTTTTATACTCTTCCCTAAGCCACTGTGGCTGGAAACCTGCAAACTGCATTTGCCAGATTTTGTGCTCAGTTGGGATTCCTTGTTGGCAATGGGAGGCACTCATAACAAATTAAATGTGGGAAGAAGATAGAAACTACCCTGCTTATGGCAGAGGCAGGTGACTACAGACTATTGCAATAGTGCCAGCAGTTCTAGTACCTCTGGAGGTGAGCATAGATGCCTGCAGAGGAAATAGCTAGCAAAACCCAGGCTTTCTGGAGCTCACATGCTGTATCAGGGAAGAGAAATGAGGAATTAGATGGGCATTACTCCTGGTAGGATGCTATGATTTTCTGATGTTTCTCATCTTTGGAAACCACCAACTTTCCCAATTTTTGCTCCTTTAGCTCCCACATTTTGTCTCTTAATTCCTTAATTTAAATCACTTTCTAGCTTGAGATACCTAGAGAAGTTTGTATTTTTCTGAATGAACCAATACTATATCCACTTGGCCCACACTATCCTCTAGAGTCCACTGTGGATAGACAGAAACTTTCCCCCAGACCCAAAGAGTCATTGTTGGCATAGTTACAATTGCCCTGCTACTGAGGATCACATCTGCCCTGTCTGAGCCACAGCTTTGTAAGGCTGTGCTGGCACAGTGCTCACAGATTCACAAGGCCCCTGGTGCTGAGAGAGTGACCTCAGATGTTATGGCTGCAAGTTTGATAATGCCAGGAGAGAGATCTAAAATTCAACTGAATAGCAATACATCATCTGTAAATCACGAGACTGAAAAAAATGCAGGATTCCATGGAATTTAAAGGCCTTTTAAGACAGAAAGAAAGACATGTCTATATCTTAGGAACCAAACAAATGAAGAATCTGATCAAACGATCAACTGGAGTTGGAGTTGAGCACTGCTGTGAGTAGACAGAAGAATTAATGTGTTTATCTTGCATTCAGGAATGTGGGCCAAGTGGCACTTCTTCTAAGCGATGGCATCATGGACATGGCAATCACAAAGAGTACTCAGTGAGTCCCCTCAGGACTGCCTAGAACACAATCAGTACAATCAGTGTTGTGGTTCAGTTAATGGGGATGGTGACTGTTTTCCTTAATGGGTGAGAATCTTTTAAACCCAGTAAAATTCAGAATTAAATATAGAAATGTTTAAGAGAAATAAAATCATGGCTTAGTATTTTGGGGTTAAGAAGAAACATATACATATTTAGTGTTTAATATACTTGTAATTTTTGAGACAATCTGGCCCATTATAAAGACATTCTTGAAACTCCTACTAAATATATAAAGCATGGACAAATTATCCGGTTCTGAATTTTTTTCCTTTCCATAAACAACTAGACAACTGGAAAAAATATAACAGACAACAATTTCAGATACTGAACAACAGAACAGGCCTGTATCTTAAATAGAAAGAAAATAAATTAGGTGAGACCAGCAATTGCCCTGGCTCTTTGCCTGGAGACACCTTCTAAACTGTGGCACAGGGAAGGGGAATTCAAGTAGAGCATTACTCTGAAAAAGGCAGATGTCAGTGTTCAGGAGAGCTGAGATGGCTGAACTTTGTGGGGAAGAATACCGGAGAGCAGGGAGTGGTGCAAAGAGAAAGTTCCAGAAACCTGCATCGGCATCCTCTTGAGTTTTTTGTTGAATGCTCTGCCATGTATGCATAAACTAGGCAAAAATAGACTCCTGGGGAGTTGTAAACGGAACAATTCTCAGAGCTTACATACGGTTGTGATACTGTACGTTTTGACCATCCAAAATAAAAGAAGCCAGGGCTGTGGTGTGTGCCCGTAATCCTAGCTACTCAAGAGGCTGAGGTGGGAGGATCACTTGAACCTAGGAGTCTCAGGCCAGCCTGGGCAACACAGCGAGACTCTGTTCCCCCTCCTCTCCCCAGCAATAAAAAACAAACAAACAAACAAACAAACAAACAAACCCCCAAAGACATAAAAGAGCCCATTGAACACCTGGAGCATTCAGAAAAGACCCCAGAAGGCTATGTCTTAAAAAGTAGAGCTAAACTAGCCTTAGAATAAAAGATACTCCAGATGTGCCCTACCAGTGTTTTAAGAGGCCCCCAAAACATCAAGCTCATCCACAGGTAAGTTAATTGCCTGCCAGGACAAAATTCAACACTCTTTCAAAGAAGACAACAAAATTCAAATTCCAAATATGCCACATCCAATAAAAAATCATGGACAATGTAAAGCTACAGAAAAATGTGACCAATAACCCAGAGAAAAATCAGCCGATAGAAACATAACCTGAAATAATAAAGATGATGGAATTAGCAAGTGTTAATTTAAAAACTGCTATTATAAATGTGCTCATGAATGTAGAAGAAAACATGGACATCATGAGGAAAGAAAAGATATAAAATAGAGCCAAATGAAACTTTAAAGGTGAAAAATGTTATATCAGAAATAAAAAATACACTGGATTGGAAGAACAGAATATTAGACCTCATAAGATAAAGTCAGTGAGCTTGAATACATAGGAATAGAAACCATCTAGACTGAAGCACAGAGAGAAAAAGGCTGGAAAAACCCATCTGAGCCTCAGTAAGCTATGAAACAATAGCAAACTGTCTATCACTTGTGTAACTGGAATGTCATAAAGGTGGGGGGGGGGCAGAAAAAATATTGGAAGAAATAATGGCTGAAACATTTCTAAATTTGAGGAAACTGTAAACCAAGGTTCTCAACAAACCACAAGCAGAAAAAACAAACCACAAGCATGCGCGTGCGCACACACACACACTATACATACTCCAAAGTACTTTGTATTAAATTGCTAGAAAGATGTGATAGAGAAAAAAATCTTAAAAGTAGTCAGAGTAAAAAAGTAATTAAAAAAAACATGTCACGTACACAGGAACAAAGATGACTGCTGACATTATAAACAATGCAAGCCAGGAGACAATGAAACAGCGTCTTTTATTTTTAATTTTATATTTTTTGGGGGTGAGAAGTGAGGTTTTCTGGTTTTAATAGTTACAACTTTTAGATTTAGAGGGTACATCTGCAGGTTTGTTACCTGGGTATATTGCGTGATGCTGAATTTCGGGGTACAATTGATCCTGTCATCATGTACTAAGCATAGTACCCAATGGTGAGTTTTTCAACCCTTGCCCCTCTCCTTCCCTCTCTCCCCTAGTAGTATTATGTCCATGAGCACCCATTGTTTAACTCCTACTTTTAAGTAAGAACATTTGGTATTTGTTTTTTTGTTCCTGTGGTAATTCACTTAGGATAATGACCTTCAGCTGCATCCATGTCGCTGCAAAGAACATCATTTTACATCATTTTATTCTTTTTTATGGCTGCATAGTATTCCATGGGTATAGGTACCGCATATTCTTTACCTAGGTCACCATAGATTGGCACTATAAATGATCTCATAAGAAATATTATAGACAGTTTATGTTGTAGGGAAAGCATATTAGAAGCAAACTTGGATGTATGCAAAGTAATAAAGAGTGTCAGAAATGGTAAAGATTAGGTAAATATAAAATGGATCTCCAAACTTTCAATTTATGTAAAACATAACTATTTAGGCAAAAACAATTATAATGTACCATGGGGGTTTATAACACATGTAAATGTATGATGGCAATAGCACAAAGGCTGGGAGGGGAAAGCAGAAGTATACTATTATAAAGTTTTTATACATCAAGTGGCATAAAGTGATTTGAAGATAGATGGTGGTGGTAAGTTAAAGATACATACTGTAACCAATTTAATGTGTAATTGATTTTGACTTGATTTTCATGTTGATGACTTACCTAGTTCATATAATTTAAAATATATGTTTATATTCATGGGTGACATATATCTAGGAATTATGTAGAATTTGAAAATGTTTAAATAATTCATTTTACTTACGAGATACTTAAACATAAATATATTAAGTGAATAGATCTAGTATAAAATATTTGATGCATCATAATAATCCTTTTTTTTTAAATAACAAAAGTGTTAGACTGAGGTCTAAGAGGGTAACTGACTTACCTAAAGTAACACAACATGAGGAGCCAGGACTTCATCTTTTAAGTCCTAGGTTTGTTTCCAAACTTATCTCTCCACGGGTTTTTAATTTGCAAAAATATCTCCATGTTTTTGTTGTAACTATTGTTCTTAACAGATAAATACTTGAAATTCTCTTTTGTAGCAAAATTGACAAACAGTTTTTGAAAGGGTAACATGGTTACTATTAAGTTACATCTTTAAAAAATTAATAGACTATTTTTTAGAGCGGTATTAGGTTTATAAGAAAATTGAGTAGAAAGTACAGGGAGTTTCCATAGCCTTATTCTGCCAGTTTCCCTTATTATTAACATCTTGCATTAATTATTGTGATGCATTTGTTACCGATGCAGTACATTGATGAGCCAATATGAATACATTATTTTTAACGAAAGCCTACTGTTTACATTAGGGTTTACTCTTCGTGTTGTAAATCCTATGGGTTTGGACAAATGTATAATGCCATGTATCCACCATTGTAGTATCATACAGAGTGGTTTTACTGCTCTGAGAATCTTTTGTGTCCCATCTATTCATCCTTGTCAGCCCCCTAACCTCCAGCAACCATTGGTCTTTTTTTTTTTTTTTTTTTTTTTTTTGAAACGGAGTCTCGCTCTGTCGCCCAGGCTGGAGTGCAGTGGCGGGATCTCGGCTCACTGCAAGCTCCGCCTCCCGGGTTCACGCCATTCTCCTGCCTCAGCCTCCCAAGTAGCTGGGACTACAGGCGCCCGCCACTACCCCGGCTAATTTTTTGTATTTTTAGTAGAGACGGGGTTTCACCGTTTTAGCCGGGATGGTCTCGATCTCCTGACCTCGTGATCCGCCCGCCTCGGCCTCCCAAAGTGCTGGGATTACAGGCGTGAGCCACCGCGCCCGGCCACCATTGGTCTTTTTATTCTCTCCATTCTTTTCCAGAATATCATATAGTTGAAATTCCGCAATATGAAGTCTTTTCAGATTGGCTTCTGTCACTTAGTACAATACGTTTAAAATTCCTCCAAGTCTTTCTGTGGCTTGATAGCTCATTTCTTTTTAGTGCTGAATAATATTCTATTGTCTGGATGTACCACAGTTTATCTATTTATCTATCAAAGGACATCCTAGTTGCTTCCAGGTTTGGCAATTATGAATAAAGTTGTTGTAAACATTTGTGTGCACATTTTTGTAGGAGTTTACATTTTTAACTAACTTGAGTAAATATCTAGGAATGTGATTCCTGGATCATATGATAAGAGCATGTTTAGTTTTTCCAAAGTGGCTGCATCATTTTACATCCCTTAGCAGTGAATAAGAGTTCCTGTTGCCCCGCATCCTCATCAGTATTTGGTGGTGTCAGTATTTTGGATTTCTGCCATTCTAATAGGTGTGTAGGAGTAACTCATTGTCCGTGACTTTTTACATGTTACAATCTGCTGCTGATCATAATCCTGAAAGACAGTCCCAAAGGCCATAATCCCGTATGTTGAAATACAGAATGATCAAAAGCACTAATGTCTAAAATTCTTAATGTCTAAAATTCCCCATGTACAATCCTGAATGATTAAAATTCCAGAGTTGGAAATCCTGAAAGCAGAGTTCTGTGGAAGGGATTAGTGCATTTTTGGTTGTATTTGGGATGGTGGCATCATGTTAAGCGGAACTATTATCTGCTATTGGCTTTACTTGGAAGTGAAGTATGTTTTAAGACAATGTGTAGGGGTGCCAGGCTGACAATGGGAGGACTCGTGAATTTAATTTTAGGTGTCATTTTGACTGGATTAAGGAGTAACTAGGTAGTGGCTTACGCCTGTAATCAATCCCAGCACTTTGGGAGGCTGAGGCAGGTGGATCACATGAGGCCAGGAGTTCAAGACCAGCCTGGCCAACATGGTGAAACCCCATCTCTACTAAAAATACAAAAAAGTTATCTGGGCATGGTGATGCATACCTGTAATCCCACTTACTCGGGAAGCTGAGGCATGAGAATCGCTTGACCCTGGGAGGCAGAGGTTGTAGTGAGCCAGGATTGTTCCGCTGTGCTCCAAGCCTGGGTGACAGAGTAAGACTCTGTCTCAAGAAAAAAAAAAAAAGAAAGCATGTCTAGAAACCCAGTAAATGCATTATTTTGGGTGTGTCTGTGAGGGTGTTTCCAGAGGCAATTAGTGTGTGAGTCTGAGTGGACTATGTGGAGAAAGACCTGCCCTGAATTTTGGTGGGCACCAGCCAACTGACTGTGGGCTCATAGAGAACAAATAAAGAATGTGAATTGGTCTTTCTCTGAGAGTTGGGGCAGACTTTTCTCCTGCTGTCTTGAACATCAGAACTCCAGGCTCACTGGCCTTCAGACTCTAAGACTTACACCACCTGTCCCCCAGGTCCAGAGGCTTTTGGCCTTGGACTGAGAGTGACATCATTGGATTTCCTGGCTCTGAGGCCATCTGAGTTGGATTCAGCCATCCTGCAGCCATCCCATGGTCTCCAGCTTGCAGACAGTCTGTCATGGGACTTCTTAGTCATCAGAATTGTGTGAGCCAATTTCCCTAATAAATCCCCTCTCATATCTCTATATACATATTCTATTGGTTCTAGTTCTCTGGAGAACCCTGACTAGTACAAATTTGGTATTGGGGAAACTGAATTTCATTCCTTCTTACCGTATTCCTTACAACACAATAAAAGAGATCTGTGAAATTGCTCCCTCACAAAAAGACTGTGATAAGTTAAGTGTATGAAGGTACTTAATGGTGAAAGATAAAAGTTTAAAAGCTAATTATTATTGGTGCTGTGAAGGTGGAAAATTGCTTAATTGCTGAGCAGCGACCAGACTTTCAAATGGGTAGCATATACCTACAAAATTTGTAGGCCCCAACCACTATCCAAATACAAGTGCAGTGAGTGTTTCAAAGATCAAGTGAAAACACAGGCAAAAAATACAAGAAATCTCTCCTGCCAAACTATTCAATTGTGTATGACTTCTGCCCCTTCACACATAATGCCAACTGGCTATGCCATATATATCATCTTTGTGTTATTTCTGATGCTGGAGGTATAATTGTGCAGAGACTTTTAGAGAGTTCTAATTTGTTTCATGCAATTTTTGCAAATTTGACTTCAGGAAAGTACATTATCACAATTGTTGACTTTGTATATAAGAACATTAAAACTTCCTCAATAAATGTAGAGATCTTCTTTTTGTGCATCTGTGGTTGTAAAAGATACTATTTCTTGACAGCTCAGCTCTTTGGGTGACTGCATATGCAGGGGTGACTCACTGAGGTTTTTGATAGATCTGGTCAAAAGACTTAGGTTTTCTGTCATGATATTAATATTTCAGACGACTGTAGCTATAAAGCTGGGTGCACACAATTATGCACCAAAGTGATGCGCACTTATACCTCACTTTCTGACAGATTTTTTTATGGTTCATCTCTTCATAGCTCTTATACCTGTGTGACTGTCATTAGAATTCCTGGGTGTTTATGCTTGCAAAAATTTATATGTGATTATTTATATGTATCTATTTTACTGTATAAAGTGGCCTATGAAGTAGTATTCTTTCATGTTTTATGTTTCTTAAATTCCCTTTTAAGAATGTAAATAAATGCTTTTTAAGAACAAAATTAAAATTACATTTTCCAGAATTATGTTTTTGGGCTTATGGCATTCAGATTGAGTCTTTTGAGATTATGATCAGCACTGGTTTTTCCAATCCCAGAACATCCTTATACTTAGCTCCTGGGGCCCTCAACAGAAGCCAACCCCTTTCCTGTGCCCCAGTGGGCAACTGACCACCCCAATGGAGAGAAACCAGAAGGAGTACAGTAGCCAGCTCTATAACCAGTAGAAAAAGAAACACTTAGGCCGGGTACGGTGGTTCACGCCTGTAATCCCAGCACTTTCGGAGGCCAAGGCAGACGGATCACTTTTGGAGGCTGAGGGGGGCAGGAGGTAAGGAGTTTGAGACCAGCCTGGCCAACATGGTGAAACCCCATCTCTACTAAAAATACAAAATGCTTAGACCTAAGTATTTCCTTTGTTTCTGAGTGACTGTAAATAGTATTATATTTTACATTTCAGAGTCCATATGTTTATTGATAACAAGTAGAAATATAATTCAGTTTTCTATGTTTATCTTATATTCTATGAGCTTGCTGAACTTTTTAGTTCTAGTTTTTTGTTTGTTTTTGTATATTCCTTGGGATTTTTTGTTCAGATAAGCATGCTGTCTGCAAACAGGGATAGTTTTATTTCCTCCATTTCAAAGTATATGCTTTTTATTTCCTTTTCTTGCCTTATTGCAGTGTCTAGAACTTCCAGTAGTATGTTGAATAACAGTGGCCACAGAGGACATCTTGCTTTGCTCCTGACCTTACAGAAAAAGCATATAGTCTTCAATCATAAAGTACATTGTAAACTGTAGGTTTTTGTAGATTTATCAAGTTGAGGATGTTCTCCTCTCTTCCTAGATTTCTGAGAATTTTTATCATGAATGGATGTTGAATTTTGTCAAGTGCTTTTTCTGCCTCAGTTGATATGATCATATGTGTTAGAGAGGATTCTCCAGAGAAACAGAAATGATAAGGAATCAGCTCATACAATCATGGAGGCTGAGAAGTCAGATCCAGGAGAGCTGATGGTATAGTCCCAGTCTGGGACTGAAAGCCAGAGAAATAGAAGCGCCAGTGATGTAGGTTCCAGTCCAAGTCCAAGTCTGAAGACAGGAGAAGATCAATGGCCCAGTGACAAGACAGGCAAAGAGAAAGAATTCTTTCTTACTTAATCTTTCTTTTCTATTCAGGCCTTCAGTGGGTTGAAGGAGGCCCACCCACACTGGGGAGGACAGCCTTCTTTACTCAATCTAATGATTCAAATGTCAATCTCACCCAAAAGCACCCTTACAGACACACACAGAACAATATTTAACCAAATAACTGCACACCCTGTGGTCCAGTCAAGTGGACACATAAAATTAAACATCATGTCATGTAATTTTTCTTCTTTGGCATGTTAATCAGGTGGATTACATTGATTGATTTTCAAATATTGAATCAGACTGTATCCTTAGTACAAACCCTGCTTGGTTATGGTGTATCATTCTCTTTTAAATGTTGTGGAATTCTAGTTTGCAAATATTTTGTCAATGGTTTTTGCATCTATGTTCATGAGAGATATTAATCTGGAGTTTTCTTTTTGCATTGTTTTACATGTAGAGTCAGGGTAATATGAGTTTCATAAAAATAATTGGAAAATGTTTCTTCCTTTTCTATGCTCTGGATGATTGTGTAGATTACTATTAATTATTTAAACATTTGGTAGAATTTTCCAGTAAAGCTTTCTTGGCCTGGAGAGTTCTTTTAAGGAGTTTTAAAATTATTAATTCAATATTCTTCATAGATATGGGGCTATTCAAGTCATCTCTTTCATGCTGGGTGAGTTGGGGTAGCTTATGTGTTTTAAGGAATTGGTTCGTTTCACCTAAGTGCTTTATGAGAGTAGTGTTATTCCTGGTATTCTCTTGCTTCACTCTGGATATTGTATGGTCTGTAGTGATGTTTCTTATTTCATTCCTGATATGCATATTTTGTCTTCTCTCCTTTTTCTTTGTCAGTCTCGTGAGAGGTTTGTCAATTTTATTGATCTTTTCAAAGAACCAGCTTTTCATTTTCATTTCATTTCATTTCATTTTCTCTATTTTTCTGTTTTCACTTACATTGCTGTCTTCTCTTACCTTTATTATTTTCCTCCCTCCTGTTTTGCATTAATTTTGCTGTTCCCTTTCTACTTTTTTTTTTGTTTAAGGGAGAGGCTTTTCACTTTTCTAATGGATGCATTTAGTATTACCCTCTCAGCACTGCTATACCTGTGTCCCATACATTTTTATATGTTGTATTTTTGTTTTTATTCAGTACAGTGTATTTAAAAAGTTTCCCTTGAGACTTCATTTTTTACCTATGTATTATTTTTGAAGGGTGTTGTTTAGTTTTCAAGTGTTTCCACCTGGCATCCGTGATCACCCATGAGTGAGGGGATCAAATTGGCTGTTAAATCCTTCATATCTTGGCTCAATTCAGTTTTCCAGCCCCATTTCTCATTACTTCTTGCAACGAAAACCTTATTTCTAGCCAAATTTAATGTTTCATACCACTCTCTTAACATTAACATGTGCCTTTTTGGCTTTGCATTTTTGCTTATTTTTAAAATTCTTGGATGACCACATTTTATTTTCATTTCCTAAATAACAGTTGCAAAGCTACCTTAGGGCTATACTATAAGGAAGCTCATACTAAATCTTCTTAGTTTAGAAAAAGTTTGTAGTTGAAATTATAGAAATATAATAAGAAGTGATGATGCTGGGTGAAAGATGTGGTCTGAAAAAATTGATCAGATTAATGTCTGGAATCCGGGTTCCTAATTATACACCCATTTTTTTCCCAAACAATACAGAACACTAAGCCCTGAGGATGTAGGATGAATGTCTACCACCACCTGAATGAGTGAGCCTACAGTCAATTTGCACTCATATTCATTTACTTAGAGAATTTGAGTAATTTTCTCAGTTTATTATGAACAGGGCTAACAATGATTCATTTGCAAAGTGCCTAGGGTAAGAAGATCTCAAATTTGAAAAGCCTTTAAAAATATAATTGATAATAGCATGGCATAAGGTTTCTCAGAAATTATTATAGTCTTTAACCTAAGAAAATAAACATATCTAATTGAGGCCTGCTAAATAATGAAAAATAAAAATTCTGTTTTGGAAATCCAAAATACATTCAATGAAAATTATCAGTTAGCAAATTTCATGCAAACAATTCCATTTTATTATAACCCTTTGAGTGTATATTGGACTCCTTTCTAAGTTCAAAGAGTTTAGTTCAATTATTTTTTACAAAATCCAACATATAATCATCCAGTAAAGTCTACTGGGTAGTAAATGAATCATCGAATAATACTTTTCTATTCAGGTTTGCAGTTGTGTTTATTTATTTATTTATTTTTAATTTTATCATTATTATACTTTAAGTTTTAGTGTACATGTGCACAATGTGCAGGTTTGTTACATATGTATACATGTGCCATGTTGGTGTGCTGCACCCATTAACTCGTCATTTAGCATTAGGTATATCTCCTAATGCTATCCCTCCCCCATGCCCCGACCCCATAACAGTCCCCAGAGTGTGATGTTCCCCTTCCTGTGTCCATGTGTTCTCATTGTTTAATTCCCACCTATGAGTGAGAACATACGGTGTTTGGTTTTTTGTCCTTGCAATAGTTTGCTGAGAATGATGGTTTCCAGCTTCATCCATGTCCCTACAAAGGACATGAACTCATCATTTTTTATGGCTGCATAGTATTCCATGGTGTATATGTGCCACATTTTCTTAATCCAGTCTATCATTGTTGGACATTTGGGTTGGTTCCAAGTCTTTGCTATTGTGAATAGTGCCGCAATAAACATACGTGTGCATGTGTCTTTATAGCAACATGATTTATAATCCTTTGGGTATATACTCAGTAATGGGATGGCTGGGTCAAATGGTATTTCTACTTCTAGTTCCCTGAGGAATCGCCACACTGACTTCCACAATGGTTGAACTAGATTACAGTCCCACCAACAGTGGAAAAGTGTTCCTATTTCTCCACATCCTTTACAGGACCTGTTGTTTCCTGACTTTTTAATGATTTCCATTCTAACTGGTGTGAGATGGTATCTCATTGTGGTTTTGATTTGAATTTCTCTGATGGCCAGTGATGATGAGCATTTTTTCATGTGTCTTTTGGCTGCATAAATGTCTTCTTTTGAGAAGTGTGTGTTCATATCCTTTGCCCACTTTTTGATGGGGTTGTTTGTTTTTTTCTTGTAAATTGATTTGAGTTCATTGTAGATTCTGGATATTAGCCCTTTGTCAGATGAGTAGGTTGCAAAAATTTTCTCCCATTCTGTAGGTTGCCTGTTCACTCTGATGGTAGTTTCTTTTGCTGTGCAGAAGCTCTTTAGTTTAATTAGATCCCATTGTCAATTTTGGCTTTTGTTGCCATTGCTTTTGATGTTTTAGACATGAAGTCCTTGCCCATGCCTATGTCCTGAATGGTATTGCCTAGGTTTTCTTCTAGGGTTTTTATGGTTTTAGGTCTAACATGTAAGTCTTTAATCCATCTTGAATTCATTTTTGTATAAGGTGTAAGGAAGGGATCCAGTTTCAGCTTTCTACATATGGCTAGCCAGTTTTCCCAGCACCATTTATTAAATAGGGAATCCTTTCCCCATTGCTTGTTTTTCTCAGGTTTGTCAAAGTCAGATGGTTGTAGATATGTGGCATTATTTCTAAGGGCTCTGTTCTGTTTTGTTGATCTTATATCTGTTTTGTACCAGTACCATGCTGTTTTGTTTACTGTAGCCTTGTAGTATAGTTTGAAGTCAGGTAGTGTGATGCCTCTGGCTTTGTTCTTTTGGCTTAGGATTGACTTGGCAATGTGGGCTCTTTTTTGGTTCCATATGAACTTGAAAGTAGTTTTTTCCAATTCTGTGAAGAAAGTCATTGGTAGCTTGATGGGGATGGCATTGAATCTATAAATTACCTTGTGCAGTATGTCCATTTTCATGATATGGATTCTTCCTACCCATGAGCATGGAATGTTCTTCCATTTCTTTGTATCCTCTTTTATTTCATAGAGCAGTGGTTTGTAGTTCTCCTTGAAGAGGTCCTTCACATCCCTTGTAAGTTGGATTCCTAGGTATTTTATTCTCTTTGAAGCAATTGTGAATGGGAGTTCACTCATGATTTGGCTCTCTGTCTGTTTTTGGTGTATAAGAATGCTTTTGATTTTTGTACATTGATTTTGTATCCTGAGTCTTTGCTGAAGTTGCTTATCAGCTTAAGGAGATTTTGGGCTGAGACGATGGGGTTTTCTAAATATACAATCATGTCATCTGCAAACAGGGACAATTTGACTTCCTCTTTTCCTAATTGAATACCCTTTATTTCCTTCTCCTGCCTGATTGCCCTGGCCAGAACTTCCAGCACCATGTTGAATAGGAGTAGTGAGAGAGGGCATCCCTGTCTTGTGCCAGTTTTCAAAGGGAATGCTTCCAATTTTTGCCCATTCAGTATGATATTGGCTGTGGGTTTGTCATAGATAGCTCTTATAATTTTGAGATACGTCCCAACAATACCTAATTAATTGAGAGTTTTTAGCATGAAGCGTTATTGAATTTTGTCAAAGGCGTTTTCTGCATCTATTGAGATAATCATGTGGTTTTTGTCTTTGGTTCTGTTTATATGCTGGATTACATTTATTGATTTGCGTATGTTGAAACAGCCTTGCATCCCAGGGATGAAGCCCACTTGATTGTGGTGGATAAGCTTTTTGATGTGCTGCTGGATTCGGTTTGCCAGTATTTTATTGAGGATTTTTGCATCAATGTTCATCAAGGATATTGGTCTAAAATTCTCTTTTTTGTTGGTGTCTCTGCCAGGCTTTGGTATCAGTATGATGCTGGCCTCATAAAATGAGTTAGGGAGGATTCCCTCTTTTTCTATTGATTGGAATAGTTTCAGAAGGACTGGTAACAGCTCCTCCTTGTACCTCTGGTAAAATTCGGCAGTGAATCCGTCTGGTCCTGGACTTTTCTTTGCTTGGTAAGCTATTGATTATTGCCACAATTTTCAGAGCCTGTTATTGGTCTATTCAGAGAGTCAACTTCTTCTTGGTTTAGTCTTGGGAGAGTGTGTTTGTTGAGGAATTTATCCATTTCTTCCAGATTTTCTAGTTTATTTGTGTAGAGGTGTTTATAGTATTCTCTGATGGTAGTTTGTATTTCTGTGGGATTGGTGGTGATATCCCCTTTATCATTTTTATTGCGCCTATTTGATTCTTCTCTCTTTTCTTCTTTATTAGTCTTGCTAGTGGTCTATCGATTTTGTTGATCTTTTCAAAAAACAATCTCCTGGATTCATTAATTTTTTGAAGGGTTTTTTGTGTCTCTATTTCCTTCAGTTCTCCTCTGATTTTAGTTATTTCTTGCCTTCTGCTAGCTTTTGAATGTGTTTGCTCTTGCTTTTCTAATTCTTTTAATTTTGATGTTAGGGTGTCAATTTTGGATCTTTCCTGCTTTCTGTTGTGGGCATTTAGTGCTATAAATTTCCCTCTACACACTGCTTTGATTGTGTCCCAGAGATTCTGGTATGTTGTGTCTTTGTTCTCGTTGGTTTCAAAGAACATCTTTATTTCTGCCTTCATTTTGTTATGTACCCAGAAGTCATTCAGGAGCAGGTTATTCAGTTTCCATGTAGTTGAGCAGTTTTGAGTGAGTTTCTTAATCCTGAGTTCTAGTTTGATTGCACTGTGGTCTGAGAGACAGTTTGTTATAATTTCTGTCTTTTATATTTGCTGAGGAGTGCTTTACTTCCAAGCATGTGATCACTTTTGGAATAGGTGTGGTGTGGTGCTGAAAAGAATGTATATTCTGTTGATTTGGGGTGGAGAGTTCTGTAGATGTCTATTAGGTCCGCGTGGTGCAGAGCTGAGTTCAATTCCTGGGTATCCTTGTTAACTTTCTGTTTAGTTGATCTGTCTAATGTTGACAGTGGGGTGTTAAAGTCTCCCATTATTATTGTGTGGGAGTCTAAGTCTCTTTGTATGTCACTAAGGACTTGCTTTATGAATCTGGGTGCTCCTGTATTGGGTGCATATATATTTAGGATAGTTAGCTCTTCTTGTTGAATTGATCCCTTTACCATTATGTAATGGCCTTCTTTGTCTCTTTTGATCTCTGTTGGTTTAAAGTCTGTTTTATCAGAGACTAGGATTGCAACCCCTGCCTTTTTTTGTTTTCCATTTGCTTGGTAGATCTTCCTCCATCCTTTTATTTTGAGCCTATGTGTGTCTCTGCACATGAGATGGTTTTCCTGAATACAGCACACTGATGGGTCTTGACTCTTTATCCAATTTGCCAGTCTGTGTCTTTTAATTGGAGCATTTAGCCCATTTACATTTAAAGTTAATATTGTTATGTGTGGAGTTGGTCCTGTCATTATGATGTTAGCTGGTTATTTTGCTCATTAGTTGATGCAGTTTCTTCCTAGCCTTGATGGTCTTTACATTTTGGCATGTTTTTGCAGTGGCTGGTACCGGTTGTTCCTTTCCATGTTTAGTGCTTCCTTCAGGAGCTCTTTTAGGGCAGGCCTGGTGGTGACAAAATCTCTCAGCATTTGCTTGTCTGTAAAGTATTTTATTTCTCCTTCACTTATGAAGCTTAGTTTGGCTGGATATGAAATTCTGGGTTGAAAATTCTTTTTTTAAGAATGTTGAATATTGGCCCCCACTCTCTTCTGGTTTGTAGAGTTTCTGCCAAGAGATCCGCTGTTAGTCTGATGGGCTTCCCTTTTTGGGTAACCCGGCCTTTCTCTCTGGCTGCCCTTAACATTTTTTCCTTCAACTTTGGTGAATCTGACAATTATGTGTCTTGGAGTTGCTCTTCTCGAGGAGTATCTTTGTGGCGTTCTCTGTATTTTCTGAATCTGAATGTTGACCTGCCTTGCTAGATTGGGGAAGTTCTCCTGGATAATATCCTGCATGGTGTTTCCCAACTTGGTTGCATTCTCCCCATCACTTTCAAGTAAACCAGTCAGACATAGATTTGGTCTTTTCACATAGTCCCTTATTTCTTGGAGGCTTTGTTTGTTTCTTTGTATTCTTTTTTCTCTAAACTTCCCTTCTCACTTCATTTCATTCATTTCATCTTCCGTCACTGATACCCTTTCTCCCAGTTGATCGCATCAGCTCCTGAGGCTTTTGCATTCTTCACGTAGTTCTCGAGCCTTGGCTTTCAGCTCCATCAGCTCCTTTAAGGACTCTCTGCGTTGGTTATCCTAGTTATCCATTCATCTAATTTTTTTTCACCGTTTTTAACTTCTTTGCCATTGGTTTGAATTTCCTCCTGTAGCTCGGAGTAGTTTGATCATCTGAAGCCTTCTTCTCTCATCTTGTCAAAGTCATTCTCCGTCCAGCTTTGTTCCATTGCTAGTGAGGAGCTGCATTCCTTTGGAGGAAGAGAGGCGCTCTGCTTTTTAGAGTTTCCAGTTTTTCTGCTCTGTTTTTTCCCCATCTTTGTGGTTTTATCTACTTTTGGTCTTTGTTGATGTTGACGTACAGAAGGGTTTTTGGTGTGGATGTACTTTCTGTTTGTTAGTTTTCCTTCTAACAGACAGGACCCTCAGCTGCAGGTCTGTTGGAGTTTGCTAGAGGTCCACTCCAGACCCTGTTTGCCTGGGTATCAGCAGTGGTGGCTGCAGAACAGTGGTGGCTGTAGGACAGCGGATCTTGGTGAACTGCAAATGCTGCTGCCTCGTTCCTCTGGAAGTTTTGTCTCAGAGGAGTATCCGGCTGTGTGAGGTGTCAGTCTGCCCCTACCAGGCAGTGCCTCCCAGTTAGGCTGCTCGGGGTCAGGGACCCACTTGAGGAGGAAGTCTGCCCATTCTCAGATCTCAAGCTGCGTGCTGGGAGAACCAATACTCTCTTCAAAGCTGTCAGACAGGGACATTTTTGTCTGCAGAGGTTACTGCTGTCTTTTTGTTTGTCTGTGCCCTGCCCCCAGAGGTGGACTCTACAGAGGCAGGCAGGCCTCCTTGAGCTGTGGTGGGCTCCACCCAGTTCGAGCTTCCCGGCTGCTTTGTTTACCTAATCAAGCCTGGGTAATGGCAGGTGCCCCTCCCCCAGCCTCGCTACCATCTTGCAGTTTGATCTCAGACTGCTGTGCTAGCAATCTGAGCAGACTCCATGGGCATAGGACCCTCTGAGCCAGGTGCGGGATATAATCTCCTGGTGTGTCATTTTTTAAGCCTGTTGGAAAAGCGCAGTATTAGGGTGGGAGTGACCTGATTTTCCAGGTGCCGTCTGTCACCCCTTTCTTTGACTAGGAAAGGGAACTCCCTGACCCCTTGCACTTCCTGAGTGAGGCAATGCCTCGCCCTGCTTCAGCTTGCTCAGTGTGCTGCACCCACTGTCTGGCACTCCCTAGTGAGATGAACCCAGTACTTCAGATGGAAATGCAGAAATCACCCATCTTCTGTGTCGCTCACGCTGGGAGCTGTAGATTGGAGCTGTTCCTATTCGGCCATCTTGGCTCAGATGTGTTTATTTCTAACATGCAATTTCACTGATTAAAACCATATCCGTTTCCTGCCTGAGTGGCATTTTGACCTCTGGGGGGAGCATTCTAGAATTCCTATCCCTTCCCAGGTACTGCTTCCTAAAGACAGTCAGGCGCCCTGTGAATTCTGATACTGGCTTTTCCTTCATGTCACACATGACTGGGTCTTGGGTTAGTGCATTAGGCAGTGGGCCTCATGTTGGGGTCCTTAGACTAACTCTATCCTTGGGAGAACTGTGAAAATGTACTTTCTGAGGCTCTACCTACTACCCACAGAATTAGACTGTCTGTGAGTGATCCCGATATCAGCATGTTTTTCAAGTACCCTAAGTGAACTAAGAGCTCATTATTTATGAGGTAGCCAGGTGCGGTGGCTAACACCTGTAATCCCAGCACTTTGGAAGGCTGAAGTGAATGGATCACTTGAGCCAAGGAGTTCAAGACCAGCCCAAGCAATTGGCAAAACCCTGTGTCTACAGAAAATTAGAAAAATAGTGAGTGTGAGGCTGGGTGTGGTGGCTCATGCCTGTAATCCCAGCACTTTGGGAGGCTGAGGAGGGTGGATCACAAGGTCAGGAGTTCAAGATCAGCCTGGCCAAGAAAGTGAAATCCTGTCTCTACTAAAAATACAAAAATTAGCTGGGCGTGGTGGTGTGCGCCTATAATCCCAGCTACTTGGGAGGCTGAGGTAGAGAACTGTTTGAACGTGGGAGGTGGAGGTTGCAGTGAGCCAAGATCATGCCACTGCACTCCAGCCTAGATAACAGAGTGAGACTCCATCTCAAATAAATAAATAAATAAATAAATAAATAAATAAATAAATAAGTGAGCATGGTGGTGCACACCTATAGTCCCAGCTATTCAGTAGGCTGAGGTAGGAGGATTGCTTGAGCTTGGGAGATTGAGGCTGCAGTGAGATCTGATCACACCATTGCTCTCCAGCCTGGATGACAGAGCAAGACCTTCCCCCATCACCCCAAATAGCCTAACAACAACAACAACAACAACAACAACAACAAAATAAGCAAAAAACATTTATGAATCGCTGGTCTGAAATAAGACAATCCACATTTTCAGGCATGGAATTCCCCTGTATGTTGTGTAATTTGGCTCACCTGCCCACAACCCTGGGCCATCACATATAGTGCGGCTATTATTCTACCTAACATTGCTCTCTGCATCTGGGTGCCATTTCACATTACTTTTGTATGAACTGATGGGGGCAGAGGTCACCACTTTACTCTCCATTTTATCAGCAGTCATTTCCCTTACCTACTGCCTTGGTATCCGTGTACTATTTAGTATCACTGACTATTTATTGTATTATTTTGCATGTATTTATAAGTTCTTAGGTTATTGTTTTTAGTTGTATAACATGTCAGTATATTTTGTCTCTCCAACAGGATTTAAACTCCTTGAAGACAGAGCGAATGACTTTGTTTCTTTAATATTCTGGAACAGTTCCTTGCTCAGGACTCTAAGGCCAGCAGGTGTTCATTAATGCATTTTAACAGACTGGTTTTCTGCATACAAACATTCAGTTTTAGAAGAACACTCTGATAATGTGGTGCCTGGGTGTCCAGATATAGATTACCTAATGAGATACGGGAATAAAGCATTGGGTGCATGGTTCCTCCAGCACTCTGTGTGAGGGAAAGGACCATTTTGGCAGAGCCTCATTAGCATCCATAGGGATTTGTGATTAATTAAAAATGTTAGTGATCATCAGTGCCTGAGAGTCAGGGGAGATGGATACTCAGCATCTGCTCCAATAATAACTTAAATGCCCCCAATTTTTGTCTATATTCTAATCATCTGAGTATCTATTTGTTCCAGGAGTATCTTAAAATACTAGATGACATTTCACTGAAGCCAATGAGTATTTCCTGAAAACTCAGAAACAGATTTTTCTAGAAAAATATTTATACTTTTTTCTTTTAAGATGGTAGACTTTGTGTGTATATGTGTGTGCACAGTGTGTATACAAATATGTAGAGAGTTAGAAAGGCTACCTGATTTTTAACTCTCTATAGAGAGAGCATACTCCAGGAATATGTGCTAATTGGTGCAAAGAATTTAGTCACAACTATAAAAATTCAATTCAGCCCAATATGTAAAGTTTTATGTCTTTGTGGTAACTGTCCATCAGTGATCAGTAAGTTAGTAAGTGTGCTTCTGTTGATAAGTCTGTTTTAGGCTAGGAATGGTGGCTGATGCCTGTAATCCCAGTGTGTTGAGAGACAGAGGTGGGAAGATCCCTTGAGCCAGGAGTTCAAGACCAGCCTGGGTAACATAGCGAGACCACGTCTCTATAAAAATAAAATTAAATAAAATCAGTTGGGTGTGGTGATGTGCTCCTATAGTCCTAGCTACTGGAGAGCCTGAGGCAGGAGATCACTGGAGCCCAGGTGTTGGAGGTTGCAATGAGCTATGATCGTGCCACTGCACTCTAGCCTGGATGACAGAACAATATCTCATTGAAAGAAAGAAGGAAAGACAGAGAGAGGGAGGGAGGGAAGGAGGGAGGAAGGTGGGGTGGGGAGAGAGACAGGAAGGAAGAAAAAGAAAAGAAAAGAAGGAAAGAAGGGAGGAAAGAAGGAAGGAAGGAAGGAAAGAGAATCTGTTGTAACTTTGGGTTTAAGTGAAATTTTACCAAAGTAAACCATTATAGCCAATATAAGATGTGTTTCACTACACTTGTTTATAGAAATGGTCCATATGCAAAGACATGGTTCTGAAGTTTCTTTTAGAACTAAGACAAGGATGTACTTTGGTGCCTCTGAGAAACTGGCACACTTATTCCTTTTTGAAAATAGGAACTGCATAATTGACAGTGTCTGCCTTTCTGTTTGGCTGCCAAAAACCTTAGAACAAAATTTAAAGCTCAGCTATACCAATTATGTGGAGATTTAGCAGCTGAATATCTATGTTACTTTATCAAGTTATCTTGACATTCTACTTATTATTTTTCAGATGCCCTGTACCTGAAATCCTTCATGGAAAAATGTGGAATGAATAAATTAGTAAAATAAATAAGATAGGGTTGTTGCTTTGTGACTTAGGAGGGGAGAAGATATTGGCTATCACAGAACCTCAATTTTCACCCACTAAACAAGAACAATAACACTTTCCTACTTCCTTCACAGGATGGGTGTGAGGATTAATTTAGGCCAGGTCAATTATAAGGAACTATACAGAAGGTATTTTTTGCAGAGAAGGTCCCAGCTTTAAAGCTGAAGCTATATTTACTCTAAGGATTTGGAGAGGTCACTAAAGTGTATGAGGCAGGCCAAGGAAGACTGGAGGAGAGAGTGGATTCTAGAAGGGAATCAATCCAATTGGGTGAATGGAGGACTAAGGTGAGCTCATTGTCCAGGACCAATGGATCAATATTAGTGGGTGGGGTAATCGTATTCATAGTATGCTAGCCCCTTTATGCCATACTTATGCTGAGGCCCTGGGTAGGGAAAGTATAAAAATTAGAAGACCTGTTTCACTAAAATCTCTGTAAGATGCCGAGAACATAAGACAACGCTTCTGTAACCAAGTAATAGTGCAAAGCATAAATCTACCTGTGGTGCCTCCGTTTCCTCACCCCCCATTATTCTTCAGAATACTCCAATCTTCTTGAGGTGATCAGCCAATTTATCCCTAATAATAGAAATGACTTTGAATAAAGTTCAGTGGTGACCTCAGAATAGCGAAATCCGAGGTTTCGTCTTACAAATCTCTCTGGAATATGACAGTGCGCATCACCTTGTCTACGAAGTGCTCCTCTCTGGAGTTGCAGGACCCCATCCCTCTCTCTGACCATTTTTCTCCCCCTTGTTGCTGGTTCCTCTGCTGCAGCCACACTCCAACACTCACTGAACTGGGGTCAGCCCTTAGACCTGGTCTCGTTTCCCTCTGTACACTTTAGGATTCTGGGTATCTTGTTTGACAAGTTATACATACTAATAATAGTCAGCATAACAATGCATGTTCATCACTTATTTTTAAAAATAGAACATATTCACATCTATCTGACTGAATTTGCATTTTGAAATGACTCCTTGAATCAGAGAGAAAAGGAACTAGCATGTGGAGAATTGTATCTAAGTCCAGATATACCCTTCATCCTTTACAGACACACAGATGATTATCATTTATGCAGGAAAAAAATTGAGAGCTACCTATCCCCTCCATTCCTAGCTAATCTACCATCTAATCCCAGTGACCCTAAAACTGTATCTTTATCCCAGAACTTTCTCCTGATTTCCAGGCTGACACTGAACAGGATCATGATACTCGAATGTCCCTTAGGAATTCAAACTCAAATTCATTATCATTTCCCTCTGAACATCTCTCTTTTATTCATCAACCCACCAGGAGTTATCCTAGATTTATTCTCCTGTATGCACCACTGTGTTTGTGTCTGTTCTCTCATTGCTATCAAGAAATACCTAAAGTTGGGTAATTTATAAAGAAAAGAGGTTTAATTGTCTCACAGTTCTGCAGGCTGTACAGGAAGTGTGGTGCCAGCATCTGCTTCTGGGGAGGCCTCAGGAAGTTTCCAGTCATGGCAGAAGGCAAAGGGAGAGCTGGCACATCACATTGCAAGAGCAGGAGCAAGAGGGGGTGGGGAAGGTCCCAGAACTCACTGAGCAAGAACTTACTCATCACCAAGGGGATGGTGTTAACCATTCATGAGGGATCTGCCCCATGATCCAATCACCTCCCACCAGGCCCCACCTCCAACACTGGGCATCACATTTCAGCATGAGATTTGGAGAGGACAAACATTCAAACCATATCATCCATGTTTGCATCTGGCCTCCAAATTGTCTATATTTCTGTACCATGCTTTACAGCTCTGTTCCTTCCTCTAAATCCATGGCCTTCACATGTTAGTGAACACCAGAATCCCTGGGAGGGCTTGGTACAACACAGATGGCCGGGCCCCAACTCCGAGTTTCAGATTCTGCATGGATGCGCACTTCTAACAAATTTCCACACCGTGCTGATGCTGCTGGTTGAGGGGAAAAGGGTGGGCAGTCACACTTTGGGAAACACAGGCTTAACTCATTGCTCTTAGTGCTTTATTTTGTCTCTAATCCTTTCCTACTTGTCCTAGGTAATAGTCTCTTTACTTTCCTCACCCCACCTCACAAAACTCTTTACTTTTCCTGTCTACCTGTACTGCCTGATAGAACTTTCTGTGAGGATGGAACTGTTCACATGTACTGTCCAACACAGCTGCCACCAGACACGTAGGTACTGAACACTTTAAATGTGGCTGCTGCCCTCAAGGACTGAATTCTCAATTATTAAATAGTTATTTAATTTTCAATGTGGCTAGTGGCTACTGTACTGGATGGTGCAACTCTATATTGTTGCCAGACCTTTCCAGGACAAAAGTCTATTCACATTTCTTCTTTATTTAAAATGTCCTGATGGTGCCACATTGTCTACAGACTCAAGGTGAGGATTATAGTGTGATTCATGTCTAGCTTTGAAATCAGGTGGACCTGAGTTTGAATCTTGGCTGAAATATTTAATAGCCATGTTGCTTTAGGTGAGTTAATCATTGATCCTCAGTTTCCTTGTCTGTCAAAGTAAATTACTTATTATAGTGATCATAGAAAGTGATCAGTAGGAAGGATCCATAAATTATAATGAGAAGCTGACACATACTCACTAATAATAATGATAATGATAGTTATTGTTCCAAACTTCTTTGTAAGACATGTAAGTCCCTTCACAACTGGGGGCTTGCCTTGCTTTAAAAAATTTGATTTTGATATATCTTGTGTATTAGTCTGTTTTCACACTGCTGATAAAGACATACCTGAGACTTGGCAACGTAAGAAGAAAGAGGTTTAATGGACTCCCACTTCCACATGAGTGGGGAGGCCTCACAATCATGGTGACATGTCTCACGTGGCGGCAGACAAGAGAAGAGAATGAGAGCCAAGTGAAAGGGGTTTCCACTTATAAAACCATCAGATCTTGTGAGACTTATTCACTACCATGAGAACAGTATGGGGGAAATTGCTCCCATGATTCATTTATCTCCCATTGGGTCCCTCCCACAACATGAGGGAATTATGAGAGCTACAATTAAAGATGAGATTTGGGTGGGGACACAGCCAAAAACCATATCACCTCGTCTTGTACCTTAACTTCTAGAATTCTAAATTGTTTGCATTTCCCCCCAATATTATTATCTGACGCATGCTTCTGTGCCTTCGGTAATAATGGTTCCTTGCTAGTCCACCCTTGTGAACATTACTTATCTTTTTATATTAAGCCGATAGGGTTACTTTATCTATGAAAACCTTTACTTTCCCCCATTACATCAGATAGAGCTGAGTACCTCCTCCTTTGTGTCTACAATGCACCATTTCTATCATGGCACTTCTTATTGCACTTATTTGTCCATGTGTAATTCCTTCTCCAAGACTGCATTCCTAGAAAGCGGGGCCATTTTAAATATTTCACCTCTTAGGACCCAGTACATGATACATTGCAGGCACTTAAAACCTGTTTGTTGAGTGAATGATTGACCAGGTCCTGTTAAAGGGCAGAGTTCGGTAGTTTCCTGAGCAATAGAAAACCATTCAAATCTTTAGTACAAGATTTGTTCCTAGTTAGCTCATAGCTTATAGTCAGGCTACTGGCTTCCCTGATCCTTAGAAGTTGGAGATTGGAATAGAGCCTCCCAAGATTCCGTACAGCTCTAACACACTCTATCCTCATTGTCTTCTACATAGATTTTTAATTTTTTTTAAGTTCTGCTATATTATGCTAACATGGAATATATTATTTTGGCACCAATGAAAATATTGTTTCTTGGAAGTAGGATACAGATTTAAAGTGATTACTTGTTATTTTTTGTTTGTTTTAGCTAAAGTCAATATCCCAACATTTACAGAAACTTTAAACACTGAAAATAGAAATTCAAAATCAACCCTAAAAGGCAGGAAATGGCAAAATATAGTGTGTAATGAGGAAATATTAATAGCAAGGATCTTGGGAGGCTAAGACACTGGGCATAAGCATGGGGAAGACAAAAAGAAGTGTGAAAAGCCAGACTGAGACATATTGTAGAGGGGTTTCATTGCCATTGTTCTTAATCTAACAAAAAATAGGGAACCATAGGAATGTCAACCTGGCTACAGTGTTGTGGAGTTACCGTATCAGGAAAGTTGAAGAAGATAAAGAATTTTCAACATTGAGTCCTGGAGGGACACACTGCAGCTCAGAACTAATGTGTTTGGAGGAATTGGAAAAAGGCAGGGAGACAGATGTTGCAGTTGAGAAATATTCTGTCCTTAGATACTGATTAGCTATGGGGCGAGGGAAGGATGATGAAAAATTATTCCTTTTTTCATGCCTGCATACCAAGGACTGTGGTACAAATCCAATAAATATGGAAACCAAGTAGTTCGAGAGGGATAGCAAGAGTTTGGTTTTGAATATTTGACTTGGAAGTGACAATGGAATGTTTTACAAGAATGCATAGTCAGAATCTGAAAATGAAAAGAGGAAAAACCTTGAAGGCAAGATTTTAGACTGGGAATTTGAAAAGGGCAAAGAAAGAATATAAGCAGAAAACCTCAAGTCAAACATCAAGACGAATCAGAGTGTTAGATTTCACTGGACCTTAGAGATCAGCTTGTTTCACTTTTTCGTTTTATAGATGAGGACATTTAATGCCTGAGACTTCAAGGAAGGTTTAAGAAACTTATATCCTTATATTATGATTCATTCATCTATAAAAAAGGAGAGATTTGAACCAACTTTTTAATAGATATAAAGTGATTTTGTTTCTGTCACAGAAATATTTCATCATTATTTTTTAATACAGCAGGGAGAAGAGATCTTGCCTAAAAGGCATACTTTCTTGATTATCCAATGTATTTTTTTTAAATAAGACATGTTTTAGGTCCCATATTAAGAAAAAAAATTAGATATAACATGGAAATAGTGCTCAGAGATGGGGATAAAACTCAAGATTAAAACTAAATACTCTAGAAAAAGTTGGCTTCATACTTCTGTCTGTTTTCAAATACTCAGAGCTGTAAACTGACAGTCCAAGACAAGAAATGAAAAAAATAATTGAAGTTGACACGCTGCGTCCTGAAAGCTAACAGAATGATGTGGTATATTTCCCACGACCAAGTCATTTAGAGGAATGATACATTCATCTCTCTGGCTGGATACCTTAGGTTAAGAATTGGTTTACATAACAATCAGAAGATGGATGGGCAATGCATTATGAGAAACATCTTTGTACAAGATTTCCCACTCTATAGTTCCTGTCTTCTGTGATGGAAACTGGAAATCCTATTTGATTTATATGGTTCTCTCTTTTTAGAAATAAACAGTGCAAAAATATGTTAAAGCATAAAAAAGAAACCATAAATGTTAATAGATCTGATTATGAAAGTTAAAAATTTTTACATGGCATAAGTCTCTGTAACCCAATTTTTAAGACACTGAAAGAAAATACTATAGAAACCATAAATAGTTAATATTCTGAATATTCAACATGAGGTTATTAAAAAACAAGTAACAGATAATTACCCTTAGAGGAAAACAACCACATAAATGGACTGGTCATTTGCAAAAGAAAAGCAAAACTTGCCAAAGGCCATAATAATCTTACTATTAATCAAAGAATTCAATACTTGTTCTCTCACTGTCACAATCTTTGCCCAGTGGTTCCAAGCCAACAACATTTGCCTGTCTTTGGCAAAGATTAAGCATAATGATAATACCCAGTGTTGGGGAAATTAGCACTTTACCGGTGGAGTATAAACGTTCTTCAGAAAATCTGGCAATTTAAATCATAAATCTTAATAAATTTGCAAATTCTTTGTGGGAGGGAGATTTCTAAGATGGCCCCCAGTCCCAACCCTCGCCAACTCCCAACTCAGTAAACACACATGTGCAATCCACTCCCCTTGAGTGAGGGAGAGACTGTGGATATGAAGGGATAGCACTCCTGTGCTTGTGTTACAGAATATGGCAAAGGTTAAGAGATTTTGCAAATGTAATGAAAGTGCCTAATCATTTGACTTTGAGTTAACCAAAAGGAAGATTATCCTCAGTGGGGCTGGTCTAACCAAATGAGCTCTTTAAAAAAGAGTCTGGAGGCAAGTGACACCAAGCAGGAACAGATGCTGTCCTGTTGGCCTTGGAGACACACATTTTCCTATTGTGGAGATGGCTACAAGGCAGAGAATGGTGACTGAGCTCTAGGAGCTGACAGTTCTGTACCCACAGGGACCTGCATTCTGCCAGCCACAGGGAGCTTGGGAAGGACCCTGTGCCCAGATGAGATTGCAGCCCTGGCTGACACCTTGAATGCAGCCTTGTGAGACACAGAGTGGAAAACCCAGCCAAGCCCTGACTAGGTCCCTGACCCACAGAAACTGTGAGGTCACAAACATGTGTTGTTTTAAGCTGCTGAGTCTGTGGTAATTTGTTTTGCAAAATCAAAAACTAATAAATTTTTTAATCAAATAACTTAGCCCAATCTTGAGAATTTATCCTGAGGTATTAATCAGATATCCAAACAAAAAATAAATGTATAAGGATGTTTATTTTAGAATCACTTACTGATAAAAGACCAGAAACAACCTAAAACTCCAATCATAGTGGATTGATTCAACTCATTCTGATACATCATATATTACATGGAAAGAGTTAAACCAAAGTGGCAACTGATTATATGGATAGTAAGATGGTAAAGAAATGTGCTTATCCATATATATTTTTTTAATTATACTTTTAAGTTTTAGGGTACATGTGCACAATGTGCAGGTTTGTTACATATGTATACATGTGCCATGTTGGTGTGCTGCACTCATTAACTTGTCATTTAGCATTAGGTATATCACCTAATGCTATCCCTTCCCCCTCCCCCCACTCCATAACAGTCCCCGGTGTGAGATGTTCACCTTCCTGTGTCCATGTGTTCTCATTGTTCAATTCCCACCTATGAGTGAGAACACGAGGTGTTTGGTTTTTAGTCCTTGCAATAGTTTGCTGAGAATGATGGTTTCCAGCTTCATCCATGTCCCTACAAAGGACATGAACTCATCATTTTTTATGGCTGCATAGTATTCCAGGGTGTATGTGCCACATTTTCTTCATCCAGTCTATCATTGATGGACATTTGGGTTGGTTCAAAGTCTTTGCTATTGTGAATAGTGCCGCAATAAACATACATATGCATGTGTCTTTATAGCAGCATGATTTATAATCCTTTGGGTATATACCCAGTAATGAGATGGCTGGGTCAAATGGTATTTCTAGTTCTAGATCCCTGAGGAATCGCCACACTGACTTCCACAATGGTTGAACTAGTTTACAGTCCCACCAACAGTGGAAAAGTGTTCCTATTTCTCCACATCCTCTCCAGCACCTGTTGTTTCCTGACTTTTTAATGATCACCATTCTAACTGGTGTGAGATGGTATCTCATTGTGGTTTTGATTTGCATTTCTCTGATGGCCAGTGATGATGAGCATTTTTTCATGTGTCTTTTGGCTGCATAAATGTTTTCTTTTGAGAAGTGTCTGTTCATATCCTTTGCCCACTTTTTGATGGGGTTGTTTGTTTTTTTCTTGTAAATTTGTTTGAGTTCATTGTAGATTCTGGATATTAGCCCTTTGTCAGATGAGTAGGTTGCAAAAATTTCCTCCCATTCTGTAGGTTGCCTGTTCACTCTGATGGTGGTTTCTTTTGCTGTGCAGAAGCTCTTTAGTTTAATTAGATCCCATTTGTCAATTTTGGCTTTTGTTGCCATTGCTTTTGGTGTTTTAGACATGAAGTCCTTGCCCATGCCTATGTCCTGAATGGTATTGCCTAGGTTTTCTTCTAGGGTTTTTATGGTTTTAGGTCTAACATTTAAGTCTTTAATCCATCTTGAGTTAATTTTTGTATAAGGTGTAAGGAAGGGATCCAGTTTCAGCTTTCTACATATGGCTAGCCAGTTTTTCCAGCACCATTTATTAAATAGGGAATCCTTTCCCCATTGCTTGTTTTTCTCAGGTTTTTCAAAGATCAGATGGTTGTAGATATGCGGCATTATTTCTGGGACTCTGTTATGTTCCTTTGGTCTATATCTCTGTTTTGGTACCAGTACCATGCTGTTTTGGTTACTGTAGCCTTGTAGTATAGTTTGAAGTCAGGTAGCATGATGCCTCTAGCTTTGTTCTTTTGGCTTAGGATTGACTTGGCAATGCAGGCTTCTTTTTGGTTCCATATGAACTTTAAAGTAGTTTTTTCCAATTCTGTGAAGAAAGTCATTGGTAGCTTGATGGGGATGGCACTGAAACTATAAATTACCTTGGGCAGTATGGCCATTTTCATGTTATTGATTCTTCCTACCCATGAGCATGGAATGTTCTTCCATTTGTTTGTATCCTCTTTTATTTCACTGAGCAGTGGTTTGTAGTTCTCCTTGAAGAGGTCCTTCACATCCCTTGTAAGTTGGATTCCTAGGTATTTTATTCTCTTTGAAGCAATTGTGAATGGGAGTTCACTCATGATTTGGCTCTCTGTTTGTCTGTTTTTGGTGTATAAGAATGCTTTTGATTTTTGTACATTGATTTTGTATCCTGAGACTTTGCTGAAGTTGCTTATCAGCTTAAGGAGATTTTGGGCTGAGAAAATGGGGTTTTCTAAATATACAATCATGTCATCTGCAAACAGGGACAATTTGACTTCCTCTTTTCCTAATTGAATACCCTTTATTTCCTTCTCCTGCCTGATTGCCCTGGCCTGAACTTCCAGCACCATGTTGAATAGGAGTAGTGAGAGAGGGCATCCCTGTCTTGTGCCAGTTTTCAAAGGCACAAGTTTCAATGCTTCCAGTTTTTGCCCATTCAGTATGATATTGGCTGTGGGTTTGTCATAGATAGCTCTTATTATTTTGAGATACGTCCCATCAATACATAATTTATTGAGAGTTTTTAGCATGAAGCGTTATTGAATTTTGTGAAAGGCGTTTTCTGCATCTATTGAGATAATCATGTGGTTTTTGTCTTTGGTTCTGTTTATATGCTGGATTACGTTTATTGATTTGTGTATGTTGAACCAGCCTTGCATCCCAGGGATGAAGCCCACTTGATCATGGTGGATAAGCTTTTTGATGTGTTGCTGGATTTGGTTTGTCAGTATTTTATTGAGGATTTTTGCATCAATGTTCATCAAGGATATTGGTCTAAAATTCTCTTTTTTTGTTGTGTCTCTGCCAGGCTTTGGTATCAGGATGATCCTGGCCACATAAAATGAGTTAGGGAGGATTCCCTCTTTTTCTATAGATTGGAATAGTTTCAGAAGGAATGGTACCATCTTCTCATTGTATCTCTGGTAGAATTTTGCTGTGAATCCATCTGGTCCTGGACTTTTTTTGGTTGGTAAGCTATTAATTATTGCCTCAATTTCAGAGCCTGTTATTGGTCTATTCAGAGATTCAACTTCCTCCTGGTTTAGTCTTGGGAGAGTGTATGTGTCGAGGAATTTATCCATTTCTTCTAGATTTTCTAGTTTATTTGTGTAGAGGTGTTTATAGTATTCTCTGATGGTAGTTTGTATTTCTGTGGGATTGGTGGTGATATCCCCTTTATCATTTTTTATTGCGTCTATTTGATTCTTCTCTCTTTTCTTCTTTATTAGTCTTGCTAGCGGTCTATCAATTTTGTTGATCTTTTCAAAAAACCAGCTCCTGGATTCATTGATTTTTTGAACAGTTTTTTATTTCTCTATTTCCTTCAGTTCTGCTCTGATATTAGTTATTTCTTGCCTTCTGCTAGCTTTTGAACGTGTTTGCTCTTGCTTCTCTAGTTCTTTTAATTGTGATGTTAGGGTGTCAATTTTCGATCTTTCCTACTTTCTCTTGTGGGCATTTAGTGCTATAAATTTCCCTCTACACACTGCTTTGAATGTGTCCCAGAGATTCTGGTATGTTGTGTCTTTGTTCTCGTTGGTTTCAAAGAACATCTTTATTTCTGCCTTCATTTCGTTATGTACCCCGTAGTCATTCAGGAGCAGGTTGTTCAGTTTCCATGTAGTTGAGCAGTTTTGAGTGAGTTTCTTAATCCTGAGTTCCAGTTTGATTGCACTATGGTCTGAGAGACAGTTGGTTATAATTTGTGTTCTTTTACATTTGCTGAGGAGTGCTTTACTTCCAACTATGTGGTCAATTTTGGAATAGGTGTGGTGTAGTGCTGAAAAGAATGTATATTCTGTTGATTTGGGGTGGAGAGTTCTGTAGATGTCTATTAGGTCTGCTTGGTGTAGAGCTGAGTTCAATTCCTGGATATCCTCATTAACTTTCTGTCTCGTTGATCTGTCTAATGTTGACAGTGGGGTGTTAAAGTCTCGCATTATTATAGTGTGGGAGTGTAAGTCTCTTTGTAGGTCACTAAGGACTTGCTTTATGAATCTGGGTGCTCCTGTATTGGGTGCATATATATTTAGGATAGTTAGTTCTTCTTTTTGAATTGATCCCTTTACCATTATGTAATGGCCTTCTTTGTCTCTTTTGATCTTTGTTGGTTTAAAGTCTGTTTTACCTGAGACTAGGATTGCAACCCCTGCCTTTTTTTGTTTTCCATTTACTTGGTAGATCTTCCTCCATGCCTTTATTTTGAGCCTATGTGTGTCTCTGCACGTGAGATGGGTTTCCTGAATACAGCACACCGATGGGTCTTGACTCTTTACCCAATTTGCCAGTCTGTGGCTTTTAATTGGAGCATTTAGCCCATTTACATTTAAGGTTAGTATTGTTATGTGTGAATTTGATCCCGTCATTATGATGTTAGCTGGTTATTTTGCTCGTTAGTTGATGCAGTTTCTTCCTAGCCTTGATGGTCTTTACAATTTGGCATATTTTTGCAGTGGCTGGTACCGGTTGTTCCTTTCCATGTTTAATGCTTCCTTCAGGAGCTCTTTTAGGGCAGGCCTGGTGGTGACAAAATCTCTCAGCATTTGCTTGTCTGTAAAGTATTTTATTTCTCCTTCACTTATGAAGCTTAGTTTGGCTGGATATGAAATTCTGGGTTGAAAATTCTTTTCTTTAAGAATGTTGAATATTGGCCCCCACTCTCTTCTGGTTTGTAGAGTTTCTGCCAAGCTATCAGCTGTTAGTCTGATGGGCTTCCCTTTGTGGGTAACCCGACCTTTCTCTCTGGCTGCCCTTAACATTTTTTCCTTCATTTCAACTTTGGTGAATCTGACAATTATGTGTCTTGGAGTTGCTCTTCTCGAGGAGTATCTTTGTGACATTCTCTGTATTTTCTGAATTTGAATGTTGACCTGCCTTGCTAGATTGGGGAAGTTCTCCTGGATAATATTCTGCAGAGTGTTTTCCAACTTGGTTCCATTCTCCCCGTCACTTTCAGGTACACCAAGTAGATGTAGATTAGGTCTTTTGACATAGTCCCATATTTCTTGGAGGCTTTGTTTGTTTCTTTGTATTCTTTTTTCTCTAAACTTCTCTTCATGCTTCATATCATTCATTTCATCTTCCATCACTGATACCCTTTCTTTCAGTTGATCGCATCAGTTACTGAGGCTTGTGCATTCGTCACATAGTTCTCGTGCCTTGGTTTTCAGCTCCATCAGGTCCTTGAAGGACTTCTCTGCATTGGTTATTCTAGTTATCCATTCGTCTAATTTTTTTCAAAGTTTTTAACTTATTTGCCATTTGTTCGAACTTCCTCCTTTAGCTCAGAGTAGTTTGATGTTCTGAAGCCTTCCTCTCTCAACTCATCAAAATCATTCTCTGTCCAGCTTTGTTCCGTTGCTGGTGAGGAGCTGTGTTCCTTTGGAGAAGGAGAGGCACTCTGATTTTTAGAGTTTCTGGTTTTTCTGCTCTGTTTTTTCCCCCATCTTTGTGGTTTTATCTACCTTTGGTCTTTTATGATAGTGATGTACAGTTGGGTTTTTGGTGTGGATGTCCTTTCTGTTTGTTAGTTTTCCTTCTAACAGTCAGGACCCTCAGCTGCAGGTCTGTTGCAGTTTACTGGAGGTCCACTCCAGACCCTGTTTGCCTGGGTATCAGCAGCGAAGGCTGCAGAACAGTAGATATTGGTGAATTGCAAATGCTGCTGCCTGATCGTTCCTCTGGAAGTTTTGTCTCACAGGAGTACCTGGCTTTGTGAGGTGTCAGTCCGCCCCTACTGGGGGGTGCCTTCCAGTTAGGCTACTCCGGGTTCAGGGACCCACTTGAGGAGGCAGGCTGCCCGTTCTCAGATCTCAAGCTGCGTGCTGAGAGAACCACTACTCTCTTCAAAGCAGTCAGACAGGGACATTTAAGTCTGCAGAGGTTATTGCTGTCTTTTGTTTGTCTGTGCCCTGTCCCAGAGGTGGAGCCTACAGAGGCAGGCCTCCTTGAGCTGTGGTGGGCTCACCCAGTTCAAGCTTCCAGGCCACTTTGTTTACCTACTCAAGCCTGAGCAATGGCGGGTGCCCCTCCCCCAGCCTCGCTGCCACCTTGCAGTTTGATTTCAGACTGCTGTGCTAGCAATGAGCAAGGCTCTGTGGGCGTAGGAACCTCCAAGCCATGTGAGGGATATAATTTCCTGGTGTGCCGTTTGATAAGCCCATTGGAAAAACACAGTATTAGGGTGGGAGTGACCCGATTTTCCAGGTGCCATCTGTCACCCCTTTCTTTGACTAGGAAAGGGAATTCCCTGACCCCTTGTGCTTCCCGGGTGAGGCGATGCCTCACCCTGCTTCGGCTCATGCTTGGTGCGCTGCGCCCACTGTCCTGCACCCACTGTCTGGCACTCCCTAGTGAGATGAACCCGATACCTCAGTTGGAAATGCAGAAATCATCCATCTTCTGTGTCACTCATGCTGGGAGCTGTAGACTGAAGCTGTTCCTATTCAGCCATCTTGGCTCCACCCTCCCATACTTTTTGTTTTTATTTTCTTTGATAAATATCTATTGGTTTCTAAAACAGCCTTATTGATGCATAATTTAAAGCCATAATATCCACTTGTTTTAAGCATATGGTTCAATGATTTTGAGCAAATTTATTCAGTGGCACAACCAGTGTCATAATCCGATTTGAGAATATTCTATCACTCCAAAATCCCTCATGCCTGTTTGCAGTCAATTCTCACTCCCATCCCATTTCAGATAGCCACTGATCTGCTTTCTGTTACTGTGGTTTTGCCTTTTTTATTATTTAGAATTTTAGAATTGGAATAATACAATAGGTAGTCTTTGCGTACGGTTTCCTTTATTTGCCAGATTTTTGAGGTTCATTTTATTGTTGTATCTATCAGTTGTTATTCTTTTGTATTGCTGAATAGTATCCAGTTGTATAAATATACTATATTTTGTTTATGCATTCACCAGTTGATGGACATTTGGTTTTTTTTTTTTTCAGCATTTGGCTATTATGAATAATTCTGCTAGAAATATTTGTGGACAAAACTGTGTGTAGACATATTTCATTTCTCTTGAGAAGTTACCTGGGAATGGAATTAGTGGGTCATACATTAATATTATTAATATTTAACTTTAAAAAACCCCATCAAACTGTTTTCTAAAGTGACTGTACCATTTTACTTCATCACTAGCAATGGCTAAGAGTTCTAGTTTCTTCACATTCATGCCAACACCTGGTATTGTCAATCTTTTTTATTGCAGTCATTATAGTGGGTGTGCGCTTTTAATTTACTTTTCCCTAGTTACTAAAAGATGTTTAGTATCTTTTCATGAGCTTGTGAGCAATTTCTGTGTATGTGTTTTTGGTTTTTTTTAGTGAAATGTCTGTTCAAACATTTTATCTATTTTTATTGAATTGTTTGTTATATTATTGAGTTGTAAGAGTTATTGATATATTCTGGACACAAGTCCTTTATTAGATATGTTATTTTCAAATATCTTATTTCAGTCTATGGTTTTCTTTATTTTTCTAAAGTTGGCATTTGAAAAGCAGATTTTTAAAATTTTTATGAAGTTCAATTTCCAATTATATTATTTAATGAGTCACACTTTTGGTATCCAATCAAGTAAAATTTTGCCTAAATTAAGGCCAGAAAGATTTTCTTCTATGTTTTATTCTAAAGTTTTATAGTTTTAGCTCTTACTTACATTTAGGTCTATGTTCTATTTTGGAGTAGTTTTTATGTCTAATATAAGCCAAGGGTTTATGATCATTTTTTTTCTCATGAATATTTAATTGTTTTAGCATCATTTGTTGAAATTACTCTCCTTTTCTAATGAATTGTCTTGGCCTCTTTGTTAAAACTCAATTGACCATAAAGGTAAGAGTTTATTTCTGGACTCTATATTCTGTTCCTTTGATTTATTTCTCTGTCTTTATTACTCCAATATCATTACACTCTTGATTACTGTAGCTTTATGGTTAGTATCAAAATTAGTCAGTGTGATATGAGTAGGAGGTACTAGGTAGAAAAGGGTGGGGTCGCTGGTGAGGTCTCCCCCTCAAGCCTGGACCTGTGACCCAAAGTGAGAATGTGCATTTCTGTTTTCCCCCTTGAATGTTGCCTTTTCCAAAACCACCCTGGCCTGCCCTGCTCCCCATCCTGCACCCATATAAACCCTAGGCTCCACTGGCAGAGGGGCAAAGCAGTGCAGCAGAAAAGGAGAGAAGAGAAGCAGCAGCTTGATGTCAGTGAGAAGCAGCTTGACTTCAGAGGGACAGCTTGACAGTAGGACCTCAGAGAAGAGTTTGTCTGGGGACATTCCCGGCTGAACGCCAGGGGAAGACCACTTTCCCACTCCATTCCCTTTCCAGCTCCCCATCCCACTGAGAGCCACTTTCATTGGCAATAAAATCTTCTGCATTTACCATCCTTCAATTCATTCATGCAACCTGACTCCTCCTGGATGCTGGACAAGGTCCCAGGTGTGGGTGCAAAAGGCTGTCACAGTGGCCCTCCACTGAGCTGTCTAATACTTAAGCCATCCACGGATAGCAAAACTAAAAGGGCATACTGTAACTCCAGGGGTCATGGGTAACTCCTAGACACTGCCACGGGACCATATGGAGTTCTGCTCCTGCTGGTTGCCCAGAAGCACTCATCCTAGCCTCTGCACCTGCTCACCTGCATGCTTCCCCTCCCATGAGGGGTTGAGACCTGTGGGCTGAGTAAACAAGCCAACCCCTTCACAAGACTCATGAAGGGGTCAAGGGAACTATCTCATTTCAAATATACATTTACCAAATTTGTATTTCTTATTCAAAACTGTTTAGGCTATTCTAAGTATTTTGCATTGCCAAATAATTTTTTTTTGGATTGGCTTGTCTATGTCTATGAAAAAATGCTCCTGGAATTTTCGTATGGATTGAGTTTCAGCTGTAGATCAATCTGGGGAGGACTGTCATATTAACAATAATGTTTTTCAATCAGTGAGCATGGTATATCTCCTTTCATTTAGATCTTTAAATTTCTCACAGTAACGTTTTATGGTTTTTTTGTGTGTAGTTCTACCTCAGGTTAATGCTAACATAATTCCAGTAAAATACAGCAACTTTAATATAATTCCATTTCTTTCCTCTTTTTTGATTATTACCGTCATAAATAAATACACACACATATCCATAAACCTAACTGTGTGTGTATGAATATGTAAAACTTTAACAATAAAGTTTTATAATAATTGTTTAAAATGTCTATTTTCAAAAGGAAAGTAAGTGGAAAAGGGGGTCTTTCAATCTACCTACATTTTATCACTTCCAGTGCTCTTCATTTCTCCCCGTGAACTTTAGTTTCTGTCTGGGAATGTTTTATTAAGCCTAAGCTGCTGGGAATATTTTGTTAAGCCTAAAGTTCTTCCTTTAGTGCTGCTTCTAGGTCAAATCTTCTAGTAATGCATTTTCTCAGTTTTCATTTACTTGGAAATGTGTTTATTTTGCTTTTATTTTTTGGGGAATAGTTTTGATGGACACAGAATTCTTGGTTGACAGTTAAAAATATTCAGCAAAGCCAGGCACGGTGGCTCACGCCTATAATCCCAGCACTTTGGGAGGCCAAAGCGGGCAGATCACAAGGTCAGGAGATTGAGACCATCCTGCCTAACATGGTGAAACCCCATCTCTACTAAAAATACAAAAAATTAGCTGGGCGTGGTGGTGGGCGCCTGTAGTCCCAGCTATTCAGGAGGCTGAGGCAGGAGAATGGCGTGAACCTGCGAGGCAGAACTTGCAATGAGCAGAGATCGTGCCACTGCACTCCAGTCTGGGTGACAGAGCAAGACTCAGTCTCAAAAAAAAAAAAAAGAAAAGGAAAAAAAATTCAGCACTTGAATATGTCATTTTACTGCTTCCTGGTCTTCACTGTTTATAATGATAAGTCAGCTATTAATCATATTTTTTTCCATATCTGATGAGTCATTTTTTTCTTTTTTCAAGATTTTCTCTTTGTATTTCTATTTCAGTCATTGATTATGATGTGTCTAGGTGTGAATTCTGATATGTTTATCCTATTTGAGGTTTGTGGAGCTTTTAATATTTGTAGACAGCCTTTCATCAAATTTTGGAGGATTTTATCTATTATTTTTTCACATAAATTATTTTCCCCTTCCCTTCTCTTTTTTACTTCTGAGACCCTTATTTCACATATGTTGGTAGGCTTAACATTGCCCTACATGCCTTTGATGCTATGTTTATTCAAAAAAAATTGTCTGTACTTTTCAGATTGAGATATTTCTACTGAACTATATTTCAGTTTACTGCTTCTTTCTCCCCTCATCTCAAATTTGCTGTTGATATAACAAGCAAAATCTTCATATTGAAAATACTTTTCAACTCTGGAATTTCTATTTGGTTCTTTTTCACTTCCAATATTTGGGTTCTATTTCTCTCTAAAGATTATTTATGGAATCATAGACATCATGCGTTTCATTAATTATTTGTTTGCCACATATATCATCTAGGTCTACTCTGAGTCAATTTCTTTTTTTCTTTTTCTTTCTTTCTTCTTTTTTTTCTTTTCAAGACAGAGTTTCGCTCTTGTTGCCCAGGCTGGAGTACAATGGCGCAACCTCAGCTCACCGCAACCTCTGCCCGCTGGGTTCAAGTGATTCTCCTGCCTCAGCCTCTCCAGTAGCTGGGATGACAAGCACATGCCACCAAGCCAGGCTAATTTTGTATTTTTAGTAGAGACAGGGTTTCTCCATGTTGGTCAGGCTGGTCTCGAAATCCCTACCTCAGGTGATCCGCCCGCCTTGGCCTTCCAAAGTGCTGGGATTACAGGTGTGAGCCACTGCACCCAGCTGCTACTCTGAGTCAATCTCTATTGATTCCTTTTTTTCCTGAGTATGGATCACACTTTCCTAATTATTTGCATGCTTAGTAATTGTTTTGCCCCAAAATGGAAATTTTAGATAATATATTATGGCAACTCTGAATTCTGACTAATTTTTCTGAGGATGTTGTTGTTGATTAAGTAATTTCCATAGATTTAAACTGTATAATCTTTCTTCCCCATGACATGTAGCTATTGAGGTTGTCCCTTTGTCTGCATAACTCAGAGATCAGTCAAGATTTGGCCAGATTTTTCTCAAGCACCTTGAACCCATAAAGCTCCTACCTCCTGATGACTGATCTTTGTGTGGGTCAGGAAGCACATTCAGAGTCCTCCCATTCTCAAGTCTGCCATGGCCTTACTTTCCCACCTGGCTTTCTTGAGTCTCACCTGCACAAATGCATTGGTTATCTGCAGGCCAGAAATGTGTGGTGATCTTATCTAATCCTACTGTGGTTGTATCATATCCAGGATCTCGCTATTCAATTTCTTATTGGTCTACCACTTGTAACTGTGATTGTAAACTTGAGCTGGAAAAGCTACAAGTCTTCTTTCTTTTTTTGTTTCCTACTGAGTTTCCACTTTTAGCGAGGAAGGCTATAGTATTTTGACCTATTGCCCAATTGAGCCAGCCCCCTCTAGCACCAAAGTTTATGAATTCCGTGTTGAACTTCAGGTTGGTAAAATTACTGTTCTTACTGACTGAGGGGGAGGAAGGATGGAGGTAGTCTTTGCGAAGAGGGCCACAGATTCCTGCTGCCTTTACCTGAAGCTCTATAACATTTTCAAGAACAGCCAGGCGGGCCAGCTGGCTGAGAAGATGGTGTCTGGAGCCCGGGCCGCCGCCGCAGCCGCAGCCGCTGCGGCCGCCGCGGAGCGAACCCGGGGTGTCCCGGGTGTGCGGTCCAGGGCCAGGCCCGGGCCATGAGCGCGCAGCCCTCGAGTCCCCGAGCCGCGGAGCCCGCCCAGCGTCCCTCCCCATGGCGCGGATCACAGACTACTTCCTGCTGGTGGCATTCAGGCCGCACCCGCGCGGGAGTGGGAAAGGCCAGGGCCAGATTCTGCAGTTCTTCCCGGAGAAGGACTGGGAGGCCAACCCATTCCCCCAGCTGTTTTGCCAGTCCAGCGGGTGGCAGATGTGTCCCGAGAGGAATCCACCGACCTTCTTTGTTGCTGTCCTCACCGACATCAACTCCGGGCGCCACTACTGTGCTGCTTGACCTTCTGGGAGCAGGAAACGACACGCGCTAAGGATGCCACTGAGTGGGAGGAAGAGGAGGATGAGGGAGGCCTTACGCACCTGTCGCCCACAGAGCCTGCCCATCTGCCCAGATGTTTGCCCCAAAGACGCTGGTACCTGTGTCGCGACTTGACCATGCGGAGGTGTTCAGGAACAGCCTCGGCCTCATCTATGCCGTCCACGTGGAGGGCCTGAATGTGTTCCCAGGGAACGTAATTGGGAACCTGCTGACGTGCACCGTGCCCCTGGCTGGGGGCTAGTAGAGGACGATTTATTTGGGGGCTGGTGACCGGCAGGTCATCCAGACTCCACTGGCCGACTCCCTGCCCATCAGCAGCTGCAGCGTGGCCTGCTCTTCCGCCAGCTGGGCATCACCAACGTACTGTCTTTGGTCTGTGCCACCCTCATGGAGCACGAGGTTCTCTTCCTGTCCCGGAGCTACCAGCAGCTCACCGATGCCTGCAGGAGCCTCCTGGCATTGCTGTTTCCTCTCAGATACAGCTTCACCTATGTGCCCATCCTGCCGGCCCAGCTGCTGGAGGCCCTCAGCACACCCACGCCCTTCATAATCGGGGTCAATGCGGCCTTCCAGGCAGAGACCCAGGAGCTGCTAGACGTGATTGTAGCTGATCTGGATGGAGAGACGGTGACCATCCCTGAGTGTGTGCACATTCCACCCTTGCTAGAGCCACTGCAGAGTCAGACGCACAGTGTTCTAAGAATGGTCCTGGACCCGGAGCTGGAGTTGGTTGACCTCGCCTTCCCTCCACCCATGACGTCCCCCTCCTCCTTGAATATGCAGGACAAAGAGCTGCGGCTCTTCCATCAGCTGCTGCAGGGCTATCTCTGGTGCCTGCACGTCGTGTGCATTCACCCGGAGCCTGTCATCCGCTTCCATAAGGCAGCCTTCCTGGGCCAGTGTGGGCTGGTGGAGGACGATTTCCTGATGAATGTGCTGGAGGGCATGGCCTTTGCTCTCTTTGTGTTGGAGTGTGGGGTCCCGTACTGCCCCACGGACCTGTTTGATGAGCTGGTGGCCCACGATGTGGCACAGAGGTGGGTGGATGAGAACCACCCCCAATGAGTCCTGCATCACATCCAAGAACTGGTAGAGCAGCTCTGCAAGAACAAGAACCTGTACCCAGACTTGGCGATGCACAACATGCAGAGGCCGGGTGACAGCAGCCACCTGAGATGGGCGCCCCGGCCCTTCCCCTGGCTGGATGAGGGCGCCATGCAGTGGATCGTGGACCAGGCTGAGGCCAAGATGCAAGGTGCACCCCTAGCCATGAAGGCTGGGAGGAGGACCACAGGGCCCTCAGGGCCCCGCATGACTGCCCTACTGGATGGGTGCAGCAGGCTGCAGGTCAAGAGCCCAGGGCAGCTGGAGGTCGTGGGCAACTGCATCTCCCACGTGTTTGAGGGGAAGATGCTTGAGGCCAAGAAGCTGCTCCTAGCTGTGCTGAGGGCCCTGAAGTGGTGAGCTGCCTGCCACTGCCTCACCCGGGAACTGTACCTGCATGTGCAACAGAACTGGGTGGTCCTGGACCACCAGCAGTTTGACTTTGTCATCAGTATGATGAACTGCTGCCTGCAGGACTGCACTTCTCTGGACAAGCATGGCATCTCGGCTGCTCTGCTGCCTCTGGTCACAGCCTTCCTGGAAGCGGAGCCAAGGGGTAAGGTAGTTCTCTTACAGCTCTGTGCAGGAGCACGTGGTGTGGAGCATGCCACAGTTCTGGGAGGCCGTGTTCTACTGGGACATGCAGACTCATATCTGGGTCCTTTACCTGGAGCCCACCGAGGATCAGGCCCCAGCCCAGGAGGTTGGGGAGGCACCTTCCCAGGAGGATGAGAGAGCACTCTGCCCTAGAAGTGGCTTCTGAGCAGTGGTGCCTGTGGCCATCCCTGAGCGGTGAGAAGCAGCAGGAGCTGATGCAGAAGGAGGAGAGCACAGTGTTCAGCCAGGCCATCCACTATACCAACTGCGTGAGCTACCTCCTGCTGCCTCTGGACAGCAGCAAGAGCCGCCTGCTTCAGGAGCTGGGTGACCTGGAGAGCACCAGCAACAGCCTGGTCCCCAACAGCATGGCTGGCAGTGTGGCTGAGAGCTATGACACGGGGAGCGGCTTTGAGGACAGAGAGACCTGCAATGTAGCTGGGGCTGTGGTCCACTTCATCAACCGCTTTGTGGACAAGGTCTGCACAGAGAGTGGGGTCACCAGTGACCACCTCAAGGGGCTGCATGTCATGGTGCCAGACATCGTCCAGATAAACATTAAGACCCTGGAGGCGGTGCAGCGGGAGAACCGGAGGCTGATGCCCATCTAGAAACCCAAGCTATTGAGGCTGCACCTGCTGTCTGGTGAGGAGTGTGTGCTGGATGGCCTGCGCATCTACCTGCCACCGGATGGGCGTGAGGAGGGTGCGAGGGCGGGCAGTGCGGGGTGGCCAGCACTGCTCCCAGCTGAGGGCGCCCTCTTCCTCACTACGTACCGGGTCATCTTCACGGGGATGCTCACAGACCCCCTGGTGGGGGAGAAGGTGGTGTTCCGCTCCTTCCCGGTGGCCGCGCTGACCAAGGAGAAATGCATCAGCATCCAGACCCCTTTGGATCAGCTATTGCAGGACGGGCTGCAGCTGCGCTCCTGCACATTCCAGCTGCTGAAAATGGCCTTTGATGAGGAGGTGGGGTCTGACAGTGCCGAGCTCTTCTGCAAGCAGCTGCATAAGCTGCGGTACACACCGGATGTCAGGGCCACCTTCTCCTTCACCCTGGGCTCTACCTACACACCCGGCCAGCCACCCCGAGTCACCAAGAACAAGGGTCCTTCCCTCAGAACCCTGTCCTGGAACCTGGTTAAGAACGTCAAGAAGACCATCGGGCGGCAGCATGTCACTCGCAAGAAGTACAACCCCAACTCAGCTAGGAGCACTGGAGCCAGCCGCCCTCTGAGGACCAGGAGGAGGAGATCTCAGTGTCGGAAGAGCTGGAGCCCAGCACACTGACCCCGTCCTCAGCCTTGAAGCCCTCGGACGGCATGACCATGAGCAGCCTCCTGGTGGAAAGGGCTTGCTGCCGCGACTATCAGTGCCTTGGCCTGGGCCCCCTGAGCAGCCGCCTGAGCCGGGCCAAGTCTGAATCCTTCCGCATTTCTCTGGTCAACCGCATGCATGCCATCTACCGCAGGTACCCGGGGCTGCTGATCGTGCCCCAGAGTGTCCAGGACAACGCCCTGCAGCGCGTGTCCTACTGCTACCGCCAGAACCGCTTCACCGTTGTCTGCTGGCGCATCCGGCGGTCCAAGGCAGTACTGCTGCATTCTGGGGGCCTGTACGGCATAGGTGTAGTCGGACTCTTTAAGGCCCAGAACGCACCTTCTCCAGGCCAGTTCCAGGCAGACTCGAGTAGCCTGGAGCAGGAGAAGTACCTGCAGGCTGTTGTCAGCTCCATGCCCCGCTACTCCAGTGCGTCCGGACGCAACACACTTAGCGGCTTCTCCTCAGCCCACGTGGGGAGTCACATTGGCAGCCCCAGAGCCAGGGTCACCACTCTGTCTAACCCCATGGCGGCGGCATCCAGACTGACTGCACCCCGAGGTAAGTGGGGGCAGTGTCTGGACCTGTGGGCGCAGCAGTGGGCTTGGTGCCAATGTGGGCTCCCAGCTAGCTGGCAGAGAGGCGATGGCCCCACCCCAGGCCAACGGGTGTCCCCCGGCCCCCGACCCGGGCTTCCTGTGGCCACAGCAAGCAGCCCTCTACATCCTCGGGGACAAAGGCCAGCTCAAGAATGTGCGGCCGGACCCCTTGCAGCAGTGAGAGCTGGTGCCCATTAAGGTATTCCAGGCGCGGCAGGTGAAGGCTAGCTTCAAAAAGCTGCTGAAGGCATGTGTCCTGGGCTGCCCTACTGCTGAGCCCAGCCTAGTCTCCTTCCTGCGCTTGCTGGAGGACTCAGAGTGGCTGATTCAGATCCACAAGCTGCTGCAGGTGTCGGTGCTGGGAGGGGGGAGCTCCTGGACTCAAGTTCCTCCGTGCTGATGGGCCTGGAGGACGGCTGGGACATCACCACCCATGTGGTATCCTTGGTGCAGCTGTTCTCAGACCCCTTCTACTGAACGCTGGAGGGGTTCCACCTGCTGGTGGAGAAGGAGTGGCTGTCCTTCAGTCATCGCTTCAGCCACGGGGGAGCCCACATTCTGGCTGGACAGAGCAGCGGCTTCACACTATCTTCCTGTAGTTCTTGGACTGCCTACACCAGCTCCACCTGCAGTTCCCCATGGAGTTTGAGTTCAGCCAGTTCTATCTCAAGTTCCTCGGCTACCACCACGTGTCCCGCTGTTTCTAGACCTTCCTACTGGACTCTGACTATGAGCACATTGAGCTGGGGCTGCTGTACGAGGAGAAGGGGCAGCGCAGGAGCCAGCTGCCTTGCAGGTCTCTGTGTGGACCGGATGAGCAAGAGGACAGCCATGTTCCACAACTACATGAATGCACCCGAGGACACAGAGGTCCTGCGGCCCTACAGCAACGTGTCCAACCTGAAAGTGTAGGACTTCTGCGCTGAGGAGATGCTGGCCGAGGGCCCTCCCTATGACTGGGAACTGGCTCGGGGAACCCCCTGAGCCCCTGAGGAAGAACGGTTTGACGGAGGCGCTCCCCAGAGCAGGTGCTGTGTGGTGTGGCCCTGCTACCACAGCTGCCCCCGAGCCCAGCCTGACGCCATCTCACGCCTGCAGAGGTTGGAGACAGAGCTGAGCCGACCCGCTAAGCGCTGGAAGGACACCTGGGACCGCGTGAAGGCTGCATGGCGCCTTGAAGCCCGGCCAGATGGACGTGGCACCCCTAGCTCCCTCCTAGTGTCCACCGCACCTCACCACCGCTGCTCGCTGGGTATGTACCTGCAGGAGGAACCCGTGGGCTCCACCTTGAGCCTCAGCCTGGAGAGTGACCAGAATAGAGGCTCGACCGCATCTGGCTCCCGCCAGGCTGCCTGCGGCAGCACCAGCACCCTTACAGCCAGTTCCAGACAGCTGAGAGTGAGAACAGGTCCTACGAGGGCACTCTGTACAAGAAGGGGGCCTTCATGAAGCCCTGGAAGGCCCGCTGGTTCATGTTAGACAAGACCAAGCACCAGCTACGCTACTACGACCACCGTGTGGACACTGAGTGCAAGGGTGTCATCGACCTGGTGGAGGTGGAGGTGGAGGCTGTGGCACCTGGCATGGCCACCATGGGTGCCCCTAAGAGCGTGGATGAGAAGGCCTTCTTTGACGTGAAGACAACTCCTCGCGTTTACGACTTTTGTGCCCAGGACGTGCCCTCAGCCCAGCAGTGGGTGGACCGGATCCAGAGCTGACTGTCGGACGCCTGAGCCTCCCGACCTTGCCTGGCTGCTCTGCTTCCAGTCGTTACCGACCACTAGGGGTGGGCAGGGCAGCCCTGGCCATGTTTACAGCCCCGGCCCGGCCCTCGGCAGTAGTGAGGCCCCGAGCCCCCAGCACTTGTGTGTACAGCCCTAGTCCCTGCCCCGCACCGCCCGGCCAGCCCTAACTTATTTCGGCGTCACAGCTGAGCACCGTGCCGGGAGGTGGCCAAAGTACAGCCCGCAATGGGCCTGTAAATAGTCCAGCCAGCTGGCTGCAGGCGAATTGTTTCTAGAACCAGAGTCTATATAAAGAGAGAATGAATGCAAAATAAAATAAATAAATAAATAAATAAATAAATCTAGAATAAATATCTCAATTTGTTATCACCTTTGGTCAATTTTCGACAATTTTATATGTTTTTTTTTTTAACCTGAGAGGATTTGCTAATCTCTTAATACCACCATGACTAAAAGTTCAAGTCATTTACTATTTATATAATAAGTCATAACATTGGATTTTAGGGCTACTGGAAGAGTTCAATGCAAAATGCTCTTTTAGATATGTAAGGCCTCAATCACAGAGCTACAGGCAGTTGCTTATCCTTCCAGTAACACTCTCTTTATTTTTCTTTATTTGTAATAATTTTCTTTATTTGTATACATGGCTGTCTTGACTGGTTCACCATGGTTCTTTACGAAGCTAGGAATAGACATAATGCACAAAATGTGGTTTCTAGCTTCATCCCTGTTCTATGAAGCAAAGCTTCAGCCTACCAGGTTGACTACTGCATTTTAGTTGATTATTGTTATGCAGGGCATGTGGGAGATCTTTAGTGGGAGAGATAAATAGTGGGCAGGAAACCAGAAAACCAAGGATTATAATAACCTTACTAAAGAGTAGAAACCCACTAAGAGAAAAATAAATAAAATGTGCTAGTTAGCAAACTCCACCTGCAGCCTCTTCCCCAAACCACATTTTCCTCACTGATTAAAACCATCTCACTTATGAGCTAGACATTACGCAGATGTGCAGATTTTGGCTTAATTAATCAAAATCCAGTAGCATGGGTTTGCCTGGATTCATTTTGATTGCAAAAATCCCTTCAATCAGCGACTTGTAAAATAAATGTTCAGATTTTCAAGACTAAGCTTTGTTTTTCATAAAGTGTTTTTCATTTCATTGATTGGTACTTGTGCACACCGCATCTTGTTCTCTGGCTAGAAGTCCAGGTGTATGGGAAGAAGAGCGCTTTATTGAGTCACTCTTTTCCAGAGCAGTGACTATTTTATATGAATAAAATGAAGTTTAATAAATTGCCAGGCTTATGAATAGAAACTTATAAAGCATAGAAGAGGAAATCGATTCCTGGCAACCTAAAAATATACCAAAGAAAGAAAGAAACTGCAAAATTGTACAAGCTTGGCTGTTCCCACTTTTGCTGTTCTTTTTAGCAAACTTGACAGGCAGTTTGCTTGCCAGCAAGCTTTGTAACTGGGGCTGACTCAATCTCAGGAGTGAGGGTGGGGGCTCAGTGTCATTCACTCGCCAACTGACATCATATCAAAGTATTTGACAGACACAATTTACTGTGAGAGGTTAATGTTACGTTCCTTTAAAACGAATGGTTTAATAAACCAAGCATCAAAACTGACTTAAAGAAGTCTCAAATTCCCCAGTCTCAGACTTCTAATTCTTCAGCTAGAAAGAAAAGGAATTTATGGGCTGTCCCTTAAAATTCTACAGGTTAGAAAATACAGTACTCTAAAAATGAAGTTCTCAAGAAAAAATGTCTTGCCTGAATTTTATTGCAATCTTTAACAGAACTGCTGGTGATTAGCGGTTTCTTTTCTGTGAAGGGAGGACTACAGGGCTGTCTATTATACAGTAGTGGACAGATATCATTTCATGGTACTCCACAAACTCTTAATGAAAGAATAATGATAATAGTAGATAGTGACACTAACATAGCTGTACAAAACAGTGTAAAAGAATCAAAACACTTGTTGAATGGAAACTTTACTTCCACCCCTGTTATTATGTGGGGTCTTTCCTTTCTTTCTTAGCCAACCTTTTTGAAAAGCTAGTCTGTGTGTGTTATCTTCCCTTTCTCCCCTCTCAGGGGAGCCGTAGTGTCCATCTACCAAGAGCCCTAGGGTGCATCTACCTTCTGTGATCTCAACTTTGGAATGATGCATGGATTTGGCTCTCACTTTCTATCTAATTTATTAAGAAGTCATATCCTCTTTTCAGTCTTGCCACATAGAATGGTTTCTAATATTCTTTTGTGCTCACCTACCTTTTAATTATCAGCACATTCCTACAGTTAGCTTTGATGGTTTCTTGGCTGGCAGATCATAAAGGTCCTGTCCAGATCACTGGTTCACCATCTAGATCTGTGTATTTTTACTATTAGTTGCTTCATTCCTCACTCCTAACCTCTGCTTTTTTTTTTTTTTTTCCCAATCAGGTAGGCTATACCATCATTTCAAACAAAAATCGGGTGAAAGATAGGACTAAGTTACTTCTCTAGGGTTAATGAATTTTTCCCTATCCAATTTTTCTAAAAAGAGGGATTGAGGTTTTTGACAATAAACATACATTTGGGGCAGGCACTATTGCTTTTCTGTAAGGGTTTGCTCTTTGAAGACTATCTTCCACTCTGCAAACGTCCATTGACCTAAGTGGCTATTTCCTTGGATAACTGCAGGAATCTCTTTCAGAAGATACTGCCTGGCAAAGGTTTTGCTTGTCATTGTGTAGGTATTTGTCTGATGGTGAAAACATAAAGCCACTGTCCCCTAAACTTTATTGGGCAAGCTGGTCGCAATGGAACTACTACTGATCCCCTCTTGAAATTGGTCAGTTAGCCGGGCACAGTAGCTCACGCCTGTAATCCCAGCACTTTGGGAGGCCGAGGTGGGCAGATCTCCTGAGCTCAGGAGTTCAAGACCAGCCTGGGCAACATGGTGAAACCTCATCTCTACTAAAATACAGCAACAAAAAAATTGGCCAGGACTGGTGGCGTGCACCTGTAATCCCAGCTACTCGGGAGGCTGAGGCTGGAGAATCACTTGAACCCTGGAGATGGAGGTTGCAGTGAGCTGAGATTGCACCACTGCAATTTAGCTTGGGCTACAAAGTGAGATTCTGTGTCAAAAAAAAAAGAAATCAGTCAGTTAAAGTTTTTGATTCGTCTCCCAGCGCCAAAACCCTGGCAGAATGGCTGTGCCTGCTGAGGTTGAGCCCATGTTATGCACATTGTAACATGTGGATAAAAGCTCCAAGGTTAGTTTGCGCTGGGCCAGGTACCTCCACGTGATGGTTGAGTTGAACTTTCAGCATAGATTTTTTCTGCCTTCCTGGGAATAACGCTATAGTTTCAGGGTGGGGGCTGAGCTAAGTATTGGAGTGGAGTGAGGCAGGAGGACAAAGTGCAGCAGCACACAGGCTACAGGTTGGGAACAGTAATCTCTCATTGGCTCACTCCATCAATCAGCCCTTCAGACAGAAATGGCTCACACAGCACAAGGAGATTTTTCTTTGGAAGATTCTCAGAAGTATGCAGTCGGAGGCCTTTTCTGTTAGGAGATTTGGCTTATGCAGCTGGCATTGCTGACAGCATGGCAGCCTATTTAGCAAGGCTTCGTACTGAACACCTGTGTACATGAATAACAATGCCTGAAATAACCTTGTTGCTACTCTTACTGTGGTAACCGTTACTCTTACAATTGTTTTTCTCATTCTCTCAAAGGCTTTTTGTGTGTGGCGGAGGAGGGACAGATTGTATCTTCTGATTTGACTAGGGGCAATAGTGCCCAATCAGCAGGCTGAGTGGGAAGGATCCCACCCTAATCTCCCGCCCTAGACAGCACATGCTCTGAGAAACCACTTTTATCTGTTCATGGTCTAAAAACTTACCCTAGCAGACATAATTTCAGGCCAGAAATTTTAAACTCTGATTTCTAGGGCCTTTTCTCTTAGGGAGAAAATATTTTGCGAGTTTTCCTTAGTTCAGGAAAACTCTCATATTAATGGGGCAGACATATTCATATAGTCACTTTATATAAAATTAAATACATATAAAATAATCAAAGTATAGTGCCCTTCTGTAATTTGCCTCTCCCACCCAACATTGTGTTTTAAACATTCACACATGTGGCCGGGCATGGTGGCTCACACCTGTAATCCCAGCACTTTGGGAGGCTGAGGCAGGTGGATCACGAGGTCAGGAGATCGAGACCATCCTGGCTAACACAGTGAAACGCCGTCTCTACTAAAAATACAAAAAATTAGCCAGGTGTGGTGGTGGGCACCTGTAGTCCCAGTTACTAGGGAGGCTGAGGCAGGAGAATGGCATGAACCCGGGAGGCGGAGCTTGCAGTGAGCCGAGATCGCACCACTGCACTCCAGCCTGGGCGACAGAGGGAGACTCTGTTTCAAAACAAAAACAAAAACAAAAACAAAAAAACAAAATTCATACATGTCAATATAGCTGTGGTTTATTCATTTTCATGGCAGTATAGGATTTCATGATATGACTATATCACAATTTTTATTTTTCCTTTTTACAATCAATGGACATCTAGGTTGTTTTGCCATACATAATTATAGATAATGCTGCTATGAATCATCTTGTATTTATATAGTGATGTGTGTGTAAGAATTCTCTAGTGCATATGCATAGAAAAAGAATTGCTGAGTTTTGGGGCTGTGTATATTAAACTTTAATAGATGATGCCAAATTATTTTCTAAAGTGATAGTACATAAAATACATAAAGTAACATACATTCCCATTAGCAGTACGCAAGAGTCCCTGTCACTACTCATACTAACCAACCCTTGGCATTGTGTAACTTTTAAATTTTCAACTTGCTGAAAATGATTTTGATGTATATTCCCATGATTGCTGAAATGCTGGAGCACATTTTTGCAAAGTTTATTAGTAATTTGTATTTCCTCTTCTGTGAAATGCCCAAATCATTCACCTTTTTAATTGATTATTAAAAGTTCTTTACATATTCTGGATACTAATCCTTTGCCAATTATATTTCCTGGAAATATCTACTGTTTATCTACTTCTCTTTCCTGTTTTGTGAAGTCTTTTGATGAAAGAAAAAGTACTCATTTTTAATGTAGTTGAATTTATTAATAACTCTCTGTATGGTTTTCATTTTCTGTAATTTTAAGAGAGATTAATCCATATCCTGAGTTCGCTTCCTATACTTTCTCTTAATGGTTTTAACATTTTGCTTTTCATATTTTATTTCCTCATTCATCTGAAATTACTTTTGTTTTGTATTATGAGGCAGGAGTCTTTTTTGTTTTGTTTTGTTTTTTGTTTTTGGAGACAGTCTGGCTCTGTTGCCCAGGCTGGAGTACAGTGGTGCTATCTCAGCTCCCTGCAACCTCCACCTCCCAGGTTCAAGTGATTCTTGTGCCTCAGCCTCCTGAGTAGCTGGTACTACAGGTGTGTGCCATTATGCCTGGCTAATTTTCATATTTTTGGTAGAGACAGGGCTTTGCCATGTTGGCCAAGCTGGTCTCAAATTCCTGAGCTCAAGTGATCTGCCCTCCTTGGCTTCTCAAAGTGTTGGAATTACAGGTGTGAGCCCCTGTGCCTGGCCCATTTTGATTTTTTCTTTTTTTTTCTTTTCTTTCTTTTTTTTTTTTTTTGAGACGGAGTTTTACTCTGTCACCAGGCTAGAGTGCAGTGGCACAATCTCAGCTCACTGAAACCTCCGCCTCCTGGATTCAAGTGATTCCCTTGCCTCAGTCTCCCGAGTAGCTGGGACTACAGGCACAGGCCACCATGCCCGGCTCTTTTTTGTATTTTAGTAGAGACGGGGTTTCACCTTGTTGGCCAGGATGGTTTCGATCTCCTGACCTCATGATCCATCTGCCTCGGCCTCCCAAAGTGCTGGGCTTACAGGTGTGAGCCACTGCTCCCCTCCTTCTGTTTTTTTTTTTTTTTTTTTTTTTTTTAATGTAACTGATTATAAATCTACAAACAAACAGTATTGTTTCTTTCTTCCTAATCCCTATGTCTCTTGCTCTTAAGGATTTTTTAAACAACCTCAATCATTGAACAGGACCTTTGCTGTGGAATTAAAAAAAAAAATCACTCATGGTTGTTGAATTTTATCAGAAGTTTTTCTGCATCTATTGAGATGTGCCTCCATTAATTTGTTAATGTGGATATTATATAGTAATATATATTCAAAAGTATTAACCTGATACTGGCCTTTGGCTCTTATTGTACATTGCAGTATTCAGTTTATTAATACTTATTTATAATTTCTGTGTCCATGTTCATAGGAAACATGTCCTATAATTTTTATTTCTTAGAATTCCTTTGCTGTTTTATATATCAGTGTTATACTAGCATGATAAATTAGTTGTGTAGTATTCACTTTCTTACCTATAAAAAGTCTGTTAAAGTTTATAGAATTCACTTGTAAAACCAAATGAGACTGATGTCTTTTTAGAAAGATTTGAATGTAGTGATTAATGTTCTTGTGATTATGGAACATTTAGGCTTTCCATTGCCCTTTTTAATTGAGATATATTTTATATACTATTACATTCACCTATTTAAAGTGTACAATTCAGTGTTGTCCAAATTCCAGAACATTTTCATCACCCCCTGCAAAAAAAACCACATTTCTATTAGCAGTCACTCCCCACGCCTCTTTCTCTCTAGCCCATTGCAACCACTAATCTACCTTCTGTGTCTTGGATTTTCCTATTCTGGACAATTCATATAAATGGAATCATATAACGTTTGATATTTTGTGTCTGGTTTCTTTCACTTAGCATGATGGTTTCCTGGTTTATCCATGTGGCATTTATCAGTACTTCATTCCTTTCTAAGGCTAAGTAATATTTTGTTGCATGGCTATACTATGTTTGATTCATTCACTCATCAATCCACAGATGCTTGGTTTTTTCTATTTTTGGCTGTTATGAATAATGCACTTTAATGTACAAATTTTTCTGAAACGTATGTGTTCAAATCTCTTGGGCGTATATCTAGGAATGGGATTGCTGGCTCGTGTGGTGCCTCTGTGTTTAGCTTTTTGAGGAACTGTGTTTCAAACTGTTTTCCAAAACAACTGCACCAGGTGACACTCCCAGCATTGATATTTTATGGTTCCAATGTGTTCACATCCTTCTCAACACTTGTTAGGGTCTATCTTTTTGGTCTTAGCCATCCTACTGAGTATAAAGTGGTATCTATTTCATTTTGAATCAGCTTTTATAATACGTATTTTTCCAGAACTTTGTCCAATTCAACCAAGTTTTCAAATTTTTAGGCATAAAGTTATTAGTAATATCTTTTCTTCAGCAAATATATTAATGCCCCTTTTTATTTCTTTTTAAAATTTGTGCTTTCCTCTTAAATTTTTGATCATCATTGTTAGGTATTGATCAATTTGTTATTATTTTCAAAGAAAAAAATTTTTGTTAATCTTTTGTATTGTGTCTTTCCATTTTACTTATTTCTGTTTTCATAATTATAATCTCATTTTTTTCTATTTTCTTTGGGCTTATTATTTTCTATTTTAACTTCCTAATTTGATACCAAACTCACTAACTTTGAGTCTTTCTTCTTTTTCCAATATATTATTTTTAAACTTATTGTTTTCTTCTAAACACTGTTTTAGCTATACCTCATAAGTAATAATATATCATGCTTTTATTGCATTTCATCCAAATTATTTTTCAATTTACATTATGCTCTATACTTCGATTCATGATTTCTGTTTGTGTTGAGAATTATGCCTTTTAACTGACCAATGCTTATTAAGTTATATTTTTTTAATTAATTTATAACTTCAGAATGTTGTAGTCAAAGAAATGTATCTGTGTGAAACCAACTCTGAAATATATTGAGACTTGGTTTAGGGTCCAGAATTTGGTCTGTTGTCATAAATGATCCATGCATTACTCTAGAATAACATGTATTATGGAGTCGAGTGCAATGTTCCCCATATGTCCATTGTTAGATCAAGCTTAAAAAATGCATTTTTCAAATATTCTATATACTTCCTCATTTTTATCTACTAATCTATTATTTACTGAGAGCTGTGTTAAAATATGTCAATTTCTCCTCATATTTCTGAAAATCTTTGCCTTTTATATTTTGTTGGTATATTATTAAATGCCTGTAAGTTTAGAACTGTTATATTTTCCTGGTGATTTATTTATTTTTAATTGTAATTACCTTCTATCACTGACAATGTGCTGTACTTTATTTTTTTATGTTTTTTCTTGAGACAGGGTCTTACCCTGTCACCCAGGCTGTAGTGCAGTAGTCCAATCACAGTTCACTGCATCCTCAACCTCCCAAGCTTAAGTGATCCTCCCACCTCAGCTTCCAGAGTAGCTAGGACTACAGGCATGCATTAGCATGCCTGGCTAATTTTAAACATTTTTTTTTTTTTTTTTGTAGAGATGAGGTGTCATTGTGTTGTCCAGGCTGGTATCAAGCTTTTGGGATCAAGCTTCTGGGCTCAAGCAATCTTCCTGCCACAGCTCTGCAAAGTATTGGGATTACAGGCATGAGCCACCGTGACTAGCTGTGTTGTATTTGACAGCTTCTATTTATTCCTGATACTTGAATAATTGTACCAGCTATCTTTTTTAATCATATTTTTACCTTTTAATCTTTTTGAATCCTTAGGTTTTAGGATCATTATTATTGTTATTGTAGATGTAGAAAGAGCCTAATTGCTCTCATGTTTTAATTGTGATTATAGTTCCTTTACAATCATTGTTATTTTCAATATATTTATATCTATCTCTACTATATAATTTACATTTTATATTTGCCCACTCTTTTGGGCTCTTGTTTTCTGCTCTTCTTGTCATCCCTTTGATTGATTAATGTATCCCTCATTCCATTTTTTTTTGCTGCTAGTTTGGAAGTTATACACTCTATTTGTATTCTTTTAGAGATTGTCTTAGAAATCTTCATGTGCATATTTAACCTAAGGTCTAAATCAGAATATTTGCCCACCTCCCAAATAATTCCCACATCATAACTCCTTTTAAGTCTGATCATTCTGTCCAGATTAATATGCTATTATTTTTGGAGGAATTTATATCTATTTTAAATTCTAACTCTCCCTAAATTAGACTTTTTAAAATTGTTTTAATACCATTACTCTTTGCTTAGATTTACCTACACAGTAATCTTCTCTCATCCTTGCACCCACTGAATTCCTTCTTGCATCTTCTACCTTTTTTATAGAATCATTCTACTTGGAGTTCAACATATTTTATGTTTCTTTAGTAAAGGTCTGTTAATATTAAATTTTCTGTTCTGTTTTATGAAAATATATTTCACTCTTGTAACTAAAACATACTATATTCTGGATACACACTTCTAGGCTGATAGTTTTTTAAAATTTCTCCACACTTTGAAGATACTATTCTGACATCATCTAACTTCCATTTCTGTTCTTGAGAGCCTAGCTGTTAGTAACAAAACTCATTTCTTTGTAAAAATCTGGCTTCATCCTTCTCTGCATCCTACAGCTCCCTATATTCCTCTATTTATCTTTGGTTTTTTGGCGTCCTGCAGCTTCACGCTACTATGTCTACTTAAGGATTAACTTGATTTATTCTTGTTAAGATTAATTAGGCTTCTTGAGTATGAAGATAGACATCTTTAATCAACTCTAAAAAATTCTTAGCTGTTACCTCTTCAAATATAGCCTATCTCTAATTTCCTTTATTTTATTTTTCTGGAAGTACAATTAAATATATGTTAACCCTTTTTACTCTATCATCTATGTATTTTGACATTAAAAATAATTTTATATGTCTTTGTCTCTTTGTGCTGCATTTCTTCAGATTTCTCTTCCCCTTCACCTATTACTTCTTTGGCTATATCTAATCTGCTGTTTAATCTACACATACAAATTTTATTTTAGTTTTTCAATGTTTTGCTTTCAGAAATTGTATTTGTCCCTACTCTACCTGATTGCCTCTTATTCTTGCACCATGCTTTCATTTCTTTATTTAAAATACTTATTTTATATTTGAATCTAATAGATCCAGTATCTGCTGACTTTGCCAATCTGTTGCTGAGGTCTTCTGCCTCACACTCATGGTGGTCTGTTCCCTTTAGAGAATTTTGTCTCTTTAGAGAATTCCCTGTTTAGAGAATTTTGATTGGGAAGGAGCGCATCTTCTTTGGGACTTTATACGTGGGCATTATTTGAGGCATGGATTTAATGTGCATTTTTCAAAGAGTATTTGTTTGCTTCTGATGAGTGCTTGGGGATAAAAATCAACCCATGGTACATTCAATTACTTTTTTAGCTTGAAGATTCTAAGGTCACACAAGCAATGTGAACTTAAGACACATGTCCATGTCAGAGTGAGCAGGTAGTTGGAAATTCTCACAAAAGACATTTTAATCTTATTTACTTCTGTACTCAGAGTCTAGGCTGAATTACGCAAGGTCCCTATGCAAGACTGTTTCCTTCATTTCCAACCCCTCACCCCCGTCCTAGTTTTCCCACACTTTGAGGTTCTGGCTTTATGTGGGTATTTCAGATTGGTCTCCTGCATTACTTGGGCTCATTAAAACTCAGTTTCTCTGTCAATAGAAATGAACAGATGCTCTCCAAGTGAAAGCTAGCATCATACTTGTTGCTCCAGATAGTGCTTTCCTGTTGTTTATAGCCTCTCTTGTCCTTATATTCCTGCCAACTCAGCTATGTCTCAATATTTTAAGATATATTTTATATAACATTTTATGAGTTTTCATACCAGAGGGTTTTCTTTCTTTATATAATAAGCCATATTGTCAGGCATAGAAGATCACCAATTTCTTCTTTAAATTGACTTAGGCAGTCTCATTTCTTGGCATCTTCTTTTATAAGTCTCTCTCTCTTTTTTTTTTTTTTTTTCAAGATGGAGTCTTGCTCTGTCACCTAGGCTGGAGTGCAGTGGCACAATCTCGGCTCACTGCTACCTCCACCTCTCAGGTTGAAGCAATTCTCCTTCCTCAGCCTCCTGAGTAGCTGGGATTACAGGTGCTCACCACCACGCCCGGCTCATTTTTGTATTTTTTTTTAATAGAGACGGGGTTTCACCATGTTGGCCAGGCTGGTTTCGAACTCCTGACCTTGTGATCTGCCCGCCTCGGCCTCCCAAAGTGCTTGGATTACAGGCATGAGCTACCACAATCCTCTCTTTGTGTTTTATCTCTTATTTCCATATTTTCATAATCTTCAGGCCAGGAAGAAGCCTATTATGAGTCATTATCCCTGAGCATGCAAGGCTATTTCAGTGCATTTCTCTAGGTGTTCCCCTTTGAATTGAATTGGGACTTAGTTAACTTTTTTTTTTGTCTGGTAATGTGTTCCTAGAGCCCTGCTCATTGAGTCATTCTCAAGCCACCCTCTCTTGCTCTTACAGGAACTCTGGCTGTTACGTCTTCCTTCATGATTGCTTCCAGAACCTTTTCAGTTTTAATCTATTCATCTTGTTTCTGCCTGTTCCTACTTTCTTTCTTCTTCTTCTTCTTCTTCTTTTTTTTTTTTGTTTGTTTGTTTGGAGGACCTGCACAGGCCCTAACTCCCTTGAAGGGGTGTAGCTGGGGTCTCACCCAATTCCCTAGTTTCTTTAAAAGATGGCCATGATTATTTACACTGCTGCTTTTTCTGCTTTTTGCAGCTCACTCAATGTTTCCTTTTAGAAATTTCTTATTCTTGTTGTTCACATATCTAAATCACCATTGCCAGTCTGTGAGCCACATGCAAAACAAGAACAGTCTGATTTCAGAGCCCATATCTATACCAGTATGCAACACTTCCTCCCAATAAATAAAACTATGTATGTAGAGTAACTAGCATTGTGCAGCTTACACAGTGAGCACTCAATGAGTGTTTGCTACGTCTCCTTATATCATTCACATTCTCAGATCCATATGATTTTTGGGAAACTGGTGAGGTTTTTAACCACAGGACTCTAACACTGACCATGTAGGTAGCTAGGAACGTAATTAGAGTGAGGGAAGCCTTGGACTCATGTTGTAAACCCTTGAGAGTAGGTCAGAATCCCTAGACTGTCAGCTGTATCTCTACTTAACCCTGATTCAAAAATCACATGTAAACTTCTAAATCTGATTTGGGGTAGAAACCTCCTCCCTTAATATTGAAAATTGAGGCCAGGCACAGTGGCTCATGCCTGTAATCCCAGCATTTTGAGGCCAAGGAACATAGATGACTTGAGGTCAGGAGTTCGAGATCAGCCTTGCCAACATGGTGAAAAATAAAAATAAATTAAAAAGAATAAAATAAAAAAGATATAAAAGAAAATTGAATAAGCAGTTTGCTAAAGTCATCTCTTGATTCAGTTTGGATATGAGATTATTAATACTTTTATGCAGAACTTATTTCCTTAACAAAAACATTTAAAAATTAGTTTACTATGAAGAACACATATTCAATCTCTGTGTTGAATTCTGAATAGGAACGGCAAATCCCGTACCTTTCATAACATAGATTTCCTTGTTTAGAAAACTCGATCGGGCAGAACTAACAATGGAAGTAACAAAACATGCTGTGCATATACAATGTGTGTCTGAGACCCCCCTCAGAATGTAGAGACTTTGGGCTCAGGGAACCAGCTACCGGGCCCTCTGTGATATTTGGATCAATCAACTCTTGAAGCTCAAAAGGTCCATAAAGATAATCAAGTCCAACACTTTGGCTTTGAGAAGGGGAAGTGGAGGCTCCAAGAAGAGAAGTGATTTGCATGGTGGTTGCCCCTGAATCCCGTGCCTGGTGCCAGCGAGGCTCTCCTTTCACAGAGACATGACACCGAGCTATTTCTGATGACATTTACTTCACAATAAATTGTCAGTCTGTGAGGTTGGAGGCCAAAAGACCACAGGAAGAAAAGTCCTCTTTGAGTTATAAGAAAAAGCATGGCCCAAGGAAGTCCAAATGTTTTTCCGAAGTAATGGAAAAAGACTTCTGAGGTCAAACCTGAACACATGTTAGGAATTTTCCAGGATAAACTTCAACTTCTGTGCAACACCATTCTAATTTGGTTGAGGTAAATATAGGCATCTGATCAGGAACTTGTCAAATACATTTATTTTTAAATTCCTCTTTCCTTAAAAGCACATCTGCAGACTATTCTTAGCAGAGATGTAACATCAGTGACTCACTCCTTAATTGACTGTGGTAATGAAGGACTCTCAAGGGTTAAATTTTGGTTGGCTAAATATTGTCATTGAAAAGAGAATCACTGTAAAGCACCTAGGCATTTGTGGGAATCGAGAACCTGTTAATTAGTCTTAATAAGAAAAATGTTCCTCATTGAATATATTATATGGTTCACTTTGAAACCCAATCATAAGATGGCTTGTACATTAAAGATTAACATTGAGAGAGAACAGAATTCCATACGCAGGAAAAATGGTGTGCTTAATAAATATGCAGCGTTTGAGAAAAAATATGCTGTACTGAAAGGTGATTTGCAACAGGGCAGCTTGTTTGGGGCAGCTCACTGTGCAGAAAATGTTGCAGGGAATGTGTCTTTCCGTCTTCAGATGGAACACTAGCAGTCCTTTGAAAATCCTGTGGAGGGTTTCAGGGCAGCTAACTTATATCTGAGTATATCTTTTGATTAGATTGAAGTTACTATAATCCTAACACCTTGAGAAGCCCAGGAAGGAGGATCGCTTGAGCCCAGGAGTTCAAGACCAGCCTGGGCAACGTGGCAAGACCTTATCACAATAAAAATTTTTTAAAAAATTAGGTGTGGTGGCATATGCCTGGGGTCCCACTATTCAGGAGGGTGAGGAAGGGGCATTGCTTGAGCCCGGGAGGTTGAGGCTGCAGTTAGCTGTGTTCATGCCACTGCACTCTTTCTTGAGAGAAAGAGCAAGACCACATCTCAAAATTAAAAAAAAATAAAAAAATAAAAAAAAAAAGAGGTTGCCTATTAGGTCTAGCTGTAGGCAAAGCTATAAAAAGGGCTATAAAAAGCTATAAAAAGGGTGAAATTGGCCTTGAAGTTCCTTTCCTACCACTGCAGTCATATGCTGGACCCTTTATGCTGATCTTTGTGAGTACCCTTAGGGTACTCACAGGGTCTGAGAGATGCCCTAAGCTTCAAACTTGTCTCCTTTCTGCCCCTCATGGATGTTTTCCTTCATTGTACTCAATTCTAAGGGAAGAGACTCCGCCTTTGGTCTAGGGCACAATGGGTAATAAGGAGCAACGATTCAAACTAATCCTAGTAAATGTATCAGCAAGCTAATATATTAGCCCTATAAGCGGACTGAATGTTTTAACCTGGACAAAATGCATGCAGCTTTGGAAAGCCCTGAGCAGCTGACACAAAAGCTGTATTCATGCACAATCTGGTAGACAAGTGGGGGCATCTTTTGACCAGCCAAGACCTCTGTTTCCATTGTGTGTGTATGAGTGGCCCTGTTTCCAAAAGCATGAACATTTCTTAGACTTTCAGAAGTGACTGCAGGCATGCTTGTGTGTGTGTAGTGAACTCCACACCCAAGCATTGCTGATTTTTGTGGAGTAAGGAGTTGCATGATGGGCTGCAGGGTGAACCCCACGTGGCACAGCAGGGAAGGGAGAGCTGGCCATGTGTGCCCCTGTGTAGCCTTTGAAGACAGACAAGGACAGCTCTGGGGCAATCAGCAGGCACAGTGTAACTGTGTGAAGGAGCTCTGAAGTAAATTGTTTGTCCACTAACAAATAAAAAAGCAGCAAAGTCGAAACACAGTGGTATTAATCTTTACCACACTGAGTGGGTGGAAATCCCATTACCATTAACAGATTTACTCACAGAAGTCCAGCATATCCACAGGAGACTCTGTTTGCAAACATTGTATGATAAATAATAATGATAAAACTAAAATCTCAGGACTGTTTATTCTGTGCATGTTAATGAGGTGTAGCTTTTGTCTCCATATCACCAATCCCATGATGGACTCTCATTTTCAATCTGGCTTGTATTCTGTGATTGGATTTTATCCAATTAACTAATATCTAAACAGTCTTGATTGCCATTTCTGCATACACACACACACACACACACACACACACACACGATTGGTATCAAGTAAGAACAATCAAGATGAAGGTTTTCAAACTCATATTAAATTTTTACATAAAATATTTTCAATGTTGAATTTAATTCTTTTTGGTAAGACTAATTCAAATCTACGAATAAGGTTAAACTACAAAGACTCCCTTCGTAGCTAATTCAATTAGGTTACAAGTTTTAGAGAACAGAGAGAAAATATGCTGTAGATTTACATTCTGGGTCATTGTTAATTTTCTCTAATGTATATATAGGTGGTCATATTCCACATTTTACATATGCACTTATTTTTTAATAAGTAAACTTTTAAAAATAAAGAGTGAAGCACCTTATCTTGAACTTGATTTTTCTCTGGTGATAGCTAATTTATTTATTTATTTTTTGAGACAGGGTCTTGCTCTGTTGCCCAGGCTGGAGTGCAGTGGTGTGATCACAGCTCACTGCAACCTCAGTCTCCTCGGCTATGAAGCAATCCTTCCACCTCAGTCTCCTGAGTAGCTCGGACTACAAGCCTGTGTGCCACGCCCAGTTAATGTTTTTTATTTTAATTTTTTGTAGAGATGGGATCTCCCTATGTTGTCCAGCCTGGTCTCAAACTCCTAGGCTCAAGCAATCTTCCCACCTCAGCTTCTCTAAGTGCTGGGATTATAGGCAAAGAACTAGATTCTTGCTCTGCAACCCTTCCTCCTAATACTCATTTAATACACACTTGCTGTGTCTATCGTACATAACAAGACAATTAGCTCCCTTCTCTCCTCTTCGATCTTTTTGGTTATACTTGCCTTTTCAAAGGTTTCATTTGTTTAAGGAATGTTTTTCCCTTTGAAGAGGTGACAATGCCTTTTTTCTTGGGTGAAATAGACTCATAGAAAGTGAAACTTCTCTTTATGTACAAATGACCATTGGTAGACCCATAAAAAGAAAACTACACTTAAATCAGTAATCTTGAAAATGAGAGTATAAAAAAGTAAACAGAGCCCAAGTTAATGATTTATTATTATTATCTCTTCCTATATTAACTATTGTTTGGTCACAATTATAATGCACAGAACTAAATCCTATGTGTAATGTCATCATTTAGCGACTTCTGTATAGGCTCACTATTACTTTATGCCATTAATGAAAACACATTCTCTCCTTGGTGTGTTATAGTTCCAAGGCACAGCTTGTTTGTTAACTAGTATTTAAGAAATTATAAACCAATTGCATTTAGATAGTTAGCTCTTTTCCTCTGTGATATATTTTGGTCTTGGTATTTTGAATGATAAGAAATAATTCTTGGGCTGGGAAAAAAATTGTTACTGTGAAAAAAGTGTCATATGAATTTTTAAAAAGTGAATTTGAATTTCAGGTTTAAATTTTAAAATATATAAAGTAAACTACACAAAAGTGATACTCCTTTACAAGCCAGTTTGCCACCTTGAAGGCTGGACACAGAGGGCAGGCCATGATCACGAGAGCAGGACATGAGTGAAGACCCTACCCCACCTGCTACTTTACTCAGAAAGGCCTTTGGTGGCCACAGAAGGCCCCACATTGAAACATGCATTCCATGATCTTCCTTTCCTTTCCTCTCCTCTAGTGTAGAAGGAAAGGTAAGATCAAGCAGGGAAAGAGCCTAGATTTTAGAGGGCCAAGCGTAGACTTTTTTGGGAAAAAGTTAATGAAAATAAGGTTCAGGAAGGCAGACAAGAAGGCCTCCCAGAAGAAATGGGAGCAATAGGAATATGACTAACATAATTCCTCTGGTAAATGGAATTTTCTGCAAACCTCAGATTTCTTTCTTCAAAACGTTTTCATATTTACAAAGCAATATTTAATGTGTAGATATGTTCAATGATCCACCACTCACCTATGGTAAAGATCACTGCAATTCCTATGAAGACCGCCTTGCTCTCACTATCTGTCTTTTTCTAATGGAAGACAAAGGCAAACTGGCGATGCAAGGATCATACAGGGAGGAGGCTGTTTACTGCAGCACAGGGGCACTAAAGGCCTGCACTGGCACAGCATTTACTTCCTGCCAGGTGCCATTTAAAGAACTTTACAAATATTTAATCTTCAGAAAACCCCTCGGAGGTAAGTGCTACAATTGCCCTCATTTTTCAGCTAAGGAGACAAATGCAGAGAGGTTAAAATAGTTGCCCAAAGTCACATAGCTAGTAAACGGTGGAGCCAGGATTCCAACCCAGGTGGCCTGGCTTCTGAGTTCACTACACATTGCAACAGTGAATAACCCTCCTCCTGCCCCAGCCACCCAGCACACACACAAGCCAATGCTCAGATTGCAGTGAGCCTTCTCCTGGATAAAATTTACAACCACAGAGAGAAGGCATTTGAAATTATAGAAAGAGCTAAATGCTATAACCCACAATATTATGTGAGCATGATTGGATTAACTATCAATGGGTTTGCTTTTCCAGTCCATGAAGAAAGAATCAGATGCTAGGAAGAGCTAAATGCTATAACCCGTAATATTATGTGAGCAGGATTGGATTAATGATCAATGGGTTTGCTCTTCCAGTCCATGAAGAAAGAATCAGATGCTAGAATAGTTCAGTTGAGTAACCCCAACAAATGAGTCTTATCTGATAAGGGTGAATTTTTCTTGAATAGGTTGTTAGCTTCTTCAAGAAGACAGTTGAGAAAAAATACAGAAGGTAGTATCGGATGACAAAAATATACATAAAATGTATTTATGCTAGGAACTGAAACGTCTGATTTCAGATGACTGCATGTAGTGATAGTAGTCAAATACCCTGAGAAATTGAGAAGTTGTACACACTATCTGTCTTATGTTTTTGATAAATGCTAACAAAGAATCGGCTGCGATAACATAAACACAGGTTTATACATTTGATGCTCAAATTACTAGGAACAACATGAGTTTTCAAGCTAAAGATAATCTGCTTTCTGAAATCTCTTTTTTTTGGAAAAACTGAAGGTGAAGATAATTGATCTTTAGTTGTAGTTACTGATATTATTAAATACTGGCATTTAAAAGCATTTTGAACTTTGATTCTGAATTCCCTTTAATGTGAAATAAATTCTCATTCAATGTATACATGGAGTTGTACAGCCTAATGATGTTTTGGGAATTAAATAAATTATGTCTATTAACATCACTAAAAAGCTTCTCTCTATACATAAAGCAAACAGAGGCACTTAGATATTTTTTCCCTCTTCTGACATTTTGTTTTATCTCAGGGAAAAGACTAAACTTCAATGTGAGCACATTCTAATTACTTCTCCAGTTAAGGTCCAGCCACTTCCACTACATTTGACTTATTAGTTAATCAAACTCCTTTACAAATCTTTTTCTAAAGAAGCTTTTCATTTTGAGATAATTGTGAGTTCACATGCAGTTGTAAGAAATAATATGGAGAGATCCTGTATACCCTTTACTCAGTTCGCCTCCCTGCCCATGGTAACTGCTAGGGGCTGAATTGAACTGAATTGTGTCTGTTGCCCCACATTCGTGTGTTGAAATCCCAGTACCTCAGAATGTGACTCTATTTGAAGCCTGAGGCTTTAAAGAGGTAATTAAGTTAAAATTAGGTCACAAGGGTGAGTCCTAATCCTATAGGACTGATACAGAATGAAGACATGTGAAGACACCAGAAGACAGGCAGCTACAAGCCAAGGAGAGAGGCCTCAGAAGAAACCAACCTTACCTACACCTTCATCTCAGACTTCCACACTCCAGAACAGTGAGATATAAATTTCTGTTGTTTGAGCCACCATCTATGATACTTTGCTAAGACAGTCCTAGCACTAACATAGTGACCTCTTACAAAGCTATAGTAGGATAGCACAGCTGGAGTATTAATATTGATACAATCAGGAAGCAGAATATTTCCATCACCGTTTTCAGCCACAACACCTCCCTCCATCCTTACCCCATATTTACCCTCTGGCAACCAATCGTCTGCTCAGTATTTGTATAATCTAGCATTCCAAGAATGTTATATAAATTGAATCATCAGTTTGTTTATTAATGCACCGGTTGAAGGAAATGTAGATTGTTTCCAGTTTGGGGTATTACAAATAAAGCTGCTATGACTTTTGATGCACAGGTTTTTGTGTGGACATATTTTTAATTTCTCTAGCATAAGTGTCCAGGAGTGCAATGGCTTGGTCATATGCTATTTTAATGTTTCATTTTTAAAGAAATTGCCAAACTATTTTCCAGAGTGGCTATATCATTTTTAATTCCCATCAGCAATGTGTGTGGGGTGGTGCGGAATTCATTTTCTCTGCATCCTCACCAGCATTTGATGTTATCTCTATTTTTTATTTTAACCATTATAATAGGTAAGTAGTAATATTTCATTGTAGCTTTAATTTGCATTTCCCTAAAAGCTAATGATTTTGGAGCATCTTTTCATATGCTTATTGCAATCTATATATCCTCTTTGGTGAAATGTCTCTTCATATCATTTGCCCATGTCCCAGCTAGATTATTTGGGTTTTTTTATTGTTGAGTTTTGAGAGCTCTTTATATTTTCTAGATATGAGTCATTCGTCAGATGTGTGGTTTGTAAATATATTCTCCCAGTCTGTAGTATAGCTTGTTTCTCCCCTTAACAGTGTCTTCTGCAGAGCAAAAGTTTAAAAGTTTTGTAAAGCCCAATTTAGCAATTTTTCTTTTTCTTTCTTTCTTTTTCTTTTCTTTTTTTTTTTCCAGAAAGACAGGGTCTTGGTCTGTCACCCAGTCTGAAATGCAGTGCTGTGCTCTGCTCGCTGTAACCTTGAACTCTTGGGTTCAAGTGATCCTTCTACCTCAGTGCCCCACTAGCTTAGCCTCCAGAGTAGCTGGTATGACAGGTGCATGTCACCACACCTGGCTAATTTAAAACATTTTTTTTTTCATACAGATGAGGTCTTGCTATGTTGCCCAGGCTGGTCTTGAACTGCTGGCCTCAAGCAATTCTCCTGCCTTGGCTCCCAAAGTTCTGGGATTACAGGCATGAGCCACCGCACCCGACCTCAATATTTCTTTTCTTTTTTTTTTGTTATCAACCTTGCTTTTGCTATGAAGTTTAAAACTCTTTGCTCTAGATCCCCAAGGTTTTCATCAGTATTATCTTCTAAAGGTTTTGTAGTTTTATGTTGTACACTGAAGTCTGTTATCCATTTTGAATTAATTCTTGTATAAGAAGTGAGATTTAGGCTGAAGGTTTTTGTTTGTTATTGCCTATGAATGTCCAGTTGCTCCAGCACCATTTGTTGGAAAGACTATTTTTATTATATTAAATTGCCATCACATCTTCACAAAACATCAGTTTGATATATTTGTGGGTATATTGTGTGTCTATATATTTGTGGGTATATTGTGTTAGTTCCATTGATCTATGTGTCTGTTTCTTCAGCAATACCACAGGGTCTTGATTACGTAGCTATATTGAAATTGATTCCTACTAGTTTGTTCTTTTCATCCAGAATTGTTTGAGCTATTCTAGTTCACTTGCTTTTCCATGTAAATGTTAGAATAATTTTGTCTTTATCTAGAAACACTATTGCTGAGATTTTGATAGGAATTGCATTAAACCCACATCCATTTGGGAAGAATTGACGACTTTGCTATGTTGAGTCTTAAAATTAATGAACATGGTATGTCTCCTTATTTACTTAGATCCCTTTCACTTTCTTTCGTCAGTGCTTTATAATTTTGGCATAGAAGTCCTGCACAGGTTTTGCTGACTCTACACTGAAGTAGGGGGGCTCCCTGGTTTCCACTGGATGGGCGTGGAAGTTCAGGCTCCCCATGCAGTCTCATGTGACACACGGGGGAGTTGAGAAAAGCAGACTCGCTGCCTAGCAGGGATGAAAGTCCGGACTTCTTCTCTAACACCACTCCGGTGCGGTTTGGGATGACTCGTTATAGCCTGACCAGGGTGGAAGTCAGCTCCTTGCTTAGCCTTGGCGGTGTAAATGAGGGTGGGAAGTGTTTTCTGTGGTGTTTGGCTGGAGTAGAGTGGCAACTGTCTAAAAGTCTACTGTCTTGCTGGGATGTCTCTCTACCTGGTCATTTGGCTAGAGAGCGCAGGCTTTTTGGGGGCTTTTTGATTGATGGGATTACCAGGTTGCCAGACGTCATCCCCAAATCTGAAACATATGAGGCAAAAAGAAAACTCAGGGAACTCTTTGCTATGTTGATCATTGGGCGCCAAAAGTCCCTGTCTGGTCTTGCTAATCTCTATACTGTTCAGAGTTTTCTTATGTTTGCTTTATATATAATGTCCAGGGTTTTTAGTTTTACTTAGTGAAAAAAATAGGATATGCATGTATACTACATCTTCCTGGATGCAGAAGTCCTACAAATATTTTTAAAGCACATAAAGTTGTATAAATCACATCCAGTTCCCATAGACTGAAAAAAGTTATATAACATTCTATTTGTCTCAATACAATTTAATTAAATTTTAACTACGCAAATGATAATCTGTACTTGGAGACTGCCTGTAGTAGCCTCATCGTGAGACCCTGAGTGTTGGTCTCAATGAGCTCATCTGCAGATTAGGGTAATGATTATAAACTATAAGAGAGTGGTGTCTGCCTCTTTTTCACCTTTACACACTGGGAAACAAAGGATTAATAAACATTTGTTGGATAAATAAACAAATGATATACTTGGAATGATATAACCATTAAGTAGCTAGACACTGTTGGAAGTAAGACATCTGTTGAGGCAGATTTGCTCTTGAAATAAAAGTCTACTATTTAGTTTGAAAGAACAAGTCTTTCTAAAATTAAATATGGACAATTACACAGAGCTTACTATTCAGAGTGTGTATTACAAATAGCTCTTTCTGTTGTCTTAATTTTAGAGAAATGGTGAGAATTTGTTCCCCTTGTGTTATATATGTGCCAGTAACCAAAATTTTAATTAATAACTGGTTCCAGGGTCAGATGTGGTGGTTCATGCCTATAATCCCAGCACTTTGGGAGGTCGAGGCAGGGGGATTGCTTGAGGCCAGGTGTTTGAGACCAGCCTGGGCAACATAGTGAGACCTTGTCTCTATTAAAAAAATTTTTTTTAAAGAATTGGTTTCAATTAATACCATAAAAATATATCAACTTTGACATACTCACCCAGCTCTAAACATAGATACTTTAGAGTTAACACATCCTTTTATTTTTTAACTTTTCTGGGAATAATCATCTAATATACTTTTACTTTGAGAAAACTTCTTCCAGTTATTGGACGTCTATTCTATGTATAGTAGAGCATCATTTATAAGTGTTTTTAGATAACTGCTGAACATCAAATTCAATAATGCTGCTATTATCCAATACATGTTTATATAATGCAAAATGTAGTACTACAGTAATAATCTAAGAGACCGTTACTAGCAATTACCATATTTTATATGTGGCACTGACCTGATTCACTTTTATTACCTGGAAATTCTGGTAAATAATTTGCTGTGAATAGCAACTGTAGGCAGTGGTAGGAAATCATTATTCCACAATGTTATTACATCATCTATGAATTTACAGAAAGTCAGTCAATATTTAAAAATCAATTTTATCTCTCTGATTGAGGAACACTATTCTGTTGCCTATACTAGGACATTTAGACAAATACAAAATGTATTCAACTGCTTAACTTCTTAGCATAGTTTGGGTTGGTTTCATGATTAGTGGTGGCAAAAATATCATCTAATTTCAAACTGGTGGTTGAGTTGCCTCCGGCTCAATTTATCCTAAATATCAGAGCCTATTTTTAATGCCTGACTCGTGTATATGTTTTCTGGTGTCATCATTTGCTTGCTTATTTATTCATTCATTCGTTTAGCAGTTTTGAACTACTCTGCTTGGTTCTGGGGATCAAAGAAGAATAACACACAGCCTTTATTCTTAAGCATGTACAAGTTAAGTGAGGGAGATATAAATGCAAAAAGATAATTAAATATGACTTATTAAGTTCCGTGATAAATGTATGGACAGAACCTTAAAGGAATGTACAGTAAGGGCACCAAACCCAAACCCAGCCTCTGAGTGTGTGTGTGTGTATGTGTGACAGAGAGAGAGAGAGAGCGCAAGTGAGCATGCCATGAGTTTTAGGAAAGGCTTCAGGAGAAGAAAATACTTGAGCAGAGTCATAAATACTCAGTAGTAGCAATTAACCAGGCAAAGGCAGTGGGGAGAAAAGGAATTGAGCTAGCATCACTAAAGCAAAAGAAACTCTGTGCAATTGTCCATATCTAAGTTTGAAAAGTTAAATTCTTTTCAACTCAAGTATAGACTTCCATTTCCATGTTTGTGAAGAAGTGTTTTCCTTACAAAAGTCTCTGCCTATTTAGTGTTTATATCACCCCAGAGATAGCTCCAGTCACCCATTTATGATTTACCCAGGGAACTGAAAGCAGTATGGTGTTGGTGAGGAACGAGGAGGGAAGTAAAATGTGAGAATCCAGTCTGAAGATGGGGTAGAGAGGGAGGTGCTTCCCCTGAGAGCCCCCGTGCTAGACTGAGTGAAAAAGGAAAGCCGCTGATGGCATTTAAGTAGCTGGGTCACTCAATTACATTTAATTTGTAGCTTGATTGCTCTGATGTCTCCATGCAGGGTGGATTTGAAGAAGCCTTGAACAGAGAGAATGGCTGTTACAGAGGATCAGCTGAGAGGTATGAGGCCCACACCAGGAAGTGGCAAGGCAAATGGAGAAGAGATAATGAGCTTGACACAGTCATCAGGGATCAGGGTTTGAATGCAGTGAGCTCAGAGGGGGAAGATTATGGGACCACCCAGGTTTCTCACGTGGGTAACGGAGGGGCTAACTCCAACAGATAGAAGATACAGGGGAGGAAATGATGGAAGAATGGGCACTTTCTGCTTTGAACATACTCATTTGGGAGGTGACTGTAAGAGTTAAAGGTGAAGATGTTAAAGGAAGTAGCATGTGATAGCCTGAGGCTCAGAAGGATCAAGGCTGGAGATCTCAATCTAATAATTATCAGCCTGAGGGTAGTAGTTGTCATCGAGATGATGAGAGAGGCTAGACGAGAGTGCGTTGAATGAAACAAACAACGGGGCAAGAACAGATTCTAAGGAAGACTAAATTCCCAAACGGTGAGGGGCCAACCTCCAGGTGAGCATTCAAATCCCAGAATTGGCATTGATGCTACATTTTTTGTGGCTCTTTGAAATCATGGAAGACCTAACTCTAGGCTGGAATCTTAGTTACTCTAGGTCTAAGCCAACTGTGTGCCTCCAGGGATCAGAAAAGAATATCATTCAGTGAGGCCACTAGGTTGTAAGACCATATGTGACTCTATTATTGAGGGCCTCTATGTGGAGTTAAGACAATAGGGCTTGATGAGGACTGGGGCAAACTGAGTGTGCTCATTAGAGGGCAGTCACAGCTCACCACAGCTGTCACCATTACAGAATACAGGCAGAGATTTAGATGTTCCAGTTTTTTATGGGAATTAGGAAATCCACATTTTTACGTAAAGTATGCCATTTTTTTAAACCGTGGCAGCTAATTAAATGTAAAACTCTATGCCAGAGGCCAAGGGGAAAATGAAAATGTCTGTGGTCCACTGCTTTGTGATCTGCAATAGGCAACAGGGTGGAGTGACTGAGAGTGACGCTGAAGTTCAGGAAGTAATGAAGTCCCATTCACAGGGACTGAACTCTATTCATCAACAAATACCTATTTCATTCCTAACACGTGCCAGGTTCAAGGAATTTGGCAGTGAATAGAAGAGTCAAAGCTTCCCCAAAGTGAATTACACACAAGGAGGTTGTTTTCCCTTGTGGATATTCTCTTTGTGATACTGACGTGTGGTTGAAACAAACCTCAGTGTTCGTGGCAGAAGAACCTGCCAGTTGTTGGCTGCTAGTGCCTGACAGGTTGATATTTAGCAGTGCCTTTTATTAGATGCCTTGTATTTATCTCTGAAAATATTAAAAGCAGACCCTGGAAAGGTTCTTAAATTCTCTGTGCTTCTGTTTTCTTGCCTGTAAAATGTGCATAATGATAGTACCAACTGATAGAATCATTGCGTGAATAGACTGAGATGATGTCTAGAAAGCGTTAAGTCCACATTCTGGCTCATGTTAACTATAAAAAATGTTGACTATAACAATTATGGTTATGGTCTACTTGGCACCCTGCCTGTGTGTCTAAAACAAGTACTTTTTGTAACGCATAGAGGATGTAAATATGACTTTTGGTCATGGAAATATGGGTAGTTGTTTGAGAGGCAAGCCTACATTTTTGAAAGTTGTACTTTGAAGAAACTGATTCCTGGGGTACAGGGCAATGCCCCGAGGTGATCTGAAGCAGGTGCAAAATCAAATTAATTGCCAGTCAGTTGCATGTGCTCCTACAGATAAGCTCCCTCAAGCTGTGCTCCTGGGATGGCCCAGGTGTGCGTTTGGATTATGTAGGGACTGTGGGGATGCTCTTGATAATGGAGTTACTAAAGGAAAGGTTTGCTCCCATCCACACAAACTAACACCTCTTGTCTTTCAAGTGAACTGATTCATGGAGAATCTATTCCTGACCCTCTGTGGCAATGCTTTCCTGCTGATCTCATGAGACAGAACCTGTGAGTTTGACTGGGTCTGACAAGAATGGTGCATTTCAAAGATCTGTCTTGCAATAGAAAGCACTTACTACTTCAGTGAAATGTTAATTAAGCACTTCCTATGTGCCAAGCACTGAGACTGGTGCCGGGTTTGAGAACAAATTGGACAAATGCCCAGACATCATGGAGTTTATAGTCTAATGAAGAAATTGTTCTAGTCAGCAAGAAATAACATAAGTTGAGGCTCATACTGTCGTGCATAGAAGGAGCACTTAATCTGAGGGATAGTCATGGCTTCCCAAAGAAAGTGATGTGAAAACTGACCTTTAAGATCAAGTAACAGATCAAGTAATAGAGTAAGCCAGACAAGGAAAGATGGCTCACACTTCAGAATAAGCAGGGGCCACGTTTTTATTGCATAACAGAGGCAAATAAAGCATCTTTTGACTTAACTGGCTACTATTTTTAAAAATTATGTACTGGCGGGTGCGGTGGCTCACGCCTATAATCCCAGCACTTTGGGAGGCCGAGGCAGGTGGATCACCCGAGGTCAGGAGTTTGAGACCAGCCTGGCCAACATGGTGAAACCCCTTCTCTACTAAAACACAAAAATTAGCTGGGCTTGGTGGCAGGCGCCTGTAATCCTATCTACTCAGGAGGCTGAGGCATGAGAATCGCTTGAACCTGGGAGGTAGAGGTTGCAGTAAGCCAAAATCGTGCCACTGCACTCCAGCCTGGGCAACAGAGCAAGACTTTGTCTCAAAAAAAAAAAAAGTGTCAAGATTTGGCTTTACGATAACTTTCAAGATGTGTGTTGTTGTTGATTTAATAGATTATGCATATTATTAATGTACATGTTGACATGGGGCATTGTCTTAGACTTAATGTCATTTCTAAATAAGCCTATTACCTGCCAGTTCCATAGAGCTCAAAGACATTCATATCTGTATTGATGTCACAGAGACAGGCAATCCATCACCCATTTATCTTCCCCTCTCCCATTGCCACCCCTCCCATTTAGATCTTGTTACTTCTTATTAAACGAATGCAATGCTGTCTTCACTGATCTCTTTACCTCAAGTTTTTTTCCTATTCCAATTTTATGCTTTGCTGCAGAATTAAATTTCCTGAAGTGCAACTCTGATGCTATCATTCCAGTGCTTGAAGTTTCTCATGCTATCCCCAAAGTCTGAGGCGTTAATAATAAACCACCCGTCTGGCATTCTCCACCTTTCACGTGATTCCAGCCTACCTTTCTCAGCTGCTCTTGCACTGCTGTGTTCCCTGGGATTCGATGTAGACTACTTGCTGTTCTGCTTTCCTGCCTCACTAGCTTTGCTTTAGAACATCCTTCAGTCTCGAATATACTTCCGCAGCCAGTACATGTTGCAATATTCATCTCACGGACCAAATCAAATCCTCTACTGTTTGTGAGGTCCTCCCTCAGCCTCCCCACTCCCATTATTGCATTCTCTCCTTCCTTTAAATCCCCAGTGCTCTACCCATATACACAACACTATATGTCTACTGTATGTATTGCATTTGTAAAATTATGCCTTTATTTGTGCAGTGTGTATATTATTGTGATGCATTGGAAGTAAGAGCTGTGTACTTTTCAACTTTATATTTTTTATATCTTTTAGCATAGAATTCCTCACATTGTAGGTGATGAATATCTGCCAATTCTACTAGCTAGTAATGTTTTTTCACTGCCAATTTTATTTATGAATTGAAAAAGTCCCAATGTTATGTAATTTTATTTAGTATGGTCTCAATTCATGGAACCACTAATATTTTAGTCTTGTATATGTTCAGCACATATAGGCCATAGTTATTCTTTTGTTTTATGCCTTAAAGCTCATGGGACATTAATACATACATCAATACAGCTTCTCCTTGGTGTAAGTGCAGAAAGGTGAGAAGACAAATGGCTCCCAGGAGCTTACTGAATTAGCGAAGACAAAGGTGGGGCTGGAACCAAGGACGTTTTGTTCTGAGCCCTACCATTTGCCACCTGCAGCTGCTTCCCTAGTGTCTCATTCTTTCTTCCAAAGACTCAGTTCAATTTAAATACAATTACTGAAATCAGTATTTACTCACTATACACACAGATGTCAATTAAGACTGAACTTGGTTATTGTAACAAACTGAGGGAGGAATTGCAATTTAGCCTGTTGTCAAGTCTCAGTCTAAAACCCAGGCGTGTAGCCCAAATTATTCAGTGTCTGTCCTTATACCCTAAATTTGTTAAATAACTACCATCAGCTAATTTTCAATGACTGTTATTGCATGCAGGCCTGTTGTCTGTTGACGTGTCCCTGGAAAGACAGAGAGAGAGAGAGAGAGAGATGCCAAGGTGCGATGCCTGGATGTCTCCTCTTAGTGTCAGAATTATTTGTTGTTGCTGCATTAGGCTTCAGGGAGAGCTGACATTTGCAGGTCAGCTCCATGGCCCATTGGTTGGATCCAGTTTCTTTTTCTATGAACTTGCCTCCAGCAAGTAAACCGTATGGCAAGGTGGGAAGATCCCTGGACTTAAACTTCAAAGATAAGTTTTCATCTTTCTTTTAGCTCCATCATTAATCGTTTTGTGACCCTGGGAAATTTGCTTAATCTACCAGAGGTTTGATTGCCTAATCTCTTTAAAAAGTTATTGTGAGAATCAAAGAGGATAACATATGTGAAAGCACTTGATAAACCTCAGAACACTTTACAAGCGGAAGTGTTTTTAGAATCACTATTATTATTAGAAGAGAGAAATAAAGCAAGGGCTTGAATTCAATTCTGTCTAAAAGCTTGAATAAAAAGTCAATTTCACTTACCTACTTGTTATTTTGGGAAGCATGTTATAAAGTGAAAGTAGCATAGCACTTGCTAGGTTATTCCAGAAACCTATTTACCACTGCCTTACATTTTTCAACTTTATTCATCAGATTTAGTCACTGAACCACAAGGAATGAAGAGTAATCACAATCTATAAAGATAACCAAATAGAAAAGTGTAGTTTATCATACTATCTGAGCAACAACAGCCAAAGGATCTTTCTTTTTTATTTATTTATTTATTTATTTATTTATCTATTTATTATTATTATACTTTAAGTTTTAGGGTACACGTGCACAATGTGCAGGTTAGTTACATATGTATACATGTACCATGCTGGTGCGCTGCACCCACTAACTCGTCATCTAGCATTAGGTATATCTCCCCATGCTGTCCCTCCCCCCTCCCCCCACCCCACAACAGTCCCCGGAGTGCGATGTTCCCCTTCCTGTGTCCATGTGTTCTCATTGTTCAATTCCGACCTATGAGTGAGAATATGCGGTGTTTGGTTTTTTGTTCTTGCGATAGTTTACTGAGAATGATGATTTCCAATTTCATCCATGTCCCTCCAAAGACATGAACTCATCATTTTTTATGGCTGCATAGTATTCCATGGTGTATATGTGCCACATTTTCTTAATCCATTCTATCATTGTTGGACATTTGGGTTGGTTCCAAGTCTTTGCTATTGTGAATAATGCCACAATAAACATACGTGTGCATGTGTCTTTATAGCAGCATGATTTATAGTCCTTTAACAGCCAAAGGAACTTTCTAAACATCTTTCTGGATATTTGTTTTTGTTGTTCTAGACTAGAAAGATAGCATGGCTTCCTTTTATGCACAATCTTTTCACTGGGGTTGACTCAGCTCATTGTTCTTTTGCTTTCTTAGAGAGAAAGATTTAATCTATAAGACAGTAGCAACAAATCCAAATAAAAAAAAAGCCCAAACCACATCAAAACAAAACAAACCAAGTGCTTTCTATGTTTGTCATAGTACTTGACTGAATATACCAAGGCTTTTTATAACAATTGTTGGAGTGATCCTTATTTCAGAAATCAAACAGCAAGAATTTCACTGTTAACGTCAAAGTCCTTTTATCATTGTGTTACCAGCTGTCATCATTGTTGTTTAAGAGTTGGATACAGAAGGAAGAAATTGGAAGAAGCAGCTAATGAAAAATAGAGAGTAATAGTTCCAAAATTTTCTCCACTCTACCCATCCAATTTTCTTAAGTATCCCGAGTAAGCAATGACAACCAAGCTGAACAAAACCCAAACAAAAACTTTCTTGAAGCTTAAGTGATGAAAAGAATGGTCAGTTATTGAAGAGACTGAGAATCTGGACACTGCTGAGGAATGAATCAATTCATTATTAATTTGCTAAGTAGCAGGACCCTAACTAGGTCTCAGGAGATCATGTTATTGATTCATTATCTACTTAAGAATGTATCACTCCTGTTAAAAGCCTCAGGGAGATAGTTCAATTACCTCATGTATTAAAAATATTTGAATACAATTTCAGTAGTAACAACAAAACATGAAAGTGAAAACGGTTAGAACTAGTAGTTCGTATTGAATCATGGAGTCTAGAACAGTCAGATTTAAAAGATAAGCCCAATACATTGGAATACCAATGAGGTGTTGTGTCATGGAAGACCTCCCAGATGGAGTTTCGCTCTTGTTGCCCAGGCTGGAGTGCAATGGTGTGATCTTGGCTCACTGCAATCTCTGCCTCCAGGGTTCAAGCGATTCTCATGCCTCAGCCTCTTGAATAGCTGGGATTACAGGCACCCACCACCACTCCGGCTAATTTTTTGTATTTTTAGTAGAGACGGGGTTTCACCATGTTGGCCAGGCTGGTCTTGAACTCCTGACCTCAGGTGATCCACCTGCCTGAGCCTCCCAAAGTGCTGGGATTACAGCCGTGAGCCACCGTGCCTGGCCCTCTTCTTGGTTTTCATGCTCTTTATTCGAGGCTGGAACATATGTCAGACACCGCTGTAAGTAATTGGAGATAACCGGTAACTGCAGCAGGAGAAAGCGCTGCCTGTCCTGATGGAGCTCATATTCTACTGGGAAATACAGTCAATAATCAAATCTAAAGAACAAAAGTATGGGAAAATGGGTAGAAGTAAATGCTAATTAAAAAAAAAAAAGCAGGGCAAATTGGAGAGCAGAAGCATCAGAGAGCAGTACGGGCAGGAAGGTCGTGATGAGAAGGCGACTTTCAAGCCACTGCCTGAAAAAGGGCAGGAGCTGGACAGGTGTCAGGAAGGGCCTTCCAGGCAGAGGAAACAGCCGCTATCACTGAGCCTGTGCCTCACTGAATGGTGGGTCATGGAGGGTCCGAGAAGATCTGGGACGATGTTGAAGGATTTTGAATAGAGGAGTGAGATGAACTGGCTTTGTGTTTTCACAGAATCATTTGGGCTGCTGTGTTGAAAATGGACTGAGGGGACAGGGCAGAAGAGGGGAGGCCGGTTAGACCAGTACCTCAGGCTACCAGGACCTGAGCAAAGTTATAGGATCAGGATGAGGGCAGCGGAGGGGGTGAGACGCATGCTGAATTCTGGACCTATTTTTAAGTTAAAACCAGCAGGATTTGCTGATGGAAGAGATGTGCATGTAAAACATACAGAGAAATCTAGAATAGCAGAAAGGGTTTTAGCCTGAACAACTAGAAGAATGGATTTGCCATTCACTGAGATGGGAAAGTGTTTGCAGAGAACCATCAGGAGCTCCTGTCAGGCTTGAAATGCTGTTGCTGCTGATGGCTGTAAGCTGAATGCCCTCTCAGGGATCTGCCCTGCCACGGCTATCCACACCCCCTCCATGAGTACAGCCTGTGTCTAATCCAATGGCCACTCGAGGTGTAGATAGGAAGTCTCACCCCCTTGCCTTAATAAGGGACAGTTGAAAGGCTTCCCTCTCAGGGGGATGGGCTGAGGCCTCTGTAGCAAGAACATTGCCATCTAGCTCCTCTGGTCCTGTCCTGCCTCCTCCACCCTCACTGTGTTGTTTCTGAGAGCACACCTCAGTAAATTTTCTGCACCCAAATCGCTGTCTCTTTCTCAGGGGATCCACCTTAAGACACCTTCTGTGGGCTCCCAAAATAGGAATGACACGAGCTCCTGATAGATTCCTGTCTTTCTTCTTGGTGTAGCCAATACCACTCAAATTCCATTCAGCATCTGCCTTGCAGAAAACTGTGGTGATGATCTCCCCAACTAGATCATACTAGGTCCCCAGAGTGCTGTACTTTTTCTACAGTTTGCTCATAAAAGGTAGTGCATGAACATTCGTTATGCGGTTAACAGATAATGATGATACCTCTGAACAGAAACTAAAAACAAGTAATTGAAGATGAAAAGCAACACTTTTAAATTGAAATCGGATATGTTGTTCTACTTTTGTGATTCACATACATCCAGCAAAATGATAATACCCTACAGCTACACTTTTTTGAAAGTTGGAGTGCTGTCAGTCTGTTAGAGTGATGACCAGTTTGCAATTAATTTGTTTTCTCCTCCGGCCTCTAAATCTATATGTGGATCTGCATTCTATCCAAAATTTGAAAACAGAAAAATCTAAGCAACTATATGCAACTGTTTTTGTCTACCTTGTGCCAGAGAACATCAGATTCGACTGTACCCTTTTGAATAGACTTGTGTGAACCGAATTAACCAATTTATGAAATGCTTGGCCATTTAGACAGCATGTAAAGAAAAGAAAAGAAAAACTTCTCTCCTAAACCGTGGCTGGGTGCAGAATGGGCTGTAAGGCATCATCTACTCCATTCCTAAACTGCCCGCTTGGGAAAACCCACATGCCTTCTAAAAGCTGTATTTAGGGAAGAGAGAAACTAGAGTTCACTTGTGGGGCTTCTTCACTTAAGCCTCTCTAGTACCCACGACGACAATGGTTCTCAGCCTTCGCTGCTCATTAAATCACCTGGGGACCTTTAACACCTCTGATGCCTGGCTCCCACCTTCAGAGGTACTGATATAATTGGTCTGGGTGTGGTCTGGGCAATGTGATATGTAACCCCGCCCCAGGGGACTCTAATATTCAGAGCAGGTTTGAATATTATTTTATTTTCTAATTTTGAAACAATTAAAACTTCATTAGAAAATTGTTTTAAGAACAGAGTGATTATGGGATTAAATGCATAGATTATGCAGTCATAGAAACTAGATCATTGTCTTGTGAGTTAAAAACTGTAGACTTGGGCATACGGCTTAAATTCATAGAGAATCGCTGTGGTATCAGGTAAAATACATTTCTGGCTACAATCAGATTGGAAGCTTTTGGCTAGATACAATATAGCTAAACGCCATTGATGGAAATGAGCTGACTGATGGGCCCTGGCCACTGTCCCCTGCCATCGTCCTCTTCTTTTCACCCCCCTGCTTGTGATCCTCCAGCCAGGCTGGCCTTCTGCAATGAGTCAAGCTCTTCCTGCAGCCCAGAACAATCCACCTCCGATCACCTTAGCATATTGATGTCGACTGACTTTCTATCAGCAAAACTGATCTCAGCCAAGTAATATCTGGCCAGATCCTTGAGCACCCTGCAGTCACTATTATTCCAGCGAATGAGACTGTGAAGCTATGGTTCACACAGGGTATGGAACTGGTAGGGTAAGATTACATGGTGAGCATGTAATTTAGACTCATGGCCTAAATATGTTTGCAAAGATCCTGAAACTTTCTATGCTAATCCAGACGTTTCTTCTATAACATCACCGAAATAAAATGAAGAACAACCAGTCTTACGTTTCCCAAGTTAGAAGCCTCAGAGCTTTCTCTTTTCCATACTCTGTAGCTTTATTACCTATGGACTTTTCTCGTTGCTCCATTTTTTAGCCCTTTAATCACTTCCAGTGCCTCCCTTTAGAGAGTTCTCCTAGTTCTAAGCATTCATTTAACTTTCAGGGCTCCAGACCAGGTCTTTAATTACAAACTTAAAAATTATGGCGGGAGTGGAAAAATATGACCTCATATTGCTTAGTGCTATACTTACTCCTAAAGACAAAATCATATTGCTTCTACTGCAGTAGCTTCAACTCTGCCGTTCCTCTGAGTCACCAGGTGACCATTGTTTTGATTAGCATGATGATTATCAATAATAATGAGGGCATCCATATACCATAAGGCTACTTTACGCCAGGCACCGCAGTAGAAGACTGTCAAGAGTTGTGTTGTTTAATTCGTATAACTCTATGAATTGAAGCCTTATGCCCAAGTCTACAGTTTTTAACTCGCAAGACAATGATCTAGTTTCTATGACTGCATAATCTATGTATTTTTCACCCTATAATCACCCTGTCCTAAAACAATTTTCTAATGAGGTTTTAATTGTTTGAAAATTAGAAAATAAAAATAATGGAGACCAGGAATTCTTCTGTAACAGTGGCTTCGAAGGAGTTTAATCGTTTGCAAATACAAAAGGAGACATGGGTTTCCTGCAGCAATAGTTCATTAACATACATTCAGATTTTTTTTTCTCTATCCAAAGACTCAGCACCCGGCCCACAACAGGAGCTCAATAAACGCTTGCTGAATGTGAGGTGAGGTCTAAGGATCTGTATCTTTTCCTACATTACATGAAGATAACTTTGCTGTTATGTATTTAGCTTCTGACATAATCATTACTTTTTACAGCCATGGTTTTTCTGATGGATTAATATATTCTTTCTTCCAGTCTCTGCCAATGTCTAAGCTTAACCCTCCCCTGTCCAAGTGAGGTGCCCTTGCCCTCCCTGCCTTATATGAACCTAACAGGGTAATCAGACATTCTGAAGGATAAAACTCTCCCTTGATTTCTGATCTGAATAATCTCAGATAAAATCATGACTTTGAAAAGGCAGTACCTATAGTCTGACATCACTTTGTCAAGCTGTCTTTAAGATTTCTTTTCTTTCCTCTGCATGATCACAGACTATTGTTAGTGATGTAAGATGTACTCTGCCTGTTTTGACAGGACTAAATGTTCTGAACAAGAAACAAGAACAGATATGTACAGCTATCCTGCACACCTAGGTCTCTGTCCTGGAGGCACTCCAATACCACATTACTTTCTGATGGCACAGAAATTAAAGGCCTGGTCTGGAGCTTTGTGAGTTAAATGAATGTGTAGAAAATGTGGCGTCTACTTTGAGATGCTGGAGGAAAAATTATTATTCCTTAATAATAGATAGAAGGCAGAGGAAGAGACACACAGCACTCTTGTCCTCTTTCCAGCATCCTTATTAGACTTTTCATTAAAGATGGCTCGGAAAATTGCATGGATCACTCTAGGCACAACAGTGAATCTTAGCATTTAAACAGGAAAAATAACGTATATGTGGTCAGCTGCCTCTTAAATGGTCCCTAGTGATCTCCACTTCCTGGTCTTTATGCACTTGTGAAATGTCCTTTCCTTAGTTGTGGGCTGGACTTAAATAGAATATAGTACATCTGAGATTATATATATATTATATATAATCTCAACATAGAGATCTCTATATATAATCTACATAGATTATATATCTTACATATATTATATACTATATATCTAATATATACAATTCATAATCTATTACATATGAAACAAACTGTGGCTTCCATCTTATTGGGTGCTCTCTCTTAGGCCACTCGTCATTTCTTCTGCTAGTCTATAAAACTTTTGGAGAACAGAAACTCAATGCTATTACTTTTTGAATTCCTGTAGGTTCCAGGAATGCGCCTTGCAAGAAGCAAAAGCTGACTAAATATCTGATTAGTAAATATGTGAATAAATGTTGCCTTTGAAGACCAAGGAACAGTTAGGCAACTTGATGTTAGACAAGGCCTCTATTTAATATTCTAATCATTTCCCTTGATTATTCACACATTTTTAACATATTAATAACTGACTTCCAAGTATAATCTCTGCTTGAGGTTTCTCTTTCTTACTGTAGAAGACACAGTTAAACCTTGAATAAATGACATGGCTTCATTATTTCTTTATGATGAAGGAATTTTATAACATGTGATCATAAATTAATGCAAATCTCTATATTTTGATTATCAAAAGAATACAGTTTATGTAACAATGGGTACATATCATTTGAAAGTCTATAGAAAATGAGATTGTCTTCATTGGCAATTAACAGACTGTTAACTAATAAGTAGCAAAGCAATGTTTTACTTGAAGTTATACTTTTATACTCTTGTTCCTTACTACTTTGTTATGGTTACCTCTCACATAAAATATAACTGCTACAGGAAGGAGGGGAAAGCGGTGAGACTGATTGGATTAAGTGAGACCTGTGAGCCTGAGCTACATCAATATCGCTTGAGTGGCAAAATGCATCTCTCTGGTTATTATACACATCAAGAAAAAATCAGACCAAGTTTTAAAGAACTTAAACAGAACCAGAGATTTAAAAAACTTGTTTAGTTATATTAAAGGACATTTAAAGGATGCTCTTTTGCTGCCACGAAAAAGGAAGTAATAATAGAAAGAAACTTTAAGTAAATATTGTCATGGAAGAGATACTGCCGGGAGCAGTGGCTCATGCCTGTAATCTCAGCACTTTGGGAGGCCAAGGCAGGTGGATCGCTTGAGGTCAGCAGTTCGAGACCAGCCTGGCCAATCTGGTGAAACCCCGTCTCCATTAAAAATACAAAAATTAGCCAAGCATGGTGGTGCGCACCTGTAATTCCAGCTACTCAGAGGGCTGAAGCAGCAGGAGAATTGCTTGAGCCCGTGAGGTGGAGGTTGCAGTGAGCCAAGATTGCACCACTGCACTCCAGCCTAGATGACAGAGTGAGACTCCATTTAAAAAAGAAAAAGAAAAGAAAAGTGAAGATATGTCTGTCGTAGGATCAATAGAGCAACTAATTTCTTTGTCTTCATTTCTTCTCACAAAAAGGAGGAAATAATCAGTAAAACAATGTCATATATGCATAATTGTGGACTAAATATTAGTAACTGGACACAAGAAGGATGTCAATAAAACTACTCAGGGTAAATCTGGTTTCATTTGTCTTCCATCCCTGCCCTTCAGAGCAGAACGTTGCTGTCAATGACATTGTTATCTGACTTAAACATGAGGATCGTTCTGCTGGCGACTTTAATTACTTTCTCATCAAAGCCATATTGGACAGCTCCAGAAATTTCTTCTTAGCCTTCTAGGACAGCTTAAAGGACAAATGATTCTCCTCCCTCCATTGTTCATCAGGAATGGCAGGAAATCATTTGGTGTAGCCAACTTTAGTGAGGCTCCTCGGGAATTGCACACACATGGTGGGAACAGAAACGTGAGAGCAGCTCAGAGTGTTCTCCTGTTCTTAACACACTTGATGCTGCCAGAGCTGAAATTCTCCTATTTGAATCAGGCTGACTAGCAAGAAGGTATTCAAGGACTTTTTGTTTCCATTGTTTTACATATCCTTTTGTGAATAAATTTTGGAGGGCTTGAAAATGTTTCTGTTTCATGGGAGTCACATGGCCTGGTAAGACTGAAGGAAGGGGCAGTGTGCATCAAGCAAACCGCAGCGCCGGGTGCAAATGTTGGGAATAAGGGAATACTGGACTGGGAGTTGGGACCCTGGATGTCAGCCTTGACTCTGCCATTGTCACTTCAAGGATTTTGGCTTTAAAAAAAATTTAAATAAGCAAAGCCATATTTTCCCCTTTATTTATTTAGAGCTATGAACTGGCATGATGGCTAATAGAATCACAACTTTGTGGCTGAAAAGAGCTTTAGAAATCTCAGAGTTGTCCCCTCCCACTGCAGCTTTAGAGAGAGATGAGTTCACATTTTCGCAGTGCATGGATGAGCACCGGGGCTTGGTAAACGGTTGGTTTTGGGCTCAGTCCACAAACGAGCCAGCTCTCCCTCCTGTCTCCTTTCTTCTTCCCCTCAGTGACCAGTCCAGGGATCTCTCCAGGACCCCATGGAAATCAGCGTCCACCCTGATGCCCCTTTCCTGCTGCCAGCCACAGATCTGAGAAATACTTCCATTCTGTGCTCTATGAAATTTTCAACTGCCATAAAGAGGTTAAAAAGTGGCATAATGTTTCCTTGAATAGTTTCCATACATGATTTTGGGTAGACTAAATGTGAATCTCCTCAGATGAGCATCTTTAAGGGATGCTTTTCTTTTTCAGGAAAGCACTTAGTTGTCTTTAGCTGACAGGATTTCTCGTCACTGTCCTTCATGGGTGGCTGCAGCAGAGCGCTGTCAGGCAGTGCTGGGCCTGAGGGGCTCAGGCGCCCACTGAGAGTGATTATTACTGCACCTGGGCCACTTCGCCACCTTGGTGACAGGGCAAAGGCACTCTCGCGAATTCCACTGCACTCAGCTGGAAGACAGACGCTGATTGTCAGGGGAGGGGAGGAGAATGCTGGCCTCCTTTACGAGTCTGACCTCATTCCCACAGAGTCAATGGGCTTGGGTCACTCATCTCTTTTCCACAACGTGTTTTGGGAATCAGGGTTAGGCAAGTGGTCAGTTGAAGAGCCAGCAGAAACATTCCAACCTCACATCATTCTTAGATTCTCTGCGTGTGACTCGAGTTCTTGGATTTGACCACCTTTTCTTGGAAGAATTCAATTTTGAAAACTCACTGAGTGCTTGTTGACTGTTGAGGAATAATAACAATGATAATTTTTTAAAAATCAAAGCTCACGCTCACTGAGCACGTAAATGTGCCAGGCTCTGTGCTACACACTATACAAATATGAGGACATTCAATCCTCACAAGAATTTGATGAGGTCAAATCAGTTATGATCCTCATCTCTCAGGTCAGGAAAGTGAGGTGACAGGGATGAGGTCTCTTGCCCAAGAGTCCAGGCAGGGCTCATTAGTGGTAGACTTGGGCTTTGTTCCCAGGGTTCTTCTGCAGGGCTGCCTCCTAAACCACCATTCACTACTCAAGAAACTTGCAGCCCCCTTGTGCTAACTAATGTTAGTACAAGACCACGTGAAATAATTACTAAATAGGGGTAAAGGCAATGTGATGCAGAAGTGCAAGGGAGAAAGATTTGGTTGTAAGTCAGAGCGTGTGAGAAGATGGCAGGCCTTCCTGGCAGAGGCACGAGTGAAGAATGCACAGTGACATGAGGGTCTGGAGGGGCTCAATCTGTCTTGGGAAGGGTGGGGAGCAGCATGCCCACAGTGTGCACTCTATGGAGCCCAGGTTGGGGAACAGCCTAGAACACAGTTTGTAGCAAAGTGGGTTTGAATCCAAACAAAGGTGGGTGGATTTTATTCTGCAGACCACAGGTACTACTTTTAAATTTTAGAGAAGAGTGTCATGAGACACCTGTGTTACAGGGAGGAAACCTGGATGTCAGGAGGTGGATTTAGGTAAGAGAGATTGGGGCAGGGAGGCCCATCAGGGTCCCGGGGGAGAGGCAGGCAGGGGCAAATGGGGACGGATGGGGAGCAGAGGCACGGTGCTTCAAGGCCTGGTGACAGTGTGCATGTACAGGGGGATGAATGTGAGTCCACAAAGGGCCCTGGTTACTAGCCTGGGTGTCTGAGAGGCTGGTGGAGCGTCTGTCCAGTGGAAGCCCAGGGAAGGAGAGACTCTGGTAGCTGCTTTGGAGCTGAGGATTATAACCCAATTATAGACTTAGTTCTTGTACATGTGTGAGGCTCCTGCAGGTCACCTGTATGGAAATACCCTTGACTGCCCAATAGGGGCTCATGGCCCAGGGAGAGATCAGGGCTGCAGTCCAAGCATGCAGACATGCTTGGAAAGCCATCACAGCCAGTGGATGGACCCGGAAATCAGTGGAGAAGGGAGGAGACAAGGATGAGGCCGATTGGAGTACCTTCTGGCAGCGAGCAGCAGTGGAGGATGGGGTGTTGTCTGAGAGATGCAGCCAGAAGGGGGGTGAGTCAAGAAATGGGAGGAGAGGGCTTCAGGAAAGAGGGAGAACTTTTACCATTTCCATTTCAAAAGGCTTTTTTTTTTTTTAAAGGCAAATGACAGAGAGGAATCAACTAGCCATGGCAAACAGAAATACAGCAATTCTCCATCATCTCCCTGCTCCAGTCAGACTGTTCTCACAATTTATTTCAGACAGATGAAGATGTGCTTCTGTGTAGCTGGGAGCAGTCAATTAAAGAGATTAAAGGCAGAAAGGCTGCTACAGCAAAAGTATTTAAGTTTTAGTTTCTTCTGCAGCTGTGCTTTCTCCACTTTCTCAGCAATCAGAATTTCCTTACCCTCTGTTCTTTGTCTGTTGGAATTCAACAGAAGCTATTTATTTTCTCCTATAGGTTTTTTAAAAAGAGATCCTAGGGCCATAGATTTTTATTTTCAGTGTTTATGCCATGTATGCCATCTAAGCATAGGAGTGCTATATTTAGTTTAAACTTTAGCATGCCTAAAGAACTCATTCCTTTATCCCCAATTTTAGGACAGGCAAATCAAAGTTAAGAGTTCACGTAAAATTAAACACTGTAGGTTAGGCAGTGTCAAAAAAGAAAAAAAAAAAACTGTTTCATGTTCCACTGACCTCTGCAGGCAAATCCCATTTCAGTCTCTACGCTTGTTGAGTCTTACCACTTACAGATTCTTACAACAAGCTGCCACTGAAATCATCACATTATGCCTCTTCATTTACTGACTGAAGCTCACTCTGGTTAAATAATTTACCCAAAGTCCTGGGGTCAGAAATGTCTGGATGTCCTTATAAAAGCCCACAGCTCCCACAGTTGAAGTTTCTTCTCACCACCCACAAGCTCGGTCTCACTCGCTCAGGTGAAATGTGCCTTAGAGGGGAGGGATTTAAGAAACTCTAGTGTAGAGCTAGGGCAGGCAGGTGCCTGCTTGCTGCCTGCCAGGCCTGTAACGCCTCTCCAACACAGGGTTTACACATGGCTTTGGCTTTATGCCTGAGAATTGGTTCACAGCTTTGGCAACCATGTGTCTGTCTTGTTTCTGTGCCTCATGGTCCTATGTCCAGCATCTTAGTCCTTCCTAGACACCAGAGCCTCCTGGACCCCTGTCCACTCCCCTCCTGGTGCTGTGGCTCCTTTTTTTTTTTTTTTTTTTGAGACGGAGTCTTGCTCTGTCGTCCAGGCTGGAGTGCAGTGGCACGATCTCGGCTCACTGCAACCTCTGCTTCCCGGGTTCAAGGGATTCTTCTACCTCAGCCTCCTGAGTAGCTGGGACTACAGGCGCACGCCACCATGCCCTGCTAATTTTTGTATATTTGGTAGGGACAGGGTTTCACCATATTGGCCAGGCTTGTCTCGAACTCCTGACCCCGTGATCTGCCCGCCTCAACCTCCCAAAGTCCTGGGATTACAGGCGCGAACCACCGCACCCGGCTTGTGGCTCCATCTTTGAGCCTGGGGCCCTGCTACCTTCCAATAGCCTACAAGCTTGGGTTGCTCATTGCCTGGTTGCCAATCTTTGCCACCTGCCAGGAGACCTCAGGGCTTTTTCAGGACCATTGTGTCCACATAGTCCGGAAGCCCTTCTGCCTGACGCTCTGGACTTCCAGCCCCTCTGGGTTGTGTCTGTTCCTTTGGGGCCTGCACCACCCACTGGGGGGCTGTCCCACACCTAGTCTTCCTCATCCTGCTGCGGTTCCCTGGGCCACATCTTGAGATATGATACAGAATTATTGAGTAGTGAAGCCAGGACTCTTAACTTCTGAGCCAGCATTTTTTTGATTGAGTCATGCTTTGTCTTTTGTTTCCTGTTTGTTCTAGGTCTGCCACTTCCTAGCAGTGTAAATTTGGGCAAACTCTGGGCAACATTCCTATTGGAAGAAAAATCAGGATGATCATACCAACTTCCAAGGGTCGTTAGGAGGATTAATGAGATAAAAGAGCTGGTGGTATATACTTGGCACTCAAAACTGTTTAACCTTCCCTGAAGGCTCTTCTGTAACCTCTCATCCCTTTTTTACTAATTGCCTGCTTTTCCCCTGTGTGATAGGGGCTTACTGCAGGGACACATACATTTGTGGGCAGGCATTGGAACAGCACTGGGATGTCGCTCCACCTGTCTTCACTCACTGACAAGAAAAGTGGTGGGCATACCTTTGAAAGTAGGATCACATCTTCAGGTTAGTGACACATGGACTTGCAATAAATACCTCATGAAATGAAATCCGTTGCCCTAGTTTCATGGTCTCTTTAAGGCCTTTCTTTGCTTATGTTTTGTCTCCCATGAAAGAATGGACACAATGATACTCCCTTCTGAAAGTGTAAAAGCAAAAATAAAAGCAAAAATCCCCATATGGAAGAAAATTCAATGAGACTGCTTAACTGAAATATTTAACAAGAAGAAAGCAGCCTTTGAAATGCTTGACCTTCTTAGGAACGGTCTTTTCCGTGAGCACCTCTAGTGCCCAGTGCTCCACAAATGTGATCTTACTTAGACCTCACAAGAACCCTGGAGAGGCTCAGAGACTTCCCCGGGTGTCAGGGGGAAAAGAGTGCGGTGGAGCCGGTGGAGCCGATGTTGAGCCCGGGGCATCTGACCCGAGGGCCAGCTCTGCTCACTGCATGGAGCTGCCTCTCAGTTCATCAGGCCCGTGAATGTGCAACAGACAGGTTCATCACTCCGGCGGAGGCAGCGTGGACAGCGGGACCCTGTAGGTGACACTGCAGCTCTTCTAAGTCCGTAATTCTCAAGTGGGATACTGAAAATTGCTTTAATGACCACTGTAACTCCATAATCAAATGCCTGGAGTTCCTTCTCCTCCCTCCATGGGGCGGTGATTCCTGGGAAGCAGTGCGAAAGCCCCGCTTCACACCCGACATGTTCTTCCTCTGTTCCTCTGCATTTTAAAAACCTAAGTCCTCTCTATGCGAGGCTGGCCCCAAGTTCTTTCTGGCCATGGCCTGTGTCGGGAGGCTGCCTCCCTGACACCCCAGGCTCCCTGTGATTTTGAGATTGTTCATTTGGAGTCCTGCAGCCACCTTAGGACTCCACAGAAACCTCTGATGAGCCATGATGGGGTTTGCTGGCTGGAGAGGCAAAAAGAAGGATCGCTGTCCTTGGCCATGTTTCTGGTTTCCTGGCTCCAGGATTTAGACATGGGTAACAAGGACAAAAACATGTGAATCCTTTTCTACTAAGAACCCCTATAAGGTATTGGATAGTTCCAACAATGTACTTATTGAATATGTTAGCTAATAATGATTCCCTGTCTTCCTGCCTTCTGTACTGACTCTCTAAAGAAGTAAAAGGCCTTAGAGTCTCACTTTTTCATTCATTCTCTCACTCTTTCCTATAGTAGACACTGAGTGATTCATATGCATCAGATAACATATTAGACATTTGTGGCCAAAAGGCCAAAGACATTGGCCTTTATAACAATGGGCATGTGTTATTGTTCCTAATTTATAGCTAGGGCAAATGAGGCTCAGAAGCATTAAATAATTTGCCCTAAATCACAGAGCTCCCAAAAGAGGGAGCTGGGATCAAGTGGTTGTTGACACACATGCTGACATCTACATGAAGCTTCTTTGGCAGGAGAACAGGAAGTAGGTAAGACCTTGGTTCCGGGGCCAGGCAGACCCGGGCCTTTCTGGCAGTTGCATGTATATATTTATGTATATGATCTGTGGGATTGTGGGCAGGGCACTTAGCCCTTGTGAGGCCTAGACTCATCTGTGCAATGAGATGGTGACAGCATCTACCTCATAGAGGTGATGCGAGGATTGAATAAGGTGCTTTGAGTGTAGCTCTGAGCACAGTTAATGCTGATAGGTGGTAGGGACTATTACTTTTTTAACCCCTATTTCTGATATGGAATGGAAAGGCTGGAAGAAAAGATGCAACTAGGGAGCACTTAGGCTTCAATAACTGCACCATATAGATCAACCAAAGTTAAACTTTCCCATTAATTCCCTGATTGCCCTCATTATCATATTAATTAAATAAATTTTACAAGTCTTATTACTGTTAAATCACTTTATCCAAAGGCCATGTCTCAGATCAGATTTCATACACTCAGAGGCTGAGGAGGAACAGAGACATCTCATCATTGATCAGGGTCAACTGATCAATTGCAAATTGGTTGAGACTATAAAATCTACATGTGTTTTACTGATGGTTTGGAATCACATAACATTGAGGCTGCTCACTCCTGTGGGGTCCAGATGTTGGTCCCTTCTGCATGCAGGTGGAAGGGCTCACTTACAGAGAAGGAAGTCAGCAGAGATGCCTTGGAGGCCTATTTCCATCACACACATTCTCCTTTAACAGAGGCCTCTGAACACTGAAGTGGCAGCAGTGAAATGATCATTGTAAAATGTCTCTGTTTTGATAAGGTCATACTCTTTTGGACTAAGTGTGTTCTCAACTCACTTCCTTCTCTAGACTCCTAGAGTCTGGACTATCAAAGGGAGTTGAAGAAATTTCAAAATCAAATAAATTTGGGAATTGAAGAGTATCAAGAGTGTGCTACCATCAATGGAATCTGCGGATTCCTCACCAGCTAATCAGGGCAGGCTGTTCCCTGCTTAGAGTCAAATGCCATACATGTGACAAGTTTTAATGTTGTTCTCTCTTAAGCTGTTTCTCTGCACTGATAGAATCTTGGAAGCCAAGAGGTGATTGACCTGCTGCGTCTCTCGGCTCTCCTCACCATAAACAAGGTGATGAGACTTTTGAAGTTTTCAGAAAGCAAATAATGAAAGGCAGCAGCTATGTGGACAGTTGCCAACATCACTATAATTTAAGCTTTCCAGGGAGCAAATCCCAATGTGGGTAGCAGCTCTCCTGTCTGCTGCTATTAGATTTCCATGTCCTCTCTCTGGCCCCTCTCAGCTTGCCCATCCAGGCTGCCAGGCCTGATTCTTCGCTACATGTGTCCAATTCAACTGTGACAATACTGACGACTTGACTTCCACAGAGGATGGGAGGGTTTCTCCTCTGGCCCGACGGGTGTTAAGAGAGCTGGGTTAGCACTGGTGTCTCAGGAAAATTGCTCTTCATTCCCATGAAGCAGAGAAACACTTTAAAAGAATGTCTAAATCATCTAGTGTATTAAGGCATCAAGTTCTTGCACAAATTGTACCAGACATTTTTTTCGTTGTGGCAAGACAGGCATTTTGCAAAGATGTCAAATCACATAAAGCCGCAGCGCAACGCAGCATCAAAGACGTAATCCGTGCTTGTCGCTTTGTCAGGCAGGAGTTACCATTAATAAACCCAGCGAGCGAAGTGGAATCCAAACACACTTTGTACCTCCACCATGATGGACAGGTGAATGCCTTGGCAAGAGTTACTGTGGTTCTCCTGGCCCCTAGATATCTATTTTCTTTTGATATTCTACAAAAAGCAGCCAGCAAGACAAGCAGCAATCCAGAGTAGTACAAATTAAGAGCTTTGTTCAAATCCTTAATATTGAGAAACAGGGCATGCTCAGACTTAGCAGATTCAGGCATGTGAACTGTTGGACTTACTATTTATAGATCACAGAAATTAAAATAACAAGTGGGTTAGCGAGATGAATGAACACAACGATCTTTCTGTAGTGAGCATGGAAATGGATGTTTGTCTGCTTGTTCTTTCTTCAGACTGGAAGCTCCTGGGGAAATGACGCTACCATTGCCCCCTAAAACACAAGGCAGAAGTGGAGTTCAACATACAGGTGGCTTTGGACAAGGTTGCTGCTGATCATGGTTCCTAAATAAGCCTTTGGGTTCATTTCCTGATCTGTAATCAAGGAACAAAGGGATTGTGCTCTAATATTTTTTATTATAAAATTCAGTGACTCTATGTGTCATGTGATTATCTACCTTATCTATTATCTACCTATCTATCTGTCATCTGTCATCTATCTACCTATCTCTCTTTCCTATCTATCCACCCATCTATCTAATCTATCTCCTTACATACACATTTATCCCTCGTAATGTTAACAGATACCAAGAGAAACAGTGTTCGTATTTTGAATACTCTGAGGATGCTGCAAAACAGAGTTTAAGGTAATAAAAAAAGCACACATACACATCTACATGTAGACTCTTTCAGAAACTACTCCTGGGCCTTCCCTCTGCTCTTCTCTTTCTCCAAGGCTATAGCAGGTTGAGGTCATAAAGAGGCCTGAGAAGAGCGAGTGATGCAGGGTCGATATTCAGGTCAGGTTGGAAGGGGTGCAGCCAGGTGTGCCCTGGCGTTCTATGAGCTTCCGGGATGTGATACTTGCCAGGTCTCATCAGTGAACACCATAAAGCTTTTTATTGAGAAGAAAATTGTTGCTAACTACTAAAGTTACTTACAAAATGTTTGTTGAATAAGTGAGGGAGAGAGGGAGGAAAAGAAAAAGAGGAAGAACAGAGAAGAAAGTTGGTGGGGAGAGGCTAGTGGAAGCTCTGACAGCATGTTTTGAACCCTCAGAAGACTGGGAAGGTTAAACTGTATCGACAGGCATCTTGCTTTCCCCAGCCTTGCTTACAGTGGATGCTCAATACAGACTTGAGTGATTAATACAGTGACGAGAAAAATGGAACTGCAACCTTTTAATTTCTTAATTGGTGGCCATAACGTGATGGCTGACTGCCAAAAGGCTAATGGTTGTCTGCATTCGGGTGATATTTTTCTAAAGGTAAGTCTATTTATTTTTTATTTGTCCTTCACTGACAGGTGCCTAAAAAACATAGTTTGAAAAAGTTACTTCCAATTCACTTATCTTACTTAATTTATAGATCTTTCTCACAGAAGTAGCCTAGCTATAAAGCGAGAAAATAAAATGTTAGGAAAACTATTTAAAAGCCCAAGTAATTGGCTGGTAAGAGATCCTTTTTGACCCTAAAGGCAAAATTTGCAAAGTTAATGAAAACTGTGATTTAAAAAAGATGTACATAGAAATCTGCAGATGCTTGAAGCTGATATGACATACCATTTTTTAAATCAACAAAATTTAGTTTAATTACTGATAAAGTTGAATAGGTACAAGTACTCTATTATAGAAATGAGGTTAGATTCTGCAGGGACAGAATGGTGTCTAGGTAAAGCAACCTACAACCAGGTCCGCGATGATATCTGAGAAGCCTCCTGTGGCTGTGAAGAGTGTCGTAGGATGGGAACCAAACCCCAGCCTGCTCCTGGCCCTTTCTGATTCTGATTTGTGATGCTCCTGACCTGGACGGAGCTGAAAGAGGTCTGTTTTCTGAGTGTGGCTGCACACCCTGACTTAGGCAGGTCTGTGGGCCCACTCTCCCTTTCTATTTGCTGTGTTTTCCCTGCCTAGTTTTCATATCCATTCATCTGGCTCCAGCTTGTGAACCTGCCCGTGGCCCTTGTCTGCTTCTCTTGCTGGAAGATTCACTCTGATGGGCATTATCCTGAATGCTGCCCTCACTCTGCTTAACCCTGATCAAGACAAAGGAAGGAAGTGCCCACAGTTTTGCCCCACGACATGCACTGGTCCATATTTTCACAGTGAAAATTACAGCAACAATTTGAATCATAGTAAAAGTCTCTCATCATTTTGAATACAAGCTGCAGAAATGGATGGGGCTTATGGCTGGGTCAGTTCTGGTATGGAAGGATGTGCATGTGGCCTCCCACAGGGTGCTAACCCCACTTTCTAAGAAGTGTGGCCTTGTGAACACCATAGGAGTGACAGGGCTACTCTTTTGGTCCCACATTGGCCAGTGAGAAGGTATCTTGTCCTTGAAGGAAACCTCAATCCTGAGTTCCTTAAAGCAACGTCACTAAGACCTATTTGCACAGTGGTTCATGTTCTAAGTGTTTGGTCTGCATGGGTGAAGGTGGCCCCAGAGCAAACACAGCCAGGGCTCAGCACAGAGCAGTTCCAATCTCTATCCTCCACGCAGGGGCAGGTACCCTAGTGCAGTAGTTCCCAAAGTGTGGCCAGTAGACCTCTGAGGTCCCTCATACCTTTCCCAAGGGTCTTTGAAGTAAAAACTGTTTTTATAATAATTCTAAGACATTTTTCCATGACTTATCCGCTGGAGTTTTCTAGAGGCTACCTACTGCTATTGCAACAGATTGAATACAGAAGGAGATACAAGAATCATCTATTATTAGCCAGACGTGAAAAAGATTCGCGAAAATACAAAATGATGTCCTTCTCATTAATTTTTTTGTATCAATAGTCAAGTTATTTTACATAAAGTAGTTTACTTTTGTTAACATGTAATGCTAATTTATTACTGCTAATTTCAAATGAATTAGTAAATATGTACTTATAATTCCTGTTTTAATTTCTAATATAATATTAGATTAGATATGATATCACCACATCGTAATGATAATTGATAGGTGTAACCAACACAAACAAAGGCCTTTTCGGGTCCTTCAGGGATCTTTGAGTGAAAAGAGGATCCTGATCACAAAACACTTGTGAATGGCTGCCTTAATGGAAAGGACCTGGCCTTTGGCCCCAGATGGACCCAGGCTTGAATCCTAACTTCTCCCCTTAGCTCTGAGGGTGTTGGCAAGCAGCCTGCCTTTGCTGAGCTTCAGCTTGCTTGTCTGTGGAACGCAGATCATGCTAATCCCCAAGGAGGTTCTGCAGGTAGGATTGCAGGAGCCTCAGCTGGAGCTATAGCCGCAGCTGTGGACAGCCCTCCAGCAGGTCCACTAGCCACCGGCTGGAAAATTGAGTGATTGCATCTCTCCCTTTGTCCTCAGCCTTAGCTGGTGCAAGGAAGCTGCTTTAGTGAACTTCCAGGAACTGAGTCATTCACATAGACTCACTTTCCTTTCCTCTCCTGAAGATTCATGATAACCATCATGCCTCCCACTCCTTGTGTGCTCTGGGATACCAGATGGCAGGAAATGGACCATTTCAATCACAAAGGGAGCTGTCCTCAGGACAGCCACAACAAATGCCAGCTCAGCCGGCATGTCCTCTAAGGTTGCAGGTGGAACAAGTGGAGCACAAAGCATCAGACCAATGTCTGCAGTTCCAAAGTGGGGAGTCAGTGTGCAAATGCTGGCGCCTGCGTGTCTCCACGGTTACTGACCCAGATACCATGCTTTCCCTGGGGCAGTCACCTGGACTTGACCTAGTCAGGTACAGCATCCACAAGGAACAGCATGAGCAGCATGTACCTATGAGTCAAGTGCTAGGTGTGTATGTCTGAGTTAATACATCATCCATTTGTGGCTTCTCCCACTGTGTCTGCCTTTAAGATGTGAACTCAAATTCTCTGAGCACATTCATGATACTAAGGCCTTCAGTAGTCTTCCTGGAGAGAGAGGCTCTTAAGAAACAGGGCAGCAGACAGGCAGGCAATCTTATGAATACAACGTGGAAGAGGGAAGGCAAGGCACGACCACCCCAGATTTTGGAAGCAGTCTGTGAACATATCTGGGTCTGTGTTATTCAGCAGCCCATTGCTGACTTCACTTATAGGATTCTAGAGCTTTTCATTCCCTGTGGGAATGGAGACCTTTTGGGTTTAGATTAGATCATTGGATTTGGAAGTGTGGGGAGAAGCTGACTCAGCTGTCCTTGCTCAGGCTGTCTCTCTGCCATCTTCTCCTCAAGCCACTTGGACTCCCTCATTACCGCCCCATGGGGATTCCTCCTCTCACTGTGTGTCAGCCTCAAAGAGAAAATGATTCAGCAGGGACTTGGGTTCCTGTACTGCTAGGTGCTTCTCCATATGGTCTAACGATTCCTTGCCTCGGAGGATCCACCTCAGACACGTCAGGACACCAGACACCAGAACCTGGGAGGTATGGGTATGTAGATCTGAACTAGACATTTTTCAGCATTTCTCAGAGAGAGACAATATTTTGGCAGAACATTTCTAGGGGATGGGGAGTCTGATGATGGTGGGGTGCCATGTGAATCTTAGGAGTGGCACCCATCATGAGCTAGAGGATTTTAGGTCTAACAGATGTTGCTACCCCTGTTAGTTTCCTCAGGATCTAAAACCTGTCATTTGGAAAGTGGACTTATGTGTGGTTGTGTTCTCTAAGACAAAGTTCTCTTCATTCTCCTTTAGTTTTTATAGGTGTTTTGAGATTTCCACCTTTCTGAACTGTGCTGAGAAAGACAAAGGTATGGATGCATCAGAGATGCCCTTGAGTGCAAGTTTTTAAGGAAGAGCAGCATACACTTAGCATGTTGGGGGCAGTGGGAGAAACCCGAGGGGCAGAACCTGGAGATACTGAAGCTCCCTGATTCTCCCTTCCAAGGTGTGAGCGAGCAGGCTGCTCCTGTCCTGGAGGTTTTGTGCCTGCATCCTCATAGCCTCACCAAGTCTCCACGATGGACTCCCGTGCCTACTTCTGACCACTCCCCTCTTCTCTTCTGTTCTTAGGTTAACTCGCCTTGCCCAGCCCTCCTATGTAGAAGAAAGATCAGACAAAGCCTTCGGTCTGTTCCTTGCCATTATCCAGCCAGGCTGCCCTCCCAATGGCTGCATTGGCACGAGCGCCCATGTCAGAGCTGTGAACAGTTTCCTTGTCGAGGCCAAGTGGGATTACAGACTTGGATTCCTGTCTGTGCCCTTATTCTAAGAACCCAGGGTTTCTAGTGCATTTCCACACATGTGGTTAGGGATGGGAATAGGAACATGCATTTTAAATGACAGAGAGAAACAGCAAGAAAGGTTTAATAAAATCAGGTAGAAATCAAGATTATGGGGACTATTCTGCTCACACAGTTATTGTAACCGCTGAGCTATCATCAGGAAGAAGTTAGCTCACAAACCTATTGTTTAGCTACTGGCGCATTCCAGAAAGAGTGACTGTAAGTGTTGGTAGTACTTTAGGGTGAATTATCTTTTCCTTTGGTACTTTCTGCCTCCTTCCATAGCAGACATTCATCTTCTGTACATGTGGACATAATGAGCGCAGAAAATGCTAAGCCTGGAGAGTGTGGGGTGGCTCTGGCATGCAGTCCTGTTGGGACAAATATTGTAGAAAGTCCAGACTCCCCACTGGAAGTCAGTGTCAGAAGAGAGGCTCCAATCCCACTAGAAATAAATCTTTTTCTTTGTGATAAACCTAAAGAACAACACTCGCTACTTCCAGAAAATCTTCCTTAGAGGTATTCAGAGGAATGAGAAATACAGTGCTGTGGTGTACTAAAATATTGCCATGATGAATACTAAACTTTTGAATTTGAAATATTATGAAATTCAACAGACATCAAAACTTTTGCAGAAAACCACATGATATCTGTAGAGCTCCACATGCACTAAAACATTATTTTTTCAGATGATAATATTCGAAAGCAACGAGAATCTTAAAAACTCTCCAGGGAAACGGTCACATTGGCTGCCCTTGCAATGAATTTGTCAACATGTTTTATTTGGCTTTAACATTTTAAATATAAATGTCTTCAGTTTTGCTATCAAGTCCTGTTTCCTCACAACCCTGTCTGGTTTCACTCATTTCCAGTTCCTTCTTGTCTCCTCCTGGATGTTATTAATCTGATGCTTGATTGGTACTCAGTGTCTTTATTTTAAAGGTGAAGGTCCAGAGAGGTGAAGTGATTGAACTAAAGCCGCAGAGCCAATTAATGCCCAAGCAAAGATGAACACGCCCTCCTCCACCGTGTGGAGGAACTCATCCTCCTTTCACCGAAGGATGCTCTCTCCTTATTTTTTAATCCTACCAACAAAGAACGGAGCTATTCTGATGTATTTTTAAATAGCATGCTATTTTAGACTGCTGTAGAAATTCATAAATATATAAAATGATATCTGCAGAATGACAACCCTGGACCAATATCTAAACAAGAACCTTTAACTTCCGATGACTCCCTCATTTGGGTGGGTAGGGATGGGGCAAAGGTGCATGGCGAGGGTGCTTGGTGGCCCATGGCAGTCCTCCTCACCTCCCTCTCTAAAGTTGCTCTGGGGTGAGCAGGTGTGGGGTCAGGTCTACTTCTGGGAACGCTTTTTGCTGTAGGCAGCCCTTTTGGAGATAGAGGGAGGTTTTGAAAAGGAGAGGAAAGTTTTATCCCTTCCATCCTCTGAAAGTGCGCATATCCCTGGTGGGGATATCAGGGTTTTATTCTGTATATAAAAACAAATTTTGTATCTGTTATCACATTTCTTTAAAAAGACTAGATAGATTTTCACTAAAGCCAGGGGACAGTTTGGGTTGGGCTGATTTCAAATAATGCTGTGACACATACATGGGGGATGTCAAAGAGATTAACCCCTGAGAGGTGTGACTGGAGGAGCCCTTGGATGGTTCCCACCCTCAGGGATGATGAGTGGCTGCAGGCTCCCACTGAGTAGCCCGTGAGTCCTACCTAGAATCTGCTAAGGTCTGAATCAGCATCTGAAACTGGACCAAGACACCGAGGTTTTTAAGGACTTGCAGTGAAGCTGGAAGACCATTGATGAAGGGCTTAGCTGAAAATGAGCTGACTGTGACAATGGGACTTAGAATGCACCCACGGGCTTGGGAGTCGTGTGCACTTGCTTGCATTCCTGTGTGTGCACCCATGTGTGTGTGCATGTGTGGTGGGGTGCAGTGGCAGGAAGTAGTTCCTAGAAAAAAAAAAAACATTGAACTTCGTTAAGGGCACAGCTCCAGTGGAGGCAAGGTCACAGCCCACTAACAGTATTCAACCTGGTTGTTCCTGACTGTGCCACTTGGCCACCTGTTGCTTTCAGGTCACAAGCTTCCAAGCCCCAACCTAACCCACAGCAGACAGATGCTTGTTTTAATGTGGTTGTGCTGCTCCCAGGTAGGAGCTGGCAATCTTTTGAATAAAGCAGTGAGAAGGGCTCTGGCTTTCCCTGCATTGTTTCCTGAAAACTTTTCCACTGAGATTACACAATAGAGGAAAGAATAATTGCGGCAAGAGAAAGTTTAAATACTACTCATATTATTTACGCAAACACAGAGTCTGCCAAAGAAGTACAGTGAATGTCCACAAAACTTCCTCTCAAAGATTTTTCCCTTGAAATTAAAGAGAATAATTGAGGCAAAAAGTTAATTTTCTTTTGAGTTACCTGGAATATTGCCTTGTTTTCTGCTTTTTTGTGCAGACATAGAATTAGGCCAGTCAATCGTAGAGAAAATGTGGAGAAATACTCATCTTTGAATAAAAAGACTGGCTTTGAAAATTAACCTAAATTTGTTTTATCTTACACTGTTCTATGCAAACTACTGCCCTGCAAATGAAAGTGTGACAGTGGTTATTGTCAGACATGGGAAAATATATTCAAAGAGATTTCCTGGTAGATTTCATGCTTTATTTTATACTGAATACAATTTAGCCCATTACAATAGTTGGAAAATCCAAAGGTAAATACATGTAAAGTCTTTAAAGCATGATTTTAGTTTTTAAAGTACTGTTAAGCCTCACTAATTTATTTTAAAAAACAAACAAGGCTGGAATGCCAATATTAACACCAACATTTGCATTCAGAATCCATTCTCCTTTGAAGAAATCACCACACAAATATTTCCAGTTCCGCTTTACCTCCCTGTCCTAAAGTCAATATCCAGGAGTGAGAAATGAAACAGAGGATAGAGATGCCGGCTCTAACTATGACTGTGAAATAGATGGAACTTTTCTTCAGGTCCTTTCTTCTGGGCTGTTCTTTTTCTCTCCCATCCCTTGGGGACTCTGGTGACATTCCTCTCTTCCCTTTAGCCAGCTGAAGCTCTCAAATTGATCCCCAATTACCCCAAGTTTTCCGTGACATTGATTTCATCCTCTGCAAAAAAAAAAAAAAAAAAACCAAACAAAAAAAAAACACAAAAAAACCTTCCCCTTGCCCTCTGTCCCAACAAAATGTTTGCAGGGCATCTACCCAGTCCAGGTGATAAAGAAGTGAAAATAAGGCAGAGCTTTGCCACTGGGGCTCTTCCCCAGCCAAACAGCACACGCATCTCAGAAGAGGCCTTGAGCCCCCAGAAAGATTGAGTCGTGTAAAAATGAGCAGCACTATTATCAGGGTCAGTGGTAAAACATTTTGTGGAAGGGCATGTTATGAACTGAATGTGTCCTTTTGAAATTCCTGTGTTAAAACCCTAATACCCCCATGGTATTAGGAGGTGGTCAGGACGTGAGGAAGGACCCCCATGAATGGGATGACTCTCCTTATAAAAAGAGACAGGAGGGAACCCACTTCCTCTCTCTCTGCTCTCCTCCATGTGAGGATATAGTGAGAAGGCTGCCTGTAAACCAGAAAGTGGGCCCTCAGCAGACAGTGGGTTTTTCAATACCATGGACTGTCCAGTCTTGAGAACTGTGAGAAATAAATGTCTGTTGTTGAAGCCACCCAGTCCATGGTGATTTGTTGTAGCCGCCAGAACAGACTAAGATTTAAGGCAGTTTTTTCACTGTTCCTTAGGTCATACCTCCTGGATGATGGCTCAGCTTCCAGCTTTCCACCTAGACCTAGTGTAGGCAAGATGGGCCCCATCTACCTAAAAGCCTCCCAACTTGTTCTCCGTCCTCATCACTTGCTTTTCCAGCCCACTTGTCCCACACATTCTGGTGAATGACCATCTTTCTGCAGGTGAATGACAGGCCATTCTCCTCTCAAAGACCCTCACTGATTTCCCATCACCTATCTATGAATTCCAGACTCCTTATTCTGTCTCTCTAGATGGCCTGTGGGCTGGGTCCATCTGCTTCCCCAGCCTTCTGTTTGACTGCACCCTGGTACACATCCTGTGCTCTCATGACGCCACATGACTTATGATTTCTCAATCAATTCCTCACTTTTCTACTTCATGGTCATGCCTTTCCTGGACTCTCTCTGCCTCCATTCTCTGCTTGCAAACTGTCCATTCATGTGCTGCTTTCTCCATGGGAATGCAGCGTGAGCCCCGATCCAATCAACTTGAGCTCCCAGAGCATGTGCCCCATCTTCCTCAGTGGTTCTCATGGGAAGAGGTGCTTGTCACAATTATTTGAGGAGTTTCCTCGAACAATTCCTAACTTTCCTTTCCTTCTCCCAAAATCACTTCATAAAGCTCCTCAGTGATTCGCTACCTCCCTGAGGTGGAAAGATTGCACACTATTGCTTTGATTATTCAAGAGGTCTCATTACCTGAATATTCATAATCCCAGGCATTATAATTATAGCACTCCACAGAGAAGTAAAATATTATCAATAAATTGACCACTTACACAATTAGCTCCCTCAATCATGCCTCCCTGACTAATACTATCTTGGTAGTATCTGCTGGAAAGCCTAGCTGATTTTTGGATGGCATTTCAATGCAAAGTGATTACAAAATGAAGATGAAAAGATGGAGAATTTCATGAAGTTGATTAAACCGATGCTGGTGATGCTGGGGAACTCTAAATCACAAGCAAGAAAAGTGAAAATCAGTGTATGAAGGCCAGATAATTGAAGAAAAAATCTAAAAGTGATAATTAATGTCATGGTAGCTCCTCCTAGAGAGAATGATTTGAAGAGAATTGAGTAAGAAATGCTTATGGAATAGCTGGTGAAACTTGTGTGTGTGTTTAAATAACTCTCTTTATGAGCATGCTGTGAAAGCCAAAGAGGAAGTGAAAGATATTTCGCCATGCCAGTATATAAACTGTTGATAAGATGATGCCCATACCCTCCATCAATGTGTAATTATTTGTTCTATGAATCAGTGTACGGTGTAAGTCAAAACCATGTCTTATTAAATATAATAAAACAAATGTATTTTCATAATGCTTAGTTTTATTTTTCAAAATAAAGATAACTTTTTTAGCTCTATGAGGTTTGGCTCTTATGAGAGCTATTGTAACTTGTTCTTCTTTGGCATTAATTTTCCTCAAATACTAAGGACCTCCTCTAGTTAGTTACTCAGATGACTACATACCTAATTAGGCAGTAAGCTCCTTGCAGACATCATTGAATCATCAATGAAGATGCCAATCTTCATTCTTATATCGATAGCGCATAACTAATATCCAAGAGAGACTGAATGAAGGTGAGCTAGTTAAAATTAATAGTGAATGTAAAAATTGGTTTGGTTTTCTTTTGAGAATTAGGTTTTCTTGGGCTTCAAAAAAGCAGTTGAGTTTTATCATTTTGGCTACCAAATTGAGAGATTATTTTTGTTTTCTTACATCGATTTATTGCATTTGTTCTACATTTCCAGTTAAACTTCTCATGGTCAGGGTCTGCTTTCATCGTTAATCCTCATTGTTCCTATAAAGGCATCATTCTAGAGCTCCACTTGGTGATGAACTGTCTTGGGCAGAAGGGAATTACTCAGACAGGCTCATGGGCACAATCTCGACTTTTTGAAAGAAGAGAAAATTCTGGATCTCATTTATTTACTTGGAAAAAGGAGGCATTTATGTTTTATGGGTAGTGCTTTAAGATGACTCAATGTCTTTAAAAGGGACGTTTGTTTATTATTACCAACTCAACTTCTATGTTTAGGATTTTCAGCTGAAACTAGTAGCCAGCTTGATGACTTCTGGCCCTAACTTCCTTGCCAGTTATCATGCTGCCTACAACTGTATTGTGGATGGTTGAGCAGGCCAAATTGCTCCCAGATTTCTATATTTCATATAACAAAACATTTTCTTAACTTTTTACTAAGATTTCAAACCAAACAAAAGCAGAAAGGTTAGTATAATAAGCCCCCATATAGCCATCATATAGCTTCAACTATTATGAATATTTTTGCCACAATTGTTTCACTTATTTCCTTCCTTTCTTCCTTCCTTCCTTCCTTCCTTCCTTCCTTCCTTCCTTCCTTCCTTCCTTCCTTCTTAAGAAGTATATTCCAGCCATATGTCATTCTATTCTTATGTACTTCAGAAGAGAAATGAGACCAATTATCCTTTAGAAATCCCATATTTTACGATTTTCTGCTTGATTCTTTGTGGTGAAATGTAACTCAATTATATTTTTGTTATTTTCTGAAGAAGAGATGTTGATGTCTCCTTCATAGTGCATTATTTTAGGAGACATATGACACCTTGTCTCACTTTTTATGATTCGAAGACAGTCTGATCTTCACATCAAGAAGTTTCTCATCAATCTTTCATCAAATGGCTTCATCCATTTAATGATCCTTGCTAAATCCATTATTTTATTTGGCATTTTAAAATGATGATGCTTCTAATTCTATTATTCTTTCCAGATTTATTGGCTGAATTTTTTTTTAATAAGAACTTCCCCTCATCAACAGGGGAATTTGGTTACCCTGCATTCAGTGCTTACAGGAAAGGCAAGATAAATGCTTACTTCTTAACTTTTAATTGCCAACTTTCGGAGTAAAAAGTTGGTACCCTAGTTAATTCCAAAATGTTGAATAAGGTCCACTCTTCCCCTCTTTTGAACTTTTCCTTGTTTATTCATTGATATTTATTTATTTATTTGAGAAAGGGTCTGGCTCTTTTGCCCAGGCTGGAGTGCAGTGGTTCAATCTCAGCTCACTGTAACCTCTGCTTCTTAGGCTCAAATGATCCTTCTACCTCAGCCTCCTGAATAGCTGGGACTATAGGCATGCGCCACCACACCTGGCTAATTTTTGTACTTTTTGTAGAAATAGGGTTTGGCTATATTGTCCAGGCTGGTCTCAAACTCCTAGCCTCAAGCAATCTACCCGCCTCAGCCTCCCAAAGTGCTGGGATTATAGGCGTGAACCACCATGCTCGGCCTCTTTTAATTTTTAATAGTAACTCGAATGTACTTTTTAAAAAATATATTTAATGTGTTCCAGTCAATTAATTAATTGTCTTTTTAAAAAACATTGTCTCATCTTTGGCCAAAGTCCCTTTGTGTTGGCTTTGGTTTTCTTTTAATGTGACCTATGAGTCTTTGGTAGCCTCTTTGCTTTCTGGGACAGTAAGATGCTCCAGTCTCAGCCTGTGTATTTCCTCCCCTGGCCTGGGAACCCACCATTCCTCCAAGGAGCCCTCTCTCAGTAGTGAGTGATGCCTGCATTTGACAATCAGGACTATTGGTGTGTTCATTGCAGTTGGGTTGTCATTTTTTCCATGCCTTTTTAGAGGACATCCATACAAAACACAAAGCTTCAGGAAAAAAATCATGAGCTCATCCTGACAAGTTAAACTTGAACTATACTAATGAGCTTTTTACTTACCTTCTTTCATCTTATGCTTGTAACTCCTTCATTTTACACTGATAGCCTTGGTTCCTAACAACATTAACAAAATTACTTATTTCCACCATCCTACACCCTATATAGGAGAGTTACAAAATGATCGATAGTAATATTACAACTACAAAATTGACTATTAAAGTGTAAGATCTTCTTTGCGTCTCTATTTTTCTTTAGAATATGTCTCACTAAGTTAGTATAGCCAAAACACTGGTTTAAAACATTTGAAACAAGTCATTTCTTTGTAGTTATGTCATTAACTTGGCCTATAGATAAATTCATATGCTTATTTTAATATTTTAGGTATAGTTATATTTTGTTTTTTATGTTTTGAATATGGAAAATATATATTTCTAAAGTCAAATTTATATAACAAAGTATATTTAGAGAAGTATCCTTTCATTCCTACTTCCTATTCTTTTGTATATTCTTTATTTTGGTTTACCCTTTTAGTGTTTGCTTTTGCAAACATAAGAATGTGTGTGTATGTGTATTTTTCTTCACATAAAGGATATATACCATACATATTTTTCTTTGAATTTTGCAGTTTTTAACAATATATCCTAGAAATTGCTCCAATTGGAACACAGATTTCTTTCTCTTTTTCTTTTCTTTTTAAACGTACATTATGCTCCACTGTGTAGCTATATAAGAATTTATTCAACTAGTTCCTTAGTGGTGGACATTTGGGCTGATTCCAATTTTTGTTGTTATAATAAAGCTACAATGAATAAACTTGTGTAAATATCACTTCATTTGTGGGAGGTGTATCTTTAGGGTAGACTCTGAGAAGGGTTTCCGGGCCAGGGAAGAATGCACCTGTAACTTTCTGAGGTATGACTCCATGGGGTCATGTGGCATCCCATCAGCCATACATGGGAGCTCCTGTTTCTTCACTGCCTCCCAGAAAGAGAATGTTGTGAGACATTCGGACCTCTGTCAATGTTACAGGAATATCTTAGTGTAGTTTTGATCCAGTTTCTCTTATTGTAAGGAATGCAAACCATTTTTTTTGTGTTTCATATGTCAGCAGAGAATGTTGTAAAAGTTTTTGATTCCTTAGAGTAAAGCATTTAATCAAACTCACCATATAACTTGCCAATTATAAAACTGAAATTTATTTTTACATTTAACAATTTGGTAGCAGGATAAGAAGGAGATGAGAATGGCTTTGAAGTCTCTTTTTTCTAAAACTATATTCTGGGTCTCTCTCAGGTAAGTAAATCTCCCAGTGCACTTGGCAATGTACAGCGAACAAAGTCATTGTCAAGGCCACTGCCCAGGTACAGGGAAGAAACCAGTGCCAGGTGATTCAGGGCCAGAAGATGGTGCATGAAAAACAGCAGCAGGGAGAAAGCAAAACCTCGTTTTATAATCAGTATGTGAGAAAGTGATTCAAACACTAACACCAAAGTGCCCAGTACTGAGCTTTAGCAAAATGAGATTCTAGCCCTGCTGCCCACAGTCTAAACTTAGGCAAATACAGCTTCTAATGGAGGGAGAAAGTTACTAAGAGTCGGTTTTACAGGTACTTACAACATTAAGGTTTCCTATATGTTAGAGAAAAACAATCAATTGATGTAAACTATGATGTATGTTGATGGAACAAAAATGCAGCATTTACTTTGTAAAAAACCCTTTTCAGAGTCTTCTAATGAAAGAGCAAATATAAAGGACAAAGACTGTAATTCCTTTCTGATATAAAAATTGTATTTATTAGGCTTTCCATTGCTAATCATAAATGTTAAATTGAAATTGGCAAATGATACCATTAACCTAACTTCCTCAGTTTTTTGATGAGATTCACAGGAACATCACTAGAAATCTAAGGTCAAGAAGTTAACTAGAGAAAGAAATAGATTTTCTTTTTGTTTTTAAATAAACCTTAGCCAGAAGCCTCCACATGCTCACAAATGTGTTGTTAAGTTTATCTTTTGGCCTTACAGACAAACTTACTGGAAATTGAGATAACCACGGGCCAGTTTCCATTTGTTAAAGTTTGTTTTTTCCCGTTAGCATTTCCCCTTAGGACTGAGGGGCATTTCAGAGGCCTCTGAACAACATCCATATAACAATTAGAACCTAGAATCAGCCCTGGGCAGGAACATTGACGTGAGTCTTGGGTCAGAGAGGGGGAAAGAGAAATATTAGCTGTGTGGGCTCCAGTAGGCACTAGGAACCTGAGGACACGGATGTGTTTCCAAGTACCTGAAAATAGCAGTAACTAAGCAGAGAAGGGAGTGTGTTGCCAGGGACTTAAAGACAGGCTTATAACTTCACTTCATTTCCACAGATGTTTAATAAGCACTGAGACTACAAGAGTCTGGCAAACTGGGGGTACTCAATAAATATTTGTTAAATGAGTAAATGATTGCGAGACTCTGGAGTAGAGGCTACAGGAGATAACAATCTAGCTCTGACTTTATTTTTCTCACGTGGATGGTATATCTGTATTCCTTCTTCACTATTTGCCATTGATTTATTCCATCTTCCCTTGAAATTTCATATTAAAATGCACTTCTTCCAATCATTTTCTGATGGATTCCACGAGACAAATATAATCCATTAGCCAGTATGTAGTCTTCATCTTATATTGCTCTTTATTGTAAAATATTAGTTTTATAATAATCTGGGGCCTTCTGAACATTATATAAATTCTGCATAGGTTACAGGAAACTTGGAGTGACATATTAGCTAGCAAGAAATCATTTCCTATCAGGCTGAGAATATATTAGTTTTCTGGGGCTACTGTAACCAAATACCACAGACTGTGTGACTTCAACAACAGAAATTTATTGTCTCACAGTTCTGGAGGCTGGAAGTCCAGTACCAAGGTGCCTGCAGGGCCACGCACTCTTTGGAAGTGCTGGAGAAGGATCTGTTTCAGGCCTCCTTCCCAGCTTCTGGTATTTCCCTAGCTGGTGGCAGCGAGACAACAGTCTTCACGTGTCTCTCTCCCTGTGTGTGCATGTTCGTGTTCATGTGTCCAAATTGCCCCTTTTTAAAAGAAGACCTGTTATATTAAATTATGATCCCCCACCCTGATCACCTCATCTTAGCTAATTATATCTGCAAGGAACCTATTTGTGAATAAGGTCCCATTCTGAGGTGCTGAGGCATAAGACTCAGGCATATTTTGTGGTGTCACAATTCAACCCATAACAGAAGTCTTAGTGGAGAGATCATCAATTACGTGTCATTAAATGCTTGAGTGTAAGCCGAGGATAACAGATCTGAATAGGGAATTAGTAGAGCTCACTATCCTTTAATTGTCCTATGAGTTGGATGTAGCTAAGGAAGTCCATTGCTAAGGACTGAATGGTTGTGTCCTCTCAAACTCATACGTGGAAGTCCTAATTCCTAGGAAGTGGGGCCTTTGGGAGGTGATTAGGTCATGGAGGTAACGCCCTCATAAATGAGATGAGTGCCCTTATACAAAGAGACATGAGGGAGCTTGCTTCCCCTCTTTCTGCTCTCTGCCACAGGAGGACAAAGCAAGAAGGCACCACTTATGAATGAGGAACCAGCCTCACCATACACTGAAACTGCTGTGCTTTCATCTTGAACTTCCCAGCCTCTGGAACTGTGAAAAATAAATTTCTGCTATTTATAAGCTATCCAGTCTATGGTATATTTTTATAGTAGCCTGAATGGATCAAGACATCTGTCAATAGTAAAAATTTAAGAGTAAAAAGTTGCTCTTTTTTATTCCAGAAACAGCCTTTTGAGAATATGTCATTATGAATAAGACATTTTTGGCCTTAAAAGGAAATTATCTTGTTGAGATGCCAGGATACCTATAATTTAGAAAACAACAAATTGGTTAATATTAAATGACATTGTTCTGAACCTGCAATGAAAAGAAGGTAAATGTTTAGGCTGCCCTGGTTGCAAACATTTAAAAGTAGAAAGAGATTGACTTCCTAAATGGCAGAGTTAGGAGCCCAGCAGACCCCCTCCCTAGTGAAACAACCATTTAACTACTGAAAATTATTTTTTAAAAAATTACTGTTAAAATCTGATAATTGTCCTAACTTACAACACCAAGTAGTGAAGCATCTATTCAAGAAAATCTACTAAATCTCTGTGAGAACAATAAGACACAGTGACACTTAAGTCACGACCTGCTCATATCACCCTCCCATCTCTCAGCTCAGTGTGACAGAAGTTCCATTCTGAGTGGGAACAGAGATGGGGCTCCATCTCCTCTTGGCTCTCAGTCTAGAGCTACAGTTCACCCTGAGAGGGACAGGCTATTGGCCTGTCTCATTACTCCCAGTTTTGGGTTGCATGTGGGTACAGCCAAGAGGATGTGGTTCCCCTCTCCCACCAGTCTCCCACTTGTAGTAGCAAGGCAGCTGGCTGAGAATACTGGGCCCTGGTCTCCCTAGCCCCAGCTCACTCAGAGGGCAGAAGGTCTATGTCCTTCTGGGGAGGAGCAAGCTGAGAAGACTAGGGTCTACCCTTCCTACCCAGAGCCCCAGTTAATGGAGCAGGGGAGTCATTGTGGGAGAAGCAGGTTGCTGACCACAGCCCTAGCCCTAGGGAAGTAGTACACAGATTCTGCCTAGGGAAAGAGGCAAGGCATAAGAAGAAAGAGCTCCAGCATCTCTGCCAAAGGGGACAAACTTTATCTGTAACAGAGAATGTGGAAGTTCATGCCTAAGGGCACTGTCAAAACCAATGTAGATCTTGGTGGTGAGCAATAAAGAAGGTGATCCACGATAGTCACAGCAAGAGTGAAATGGCAGATCCCCAGGAGGTTTTACAGAGAGCCAAGGACAGCCCAGAGGGCTGAGAAGAGTGCTCCTGGAGTCAGAGCAGCCTCAAAGACAAGCAATGCCTTACAACTTTAATCAGATCAGACCATAGGGTACTTTATGCACAGGGTGTTGTCAAAAACAGTACAGCAATCAGCTGGTAATTAGCAGAGGCTAACAGCCAGGTGTGATACTACAGAAGCGGACCTGGAAGCTTACTGGGGAGATCAGGGAAAGAGACAAAGAGAGCCCAGCTAAAATAACTAGAAAGCTGCCACATTAAGACTAAGATATAAAGTGTCTGTGACTTGCATAGTATTTTATGCAACATATAGTATTGTTAATAACTGCACAAGCAATAGACATTTGTTATATGATACAATGTATCAGATCTGGATTTTTTAGAAGTGAGGGACTAAGATACATAATAAATGTTATAATGAAGTTTCTTCCTAGATGAAAATCTGTTTAAAAACAAAAGAAAATAAATGTGTTAGAAAAGCTAGTCCTGTCAATTTAAAACGAGGTGCATTAAGTCCACTGGCCTGTACTCCCACTTCCCATTGTACAATGCAGGGATCCAGAGGCTTCATTTTTCCAGCTGCAGACTTATCTCCTCTTCGCTACTACATTCCATGATATATTAAAAGCAAATTGTTTCAATGGCAGCAGGTGTGGAAATACCTTCCCAATCTCCATTTTGGCAATACTGGGTAGAACTTTAACCTACAGAAACTTCTTATTGAATCCTCAATTAGGAACGCGGGAACACATTGCAACAGGTGTCAATCTGCCTGGCGGTTATTTGAATGAACGTCTTTCTGGCTCAGCCATATCCAAACCATTAGGTAAGACTTTTATAAAAATGGCTTTCATCAGTACTTTGTGGGGTGTGCTAAATAACTACTGGAAGCAAGCAGCCACGATAAAAGATCAGGGCCAGAACTCCCTTTGCAGGGACTCTCAGGCTTGCTGCATCCCGTGTGGATATCATGCATGCAGTGGACTCTGGGGAAGACTCCGCGAGGGACCCAGGAACTCACGAGGTGGTGATGCAAGACTCTCCCCTGATCCCAGGAAGGGCTCCCCGAGGATGTGAATATTACTAAATGAAACATCATGGATGTTTCAGATCATGGTGGTGATTATTTGCTGTCTCCTCGTCCTACAAAATGGATAAGCATTTTGATGTCTTGACATTTCATTAGGCACAGGTGTATTCCATTTCACAGGGCTTCAGACTCTGTCTTCTGCCTTCAGACTCATTTTAAATACACTTTGGATAAAATGATTTTAAAAGGATTTTTAAAATTATACATATGAAATATCTAAGCAATTAACAGAAAAAAAATAAAGACAACACAAAGAATTAGGAGCCATAAAACACATTTTTATTCCTATCACTTTAATTGCCAGTTCTTTTTGTTTGGTGTTCTTTTTGTTGGTATAATGGAATGTCTCTCCTCATGGTTCTTTCTAACAGGTTAAGCAAAATATTTGCATATGAGTGCAATGTATTTCTAATGTGCTATGTACTTTCTAAAAGGTGAGACTCCAAAGATGGATCCAATTTTTTAAAACAAATATACCAAAATGTACACATGAAATCTCTAATGACCGATATTTCAAAGCAATTTTCTTGGAAGCCTGCTCTATCTACTCTATTCCATGATGTTACTTTGCTGAGCTGTCTCTGGAATTAAATTATTTCATTCACTTATTCAGTAGATATTGAATACTTATGGGCTAGGTACTCTGTAGAAGCTATAGATACAGCTGAAGATAAATAAAGCATGATGCTTGACTTTCAGAAGCATATGGCTTAGCGGGGAAGGGAAGAGTAAGGTATGTGCGGAGGCTCAGAGACAGCTTCACAGAAAGGAGGTGATATATGTGCAAATTCTTGAAGGGGAGGATGTGCCAGACGAAAATGGGAGGAGCGCAGGGTGAGCCCCAGGAAACAGTAAGTAGATGTCCACACAGGCTGGAGTTCTGAAGCCTGTCCGCAGCCTTTGCATAGGTGGTATTTGTCAAGTGGGGTGTGATGGGAAAACAAGAAAGATGAGGCGGAGAGTAGGCAGGGCCTGAGAGGAATAGTAAGGCCTTCAGAACCAGCATATGATGTTGTCAATGACTCCTATATCTTTCTTTATAATCACAAATTTTAGCTGCCCTTAGAGCATATTGCCAATGTAGAGCATCCTTCTTTACCTGACTTAAATCTGTATTTTCTTGACATTTTCCAAAAATTATACCTACTTTGAAAAAAAGAGGCTACACTATTGTTGTATTAAGGCCATTCAAAAGAATGGTCACTAGTTACGATGGCCATTCTCAAAGAGGAGTCCCTGCTGTATTTTTAGCCATGAGAATAAATCACTGAGCTCATCCATGGAACCTGTTTTGGGTGCCAAAAATATTTGAAATTTGTAAGTTGAGTGTATTTGCTAAAGAGTCAGAATGATTGCCTTATAAACACACATTGGAGACTGATGGATGCTTTTAGAGGCACATTGGATTTGCTCTCAGCTACTGGCTTGGGTTGGTTTTCTTGACAGCTTACATTTACTATCATTATTCCTAATTCCCTGTTTATTAATTTGTAGGTCAATGTCTCCACCTCACTGTGTTCAGGGACCTTCTCCCCCAGTCAGAATAAACTTAGCTTTTTGAGTGATTCTAGCCAATGATTCGGTTAAAAACAAACACAGCAAAAAAAGGAGAGTCCTTGCTTGGAACTGCCATTTCTCAATCTAACGTTTGGCTATTTTTTTTCTCCCCTGGTAAAAATATTTCAGCAGTTCAGATGGTAAGTTAGTAGGCTACTATTTCTAGGACATTTTTGTTCCAAGCCTGCAGCCATTCTTACTCTAACCATAATCTGACAAGTTAAACACAGTCAATAAAATAATAAAAAATAAATAACACATTTGCTATCTTACACATTTTTCCCAGCACACATTTTCCTTTCCTGCAGAAAGTGAAAAAATGTTTTTCCTGGTTTTGCTCATGCCTTTTCCTGCCTGAAGGAAGACCCGACTCCAACACATTCTTCCAAACTTAGCCTCCGAGCTCCTGTCTTGACCCTCATTCACCACCTGTAGGCACACAGGACAGATTGTCCTTCCTGAAACACGTCCTGTGCTTTGCCATGTGCTGTTTCCTTCTCTCGAAAAGTCCTCACCTCTAGTGTCTCCCTTTTCTGCAATCACATTCTGTGTGTCCAAAAATGATGCGACGATACCTAGGACAACTCAAAAGGGAGACTTGCAGATTAAGCTTCCAAATTCTCACTTGATGCCTCCCCTTACTAATAATATATTAAAATATAAGCCAGAACGTGGGACTATTTCTGAGTAAACATGATTTGCCGTATTGTGTAGAAGGGTACATATGCTGTGTCTCGGGAGCCAGATTGTCTGAATATGAATCCTGGTTCTGTCCTTTTTCTTCCTATAACCTTAGACAAGTTATTTTTCTGCACCTCTGTTTCCTTATAAGTGACATTGGGATAATAAAGGATCTACCCAATCTTCTAAGCAGACTCAGATATAAGATTGGGATAATAATGGAACTTTAAAGGCCACTGGGAGGATTAAATGAAATTAATACATGAACAATTAGAACACTGTTCTAATTATTAGAAAAATTGGATCATTTCAGAAATGTTAACCATTTAATATCTGTCAATCATTTTAGCAAATTTCAAATTATAATGCGAATTTGCCTAAAAATTCCAAAAAATTAAAAGCCAAACACCCAAATTCCTGCTCTTCTACATAATCAGAATGCCTAAACCAGGATTAACTTAACGGTTCCCCGTATACTCAGCTGAGTGATTTCCTCTCCTTCTCCTTGTCCTTCTTCTAGGCCCCCAGCAGTTCCTGTTGCTCTTTGCTATATGTACTGAGAATCAGAAACTGCACATGAGACTTGGGATGTATAAGAAACCTCTTCAGGTCAGAGATGTAATTAGGTAGATCAAAGGCTAGGTCTTTGCAAAGGCCGCATCAAATGCAACTGTGCTTTCAGTCTCTTTTATTTATTTATTCATTTTTCATTGTTATTTTTTGAGACGGAGTCTCCCTCTGTCATCCAGGCTGGAGTGCAGTGGCGAGATCTCAGCTTACTGCAACTTCTGCCTCCCAGGTTCAAGCGATTCTCCTGCCTCAGCCTTCTGAGTAGCTGGGATTACAGGAGTGCACCACCACACCCGGCTAATTTTTGTATTTTTAGTAGAAACGGGGTTTCACACTGTGGGCCAGGCTGGTCTCAAACTCCTAACTTCAAATGATCCACCCGCCTCAGCCTCCCAAAGTGCTGGGATTACACCACGCCCGGCCTCAGTCTGTTTTAGTTTGAACATGTGTTCATTCATTTACTCACCCAAATGTGCCTGGGTCTGTGGTACATAGATATCTACACATTGGACTCTCCCTGTAATTCACCTATCCATAAGAATATTTTGGAAATTAATGAGACCGTATACCTAAAATCCTGAATAGTTAAAAAAAAACCAGATGCTAAAAAGAAATCAAGTATTGATAAATGGAACTACTCTCCAGAATATAAGCTGATAAAGCTTGGTATTATTTGGGCATCCACCCAACCTTCTGTAACAGACTTTTTAACAGACGAATTTCCCCCCCTTAAGATGCTTATCAGTTATCAATAGAATTAATACCTAGTTGAGATTTTCCAGAATCAAAGATCTGAACTTTTTAAATACCCTCCCTTTCTCCTTCCTTTAGTAGTTCCACTGCAGTACTCTGGCAACATTAAGAATCACCTGATTACCTTTATTGCTATAAACTCTAAAACAAACCACCTCAGCCATATCGGCCCAAATTTATCACCCTTCAGTAATTCAGTATCATATTTTATTCTGCTTCTCAAAACCTAGTAGCTAGCATTTTATTCTTTGGAATGTATGCACAACTGCTTTTGAAAAGTGGTTGTTTAAAAATAAATATTACACTTTGTATAATAGTGTCATGTTCAAAGTGATCTTGTCCCAGGTCAATGACTACTTTCATTCATTACCTCTATTCCTGTTAGACTTGAATACAAGTCATAGTTTAAGTTCTTCTACTAAGATATAAAACCTCAGCATCAGAAAAATAATTATTGTTTTTCCTGGCCATTTAAAATGGGAAAATTTGACAAAGGCATCTCCAATTACAATGTTATAAAGCCTTCAAACATAACTCTTTCCTTTAATTGTAGTATTTAAAATTTGCATAAGATTTAATTTTTTGGGAGAAGCTTTAGAATAGAAACACAACATAACTGGAAGACAAAACATAAGGTCTCTTTCTGATCCTGATGTGGCCTCTCCCCTTAGTCCTGGCATTTAACCTCCTGGATCTCAGTGCCCCCGCACCCTCAATTTGGGAAATGAGAATAAGAATACACATTCCATGTGTGGGTATAGAAAGAGATGTGATAGAGGGGGAAGTGTTTCTATGAAATGATGCTACAGTGCGATGTCATAATCTTAGGTGGCAACTTGACTTAATTAAGGGATATCTGGATAGCTGGCAAAGCATTATTTCCTGGTATGTCTATGAGGGTGTTTCTGGAGGAGAACAGCACGTCGGTCCATGGTCTCAGTGGTGGAGATCTGCTCTCAATGTGGGTGGCTTCCACCCAATTGGCTGGGGGTCCAGATAGAACAAAAAGGCAGTGGAAAGGTCAATTCACTGCCTTTTCTGAGGCTGGGACACCCTTCTCCTCCCCTCGGACATCAAAAGTCCAGATTCCATGGCCTTTCAACTCCAGGACTTGCACCAATGGTCCCTCAAGGTTCTCAGGCCTTTGGCCCTGGCTGAGCTACACTGTCCACTTTCCTGGTTCTTCAGCTTGCAGACAGCCTAGAGTGGGACCTTTTAGCCTCCATAATTGTGTGAGCCAATTTCCCTAATAAATCCCATCTCTCATATTTAGAAACTTAAACACCTTGTTGATTCCAAATTATGTGCCTTGGCAACAAAGATAAAAGTTTTCTCAGTTAAAAGAAAGAGGCGAAGGAAAATAATTTGGAATCGACAATAGAATGGTAAAATATAAAAGCTAAGATCTGAAATACATCATATTTAATTTTAATTTTTTCATCTTGAAATGAAAATAATTACTTTTCATCATCTCCAATAAATCTGGATTTTTTATTCCTGACTTTATTTTTGACTATATATAATGTATATATTGCCAAGTCTCTTGAAGCGGACATTTAATGCATCAGCATCTAATTTATTCTTAGATGTGAAATTGTTTTAAAGGAAAACTGTTACCTAAATATTAGATCCACCAAAGAAGATAGAGTATTAATAAAACATTTTATAAACTGAAATAAACATGGTTTTACTTACTTTCAATCTGAGATTCAGAGATGACCTAGTTTGACTCTTTTATCAAATGCATACATCACCTTTTCAGTGTTTGGTTATAGGTCAACTGCGTGAATTAACAGTAGGTGCTAAGCACAGAGCAGTTACTAGAGACAACAAAGATACATCTGCGAAATCAGTAGCAGGTTCCTGTCCTAGAAACACACAGGGTGAGTTGATAAGAGGCACTTCTTTTGGTGACTTAGTGGATAGAATTTAGTTTCTCTCTTGGCATTTGGGTGTAAACCCTACTTAGTTTCCCATAATAAATCACTTATTAGTTCTCTGAATAAATTGAAAACATTAAAAATAACTAAGAATGAATGAAATGGAAAAATACAGTAGCTGAAAGCTCAAACAGACTGAATGTTCTTGTTGTTGTCTCAATGTCTGCATAAGAAGAAAGATGTCATGGAACTCAAACTTAATTTCCTGAGGGGTTTCCTTTCTCTTTCAACATTTAAAATGAACATGTCTTTGCTGGATAATTTTGGTTATTATGAGAGTGTCTTGCACTCTTGCACTCCTTACACTAAACTCTTTTTGAAGGGGGTTATGATAGGAAACATGGCAGAATTGCTTTCAGATTTGCTTCCTGTTGACTTCGGTCTTCTGATTTTTTTCCCAGGATGCCACAGCACATTTGGTGCCCAACCTTATTCCCCTTCATTTAAGTGTGTGCCTAAAACCTATGATTTCTCAAGGATGCTAGCACATATTTGAGAGAAACAGATGTTGCCAATGTTTCTCAAGTCAGTCTCTCATCAGAACCAATGGAGCATTCAGACAGCAGGGACAGGCAATTTCCCTTTGCCACGGGACTGTGTGTTTAATTATGTTAGAACAGGAAGAGGAAGCACAAATGTGTTTTTGAGTCAGAATTAAGTGCCTGGCTTTGAGCTCAATGCCTTAACGTGCATGATGTCATAATAAGCTATAAGAAGTGTTGACAGTGCTCATAACACTTGAGGTAGTTTCCCATTTCAGAGAAATAAATGAAGTCTCAGAAAGGCTGAGAAATCTGTTCCAGTTTTCAGAGCTTGGTGCACCAGCCTGGATGGTCGGTTCTCCCACAGCCTCTGGAGGGGAGGGCCTCTGCCCCAGGACCCACCCGAAGATGCCCTGGAACCCTATGCTCCGGGTGGAGTGAGGAGCTGGTTGGGGCCAAACAAAGTGCATCCTGATTCCGCTGGACCCCAGCCTGCAACAAAACCAGAAGCAGGGTGACAGCAGCCTGGTTCTATCTGCTCTCCTTGGACATACAAATCTGAAGAACAAGTGAACACCAGCACCCGGGAAATGCTGCAATGCCCCAGAGCGCATTTGTTGTAATCACATCTCATGTCTGTGCTCTGAGAAATTAAGTAGAAACCGGTAGCCAGCATGGGACTTGCCCACAGTAGGCATTCTGCAAAAACGCGTTGAATGCATGAGGAAAGAGGATGTTTCTAGCTTCCTGATGTTGCAAACTAAAAAGAGCATTTCTTTGAAACATTTCTAATTGGTATGGTGAGTATCCTAGTCCTGAAAAGTAGAGGTATTTTTTTGTAATTTGGTAAATTTGGTAATTTTTTGGTATTGGGGGATGGACTATGAAGCACCTGACAGCATTTGATGCACAATTGATGAGCAAGAAATAATGACATGCCTCTTGAGTGCATTATGTTGATATTTTGCATTCAGAGGAGCTGACATGATGAGCTGACAGAGAGAAGAGTGTGGAGTCTTCTTCCCGGCCACCAGCAGGATATCTGACCCCCAGACTGTAAGCCCTATCACTGACTTAATGATATCTTCCTTCTAAAAAGAAGCTCCAAAATTCTGCTCAAAGAACAGCAGGGTTACTCATGAGGGTTCACCTGGAATAAGAGAGTAACTCACACACAGCTAGTAAGCTGTTATGGATGACTGGATGGTGACTGTGGGAGTTTTTGTTTTTACATGAAGAAAAGACAGTATTTCCCCAACATGATTCATTTGGCAATATTGTATTCCATGTGATATACATAGAGTTGGCTAGTGTTCAAGCTAGAAGGGGGTGTTGGGACCATTTAATATTTGTATTAAAATATTAGATGATGAGAAAACTGAGTCTCTGCCAAGGTAAGACATGCGCTCATTCCCTTAGCTAGAGAATCATAGAGTCAGGGCTTGAATCCACTGCCTTCTGTCCATTGACTTCCCATTCTCCATTTCTGTCTCTCTCTCCACCTTTTTATGTAAGTTTTTATTGTGAGTATAGGCAATTTCTATGTGCAGTTTTGAACAGAATAAAATGCCCTTCCACTTAAGAAATTAAATATTACCAATGTCTATGAAACTTCTTCCTCCCTCCGCCTCATTCCCACAGGCAACCACTTTCCTGAATTTCATGTTAATCGTACTCTTGTTTTTCTCCATAGCAAGCTACCTCTCTTGATTTTCAATATTTCTTTTATTATGAGACCCAGATGCACAGATGTTCCCCAAAGCACAATGGATATTTTATAGCTCTTAATATAAGATCAGAATTCTAAGGCAATAAAAATAGCCAGTTAGCATTCAGACGAATCTTGCATTTGCACGTTATTAGCCACTGACAGCTCTCTTTGGCTCTGAGATGACACTGCTGACTCTGACCATTAAGAACTTGCTTTTTTGGCATTTCCACATCCTTTGATAGTGTAAATTTATAAGAATAATGCACTTCTTTGGGAATTCTTTGTTTCTCTAAATTCATTGTACTATTTCATATTCTACACATGTTAATGTAGTCTTGTTTCAAAACCAGAAAATAACAACAAGACCAGATCTCCTTTTCCCAACATTCACACTGTTCATGGGGACAAACAAAAACATTTGTACTCAAGCCCTGTTACTTTTAATTTCTATTCCCCCGATGAAGACAGCATCTGATTGGTACTATGGCAACAGGTTGCCTCGAGCATCGAATAGGTATTACGCGCACACAATCTTCCTCACAAATTCTCTTTATGAGTGTTAGGAGAGGTGTGATCTTCTCCTAGAACTCACTAAATTAAACAAGGTTGAAGAAAATCTAATTAGTGTTTCCAGAAGTGCCTTTCTGGGGTCTGATTATATCAGATTACTGTTCATATTTTCTCCTGTATTCACAAGGCGCAGGCACAGCCTATAGATGTCCTTACAAGTAGCAAGGGAGGGAACATCAAGGTGGCCTCACGACATGCAGGCAAAACCAACTCACGGTGTTCTGGGGTTTTTCTCTGACTTTTCCTATTTCAAGTTGTTCAGGTTTTTTCCTTCCTCCTTCTCTCCTTTCCTTTCCTTCTTCCTTCCTCCCTTTCTCTCTCCCCTGTTTCCCTCTTTTCCTCTTTCTTTTGTTGCTCCTTAAGGGAAAAAGCAGTGAGGTATTCCTCACTCATTTTCTGAGATTATTTGCTAGCGCTGCCTTGGCTGTAAGGTAGATACTGTGGATTGTAAATGGTCTGTTCCTTTGAAATCTGTACTAACACATCAGAGCTAAATATTCCCTATGTGACAAAGAGGAAAAGATACTTCTTGGGTACCTGCCAATATCAGGTATGAGACAGAGCATCCACCCTTCACATTGTCTCAGCAAATTCTCCCAGGTGCCTGCCTATGAGGTATGGGTTACTATCCCCACTCCTTTGATAAGGAAGCAGATGCAGAGAAGTAGAGGAGTGCACCACAGGTGAAAGTTACTAAGTGGTGGAGACAAGATTTCCAGCAAGGGTTTTTTGACTCAAGTTTCCATTGAGAGCCTCAAAACTCACTGGAGGAGGCAACCTGCAGACTTCTTTCATTTTCCAGGTGGTGGTGGTGGCGGGGACAAGTGCCATTGTCATCAGGCATTATAACTCGCAAATATTGTGTTACAGCTTGAGAAAGTCTGTGCCTGTTACACCAGGTATATTTGTGGGTCCGTCTCTCTCTCTCTCTCTGTGTGTGTGTGTGTGTGTGTGAGTGTGTGTTTGTGTGTGTGTATGGAGAGGGGTATGGAGAGAGAGGTAGAGACAGAGAGACAGAGAGAGAGAGAGAGAGGGTGAGAGATGAGAAAATAGAAAGAAATATAATGACTTTTGATGACTCATTTATTAGAATTAATGATATGCACTCAGTGCAGACTGCCTCTAACATCATTAAAATATGGCCACCAGTTTTAGGAATCCTATACTTTCCCAGAACTGTAGGAAATATCTCCACACATATGATACAGATGAGCTTGTGAGAAAAAAGATTAGTTTTCACATTTAATGGATTGAAGTTGATGTCTATCCATCTGACAAAAGTCTAATATCCAGAATCTACAAAGAACTTAAGCAAATTTACAAGAAAAAAACAAACAACCCCATTAAAAAGTGGGCAAAGAACATGAACAGACACTTCTCAAAAAAAGACATACATGTGGCCAATAAACTTAAAAAAAGCTCAACATCACTGATCATTAGAGAAAGGCAAATCAATACCACAATGAGATACTATCTCATGCCAATCAGAATGATGATGATTAAAAAGTCAAGAAATAGCAGATACTGGTGAGGTTGCAGAGAAATAGGAATGCTTTTACGTTGTTGGTGGGAATGTAAATTAGTTCAACCATGTGGAAGACAGTGTGGTGATTCCTCAAAGACCTAGAACCAGAAATACCATTTTACCCAGCAATCCCATTACTAGGTATATACCCAAAGGAATATAAATCATTATATTGCAAAGATACATGCACATGTATGTTCACTGCAGGACTATTCACAATAGCAAAGACATGGAATCAACCCAAATGCCCATTAATGATAGAACGGTTAGAGAAAATGTGGTACATACACACCATGTAATACTATGCAGCCATAAAAAGGAAAGAGATTGTGTCCTTTGTAGGGTCATGGATGAAGCTGGAAGCCATTATTCTCAACAAACTAATATAGGAACAGAAAACCAAACACCGCATGTTCTCACTTATAAGTGGGAGCTGAACAATGAGAACACGTGGACACATGGCAGGGAACAACACACACTGGGGCCTGTTAGGGGAGGGTGTGGGGGATCGCATCAGGGAAAAGAGCTAACGCATGCGGGGCTTAATACCTAGGTGATGGGTTGACAGGTGCAGCAAACCACCATGGCACACATTGCTACCTGTATAAAAACCTGCACATCCTGCACGTGTACCCTGGAACTTAAAAAATATATTTAAAAAAAAAAAGAAAAAGAAGAAAATGTATCTTATTTCCTCATAAATATTATTTTCAAAAATGTCAAGGCTAAAAGTATTCTGTGCTAAAAATATAGGTGAGTGGACAGAGCAAAGTCTAAGTGCTGTTTGCTGGAAGATTCGTGAGGTTTCAGGCCTTGGGGGCAGCCTGGGTGAGAGGACAGGAGCCAGCAGGTGCAGTCAGCTCTGGCTCTAGAGGGCAAGGAGCTCAGCCCAGACCAAGACCTTGGGCAGGAAGAGGTAACATTTCACCTCAAGGTTAGGTGAAACGAGTTTAAATTGGTCCACATCCATTTAGGAGAGAAACAGAATGTGAATGAGGGAACTCTTTTCTGATAAATTTAGACAGAGGCTGAGGGCGCTCTTCCCCTTATCCATTGGAGGCAGGCAAGGAGGAGGCCAGAGGAGGACATGGGCAGGTGGTGCACGCTCCGTTGTCAGATGGCTTAGGTGCTTTACATTGTTTATTTTATTCTGTTCTAACACAACACTGCAATTTAGATCTTTAAAATTATTTTCCAATCAGAAAAGCCAAGGCTCAGTGTCGTGAAGTCACACACTCAAGGCCACACGCTGTGTGAAGACAGCAAAGATCACTGGCAATGGAATTCCTCCAAACTGAGGTCCTTTCCCGGTGGGATGGAACTTGGAGCACAGGCCCTGGTTGCAGCTCCACCCATTGCTGGTTGCTGGGGGCATCACCCTTGTTACTGCAAACTGCTGGAAGAGGCAGGAAAAGTGCTCCTGCTGCATCTCCCATGACCAGCTTTTCACAGCTCCATCACCACAGTCACATTCGGTTTATGTCTCTGTCCTAAAACGTGTGCTCTGGGCCACTTCACTAGTTTTATTCTTTCCTTTATAGTCTAGAAATTCTACCCTTGCTACCACGATGCCCTCTCCTCTAATTTGCATTCTTCATTTATTTCCTAAACTTCGCACTGATGTGTTCTGCTGTGTGCCCCTGTGGTCTCTGAATTGTCAGACCCATCAGGCTCTTTTCAGCTCTCATCTCCACAGGTCCCTCAAGGGCATTTCTTTGGAAACTCCCCATCCCCATGCTCTTCCTGTTGCAGGACTGTTAAGGAATAGACATGATTCCAATACACCCACCTCTCTCTTATTTTCTTCTCTGGCTCTTTCTCCACTATGGCCCTTAAATGGTGGTTCACTTTACCAGTTCTGCGCTTGGCCTTCTCCAATGAGCTCTCCCTAGGTTGTCTCTTCTATTTTTCCCTGCTTCAACTATCAACTCAGCTTGAGGTACAGTGTGTGCAAATCCTCTCTCACTCTCTCCAGGTGGAACCGGTCACTTCTCTCTTTGGGTGTCCACTGACCTCTGGGCCTACCCAGGACCACTTAAGCACTTATTCATATGCTGCTCCCCCTTATGAGGCTGTAAGCCCTTCAAGGGTGAATGGTGTTAGTCATGCTCACTTTCTAGTATTCAAGTCAGCGCCTGCCATGGATAGGTGCCCACTGCATGTTTATCGTAATAATGTGATACATTATTATATTTTGTAATATACACTAAATAATGAAGATTTCCTTCAGGTCTTGATGAAGACACTGCAGCCTGTCTTTGGGAGGTGTGTAGCTGGATGAGAACAAGGAGTGATTTTTCAGGACCCTTGGGTTTCAGGATCAAGTTCACATCATTCCCTCCTGTTCCTGGTTTGGCTGTGCTACCGCACTTGGCCTGAGTAAGAGACCTCGCACTTCTCCGACTTCCTGACCTGCTCTTATCTGATCTCCCCTCCAAGCATTTGTACACTTGAAATCACTGCACTCATTCTGAAAGGTTCAATACTCACTCCCTTTGCTATCAAACTTCCTGGCCAAACTGAATTTGAAAGAGAGATCTCCTGTGTTCACAAAACATTAAAAAAAAAAATAAAACTTACTTCACATAGTTTTTGTAACAGCTTTTCTGTGTTGATTTCTTTAAAAAGATGTGACAAAGTGTTTTGCAATTACTTATTCTACCATTTATTCCAAAAGTCTTTGTTAAAAATACCTGTTTTCCATTGACATCATAGAGGATATATTTTAGATTTTTTAAAATATGAATTTTAACTCAATGTTTTAGATAACAAATATCTGGAGGTGCCCCTTCATTGAAGGCTCTATGCTGGAAACTCCCACTTTTCAACCCTAGTGTAGGGAAGTTCATGCCCCATCAAATTGCCCAAGCATTTGAACCGGTAATACTATGGATGTTTAAAATATTTTTGGAGTGTTGGCCAGGTGCGGTGGTTCATGCCTGTAATCCTAGTACTTTGGGAGGCCAAGGCGGGTAGATCACTTGAGGTCAGGAGTTTGAGACCAGCCTGGCCAACATGGTGAAACCCCATCTCTACTAAAAATACAAACATTAGCTGGGTGTGGTGGTGCATGCCTGTAATCCCAGCTACTCAGGAGGCTGAGGCAGGAGAATCCCTTGAACCCCGGAGGTGGCGGGTGCAGTGAGCCAAGATCGCGCCACTGTACTCCCGACTAGACGACAGGGTGAGTCTCCATCTAAAAAAAACCCCAAAAGTTTTTGTAGTTTTCGAGTCTTGTTAGTCTTGTAGTCTCTGAGACTTTTTCTACAGCTGAGTTATGAGCTGTGGAAATTTAAGATCACAATGAAAGTGCTGACAAAACCTTAGCCAGGCAGAGCTCAGCAGGCCCTGTCCTTCTGCAATCAGGGCTCATTGTGAGCTTTGAAGAGTGAATCTCCATGTGATTTTATCCTAACAAACGTTTACATACCAATTGAATCAGCTTCTCCTTCCCAACCCCCTTGCATCTGCTCTGACAGTTTGCAGGGCTGTCTCTATTCCACACATATACCCTCCTGTGTATGAGCAGTACCCTGGGGGGAAAAAAGCTGTTTTAAAATCCCTCAGTAGGAAGTGATCCTGGTTTTTAAGTTCTGCTGAGTCATCAAGAAAATATTAGCTTACCTCTCTGAGGAATACTTTTAAAATCAGTCTAATAGCAATCTGCTGAATAAATGCAAAATATATTTATACCCTAGAATATACACATCATGATGTGAAAACTATTTAAGAGGTTGTGGGAGCTTCCCTTACCCACCCACCTACCCAATCCAAATTGGGCCACAAAATCCTGATCCTATAACTGTCTGTGGCTTTCTAGAAAAAAAAAAAAAAAAGCTATCTGGGAAAGTACCATAGTAAAACACTTTTGAATTTTTTATTAAGTTGACCTTACCCGTCTTTCCTTTTGTCCTTGCTCAGCAAGCATTCTGATTACCATTCACATGGTTATTTTTAGTGTTTAGAAATAATAATTACAGTGTGTTGATATTCAGTCAAAGCAAACGTCAGCTCTAAGTTCCCACACTGGCTAAAGGTCAGGTGAATGGCAGATAAATGTGGGCTTCTGTTTCCTCTAAGGTGTGAAGTGCTAACACATTACTGAAATTTGGGGAGGTTAGAGGTTGGCAAATGAAGACACCACAGGAAAGGCCAACAAGCAGCCAGTGTTTGGGGCACCATTCCTTGCAGACAGCTCCTTATTGATGCTTCTTTGTTCCAAACAGGATTGAACTGACTGCTCTAGATCTTTCCTCCAGCTCTCCTCTTCCCATAGCCATAGCACGTGACTAATTACACTGTCCACCACATCCATGACCCCGCTCCTCTCCCTGTGCCTGAACATGTCTGTGTGCTCACCACACCTCAGAGGGAAGGAGAGGCAGGAGAGAGGAGAAATACTGAGTGGAAAAATACCAAGATTTGTGCTTGATTATTGGAGATAATTAAGTAGAACCTAAAAATAGTCAGGCCCCTTATTTCATATTATGTTCAAAATGATTCAACTTCAAAGCTATTCACAGCTGTGCTGGGGGTTGATATACCATAGAGCTGATTTCAAGCACTTGAATCAATGATAAGTAGAAGAAACTTCTTTCTGTTCTTCTAAGTATAACTTGGGGTGGTACCATGACTCAAGAGACTACTGAATGTGAAATAAAGAGATCAATAATATCATTACCTCCACGACAACCATCATTTATTCTGCCAGTACTTTTAAATAAAGTGGAGCCATATGGCCAACACACCAGTGAGTTTTGTGATTCTTTCCTTATGAAGTTGTTGGTGATGAGTCTTTAAAATTGAACTCCATAAATGTATTGATTAAGCAGACTAGTGGTTTACTATTTTATTGATCTATTTACTGATATTCCCAAGTATCCCAAGTATTGAACAATGCAAAGACAGACTCAAAAGTCAGAAATACAGGAAAATAGGTTGTGGTACTTTAAAAGTATATATGCAAGGATTTACTCTGATACCCAACACCTCTTTCAAGTGTTGGGAATAAATCTAATTACGTGCTGCCAATAACATCAGCAATTCCATTGCTTTGTGGAGACTGATCACCAGCATTGCTGCACAGACACGGGCACATATGGCATCCCCAGTCTGGTTTTGTTCACATTGCTATCTTTTCCTTACAGAATATCATTTTTCCTGACAAAGTATTGGGCATAATTTGTGGCCCAGCTCAAAGCCACTATTTTCACAAAAACTTTCCTGATTCTACACTCCCTGATGTCCTCCTCCTTCAAACATCAATAGCATGGCATTGCTACTTCCCTTGTACCATTTTGCATACGAGATTGCTCTGTGTCACCAAAGGACCTCAAAGTGACCACCACTAGGACACAGCACATTGACTTCTAATAAGGTTTTGGTCTCTCTTTTCCATTAGACTGAAATTTTGGAGAGCAGGGGGCTGTGTCTTTGTATCTGTCTTGCCTAGCATAGGGCTTTGTCACATACCAGGCGTCCATTCTTGCTTCTATTCAACAAACACCCAGGATCGCCTGCTCTGTGCTGAGTATGGTGGTTCCACTGTGTTGGGAAGGAATGTGCAAGTGCCCTGGAGTGCTGCCCCCATCATGCTGCCACGCTTGTTTTTGCATCTCGACGGAATTTTCCAGCTCCTGGCAGGGAGGAGCTGTCATCTTTCTTTTATACCCTGAGGGCTTAGCACTAAGTGCTATTGGATAAATGTAATATATTTAGAAAGACAAAGAAAAAAATCACAACTCTCCTATGTAGGGGCTGCTGCTCCTAATTTTTATAAGTTTGGCTCTTCACAACTTCTCATTGGTCAGACTTTTGGGAAGTGTTTTGAGGAGCTTATGTCTACTCTCCTTATAATTTTGGTTCAAATCAAGTCTCTGATGAAGATGAAGCTGCTCTTACAATTTTGTTTCATTACTAATGAACTACTGCTACTTAATAGATTTAATAAAGCTTATTATGAAGGTGGATACAATAAAGTAACAAGGGAAGAAATTAGAACACTTCTGAGAATTATGCCCTTTACATTCAGATGGGGCACTATTAAGAGCTCTTTCCTAAATCTCAACGGATTTGCCCCATTCTCAGCCTTTGTCACCTTTATTGACCTCACTGACTTCCTGAGCATTTGTGTCAGAAACTTGAGATGTTACAGAGCTCTTCATAGTCATCAAAATGACCAATTTGACATTATATAATAAAAAACTTTGAAAGCCTGCTTGCCTTTGAATCCAGCAGTTCCACTTTTAGCTATTTATTTTTAAGAAATAATTAAGGCTTGCTGCAAAGATTTAGTGTTGTTGTTGTTGTTGTTGTTTTTCCTACAGATGGGGGTCTCGCTCTTTCACCCAGACTGGAGTACACTGGTACAATCATAGCTCACTGTAGCCTTGAACTCTGTGGCTCAAGTAATCCTCCTGCCTCAGCCTCCTGAGTAGCTGGGACTGCAGACGTGTGCCACTGAAGCTAGCTGAGATTTAGTTCTTAAAGTGTTTATCATAGCATTATTTATTATAGCAAATATATATAATAACTTATGGTTTCAGAAGTAGAAAATGACTCAAAAAGAAAAGGATAATCCATATATTGGTATGTTATGTGGTCATTAAAAATGAAGAACTATATATATTATTATGAATATATGTTTGTGATGTATTATTAAAAAAGGACACAAACTGGTATCCAATATTGATTCTATTTTAATGTAATATATATTAAAACATTAAATAAGTTTACACAGATAAGCAACAAAATATAATTCTTAATTATTTCTTAGGGGCAAGATTTTTATTCTCTTTCCCTCCCTCCCTCCCTCCCTCCCTTCCTTCCCTTTCTTTCTCTCTCTCTTTCTCCTTCCTTCCCTCTCCTTCCCTTTTCTTTCTTTTCTTTTCTTTCTCTCTCTCTGTCCTCCCCTCCTCTCCCTTTCCCTCCCGTTCCTCCTTTCCCTTCCCTTCCCTTCCTTTCCCTTCCCTTCCTTTCCCTCCCCTCCCCTCCCCTCCCCTCCCCTCCCCTCCCCTTCCCTTCCCTTCCCTTTCCTTTCTCAGCATCATGCTTGTGCCCTAGGCTGGAGTGCAGTGGCATGCTCTCAGCTCACTGCAGCTTCAAGGGATCCTCCCACCTTAGCCTCTCAAGTAACTGGGACTACATGAATGCACCACCACACCTGGCTAATTTCTTTTCTCTTTTGTAGAGATGGGGTCTTGCTGTGTTGCTCAGGCTGGTCTCAAACTCCTGGCCTCAAGCAATCCTCCTGCCTTGGACTCCCAAAGTGCTAGGATTATAGGTGTGAGCCACCATAACCAGCCAAGATTTTCATTTCTGAGTGGCAGGAAGGTGATTTATACCTTCTCCTTCATGCATACTTGGGTTTTCTATTTTATCTTTAATAATATGTGTAATAGGGAATAAAAGTAAATATTTTAAAAATTCCAAATATGTAAAAGTTTTACAAATACAGCATTTGAAGGAGGGGAACTTATATTGTGTCCTTTCCTTTATGTAAAATAACACTGTGACATTCCACAGGAACTTGTGAGCAGTCTGTATTGGCTAGTCCAACTGAAAAGCCAATACAAACTGAAGTAGCTTCTGAAGATGGTAAAAATCTGTCAGCATTCTTCAGTCAGAGGACTTTTGAGTGCCTTCCATGTTATAGGCCTTTTCCTATACTTCTTGCTTCATGGTGCTCACACTCTAGTAAAGGTGATGAGAATAATAATAAAACATAGGGATGAATAGAATTTCAGAAGTCCAAAGAGAAAATCACGCAGAGTAAGTAGATGGGGGCGTCTGTGGGAAGGGGGAGAGCTGTGTGTTTTAGGAGTGATGTTGGAGCCCCATCCTGATTGGAAAGGGATGAGCTATGTGAAGACCTGGGAGAGTGAAAGGGCAATGGTCCAGCAAATGCAGGGTCCTTGATGGGGCAGCAGCCAGGGCCTGTCTCAGAGACAGAGGACGGCCAGCCAGAGCTGCAGGACTCACACGAGCCAGTGGGAGAGTGGGGAGACTTGGAGGCTCCACAGCAGGGGCCTTGTCACATGCCTGTCACCAGTTTGTACTTCATTTAATTGCAGCAAGAAGTCCCCAGGGAGTTTTAACGAGAGCAGTGAAGTGATAGAAAGATCATTGTGGGCCAGGCACCATGGCTCACACCTGTAATCCCAGCACTTTGGGAGGCGGGTGGATCACCTGAGGTCGGGAGTTCAAGACCAGCCTGGCCAACATGGTGAAACACCGTCTTTACTAAAAATACAAAAATTAGCTGGGTGTGGTGGTGTGTGCCTGTAGTCTCAGCTACTTGGGAGGCTGAGGCACGGGAATCGCTTGAACCTGGGAGGCAGAGGTTGCAGTGAGCCGAGATTGTGCCACTGCACTCCAGCCTGGGTGACAAAGTGAGACTCTGTCTCAAAAAAACAAAAAACAAAAACAAAAACAAAACAAAACGCATCGCTATGGCTGCTGTGTGGCAAGTAGGCTGTGGGAAAAGGTGAAGGGGGGTACCAGTTCACTGGAGAAGGGTAACTGAGCTGGTGTTTGGAGAGAGTGTTATCAGCGGAGGCAGCAAAGGGTGGTCGGATTTGGGATGTGTTTTGGAGGTGGAGCACACAGGACTTGCTGATGGACTGGATCGGGGGTGAGGAAAAAGAAGAATGAAAGATACTTTTCAGTTTGATTATTATCAGGAGATGCAAATTAAAGTCACGTTGAGATACTAACCCATGGGTAAAATTCAGAGGACTCAAAATGCCACGTTTTGGAGTGGATTTGGAGCAATCTCAAGACACACACTGCTGGTAGGAATATAAATTGGTCCCAGCACTTTGGAAAACTCTTTGGCATCATCTACTCACATTCAGTGTGTCTGTCTGTACCCCATGACTCAGCAATTTCACTCTTAGGTATGAACCCAGAAGTAATAGGTGTGCACATGTATTAAAGACACATTAAAAATATTCAATAGTAACATTAACCATATTACTCCTAAGCTGAAAACAAACCAGTGTACATCAACAACCACAAAATGGACAGAGATTTATTCTTACAATAAATTATTGTAGAGCAATGAAATGAATGGGTTACAGTTACGTGGAATCATATCTCACAAGCACAACACTGAATGAAAGAATCCAGAAACACACACACACACACACACAATAATGTATGTTTCTATTTATATAAAGGTCAAAAACTTGCAAAACTAATTTTTTCAAATAGTGATCACATGTAGAACGGTGGGCACACAGGGAAGGAGGGGGTAAGAGCAGGGCTTCTGTGATGCTGAAAACGCTCTTCCTTTGACCTTGGGAGTAGTTTCTCACAACTGTGTACTTTTCTGTATCTATGTTACACTTGAAAACAATGTTTAAAAATTAGGAAACAAAAACAGAGGATAGGAAGTGAGGAAGAGGAGACAGAGGATAAGATGAATTTTTCAAGCAGTTTGTGAAGAGCAAGAAAGTAATGTGGTAGTGGGTGGTGGCGTGGGTCCATGTTTTCTTGATTACAGCATGTTTGTTTGTGTGATGATGGCAGTGATGCAGGAGTGAGGAAAAACTGATAATGCAGAATAGGGAGAGAGAGGGTAATTCCAAGAACAGGGTGATTGAGCAGGTGGTAGTGGACTCCAGGGTAGAAGAGAAGGACTTTAGCTGGGAGCCAGCATATTCTCAGAGGAAAGGCAGGACATATGGGTGAGAAAATAAAATAGCTCTTGTTTTATTGCCTCTATTTTCTTACTGAAATCAGGTTAAGAATACTGGAGTCAGACCATTGGAATATGAGGCCACCAGAGAAAGTAGGAAGCAGTTCATTTTGGAGCAGGAAACGGAATTTCAAGGGGGACATAAGGTAGGCTTGCTGGACAAGGTTGAGTGGCCACGTGAGGTCTGTGGTCACGCATTTAAGGAAGGACATGTCAGTTGCCAGACTCGGCTGCCTGGGCGTTTTCATGACACAACCTCCATGATCTAGAGCGCCTGCTTTTGTCTCATACCATAGCCTTTCAGGCCTTCACCTCCAACTGTTACTCAGAAATAGCTTTAACAAGCTTCGTTATCAAGTTTCTCAGCTGGGAGCAGACGCAAGTCACAAAACAGAATGGGAAGTGTGTGCCAGCTCCCTCCACCCGAAAGGGGGGACTCTGCAGACCCTGTTCTGGACTCCCTGACTGGCTGGCTGCCCGGTGGGTTCTGCCAATAGGTGGCACTGGTGGGAGGTTGGAAGGTAGGAGGAGAGGAGAAGAGACTTTCTGGTTTCCTCTGCATATCAGCATCCTATTATCACTGGGCCTCCACAGCGCCTGTCTCCAGCCAGCCGCTGCTTTTGGCATTCCTGGCCCCAGCCTCGTCCCAGCCCAGGGGAGGCAGCAGCAGCCGGCCTGTGCCCTCCGCAGCCGGAATGTTCCAGGTGCGCCCCACTCCCTCGCTGCCTGGCTGGCTCCATGGCTGTCCCCACAGCTGCGAGGTTGCACCCCTTCTGTCACCCAGCACTCCTCAGGCAGTACCCTTCCCTAGAGGTCTGAGCCCTCTTCCTTCAGTCCTCTAGCCCTACAGATAAGAGCTTCTTCCTTCAGTTACGAATCTCCTGATTTCATGAGCATCACTTTTCATCCTCTCACCCTCCCAGCACCTGTGCCGCCCATTCCTCGATCTAAATCCCTTTTTTTTTTTTTTTTTTTTGAGACGAAGTTTCACTCTTGTTGCCCAGGCTGGAGTGCAATGGTGTGATCTCGGCCCACCGCAACCTCCGCCTCCCGGGTTCAAGCGATTCTCCTGCCTCAGCCTCCCAAGTAGCTGGGATTACAGGCATGCGCCACCATGCCCGGCTAATTTTTTTGTAATTTTAGTAGAGCCGGGGTTTCTCCACGTTGGTCAGGGTGTTCTCGAACTCCCAACCTCAGGTGATCCGCCCGCCTTGGCCTCCCAAAGTGCTGGGATTACAGGCGTGAGTCACCGCGTCCAGCCCCCTTCTTTAAAATTATCTAACATGTTCTACTTTCCTGGTCTGGGGTGGTATGCTACTTGATACATCATCACAAAAAGCAAAATCCAGCAGCTAATGATCTGCCATACTACAACAAAGCTCAGTGGTTTGGACCCACTGGAAGACTGTGCGTGCCACCCTAGTGAACGTCGTGCGTGAAGGGCCAGCGGCAGCCAGCGCGCACAGCAGGCTGCGGAAGAGTGGAGCCGGCTGCAGCCTCATGCTCCACATCCCAGGGCAGCCAAAAGGTCCTCCCAGGGGTCCTGAGGCTGTGATGCAACTGGATTAAACACACCACTTTGCCCTGGTCCTACCCAAGTTTTCAAAAGCTGTCAACATAAATTTCATAGAAACAACTCTCTTTCACACTATATTTCATCAGTTTATCTATTAATAATACTAATTAAACTAAGTTAAACTAATTAACCTAACTAAATTATGTAATGCAAACCTAAGTTTACAATAAAAAGGACAAATTGGTCGGGTGTGGTGGCTCACGCCTGTAATCCCAGCACTTTGGGTGGCCGAGGTGGGCAGATTACCAGAGGTCAGGAGACCAGCCTGGCCAACATGGAGAAATCCCATCTCTACTAAAAATACAAAATTAGTCGGGCGTGGTGGCGGGGGCCTGTAATTCCAGCTACTCAGGAGGCTGAGGCAGGAGAATTGATTGAATTCGGGAGGCAGAGGTTGCAGTGAGCCAAGATCGCACCACTGCATTCCAGCCTAAGCAACAGAGCAAGACTCTGTCTCAGAAAACAAAAAAAACCCCAACAAAACAAAACAAAACAAAACAAAAACCCAGCCAACCAAACGAACAATAAGAAGGACATTGAGAAAAACAGTTTCAGACACCAGCTTGACTCTGGCAGAATGCATAGCTCAACTTCAGACAACCCTGCCTGGGGACTAAAAGCAACCTGCTTGGCATGAATATTCAGTGTCCTGAGGGGCATCGGGGAGAACACGCTACAGAAGGAGCAGGGCGTGGCCTGAGCAGAGCTGGAGAGGAGGGCTCATCCCGTAGGAGTCTCGCGATGATGAGCATCCTTCCAGCTGAGGCGGTGGGCCCGGGGGTGGAATGTGCTGGGCAAAGTTGGATTTGAGCAAAGACTCGCGCGTCAGATAGAGGAGGGGACCAGATGTCCTTGATGCTGCCTTCCTGCTCCTTCCAGTACCATTAAGGACGTCAGAACTGTCTGATCGGAACTGTGTGATTCAGTCCATCAGAACTGTCTGACAATGGACACACGGCTGCTCAGGCAGAGGCTGCCTGGCCCCTTCCCGGAGCAGGTGAGCTGGAAGTGCTGTAAGCCCCCCTCTCATTTTAAACTAATTAACCTAATTAAACCAAATTATTGATCCTTCTACAAAATGGCACCACTCAGTCTGGAATGCACCCAGATAAATGGGTGTTTCTAAATATGTTCTGTCGTGTTGTTTATAGCGTCACATTATAAACTTTTAGTAAAAAGTGAACTTCTTTAGTACAAATGTTGCACAGAGCTTCACACACCATCATGCACAAACAAGCTTTCAATAAATGTTTTAATTAACTACGATAATAGCAACTGCAGAGTAGGCAGATCCAGAGGGACCTGGAGCCTAGACCCCTCACAGACTGGCACTCTCGCCTGCACTCTTCCCCCTCTGCAGAATCCAGAGGTAGGGGCAAGCACATTAGAAGACAGTGGTACGGGGCAAAGGAGGAAGGCGTTGGGCACAGGGGTGACTGGGATTTTCTCTAACCCAGGTCATTTAAATGCGGCTGGAGACAGGCTGGGACCTGTCTCCACCTGCTTCGCGATGAGGTGGGGCAAGTTGCAAGCCAGTGTTAGGTCTCAAGAGTGCTCAACAGGAGAGGACAAATGAGGTGTTTTTCACAATTCAGGTATTTCTTGGTTACCCTAGTTAGCAGGTAACAGTGTTTGCCGGATATTTGAGGACAACTTTACTTCTGACTTCCTGTGGAGCCTCATAGGATGCAAGACAGGAGAGGAATAATTAGAAACCCCTTCCAGCTCCCTGTTTCCCTTTTCCTTTCACGAAGTATTCAGGATAAACTGTTGGCAAAAGGAGTTTTTTTCATATTCTTCTAGAATATGAAGGAATGAGAAGTCGGTGTTTTTCGTTTTTGTTCAGTAAAGCTTTCCTGGGCACATGGCCTGTGGGACGGCATTTGTTGGTAACTCACTCAGCACACCCCAGCTAAATACACTTAGGGTGTAGGATGAGATTTTCCATTAGTGATAAGGTAGCAATGGGAAACAAAGAACTAAAGCCTTCTGGAAAAAGTGGAAACATTTAGGTTGGTGGATTGGCACTCAAACAATTCATCTAGTGAAGGCCAGATATTTGTTTGTTTGTTTTACTTAGATGGTTCCTCTACAAGGAAGCATTATTTCCGCACAATGTTTCCCCTGTGCAGCCAGGTGACTGTGCTGTACTTAGCCTGGGCTGTGGTTTATACACCCTCATTGAGAGCATCCGCTATGTGCCGTGATTCTACATGGTGTTCTGGGCTGCTCTGGGGAGCACACCCTTTGACCCCAGGGAGCTCTGATACAGCAAGGCTGTATTGCTGAGGAAGGCTGTGGACAGTTGTCTGTACATGAACTGGTATTTTCTCTGCCTATCATGGGAGGCTGGGTCTGTGCAACCAAAATAAACTATTCATAATATGACAATCACAAAACTAAAACTGACTGCTCATTTTACAGGTTCTTGGGGTCATTGAAAAGTCCAGATGGGGTAACTCTGACCATGAACCTTCTACCTTTGCTGGCGTCATTTAGACAGACATGGAGGTCTGAAATTCTGGGTGACTTATCTTAAGCTGTCTTTGTTTCTGCAGTCTCAAGACTTTTTAACTTGATTGTCCTCCACCATTTCAGGCTTAAAATGTCTAAAATGCTCTCCCCCTAAGTGGCTGCTCCTGCTGACCTGCTTGATTTTATTGTCACCAGGTTCTCTCTCAGTCAAATGGACTCAAGCTTCGGTCTCTTTTGGTCCATGCTCTGTCTGTCAAAAGACCTGACCATTCTCTCTTCACGATGTTTCTTGCACTTCCTTTCTAACACACACCCCTTAATTCAGGGTTCATGAGCTCAAATTTGAACTATTTTTCCCGTTTTCACATGCCTCAAATTCTTCACCTGTTATTTCCCTGTTCTAAAACTCAGGCCCCACCTGAGACCTACTCAGTGAGAATTTGCTTTTCCATAAGATTCCCTGGTAGATTTCTGCAAGATCAAGCCTAAGAAGCCCTATGCAATGGGCCAAGGGTCTGCCGAATCCTTTGTGTGTACTCTCTCATTTAATCTCTACAATCCTATGAATTAGCACTATTATTATCCCTCAGTATTCATGGGCAAATTGAGGCTTAACAACGATAAGAAAATTGCCTGAGATCAGGGGCTGAAGTTCAGGACACCTTGAGGAAATACTAATGTGGAAATAAAAATGTGAACGAGCAGTTAGGACCGGATACTCTGAGGAGGTTAAACTGAATTCTGCAGGACGAGTAAGAACTAGACAGGCTAAGAGTGAGGGGACGAGAATATTCTGGAGAGGTTAATAGCAGGTGCAAAGGCCTGGAGGTGGGAGAGAAATGGGAACATTTTCAGAACAGAGAGGAGCGCAGCGTGGTTGCAGAGCAGTGACTAATGAGGAGAAGGCTGTGACACAAAGGCCTTGGAACTTGCTCAGGAATCTTGTTTAATTTTAATGAGTGCCAAGGGGAACACTGAAGTAGTTTAGATTAGAGTCTAAGCGGCTCTAGGACTGCTCCAAGGAGAAGGGAAGGAAGAGGGCACGGGTGAGGATGAAGCTGTGGGCTATCCACAGGGGTCTGGGTGGGAGTGCACATGGTCCGGCCAGGGTAGCACAGTAGAAATGAGGTGAAACGAATGAGTGAGATTTTGCTGGAAGATACAACTGACAGGCCTCGGACCACATCTTCCTCAGCATCTTTGGCACCCTCACTAAACAGGTAGAGAGCAGCACCCTCCATGTGGACACTAACAGAAATGCCATGGTCCATCTCCGCGGTCGAGTGGGGTCTCCCTCCCTCCTTCTCCCCATCCCACTTTCCTTCCTGCCTGCCCTCCTCTCCCCCTCTCAACGTCCCTCTCCCCTCTCCGCCTCTCTCCTAGTGAGGATAAGGGATTGGGATTGGAAAACCATAACGACCTGTAAACTGGAAACTCTCTGGAAGTACAGTGAGCACTACCTGTGCAGGTACAGCCGTGCATGCAGTCGGGCCTCCTGGTGTGTATCTTATACTCCGCGGGGAGCTGGCTCTGGGACATCCCAGATCCCGTGGAGAGTAGCTGCTGCCCTGTAATATGTCCAATGTGACTGTGGAGCGTGAAGAGCTGCATATTCAGGTTTGAGACTCAGCTTTGCCCTGATTCCTGCTCTCTGAACAGATGCCAAACTGTGCCTCTTGGGCCAGTGCAAATGGAGAAACAATTATGCTCCAACAGTTCTCCCTGGGCCTGTCAGCCTCCAGCATGAGGAGGCTCCTCTGACTGAGTGACTACATAAGGAAGGAGAAGCAGCTGACAGTGTTCTAGGGCTACCCAGCTTCCACGAAGAGAATACAATACCTAATAACAGTTATAAAATGTCATATTTCTTGTCTGATTTTTCTTATTTTTTAAAAGCACTGCAGAGAGTGGTGGATGGTTGAAATTGGGTTTAAAGATCAATTTTCCTTCTATCCTAAAAAATAGTAATTTTAGACAGTCACATACAGAGTGACCATTCTCTCCCTGCTAAATAAGAATGTTTTAGATATTTTGATTCACAGCTATCTGCAAATCCTTTACAGATTTCATGCCTATTGATTATTTACATTCATAGCAGAGGGCTGTGTTTTCACATGTAAATCCCAATAATTTTATTTAACCATTGAAGATGTATGAAAATACATGTCAAACTAGGTTATCACATTTATTTTTCTTTTCCTAAAGGGGAACAGCTCTGTTCTTAGAACTCACATCAATTTAATTTATCAGCTGGTTTGTTTGTAAGTGGGATCATCTATCAGCAGAGGGGTATTTAGAAGCTGTCCCTCTGAAGACAGGTTTCAGGTTTCTCTTCAAAATGCAAAAGGAATCACAGAGTGTTGCCTGGGCTGGTCTTCGTTGGCTGGAGGGTCTGTCGTTTTTTACTGTCAGATATTTTCACTCTTTGTTTTGTAACACAACCATCTACCCACCTGCCTTGTTAAAAAATCAGTAGCAATAAGATCAACATAGTGGGCTTATTCCTCCTCTTGACTCAATGACTTGCATTGATTCTTAGTGATATTTGGATCAACCTGTCTTTTGGCCACCTTTGGAGTGAAACAGAACCTAGTTTCCCTACGCCATTCTGAAACTTGACAGCAAGGCTTGCCTTGGCTAAGGACGAGGTCTGGCATTCAACGCCTGTGGTACACCTGACGTATATGTGTCAAGCTTAATCGGTTAGCTGGGGACACTAGATGTGAGGAAAGAGCCAAAGACTCAAAAAACGCAACTTAACTCTTGGTTCCTATGTTTAGGATAAATAATCTGATGAAGACTAAGGATTGCATTTTCCTCATTTTTTTTTTCTGTACAATTTTATGTATCGTCCTTAAACTGAAAATGTGACCTCATTTTCTCAGATCCCTCTCTCACCTTCCCTTCTCTATCTCCATCATCTTTGGAAGAAAAATCTCTCCATAATTTTCCAAATCTTTTAGAAAACTAGTAGAGATACTCAGTGACCTCAGGCCACCAGAAGGTGACTTGCAACCCTCCACGTGTGCTCCTGGATTTTCTCCCTCTAGAGAGTTCCCAATTGTATAATTATACTAAGGAGTTGCCAAGTTGTTCTGGAGATGAGCACTAAATTCATGACAGAGATTTAGTTTGATGTTGCCTTTCAATTTCATTTGTATTCTGGTTTACAGATCATTTCCTAAAACATATACCTGGCATTATATGCCTATTGGGAATTCATTGATTCAAAGATAGAATAGAGCTGTCAGGGAGTTTGGAAATCATCCAGTTTAACTTGCGACCTTTACATTTGAGCAACCTGGGGCCCAGAGAGATTAAGTGGCTGTGAGAGGTTTTATAGTGAGGTAGTGAGACAGCCAGAGCCCAGGCCTCTGCATGCCCAGCTCATGGTCTTCAACCACCAGACGCAACGAAAAACAGTCATCCACAACTAATTCACACGGCCTTCTGCCTTCTCCGTGCTTTTCTCTTTTTCTGTGCAAAGACTCCACTTTCCTCTTCCTCCAATTTGCTGTCTAGCAATTGAGAAACATACATTGTGGATCTCTTTGACCTTCTTCTCAAACTTCTTGGACCAAAGCTATTCTAGTGTGAAACTAGGGTTGGGCCAGGAATCTATGAATAAATGGGTCACCAGCTACCAATACACATTTTCTCTTCCTTTTCCTATACAGGTAACATGCACCCTGATTCTGTCCCCCAAATTAAAGCACTCAGCTTAAACTAGCATGCTCCATGCCATAAAAAGTTATAAGGACAGTGAGGAGATTCCCCGGACCAACCAGAACAAAACTCAAATTGGAGCATGACCCAGCACAAGGGAGCAGCATGTGCCCAGAGGGGCGCACAGAGGCCCTGCTGAGATCCAAACAAAACGAGCACCTTACAATACGTTAACTGTGTAACAGCATCTATTTAGTTACAGGATTGACAAATTAATAGGAAATGCTTTCCTTAGAAAATGCCCTCTTATCCATCATCCATGTGCCCATGTATTCACCTGCTTACCCACCAGTCTGTCTAATCTTCTTGCTGCCTTATTCTAGAAAGGATTTGAGCAGCAGGCTTTAAAGAAATGCCTGGCAGCTCTGCTGTAACTGGAATAGTCCTACTGATGAGATCATCAAATATGAGAAAGCACAAAGATATTAATCTGATAATAATATCCGTTTTATAAAACTTCATAGTATATAAATATTAATAAACATTCACAAATTTTTTTTTTCCTTTATGACCTTCTTTCTTTAAATATTAGGGTAATCTGTACCATTTCCTTTTAATCTCCTTTTTCTCATTGTCTCTCTCTCTCTCTCAACATCAAAAGGAAATAGTAGGAATTACTCTAATACCATATATACACACACACATACATGCATACACACATATGTATATTAGAGACAGAGAGAGAGAGTTACTGCTTTCTTTGCAACTTTTGGAAATTATACCATTATAAAAACCAGAAAGCCTCAGTTGACTGACTCTATCCCCACATCGACCAAGTGTAAAATCATAAAGATTTTTTTTTTCCTACTAAGAGGACAGCTGGAGAGCAAAAATGCGCTGTCTTTCAATTAATCAGTCATGAGAAGCAATGGTAGGAAAACATCATGCATCATTCACGAAACACATGTAAAACAGCAGACACATCACAGGCCTGTGTCAACAAAGGGCATTAGGACAGTTCCTCGGATTGTGACAAAAGTAGCCAGTCAATCTTTCCCCAAATTCAGAAACCAAATTGCAAGCCCTTACCTTGGAGGGCCTGTAAGCTATGAGTCTGTACGATAATGCAGAGCTGCAGGACCAGCTGTGGAGCACTTTCCAGAAAGGTGGCTAGCAAATGCAGCATACTCACATCCGCATACTCATATACCATTTTCCAGTAAAACCTCCATCTGTCATTCTCCCCACTCTGTCGGCTTCGAATACCTAAGTATATTGTGTGGAAATATCTAGAAAGAAAACATGGAGAATAAGAAAGAGATGAGTGATGATAGTTTATAATTCAAACTCCAGGGTTGTTCTTTTCTGCAAGCCACCATATGCAAGCAAGCACAAGAAACAATTACCTCGGGGGCTTATGAGTTAAAGTCCAAAGTTAACTGCTTAAGAGTACCCATATTTGTAAATGCTCACTTTGAGAAGTCACTGCAATTTTAGTCCTCATAAAGACCTTCTGCTCAATTGCAATATGAAGAAGCGTGAGGTGGAATGTGGTGGAAATTCAGGTGGAGAATGGGTTTGCTACTTTAAAGATCTACATACATTCTTTTTTGTCAGTTTCTTTATGTGCTTAACGGTGTTCATGAGGGGATTTCTCCTAGGACAGAATGAAAGCCTGAAATACCAAAATATATGTGCATATAAACCTTCTTATGCCTTAAAAAATCACTTTTTATTATTGCAAATTCCCAACATATACAAAAGGAGAAAAAAATAAAGTAATGCATCCACTATACCCTTTCACTCAGTGTAAGTACAGTTGATCCTTGAACAATGAGGGTTGGGATATCAATGTAGTTGAAAATCTGCATATAATTTTTGACTCTCCACTTCACTAATAGCCTATAGTTGATTGGAAGCCTTACTGATAACATAAACAGTCTATCAACACATATTTTCTATATGCATTATATACTGTATTCCTATAATAAAGAGAAAAGAAAATATTAAAATCATAAGGAAAAGAAAATTATTAACTATCTATTAAGTTGAAGTGGATCATAAATGCCTTCATCGTCATCATCTTTACATTGAATAGGCTGAGGAGGAAGAGGAGGGGTTGGTTTTGCTGTCTCAGGGTTGGTAGAGATGGAATAAAATTTGCCTGTAAGTAGACCTGCACAGTTCAAACTTGTATTGTTCAAGGGTCAACTGGAGTTATCAACATATTGCCAATCTTTTTTATTTGCACCTCCACTTACGTCCTGTCACCAAATTATTTTAAAGCAAACCCCGGGCATCACATTATTTCATCTATAAGTATTTTATTTAAAATAATTTTAAAACCAATATTGTGATCACATTTACAAATATAGTAATTTCTTAACAGTATCAAATACTCAATGTTCATATTTTCCTGATTATCACAATTTTTTAAGTTTGTTTGAAATGCAGTCCAAACAGGATCCACATAAGATGATTATTTGATATGTATCTTAAGTCTTTTTTACAACATGGATTATCCTTCCATGTCCTTTTAAATTTCTTGCATATTTTCTTTGTCTTGATTTTAATGATTGTATTTGCATGGTGTGGTTAACATATCTATCCTTTGTGTTTTCTGCAAATGGGTAATTAGTGTTAGAATTTTGATCAGCTTCAAGTTCGACTGCTTTTGGCAGGTGATATTGTGTACTTTCATCAGGAAGCACATCAGAATTAGTTGTTCTATTTTATGATCTTACCATATACTGATGATATTGCAATCAAGGTTGCAAAATGGTGATATTCAGAGTCCATCATCCTTCTTTACTTACTTGTTAGAATACTTCTCCAGCTCTCTTGCCAATGTCTCTACAGTATTTGGTTGTCTGGAGCTTGCTGTCTGGTAGATCCCTCAAGAAAGGTACATAGGGATAATATTTCCTGAGCTCTTGCATATTTATAACAGTATGTAGTTCTCAATCTTGCCTTGGGTGAGTATAGGTTCTTTTGGTTACACAGACCCAAAAGTTTCACAGTTTTAGTTGGAGATTGGTACCTACTTTTAGAGTCTGTGAATGAACTGCATTTACCTAGTGCAAAGATTCTCAGATGCCAAGAGCGAAGGATAGCAGAGATACAGCAAGGAAGTGCAGGTGCAGAAAATCCAGGCAAGCTTTTCACCGAAAGCTTAGGTTGGATGGATATAGAATTCATGCATATTCCATGCAAGGCCCAAGATCTGCCATTTATTTATTTGAGCCCTTTAAATCTGTCATTTCGTTGTTTACTAGCCTAGTGTTCTTATGGAAAAGTCTGATAGAAATCTGACATTCATTCTCTTATAAGCTACTTGATCTTTTTGCTTTGAAGTCCCAAGCATATTTTGTTTCTTTTTAGAGATCTATGGTTTTATTAGAATGTACCTTGATATCGGCTGTTCTGCATCCATTTTCTGAAGAATGTGATATGTATCTTCATTATATAGCTTCAGGTTTCCATGTGTAGTTTTAATTTTTCTTGAATGATAGCATTCAGTATTTTTTCTAATCCATTGCTTTGTCTTTCTTCTTGGATGCCTCCTCTTGATTATATATGCTATATCTGCTTTATTCTGTGTCTAACAGTTTCTTTTGAATCCTTCTAATCTCAAATTTCTTCTTGATTTTTCCTCCTCTCCGTCTTCTATTCATCTTCTCACTGTGGTGTGTGTATAGTGCCATATCCCTTCCAGTTGAGTTTTCATGTCTGTCCTGCTTTTTTTTTTAAATATAAAATTCTAGGCTGGGCATGGTGGCTCACACCTGTAATCCCAGCACTTTGGGAGGCTGAGGTGGGCGGACCACCTGAGGTCAGGAGTTCAAGACCAGCCTGACCAATATGATGAAACCCCCTCTCTACTAAAAATACAAAAATTAGCTGGGTGTGGTGGCACATGCCTGTAATCCCAGCTACTTGGGAGGCTGAGACGGGAGAATCACTTGAACCCAGGAGGCGGAGGTTGCAGTGAGCCGAGATCATGTCATTGCGCTCCATCCTGGGCAACAAGAATGAAACTCCATCTCAAAAAAAAAAAAAAAATTCTATACTGATGAGTCCTATCCATCATCCTTTGTGTCAAATATTACTTTTTTCTACTTATTTCTTTTATGAATTTTTCTAATTCTGATTTATATTGTTCTTCATAGCTTTTACAATTTTAAAATTTTCTTTCAGCTCATTTAGAGGTATTTGCTTATGATTTTTATCCATTTTGTGCATGTGTGTTTTTTTTTTGTTTCATTGTCTATAGAAACATCATTAGTTTTCTTACTTTCTTTTCATTGTAATAATTGATAATTTTCTTGTTGCTAAGTTTTAAAAGTTAATTTAGTTTCCTATACTTTTAGGAGGGATGAGTGGGCCAGGATAGCTGAGCTGGTTTTACAGCTCTAACACACTCTTCTGGTGTTCTCATGAAGTGGTAAACAGAATCACTTGTTACTTTCTGCTATCAGCTGCCTCTGCTCCTCCCCCCTTTTATTTGGACATTCTCTCTCATCTTTTGCGGTTGTCCCTGTCCTACTCAGTTTGGAATCTATTCCCAGCAGATTCTCCTCAGTATGGAGGCTTGTTTGGGAAAGGCCTTCAGTTTCTTAGTTAATGGGATTAAAGGACCCAGCCTGCTCCAGTAGCATCAGATTTGGTTGCACTGTGGCCTCCTTGGACTCACCCCTGCATTGGATCATTGAGAACACCCTCCCTCCATATCTCTCCTCCTACTCTGAGCTTGGTTCAGGGCACTTCTCAGGGAGTATCTGGTTCTCAAGGTCTTCCCTCTGCTTTCTCCTGCATGGTTTTGATATCACATTGGCTCTTACATGTTGTCACTAATTTGTCTCTAGGTAATTATGGGGGTATCTCAACACTGTTTTATCATCCACAATTCTTCAGTTTTATCAACCTAGTTGCTCTGCCTATTTTAATTCGATAATTTTGGTAGACTAAAGAATGATGTTGCCATTGTCACCATATTTGCAGAACATACCATTTTAAAACACAAAATGGCTTTAATCATTCCCTTGAACCTTTGGCTGCTCTGTATGAACTCTAAGGTGAAGCTTGCTATCGTGCACTTTACAGGGACTTTCATGGGCAGATCTCTTTCTCCCACCGCTGCACGGCTGCAGCTTGTGATGAGCTCAGTGCCAACTGCTGGTGTTTCCTTTCTTCTACCTCCATGGCTGTTCACATGCTTATGCTTGGAATAGCCCTGGAATAGCCTTTCCTGATTCTCTGACTGCCAGGCACATTTTTGAATAAATAGTCTCCATTCGATCATCACCAATCATCCTTGAATACTCCATGAATATGCAACCTGTTTGTATTAGTTTCCTAGAGCTGCTTTAACAGAGTGTGACAGACTGTGGTTTAAATCACAGAAATTTATTATCTCACGGTTCTGAAGACTGGAAGTCTGAAATCAGGGTGTCATCAGAGTTCATTCCTCCTGAAGTCTGTAAGGAAGCATCTGTTGCATGCCACCCTTCAGTAGTTTCTGGTGGTTTGCTGGCAATCTTTGGCATTCCTCAGCTTGTAGAGGCATCATCCCAATTTCTGTCTTCTTCACAGGGCATTCTCCCTGTGTGTGTGTCTGTTTCTGTGTCTAAATTTCTTCTTTATATAACTACACAGTCATACTGATTAGGAGTCACCCCAATGATCTCATCTTCACTTGATCATGACAAAGATCTTATTCTATTTCCAAAATAAGGTCACATTCACAGGTATGAGGTTAGGACTTCAGTATCTGTAAGGGAGGACACGATTCAACCCTAACACTTTTCTATCAGTGTTTGATCTTGTTCACTCCATGACTTCTCCTCCCCTGTTTAATGATTTCCAAGTCTGCATCTCAAACTCCAACCCTCACCTGAGATTCAAACCCATGTCCCCATCTACTTTCCAGATTTCCTGCAATCATATAAAAGCAAACATATTCAAAACACCTTGTTAGACTTCTTTCTAAATTTGTCCCATTTGCTATACTGGGGAGACACTTCCATCCATTAAGTTGTCCATCCATTAAGCTAAATCTAGGGGGCATTTTCGGCCTTTACTACTTACATCTGGTAACTATATTCTGGAGCTTTTATCTCTTTAATATATTTCTTTTCCTCTCCCTTTACTAAAGTCAGATTCTTTGGGTTTCTATTTTGGTTCTTTAATCTACTAATGGTATGACTTTGGGCTTAAAATCTCTCTGCCTTAATATGTCCATCTTTAAAGGGGGAAAATCACAGTACCAATCACATAGGTTGACCTGAGAATTAAATGTAATAAAAGTGAAGGACTCAGCACAGAGCTTGGTATTAATAGATAGTAAGCATTCAGTAAATGCTAGTTCTTACTATTTATTGATTGACTTTGAAAACGCTAATGGATTCTTCCCATTGCTTCTAGTGTGACCTGTCTGTGACATACATTGAATCCAATTTCCATCACCCAAACCTCAATGACTCCCCACTGCCTAGAAGACAAAACAGTAAAGTCAATCAATGCAAATGAAGGCATTTAAGTTTAAAACTTTTAGTTTTAACCTTTCTTCCTAACCTTTGGCCTCTATGCCCTATCCCATATTCTATGTTCCCACACTCATTGAAACACTCCCTGCTCCTTGGAGATGAATCCACACCTCGTGCCTTTGCTCATGTGGTTCTCCTGCCCTGGAATGCCTCTACACATTCCTTATCACGCTGGAATCTCTACTATTTTATAATACTCAAGAATTCCCTCTCCCTTGGCCTCTCTCCCCACCCGGGTAAAACTGGCCATTCCATTGTTTGAGCCCAAATTATCTTTACTCAGACTTTAACTAGGGAAAAATAACATTATTTTTGTATGTATTCATCTGTGAGTTCATCTCATATTCTAGAATATAAACTCCCAGAGAGGAAAGAATGTCATTTGTCTTTGTACCCCTATAAAGAAACATCTGGCTCAGTTTCTGATGATTAATAAGCACTCAATTAACATGCATCCTTTTATGGATTCAATGAGTATGTATTGAACACATGCAATATTTGCAATTTTATGTTTTTGTCCAAGGGAAACAGGAAGTCACTGGAGAGATTTGAATGGAAAAGTAGGGAATCTGACTTGCATTTTAACAAAGTTGGTTATTGTATGGAAAATAAAGGATAGTAGGGCCAGGAGAAAAGTAGGGGCATTGGCCGGAAGACTAGTGCAATAATCCAGGTGAGAAAAGATGCTGGCTTTGATCAGGGGGGCCAGTGATGTTGGCTGTGTGAAGATGTAAGAGTTGGCTATCTTGTGAAGAAAGCACAGACAGTGTTTGCAGGGAGTGAACAAATTAATGAATAAATGCTCCACTTCCTTGCAATTCTAACAGAAGGTTTAAATTCAGGACCTCCATGGTCAGTAGAACTCCCACAAATGCCTCCCTGAGCTACTTTCTTTCCAGTTTTTTTCTGGGAGAAGGCTATGTATACTCCCAGCTGTTTGTTTCTATAGGCTAAAAAGCTACAAACATGCTCCCCAGGGACTTGAACTCTTCTGGTACAATGAGACGTTTGTTTTTATAGCACCTTGAGCTCACAGTTAATCTGATCCTGGTGACAGGTTTCTTCCAATAGAATAAAACAACCAGTATTAGGTTTCACAGAGTTTCACATAATAAGACACAAAATCAAACCTTCTAATACTGCACATACAGAGTTCAAACATCTATAAACCAAGGATGACAAAAAAAAATAAAAGCTATTTTCAGGTCCTGAATGGGGAGTTTTTTTGTTTTAATTTTGGTAAACTATATATAACATAAAATTTACCGTCCTAATTATTTTAAGTGTGCAGTTCAGGAGTGTGAAGTGCCATCACATTGCTGTGCAAACATCACCACCACCCATCTTCAGAAGTCCGTTCACCTTAGAAAATGGAAACACTGGCTGGGCATGGTGGCTCATGCCTGTAATCCCAGCACTTTGGGAGGCCAAGGTGGGTGGATCACTTGAGGTCAGGAGTTCGAGACCAGCCTTGCCAACATGGTGAAACCCCATCTCTACCAAAAACATAAAAAATTAGCCAGGTGTGGTGGCGCACGCATGTAATCCCAGCTACTCAGGAGGCTGAGGCAGGAGAATCACTTGAACCTGGGAGGCAGAGGTTGCAGTGAACCGAGATCGTGCCACTGCACTCCAGCCAGGGTGACAGAGCAAGACTCTGTCTCAAAAAAAAAAAAAAAAAAAGAAAAGAAAAAGAAAAGAAAACATAATCTCTATATCCACTAAACAATTCTCCATTCCCCTCCTTCCCCAGCCCCTGGCAACTACCATTCTACTTTCTCTCTTCTCTGGATTTAACTCTGGATGAATCTCTGGATTTAACTACTCTGGATATCTTCTCTGGATATAAGTGGAATCATACAGTATTGGTCTTTTTGTGACTGGCTTATTTAATTTAGCATAATGTCCTCAAGGTTCATCTGTGCTATATAGCTCGTATCAAACTTTACTTTTAGATGGGGAGTTTTAAAATGCCTGAATTTTTGATGGAGGAAAGACCTCCATACAACATAGCAACTCCTTGATGGGTCCAGCTTACAAAGAATGACACAGGAAAATATTCTAGATTAAGGTTCCATCTACCAGCCTGGAAGTCCTGCCCTTAGGAAGTAGGGGCGGGTGGGTCATGTGAAGTGCCAGGCTGGTGTCCTGCACATGCTCTTGCTCTTTGAAAATAACTATAGGCAAAGAGCACGCACAAATTCACTCAGGATTAGCTATGAGGATATACAGCATTGTGTTATTTATAGTACAAAAAATGGTTAAAACCCAAATGCCCAATGATAAGGTATTAAACAAATTATAACACATCCATTCATTGTATATTGTTAAGGCAAAAGGCAGGTTAAAATAGTATAGCCAATGTATCCCATTAATAATTTTAAGTGTGTGTGTGTATGTGTGTGTGTGTACACACAGAATAAAATTTAGGACATTTAACACCAAAATATTAAAGTGATGATCTCTCAGTGGTGGGATCATGTGTCATTGTTATTTTTGAAATTCATAAACAATGCTGTAATAAACTTTCATGTAGCTAAAGTGCTGAAATAGCTTTCATATTTTTTAAGCTTTTGATATATATTGTAAAATTGTTCTCTAGAAAGACTGTACTAATTGGTAGTGATAAGTGTCCTTATTTTCTTAAACCCTTATGTATTATCATTAAAATTGCCAATTATATGGGTGGACAAAATGCATGTTCGATTAGTGACTTTTATTCTTATTAAGGTTTAACATTCGTTGGTGTGTATTAGCCTCTTGTATTTATTATTCTGTGATTTGCCTGAACGTCATTTTCAATTTTAATGTGTTTATTTTTCAGGCGCTGATCCTCAAATTTGGCTTATTTAACACGGACCGTGGTAACAAAATCACTGACAAATTCCTACCACATATTTTATACTATAATATTCTAGCTTGGAATCAGAGGATGCAGAAGCTGGAGGGATGTAGGGATCAGATGTCCAAGGTGATATGGCTGAGAGATGGAAGCTGGGCCAAGGTCCCCGATATCCCAATACCAGGTTCCATGATCATACATTACATCTGTCCAGCTTGCATTATTCTGGAATTCACCATAGCAAAAACGCTCAGATGGTATTTACTGCATTTCCCAGTCTTCTACGTACTTTTTTGCTGAGAGACAATAGGTGCAGAGGTTAAGGACTTCAGTTCTGAACAATCATGGCTCTGTCAGTTCCAGAACTCTGGGGAATTACTTTCTAATTTCTAAACTTTAGGTTTCCATCCTGTTAAAAAATGACTAATTAAAAATAAGATGAGATGATGTACATAAATTACCTAGTAAGCAATAAGTAAATATTAGATGTCAGTAAAAATAAGTTGATTTTTTTCAGGAGTAAAATCAAAGTAGCAATGATACCTTAATCTTTGGATTTTCCTTTCAGCTACCTGGGCTCCAAGACATCTTGAGACTCTGATTTGTGTGGGTCAGCTTGTATCAGAGAACTCAAAGTCTGTGGAAACCACTCTCTCTTTCATCTCTTTCTCTCTGTCTATCTGTATTTATCTAGTTCTATATGTCTATCTGTATCCATCTCTATCTCTCTATCTGTATATCTGTCTATATCTCTATGTAAACATCTCTATCTACTTGTCTGTCTGTCTCTGTTACTCTATCTAGATCTCTACCTATTTCTGTATCTTTCTGTCTCTTTTATCTATCATCTCTCTCTCTGTGTGTGTGTGTGTGTGTGTGTGTGTGTGTATGTTTGTCTGTCTCTCTCTCCCTCTATCATCTACCTATCCATTATCTCTATTCATCCAGTCTATCCAGGTCCTTCCTGGATTGTATTGTAACCTCATGTCCTATATTGTAACCCCATGTCCACTTCTGACACTGGGGAGAGGAGGATGGCTGACAGCCAGTCCCTGGAAAATGACCCTTTGCACACTTGAAGAGAAAAGCCAAGCAGTCTTGTCTCCTTGGAAACTGTGCTGATTGTATCTAGAAAATATTATTTCCTTCTGGTTCTCATAGACGATATCCTGTGAGCCAGAATTACCCCTTGAGAAGGCAGGGATGGCTGTCCCTCCCTCACAGGCTGTGTGGGGATTAGATGGGAGGATGTGCCTGGCACACACATGCCTCACTCATGACAAGCACGCTGCCATGAACAGTGGCTCTTGATGTTCTGGATTCCTCTAGATTGCTGGTCTTTTCCCCCCTCATAACTGAGGTGATTTAACGTCTTCGGTCCTTGTCATTTTCTCTAGGCATGTTATCCGGCATGGTGTTTTGTCACATTGGGTTAGATCAGTCTGTTAATCAGTATCTGGGCTTCGACTGACCTTCCAGAGGAGAAGACGAAGATGTCACCATCCTACTGAGAAACAAGCTGATTTCTGGGCTTCCTGAAATCCAGGGAATCCAGGCTGGGGGCTAGGTAGGGTGGAGGTTGGGGCTCACTAAGGTTTTCCTTTTGAGGATTCTGCATGGTTGTAAGAAAATATCTCTAAAGAGGTTGGTCAGGGAAGTTCACAGTAATGAAAAGCTTCAGTTCCACTTAGATATTTATACAGATGGCAGAGAGAAGTCACAGAAAGCCATATACACAGCTAAAAATTTAGCATAACTACCACAGAGTATCATTAAAGGCAGAAAAAAGTTTCAAGGCCTTGCCATCAAGGATGAAATATGCCATGAGCATGAGAGAACAGTGGATTAAATACCCAGCTCTCATTAGTGCTAATGGGAGATGTTCCCGATAAAAGCCCTCTCTGAAATGTCAATGTGTTCTGCCTCCTCTTCAGAGGTAAACACATTTTACAAGACACTTGCTTTCCTTACCATATGACTGATTCATTTTCTCATATGGTCAGTCTTATTATTTATTGCCCTGGGAAGCATGCTAAGGGAAGATATAGTTTTGTTTACATCACAAAGGTCACCAAGAATTCTGCACTGACTTTATCCACATAATCTCAATCCAACAACATCTTGACTTTGTGATTTCCTTAGCATTTTTGAAGATGTGCATGAAAACACACATGCATAACTCCCCACTACACCATGCACACGGACACCTATATGTAACCCATCCCCTCCACAACACAGGCACAAAATCAAGTCCAGTGAGATTCTGAACATGTAAATTGCATTTAAATTCTCAGCTCCTTTTCATCAGTATTTTCCAAGTGCTAAACAGCACCATGGACTCAAACCACAGCCTCCTATGTCACTAAGTTCAGACTGAAACATAATATGGCCTAAGTGACAAGCTTGGCAGGGAAATCTCAAACATCTGGTATGTCAAAGATCACATAGCTAGTACATATTTAATCTAAAATTGAAATAATTGACATAATCCTTACATTACTTGTGGGGAAATGGGATGTATGTGAGTCATGTTTCAGACAGTTCATATGTAAGATAAATATTTCAATCCCTAAATAAGATTTGACCGAGTGTTACATTAACTGCTGATATATCCATAGCTGAATAAGAAATCATTAATACCTATGATGATACTATGCAAATATATTCTAATATTGAATTTTATTTTGCTATCTTTTGTACATTAAACAGTTTGGCTGTTATCAGTTGTTATTTTTACTGTCTGAAAAATACAGAGTGAAATCTGTGCAGAAGATCTTTAAATAAACAACATTACTAAACAGTGATTCCAGCAAGTGATATTTTCTTCTGTTGCCTGGCTACAAAGCTTTCTAAACACACACACACACACACACACACACACACACACACACACATAACCTCAACAGGTTTCTGTTTTTGTTACTCTTAAGAAAATTGTATGACTTGTCATCCTAAGATGGGTAAGCTAAGCAACAAGGACACTCACAACACCACCTTGTTTTAGTACCAGGATATTAGGCTTCTGCCTTCTCCATTCTGTGGTGAATAATAGTAACAATAACTTAAAATTCTGGCCTACATTCTATGGTAGAACATTTTCCTAGTGGCTCTTGTTTCAAGATTAGACTTTATTTCCCACTAATCATCCAAAGGAAGAAAAAACTATGTGAATTGAGGGAGAAAGAATGAAGCGGGGCTGAGTGTGGTGGCTCACGCCTCTAATCCCAGCAATTTGGGAGGCCATGGCAGGTGGATCACTTGAGGTCAGGAGTTTGAGAATATCCTGGCCAACATGGTGAAGCCAGTCTCTACTAAAAATATAAAAAATTAGCCGAGTGTGGTAGTGCATGCCTGTAATCCCTGCTACTCGGAAGGCTGAGGCAGGAGAATCACTTGAACCCAGGAGGTGGAGGTTGCAGTGAGCCAAGATTGTGCCACTGCACTCCAGCCTAGGTGACAGAGCAAGACTCTGTCTCAAAAAAGAAAAAAAAAAAAAAAGAAAAAGAAAATGTAAATTCTATACTCACTAAACAACGATTCTCCATTCCTCCTCTTTCCCCAGCCCCTGACAAACACCATTCTACTTTGTCTTCTCGGGATTTGACTACTCTAGATATCTTCTCTGGATATAAGTGAAATGATGCAGTATTTGTCTCAAAAAAAAAGTGAATGAATTGGATAACCTTCTATTTGACACAGGCATTAGGGGTCATGGTCATAGGGGACAGTTGGGGCTGTCTTCCACCCTGAGAGTACCAGAGCAGGCTGTGACCCACACTCCACTCTTCATTGTCATTGTCTCAGTGCCCCAAGCACACCACCTCTCACCAGAGGCACCAAACTTCTCCCAAAGCAATGAGTGTGCATGTAATGTCCCGCTCATGCTGATGTTACGAACATTCACAGCAGGAAAAGAGAGATGGGGAATATGCACAGGGCCTTCCAAGAAATCCTTGAACCTGACCACTTTTTCCTTTTTAAGCACACTTTAATTTTTCTTCCCAAGGGCAACACTGACTCTCAGACTAATGAGGCTTTAGGTTTCTCTGCATACACTTGACCCATGAGCTGCACTTTGATTGCCTCCATCTCCTTCCTAGATAGAAATAAGGAGAATTAATTTTGGCCCTCAAAGAAGATCATATTTCAGTGGCTACACATCATGGCGTATGGCATTGTAAGCTTACACAAAGTACAGTCATACTTATTCAGCATCTTGTATTTCATAAAGGCTTATTTTTATTTATTTCCTTTTTATTCTTTTATTCTTTTTTTTTTCTTTTTTTGAGATGGAGTCTCACTCTGTCACCCAGGCTGGAGTGCAGTGGCATGGTCTTGGCTCACTGCAACCTCTGCCTCCCGAGTTCAAGTGATTCTCCTGCCTCAGCCTCCCAAGTAGTGGGGATTACACCAAGTAGGTGTGGTGTGCACCACCACACCCAGCTAACTTTTGTATTTTTAGTAGAGACAGGGTTTCACCATGTTGGCGAGGCTTGTCTTGAACTCCTGACCTCAAGTGATCCACCTGCCATGGCCTCCCAAATTGCTGTGATCTGCCCACCTTGGCCTCCCAAAGTGCTGGGATTATAGGCATAAGCCACTGCACCTGGTCTCCTTTTTATTATTATGTGAAAACAAGATTTATCTATGGGATATGTTTTGCTTAAATTTTATACATATCTCTCATGAAGATATTTTTTACATGAGTAGTTACTCTTCAGGCATTTCCTTAGACCTAGAGGAGGAAGTAATAGAAGTTTTTTCTCTATTAAATAATTTCTCCTGTAGTAGGCACTATGGCCAGGGCCTCTTGGGCAACTTGGTGAGTCCGGCTGAAATAGGAGAGGAAGTTGCTGAACTTGGAAGGAAGGTTCTCTATGCACTCGCATCGCCTCATAGCAACTGTACCTAACAAAAGCAGCATTTCTCCCCAAATTATTCTTCTGTAGAGCTCCTACATGCAAATATTTTAACAGTAAAATGTGTATTCAAATGGAGAAGAGTGGCTTGAAGTAAATAGAGCAGTGGTTACTATTTGACATAATATTGACATGGTGACTGTGATCCAAGTCTTCAAATGATTAAGAGGCTACTGGCAGAAATTATTAGCCACATTAAAAAAAAAAAAAACAGACAGGGTTAACAGAATATTTGTTCTCACAACTCAGGAAGCAGTGATCGTGATAGAATCAGAACCTTTGTCCTAAGCCCTGTTCAAGTGATTTTATGATAAATAAGGAAAGCACCGAGTGTCTGTGTGCATGTGTTTGTGCAGTGGTTCATTCTTTTTAAAGTCACAGCACTACCTTATAGCATTTTACTGCTTCACTTTAGCAGATTTATGGATGTTTATAGTTTTAAAAGATAACTGAAAAATCCATAGGCCTAGGGTGCCTGACCCGTCACATCCATTGGGCAGCCAAGTATGGAGGGGAGAGAGAGAGTGGGGGTATAACAACTTGGGGTGTTGTGTGTTTCTGGTGGCCCTGAGGTCCTGTCTGAAGTGTCCAGAAGCAGTGCACATCACAGGGATTGATTTCACCAGCAAAGTGCCAACTTCCAAGAGCTTCGATGCTTACAGCATCTACAGCCACACAACCTTCACCTGCCACACCCCATCTCATCTGAACGCTTTCAGAGGTTTAGGTCCAAATGCAATCATTTTGTGTTCTTTTTAAGGCAGTGTGTTATTGTGCACATTATTGTCTCATTATAATTGTATTATTTATTCATTCATTCATCCATTCTAGGGGAAGAAGAAATTCAAGCTGTGTCTCTCCAGAATCTTGTCAGAATTAGAAAACATAAAATACAGTGTTGTGCAAAGATGGAGAATAAAAGAACCCAAGGTCTGGCTAGATTGAGTCTGAAATACTTTAGTGGTTGTGAATAGGAGGACTTTCTTGAAAGCAGCAATGCCCCTTCTCTGCATGAGCCCAGTCTGCAGGGGCCATTAACTGTGCCCTCTGCAGCAAGATTCTGGGAGGAGAGCAGACAATGTTTGTCTGCTCCCAGCGTACATTGGCAGGTTTGGTCTACAGTTTATCACTGTTTCATGTGGGCAGCTAATTTCTGAGAGTGGAATGCCGAAAGGCTTCATGGGCCAACATTTCAGAGGCTGTGAGACCAATTCAATAGGAGGAAAGCATCTGAGCTCCCTGTGCCAACAGCCTGCCCATGCCTGTGGTGGGAATGTTTCTGGAAATGGCTTCCGTGGAATATAGCACAGAGCAGCTCATGAAGATGAGTCCAGGAAAGGGCGAAAAGCTTTCACCATCATAAGAACCATAATTTTTCTTATCTTATTGGTTCAGCAATATTTGCTCTCAACTGTTTTTAGCACCCCAGGGAAAATCATCATACCACAACTGGGTGTAAGAATTTGGTAAATGGGCTGTTGAAAACAATGTGCTAACCATGGCAGGAGTTGGATGATCCTCCATACAAAGCATCTAGCAGCATGCAGAGCCCTTCTCGAGAAAAGTTTCTGAGATCACTTTCCAAGCTAGGTACTATAAAGAATTTTACCTAGGCATTGTGCCTACAGACAAAAGTTCAGTGTTTCCAAAAGGAAAGTCTCCTTTGACTAAAACAATTGATTCATTCTACTCTTTCATTCAACAAGTATTTGTTGAGCACCTACTTGGAGATCAACACTCCTCTCGAGGGAATACAGCAGCAAATGAAATAGGGACTTACATTTTAGATGGGGAAGATAAGCAATAAACAAGTACAAGATAAAATATACAAGTTTATGCTAAGTGCCAATAATGAAGTAAGACAGGAAGGAAAGTAAGGAGTTTCACGGGGCTTGCAAGTTCAGATGTGTGGCAGGGAAATATACTAGAGAGGTGAAACCTGGGTCAAAGTCCAAAGGAGGAAGAGGAAGCAAGCCCTCTTCGTTTAAAATCTGGAAGAACATTCCAGGCAGAATGAACAGGAGGCGTTGAGGTGGCAGTGTGTGTGGTCCATTCCAGGAGCATCAGGGAGATGAGTGGTGGAGCAGATCGGTGGGGGGCAGTGGGAGATCAGAGCAGAGAGGCAGTGGGACGGTCTGATCACATAGGGCATGGTGGGCACTGTGTGGACTGTGCGAGTGAGATGGGAAGCAATTAGAGGGCTTAAAAAGGGGAGGAGCACAGTGAGGCCAACATCTCATGAGGACTTCCAGCAGCTGTGCTGAGAATGGCATGAAGGGGAGCGAGTGTAGAGTCAGAGGCAGGCTGTTGCAATAACCTGGCAAGTGATGATGGTTGTTAGGACCTGCACAATAGCAGTGAGGAACTGGGTAGATTCTGGGTATTTATTTTGAAGTTAAAGCCAGTGGGATTTGTGACCATGTTACACGTTATTTGTAATACTCATGGAAGACATGGGGTGTGAGAGAAAGAGGAGGCAATGCTGACTCCAAGATGTTTGCCCTGAGCTCCTGGAAAGATAGAGTTGCCATTTACAGAGATGGGGCAACTTAGATGCGAGATCCACAGATCATGATGAGCTTTGGACAGTTTAAGTTTGACATGCTTTTTAAATATTCAAGCAGAGATCTTGAGTAGACAGTTGGATGCATGCATTGGAATTCAGGTCCAGTCTAAGGGATTATTTGGGAGATGTTAGGGTATTTAAAGCCATAAGACAAGATGAGACTGCCCTCACTTACAGTGCCAGCCTTAATGTCTTCCTGTGCATCCTTACTATGAGTGGGTTCAGTGCCCACCGAGAGGGTTTTACTTCAAAAGGCACCATGCTTAAATACATCAGGCGGCCCCAGGGGCCAAGGATCCAGCTTCTCTCAGGGAGGTGTGAATGTTCAGGAGGTCTCTTCCTTCCCAAGGCCAAGAGTTTGAAAGCCGGCCTGTTGTCCACCTATGGGGTTAGGAGGAAATTAAATGGCATCGGTTTGAAATTAACTTGAAGATAAGGTTTCCATGATGTCTAAACCTACATGCTCTTTGGTCATCTTTTTTTGGTGGGTGTGCTGGTGGAAATGACACAGATGTCTTCAGAAAGTTCTTCATTGCAGAGTAGTCAGAAATATCCTTACTGGAAAGGGACAGAAGGAAACACAGAGAATCCAGGGCGCCTTCCTGGCACAGGTACCCTGAGACATGTCTCTGCCTGTGGTCCTGTAGCACTCACACTCTGGTACATCCTGAGGGTTTTGTTGTAGACCTCATGCAGGGCAGCCTAAAAGGACTGGAGAGCCAATGCCCTGGGAGCAGCCCTCTGCCAATGAAAAGTGGGAATGGGAGCATCAATACCCCTGCTGCCCACCTGCCAGGTAATGTAATTCTGAAGGGTTCTGACCACTGCCTCACAGAGGAGTCCCAGTGGGCTTGGGTCCCAGCTGCCCACAAAGGTGACCTGCTTATGAACACACTAGTTTCTCTGTGTGTTCCCCTTCCCTATTCTCTGACTAGTACTTCCTGGGACCACCTTTAAATAAACCTCTTGCACTCAAATCCTGATCTCAGTTGTATCACAGGTTCCCCGCAGCACCCCCAATGATGTGCTTCTTTCTCTAGACATAAATCCTCCAAAAGTACCATTGGTATTACATGAGTTCCATGCTCAAACACCCCAGAATGGTTCCTAATTTTCCCACTGTGTCTTGATTCTTCTTTTGAGTTCTTCAGGTTGTCGATTATCAGGTCCAGCTTCACAGGTTATCTCTGCGCGGTGACACATGTGTGACCCATGCAGGCTGCTCTCCCTGGTCCTTCATGTCCCTACTGCTTCCTCCCTTGGTAGAGACTACCCCTTATACAAAAGGCATGACCAAATCCAAGAACCATTCCTTCAGGTTTAGCTCAAGCTTTCCCTAACTGCTCTTCCTACCACAGTGACTCTTGTCCCCTGAGATTCTACTGAACTCACTCGGAATGAAAAGTCTTGATGCCGAGGAGTGATCCCTAATTCATGAATGAGAAATAGATTTTGTTGTGCATCCTAACTGTGACCCACTGGAGGTGACTGCGCTGGGAAGGATCCTGAGCTGGCCTTTGGGATCACTGGTGTCAGTTAGTGACATCTGCTCTTTGGTGAGCAGAAGCCAGTGCAACAGGTATTTGCTCAAATTACTTCATATGCTATTTAGTCTTAACTGTCTCACTTGATTACAAGCTCCTTAGGCTGGTGATTCTGTTGTACATAGTTTATCTCTCCTTTGTGCCTATCCAACTCATCATTCTAAATGTAAATTCATTAATTGAAACTTAAAGTTGAATTATGAGGTTCTAACATACACACACATGCACATATGCACAATGTGTCAAGAACCAATGCCACCACCAAACACCACACAACCTCAGCTAAAAATGCATCTCTGTTGGCTGTGAGCTTACAGTTAACTATGTATGCATTCAAATATAAAGGACTTTAAACCATTTCTTTTGTTCTTGTCTTTGAGCATTGTGCTATACAGACCTTCCTTTTGTGCCATATCATATTTTACTATCAACCAGTGCCTCCTAGCCAATTGTTTTTAATCACAAAATAAATCAATACAGAATGGGCATGTACACGTATTCTTTTAGGATATAATTTGAACCATTCTGTTCATTTATGAACTGAAGTTATATGTCATGCTTTGGATTCAATTTAGCAACACCAGTGGACAATAAGACTTGATTTTCTTTTTCAGGTCATAGAGGAAAATCCAACCGATTTCATGCTTTATTTAGGGAATAGCATTTTTGTTGTTGTTTTTTTTGGAAAAAACATAATAGTAAAAATCTAACACATTCCTATATTCTTTTTCTGAACTTCCAGTGTGGTTTGTGGAAATGTGATTCATGATGACATATTAAATATTAAAACTAAAGTAAGATTAATTGAAATTTATAGGGCAGTTTTTTCTAATTTACTGTCTAGCACACAATTTTTAGCATGCTGCACAGATAACGAAGGACTGCCTACGTCCTCCTGTTTTATGAAAGCCTAGTATTAAATTTAAACTTGCTAACATTAAAGAAAAAGAAGGTGCCATGTCACCCAGATTCAAACTTCCCACTTGGCTATGAATGGTGACTGAGGGGCAGTCGAAGGAATGCATCAAAGTGAGGCATGACTGTGTATGTGGGCAGCTGTAAGGTTTGCTTCTGCCAGTCAGCTTTCCGGAATGAACACGCATGATCAGGCAAAGGAAATTAACAGTGTTTCTGCCTAAAATATGTGCTTAATTGGTAAAATGCTTTATATATGTTTTCTTAGCCTTCTCGGAAGCCTTATGAAAGTGGTGCTACTTACTCTTTTTGACCCATGAGGAGTCTTCACTGTAGGGGGGTTAGATCACGTGTAAAGTTTCCACAGCTAATGAGAAGTGGAGCTGAGCATAGATGCCATTTGTGTTGGCCTCCAAAGTTCATGCCCTTCAGACACAGCCAGCCCCATGGCCACAGCATCCTATGTTATCAAACAGCCTCGCGTTTCCAGTCCAGGAAAATTTGTCAGTTACTCATGCCTAAATTGCCTTCTGTTCTTCTATTAAAATTTTATTTGAGTCAGAACTATCTAGTTCCCTCAATATGCAGTTGAACTTGATATACTATTTCATTCTGAACAGCCTTTATAGTTCTGGTTTCTAGAAGGAATCCTGCTGTGAGTCCTAACACCAAACTATCTACTGGTCAACAGCTGCATTAAACAGTTCAATTTACTTATTGCTCAACTTCATCTGGAGCAATCTTACTGGCCTAAGAAATGTTAGCTTTGTCTGGAATCCAAACAATCAAGTATGATTTTTCTTGAGCATTTTTAAATTGTCTATGTAAATCCAAAATATCCAAAAATCAACCCCTAAAGCTTAATTTGGTTGAGGAGCTTCAGGCTTCAAGTGCTGATGATTGTGTCCTCTCGGTTCTCTTTACTGTATTGCGGCCAGCCTCCCAGTTCAGCTGTACTCCAGCCACTGCCAATGTCATTGGCTTTGCACAGGTATAACCTGACCACATCTTGTTGAGTTGCAGTGTTTGCTCCCACTTTTTGTCCCAGGACTTGTCAGAAACAATGTGTAAATAAGAGGGTGTCAACATGTGATGGGGCACCCCTTGACCAGGAAGGATGGGAGGAGTTATTGGATAAATGCCCCCCTCTATCCTGTCTCCATGTGTCCAGCTCCCATGCCCCACAGTGGTGACCAGCTTGCCATTGCACCCTGGGCTAGCCATTGCCGCTTTCTTGGCTCCTACTCTGGTGCCCTGGAACCACAACCCAAAATACAGCACATGCACACTAGCTCTTGTCACAGGCTGGGCTTTGGAGGGACCCAGGGTAAGACGTTTACCATAAGTGAATCAATAACTTTATTTTTCTCACCAAGGATTGTGTGGGAGGGGGATCTAGGAAAACAACAGTTGCCCAAATAAAAGATGCAAATTTTAAAACACAATTTGGGAAAGCAATTAGCATTTTAAAAAACAGATTCTTTTTTAAAGAGAAGATTTCTCTAATATCCATGTGACCTTCCCTTTTCACAATGCCTGACAAAAGTTTTACATTTTTTTCTTATTGTTCAATTAGCTTTGTCGTACAGGGCAGGCCAAATTGGCCTATTTCTGTAATCAGTTTTTGATTCCAGTCAGCTTAGGCAAGAGACAATATGGGAGACATGCTGTTCATAGCAAAAGGAAGACCCTTCATATTGAATATGGCAGCAAGGTAACCAAATGTCACATATTATGACTTTCTCATAACATAGTGAGGAAAATATTCTGCCTTTCCTGTCAAGAATAAGAAAACTACTTATCCTGTTCTCAAAAGGACCACAGGATTCAGAGCTGAGACAAGCTAGCAAAGGGTATTCCTTTAAAAAGCCTTTATTCTAGGTATTTCAGTGATGTTTTCAGATTATGTAATTTTTTCACAGCCACTCCCTTCATATTTACTAATTTATTAAAATAGCTGTTTATCTTACCATTGCCCCTGCCACTGCATACAATTCTTTCATCGTTTCCCTTTGTCGTTCTTTCTCTTTCACTGGCCTCTGTCTTTCCTCCACCTCAGTTGTTAATATGATATACCCTCCTAGATGTTTTCACCCTTCCCAGGCATAAACTGGCAACAAGGAAGAGAAAATACAGCTTGCTGCATTTCTGAGCAGCCTTCATTACACATGAAAGGACTGCAATTACTAGTTGAGAAACATGGCCCTGATTCATAAAATATCATAAAGAAATATTAAATTGCATGCAGACCCTCTTAAGGTGGAAAGGAGGATAAAGAAAATATAAAAACTGGTGAGCAAAACAAACAAACAAAACCCCATGACTTGATTAATGGGGCACTCTCTTCAAGGGTCCAGCTTGGGTTCCAGAAACCCCCATGTTGATATTTCTAGGGACTATAATTTCTTTTCTGATAAAAGGCAAATTTTGGTAGTAGGAGACACTAGGGCCCTTTTTAGTGATGAGACCAAATTGGCTCCCCATCTGCTGTTTCCCACTGAATTTCTGAATATATAGATGGCAGTCACATCCACTGTTGGGTAAAGGCTGGCCAGGATGTAACTGCGGCACACAGAAATGTTTCAGACCCAAATATAAAGCGTAATATTTAAAGTAAGTATTCCTAAAATGTCAAGATTTCCACCAAAAAAACCCTTGCAAGTTTAGGATTATTTGCTTTATGGAGTTCAGCTATGAAATAAATACATGTTCAGGAGCTCATTTGTTTAATAATAGAATAAAGGTTCGTGTGCGCCTGATGCATGCACACCACTAGGCTAGTCACTGGGAGAAACCAGTTCTTGACCTCATGGTGCTGATGGTTTAATAATAGAGAATTGTAGTGTACCCCCCAAAATTGTAAATCAAATATTTAAATATACTCTGGAATATCTTTCTCCCTCCCCCTCTAATCTGCCTTCCCTTTCTCCCCCAGGCAACCATTAAAATGTGTTTAATATGCATTATTTTAGTTGTCATTTGTTCTTTAAAAAATCGTTTCATTTAGAAGTAGTTTTAGGCTTACATAGAAATTGAAAAAAATAGTATATAGAGTTCTCATGTGACTCAGCTTTTCCCAGTGATAACATCCTACATAACCATAGCACAATGATCAAAACCAAGGTATTGACATTGACATTGGAACAATGCTATTAACTAAGTTACAGACCTTATTTTGACTTTTGCCCAGTGTATTAGTCTGTTTTCATGTTGCTGATAAAGACATATCCAAAACTGGGAAGAAAAAGAGGTTTAATTGGACTTAAAGTTCCACATGGCTGGGGAGGCCTCAGAATTGTGGCGGGAGGCAAAAGGCACTTCTTACATGGTGACGGCAAGACAAAATGAGGAAGAAGCAAAAGTGGAAACCCGTGATAAACCCATCAGATCTTGTGAGACCCATTAACTATCACAAGAATAGCCCAGAAAAGACCCGCCCCCATAATTCAATCACCTCTCACCAGGTTCCTCCCACGACACATGGGAATTGTGGGAGTTACAATTTAAGATGAGATTTGGGTGGAGACACAGCCAAACCATATCACCCACTTTTATAAGTACTCTGTTTTTCTTTTCTTTTTTTTTTTTTTTTTTGGTATAGAGTTGCATAAAATTTTTTATAACATATGTGGATTCATGTAACTAACACTGCAGTTAGGATGCAGATAATCCAAAATTAACTCAATTATGCTACCCATTTATGGTTCTAACCACCACCAACACTAACCCTGACAACCACAGATCTGTTTTCCATCACTACACTTTGACAGTTCAAGAATGTTATATAAATGGAATTATATGGTGTATAACATTTTGAGATTAGATTTTTTTCATTCGGCATAATGTCTTTGAGATCTACCCAAGCTGTTGCATGTATCAATCATTCATTTCTTTTTATTGCCAAGTAGTTTTCTTGCATAAATGTACAAGTTTGTTTATCCACTCACCCTTTGTAGGACATTTGGATTGTCTCCAGGCTTTTGCAATTATGAATATACTGCTACAAATATTCAAATACAGGATTTTGTGTGAACATAGGTTTCCTTTCACTGGAATAAATAACTATAAGTGGGATTGCTGCTTTACATGATAATTGCATGCATCACACTCTAAGACATTGACATTATTGGCATTTGTTTTTGCATTTGTTCTATTGGCATGCATTTTTTATTAAATGATATTTTGTTAAAAATATTTTCCTTTATTTTTTTCTCGCAGTGTCATGTTTTTAAGATCTATAGATATTGCCATGTGTATGTCTAATTCACATAAAGATTTTTTTTTAAACTGCTGCATAGTACTTCAAAGAAGCTCTCTACTTCAAATAATTCTATAATAAGTCATTTTGTGAAGTAAATGATTCTTTGGAAATATATGCACCCCACAAATAATTTGTTTAGTGAATTTAGATTTCTGCTTCTTGGGTTTCCTTAATATAGTTGTTAACTTTATTGCCTCTGGGCTTGCTTCATGGTTTTATTCATAGATGAAAACATTATCAGGTACTGACAGCAGCCATCTGAGTTTAGACCCAGGTCATGTCTACAATCCAGGCCCTATGTTGTCTAAAATTTTTCCAGAGTTAATAGCAGTAGAACTGACCCTGCCATACATGGAGCAGTTTCATAGGCTGAGGCTTTTCTTGTACACTGCTATCCATCTCTAAAGAGCTGATCCAAAGCCTATGGATGAAGGACCCAGAAACAGTATGAAGTCATCCAGGAACAGTATCTACATTAGCAAAGGACCCAGGAAAATTAGCTCCAAGTGCTTGATTTTCACACAGGACTAGAGGTCACATAACCCCAGTCCTTCAGACATGTGTCTGAGGGAAATTTTGTTTTTTAGTGTGACTTCCTCCTGTGGAAGACAGTAATTCTAGCAATGGCCCACACATTATCTGTATGTGTACACCTGCACCCATACACATCTCAGGCCATCAGGTCATCAGTTGCTTTATTAAAATTACTTTAAAATTCTGAAATGCACAGGTATATGAGGTTGGTCTTTATGACGGCATGAAGTTGGGAGTGAAGAGAGGGGTCCAGGAATATTGCTGCAAGTTTGTTCAGATCAACCTTGAGTATACATCAGAGGCACCTGGAGGGCTGGTTAAAACACTAAGTGCTGAGCCTTCTCCCAGAATTTATGAAACAGTAGACCAGGGATAAAAATCAAGAATTTGGTGATCCTGCTGCTCTGAGGGCCACAGATTGAGAAACTGTTATAGATGGAGATGTTATCATGACCCAGCCCTAAGCTCCAATTATGTCTTATTAATATGTGCACTTATGCCAGTTCTCCTGATTTAATTTATATCCTCCAGACATGCTAAGGACTTCCATAAATGTATTTGTGAAGTCATTTACCCCATATGTAGCAGCAGACACTTCTGTTCTTCTATGTAATCACTTCATAGTGATTACCAAACACTTGAGCTTCACCATTCTAGGTTATTCAGTCCTCTCTGACATCTATGAGGTAATGTCCTCTATGTTTATAACTTAGGTTTGTTTAATTAGTAGGTCTTTCATTTCCTTCTTTCATTTTTCTCTATTAAAATTGTATAGTGATGTCAGAAACATGGTACACTAGGAAACTCCAGATCCTTGTTCTCTCAGGTGAACATTAAGTAAACAACTAGAGTGGCTAAAATAATTTTATAGGAGCACTGTAAATCAGTCAAAGATATACAGCAACCAATCTCCTCATTAAGAGAAAACTAAATTTAAAATGCTACAACATTTCATGACATTTTTACTCACCTTTGCCCCATCCCCTCCTTGATGTGGTGCAATACAGTCTGGGGAAAGCAGTGCTCCAGTCCCCAGCTCCTTTCTACAAACCAGGAGTGTGAATCAGACCAAATTTGTAACATTCTACCTTGTCTGGGGACATCTTCAGATAATGGTCTCTGTGTCACCTAACTCAGCACTCAGACTTCCAAAAGTGGCACAGCTTGAATTTCAGGCTAGAGAAAGCCATTGGAGGCTATTGTTATAACTCAAGAAAATCGCAAGGGGACTACACACCCACAGATACCTGAGGCCAGAGATTACTGATTGAGAAATACAATAGAACAGCTAAGGTCATGAGAAAGAAAAGGGGTGAAACTCCTAGGGAAATTAAGATTTTTAAAAGCAGCCATGTATATGGGGGAATCAGAATAAAGCACACTCATAGGCCCAAGGTAGAGGCATGCCCAGAAAAGTCCTGAGAAGACTTTAAGTCTTCAGTTTGAGCTGATTAATGAAGGTCTTCCCCTCCATAGAGCCAGTTTGCAAAGATAGAGGGGTGGCTATTTGTTCAAATGCCCAATTTTCAACAAAATCAGAAGGCATACAAAGACATGGACAAACATGGCCAATTCAATGGCACAAAATAAATCTCCAGAAACCAACCCCGAAGAAACACAGGCATCAGACTTACTAAACAAGACTTTAAAATAACTATCTTATATATGCTCAAAGAGCTAAAAGAGAACATGGACAAAGAACTAAAAAGAAAAACTCAGGAAAACAATGTATCAACAAAATTAGAATATCAAGAAAGAAATAAAATTTTTAAAAAGAGAAATCCTGGAGCTAAAAAATATAATAAATGAATTGAAAAATTCACCAGAGGGTTCAACAGCAGACTCAAAACAGGTAGAATAAATCAGCAAACTTGAATTCAGGTCATTTGAAATTGTCAAGTCTGAGGAAAAAAAAAAAGAAGAAAAAAAGTAAATAGAGCCTGAGGGACTTATGAGACATCATCAAGCAAACTAACATACATATTATGGAAGTTCCAGTAAAAAAAAAAATGAAAGAGAGAGAAAGGAATAGAGGGATTACTTGAGGAAATAATGGCCAAAAACTTCCTGAATTTCAGGAAAGATACGTGTATACAAATACAAACAGCTGAATGAACTCCAACTATGATAAACTTAAACCCATAGCAAGACACATTATACTCAATAAGATAATTAACACTTTTCTTAGCTGAAACCTTGCAGACAGATGGCAGTGGGATGATATATTTAAAGAACTGAAAGGGGGAAAAAACTGTCAACTAAGAATTCCATATCTGGCAACACTGTCCTTTCAAAATGTGGGAGAAATTAAGACACTACTAGGTAAACAAAAGCTGAAGAAGTTCCTTGCAACTAGATATGTCCTACAAGAAATTTTAAGGGAGTCCTTCAAATTGAGGTGAAAGGATGCAAGATGGTAACTTGATGCCAGATGAAAGCATAAAGTTTTCTGGTAAAGGTAAATACATGAATAAATATAAAAAAATTATAATTTGTTTGGTAACTCCAGCTTTTATTTTTCTGCAGGATTTAAAAGGTAGATCCATAAAAATAACATGAATGTATGTTAGTGGGTATATGCTATATGAAGATATAATTTGTGACATCCATAATAAAAAGTGAATGAGTACAGTTGTAAAAGAGTAGTTTTTGTGTGTGATTGAAATTAAAGTTTTGTTATAACTTTAGGATGTTATATGTAATCCCTATGGTAACCAAAAAAAGAAAATCTATAGACTATACACAAAAGGAAACGAGAAGGTGATCAAAACATGTCACCACAAAAAATCAACTAAATACTAAGGAGGGCAGTAATAGAGGAAATAATGGACGCTATAGCTAAAAGACATACAGAAAACAACAAAATGATAATAGTAAGTCCTTCCTTATCGGTAATTATTTTGAATATAAATAGATTAAACTCTCCCAATCAAAAGACACAGATTAGTAGAATGGATTTAGAAACCAGCACCCAATTACATGCTGTCTGTAAGACACATATCTTATATCTAAGAATAGATTGAAAGTGAAAGAATAGAAGATATTTCATTCATACAGTAACCAAAAGAGGGTAGGGATGGCAAACTAATATCATACAAAATATTATAGACTTTAAGTATAAAACTGTTATAAGGTACAGAAAAGGACCTTATGTAATGATAAAGGGTCAATTTATCAAACAGATTTAACAATTACAACGTATATGCCTCAAGCATCAGACTTCCTAAATATCTGCAGCATTGACAGAATGTAAAGGAGAAGTTGACATTCCTACAATAATAGTTGGAGACTTCAATACCTGACCTTCAGTAATGGATAGAGCACTAAAAAAAAGATGAACAAGGAAATAGAAGATTTGAACAATATATGCCCAATTAGACTGAAATACATCTATTGAACTCCACCCAACAACGGTAGAATACACATTCTTTTCAAATGCACATGAGATATTCTCTAGAACAGACCATATGTTAGGACACAAAACAAGTCTCAATAAATTTAAAAGGACTGAAATTATACAAAGCATCTTTTCTAATCACAATGGAATAAAACTAGAAATCAATGGCAGTAGAAAAACTGGAAAATTCACAAATATGTAGAAATTAAACAACATACTGTTAAATAATCAATGGCCCAAGGAAGAAATCACAAGGAAAATTAGAAAGTATCTTCAGGCAAATAAAAATAGAAACAACACACCAGGGGCTGGAGGCAATGGGGAGTTATGGTTTCATGCGTACAGTTTCAGTTTGGGGTGATGGAAAAGTTCTGGCAATGGATGGTGGTGATATTTGCACAATAGTGTGAATATACTTAATAGCACTGAACTGTATACTTGAAAATGATTAAAATGATTAAAATATAAAATTAAATTTTATATTATGTATATATACCACAATAAAAAAAGATTGTACAGCAAGCAAATGATTCCATGGACTCACAACTTGTACAAAATGCAGATCATTGTAGCCAGTCACATGTGAGCCAATACTGCAGTCCTTTCCCCACTCTTGCCATCTTGTCCTGGTCAGCAAGATTGGTGAGTTTCTGAGGGAAGAAGTACTTCATGCCATGAACACTCACGACTTCTGGGGAGGAAGGGAATGAGCCTTATCATGGAGACTCATGGAAGGTGCTTGGATGTGGATGACTTGGGGATATGTAGGTGAAGATTCCAGGAAGTTTAGGATTTCAGTAGAAAGCTGCAAGTGAGCATAACTTCATTACTGCTGAATTCAGTTGTTTTGGGTAGAAGAAGCAACCCTTCAAATCCATGACATTAAGAGGATTTAAAGGTAATTAATTTACTCTGGACAACAATGTATTTTTTTTTAATAAAACAGCATGTTTTTTCCATTTTTTACTCTGTGGGAATTCACTACTTACACAAGTGATAATTGATTGCTTACCATGTGTCAGATATATTACTCCCTTCTGGGCATTTTTTCATTTAATCCACATTTCTTGCTACTGGGGTAGAGATAATTTTATTTTTCTAATTTTTCAGGTGAGGAAACTGAGTCTTAGTGAGATTGGGTCACTGGAGAGAAGTCCCCTACCTAGTAAGTGGCACAGCTGGGCTTTAGACTCAAGTAGGTTTGATTATCATGCCCATGCTTTTAACTGCTTACCTACACTGCCTTATTGGTTTTTGAGACTGGTTCTGGTAGAAGATAAATATTATATGTCAATTAAAAATCACCAGTAATGTCTGATCCAGCTCAAATATGGTGATGGTGATAGTGCTGCTGCTGACGATAATACTGATGATGATGACACTCCTTATATTTATAACCACACCCAATTCATAAAGTCCCTTTATATATATTTGTTCACATAATCCTAGAATTAACCCTGAGAATTAGTTATTATTCTTATTTTCCATATGGAGCCTGAAGCTTGGAGAGATTAAATGAAAACAAGAGAGTGGTAGACTCATATTTAAACCAAACCTCTATGCCTAGTATCTTCCATTACATCATGCTGCCTCATGTACTGGGGTGATTGTGCTTTTGGTAGTCGAAAGTGGGCATAGACAGGGAAACACACAGCAATGTTCTTGTATACTTCTTGATGATAAAACAATAGGATTTATTTGCATGAGTGGATTAAACAAAGCCTTATAACATATGGAACTTGGAAACCTCAATACATTTTAGAGAAGGAACAAGGGAAGGAGTTCCTACAGAAAGCCTAGGAAGTACACGCCAGTAAACAAGAACTAGGTATTTAGAATCTCTAATTACTAAGTTAAGACATGTCAAATGTGATTATGTTCCCTTTTATTTAGTGTATTACTTTTATTGCTGAAACTTAGTCCATGTAGAATATTTATGTAGACCAGGGGTGTTCAATCTTTTGGCTTCCCTGGGCCACATTGGAAGAAGAAAAATTGTTGTGGGCCTTACATGAAATATACTAACACTGACGATACCTGATGAGCTAAAAAAAAAAAAGTGCAAAAAAAAAAATCTCATGTTTGAAGAAAGTTTACGAATTTGTGTTGGGCAGCAATGCAGAGCCGTCCTGGGCTACATGCAGCTGTGGGCATTGGGTTAAACAAGCTTAAGACTCTATAGGCTAATTTGGAACTGTAGTCTCCCTTTTTCTCAACTTTTTCCTCATTCTATTTTTCTTCACAAAATTTAAATATATCAACTCTGAGTTCTACTATCCTGGGGCAGGGGCAGGGGCATGAGATTTAGGAACTCAAGTTTCACGGTTGAAAAGAAAACACAACACTATTAAATCAGGATTGTTATGAAGATTCAATGCATATTCACTGAGGGGCCACCTTGTTCCAGGAACTGATCTAGGCACTGGAGACAGAGCAGTGGACAAGAGAATCAGGGACCCTTGTGCCAGGGTGTCTGCGAGGTAGTGGAGGAGAGACCATGAGCAAACACACCAACAAGATAATTGATAATTTCTATGAAGAAAAGAAAACATGGTGGGTGTTGGTGGTAAATTAGATTGGGTAGTTAAGGACAGGTTCTCTGAGGAGGGGGTAGTAAAGCTGAGATCCGAAAGAAATGGCACTGCCAACCCTGTGAAGATTCAGGGAAGGGAGCTGCAGGCAGTGCAAGCACAAGGGGCTAAATCTGGGTTGAGTGAGGCACATTCAAAGACTAGAAAAAAGGTCATGCGGTGGCATCACTATGAGCGACAGCAATTGAAACTGGAGGGAGCCAGGGGCTGGGCTCTGCTCTCTGTGCAATGTGAACCCATCTAATTGCTACTCTGAGGAGATTGGATTGCAGGAAACACAGGTGAAGCTGTTGTGCTCTTCAAGTAAGAGGTCATGGTAGTGAGGTTGAAAGGAATTAGATGGGCTGAAGGCCTTCAGAAGGTCAAAGTGACCACACTTTCCAAAGGACAGGATGTGGGGAGTGAGGAGATGCATCTCAAGACAATGATCCATTAGGAATAATTATATAGCACTTGCATGGTATCTCATGTTTGGGACACTGATGTTATGTTTTGGTGAAGGTGGACTACCTGAAGACAGGGGCTGCCTCTTCCTTATTCACCATGTACTGTTTCAGTAATATTATGTATGGGCCTTTAACTTGAAGCCCACATATGAAAAATTCAATCAATAGTGATATGGTTTGACTGAGTCCCCACCCAAAATCTCATCTTGAATTGTAACCTCCACGTGTCAAGGGCAGGACCAGGTGGAGGTAATCGGATCATGAGGGTGGTTTCCCCCATGCTGTTCTCTTGATAGTGAGTGAGTCTCATGAGATCTGATGGTTTTATAAGCATCTGGCATTTCCCCTCTTTCTTTATAAATTATGCAGTCTCGGGTATTTTTTCATAGCAGTGTTGGAAAAGACTAATACAAATAACCATAAGAATGTGAACTTTTCTAAGATTTGGTTGACATCATCACCACTAGATACTAGCATTTTTATCACAAAGCTGTATCTAATTTTTTGCTGCTAGAGTTATCCATGTGAATTTGGCAACTAGCATCTTATTTGTTCTGGTTGAAAGGTTGGACAGACTTTATTTTTCTCCATGTAAAATGTCACAAAAGTCAAAGCTATTCTAGAGAACATTTCTTTTTACCCAGATATTTTGCTAAATTCTTCTGTCAAATATGGTTCTTTATGACCAAAGAATGTTAATTAACATTAAGACAATCACTGAAAAGACATGCTATACTTATATGTATTAAAAGACACAAATACTATTTGATTGCAAGGTCTCATTCAAGTATGGCTCCAGCAAAATACAACCTTGAAGCAATTTAGAACTATAATAATTAGAATTATTATGCATTAGGCTTATTTTAACTCTAGTTTGACCTCTGTGCCATCTCCAGCAATGAATAAATGATATGGTTAGAAATTGAAAGAGAAACTGCCTTAAACAGGGTATTTGAGTAGTTTGTGTACTTTATGAGCACCTACTTTCCTTCACACTCTTGATTTGGGGATAGCATAAAAGATGCCATCCAAACAAAAAGTTTTTTTTTTTTTGGCTTTCTTCAAAGGAAGAGATGAATTTTGAGCATATATTATAAACATTTTATTTTTCTAAATGGGGGAGAAAACCTAGCGACTTCAATAAAAGTGCCCTGACTTTAAAAGGTCACTTCTAACCAAATTGTGAGGTAATGTTAATGATTATAAATTGTTTACAATGATTATGAAGCTAATGATTTCCCTGTTCCTCTCATTTAGGTGCCTACTGACCTTATGCTTTGATTTCTGGACAAGCTAGACAAAAGCATTTGGAATGATCTGACATGTTTCATAAACGCCTTGCAACGATCTTAAGTGATTGTGTTTCTGCTCTTGAGGCTACCAGCCTCCGAGGTCTTTTTCTCGAATAAGATGACTTCAAGCATAAAGAAGCAAGGGAGAGAGGTTTCCTCATTGTCCCTCAAAATCATCTTGTGATCCCACATTTGACCACTGGCCACATTTATTTTCTGGCTTCTTTAGGCCGTCTTCTCCTTGAAAAGTCAAATTAATTAGGCATAAAAACTCAAATATAATCTTGCTGCCTAAGCTCATAACTCAAATCCGCCTAACTTTCACAACTTTTAAACCAGTTGTAGGCTGGATGTGGTGGCTCACACCTGTAATCTCAGCACTTTGGGAGGCCGAGGTGAGCAGATCGCTTGAGCCAAGGAGTTTGAAACCAGCTTGGGCAACATGGTGAAGCCTCATCTCCATAAAAAGTACAAAAATTATCCAGGCACAGTGGTGCACGCCTGTAGTCCCAGCTACTCAGGAGGCTGAGGTGGGAGGATCACTTGAGTCCAGGAGGTGGAGGTTGCAGTGAGCCGAGATTGGGCCACTGCACTCCAACCTGGGTGACAGAGCAAAACTCTGTTTCCAAAAAAAAAAAAAAAAAAAGGAAAAAAAATCAGTTGAGGGGAATATTGTGTAGTATATCTTACAAACCAGAGAGACTTAATTTATAATCTCGTTAAACAAATCACATAAGCACTTTGAAACTCTTCATCTGCAAGATAAAACAACAACACTGATCATGCCTGGTTATTGTGAGAACTAGAATTTATGTCAAGCACTCATGACAGGGCCTGGCATAGTAGGCATTAAACAAATGGTGATTATTACAATCGCCAACATCCCCACCCAGGTGTATATGATTTTTTTGCCTGAACAATTGCAGTATACTAACAGGTCTGCCTGTCTCCGGTATTCTTTCCTCTGTATTTATCTTCCAAAATACCCCTCATTATCAGGTCATTCGCAATTCAGAAGTCCTCAGTGCCTCTGTTGTCTACAGGATCAAGCCCACATTCTTCGGTTTGGCATTCAAAATCACAGGCTAAACAATTGGCTTAATCCATACTTCATCCTTATCTCTATTGCATAAACCCTGGCACATTTATGCTACTGATTTGAAATTTATATTCCACCTTATATAACAGTTTCCTTTCTGTCTGAACAAGTTTTATCTCCTCAACTATATATCAATTTCTTAGAGAGGAATTACCAGGTCTTATTCTTTTGTAAAAATTTCCCCATAGAATCCATTTGTATAGTGTCTCTTACATAGACAATTTTTAAACAATTGTTCCTCACAGTGATAACATTTGGGGCCAGGAAGACAGGAAATTATGTCTAACAATGATGGGGGAGTGAGCCATATCTTGACATCTTGTCACCTCTTCTTGAATCTTCTTAAAATTATTTAGGAAAGAAAAAATAATATTTAAAATAGAAATAAAGGAAGCTTATGTAAAGCTTTTCTTAGAAGTCTTCAAAGCTCTTTAGGTTTAGCATATTTTATTTACATTCAAATTCAAAGGAGACATTTAAGAGTTGTTTTCCTCATTTTAGTTTTAAAATTAACTGAAGACCCCGCAGGGTAAATTATTTGCTCATGCCAATACAGTAAATCAGTGGAAGATTTGGGGTCACAACTCATCTTTCTGCCCCCCTGCTTGGAAATTCAAGAGATGAGTGGAAGAAATCCCTGAGGTGAGAAAGCCCTGACGCCCATTCAAAGGTTAGTGCAGTATAGATAATTAAGCCCAATCCATTAAGCTCAGAATACATCTATAGGCAAATGTATAGGAGGGTTAATTAAAACAGTTTCTTCTCCATTTTTGTTTTCTGATTATAGCACAGCAACACTAACATCTTCCAAATGGTCTATTCTTTGTGCTAAAATTACGCCTCATATTTTACCCTTTAACTAGGTTTTTATTTATTTTTTAAAATCTCTTTGATATGCATTTACTTAACATCTACTTTGTGGCACATAAATTTTGTGGCACATAAAATACATGGTCCATCTTTTGAAAGGTATGTAAAAGAAATAGAAGACTCAGTTTTGACTGTCAAGGATCCTTAATTCTTACTGAATGAATTAGATATACATTAAACAATCAGTGACCCTGTAGAATTATGTGATGAGAAAGGTGGTAAAATATTTGTATAGGAGGCAAAGTTATTTTAAAGTTTGATATGGGAAGGGAAGGTTTCATGAAGTTGGGAGAGGTAGTGGTAAAGGAATGGATTTTTGAATCAGAGTTTGCTGAGTTTGAAACCTGGTGCTGACTCTTAATATCTATGTGATCTTGGAAAAGTTATTTCCTGTCCCCTAGTCTCAGCCTCTTCCTACAGAAATTAGACATACACATATCCCTTAATTGGAACACTGCATTCTAACACAAAATCAAATGCATATCAGGAACTTAATAAATGATAGTTTTCCCCTACAGTGAGTTAAGCCATAAGTAGAAATGAAGAGATAAAGGGAAAGGCATTAGGTCAATAGAGCACTGAGCAAAACTTCGTGGTCAGAGGAAAATGGCATGTTTGTATAATAATGAGAACATGTGTACTTCAGAGGATAATAACAGGACCAGTACACAGTGTCTAGGATATGATCTAAAGTTACATGACATTCAAGAACCAGGAAAATGTGGCCACTTCTTAAGGGCAAAGAAAATAAATGCTGGGTGCGGTGGCTCACACTTAATCCCAGCACTTTGGGAGGCCAAGGTGGGTGGATTGCTTGAGCCTGTGATTTTGAGACCAGTCTGGACAATGTAGCAAGACCCTGTCTCTACAAAACATTAAAAAAGTAGCCAGGCATGATGGCTTGCCCCTGTAGGCCCAGCTACTCATGAGGCTGAGGTGGGAGGATTGCTTGAGTTCAGGAGGTTGAGGCTGCAGTGAGCAGCATTTGCACCACTGCACTCTGGCCTGGGTGACAGAGCAAGACCTTGTCTCAAAAAAAGACAATAAAAAATGTCAACCCTAAGATAACCCAGATGTTAGAATTATCAAAAATATTAAAATGACTATTATAACTGTACTATATAAGATAAAGGCAAACACATTTAAGTAAATGAAAAGGTTGACATTCCTAGCAGAGGAATGAAAGCAGAGGAATAAAAAGTGAACTAAATGGAAATATTAAACTTAAAAACACAATATCTCAAATTTAAAAAAAATGGCTAGACAATAGTGGAATAGTGATAATAGAGAAGTCAGTGAACTTGAAGACAGATCAATAGAAATGATCCAATGTGAAGAACAAAGACAAAAAAAGACTTGGAGAGGGGGCTGAAATGAACAAAGCATTAAGGACACATAGAACAATGTTCCACAGTCTCATACTGAGAAATCCCACTTCTTGGTATTTACACAGGAGAAATAAACAGAATTATATACAAACCTGCACATACACATTTACAGAGGTTTTTATTCAAAATTACCCAAACCTGGAAACAACCCAAATGTCCTTTAACTGGTGAATGGATAGACAAATGGTACATCCACACAATAGAATACTACTTAGCAATAAAAAGGAACAGAGGACTTATAAACACAATAACATGGCTAAATCTCAAATCTCAAGTTTCCAGTGAAAAAAGCCTGTCTCAAAAGCTGCATATTGTATGATTCCATTTATATGACATTCTGGAAAAGGTGAAACTATAGAGAGAAAAAAACAGGTCAGTGATTGCCAAGGGCAAGAGTTGGGGTTAGGATTGACCGCAAAGGGGTAGCACTACTGAATATTTGGGAGATGGAACTGTTCTGTATCTTCATTGCAATGATGAGTATAGGGCTGTGTGCCTTTGTCAAAACTCATAGAACTCTACACCAAAAAAAGTGAATTTTACCACACATAAATTAATAGTAGTAATATTTACCACATATATGTTAAAAAGCAAAATTATATACTCATCTCAATAAATGCAGAAAAATCACTAGTTATAATGTAACATCCATTCATGATTTAAAGTATTTTAGCAAGCTAGAACTATAAAAGAAATTTCTTAAGCTAATATATGGTAAGTGCAAAATCCTTACAGAAAACATCATACTGAATGGCAAAACGTTGAAATATTTCTTTTTAATATGAGAAAAAAATACAAGATGACTATTTTTACAACATTTATTCAACAACATACGGGAAGTCCTCACGGGAAGAATGCAAGAAAAAGAAACAAGATGTAAATATTGACAATAGAAAACAGAGTTGCCATTTTTGAAAGATAATATGATTGTTCCTATATTACAACAAAAAGAATAGAAGATAAATGACAGTGTTAGCAAAATCAATGAACAAAAATAAAATGCAAATATAATGTAAAGACATATCACGTACTCTAGCAGGGAAGTATAAATTAAGATCTTAATGAGATACTACTCTATACTCATCTGACTGGTAAAACTTAAACAAATATCTGGCCATATCATGTTTGGTAAGATTATAGAGCAAGAGAACTCGTCTTCTCTAATGGTAGGAGTATAAATTGTTAAAATTCTTTGGAAAATAATTTTAAAATATCAGGCAAATTTAGAAATGCTTCTGCCTTATGGTTTCACAATTTCAAGCAAAAGTCTGTTCCACAGAAATGTTTGAACATTTGTAAGAGATGGCATGTATGATAATGTTCATAGTTGCTGTTTTTACTAGCAAATGACTTGAAACAGGAAAATTTTCAACAACAGCGGAATGAATAAATAAATCATAATGATGACACATTCAAATACATATGGACATAAGAATTACTATATACAGGTAAAGATAGAGAAACTACAGCTATAAATAAGAACGTGAATGAGATTTAGAAACATACTCGAGTGAAAAAGCGAGTTAAGAAAGACTACTTGCAACGTGAATCCATTTATACAAAATTTGAAAAACATGCTAAATTAAGCAATTACTTAGGGATAAAAGCATGTGGTAAACCTATAAAGAATGGTGTAAGAATAAAGAACACAAAATTTAGAATAGTGGTTATCACTGAGGAGACAAGCAAGGTGGAATTGGGGAAAGTCAGGAAGGATGTCAAAGATTGTAAAGATAAGTTATTTTTTGTTTGTTTGTTTGTTTGTTTTTCGAGATGGAGTCTCGCTCTGTCACCAGGCTGGAGTGTAGTGGCATGATCTCGGCTCGCTGCAACCTCCGCCTCCTGTGTTCGAGAGATTCTCCTGCCTCAGCCTCTCAAGTAGCTGGGACTACAGGCGCGTGCCACCACGCCCAGCTAACTTTTGTATTTTTAGTAGAGACGGGGTTTCACCACGTTGGCCAGGATGTTCTTGATCTCTTGACCTCATGATCCACCTGCCTTGGCCTCCCGAAGTGCTGGGATTACAGGCATGAGCCACCATGCCCGGCCCAAGATATGTTTTTAATAGGTGGTGGGTTCACAAATATATGCTGAATGCTAGATGCCCTTCATCTAGTTTATACATTTTTAAAATATCCACCATTTAAGGTAAAAATTCTAATGAGTAGGTAGGGAAGGATGAGTCTACAAGGAAGACAGACTATGAAGAGGAGAAAGCACAGAGTATGCTGTCCCAGAGTCAAGGCCAGGGTCTATAGTCTCAGGTGCAGATGAGTCCTGGAACTCAGTAACACCCTCCGTGAGAACAGCTTTGTTTTGATGAAGTAGTTCATGGGAGGGGTAGGCTGAGCAGAAAGTCAAGGTTAAGAAATGGCACCAATAAGTGTAGACAACACTTTCAGTAATTCATGTTGTAAAGAAGACCAGAGAGACAGGGCTGAGGAGCTGGTGATTAAGGAGCCTGCTGAGGGAAGATTTTGTTTTGTTTAGTTTAATAACAGAGAGAGGAACTGGGTTGAAACTAATGACAAAGAATTTATTGGAAGAGAGAACTCGAATCTGCAAAATAGAAGAGGGATAGTCAGTGGTTTAGGTGTTATAAGAAGGCAGGAGGAGGCAATGACCAAAAATAAAGCCAGGCAGAATGTTTGGACCTAGATGCAAGGAAGCTTACCTCCTCGTTTCTATCAGGGCACAAGAGAGGCAAGCAGAGATAAGATGCAGGTGTGGTGGTGGGAGGCTGAGGGATTCCAATCTGGCTCTTCTCTTCTATGCAAAGAAGGATGTTTGGGGGAGGTAAAGAGTTAAGTGAAGGAAAGAGAAGACAGATTAATGGTCCTTTCATTCAAGGAGTTTGTGGCTACCTTAAATTTAGAGGGAGACACACCAATACATAAAAAACTACGACAGAAGCCTTCTGTCGTAGTTTCTGATGTTTCTAACACAAAGAAAGGTGTGTCTCATGCCAGTGAAGGAACCGAGTCTGACTTTATAGAAAGGGTTACTACTGAGTTGGGGTTTGACAAATGATTTGGTATCTGTTATACATGCAGACTGCCAGAATCAGGCATAATGGAATCAAGCAATATTTAGTGGAGATGAAAAAAGAAGGATATGCTCCCCACAAATCATGTTAGGATCTGAGGCAGACCTAATATAATGCCCCTAATTTAACATCTGGATAAAACATTTCTACTTTTGTGAAAAGAAGGCCAAATACCGTGAGCTTTCATAGTATTTATGCTAATAGCAGAAACTTTCTCCCCCTTCTACCCTTTTCCAAAACAAGCTACTACTCAGAGCTTGGTTGGTTCAGCGTCAATTGGGTATCTTTTGTTGGTGATGAGTGAGTTAATTTACATTGAACTTAAATCTCTTCCTTCCTTCAGATAGGAAGTTAAGGGTAGGTAAGTACTTTAACTCCTACATATTATCAGGGCAAGTTCTGAGCCTAACAGGTGAGGTCTTGAGGTTGTACAGAAGTCAAGCAAGTTCTGACTTTTTTCCTCTCACTAAAAGTACTCATTGTTTGAACCAACTGTCAGCTCTGTTGTTTTGCACTGTTAGAGCACTGCTTTTCAATGACTGTTTTTCAGATCAATACAGAGTAAGGCTTTCTAGCCTGCCTAACGTAATATAACACATTGAACGCACTGGCTGCTGAATTATTAAGCCCTTGTGTTCTGCAAGAGATGGTGCAAGAAAAATAAGTGCTAAAATGAGAGAGGACAGAGAAGTAAGTTTCACCTTTCCAGCAAGAAACTGGGAGAGAAAGACATAACGGCTACTGCTAAGGTTCACCCTTATTCTACATCTTCAATTAATGCTCCCTCCTCTTGACCACACTCTTTGCTAAAAAGTACAGATTATGGATCCTGCAATCAGATGCACATGAATTTCATTTCTACCACTGCCTAACTGAGAAAACAAGGAAAAATTATTTCATCTCACCAAGTAACTTTTCTTTATGTCTAAAATAAAAATAACTTACTTCCTAGAATTGTAAAGACTAAAGGAGATGAAAATAGCTTTTGCCTAATGTAGGTCCTTCATACTTTGTTATATTATTAATATGTGCATTATATTTTATAGCATTTTTTATGATGTGCCTTGAATTTCATAGTTGTGTCCTCTGACTGTAAGCTCTTCCAGAAACAAGATTGCAACATATTCATCTTTGAAGGCCAGCAGCACGTTACAGTTTCTTGCCCATGAATCAATGTAAATTAGAAAATAACTGCTTCATTTTTTTATCCTTACAATGGAATGGCCTTTAGAAACATCGCAAATGACTTCACTGCAATAACCTTTTGGAGTTCAATGGTATGTGCATCAAAAGAGTGACATATTTGATACATGAAATGAATTTAGATCCTTTTATTTCATGTTATGTTAATGGTCAAAGAATAATGCTTTTGCATTTCTGTAGTAAACCATTTAAAATCTACCAAAGAACCACAAATCGCAAACTATACCTTACTTGTAGGTATCAAGTCACAACTTGTAGATCTAGGTTTTACTTTTCTTTTGATTTTTTTAAAGAAAAATATCACAGGGAAAAAAAAGTAATATAAGAGTTCTTTTGATCTGACTTGATTATGAATTTTTGTCAGTGTATTTCTCTCTTTTCTTTTTCACAGGATGTCACAATGACCTTAATAGTTTTCCATGGAAAAAATTAGTTGCAGAGAGAACAAGCTGCCACAAAGAGAAGAAAATGAACAAAAGTCAACTTATGATTTCATGGGAGGCACCTCTCTTTTGCTTTGACAATAGGTACTGTACTAGAACATTGCTATCCTGTACTATTGAATTTTAATATTGAAATTAATTGTTTAGGTCTTCAAATACTCTTTCTTGTTGTGGATCTACATGGCCCTACTTGTTAATTTGTCACATCTGATAATAGAGAAACTTATAACAACTCTTTTCCTGCAAAGTTGGAAGCACTGTCTTATATGAAACACTGCTCTGGAGGTTGCGTGCCTGATGGGGGCAGGTATGTTTGTTTCTAATGTTCTGCGTGTATGTTTTCCCACTTGAACTGTTAGCTGTTTCAATACAGTAACCATTCTGTATTCATCTTTGTACTCCAAAAATTCATTGTAATGTTAGGGTAGTAGGTTCTCAATGAATGTTTCCAGGTAGCAAGCATTAATCTCATTTAACAAAAAGGTGATGCAAGCCCAAAGCAAAATTGCATTTTGCTTTCTCCCTGGATTGGGTCTATGCCATGGAGAGATATACTTTGGTTTGGTCGAGTTTGGGACAAACTGCTAATGAGAACAGAGAAGAGGCACTGAGGTCAAAATTGTTTGGTTTGTGCCATCAAATCCTCCTGTACTTCTTCTAGTTGATAGTAGGTGTTCAACAAACTCTCATTGACATGAACAGAAAGACTTCACTGCATTTTTATAATACTCCATAACAACCATTTATTGATGTTTGAGATATTTATAATGCTACTTTTGACTTCCCTCAGGATTATCTGCTCTTATAGTACCTATTTGTCATGATTTTTATAAAATGGAAGATATGGGCTAATGATTCAGGCCAGTCAGGGTAATTTTTAGGAAGATACTTGCAAGATAAATGATCATCCTGCCTGTCTCCCAGTAACCCTAAAATGATCTAGTGTCAGAAGACATTGATTCAAGCCAACAATTGAGGCAACTTAGCATTAAGCTAACTTTCTACTGGTTTCAGTCCAACCTTGAACATTGGTTCTAATAAACTGGATTATTACTTGGTTCCTGTGAATGAATTACAGTGTGGTACTACCATTTCATGACCTGGCTTCCTATCTGTTTTCTTAGTGGTTTTTATTTTTATTTTTTCTGGATTCTCCAACTACACTTAGATTGAAGCCATCTTCCTTGGGCTCAGAATTCTGCTCCTGAGTCTCAGCCCCTGATGTTAGGACCTCCTATGTCATGAGGACCCCTATGCCAATCATCAACTCTCTGTATTGCTGGGTGATTTCCACAGTATTTTCTTGACATCATGCTTTTGTTGACCACGTCCTGCCTGAGTTGTCCACAGTGGTTCTCTGTCACTCACAGTAATGGGGTGACCTCCAGATACTGAGCCCTCCATCACTGCCTGGGCCTAGCATGGACTGAGGTCTGACATGACAACTGGCTGGAAGGCTGGGGCTGAGCTGAAAATGCCACAGTACTGTCTCTTATCCATAAATAAATCAGAGCCAATGTTAATATTTAGCATGAAAACTCTTTATTTTATGAATCCTGCTTTCTCAGATGCAGTATGAGTTATTTTTTCTAATGAAAATGAAATGTGAGGAGGTATTTTAATTTATCAAAGCTTTACCCCAAAAAACATAGACTAAAACCCCAGCCTCAAAAAGACACAATAAATCTGAAGTTAGAAAAATAACAACCAATGGGGGGAGGGGCTTTTTATTTGTTTACCTGTGATCAATCATTTCGGGGACATTAGATGCAAAACTCAGACTAATTCAATGCTACTTTAGATATAAGTAATTATTTTGTTCACTCATCATCTATGATAGAATGCCAAGTAATTTAGGTAAATATTTCACATGAGTGATTATAAAATCTTTCAGAAATAAGCAAGCTAATGATTACTATAATTTTGTTTTTTTTCCTAGTCTGTTAAGTTTCCAGAACAGATGTCTATGTACACTTTGGCATAAAAAACAATTCTTATTTTAGAGGGTAGTAGAGGTAGTAGGTGCCCTCCTCTGGGAGACTTATTTTTTGAGCCACTGAAAATAAATATTTATTAAAAGCTTCCCAGCCAGCTATTCCTTTTAATTAAAAGTCCCTTTAACATCCGATATACTTCTGTTATTCCCTTAAGGACCATTTTAGCTTCAATCTGCATTTAATATTGAATTTGCACCAGGGAAATTCATTAGATACAAGCAGTGTAAGAATTCCTTTATGTTTCCATCATTTTAATTCAGTCCAAACCATAATGCCTCTGAGTCATCTCAAATATGCTTGGGGGTTGCGGTAGAGAAAGGGTGGAGTGGATCGGAGGAAGGAACCAGGTAAAGGGGAAACTGGGTTTTCAGATAGGTTTGCTGCAATCTAGGGATGTGGTGGGGCAGGCCAGAGGAAGGGGCAGAGGAAAAGGGAGGAACTGGACATTTGGATGGGTTAGCTCAATCACATAGTCTCAGAACACTACTGTGTTCTGTAAACCATCTTTCTAAACCAAAATCAATGTGTGATTTTCTTCCAATGTCATCTGTAAATCATAAATATTCTTAACAAAGATTCTGTCCTAAATAGATCTATGCTATAATCACCTTTGACAAAAGGAGTATATCTAGACAACTCATGACTTTAATCCTGAACCAAAACTATTTGTCTCATCCTTGGCTTTCTCGCTACATACCAGGAATCATGAATGAGGAGAGTGGGATGGACCACGGTGAGGCTGGAGATCGGATGTGACTGTCCTATTTTTCACAGCCTGAGAATCGGTGCTACTGGTCACAAGATGTGGAAGATTTGGTGTTTTGGTAGGAAACATCCCTCAACAGATTTTCAAAATAAGATAAAATGGCTGTGAACGTGCTTTAGAGACTGTAAATTATTAGCGTGAGCTGTCACTGTTACTTTGGAGGGGGCCACATTGAATGGGTTCATCTGAAATTAGAAAAATCCTTTATGGTGCTAAGACTCCATTCATTTGAATTTTGAATTCATGTTGCAATGATTTTTTACGGTGTAGGTGATTGTTTTTGGCTTCTTCTAGCCACCAGCTAAGATCTAAGTCCCAGAGTAGCAGGGACTCTGTGAGATTCATTAGTGAGTCTTCTTGCCTTTAGCTCAAATCACACTAAATCATGAGGGTCCATACAATTTTTAGGATTTTCAGAGAGATGCTATCATGTTCCTGTGTTAAGGTTTTTACTTGGAGAAGAGCATGGAAAATATGGAAAGTGCATTAAAAACTCCAGTGTTTCTTGAATAGGTAGCCACTCTCTCCTTTTCACAGAACATTGATTAAACACACCTTGGGGGTTTTCTAGACTGACGAGGCATGGGCATAATGAGGTGGTTTTGTAGCATAAAAAGTTCTTTCCATTTGGTTTTATGTTTTTAGAGACAGGGTCTTGCTCTGTCACTCAGGCTGGAGTACAATGGCATGATCATAGTTCACTGTGGCCTTGAACTCCTGGACCCAAGCAATCCTTCTCCCTCACCATCCCAATTAGCTAGGACTACAGGCAAGTTATTCCCATTCAAACGGGTGCTGAGTCTCTCCTGGGAATGGCACAGCCTCAGCGTGGGAGTGCCAGCAACAGCCCTCTCCAGAAGGTCCTCCAGAGAGCAGGTTAGGCGCTGCCACACATCTTATTTACTTATTTTGCAATATTAATAAGAACATGCTCCTCACGGACACTGACCAAGGCTGGGCGGAAAACCCAACCACTTATTGCATTTACAAAAATTCCCCTGGAACCGCTGGACTCCGAACACCTGACATTTAGTGCCTGGCTTACTTATCTCTGTGTCCTTGCAGCTCAGAATAGTGCTGTGTACACAACAGCTGGTCCATGAATGAGTGCTAAAGCTACCTGCTAATAAAATTAGTATCTGTCATTTAAAATAGGTCTCCCTGTCCCATTCCACTCAGGTATCAAGTTGACACATTGCTCTAACCTGGACCTGCTCTCTCACTTGAACACTCAGGAAATGCATGTATAGTTTTAAAGATCATTTGTAATGAAAATGACACCGTGAAATCACCTAGTTTAGGAACGGCAAATGCACAGCGTTTTTGCCCTCTCTCCACTCCTGTCCTTGCAGTCAGCATGGCTCCAACACAGTCCCTCTGGATACACATTCCATGTGGACCTCTCCAACCACAGAGCCTTCTCCACACTGAGCTGCCACTGCAGAAGAAATGGCCTTCCCTTCTTGAATGTAGTTTATCCTCACCATTTTGCGGATGGGAAAATTGAGGTTCAGAGTGTGAAATGACTCTCACAAGAGTTAGGTCGGGGAGGTGGGATTAGCTCCCAGACTTTGGGAGCCTGTTACCAATTGCCCTAATGTGCACACGCATTCTTTCTCTCTTTAGTAGTTTAAATTCAGAATACTTAATGCTAAAAATCAAATATTGTGGTCAAAAAATTCTAACTCTTAAAGAAAAGTATTTCTCCTTCAAGTTCTTATCAGAATACCAGCCAGTCCTCCAGGAGTCTTTTTGTAATAAATATAGCAAAGCAGATTTGGCCCTCACAGGTGTTTGTCTCAGCACGGCGGTTTCCCCGGGAGCTGAATGTCGGGACAAATGGTGGCCTCTCCTGCTGTTCCTTGAGGTCGGTGCCCCAGCGATGGGGGGGCCTCAGGCAGAATGGGCATCCCAGGGTTTCTTTAGCCCAGAGAAGACCTATTATGACTACCAGGTCTCCTGGGGTTGGAACTTGCATGCCTGGGGCTGGGATGTAATTGAATTACCACTGGTACAGGGAACAACATCCCTGACCTAAATTCAGGGTGTCTGTCTGCCAGCTTTTGGCACGAGTTTGGCTCATAATTTGACTCACATTTTAAAATCTTAATTGCTATAATAATTGGGTCTGCCAAGTTCACAAGCCAGCCAAGGTCTTAGAAGAATTTTAACCAAAGGATGGAATTTCCATCTGGTGCTGGATGAATCCTGAAATTGTAGCTGCTTCTGCTGCCCCTCCTCCTGCTCAGATACATTTATTTTAGGACTGATCACATTTGGAGATTGCTTATAAAATCATAAGTTATCATTATTATTGGTAGCTGTGATGGACAAAGATTAGTCTGTTCGTTGAAAAGGTAGGAAACTGTGGGTGTCCAGGGTTTAAATGACTAGGTCAGAAACACTCATAACTCTGCAGAAAAACTTGGTGAATTACCTCACCTCCATTCTAATTCGTTATTCTGTATTCATTGGTTTCCCAGAGGAATGCTGCTTTCAAACGAGAGCCCCCAAAACCCCAGCATGAGAAGATCTCAGTGGCTATCCTCCCAGGCCAAATCACTGGAGGCAGCAGGTGACTCGAAGTTGCTTTTGACATTCAACACAGTTCACTTTCTGTAAAAGAATGGCATTGAGGAATATGGAATTTACCCTCATTTTAACCTTTATTTCTTTCATGCCAGCTGGTTGATGGGGTATTTGCCCAGACTGAACAAGTAGACACCCCCATCTAGTGGCTTCCAGAGTACCCTGCTCTCTCTCTCAGCATCTTGGGCCTCTTTTGGCCAAAGACCATGCATGCTGCCGCTGGGTAACTTGTGCTCTTTCTTCCACAAGGGCCAGAGTGCACCTCAGGAAACTGCCAGGGGCAGTGCCTCCAAAGCCCTAGCACCACTTTGATCTTTTCCCGAAGTAAATTTAGCAAATCAGCACTCCCTTCATTTCACCCATTACTCTAATAGCATCCTCAGAATGGATTGGACATGAAGCTTGTACAAATCAATGTTATAGCTCCTTGCCAATTACTGTTTATCCTACCCTAAAATATTCCTCCTACTCATGATAGTAATGTTGTAAAAAGAACACAATGTATATAGCAATTTTTTTTTGAAGAGTGAATTAGGGAATCTATCAAAGCACTAACAGACTGGGAAATGCATAATAATAACACTTTTTACTTCTATGGTTTCTATCCACCAAGGGAATTATAGATGCTTTATATAAAACACAGGATTAAAACAGCAATTAAAATGCTATAAAACCAGAGAAAGGAAGCAGAATAATGTAACCAAACAACTGTGTCATATGAAGTTCCTTAAGAAAAAACTAATCAAATGTTTTGTCTTGTTTAAAGAATCTAGTTCAGAACTATCCTAGGGAGGAGACAGAGTCCACATCTAAGATCCACAACAACCTGGGTCCAGTCTCTTTCTCCTTGTCTTGACGCCATCTATGAATAGAAGATGATAGAAAGGGTCTTAGATTATATAGCTGTCTTTGGATTCTAGTGATTAGAGACAGTTTTATGAGAAAAATTTAAATTAAACCCAAAAGAGGAAAAGAATACCATCAAATAAAATAGATGCTCATAAAATTCATGAAAAGAGAATACTTCTAAATAAGATCTTGATGGGCGTTAATTACATCAATGATGGACTATTGTTCTACCGACATTCCAACATAAAGAATTTTGGTATTCATGCTAAATTCCAATGATCATTCCCTAAAGTGCCTGCAGTTTTGACTATTTAGAGACTTATTGTTTAAATCTCACCAAAAGTGCTAAATTGGGATCCCAGGATAAGAATCTCCGAGGTGGCAAAAATAACCATAGTGTGGGGTTTGTATCAACTTCTTAAATATGCCTTCTTATTCTGCCTTTGTAATTGGCTATATAAATAAAGGAAACAAATATCAAATTCATTACTTAAAGTTCTCATTCCATGAACCTTGAAAAAGACAAAGGTGTCATTATAAGTTGGCAACTATGAATTTTTGTTATTATATTTTATTAACTTGAGGAAATGGTTTAGTAACCTCTATTGATAGAAATATCCTGGTCTAATCTCCTATTTTCAGATGGAAAGTGCTGATTTTTCTCATTAAAAAAAAAAACAGAGTCAGAGTGAATAAAGGCAAAAACTTCATTGTATCCACATCTAAAAATCACAGAACAGGGTTCAAAGTGGCCACATTTTTAACTAAAAAATCACAAGAACCTCATGGCTGGAAGCTTTTTAGAATAATTATCCTCATTTGACCATGAAATTAAATGGTGCTAGAACAGGCTGTTTCAGAGCAAATTTAACCAGAATCTACTGATTTAATTTTTAATTCAGTAGCTGGTAGATGACTCTGGACTGCAGACCAAGGAGAAGCCAGGGTTTTATTGACATAATCAACTGCAGAAGCTCTTCTTGTGTTTAGTTTTTTCTTTTCTTTTTCTTTTCTTTTTTTTTTTTTTTTTTTTTTGCTAAATTACAGAGACAGTTTCAGTTATTTTAGGTTCTATATGACTTTTCTTTTACCTTCCAGCATGCAAAGGAAATAAAAAGAATTTTAAATCTACCCAACTTCAATTCTTTAAAAATGATGATATGTCCCCAATGACTTTTTTCTCTATAACCTGGGGATGCTAATAGGAAACTAGGCTATCATTTCCATTGTATATTAAGAAATTTGTACCCTTTTCTTAGCTATGATACTTGTCTGTAACAAACTGTGTTAGACCCTAAGAGCCTACAAATTAACTCACCTGATTCACTGCATGATCTGGGTTCCCCTCACCTTCTAGCCACATCTCCAGCTGCCCCGCTCCTTTGATCTGGTTACACTGGGCTTATTTTAATTCCTTGAGTATCATGCTCTCTTCAGCTGGCTGGACCCTCTCACCACTTCCCTATTTTGCTTGACTAATTATTTCTCTGTCTTCATTTGCTCCTGGGGGCCCTCTGAGCCCCTCTCTGACACTCCAGGCTGAACTGAGGCCCTCTCCTGGGAGTTCTTTAGCAATTGTGTGGCTGCTCATGTGTTTCCCCATGACACTGTGAGTGTCATCCATGAAGGCAGAGGAAGGCTCTGAGAGCTTGCATATGCTGTCATTGCTCTGCTGGTTTTCCCTTGGGTCCCTTTACCAATTCGAGGCACATGAGCTCCCTGTGGGCTTTCACTCCCAAAATGCCAACTGTTGCAAATCTTTGCCAGAAGGCTGCCCTCAGGCAGCTGGAATTTGCTCAGCTGGCTCACACATGGAGCAGGTAGTGCCTGGGAATTCATGCGAGTGTGGACTGCCCTTAAATAATAACCAGCTGCAGTGGGGATATAAGCACCCTAGTTCCCAGGTGGAGATGATGCTGAGGGTGACTTAGTGGTCTCTCTAGAGCTTTCTGAAGGATTGACCCTATAACACCCTCTGTGGGTCTTTGCTTTCCTTTCTTCCCCTTCCTGTCCCACTTCTTTATTCCTCCAAGTTTTTCCTGAGCATTCCGGAATAAACCTTTTCTCACGAATCTCCCACTCAGGGTCGGCTTCTGAGGAACTCAACCTGAAAACCATATAAAGAACTCCCATAAATGTCTGTTGAGTTAATTCAAGCGTCTTTTTACACCCAAACTTTTAGCCCTCTTATGTTATGGTGGAGGCTCAGAGAGAGTGTGACTTGTCCAAACTTACTCAGGGAACCAATGGCAGAACAAGTCTACTAACACCAGTGCCCCTTCTACAAAATTATATGCCATTTATTCCATTATATTGAAAAGATACTTTGAAAAGAATAATTTGAATCTTTAGATCTTCCCATTTTAAACACAATAGTAAACAGAAATAAGCTAATATTTATGGAGTGCTTATCACGTGTCAGGTGCTATGCTAAATGACATATACATTGTTTCATTTGAAACTCACAATGTTCTATAAAATAGGAAGTATTATTTTTCCCATTTTATAGATGAGAAAACTGGGGCTTAGAAAGGATAAGGACTTTGCTGAAGGTCACGCACTTGGAAGTCTGACCCCGGAGCCCATTCTACCAAAGACCATGCATATTTTCTCCGATTTAAAAATATTGACGCAGTTGTGCATAGCATTATTTTAAATCACTCCAAAGAAATATATTTTTAAGTTCACACTTAGTGTGTTTCTAAGGAGTTTGGCTCTTGGTGTTTTTCTTTTTCTTCTTTTTTTAGAGGGGGTAATGGAGCCCTTTAGAAAGTTATACATGTTTTCTTCAAAAACATGCACACACACACACAGACACACATGCACACACAAATATTGACTAGAGTTTCCAGATGAATGAAGGACCCCCTGAATTAAGGATCCTCATAAATAGGTTAACATTCTCTGCTATAAGGCACATTCAGACATATCATCATCATTAATGAAAAGCCTCTAAATGATTAGCAGCAAATGATGGCAAGGGAGCTAGTGTACCAAGCGAATTAGATAGCTTTGTCCCTACATTCTAGGTTTTAACTAAGGCAATCCATAGTCGTGGCTATAATAAGCAGCAAGATAACAATTTCCTACAATATTCTTTATTAAAAATTGTACTGAGATAATTGTTGATTCACATGCAGCTGCAAGAAGTGATACAGAGATCTCTTGTACACTTTGCCTTATTTTCCCTAATGGTAACATTTTGCAAAACTATAATATAATATCTCAACTAGAGTATTGACATGATAACACTCCACCAATCTTACTTATATTTCTCTCATTTCACTTGTACTTATTTGTGTGCTTGTGTGTATTAAATTCTATACAATTTTATCACACATTTATGTTCACGTATACACCACTATAGTCAAGATACTGAAAAGTTCCATTACTACAAATACCATATTGCCCTTTTATAATGACATCTATTCCCTCTCACACTTTCTCTTCCATTCCCATTCTAAACTCTTTGCAACCCCTAAATCTTTCCTCCATTTCTGAAATGTTGTCATATTAAATATGAGATTTAAGTGGAATCAAATAGTATGTAATCTTTCAGGGCTGGGTTTTTTCACCCAGTATAATTCTCTGGAGATTCATCCAATCTGTTGTGAGTGTTGGTGCTTTTTCTATTGCTAAGTAGTGTGCCATGGTATGTGTATTAGTTTTTGATTGCTGCTGTAATGAATTTCCACACACTAAGTGACTTACAACTTTTTGTGTTGGTGTCACTGGGTGAAAATGAAGGAGTTGGCAGGGCTGTGTTTCTTCCTGGAGGCTCTAGGGAGGAATCCATTCCCTTGCCCTTTCCAGCTTCCAGAGGCTGCTGCATTCCTTGGCTTATGGCCTCTTCCTCCCTCTTTAAAACCAGCAAAAACAGGGTAGGCCTTTTCTGAACTTGCAACATTCCAACCTCCTCTCTTCAGCTTCCACTGGTACCACTCAGAAAATCCAGGAGAATCTCTCCATTTCCAGGACAGCTGATAAGCAATCTTAATTCCATGCAACTTTAATTTGCCATTGCCATATACTATAGCATATTCACACGTTCCAGGGATCATGATGTGGACATCTTTGAGAGGGGCATTATTCACCTGTTGAAGGATGTCTGGGCTGATTCCAGTTTCTGGATTATTTCAAATAAAGCCACTATGAACATTCAGGTACAGGATTTTATATGAACACAAATTTTCATTTTTCTGATATAAATACTCAAGATTCAGATTGTTAGATTGTATGGTGATATGGTTTGTCTCTGTGTCCCCACCCAAATCTCATAGCAAATTGTAATCCCCATAATATCCACGTGTCAAGGGAGGGACCTGGTGGGAGGTGATTGGATCCTGGGGGCAGTTTCCCCCATGCTGTTCTTGTGATAGTGAGTTCTCATGACATCTGATGGTTTTATAAGTTTTTGACAGTTCCTCCTTCACACACACTCTCTCTCCTGCTGCCTTGTGAAAAAGGTGACTGTTTTGCCTTCCACCATGATTGTAAGTTTCCTTAGGCCTCCCCAGCCAGGCAGAACTGTGAGTCAATTAAACCTCTTTCCTTTATAAATTACCCAGTCTCTGGTAGTATCTTTATTTATTTATTTTCATTTTTGTTTTTTGAGATGGAGTCTTGCTGCGTTGCCCAGGCTGGATCACAATGGCACGATCTCGGCTCACTGCAACCTATGCCTCCCGGGTTCAAGCAATTCTCCTGCCTCAGCCTCCCGAGTAACTGGGACTACAGGCACATGCCACCATGCCCAGCTAATTTTTGTATTTTTAGTAGAGACGGGGTTTCACCATGTTGGCCAGGCTGGCCTTGAACTCCTGACCTCGTGATCTGCCCGCCTCAGCCTCCCAAAGTGCTGGGATTACAGGCATGAGATACCATGCCTGGCCCTCTGGTAGTATCTTTATAGCAGTGTGAGAATGGACTAATACATATGATAACTGTATTTAGTTTAGTTTTATAACAAACTACCAAGCTGTTTGCTAGAGTGGCTCTACCATTCTCCATTCCCACCAGCAATGTATAAGTGATCTGGATTCTTCACATCCTTGCCAGCAACTGCTGCTGTCACTGTTCTTAATTTTAGCCATTTTGATAGGTGTATGTTGATATCTCACTTTGGTTTTAATTTGTACTCCCCTAATTTCTGAAGATGTTGCACATTTTTTCATGAGCTTACTACCCATCTATAGATTCTCTTTTTTCTTTTGGAGACAAGGCCTCATTGTCACCCAGGCTGGAATGCAGTGGTACAATCACAGCTCACTACAGCCTCAACCTCCCAGGCTCAAGCGATCCTTCCACCTCAGCCTCCCAAGTAGCTGGGACCAGACATGTGCCACCATGTCTGGCTAATTTTTAAAATTATTGTTTGTAAAGATAGTGTCTCCCTATATTGCTCAGGCTGGTCTTGAACTCCTGGGCTCAAGTGATCCTCACTCCTTGGCCTCCCAAAGTATTGGGAGATTATTACAGGTGTGAGCCACTGCACCCCTCCTGTATATGCTGTTTAGTAAAATGTTTCTTCTTGTCTTTTGCCCAATTTGTACTTAGGTTGTTTGTTTTTTGACTGTTGAGTTTGGGAGTTCTTTGTAACTTCTAGGAACTAGTCCTTTGTTGGGTATCTGGTCTGCAAATATTTTCTCGCAGTCCGCAGCATGTCTTTTCATCCCCTTAGCAGAGTCTTCCACAGAGCAAATGTTTTTAATTTTGATGTAGTCCAATTTATCAATTTTCCTTTTCTGAATCATGCTTTTGGTGTCAAATCTAAGAACTCATTGCCTAGTCCTAGGTCTCAAATATTTTCTCCTATTTTTTTTTCTAAAAGTGTATAGGTTTAAAATGTACATTTAAGTCTGTGATCTGTATTGATCTAATTTGTGTATAGGTGTGAGGCTTAGGTTGAGGCTCTTTTTTTTTTTTTCTGCATATGGATGTCCAATTGCTCTCACACCTTAAATAGTAATTCAAGAGAATTTGGATTTTGCATATGGAAATCCATCTTACCACCAATTGCTCCATCTCCAAGGCTATCTTTCTGTCATTGAATTGCCTTTGTACCTTTGCCAAAAATCAGTTGAGCACTTATATGAATCCATTACCTTTTATACCATGTGATAAGGTCAGGCTGCGTCCCCACCCAAATCTCATCTTGAATTCCCACGTGCTGTGTGAGGGACCTGGTGGGAGGTAACTGAATAATGGGGGCAGGTCTTTATGTTGTTCTCATGATAGTGAGTAAATCTCATGAGATCTGATGGCTACTATAAGTGGGAGTTTTCTTGCACAAGCTCTTTATTTCCTGCTGCCATCCATGTGATGTGACTTGTTCCTCCTTGCCTTCCGCCATGATAGTGAGGCTTCCCCAGCCACATGGAACTGTAAGTCTAATTAAATCTCTTTCTTTCGTACATTGTCCAGTCTCAGGTATACTTTATCAGCAGCATGAAAATGGACAAATCACCATGTCATGATTCCATATGGACCCTTTTTGTACTGTTTTAGGAGCTGCTTTTCTTAGTCTTAGTTACATTGACCTTTTTTGCTGTGTCTCTGTACTTGAAAGCTGGATAGCTACCTGCAGGAGATGCTAAATAGCAAAGTACAATGAAGCTTCAATAAGCATTTCCTTAAATGAAAACAGCCTACCACCCATTTCAATGTTTATAAACCATGTTCAGTTTATCGGCCCACATGCACAGCTTTTGGACAAAAATGCACAGTTTTTTTCATCTCTGTTTAGGAGCAGGTAAATACACCCCACTTTAAACAAAATTGTGGTTTGTAAAATTTGCCTTCTCCAAGCATCATCTAAATCTTATCTTTCACCTGATCCCTTCAGCCCCTTTTGTTAGTTTCTCTTAATCAGAAGAGAGAAAACTAAACAATTTACCTACATTTCTTGGTTGAATACACTGAAACTAACTTTTACTTACATGGTACATCTACCATTAAAATTAAGAATTTAAAGCTTTTGATATCTAATTGGGGGTAGGAAAGAGTTTTATTTTTATTGAGGGGCAATGGTAAGATCATTTCATGGATCAATATACAAGTCATATATTTTTCCTTCAGTGATTGGAAGGGCATTGAGCTTGGTGGGTTGGGAATGAGAACTGCTAGAACCTCATTAGGCTAATTTCCCCAACATCACCAGCATCAGTCCTAATATTTATACAGTGCTGTGTTTGTTAAGCTAATCAGTAATTTTATAAAATATGTCAAATTTAATCCTCATTGCCATTGTGAAGTATTAATATTATTATGCCCAATTTACATAGATAAAGTCTAAAAATCAGACATGCTAAGTGACATACTCAAGGCACGTATGAACTTGACTGAATCTTCTGCCTTCCAGTCCAGTATTTGCTTCACTCTAACAAGCAGAAAAGCTTGACCTTTTTAGGCTAATTTGGGAGTAAGAGATGAGAAGTCTCTCTGTAGCCTTCCGGTGACCCCCTCCTTTCTCTGGGTCCCTAGAGCAATCAGGTGTCCAGGAATACTCACTCCAGGAGAACTGGGGCCCACCCTGCCACATATGAGATTCCCCTGCTGGCACAACGCCATCAGCACTTTCTGTAATGACAGAGATGTCTGGTATTGGACCTGCCCAATATAGTAGCCACATCCACCTGTGGCTATTGAATCTTTGGCATGTAGTGTTGCAAGGAATTGAATTTTAATGATCATTAATTAAAATGTAAGTTTGTATAGCTATGTAAGGCCAGTGGCTGCTATACAGAACAGTGGGTTCTAGACCTTTCCCCTGTAGTCCCATCGCCACTGGCTGAGCCCAATCTGGGTGCCTCTCTCTCCCATCATTTCTGATTGTAATCTGTTTCATAGTCTTACATTAATATAAATAAGTATTTTTGAATTCAGTTATTTTCTTCAAGTGTTTAATAATCTTATTGTTATTATCTCTTTTCTGTTATGATGAAGCTTATCATTTCTGCCTCTGGTAATAAAGTGTCTGCACATAGGCTCAAAATAAAGGGATGGAGGAAGAGCTACCAAGCAAATAGAAAACAAAAAAAGGCAGGGGTTGCAATCCTAGTCTCTGATAAAACAGACCTTAAACCAACAAAGATCAAAAGAGACAAAGAAGGCCATTACATAATGGTAAAGGATCAATTCAACAAGAAGAGCTATCTATCCTAAATATATATGCACCCAATACAGAAGCACCAAGATTCATAAAGCAAGTCCTTAGTGACCTACAAAGAGACTTAGACTCCCACACAATAATAATGGGAGACTTTAACACCCCACTGTCAACATTAGACAGATCTACTAAACAGAAAATTAACAAGGATACCCAGGAATTGAACTCAGCTCTGCACCAAGTGGACCTAAAAGACATCTACAGAACTCTCCACCCCAAATCAACAGAATATACATTCTTCTCAGCACCACACCACACCTATTCCAAAATTGACCACATAGTTGGAAGTAAAGCACTCCTCAGCAAATGTAAAAGAACACAAATTATAACAAACTGTCTCTCAGACCACAGCGCAATCAAACTAGAACTCAGGATTAAGAAACTCACTCAAAACCGCTCAACTACATGGAAACTGAAACCTGCTCCTGAATGACTACTGGGTACATAACGAAATGAAGGCAGAAATAACGATGTTCTTTGAAACCAATGAGAACAAAGACACAACATACCAGAATCTCTGGGACACATTCAAAGCAGTGTGTAGAGGGAAATTTATAGCACTAAATGCCCACAAGAGAAAGCAGGAAAGATCCAAAATCGACACCCTAACGTCACAATTAAAAGAACTAGAAAAGCAAGAAGCAAACACATTCAAAAGCTAGCAGAAGGCAAGAAATAACTAAGATCAGAGAAGAACTGAAGGAAATAGAGACACAAAAAACCCTTCAAAAAATCAATGAATCCAGGAGCTGGTTTTTTGAAAAGATCAACAAAATTGATAGACCACTAGCAAGACTAAGAAAGAAGAAAAGAGAGAAGAATCAAATAGATGCAATAAAAAATGATAAAGGGGATATCACCACCGATCCCACAGAAATACAAACTACCATCAGAGAATACTACAAACACGTCTACGCAAATAAACTAGAAAATCTAGAAGAAATGGATAAATTCCTCGACACATACACCCTCCCAAGACTAAACCAGGAAGAAGTTGAATCTCTGAATAGACCAATAACAGGCTCTGAAATTGTGGCAATAATCAATAGCTTACCAACCAAAAAAAGTCCAGGACCAGATGGATTCATAGCCAAATTCTACCAGAGGTACAACGAGGAGCTGGTACCATTCCTTCTGAAACTATTCCAATCAATAGAAAAAGAGGGAATCCTCCTTAACTCATTTTATGAGGCCAGCATCATCCTGATACCAAAGCCTGGCAGAGACACAACCAAAAAAGAGAATTTTAGACCAATATCCTTGATGAACATTGATGCAAAAATCCTCAATAAAATACTGGCAAACCGAATCCAGCAGCACATCAAAAAGCTTATCCACCATGATCAAGTGGGCTTCATCCCTGGGATGCAAGCCTGTTTCAACATACACAAATCAATAAATGTAATCCAGCATAAAAACAGAACCAAAGACAAAAACCACAGGATTATATCAATAGATGCAGAAAAGTCCTTTGACAAAATTCAACAACGCTTCATGCTAAAAACTCTCAATAAATTAGGTATTCATGGGACCTATCTCAAAATAATAAGATCTATCTATGACAAACCCACAGCCAATATCATACTGAATGGGCAAAAACTGGAAGCATTCCCTTTGAAAACGGGCACAAGACATGGATGCCTTCTCTCACCACTCCTATTCAACATAGTGTTGGAAGTGCTGGCCAGGGCAATCAGGCAGGAGAAGGAAATAAAGGGTATTCAATTAGGAAAAGAGGAAGTCAAATTGTCCCTGTTTGCAGATGGCATGATTGTATATTTAGAAAATCCCATCATCTCAGCCCAAAATCTCCTTAAGCTGATAAGCAACTTCAGCAAAGTCTCAGGATACAAAATCATTGTACAAAAATCACAAGCATTCTTATACACCACTAACAGACAAACAGAGAGCCAAATCATGAGTGAACTCCCATTCACAATTGCTTCAAAGAGAATAAAATACCTAGGAATCCAACTTACAAGGGATGTGAAGGACCTCTTCAAGGACAACTACAAACCACTGCTCAAGGAAATAAAAGAGGATACAAACAAATGGAAGAACATTCCATGCTCATGGGTAGGAAGAATCAATATCATGAAAATGGCCATACTGCCCAAGGTAATTTATAGATTCAATGCCATCCCCATCAAGCTACCAATGACTTTCTTCACAGAATTGGAAAAAACTACTTGAAAGTTCATATGGAATCAAAAAAGAGCCCACATTGTCAAGTCAATCCTAAGCCAAAAGAACAAAGCTGGAGGCATCATGCTACCTGACTTCAAACTATACTACAAGGCTACAGTAACCAAAACAGCATGGTACTGGTACCAAAACAGAGATATAGATCAATGGAACAGAACAGAGCCCTCAGAAATAATGCCACATATCTACAACCATCTGATCTTTGACAAACCTGACAAAAACAAGAAATGGGGAAAGGATTCCCTATTTAATAAATGGTGCTGGGAAAACTGGCTGGCCATATGTAGAAAGCTGAAACTGGATCCCTTCCTTACACCTTATACAAAAATTAATTCAAGATGGATTAAAGACTTAAATGTTAGACCTAAAACCATAAAAACCCTAGAAGAAAACCTAGGCAATACCATTCAGGACATAGGCATGGGCAAGGACTTCATGTCTAAAACACCAAAAGCAATGGCAACAAAAGCCATAATTGACAAATGGGATCTAATTAAACTAAAGATCTTCTGCACAGCAAAAGAAACTACCATCAGAGTGAACAGGCAACCTACAAAATGGGAGAAAATTTTTGCAAACTGCTTATCTGACAAAGGGCTAATATCCAGAATCTACGATGAACTCAAACAATTTACAAGAAAAAAACAAACAACCCCATCAAAAAGTGGGCAAAGGATATGAACAGACACTTCTCAAAAGAAGACATTTATGCAGCCAAAAGACACATGAAAAAATGTTCATCATCACTGGCCATCAGAGAAATGCAAATCAAAACCACAATGAGATACCATCTCACACCAGTTAGAATGGTGATCATTAAAAAGTCAGGAAACAACAGGTGCTGGAGAGGATGTGGAGAAATAGGAACACTTTTACACTGCTGCTGGGACTGTAAACTAGTTCCACCATTGTGGAAGTCAGTGTGGCGATTCCTCAGGGATCTTGAACTAGAAATACCATTTGACCCAGCCATCTCATTACTGGGTATATACCCAAAGGATTATAAATCATGCTGCTATAAAGACACATGCACATGTATGTTTATTGCGGCACTATTCACAATAGCAAAGACTTGGAACCAACCCAAATGTCCAACAACGATATACTGGATTAAGAAAATGTGGCACATATACACCAGGGAATACTATGCAGCCATAAAAAATGAAGAGTTCATGTCCTTTGTAGGGACATGGATGAAGCTGGAAACCATCATTCTCAGCAAACTATCCCAAGGACAAAAAACCAAACACCGCATGTTCTCACTCCTGGGTGGGAATTGAACAATGAGAACACATGGACACAGGAAGGGGAACATCACACTCCGGGGTCTGTTGTGGGGTGGGGGGAGGGGGGAGGGATAGCATTAGGAGATACACCTAATGCTAAATGACCAGTTAATGGGTGCAGCACACCAGCATGGTACATGTATACATATGTAACAAACCTGCACATTGTGCACATGTACCCTAAAACTTAAAGTATCATAATAATAAAAAATAAATAAAAAAATAAAGTGTCTGATGAGAACAGTGAGAAACACCAGTTTGGACCTCATTTCATCACTATTATTCTTAAATTAAAATATAATCCTCCTTTACTCTTAGCCTTATAGTGTAGAGCCTTCATTGTTCCTTCCTTTCCAGACCAAAAGCTGCCTTCTGAAAACCCAGTTCTCCAGATGTTCTTCTCCAATGATGGCTTCACCTTTGTTGGGGCGATCATCCTGCCTGACTCTTGTCTTGCATCCCCACGATGGAAGCACCTTATTCCCCCACATTTAGTAAAGCTGCCCTGAAGGTGGCCAGCAGACTCTCTCCCTTTAGGGCTATTTCCGCATGCTTGCTCCTCCCCCTTGTGTAAGCCCTCTGTCTACCCTCATTTCCATCCTCCACTGCAGCCTCAGTGCCCATAGACTCACTTTCTATTCCACGACCCATCTCCATCCAGATGCTTTCATGCCCATGAGGACAATGCATCTGAGGCTTAGATGCCTGCCCACTCTATCTCCTTGCCCTCGAGGACTCCCACCTTCACTCCACCTCAGCTCCTGTCTGTCACCTGTCCCTGAACTAGTCATCACCCAGAAATAAACTTAAGAAATTCTGAAGCCGCAAACATTCCCATTTCTGATTTCCACCTGCTGTTTATAATGCCTTCATTTTCACTCAGATTCAGCTCCTGCATCTGTCATTTAACCCATGGAGACTTCCAGGTCCCAACACTCATCTTTCAGGCTCATCTATCTTTCCCTCCTTCAACACACAGCATAGAGTCTGTCATCCATCATTTCAGCGACTCCCTTATCAATAATGTCAATGCCTTTCCTGCACCCCTGGTTCGACTGAACCACCTGCTTCACCTTTCACATGCCTGAACAATAATGTGCTGCTGGAAGAGTTGTCCTATCAGCTCTTGGTATCCATGAATTCGTGGTTCTCCACCTACAGCGGGGGCTTTGACACCTCCAGACAGTCTTGTGTCCTTAGTCATGCTCCCTCCCCTCCCAGAAGGCCTCCCTCTCCTGGGGAGCTCCTCCAGCCCATGGTTTCAGTGAGTGTGAGTTGGTGACATCTAAATCTGTATCTCCGGTACAAATCTCCCTCCTCAGGTCCTGGAACACAGCAACCCTTGGATGTCCCACAGAGACCTCGAATGTACCATGTCCAAAACAGTGTTCAGCCTCTTCTGACTCAGAGCTGCTTTCCCTATATCCCACCTCCAGCCTTAGAGGATCAGGCACCTGACATTCAGCGCACACAACAGAATTCCAGCTGTCACCCTGGCCCTTCCTGTTCTTCACTCTGTATACCAAGTCACCAAGTCGTTCTATTTTCTACAACATTTATCCCAATATGTTGCATCTTTTCACCCCAAGTCTTCCTGCAGTCCACATCACAATAATTTTAACAGAATTCTTACTCACTCTGCTGTGCTCTCAGATCGTCACTAAATTATCTTTAAGACATTGTCTTTCTCAGAAACAAACATTATTATGTCCTTGACTGAAATTCCCCAGTGATCCCCAATGCTTTCAGAATCAAGTTCACGGTCTAAACCCTTCAGCACCTGACCCTGGCTGGCCTGCCTGGTCTCACTGTTGGCTTCTCCCTCAGCCCTTCAATTCCACAAGTGGTGAGGAGGTCACACGGAGCCTTGTTCATTTCCTCATCTGTGACAAGCTCCCTCTTGTTCTCTCAGCCTTGTGCTCCTCAGGCTGCCAGAAATATCTCCACTTTGTCCTGGAGGGTGCTTATTATCACCTACTTATTAAAATTAGCAGGGCCAGACAAATCCATCTTGAGAGTCACTCTATAAAACGACTGGCTGGTGTTCTCCAAAATGTCAATGTAATGAAAGAGAAATAAACCTATTCCAGACTGACGAAAACGAAAGAGACATGAAGATGAAATGCAACACATGGTCCTGGGCTGGACCCTGTTTGAAAGGCAAAAGATGTTGTAAGGAAGGGCCAGACAATTGACAACATAGAATGTGGACTGTAAATCAGATAAAGGTCTTGTGTCAGTGCGAATGCCCTGAGTTTGATAACTACACGACTGTTCCAATAGAGAATAACCTTGTTCCTTAGAAATACACACTGAATTATTAAAGGGTAAATGGGCATGGTGTATTCAACCTATTCTCGAATAGCTCAGAAAAAATTTTACACACATATATGTGTTTATATTTGCATGACATATATATGTTTATATATGTACATACATATACATGTGTGTGCATGCACACAGAGGGACAGACAGAAGAGAAAATGGTAGAGCAAATGTGGCAATGATATAGGTTGGACGTTTGTCCCCTCCAAATATCATGTTGAAATGTGATCCCTAATGTTGGAGATGGGGCCTGGTGGGAAGTGCTGAATCATGGGGGCCGATCCCACATTAATGGCTTGCTGCCCTCCCTCCAGTAATGAGTTCACAGGAGATCTAGGACCTCCCCCTCCTCTCCTTCTCTTGCTCCTTCTTTCTCCATGTGATATGCCGCCTCCTTTTTGCCTTCTGCCATGACTGGAAGCTTCCTGAGGTCCTCATCAGAAGTAATGCTGGTGCCATGCTTGTAGAGCCTGCAGAGCTGTAAGCCAGATAAAATTCTTTTCTTTATAATTATCCAGTCTCAGATATTCCTTTATAGCAATGCAAACGGACTAACACAGGCAATGTATTCAATTTGCTGAATTTTGAGTAAAGGTTATAGGTGATCTGTGTGTTATTCCTGGAATTTTTCTGTAAGTTTTTACATTATTTTACAAAAGAAAGTTAAAAAGGAAGTTCTAGGATTCTTTGATTTCCAGTTTTGTAACTGTTGAGCAAATGTGAGAGATTCTGTCATCATTATTTTTGGTACGTAAGAGCTAAAATTAAAAGGTGTTGTAGAAATTCTTCCAGTATAAAATATTTTATTTAAAAACTTGCTGGGTAAAGGCCAGAAAAATCGACTGTAAATGTAACTAATCATATGCAATGTTTAGAAAAATTCTGAGTATATACAAAGTAATATTATAATTGGATGATGAAATTGCTGATGGAACTTTACATGATTTCATTTTCCTTGTTCTTATTGCTTGTTTTCTTCTAATTTACTATAGTAAATATGTGTAAGTTGGTTAATAAGATTGCAAATAAATTTTAGGTGCTTTAACAATGAATATATAAAGAAAAGAAAGCCAATAGGTCCATCTTCCCCAAAGCTTCAGTTGATAGGATCTGGGAGTAAAGTACCTTTAGAGAGAGCCCCCTTTGGGCGTATCTTGAACTACTTGATTATCTATGTACCTAAGTAGTCATATGTCTTCATTAGAGAAATATTTTTTAAAAACTTATGTGTTAAAAAGTTATGACAACATTCCCAGTCTCTTTTCTTTATTTGTATAACTTTCCCAATAAAGCAGAAACTGTAACCTTTCCCCTGTAAGGATGAGCTTTTTTATCTCAGTAGGTCATGGCCAGATTATATGCCACCCTGTGCCAAATCTCAAAAATCCTAAATTCTAGATTATATGTTGTAGGTTTTCAAAGGCAGGAATCTTGCCTGTTTCAACCTCCATTGAGTACCTGGTATATATTGATTTTTAACAAATATTTTATGCAGAAACAGCTCCATTCTAACCCATCTTGCCTTAACTGAACATTTTATGCACTTTCTAATTTGATCGCCAAATTTAACCTCGTATTGGACCTTGAGCTAATGAAATTTTAATCCAGTATTACTCATTCATCAAATCTCACGTTTCTAGTCTGAAGCCTCTTTTAAATGTGCTCCCCAAGCTCTTGGGTATCATTTCCTGATGCTGTGTTGATCAGCATGTTGGAATTGTCTGTTTATGAGTAGACACCAATCCTCCAGCCCAAGACACTGTGAGCTCCTTGAAGCATTTACTTACATGTCTGGAATGTAGTCTAGCACAGAATAGGCTTTTGAAATGTGTTTTCTATTGCTTATAAATCTAAGTCAACATCTCTATTTTATGGATGAAGAAATAGAGACCCTCAATCGTTAAGCATTTTGTTCAGGGTCACACAACTAAATATTAAAAATAGAAATAAGAACCCAAATGTATTAACTGATGGCCCTTATTCTTTCTTGTATAATATACAATTTTGTTATTTCTTTTGAACATCTACCTACATTCATAAACACATACATGTTTTGGTACAAAACAACAGTTGTGGTGAGTATGAAAATTGCCAACTTTATCTCAGCAGTCCTGCTTGACTTCTCCAATCTTAGGGTCTCCTCTGGTCCTGCATAGTCTTGGGCAGTTTCTTTCCATCTAAAACTGTTACTTCCTTCTTCTAATCTCAACAGGAGCTCAACTATGACCTTTTTACTTATGCATAATTGGTTCCTTGTTGTTCATTAATTCTCTAAATTTGCACTGGAATTGGATTGCAAAGCTTGGTTTCTGTGTGGTATCTGTATTTGTTTTCTCCATAAGAAAAAAAATAGTATTGGCAAATTGGAGGATGGAAAAAGGTGCAAAAGGCTTTTGAAAAGGTAATTAATTAAATTACTTGTTCAGAATCTTAACAGGTAATTATGAAGGAAACCATTAGCTCCTGCCCAATCTCCAGTCTACCCTTTTCTTTTAATAGTGGGATGCCACATTTTAGCTGGCCATATGGACGTTCAGTCAAAGACTCCATTTTGCAGCCTCACTAGCAGTAGCTGAGGGTGGCTGTGTGACTAACTTCTAAACCAGGGAATGAAAATGGAAGTGATACGTGCAACAGCATTTCCTTAAAAGGAAAGAATATGCCCCCACCTCTCCCTCCTTCCCCTCATGCTGGATTCCTGGTATGTTGCTGTTGGACAGAGCAGTCACCTTCAACATCACATGGTGGAGGTGTGACCAGGATGTTAGAGCAACAAAATGTAAGGAACCTGGACCCCTGAGGACAGCCCAGCCCCATACCAGCTTTAGACCATTGATCCCAACTTCTGCATGAGAAAAATAAACTTCTGTTTATCTATGTCATCATTATTTTGAATTTCTCTGCTACAACAGGTGAACTGTTAGTCTATGAAATACTATCTTCATTTTATGCTATTCAATCAGTATTAATAGATTTGTGGAGTACAAAATAATAAAAATGGAATAAAACATTAACTAAAACACTCAAACATAAAGTGAATACATGTGGTCAGTAAATCTACCCCCCATTTATAAGCTCGTCAAGAGTAGACAGATAATTAGTATTTATGCTCTATTGAGCAATTTTATTATCCTTTTTGAAAAATACGCTTAGGAGACACAGTCCTAGCCAAAAAGAAGCTTGAAATTCAGTAAGTGCCAAGGAAACACACCCTGCAAAGGGTCAGATCAGTAAGTGCCTTATTCTTATCTCAATAATCTTATTTTACACACATACAACTTTTATTCCATATTTCCCACCATGCCTTTGTTCAAACCATTGTTCTAGCTAAATTGAATTATTTACAGTTTCATGCAATAATCATTTAACATATTGTTGTTATTTCTTTGTCCCTGCTACCAGCACATAGTAAGTGCCCAGTTACTATGTATCAAAAGAACAATTCAATCTTTCTTCACTGTGGAATACCTCTTCCCTATCTCTAAATGTCTCAGTCTTATTAATAATACTAAAGTACAAGCATCAGAATCTATCTCCTAGAAGAAATATTCTCTGATGTCCTCAGCTGGAAATGATCCCCTTTTTCTGTGCCTTCTCATAATACTTTTCCGTCTTTCTCATGTCATTCATTACTACCTTCTGTCACAGAAATTTATTTTCATCTCCTCTTCCCTCCTATGTGGAGCTTGAAAGCAATGGAGGAAGAGAACTCGTGGCAGAATCACCTCTCGATTCCTTCCCTTTACAGCTAGCCTCGTGTCTTACACTGAGTGTTAGCAGTATTAATATGTGAATAATGATAATAAAATGCGTATTTTTGTAGATTATTTTTATCATGAATTATCTCAACTGGTCTTGTTGATTTGGCATGGAGAAAGAACAATAAGGAGAAAGAAAATGAGAGAAATATATGAGTTCAATACTTTTGTATTGACAACTTAATGTGCAAAGGGACACTGGATTCATTGGGTAATATTTTCAACAGGTTTTGCATGAATTTCCCTACTCATATCCTGAGGTCTTCGTCTTTCCCCCATGGTATTAAGACAGACTTGAGTCATCGATTGCACAGCCAGAAACAAAGGCTGCAAACACTCACCTATTAAGTAACCAAAGCAGGTGTCTAACTGATAGAAGTATGCTAAAGGAATATTAGACAAATAAATTTGCCAAATCTTAAGATACTGGATAAAAAGATGGAACAGGTCTGGAGACAGTGAGGGAGTAAGGAAGCAAGAATAAAGCATATCAGGATGTTGTGTGAACAAAGAGTCAGCAGTTAATTGCCCCTCTTGATGCCATCCATTGAGGATTGCCAATCACGAGATGTTGTCTATTAACGTTCCAGTTGGAGATATGATAACCTGTGCACCAAGGCTTTTCTCAGTGTCTCCCACCTCGACTACATCCCTTTAGCCCAGGGAAGACACCATCACTACTGAGGTAAGGTGGAGGAGATTAGCGTGTGTGCTGAAAAGGTGGTAGGAACACGGATACCTTGAGAAGTGATAATGTCATGAAGGAAAACACACTTGATCAAGATGGGAGTAGTTGGTGTATATTTACCCAATCAAGTGGCCTTGTAAAGAATACCTGTCCCTGTTCAAGAGCTTCTTAGAGAAGATAAAATTTAAATTAAGTCTTTATGAGGATGATAGAGAGGGCTTGGGAGGGAATTCTAAGAATGAGAAGCAAACTAACAGAAATGAACAAATCGTGAGGTAGGAGACAATTATCAGAATTGTAAAATCATAATGGTGGATAATAAGAAACAAAGTTGAAGATGTAGCAAGGTAAGTTGATAGAAGGCTTTGAAAATATTCCAGTGGATCCAAATGTTTATATTCCCGTTTTCCAGTGTCTTGGGCGTGAAGTATTTCAATGGGTTAATGTTTCAAGATATCAAAACGTAGATGTTAATGACCTATTTGAAAAGTTACTTTGATGGTAACTGGAATAAACAGCTTAAATGCAGATATAAATAAATCAAGACTGGATGGTTATTTTTTCTAAGTATTTTATTTCCTAACTATGAGTCTAGATTCACTATATCAAATTAATTATGACAGAATGAGTCAAATCAATATTGTAAGCTCAAATTTATCTTTGAATCCTATAAGTACCCATCTATGCAAAGAAACAAAATTAGCGTATAAACATTTTCTTTAGGAAAATGGCTTAGAATAGAATATTTTCCTTAAAAATGGGTAAAGCTTTTACAGTTTCTTCCTGATAGAATATCTGCAATTTTACTAAAATTACATCATGATTTTACTAAAATCAAATCATAAAAAGCATTTATTTTAATAATATATAAAGTGTTTCTCAAAACTTAAGCAGATATAAATGATAAAATGTATGTGATGTCATTTAGAATTATTTCCCCATAATGTAGCTAATCATGTTCAAAAAAGAACTTCTTACACTAATTTTATAAGAAATATTTTTTAAATGATTACAACTGAACATTTATAATTTCGCACTTGTTCCTTCTTCTTATAAAAGAGCTTATATTAAACTATATGGATTTTATTTTACTTTATTTTATTTTTTGAGATGGAGTTTCACTCTTGTCACCCAGGCTGGAGCTGCAATCTCGGCTCACTGCAACCTTTGCCTCTTGGGTTCAAGTGATTCTCCTGCCTCAGCCTCCCAAGTAGCTGGAATTACAGGCACCCACCATCACTCCCAGCTAATTTTTGTATTTTTAGTAGAGATGGTGTTTCACCATGTTGAGCAGGCTGGTCTCAAACTCCTGACCTCAGGTGATCTGCCTGCCTCGGCTTCCTACAATGCTGGGATTAGAGGTGTGAGCCACCGCACCTGGCCAAACTATATGGATTTTAAAATACAATGGAAAAAATGGCAGTTGGCAACACTAATGAGTATGTCCTCTGAATGTAATAGAATCAGCTAGAACCCTATAACAGAAAGACAGGGAAACCTCCAAACACATGGACACCAAACAACACACTGCTAAGTAACCCATGGACCAAAGAGGAAGTTTCAAAAGAAATTAAAAAATATATACAAAACTGAATGAAAATGAAAATACAATATTTCCAAATTTATGACACATAGTTAACACAGTACTGAGAGGAAAATTAGTAGAACTAAACACTCACATTAGAAAAGAAGAGTCTCAAATTAACAATTCATGCCCCTACCTCTAGAACCTAGAAAGAAAGAGGTAAATGAATTCAAAGCAAGTAGAAGGAAGGAAATAATAAAGATTAGAGCAGAAATCAATGAAATTAAAAAACAGTAAAATAGAGCAACCAATTGCTTGTTTTTTGAAAAGATTAATAAAATTGGCCAATCTTTATCAAGTTTGGGTAAAAAAAGAGAGAACACACATTACCAGTATCCAGAATGAAACAGGTGACATGACTACAGACCCCACAGACATCAAATCCATAAAAGAGAATGGTATGAACAATTCTGTACATATAAATCTGACAACTAAGATGAAACAAACTACTTAAAAAAACACAAACCACTATAACTCACCCATATGAAATAGATAACTTGAATACCCCTATAACTTTAAGAAAAATTGAATTCATAATTTAAAGACTCTCCCCGCAAAAATCTCCAGGTCTAAATGGTTTTATTGGCTTGGTTTGAATAATTAACATAAACTCTATACACTCTTCCAAAATATAGAAGAGAACCCTTCCCAGTTCATTTTATAAAGCTAGTATTACCCTAATGTCAAAACTAGACAGACACAGCACAAAAGGAAAAACTATAGGCCAACATCCCTCATGAATATAGACTAAAGAATCTTTAACAAAATATTCACAAATAGAATTAAGCAATACATATAAAAATTATATACCATAACAAATGGGGTTTATGTCAGAGATGCAAGTTTGTTTCAATATTTGAAAATCAATGTAATCCACCTTAATAGGCCATGAAGGAAGAATCACATGATCATATCAAATTATTCATAAAAAGCATTTGACAAAATTCTACATTCATTTATGATTTTAAAAAATACCTCAGAAAAGTAAGAATAAAGAAGTACTTCCTCAGCTTGATAAGGAGTATCTACAAAAAACTTTGTCCCTATTTGCAGATGACATGATTGTCTACATAGAAAATCCCAAAGAATCTACAAATAACAACAACCCTCCTAGAACTAGTAAGCCAATTCAGCAAAATTGCAAGATGTATGATAACATAAAAAACTCAGTTGTATTTCTACATACATGTAATGAACACCAGGGAGCTGAGACTAACATTATTACCTCTTACAGTCACTCAAATCAATGAAATAGTTATGTGTAAACCTAATACAATGTACAAAACTATATGCTGAAAACTACAAGATGCTGGTGAAAGAAATCAAAGATCTAAATAAACTGAAAGATATACCACATTGGTGGATTGGGAGAGTCAGCATAGTAAAGATGGCAGTTATTTCCAGATTGACATACAGTTTTAACAAAATTTCTGTAAAAGTTCCAGCAAGATTGTTTGTAGACATAGACAAGATTGTTCTAAAATTTATAAGGACAGGCAAAGGAACTAGAATAGCCAAAACAGTTTCGATGAAGAATAACATGAGAAGAATCAGTCCACACAATTTCAAGACTTATTATACATCTATAGTAATCAAGACTGGGTGGTATCGGCCAAGAGTAGACACAGAGATAATGGAAAAGAATATGGAATCTAGAAATGGACCTACACATATATCACCAACTGATTTTTGACAAAGATATAAAAGAAATCCAACAGAGGAAAAATAGCATTTTCAATAAATAGTGCTTGGAACAATCAGACACCTATAGGCAAAAGCAGGAACCTTAACCTAAATCTCACATTTTATATACAAGTTAATTTACAATGGATCCCAGTAAAACATGAAATGATTAAACTTTTAGGAAAAAAATGGGAGAAAATCTTTGAGATCTAGAGCAAAGTTCTTAGATTTGACACCAAAAGCATAATTCATAAAGGATATTAACAAATTAGGTGACATAAAAATTAAAAACTTTTGCTCTGCAAAAGACCCCATTAAAGAGACAAAGTCTGTTTTTCCCACAGTCTGGGAAAAAATATTTAAAACCACATATTTTACAAAGGAATAGTATCTAGAATATATAAATTTTCTTACTCAATGGTAAAAAAATAAAATAGACATTACCATTAGTACTTGGGCAAAAACATGAAGAGAATTTTCACCAAGGAGGATATACAGATGACAAATAAGTACATTTTTAAAATGTTCAATATTCATGGATACAGGGAGGGGAACACCACACACTGGGGCCTGTTGGGGGTGGTGCAGGGGGAGGGAGAGCACTGGGAAAAATAGCTAATGCATGTTGGGCTTAATACCTAGGTGACAGGTCGATAGGTGCAACAAACCACCATGGAACACATTTACCTATGTAACAAACCTGCATATCCTGCACATGTATCCCAGAACTTAAAATAAAATAAAATAAAGTGGCTCGTGCCTGTAATCCCAGCACTTTGGGAGGCCAAGCTGGGCAAATCACTTGAGCTCAGGAGTTCGAGACCAGCTTGGGCAGCATGGTGAAACCCCATTCCTACTAAAAATACAAAAATTAGCCAGTCGTGGTGGCTGGCGCCTATAGTCCCAGCTACTCCGGAGGCTGAGGCAAGAGAATCAATTGAACCCGGGAAGCAGAGGTTGCAGTGAGCCAAGATCGCACCACTGCACTCTAGCCCGGGTGACAGGGTGAGACTCCATCTCAAAAAAAAAAAAAAAAATTAAATTAAAGAATTAACATCACACACAAAAATTCAATATTATTGGTCACTAGGAAAATGAATTAAAACCACAATGAGGTATCACTAAACACTTACCAAAATGACTAAAATTAAAAAACAATGACAATGCCAAATACCAGTGAGGATGCAAAAAATTTAACCAGTCATACATTATAAGCGGGAATAAAAAATGGCACAGCTATTCTGGACAATAATTTGGCAGTTTCTTTCTTTCTTTCTTTCTTTCTTTCTTTCTTTCTTTCTTTCTTTCTTTCTTTCCTTCTTTCTTTCTCTTCCTTCCTTCCTTCCTTTCTTTCTTTCCTTTCTTTCTCTCTCTCTCTCCCCCTCCCTCTCTTTCTCTTTCTTTCTCTCTTTCTTTCTTTCTTTTTCTTTCTTTCTTTCTTTCTCTTTCTCTCTCTTTCTTTCTTTCTTTCTCTTTCTTTCTTTCTTTCTCTTTCTTTTCTTTTCTTTTCCTTCCTTCCTTTCTTTCTTTCTTTCTTTCTTTCTTTCTTTCTTTCTTTCTTTCTTTCTTTCTTTCTCTTTCTTTCTTCCTTTCTCTCTCCTTCCTTCCTTCCTTCCTTCCTTCCTTCTTTCTTTCTTTTCTTTTTTTTTTTTTGAGACAGAATCTCACTCTGCCTCCCAGGCTGGAAGGCAATGGCACTATCTCGGCTCACTGCAACCTCTGCCTCCTGGGTTCAAGCAGTTCTACTGCCTCAGCCTCCCAAGTAGCTAGGATTACAGGAACCCACCACCACGACCAGCTAATTTTTGTATTTTGTAGAGATGGAGTTTCACCACATTGGGCAGCCTGGTCTCAAACTCCTGACCTCAAGTGATCCACCCTCCTTGGTCTCCCAAAGTGCTGGGGATTGCAGGCGTGAGCCACCTCAACTGGCCTGGCAATTTCCTATAAAACTAAACCTGCAACTTCCATTTAACCTAGCCATAGCACTCTTAGGAAGGTGTCCCAGAGAAATAAAAATTTATGTTCATACTAATATACATAAATGTTTATGACAGCTTTATTCATAATAGTAAAAAACTGGAAACTACCCTTGTGTCTTTGAACAGGTAAATGACAAAAAACTGATGGGTACATCTATACCATGGTGCACTACTTGGCAATAATAGAGCAAACTGCCGATCCATGCAACGTCCTGGTGGGATGTCCAGATAACCATGCTCAATGAAAAAAATAAAAACAGCCAATTCCAAAAGGTTATGTGCTACATGATTCCATTGATACAACATTCTTGCAAAGAGAACAGATTTGTTATTGCCATGGTTCAAACTGGGGGTAAGAATGGAGGGAATTGAGTGTGGCTATCAAGGAATAACATGAGGGACCCTTGTGTTGGATTATTGTCCTCAAGTTTTGCAAGATGTTACCTTTGGGGAAACTGGGTAAAGCATACAATGATCTCTCTGTATTATTTCTTACAAATGCATGCCGATCTCTAATTTTCTCCAAATTAAAAAAAGTATTAAAAATACAATAGATAAATATGGCAGTTGGAGAAAGCAATGAATATTTGCTTTAAAAACACTTTGCTCTGTACTGAGCTTAAATATTCTCCAAGTATAAGATTCATTATTATCTGGCATACTAGTAGGATGAACCTGAAATTACATTTACAAGTGAATTAAAATATCTGGTTTCATTCCAGAAAGTACTTTCAGGAGCCATTGTAGAAGCTACTGTTTAAAAAATTTTAAGCATAAAGTTCTTAAGTGAATTAAATGAATTTTACACCCCTTACTTTTCTGGCAACATCTTTAGCAACTTTTTAAAATTACTGCAAAACAGCAAAGCCTAAAATTAAGTCACTAGGCATTGTAATCTTCACAAACAACAGAGCTCTTTCCCCAAGCCCTTGAAAGCCGAATTGCAATCTTTGTATGTGACTGAATACTGAATGTCCCCTTGGTGGAGACACATTGCCTCTGAAAACTGATACGCTTCCCCATACTCTAGGGGTATCCAATCTTTTGGCTTCCCTGGGCCACATTGGAAGAAGAATTGTCTTGGGCCACATATAAAATACACTAACACTAATGATAGCTGATGAGCTAACAAAAACAAAAAAATCACACAAAAAATAATGTTTTAAGACAGTTTACAAATTTGTGTCAGGCCATGGGTTGGACAAGCTTGCCATATTAGATTTAGAGGAGGAAAGGAAGATGGGGATATGTCTTGTGCAAAGTAAATTCTGTCAGGTTCTAATAGTCAGAGTTCCTTTATTCCTGCTAACTAGGGTAGGCAGCACTCAAGGAAACCTTCTTTTTAAAATTTTTGCTTGCAGATTGTTAGCAAACAACATACTTATCTTCAACAGCACACCTAGTTCCCCAGAGCAAAGCCCCAAAGGAATGGCATTTTGTGTAAGCCCCTTAGGGAGAACGGGGATGGCGAAGACAGGAAGGAAAAGGAGGGCTGAGAGGCTGATCCCCTCCCCACAAAGGGTGAGTTACCTGCAAATCTGCAAAGAAAGCCTCTGGAGTGATGTGCTGCCGGCTTTGTCAGGACAGCAGGGTCTGATGGCACAATGGTGCAATGCAGCACTCATTTCCAAGATTCCATCTCTCATTAGGTTCAAGATTCTGTTTTGCTCTGGGTTCCCTGGCTGGGATCCTAAGGCCTCTTAGGAGAAGCTGAAACATCTTGGATATTGGGATTCCTAATGGGTACGCTCACCAGCATAGCATGTCAGTCATAGTGTTAATAGACACATGTGAAGCCTCTAATATGCAAATGTGCTTAGATTTAAATTGATTTTCTAAATATGATCTTGAGTGTAATAGCTCCCATATGAGGTTGCTTTTTTCAAATTCTCCAGCAACCAGTAACACATTACTAAATATATAGCTTGTGCTCCAACTTTTGGCACTTCTAATCTTTATTTTGATTTGTCGGTGGTTGAAAGTGTTTGGTGATTTGTTTTTGTATTTTTTTTAATTTAAATTTCTTCCTGTATTATTGAAGGTTCCCCCCCCCCACCCAATAATTATTTGATATAACTCATTTTGACATTTAAATTTCCAACCTCAAAGTATAACTTTCTCTTCTATAGTTTCAATGGTCTACAGAAAACCAAACAGAGAGCTTCTAACCAACCAGATCTGGTTTGCCTAATTTTCACATTTTACAGGTATGGAATAACTAGAATTAATATACTTAAAAAAGGCTTTAATTCAATCCTGAGCAAAAATCTGTAGCTGATCACTTTATGTATCTTTCATTAGAAAGTAGACCTTTTAACATCTAGCTCTAAATATTTTTAATTCTTGGTATTTTAAAGACACATTCCCCATTTGATGGGAGGTGAGTGCCCATCACATTCAAGGGTTTCCCAATAAGGTGTGTGCACTAAAGGAATGAACTTAAAAGCTATGAGATCCCATAAAAAGAGGAAAAGGGCACAGCCTCCCTGCTGTCAGCAGCTTTTGGCTGAAGGCATGCTGTGAGAAAGGCATGTAAATCTGTTTCCAGAACAACACTGGCTGACAGCTGCCTGCCCTGGGACCTCCAACAGCCCTGCTGCTGGAGGGCGCTCCCTCTCCAGGGACGCTCACTGCTGCCTCACTGTGGGCTAGCTCCTCAAAAAACAATATGCATGCCCCCGTATCCCCTAGGAAGCCAGACATTGAGCCCTCCCACCCAGTACTCCAGACCAAAGAGGCTGCCCCTTGGTACAATGCCTTCGAAGGGTGTCTGTTCTTGACATTCACATGAGGAAGGGGAAGAACGGACCCTGCGGTGTCCAACAGTAGCCCTGAAGGCTAAGTGCATTCTCTGGGTTGCCTCTTCTCTCTTCCCATTTTCATAAACTCCACATTTCTCTTCACAGCCCAACTCCCATCTCACCATCTTCTGACCTTCTCAGATGATCTCATTATGTCTGAGAAGATCTCCATTCTTTTTCTCTGTATTTTCAGAGCCACTCATTTCACAATTGTCATTTTGAGGGAGGAGACCCTCTTTGTTTTGCACTGGGGCTCTTTGACAACATTGATGAGAATTCTTTCTTTTACTTGGCAACAAATGTGACTGCTGTTCCCAAGCCAGGTACAGCCGATTCTGTGCAGCTCGGCAGATAGACTTATACACACAGTAGGTGAGAAATTGATGTCTGTAGAATTCCTGTGAGCCTGCTTTCAACTGCATTAGAAAATAAACTCAGATTTGCTTCTTAGTGTCCTGAATGAGGCAATGTCACCATCAAACTGCTGTGAATAGGTAAGAGAGGTGTAATAGGTTGACATCAAGGATGGCTGTTTTGGGGGAGGGGTATAGGGGTTGATAAACACGTTCAGAAACAGTTGCCCCTATGGGCCCATAGAACTTGGCTATAGACTGACTGAGCCAGACAAAGCCATCTCCATGCATCCCCAAGACCAGATAAACTCAGACAACTTGGAGATCCTGAACACCCCTAACAGAGAGGTGGAAGCAATGTGTACAGTATGGAAGTACTGGAAGAAGGGGCGCGAAAACTCTTCGAGGAGTTCTCTTCCTGTTTCAATTCAATTAAAAGGTATTAGCAAGCCTTGCTCTAAATATATCATTTTTTAAATTGTTTCCACCTATTCTCTGTGCTTTCCCTCCTCCTTTCCTCCCTCCTTCCCTCCTTCTCTCCTCTGTCATGCATATCTACCATTTCATTAATTCAATTCTTCATTCATTCACTCTATACTGTCTGTTGCTAAGTTTTCACCTGAAATAAAGATTTATTTTTCCCATTCATCTCTTAACTTTAGGAATTTCCCACTTCCCATCATAGACCTTGAGTCCCTCCTCTTGCACCTCCCTACTCACATCCATTCCATGATATTCAAGTCCCTGACAACTGATCATTTTGTAGAATCATACCCCACTTTACATAATGGGTATGTGTGCCTACTTGATGTACTACTTAAGTGTGGAGATCCAATCAGCTGACATTAAAAAAATTAGAGAATTGAGAAAAAGTAGATTTGTTTAAAGACATAGCAAGTAGTAAAGCCCTTACAAACCATTGTAAGATCTTGGGCTTCTACTCTGAGGGAGATGGGTTGTGAACAGCAGTGTGATATGATCTGAGCTGGTTTTTAACAGGATCAATCTGACTGCTGTATTTAAAAGAGCCTGAGCGTTTGGGGCAGCAAAGCGAGAGATTGCAGTGACTTAGGAGTAGCATTTGAATTACTGGCAGAGGGTAGGGTTCTAGGTTTTTTTCTGAGGGTATAACCAACAGGCCTCCCTCATGGATCAGATGTAGATTGTGAGTGAAAAGGAGTTGAGGCTGATGCAATAAACATATGTCTACATATTCTTTGGCAATCCTCCCTCAGAAGGTGGAGACTAATTCCCCTTCCCTTTAGTGTAGGTGGGACTCGTGACTTGCTTCTAATGAATGGAATGTGGTGGGAGGGACAGGCTCAGGGTGTGTGTCACATCATAGGACACATCACTATGTCCCATGACTAGGACATAAAAGGCATTGTGGTTTCCTTATTGGGCTCTCTCTCTCTCAATCACCTGTTCTGGAGAAAGCCAGCTGCCATGTCACAAGGACACTCAAGTAGACCTATGGAGATGCTCATGTGGTGGGCAACTGAGGCCTCTTGCCAACAGCCAGCATGGAACCCAGGCTTTTTGTCAGTAGCCATACGAGTTGGGCCATCTTGGAAGGGTATCCTCCAACCCCAGTCAAGCCTTCAGGTGACTGCAGCCCCAGATGATTTCACCCATCTCATGGGAGATTCTGAGCCAGAATCACCCAACTAAGTTGCTCCTGAATTTCGGGCCCATGGAAATTGTGAGAAAATAAATATTTGTTGTTTAGAAACAAACTAATGAATCATTAAAATTTAATAAAATAACATTTACAAATATTAATGAGAGTTCACATTATATAACCTAGTAAATTTATTGATATAATTTCTGTATTTTCTCACATAAGAAATAAGAAGATATTACCTACAAAGAAACCTAACACCTTGGCCATCATCTCGTCATAAATCAAGCCTCTGTGTCTCTCTTTATTATTAGAAAAACAAATGATAAATAGGTTTCTAGGCATAGTACCAAAGAGGAGAAGAGAAGGCATGTTGCACCCATGAGTCAATTATATTAGACTTCTGTGATCCATCCTTCAATGTGTAGTCATGGCAGAGCTGGAAGGAAGGAGGGATCACGTCACAGAATCACAATTTGGTTATCTAGTTTAAAAACTTACCAAAGGGCAATTGCTTCCTTTGTCCACTTGCTCTTTCTTGGTAATGTCCCAGTAGCATCATTGTGAAATGAGCTGGCCTCACATCAGACCCAAGGAAAATAACTGTGAGTTATTCACAGGCTTCCAGGAGAGCATCTGATGAAACTACAGTTTTCTTTATTCTGAATAGAGAAATATATGTGCATTTGGATGTGCAAAAACAAATATTTTGTTAATTATAATTTTATTGGAGTTTATTTCTCAAGAAGAAGATTCTGGAATGCTTTTTCAGCTTCAGAAAAAGATCAGTAGCATTCTCCTCCACAAAAATAGCCCTGGCTGTCAGAATGGTGGTTTCTATTCGAGTGCTCATTTGCTGCATAATTTTAATCAAAGTCACTGCTGACATTTGGCTACTACTTTACAGTTTATAAATCACTTTCACATAAACTAAGGAATTTGTCATCTACATCACAGTCTTGTGAGGGAAGTGTTAATGTACAAAGTTGACAGACAAGATCCTGAGTTTCAGAGAAGTCTGGAATTGCCTTGGGCCACAGAGCAGCTGGTGACGGAGCTGGTATTTAAAATTGGGCCTTCTCAGTCTATGTCCACTATTCCATAGCTACTTCTTCAAGTCATCCAGCTGTCATGAAAAAATAAAGCACTTAGCACCATGCCAGGCATATGATAATAACACAATAAATTATTACAGTCATGCATCACTTAACGATGATGATATGTTCTGAGAATTGCATCATTAGGCAATTTCATCATTATGTGAACATCATAGAGTGTACTTATGCAAAACTAGATAGTAGAGCCTACTACACACCTAGGCTATATGGTATGGCCTATTGCTCCTAGGCTACACACCTGTACAGCATGTGACTGAACTCAATACTTTAGGGAATTGTAACACCATGGTAAGTATTTGTGTATCTGAATATGTCTCAATATAAGAAAGGTAGAGTAAAAATATGATATAAAAGATTAAAAAATGGTATGCTTATATATCATACATTCATAGTACCATGACAATAGTAATTTTACAATGAATGGAACTTGAAGGACTGGAAACTGCTCTGGAAGAGTCAGTGAGTGAGTGGTGAGTGAATGTGAAAGCCTAGGCCATTACTATACAGTTTTGTATAACTGGCAGAGCAGTAGGTTTGTTTATACCAATGTCACTCAATATAGTTTGGATATTCATTCCCTCCAAATCTCGTGTCAAAATTTGATCCCCAATGTTGGAGGTAGGACAAGTGGGAGGTGGCTGGGTCATGGGGGCAGATCCCTCATGAATGGCTTGGTGCCATCCTCAGAGTAATGAATGAGTTCTTGCTCTATTGGTTCACAGGAGAACTGGTTGATTCAAAGAGTGTGGCATCCCTCTCCTCTCTATCTATTGCTCCATCTAGCACCATGTGATGCCTGCTCCCCTCTTCCACTTTGACCATGGTTTAAAACTTGCTGAGATGATCATCAGAAGCAGATGCTGGCACCCATGCTTCTTATATAGCCTGCAGTTCATGAGCCAAATGAACCTCTTTTCTTCATAAATCACCCAGTCTCAGGTATTCCTTTATAGCAACAGAAAATTGACTAAGATACACCACAAACACAGGAATTATGCATTGTGCTGTGACCATATGATGGCCATGATGTCACAAGGCAATAGGAATTTTTGGCTCCATTATAAGCTATGGGACTGCTGTTGTATATGAGGTCCGTAGTCAAATGAGATGCCATTTTGCAGTACATGACTGTATTATCATTAAAGGAACCAGGATAATACCCTGCTCTATTGAAGAACTATGGCTAGAGTTCTTTCCCTCAAGTGAGTTTTGGACCAGAATCTCTCTGTCCCATCTCATCGGAACACCCACTTGACTGCCTAATCACTTCACAGAGCTGACATCAGGGTTACTTTGTTGCTTCCACTGACCGAGCTCCAGCAGGAAGCACATAAGCCAAGGAAGATGTTAGGTGAGTCCTACAGTTACTTTGCCAATTTTCATTGGGAATAATGCAGGTTTAGCCAAGAAAGAGCAATTCAGAATTGTTAATACACAGTCTGAAAGCTGTGCTTGGTGTTTGGGGATGTAAAGTTGTGAAGCAGTCTTTCCTGGTATATGGGGGAAAAAATCATACTAAGGATTTCATTTGGGGATTTTTTGACAGAACATGTCAAGACCCCAGAATATAAACAGCGAGAGAAATTACTTAAAGCATTTCAATGAAAAGATACTTCCCTCAGGGTTCCCCAGCACTCTCAAATGTGGAATGAGTTACAACAAGAAGTTTTCTCCATGCAGTCTGTATTTCCCTCCTTTCTTACAGGTTGATGAACTTGACATTGACTGTGAGGTCATAGGTCAATGTGAGTGGCATGCATGTTTCTACGTTTTTCATCTGAAATCAGTATTTTTTCTTATTTAACTGTAGGGACTTCCCATTTCCCATTTTGACCTTGAGTCCCTCCTCTTCCCTCTCCCTATGCACATGAATTCCTTCAGGATAAGATACATGAGGTGTGTGGTGCTGATCAACCAATAATTTTGCAGAATAACAAAACCAACCTCTCTTAAAGATATGTGTGACTATTTGATGAACTACTTAATTGTGGCAACCCAACTCAGTTGAGGTCAGAGGATCATTATTTAAGGTGCACCAGTATTGCTATGAAATATCACTAGTAATTTATTTAAAATACGTGAATAATTAATATTGAAATTATCTCAGAAAAGTCAATGCCCAGCTCCTGCAGAGGGAAAGACTAAAACCCAAGGAAGTTCCCTGATTTTTTTCTAGGGGCAAATAAGGATGTTACTTTTCCATTAGTGTCTATTGTCATTTGAAACCTGAACCACTGTGAAAGACCTGTCTTTCTTCCCAGAGAAAAGAACTTGGTAGAACAAGTAGTTCGTTGTATAGTACATTTTAACAAAACTGTTAGTTCAGATACAGAATAAAGTCTTCTTCGAACAACCTAGAACTGTTCATTGGAAGATTTAATTTTGTTGTTTAACAGGAAGTGGATGGATTTTTAGGATAAAATTTTACAGTCTTCATACCTATATATATTAGAGTATTTTAACGTATAGAATGGGCATTTAGTCTTGTTTTCTAAACTCTTATTGATTTCAGTAAGGCCATTGATACCTCATATTATCATTAAATGGTCTCTGAATAATTTATGTTTTCACATCTAAAATCAAGTATTTTTTAAAAATCCATATATCCTATTAGTTTAAAATGAATTTAACTCCTTAAGGATTATAAATGGTTATGCCAAAGTAAAGAGTGAGTATATTTATCTGTCCACTCATTGAAAACAATTAGAAATAGTCAAGCAAACTGTAGGCTTAAGCTGTGCTTCTTATTTATATGGTCTCATCATCATGGAAAGATGAGGGGGATAGATGCACATAGGACTAGAGGGCTGCAGAAGCACCTTTCCTAGTCTTGTAATAATGTAGTTATTTACAAGATGATTGACAGCAGGGTGTTTGCTACTACACTTTTGTGTTTAAGTAACAGCACAACCTGAGTTAACCTAGTTTACCTAGTGGGTTTTCCCATTTGCACATTTACTGAATCTTGACAGCATTCTCAGTTGCAGATCTGATGGCTCAGTGGGCGCCTAACAAACAAACTCCCTTTTGAGCCAAAGGAAAGAGAAACAATGGCTCTGACAAACATAAAAACAATTTGGCTCATTCTTACCCAGGCTTGCAACACAACGTTTGGTCAGGGATATTGGAACGCTTTTCTGTGCTCTCCTGACACAGACCTTCATAAAATGGCTTCATTTTAATTTGAAAAGTGGGCAATCTTTTAATATCAGATAGCTTGCATTTGAATGAAACACAAACACATTACAAGGCCAAAGGGAGATTATTTGGTCATCATTAATGATGTTGTTACCTTTAGAAATTTGGTGTATCTCTTCGAGAACAATGTAGAAAGCTTTGTCAACCCTTATTCATCTCAGCCTCGCATGATCATTGGTTTACATTTAAGAGAAGAGCAAATGTATGGCTTTATTCTGCAAAAAAGCACAGCTGTTCACATCTATTGCACTCATACCTAGTCATCTCTGCTGGTCTCTAAGAGATATGTCTTTCTGGGAACAACACTCCAAGACATGGCCCCATTCTGGAGGAAATGAGCACGACTTCATGATGAAGACTGTGTGCCCTGGCTGACGGGCTGAGGCGAACAGCTGTCCCCAGAGCACCATACTGGCTCACTCTACGAGCATTGGAAGAGGTGGTCCACATGGAAAGTAAAGGCTCTTGATTCAGAGGAAGCTTTCAAACCAGCAAAGCATGACAGTTGAGTTGAAACTATATTTGCTCTACTAAACTATATAATTTGCTACCCTTTTCCACTTCTGATGTATAACAAAATAGAGGAGAGGATCACAGATTCACCTAAACAACAGCTGGCAATTTAAAAAGTGAGCAAAAGAGCACATCGCAGTTGGAGCAATGCAAGTGCCCTCTGCCAAGCCGAGAGTGGAGCCACTGAAAGTGCTCCCACCTCAGCATCATTTGGGAATTTACAGATACACTGTGGGTGGAGAACCATGGTGTAGAGTCAGTGTCTCTTACAGCACCCTAGACATTGCAAAGAGAAGCTGGAGCTGAGCCCCACAGTTCACAAACACACTCACGGTTAACACTTTTCAAGCTTCACTTGAAAGCTTGAAGTGAGGACACTTCCCCAACCTACGTCACTGGTTACCAGCGATGGGATCTCCTGTCTGAGATCACAGCCAAATGCCTTGCAGTTTTGTGATACTTTGTCATCAGAGTTGAACTTCTTTGATGTACAGTGATTATATAAGCTGTGGAATCACTTAGGTAAGAGAAAAGAAAAATGAATTCATCTTTTTGGACACAATAGGTTCTCAAATAATAATTATTTCCCAAAAGCTAGTGAATGTCTGGGTTTTTGTTTTTGTTTTTGTTTTTTTGCTTCTCTTCATGTTGCAATCTGTGGTTCCCTGAGGTGCGCATGAGTTAGCATAGTATCTCAAGAGTTGCCCACAGAAGCTGGAGAAGACTTTGAAATACTAAACAGTTCATTACACAATTAAATTGTTATATATGCAGTTGTAGCTATAACAGGAAAGAAGTGCAGGCCAATTTTTACATATGATTTTGGCTATTGCCTCTAGAGGTGGTGAAAATTGTACTTTGTGATGTTGAGTTATATAATGAAATTAAAATATTTTGTAATATTTTATAAAATTATGACAACTTATTATATGTAATCTATTGTAATATTCAAATATGAACTTGAGTTCTGAATCTAAGTATTGCTTTAAAAATGTCAGTGACAATTCCAGTTGGTACTTCCTCAGTCAAGTGAAGTTTTTATAAACTGAAATTAGTAAAAAACAATTTAAAAATTACAACGACACCCAAGAAAACTTCCTAATTTAACATTACTATCTTTAGGACAAAAATTGTGTGAAGATATTGATTATAGCAACATATTAGAGGTTTTTGGAAATAAAGACAAATATTTACAATAAATAGATAATAATTTGTGAATGATGTATGCTTTTTTTTTTTTTTTTTTAGACAGGATCTTGCTCTGTTACCCAGACTGAAGTGCAGTGGCAGGATCTTGGCTCACTGCAACCTCCGTCTCCAGGGTTGGAACGATTCTTGTGCCCCAGCTTCCCGAGAAGCTGGGATTACAGGTGTGCATCACCATGCCTGGCTAATTTTTTTCGATTTTTAGTAGGGACAGGGTTTTGCCACGTTGGCCAGGCTGGTCTTGAACTCCTGGACTCAAGTGATGCACCCACCTCACCCTCCCAAAGTGCTGGGATTATAGATGTAAGCCATTGCACCTGACTGGATGTATGCTTTGTTTTATTACTTAGCAGGTGCTGCTGATCCATAGCCCAATGCTTAGGACTCCTGCATTAATAATTAAGTCCAGTCACAATTGATATTTCACTCACTTTCAGACCTATATAAGCAATAATGATAAATATTCACATATTTTTTTATTTTGACATTTTGAAGGTATATTTATCAAAGTAGGAGAATAAACACAATAGAATATATTTCATTTAGCAATTTGTAAGATTCATTTTTGACTTTTAAGTGTTTAGACATGGCACATGGGCCTCCCTCTGTAGTCTTATTCCACAACCCAGAAGTGTTTGAGGAGATATGTGTATGTAAGTACAGGTTGAGCATCTCTCATTCAAAAATCGAGAATGCAAAATGCTCCAACATCTGAGTTTTTGAGCATCGACACACCTAGAAAGTAGAAAATTCCACACCTGACCTAATATGGTGGGTTGCAGTCAAAACTTTATTTCATACACAAAATTATTAAAAATATTATATAAAATTAACTTCAGGCTATGTGTATAAGGTGTACATAAAGTAGAAATGAATTTCATGCTTAGACTTGAGTCCCATCCCCAAGATATCTCATTATGTTTATGGAAATATCCCAAAATCTGAAAAAATTCAAAAATGGAAACACTTTTGGTCCCAAGCATTTTAGATAAGAGATACTCAACTTGTATGTGTATATACATATAAAATAGCTCTGCCTGTTATCAAACAGTATATCAGTGAATATGCTATTGTATTCCATTTATTATTTATTCAGCACCTTTGTTAGTAGCACCTTAGCATCATGGATTTATAAATGATGGATGGTGAACATATCATGATAGCTGAGAGATGCACATAATTGAACAGGGTCTCATGTCCATAGTTCATATTGACCTCAGTGGGAGCCTACAGTCCTCTTAAGGGCAGGAGCTGGTACATAAATCCTGGGAAGCAGTCATTCTGTCACTCATTGCTCAATGATCCAACTTGGCTTTTAACTCTCTTCTCCTAAGTGCTGTCAGACTCAGCTATACACAAACACAGCTGATGAAACCCAGTCCTTATAGGTTTAATCCCTCCAATAGTTCCACATAAACAAATATTCCATGACACAACCACAGTTTGCATGGCTTTACCTAAAATTGAATTTATCTTTTCGTTTGTCTGACTGGATTTATTTTGTTCTTTCTCTTTCCACTTCATATGTTGATGCCTCTCTGGAATTTGCAAAAAAAATGAAATTGCCCTTTTTTTGAATTATTGCAAAATAGAATAATAGTCGATGATTTCTTTCTGTCTTGACATTTCAAAAACAGTAATTAATGTGCCCAATATTTACTGAAATAGTATAAATCAAATTTCTCTGTAATCACTTATTTGGAAAACAGTAAGAAAAATTGTTGTCTGTTTCATAGCAGGATTCTCAGAAATTGTGGGGTTCTAAGGAATGATAGGAAACAGAAATTACTTCAGATTTTACCCTTGCATCTCTATCTACAAATTAATGTGAAGAATTGCATTGTGGTTTCCTAGCATTCAAGCTACCTTCTCAAAAATGTAGAGATGGAGGGGTGATTATTAATTTCTTCACAAAGCTCTCATTCCTTCAGTGGTTATCGCTATTGTTGTATTGACAGCGACTACTTGAGCAAAGGGAGTTAGAAAGGCATTCAACTTTCTTATGCATTTGTCAGATCATTGGAATAATTTTGTCCAAAATCTGCTGTTTCAGAGGGAGTAGAGTTTATTGCTGAGCAGCTTTGTTTCTCTGGGTGAAAGTCCCTTCAGCTTTCTACTGTTCATCCCCAAACCAATGTCTTTAAATAAACGAGTCATCGAGGGTGTTGTGTTAAATACAATCTAAGAGACCCAGGAAAAGAATGACATTTTAAATGCTGTGTGAAGTGTAGTTCTATTACTAGGGATGCACTGTGTATAACGATTTCAGTCTCTCTAGTAAGAAGAAATTGTTTTTACTAATTTACCCGGAGCCTTAACAATCACACTATTTGAAGCGCTGTTAAGAAAGATTTGGAAGAGTTAATATGTAAACAAGGCATCAAAATGTTAACATGAATAACCTTTAGCATCACAACAGGGCGGAGAAGAAAAGCAGAAGTTCTATTTGGAGGAGATCTTAGCAAGGCTGGCCCAGGTGGGACAGTCCCGGCTCATGGTCCTCTAGTGAGGACAAGGTGTTCTGAGGGGAATCTGACAGAGGAAAAGCCTTATACTTAGGATCAACACTTATTCCAGGTGACCTGGACTAATTAGTATAAGCTAGATAAATGTGGTAAGAACTTTATAAACCAGTGGACCCTTTGGAAATTTTTTCTTGGCTGAGTAAATTGTTCAAGAAGAAATTAATGAGGAGTATAGGCAATATCTTCTTGAAATAACAAAAAGTATTTTATGGCAAAATATCAATGTTGCAGATCTAGATTCTGCAATGGGGGATGTATTTATTCTTAGGATGATCCAGTTATGAAGAAAGGTCGTGGGGTTGAACATCACTGAGACCCTTCCCTGATATTCTCTAGCTTAATTACACCCAAACCAACAATGCTATTTATCCTGTTCAGCCAAAAATGAATATATTTATTATACAGTATCTTGGAGGAGTCAAAGATATCCATGTGATTTAATTCTTTTCCCTATGTAACTGAAAAGCAAATTTCACTCTTGTATTCCCTTTTGTTTCAACTATATTAGCTAAATTATTCCTTATATCTATTACTATAAAATCCATTTACACTTTTTTCTGTAACAATAGGATATAAGATAGACTTATAAGAATATTATATTTTAATCACATGCTTTAAAAACCATTATTAGACATTTTGCTCCTATTAATTATCTATTAAAATAGAAATTTGAAATGATGAATATTTTACTTTTGAAATGGAAATATTTTCTTTAGAACAAAAATACCGTATCTACTTTCTAAATATTTTGTACAGATGTTTCATTTTTTAGGAATAATCTTCTGCAAAATACATAAACTTCTCATTAAATTTAAAATAAGATTTTCAAATTCCAGTTTTCTAATATTTTCCTAGGAAATAAGATGTAATCCCAGATTAGTTTCAATACAGGAGTCCTGTTTTCCACTCAAGCACATGATAAAGGAGCCTGCTTGACTGCAGTTGGCACTGTCATGGACTGAACTGTTGCCTATCCGCCCCACTTCCCCATGTTTAAGTTCTAACCAACAGTACCTGAGAATGTCACTGTATTTGGAGACAGGGCCTCTGAAGAGGTGATTAAGTTAAAATAAGGTCCCCAGTATGAATGACGGAGTCCTTAGAAAAAGAAGAAATTTGGCCAGGCACGGTGGCTCATGCCTGTAATCCTAGTACTTTGAAAGGACGAGGCAGGCAGATCACTTGAGGCCAGGAGTTCGAGACCAGCCTAGTCAACATGGTGAGACCCCGTCTCTACTGAAAATACAAACATTAGCTGGGTGTGGTGGTGCGAGCCTGTAGTCCCAGCTACTCAGGAGCCTGGGGCAGGAGAATTGCTTGAACCCGGGAGGCGGAGGCTGCAGTAAGCCAAGATCATGCCACTGCACTCCAGGCTGGGTGACAGAGCGAGACTCAGTCTCAAAAAAAAAAAAAAGGGAAATTTGGACCCACAGATATATTCAACAAATATGCACACACAGAGATGACCATATGAGGATATAGGGAGAAGGCTGCTGTCTGCAAGCTAAGGAGAGAGGCCTCAAGAGAAACCAATCTTGCTGGCCCCTTGATCTTGGGCTTTGGCCTGCAGAACTGTGAGAAAAGAAATTTCTGTTGTTGAAGACTCCTCACCTGTGGTATTTGTTATGGCAGCCCTAGTAAGTAATATAGCACTAGTCATATATTATTAGTGATAGAGACACTGACATAACTTGGTTTTTCACATTTCTGGATTATTGATTTTGGTAATCATCTTTATCTTGCTTCAGGTCCTGAACTTGCTCAATGCCCTGATTTCAGTTTGCTGAAGATCTTATGCATGAAGACAGTGAATGAAATGACTCTGGACAAATAAGCCTCATTCCTGTATTCTTCCATTTAAAAGCAAAAGTTCAGAATCAGAAGGCTTCATATCTACCCTCTCCTTTTAGCCCCACTAGATGGTAGTGTAACCACCCAAGGGGTTCACCTTGCCTGCTGCCTAGACAGAACCGATTCATCAAGACAGGAATTGCTATAGAGAAAGAGTAATTTAAGCAGAGCTGGCTGTGTGGGAGACCAGAGTTTTATTATTACTCAAATCAGTCTCCCAGAGTATTTGAGGGGCAGCGTTTTTAAGGATAACTTGGCGAGTGGGGGGAGGCCAGTGAGCCAGGAGTGCTGATTGGTCAGGGATGAAATCATAGGGAGTCGGAGCTGTCTTCTTGTGCTCAGTCAGTTCCAGGGTGGGGGCCACAAGATTGGATGAGCCAGTTTATTGATCTGAGTGGAGCCAGCTGATCCATCAAGTGCAGGGTCTGCAAAATATCTCAAGCACTGATCTCAGGAGAAGTTTAGGGAGGGTCAGAATCTTGTACACTCAAGCTACATGACTCCTAAACCATAATTTCTAATCTTGTGGCTAATGTTAGTCTTACAAAGGCAATCTAGTCCCCAGGCAAGAAGGAGGTCTGCTTTGGGAAAGAGCTGTTACCATCTTTGTTTAAACTATAAACTAAACTTCTCCCAAAGTTAGTTCAGCCTACGCCTAGGAATGAATAAGGACAGCTTGGAGGTTAGAAGCAAGATGGAGTCAGTTAAGTTAGATCTCTTTCAGTGTGTCAGTCATAATTTTGCAAAGATGGTTTCAGTAGTGACTCGTGACAAATCTAACAAGAGCACATTTAGTCAGTGAGGGTGCAGCAACATACACACACACACACACACACACACACACACACACACACACAGTCCTCTTTTCTCCAAACTACATTATCTCCATTCTATGCTATTCCTATTTTACTAGAGGGAAAAATGAAGCTAACAGATCTTGTAATGTTTTCTTCCATTGAATGGAATTACATCACCACATCACACCCTTAGAGACAGGCTGAGGCATTCTAGACACTTTTGTTGAAAATTCAGTTAATTGTTCCAATGTAGGCAGTGGTGTTTATCCGAGAAGTTTATACCCAATAGTTGAAATATCTCCAGACATGAATAATTTATTAGAGGAAAGGAAGTCATTCTACAGCTAATTAAAATTTACTCTAAAACATAATTCTTGGAATTCTTCTTTAAAGGACAGAATAAATTAATTAACTATTTGCCACAATGGTAGCTAAACAGAGATGTCATTGGTAGCAAGTTTTAAGGGTCTGAGAATGTTTATGTAGAAAGTCACACTTGCTGTGTATGCTGATTTAACACACTTTGGGGTTAGTTACTCTGTGAGAGAGGCATGCAGGCACTGAACATACTGGCAGGGAAGACATTCAGTCAGAGATCTCCAAGGCAGATCTGGGGGCAGGCTGGCAGACAGGCAATAAACAGAAATATGGTATGAAGTGCTGAGGCCGTGTCAAAGAGGTTCTAAGCCTGTATCCTGAGGAGCAGGCTTAGACTGAAAATTGGGGACTGCCATTTGCTCTGTGACAAATGGAGGGCCCACACATTCTGTTGAACACCTTTCTTTTGCCATGGCTGTTTTTATGGGGCTATCTCATGACACGGTGGCTTTACCCAGCAACATCTTTAAGGTGCTGCTCACACCATTCTAAACTTTACTTATTATCCAATTGCTTGTTAATGTTGAGTTACCAGCTTACTCTGAATTTTATTTTTTAATAAAGATCAAAAGCCTTCCATTGTGTTCTTGCTCTGATAGCAATGGAGCTTGATCTATGCCTGTATGAAGAAGCCCTAGCCACTTCAGTAGTTGCTTGTCATGCATAGAATCATTTCTTATTCTTTGTTCTTTTCATTGTACCTGTTAGGATCAAACTCTCCCTAAACACTTGTGCACCCAACTCTCCACCATCCACTGCCACCACCACCTTTATGTATAAAACAGAAAATTCTTCATTCACATTATTGTCTTGAGAGACTGAAGATACAAATGGACAAGGCTAGACCATATAAAAAACAGAATTTTGACCCACAATCTGTAGCATCTTGCCAGGAAACTGTCCCTTTATATACAATAAGCAACCCAGGAAGCCAGCCTGCTGTAAGTGAGACTTGCAGGAGGTCAGATTGCTCTCTAGAGACAGTCCAGGAAGCTAAACAAAAACTGCTGAAACAATCAGCCCCAAATGGCTGGGAATTGATTAATAACTGACTGTGTCCCTGAGTTTTGTCCACAGTTCCCACTTAAGACCAACCAAAGAAAGCCAAATACACACCCCAACCACTCACACAGGATGTCCTGTTTCTAGTTAGCTGCCTCCAGCTGCCCCTGGCCATCAGCCGCCATCAGGGCACACCTGGAGCCATTTGTTTCTCCGCTATAAAGCTTTCCAGCCCTCTGCCTGTGATAAGTGAGTCTCTGCCAAACTCAGGGGATGGTGACTGACTCCCTTGCTACAGCAGGCTCTGCATATTCTTTGCTTCTTTTCTATTTGGTTGGTCTTCCTTTATTTCCAGTTTTTTCCTTCTCTGCCTTCTCTCTTAATTACTACTTTTCGAAATCCTCAAAACAAAACAAGTAGTTAAAGATATGTGCACTTAACCTTGCCTTCCATGATTTTATTTCCCCTAGGGTCAAATTTATTTAGTAATAGCCACTCTGCTTTCTGCCTTTCTCATTCTTTTTAGCTTACTATTAATTAATGATTCACTTTAAGGTATTATGTTCTGTTGAACTATAAAGGAAGCCACGGAGAGGAAAAGAGATTCCACACGTTGAAAGAGGACCTTCAGACTTTCTAGGTGGGAGGTGAGAAAGAAGAGTTAGAAGGCAAACATAATTGTAATGTTTTGAAGCCAAATGATGGGGAAGATGGTCATGATTTAAAAAAAAAGGGGAAGTCTGGAGGAGGAGAAGATGGCAACTGTCCACCAACATGCATGTTCTTCGTTCTTCTTGAGCACAAGCAGAGCCCATGCTCAGCCTCCCTAGCTCTTAGGTATGGTCAGAGGTTGATGTTCTGGCCAATGGAAATGAGTTGAAGTATTGCAGCTCACTCTTAACCAGAGCCCTGCAGGCAGGGGTCTTAAGGCTGAGCATGGATTCTATTTTATATGCCTTTCACCCCTCTTTCCTGGCTGAGATAGCCATGTGCAGAGTAACCTGAAAGTCATGCGTGGAAGAAGAAATGAATGACTTTGCAAAGAGAGCTATCACCAAAATGGAGCACCTCTGCTACCTGTGAGGATAAGTTTTCATACTCTTCAGCACTGAATGATTTGGGAGCTTCTTGTTAAAGCAGTTTAGCTTACATTACCCAATGTAGGTATGTTTGGGACATACACTCTCAGAGGAGTAGAATCAAACTCCAACAGTATTGCATAAGTACCTGTAATGTTCTAAACACTATGTTACACCCCAGAAATATAAGTCTGTTAACACATGGTGCCCTTTGTGAGATGTTCACAATGGGAATCATCAGATAGACAACAACACGAGGTGATCAACACTCCAGAGCTGGGTCTGACACACTGAGGCAGTTCGTGAAGGAAACTCCTAACCCTTCCTGGGAGAGTGGGGAGGATGCCAAGACTGGAAGCATTTGAGATGACACTTGAAGGATGACTAGGAGGTCACTAGCAGCCAAGACCTCAGTAGAGGTAAATGTGGGAGGTGGGGACAATGATAAAGGGGAAGACAGTGAGTCATAGCAGTGCCAGGCACACAGCAAGGACCTGCAGAGAAGCAAGGTGGACTTCAGAGGTGATTCACTCCAATATGTATCTGATGCACAAACTCCCTTTACCACCCCCTAGGCATGTGGCATTCATCCTTCTCAAGGAATAACCAGAGTGCAGGGAACACACCCCACAAGAAGGGTTCCATCCTCTGTGGAATACACCTAAATGGCCTGTGACGTAGTGAGGATGCTTAATTCACATTTGGCCTACTGTTAAATGACATGTAAGGATTTTGACAGCAATGCCAATGACTCCAAAATAACACTTCCAAAAGCATGGCACAGTTGCATCATCAACCTACCATAGTTAACCTCTTCCCTGATCTATTCTGAACTTATTTACTGGCATTTCTATAACTGAAGTTTCCATGCTTACTAATTTACCAACATATATAGGGTCCCTCAATGCCATTATTAACATGAAAAAAGATACAAATCTCCCCAGTGGACAGAACATACAGGTTCCATATTCCAGGATTCCTTTGAGGTTTTGTCAACTCAGTCTGAGCTTTTGGGCAGCGGAATTGATTCTTAAAGACTAATGGTAGCTCTGATCGGGTGCTAACTTTTTAAGGAAGGCCAGTTTCTCAACACTTGGCTCTGAGCTGTTATTTACCATGACATAGTGTATGCATGACAACTCTTTATAATCCCTCCTCCCTTCATTCTTTCTCCACTCACTAAAATATGCAGTATTCTGGGAAAGGAGTGTTCACACACCTTCAACAACTCTGATAATACCACATGCATATAAATGTATATTTTTATCATGGAACCAAAAATTGAAGTCTTTCTGAACCATATTAACAATTTCAGATTAAACAATTTATAAACTATGGTATGGATTTAGTGATCCTACACCAATTATACAAAAAAAAAGTATTGTTTCTTTCTTGCAACATATGCAATGGTATCAACTCTCTTATTCCACAAGCTAACTCCTCAAAACACAGCTTAGAACAAAAAAAAAAGAGAGAGTGAGAAAGAGAGACCACAAAATAAACAAATGACTAAAAGCCCTAATGCCCAAAATACAGGAAGTTTATTTAAAAAAATGTATTACATTGTCTAAAGAAAATTCATCTGGGCTTTATTTAGAGATAATTTACTCTTATTTTACATAAAATTCTAACTATTTTGGTTCCTGTCAATCCTACTGTGCACCACGCACAGTAGAAGCTGTAGCCCCCAAATCACCAAGTTAAAAGGAAACATCTGAGGTACTCCATAAGTGGCCTAAGTCATTAAGGAAAGATTTCCAGAATCCTGTTTAAGGTGGAACTTTTGCACACACTTTAGCACAAGTTCATCCAAAATGATTAAAACATGTAGAAGTCTATTTAGAACATATAGATGTAGGGGCTTTGAATATTTCTTCAGTTACCTGGAAATTCATTTATGTAGAACCACTGCTTATCTGACAAAGCTAGATAAACACTCTCCACCTCCATCTCCTCATCTAATAAAATAGGAATAGAAATATGGCACTTACAGGGATCTTGCGGGGATTAAGTGATTTAATGCCAGTAAAAACAATGCACTCAAAGCTAGGTTCATTTTAAGTGCCCAACAAACGTTGATGCTGTTGCTATTATTATTATTAATTGTCTTCCTAACTATCTTTTTTGAAGGGAAGGAACATATACTAAAATTCTTTTTATTACCTATAAAATAGGGCCTTGCTTTTGGTAGATATGTAGTAAATATCTGCTGAATTTTAAAAACCTAATTATGTAATGCGGCATTTTTACCTACCATGTATTAAAATACACGAGACTGGCTAGCACAATTAGCAGTATCAACATCAGTTGCAAGCTGTCTTTCCTCTATGGTGCTAAATCTCTTCAACATTTTACCTTGAGACTAACATTGGTATCATTATACCAATTTACTGTTAAGATAGAAATAAATTCTGTTTAAAATTATTGCCTTGTAAAGTTCTCATCTGCTAGATCTCAATTAAAATGCTGAAAATATAGCAAACTTCCCTTTCTCGAAATGAAAATGAATGACTCTAATTCATAGAGAATCTTGTTACCCTCTCCATTCGTTTTAATCTCGTGAAGATAGAGCATAATGTACTCATGATGGCAAAATCAATAGACTTGGGTGCTGTTCCGACAATGTCTTTTCATAATTATATATTATCCATTAGTTGGCGTAATGAACATCCAATATAGGACAGAGCCCAACTGCACAGCTTTTTCTCCTCAATTAATCGCTTAATCTTTCATTTCCATATGTCCTCTTTTATCCCTTAGCCAGAACTTGTTTTTCTAAATTAACACCATTTAAAAGAGAAATAGGGTTGGCTCAGTTTATACATCACCACAAACTATTCAGCAGGTCAGCAAACATCTTATGAGATTTCTCTTCTTCCTACAGAGCACTTCTACTGTCTAAGAAATAATTGGACGTGAGGTGCAGGATGGAAGAAGCTCTTAGATGAGTCTATCCTTAAGTTCAGAGAGTAATCAGAGGATCTTCTATCAAATTATAAATCTTTTGTCAATTGTAAAATTATTATAGTCATTATAAAAATAATGCAACTCTATTGCAAAAATGAAAAAAAAGATAATAGGAATAAAACCCTAAACCCACCAAACTATCACAACCCTTAACACTTTGGTTACAATTTAATGCCTGAAACCTCTTCCTTATGCTGTACTTAATTTTACTGGTGGATTGCAAGCATACAACTCTATTAATAAGTCCCTTTGCTTTGGGAATTGTCTGTTTCAGCAGCTAGGTGTGCATTATGCCAACTAAGACCTGTTCTGTGGCCTTGAGACAGTCATTTAAGTTTTCTGGGTCTCACTTCCTCGCCTGTGAAGTGAGGATAATAACACTACACTTACTCCACAGGGTTGCTGGAAAAAGCAGTTTACATTATATGCAGACATTCTTTACAGCCTCAACAGTGTCACATAAATGTTACTTACTAGACTGGAATTTAGTTTATTTGTAACACTGGATGGTCACCAGATGCCCACCATATAGTAACCCATAGGTTTTTTTTTCTCTAGTTTGGATATTCCTTATTATATTTCACTTTTGTCTAAGCCTCTGAATTAGCTCCATTGATTTTCTGCTAGCTCCCCTTCACCTCCCACACCTACTTGATATCCTCACCATCCTCATGCTCTGGTTATACTAAAACTTCCAAAATGCTTCCTGCACCAACCCCATCAGATTTCTCCATCTTTCTTGTTCCAGTAATTATTAAAATATTACCTGATCTTTGATCTTGTCATTGCATAATGGGAGGAGAGGTCGTGAATTCATTTTGGCCATCATTAGGGGACACAAGTCCTGTAATGCCTCTTGGCCACTACCACCACATAACATGCACTCTATCCCACAGGCATGCGATGCTAATGATATTTATACAGGATATACACTTTTTGTCTCTGCTTTCTATTAGACAAACTCAGAGGAGGGGTCTCTTTAAGAGGATCAGATCCACCCAGGACACTCAGGGTGAGGAATAGAGGGCTGTTCTGGTTCTTGCCCCAAGACAGAATCTCAGCTTCCTTCTTAATTCTTTAACAGCAAAACACAGCCATGCCGTCCAGAAAATCACAAAACCTCTCATTTTTGATCTCATACTTGAACAGGTTGCTTTTCCCTCCCTCTCCATGTACATCTTGTATTCCATTCTGGTTGCAACTGACTAGTCTTCAACTTTTCCACGAGTATATTGAGTTTCTATCTTCTTTCAAAAGGGCTGGATGCCTCTCCTTCTCTGTGTGCTGTCATTAGCAAATGTCACGGGCACTCTTTCTGCTCTATTACCCTCTTCGCAGATTAAATCTGTGTCCATTCTGACTGTGGACCTTTAAGTCAAACCCATGGGGTGCCATGCAATGCACTAAGACAGAGACAGCTGGAGGATGGTGCCATGCAATGCACTAAGACAGAGGCAACTGGAGGACGCAGCCATGGAAACACAGGGGTTGCTCCATACCCCTAGAAAGCCCCACTGTACTGCGCTCACATCACTCCTTGTCAGCTTTGCCTCATACCTGCTCCCATGTTGCCCCATCACACCGAATCATCAGACTTGAAAGTTTCCATTTCTTTTCTTGAGATAGGATCTCACTCTGTCACTGAGGCTGGAGTGCAGTGACACAATCATAGCTCACTGCAACCTCAACCTCCCAGGCTCAAGCAATCCTCCCACCTCAGGCCCTCAAGTAGCTGGGACTACATGCCTATATTTAAGAATTTTTAAATTTTTTATTATATATTTATTTATTTTTTGAGATGGAGTTTCACTCCAGCCAGGCTGGAGTGCAGTGGCATGATCTCAGCTCACTGCAACCTCTGCCTCCCAGGTTCAAGCGATTCTCCTGCCTCAGCCTCCCAAGTAGCTGGGACTACAGGTGCATGCCACCACACCCAGCTAATTTTTGTATTTTTTTTTTTAGTAGAGACATGGTTTCACCATGTTGACCAGGATGGTCTTGATCTCTTGACCTCATGATCTGCCCGCCTTGACCCCCCCAAAATGCTGGGATTACAGGCAAGAGCCATCGTGCCCAGCCAGGAATTTTTATAGAGACAGGGTCTTGCTATTTTTCCCAGGCTCCTAGGCTCCTAGGCTCAAGCAATCCTCCTGCCTTGGCCTCCCAAATTGCTGGGATTACAGGAATGAGCCACTATGCCCAGCCCCCTCCCTTTCTTACTCTTAGGTTGAACATGGTTTTTACACCCTACTTATCTTCCCTACTTCTGTCTCTGAGAAACTCACCCCATCTGCCAAACCCAGCTCTGGCCTTCGGGATCCCACTGCTGAGGGACCAAGTTTGGAATGGGTTCGTTTTCAGGCCAGCCTTGGAGCCACATGGGGATCTTAACCTTCTGGAATAATTCATAGTTGCCTTCAGCTGGCATGAAGCCAAAACTGACTTCAGCCCTGAAACAGACATGTGTCAAATGCACATTTTGAAGCAGTTGTAGACACATATTTCCTAGTCTTTATTTCCTGACCAGTTGGAAAACACTCTGCAGAGAGGACACTGCTAGTGGTCCTGATGATGGTGCATCTTCACCAGGAATGGGATTCTGGAATAAAATCCATCTGCTTGTAGTGATACCCTACTAGCTTCAATAGCTTCTCCTTGACAGGATAAGGGTGGAAGATGGCTTGCAGAAAAATACACAAGCAGACATCTTAGGATGATTGCGAACACAGTGGTCAAAAGAAATGCTTCAAAGTCATAATTTAAGATGATGCATATGGCCTGTGGAAACCTGGCTGTAGCAGACAGAACTATCTGGCATCTAGCAGCTAGAAGAGACTTTTTTGGTTTGGAATTTGGAAAGACTGAGATTCTTCCCATATATCCCCAAGTCTTAAAAGCAATCTGTCTTCAAAAGCAAATACAAAGCATGTGTGTTATATATAGGAATATACATTCTGTCTATGTTTTGTGTAGACAGAAACAAATCATATTAAGAGGAATGATGTATAATGACCATATTGATGCATTGCAATTCTCAATTCAGGGTTTTCTATTCTGCATGCTAATTAATTGCTTTGTGTGAGGGTTTCTGCCTTAAGGACAACTTGCAAACCATGAAAGTATCTTCCCTTTACATGATTTCTTAGTTAAAATTACAAACCTCATGGAAATTCATAGTTTCACATACTAAGGTACGAAATGTGGCTTAGACATTGACTTTACCAGTTTATCTGGAGAAGAGCCAGTGAAACACAGTTGTGAATAATCATACTGATTGTTCTAGTAACCCTACAGATGTTAGCCAGGGACAGCTTGTTCATCTATTTGCTTACATCAAATATTTCCTAAGGACTTCTATGTTTCAGGCACTGTTCTAGGCACTAGTAGATACAACAGTGAACAAAATAGGCAAAATTTCTGTTCTCATGGAGTGTGTATTATGGAAAAGAAAGAAAAACAATAAACCAATAAACATAAAATCTGCCACATACTGATAAAGGCAAAGGAGAAATAGAAAGCAGGGTGATGGGAGGCAAGGATAATTAAGGATTCTGCTTTAGACCAAAGTGGAGTGAGGAGGGAGCTGGGATGACATGCAGGGGAAGAGCCTCCAGCCAGTGAGAACAGCAGGTGCCAAGGCCCTGAGTCCAGACCATGCCCAGCATATTCTAGTAATGGAAGGAGGCCAGCATAGCAGCAGTAAGATGAGCAAGGGAGATTTGGGAGACATTATGTAGTGCTTTGGAGTACTGTGCCTCAGCCATGGGTCCTGTTCTGGATGGTGAAGAAATGTGCCTTTAAAACAACTCACGTATGGAGGCTCCCTTGGCCTTCAATACACCTGCAATGACCATTTTCCTAATTTCAATCAAGAGAATGAGAAGTGGCCCTAAAAGTTCTTCAATGCATTTCTGCAACCCTGAGTGTGGCTTGATGACTGCAGTACTCAGACGTTTGTTTCAGCCAAGTGCTGTGTTTTAGTCTGCATTCAAAAAGACGTTGATTCCCAAGTGTTGACCCTATGTTAAATGACTCAACAAATTACCCAGATATTGTTTGTAAGGTGAAAGAAAGAAATTCATAGCTCAAAATTGCACATATAGCACAATATATTGGAATACAGTAAGGACTAGAAAGAGAATATTTGTAAACTGTTTTGCCATCCTTGGGTGAAAAGGTGTGCTATAAATAGCATTACAGTGATTACTTCAAATATGCATTATTTACATACGCATGCTATTTCAGCTTCAAAATCTGAGTGCTCTAGTTTTGTATTTATTTCTGCCTTTATCCCTAGAAGAGCATACCTACTTACCAGATCTGGCTGACCCTAAGGAAAAGTGCAGGGAAGAGAATGAGAAGAATGGCATCAGATCACACAAAGAAGACAACATGGGGTGCACTTAGGACCTCACCTCATGGGCCATGACCAGGGCACAGATTACAGCCCTTGGCACCACCTTGTGATGGCAACAACGGCCACGGTGGTGTCACACATCCATACGTTCTCCTTAGAGTGGGACACTAATGCTCCCCACATGGGGTAGTGACACTCCATGTGCCATAGAAAGGTTTAAAGCAGGAAAGTAACATAAGTCATTTCTAGTTTTAAGAGTTTTAAGGAGATCACTCCTGGGTTATGATGGACTAAAGGGGCAAGACTGAAGGCAGGAAGCCCAGTGGAGAGAGGGGGCTGAACTGAACTGAGGCAGAAAGAGCAGGGTGGTCAGAGGGACAGAGAAAAAGCTGCAGGACTCAGAGGCCAATGCTGTGCAGGGCGTGTGGGGAAGTGAGAGACTTGGGAAGGTATCTCCCTGCCTTCAGGGTTTCTATTCTTGTAGGAAAAGATTTCACCACATTATGCTCTTGCCCCGTGGACCACAGTGATCCACAATCCTTTGGTGCATCCATCTAGCCTACGGGACGCCTCCAGCCCATGACAGTTTCTTGATCTCACATCCTCGTTGGCATGGACTTTGAAATCTAAGAGTGGGCATCTAATGCCAGCTCTACCACTGTCATAGTCAGCTTGGGCTGCAATAATAAAGCACCACAGGGTGTGTGGCTTAAACAAGAGACGTTTACCTCTCTCAGCTCTGGAAGCCGGGAAGTTCAAGACCAAGGTCCTGGTTGACTTGATTCCTGGAGAGGCCTCTCTTGCTGGTTTACAGACGGTTGTCTTCTCACTATGTCCCTACATGGCCTTTCCTCAGTGCATGTGAGAGAAAGCTCTGATCTTTCCGTTATCTTCTTTAAGGACACTAATCCCATCACTGGGGCTCTACCTTCCTGCCCTTAACTAAACCTCATCACTTCCAAAAGTCTCCCACCTCCTAATTCCATCACAATGGGGGTAAGGCTTCAACATGTGAATTTTTTCAGGGACACAAACATTCAGTCCATAATAACCACTTATTAGATATTTTGTCTTAAGCAAATGTTCAGATCTTTCTGAGCCTGTTTCCTCTAAGATTAATGGAAAAATCATATCTCCCTCACACGTTTGTTACGTGGATTAATTCTGGCAATTTATATAAATAACTAGTTCACAGAAGGTACTTAATAAATGTCAGAGCCATTATACTTAACATGTTTCATTAAAGAATTAATTTATCAATATCCTACCTATTTGTTAATGTCCATAAAATATTTACATCTATATTCTCCATTATTATGCAAAGTCAGACTCATTTTAAAACTTATCTAAGGCAGTTTTCAGATGATATCTGGGAAAAGTTCGTCTCAACCTTATTCATTGAAATTTCTCAACTTAATGCTCTCATGACCTCTCATTTTATTAAGATTAATAACCATCTCTCTTCCAGGACGTGGATAAAGATACTGCTTACAGTCTACAAAAAGATACTTTATATGAATATACTTTTTTTTAAAAAAAAAAGCCAAATCTTCCCTTTTCTTTCTTAGATGAGAACTTAATATCACCTTCTCATATTCCAGAAGTAACACTTCGATCTATTAATGACCAAAGACTATTTTTAAATTCCTCGAATTTCCATGCCCCATGGAGAACTCACGTGATATTTACAGAAGGAAATCTGCTCAGCTGTCTGTTTCCAAATCCCTATTAGTTTCAAACCAATTTCATTTTCAAAGAAAGCTTGAAGCTTTATTTTGCATGTTTTGCATGAGCCTAGAGAGCAAATTCAAAAGACTGCCAAAGGCCACCTTCCATCAATTTTGAAAATCCTGACAGTTTTGTTTCTATTACTCTTCAAAAAATGATGGGTTGGCTTGGGCGCAAAGGAATTCAAAATGAAAGATCTTTGACCTAAACCTTGTTGGATCAATGCTTACACCCAAGAAAAGAAAATAATATTTTTAAAAACCATAGCATAAACTAAGATCTGAAAGTGTTTCTGATGTTAGAAAACATATTTTAAGTTATCTTGAGTCACAGAATGTTAGAGCTAGTTAGATCTATATATGGCTAGGTCTAGGATATTAGGTCTTTGAAGAATTTGGGGGTATCTTGTCTGACCCATTTCTTTTCCAGAAGAGGAAGCTTAGTTCTGGAAAGGTTCAATGCTTTCCCAAGGTCACGTGATTAGCAACTGCCAGCATTAGAACCCAGGCACCCTGATTCCTAGTCTACTAATTTTTCTTCTGTGTGTCTTCTTTCCTCTCCTTTTCTTCCCTTTAATAAAATATGGTTCCCCTAACATCTCACCTTCCCAGGTAGTGATATAGGAGTTAAGAAGAAATTATTTAGACAGATTGTGAGGGTAAGGAAGTCCTTGATAAAGTTTTGCTTTTAATGAAAAGCAGCCCCCAAATCATTTTCTTTTCTAACAAGGAGCAGCCTGTAAAATCAAGCTGCAGACATAGACAAGCTAGAAGCTTGCACAGGTGAATGCTGGCAGCTGTGCCAATAGGAAAAGGCTACCTGGGACCAGGCATGTTCAAAATGGCGGCTCCATCTTCCCTTTTCCTTGCCAACCACATGTGCAGTCTGGAGCAGACTACATGGCACCAGTCAGGCAAAGATTTCATTTGCATAATAAAATTAGGGTGGGGTGGCCAGCTTCCCTATGCACTATGCAAATGTGACACCTGGTCCAACCAATCTTTGGGCCCTGTGTAAATCAGACACCACCTCCTCAAGCCTGTCTATAAAACCCTGTGCACTCCGCCACCAGCTGGAAGACCCACTTGCAGGCCCCTCTCTCTCACAAGAGAGTGAGCTATTCTCTTTTTTTCTTTTTCTTTTGCCTAGTAAACCTGCACTCTAAACCTCACTCCATGTGTGTCCATGTCCTTGATTTCCTTGGCGTGAGGCAACGAACCTCGGATATTTACACCAGACAACAATACTGCTTCAGTAGGGTGGTGGAAATACTAAATAGCCTTTTCCATACCTTTCATAGAAATCAATTCAATACCTCTAGGGCAAACAGATCCATTTTGTCTATTTACTTGTTTAATTGAGGTCACAATAGGTGATGGAACAGAAATGAAACACCATGAGGGATTTTAGAAGCAAATTATAAAAAAGGGGAGGTAGTTCAACTAGCTGGAGAATTTTGGATCTCTGAGAGAGTCAGGTTAAAGAGTGAACAGCTGTAGGGGAAAGAATAGGGATTCATTTGTCCATATATTCTGCAAGTATTCTTTAAGCGCCCACTGTGCCTGGTACTGCTTTAGGTGTTGATGATACAGCCAGTGAAAAAATCCAAAATGCAAGCCCTCATGAAGTACACCTAGTAGGGGAGATAGACAGCAAGTGAGATAGAGGAGTAATTGCAGAGAATCCTGGATAGTGATAAGTGTTAAGGTGAACACAGAAAGAAGAGAAGAGCCACAGGAAGTTTTATACACAAGGGGTGGGGAGGGGCAGTGGGTGGGTGGGTGAGTGTGTGGTGTGGAAATTTTAGATAGGACGGCTAGGGCAGGTCTCAGTGAATTTGAATAAAGGCCAGAAGGAAATTAGATTCATTAAGTTTAATTAGAATTTCCCATTTCTAAATGTAATAAAGTCTGTTAGGATTCAGGACTATTAATTAGCATAAGCCTTTCGGTTCTCCACTGAAAAGTGCCATAAAATGACCAGATAGGTAGATCAATAGGGCTAATAATTTACATCATTACAGTGCAAGAGCCTCGGGAGAGATGAATCACTTCCCTCTGCTCCAGGAATGTGCTTCACCCTCACGCACATCAAGCCAGGGTCCCCACATCAAGCGAGGGTCCCCATGCACTCCAGCCTCTCAGAGCTGTGGAGTGTGGGCTCTGGAGTCAGTTACAACGAAGGGCAAACCCCAACCTCACCACTTCTTCAATCGCTGTAACCTTGGGCACTCTCCGTCATTCTCTGTACCTCAGCAACTGATCCATCATAGGGTAGGAGAACGAAATCAACTCATATCGCACTAGTAGCTGCCATTCCTATCATGTTTGTTAATGCCCGATATTAAGTCCTTTACATACATTATCTAATTTAATCTTCATGATCAAACTAGGTAATTTCACCACCATTTCACAAACACGGAAGCCAAGGGTTACAATGGCTAAATTCTCAAGAACAACCTGAACCCAGAATCATGGATCTAAAGCTGCGAGGCCCACCCCAGGTGCGTCCCCGCGCAGTGGATGCCGGTGCTATGATCTGCAGTGCAGCAGTGCTTGGCCAGTATGAAGTTCACCTTCTCTTACCTCATGCACTGTGTTGTAGAACATGGTGGCTTAAAGAGTCCCAGGCATTTTCCCTGCAGGCAGGGACACGAATGCCTGAGCTTCCCCTGCCTTGAGCCTGTCTTTCTTCTGTGTCCTGAAATTCAGTCTCTTGTGATGAAGACATTCAAGCCACCATCCATCCAAAAGAAGGAGTATTCTTAAATCTGAGAAGATCCTAAAACCAATCTTGGTTTTGCCCAGCTTTTCCAACTCCCCGGTGGCTGCACATTCTCTTTCTGGGGCCACAGGTCCTGAACTTTTGAGTTTGGGGCTTGGAGGGGACAGCAAGGAAGTGACAGCAATGCTAGAGGCCTATGCCCCACGGGAGTGCAGATTTAATCCTTAAATAAGAATAACAATACAAATGATCATTAGCAAGCTATTAAATGATGATGCTTTTAATTAAAAAATAATCAAATCTGTTTAAATAATAATAATGATTGCTCAGTATGGAGTGTTGACCCATTACCAGACATCAGACTAAGTGCTTTGCTGAAATTTTTCCCATTTCACCGGACAGCTCTGTGAGGTGGACATTGATGTCATTCCCGCTTTAGGTTTCTCATAACTGTAGGAAGGCAGGGAGGGTCTCCAGGGATTATAGGAATTTAATTGACTTGAGCAATCAGCCTGTTTTACAGCCTTCTGTCATGCAGTGGTTTTAGAAACAGCTTCTGACAGACCCCAGCAATTTATAGATGAACCCAAGTGAACGTTCCTCTTTACCTTGCTAAAGCCTCCCTGTGATCCATGTGCAGGCCTAATCACTCACTGCATCTGAGCAACTGGGCTCCTCCTCTACACGTGAGGATGCACCCAAACCTCTCTTCCCTCCCCATTGCTCTGTAAAACCTGTCTGTCGCTTTCCCTCGGGAAGACACTGCTTTGGAGGATATACCCAGTGTCCCCCTTCCTTGTGCCAAGTAATAAAACCACTGAGCAAAACCTGCATTCTCATGGAGAGTTGTTTGTTGCTCACCAGTCATAGGTACCCTGTTTTTTTCAGTAACATAACTGAGACACAGCTGTTAGATGAGGTGCCTGGGGTCACCAGCTCAGGACTCAGCACTGGGGCTGGAATCCAGTCCAGAGCCCACGGTCTGAGCTATTTCACTGACTGTTTCATCTTGTGTGGCTCCTGCTGGATTCCCACTGGGGGCAGGAAGAAGCCAACAGAAAGGCAACCTCAGAGGAGAGAACAGAATTTGTGTATGAAGAAAACAAATATGACCTGAGATACATTTTAGATGTTGGAGGGGCTCATAGAAAACACCGGAATGCAAAAATCAATCGTTTTCCTCTTTTCAAACCCTGGAAATGTGTTTCCTTTATTTGAGAGTGAAAAGCCACAGTATCAGTTCAATATTAATAAAGTGTCACATAACTAAACATACTCCTGAAAGTTTAAAATGCAAACCCATGAGTATTTAGTATACACATATAATATTGATTCTGCATATATTTGCATAAAAGTTTAAGTTTTTGAACTTAAAGCAGAAAGGAAACATACTGCTATAGGGTTTTCATTCCAGATTGCAGATGAGTGGCCAGGATTGCTTTGAAATTCCCAGGAGCAGGAACTCTTTTTCTTCTCTTAAGTACATGCCCTTTCTCTCTCTTTCTCTCTCTCTCTCTCTCATTTTCTCCCCTCGTCCCTTCCTCTCTCTGAATTGCTCTTTCTTCTCTTTCTCCTCCACTCTGCTCTCTTTTTTCATTTCTGCCTCCATCTTTCTCTTTAGAAATATCTATTTTTAAATTTTCAACTGTGGATATATATTTATTATATGAACTCACTTGATGCCCTGTCCTTTATTTCAGACTTCGTGAGTTGACTCTGTCTAATTCTTAAGGAAGCCTTAGAATATGTAATGAAGCTATATATGGGCTTTAATCTGCTCCTGTTTGGATCAGCTTCCTCCTTACATTATGAAGCTGTGTGCATGGTCTGAATGTTGGTGTTCCCCCAAAATTCCTATGTTGGAACCTAATACGCAATGTGATGGTATTAAGAGATGAAGGCTTTGGGAGTGATTAAGTCAGGAGGGCTCCACCCTCATGAATGGGATCAGTACCCTTACAAAAGAGGTGGAAAGGATGCAGCAAGTAGGTGCCATTTATGAAGAATGGGCCCTCACCAGACACCACATCTGCTGGACCCTTGATTTTGAACTTCCCAGCCTCCAGAAGTGTGAGCAATATATTTCTGTTATTTATGCGTTACCCAGCCTAAGAAATTTTGTTATACAGCCAAATGGACTAAGACACCATGTCAACCCAGGCGTGGTTTATGCCACAGAACCATCTCAGAAGTAAAACTTCTCATCTTCCAGGTGCAGATGACCTGACTGAGACTCTATTTTAAATCTTACCTTTGAGGTTTCAGCTCCACCACCTTTAGCATTTAGTAGGCATCTCAGACTTGCCTCATCCCCCTACCTCTGAAATCCCATTCCTCCATCAGCATTCTCTCTCTCAATGGAGAAAATACCCTTACATCTAGTCATGCAAATGAAGAACTTAGACTCTTCCCTCAGCTCAACTCTAACATCCCATTAATTACCAACTTCTGCTGATATTGTTTCCTAAATGTTTCCCAAATTACTATCTCCTTTCCATCCCAACTTCAATGCCTTGGTTTCCAGTTTCCTGGACTAATTGCAAATGCAGCCACTGAATAGTTTCCCAGAACCCAGTCTCATCTTTCTCAAATCCATTCTCCATACAGCCACCAAGGGGATTCATACAAAATGCAATCTGGCCATGCCATTCTTTGGTTTAAATTTTTTCAAGGTACCAGTGAAAGTTCAGAATAAAGTTCAAGTTCTTCAATAAGATCCATAAGACCCAAGTCCTCAGTCTCAACTTCCTTCATTCTCAGCCTCACACTTTACCTTCTAGCAACATAAGACTCTATGAAGTCTCCACCTAATTTTGTGAAGTATCCTTTTCCTGGAATACTTTTACCCTGCCTTCCTCAGCCTCAGCTCATCCTTCAGCTCCCCTGAGCTATTAATCCTTTTAACTCTGCCTAGATACAACCCCTAGAAAAGGGGCATCCCTTTTCTACTCCAGGGCTTGACGCACCCCGGCATCCTAGACACACCTCTATCATTGCACAAATCTCCCTCTGTTGGAATGATTGGACGATGTGTCTCTTGTACTATTCTTCTGTAAGCTCATTATGGGCAGGAAACATACCCTTTGTCTACCATCTTCAGCACCTACAACTCTGCCTGGCAGACAACGGACACTCATTTGTATCGCACCAGCTCTGACCACAGGCAATTTGTCTATCACAGCTCATGTAATTTATGACTTCACAAACTTAAACAAAGAGCTCCTTGCTAATCTCTTAAGGTTAACTGTCTCCTATTTGTGTAGTTTTTCTCGAGGGGCTTACTTTTATGTTTAATTACAATTCTTGTACATTTGTATGTGTGCAGATATATAAATATAATTATTATTATTTAACATCAGTTTTTAGATTTGGTTGTTCATTTATACACTAAGCATACCCTGATCACTTTCTTTATGCCTAAGCATCACTCTAAGTGCTGAGAATCCAAAGACAAAAGACCCAGTCTTCGCCTTCATGAAATTCACAATAAATTATTTATTATATTAATTTGGTAATTGGATGAAAATAAAAAGTTATTGGGATAAATGCTGGAAATTGTGTGGGAAATTATGATGATAGCTAGCAGACAGTAAGTACCTAATTTTTAAAATACTGCATTCATTGACTCCTCATTGTATACTGTTGTAGGCACTTTCTATGTTTTTTCTTTATTTCTGACTGTAGGCTCTGAGAAGTAAAATAACTTATCTAAGGCCACACCGCTAGTAAAATTCTAAGTCAGGTCTGACAGATTTCCAAACCCCAGGCACTCTACCATCCAGAGCCAGAAAAGAGAACATGTTCATAGATAAGAGTTTTCTCTAAAAAGCTCATGAATGTAATTGTGGAGACATACAGGTATTTACTGGAAATTTTGCACTGATACTCAAGGAAGTTGTGCAGAATAATTAAAAGCCTATTTGTTTTGCTTGGCTTTAGCTTAAATTCGGTGCACTGGGTGTGGCAATGCTGATTCTTTCATAGCATCCGGAAAGCATCAGCTTGGTTGTCGTGCATGACATCCGCTAACAGGGAAAGTGTATCATGATTTCAGAATATAATTCATGAGTAGACAAAATCTTTCAATATTGGGGGCCAGTGGGGAGAAATAGAAAGAGGAGTCTTTGGTAGTCAGGAAGTTTTTAACCCACAAATAAGTCAGTTCGAACCTGTGGGAAATCAGGTTGAGCCTGGGCTTCATTCCCTGAGGCAGAGGCCACTGCATGTGGGGAGGTGAAATGACAGGCTGACTCTAGAGAGCATGCGGTTCTAGGGTTCCCCGAACAGTTTGGCATATCGTTCCCCAGCCTCCAGGCACAACCTGACCCTCTGCTCAGTGCCTTTCTAGCATCAGGAACGAGACTGTCTAGGTGCAGTTCTGAGATCGACGCTTCCTTTATCAAACCGTGAACATTCCTTTCTAGTCAAAAAAAGGATCACGAGTTCCATGAGATTGTTTAGCAAGACACTGAAAAAGGTCATTTATAGATTTTGCCTAGAAAAAGAAAAGCACTTGAAGTTTGTGCTTTATCCTGTACTCTCTGAACTGCCACACGCCCAATCCATGACAACCGTGGGCCATGGATAAGAGAGCACCAATTGTGACAGGATTACATACAGTGATTATTTGCTTGGAACAAACAGTTACAGTGTGTTTAAAATGTGTTCAGGTCCATTCTCACAGCACCGTACAAGTGAATAATCATTTTTCTTATTTGGAATGGAAGAGAAGGGCTGTGAGAACAGAAAGAGCATACCTTATCTCTCTCTCTATATATATCTCTCTCTTTCTTTTTGACACAACATAAGAAGAAAGGCTCGATTAAAGAATTAATCTATGTGAATGTAACAACTTCACTACAGCAAGCGCTCTCATTTGTTGAAGAGAAAAATACGACCAAGCACAAGACAGAGAGGAGAGGCAAGGTGTACAAGAAAATAGGCGACAGGCCAGGCACAGTGGCTCGCGCCTATAATTCCAGCACTTTGGGGGGCCAGGCAGGTGAAGCGCTTACACTCAGGAGTTTGAGACCAGACTGGGCAATGTGGTGAAACTCTGCCTCCACAAGAAACACAGAAATTCCTGAGGCATGGTGACGTGCACTTACAGTCCCAGCTACTAGGGAGGATTGCTTGAGCATGGGAGGTGGAGGCTGCAGTAAGCCATGATCATGCCACTGCATCCCAACCTGGGCAACAGAGTGAGACCCTGTCTCAAAAAAAAAAAAAAAAAAAAGAAAAGAAAATATGAAATAATCTGTGAGAGACCAGCTCTGAACCCCACAACACTGTCACAAAAACAATAACCCCTTTGCCTCCTTGGCTTTGATCTTCTCTAAATAAAATGTGACTTGCTGCCTGCATTAAAGTTCATCATAAATCCTTAAGGTAAGAATCTTGGAACAAGACACAATCTATGCAGTGCTGGAAAAGAAATATTACAGAACTGCTAGCCTTTCATTTTTCACAATGGTTCGTTGGAAAAATTATGGGGTTGGATATTATTCTATTGCCACTTTAATTGTAGCTATAAAAATAAACCCAGTAGAAATTATAGATGAAGATTACAAAAAAAAGTGTGGCTTCCCTGCCATCTATGTAGATAAATGGTATTAAATCCATCGTCTTTGTAAAGAAGCATATCAGGAAAGCAACACAGAGGCATGTCGCCATTTAATTGCATTTGGCTTCCATGGTGGTGAAAAGTTTTAGTCATATTTTTTTTTTTACTACCATGGAGCTGAGGAAGGAAGAGAATATTTACGTCGGAAGGAAAAGGCATAGCATAGTAAGTAAAATTTTCAGATCACCCAAATGCTCCATTTTCAAAACAGTTTCTGTTTCTACATACAAAACTCTTCAACAAAGCAGGTAAAATCAAGCAAATGCATTTGATTTGTGTTCTTTCCACTCCCTGTGCTTTCCGGTATCATATCCTACTCTCCCTGGTTTTTGGAAAGCTGGAGGCCAAGATGACTTTTCTTCCCTATGTTCCATCCCCTGCCTGAATATAGCATAAGGCAGGACAAGCTGAAGGCAACGAGCCCCAGAAATAGCCCATGCATATCTCATTTGGTCTGTACTCTTTCTGATTTTGATCAACCTTCATTCTCTGCCATTCCTTCTGCCTCTGCCTCTCCCACTGGACAAAGAATCAAGCTAAGTCCCAGCTCCTCACAGACTTTGAGCAGGGTCTCTTTCTTTTGAGGCTTTCCCATGGACTGACACATCAGAAAGCAGTAAACTACACACCTTCTGGCATAAACAATGCATGTCCTCATTTACATATGGCCATCGAGGCAGTGTATCCTGGGGATGGCCCAGTTCTGTCAAAGCAAAACCTGAGTCAGTTTATGCATAAGAATGTGGACTGACAAATTTTATGCATTTCAGATTATTATTTGCACCAACTCCTAATTTCCCATCTATGGCAAATGAATCAAGGTCGGGCGGCGTCTTGTGTTGGTTGCCCTCCTCCCCAGCCAGCTACCCGTGTATTCAGCAGACATTTAAGTGTCTGCTTTGTTCCAAGAGCAGGCAGTCAAAATACACAATAAAACAAAAATAGTCCTTGCCTCTCAGTGTACATGTTTGAGATCCTTCAATTTTAGGAGATAAAAGGCAATGGTTTATACAGTTTCACATCTGCATTTTTTAAATAGGAGGTTTCAGCAGACTTGCCCAACTTGATGGCAAGAATCTAACTGAAATGAAGACATCATAGACAAATTTTGCTTTTCTTATGCTTAGTATACAGTTGCTGCCACCCTGAAAAACCCTCTTTCTTAAACCATTGGGACACACTGAATCTGGTTAGAGAAGTTTTCTACAAATGCACATAATTTAAATCCATTGGAGGGTGAATAACATTTTTACAAAGCTTTATCCATTCTAATCCAAGGTGGGACAAATAAGCATTTTCCATTTGAGAAGAAACTGATACTTCTGTAGAAATACAAATGCTCTGGTACTCATGGGATTGGCCAGTCAGTATAATATGCTGTGAAACAATTGCTATCTTGGCCAATAATGACAAATAAAACAAATGCATGATAAAAAGTTACCAGATATTAGAGTAAGGCAGGCTTGAGAATGAAAAGGTTAATGTATTTGTTTTAGAGACCGATAAATTATGTTGGCATAGTGTTTCACTGGTGGCTCAAGCCAAACATTTGCGGAGTCATAAAGCAAAATGAATGCTATCTCATTACTGTATTTCAAAAGAGGCATAAGCGACAACGGTATTAGAATCACAACTTCATGTTCATTATGATCCTCCACACCTACTGTCTTAAAAGGAAATGAACTTCCTTCATGGTTTAGAGATTTAGAGTTTTGACTTAAAAAAAATTCTGGATATTTTTATTCATTAAGCTTCCAAATCTTTCATAGGAAATAGCTACTTACTATTTTCCAAAGCTATATGGATCTATAGGACCCATTCTATCCCAGTCACATAACTAATTATCTTTCAATGGTCTTTATGTTTAAAAAAAGTTAATAGGCAGGCAGTGGCAGCAGACAAAATTTTATATAAACCTGCAAAAGAGCCAACTGCCACTTATATGCAATTTGAAATTCAGCAACTCCTCTAAAATTCAGCAGCTGAAAGCTGTCTCTGACTCCGTTAATCTTGACCTTAAATGAATGTGGGCGATTTTCATAGTTCTGGATGACACCTGAAAAGTAATAACATTGGTAAAAACAGGTTACAGAAAAGGACTGTATTCTTACCTATGCCAATGTCTATACCTTACCTCTATTATACCTACACCTACACCGATACTTAAATATACACCTACACGCATATCTATACCTACACATACACCTATATCTACACTACACCTGTAACTGTACTTACGTCTACGCCTATGCCTATACTATACCTATACCACACATATATCTATACGTACACCTATACCTACAGCTTCTTGAGGGTGTACTTCGTCCCTGTTGGATTCCTAGCACTCTCAAAGTGTGCTTTATAAATTGTGTGTATTCTGTGAATACATGGTTCTCCCATAGATAAGGATGAATTATGTTGACCACTGAAAATGGTCTAACACCAATTTGCTGTCTAAGTGCCTAACAACAGGGTTTTCCATGGTTTTAAGGTAAAGAATCATTGATTATTTGAATTATTCAAAAAGTATGAGTAAATTTCCTAGTATATTTTAAGTGTTGTCTTCACTTCTATTTTAATTGAACATTCTAAAATTGACATTCACAGTTGCTAGTACATTTTTTTCCATTTCAAATAAGATGATGAGCAGCCAAAGAATGTCTTAGATATTAGAAAGTGCAAATGGCAAAATTGCCTCTATTAAATATCTTATTAATTCAGGAGAGTTCACAGCCAGTTAGGCCAGGTAGGATGTACAGGATGAGCTGAAATGAGAAGCATGGGTCAGGACCACACAAGGTGATTCCAAATGTCCTTGTAGGAGTTAGGGAACACAGCCAGCTCCCTTAGAGAAAAGCCTCTTATGAAGCCCTAAATTAGACATCCAAAGGTCCAGAATCAGGGCAGCCAGAGCTAGAATGTAAAAAATAAGTAAATAAATCAAAGGAGCACTGTATGACCTGCTTTTTTAGATATTTCTGAGGATCTATGGGCTTCTTTACAATAAATGTGCTTCATTCTATTATGTTATTGTCAGAAGAGAGATAATTTGATAATTTTGACTTTATATTTGGAAACTGACCTGCTGCAGCCCTTTTGAAAAGAAAATGTGTTCTTAGATTCACTTAAAGCTATCCTTTAGCTGTCTCGGAAGTTCACTTCTTAGGAAGCCATAGCAACTTTCTAGTGAAACCATCAGGAACCTAAGATCCTTTTCCTGAAAGAATTATAAAACTTACAAATGACTTTGAACAATGTATATTAGCTTAAATTCCATTAAGATTTTAGTGGATAAGAAAAGGCTGACACAACTTCCTAATGCTAGGAAAAAAGATGTACACTTAATTTTTCAGATAATTTCTGTGCTTCACAGGGCACTAAAAAAAAATAAGTAAGTAGTTTCCTGGTTACTGAAGTTTCAGTTTCCTACTCACATTCTTATACATTAGAGTACCGCAAATCAAATGGTGCTATTTAACACTGTGTAATTCTCTATATAAATGAAAGTAGTCAATATGGATGTGAAGTAAGAATGACAAGAGTTGACACATTAATTCCACAGAATACTAGACAATCCTAAATAAGACTCTAAATTTGAGTATGGCTACCTCATTGGCTTATTGAAAACAAAATCTTTCTAATTGACCTTTACATAGGTCTTTGTGAATATTTTTTGGTGCATCTTCAACTGATGCTGCATTTGATGGAGCTGCCAAACAACTGGAAAGAACATAATCTATTACTAGAAAGTTTCCAAAGCTTAAAACTTGAATGACAATTTGAAACCGTAAATCCATAAAGCATGTAAGCAGCACCATGCACTTGGCCCAGGGATGAACTCCTGATGAAAAGGGAGTCAACCCATTGGGTGGACAGGGTCGATCATGAGAACTGGCAATTCAGATTCGACTAGGAGGTCACATGAAGTTGAGCCTAGGCAACTATATTGACCTTGTAACTTGAGTAGATAAAGCGTCTACAGAAAGGAGACTGATGTTGCTAAACACCCTCCAAAAGAGAAGACATAAACCCCAGGTGGCTCCAGCAAAAGGAGCAGAGGGCGAGAGAGTCATTGCTTTGTCTCCAGTGACTTCCCAATTTCAGGTTTTAGCTCTTCATGAGTACTGTTTATATTCGTGTCCTTGAATTGCAGGAAATACCCCTTTCAACAATGATCTTTTTTTGCTTAAGTTGCTTTGAGAGGGCTTCATTTTGCTATAGCCAAACAGTATCTGACCAGAATAAGAACTTCATGAAAGCAGGGATATTGCCTGTTTTAACCATGACTTAGGAACCATACTTAAAGATCAACAAAAATTGTTAATGAATTGACTACAGAGAGAAAGAGAGAGAAATTCTGCCAAAGGAATCTGCGAAGGATAGATGGTGAGGATTCCATCTTCCTTTGCCAAATCAAGGTCCCAGAAGGCCCGTCTTTATGTCTCCACTGAGACATGACAGTGAAGTAGAATAAGGAAAAAAACAAGTCACAAGTCTACGGGATGTCACATTGCCCTGGGACACTCTGAGACTCCAGCCTGCAGGCAGGAGACCCCAGACAGGGAAAAGCCGAGAAATACAGAAAAAAAAAGTTTAACTTACATGAAAGAATATTAAGTTTGAAAATATGCTGAAACATAAATCTGCTTATATAAGAATATTTACATTATTTACATTCATGTGGCCCTATGAAACATGCAAAAAAAAAGTTAGAAAACCTCTGAAGATAAATGAAGCAGAGTGAATATATGAGTACTTTGAGAAGTAGAAGGGCCATTTATAAACACAAGGCCCTGTATAAACACTACTAGTGTTACGTATTGTTTTGATATATGATAAAATATTTATCACTGACTGAGAAACATGGAGGTACAAGCTGTGTGTAATGCAATCTGACTTTCAGACTTGGCTTACACGTCTGCTAATGCTGAGCTATGATGCAGGTAGAGGCAATTACATGCTTGCATGAATGTCAAATGGCAGAAACTAAATTACAGAACAGAGGATGAATGCACTTTGGTGGGGATGAATCAGCTATTTAGAAAGCCTATATAGTATTGTATGCCTATGAAAAAGAAACTAAAAATATTATTAGAAACTGGGTTCCTTGTGATGAATGATAAATGTTCCAGGAAGAGGCTTCCAGCCTCTCTCCATTGGATCTTTGGTGGGGGTGAATAAGAAAAAATAGGCTGGGCATGGTGGCTCACGCCTGTAATCCCAGCACTTTGGGAGGTCAAGGTGGGTGGATCACGAGGTCAGGAGATCGAGACCATCCTGGCTAACACAATGAAACCCCATCTCTACTAAAAATACAAAAAATTAGCTGGGTGTAGTGGCACGCACCTGTAGTCCCAGTTACTTAGGAGGCTGAGGCAGGAGAATTGCTTGAACCTGGGAGGCAGAGGTTGCAGTGAGCCGAGACTGTGCCACTGCACTCCAGCCTGGAGACAGAGCAAGACTCTGTCTCAAAAAAAAAAAAAAAAAAAGAAAGAAAGAAAGAAAGAAAAAGAAAAATTAAAATTAATAATGTAAGTGGTTCTGTACTGGTTACTGAAAGAGTAGCCCAGTAGGGCTCTGGAACTCGTAAGAGAAAGGATAAAGCACTGTGATTGTAATTGTGAACTGCAGAAGAAACCAGATCTTAAGTCTGGCAGAAAATGTCAAGAAAGGGAATGAGATCATGAAGGTGACTCGGGAGTTCAAGCACCATCTCCCTGCATGTTTAGCAACATTTTTTGTATCAAGAGAATATAGGACTCATAGTTGTAAGATCCAGCTTTCTATTGGCTATATCACCTGTTGGTCATATGGGCTCAAATAAGTCATTTAATCCCTCTAAAACTCAGTTTCTTTATTGGTAAATTAATGATGATGACGATGGTTTTGCTCAAAATAAGGATTTGTAAAAATCAAAAGAGCTAATGTTTATACAAGTACTTTGAAAACCAATGTCATATAAAGTCTATTAAATAATTTAAAATAATTCCTTTAAGAAGTCCTATAGCAAAGCTGAGGTCAGGCAATTTGGGAGGCAGTTTAAGGGGCAGGAAAAAGGGGCCTTCTCCTAGATGATTATAGGAAACTTTCCAGCTCATAGCTTCTCCGTCTTCCTGCCCACACTTACCACTGGAACCTTGGGCTTCATCTGACAATTGGAGGTGCATTTTCACTTTCAGAACTCCCCCTGCTATTCATGTTAACCTAATTTCTCCTCTTTGGCTTAAAAATATTGGAACATGAGGAAGAAGAAGAAAAAGAAACAATACTTGGGATGGTTTACCTTAGCTCTGGTTTCCTAAGGGAGTACACTTGTCTTTCCCTTTTCCTCCTGGCTTGGCTTTGTCATGACTTCTCCAGACACTAAGACATCTTATCTCTCTTTCTGCAGGTCTGTACTCAGCCGGCCCCCAGGGATTTTCCTCGAAGAAATCCAGAGCACAGTGAATAAAGAGGGATCTCCACGACTCTCTGGGAGCTTACCTGTGGCAGCTCTCATTATTCTCCTGTTACAAATGAGGAAGTTTTGTGGCTAAAAGGTTGAGTGATTGATTCAAAGAACGACTCTGAGTCATTGATGAAGCTGAAAATGGAATCCAAAGCCCCTCAAAGTAAACTAAAAAAAAAAAAAGACTTTAATGGGGTCTTTCTTTTTGAGACCCCAAAACCTTACAGAATACCCATGACTCTCAATAGTTTTTGGAGAAATCTGCTTTATCCATCCCAGATTGAAAAACAAAGGAAAACGTGCATGCTATTAGTTATATACTTAGTAAGTAGAAGAGAGATTTTCAAGGGCTTAGAATGAGGAAACTTTCTGTTCTATAAGCCACTCGGCTGACATGGCTGATCAGTACATTCAATTTGTCTGTAGGTACAAGTGATCACAAATAGATGAGACCAAGATGTTCTTTAATCCCTTTCCCCAAATTATGTTCTGGCTGGTGATACACTGGTGAAGCCACATCATACTGCCTTGTGATAAGCTCTTCTCTCTCTCTCCTTGCTATCTATGCTTCCCTAGTGGCTGCCCTCAGATTGTGTCCACTGCCCCTGAGGCACTGAGGAGCAGAAGATTCCTATCCATACCAACTTTGCTCTAAGTCCTCTTTCAGACCCTTGTGATTTCTTCAATTCAGCAGTATACACAAGATATGGTGTTGGGTGTTAGGGATGCAGCAAAAAACAAAGTAGGCACCATCCCTAAATAAAAACACAAAGGCAGAGGCTATGAAAGGGGAGAAGGACAGAGTCTCACTCTGTCACCCAGGCTATAGTTCAGTGACACAATCTTGGCTCACTGCAATCTCTGCCTCCTGGGTTCAAGCGGTTCTTGTGCCTCAGCCTCCTGAATAGCTGGGATTACAGGCATGCGCCACCACGCCCAGCTAATTTTATTTATTTATTTATTTAGTAGAGACAGGGTTTTGCCATGTTGCCCAAGTTGGTCTTGAACTCCTGGCTTCAAGTAATCCACCCACCTCAGCCTCCTAAAGTGGTGGGATTACCAGCATGAGCCATGGCACCCAGCCTACATTGGGAGGCATTTCTAAGACACAGTTAACTGGAGCTGATGATGGGTTGAATGTGAAGTGAGAGACAGATTGGAATCAAAGACATCAAAACTCTCAGACTGATTCTAACAGGGGTCCTCAGTTCCTCACTGACATGGGGAGACTCTTGGAGCAGCAGGCTTCTGTGGAAAATTTAAGAATTCTGCTTTGCACTTGGCAAGTTTGACATCCAAGTAGAGATACTATACAGGCAACAAGACCAGGGAAAAGAGGACAGCAAAGAAAACAGCGATGCAATCAGTGAGCTAAAGATTATGTGAGAGCCAGAGACAGTTAGCAGGGAAAGGTATGGACCCTTTATTTAAGCTGCTATACCACACAGTAGGATTATTTAAATATACATATTATATTAATATAGGATTATTAAATATATATGTAATTTTCCCCCGCTACAAAAAGAATATGAATGAGCTTCTGCACAGCAAAAGAAACAGAGTAAACAACCTACAGAATGTGAGAAAATTTTTGCAAACTATGCATCCATCAAAGGTCTAATACCAGAATCTATGAGGAACTTAAACCAACTAGCAAGCAAAAAACAAGCCCATTAAAAAGTAGGCAAAGGGCCGGGCATGGTGGCTCATGCCTGTAATCCCAGCACTTTGGGAGGCTGAGGTGGGTGGATCATCTGAGGTCAGGAGTTCGAGACCAGCCTTGCCAACATGGTGAAAAATATAAAATCTCTACTAAAAAATATAAAAATTAGCCAGGCATGGTGGCAGGTGCCTATAATCTCAGCTACTCAGGAGGCTGAGGCAGGAGAATTGCTGGAACCCGGGAGGCAGAGATTGCAGTGAGCCAAGATCGCGCTATTACACTCCAGCCCAGGCGACAACAGTGAGACTCTATCTCAAAAAAAAAAAAAAAAAAAAATGTTGGCAAAGGACATGAACAGACACTTTTCAAAAGAAGATATACATGCAGCCAGCGAGCATATGAAAAAATGCTCAACATCACTATCATTAGACAAATGAAAATCAAAACCACAATGTGATGTCATCTCACATCAGTCAGAATGGATATTATTAAAAAGTCAAAAAATAACAGATGCTGGTGTGATTGCGGAGAAAAGGGAATGCTTATACACTGCTGGTGGAATGTACATTAGTTCTGCCATTATGGAAAGCAGTGTCGATTTCTCAAACAACTTAAAACAGAACTACCATTTGATCCAGCAATCCCATTATTAGGTATATACGCAAAGGAATATAAATATTTCTACCATAAAGACACATGCACATGTATGTTCATCACAGTACTATTCACAATAGCAAAAACATAGAATTAACCTAAATGCCCATCAATGGTAGACTGAATAAAGGAAATGTGGTACATATACACCATGGAATGCTACACAGCCATAAAAAAGAATGTGATCATGTCCTATGCAGCAACATGGATGGAGCTGGAGGCCATTATCCTGAGTGAACTAACGCAGTAACAGAAAACCAAATACCACATGTTCTCGCTTATAAGTGGCAGCTAAACATTGAGTACACGTAGACACAAAGAAAGGAACAAGAGACATGGGGTCTACTTGAGGCTGGAGGGTGAGAGGAGGGAGAGGATAGAAAAACTACTTATCTGTTACTAAGCTTATTACCTGCATGATGAAATAATCTGTATACTAAGCCCCTGTGACATACAATTTACCTGTATAACATACCTGCACATGTTCCCCTGAACCTAAAATAAAAATGTCTAAAAAGCTATAAAATACTCAAAGAAGAAAAATAAGAACCAGAATATTGGATATTTGGTTTTTTCAAAAGTAGCCACTGACTACTTTTTCCTAAATGAGCATGCACACGCACATAGAATAATTACTGTTGTGTTTATTTAGTGTTTATTGTGTGCGGCAGGTGCTGTGAATGCACTTGCACGCACTGTCTAGGTTATCCTTCATCGCTACCATGCAGGGAGATCCGACCGTCACCTTCCTCTTCCAGTTGTCCCTTGGCAGAGCTGTGTCTGGAACTCAAGTTTTTTGACTGCAGGGCCTGGACTTTGCCTACTTCTCTCTAGAGCCTTACAGAATTGCAATTAAAATGCACATATTGAGCAACAGGAACTCTCATTTATTGCTGGTGGGAATGCAAAATGTTAAAGCCACTTTGGAAGATAGTTTGGTAGTTTTTTACAAGGCTAAGCACACTCTCACCAACGGCCCAGCAATTGAGTTCCTTGGTATTTACCGAAATGAATTGAAAACTTATGTCCACACAAAAACTTGTACACAGATGTTTATAGCAGCTCTATTCATAATTGCTAAAACTTGGAAGCAACCGATGAAAAGATGGGGAGGAAACTTAGATGCATATTAATAGTTAAAGAAAGCCAATCTGAAAAGGTTACATCCTGTAAAATACTGAAAAAGGCAAAACTGTGGAGACTATAAAGAGATCAGTGGTTTTCAAGGGAGGGAAGGATGAATGGGTAGAGCACAGAGGATTTTTAGGCAGTGAGACTATTCTGTAAGATACTACAATGGTGGATACATGGCATTGTACATTTGTCCAAACCAGAACAATGTACACCACGAAGAGTGAACCTAAGGTAAACTATGGACTCTGGGTGATAATGATGTGTCAATTCAGGTTAGTCAACTGTAACAAATGTATTCCTCTGGAGGATGTTGATAAGTGGGGAGGCTGTGCATGTGCAGGGGTAGATGGTATATGGGAAACCTCTGTACTTGCTCTTCAATTTTGCTGTGAACATAAAACTGCTCTAAAAAATAAATGTAGTGAAAAAAGGAATACAACAAAAATAGGCCTATTGTCTTATAAGTTGCTTTACCCCCAGGTATTAGTTTTATTAAACATGACTTTGGTGATTTCATAGTTTACACGACTCAGATGTGCCATTATTTATCTGATCCACTTCTTATTTTTGGACTTTTAAAAACTTCACATCATAGTTTCCCTCATGTAACAGACAGCTCTCTGTAGAACTCTCTGGACACATCTCTGGTAATGCCCGCAGACTAGATCCGAGACGTAGCTCTGCACACATGCCTCCTCTGCGGCTCCCTGCCAACTGCCTTCTAAAGCCAGGGGCTAACTCAACATCCCGCTGTGGGGTGGGCACACGTCCCTTCTGTTGCCCACTCACCAACCTTCTGAGTGCTTATTTTTTTAATCGATGCCATTTTGAAAGTGATAATGGCATCTCATCAATTATTCTGTTTGCATTTACTTGATTTTTAGCAAACATCTTAAAATACTGTTATTTACTCTATATCCAATTTTGAACAAAGTGATTCAGAATCTTGTCTATGCTTCCTTCTTGCAGTGCCTTGTTACCTCCTCGCATTTCCTTTGTCACAGGTGATCCAAATCCTGAGTTCCAGTCTGTCTCCCTCAGAGACTCAGGAAGATGATAAACGCTGATGTGGCAGGGATGGAGCTGAGATAAGGCTGCTGTAGACGGGTTCCCACCAGACCCTTTGTACTCATAACCTTAAATTACACTGTCAGGAGAGAAGATTGCCAAGGAGATGCTGGTGCTGACTTCCACTCCAAAGTGGTGTCTCTGAAGAAACACATGCTAATCAGGACAAGAACAAAGCTTTTGAAACCTTATGGGGGACTAAAAAAGATTCAGATGTGATTAAGTTGAGGGGAAGCAGGAATGAGGCAAGTATTTATTTAATAGTGAATATATGAATGAATATGAGCTGCATTCATAGGTAAAATCTTCTGGCACTTAAACCATTCAGAATAAAAGGGTTTATTATTTTAAAATTATTTACATTTCAAGAAGAAATAATAACTAAAAGTTTAGCATGTACAGATTTATAAACACAGCTATACCCATAACATTATTATTATTATTATTGTCATCTTGCTGTTGCTACACAGAGCTAGGTTTATGTGCAGAGTTTAATCTGTACACTTGTCATCATTATTATAGTCTAGGTCTAATAGATATCATTCACTGAGTATCACTACCTGTTAGATGTTAAGCACTTTATGAACATTATCTCATCAGATTAAAATCCACCTCTGGAAATCTGAAACATCAAGGTAGGCAGGAAGGAAAGGTATTCACATCACATTCCTTAAGCCATATATGAGAAATAATGAAGGAGACCTAGGGGAATGATTGAAACCCTGAAATTCTAGTATTGAGATTTGGAAAGAAAAAGGTATGAAGCCAAATTTGGCTTATCAGAAGGCCAGAAATCCTCCTTTAGGCAGGAAACAACATACATATCAGTGCCAGGTACACTGAAGGCTCCTTGCATCACTTACTGCTGTCCCAGGAGTCCCTAGGCCAATACCCCAGGGATTGGTCATGTGCCTGGGCTGATGGACTGCAGTGAAGACAGAGAAAGTCTAGCTTTTCAGGGCTTAAAAAATAACTCTTATTCACTTTAATGATTAAAATGCTCCTGCAACTTAAAGAAAAGTGAGAACAGCTGCAATGCCAGGACCACAAAGGTTGCTGTAGGGCAGAAAAAACACTGAGTGTTTCATGAGGATAGGGATCTATGAGGGAAGAGAAACAGGAATATACAAGTTGCTCAATAAATTATTGTTGAAAGAATAAATGACTGAGTCCATGAATGCACGGGTTGAAAGTTCCAATAACAAACACTTGATGGGCTAGGAATAAAAAATCTACTGTGCACTCAAATGTCTGAGGTTAAGCAAAGTCAAATACACTAGTTTTGAAGGTTTCTTTTTTTAAAGTAGATGTGAGCACAGAAAGTTTGAAGCCTTTATTCTTAAAATAGACAGGCTGCTTGGCCCTGCTGGCTGAAGACTCAGTCTGATTACCATGTGAAGTCATCTGTTATAAGACAGGGCCAAGTAGTCCTCTTCAGATGGTTTCCAGAATACCTTACCTTTCCTACAAACCAGAGTATAACACTGGAAATAAGGACGGTCTCTCATATTGGAGTTGCTTTCCTCACCATGTGCAACTCAATCATTTCTTCATTTCTGAGTCACATGAGTCACATGTATCTTGGAAAATGTCACGGCCATAAAGTTAGTATGTTATCTTGTGAAATGATAATTTACTTATGAAAAGCTCTTTCTCTCTCTTTTTTTAGCAATGGACTTCCAGAGATGTGAGGCTATTCCCTTGCCTGTGTGCCCTGGAATCTACTAATATTCCTTATAGGCTCATGCTCCTTGTGGGGAAAATAAGGTTTATTTTCCGTATTGTCCTCTGTAGGATAATGAGGCTCAAATGATTCCTGGAAAACTAAAGTTTTAATCTCCCATTCCACTTGATCATGTTCTCTCTGGCTCTTGAGCCTTTCCTATCTCTCTGCCATGTCAGGTTCAGATACTCCTTCAGATGCTAGTTAAACTGTCCCGTAATTCATCAATATAAGTGACAAAGTCCTTCAGCATTATGTCTGTAAATGTATTTTTTTAAAAACACATGGACTATATATCTTAGAACATATAGGTTGTTTAGTACTTGAATGTTAGCTTTGATGTCTAATATCTTTCATTTAGCTTCTTATGTATTTGATCTGTGTTTTTATATTTTTTTAAATAAATATATCCTTTTACTATTTGGGGCATTTCATAAATGTATTCTAATTGGCTGGCTTGTGAGAATTCATTGTTAGAAAAGGATATGATTAATTCAGTTCAAAGTTGCCTGCACATCAACTATGTTTCAGGCACTGTGCCAGATGCTGGGGACAAGAACATGACCCCTGCCTTAAAAATCTTAACAGTTTAGCAGGTAGACAGAAACATGCACACAGTGATATACTCTAGGTTCACTGATACAGATATAGGTAGATATACACACTCACAGAAGCAGGGTACTTAGTTCAGCCTGGTGGTGGCAGAGGGTGCTGAGGTCTGGGGAGAGACCATTAGGTCAAGTGTGAATAAGAAGCACTTTGAGGAAATGGTTTGCAAGAGTTCTCCTTCTCAAGAGCTGCCTTGAAGTATCAACTACCATGCAACTGGTGTGTAGGAGGCCACTTTTGAAAGCTGCGGGATGGAATGGGAATTTGGGTTGAATAATTGAAGAAGGGATGTCAAGAGATGATTATAATATACCAAGAAGGGTCATGACCAGATGTATAAACTTGGTTATTTTTCCAAATTATTGTAGAAATGGGAGTGAATGGGAACACCTCACATGAGAACAGTTACAGGGCAGAATATTAGAAGAATGTCTATATAGAAAGGCTGAGAGGGGAAGAGGAACACAATCAATTCAACAGAAGCCAGGTGGGGCAGCAGAAGGAGAGTGGCACAGAGACAAAAGGTAGTGCAGTAAGTTATGCAGACAAAGACATGTTCCTATTCTCCAGAGCTTAAAAGTCAGTGCAAAGATGCTACTTGGTTTTCAGTGAGCAAGAGGCATTTCTAAATTGCTCTGGGCTGCAGGCAGTATGTCTTTTGCATATAAAAAAGTATCATATGGTTGAGCACAGGCTTTATTGATATTGATCTGTTGCCTTCCTTTTCTATCTGAACACAATTTGAGCTATCACCCGTGACCAAACAACAAGATACTTCATGTATAAAGTGACACAAATTCATGACATCTCTACCTAACACAGAATGGTGAAGCTAATAGTGTTTTCCAGGTTCCAATATCCTAAAAATTTATTGATATCTCAAACATCACTGCAACAATAAATTAAATCATTGTGGAGAACAAAGGATGTTAAAACAGAGCCCAAATTATTACAGTTTTTTATATGGGTTAATATGAAAAAATAAAACCTGCCAGTTAACCAGGGAAATGGAAAGATGAACTTAAATTTTATTCACTCATGTGTGAATAAAATGTGTCAGCAACTAGTGGAGTTTAGGGGAAATGCATAGGTTTTAAAGTCAGATAGATAGAGAACTGAGTTGTAACTCCACCATTTACTTATTTACTACCTATATGAACCTAGATAAATTATTCATGTTTCTGAACCTCACTTATTAAAATAAGAATCACTTTGTTGCTAACATGGATGGATGAAATTTGAGGTTTTAATTTATGTTGTTTTAATTTTTCTCTGTATGTGGCAGACTGCTGACTGGGACCCACTTTTAATTCTCTCCTTCTCCTTTTAATAACAGAACTGCACTTCCTCCTGGGTTTTCGCTGGGCAGTTGGTGGCTGGCTCCTGTCCCTACATCCCAGCCTCTCTTGCAGCTAGGTGTGGCCATATTTAGATGAGGGCACAGGGAAGTGGGCAAAAATGGTATGTGTAACTCCAGATCAGGTTTAGGGTATGTGTAACTCCAGGTCAGGGGCTTTGACCCCTCCTGGCATATATAGGTGACCCTTGAACAACAAGGGTTTGAACTATATAGGTCAATTATATCTGGATTTTCTTCTGCCTCTGCCACCTAAGACAGCAAGACCAACCTTCCTTTTCCTCCTCCTCCTCAGCCTACTCAAACAAGAGGATAAGGATGAACACCTTTATGATGATCCACTTCCACTTAGCCATGCTTTTCCTGAATTCTGCTTCCCTCTCCCTGCTGGCTGGAAGATGGTGCAGCTAAACCAGCAGCCTTGGGCCTAGAGATGAAAGCTGCATGCTTAGAATGGTATCATTGGCCTCTTGGCGCATAGCTGTACATGTGGCTGGGTGGCCTATCTACTTTTGGATTGTGTTATGAGAGAGAGAGAGAGAGATAAATGTCTATTTATGCTATTGTACTTTGGGGTTGCTTTGCCTACAAATTAATTCTCATTTTCATCTCCAGCTCCTTCAAATCTTATTTTTTTTATATCACTGTCTCAGAGGAAATGTGTGACCAAGACTTCTGTTTGTTTCTTTTCTTTTTTTCCTTCCTTCCTTCCTTCTTTCTCTCTCTTTCTGTCTCTTTCCCTCTTCCTTTTTTTTCTTACCTAAGCTCTTCAGCTAGGCACTACCCTGGGGATGGAGGAGGGGAGAAGACAGATGGTGACAGGCTAATTTTCCACCAGTCTAGAAGCACAAGGAGTCAGTCATAAATCAGGTGAAGTAACAGAAAATGAAATGATTATGTCTTTTATACTTGATGGATTTTCACATACTACATCAGGATAAAATCAATTAACAAATATCATGTTCATCACACAGTGTTCATCCCCTTTAGTCCTTGTATTAGTTCTTCTACTATACATTAGACCCTCTGCTCATAATCAAGATGTGAAAGTAGTGGAGATATGCAGAAGTTGATCCTTGAACAACATGTGCTTGAACTGCATGGGTCAATTTATATGTGGATTTCTTCTGCCTCTGCCACCCCTGAGACCCTCCTCTTCCTTCACCTTCTCAAGATAAGATAATGAGCATGAAGAACTTTATGATAATCCACTTCCACTCAATGAATAGCAAGTATATTTTCTCTTCTGTATGATTTTCTTAGTAACATTATCTTTTCTCTAACTGACTTTATTGTAAGAATACAGTATATAATACATACAATGTACAAATTATATGTTAATCCACTGTTTATGTTATTGGTAAGGCTTCTAATCAACAGTAAGCTATTTAAGTTTTTGGGGAGGCAAATGATACATGTGAATTTTTGACTTTGTGGGGGGTTGATGCCCCTAACCCTCATGTTTTTTAAAGGTCAACTGTATTCTCTGTTGCACCCACTCACCTCCCCAAGGAATTCATCTCCGCGAAGGAGAGTGATATATGATCACAAAGTTTTCTATAAAGTTATGTGGACTCAGAGGAGGAAACTAAAACTACCTCTGCCTTAGAGAGTGGAAGTCGACTTCAAATCAGAGGAACAATTGAACTAGACCTTGAAGAAGAAGCACAACCAGAGGGGACATGGGAGAAATTCATTTCCCGCTTTTCAACAATAAATAGATGATAGCTTGCCAGAAGGTTTTGAAGACCATGATAATTAAATGAGATGGTAGGAATAGTGACTGAAAACACCAGAAAGAGGGAGAGAGAGTCCAGACAAGGTGGGTCAAAGTGGCTTGGTTTCCCTCCAGCCTTTTCCTTGGCTCCCTCTCCAAGGCATGAAAACGTGGCCTGGCTTCTCAGAAGACAAATAGCAATATTTCAGGTGAGATGTGGGGAAGACACATTCAAAGAGAAACAGGAGAAAAGGGCCTGTTGCTCAGGAAATGGGGAGGAGCTGGGGCGAGAGATGCAGGAGGGTAGAGGGCCTGACTGGGGCAGGTGTGATGACAGAGGTCTATCAAGGGTGCTGAATTGACTTTAGACAATTGAGTCTGGTCACCCATGGCTTCAGGGGGAGGTTTATCGGTCATGCAGCATTTGATGGCAGGGAGTCCACTAAGGACAGCTCTGTGGGCCAGCCTCTTGACTGTTTTTCCTCTGGGAAGCAAGCACAGGTGATTCCCTTCACACCTGCATTTGGAAAGGTCTCAGCCTCACCTGGATTGCACTGGAGTCAGGTTGAATCGATTATCTCTGAGGCATGAAATGCTCCTTCATGCAGACCAGGAGGTACAAGGCCAGGAACCACTGGAGATCCAGGCCAGGGCTGGACTGTATGCAGCCTCATGAGGCCTCCCTTTAATACCATTTTCCATTCAAAGGTAAGGAGAAGAAAAAAGGCAGCAAAGCATCACTCACCTCTCTTTGTTTTGCCAGGATCTGGGCTTCTTTGGCTCCCACCTGAACCTCATTAGTTCCACACTGGTGTTTATTTTTCTCCACCTGCCCTGACTCACTGTGTCCTGCAAGGGCCACCCTGAGCCTGTAGGCTGGGAACATGTTACACTTTAGGATCAGTGCAAACCAGGTGTGATGACTACACCAGCCAAGCAGGCCTGGAACAAGGCAAGCTTTGGGGTTCTAAATATGGTCAGATAAAGACACCTCTGAACAATTTAATGCAGAGAGGCCTGAGCTGGCTCACCACAGAGCCAAACTCAGTATGAAAAATCATGGCCCAAAGCTCAATCAGAGGCAATTTAATTAAAGTGAGTTGGTTATCTAGGCCCAACAAAGCTTGCCAATTTGTAACTTGGCACCCAGCAGTCATGGGCTTTTTTGACAGATTCTCTGTCCTCTATCACCCAGGATCAGGCTGGGCACTGGTTTGGCTTACATTTTCCTTTCTATTGCTGCAGCGTCATTTCATGCCAAGCTTTGCCTTCAGGTCTGAACTCTCTTTTTTGTTAAAGGTGGATAGTTTGTAGGTCAAGGAGAGGGAGGTAGGGAGACAGTTGGTGTGGTGGGGAAAGGTAATGTTCTTGTAAACATACCTGCAAATGATTCTTTGCCAAATAAAAACAAACATATTTATGTAGTGTGATCTTTTAACTTACTAATACAATAGTTAAAACACATACACTGCTTACAACATACCAAATACTGTTCTAAGCACTTTATTTTCATTAAGTGCTACATTTCAACAACCTACGAGGCAGATATTTTTTGCATCCATATTTTACATTTGAGGCAACTGTAGTGGTTTGAATCATGATCCTCTCAAAATTCATGTCCACCAGGAACCTTAGAAAGTAACCTTATTTGAAAATAGGGTTTTTGCAGATGTAATTAGTGTCAGGATGAAGCTGAGATCACGCTGGATCAGGGTGGGCCCTAAATCCAATGGCCAGAATCATTATTCGAAGAGGAGAGAACACAGGTACAGAGGAGAAGGCCATGTGAGGATGGAGACAGAGACTGGGTGATGCCAACGAGCACCAGGACTGCCAGCAGCCTTAGAAGGTGGGAGCAAAGCATGGAACAGATTCTCCCTCAGAGGCTCCAGCAACCAACCCTGCCAATCCTTCATTTTATACTTCTGGCCTCCTGAGCTGTGAAAGAATAAGTTGTTATTGTTTCAAGCCACCCAGTTTGTATAATTTGTTATGGCGGCCACAGGAAACTAGTGTGGCAGCTGATGCCCTTGCCCATTGAACACACAGGTATTAAAGGCAGGGCCAAGGAGCCGGGATGCAGAGCTCATGTTCCCGGTCACCCTGCTCTGAAGCCTCCACAGCCATAGGGGTCTGCGCTATGTCCTGAGAGGCTTCCCTAGAGCCTCACACCTGGTTTTCACTGTGTGTCTTTAATGCGTTTGATTATTGTATTCTTGATGATGAGCCATTCAGTATCCCTATTTGCTACAATATTCCTGTGTTTGCTTCACTGCCTGCCAGATTACAATGCCTATTAAAATAAATATGCTTCAATTACCTTAAAATCACTCAACATTGCCAGTGTTCCTACTGATATATAACTACTGGAGTGATGCAAATTTTAACAAGAGTTTGAATTTGGAAGTAATAAGGTTTTGTGAGAGGTGTAATGTAGAGTGATTTCAGTATGAGACATTTAGTAATGTCTGCTTCAGACAGGAGATGTTTAAATTCAGAAGCAGCCTTCAGACTCGGCCCCCAAAGATACTCAATTTGGGGTGATCTAAAAAGCTATGCATTTTCTATTTCTATTAACAATTTTAGTTCAAAATTCAAGTTTATTTTTAGTGAAAAATATGTTCGAGGTAGCCATAAATGAACAAGGATGGAAAACAATGTATTTTTGCAAAAATCTGATTTTGCACTACTTTAAGTACAAAAGGAACAATTTCTTTTTGGAGGAGAATATCCAAATCTATAGGGTGGGTATAAGGCTGACAGTATTTTCAGGTCTGAGCAGCTCCAGGCTGTTAAAATTACAGCAGTGTGAAATTGAAAGCTGCATCTCTGTGGGTAATAAAGGCTTCTGTCTCCCTGGTCCACAGGAATCACATTTTGCTAATATCTATCTTGACCACAGTTTCCTAAATCCTGTGTGCTATTAATTCGGACTTCAGGGAATCGATAATGGTATTGGCTTTGGTACTGACCCATGAGCTCCTTCTGGCTCTGACACATGTATTCTGGGGTTCCTATTTAGGACAAATTTTATTATCTGATTGTTATCTTTCATCTCTAAGTCCATAAATGTAATAATCACAATCTCTGAAATATAATCTTCTGCTTCTGCTTTTTTTCATGCTTTATTCAGTGTGTTAGCAACAGGTATGTGCTTGCTGCATTTTCTTAATCCAATATTAAAGGAGGGTGTTTCAATGGGTTTAAGGAAATGAAAGGCTAAAGCAAATGTGGGAAAAGTTCCCGAAAATGTCAGACTTCATGATTTTGCATTTTCCTTAAAATCACAGTTCAGGCATTTGCATACTTTGGGGGTGTCCCCATCCCCCATGACAAATATGCAGTGTGACTGAACAATCAGGTCCACCTCAGTGTGGCAGGCCTCATGGCCCCTGGCCATGTGATAAGACATGCTCTGTGTGCCTGGCATGCCCACACCTTTGCAATGAACCCACTTCCTTTGCAAGCCTGTGCAGGCATGAGGCCATGCCCTTCCAGGTGATGGGACCAAGTGCTGTTCCCTGACCTGAAAGGTAGCTATCTCTGGCCTGACCATAACTTTGACCTGGTTTAAAAAAAAAAAAAGATCAGATGGCCCCAGTGGGAATTTAGAATGACATAAGAGACTATGTTAGTAAAAGGACAAAGGACAAAAACCAGAAGACATGAGGAGTATAGATAAATTTTATTCATTGTAGAAAACTGGGGTGAAACTCTGAATTATTGCTGCAGAGATCAACAAAAATGCTCCAGTTCCTCCCTTTCTGAAGCCAGGCGTTGTAGCTTTCCCTGGATTTCTGTGAGGCAGCTCTGTGTCCTTATAATGAATTCCCCCTTTCAATTGAGTGACTTTAATTTACAATCAGTTGCCTGGATCAAAACACAGAGTGTAAAGTGACCTCAAACCAGTCATCCAGCCCTCCAGATACCTACTTCCTCCCACGCAGATACACCATCCTTCATTCTAGTCCATGCCCACTTACAGTGGGCAGCAAATACATAGATTAACATAGCTTGCAAAGGAGGCAAGAACAGAGGCTATTAAGAGAGCAAGGGTCACACAGAGCCAGAACAGAGAGAGTGGAAGAGACCAAAATGCACAGCAGAAAGAATCAGACAATGAAGGTGGGCCAGGCTGCAGAGAGCTCATAAACACACCCTGGTTGGTCCCTGATCTCCTCATTGGAAATGTGGGAATACCTAAGACTTGGAGGGCAAAACAGATGCTGTCTTAAGAATAGGGAGGAAAATCATCCTGAGAGTTTGATACATTATAATTGTTATTTTTTATTTAGCTCATGAGTAATTTTTGAAAAATGGGTTTTGCATTTAACAAAGTGCCACTGTGGGAAAAATTCAGGCAATTTTCAAGTTCTACATGATTTTTTGTATGTTCATAAAAATTTAAAAAATTTGATGTTTCCAAAGCAGCCGCAAGTGTATAAAATGTCCAGGAAACTGACCACAATTTTAATTTTTCTTCTGTCTCTTTGATATCTTGGGGAAAAAGTTTCAAAATGATTATAGAGTATGATTCATCTTTGCACGCTTTCCAAGCCATCTGTAGGACACTGAGAGAATCACAATTTCTAAGCTGTGAATATATAGCTTGCTCCAAGTTCCAAACTGTGGCCTGGCAGCTGGGTGCTAATGGGCTCTTCTCAGCAGTGCACCCAGCTAATGGCCTCTTCCTGGCACTTGGTCAAGCATCACTAATGTCCGGCAAGTTGCCTGCCCACCCCAAAAGTGAGAATTCCACTTTCCTATTTGAAGAGAGCTATCCAGAGGTCCCTCCCCTTGGCCACAAGAGCCAGGGGACTTGGATGTACAACCCAACGGAAAATGACTCCTGAGGGGCAAGATGTGATCTGTGGTCAGAATGACAGGATTGAGATAAGATTCCATTTTGAACCACCCATGTCTTTCTTTTAGGAGCCCATCTATCAGTTTCATATGATGTCAATATCAAAGAAGTGTTTATGAAGCTCTCAGTCACAACTAAATGAATCTGAGATGATAATTGGCCCTCAGGTGGGAAATGTGCACATGAATAGATTACAGCCAAGCATCTCAAGCTCTCTAAACTCTCTGCTCTTCATGTACACAGAGTGGTAGGGAATCTCTCCAATTTAAGAGACTGGAGTGGAGTTTACAGGATTTGTAAGGACTTCCACTCTGCAGGAGGGATTGCCCACTCTAGAACCTGTGTCCATGTTCCCCTGCATTTATTTTTCATTTGGCTCTGCCCAGATAGCACTGGAAATCTGCAAAACAGGCTCATGAGACTGCATCCATCTGCCAAGATTAAACATCCCAAGCCTGGTAATTCCTTTGAAAAAAAAAATATGATCGATCATCCCTTTCCCCTTTTTTTGTCTGTGCTACTTCAATTTGAACCCCATCTTAGTTGTGTGGGAAGGATGGGGCAGGCTGGGGATAAAAACAAGCAGTGAGCCATGATCACTGCCCAGCCTGGGCAATTGAGTGAGACCCTGTATCAAAATAAAATAAGATAAAAGCAAAAACAACAGTATACGTTAAATCACTGGTGCCTTCATAGCTAAGTGAAATGGAAGGGCAGATATTCTATTATAATATGTTCCACACACATACACTAAAGCAATATGTATGAAATGAGTATTTTCCTACTTTACTCAGGGTGTTCCCTGATGTCAAGCTAACTACATGTAAATAAGGAAAGGTTTCAATTGCGTACGTACTTCAGTTCATTCCTCATATTCAGATGATAAATGCTTGCCTATAAGCCTCAATATTTTAATTTTGAGTTTATGAGACAGAAAGCTAGATTTAAGTGCACATATAGATACCACCTTTAATTAGATAAACGAATCAATCAATTTGAATACAGACTTTAGCAACGGAAGAAACCTCATTAACGTCAGTTTCGAACTCTTCATTTTAAAGAGCAGGAAGGAAAGGCCCAAAGAGACCAGGCAATGTGTCACATGCCTCTTAAGCAAAATCCCCAGAGCTCAGACACAATCAGACTGAGCAGCTGAAGGCAGGAGGAGAGATGAGTGTGGAAGGATGGATGGATGAAAGGACCGTGAGTGCTTGTTGAAGCTCTCTCCTACTCCGAGCACCAGTGGCTTGGCGGGATCTCTGTGTAGCACAGAGATGTTGTCACCAGTCAAGGAACCAGAACAAGGAGATAAAGGTGACCAGTGGTTTGAGCTTTTCATAAAAGCATTATTTCCAGTTATTATTATTATTCTATTATTTCCAGTTTTTCCTCTATTATGAGATTTTCATTCCTACTTTTCAAGATTAAAATGTCTCATCCAGCTGGGCACGGTGGCTCATGCCTATAATCCCAGCACTTTGGGAGGCCGAGGTGGGCGGATCACTTGAGGACAGGAGTTCGAGACCAGCCTGGCCAACATGGTGAAACCCTGTCTCTACTAAAAATATGAAAATTAGCCAGGCATGGTGGCACATGCCATAGTCCCAGCTACTCGGGAGGCTGAGGCAGAGGCAGGAGGATTGCTTGTGCCCAGGAGGCAGAGGTTGTAGTGAGCTGAGCTTGCACCACTGCACTCAAGGCTGGGTGATGGGAGAGAAACCCTGTCTCAAAAAAAAAAAAAAAAGTGTCTCTTTCTAAACATAATCATTGCCACCATAGATGGTAATTTAAAACATGTCTGTAGTAGGAGAAATAAAAGTGATTCCCCTCCCTAGTTTTTTCTAGTTTTGATTTTTTTTCTAATTGTTTTATTTACTGCTCTATCATATCTAACATTCTGGGAAACCACTGCCTTAAGCCATAACGAGTCACTGGAGATTTTTAAATCAGGGAGTAACATGAACAGAGAAGTAATCTGAGAAAATTAATTGTTCTTTAGTGGATAGTATCAACTTCAGTGGGAAGAAAATGGAGTCAGGAAGTGTGCTTAGAAAATGATTGCAACACAACCCACATAGAGTGAGAGAAATGGCAGGAAGGCCCGCAACAAAGGACACCAGGCAACGGAGGAGCAGAGCAAAGACGATGCCAAGGCCTCGAGCCAGGTGCTCAAAAGGGGCATGAGTTACACAGGCACCAGGAAAATCTGGAGAAGGAATTAGAAAAAAAAAAAAAAAAAGCTAATTAACTTAACAATAGTTATACCGGCTTTGAGGATATGGTAGATGCATAAGTGAGAATGTCCAGCTGGAGTTGGCAATGCAGGACTAAGCTTCTGTAGGGGGGCCAAGGTGATCCTATGGGAAAACCCACATAAATGTAGTAGACGCAAGAAGAGAGACACACAAGGGACCAAGGACTGGAGACAGTAATACATCCGTGACAGAAGGGAAGGAAGCAGACAGTGAAGGAGACAAGTGAAAGTGGAGAAACTCAGGAGGAATCAGAAGTTTTTACATGAAAGAAATAATGTTCAATTCTTTCCTTTCTTAATTATATCCACCCATGCACTATTCATCCTCCATCCATCCAGCCATACAACTGCGCATGGAGCACTTCCTGTGTTCCAGGCCCTGAGCCCTGCACGGAATAGTCCAGTGCTGCTCTAGATACCACGAAGCCTGAAACGACTGACGGAGACAATCAGGTTTCCGGGAAGGGAGCGCCAGCTGAGGGATGTGCCTCACCTGCGTCAGCTCTGCGTCTCCCAGCTGTCTCTTTCCTTCACTATCCTCTTTTGCTCCACAACCTCTGGTCCTGTCCAGGAGCATTGGTCTGAGGTGCCGTGTGGAAATCGACACAGGGCGGATGGGTAGTGCTGTCAGCCGGCCCCTTTCAGAGAGTGGGCAGGCTCCATGGCTGCCTGCTGCCTGCCTTACAAACAGGATGGATTTAAGCAGCCCCACTAGAAGCCTGCTAGAGCAGGTAGGCTGGGTTTGGGAACCTGGTCACGGACATATGACAACATGCTCCAGTCAGGGACAGCAGCTCCCTTTGCAAAGGAGTATTTTTGTTGTTGTTGTTTTGTTTTGTTTTGTTTGTTTGTTTTTCAAGTTCTTTAGAAAAACATCAGTTGAATGGAAGGGAACCCCGTGATCAGAGTTTTTCAGAGGCTTTTCTTTTAATAAATTCCCTAATCCAGAATCATATTTTAGAGATAGAAATAGAAGAGAGAATGTGTGTGTGTGTGTGTGTGTGTGTGTGTACATACACACATATACATACATTTCAACACATATTTAATGAACCATGCAAAAGGAAAACAAAGTAATTACAACTGTGGTGAGCTATGAAGAATATAGACATGGCGCTACTACATAAAGAAGAACAGAAGGAGGCCAGCAGTAGATTGCCTCCTCATTTTGTAGAAGCGGGTGAAGGTCTTATTAAATTCCTTAAATTGCTACATGTTTTAAGTGATTTCTTCAATTAAATTGCAAATAGTAACATTACATTGATTTTTTTTTTCTTTGTGGGGATTTTAGCTATTGGATTTAATTATTCCATTTATATTTCACATACGTGCCTAAGGCTTCTGAGAATGAGAACTTGTAATAAGTCAAATAAATAATACATAATAAATAAAAGACATTCTTCAAGGATTCTAAGTTAAAATCTGACTTTCCTTAAAAATGATTTCTTGTAGATTCATCCTCTTTAGATGAATAGTAGTTATTTTTTATTAAGTGGTTCTTTTTGATATCTAATATGTTTAGCAAATCGTACTTAAGGACTGCATCGTGAAATATGCCATATTCAAAGCTATGCATGCCTCTGTCTCTATTGTGATGGTCTCAGTTCCCACGTGGCAGCTCTGCTAAAAACAGTAATGACATGGCCGGGTGCACTGGCTCACGCTTGTAATCCCAGCACTTTGTGAGGCCAAGGTGGGTGGATCACCTGGACTGAGGTCAGGAGTTTGAGACCAGCCTGGCCAACATGATGAAACCCCGTCTCTACTAAAAATACAAAAATTAGCTGGGCGTGGTGGTGCGTGTCCGTAATCCCAGCTTCTCTGGAGGCTGAGGCAGGAGAATTGCTGGAGCCCAGGAGGCAGAGGCTGCAGTGAGCCAAGATCACACCACTGCCCTCCGTCCTGGATGACATAGCAAGACTCTATCTCAAAAAAACACAAAAAACAAAAAACGGTAATGATATTATGTGGCATACAGAGAACCAACAAAAGCCATGGATTCATAGAACAGCCTGAGCTGCACATTCTTGGTCATGCCCATGCACAGCAGGGAGCAGTCCCTGGGCTGCATTGAATGTCCCACTCACACAGGGGTGGCTGTGGCGGATCTGTGCTCTCAGCACTTGCACCCCTTTCCTCTATCTGTCTCCACCTGGTCTCAGGCTGTCTCTGCAGAAGTGTCACCCAACTGTCCCAATGTAACCATGAGTCAGGCAGCTCAGCCAGGGCCCTTTCAAGTCTTATTAGTTCAAGCAATTAATTTTACTGCCACATTTTAAGGAAGAGACAGTGATTATCTTTGAATGGAAGTGGAGAGCGCCTGGGCTTGGACTCAGACACAACTGGTTGGTGCATTGATTCAACCTCAGGCTGGATGAGCACCTCCTCCTCCTCATCTGAGAAAGTAATGGCAACTCTTACCAAGCAACGTCATTGGGAGGGTAGTGAGCAAGTGTTGGTACCACCCTCAGTCTTGGGCCTGCCTTGGTCCCTCAGTGGTTCTTTATAGAATGAAACCATGATCTGGAAATTGTATCTGTTGACTAAGTAAAGATTTTCAAGTCTTTTTGAGTCTTTGTGCACAATGTAGTGGGATCATCACATCTTTCAGCTATGATAATAACATCTATAATTAGTTGAGGCCTGCCAAATGGCAGAGTTGCTCATAGGGTAGGGAACAACGCAGATGAGAAAACCAACAGCCACAATGGCATGTGCTAAACGCCACGAGGACTCTGTGCTCAGGGTGCACTGGCAGAAGGTGGGGGTTGCCACCACACACAAGGGGGTGGGGGTGGTGTTGCAGTATTCCAGAGGACTTCTTGAATGAGAGCATGCCTGGGAGTACACAGGTAAGTAAGAGTGAGCCAGGTTGTGGGTGCCTTTTGGGAAGCAGCCAGATAGGAAGGGCAAGCTGATCAAGGTCCTCGCATATTTTGCTCAGGCTCCTGACTTTCATCTCAACAGTGATGGATAGCTGGTAAAGGCTCCTGGGTAACAGGATAATGGGATAAGACTCGTGTTTGAGGAAGATACTCTGCTGTCAGTGGTAAGATTCTTCAAACAAGAGGTATTAAAGGAAGGTGGGAGGGTAAGATCTGTTAGAAGGTGATTTCAGCAGTCTGGGCAAGAACAATGAAGGCATGAACTAGTTTAGTGACAGTGGGGATGAGGAGGAAAGGTAGAGTTGGGAGGTGTTTAGAAAGTAGGACAGGTCACACTGGATGGCTTGTTGGACCTCAGGAGTTCTAAGGAGGAAGGAGGAATCTCGGAGGGATTTCTAAAAAATGGGTTGGGAAGATAGATTTTTTCACTTAACAGGATGGATACGTCTTGTCCCTACCTCCAGCCCCACCACCATTCTCCTGGACATTGAGTGTAAAAATGCTTTGTTCTCTGAGTCAGCAATCATGTCATAGGTCACAGGCAGTGTGAAAGACCTCTTTTACCATGCCTTTAACTTCACGCATAGCAAAGTTTCTCCTTCAGCCTAATTTATATGTTCAATCACCTACTGAGAGTGCATTTTCTTTCCTCCATGAATTAATGCACACAATTCTTATAGACCTGAGAAAAGATTTATACTCTTGCTTTTATTTTGAAGTTCATTAAACCACATTTCCGGCATTTCCTGTTTCCTTTCATGAATCTTCAAATAAATTCTGTTTTGTTAATCTTTGTATTTAAAGATATGATTGACTTAGCTCATCAGAGTATGGACTTTGAGGTTCTTGGTCACATTTTGAAGGATTTTTTCTTTTTAAATGCTGACTCATTGATCATTTTGGCCCAGGCATTCATGTGGACCACAGTCGCTGTGGATGCAAAGTGGGCACCCTGGTCAGGGACGGTGTTGTCTGGGCCAGACAGAGGCAAGGGTCCTAAAACTTTGGCCTTCATGATCCTGGCCAAATCTGGTCACCAAATGCCTCCTATACTCTTCACTTCTTACAGAACAAAACAAACTTTCCTACTCAACAAAAGCAAACAAACTAAAACACTTGAGACATTATAATAGTACATTTTATGTGGAGTATCTAGTTTCACTCACTGGTTGGCGCCTGTCTCTAAAATTCTCTAGGAAACAATCGTCAGCACCATGCAGGGCAATGTCATCTTATTCAAAACAACCACTCATTGCATTCAAACAAACTTGATGTGCATACGTTCATGTGGGCATTCACTAAGAATGTGATGGTTTCATGCATAGTTCTGCATCTGGCTCTGGATGAATTATGACTAAAATGAAAACAGACGACTAGGCTGGCCTTGTGGGTCACTGTTAAACCCACCATCTGTCTCCATAGGAGGAGAATGGTTCCATAGATATTTCCAGGCATGGAATGTCATTAATAGGACCATTGGTCGCTGAGCACCATGATGGGGTCAATGATAGCAATGATTCTATTATATAGCCCATTTAGACTGTGGGCAATGCAAAATGGCTAATAGGCAAAGAACACCATGTTAACTCTTTATATAATCTATCCCACCTAAAGCGTAATTTCTAAATATTACAATTGTGCCATACAATGCATATATTTATCTGTAAGTAACTGTTTATCTTGTAGAGTTAGTCATCATCTTTTAAAAATGTACATTGTGAATTGAAACATTATATCCTACCAAAATTAAAAATAGCCACATGAAGCAGTAAAAGAGTCACTCAAGTTTGTAAAATCGGGATTATGCATAGTCATACTGTGTGACGTTATGTTGCATAAATACGAAGTGAGACACAGGTATTTACTTGAATAGCTTAAGGAAAGCACAGGGAATGTAAGTTTTATATTATGTTTTATTCTAAGTATTTATAATGTACTAATAAGCTTTAAAATTATTTTACTTAATTCACAATGCCATATACCCAAATCAACATATGTATCGTTCATTAATTAGTAACAGAAAACACCTAATTCTTATTCTTAACGTCTTTTAACCCCTTTAGTGCTTCTGAAATCACGCACAGTAAATGCCATTATTTGAAACCAATGTTTCTATAGAACAAGAAATGCCATAAAGCAACATTTAGATAATATAATCTAGCATTTTCCAAAATGTTTACCATGGGATAATAAACATTTAGGATTCTTTGTAGGAAAAAAGAATGTAAAGTTAAATGAGTTTAGGAAGTTCTACATAACACATCTCTCAGTAACCCTCAACACACTTGAGAAATGAAATTTGCCAAATTTGTTTAACCCAGTACTTCATTAGGCCATTCTTTTTTATCCCGAAATATTGAACATCAAATTCTCATGAAATTAAAGTTCCATACAGCACACTTTTGGAAGTTCTATTTTTAAAGGAGTTTATAGCTTCAGTCAATTGTGGAGAGTCAAGAATAATTAAAAGTAAGTGACAAAGTTGAGAGTGAACTAAGTCTTATGACAAAATCATTGAGTCTGTTCTGTAGACTACACAAGAGCCAAACATCATTTAATTTTCTATCTTAATATATCCGTTTGCAAATTCTAAAATTGCTTCAATGAAAGGTAAACTTCCTTTCAAGACACAACCGCAATTATCTATATTGTTTGACAATTATCCATATTCTTAATTCTAAGATTTGCTAAACTGGACTCGATTAATTGGAACTAATTTTAAAAGGTAGAAATTTAATATCTCAGGGAAAATGAGAACCAGTGTGAAATAAAAAGAAATAGGATAATCAGTACCTGACAGAATAAAAGAATATAATTCTTAGAGGAAGGAGGCAAAAATGAAAAGGGAGAGAGGAGGGAAAAAGAAAATGTAGAAAAAGCAGATGTATATATTTATGCACATTTAGTTATGCAATGTTCTTTCCATCTCACTAAATGTAAGACAAATAGGTTTAAATATTTTTCTGCAAATGCAGTAATTTATTTTAGAGCTGTCTTTCTCTCCTCTGATTCCTTTTCTTTTCTGCTTGTGAGCAAGTCTATTCTTTCTACTAGGTCTATTCTTTCTGCTCACTAGCAGAAAGAATAAAGAGAAGTTTGGTGAAGAATCACTCAGCTTAATCCTACCATGTCCAAAACCCAACTATCTCTCTTCAGCCCCAAAAATCTGTTGCCCTCCGGCGAAAGGTAACAATATCTTTCTGCTTAAGTACCCATGACAAAAATCTAGCCTTCACTCTAAACATTTTTATTTCTTTTATCCCTATATTCAATCAACTAACAACTCAAGCAGTTGTTTAAGGATGTTTACAGTGAAGGTGAGCAATCATATTTTTCATTATAACTACTCCAAACATTTAGAGGAATTTCAACTACTTTCTAGAAATGCATTGGAAAAATTTTAGCTACTTTCTAGAAATGCAGAATGAAAGAAATGCAATTATTTACTTTACAAATTTTGATACAATCCTATTTTATATCACTTTCTTAAAGTGTCAAATGTCTGAACTCCATGTGGACTGTAAACTGGAGTAGGGTACGAAGTCACATTTTTATCTTGTAAGTTTCCACAGTGTCCCATATATTACTGAACACAAAACAGGATATTAACTAATTTTTGGATAAATAGATTCAGAATAATTCTAATACAAAACCAGAGTACTAGAGAGGTCTTCCATGGGAGGCATCTATAGATCTGGAGAAGGGAAGGGTTAGAAGACTAAGAAATCTTATGTCAGTTATGCGAACATCAGACCCGGGCTATAATTTAACTGTTGCAAGAATGACAGACATAAAGACATGCGTAGTTGACACCCATTGGTTCTGCCTGTGCAGCCTTACCTGTGCTGATAGCATCAGGGTTTTTCTTTGAGGACCTAACTTTGCCTCCTCATGCTTGCAGTCTTGACCTCAGTCAGGTGCTCTTTCCTCTCCTGGACAAGAGAGGGCCATGAGATAAAGAGCAGCCAGTCAGATGCTCTTTTCTGGGAATCTGAACAGTGACTGGAGCCAACTCAACCTCATGATGTTGCCCTAATGACATAGTCCCCTACATCTACCACTTTGACTCTGGAAGCTGCCTGACTCCTGCCCTTTCTGTGGTGTGAATGACCTTATATTCTTTAAAAAAAAAATCCCCTCCTTTAAATATATTAGCTATAATCATTTACACAAAATTGACAGAGAATCAAAATGTCCTCAGAGAACCAAACTTCCTTGTATATACATGTGTAGTAAGGGTTTCATTCACTCATTCCATCATTCAACATGGATGTACCAGAGAATTTGTGCTGGGAACACAATCGTGAATAAGACAAAGTTCTACCTTTATGGATCTTTCATTTTGAAGAGGCAGAAATAAGGACATAGACAAATGAATAAAATACGTGTGGATTGCTGTTAATGTTATGAAGGGAATTAACAAAGAATCATAGTAATGATCTACTTTAGATTCAGTAACTGAGAAGACTGTGAGGTGGACAAAAGCTTCCTCACTAAGGAGACTGTGGCATGTCATGGCTGAATGTCAGTGGCTTTATTGGAATATGGTCTTCATATAGTATTTTTTTAAAACTGTGAACAGTGACCTATTCAGGAGTTTAAAAATCAATTCAGTGAGCTGTGGCCAGTGTTTTAAAAGTGCAATAGGACAGAATAAAATAGACTAGAAAAGTAGAGCAGAGCAGAATGCAGAAATATTAGAGAACATCGCCCACAGGAAAGGTGAGTATTTCATTAAATTTTTGTTTCCCTGGGTCATGGTTTAAATGAGTTTGAAAAACATGATCTAAGAAAACATCTGAGAAGACAGAGACTACACATGCTACAACTAACAGTACCAGGACAAAAGTCTTAAGCAAGGACGGGAAGGTGGAGAAGAGGATGCACCCACATCTCAGGGTTACTAAGTGGGCAGGGGGCACTCTCTGGGACAGGAAATATGCAGGGCCCATGGACTCAGTCTCCTGGGACAGATTAGTTGTAAGGAAGAATTCACTCATTCCAATTCAACAAATATAGAGTAGAGAATCTACTCTGTGTCTAGTCCTACCTCTGGTGAGACAGGTGGATTCACCCTCCTCTTTCCTCATGAACTGACAGCTGGGGTTGGTGGCTGGAGTGGGCCAGTGTCCAACCATTGGTGTCACCCAAATCCCAGCTGACAGAGGAAAGCTTGTCCGGTGAGACCCTCTGGAGAAGGGGCTGTAAGACAGCGAGCGAGTCCAGTGAGGCACTGTGGCACTAGAGCACCCTGGAAGAGCTTGTGTCTCCCTCCCCATCACTGCACTGGGGAGGTTGCTGAAGAGAGCGATGGGGGTGGGAGAGGGAACTTCCTGAGCTCAGCCAAAGAACGATAGTGCCAATGCAAAGAGGGTCACCAACGTGTAGTCTGAGCACCACAAAGTTCCCCCAAGGACATCTGAGCCCTAAGGTGATGATCACCTTGGCTTTGACCATCAGAAACATCAGGGTGCAAACCAGGGCCTTCAGTGTGTGGGCCAGGAAACCGCCACACCCTGCTCTCAAGGGAGGGGCTGCTCAGGAGAGCAAATGAAGCCTGTGGGGACCTTACAGCATAAAATGAGACAGTCTCATTGACTTTCTTAGCGACAAAGACTGTCATTATTGTTGCTTTATCCTTTTCTATTTTACCACACCTCTTTAGAGATTAGGTTGACATAATTCATCTGTGTCCCAGGTTCATAAAACACATTGTCGGCTTATCTTATATAATTTTTGTATTGTTTTATCCATAGGTTGACAGGCAATAAAAGTAAGAAAAAACCTAGAAGACTCTTCCAGAAGGACTACTCCAACCAGCAGGGCTGGGCTCCACATTGGCCGGCCAGCCTTGCAAATTCTAGTGTTCCAAGGCCACTCAAATCAAATCTTGGCTGGCAATGATTCTCAAAACATATAAGCCAATGAGGAGATGGGAGGAACAATAAGTATCTCTTGAAAGAGATAATCATTGGACATGGATTGCAGGTAAGGAAAGGTCTGGCCACATTGAACCATTAGCATAGTATCTACCACGAACGTGGAGCCTGCTATATGCAAGTCACTGTATTAAGTACTTTAGATTTAATCCTTATAACAATCCTATATATTAATGTCCTCATTTAAAAGATTATGATTAAAGATTAAAATGGAGATTAACTATTTCAAGATCACCTACTCAGTAAGTGGTAATGCTAGAACCAGATACTGGGGGAAGAGAATGGAGGGCTCAGCTTCTGGGGAAAAAGGAGACAGTAAGACCTAGAAGGTGGTCGGAGTTCAAACCAAACTGGCTGGGTTTGAGAGCAAAAATGTGTGCAGTTCAGTGGGAAGGCCCCAGTGGGAGAGCTTTGAGAGTCTATGGAGTCCATTTCAGTCACACTGGGACCTGCCCCACTTCCTCTAGAGCCAGGCTTGATGACTACAGGCTCAGGAGCTGTGGGCTTTAGTCATGAAGCCTAGTTGGTGCTAGAACAGACAATGCTATATCCTTTTAAACATTTTGAAATTTGTTTTATATTTCAAGAAAATTAAATATTTATGTTCACTTTCATTGGCGTTGCAGCATTTATATAAGATGTTTAGTGTCCAAAAAAGACTGACTTGCTTCCTTTCCCTTGTGGAATATAATTGCCCATTTTCAGAGCATTTACATTCGTTACACTTAATCATTTGTTTATTCTATTCATTTGATTACACAGGCCAAAAAATGAAATCTGTAGTTTTCGATGCTATCATACATTTAAAAAATTATTTATTTTTAATTGATAAATAATAATTATGTATATTTATGGGGGATGCAAAGTGATATTTTTATCTATGCATACATTATAGAAAGATTCAGTAAACCTAATTGACATATCTATCACCTCACCAATTTCTCATTGTTTTTGCAGTGAGAATATTAAAAATCTATTCGTTAGCAATTTTGAAACATACAATATATTATTTTTAACTATGGTTATCACAGTGCAATAGATCACGAAATCTTATTCTTACAAAATTCCAGATTAGTGCCCATAAAAAATCCATTGCCTAAACATGGAATCCTAGAAAATTTTTGGAGTATATATATGTGAAACAAATGCATAGGAGAAATTTCCAGTTTTTCTCTTTCCTTAAAGCTCCCATAAAACAGAAGATATGTAAAAAGTTTAACTTTATTTCTGAGCCCTTGTCACCAAAGCAAAGGGAAGAGTAAAGATTATAAAAAAGCAAACATCTATACAATAGCTTACATTTATATGAGCCTCAGATTTGGATTTTTAAAAAAAATTTATTTCACTGGGAGTCAACACTGGTTTGCTCTAAGAAGGGATGGGGAGAGGTTGTTGGTTTGCAAGACTTGAGGTCCATTTCTGATTCATCAGAAATTGACTGAAGAGAGCATATCATTCATTATGCAGAGACATCCTTCTCAGAGTCCAGACAAAATAACTGAGGTATTTTAGTTTTTGGAGCCCCTTGGTAAGCAGATCAATTTTAAGAGAACTGGCACAGACTGAAAACCAGTACGACTCACTTCCCCCGCCCCACCCCAACCTGCCATGCTCCTGTGCAGAGCTCAGTTACACAAGAGCTGTGTAATCCAAGCCATAGGGGAGCCTTTGCCAAGAATGAATTGCTACTCTCAGCATGAACTGCAAACATCCAGAGTGAAGTGGGAAGAGCAGATTCTGAATGGGAAAGGAACAAAGATCCATCGCAGGTCCATGAATGAATCAGCTTTCATTTACTACTTAAGGGCCCGGCAAACAACAATGCTTTTGACAGGTACCTTAGGCATTACTGCCATTTCCTGTAATTACTGAGAGATGATGAGAACTGAGCACCTGATTGCTTGGAGAATGGCTCACAGAAACCCAACTCTAACAAGGGATTCATGACTATCCTTTTTTTCAGACGTTTATGCCAGAATAAAGAATAAAGGCCCTTCTATCTTACAAAAAAAAAAAAAGACTGCTTCTAGAATTTGATTTGAGGATCTAAAATTTTGCTGGGTGGGCCTTCGAGACAAATATCTATCTGAACCTTGGAGGTGTTTCAAATGCCTGCTCTTGTGTGCGTCTCAGATGTGAGAACAATTCCTACAGAACACTAACAGCTCTTCATAAGCCGAGTAATGATTCTGAGCAGATGAGAGGAATGCTCTTTTTTGGAGAAATGTAACAACATCTCCAAAACTGTAGAATCATTATCTACTGTTTGTTCAAATTTATACTTACTTCAAAGAATATGATAGCTTGCTATAAAGGTGCCTTGTGACTGAACACTGAAATGTTCTGTATGAAAGTTTATATCATAAGGAAAAACAAGGCCTATGGGCCCATACACATTGGAACTATTTTAAAATCCATTTTCACAATAGATGTAAAAATCTTCCTATTTCTTATAACTTAAAAGGGATTGTTTGCAATGATTTGGAGACCAGTTTTTAACCTTTAAATTTAATTCTGGTGGTAATTTTTGTTTATTTTTATCACTCAAAACCTGTGCAGGACAAATGTATATTAGACAGTATCTCAGTCTCTTCTGATATGTGGATAACCCTCACTTAAATTTTAGAGCATTTAGCCTCATACTATGTTTCATAAAGAATTGAGTTTCTTGCTAAGTGCAAACTGAAATGCTTCCTTTTTCTAGGGAAAAAATGTCCTTTGGTTTTAAAGGATAATAACCACATATCACATGACATAATTATATCACTTGTTACAAAAGTGGACTTTTATAATACTGATGTGAATTCAAACCTCAGCTTTTATAGCTGTAAGACATTGTGCAGATAATTATTCGTTTTTGGCTTTAGTTTTTGTATCTTTGCAGTAAGTAAAGTAATATGTAGCTTACTGGTTCTTGTGAAGAGTAAATGAGATAACATTTGTTGAATGCTGGCCCACAGTTCCCTTTCTCCATCTCCTATTATTTTTTTGAGACAAACAGCTTTGAAACATCCAGTCAAAAAGGAAAGGAGAGAGGCACAGAGAAGAATTATAAAAGACCTTCTACTATCATTGTTGTTTGTTTTTGCCATTGAAGTACTGGATAGAACAAAGTCTTCTTATATGTTTACCTTTGCTCTTCTTACTTTTTCCCCCATTAGAAGTAACTACCATCCTGATTCATATTTATGATTTTATTGCCATTGCAAAGCAGTCTTCTGAGAATGCATTTATCTGTGTGTATCTATCTATCTATCTATCTATCTATCTATCTATCTATCTATCTATCTAATCTGTCTTCCTATGTATTTTGAACTCTGTAAAAAAGGATATTATACTTACCTGAACTTCAGCAACGAGCCTGTATCCACAACTCTTTTTAGTTGTCAATGACTCATTTTTTCTTTTGAGTAATAGTCCATGCTTTGAATATACCACATCAGTGCAAGAGTATCTCTGGGCTATATATTCCCTCAGGAATGCATTGGCTAGGTCACATGTTCAACTTCATGAGATAAAGCCAGATTATTTTCTAACATGGTGTACCAATTCACACTCTTACTGGCAGTATGTAGGAGATCTTATGGCTTCCAATCTCCTCCAGTGCTCAGTATTATCAGACTTCTTAGTTTTTGCCAATCCGGAGGATATAAAGTGGTGTCACTTTGTAGTTTAAATTTGAATTTCTCAGATTACTAATGTAGTTTAGCATATTTTCATATGTTTACCAGCCATTTATTTATTTTTTCAGTGAAAGGACTATCCATGTCTTTTTTTTTTTTTTTTTTGAGACAGAGTCTCGCTCTGTTGCCCAGGCTGGAGTGCAGTGGCGCGATCTTGGCTCACTGCAAGCTCTGCCTCCCGGGTTCATGCCATTCTCCTGGCTCAGCCTCCCGAGTAGCTGGGACTACAGGTGCCCGCCACCACGCCCGGCTAAGTTTTTGTATTTTCAATAGAGACAGTGTTTCACCATGTTGGCCAGGATGGTCTCGATCTCCTGACCTCGTGATCCACCCACCTCACCCTCCCAAAGTGCTGAGATTATAGGCGTAAGCCACTGCGCCTGGCAAGGACTATCCATGTCTTTTTTGCATATTTCTTTTCAGTATTTTTTGTCAAAAATATTTATTTATTTGCAATTCTAATGCTTTCTTATTTATATATATGGCAAATATCTTACTCCAGCTCATGACTTGCTTTTCCATTATCTTTATAGTTTTTTTTTTTATAAATAGAACTTCTTAATTTTAATGCTGTTGAACTCATCAACGTTTTGTGGCTAATAATTTTTTTTTTTTTTTTGAGATGCAATTTCGCTCTTATCACCCAGGCTGGAGTGCAATGGTACAATCTCAGCTCACTGCAACCTCTGCCTCCCAGGTTCAAGCTATTCTTCTGCCTCAGCCTCCCGAGTAGCTGGGATTACAGGCATGTGCCACCACACCCAGCTAATTTTGTATTTTTAGTAGAGATGGGGTTTCTCCATGTTGGACAGGCTGGTCTCGAACTCCTGACCTCAGGTGATCAGCCCGCCTTGGCCTCTCAAAGTGCTGGGATTACAGGCGTGAGCCACCATGCCCGGTCTGTGGCTAACAATTTTTATTATATTTTAAAAATCCTTCTCTACCCTAAGTTCATAAAAATATTACTCTATATTGCTCAATTTTAATTCCTTGGTCACTAGGGCTTGATAGCAAGCAGGGCATGTGCCACCTCATTTGCTTCTCCAGGAGAGTTTTGGCAATACTTGCTTTTTTGCCCCCATTTCCCTTCCATATACATTTTAGAATCAATTTGTCACATTCCTGTGAAAGTACTCTATGGATCTGGATTACATTTTCCTTGATCAATTTGTAGAGAATTGATAATGCATGATTTTTAATTTTCCTATCCATGAATATAGTATATATCCACTTAATTAATTCCTCTATAAAAATGTTCAATGACTTATAAGATTTTTCCACAATTGTCTGGTTTATTTTCATCATATGTATTTTTCTTTAGTAACTTATGTGTTTAGATTCTAATAAAGTGGTAAGTGCTATGTTTTTGTGGGGAGAGGGCAGTTTTCTATGTAGACAATCATGCCATCTACAAGAAAACAGTTTCTTTTCAATCGCCATCATTATTTATTTTGTGTTCTTGCATCATTCAATACCTCAAAACAAAATCAGCACTAGTGGGCATTTTTGTCTTGCTGTTGATTTTAAAGGAAATATTTCTAATGTCTTACTACTAAGAATAATGTTTGTTATAGGTAGAGGTCCTTTCTCAGTTTAAAGAAATATGTTCTTGTCCTAGTTTCTGAGAAAGTTTAATTATAATTAGTTGTTGAATTTTATTATTTTTTTCCTGCATCAAATAAGACGATTATTAAACAAAGGCTTTTAACCTAAAAATCTAAAAATCAGATTTTTTAACATTTTTGTCTATTGTTATGGTGAAATACATTTATAGGTTTTCTAACATTAAATTATTCTTGTGTTCTAAAGATGAATCCAATTTGATCCTAGTTGGATTCAGTTTGCTAGTATTTTGTCTGGCAATTTAACTTCTGTATCCATGAGTGCAATTGGTCTGAAATTTTTCTTTCTCATACTGATGTTGTGTAGTTTCTTACCATATAATGAATTGTCTGTAAGGTGTGCTGTCTTTTTTCTATTCCTTGGGAAAAATATTTTAAGATTGAAATAATTCTTAACTACTTATTCCAGAAAAAGCTTTATTATGCTATATGCACCCAAGGAGCTTTGCTGGACTAGTTTAGGCATACAACCTATACATGTTTGGGCAAGTTATGACCTCAGTAGTAAGCCCTACAGGGTTCCCCCTAATGTCACAGGGGATGAATGACGAGTTATGATCTATCACATGTGATAATACTCAGCAGCTAAATGAAGAGTAAGGGAAAAAATAACAAACTTGGTCTGGGCTTTAGGATTTTTTTTTTTTTTTAACCATACTCTAAACCCAAGTAAGTTTAAAAGGCAAATGATAAAGATGTTAAAAATTCACAATATAGGAAATATGAACTGATGGTAGAATCACAATTTACTATTCTATGTTGCTAAAGACACATACCCTGGAGAAAGAATAATTTCTGGCATATTTTCTTCTTTTATATGTGTATTTCATAAATGAAAATTCTCTCATACATCAAGAAAGACATAAAAAAATGATGCTTTGTTTTGTTTTATTACTGGTCCCAGAGACAAGCAAAAAGCTCCTTCACACAGCAAAGTGGAGGGTAGTTCCTCCTCCTTTCACCCCTCCCCTTAGGTACCCACAGGTAAACAGGGGACTTTGGGGTCAGTGCAACCCTGCCCACTCCACCCCTGGGCCAGAGAATTAAACTCTAGATTACCACGGTCATTACAGGGATGCAAAACTTCAATTTCAATGAGATTGAGGGGCTTTCCTAAATGAATCTGTGGTGTTTTAAAATGAAAAACCATCACTACTCAATATATTTTGGTGATGTCCATGTACCTGTATAAATGTGATCAGTGATAGCTGGACATTCAGGACAAATTAATCTTCTCATTCATTTATTCCTTCTTTATCACCATATGTACAATACTCACTATAGTAGGGTATTGAGCTAAGAATTATGTAAAAAACAGAAAATAAAATAGTACTAGACACTAAGTTAAGCACTGTGAAAATTACAAAGTTAAATAAGGCAGCATGATTGACTTGGATGAGCTTAGAAATGGTATTGCCCTCAGCATGTTTACGATCTAGCATTTTTATTCACAATATGCATACAGGTACCAGGGCTTTTTAAATTTACTGAATTGTGCTTTAGTTACTTAAATTTTTATTTTACTTTGTCTGAACTGACAAAGTAAATAATAAGTACTAAACAGCTGGGTGCGGTGGCTCATGCCTGCAATCCTGGCAACTTTAGGAGGCTGAGACAGGCAAATCACTAGAGGGCAGGAATTCGAGACCAGCCAGGCCAACATGGTGAAACCCTGTCTCTACTGAAAATACAAAAATTAGCCAGGTGTGGTGGCGCACGCCTGTAATCCCAACTACTCTGGAGACTCAAACAGGAGAATTGCTTGAGCCCGGGAGGCGGAGCTTGCAGTGGGCGGAGATTGCACCACTGCACTCCAGCCTGGGCAACAGGAGACTCGTCTCAAAAAAAAAAAAAAAAAAAAAAAAAAAGAAAGAAAGAAAAAAAGAAGTATTAATAGTAAACTGTTATTGACTCTATTGAAACTGCCTTTGCAAAAATTATAACAGAAAATTACGATAGTGAAAGAGATCTGACCTGAGTCCATCTTACTTCTAACCTCCAAAATGTCCTTGTTCATTCCTGGGCATAGGCTGAACTACCTTGGGAGGAACTTAGTTTATCGTTTAATTTTGAAACAAAGATGACAGCAGCCCTTTCCCAAAACAAACCCCCTTCTTGCCTGGGAGCCAGACTACCTTTAAAGATAGTCTAACTAACAAATTAGTCACAACATTAGAAATTATGATTTAGGAGTTATGCAGCTAGAGACTGCAAGATTCTAAACTTTCCCAATTGCTCCTAGAGGTTACATCACTATTGTAAAACCTAAGATTGGTACTCGAGATACTTTTCAGACCCTGCACTCCATGGATCAGCTGATGCCACCCAGATTGATAAACTGGCTCATCTGGTCTTGCAGCTCCAACCTAGGAACTGACTTAGTGCAAGAGGACAGCTTCGACTCCCTATAATTTCATCTCCGACCCAACAATCAACACTCCTCACCCTCTGACCCCTACCCACCAAATTATGCTTCGAAAACCCCAGTCTCTGAATTTTCAGGGAGACTGATTTTGTCAGAGGTGTTCGAGCCAAAGCAACTCCATCTTAACTGAGGGTTAGGAAAATGAGGCTGGGACTTGCTTAGCTGCATTCTCAGAAAGTTAGGCATTCCTAGCTTCTAGACGTTTATGGTTAAAGGAACAGACTGGTAGCATTTACTAAACAGACCCAGACTTACGAGTGTCCTGATATTCCAATATCTTGAGAACAGAAGCATTCCTAATTTTGCTTTAAAGATAATAATACCTTTATCTCACAGTGTGCAATCAATCCTTTTCAATAAATTTTATGTTGGTATTCCAATATTCTTTAATAAATAATTCTAATATTTTAAAATAATTCCTATACTCTTTAATGTATAGCTATTCTGTTACAAAAACTGGATGAACACCACCCAACGATTTGGTCAAGGCTGGTGCTCAGAATGGAGAAAACCCAGGAATGCATCATCCTTTGCAGAGTTTTGCTGTAACGAGATTTGCTTCTGTCTGAATTCCATGAATAGCACTCATAGTAGTAGCCTCTGAATTTTTAAGGACAAAACAAAAAGGTGTAAACCAAAAATAAAATTCTAAGCTTCCCAACCAGCTGCCTTTAAATGCCTTTGGCCCTCTCCTCAGCCAATGGCATTTTAAAGTAAACCTGAAGTACTAGTTTAGGCCATGATGGGAATAGATGGTAGGATATGCCTCATTATACCTCCCTCCGCTTGGAATTTAGGCACAGCTGACCAGCATTAACATTAACACAGACACCTTAAGACTGACCAAACAGACTCTTTCCAGCAATAAGATACCAACATGACAGAGAGCAGATCTTGAATAAAATCAAAGTATTTTACTCCAAAATGTATTTCTTTGACCTACTTTGAAATGGCCCTGCAAAGCTATCTCCTGTGGGGAAAATCTACATTCCACAGAGAATCTTCTTCATTTTCCATGTCTTTTTCCTGATCCAGGAGAGAATTAACTAAGTGTATGGTACCTTTTAAAGTCTAATAAGAAACATTTACAATCTATTGCCTCTGAAGCCTGCCACCTGGAGGCTTCATCTGCATAATAAGAACCTTGGTCTCTGCAACCCCACCCCTCTGCCTTTTTTTTTTTTCACCCAGACACTCCCTTCTATTGATTCCAGGTCTTTAGATAAACACCAATTGCCAATCAGAAAGTCTTTGAATCCACCTATGACCTGGAAGCTCCCTGCCCCTCCACCCCCTTGGGGCCTCCACCACCTCATTCCAAGTTAGACCAAACCCATGCACATCTTACATGTATTGACTGATGTCTTATGTCTCCCTAAAATGTATAAAACCAAGATGTACCCTGACCACCTTGGGCACATGTTCTCAGGATCCTCTGGGGCTCTGTCATGGGCCATGGTCCTCATATTTGCTTGAGAATAAATCTCTTCAAATATTTTACAGAGTTTAACTCTTTTTCAATGACAAAGACAATGAAGAATACTTGTGGAAAACTATTTTTTCATGTCTATAACTGAAACCAGTAGGTTAGTATTTGGGCAGGATATACTTTAAACGTAACTCTAAATGGCTTTATTTTACCCGAGTGAAAAAGGAAGCACAAATTCTTAAAAATTGAAAACCCATGCCCACATTCTTTCCCATGGAGTAATTAAATAAAACTGTCTTATGGTAATTATTAAAAGACAGAGAAACAGTAATTTTAAAAAGTGAAATTCATATAGTGACATACCATAGTAAAGACCTAATTTGAGTTGGAAATATTGAGTACTCCCTTCCTAACGTAGGACATTCCTGGCAGACACCTGTCAAAGAAGTTGTATTTCAAATCTTGATGTGTGCAATGGTCATTTTGACAAAGTGCTTGACTTAATCTCCAAGTCTGAATCTGATTAAAGGGGGGACAATGAAATTTTCCTCTTCTTTGAAATATAAAGAACAAAATGGCAATACTTAAAGCTTCTGAGTAAATAAATGTAGATGTACTATAAATGATATTTGAATGCTTTAGGACCTTCTATCTAAATTGTCTCTAACTGACTAATAGTTTAAGAACACAATTTGAATGTGAGAGAGGAGAAAGGAAGAAACCAATCAGGCAGGCAGTTAAGGTGGGTCCTTGGTTAAATTCTTTCAAACAAAAGAACAGCCTGAAAAATCAAGTTGCAGGCACAGATAAGGGAACATGACCAGGGCCTTGATTAAGATATCCCCACAGCTGCATAGCTAAGAAAGACTACACAGGATACTTGCCCAGACAAGCCCACAATGGAAAATTTCATCCCCTGACATATGTGCAGTCAGGGGAACAAAGTAGCATGGAGTAACTCAAGCTAAGAACCTATGTGTGCACTAGGAGGAAAGGGTGGAACTACCAGAAATGCACACCTTATGCAAATGAGACACCCTGCCCCCTGTCAATTTCTTATAAAAGCCTCTGTATCCAAACTGTGAATTGGCAACCCATTTTTCTGGGACCCACCCCTCTCTGTAGCAAAGAGCTATTGTCTTTCTTTCACTTATTACATTTCTGCTCTAAACCTCACCCTGTGTGTGTCCACGTCCTTGATCTCTGTGGCCATGAGACAACAAAACTTGGGTGTCACCCCAGAAAATGGGGCTTCTTCAAATCCCTCAACAATACGGAAAAACAAAATAGTTTTTCTTCTTTTTATAATCATTTACAAACCTGCCATTTTATTCATGGGAGAAAGATGAAAACTATGAAAAAGATCTGAAAACTGTCATAAAAAATATTTACATTTACCACAGCAGTTAATCTTGATCACACATAGGTGTGGTAACTACCTAGACAAATGCAAATTACAAGACCAGAATTAAAGATTGGAGAGGATGGGCTGGATGTGGTGGTTCATGCCTGTAATTCCAGAACTTTGGGAGGCTGAGGCAGGTGGATCATTTGAGGTCAGGAGTTCGAGACCAGCCTGGGCAACATGATGAAACCCCATCTCTACTAAAAATACAAAATTAGCCAGGCGTGGTGGCGAGCACCTGTAATCCCAGCTTCTCAGGAGGCTGAGGCAGGAGAATCATTTGAACCCAGTAGGCGGAGGTTACAGTGAGCCAAGATCACGCCACTGCACTTCAGCCTGGGCAACAAAAGCGAAACTGTCTCAAAAAAAAAAAAAAAAATGGAGAGGATGAAGGCATAAAACTCTAGAAAAGATGAAGTCTGTGTTTCCTGGCCTGGACACCAATATGAGTTCATCATTCAATCTTTGGGAAAATTTTAGGATCTTTCCATAACTAGGTCTGCAAAAAACAAGTACTCCCAAAGATTCTGTCTTCTTGGGCCCCAAATACTTGGACTCATGTCTAGAGGAAAAAATATACGTTCAAAATCAGAAAAAGGCATGGGTTCTCATACTGGTCTGTCCATTTAAATCTTACTTAGAAGGCCAGCAGGCACTCAAGCCTCTTCTGGTCTCTCTCTGGAAAGGGATGGGATGTGTGTTGTGATGTGAAAAGAAGAGGATGGGCCTCCTGGCCGGCAGAGCAGATGAGCAGCTCCTTGCAGCAACACGCACCTGGCCTCACAGCCACATCAACCTCACAAACCATGTGTGGGACATGGACCACAATGGGACCTCCTGAGAAAGTTGGCTTCCCCACGGCACGTCCGCGGAGCACACCACAGCAGTGTGTGGAAGAACTCTGCCAACACCAGTTATGATTGCTATCCTTAACCCTGCCCTCCCCACAATACTCTCTACCTTAAAAAACGTGTCTTAATAAAATCAGGTGGAGGATGCACAGCGTGGAATTAAGCGCACGGGCTCTGGAGTCAGACTGTCTGTGTTTAAATTCCAGACCCATCACTAGCTAGGGTGAGACTCTAAGTGACGAGCAGATTAATTGATTTATCTCTGTGCTGAGTCTCCTCGTCTGCAAAATGGGAACGAGGACAGCAAGTGTGGGAGCCCATGTGTAAAGCACTGAGCTCAGTGCATGCCTCTAGCAAGTGGGGGCTGAGCAGGTGAGAGAAGAATAACACACACACACACACACACACACATAAACACACTGCTCTCCCTCTTTGGGGCCACGTTCATTGTGTGGAATTGAGTGAGGTCAGAGCTGGAATTTACTGGCTTGGGATGGCTTTCTGCAGCTACTCAGCCGGTTATTCAGCGCAAACCTGGTTGCCTATGAGCCACAGGAGATCTTTTGGGAAGATATTAATTTGAAACATGAGAGAAAAAAAGACCAAGAAAACCAATGACAGTGTTGAATTACAGTTTATCAAATAAGGCAAAACTTCTCTTCATCCTCTACATACAACCTTTGATATGTGTCCATCCACTGGAAGGATCTTTTTACTTATTAGCTTGGGACTGATCCAAGAGCAGCTTGTCCATTCACATGCATCAGCACAGGCCAGGCTTGCAGGGGACAAACTGCGGGGGTCCACACGGTAGGGTTTTAAGGTTTCTCTCACAAAAGAAAACAAACTAGGCTGGGTGTGGTGGCTCATGCCTGTAATCCTAGCACTTTGGGAGGCTGAGGCAGGCAGATCACAGAGTCAGGAGTTCAAGATCAGCCTGGCCAATATGGTGAAATCCCGTCTCTACTAAAAATACAAAAATTAGCTGGGTGTGGTGGTGGGCGCCTGTACTCCTAGCTACTTGGGAGGCTGAGGCAGGAGAATCACTTGAACCCGGGAGGCAGAGGTTGCAGTGAACGGAGATCGCACCACTGCCTGGGTGATACAGCAAGACTCAGTCTCAAAAAAAAAAGAAAAGAAAAAAGAAAACAAACTATAACAATGAGAAACTTTATTCCCACTTAATCACTGGATCTAAAATAACACAATTAGAAACCCCCTTCACTTAAAGGTATTTTCTCTTATGGCTAAGAGGTGTATTGGGAAAAAATACTAAATGTGAGGAATTTTCATCATATCTCTGCTACTAGGCATGTCACAGAACAAGCGAATTGGGTTTTATGGACTTGAGTTTCTTTAACTAAAATACAGCACTAGGACTCTAGTTAATAATATTACATACTGGAAATTTGCTAACAAGAATAGATTTTAGGTGCTCTGACCACATACAAAAAGGTAACTCTGTGAGATGAAGAATATGTTAATTATTTGACTGTAGTAGTCATTTATGAATATGTCTGTCAAAACATCATGATGTGCACCTTAAATATACACAATAAACATAATAATAAAAAACATCCCACATTAGACCAGAGGATCACTATAGCCCACAGGCTACTATCATTCTGCTAAAACAAGGTAGCTGGAAGTTTGTGGGTCAAATGTCGTCTCCAAACATTTATGACATGGTTTCCTGAAGCAGTTGTAACAAGGGGAGTTGAGGAAGAAGAGAGGGCCTGGGGAACGTGCTGGAGGTGAGGTCTAGACACCCTAAAATCAACCTCTCTGGTTTCTTAGATTTAATCACATGGCCCAAATTGATTCTCCCTCCCCACTCCCTCTCCCCCTCCCCCTGTATTCCTCTTTTTCTTCCTCTTCCTCCTCTTCTTTATGAGAAGATGAACAAGGATTGGTGTCCCATTTACTAAAATTCAATAGGAGCAAAAGACGTGTGTGTGTGTGCGCGTGTGTGTGTGTGCGCGCGCATGTGTGTGTGTGTATAAGGTGTGACATTCACATTTTGCAAGAGAATGGACAGTAATTGAGGAAGGATTGGGGCTAGGGATGATAATGACAAGGTAATAAAGATCCCTGCTATGACAGAACTGAAAATGTAATGGGGCTGACAAGTGTGTCACACATAAAAGAAAGCCCAGTACACACATGTACAGTATGATACAATCTCCTGTGCAGGGAATGAATGGAATAATTAGGGTTGGGGAGATGCTTGAGGAAAGGCATGGTCACAGAGAATGTGAGATTGACACAGCATCCTGAATCTCTATTTGTAGATAGGCTCTGGACACAAATGTCCCACTGTGGGAGGAACAGGGGTGTTGGGCAGGTCACCGGTCAGCCACTGCCCCACCCTGCCCCCAGGACCCATGCATGCTAGATGATAAATTCCAGCTAGCTAGCTTGGAAGCTGCAAAGAAGTACAGTCCTTACCAGTGAGGCAGGGGAGACGAGAACGGGACAGCAGAGCACCATGCCATCTGGGGCAGGACCTCTCCTTCCCTGCTCAGCGTGCTTTCAGTTTGGGAATTTGGGGAGAGTGAAATTTCTCTTCCAAGCCTCTATTGCTAGTAGAAATGCCAAGTGGATCACAGGACTCAGCTGGATTCTCCCTGATTAAGCAGACTATGCCGCGGGGCAGGGTGGTCTTCTAATATGTGTCAGTTATTCAGCTGAATGAGAGGGTTTCCAATTCCCATTCCTGCAAGAATGCTCTGTAATTCTAAGCCTTGGCATCTTTAGTAAAATTTACATTCTTTCTGCAATAACTATATGGGATTTCTTTCACCAGTTCAAATCTAAATCTTTACTCCTGACCACGAAAAAAAATGGTCTTCAAAACTGCATATTTTTAACCAAAAATTAATGTTTCTGCAAAATCGTAAGTATGTCAAAAATCAAATGCCTGCTAAGGTGAACAGTCTAACTTTTTCAGGGGCAATATTTGTGATTTATCTGATAGTTTCTCTTTTTGAGAAGTTGGGGTTTTCTTTATCATAATTGTAGGTTTATTTTTTTTCATCTCTGGCTCAGAGCAGATATTCAATAAATGTAGATGAGCAAAAGGAAAAAGAATGTTTTTCATTTTGTGTGTGCTGTGGATGAAGGAAATTTTACATGCTTCATAAGTTATTTTTATTAATATATGCCCTAATGAGAGGTGAAGCCAGGTGGGCTCCTGGGTGGGTGGGGACTGGGAGAACTTTTCTGTTTAGCTAGAGGATTGTAAGCACACCAATCAGCACTCTGTGTCCAGCTAACAGTTTGTAAATGCACCAATCAGCCCTCTGTAAAAACGGACCAATCAGCACTCTGTAAAATGGACCAATCAGCAGGACGTGGGTGGGGCCAAATAAGGGAATAAAAGCTGGCCACCCAGCCCCAGTGGCAACCCGCTCCGGCCCCCTTCCATGGTGTGGAAGGTTTGTTCTTTTGCTCTTCGCAATAAATCTTGCTGCTGCTCACGCTTTGGGTCCGCACTGCCTTTATGAGCTGTGACACTCAACTGCGAAGGTCTGCAGCTTCACTCCTGAAGCCAGAGAGACTACGAACCCACCGGTAGGAACAAACAACTCCAGACGCGCCACCTTTAAGAGCTGTAACACTCACTGCAAAGGTCTGTGGCTTGACTCCTGAAGTCAGCGAGACCACGAACCCACCAGAAGGAAGAAACTCCGGACACATCTGAACATCTGAAGGAACAAACTCTGGACACACCATCTTTAAGAACCCTAACACTCACCACGAGGGTCCGCGACTTCATTCTTGAAGTCAGTGAGACCAAGAACCCACCGGAGGGAACCAATTCCGGACACAGTAAGACCATATGGGACGTACATTTTCTCATCATGAGATGCTCCAGAGAAAAATGACTTACTTGAATTCCCACATCTAATGTTTTATCAAATATAAAACTTTACTGTGGCTTTACTACCTTCTTAAAATTATTGAGTAAATGATACTGCAAAAGAATGGAAATTAAACAATGTTGATTTTTCTAGGTCACATTTTTCACTAATAATTAGTTTTTTAAAAAGATGTTATAGGAAACATTCTTTGGCCAGTATCCCCAAGAAAATAATGCTGCACTTCTTTTTTTTCTGAATTTGCTGTTTCCGGTTTGTTGTCATCCTAAGTACATTTGTTCATTTATTTCCCAAGTCTTTATGCAGCCTCTCGTTATAAAAACAGAATAGAAGGAACAGTCTCTGCCTCTAAATTTGAGTCTAATTTTATGACAACAAATTTGAGTCTAATTTTATGACAACAAATACATGTCAAATAGTTTAAGTACAAAACAAAATAAAATGTCAGAAAGTACAATGTGCATGTTGTATGACATGAAAATTGTAAAACATGATCAGCTAGGCAAGAAAGATTTTTGCTTCTTAGAAAAGGCTGGCCTAATAACCATCTCCTTTACTCAAAATAAGGAAAATTTTATTTTGCTGTTTATGTTTTAGTAAATATAAGAAAGCACAAAATCAAATGGGTGTTTTTCACTTTTCCAGCTGTGCTAGCATTAATCACAGCACTTCTGGAAAGCCTCCTGGGGAACTGTCTTCACAGTTCGTCGGCAGCAATTAGGAACACGAATTACGCCTGACACATGATCTGAGTCAGTGCCTAGCCAGGCACCAAGGGCCCACCCAGCTGCCTTCCATGTCATCTAACAGTGCCCCTGTTGGGAGTGTCTCAGAGCTTTTTGTATCTACTATCAAAATGTGAAAATGTATCACCGAGTCATTCTTATTCTCTTCCATTTTGTCATTTCTATTATTACCAGAAACTAAAAAAAGTATAGAAAATGTACTTTTACATTTTTTATAAATTATTCTCAGGGATGAGAAGTTATATGTTTGAAATTCCAGCTCAAAATATTCTTTCCAAGAATTTTCCCTTCCTTAACCCACTCCAAATTCCAATCTTTCTCTACTCTCTGTATCCTCAGATTTACATTATCCAGGTTTTTTGTTCATGTGTTTCATTTTTTATTGACGACCTCTTGTGTAGAAAAGAGTTGCAGACATGGGCTACGTGGGTATAAACTGGCACAGCCTTTGTGGGTGACATCTGGCAATATTTATCAACACTCACAAATATTTATACTCTTTGTCAAGGAACTTTTGTGCTTCAGAATTTATCCAAAATATCAGAGAATTACATATAGATGTGTGAAGATTTTTATCACAATTATTTAAAAGAAAAAATTATATATAATGTAAGTATTTCGGTGGCTAAATGGCGACATAAAGTTTGGTCCATTCCATTTAATTCCATTTTTAATGCTGCTTGTCGTTGTGATTTGTTGGTCAATAACTTTGGATTTATTTTAGGAGGCTGAGGTGGGAGGATTACTTGAAGCCAGGAGTTCAAGACCAGCCTGGGCAACGTTGCGAGAACTGTCTCTACAAAACAATAAATTAGCAGGGTATGTTGGCACTTGGTATAGTCCCAGCTACTCCAGAGACTGCGGTGGGAGGGCTGCTTGAGTCCGGGAGGTTGAGGCTGCAGTGAGCTATGATTACACCACTGTACTCCAGCCTAGGGGACAGAGCAAGACCCTGTCTAAAAACGAACAAACAAAAAACAAAAAGCAAAACAAACACCCAAAACTACTATGGATTCACTTTATGTACACATCTCTTCCAGTGAATCAAAGGCTCCAGAAAGGTGAGGTTCTTTCTGTTACTTAAAATAAGGCCACATATCTCCATAGTGCCCTGCAAAGTGCTCTGGACACAAAAGTTACGTGAGTGCTTGTTAAGACCCAGATTTTCCCGAGAGCCAGAAACCCCTTTATGAGTCATTTTCTGCAGCTTAGTGGTTTTCAGTGTTGGCTACACATTCCTCCAGTGACCTGGGGAGTTTAAAAGATAGCAGTGCTGGGACCCCATTACCAAAGCCTGTGAGTTAACTTGTCTGAGTATGGCCTGGACGTGGTGCTGAGTCAGGTTCCCCAGGTGGTTCTAACTCCAGCCCAGGCTGAGCACTGCTGCCCCTGCCACAATCTTCTTCAAACCTCCCCAGTAAGAAGGACCTGGAAGCTTATCGTACACACAGGCTACCAAGCCTATCTTACATCATCCTCATTCAATAGGTCTGAGATGAGGTCTCTCTTATGAAATCTAACCACCCCTGCAGTAATCTTTATCTTCAGGGAACTTGGGAAACACAGGGATAGCTCATGGCTCCCCTGAAAGTAACTAGGTGCAATAAAGCCAACTCTTATTCATCTGTGCCATGTCGTCTTCGTGCCCACCTTTGCGAACCCTTCCCCAGCAGATGCAGCTGTGAGGTGTGTGAAGATGCAGTTGGGGACTGGGTTGGCAGGGAAGGGCAGAGAAGCGAGGACAGCATGGCAGGCGCAATAGTGCAAAGCCAAGTTACAGGCGCCGTGCTTGGCGGGCCAGTGCTTTATTATTACAGACAATGAATCACAGCTGGTGCCAGTTGTGCTGGGCACACATGTCTGTCATTTTATCCGACACCCTGGTAGCTATTCTGTGCCAAGCTCCTTACCCCACATTTTACCAAGCCTGAAATTGTTTGTACCTTGCTACACAGGGAACAAGCACTCAGTGAAGCAGTCTCCTCGGTCTTTCAAATGCCTGCAACTTCGTTCAGTGAAGTGTAACCAACCCTCCAGCTGTGGCTGGATCCACAGGCTCTCCCTAAAGGTCAGGGTGTACGAGCCAGCAGGGCTGCTCTGCAGACTTTGCAATGAGCTTGGAAATCTCCATGTCTAAAGGTTGCTCTTTTGGACCTTGAAAAATAAGTTTGCCTTTGAGCCTTTGACTTTAGAAATGGTCTCATTTTGTTTTTCAAATCTTCATCAACGATGATTCATTTTAGTCTGCCTGGCCTTTGCTTAGAAGCAGACTTAAATCTTAGCCAAATGAAAGTACTCCAATATCTCGAAAGTTACAAGTCACAAGTATGCTGAGATCCCAGCACAGGGCATGGAGCCCAGCAAACCCCAGACCTTCAGCTGTAAGTGCTGGTCATCATTTCCAGGTGAGCCACGATGACAAAACTTTGGAAAACACACCTAAAGAGCCTTATAGTAAGCCAAATGCTGAGCAGGAAACTAACGCTCCTTGGCAAACCCTGAAATGTTAATTGTTGGCCTGGAATTGTCTGGAAGGCACTGAAGATGAATTCCACGTTTGTGGAGGGGCCCCTTGGTGAGGGCATCCTTTCAGGGCATGACTCCAGCCTAGAAACTACGTTGCTTCGCCCTTTTTATAAACCTCCCGAGGCAACTCCCAGCCTCCCTCGGTAGTTATCCCACTCTGGTTCCATAAATCATTTCACTTCTGGTAAGGCCACGAGCCAACTGGCTGTAATGACATATCGAACCCTCAGGTCCCTCATACCCCCGACTGATGATGTATTCACCAACTTTTAAAAGGCAGGTCCAAGCTATCAAGTGCCCTTCAAATTTGGAGCCAACTTCCTTGTTAGGATTTTGTCCTTATTAGAATCTGAGCAGTTGTTGGCACCAGTTCTTTCCTCTTCACACCATTTGCCTGAGTGGGAAAATTCTTGAGCAGTTACTCTTCTTTAATGCGGGTAATAAAGCTAATATCATGGCCTCCATTTTGTAAATAAATAAACCATATCTCAGTTTTAGCAACCGAAGAAAGACACTCCTTTTTAATAGAGGACACCTGATTTAATAACACATTTCTCAAACAACACAAATAGATGCCCTATATGGACACAAGATATTGATTGGAAACCATCCTTTCCTATAAATGCTCAACTTTGTAGGCAACAAGAGGCTGTACCAATTCAGCAGGAATGTGCATGCGATTTCAGTACTTATCCAGGGCCATCAGAACATTGGCTTTCAATTGGGCCATGCAGCCATCCCTCACTTCACACAGAACACTGGAAAATTCCAGAAACAGGTCTAAAACTTCAGTTCTTATAGCTTATGGTTACAAAGCTCCCCACTTAAGTCACAAATTTTAGCCATAGAAATAGCAAGCATTCTAGAGACAGGGTAAGAGGTCAAAGTGGAGACAGGAGGGGGCTGCCCACCACATAGCACCTGTGTCCTCCCTGATGAATTCCAGACATTCTCTGGGTCTCAATTTTCCCAGAAATGCTACGAGAAAAATGACAAATTTTAAATTACTCTCCAGTCTAGAGAGGACAGGGATATATAAATATAACAGAGTAGTCTCCTTACTGTGCAGGTTAAACTAAGCTTGCATTATCACAGCATGGGCTGTCACCATACCTATTGTTGGCATAGAAATGTCCCAGTGACATGACAATTTTTCAGATGCATTGTCTTCTCAATTCAACTGCAGCCACAATATTTTTCAGTACCTCTTTATTTGCCTGCCTTATTCTAGGCTCTGCAGATATATATTGAAAAGACAGAGTACTGATTAATCTTGATTTCTTCAAGGCTTTCAACTAGCAGACATAAAGTCAATTTTATAAACTTGATTTATTTTTAAATTCACATTTGTTTAATTATCTGTGCTGGAGCCAATACATATCCTTAAAAAAACAACAGATAACCACAACAATAACAAAATCCCCAAGAAATTAATATGATGTTTCCACTGGCAGGAAATGCTTCTCAAATAAGTAGTACCTACATTATTAGTTAATATAAATAGAAAGGATATTTTAGTATGATTCAGTTAGCCCATTGTTAACTATGATTCAATACTAATACAGCTAATAGCAACTGTCTACAAACATAAAGTTCTTAGTTTATTACCAAATGTGTAACCTGTTTAGCCATTATTAAAATATTAAAACATTACTGTTTCTGCTGGCATATGCTACAGAAGTCCAGAAGGTAATTATCTCATGTATAGTCAAGCAGCCACAGATACCTCTCTCCCGTAAGACTTTCATAGCAAGGCTTTCTTTTTGTAACAGTAAAAATCACACTACATCATACTACTGTGTCAACATATTATTGCAAATCTGAATTAGAGAATAACCTGACTTATTGGATACAGTGATTTTTTAACTCATATGTCTTAAGTGCTTGGAAAAGCTATGGTCACTTCTATTTCCATAAACATTTTACTAATATTATGTTTATACTTAATTTTCTTAGCAAATAGATGAAGTATAAATTGTAGGATTGCCTAAATTATCCACCAAAAGTTCTGAATATGTAACTGTATTTGTAATCACATGTCTGGCTACCTTTACCCTCACCATGTTTTATTGGAACTGTAAAAGGATATAGACTGGCCGGGCGCAGTGGCTCACGCCTGTAATCCCAGCACTTTGGGAGGCCGAGGCAGGTGGATCACGTGAAGTCAGGAGTTCAAGGACAGCCTGGCCAACATGGTGAAACCCCGTCTCTACTAAAAATACAAAAATTAGCTGGGCGTTGTGGTGGGCGCCTGTAATCCCATTTACTTAGGAGGCTGAGGCAGGGGATTCACTTGAACCCAGGAGGCAGAGGTTGCAGCTGTGAGCCGAGATTGTGCCACTACACTCCAGCCTAGGTGACAGAACCAGACTCCGTCTCAAAAAAGAAAAAAGGATACAGATTTACCCACATGGTACTGTCTGATGTGGATGACATAGTGATGCAGTTTGGAGTTGAGGGCTTTGGAATCAGAGGTTATAACTGCTACAAGGTTCTACACCTTGCCAGCTACCTGACCTCAGGCAAGAAATTTAACCTTTTTAAGCTTTGGTTTCTTCATCTGAAAAATGGAGAAAATAATAGTACCTACCCAACAGGATACTGAGAAAATTAAAAAACAATGCAAATAAAGTGCATAACACAGTATCTGTCACGTAATAAGCCTTGGATAAATGTTAGCTGCTACTATTATGTGGCTATCTTACAGTACAACACTAAAGGGACCACTGATCAAGCTAGAGGAGTTGTTTGTTTATTTTCTCTAATGTTAGTGATCCATAGCTGTGATCAGAAGAGTTGGCATGTGGTAGAGAGAGTCAAATTAACAGTCCAAAGACTCAGTGCTCAGATCCTGTTACTTATGAACTCTGAAACTCTGCGCAGGTGGTTAATATCCCTGAGCCTCTGTTCCCCCTCATCTGCACAATGGGGACCTAAAGATAACTTACAGATAGGTCTGTGGTAAAGATGAACTAAAATAACCATATGCAGAATTATTTTAGAAAGCGCACAGTACCTAAATGATGTAAGTTATTAATGGGTGCTTTAAATAAAAGGAAATGATGACAAAAACTAACAATTATCTATGAACTACACACAATGCTAAGCACTTGATTCATTATCTCCTGTCCCTAACTGTAATCTGATATCACAGAAAGGAAATTATGCAGTTTAGCAATCTAGGGATAGCTGAATTCTGATATTCCCCTCTCTAGTTTTACCATTTTTTTTTCTTTTTTGTAAACAAAGTCTGACCCAGTCCACTGTTGTTTTGGGAAGTGCCTTTGACCTTCTATCACTGTACATCACCTCTAGCTCTGTAATGAGCCACTTTACAATGCTGCGTTAATATGTAAGAACTTCCTAAATACAAACTGTAAGTACTACAAGTGCATTTATTGCCTTAACCTTGTTGTCCACATTGAGATAAGTTTTTAATCACTTCCTTATACGTGAGCTGAATCTTTTAAAAAATTGTTTTGCATATCCTTTCCAAATGCAGGAAGATGGGGGGTTTATAGCTGGTTCAAACTTAGATTGTCAGTTTGCTAAAGTTAAGGCTAAATTATATTTTCTGTAGACATCAAGATAATAGCATCTCTCACTATAACAAAGTGGGGGGTCAGTGTGTGTTTGTTATGCTTGTCCTAATGTCATAAAAGGATTCTGGCTATCACCCACTATTACAGGGTTGTATATTATACAGCTATAAGAATGCCATTCACATTGTAATGATTGTTATTTATTATAACAAATTTCTGGCAGATACTAGTATTTCTTCTAACATTTTCTAAGATATGAACATAATTTTTCTAGCAAAATCAGTATTTTACTATAATTTTCTAACTGATGACAAGTGTATCCAAAAGTAAGAATCCATTTCCCAACTTATATGAAAGCACCCATATGAGTTACAGTTATACAAATAAATATATTAACATATATTTATATATACATTTTATTATAACATATAAAAATATGCACCTATTTATAACATTATATTTATAACTTTTCTTGACTTAGACCATCAATAATTAATGCCTTATTATCAGTTTAAAGTTGCTCTTTTACTGTTTATACTGGTTTTTGATCATCCATACCATATTCCATAAAAAAGGCTATTGACATTCAGGAAGGTATGTTTTAGATTTGGCGTCACACTACAAGTTACCCAGGTTGAGTAGATGTCATTGTCACAACCAGTCATTACTTTGATAAAATCCCCATCAGGGTAGCGCAGATATTATATTATTTGGTCTCAGGCCACGGAGACCCAACCTGGTTGATCTGCACAGGCAGAGGAATTCTGCCCTGAATTTGTTGGCTGCCAAATTGGAATCAATGGCAGCCGTGATAGAGATGTTCCTGCGCTTCATGAAGAACAGATCCAGAGCATCAGGGCCTGACATTGCCAAGTAAGCAAGACCTTTGATTTTCATTAAAACATTTTACTTGGCCAGTGTAGAGGCCTTCAGTCTGGGCATTTATTTATTTATTTATGGTACCACAATTCTCAGGCCCAACATACAATTAGGCACAACTTCAGTGAAAATTTTTTACTGTAATTTTAATCAGGAATTTTAGTCATGAAACTTTGTTTTTAAAAATAAGCTGAACCCGGTTGGGTGTGGTGGCTCACGCCTGTAATCCCAGCACTTTCGGAGGCTGAGGCAGGTGGATCACGAGGTCAGGAGATCAAGACCATCCTGGCTAACACAATGAAACCCTGTCTCTACTAAAAATACAAAAAACTAGCCAGGCGTGGTGGCGGGTGCCTGTAGTCCCAGCTACTTGGGAGGCTGAGGCAGGAGAATGGCGTGAACCCAGGAGGCGGAGGTTGCAGTGAGCCGAGATTGTGCCACTGCACTCCAGCCTGGGTGACAGAGCGAGACTCTGTCTCAAAAAAAAAAAAAAAATTTAGCTGAACCCAGCGCTTTGGTGTTAGACAGATTTCATTTTAAAGTTTAAAATAGAAAGCTCATATGGAGCTTATTTTATCCATTCATGTAATCACATTAAAGATATCACAAAGTGAATACTTTTTGTCCATGAAGTAGCAAAAATCCACTTTTCGCAAGCAGTTCCTTAACAAGCAGCTCATTAACAGCTGATGTGGTTAAGGACGCATCCTACTAAATGGTATTAATATACCAGCAATGTATCACCTAATATAGAGGTGTGTGGAGACAACCCATTCAAAGAATCACAAAGCAGGAGAGAATCAGATTATAGATATATGGAAATGGCTGAGACGATTGTTGAGCTGAATCATCAAGAGTTGTTACAGCTTTTATGGTATTACCCCAAAGCATCAGTGGCATTATCATAGCCCCTCAAACTGCAGTGTAAACCATCAGGTCCTCAATTCTCCCTCCTGACATCCATAACTAGCAGATTATTGTAAGGGAATATGAATTGTTTTTCTCTCCCCACTTGTCTCCATTATGGGCTGTGTTACTAGTTACTGAGCTTGCATCATCATTCATACCAGAAATGGCTATAGGTGAAGGAGCCGGAAGTCCTCTGTTGAGCCAACGCTACCTTTCTTCTTCTAGCGTCCGTCCAATCACATAACATTCACTGTGTGCAAGCAGAGGCAGACACCCAGAGAGCACCAAAAAGAGGGTCATCCTTCATTTCGTCCATTTTATCCATTTTATGCTGTCCTAAAAGATTCTAATTCACTCTCCCTCTTTCTAATTCATTCTTATTCTTTTAATAGAATGAAAATCTAAATATTAATAGCACTGGTGCTTTTTTTGGATTCTTTCCTTTATTCAGCTAATTCAATTGTTTCCTAAATTTCCCCAGCACTTAACATTATTTAAGCAAACCATGTCTTAATCCCCATATGACATTTTCTCTTGCAAACCTACAATCTGATTTTCTTAGTTTGTTAGATAATAATGCAATGTTTTAAAGATATTCCATTACAAACTTTCCAAATCTGGATTCAAAATCCTTAGTGAAAGTACAACAGGCCAGGTGCTGTGGCTCATGCCTGTAATCCCAGCACTTTGGGAGGCTGAGGCGGGCAGATCACCTGAGGCCAGGAGTTCAAGACCAGCCTGACCGACATGGAGAAACCCCATCTCTACTAAAAATACAAAAAATTAGCTGCGCATGGTGGTGAATGCCTGTAATCCCAGCTACTCAGGAGGCTGAGACAGGAGAATTGCTTGAACCTGGGAGGTGGAGGTTATGGTTAGCCAAGATCGCACCATTGCACTCCAGCCTGGGCAACAAGAGCGAAACTCCATCTCAACAAAAAAAAAAAAAAAAAAAAGGAAGCACAACCACCCACATGTTCCTGTGGGATTTGCTATATTTACTATAAAGAAGTAGAGGGAAACTGTCTCTTGACTGAGTGGCTTCTCTCTGCCTGACCTGCAGCATGAGGACACCACCCTCAGCTCTGAGAGCTAGAGAAGAGTCCCTCTGCAACAGTTTCCGACAGGAGCATGCTGTGTCCCTCTGGTGCCATAAAGCAGCAGATGGCACTGACTTTCCCGGAGACATCTATAAAACCATAAATTCCTAAGCCATCTGGTGAGAGACTGATTTGGCAGGTTTGGGGCGTGGCCTGAGCTGTGGTATTGGTAAAATGTGAAAATACCTCTAGGTGCTTTGATGGGCAGCCTTGTTTAGAAACCATGGCGGCTAACATAAATAGCAGTCTTCAAATATTTGTTTGTATATGCAAAACTAAACACCTCCTCTGATATTTAAAGTAGAAACCTAAAAGTGCTTAAGTTTTAAAAATTGTAAAGGACATATAATTGACATCATTTTCAATTTTAACTTCTACAATTTTAATTTTGCAATGGTTTCCAAATATCTGAGCAATTTGGGAGTTTAAATTGTTCATTTTAAAAATATGTAAACGGTTTTTAAAAAACTAGATATTTTTTATAACTCCATTTTCTCCTTGAGTTTTTATTTCCATTGTACTTCCTATACTGTATTTCAGGCTAATAATAAATTATTTATATTTAGGCTATATATTATACTAAAATATATGTTATATATAATAGTATATTTTATTTAAAAAACTAATTGATCATGCAATTATACTTGCCTGAAATAAAAGGTATGTATACAAACTAAAATGAAAATGTAAAAGAGATGATCATAGAACTCTCAGTGTTAAATTTTATTTTTGTTATATTATTATTAGTGTACAATTCATCAAAAACATAAACGTTATATTTTTGATAGATAATTATTAACATTAATAGTAAAATCTGATGGTAAATGAATCTAATATGAGATAGATACTGCTTTTTTTCCAGTTAGTTCATGGACTTGTCGGTGAAAATTATTTGTTGCTGAAATAAACAAGGGACAGTATCGACTCTATTTCTTCCCTCCCTTTTTATTTTTAGAATTAAATACTAAAAAATCTTGTTCGCATAAATAGATGGGAACAGAAGCAGTTTCTTTTTAGAGATCTATTCAATTCACTGTACTCTTTCCAAATTATACGTTCCCAGTCACGTAGACATCTATCATGGAATATAATTTTTTTACTCATCTATCACCTGGCAACTTGATTAGGCCCTCCTTTAATTTTATGAAAAGCAAAGAATTAGAAACCAGCTAGCTTGTAAAAGGATTTGTTAGCCACAGATTGCCTCCCACTCACTAATACCACTGACTTCTTTCATCAATATTTGAATCATTCCTTTGTTTGACACCTGAGAGGTTTTTGCTACCCCAGGGCTATTAGAGGGCTCCAAATGGGTGCATCTCTTTCTCATAAAGTGAGAAAGACTGACTGTGAAAGCCTTAGCAGGAAGGGAGCACTGTGGAGATTAATTTTAGCACAATATATAAGGAAGCAAATGATCTGAAAAGTCTGAGCCCACATATCCTGTTGAGAGCCATCATTTTTTTCCAACGGTATATTTATACCTGTTTGAAGACCGCTGCCTTAAAGTGTGCTACGAGTCTCTTTCTGTAACTTTGATTGGCACCCACAGAGTAGCTAAGGCAAGAATAATGTCCTGCAATCGTGGTATATGGGTAGAAGGCACCTAAGCCTGAATCCTGGCTGGAGAGAAGGGAGCCTTACTTGCCTTGGCTGTGAGGTCCTCTAAGTGGGTCAGCCTTGAGATCTCCCTGAAGCAGCCAGAGAGGGAGGCCTGGCCAGTCGTAGTCAGGGTTCATGGGAGCTGACAAAAATATTTCAGGAACGTCTCCATGGCTAAAAGACATATCATTTCAGTGGTTGCTGGCAGCGCCACACTCTCAATTTGCAGGACAGCTAGACCATGCCCTGTGGGCTAAGAAACCACTCTTTCTCTGACTCATCAGAGAAATCCAACCTGGCATTTAGTTACTTAGGTACTCAAAGAGAGTGGCTCACTGATGGAGCAGGCCCTGACCACTGCCTGGGGCACAGACTGAAAGGTGGACAGGAGGGGGACCCAGGCAGGGAGCTCTGTGGTTTCAGGCTAAGTGCTAGGGAAGGCTACGGCAGGGCCCCAGGGGACAGGAAAACAAGGCCAGTGAAGAGGCCTCACATTCCCAGCCACTCTGCAAGGTCGGCTATGAGGCAGGAGGGCAGAGTGGCCTGGTAGCTGGCCAAATGGTCACAAGCACAGCCTCTGATCCTCAGCCATCTCATACCCAGAGCTCCCAAACACTGGTGGAGGCACCATTCAGCACCAGCCTGTGTGACTGTGGCAGGGGATCTGGGGACCTGAGGGGGCTTCACCCCACGGGGTCCTAAGCAAACCACACAGCCAGGCTTCAATCTCTCCTGTATTGCTTCAGATTATTTTTAGCATGGGGACTCTCATTTCTGCAGATGAGCAGCATTTGTTAACCCCGACAGTGGGGACAACTCAAATAACTTGCTCCCGAAGGGATCTATCAGGAAGGTGAGCACAGGCGCATGGACCCCAGAGAGCAGCTGTAGGCCCAGAAGGGGGCCCCAGCCACCCTAGCACAGCAGCTCTAAAGATGTGTGGCAGTGAGAGACCCAGCCTCAGCCGGATAGAGAGAGGTCAGGGCAGGGAGGGACTGACGACAGGTGGGAAACATCCCAGCAGCTCTGTAAGTGAGCAGTGAAGGAAAGATGCATGCAGTGGGGTGGCGGAGAGACCTGGGGAGGGAAGAAGGACTGGAGCAAGCGAAAAACAAGGGAACCACAGAGAGAAGGCATGAAAGGGACTGAGAAGTGTAGAAACAGAAAAAACATCTACTGATCAATCCTCATGCAAGCACGAAGGTTAAAAAGAAGAAAGGGGCACAGAGAAAGCAAATCATTCTTCTCAGGCAACACACAGTTCGACGGGTAATGGGGGGAAAATGGGAAGTGCAGTTCTAACCCAGTCCGATATAATTGAATTTTTTTCATCCGAAGACCTAAGGTCTCCTGTGATACGGACACTCCCATCACCACTGCCTTCTGTCATCTCACAAAGAGGAAAGGAGGGGAAGGGAAGAATGAAGGAGGAGAAACAAAAAAAGGCCCTTGGGGTGGGGTGGGGACAGCCATGACACTGTGGCCCTGCTGGTCACACATCCACACAGCCTCACTCAGTGGAGTTCCCACTCCCACACGGGGATGGAAAGCCCCCACAGCCTCTTCCACCCTACAACGCTCCCATAAAGGCCCAGCCTCACTGTAATTCCATAGTTTTCCTCAATCAAATGGAGCTTCCTACATACAAGTTTGTTCATTTTCATGTGTTCTCACCCCCATTTGCCCCACAAATCTAACCAGAATAATGACCCCGAGATTAAAGATGGACAGAGGAATCACTGCTTTATTTTACATGTGCACAATGTACCCATACAGTCCCAGCTGCTGTGTTGGTCTGCACCTGACAACAGGAAAAATCTGGAATTCTCCCTCAGGGTCTGCCTCAATAACCCGAGTCTCCTGTTATTCACATGGCTCTGTATTTCAGATTAATTTTGATCCAGTACGGAAAAAGTTGGACTTTCTTTTCAAGCCATTAGGCTTTATTTTTCTGCCTAACTGCAAAATAAGTAGGTATAAAAAAATTGCATAAACAAAACATTCACTTTCAATAATTGGTGCAACTCCCAATCATTCAAAATAGCCCCAAATTTTGTTATATAAACATCAGTGTGGCCATTTTTTTAATATTTGAGGGGGAAAATATCCCTTCTATCTTAGTAGTTTTATGCTCCAAGTCACTTCTGACTATAATGGTTTGTGGAATGGCTAGCACAGGATTTCAACAAAGTTAAGGGACTTTGTAAGAATTGTATTAAGTCCCTTAACTTTGTTGAAATCCTGTGCTAGCCATTCCACAAACCATTATAGTCAGAAGTGACTTGGAGCATAAAAACAAAAGTATATAGTAGTGAAAAGTAATCATTTTTGAGATTTATTGCTTCCTAAATAAATTCATTAGTTGTAAATTGTCAACAAGTACATAGACACAGCAGCAGAACCACAAAAGTAACACTTTTAAGGCAGAACTCTCTCAAAGTTAATAAATTATACATCTGCTGAGCAAGTCATTACGTCATCACAAACGATAAGAAAGTGACTAGAGTTTCAAGATGTATTAAAGATTCCAGGAGGGAGAAAAGTAGCTGGCATTTTTGAAGGCCATAGAGTGATACTTTTAGGAATGGCAGCTGTGGATATTAAAGTCAAAAAGTGGGAATGTTCTTCTGATTCTTTGTCAAGAATGTAATAGTAAAATTGTAAAATTAAAGGAAAAAATCTTCAGACTATTCTAAAATTTTACTATTAAAAACACTTTCTGAAACTCCCAAAAAAAAAAAAAAGAATTGTACTAAAAGAAAAAAAGAGAAGGAGAGAAAGAAACTGGGAAATGGAAGCGTGTCCTAGTCTAAATGTCACAGTGTGTCTTTACATAATGGCTGAACGACTTAATGACTATTTACATAGACATTAAAGCCATATCCATCAGACCATTTCAGTGAACACTTGTGAAGAGTGGGAAGATCATTAGAGAGCAGATCATGATCTTTAGTAAAAGTCAGGCCCTGGGCACAGAAGAGCTCTACTGGCCAAAGTGGACAAATGAAGGTCTAAAAGTCTAATGCCATAGATCTGGTTTCAGATAAAATCGAAAGACTAAACCAGTAAATATAAATTGAACACATATTATTACCATAGAGAAGGCTGGCCACTCTGCAATCCCTGCTGTAGAATGCATTTCAAGATGGTTGCACGATTTGGGAGGAGAGAGGAGCAGTCCAAGCAGGTGGCAAAGCCAGGAGGGTTTGGATGGCTGGAGGAGGAGGTGGAGGTGGTCTTTATCCTGTGCATGGAAGACTCTCCAGACTCATGAATAGCTTGGAGAAGGATCCCTCAGAAGTCCTCCTATTCACCCAGGCTCTAAAGCACAGAAGGGAGTTTTTCCACAGAGCTACAGACTAAGGCAAACTCCATCACCAAATCCTAGGAAAGATGGGAAGCCCTGTGGATCCAACTGGTTCTGGCTCATTTTAGTTATCCATGGAAGCCCTTTGCTAAAACGAAAAGGTTGGCATTATCAGCAAGCCTAGTCCACATAAGACGAAGTGAGAGAAGGAAAAGGCTAATCCTATACTATATGGTTTCAAAGACTGAAAACACACTGTTTTCAATATTTTCAAAAATAACCATTTTCGGATTTTCAAGGCTGCACGTCATGTACGAGTTTCCATAAAGCGGAGGCCCTCTGGACCCTGGCATTCCTCTCTTTTTGCTGCTGGTCCAGAACGCAACATACTTTAAAACAAGTGATGGCCCCTGTCTGTTCAGCATACCACACGTTACCTTTCTAAAATTATTATGCCTTTTCAAATACATTTTTATTCCCTTATTTTTATCTAAGCCCACATAGCAGTGTCTCCTAAAGTTAAGTGATCATAGAATCAACTGAGTTCTTCTTAAACATAGAAATTCAGAGGACCATCTCTCAGGCAGTCTGATTCCCTACTTTTGTAGTTGGCCCAGGAATGTACATTTGTAAAGAGTGGCTGGGTCTAGTGAGGGAAATTTTTTGAAAAACTGTGATAAAGAACTGTTGAATTAAACCAAGGCCTCTTTCTCTACCTCACACTTTCTGAAAAGAAATATTTCTTTTTCTAATCATAGAGCTATGACCACTGGCAAGGAATTGCCCTTATTGCCCTTGTCTTACTATAAGTCACTGAAGCCTAGTAATTGTTTGCCCTGTATCGTTAGGCACAGACAATTTTACTTGGTGAAGCACAGGGCTTGATGGTCCTTCCTCCTCCAAGCCCAGCCATTCCAGCCCCACTTCTGCTCCCACATGCTTAGGAAAAGAAACTGCACAAACAGAGGACAAACCTTCACAGGCTCCATTCATAGACATGCTCCAGTAAAAAGTCATCTCAAAATGGTTTAAACACACACGCAGATTAAAGCCAATGTTTCAGGTGGATTCAGTCTAGCAATATACTCCCGGTAGGTTTGTCTCCGGGCAAGTGAGTTGGTGATTCAGAATTTTTATTTCAATTCAGGAATACCTTTCTGACTAACAGAACCAAAGTTCTTTAAGGAATAAAGCATATGGCTTAGTTGAAATGTGACAGAAGTGCCTGTCGTGTGAGTTTTTAGGCTATGTGAACACCTCTTTCTAATTCCCTCTCCTTTTCCTAATATGAGATTCACACTGATACCAACTCAGCATAGAACAAATGGTGGCAGAAAGGAGACTTTATAAAGAACAGGAAACAAAAGTGCTGACAAATACAAATACAGTAATGTGCAGCATAACGATGTTTTGGTCAACAGCAGACCTCACTTACCATAGTGGTCCCATAAGATTATAGTGGAAGCTAAAAAATTCCTGTCACCTAGTGACAGTCTAGCCATTGTGATGTTATAGCACAACATATTACCTTTTCTATGTTTAGATGCTCAAGTACCACAGCGTTACAACTGCCTACAGTATTCAGTACAATAACACATGATACAGGTTTGTAGCCTAGGAGCAACAGGTTCTATCACATAGCCTAGGCGTGTAGGAGGTGCTACCATCCAGGTTTGTGAAAGTGCACTCTGTGACATTCCCAGTGATGAAACCGCTTACCGATGCATTTCTCAGAATGTATCCCCGCCGTTCATTGAGGCATGATCGTACTCATACATTAGCTGTGCCTCGGCAGACGTTTCTTAAGAAGTTTCAGAACTACATCTTTGAAAGGAAGTTTTAAAAAGATTGTCAGCTGACAGGCAAAGTTCTACCTTTTTCAGAGTATGCTAGGCTCTTTTACTATATAACAAGGTATGCTTATCCTCAGGAAAAAAAATGGAAATAAATGAAAATAAATTTAACAGGCACCCTAAACCTATCGAAATCACAATTAACTCTTCAACTTAGGAGCCCAGGATGTAGTAGGGCAGAGAGAGAAGTTCAAGACTCCAATCCTGTTTATCTCAGCTTGGACCTCAAATTACACTTGTGTGTTTAGATTCTAGTTCCCGATCTAGATGACAGAAGAGATTTGTGAATCCTATCACCTACCACAGAGCAGGCATTCCATATCTTCCAGCTGAATAAATAATAATAACCGACTTTAACTGAACACTTGTTATGGATAGATTCTGTATTAAGGACTTTAACTTGCATTATCTTGCTTATCCTCCCAACAACTCTATTAGTAGGTATTTTGATTATTATTGCCATTTTATAGATGGGGGAACTGAGGCTTAGCAGGGTTAAGTAACATGCCCAACTCACACAATTACTAAGCATCTTCATGATTTTGTCACCCATCTTGAAAGTGCTGGAACAGGAATTTAAACCCTAGCAGTTTGACCCTAGACCCAAAAACTCTTGAGTATTTCACTTTACTCTTGTATAGGTATCAACTTACTTGGTTAATATCAGGAATTCAGGTTTCTGTTTTCAAAGGAGACACTTCAGAAAACGTTCCTGTCTTTAAACTTAAGAGGATGCACGAGACAGGAGCTGTTGAACGACTGTCTTGGAAGAGGGTATAGTCTCAACTTGAGGTCTTATTCTTACTATTTGGCTTCTTTTAATGACTAAGGATTACTTTGGACAAATTGTGGATTATTATAAGACCTCAAAGTTGAGAGGTTGTTTTGTCTTTTTAGGAGAAATAAGTAATTACTCTGAATTTGGTAAATTCAATTCCCACCATTATAAAGGAAAATTAAGAATAAATCAAATCGACTTCATTTCATGGTTAAGACTTAGAAGAGTAAGACAATAAACATGACTATTACTCATGAAACACTACTAAACAACTTTAAAAGATTAGTTGCAAGAGGTGTTTCATAGATTTAATTCTAGTTGTAACTCAACTATATACTCCTCTAAGTTCCTATGAATTCAAACCCAAGTGTCTACTTAAAAATATGTCTTATATTATAAAACAGAATTAACAGCATTACTTTAACAGGTTAAAAAATGATACCGGCACTAGGCAAAAGTTATTTTGATTTTTGTCTTCATTGGAAAAGGCAAAAAAGGATGCACATTCTGAAAAAAAGCACTTAAATTTCCAAGTACATAGAGAAAACTCAATCTTTAAATGTTTGCAAAAGAAATGGTTTATATAATTAATCGTCACTTTAAATGCAAGAAATTGCTTACAAAAAATAAATTAACTCCTGGACATGTTTCATGAGACCTGCTTGCAACTTTTGATCTATCATATGTTTTCAGCGATTGGTGATCTTGTCTTATCTCAATTTCTCTGCCTACCATAGCTCTTATTCTCTATATGTGCAGCATGAATAAACACATAGAATTACCAATGAGCTAAGAAAACATAAAACATCCCCAAACAGAGACAAATAGAAAACAATAACAATAACCTGAAATGAAGGTATTTTTGCCAAATATAATTTTTTAAGTGCTATTATTTCTAAAGTAAAGTTCTTATGTCACATTGTGCCAGTTAAAACCAAGTCTTGATGGTCAGATTCCTGAGAAGGGGACACTGGTCGACTTGACTCACCTGTCAACCAAGTTCATTAAAGCCCCTTCCTAATTACGACATCATGATCTCAGAATCTTAAGAATTTCCAAATTCATTACAACAACTTCAGTCTATAATTCTCCCCACTTTTTAGTGTATCTATGTGTTCACTATATTTCCTTAATTGTGTCACTATCAATAGCAGGTATTCTTCTTCTTTTTTTTTTTTTTTTTTTTGGTCCTGGAAACAGAGATTTTCCCACTAGAGAAGAGACTCTACATGTCGGACCTGAGTAACACTGGAGTGTGGTGCCTGGCAGTCTAGATTCCCCCGCAGAAACACTACAGCAAGTGATTCAAATTCATGCCATAGAAAAGTTACAGGAAGCCACTGTCCTTCAAACCACTAATGAAGAGCTGAAATTGAGAATGTCAAGGCTGTGAAAGGCAAGGGTTCCTGTACTAAACTGTGCATGACAGATACACATTCTCTCAGACCTAAACAAATATTCTCTGTGGATTAGGAACCATTATGTAAATGCCAGTCTTCAGAAAAAAAAAATAGCGCAACTAAGAGAGGTTTATCTTCCATCATAATTACTTCTTTAGTAATCATAGCTCATATAATTGCTTGTTCCCTAGATACCAGCCACTTATTTGGTGATTGCATAATTACTGATTACAAATATAACAATCTTTTATTTCATTACTATTATTACTTAATCTGGGGGATCATATTTTCCTTCAAGAAAAACAGGATATATTATTAAGCACATCTGAGTGTGGAAAAAAAAGTATATATTCTATATAAAAGAATACACAGTTGATTATGTCAGGGGTTCATCTCTATTTGAATTTTTTAATTATTTATTTATTTATTTATTTTTGAGACGGAGTCTCACTCTGTCCCCCAGGCTGGAGTGCAGTGGCACCGTCTCGGCTCACTGCAAACTCTGCCTCCTGGGTTCATGCCATTCTCTTGCCTCAGCCTCCTGAGTAGCTGGGGCTACAAGCGCCTGCCACCATGCCCGGCTATTTTTTTTTTATTTTTAGTAGAGACGGGGTTTCACCATGTTAGCCAGGATGGTCTCGATCTCCTGACCTCGTGATCCGCCCTCCTTGGCCTCCCAAAGTGCTGCAATTACAGGCATGAGCCACAGCGCCCGGCCTCTATTTGAATTTTTAAAGGCAAATATTGTTTTCAAATTTTTACTGATATGGTCATCTTTTTGGCTTAATTAAGCATTTTGTTAAAATAAATGGGGCCTATGTATGTGCAAGAATCAGAAGAGAAGACCTTTTAAATCTAAACTATTATTTCTCTGCCCTTTAGGAAAAATACAAATTAGCAGTTTTGATACGAGGGTCAAACTTGTTGATCTTTCACATTATTCTGGGAGATGAATTGGTTTGCAGCCAGAAGGGTGGGAAAACTGAATGACTGTGTTTGCAGCTTGCCTGTACCACACTGTTTTAGACTTTGAATGTCTAAAACCTTAGAATGACCCTTATTTCAATGTAAATATGAAGTATTTTCTTTCCCCAAAATATAGTTTGGCAATTACAAATGATTTTTTATGATCAATTTTAGGTTTTGGTATATCAACAACACCACTGGCCTTTTTTGAGTCTAAGAGGGTCACATGAAATTAACAATAATTTGACTGCATGAAGTCCCCAGAATGATCAAAAGTGGTAGGGTAGTTGAGGGCCAACTAGGCAATCTAGGTGGAATCAAACTCTCTTATACTCTCTTCTGAGAAATTCCCACTGTCCATTAATGAGTGAATAATCTGCAATTTCAGCTAGAGCCATGAGGCACATAGTTCTCTTCCCAGAACTAAGTATTTAAAACAGGTACCTTTTACCTAGCTATAGAAAGTGATGGCAAGCCCTGGAGCCCAAATGTTCCAGAATTCCAAATAATACTTGAATATTTACAACTGCTTTTCATAAAAAGTTCAAGCTTGTTTCATTACTATTAGTCTAAATATTATATTAACAGGTATGCTAGCAAGAAGGCCTTTTATTAGCTCCTGGATTGTCTCTCAATTATTAAAAGAGCGTTCAAATTATGGTTATTTTCTGTTTCTGTCCATCAGAAAATCCAGCTGATAAGAAAAATAGTTTATTGAAAAGGAATACATGCACATCAGTAGTGTAAAGAAGTTAAGAAGAAATAAAGCATGAGAAGGTGACCTTTCAACAGGAATTATTGCCTCAATGCCAGTGGTTGAAGTGGGATTTCTCAACTGAAACATATCAATACTGAAAAAATTATTCCATGTCGTTTACATAGTGATAGATGAACTTTGATTTGAAATGATTTTGCAAATGAGATTGCCTCAAGCAATAAAAACAGAATTGCCATATTTCTCTGATCCCTTTTCATCAAACCAAGCTATTAAAAAATAAATTTACTTTGTGTTACTGCTTAAAAATACAATGGCTCAGATCAGTTTATGTGCAGAAACTATTGTTTGGCTGTGTGCATTTTTTATTTAATAATTTTAAACTGAACCTCAAATGGTATAAGGTTAGACGAACTGTAATTAATGATTGGCATTCATTGTTGGGCATGTTCACTATTGAATATTAAGATATTGATATTCATAACTTTTGGGAATTAAATAACCCTTTGGTTGCATATTACTATGCTGTGACTAATAATTATTTAGCCTTAAAAAAGAAAAAAATAGATCTACACCCGAGAATAATAATTTATATTACCTAAACACAACAGACATCCTGATTAGAAGACATAAGAGTTAAGGTTGACATTGGAGAAGTAATTTTTTGGAGGTTGTAAAGGTGACTAATGTTTACCAAAATTATCACTGAGATCATCACCACCCTTATTTAACACGTACTTAACAGTGAAACCCAGCGTGGCACAGAGATGTATACGAAGTTTGTTTCCAAAGAAGAGCCAATGTAATTGTGCAGACACACAGAGCAGATACACATGAAAGAAAACAGCAGAAAAATACACAACTTCCATTGTGAAAAGTCAAGGCTTGGTAATGTCCAGAAAGATGTAAGTAAAATTCTCCCAGCAAAGGGCTTCAGGGGACTCTGATTCCTACAACAAGAGAAGCAAAAGGGCAAAAAGCACAAGTTGCGCTGAGTAATATGGTGGCAACAAGAAAAACACAGAGATTTTCAAATCTCAAAATTATCTGCGAGACATCTAGTTTCAGCTTAGAGATGTTGAAAGTATCACTCCCACCCTTACAATAAGGAAAAGGGTAAATAAACAGTATATTAACAACTTTTCTTAATCCCATGAGAACACTAAGGATGGACAGCAACCAACCAAGATGCATCTGGGGTCAGAAAGGTATCTACAGGGACCAACAAAACCCAGCATTGCAAACACTCCATGTAAGCTGTTAAGAAGATTCAGCTAAATTTTTTTTTAATATATTGCTATAGGCTAAATATGGGCTATCAAAAAGGGAGAAGCCCTGTAGATGCAGAATAAACGTGTTCACACTCTGGTCAGCTTTCTCTCCATGAACCCTATTAGGCATTCGGGAAAGTTTGATAAGAATCCTGAGAAAGCATCCTTGATGGAGCTGGCAGGGGGAGGGGAAAGGTAGCCATCCTCAATGTGTACACACCTAATAGAGATTCAAATTACATAAAGAGAACACTAATAGGACTGAAAAGAGAAATAGGCAAATCCCAGCTGTACTTAAGAGACTTCAACACTCCTCTCCCAGTAATTAATACAGTAAGTAGGCAGAGAATAAGTAAGGATATAGATGATTTGAACAACACTAACTGCCAATTTGATCTAACTGACCTTTATGGCTCATTCCACCCAATAGCAGCAGAATAGACATTCTCAAGTGCACTGGGACCATTCACCCTAATAAACCACATCCTGTGGCATAAAACAAATCTTGACACATTTAAAATAATAGAAATCATACAAAGCATGTTCTCAGGTCATAATGGGATTAAACTCTAAATCAGTAACAGAGAGATATAAGAAAAATTCCTAAGAATTTGAAAATTAAGCAGTATACTTGTAAATAACCCATGGATCAATGAGGAAGTGTCAAAATAAACTTTAAAATATTTTGAATTGAATGAAAATGAACAATGAACATACATCATAAAAATTTATGGGCACAGCTAAAGCAGCATTAGAGAAAAGTGATAAGAGAAAAGTAGCATTGATGATTACATTTTCAAAAGAAGAAAAGTCTTGAACCATTAACCTAAGCTTTTACCATAGGAAACCAGAGGAAAAAAGATCAATTCCAATCCAAAGCAAGCAGAAGAAAGGCAATAATACATATTAGAGCAGAAATCAATGAAATTGAAAATAGAAAGATATGTATTTTTAAATCTATGAAGCTAAAGCTGATTCTTAGATCAATAAAATTGATAAACTCTAATCAGAAATTACTAATCTTGGGGATAAAAAAAGAAAATCAATATTAACCCCATAGACATTAAAAGGATAATAATGGGATACTAGGAACAATTCTCTCCTCATAAATTTGACAATGCAGATAAAATCAATCAATTCCTGAAAGACATAAACTACCAAAATGCTCATTACAAACGTTTTAAGACAAATAAATGGAGAGAGATACCATGTTCATGGATTGGGAGACACAATTAGGGAGATATAATTAGGACCTCAATTTTTCCCAAACTCATCTACAGATCTACACAATTCCAATCAAATCTCAGGATAATTTTTTGTATATGTTAAGTTGATTGTAAACTTTATATGAAAGGCAAAAGGTCTAGCATAGTCAAGCCAATATTTCAAAATAACAAAGTTGAAAGATTCATATTACACAATTTTATAACATACTATTAATCTACAGTAATCAAAACTATGTGGTATTGGTAAAGCCATAGACACATAGAGCTGTAAAACAGAACAGAGATCCCAAAAATAGATGTGCACAAATATAGTCAATCAATTTTTGACAAAGGTAAAGTAGCAATTCAATTAAGAAATGGAAGCCTTTTCAACAAAAAGAAACCCTAGACATCCAAATGTAAAAACATAAACCTTGACACTTACCTCACCTCATGTACAAACACTAACAATAAAGATTATAGACTAAATCTAAAACATAAAACTATGAAACTTTTAGAAGAAAATATAGTAGAAAAATCTGTATTATCTTTATTTTTGCAAATGCACCAAGTGTGATCCATAAAAGAAATGCACCAAAGTGTAATCCATAAAAGAAATGCACCCAAAGTGTGATCCATAAAAGAAAAAAATTGATAAACTGGACTTTACCAAAATTTAAAACTTTTCCTCTGTGAAAGAGAATGTTATGGGAATGAGAAGGCAAGCCACAGGCTGGAAGGTAACATTTATAAGCCACATATTCAATTAAAAAAAAACAACTAACTTTCAAAATTCATAATGAATTTTTAAACTAGAACAATAAGAAAACGAAAAATTTGATAAAAGATAGCAAAAGATCTGAGTAGACACTTCAAAAAAGAATAATGGATAGCAAGTAAGTCATGGAATACATGAGGAGGGAACAACACAGAGTCAGGTACAGCCTTGGCCTTTGGGAGATCATAACTTTTAGATGCTGAAAATCAACAAAAACAAATATTTTAATAACATATAGCATTATGGAAATCAAGATAAGGGAGCAATTAATTCAGTCTGAGGGAGTTCAAAAAGGATTCACATGGGAGAAGATTTTTAAGCTGATTGGTCTTAAATTTCCCAGCACAAAAATGCTTATCTTCTCGGTGCTCCATAGCTGTATTTTACAGCTGACCTTCATGAAGTCAACCTCGAAGTCCTCTTCATTCTACCAGCTGACTTCCTCTTCTTTCACCTTTTTCCTTTCCTCTATCCCCAAAGTCACTGTCATCATCTCCTGCCTGCAGGGATGCAGCAGGCTTCTAATAGGATTACTGCCTCAACCTTCATGCTGCTGTCCACATGACCCTTCTAAAATGCATACAAATTATTCACTTACCTGCTCCACGAATGTCTATCAAATGCCTACTGCATATCCGTAGTGGTCCCTCAGCTTGGCTAAGATATTTCAATAAAAATAATACATGTTTCTGGAAGGATGAAAGGAAGGAGGACAGTAAAGAAGGGAAGGGGCTGAGGAGAAAAGAGAGAAGGGAGGAGTGTAAAATGTAGAGATATGAGGGGAGGATGTAGAAAAGTTTGTGGAATAGTTATCAGAGTGACACATAGAGAACACCTGTGGGATGCAAGGAGATGACACTGTTGTTAGGGTCAGAATGAGACACACACAGAGAAAGAAACGATGATATTAGACCCAACCAATTAATTCTCACAAAGGATGAGCTGGAGAATCTAGATGCTTATTTGACATTTAAGCTTAAGTACCAAAACAACATCAGAAACCAGAGTAGGTGTCCTAAATAAGACTTGGTTCATTTTCTTGTAATTGCAAATTTACTCTCGAGACATAGTAGGAGCTTGGATCTATTCATAGAAGATCTGCCAATAGGACTTTAAGTCTAACTTTAATGTTTTAATTCAATGGATTCCTCAATCAATTTGCATTGATACCATCATTGGCATCATTCATTCATACTACTCATTAGCAAGTCTGTTGTGATCTGTGTCAAGTAACTCCTCCGTATTTGAGAGAAAAGTGAATCTCTTTTGTTAGACAAGAAAGCCTAGTGAGAAAGAAATAATTTTTAAAAAATACCTATTTTGGGGCCAGGTGCGGTGGCTTATACCTGTAATCCCAGCACTTTGGGAGGCCAAGGCGGGTGGAACACTCGAGGTCAGGAGTTCAAGGCCAGCCTGGCTAACATGGTGAAACCCCGTCTCTACTAAAAATACAAAAAATTAGCCAAGTGTGGTGGCGGGTGCCTGTAATCCCAGCTGCTCGGGAGGCTGAGGCAGGAGAATCATTTGAACCAGGAGGCGGAGGTTGCAGTGAACCAAGATCGCACCATTGCACTCCAGCCTGGGTGACAGAGTGAGACTTCGTCTCAAAGAAAAAAAAAGAATACGTATTTTTGTATGAATATACCTGGTGACGCTAGAAAAATGTCTCCCAAGTTCCTTTCGCCACACTGACACCCCTGAGCTATATTAGCAGAGAAGATACATAGGGAATGAGTTATCTCTCAAATAAAGTTGGTGTTTTACCTCTCTAAAATAAAATTCATTAGAGCTATCAACATTGCATATTCATTTTCCTTGACGAAGACTTGGATACAGCAGCTGCATATCCATCCAATTTATGCTCATTCATGTAAAGGTATATTCACACACCACTCCATGCAGCTGTGCCTTTACAGATAATCCCTGACTGATTAATGGTCAACAAATGCTGAAATGTGTGCTGCTATTGATGGTCATTATAAACTACCTCCGACTCATGAATCTTTTCAACTATCTAACCTAAGATGATTTAGTTAATTTGAACCAGTATTTAATTCAAATAGAAGGGTTTATAATCCATGTGTTGACATCAAGATATAGCTTATTATGCATATAATTATAATAACATTGTGTTTAAATGTCACTGCACAAAAAGAATGAGTATAATTAAGGTCTTCTAGGAGAGCTTGTTATTCTAGGTTCTGCTAGAGGAAGAAACTCTTCTATAAATACTTCTCTAAATTTTCCAGCTTTCATTGAAAAGAAAATATGATTATATTCAAATATGTAATTTTATTATAATGTGATATTAGTGGGAATAACACAGAAGATAAATAAAAAAGGGTAAAACTGATAGTCTTCTGACAATATTCCATTATGCCAGTCACAGTGCACTGTTTCTTATAATCCATTCTGTACTATTGCTGCACTCCAAGAAACCAAAGTAAAGCTGTATTATTATCTAGGCAACAAAAATCGACTTAGACAATTTCTCAGCGAGAACATAGAGAATAAATACTCTACCTCAAGCTAGTTGTGCTTTTGGCATTTACAGATAAGGATGCAAAGCTGAAACATACTCCTTCAATCTGTACAAAAAGCTGATTAATACACTTCGGCTATTTAAAAATCAATCATTTTCAGGCTACAGATTACTTTCTAATGATCAACGGCCCAGCACAAAAGCCACAAATGGATACCAGTCTGAAAATGTGAGAGATGGCCTGTTTTGGGGCAAAACAATACCCCTCTTGCTAAAACCTGAGAACGTTAGAACTGAAAGAAATTTTGAGAAGTCTTGCATGTCGGCACTGGCATACAGCAGTCACTCACTCAATGCAGGATGAGTGAGTGAATGAATAGGTGGAATGTTGTCATGCTCCTGTCATTGGACAGAGTTGTAGTTAAACCATCTCAGAAAAATTAGCCTGCTTTATTTTAAAGTTTCTAAGGTAGATATTCCAAATATTGTTTGGTAATTCAATTCAGTTTTTATTGTCAGGATTTTTTTCTACTAGTAAACTTTGATATTTTATGACTCCATACCAATCAATCTCTGATTTCATGATGTCTAGCTCCTCCTGCCATATTTAAGCCCTCTTCCTCTTGTCTAATTTTTTCTGGGAACACAAAGAACAGGTTCTCACTATCATTCATATTTCCCTAGTCCTCAGATAAATCCACTTAACTATGCCATACCCCACCAACAAGATGCCAAAAAGTAAACATTCTGAATTCTCTGCTACTGAGAGGAGTGTCTTGGATTATTCTTTGGGGAACACCAAGGTAGTTGGGGCCATGGTGACAACCAACAGTAGGAAGCAAGATAGGACGTATAAGCGGGGCCATTTTTGTCTATGCAGACCAGAACTGTTAGAGATGGAAGAGTTCCAAAAGGTTTTTCCAACTCTGGTTTTTATGTTGCAAATGAGGAAATGGAGGTCAAAAGAAGTTGGGTTAATTTTCTGAGGTCACACAACTAGTTAGTGTCGAGCTAGGACTAGAAACCATGGGGTCTAGTTCTGATGGTCAGCTCAGGGGTCTCTCTTCCACCACAGTACAAAGACAGGTTTTGGTTTTATTTTGCCAGGAGAACACATGATAGAATGATAGAAGAAGCCCTCTGCTGGGTGGGGTCAGGAGATCTGTTTTAGTAATAATAGTTATTATAGAAAACACTTTTTAAAATATGATAGGCATTGTACTGAACGTTTGACGTTCAGTAACCCTTTTAACCTTCATAACAGCTCAGTGAATTAGGTGATATCACCATTTTCATTTTACAGACGGGGAGAGTCTGGCACAGTTTAAGCTGTCAGCCCAAGATCACACAATAGCTGGTATAGCTGGTCTTCAAAGCTCACTCAACTAGGTTATTTAATGTATCTCAGCGATTACTTCACCAAGACAATGAGAGGATTAAACTATATGACTGTCCACTTCTACAATTAAGTGTAAGGAATAACATTCTCTGCTTTGTAGCAATTTTCCTAGAAGGCTTCTAATGCTTCTTATCGCTTTGTCCATTTGTATGCACACAAGCACAAGAATGTGAGCGACCTTGGAAAAACCAGAGGGCAATGCAGAAATTGCTGACAGTGGCTTCTCTCCTGAGAAATCACCATTATTAAAGGGGTTTGTTTCAATCCTTAATAATATAAATTTTGGAGCACCTCCACAGGGCACTGAGGTGTCCTTAAGTGAGTCAAGGCTGGTCCTGGCAGGACATTGATCCTTGGCTGCCTACACAGCTCTGGCCAGTGGCATTTGAGGAAAGGGGACTGGAGTTGAGCAGGGAAAGTAAGGACATCACACTTTAAAAAAAAATAGCTTTCAGGAGATGAAGAACAACCATGACAAATGCCAAACAAATTGGAACCATCTCAAAGTCCACAATAGCCATGCTATAAAATCAAATCCTCTGGGAAAGAAGCAATGTGACATTTATAACTTCAGAACAATGACATCTCCCTAGTTGGTGTTAGTGAAGGCTGCCTACGAGGAATGACAAAGAGAACATGTTTCCTCCCAGCAGGAGTATGTCTGCCAGGGCTCACAGGCCTGCTCACTCTGTGACACACACAGCTAACTCAAGTTGGGGAACAAACTTTCAAAGCCCACAGGAGAACTGTGCATGGGTCAGCCCTATGAAGAGATTAAAAGGTGGGCACACAATCCTCTTCCTGATATTCTTATGTGCTGCTACACTCAGATTCTTCCCCAAAACTCAGCTGTGCCTGAGATGTCCCCTGGGTGGGAGCCCAGTACTTAACTGTGTTATTAGGAGTCCCTAGAGTCAAATTGTCTTATAGTTAAGAAGTGGTCAGGCATGGTGGCTCACGCCTGTAATCCCAGCACTTTGGGAGGCCGAGGTGGGCAGATGGCCTGAGGTCAGGAGTTTGAGACCAGCCTGGCCAACATGGTGAAACCCTGTTTCTACTAAAAATACAAAAGTTAGCCAGGTATGGTGGCACACACCTGTAATCCCAGCTACTTGGGAAGCTGAGGTGGGAGAATTGCTTGAACCTGGGAGGCGGAGGTTGCAGTGAGCTTAGATCGTGCCACTACACTCCAGCCTGGGTAACAGAGCAAGACTCTGTCTGGAAAAAAAAAAAAAGAAGAAGAAGAAGGGTAGACCACTCACATTTATGGATTTAACACTTCTGCTTGTGTTTATCTGAAAATTACTAGGCAAATTATATGGGGTACTTTTGTGATTTGGCTGCGCACAAATTTGCCTCGTGGTCATTTGCTGGAGATAGATATTGGTGTGTAAAAGCGAATGAGCCACGGAGTAAGATAACTGATCAACACTTCCACAGCTCACCCTATCACCATCATCCTGGGCACATGATTCTCATGCAATCATTAGTTCATTATTTATGTATGAGAAAAAAATTAGCTATTTTGTGGGAGAAATTTTAATAGATGTAAAAAGTATACCAAGGTGTACCATGAGGAATCTGAACAAGAAACACATGATTCTCAACAGAAATAAGGTCGAAGTCAGAACCCTGTCCACATTTGAGAAACTGGACATTTATGAAGGTCTAGAGTAACAATGTCTTGTGCGTGTCTGGTGCCTACTATAAATAAAATGAATTGCTTTTAGAAAGAGCGACTTTATTCTGTGTTCCAAAGACCGGACATTAAGATTTAACTGGAAAGTTTTCCTACATATGCACACACACACACACGCACACACACTCACACCCCAGTGCCCAGCCATGTGAGTAGGATGTGCACAATGGAGTGGAGCACTCTACCTTTCAACATGTCTCTGGAGGCAGCGGCTGGGGACCGTGCACAGGGTGCAAGGCTAGCAGAGCGAACCCCACAGTGAACTCTTTCAGTGACAAGTGGATCTAATCCATGTCGCAGTGCTCAGCCCCAACCCTGGATGCTGCATTTATAGAATACATACTTCTCAACACCTTGAAAAATGATGCAATGTAAGTTCCACATGCCAGATATAAATATTAGTGATTGTGCACAAATTGTTCTTTCATTCTGACAATATAGATCTGCACTTTGTCACAGGTCACCTGCGTATCTATGATTTATTTCAGTAGGTAACCTAGAAAGAGGATGTGTGTTTATCTCAAGCTTTAGAAGACAGCCTCAACTCTCTATCTGCCAAATAGAGAAAAAAGTGTCATATTTTTATGGATATTAATATTTTCATTCTATAGAGTGCAAACTGACCATTATATGACTTAACATATTTCTTCTAACAACAATAACTAGTCTGATGGGTCTTACATCCCAAACATCTAAATGTGCACTTTCCCTAGAACTTTATGCACCACTCACATAGTGGATACATGATTATTTTATTTATTTACTATTTATTTTAAGTATTATTACACACTGATATGGTCTTCTCTATAAATAACACAAAAGCAGATCACTTCTTTACAGACAAAACCTAAAATAGAGCATAATCAAGCTTAGTGCATTTTATTTTTATTCTGACGGTGCTCATGTTTTTTGGTGCCTCTATTTCCATGACACTGGCCTAGCCATTAAGAAAGCTCAGACTCTGAATGGATGCAATTCTTTGTGGAACTAACATTTGACATAATTCTAGACATGTAGTAAAGTGCCTAAATAAGGTTTCTTCAGTCACTGAATGACCAAGCATAAATCTTGATTATTTCAGCAGGAATATTCAATTATAAAACTGGGCATTTAAAAATTTAGTCAACATTCACTTGTCAAGTGACTGCATCTCTTAACCAGGGCATCAGGTCTTTGGAAGCTGAAGTTTATATTATTCTTATATTACTCATAATCTGCCCAAATGGACTCCATAGCAACCAGAATATTGAATATAAAACTGCTTTCTGTCAAAGCCAATTTCTGTTGAATCTTTCAGTTACAAAACCTAAGCTTCTCATTAAAATATCTTTGAAACCTCTTTAGCCATTAGGTGAAACTTTGGTTCTAAATCTCTACTTATTCACAGTGGCACAATATTCCCTGAGTTTCCTGACAAATCTCACGTGAATGATGATAAGTTTCAAAATGCTGTCTTTGGGTGTACTCTGAGCCAAATGCAACAGCATCTTATGAGGTCTTATTTTGAATTATACCATTTAACATTATAGTGTGTGTACATGTGTAAAATTCTGAAATCTACCAGTGGAATTCCTTTCTTTCAGTGGTAGCTGACCTCCATCACATCTCCTTTGATTGTCTTCTCATCTGGAGAGGAACTTGAGATCCCTAATGAGATCCTAGAGAGCAACCTGAGACAAACAGGCCATGATATGGGATCGTTGGCTGAGACAGTCATGCTGTGACACACGCTGCTCCATGAGATGTTTCTGGTGCCACCGAATCAGTCCCACCTTAAGCCTCTTGAATGACAAACCATCCCTGAATTGTCTCTAAGTGGTGCAGGATTATCCTGTCAACTGGGAGAGACTAGTGACAGTTACTACTTCAACCACCCAAAAAGTAGGACTGAAAAAAGTCAAAGCCCCAGGCCTTCCCATCTTTACCTACGTACCATCCAACACATTACAACAAAGAGCCATTCAGCTATGGACGAAGGGTAGTAGGAATTAACCTAACATCACCAGGTGGTTGCTGTATTTTTTTTTTATAATAGAAATGTTCAATTAGATATTCATCAAGCACTGTTAAATGCCTTATGACAAGCACTTTGTGAAGCCCCGGATGCTCCAAAATACAGAAGATGTAGTCCCCATCCTTTTCCTCTAGTCCAAGCAACATCCTTTAGTTCTTTGTGAGATGTGCAATGCAGGATGCAGAAAAAACAGCTATACTCTTCTTTTAGGTGGAGTCAAGGTCCATTTAAACAACTGCTTTTACTCTAAATAGAAACTGACCTACAAAAGCCAGATCTCTTGACATCTTAGGATGATGGATTTATGCGAGAAATTTAGAAGATATTTTTTCAGTGTTCCCATTGTTTAAAAAAAAAGTCTGCCATGAAACAGGAAACTTGTCATTAAACTAAGCATTTGCATTCTTTTTTTTTAAATGATCATATAAAAACATTTTAATTGTATTATCTGCACCGAACTCTAGATACCAATAATATTTCATAGTTCAAAAGTGTTCCTTATTAGAACAATGATTTGATGCTACACCAAAATAGCAGTATCTCTGAAAACTTTATGGATTTTTAATGTATAATGATGCTTCAAATGCTCACATCCGTAATTCTTGCAATATTTTCTTAAAATATGTCAATTTCTTTATCTTTTATAAATACTTCATGCAAAATTTGAGTTGTGAAAGAATGACACATTTTTGAGAGCACTAAGTGTGTAAATGATTATATATACAGTGAGGCATAACCTTCCCTTGTGCCCACCAGCCAAATTGTTCAAATTCCTTTGATGCTGGAGATAAGTAAGAAATGCAGTGTAGGACAGCATTTGCATTCTTAATTGGTGGTACTGCCGACAAGCCAAGTATACTTGGGAAAGGCTATTGTGTCTAGCCTTGTAATTGACCTATGTGAGTTCAACACTTTTTTCACAATGTGCCTGGCACTGTGCTAGGCAGTGGGGTTTCAGAGATGAGGAAAACACTGTCAGAATAAAAATCAGCTCCTCCATAAGGAGACCAGAAAAGGTGTTGGAGGAAGGGTGGAGAATAGAGGACAACACAATCAAAGGTGTAAAGCATGAAACAGTATCATGTGTTCTAAAGCTATACGTTCTTTCAGAAACAGAATGCTAAAGAAACATTTTTAAAATAAACTATATATATTTTTGTATTGATGTTGCATGAAGTGCAAGACAATGGAGGAAGGGGAGTATTTGGAAAGTAGGTTAAAGAAGTAGGAAGGAATAAGGTCATACCAACAATAATTAAAAAAAAAAAAGTGTTGATGGGAGCCCCTGTGCCATGCTGGGAGCGGACTTTAGTGTGCGTGCAGTACCCATCCAATTGTCAGCACAATGCTGGAAAGGGGGCCTGCCAAGGGGACTCTTAAGTGCTAATGTGTCTGCCTATCAGCTGAGTGTTTGTGTGGGAGATCGGGGGCAGGACAGCTCCCAGGGGTGAGCATTTGCAGTAATTCTATGCTCCAGGACAAAAGAGGTTAAGAAGTGAGCATTTCCTATAACACAAATAACAACAATACTCACTCCAGCTACAAAATTTGTGTGCAAGCAACACTGACATTTTTCCCTGCTACCATGATGAGCAAGCATGTTCTACAGTCAGAGGAAAAGAAAACACTATCACATGGAACACTGAAACGAAACCAGATCAACCAACCAATAGAAACTCAAGGGGTCATACGTCTAGCTCTCATTCCCAAGATAAATGAAACCTTGAGCATTTCCCGTAAATCACTGATACCCTAACAAAAGCCATTTTACTCCCAGATTTTCCATTGCAGACATCTGAAAATGTGTCATGGTCTTTGTGGCTATGATAATCATGCAAGAACATTTCTTTTTTGTCTGTATGAACAGACAGACTGTAAACCTGATAAATTTGGTAATGTCATACATGTGTTTTTTAAATACCTGTGCTGTTTTCAATTTGGCTATCCACCTTATACTTAGGCACAAGTTTGCTTCTTTTTCTAAATGCTTTTCACTCTGTCTTTGTTTTATACTATAGGAAAGGGGGAATTTTAGAAAATTGTATATATGTATTTATATGCATATGGGTGTGTATATGCATATATTTTATTAATTTTGAAAGGATGTAGAAGAAAATATAACATTTTTTACCAATTTGGAGCAGGGGAGCAATTGGATGGGTGGGGCAAGAGTAGGTGCAAAATTTTTCACACTGGATGGATTTTTGTACCATGAGATATATTACCTACTTAAAAATAAAGCATGATGATCTCCATTTCAGAGATGAGGAAACTGAGGCAGAGAAAAGGTGAGTAGCTTCCTAAGGCCTATATCCTGTAAGTGAAGGAAAACGGGGACTTTTTTTTTTTTTTGAGAGAGAGTCTTGCTCTGTCGACCAGTGCAGTGGCATGATCTTGGCTCACTGCAGCCACCCCCGACAACCTGGGTTCAAGTGATTCTCATGCCTCAGCCTTGTGAGTAGCTAGGATTACAGGAATGCGGCACCACGCCCAGCTAATTTTTGTATTTTTAGTAGAGATGAGGTTTCACCATGTTGGCCAGGCTGGTCTCAAACTCCTGACCTTAAGTGATCTGCCTGCCTCGGCCAGGGAAGAATTTTAATGATAGAACACGTCTATCAGAAAGACCCCTCTGGAGGAATGGATTGCAAAGCCTGGCAGTGGGGCAAGAAGGACAGCCGGGAAGCAGTGGCCATAGTGCAGGTGATGGACGATGGGGATCTGGACTCGGGAGGCACAGATGGAGAACAGGGAATGTAGCTCGGGGATACTGGAAGGCGACATAAACTTGGCTTATGACCAGGCTGTCAGGCGAAGGGGAGGAAAAATGCAGGGCAATGCCTGGGTCTGTGGCTGACAGTGTAGGCTGTCAGTGTTGGCAGGCTGCCCAACAGAGATAGGGAAAACAAAGCAAAAGACAACTTGTGGGAGGAAGGGTGAAGGGATTCATCTTGGAAATGTGTTTTAGGTGCTAAGAACATACAGACGAGGAACCAAGTCCCATTAGGCAACTCTCCAGAGGTATAAGGCTCAAAATAAAGGCCAGGGAGACCTAAGCTGGTCACCAGGTAAAATGACACGGAGACGTATGAAGACCTGCCATATCCATGTTGTAGGTGAGCCCACAGAGGCCCTGAGCTGGTGAGAAGCTTTCCAAAAGTCTATGGCTGAGTGCTAGATGTGGGGTTCAAGCACCAGCTTGCCTGTCCCCAAGCCTCATCTCTTCCCTTCTCTCCATTGTGTCTCCCACCAGACGCTGTAACAGATGATGGTAAGGACACATTTTCTATCAAACGCCTCACCATTAAATACAATGTCAGCATTAACACCTCACAAATATTTCTTAATTACTCAGAAATGTATTTTTATTTTCTCGATTGTAGGTACTGAAAATCATCTTCACTATTTCCTGAGCTCTTCTTCACGGTACAGTGTGTATGTGTAAGTATTTTGACCCATTTTCTGCTCTTATCTGTAGAAAGCAATATAAATCTAGGAAGTAAGTATATTGGCTATTCCCAGGAAATATTAATTTCCAGAAGGTATGTAATAATCTGATACCAAAAATACCACAGGGGAGTTGGCAGGAAATTATCAGATAATACTGACAGGAAGCAGAAAGTTCCATGTTAAAGAAGAAGGGAGGGGGAGAGACTTTGACCTTCTGAGGTTGGACGGGCAGACTAGGAGCCGTGCAGCTCACCCCTTGCCAAGTTCCAAGCTCCCGCCCGTGTCCGGAAAGTCAGAGGAAAACTTTATCCCAGAAACTCAAACTGTGGGGCCTAAGTGATCCATCTTTGGTTTGCTGACTGAAATGTTTCAGTCAAGCCCATCATGACAGTCGTTATGCCTGCCAGGTTAAAATGGGTGTAATCAATAATCAGAGAAGGTGATGAATACATATGTCTCATGCATATCTGCATTAATTTCTTATTGGTGCTGTAACAAGCTACCACAAATTTAGGGACTTAAAGCCCTACAATTTACTTTGCTTACAGCTCTGTAGGTCAGTTCTCAGACACAGGTCTCACTGGGCTAAAATCAAGCAGCGGGTCTATGTTCCTTCTGCAGGCTCTGGGGAGAATCTGTCTTCTTGTCCTTGCCTGCTGCCTGGGGCCACCACATTCCTTGGCTCATGTCCCCATACCTCCATCTCCACAGCATGCCTGTGACTCCCCATTCCTGCCTCCCTCTTGCACTTTTAGGACTATTATGATGACAACACACCCCTACATAATCCAGGATAATCTCCCTGATCGAAAGTCAGTTGATTCACAACCTTATTTTCATCTGCATCATGGAGTCCCCTTTGCTTTATAAGCTAACGTGTTCACAGGTTCCAGGCATTAGGATACGAATATATTTGGGGGGCCCGTTATTCTGCCCATCACACTCTCTTACAAACTTGACTAGCTCATCATGCATAATCCAAAAGTGGTATGTTTAGAACATGCTGTGAACTTTTGGTTGAAGTACATAAAGAATATGAATATGAATACAAATTTGAAGCAGGAAGGAGAACTATTGCCTGTTTTGTTGAACTATGAAATAACTAAGTTATTTTAATAACTCAAGATATATGCAACATTATAAAATGGCAGATTAATAAAAGTTAAACTAGGCTCAAGAAGTGTTAGCAAATTCTGGTTATTCTTACAAGAATCAATGCTGTTTAGGAGCAGAGTAGGAATTCCTTGCACACGATGACTCCTTTCTAGTTGGGATTTCTTATCTATACAAATATCCTTATTCAAAGTTGTACACTTAAATTCTGAATAGGAGATAGTTCCACTGTGGCTTTACAACTTTCAATTTTGATTTAATTAACGAAAGAGTTTAATACCACTTTCTTTGAAATAATAAAATACAGTTAGATGGAACGTGGGGAAAAAATGAAATCTTTTTGCACACTACTGTGTTTCTGACAACAAGAGAGAAAGGACTGTCCTGATCCAGGTGTCCATGCTGTCATGATGGTTTTGTGGAAGGGCCAACCTGGTACCCCTACATAATCCAGGATAAGATGCTGGGTCCTTGCCCACCTGGCATTATGTTGGAAGTGAGAGGTAAAAACACACAGGACCTGGAGAAAACATTGAGTCGATACCCTTCTGTAACTCTAAACTGATGACTTTCATATTGGGTTTGGCATTTACTGTTCAGATTCAATCTTTGAAAAGGGATGAAACCACGGATGGGCATTACTGCCATTTTACCTGCCCTTCCCACCTTCCTCCCTGCAGCGTTCAGTGGCAACAGTCTAGTTAGAAACCACCACTGGCAGAAAGGCTTAAAGAACTACGAGCCACCCAGCACAGAGGTAAGGGAAATAAGATAGACAAGTTTTCTAATGTTTCAAACTACATATGAAGACACTTGCAAATGGCTAAGAACAATTGAATACGAAATATGAAAGTATTGAATCATGTCAATATTTTAAAGGGCACGTGTTAAAAACCTGATTGCTTACCCTTTCAGAATTTAGTATGCAACATGTCTAGAAAGATAAAAATTGGACCAGAAAGTATTTTTAAAAGAACATGATTTGAAACAAATAAACCTATCAATTTCTGAAATGTTCATCAAGACGTGATCTATCAAATGTGAAGTGGATTTTTCATAGGCCTGCAGTTTGCTAGGACTATTCCACATGACTGGTTAATCAGTTAACAGGACACAGACAAGCTGGTAGATTCAGAATATTCAGCATATACACTTGGAGTGAATTACCATACCTGCATTTGTAACATAAAGGCAGACAGTCCCGGCATTTCTTGCTCATAATGAAGGGAGAGAGTCTGACCAGCAAGGAGAAGCTGAGCAGGAGATTTGAAACATCTCTAAAAGTATAAGGATGAGCTGATAGAATTTTTACCACAGTTTTGATAGAAGAAGATACATTGGATAGGCTTCAGAATTAAAAACAACAAGAGAGTGAAAAACTAAAGCAAACAGATGAAATGAGGCAGGGGAAGTAGACATCTGTTCTTTCCAAGGTGAGGATCAAAACCATTCATTTTAATGCGAGTGACATTTCCAGAGTGACTTACCCGATACTCAAAGCACAGGAACAGAGAAAAGTGCACAGAAGTGGGAACATAGGATGCATTTTAAAATTATTATAAGGTAATAATCCTTCAGCCTCTCATGTACTTTAGAATGAAACAAAACAGGATGAAGGATTTGACAGATGATATTGGATTCACTCATCTCCTGCTCCCCAACTTAAAACATCCATTCTGTCCTCTACGTTTTTGATGAAAAACACCACCACACACAAACCAAAAACAGCAAGGGAAATGGAAACAGCTCTTCTACTCAGGGTCCCACTTGTCCAGAAATGAAGAAAAAGGGAATGTTTGGCCAATAGAAGAGTTCCAGATTCAGAGAGTGAATGATAAATATTTCACTGGACTATCATTTAGAACAACAGACTTTCTGTACGATTCTCTTCTTAAACAATGATTATTATTTTTAAAGAATCTAAGAGTTTCCCAATTTTCATGGTTGTATTTTATTCTACCATAAAATCATCTCCCAAAAGTACCTATATTTCTCATAATGAAATGACCAATTTATTACCTGATTTGACCCATCAGCTTCATTTTACAGTTGGTTACTCCTTGAAATTCTTGCTTTAAGTGGTTTTCTGGATATCACACTTGCCTGGTTGCCCTACTTCCCTGGCCACTCCTCTGGCTTCTATGCTGGTTCAGCCCCATCTCTTTGGTCTCTAAATGTTGGAGTCCCCCAAGCTCAATCATTGCACCTCTTTTCTTTTCAATCAGTGTTCATTACCTTGGGGATTACATCCATTTGTATGACTCTAACACTCATCTGTTAGTTGGTGACTCCCAAAAGTATATGTCCAATCTGGACACTGTACTAGTTAGTGCAACACTAATTTCTGTCTCAGATAAACTACTGAATCTCAGTGGTTATATGCAGATAAACTACTGAATCTCAGTGGTCATATGCAACAAAAATTCATGTCTTGCTTCCGAAGTCTATCGCAATCATTCCTTGTTGGCAGGTGGCTTTGCACCTGGTTATTTGGGGTCCTGGGTTCTTTTCGTCCTACGGTTCTGCCTTCTCCTTTCAGCAATCCTCTAAGGATGGGGAAAGAGCTTGGAGCATCATACTCATGAGGTCTTCACAGCTGAGCCTGGATGTGACACATAATACTTGTGCTCACTTTTTATTGGCTAGAGCTCAGTCACAAACCCAGACTCACTGCAAGGAGGCCAGGACACACAGCTTCGCTGAATCTCATGAAAGAAGTGTGACAAACATCTCAGTCTTAGTATACCCAAGTACAGAACTTATAATATACCTCTCCAAAAAACTCATCCTTTCCAGAGTCTTCCCCTTCACATTAAGTAACTACTCAATTCTGCCATTTGCTCAAGCCATGGCATCATCCCAATTCAACTGTCTTCCTTCCACTTCCCACATCCAGTCCAGTAAGAAATCTGCTGATGCTACTACCTTCAGAATATATCCAGAATTAGGTCACCTTCCACCACTTTTGCCCCTTCCATCCTAGTCTAAGTTTCCATCCTCTCTCCCTTGAAAGCTTTAAATGTCTCACCTTCTTGAAGTCTGTTCTCAACACTTAGCCCAAATGAGCCTTTTAAAATCTAAATCTGATCATGAATCTGCTCAAAAGTCTCCAATGGCTTCATATATCATTCAAAGCAAAAGATAATCTGTGCTCTAGTCCACCAGATGGTACTGGGTTTGGTCCCATCCTTATCTCCTTCTCTTCACCCACTGCTCACTCCAGACACATTGACCTTCTTGCTGCCCTTGAACATGCGATGTTATCTGTCTGAGATCCCCCTGCCTGCATATTCCCACATATCACATAATTCACTACCATCATGTTCTCAGGGAGATTTAAATTATTCCAACAGCATACCCAAAACTCCTCATGCCACTCTCTGCTTTATTTTTTCTTCAGAGTGCATATCATCATCATACATACTATGTGCTTTTCTATTAAGGTGTTTCATTCTGTTTCCTTCCATTAGAATGTGAGCTCCATTAAGGCAGACACTTTTGTCTATTGTTTGTTTGCTTTTGCTGCTGTATCCACAGTGCTAGGATACTGTGTGACACATAGTAGGTGCTTAACACATATTTTTTAAATGAACAGATAAAATATTTCCCTTTAAAGACTCAGCAGAGATGACTGTTCCCCTTCCAACCAGACTGTCTCCTTGTGCTCTGTCAGCAGAAGGATGGTGCTGGAACTTCTCTGTAGATTCAGAGTTCAGTTATCCCTCAGGATTATCAGAGTCGCTGTGCATCATGGCAAAAGAAAAGAATATACCTTCTATAACCAAATATAATAGATACAGTTGAATTGAGCAATTTTTTATTGCTGATTTAATATTTATTGGGCCACAATTTGGGAAACCCCAGTATCATTACTTCCTCCCTCCCCCACCTCATTTGCATGTGAGAGGCAGCCAGATCCACAGGCCTCACTACATGTATGTTTTCCTGCTCCCATTAAGCTTGTTCAGAGTAATGCCAAAGTCATTTCTGACAACATCACACTTGACCCTGAGTAGCAAAGATACACACACAGCAAAGGTAGAAAGTATCTGGATTCATTTTATTTGTAGGCAAGTGGTTACTTTTTCTCAGGATATATAAGCATTGACATCCTATTTTCCCATAAACCTCTTTGACCTTCAAATACCATATTTCATGAATTTTCTTTTTCTTTTTTTTTCTTTTTTTTTTTTTTGAGACGGAGTCTTGCTCTGTCGCCCAGGCTGGAGTGCAGTGGCACAATCTCGGCTCACTGCAAGCTCCGCCTCCCGGATTCACACCATTCTCCTCCCTCAGCCTCCCACATAGCTGGGACTACAGGCACCCGCCACCACACCCAGCTAATTTTTTGTATTTATTTCATGAATTTTCAGATGAAGAGATGAAGATTTTAAGTCACTAAGAGTTTGAAACCCCTCTTCGCTGATGTTGATTATGACACCACAAATTGTCAATGATTAGAATTTAGTGAGAGTTTTGTGGATTAGTTTCAGTTTGCGGCCCTTTTTGAAATATATTTCATGATACTTTGCAAGTTTAGCATTGCCAAAATTTTATATGAACTATTCAGGCAAAAATATCTTATTTGCTGGTACAGATGATTAATGTTTTATAACACCGAGAAAATTAAAAAGCTATAATTGTCATGAATACTAATGGTGCATAATATGTATGAAGGTCATTACATGGTCAAAGATCTTAAAATAGCTGGCATTTTGATTAGCCCTGGTTCCTCTTTTGTCTCCCTTTACATAAATTCATTAACACACCTCTAACATGTCATTAGTCTCACATTGAGAGACTCACCAATCAGCATTCTAATTCCAGTAAAGACCAGTTGAGTTAACTTTGTCTCTGCATTCAAAAAGGAACTATTGGGAGGAACAAGCATACTGAATTTTCATTGTCCCATGTTCTATGGGACCTGCCCATCCTACTTCCTAGGGCTGCCCATTCTACTTCCTTTCTGCCACTGGGCCATAATTTTGTAGATTTCGCCTTTTGATAAGAAATGACCACCTTGCCTCCGAGTGAATTCAAAGGATGGATCCGGAACACAGGGTCTATAGGACATGGGGAGAGGGAGGGTGAGGCAGCAAATGAGCTTTCAGGAATTTCAAAGCACAGCATACTACTTTTTGGTATAAGGACTGGCACTTATTTTCAACCTGAGCTCTGCTGAACGTGTGTGTGTGTGTGTGTGTGTGTGTATGTGTGTGTGAACTTTTGTTAGAAGGAATCAGAATAAAACATAAAATAAGAAAACAATTGGTAATGGTATTATTATACATGGGTTTGATTTGACTTGATCTTATTCTCTTGGTCTCTTTCCCCCTGTAAACTTAAAACATGTGTGGAAAATTGCCCATGCTGTCCTTTCTCCTTTCTTGCTGTCCAGCCATCTCAGGGCTAGGCCCATGGGCATTCATTTTGCCCATAAGCACTACCCTCAATGTAAAAAGAAGTTCCTAAACATTTTCTGAGTACCAGCAAGCTCAGGACATTGAGCTTGCAGCTGTGGAGAATACCCAGGTAGACTACTTCCAGCTCTGTCCTCAAGGTGCTTTTATTTTCCTTTCTGGGAGATCTGTCAGTCAAACAGGAATGTGAGTTTGTTAAAGGCTGAACCTCTGAACTTATAGGAGTTATTTCTACTCAGGGGTCATCTCACCCTCCAAATAGCAATAGCTGACAGCATCCTGCCCACTAGGAGAATGGACGAGGGTCAGGCAAAGAGAGACAGAGAAAGAGGAGATGGGTCTCAATGCCGACAGAATTCAGGAAAGGTGCTGTGGGGAGGCGGCGGACGAGGCAACCTGTGTGCTGGGCCAGGCCAGTGGCGCTTGGAGCAAACTCCTGTAGGGCTGGTCTGGGGCTGTGGTCTGCTGAAAAGAGAAGGTGGAGGTCTTAATGTGGGTCACAGATAAGGGCAAAGGAGCCTCCTGAAACAGTTGTGTGCATGTGTGCGAGGGATGTGTGTGCAAATATTTTTTCTGCTTCCATGCTAGCATATGCACGCAGGCATTAATGAACTGAGCACTTCTAAGTATGTTTTCCCATTCTAGTTTAAAGAGCACACATGATCATTATTGGTACTAATTAACATTCTTTATATAATATTTATTTATTTATATTTCATTTATTGATTTATTTTTGAGACGGAGTCTTGTTCTATTGCCCAGGCTGGAGTGCAGTGGCACGATCGCAGCTCACTGCAACCTATGCCTCCTGAGTTCAACCGATTCTCCTGCCTCAGCCTCCCAAGTAGCTGGGATTATGGGCACCTGCCATCATGCTTGGCTAATTTTTGTATTTTTGTAGAGACAGGGTTTCATCATGTTGGCCAGTCTGGTCTTGAACTCCTGAACTCAGGTGATCAGCCCACCCCAGCCTCCCAAAGTGCTGGGATTACAGGTGTGAGCCACCATGCCCATTCTAATATTTATAATTATTTAAAATAATGCAAATTATGTAACATGTTTATCTGAGCTATGGAACAAAAAAACACAGAGTCCACAGGAATAAACTGGGAATATTTAGAAGTCTACATTGAAGTGAAATTCTATATGGAACCACGCAGCTCACCAACAAAACTGGAGCTGCCTCTTTTGCCATTTACTTGCTTCTGTATTTTCTCTCAGGCCCACAGGGCCTCATCCTCTCTTCCTGCAGCCCTTACCTAAATGCGATCTATTTTAATAGAAGGATCTGAAAGCCACTCACACTTAAAAGCAAGTAGCTAATAATAAGTAAAAGCCTTCTCTTTCCAGGGTTATCTTCATGTTAACAGAGATCAGAGGCTTAAGTTCAAAGAATTAAGCTTTAGATGTCCCAGCAGGTATGTGTATGTAACAGGAGGGGAGTGGATTTATTTTAGGGAGAGAGACATTCTACTGTCACTGAAATTACAACATAAAGAATTTTGCCTCGTGACAGGCAAGGCCAAGACTAGAAATGATGTGAACTCTGATCTTTCTCTGCATGGTGACATTAATAAAAAATGTAAAGCATTTTACAATATTATATATTTGTATAATATGTATTTTGTAACACTTTAGGCTATTATATTTTTAAAATTATGCCCCATATATATGTTCAGGGATACATACTATTCAGATATTCTGTAGAATTCAGCTAAGAATAACTATTTCATATGTGCATATATAGTACAGTTTTTTTCATTAGAAAAAAGAACCTAGCATAGACTTTGGACATTTCTAACCAAGTAGTTTAAATATTGAAAGGGTAGTTCAATTTCACACAGTAATACCCTAAATTGTACTATTGAGACCACAACACTGACTATGCTTTCTGTGTGCTTACCTTGTTTTCAAGGAGGGACTTTCAATTGTAGTGGAAAGAACAGGGATTTTGGAACCCTGGCTTTAAAAGTAACAATCATTAACAATAATATCATTTATTCAACGACTAGTATGTACCATGCTTTGAGTAAAGCACTTAGATACATTGTCTTATTTAATCCTCACAACACTTTTATAAAGAAGATATTATTATTTCATTTTGCAAATGAAGAAGTTGTGGTCTTAAGAATTTAAGAAACATAGTTCATTCAGTTACAAGTTGTGCAGGAGATAGTAACATTTAGGTCTATCTCATGGCAAAGATCAGTAGGCTTCACCATTAACTCACTTATTTTAAAAGACGCTTATTGCTGCTACTCTGCACAGTGCTGGACAGTGCTGGATGTCAAGGACACAGAGACAAATAAGGTGTGGGTTGTATTCTTGAAGCCCTTACAGCCTGTCGGAGGCACTCGGTGTGTACTCTAGGGACCACAGTAGACTGTGATGAACATCATGAGGAGAAAATGAACAAGGTTCTCCAGGAGTGGAGAGGAAAAGAGTCACAGTCAGACATGGAGTTAGGTTAGGAAGGGCTTCCTGGAGAAGGTGGTGATCAAGGTGAGCTTTGAAAGACAGGTAGGAATTATTTAGACAAGGATGACCAATAGATAAAGGTGAGATCATGAATACACTTCTATCTAAAGCCTTGAAATAATATGGCACCACCAGCTCTTCTGCAAATCAAAGGCCTGTGGTGGTAGCAAACAGAGATTGCAGAAAATGCACAGGCCAGTTTGTGAAAGAATTGATCAAAAATACAGGAAGCACTACAGGATTTTAAAGAGGAGCTGACAGAAATGCACTGGTTTTTAAGACCTCAGATACTTAACTTTGCTAAGCACAGTTTTGTAACCTGTGAAGTGGAGAAAAGAATTTAGTGATGAATGTATGTGCAGTAAGTGGCCATGGGTGGCACCTGCCTGGAGGAATTGCTCAGTGACCAGTAGGCAGGTACCAGGTACTTCTAAACACCGTCCAAGTATTCACTTACCCAATCCCCACTGCAACATTAGAAGTTGGTACTACTATTCGTCCACATCTAACAAATGCAGACAACTTGTCTAGGACCGGACAGACAGCAGCAGTAGTGGGAGGTTTTGAGCGCTGCTCATCCTGCCCTTTTCTGTTTTTTCAGATGGTGGCTATAAAGGACCCATCACTGCCCAGCCCAGCAGGTGCTCAAAGACTCTAGTTTCCCTTGGGACCTCAGAGAGAAGCAGGGAATTATGACAGTCACTGTGATGTAAGGAGGGGACCAACCAATCCCATTACACAGAAAAATGCTATGAACACATTTGAATAAGTCTAAATCTGCATCTCTTTTTTTTCTGGGAAAGATGTCTGCGAGTGAAATAACTGTGTCTGTTAAAGCAGAAAGGAGAGCTTCCGGTTTTATTGCACCTGTGTGGTATCTATGACTGTGTAGAAAGATGGCTGCTGCTCCTGTGCATGGCCACGTGCTGTGAAGGATGGAACCCCCAGCCCACATTCAGAGCCACCATGGGAAGCACTTCCTGTGCAGGTCCAGGTGCTGGCAATACTCAATGGAAGAGATAACCACCAAAGCCGAAGCTCAGAACACAGGTCTGATTTGGATTAAAGAAGCCATCACACCTACTCAACAATCACCAATGTCTCCAGAAAGCACCCTTGTCTTTCCTTTAAATCTCCAGTATGCTTTGAAAAACTCCACCCACCGAAATACACCAGATGTTGCCTTCAAACTTTTTTGTGTGAATTTTATTAATGGAATTGCATTTATTTATTTATTCAGCAAATATTTAATGAATTCCAGTTATACCAGAGACACTGTGATAAGGGCTAGAAATAGAGAAATGTAACAGTCCCTATTCTTAAGCAGCTCAGACTAGTACAAACATTAGGTTGAGCCACATGAATCTGCCCTTTTTACAGGCAAAACAGTCAAACATTGGCCATTTTGTGTGGTTCAACCGAATATAACAACAATGAAAATGAAATACAATGCATACTCATAGGGAATTACGGAAACAGAGTGAGGCATGTGAATCCCTCTGAGGGAGTAAGGAAGGCTCTGCCAGGAACTGTGTTTCGTGAAATTATAACACCCTGCCTACTCTGGCCTTTGGACTCACCCTAGACCTTGTCCTTGCCAAAAGCTGCAGTTAGCAACCAATCTGAAATCTTAGGCCCACCATCCCACTAAATTACCCCTGCCTCTTTTACTTCTAGTTCATGCCTACAGACCTCTAATTCTAACCCTCCTGATCCACTGATCCTACTCCCTCCTCACTGTCTCTCACCTTTCCTCCCCTCCTTTCCAGCTTATATTGCAAATTACATGGCAACTAATTTAAACACTCCTTGCATACACAATGCTGCATTCTCACTTGAAAACACCACATCTTAAATAAACTCAACTTTCTGCCTAGTTCAGGGCTGCACCCATGAGCTGAATATGGCTGGAGTAAAAATACAACCACGCCAATGGTCTCATGTTACACCCTTGACTCCCACTCATGACTACACCCTTATGCTTCCAATCATGCATACTTCCTTAGTGCACTAATTCCCTACTTTCCTAGACAATTCTCTACATTCCTACATCATTTCTTTTCTACATTCCTACATCATTTCTTTTCTACATTCTTTTCTTTGCTCAGATCAATAGCACCTCCCCACATCCTGACTTTTATCCAATAATCTCATGACAAGAAGTGATCAGAGAAGAACCATCCCTAGCATCATGTCAACTTTCCTACCACATCACTACTTGAGTCTATATGCGATGCTATGCAGCCAGGACCACAGATGAACTAGCCTCGCATGTATCTCTAGCTAGTCCTTTTCTCTGTGCTCTAGATCTCATTCCTTCTTCAGTTTCAACTTCATGGGTTACTTCTACCAACTATTATTTTTCCCATCTTAAACCAACAGACAAATGGAATCTTATCTTGCCTTTTTTTGATGTTCAGGTTGGCACGAAAATTGTTTTATAGGGTCATTTGTACTTGATGTTTACAAGTCATTCCTCATCCCATGTTCTCACTTACTCACGTGCCTTCAGACTTTTTCATCATTCCCTTTAAACTGTTCTTATATAGGGCAACATGACCCCAAGTTTTTGCTCAAAAGATACAGATGCCATTTCATAATATTCAAATTGGATGTTCCCTACAACCCCGTCATACTCATCTTTCTGTTTTTATAGCACGTATTGCCTTGTAATATAAAATGTGTGTGTGTATACTTGACTCATTTATTTTGCTTAGTATTTGTCTTGTCTGCTAGAATTTAAGCTCTGTGAGGGCAGGGATGTTTGCTTTGTTCATCGACATATCCCAAGTGCTTTGAAATGTATGGCATAGAGTTGACATTCAATAAATGTTTGTGGATTAAAAGACTACTTCTACCAATAAAAGAATAAAATACCTATAAATATAGCTAACCAGGGTGGTGAAATATCTCTACAATGAGAATTGTGGAGATACAAAATACTGCTCAAAATAGTCAGAGGTGACACAAACAAATGGAAAACATGCCATACTCATGAACAGAATGAATCAATCTTGTTTAAATGGCCATACTGCCTAAAGAAACTTACAGATCCATGCTATTCCTATCAAACTACCAATGATACTCTTCACAGAATTGGAAAAAAACGTTTAAAATTCATATGAAACCAAAAAAGAGCCAGAATGTCCGAGGTAATTCTAAGCAGAAAGAACAAAGCTGGAGACATCACATTACCTGACTTCGACATACACTACAAGGCTACAGTAACCAAAACAGCATGGTATTGGTACAAAAACAGACACATACACCAATGGAACAGAATAGAGAGCTCAGAAATAATGCCACACATCTACAACCATCTGATCTTCAACAAAGTTAACAAAAACAAGCAATGTGGAAAGGTAAATGGAATAACTGGCTAGCCATATGCCGAAGATTGAAACGGAACCCCTTCCTTGTACCATATACAAAAATCACCTCAAGGTGGATTAAAAACTTAAATGTATAACACAGAACTATAAAAACCCTATAAAATAACCTAGAAAACACTATTCTGGACATAGGATATGGCAAAGATTTCATGACAAAATTGCCAAAAGCAATTGCAACAAAAACAAAACATGACAAATGGGACCTAATTAAACTAACGAGCTTCTGCACAGTAAAAGAAACTACCAACAGAGTAAACAGACAACCTATAGAATGGAGAAAATATTTGCAAACTATGCATCCAGCAAAGGTCTAACATCCAGAATCTATAAGGAACTTAAACTAATCAAAAAGCAAAAAATAACCTCATTAAAAAGTAGTCAAAGGCATGAACAGACACTTTTCAGAAGAAGACATACACACTAGCAACAAACATTTAAAAATCCTCAACGTCACTAATCTTTAGAGAAATGCAAATCAAAACCACCATGGGATACCATCTCACACTAGTCAGAATGGCTATTAAAAAGTCAAAAACTAACAGATGCTGGCAAGGCTGCAGAGAAAAGGGAAGGCTTACAAACTGCCAGTGAGGAGTTCAGCCATTGTGGAGAGCAGTTGGGTGATTTCTCAAAGAACTTAAAACAGAATTACCATTCAACCCAGCAATCCCATTACTGGGTATATTTTCAAAGGAATATAAATCATTCTACCATAAAGACACATGCACACGTATGTTCATTGCATTGCTATTCACAATAGCAAAGACATGAAATCAATGCCCATCAACAGTGGATTGGATAAAGAAAATGTACATAGACACCATGGAATACTACACAGCCATAAAAAAGAGAGAGAGATCATGTCCTTTGCAGCAACATGGATGGGGCTAGAGGCCATTATCCTATGCAAACTAATGCAGGAACAGAAAACCAAATACTGCATGTTCTCACTTGTAAGTGGGAGCTAAACATTGAGTACATATGAACACAAGGAAGGCAACAACAGACATTGGGGCCTACTTGAGGGTGCAGGGTGGGAAGAGGGTGAGAATAAAAAAAACTACCCATCAGGTACTATGCTTATTACCTGGGTGATGAAATAATCTGTATACCCAACCCCCATGACACACAATTTACCTGTACCACAAACCTGCACATGTACCCTTGAACCTAAAAGTTTTTTTAAAAGGCAAAATTCTTTAAAAAAAAAAAGTATTTCCAAAAACGTTTAGAGGTATTATAAGCTTTTCTCATCTTGCAGAAGATAAGCACACATTAAGAGTTGAAATAATGTTCTAAATAACAAAACAGACCACATCTCCCTCTTATCATGTTATCTAGTGTTATTTAGATGATGCTATCTCTTTATCATAATTTCTTTATTCCTAAGAAAAAGAGATTCCTTCAATACACATTATTCCAATTTTACAATAACTGAATAAGTTCCACTTTGAAGCTTCCTCCACTTCTATTTTTAAACCTATTCATAAATATCTCTATAAATAATGTACGATACAATCAATGTTAGTCAACAGATTTTTAAAAATCATAAAGGTTCGTGATTTGCCTTAAGTCAGACATGTAGGTGGTGGTTTGTTCTACAATTCCATAGGACAACTGGGTCATGGAAAGTTGTTATAGAAGCTTTCACAGCAGACACTAACATACAGCATGAAACTTCAAACACAATGAAAAGTGATTATGTACATATTTACTGAGCGCCAAATCAGAAGACAAGGTGTGTTCCTCTGCTTCATATTTTATGGACTGTTACTGTATTTTGGATACCAGTTTCATCCAATTGTTAACAATTTTCTCAGAGACTTGTTTATGCAGAAAGTTTACGGAAACGTGTTGTTGGTGTAATCTTCCTACAGGTGAACCTTACATGCTGGCCCAGGGGGCATGTCACAGGATTTTGGCTCCCTGAACACTTAAAGCATACATCCCTTTTCCCATCTTTCATTTCTTAAGAACTTTTTAACTTTTATTAACGTTTAAACTTATTTTTTAAAATGAAATAGTATTAAGAGACTTACAATGGGGGAAAAAAAACAAGCCCACACTCCATTCTTTTCTAGTTAGGATGCCCAATCCCATACCCCAAGCACTTTTAACCCTTTTTAGGCATTTCTTCAGTTATCGCCAAACTCTTTATGTTTCTATTTGTTGTCTTATGAAACTTAGACACAGTTACAGAATGAACTATTAGTGAACACCTGTTACAGAAGGCAAAGATCTGACTTACACACCCCACCCCACCCCCGCCCTTCCTCCCTCTCCCCACCCCCACCTCGCCATCTTACGCCGTGACTATGCGCGCAGCGTCTTACCTTGAGCTCACTGTTGACTGCAAGTCCTTACGAGTCTTTACGCGGTCATTTGGATTCAAAATTATTGCATATTTTCATGTTTTTTTCTTACATTTATTGCTATTTTTTTCCCTGAGTGTTCCAACAGATCTGCCAAATACCTAGCAAGATTCCTCCCCGCCCCCCACCAAATACACAGAAACAATACTAAACAGTCTAAGCCTTGTTTTCCCTGCGGAAGCTCCTCTCCCACAGTCACACTTCCCAGTTCCCATCAACACTATCTCCTCCTAAAGGCCACCTTCCTGGGTTTGAAGCGGTTTCTTGTATCTCATATGTCTTACTCACTCTCAGTTAAATTCTTAATTTGGCAGAATCACAGTCTCTAGCAGTGTCTTAAGATAGGTTTTTGAGTGATATTTTTTTGTGTGTGAGTTCTTGCATGTCTGAAAGTGTCTTTATTTTGCTCTTATGTTTGATGGATAAATTGGCTAAATATAGAATTTCATATTGAAAATCATATTCCCCTCAGAATTTTAGAGTATATCTCTGCTGTTTCCTGTTATCTGCTGTTGATGCCAGGGTTGAAAGCTATTCACTGTGGGTGACTCATCTTTTCCCAACACTTGTATTTAGTCTTTGTCCCCGATATTCTAATATTTTTGATTCGGGTGGGTATATGCATTCTTCCTTGTTTATTAGGCTGGGTGTTTGATGGTCCCTTTTAATTTAGAACTTTAGATTTTTTTTTCTCTCTCTCTCTCTTAATGCCTTTATCTTTTTGTTCTACTTTCTAGGAAATTCATTAACTTCTTCCAAATCCTCGACTTCTTTTTTTTTTTTTCACACTTCTACCTTATCTTAAATTCCCAAGAGCACTTTATTATTTTCTGACGTTCCTGTTTTTACAACATCCTGTTATTTTACATCATATGTAATATCTTTTAAAATGTATATCTATTTTGAAATCTTCTACTCCCATATTATGTTATTTCTAATAATTCTTTCATTTTTTAATTTGTTCTGGTCTGTGCTTCGCATCGAGGATGTTCTACCTTCTGGTCATCGTTAGCTGTCTGCTCACATTGAAGAGTATGTGGTTGTATTTTCACCAGCGTTGTTCATTTTCTTCTGAAAAGGATGAGGGGTACACAGCTGCTGCAGCTGTCTGGGAGCAGCAATGTGGGAAGAGGGCAGGGATCTTGGAGATCAGCGCGCAGCATTATATTCAATGTGTTTTCAGACTGACACCTCAAACCCTACTCTGTTTTGGACTCATGTCCAAAGCCTCTGAATCAATTTCTCTAGAGAATCAACTTCTGGTCTGCAGAAAGGGTGAAGAAGAGAAGTCATCTGTTTTCCTGGGATGGAGGAAAGAGCTCCTTGAACTGCTACAAAGACCCATGTGCCCATTCTGCCATGTTTATACTGACGTTCCCTGATTTGGTCCTCACGTCGTACACCAGCGACATTTTATGGGCTGTGTGAATATAAATTTTATAGTGATCCTTCCCAGTCAATACATACTCCCAAATCTCTATTTAATTGACTTATTTCTCTTCTCAATAAACAAGCTGATTTTAATTAATTATAACCACTTTCTATGAACACTTTTTAAGTGAATTTAGGCTATTTGCAGCTGCTAATAACCTAATGATGGGAATGAGCTTCTTGTCTCTATTAAAGTGCAGGGTTGTGATAAATAGGTCTCTGGCCCCAGTATATCTCCCTGGAAAGCTTTTCAGAGGATTTTGCCCAGTACCAAGAATATACAAAGAATGTTGTCAAAGTCTAAAGCCCAGGAAAGGCAAATGGGTGCAGGTTAACTGTCTCCTATCCAACATTGGACATGGTTTGGTGGAATCTAATAACTGATGTCACTGGCATTAAGTACATTTTTCTTGGGAATATTTAACTTTTAAAAACTAAGTAAAAGTAGAAAATTAAATTTAAATAGAAAATGTTCTCTAAATAAGAATATCAACTCTCGCTAGGCTTCAAGTTTGTAAAACATATGATTGATATTATATGGAAAGCATCACAACACAAGAACGATGTGAGCCTTTTTCAAACAGCTTTCTCAAAATTTTATTTGTATAGAGGCTCAAAACTATAACTTAAATTGTCATATATAGCATAACATTTTTCAACTTTTTAAGGATTACAATAAAAGCATCCCCTGAAATAATTATTGAATTAGTAACAGATTCCGAAAACAGATTTGCAAATCCAAGAATGTGTTAAGATCAGAAATGCTACTAATCTTCCCTATGTATATAGGGAGAGGAATTCAATCTTCTTTCCTGTCATTAAGAGTCCTAAATGCAATCAATGGGCCATATACTCTCTAATCTGTGCCTGGAGCTGAAAGAAATGTCAATAGAAACTGTGTAGGAAGATCAAGAGCAATGAGTTTATCAATGTGTTTACTTTTCCTGGGAATACATCGCATCAAAATTATACTCTAAGCCAACATGCTTTATCAATTCCCCTCTATCTTTGATTTGCCTGTATGTCTAATATCTTCCTGCATTAACAAGTCTTGCTTTCTTTTTTCCAAGTGGATTCGCATAGTATCAAGAAAGCATGAGCATATCAGCTAGTGGCAGAGGAAATCTTTGATTTGTCTGTACCAAGCACTTGATCTCTGTCTCCATGCCCAGGAGGATATCAGCACTGGGCACTTAACAGTTAAGATTTGTCATCAAAGTAAGCCTTTCAAAGAGAAAGGAATTCTTCTTAATCCAAGCATGTTACTTTTGTATTGGAACTCTTAAGGCATATTCTCAGGGTTCATCACGTATCATAAAGTATGAAGAAACATGTGATTCAACTTGTCCCACATTGATTTTATTTTTATCATTGTAGTGGACACATATTTGTGAAGGTAGTTCTCCTAGAAACAGCAATGCTAATTTCCTCCTCTTCTTTTCTCTGGCAGGCTGAAATGTTGGTGTATATGTTCTTCGAAGGTCACAAGGTCATGGAATAGTCTTTGAATATTTTCTTCCATTAAGAGTCCAATGCTTTGAGAAATAACTAATTCATTCTCTCTTATATCTTCCCTCGGGAGAAAAACTAGAAGGTAAAAACACCAAAAATGTCTATTTTTTGATGTTTGCTCCAGCAAAAGCTTTTCTATAACTCAGTTGGACCAAGAATTGTTTGTAAGTTGAGTAAACACAAACAACTCGTCCAATTTTAAAACTGGGAGGCCCTCAAAAAAGGTCACCTTGATGCTAGAGTGTGTGTGTGGCAAGTGTGGACCTTGAGTCTGGATCATTCCCAAACAAGGAAGCACACTAAGGTCAACCCAGCGTGAGCCTGGATCCTCCTATGGGAGCTCCAGAAAGAACTAGTCCAATGACATCCCCTGGAATAGAAGCTATGGCCTCTAGTGCTTCTCCATTTTAACCCCAAAGCCCTGGGTTCATACTATAAAGAACAGGTACCAGACTTCAAGTTAGACCCTAGAGCTACACTGCATCATTTAATGCTCACACTTCACAGGTGAGTAATTGAGGTGCTAGCCATGAAGTAACTTGCCTAGGCTCAAATGTAGTTAAGGGATGAGCTTAAATTGGATTTCAGTATCTCAGTCCAAAACGTTATGTCATCTCCTATTATCTGAATACTGAAATGACTGAACTGTATTAGAGCAAAACAAATCAGTTGATTTTTTTCCCTCTACTTTTTAATCAGTTATCTTGGTGTTTCCAGCTTCACAAAGCATTAGTATTATCAGCTTTTCTCATTTTTTGTTTGGATGAGTACCATTGCTAGATTTGGTATATAATTTAAATTACATGAAAGTTGGAAAGAATCAATTAAAAAGTAATCAACCCTTTATAAGAATTAATAATTTAGAATGTAAATGACTGACCATTCATTTATCATTCTTTGAAGACAAAAAAATTTTCATAACCTGTGCATTATTTTCTTAATTTTTACCTCATTAATGGTTCTGTATAAAACCTGCCATTTTTCTGTAAAGCAAAGATATATGGTATATAATGAACATCTTATTGGATTTCAAATCAGGCCTTAAAACTCTCTGGAGAATCCTTTAAAATTACATAGAATCTATCATCTAACTTTAAACAGTATGGAAATGTAAAGATAATAAAACTATCAAAGCTAGTACCTCATTAACCTCTGGTGAATCTGATCTAGAGTCCTCTTTCATAAACATAGTTCATGTTAGAAGCACCTTATTTTGCTAATATTCCCTTTTCTTTGGAAGTTTTCTAGGTAAGGGTAATTTCAAAACTACTTTTCTTCTATTGGAAGGGTAGAAATTATTCTCATTTAAGTGGATCTTGCTGCTCTTAGAAAACGCAGATAAGATGGGCAATTTGCCATTATAAATCAGAAGCCTTAAAAATCCTCATATTGTCACCCAGCAATTACATTTCTAGGAATTTAATTTAATGAAATAAAAATACCAAGAAAGAAATACTTGCAAGATTCTTCATTGTATTTTGACAGTAAAGATAGTGACGATGTTAGGGAAATGGCTAAATTGGTCAAATAAATTTTGGTGAATTCACTCATTGGAATATTAATAAGGCATTAAAATAATGTTTTTGATAACTATTTAATGATATGAGGATAATGAAGTGTTAGTGAAAATAGTAGCATGCAATTCTGTAGACCTGTCTCTGTCTCTGCATTTCAATAGAAATACACAAAATTATTGATAGTGAGGGGAGCGCATACAGCAATTTAACATTTCTTTTTTCATGCCTTTCTAGATTTTTCAGTGTTTACAAGAAATATGTATTACTTTTATACTTATAAAAAACAATATATAAATGTTTCTTAAGTACACTCTACTATAATAGATTATGATAATCTATTTTTTGTCATATAGCTAGATATTTGTGCTGGGAATGCAGCATAATGCTTGAATTTCTATGTGCAGCTTATTCACTGATCATTTTGTAGTCATGTCATGTATGAGACAATGAGGAGAGACAGAAGTTTGCGGTACAATTGGCAGCATGTCTTATGCTTCAGATGAAGTTGGTGATAGAAATTCACCTTGTATTCCTGCTGTTTTTCCCATAGCCTCAGCTTCTTTTACTGTCAGTGTTAGATCAGATAATTGTTAAGGTCAGATAATGTCCTGTGAAGTTTGCTTGGCAGGCCAGAAATGAAAGTATAAATTCTAGATTTAACAAGATAGTGGTGCTATTCTTGTTCTTTAAATATTCGTATGTTGCTAATATTGCCTTAACTGTCTGGAGATGATTTGGGGTGTGTATTACCTATAGCTTGAGAGATGATAAATAAAAGACAATCTTACACTGACAAAAAGTACTAATACACTGCTGTTATTCAACTTCCTTTAAATACTGAGTGCAAGTTGAGTAATTGCCAAAATTAGAGATGGATTTCCAACCAATCATACCTTGGCTAAAGCATCTGTTTCTTAAAAAGGTTAGACGGAATGGTGCAGGGAGAAATGTTAGCTGTCTTGCTGACATAAATGTAGACAAATGTGTTCATTCACTCTCCATTCTTCCATATATGCCTTCTTTTTTTCCAATGACTTTTGGCACTTACTATGCACCAGTATTGTGGAGACCACCATGAGAAAGACACCATCATCTACCCATGGAGCTTGAACTTTACTGGGGTATAAAAACACATAAATGGCTGTGACATGTCATAAATGTTATATAAGAGATGCTTAGAAGGGGTTATGCATGTCCACACAAAAAAAATTGTCTGGTAACATCTGAACTGGATTTTCCAGGGTGAGGAGGAGTTTGCTGAGCAGAAAAAGGGAAGAAGGACGGACAGGTGCAGTTATAGGGAGCAGAGGGCCCTGGCAGGGTTCCGGGGGTGAGCTGAGGAATGGGAGAGTTATGAAGGGTCATGCACGACTTCCTAAGTATGAGTGATATCTTTACAAGAACCATACTATAATCGTTGCATGCTCAAATTATATTTTATCTACGTAGTCTGGAATAGTTAAATCTAACCCTCTGCTAACAACTTTCTTCCTCCTACTTTCTTCTTTAGCAACCCATATACTAAAACATACCAGCATCAGCCTGCAATAAATCTGCTGTGTTTTACTTATAAGCACAGATTTTAATGTAAACTGAACCAAAACAAGAAGAGAAAAAAATGGCACAGAAATACAGTTACAGTTACCTAGCAATGTTCAGTGTTTAAACTATTGCTCTGATTAACTTGAAGACCTAGTTATGTAGATCAACAACAATTTTAGCAAATAACCCATGAAATGGTGTTTATATAATCTTAGAGCAGTAATGCATAATCCAGGTAATATTGTCCCACATTTTACAGATGAAAAATAGAAGCTTTAGGCTGATTTGTCTGGGATGATACATCTAGGAGTAGAATGGCCAGTACTTGGATCTAAATCTTTGAGCTTGAAGAGCAGGTTTTCCCCTTGAACCGTGGTGCACCTTTGAAGGCAAGCCTTTCCAATATAAAGAATGTGTCAATATGGTTTCCCCTTGTATGGATTGGTTATCCATAAATAGCCAAGGCCCTCACTATGATTTTTGATAGGCAAGTTTCCTTAGATCCAGCACCACATGCTCCTAGGAAAGGTGCTCATGAGGTACATCTTAAGGCAGCACCTGCTTCTGCAATAGTTAACAAACAACTAGACTCAAATATATCAGCTAGTTTTTTCCTAATCCCAGCCTGCTGGCTGCTGTCCGGCTATGGGCTCAGCTAAGCTATAAATACTCCAAAGGCCAGAGCTTGGGGCATCTTCTGAAACGCTCTTCCCATTTGACAACCATTCTGAGAACGATCACCCTGTTAGTTATCAAAAACCATCCCCGTGCTGCCAAGAAACTCTGATGAACATTATGTAATGTATAAATTTAAACTTTTTCTCGATGCCAAAGGCTCCCCACCACCCCATCCAGGCCCACTTCTTTTCTTTTGTTTCTCTTGCTCTCCTACTTGTGTGTTTTAAGCCTTTCAAATGCATCATCTCCTGCTCCTGTCCCCACCCCGACCTCCCTTCAGATTCTCCTACGTCACAGCGTAAGGCAGCTCTAGTATTATATTTTTTCATGTTCCCTAGCACCTAGAAAAAGGGAGTCAACTGAAAGAGAGAACTAGTTGACTAAAGTAAATGATGGAAACAATTAGTTAGATAATATGAGGGACAATCAGGATAGCTGGATGGGTCTAGCAAGTTATAAAGAAGCCATAGACTCTCGAATGGCAGAGACACAGCCAGCAGCTCTGCTTGCAAGGCTCAGGCCAAGCCATGCTGCCCGTTATCCAAATACATTCATTACAAACTTGTTTCTAGGCAAAGATTAAATAGGGCTACACCTTAGAAGTAAAGGAAAAAAAAAAGTAAATGTGTTTCCTGAGCAGCATTTCTTCAATGTCATCTAATTAAGACATGGGTGCACTTGGCTTATTTGTACTTTTGTCTTCAATAACACTTTCATCCTCAAGTCTTTAATAATTCATAGTGGGGAAGCACCTCAGTAGGAAGAGAAACCCATTCTCTGCTAAGGACGCTTTCTGTGACAGAGCCAAGGAAGTCTGCAGTCCAGCTCTGGGAAATAAAACAACATCGACCTTAAAATAGATGCGCCAAATTTTAATTTCCACTTGAGCTAATTGACCACTTCATGGGTTTAGAGTTGGCTGTTAATTGTTTAAGGAAATAAAGAAAAGAAAAAAATCTTTAATTATTTCAAAGACAAATAATAAATTATAATCCTAAAGTAATTAAATCGGATAAAATATAACATGGTTTGCTGGGGAAAATAAAGAGGCCAGAATTTAAATACCTCATGCTCTGACATGCATTTTACATTATTTGACCCGATAACTTAACAATAACTGAAAAGAAAAAGCCCTCATTGCATTCTAGGTCTGAACATGAGGCACAGTCCTCATCAAGGAGATAGGGATTGGATTGTCATATTGTCATTTACTGGTCAACCTAAGCTATGGTATATATATATATATTTTTTTTTAGACAGGGTCTTCCTCTGTTACCCACACTGGAGTGCAGTGGTGTGATCTAGGATCACTGCAACCTCCGCCTCCTGGGTTCAAGTGATTCTTGTGCCTCAGCCTCCCAAGTAGCTGGGACTACAGGTGTGCACCACCACGCTCAGCTAATTTTTGTATTTTTAGTAGAGACGGGGTTACACCATGTTGTCCAGGCTGGAGCTATGGTAATTTTTAAGAAAAGGAAGCTATATGCCTTTGTGAAATGTTTCCATCTTAAAATTCAGATATCAGAGCTCTGTATTTATGGAACCACTTGAGCACTCGGTGTTCATGCATTTTTTGCAATTTTGTAAAATGGACCAGTGCACTTGTAATTCAATGCCACCTCCTTTTTTTACAGGTTAGAGAAATGAGGAATGAGAGACCAAGGCCACCAGAAGTCCCAGCCCCTGTCCCCACTGAGAGTCCAAGAGTCTTGTCCCCCAGAGACAGAGACAGCTATGGATCCATAAAGAACAGACATCTTGGCTCACAGATGTCATAGCCTTCTTTTTCTTGGTTTATGTCATTCATCTGGTTACATTTTTCTCTTTTGGCACAATGTCATATTTGTGATGGACAATCATAAAATGGACAAAATAGGCCCACAGGACCAAAGCTTCAAAGATGAGATTTTACTTCTCGTGCATCATTGGTAATTTATGGGCCTGCCATCACATGCATCCATTCATAGAAATTCTCCCCAAATCTCGATGCCAGTGCTCTAATACGCACTACATTTCAAGCCAAAGAGACAGATTTAGAGGCCTGGGAAAGGGACAAGCAGGCCACAAGCCTCTTGCCTCCTCGGACAGGAACTACCCCACCAGGAGGCAAGGAGGCCCCTCAAAAGCATGTGAACTAGAATCTGAATCATGAGCTTCAGCACAAAATAGTTTGTGCTTCATAATTAAAAGGCATAATTACTGAAAGAGGTTATTAGCTCTCCTCCCTAAGTGTCTTTAAAAATAGGAGAGACTTTCCTCTCTTTAATGTGATTTCAGCATTCTCAGCTCACTCTTGAGGCTGGTCCACCTAAGTGGCCCAAGGCTTTCCCAATCTCTTGCTTATGGCTACTGGCTGTTGTATTAACTGACAGTTCACATTTTCTGTTATTTTCTGAAGAGTTATTTTTTTTCTAAGTAAAGCTTTCCTTTCTTTTGTTTGAGTCACAGCACATGTTAATTGAAGCTTGATTTTCTTATATACCTGTTTCTCACATTTACTGGAATAAAATACACTGAAAAACAAATGCTTGACTTTAAAGATCTCCAGAACCTATTTTAGTGATAAGTATGAATATGTTGAATACTGTGACCTATCATATCATATGGCCTTTGGCTTTAATAAAGTGCCCAAATTATTTTCAAAAACAGCATTTCATTGTGTTGGATATTGCATGGCTTCCCTTCTGTGGAATGATTACCTCTAAACTGCAACATCGGCTGCTATGTGCATCTCTCCAGAAGGGAGCTCCAGCGTGGGCAGAAGCAGCTGCCCCCTCCCCTACCCAAAGGGCATCTGTATCAAGGGACAGCAGAAGGTGGTACATCCCTGAAGCTGGGCCAGTCCCACCTTTCATTTGCACTGCCCACACCCTATTTCTTCCTAAAAACGTTTCACCTTGAGAAATTAAAAAGCAAATGCCCTCAGTGAAAATATTTGGGGTCTTTGACCCAGACAGCAGAGCAAAAAATTATTTTAAGCCCCTTTAAAAGACATGAAAAAGATACAGTTTCCTCCAGCATGTTGTGTCCAATACAGTAGCCACTAGCCACATGTGACTATTTACATTTAAGTGAGTTAAAATTAAAAATTCAATTTCTCAATCACAATTGCCACGTTGCCACATTTCAAGTGTGCAAATAGACACATGTCAGACAGCACAGACACAGATCAGTTCTATCACTGCAGAAAGTTCTGCAGTGGAAAGCACTCTTCTAGAAAATATGGTACTTTGTAAAAGAATGGTATTTGTCATGGTGGAAACTAATTTCCACCTCATTATACTTATATGTAAGAACATTCTTTTAGAAAGTCTTTCCTTAACTTCTTGGAAAACAGGTCCCTTCTTGTCCCCAACTCTGAACAGTCCTTCCCGTCAGTCATCTCTGCCAAGCTCATGTCAGCGGTTTAGGAAGGTTCCCAGGCAGTCTCGGCTTTTCTTTGGTAATTTCAAGCTTGATTTTAAAGTAGGTAAGGAACACATCTTTCAGACCTCTTAGAACACTAGTAGTCAAGTCAAATTATGAAACATAAAAGGTATAGCAAAAATAGTGTGGCCTTAGATCACATTTCATGTTCTATGATGACTCAGGTTACAATGTCATTTCATAATTCCCATTTGCAAAGCATCAGTTTTCCTTCACATCTCACCCAATCAATAAACATAAGCCAAAGATAATGTCTACATTACCACATGAACCTAAAACATTTTTTCCAAATCAAAATGAGTGATATGTCTTTACTTCACAGATAGATCTGTTTCCAAACATGAAACCACTCAAATCTCCCCATGAGATACTGGAGTGAACTGGCGGGCTGCTATGCATTCATTTTGCATCTACTGCACACAAAATTTATGAGATGAAAAGATGTAAACAGATAGCTCTTGTTCTTAAGGACAATAGAAATGTACTTTCATGAGCATACATGTAATTAGAGAAGTTTATTTCAAAATCCAGACTATTTAAATCTCTTTTAGGTTCTTGAATAGCAAATAAAACAGCTTGAGTTAAAAAGTATGTATATATTGCAACTATTCAAAAAGTTGCAAAAATATTTGGATCATTTTGATGCGCTGTAGATGCCATCTCACATTTTGTATAAATCGGCCAGATATTGGACACTCTCTCCAGTGCCCCAAATTATGCCAAATATTTCTGGGAGGAGGAGCACTACAGAATGAATCTAAAACATTGCAATCCTCTTAGGGAAATTACATTTTTTTTTTTGAGAAAAAATTTTAGGTATTAACTGTAGTGGCAGTGATTTTAAATACACTCTGTTCAGAAAAAGAATAAATCAATGTATACTGAAGTATTAAGAATGGCTTCATAGGTGGAGTAGAATGTCAGAGGAGCATTCAAGAAGAGAAGGACATGGAGTAGATGTCTGCAGAGCGTGTGAGTGGATTAAAATGTTTAAATGACCAACGTGATGACCACAGGAATGAGTAGGCGTGTTCTATGAAGGGGTGATCCAATCTGCCTGCAGAAGTACATGTTGGGGAGAATAAAAAATAGTGGTACTAGGCCAGGTGTGGTGGCTCACACCTATAATCCCAGCACTTTGAGAGCCCAAGGCGGGCGGATCCCTGGAGGCCGGGGGTTTGAGACCAGCTTGGCCAACATGATGAAACTCTGTTTCTACTAAAAATACAAAAATCAGTCGGGCATGGTGGCAGGCACCCACAATCCCAGCTACTTGGGAGGCTGAGGCAGGAGAATCGCTTGAACCCTGGAGGTGGTGGTTGCAGTGAGCCAAGATTGCGCCACTGCACTCCAGCCTGGGTGACAATGGGAAATTCTGTCTCAAAAAATAATAATAAAATAAAATAAAATAAAATAAAATAAAATAGTGGTAATACTGTGAATAGGGAGGGTGGCCTAGCTTCCCATGTCAGGACTGTTGGGATTATGTGAATGCATTTAAGGCATCTTACACAGGGCAGAGCTCAAACAGGCAGCTCGAGAACCACACTTCACATACCGAACCTCTTTTTTATGTTGTTTTGTTTTGTCTATGACTTACAAGTTTTATCCAAAAAAAATTGGATTAGATGCCAAAATTTAAATATCAGGAAATTTCACAGAAAAATCTGGCTTTCCAATTTCTTTTGAAAAATTGGAAGATCTAACAGCACTAGGCCAAAATCCATCATGGCAACGGTTGCCTGGAGCTGAATAGCTGCAGACGGCTCTCTTTAAATGGGTTTTCCCTGGGTTTCAAGCACTATTTCTAGGTGGGCTTGTGCTGTTGGCTTTCTTATTATAGAATTTTTTTTTTAAAGTAAATTTTTTTTGTTTTCCATACAGACTTTGTCAAATCAGGAAATGAAACCCAGACCAAGACATCCCTGGGTTTCAATGAAAATTAAAGAAAGCATAATTCTCTAGATGTTTAACATTGCAAAGGCCATTATCTGGCCTTTACACATTTGCATTACCAGGTCCCCTAGGGATTTGGGTGTGAAACTCCTGTTAAATAATATTGACAAGAAGAGATGCAAAATGAATGTGTTGTTTTATAAAGACTAATCTGATCAGAAATAGGCTGAGATAGATTAGAGAGGGCAGAAGTTATAAATGAGGAACCTAGCCAAAAGTCTGCTGCGATAATTCAGCTCTGAAGTAATGAGGATTTGAATTAGGGGAGAAGTAATAAAAAGCAGAGAGAAAGGGGCCAAGTTGTTGTAAATGATAGATTACCTGTTAGAGATAGAAGTCTGGTAAGAGCCAAAATTCACTCCAGCAAAATTACTGTGTGTAGAGATTTGGTTTTCCACTAAGGGGAGGCTCCTACGCCACAAGGCTCTTTGCTGTATTTACCGGAAATTCGCACATTGCTTAGTGTACTGACATGCCCGCAGAAGAACCCACACTTGTCTGTAGAATTGAATAACAAAGAAAAGCACATGGGTCATTCTTGGGACTTGGAGGCACATCCTTTCCTGACTGTCCTTCATGTTGTGACTACGGGCACACCACCAAGTGTGTGTGTTTCATATCTCAGTGTCCTATAAGACCTTGATGGCCCCTTTTAATCGAAAAATTATAATCTCTTCTGTGCCATTTCCTTCTCTGAATAATGATTCCTTTTCTTCTAGAAGTAGAAAAAATGTAGTTATTGCATTACACAGATGTTGGCTCTTTTGGGGAAAATCAAAATTTTATCAGAAGTTAGATAATTTTTTATACTTTTAAATCATTATTAAGAGGTAAAACAACATAAAGAATTATGTTAGCTCTTTTGGGAAAAATCAAAATTTTATCAGATGTGAGATAATTTTTTATACTTTAAAATCATTATTAAAAGGCAAAACAACTTGAAAAATTATTGGGCAGTGTCTGCACATACACACTTTAGGACCCAGCAGTTCCACTCCCAAGTATATACCCAGAGAAATGTGTGCATGTGTTCAACAAAGAAATGCATTCAAATGATCAGAGCAGCACTGTTTTTAACAGCCCAAATTGGAAATAAATTTCTAAACATGAAGCAATAATAGAGTGATTTGGCAAATCTGCAAGATGGAATACTACACAGCAATGAGAATAAGTGAACCATAACAACGTACAACAGGAATGTGTCTCTTCAGTTCAACTTTGAGTGAAAGAAGTCAGACAAAAATGAATATATCTTGTATAATACCATTCATGTGAAGCTAAAAAAAAAAGGCAAATGAATTCAGAGTATTAGAAGCCATGCTCATGGTCACCCACAAGGGACCGCTGCCTAGCAGGGGCATCAAAGGGGCCTTCAGGCGCTGCTCCTTCGTCCACATGCTGGTGATATGAGAGGGTTCATTCTGTAGATGCTCCTGGAGCTGCATTTCACTGTGTTTGTTTGTGCACGTATGTTACACATCACGCATACATGCAATAAAAGCTTACTAAACAGCAACAATGACAGCCACAGAAAATGTCAGTCCCAATTGTTTAGCTTCAAAGTCTAGAAGATTGCTGGATTTATTTACCAAAACTGGAAATTTTTTTTTAAAGTTTATTGAGTACTAAGAATTAATACACTTTTGGTCCCACTTTGTTATTTCTTGTGTTTAGATTTCTAGAGGTCAACTTTCCAAATCTAAGCTATGGTACACTTGAAATAAAAAGTTTTAAAATATAATTGAGTAAGCATTTATATTTTAAAATATAGAAATCTCTTCATTTTGAACATGTTCTTGGCCTGCATGTGGTTTGGAGGCCCTGGGGCCTGCTTTTCAGGAGGACCTGGGAGGATCAAGTGGGCCACAGACAACTTAAGGAGCGCCAACGGGTTGCCAAGAGGCAGGACAGACCGTTAATCAGGATGAGGAAGTAGGAAAGAGGGCAGGCAGCCAGTACTCTGAAGAGACCAGTGTGTACTATACCCTTTCCTTATCCAGGAGAATGGCAACTTCTCCTACGAGGAGAGGTCTAAGAGCAAGTTTCAATGACATGAAGTTCTGCCGTTTGACCAGCAGATCAGCAGGAGAAGACAAAGCGCTCAGGAGAGCAGCAGTGAGGCCAGTGGGCTCCCTGTGGGGGAAAGAATGGAGGTAGGGAGGAGAGAATAGTTAAGACTCCCCAGCAGCCCAGAAAGTCACCAGGGAGGCTGCAAGGCTGTTGGGGGTGGCAGGGCTCTGAGTTCAGCCCTCAGTCTCTTAAGCCAGCCCAGAGATGGCTTTATCACCCCTGGAAATAGAGAGGCGGGGCCTGGGGAAGGGTCTGCTCTGAACCCTGCAGGCGTGTGGCTCCCACTTGGAGGTAGAGCTCCTGCGGACTATGCAGTGAGCACGGGACCCCCCACCCCTCTATGCCCCTTAGAGCTGCTTGATTCAAAGCCCCAATTCAGTCCAAGTCAACTCATTTTCTTTTCTGGGAGCTTATAATTGAGATTCAGGGATTTGAATCTGTGTCAAGCTGTTTTAGGGACTATTACTTATGGACTGGGAGGAAGAGGACCAGAAGACGCCAGTCCACAGAGAGAGACACACACACACACACACAGAGAGAGAGAGAGAGAGAGAGAGAGAAGCAGAAGCACCAAGAGAGACAGAAAGTAGAGCTCAGGCCCACTCGGATGCAGAGGGTGACGAGAATCAACCCCCACTGCCAAGTCCCTGCACTGGGGTTCCCCTGGCCTTCCCCCACTCTTCTCTCCTTTGATTGCATCGGTTTTCATAGGTTTCTGACTCGTGTGACCCTAAAGTCCCTGAGGAAGATGGGATTTGGGGCCCCAGTAGAGACGGAAGGTGAGGAGGAGGAGGGCAGAGGAGAAATCCGACCTCCCCACTGTGGCCCACAGCGATGCCAGAGCGGCCACAGTTGAGGGGCACGGGAGGGACAGGACACAGGGGAAGAGAAGAAGAATACCTCCAGGAGATGCGTCTGGAGAGGGGGCTGGAGGCAGAGGAGGAGGGAGGCGGTCCTGCGACAGCCAGGCTGCTAGGCAGGGCGGTCCCAGTGCGGAGTTTAAAATAAAATGTTTGCCGCACAATTTATAGAAATAGAAAGATTAGTGGTTGCTTAGGGCTGGGAAGGCGTGGGTGGGAGGGGAATGGGGACTGATTGCTAATGGGTACAGAGTTTCTTCTGTGGGGTACAAAAGTGTTACAAAATTGATTGTGGTGATGTTTTCACACGCAGTGGACATACTAAAAGTACTGAAATGTACACTTTAAATTGGTGAATTGTGTGGTATGTGAGTTATATTTCAATAAAACTGTTTATTAAAAAATGCTTGTCACAACACAATAAAAATGGACAAATGAACATCTACAGTTCATCTGAAAGGTCTCTCAGACAGCCTAATGATCCTAGTTTTATTTTCTTAGTTGACAGAGATTACTCTTCTAAAAATAGGCCACAGTTGATGGGCAAGGCGCCCTTCATCACCAAGCTGAGGTCCTGCCTCAAGCATAACGCAGGATGGGCCCACGAATCCACAGCCAGCCCAGGGCCAAGCACCCTCAGGCCATGCTCTGGGAGCTGCTGGAGCAACACTCCAGACATCTGATACACCAGACATCCCTGCAGGCATAAGCTTATGTCCATTCCAATATGAACAACAACAAACTCAGAAGTTGAAAACCCCAGAGCAATGCATTTTCTAGCCCACCTTTTATTAGCGAAGAATAACTGCATCATGGTGTTGGTAAGAGCCTGGGGAACTGTGCCCTAAGCTCTTGGGCTGAAGCCATTCCTTAAACTGAGATCTGCAGGCACTGAGACCCCTGTGGGACCCCAGCAACAGGAGCATCTTGTCATGAGCAAAATGAAGAAGTTTCTCTGTCACATGTGGCATCAGGAGACAAAAGTCTTAAACAGTGTGTGAACAAACGAATGGACCCAAACACAAAGTTTTCACAGACTTCCATGAACACCACATTCCTGAATTGTCACACTTCCCTTCCTAAGAGTTAAAATGGAATCTATGATTTGAAACTAATCATTATTTATTAGAGTCTGCAGATGGAACTCACCTTTGAGATAAATAAAGAAGAAAAGACACTCAGTCAAGATACCAACCCAGGAATAACTGAGGGAGAATTTTCATCTAAAAGAAATTCACCTGGTAAACTCTTAAGAGGTACTGTTTTTCTAATTTAATAAATAAAATAGGATGAGAATCTTTCTCAGTAAGAGTCTCAATTTTTGGTACCTTAGAAATTAACTGTTAGCTAATTAAAGTGGAAAAGCAATGATTTGTAAATATATTAATTACATAAAACTTGGTAAATTAAGGATATGTGCTTAATGGTGTACATATTTAATTAAGTAAAAAGGTTTTATCATTGTTTTTTATTGATGAGGATGAGATAAATAATAGCTAAGCATTCCTAAATACTCTCTGCCAGGCATACTTTAAATACATCTGCTGGTGAAATGCTCACACAAACCTTTTGAGGCAGCAATCATCATTACTCCCATTTTGCAAATGAGGAATTGGATGTTTCAGGAGTTCAGTATTCTCTCAAAGAAATTAAGCATTGTTAAAAAAAAAAACAGCTACTATTCTCTTTTTAACATTACATGTCTGCTTTTCAAGATCTTCATTCTGAATACGGCATTGATGTCAAGGATGTTCTCTGAGTCATCTGTTTTAGGAGAACCCTATTTCCGTTAGGGCCAAAGGTGCTAAGCCAGCACTCTTTTTTTTTTTTTTTGAGACGGAGTCTTGCTCTGTCACCCAGCCTGGAGTACAGTGGCTCACTAAAAGTTTCAAGCAATCCTCCTGCCTCAGCCTCCCAAGTAGCTGGGATTACCGGGGCCTGCCGCCACCGCATCCAGATAATTTTTGTATTTTTAGTAGAGATAGGGTTTTACCATGTTGGCCAGGCTGGTCTTGAACTCCTGACCTCATGATCCACCTGCCCTGGCCTCCCAAAATGCTGGGATTAGAGGCATGAGCCACTGCACCCGGCCTAAGCCAGCACTTCTTACATTTCCTTATTGCAAGTCCCTTCTCATCAGCACGTGGGATCCCCCTGGGACAAATATGGGACTGATATTACTGCCCCCTTTTTAATAGGATGAAACAGAGTTTGAAGCCAGACAGCTGTAGGAGAATTCAAATTTGAGTTTATAGAATCTTGTCCCAATATGAAAAAAATATACACAGGTACCATGTACACTTTCACTCCTTACTGTGCACAGATTAAGCACAGAATTTAAAGATCTCAGACAGACGAGCCACGTCATTTCTTACTTAAGGGTGGTCACTGAATCTGTGTTCTCAACCTTGATCCCTCCACTCTCTTCTAGGACTTAATTAGACAGTTATCTTCTCTCATCCCTGCATATTCAACTTAATCTTTTTACATGGGGTCCTTCATAACCAACATCAATTTACTCTCATCTCCAAAAAAATAAAAAGTGAGCAAAATGAAGCAAGCAAAAGAACCACCTCCCTCAACCCTGCATCTCCATCTAGAAACTCTATCACCTTCCCTTAGTACAGTGACCAGTGCATGGTAGACCCTCAACAATATTTGTTGAATAAATAAATGAGCTGAATGTAGGCCTCATTTCATAAAAAGAAACACAAATTGACAGTTACCTTTAATTAGAAGCACATCCCTTGCTTGGTGGCACTTAGCTTCAATTTTTAGACATCATGCTTTAGAAATATTTAAGTGCTCTTTAGCAACCACTGTTATATTAATATATTTCTAGAGCATCTAAGAAAGACTTCATTTGTATCTATTCTATTTTTTTCTGAGATGATTCTCTAAATACTTTCCTGTGAGCTGACTTTAAAAACTTCTCGCATTTCTCCACTTTGCCCAGCTCCTCTCTCTTTCCTCTTCCCAGAGCACATGCTCTTGGTTTCGTTATTGGAGGGGTAGAATAAATTGGGTTTTGGTATCAACAGATGATCCAAAAGCCTTGTGGCCTCCATTGACTTCAAGTTCTCCCTCACCTATTATCTCTCTTGAGCTGGCAAACTTACATAAATGAGCTAAATATCAATAAAGGAGTAACTGGTGAGACAGCCTGAGAACAAAAAAAAAGGAACCCTCTGGACTGAGCATGAACGGACATTTGCTTTGGAATTAGTCATCCCTCCTTGGTATACATTGTAGAACGCCAAAGTCATGGCGGGCTTCAAGAAGGTAATGAGACAGCTCCTTCACTGTGTGAGATTATTAATTAGACATGTAAAAACAGCCACACTTTCAAGATACCAGAACAATCTTTTTAATACAAATAATACAGTTGGGTGTGCCCTTTATACTAGATAATAAAGTTATTATTGTTACTATCCAAATTTTTCTTTCATTCCAAGGTTGGGTCTTTTATAATTTTCTGTGAAGGGCAAGCTCACATCTGTAATCCTAGCACTTTGGAAGGCCAAGGTGGGAGGATCACTTGAGATCAGGAGTTTGAGACCAGCCTGGGCAGAAGAATGAGACCTTGTTTCTACAAAAAAAATAAATAAATAAAAATTAGCCAGGTGTGGTGGCATGCACCTGTAGTCCCAGCTACTTGAGAGGTTGAAGCAGGAAGATCACTTGAGCCCAGGAGTTTGAGACTGCAGTGTGCCACTGCACTCCAGCCTGGGCAACAGAGCAAGCCCCTATTTCAAAAAAAAAAAAAAAAAAAAGTTCTCTTCTGTGAAGCATCTAAACCTCTTAACATTTTTAGCTTTGGGTTATAAGTTATTCAGATTATTAATTTCAGATATTTTTATATTTTCCTTTCCAATTATATAATAATCCCTAAAAGACCTTGAGGAAACCTGCTATTCTTTAGATTCCTCTTGGATTTAACTAAATGCCTTGATCACAGCAGGTGCTCAATATATAATAATTGACTGGTAAATAATGGACAATTGAGGTAATCACTTTAAAGGTAAATTTTAAAATCTTTAGGGAGAGGTTGAAAGGCCTCCAAGGAATTTCACAAGTTTTCTTTTTTTTTTCCCCTCCTCTCTCTACTCACATCCCTAACCCATTCCCACCTCCAACTTTCTTTTGACTTTGTAGAAGGTCTTCTAACCTTTTTTCTAGCAGATTATTGGGCTATCTTCCCAGGAGTTGACCTGGGAGTCTAGGAGATTACTAGACATAAAATGCTTACACTATAAGTTCAGCTCCAGAATCTAAAAACTATTGTTTTCAGAAATGTCTAACATTATCGGTTTTCTGGAGTTAAGGCCATATATTCATTCCAGTTCTGTCCTCAGCAGAGATAACAGGCACTTATTCATGCTATATTGTAATTAGCTCTCTCTCTATGCCTCAAAGATGGGTGCCTTTGAATGCTTTCTTTTTTACATATTCTTTTCTGGATATGCCAGTTGTTGTTAATTTAAAACTGTAATACATGTGGGAAGCCCAAGAGTGTTTTTTGGAAGTATTTTAAGAGCTAAAGTTGTTTAAACTTAAGCTAAAATGATTTAACAGACTTTCTCACTTTTTTTATATCTACCATTTTAAAGTCTCCATCACTAAAGAAGCATAACCAATTTGTTAAAACACATCAGGTTTACCCACAGTAAAAAGAGGATGTACAATTCATTTGTTATTAGGGAGCAAAAAAGATCGAAATCTATATGTTTTAACTCTTCCAATTATTATTGTTTGACTGCTGGCCAAGCTTTCTGATAACACAGTCATTAAAGGCATTTAGACTATTCGTGGAGCGTTGATATTATATTCAATACACTATTACCCACATACTACTACTTACTCAAAACTCTCATGTGCATAACAGTTTGCTGGTGTGAGGAAAAAAATTAAAGGATATGATCTTTGTTTAAAATGCTTAAAAAGCAGTCATGAAACTGAGGAAATACTTGAAGAGTCATTCATTCAACCCCAAGTATTTGTCAAGTTGAGACTGTTCTCTGTGAAGGAAGTGCATCTGCTGCTGCCAAAATAATTCCCTGCTCACCCCAGGCACATCCAACAATGTGTCTTGATTATAAAATAATGGTGAGTATATTGTAAATTGTTTGCAGTAAAGACAAATTAGTGAGCATGGGCCAGGCACAGTGGCTCACACGTGTAATCCCAGCACTTTGGGAGGCGAAGGGGGGCGGATCACAAGGTCAGGAGATTGAGGCCAGCCTGGCCAACATGGTGAAACCCTGTTTCTACTAAAAATACAAAAATTAGCCAGGTATGGTGGTGTGCACCTGTAATCCCAGCTACTTGGGAGACTGAGGTGGGAGCATCACTTGAACCCGGGAGGCGGAGGTTGCAGTGAGCCAAGATCGTGCCACTGCACTCCAGCCTGGGGACAGAGCGAGACTCTGTCTCAAAAAAACAAAAAAAAAAAAAAAGTGAGCATGTTGAAAGGAAATCTCAGAGAAAAAGAAAATATTTATATCCAATGTTTTCTTCAGAGCTGTTCCACTTCCAAAGACCAGAGAGAGGAAGTGGTCAACATGCAGGAAGGGTGTGAGTGCACCGGCCTGCTGGGTCAGGGGTCAGGAAGGTGCCCAGAGGAGGTGTACAAGGTGTAATGGGCATAAACTGGAAAATCTCAGCTTTGACTTTACTCTCCCTGTTTTTTGAAGACTCCTCTATCCAGGGAGCCATCTGTCCTTGGCTTTTCCTCAGTAGACAGCTCCGATGACAGAGAAAGCAGAAAGCAATACAGAAAGCAATGGACATGTTGGACTGTGCTCCTTGTCATCAACTGAGGGAAAAGAGTTAACATTACAGATGGACAAAGAGTGAAGCCACCGATTCAGATATGATTTGGGGGGACCCTTAGATTTCATTCTTTCTGTCCCTATTCATACAACATCCAACAAATATATATTGCATATCTACTATGTATAAAGATCTGCTCTAAATAGAAGGATTACAACATAGTGGTTAAAGAGTGTAGGCTTTAGATAAGTGTTTTAAAAACTGTGCATCACAATTGATTTGTATAATCCATTTAGTATGTTATCATAAAAAAGAAATAATATAGAACAGAATATATTCAATTTAGAATATATTTGTATATATTAGGGTGGTGCAAATGTAATTGTGATTTTTGGCATTACTTTCAAGCCATGTATGTGTGTAGACTTACATGTATATTAGGTTGGTACAAATGTAATTGCGGCTTTTGCCATTACACTGTTTCTGAAATTTTTGTTTTTCCATTCATACATATATGTGTAGATACAGGTATGCATATATTTATCATATCTACCTCTACTGATTCAGACTGTAAAATGTATTTCCTACTATGCATGTTGTCAAAAAACTAAAAAAAAAAAAATCCAGCTTCTCCATTTACTAGCTCTGTGCCCTCAAAGTACTCTGTACCCCATATTCTCTGTCTGCTTATTAGGGCTTGGGTTGCGAGAATTAAATGACATCATCCACTGAATCTGCTCAATGTGGTGAACAGCACTCAGTATATGTGTGCATTTTAACAAAGGGTATAAGCTAAATGAAGTTTCACAAAACAACTTGCTTCATTTGGTGCAAGAGCCCACCAAGGCAGGGTTACAGATATTATTACTCCACATACAAATGAAGAAACTGCAACTCAGAGATTGTAACTTCCTCAGAGTCATGCAGCTAATAAATGGCAGTGATAAAGGCAGAAGCCAGGTCTTCTGACCACCCCATGTCTCTCTTCCCACTATGTAAGAGACACCCAGGAAAATGGAGCTCATTGCCATGCTGGGAAGAATGAACAGAGAGAGAGTGAATGCATGAATGAACGTAGTTAACATTATTTTGACTTTTTCTCTGCCTTCTTTTTTGTCCTTTCCTAGGTTTTACATGAAAGGAGCATTGGCACATGAATGTATACATCTCTTCTTTTTACATTTTGCTTTCTTTACCCTCACAAATTATATACAGGCTACTGTCATCTACATGAGCACACACAAATAGCTTCTCATAATCACATAAATATTTTTTGATAAATCAAATTAACTTTGAAAAACAGAAAAGAAAGGAAGGTCCCACTCCAAATAGCATCCACTACTCTGATCTTCACCTGCTTTCTCTTCTAGAATTTCGGGTGAGCTCAGCTGACCTGGGCAGTTGCCATTTGGGAGCAAATATTAATATATGGTAGATATAAATTTAGCATTGTGAGGACATGATTATTTTCTGTAATTAGCTGTTATAAACAGTCTTTACTTTGAAATTTAGTAATTAAAAACAATTGACAAATTGTTTTAGGAAAAAAAATCTGTCTGGAGAGAAAATTCTTCCAAATGATCTAAAAAGTTGAATTTGTGAATCTCCCCAGTCTCTATAGCTGTTATGGACGTTTTCACTTCTGAGCAATGCACAGCTGAGAAGCTTCTAACAATATTAACTTTGCTGTATTTCCCAGAATGTCAAAATATCTCATAAATTTTCATCTCCATTATTGGTGATTAAATATTCAGATAAAATTAAGTGCAATGTAATTCTCCCTGTCCATCTCTTTTAATTGATGACAGTTACTGAGGTGAGCAAATATCCTTCATTATGTATCAAAATACCTAATTAAGATTTCAGCAACTTTGGCTAGTTAGCACATTCTCAGTCTTCCTATGCAAACTATTGTTGTCATATTAATTCACACTACTTATATTCCCTAGGCTCTGGAGTGTTAACTTATTACTTGGTAATCGCCAGTATCAACCACTGCAAGAATCAGTCACTCTCACCTTATTCACAGACACGAGATACCTCAGCACCCAATTCCTATTCATGAAGCAGCATTTCATCCTAATCCATTAGACCAACCATTGAACTGAATCACACAGATGACATGCTTATTTCCAACAGAACCGAGTGTGTGGAATTTGATGGAAACTGCATGTGTGTGCCTTGGGTAGACTCACATGTCTTATGCATTGAAACCTATTTATCCACATTCCTGTGCAAGATGAGATGCATCCCTGCTGTTTCCAGGTCTTGGCCCAGCAGTTTTTAGCCAGAGCAGTTTAAAAAGTTTTCTTTCCAAACTCACACTTACCCTTTATTGTAGACTCTTAAAAATTTCTTGTGTATTCCACTATCTGCTTTTCCATAAGTTTGTGGCTGTTTTCCATTAATTGTTCGTATTTTTCTTGAACATGAATTTAGATAAATGAAATGAACAAGACAAACAAGGCCCCTTTTTGCTCAGGCAAAAATGCATTTCTCTCTCTTTCCTCTCATCTCCACCCCGCAAAGGTGTCCAAACCTCAGTCATCTTTCAAGGACCAACCTGGTCACATAGTCACTTGTCACCCACTGGCTCAACCCACCCTAGCCAGGACTAAGCTTACCTGATGATCATGTGCTTCCAGCTGTCCTCACAAATCGGAGAATGGCCCCCCATCACATGGCACAGGGAGCTGAGCACAGATGGGACACCCTGGTTTGAGTAACTCACCTGATCCTGGGCCTCGGACGCCCATTCCTTTTAGTAGAATTCTATTCTGAGAACATCCTGGATGCACCACTCCTCCTTTACACCCAGGCTTTCCCACTTAGGAACTCCTCACCAGGCAAGTACGTTAGGACCCAGCAGCCACACCACCTTGAAGTTAATGGTCTGACGAGCTCAATTTCTGACACGGGATTCTAGTGCAGAGGTTAATAATATGGCCCTGGAGTCAGGCACAGTAGTCTCTCCATATCTTCGGTTTCACTGTACATGGTTTCACTTACCTGTGGTACAGTACAGTAAGATATTTTGAGAGCCACAGAGAGAGATCACATTCACAACTTTTATTACAGTATATTGTTATAAATGTTTTATTTAATTTTTAGTTATTATTGTTAATCTCTTACAGTGGCTAATTTAAACTTTATCATAGGTATGTACATATAGGGAAAAACAGTATATATACGGTTTGGTACTATCCACACTTTCAAGGGGTCTTCAAGTGTATTCCTTGTGGATAAGGGGGGACAACTATACACATGGATTGGAAAATTAGCATTCCCTGTTAATTATATGATAGTGGGCAGGCCCCTTAACTTCTCTTTCAACCTCTTAGTAAAATGGAACAACAGTGCATATTCTGTAGTGACTGTGAGAATTAAAGGAGATCGTTAATGTGAAGCACACTGCCTGGTGCATGATACAAGCTCAATAAATTGAACCCATTGTTGTCAGGCCATGTTCCCAAACTCTGCCCATCTATAATGACTGCTGACTGCTGGTTACCTGGACATTCCCATGGCCTGACCAATGATCTGGTAGTGCCACACCCTTCGGGCTCTGCGCTACACCTGCCATATGAAACTGCTCCTCTAGGGCAGACATCTGATCATTTTATCCCCAGAATGGCTCTCATTAAGACTGTGCACAGGCCATGTGTAAACAGCATGCTCACTGTAACAAATATTAGGGAGGCTGGGCATGGTGGCCCAATGCCTGCAGTCCTGGCTATGCAGCTTTGGCTGCAGTGAGCTGTGATCATACCACTGCACTCCAGCCTGGACGGTAGAGCAATACTCTATCTCAAAAAAAAAAGAAAAGAAACAGAAAAAAGTTATGTTCAGATTGTCAGGGCTTTTACTTCCTTTACTGAACTCAATATCAAGAAGATGCTGGGATATCTTTTACAAAGGCCTTGTGATGAGCATGTCAATCGCGCACTGAGTTATTTAACTCCACTCAGTTCAGGGGATGCTAATGCGAGGCATCTAATGTGCTGAAGAGATTCAAACTGCAAGGCGAGAGGACTCTTATCTAGAAAGACAAAAGGATCTGGATCTTGAGAATAGGCAAGAGAGAAAGGAATGATTTCCCACTACACAAATAATTAGATGTATGCTCCACTGTGTAACAAAGTAATCATAGAAATGTTTCCACTTCATTCAGAGAAAGTAGAGAAGGCCTGTTAGAATGTGTTTAGAATGAGAAGGATCCCTGAAAAATGAACTTAAATGCAGGAGGAAAACCTTCCTGTTTTCTTTGAGGATCTCTAAAGTCAGGCTTCTCAAGTTTAAAGTGCATATGAATCACCTGAGGAACACATTAAAATGCAAAATCTGATTGTGATGTAATGGATTTGAGGCGTGGCTCAAGAGTCTGCATTTGTTGTTGTTGTTGTTGTTGTTTTTGAGACAGCCATTTCGCTCTTGTTGCCCAGGCTGGAGTGCAATGGTGTGATCTCAGCTCACCTCAACCTCCGCCTCCCGGGTTCAAGTGATTCTCCTGCCTCAGCCTCCTGAGTAGCTGGGATTACCGGCGTGCACCATCATGCCTGGCTAATTTTGTGTTTTTAGTAGAGATGGGGTTTCTCCACGTCGGTCAAGCTGGTCTCAAACTCCCGACCTCAGGTGATCCGCCCACCTTGGCCTCCCAAAGTGCTGGGATTACAGACGTGAGCCACCGCAAGAGTCTGCATTTCTAACAAGAAGGTGAGGTCAAACTTGGAGTAGCAAGGCCGTGAAAGGTCAATAGATTATGTTCAGATTGTCAGGGCTTTTACTTCCTTTACCAAAGAAACTTGTGTCATGTCCACACACACACACACGTGCACATATACACTACAACTTACATGAACCCCCTCATAGATAATGGGGGCCTAGTCATCTGGTCAACCTGACCTAACAGATTGGCATCTAGGAACACTGTGAAGGCAAAGCCAGGAACCAGGTGCACAGACATTGCAAACTGAGGCTCTGTCCAAAGGGGCTGGTATGAGGCAGATAGAGTAAATCTGAGTTTCCCAATTGCCCAAATTAAAATCCGAAGTCCTCACCTTGGCTGACAAGACTTCCAGGGCATGGCTCCCTGCTTGTCCCTCCTTCCTCCTCTGATGCCACTTGCTCCCTGTGCTCCAGGCACACAGCCCCTTTGCTTTTGTCACTGTACCAGGTGTGTTACTGCTACCTGGAATGCTCCTGTCTCAGGTTTCTGCATAGCTGACTTCCTCACTTGCTTCAGCTTTCTGCTCAAATGTCACCTTAGCAGAACACTCTGTATAAAATGGAACCCTTCTCCCTGTTCTCTTTTCCTTCTGCTTTATTACTTTTTTTGTAGCAGATAACACCTGACATATTACCTATTTATTAGCTTTTTTGAGTATATCTGTATTTCCTCTCTGGAATGTAAGTTGCTATATCTTTGATGCCAATAATAGTACCTGATATATCAAAACAGCTGATTGGAGCTGAAAAGTTTCTCTAGTCAGCTTATTATTCCATTCTCTTAAGTGATGATTTCAACCATCATTCCTTCAAACTTGTAATCCTGCTCTACCCACACCCCACACCTCCGCGGATAGCCTTGCCTCCTAATTCAAAGATAATGGAAGTGACCAGATGGACAGCAATCCCTGAATCTGCACCTGTCTCCTCCTTTCTCCACCCAACACAGACCATTTCTTCCACACGTGCTCTTAACACCGCTCCTCTCTGTGTCTCAGAAACCCTACAGGTAGAATAAAACTCAGTCTCCAGTATCATCCATGTCAATTTTAATCTTCCTCTCCCTCTCCCACCACCTCCCTCACCCTTTTCAACTATATTCAAACATGTTCCAGACTCTCTCATGTAAAATATAACAATAAGGCCCTAAAGAAAAAGTAAACTGAAGACTCCTACCTTCCTGGACCTATATTCCTCTCCATCCCCTCTTCTGGTCCTCAGGGTCAACTTTCTCACCCCGAGTCTGTCCACCACTCTCAAAAATCTGGCCTCTGCCACCACACTTCAGCAAAATGGCTCTTACTTGGGTTTCCATGTTACTAAATCCATTAAACAAGCCACAGTCAAGGAGTTAAGATCTACACAAATGAGGTCAAACTATTGCAGGTTAGTAAAGAGAATGGTTTGTAAAACTGAAATGTAACTGTAACCCCACCTCTCCTCATCAGGAGGTTCAGCTCAGAGTGCAAGGCAGTTTTACCTCCCGGCACCCGACCTGCAGGAGTGAGAACGGATAGGAGAATTTTTTTCATTGGAATTTGCCTACAGGAAAGAAGTCCTTTGAGGGCATTATTTCTTTGTCTTAGAAAATTCTTTTCTTGACTCAGAATATCGTATGGGTAACCAGCCTTGTAACCAGAAAGAAAAAACTATATTTTCCTCTAACCTGAAATCTTTGGGTTCTCTCTCCATTTTCAAAACTCAACAGATGTTCGTGCTGTCTCAAAAACTTTATGAAAAATATTGTTCTCACTGTAAGTTTAATATTACCTTATTCTGAGTCAAAAGTCTTCTAAATTCAGCTGGCATGTGAGAATATTTGTAGAAGCTTCCAGGTCTCCTGTGGTTGTGCTGATGAAGATTGAGAGCCTATCACCATTGTTGGTTAGACGATCCTATAAACAAAATGTTGGTATCCATCTCTCCCAAATTCCAATCCTCAATCCACCTCCTGACTAAGCATCTGCATTTCAACATCCTGAATAACAGTACTGCTGCATGGATGACAGCAGGTGCCATTTGCACTTTGATTACCTGTGTCATTCATTGTCTTGGAGAGAAACCTCCCATAAGCTTTCTCCAGAATGAGAAAACAAGAATCTGTCTGTTTGTTGCACAGGTCAAACATAAAGAGCTGAAATGTCAGCAATCATGGTACGTTTGGTTTGCTGGTTTTTGTGTTTTTTTCCGACATGTTTAAATGAGTTTAAACAGTCATCCAAGACAGACTCAGCTACTTTTTCACTTACTTTGTCACATGAAGTGTGGTGCTTTTACAAGATGAAGTAACTGAATACTGACTTTGAAGGCTTGCCTCAAAGTCAGACTTGACTAAGTCACTCTGCATCCCTGTGTCTTCATCCAGAGACACATGAATGACCATTCTTGGCTGAAGCCAAGTCAAGGCCAGCTCAGCAGCCTGTGAGTGTCTTCAGTTACCTCTCAGTGGGATGCTTGCACTTCTATGTGCATGAGAGCTGAGACTACAGAAGTTCTAGTAGAGCACTGGCCCTGCTTAAGAGTTAGGCACTACAATGAGATATCATCTCACACCAGTTAGAATGGCGATCATTAAAAAGTCAGGAAACAACAGGTTTCCTGTTCTTGACATCCTGGAGAGGATGTCAAGAAATAGGAACACTTTTACACTGTTGGTGGGACTGTAAACTAGTTCAACCATTGTGGAAGTCAGTGTGGCGATTCCTCAGGGATCTAGAACTAGAAATACCATTTGACCCAGCCATCCCATTACTGGGTATATACCCAAGGGATTATAAATCATGCTGCTATAAAGACACATGCACACGTATGTGTATTGCGAGACTATTCACAATAGCAAAGACTTGGAACCAACCCAAATGTCCAACAATAATAGACTGGATTAAGAAAATGTGGCACATATACACCATGGAATACTATGCAGCCATAAAAAATGATGAGTTCATGTCCTTTGTAGGAACATGGTTGTAACTGGAAACCATCATTCTCAGCAAACTATCGCAAGGACAGAAAACCAAACACCACATGTTCTCACTCATAGGTGGGAACTGAACAATGAGAACACATGGACACAGGAAGGGGAACATCACACACTGGGGACTGTTGTGGGGTGGGGGAGGGGGGAGGGATAGCATTAGGAGATATACCTAAGCTAAATGACGAGTTCATGGGTGCAGCACACCAACATGGCACATGTTTACATATGTAACAAACCTGCACGTTGTGCACATGTACCCTAAAACTTAAAGTATAATAATAATAAAATAAAATTAAAAAAAAAAAAGAGTTAGGCACCAGGCTGGGCATGGTGGCTCACGCCTGTAATCCCAGCACTTTGGGAGGCCAAGGAGGGCAGATTACCTGAGTTCAGGAGTTTGAGACCAGCCTGGCCAACATGGTGAAACCCCATCTCTACTAAAAATACAAATATTAGCCGGGCATGGTGGTGCATGCCTGTAATCTCAGCTACTCTGGAGGCTGAGGCAGGAGAATTGCTTAAGCCCAGGAGGCGGAGGTTGCAGTGAGCCGAGATCATGCCACTGCACTCCAGTCTGGCCGACAGAGTGAGACTCTGTCTCAAAATTAAAAAAAATGAAAAAAAAAAAAAAGAGTTAGGCACCTAAACTTAAATGATAGCAAATGATAGCCTTCAGTAGGTTTTAACACTTCTTTTGGGGGGCATTTTAGCTGGCTCATACGAGAATAGGTGAAAAGTGGAGAAATCTTGAGTTTGTTAACCAGTTTCTTGCATGCCACTGTCTTCCCACAGTACTCCATGCAACCCACTAGCACAGGACTCATCACTTGCTATGTATGATTAGTTTTCTGATCTGTTTATCCAACTGGATGAAATTTCCCTGAAGGTCAGAAACCACATCCTGTTTACCTGTGAACTCTCTTTGTTTTATAAAAAGGATTCCTGTTTAAGATTTTTTGAAAATAGCAAGTTATTACTTGGGCTTTTGTACATTTTAAGGAAAAGACATTGCATAAATCAAAGTCACTTGAATTCTCTAATCGTGGTTAACCTGGTGAAGCACTTGATTGATACATGCTATTTGACTAAATGAATGAGTGAATGCCTAAAAATAGCATTTTATGGGATTCCAGTAGGGAGACCCCAAAGCAAATTTAGCTGTAATTGACAAACTGTATTTTTCAGCAGTGAAGTAGCTAGAACTGAAAGTCTGATGGGAACTTTTTATGGAACTTCTCTGGGTTGTGATGGGCTTATTTCTTTATGTACCTCTGTTCTCCCCATCATATTCCACCTCTACCCTATGACTGCCAAAGCACAATTTTGCCTTCTAAATTGTATTTTTTGCATCCACTCCAGCTGGTTTAAGTAGAGAAAGATTTATTACAAGATATTATATGACTTAAAGAATTTCTGGAGGGATTGCAGAACCAAGCCTCGATGCCCCATGGCCAGGAGCAATGCAGCTGGACAATGATGAACAACAATGGAGACTTTACTTCCAGCAGCTCTACTGGAGCTATGACCTGCTGCTCAAAGGAGGACAACAGGGACAAGACATTAGAATCTCCGTCACTGTTTCCCCAGAAGAACAAAACATTTCCCAGCACACAGCCATTACCTTAACTTGCTCACTTCATCATTCCAAGTTACCACCAATACAAGTTTTTGGTAGAAATGGGTTCTCTAGCTGCATGAAAGGGCTGAAACTTTTTTTTCTTTCCTCCTCCCTCACTCTCTTCCTTCCTTCTTTCTTTTATTAATTAATTTATTTCTGTAGCTTTCAGTTTCTATCACATAAGATGCACCAGAAGTGAGTTGGTGTGGGTGTCCAGTGAGCCAATCTATAATAACTGCTCATAAAAAAAAGGAATACAAAATTCTCCACCTCTCCAGGTGAGGACTACAAACAGGGCCCAATTCAAGGACATACAACCTGTGTAGTAACACAGGGCTCACACTTAGAAGGGCCTTGTATTTGGTTTCAAGAGAGGCAGATTTTAGATATTGAGCAGATACAAACAGAATTTTAAAACAAGGACAGATTTATTTACTCATAAATGAACTTGTTCATCTTTTTGTATGTTGATTTTTTTTTTCTGGGAATTGTCTTTGCATATTCTTTGCTCATTTTTTAAAACGAGTTGTTGGCCATTTTTTCTTATTAATTGGTAAGAAATTTGATGCTAGGGAAAATAGGCTTTTGTGTTTAATATATTGCAAATAAATTTTTCCAGTTTGCGATGTCTTTGGACTGTTTATGGCTTTTCCTTTACTTATTTTGTAAAAGGATTTTACCATATTAATGGGCAATGTTTGTGAAGAAATAAAAAACCAAGGCTGGGCATGGTGGCTCATGCCTGTAATCCCAGGACTTTGGGAGACCAAGGCGGGCGGATCACCTGAGGTCGGGAGTTTGAGACCAGCCTGACCAACATGGAGAAACCCCATCTCTACTAAAAATACAAAATTAGCCGGGTGTGGTGACGCATGCCTGTAATCCCAGCTACTCGGGAGGCCGAGGCAGGAGAATCAATCGCTTGAACCCAGGAGGCGGAGTTTGCGGTGAGCTGAGATCGTGTCACTACACTCCAGCCTGGGTGACAAGGGCGAAACTCCATCTCAAGAAAAAAAGAAAAAAGAAAAGAAAAACCAGCAAGTTAATAATAATAACTGCAAATAGAACTTCTTACGATCTATAACCCTATGAGAAGCACTTGCTAAAATGGATTTTTTAAAAATAGGTAAGATCTGTTATACTTACTTCTACCATCAACAGCATTTTGTAGGAAAACAGCTTCATGTTAAAACTTATGAGTTTAAAATACCTTCATAGAATTAGCAGAGGCTAGATGTTGCCACAATTGGCTGCCTAGCACTTGATAGAACTTTATTAAATACTCTGATGAATTATCAAATGTAATATTTCAAGCATGGATAGACTAATCACCTTTGAATAAAATGATGGTTATCTTATATTGCACTTAGAAATCTCCATCTAGCTTTCCAAGTAAAAATGAGGATATTGACTTTGGGAGGCTAAGGTGGGAGGATTGCTTGAGGCCAGGAATTCAAGGTTGCAGTGAGCTATGATTATGCCACTGCTCTACAGCCTGGGTGACAGAGCAAAATGCTGTATCTAAAAAGAATAAAAAATAAAATAAAAGGATATTGAAAATGGTTTGGATGGCATGTATGTCTGAGAAAACAGCAAAAACCATGGCCAAATGTCACTAAATTATTGAGATGCTGAAAGCTCCTCTGAAGCTCAACGCTTACTCTGATGTTACAGAAGGAATTGTGATTTTAAAAATGTAGCTTTAAAAGTTAATGGAAAAGATTAAAAATGACACCAACTGAATGCGAGGAGATACCATATTACAGTAATAATAATAAACAATCATGAGCTTTAAATCTTACAGCAGCGCTGCTGCTCAGAAACAAACTAAAAGGAACCTTGAAAAGGGAAACCACCACAGCTCCTTTTGTCCCGCCTTCAGGGAACAATGCTGTTTACTCTGTATGAACCAGAGGCTGGGGAGAAGGAATGTAGTTTTGCTCTACTAAAGAAGGTTCCACAAAGAGCTGAGAAGAGGCTGTGGTGATAGGAGCAAGCAAGTAGATGAATGGCCAAGGAGCACAGCAGAAGGAACCACATGGAGAGTGAGCAGCGTCGCCAGCTTGGGAAAGTCTGAGCCAGCATTCCAAGTCAGGCAGGAGAAATCAGGGGAAGTTAGGGGAGGCATTTGTAAATCTGCATGGTGTTAAGATGACAGCTTTGAGGAGGGCAGAGAGAGGGTATGGGCCACATTTAAGACAAGAAAACTCACCTTGTTTTAAAGATAGTGGCAAAACAAAAAAGTAGATCTCATGGGATTGCTATACCTAAAAACAGTTTATGGTGACATGCAGGCAGGTCAAGATTAGGGGGATGCTAGGATTACTCTTGCCATTGATTTTTGTCCAATGAGAATTGTTAACTGTAAATTGTAGTTTCAGAGTCTAAAAAAATGGTGCAAATTTCATCACTTGTTTGCTCTCAGTCCTTAAGAGAAAACAAGAATGGGATCAGCACACTGATAAATCAATAAATCATGGCTGTCACTTGGAGGTGCGGGGGTGTCCCCTGTGGGACACACACACAGCAGGAGGATATTACATAGAGGCACGTGTCCGAGGCTGCTTCTGAGAAGGAGCAGTGAAACCAGCAGGACCAAAGCTACTTGTTAAGGGCCAGGCCTGTCCTGAGTCTGGGATGGAAGGTACTCCCATTTTCTCAGTGGATAGCTGCTCCTGAGATGTTCTCGAAGGGAACCAACAGGCAGACTTAGACAATGCAGTGTCATCATGGACTGAAGGGTTCTGAGATTCCTGAGCCTATGCTCTGGGCTCAAAGGGAGTGCTGACTGCAGAAATCCACTCCTTCCACCCACTGGCCTGATGCCAGCTGCTAAACTCAACAAGGAGGCCAGGGGCATGCTTCATGGGAACGTCCTGGGCATCATATGCCTTTTCATTTCTGTGGATGAGGTTCACAAGTAAAACAGAGTATCTAGAAATGAGGAATTTACTCAGTTTTCATGGGAATGAATATAAAGTCCTCTAATAATTTGCTGATTTCCATTTCATTCATTCAATCAATAAATATGTATTAAATGACATGGACCATATACCATACCACATGCTGGGGATACTACTGTGAGCAAATTAAAGTGTTTCTCTTTCCATGAGGAGCACATTTCAGAAAGTGGCAGAATTTAGAAAAGAAACTAACCAGTGTGAGGCTAATAAAACCAAGAGTCAATCTGAATCAATAACCCTGTTCCACAGTAAGTGGAAGGTATTAGGAAAGAAGTGCAAGCCAACAGATAAATGTCAGGTACAAGTGGGTTCAGAGAGGAGCTTGTACACACACCCCATGAAGCTCAATCCACACCCTGCCATTCCGTCTTCACCCATCCTTCCAGTTCACTTTCCTCTCATTCGCTGGAAGACCCCCTCCATGTGACCACAGTAAACTCCTCAGGTGACTACAGGTTTAATTAATCATTTCTTAAACAGAAGGAAAAAAAAAAGGGCAGGCACTTTGCTGCAAGTCACAGCATTTAGAATAGAGTTCATTTGAACAATATTTCATTCAATTGTTATTGCATCTCACGTTTGTCCAGTGGAATTTCAGAGCATTCATCTCTAAATCAGGTAGAACTTTGTTTTTCCTTTGAAGCACACGAAAACGTGATTCTTTAACACGTGCTAATTCCAAAAACAGAAAGACATGCTCACATACTGACTATTCACAAGTCATTCCATTCTAATCAACAGACTTACAAATTATTTTCACTCCTGAGAGGTAAAAGTCTCAATCCCTTTCAAAGCTAAGAGGCGTCAACCAGATAGAATACTGATTATGTTTAATTAATTTAATAAGGTTTTAGTGTCATTCTCAGCCTTATTAAAATAGTCATAATGCATCATGTAAAATTTTCAGTTTCACAGATATTTGTATAAAATTTTAAAACCAAAAAGGTTTAAGATATATTAACAAATTTGGGAACACAGATGAAACAAATTTTTATGCAAAATGAAAAGACATTTCTACTACTTTGACATGTGACACTGACATTTGACACCAAAGTTGTTTCTATACAGTACAAAGTAAACAAGAAAATTATCTGACTATATAATTTAGGCCAAAAATTATTAACATGGCCATCTTATTTGTTGGCTTTAGTCAAACAAATGAGGATGAAATTTTTAATTCATTATCTGCTTTTAAAAATTATAAAAATAATTCAGCTCAATCCTAGCTAATACTATAACAATTTATAGATTCTGGCAAGGCCTTTTAAAATATTTTTTAAAAAGAAGATTTTCTGCCATTTATACATACATTCTCCATTCAGGTCCATTAGAGGCAGAGCCCAAGCGGAGCAGAGGTGAGTGAATCAGGCTGCCACCCCAGGGCAACTGTCCAACTCTCAGGCAGAGCTCCAAAGTATGTCAAAGGGGTGTGTGTGTGTGTGTGTGTGTGTGTGTGTAATGTTGTATTTGTGCCGTGCCTTTTTTCTGTAACATAAAAATTATTTACCTCATAATTACATTTGTAAAGTAATAATTATACTGAGCAAGTTTAAAAACCCACAAAAATCACTAATTCCCAAGGTACAAAGACAAGTTTTGTTCCAATAGTTTTTTATTTCCCCCATGTGAATCTAGAGAGTTGGTACCAGAACTCAATGTCTACATGTCCAGCAGAATAATTCCACAGAACTACCTAATCACTAGAATAAATACAATCTTTTACAGTAATTTAAATTTTTATTATTTTATCCATTTCTCATCAAGCATAATTATGTGATCTGTACTATAAAGCATAAATTCTAAACAGCAAACTACTCCCTAATTTTAGTGTGTCTGTAACTTGGACAAGTTCACGGTATCTTAACTCTTTCTAGAATAACATCGTGTGCCCTGGTTCACTACTCTGTTGCCCAACATAGGGTCATTTGGCACAGGGTAGGTGCTCAGAAATTGGTAAGTGTGGGAATGTGAAACGGTACAGCCACTCTGGAAGACAGTTTGGTAGTTGCTTACAAAACTAAATGCACTCTTCCCATATAATCCAGCAATCATGCTACTTGGTATCTACCCAAATAAATTGAAAACTTATGTCCACACAAAACCCTGCATACAGATGTTTATAGCAGCCTTGCTCATAATTGCCACAATTTGGAAGCAACCAAGATGTCCTTCAATAGGTGAAGTGATAAATAAACTGTAGTACATCCAGACAACAGAATATTATTCAGCATTAAAAACAAATGAGCTATCAAGCCATAAAAGATATGGAGGAATCCTAAATGCATACTGCTAAGTGAAAGAAGACAATCTGCAAAGGCTACATACTATATGATTCCAACTACACGACATTTTAGAAAAGGCACAACTTCAGACAGTAAAAACACCAGTCATTGCCAGGAGTTTGTGGGGATGGAGGGAAGGTGAATTAGGCAGAGCACAAGGAAGGTTTCGGACAATGAAACTATTCTGTATGATACGTCATGATAAATACATGTCATCATACAAGTATTTAAAACACAACAAATGAACCCTAATGTAAACTATAGACTTTAGTTCATGATAATATATCAATATTTTCCATCAGTTGTAACAAACGTACCATACTAATGCAAGATGTTAATAATAGGGGAAACTGGAAATGGTGGGTGGGAGAAGGGGAAGAGGGCATATGGGAACTTTCGGTACTTTCCATTCAATTCTTCTGTAAACCGAAAACTTCCCAAATGAAGATATACTGAAATAAAAGGTGACAGGGGTCTCAAAAGTACCATTTTCTTAAGAATATTTACTGAGCAGTTTCTAACCCATGTTCCCAAAGTATCAAAGACAGAGAATTCACCACATCCTAATAATTTGAATTTCCTGGACCAGTCAGGCACCTATAGCTCACCAACAGAGGTCTTTCCAGGGTGGAGTTCACCCGCCTATAAAACAAACAGAAGTTCATTTCTTAAAGTAAGAAAGGTAAGCCCTACTTAAACTCAAAACATGTGCTACAGTGAGAGCTTAGGGAACTGAGAAAAGGGAGAATCAAATTTACAACCAAACTCCCTTTAGGCTCAACAAGAAACCCATGAATGAATGGCAAAGTCAGTTACCTTTGGCACAGGAGGTTGGTTAAGCAGCAGGCTCCATTACCAGGAATCCCTAATTAACTTCTGTCGAGAAATTTCCTAGCTAACTGGAGCTGACTGTGAAAACAAACCCTCCTTCTGACTTGCACACATGTTCATGCACCATTGTAAAAGTTCAGGGTAGTTATTACTGAGTTGTCACAGGCTCATTAATTATCCACTATACTGTATTAAGCTTTACTCTGGTAAATCTTTTTTAATTGCCCAGCCTGCATTTACAGAGCATCTTTATTTAACATGCTCCCAACTCTGTTTATGTTTATGCCTTTTCCAATAATTCATTAAGTAGAGTTCTTAACCAGCACTACCAGAATCTTTAGTAAGAACTCAGCCAAGCCCACTTAAATGCTTTCACTCCACTCATTATGGAGCCTTTTAAAGCTCAGAAGATTTTTCAAGTCCACCCCTCACTCACACTTCCTTTTCCCCACCTCTGAAGAGTACAGGAAACTTCTTTCTCCAGTACTTTCAAACTGCAATTGATTCTTTCCCACTTTGAAAAGGAAACTGTTTGAAAATACATGTCTGAGTGTGGCCTGTGAGCCTCCCCTGACACTCATTGCTGCGCATTCCCCAACACAGTCAACTTCGGATTCCTTAAGAGAGCGCCCAAGTTGCTGGTTAGTTTGGCCCCAAACCCCCTTCTCATCTGCTGTCCTTCTCTCCCTCTCCCCTTCCATTTCAGCCCTCTACACAACACAGCAGAAGATATCTTTGCCCATTCCTTTTTTTTTCTGCTTAACATTCTCTTAAGTCCCACTTAAAAGCTCCTACCTCTGTGAAACCTTCCCAGCAGGAGTCCCTTCTGGGAGGGACTTCCCAGTCTAAGAGTCTCTTCTGGGAGGGACTTCCCAGTCTGAGAGTCTCTTCTGGGAGGGACTTCCCAGTATGGGAGTCCCTTCCCAGACTACATTCTCTCTGCCCTTGCTGATAATGCAGGGCACCTTTGGGATATAAACAGTTATAAATGGCAGACTCTTGCAGGACAGTGAATTCCTTGAAGTCAGAGAGCACATTTTAATAACGTGTGCGTGCTCAGAGCCTGCTTAGAGTGAATGCTTGGTAAATATTTATTAAATGAATGAGTGAAGGCATTTTCACTCCACAGTATCTGAGTTTAATTAAATCATGTCTGCTTTTACCCACACATCCTAACCTATATAACTACATGATCACATGTATATATGGAAGAAAATCATGAAAAAAAAGTGCTATAGATTTTCATGTTTCTTACAGCATATTAGTATCAAAAATCTAAGTAAATTAGAACAAATTTTTGTGCCATGAACTTCGAAAAACATATTTAGAAATCACCTAGTCTCTCCAAAAAAAAACATACTTTGCAATAAAATCATTTAACTAAAAGAAAAATGATACTGCACAATTATTCATGGAATGCTACAAAGAAATTAAAATAAGGACCAGAATAAAGTTGGTGAGCCCTTTCAACGCAAGTCATATTCACTTTTGAGAAGCATCTTTTGAACGGGAACAAGGGAATTCTTTTGATTTTTAGAAATGAACGTTTGGCATTGTTTATACAAAGACTAGCTGTATCTGATACTGAAAATTTTGAATTGCATGCATTTGAGAGTGATGAATCTTCTAGCACTTGCCTATGCTGGACTGTTAGAGTTGGTCCTCTGAGATAGGTCTTAGGAGGTCAGTTTGAAGTATGTCACATAGATATAAATCCTAGTGGCCTCAGAGAGAGAGAGATGTGACTGACAGAGGAGCTTTGCCTTGAATGCTTGTAGTAGAATTCATAATTCATGAACATATGTGGGGTAGAATGCTGCTAGTATATGCAAAGCATGACTACATACAAAATGAGGATATAAATACAAGCTAATGATGTACTATTCACATGGGAATGGAATATACTTAGCATTCTTTAGTACTACGCATTTCCCAATGGAAATAATATGTATTTTACCAGTAGGTATCAAATGAATTTGACACATTTTAGATAAAACTGACCTATAGTCTCCGTGTTTGAAATCTGTGTGACACATCAATCCCAGGAATAGTTTATCAGAAATCTAGCCCAGGTCAATAAAATGTGAATATCAGTCCACACGCAGATATTCAATAAGGTATATAAAAAGAATTGATATTCTCGGTTTAGGTGCCAGTTTTCATAGAACTGCAGAACTAGAAAAGATCCGGAAATGATCTGATTTCACTCCCACCCAACATTTTATAGCTGAGAATTTAACAGCACTAAGTGAAGACTCAAATTTGAGTCCAACAGCTGGTGGTCACCCTGGTGGTCAGCAGAAAATCCCATAATTGGTCTTAATTAGTTCTCATTGATATTATGGTAACATTGAACTCATTACCATTTTTAGCACAGTCTGAAAGGTCAAGAAATGCTTCTCCAGGTGAGTCTTGGATTAACCTTGGAATAGTAAGATATAGTGGGAAAAGCATGAGATTCGGAAACAAAAGTCATGAAAGTGAGCCCAGGTACTTGCTACTTGGTAGCTGTGTGCACTTGAGCAAGTCTCTTGCCCTCTCTGAACCTCAGCTGGTTCATCCTCAGATGAGAATAGCAATAATACCTACCCTGGGAGCCTGATGAGAAGATCGGATGGTTTAACAGAATGAATGTGCATGGCAAGCTACAATGGCACTTACAAAGATTTACTCCTTATCATCATCATCAAGTACTATTTATTAATCCACCAAATAAGCACAGCATGTTGCTCGGCCTTAAGCAAGGCAGGAAGCAGGGAAGGCAATGAGCTTTACTCATATTAGGGATTTTGTCTCCTAAAGAGTCCATTTTTACCAGCAGCTAATCTTATTTGCAAAATCCATTAAGTAAACCTGCCTCAGCAGCAAAATAACTCACTGCCCTTTCCCTGGTAACTTCTAGTAAATTCTTATCTAGTATTTTGAAATATTTCACTTTGGATTTCCCTCTTCTCACTCCTCAAAAAGATCTGACATCATCTAGCTCAGCAATGTCCAATAGAATAGAATAATGCAAGCCACATACACAATTCTAATTTTCTGGTAGCCATATTTATAAAGTAAAAAACAACCAGTAAAATTAACTTTTATCATATATTTTTTATTTAACCTGGTATATCCAAAACATTATTGGTTCAACGTGAAATCAGAATAAAAATAATACGATAGATATTATCTTTTTTCTTCACATCAAGTCTTTTAAGATCCCTTGGGTATTTGACACTTAGAACACATCTCAATAGGGACCAGCCCATTTCAAGTGCTCAGCGGACACAGGTGGGTAGTAGCAAGCATATGGAAAGCCATGTGGGGTGACCACACCTACTGAAAGAGGAGACTTAAAAAAATTACCTTAGTAACTCTCCATGGAAACATTTAAGAACACTGAACCAAAAAATCACCTCCCAGCACATAGATGGGGGAGGGAACCCTAGCAAGAAAAGTGACAGCATAGCAACACCAGCTCTTACATGAAAGGGAAATCAGAAAACTATTACTTTGAAAAGAGGCATTTCTGGGAAGGTCATCCATTTCTATCTTGTTTAATGTGAAATAAGGAAATCAATAACATGTCTACACAAATATGCATTTTATAAGGCATCATTCTCATTATCCCTTTATTCTAAACTATAGACACTGACATGTCTTGTCATATTGTTGAACGTTACATTTCTCACGTAGGAAGACAAATGGTGAAGCATGCCATCAAACTGAGCCATCCTATTTCTCCTTACAGTAAACCTGTGCCTTGTGGGCCTCAGGGGTCACTGTGAGGAGGGGAAGTGCAGGGAGCAGGTTGTTCACCAGAACTCTTTCTGTATTGTTTTATTTAAATATGCAGCTAACTCCTGGCTGGGGATTAGTCCTTCACACCTGGAGTCCCAGTTCAATTTTCCTCAGTTCCTATCTCAGTTCTTTCTCCGTGTAGATACAGAGGCTCTTCAGTCTAGGAGATTAAAAGCTAAGGCAGAGGAATGTTCAGAAACCCAGCCTCGCTCTCCACTATCCCTTCCATCCAGCCAGCATACACAAACTTTGTCCACCCTCACTACTTCTTTTTCAGAAAAATATAAAAATAAGCCCAGAACCAGCCCACTCCACTTCTCTGAGCAAAGACAACCACTATCATGTCTTGGTCAGAGCTCTTCACTCTCTATTCTTGGTGTCTGGTTACTCTGAAGCCAATGGTTCCCTCAGCATCCACCACTGTTGTGAAGGCCTGGTCCCTCTCTCACCACCTCCTGTCCACTTTGATGACTCCAGTCCTAAAGCCCAAATGACATAAGGTCTGAGTACTGCATAAAACTGTGAGAGGTAGGCAGTCAATGTGCTTAATTATCTTCTTAGAGATTGGTTCTGCAACATAAAACCATAAAATAATGGACTTTTTGTGTGTGTGTGTGAGATGAAGCTCTGTCACCAGGCTGGAGTACAGTGGCATGATCTCGGCTCACTGCAACCTCCACCTTCAGGTTCAAGCAATTCTCTTGCCTTAGCCTCCAGAGTAGCTGGGACTACAGGTGCGTACCACCATGCCCAGCTAATTCTTGTATTTTGAGTAGAGATGAGGTTTCACCATGTTGGCCAGGATGGTCTCGATCTCTTGACCTCATGATCCGCCCAGCGTGTCCTCCCAAAGTGCTGGGATTACAGGTGTGAGCCACCACACCCAGCAAATAATGGACTTTCAATAAAGACTTCAATCTTTCACTTCTTTTGCCATTCAAAACATTTCACATTTTGCTTAAAGCATTGTCTATAAGGAGATTCATTTGTGTGTGTGTGTGTGTGTGTGTATGCACCTATCACTGTTAAGTTTCCAAGCAACAACCCTTGCTATACTACACTTGCTATATAACCTAGCTCATACTAGGTGTTTGGTGAGAAAGCCAGTTACAAATATCTGGAGCAACCATATTTCCCATAAATGTCCAGCTCACATTAGCCTTTCTGACCATTTGAGCTGAAATTTCCCTCCTCTGTAGCAGCAGTAGTTGCTCCATGCTTTTCAAACTCTAATGTGCATACTAATCACCTGGGCATCTTGCTACAATGCTGGTGGCAATTTGGCAGGGCTAGGGTGGGCCTGAGATTCTGCACGTCTGAGAAGCTTCCAAGAGATGCTGACAGTTTGGGTTTGCAGATTCCACCTTCAGTAACAAGCCCACAGCTCTGTCCTTGGCGCATCATCACAAAGAGATTTAGGGGGGATGCCCATGACTAGGCTGCTTTCCTAGTGAGTAGACTTTTTGAAAACATATTATTTTAATGCATTTTCCTTACTATGACCCTAAGCAGATGTTTGTGGAGTCCATGAATAAAGGGGCTAACACTGGTTGCTTATTTCAGTCATTTTATTCTCAGCAACTGATCTTAGTGACCAGGCAGTGGTTTAGCAGATGAGTTGCTCATGAGCTTGCAGGCAGTTGACGTCCCTGAGTGAGAACCTGCCTGCAGTCCCAGCTCTCTGCCCTCCCCTCAGTTGGAACAGAAGTAGATCTATTGTGAATATAAATCAAACAAATTTCTCTTCAGTTTTACATTTTGAAGCATGGGCATGGTTTACTGTCTTGATGTCCTTGATTTCAGATTCTCACCCACCTCTTCAATTAGTAAGCTTATTTCTGGCCTTTGCTTGGATTCCCAGGGTTGGGATGATGTGTTTTGGCCCCATTTGTGATGATGTGCTTTGGCCTTCACCCTCTGGACTCTGACTTCCTGTACACTTCTGATAACATAAAATTCTCAGTCAAACATGCACAAACTGCTGACCCCACTGGTGCTCTCAATACATTTTTCAAAAGAAGATATATAAGCAGCCAACAGACATATGAAAAAAATGCTCAACACAACTAATCATCAGAGAAATGCAAATTAAAATCACAAGAGTACCATCTTACACCAGTTAGAATGGCTATTATCAAAAAGTCAAAAAATAACAGACGCCTGTGAGGTTGCAGAGAAAAGGGAACGCTTTCATACACTGCTGGCAGGAGTCTAAATTAGTTCAAACATTGTGGAAAGCAGTGTGGCAATCCCTCAAAGAGCTAAAAATAGAACTACCATTTGATCCAGCAATCCCATTTCTGGATATATACCCAAAGGAATATAAATCGTTCTATCATAAAAACAAATGTGTGTGTATGTTCACTGCAGCACCATTCACAATAGCAAAGGTATAGAATCAACCTAAATGCCCATCAGTAGCAGACTGGATAAAGAAAATGTAATACATAGATGCCATGGAATACTATACAGCCACTAAAAAGAGTAAAATCATGACTTTTGCAGCAACTGGATGGAACTGGAGGTCATTATCCTAAGTGAAATGACATAAACAGAAAGTCAAAAAACACATCTTCTCACTTCTAAGTAGGAGCTAAACAATGGGTACACATGGACATACAGAGTGGAATAACAGACACTGGAGACTCCAAAAGGTGGGAGGGTGGAAGGGGCACGAGGAATGAAATGCCACCTATTGGGTACAATGTTCACTCTTTGGGTGACAGGTACACTAAAAGCCCAGACTTCACCACTATACAATGTATCCATGTAAAACAACTGTACATGCACCCAGTTAATCTATAAAAATTAAATAAATATATATCAAGTTGACCTCATAAACCTGACCATTATCACAACTCAAGTTTTTCTTTCTTTGCCCCTGGAAAAAACTCATCTAAGAGGAGCTTGGCCTGGCTGGCGAAGCCCTGCTTTAAGCTTAGCTGTGATGTATCTCATAATGGAGGTCAGTACGATTTTCCTACTCCTTCTAAGAACTGAAAATCTGCTCTCTGATTGTGGAATAAAATTATTTCTTTTTGTTCATTTCTCTCAGGGCTAAATTTTTCTTCCACTAGCTAACAGATGCATGCCTTATGGACAACATGCTACTTTCCTATTAGCAGATTAGAGAAGGCAACACAGTGATATTTTCTAGAGTATTTGGACATGCTTGTTAGATAAAACCTTCAGGCTTCCTCCCTCTTTCTCATTTGATCCCAACCTTATTTCAAAGTAGGTAGATATTATATCCTTAAATAATTGTAACTCTTTATGACTTTTCAGAAGTAAGAACTCAACTAATATTGGTGCTTTCCTTAGGATGAGGTAAGGAAACCCACACCCCTCTAGAACTCAAGTTTTCAAACCTAGCCATCACCCCATCAGGAAGAAAATCCCACAAGGTATGTATTTGTGACTGCCACTCTTACGAGTAGTAGATTTCCTGGAAATACAAAACTTTATTGAGACATGCCTCTTAATTTATGTTATAATAACAAATTCAGGTATTATAAACTGTTTGGGACAGTCTTCTGGAATTAGCCTACATTTTAAAAATGGATTGTTATTAATTTTACTCTTGCAAAACAGGAAGTTAATTAATGAGCTGGAAGTCTATCAAAACAAAAAAAGCCTTTACAAATCCTTTCCTTGCCTCACTAAAGGATCATTTCCTCATTGTTACCGTCACACTGATACAGTGACTATGCCATGAACTAATGATAGAAGTTATAGGGAATCATTTAGTTGATGTTATTGCTACGATTGCTACCTTTGCTTTGATTATTGACTCTCTGCTCCCTAAAAAAAAAAAAAAAAAAAAAAAAAACCTGAAAAGTAAAGAATTCAGCCCCAGACTGAGATCTTTATTCATGACTATTACCTGTACTGCAGATAAAAGAAGTCAGACTGCTTTCACATGGATGAAATCTGTCAGATTGGTGATTCAGAAAGGCAACTCTGTCCTTCTTAAATAGAATGGACTTGAGGGGAAGTCAAACCAGTCATCTCAAGTCTTTTTCAAGTGGTGTTCCCTATAGATCCTACTTCTATATGTGCATGATTCTCTATTTGACTCATCGTTACTCACCCCACACAATGCCCACTGCTCTGTTTATATAAAAGGATTCCCCAACAGGGAAATATGGCATGTGTATAAATTAAACAAAAGAAGTAGAACTGATTCAAACAGCCTACTTATGAATCATAAAGATGAGAAAATAGTTTGACATACTTTGTTCAGATAATTTTAAAACGGATGCTTAAGGTTTTTAAAAATTTTAAATCTGAAATGTTGGCATGGGGTTAAAAATCGTTCAGCTTCACATCAGATTTCTAAGAACCTAGAATCCAGGGAATTCCTATCCCCAGGGAGTTCTCAGGGAAGGCTAATGCAATGCTCTGTTCTTCTAGCAGAGTGCACCATACCCCTATTTTTAACAAGGATAGGCCTGGATGTCATATCTTTGTTTTAAATCCAATTTTAAATCCAATTTTCAGAATATTAAATCAGTGACAGTGTGACCCAGGACAAGCTTTTAATTTAAAAGCAAATCTAGCTCTGGCAACCATTTTTCTCATTGACATAATGGATAGTTCTTTCAAGCCTGTGAAGCGTTGTTCTTATTTGTTAATCACAGCACTCCAGCTATGCATACCTCACCACATGAAATCTAGATGGCAATTTTGGCTTCTCCAGTCTATATGGTATATATCTTAGAATCAGTGACACGGAAGACTTTTGACATCATTTCGAATATGTAGATATGTGTTTTTAATGAAAATTGTTTTATTTGATTATAGCTAAAATTTGGAAATGACATAAGGTTAATTGCATTATGTAAATACGCTTAAGACTCTCTATGTATGAACCATGCCAGTTCCTGGGAGTTTAGACACTAATATTATCAACCCTGGAAAGTCCCTTGTATATCCCCTTGGACTTACATAAACAGAGAAAGCCTACAACAGTGGTCTTAGAACACCTGTAGACATTCTAGTGCATATACCCTAGGTACTAGGCAAGTGAAAAGAATGTATAATAAGAGCAGAATCAGAACTTTAGACCTGGAAAGAACCTAGGATATTATTTTTAACCAATCGCATCATACAGATAGAAAATTAAGACCCAGAAGGAGGAAACCAAAAGAAGATCTAGTCTATGAGGCTCCAGGAGCTGGGCCGTATGTGTCATCTGCACCCACAATGGCACATGACCCAGAGCAGTCAGGTAGCCTGCCTGGAATCTGCTGCTATTGGAGACCAAATCATTTCTTCTGATACCCCATATTTAGTCCAATTCCCAAAAGGACAGATGCCTCTTTAAATAAGCTTTATCACTGACATTCTAACTATGACCCTCTCCGTCTATTTTAGGGTTAAAAAAGACCTAATGGTGTCACTCAGACCACCTCAGGGATTTTCCTTTTAATCTTTCTCTAGTTTCTCCTACAATCAGCAATCTATATCAGTTCTATACATATACTAGATGTAGAATTGATGTTTTATGATGATAAGAATTACAGTGATGATGGTGGTGGTAGTAACAGTGGAGGCTGCAAACGTTTTGAGTAGACTGAAGCATAAAAAATACCAAAAATTCTTCCATATATAAGTATATTTTCAGATAGTCAAGTATAGGTAAGAATTCAATGAAAAATACCTATCAGATAGCTTCTCCACCCTGACTATTCTATCAGCAAAACCAGGAATACAAAGCTGGGCTTCCAGCTGCATTTTTCTCAGAGTGTAACTAGCGATTCACAAAATTTACCCCTATTTTCCCAACACTAGTAATCTAAAAAAAGAGCTGGGGTAATTTTTCCTATCCTTCCCAGATGACATTGCACCTTTTCTGATTCACCACACCATTAGAATCTCAGAGAAGCCACTAAGTAGTAAGTTTAGCTACACCTTCATCAAGAAGAAAGAATAGTGCCTGGGTTCTATTCACAGATCAGCAGATATTCACTGAGTATGTATTCTTTTACCTTAAGTTCCACAACCACTAGACTAACTTCATGAGAACTTGCCATGGTCTTCCTTCCTGACCAGCCATGCTGTCACTTACCAAGGACACCATCATGTTGTTGGGATGAGGTCACTTGTTATGGTGGTCAGAATCATGCAATGCCATTTAAGAGAATATTTCTTATAGAGTATTATTAAATATAATTTTCCCTAAATTCCAACAACAATTACACATTGCAAGATCACACCTGATAAAACATTCCCTCCTGACTAGCACCATACTGAGCCTTTTATGTGAAAATGCATAAGAATAATAAATCCAACTCTAATCTCTGGTCTTGCTTCCATAGGTCCAGTTAGTTGTTCCATACAAATTTCTAAAGTAAGTAAAGAAATGTACTAATCAGATTAGCCAGTAAGTCCATGTGAAGGAGAATCAGTACATTATTTGTTAGACAGTGATTGTGTTACTTAAATTCATAGGTGGACTATATCATTCAAACTGTAACATATAAAATATATTTACTAGCAAGTTGTGTGCTTGGATACTCAATCATGAAGAAACATTTTGTAAGAGATTGAGCAAAGACTTTCAAAGCTATTGCTCCAAGGATTTGTGGACATTGTTCAAAACTGATAGTATACATGTATACAGATGCTACACATTCAACTGTTCTGTTAAGTTAGTCGGTTGGGGAGTAATAAGTATAAAAATATTTACCCTTGTGAAGTAAACACTTCATAGTTCAAGTGAATGGAAAAAATTTACAATCTTTGCACTAGTTATTGCAAAGACATCACAGAGATATACCCACCACAGAGATTTATACATAAATTATTCCAATTCATACAGAAACCCAGGTAAATGCACAAGGAGCTGTCTGATTGTGTGTGGATTTATACCTGTCAGCTAACTCAGAGATCTTGATGCCAAAGCCAGCACTCAGGGGTGGCATATGGATTTGTGATGCTCCAGGGAAGATACTGAGTCTATAAACCAACGAATAGATTTTAAAGTGGCACAATTATAGTGTTGCACGAAAATTCATTCTACTTCTTTCATCCACAAAAAAGCAAAGGTTAGTCTAATATGTTTGGAGCAGCATGTTATGATGGAGATTATCACAAAATCTCAGAGCTGGAAGATGATCTTCTGGTACAACCCTCTGTATGAGAGTTAGTCTCTCTACCACATCTCTACCTAATTTTCCTGACTATGCTTCGACACTCCAGTGATGGGAAACTCACTGCTTCTAAGGAAGCCCAGTTGATCTGCAAATATCTTCGACTACTAAAAAACTTCTTCCTTCCATCAATTCAAAATCTCTTCCTATAGGTCCCACCCATTTTGTCCCAGGGGGCCTACACAAAAGTCCAATGCCTCTTCCAGGTTACAACAGTTCAGCACTTACTATGGAGCTCTCAAGTTTTCGGGCTTCTCTTCTACCTCATCATCCTCAGTACCATCAGCCATTTTCCATGTTGCTTTCACCCCTCCCATATCAGTATTGAGTTCTAGCTTAAAATCTGTCCAGAAATATATGACCCAAGGAGGAAAACAATTAAAATTCTCTCTCTCAATTTCCACATCTGCAAAATAGAAGTGCTACCTCCAAGATCATTCAAAGGGTCAAATAAGAAATAGAACATAGAAGCTCTCTGGACAGTTAAATGTGACTAATAAACATAAGGAATATATTTCTATGGATCAGAAGAACTAACTTTCAATAAGGTAAAAACCACTGTATCCTAAGAAAATAACTCTTCAAATAGTAACACCAAAGAAAGTTTTGCCAATAATTTACTTTAATATTATTTTAATATAAATACAATTAAAACTTTCAACCAACTTGTTTTTCTGAAAAATGACTCTCCCATTATGATGGGTCTATTTATATGTCCCAATGACATCCAAACTCAAAGCCTGTGAAGCCAATAGATTTCCATGAATGACAGAGACATGACTGAGTCAGAGATGAATAATGACATAGCCTCTGAAGCTTTCAACTTTCTGCCATTCCTTTGAATAAAACAGTGTTTTAACACTTTTCTTAACAGTCCTCACCCCCTATAATCCTTCATGACTCCTTCATGCCTTCAAAATACAATCTAAATTCCTTTCATTATCTGGCCCAACTAGTTCTTCATCTCATCTCTAGCTACTCTCCCTCCCTCACTCCATATGTAGAGCATGCACTTAACCTGCCTTGTTCTTTCTTGCCTCTCTGCCTTTACACATTGCATCCAGGGCTCTAAAGTCAATGTCCCACTTTACTCAGAAAGCAGATTTTTCTCATCCCTCAAACCTTTGCTCAGATATCCCCTCTTCCAGAGAGTCTTACCTGAACCATCAAGGCAGTTTGCGTTTCCTGTTTCTATCGTGCTTATTTTCTTCTATTGAGATGGTCTACTGACTTTTCTGTCTTCCCTATTAGAGAGTAGATTCCTTGAAATATATATATGTTATTCATCTTGGAATAATTAGTAACAAGCACAGTGCCTTGCACATAGCAGGTGCTCAGTGTGTGTTGAATGACTAATTAATTTATATGTATAGAGAGGAAACACATATATGCAGAAAATAACCATTTGATAAACTCAGCAAATGGCACCAATCTTGCCTAATCTATATCAGAATTCAGGACTAACTCAGAATTGAAGACCACCTTTTTTAATAGTCAAAGGTGTAACCTATATCCTCCTTAGTTTTTCTACCCATTCTTTATCTCTAGAACCTCTTTATCATTTGTAATTAACTTTTCACATATTCACATACATTATGCCATGTAATCATTAAAACTACTACGAGATCATGTTCCTTAGCTGGGATTTAATAAAACAACCTCAGTATGTCCAAATGGTATAGTAAGTTAGGCAATGAACTGGGAGTTCAAAGAGCTAAGCTCAAGTCTCTGTTTTACTGTTTAACTACCAGTGTGTTATTGGAAAGATCCCCTAATCCATCTAAACTGCAGCTCCCTTTCCCACTTTGCCATCCACAGTGAAGGTAAATTGTTATTTTTATACATTGTTGTCATCATTATCCAAGTTGGCATTTGGAGGTAGCCAGTTCAGCCAGAAAAAGCATAGACTGTATGGTAAAATGGGCCCCGTTTTTAATCCTAACTACACTACATAATAGTTGGGTGACCCTATTAAGAGGTTAAGCCGCTTACTTAACCTCTCTGAGACAGTTGTCTCACATATACAGATACTAATAATTTTCTTTTAGGTTATTTTAAAATGTAGATGACATAAAAAGTAGAAAAAAACATTTGTATATTTTTAAAGTGCCAATAAAATTGTTATTATTTTTGTTTGGCCAGTTTTAAGAATGGCATATTTATCCAAGTGCTTTGCATGCATCATTATAAGAATGTTTAATAGATGTGACTTTAAAAACTTAACTGATAACTGTACCTTAGCTTATAAAAGGCTCTGAGAAGTCCTGCTGTAGAGAGAGCTGTTTAACTTTGTTTAATCTGTCATTTTCCCAACTTATTTGAACATGGGACACAATCAGTGCCTTCTGGAATAGCAAGCATGACAAGAGCAGAAAAAACTGCATTTTCCTCACATTTTTCCCAGATGACTCTCATGATGGAGACTCAAAAACAAAACCCAGAAGAGTAAGAATAGTGAAAATGCTCCCCACTCTACCATCCACTGACTCATTATTTACAATGTGCATATTTTCTGGAAAATAATTAACTATGTACATACATACATAGGAGAAATTCAGGTAGAGTTTTAAGAGTAAACTTCATAATTTCTGAAGGAAAAAGACATTTGGAGGCAATTGATCAAAAGCATGAGGACTAAAAACTGTTCTCTTAGGGAATTTGTGATTCCCACTGGCTAAACTGCACTCTTAGTAATTTCTGGAATCATATGAGAAAAATAAGAAAGGAAAGTACTTTCGCATTCATTCACAGGCACAGTTCCTTTAAAGTCATAATTGCTCTTTTCACATGGTAGCAAAAATTCACTTTATTATTTCAAATAGCTCTTTCCCAAGCTCACCTCCTGCGACTTTAAAAGCTGCCATTAATTTCCCATTAGTAAACTTTAATTAAAATGAATATGTATCATTGCTTTTAGCAGTTGCATTGTAACATATGTATAAATACATGCAAATCTTACCCACAATGTTTCAATGGCTATTTCTAAACAAGCAAATGCTTTGATGTTATTTCAAAAGACTGTATTTAGAGAAAGCTTTTAGAATCTGGTCCTTCCCTAAAATAATTAGAATTTCATGGAAACACAAGAAGCAGTTACCAACCTAGCTAAAATCTATTTTATTGATCCCAGAAAGTAGCATGTTAAAACATGAATAATGACCTCTGTGCTTTGAACCACTCAGTACTCTGGTGTTTCTGCAATATTTGTGTATAATGTATTGAAAAGAAAAGCTAGAAGAGGCACAGGGATGCTTCTAATTTAAGGAATCATAGTGAGTCTAATAGAAAAATCTGAGATGAGTTGCACTTCGTCGGCTTATTAGCAAAGATGCGTCTACTCCCCCAAAGTTCCACATGAATGTTCAACACTCAGAGAAATAGAAACATATTAGAGCGCATCTGAGTGTTAAGTTCCATAAGCTTTCTTATCCCTTTCCAACTTCCTACATTAGGCTAAAGTTTTGTTTTTTTGAAAAATATACTTCATAAACAGAAAATGATGCTGATTAGTCTTAGATCACGCTTTCACCAGATTACTCTGGCATCCCCCAAATATTTTAATCAGAATCTGAGAATAGTTAGATTAGATGATAATTCAAACTTATCTACTACACACATTATTCTGAAAATGTTGACAAATATTTCCAGAATATTATATCTGATAATATTTCCAACTACAATATTCCTCCTAGATGATCATGCATTATCAGTATTAACTTTAAAGCCTCTAAGGAAAATACTATAGAAATGCTTAACTAAAAGGAGCCATGTGTGACCACAGTTTCTCCAAGTCTGGGTCAGTTAATACATTTGTCTGACAGCCTGCGGTTTTCTTTCTACATTCAAACCTTACCCTTCCATCCCTTCTCTCCCCGCCCCCACTCCCTACCTCTGAAATAACTTTTCTGTATGATAAGTTGGCCCAGTGGCTATGGTCTCTCTGACATGTTTTTAGGCTCATATCTTTTCCTAATTATTTCTCACATTCTGTATATTATTCCCCTAGAAAATTAAGAATCATTTTTCAATTGGGGAGATGTTTGGTTTAGAAGGTATAGTAAACACAACTATAATTAAAAGGACTTCCTCGGTTCACAGAATTTAATATCAGATTTTTCATAAAGAATCAATCTGTAAAAAAAATTACAGTTTTTCAGTTAACAGGATAGAGAAGTATTTGAATTATTTACATAAGTCTAGAAACTTGAAAGGTGGTTAAAATTAAGTGATTTCCAAATCTTGATAAAGTTTGAAAAAGTTAACAAATGGAATGTTAAGCTTAATTTACCAAATTATCAGATTAGAAATGCTAATCAGATGCATCCTAGCCAGTCAGTAATTTCAGTAAGTAAATTAAGCACTTAAGTCCTTCATCATACTTGAAGAGCATCAAGCTATAAGTCTTCCCAATAGTCATCCATGGGAAATATAGCTATCATATTTAACTAGAATTTCAAAAAGTTACTTTGAGTCCAAAATATGTATGAAGGTTCCAACATCAATTTGTCTGACTACATATCAAATATCACTTTTTCAGAAAGTGTGTGCTTGAAAAAAAATGTTTCACAATCTGGAAGGTCACCATCTATGGCAATGTTCAGTCTGCTTTACAAAGCTCTGGTCCCAGGAAAGGTTGTGAAATCACCACACTTGCTCTTCTCAGGTGAACATATGGTTGTTCATCATAAATAAAAAGAAGTTTGTGGTTCTAGTCCACAAATCCTCTAACTTGTTTCCACAGGTGATACTTCGGCATAGTCAAGAACTCACATCTTTTATCACAAAAATAGCCACAAATAAAATTGAAAAAGAGCACCAGTACCACAGAGTGTAGTCCCATATTGGTGTACTTTCTAGGAATTGTCCTCATTTCGCTTATACCACCTGTTTACTAAGTTATTTTAAAACCAAAAAAGCTCTGACATGTTAGAATCTATAGACTTCCATATAAGTAATTTTTATAGATGTAAAATATTGCTTCGAAATCTGCTAGTAGCATATAAAAGTCAAAAGAATGTATTCCTGAGCATACTATTTCATTCTGCTCCTAAGTCCATGCAGTGACTGTTCAAGTGGTGGTTTCCCTCTGCCCAAGTTTAGCCTTGTATTCCAGTTTATAACTGAAGTGATCCCTGTGTAAAAAGACTTGGTAGATCAGATGACAAGCAGCAAAGTAGCCAACGAAGATACCAAGTACAACTAAAGTTAACATGGTGCCCCACCCCTTTTCCAAAGGCTTGTAATTATATGAGAAATTAGATATGGAGATATTGCAAGATAATCAGAAAGGGCACTCTAAAAGTAAATCTGGGCCCCATAAAGCTTACTGAATCATGCTCGGGGATATATATATATATATATATATATATATATATATATATATATACAAAGTCATTTGCCTATTAGGATCTTTACTTTGAGTAAAGCACTTCTCCAGCAGTGATCATTAATATGTGGGTACTTTTGAGCAGCAGCAACTCCCATTTCACTAGAATTAGCAATTTTTTTTCCCCAGGGAACAAAAGAAACCATCCAAATGGCAACACACACCTCAAATTCAATATAATAATAAAGGAATTTTAGAAGATGTGACAGGAATCCTCTCCTACTCACTGAAACAATATCACTAAAAATGGGGAAGCGGGGAGGGGGGTTGTGGCATGCCAAGAGCAAGAAGCCAGTAAGGCAGAGTGGGAAGACAGAAGGGATGAGGTGATCGAAACCACTTTGCTGTCCTTCCCTTGCTTCTCACTTCCCTCCCACCCTAGACTGAGATTGCAAATTTTAAAAATGCAAGCCCCAGTTCAAAAGAAACCCAAAAAACTGGAAGAGTGTGACTAGGGTTACTACCAAAGCAACCCTGAAAGATTTCCGTGCAAAAGCAAAGCAGTGGGGATGTAGTAGCAGCAGCAAGCCTCCCTTTTCCCCCACCCATTACAGTACCTCCAGATTTGCCCGAGCTGCAAGATGTGGATGAGTGACTGCAGGAGCCAGATGCAGAAGGAGCAGGACGCAGACCTGTGCTTGCCACTGGCCCGGGTAGCCCCGCTGCTGTTGCTGCCGCTGTTGGCCGCGGCGATGTTGCTCTTGCTGGCGTTAGATGCTTGCCTTTGCGGCGTGGAAGGACGAGCCTCGCCTTCCCCGGCTGCAGACCCACCGCCGACCACCGTCTTGCAATCGGCTCCAGGCTGCGGGCAGCTGGAGGCAGCAGCGGCCGTGGCGCTGTCCTCGGTGCTGAAATCGTGCACAAACCAGCGGAAGCTGAACACTTGCACCGACAGAGAGCCGAGCACCACGAAGAAGAGCGTGAGCCCGAACCACCAGCGCTGGCCGCGCAGGTAGTAGTCCACGGCGAGCCAGACGTCTGTGCCCACGTCCGCGAAGTACACGGCCACGGCGGCCAGGATCCAGAGGCAGTCCCACAGTGAGTAGCGCCGCTGCTCCCTGCCCAGGCGCAGGCACAGCGCAGCCGAGCCCGCCCCGCCGCCGCCCGGGCCGGCGACGCCGCCGGAGCCGCCCGAGCCCGCGGAGCCGCCACTCCCGGCGCAGCAGCAGCAGCAGCGCGAGCAGCCGCCGCCGTCCGGGCAGCAGCCGCCCCCGGCCGCCTCCTCGTCCTCGGCTCCCGACCCCGACGGCAAGCCTGGAGCCAATCCCTGCACCGAGCCCGAGTGGTCCGAGTTCTGCAGCGGGGTGAACGCCACGTCGCTGCTTTTCTTCATTTTCAGCCTCCCGTCTGATTTAGCGGCCATGATGCCTCCACACCGGAGGAGAGCCCTCCTTTATCTGACACCTTTCCCCGCTGTCTCCTCCTCCCGCCACCTCCTCGCCTCGCCCCGGCTTCCCTCCCAGGCGGTGCGGCTCCCCCTCCTCCTGCTCCTGCGTCGGCTCGCCTGCCGTCCGCCGCCGCCCGCCGCCCGCCGGGCTGGGCGCTGGGCCGGGCTAGCGGCGCGCCTGGGGCCGGCAGGAGCGCCGCCTGGCTGCCTGCGCGGAGCCAAGCTGCTCGCGGCGCCCCGCGCGCGCCCCTGCCCGCCGCCCGCGCTCCTCGCCGTCCCGGCTTCGCTGCTGCCGCCCGAGCCGCCGCCGCCGCCAGCAGCAGGAGCAGCAGCGGCCGCCGCGGCGCTCCTCGGACCTGCACATTCCTCTCCTCCCCTCGCGCGCGCTCCCTCCTCCCGCTTCCTCTCCTCCACCAGCTGACTCCGAGGGAGAGGATGACCTCATCCCTTCTCTTCCAGCTGCCGTCGCTCCCACCCTGGCTCGGGAGGGGCGAGGGAGGAGGAGGGACCCGGAGGAGGGGCCGGGACCGAGAGGAGCGGCGGGCGGGGGTTGGGGGACTGCCCTGGCGGGTCCCAAGGGCCGGGAGGAGCGGCCAAGGGGGCCTGAGGGTGACAGTCGAAGGCCCCCACTCCCGGGATTTCGGAACGCTGGGTGGATTTGAGCGACACTGGGGGAGGGGGAGGAGCGCGCTGAGAGGAGGGGTCCCTGCGTGCAGCCCTCGCGGAGGACGGCGGAGAGTGGGCACGGACGGGTGTGGCGGCAGCAAGGGCCAGGGAGGAGCAGGCCTCTTTGTATTCCGGTCGGAGCCGCCAGCACCTGGAGAAGGGCTGGGAGCGCGGCTCTGGCCGACGATGGTGGGGAGAATGGGTGTAACTCGGGCGCCCGGGCTCGGAGGCCAGCAGCGGCAGTGGGCGTGCCCGGCCTTGCCAGAGAGTGCAGGGGAGAGAAAGGCGTACGGGGCTCGGAGCGCGGAGCCTGGTGCCGCGCCGGCAGCTGAGGGCGGGCGGGTCCGCTGGGAGCCCCGAGCCAGCGCCCTCGGTGGAGGCAGCCGGCATTCCGAGGGCTCCCGGCTTCTCCGGCGGGCGGGGGTGCCTGAGCTCAGGCAGGTGCGGAGGCGCTCCCGCCCTTCGCGGCCCAGGCCCCTGCCCGACGCCGGGGTCCCTCGCACGTTCTCGGCGGCTGGAAAGCTCTGAGCCGGGAGGAGCGGCAGCCCAGTGGGCACCGCACCGGCCCTCGAGGCGTCCTGCGGCAGGTGGGAAGCGCAGCACCCCTGGCGGCGGCGCGGGGCGCGGCCGGCAGCCGCGGGAAACCGAGTGCCACCCCACCCCCGGCCCGCGGGCGGGGAGTGGCGGAGCCCGGAGCAGGCGCCACCTCCCTTACTCCTTACTCCAAAACTAGAAATACCTTCTCTTAAAGCTATAGGGATTGCAAACTAGCTGTGTGGTCCCACAACTCCAGAAATGACTCGAAAAATTAAATCTGTGATCGGAGTGATTCAAGGAGAATACAAAATATGTTGTGGTTTTAAGAGATTTTTAAAACCTCAATAAAATATAGGATCTTCATTTTTTTAATAAGGAAACTTAAGCTTTGATTTGTCTCACTTAGCTTTTGCAAATGTAAGAAATAGAGAGTGTAATTCTTAAATTATACTGTGACTCACATACTTGGGAGGTAAGTGAGGCAACACGAGTTACACTGCCACTAGGAGCACCAGTTGGATCTTCTAAATCAGGAGGCAAACCATGACACCCCCCACCCACCCCCGCTTCTCTCTGGTAGGCGCCAGGTGAGTTCGAACTAGTACACAGTGCCATTCTTAATGAGTAACATTATGAAATAGAAGTGCACGGATTTCTCTGCACGTGGAAAGAGCCGCCTCACGCATTGTGTGCTACGTATCAAGGGCTGTGTCATCACCAACCTGGATAAAGTGGAATTTGCCCCACGCTCTGGATTCATTGCCTTTTATTCTCACAGACTGGTGCCCAGGACCCTCCCTTGGTTGGCCTTGACCTGACATTTTGGCAGGAGGGTGTTGAGTCATAGAGTCTCTACACGATTACATGGCATGTACAAATCCGGTATTTCTAGCGAAAGGAATAGCCAAGTGATGGCTGAGGGGCAACACAGTCCCACTAAGATGCTTAGTATGCCAGGCAAGCGGGTATATTTTTAAATCCAGCTTTAAAATTGGGTCTTCTTGGAGTAGAAGAATCCTTTTTTGGAAAACACCCTGATTCTATTTCTCCGGAGTCCAAATCTAAGATTCCATCTCCAGGGTGCTACTGCTGATCTTACTCTCTGCCAAACCACTAGGGAGAGAAATGATCTCTTAGGTAACTGGGTCCTAAGGGATGGAGTGTATTCTAGGTCAAATGCAGTGTCTTAAATTACACCAGGCATGAAAAGGCCCTGCAGAGTATCTGAGGTGCTGAAGACCTGGGGCTGACTAAAGGTTCCCCTAAAACAGGATGTTTCTTATTCGACTGTATCCTCTGCACCTGGCACAGCACATGCACAGACTATTTGCTCAATAAATATTAGTTGAGTGAATGCATGAATTTATAGAAAGAACATTCCATGACAGGAAGAATGCTGCATTCTGTGCTAACGAATGTTCCCATGGAAACACAGGAATTATGAAACTTTTTATGTTAGGTTCTAAAAAGAAATAACTAGTAACGGTTTCTTTATCAATACATTTATTCAAAAGTCTCTTTAAGGTTGCTGTCTGAACCATATCTGGAAAGTAATGGTGACGGGTAGTTAGTGGCAGGAGTTTACAAGCAGGAGGTCAGAGGATGAGCTTCACATCCAGGCTTTGCTAATTACTGGCCCCATGACCCTAGCAAATTAATACACAGGATTAATATGAGGATTAGATGAGATCATGTATATTACAGGGCTTTGTATACAATACTGTTCTCAAGAGTCTCTAATCTCATAAGTCTAGTAATCACATTTTAGGATATAGATTTTAATATTAACTGCTCTATCATAATCATTGCACCTGTCAAGGCAGGTGGACATAATGGTTGCAAGTTCAGAGTTTGGACTTATCTTTGTGCATGTTATTTAACTTGCCTGTCCCTCATGCTCATCGTTTGTTAAATAGAGACAATAATGATCTCTAGAATTTGGTCTTGTTGCCAGAAACAAATACTAATACTAATAACAAGGAGGCATGTGAACTGTTTAACGCTGTGTCCAGCACACTCCACACACAACATTCTGTTAATATCTTTCCTGTTTCTTCCAGCCCCCTCATGTCTTCTGGCTTCTAAACTTTTGTGTTTGGCTCTCCATCTCTACTTAAAACTAGAGTTCCTCAAAACACAGTCCTTGGACTACCTGCATCACAATCAGTTGTTGTTTCTTACAGATTCCTGGCCTATCAGAAATGTGATCTCTCCATCAATGATTTTGTCTTCCATCCAATCTGAGAGATTTATTCTCATTGTATAACCCAGGGGTCCCCAATTCCTGGGCCATAAACTGGTATAGGTCAGTGGCCTGTTAGGAACTGGGCCACACAGCAGGAGGTGAGCTGTGGCAGGCAGGGTGAAATTACCACCTGAGCTCCGCCGCCTGTCAGATCCGTGGAGGCGTTAGATTCTCATGGGAGTGCGACCCCTATTGTGAACTGCACATTGAAGGGATCTAGGTTGTGTCCTCCTTGTGCGAATCTAACAAATGCCTGATGATCTGAGGTGGAACAGTTTCATCCCAAAACCATCCCCCCAACAACCCCAGTGGAAAAATTGTCTTCCACAAAACCGGTCCCTACTTCCAAAAGGGTTGGAGACAGCTGGTATAACCTAAACCTTAGCATTACTCAACAGCTTCATAATCTCCACTTTACATACCTCACACTCTGATTAACCCCTCCTAACTCATGAGCTCACTCTCTCCTGTACCCCTGGACCTGTTTTCTACCTCCTTTTCATGTCCCTTAACCCCTTCATGCCCCCCCTTTCTTCTTACACGATGTAAATTCCATGCTCAATCATGATAGGCACCTCTCACACACTTCCTCATCTCTGTTGTCCCTCTTACTCGACAAAACACCAGCCCTGGTTAAACTCTGTTCTCCACCTACATCAGGCCTGACCCTGTGTAACTGGCTGTAGCTGGAGAAGGGGCGTGGCCCTGCACACTGCACTTCTTTCTATCCTGGACCTTTACCCTGAAGTGGACCCAAAGGCTGCTCCACAGTCACACCTCATCTTCCCAGTCCATTTGCATTCCTGCTCTTTTAAATTATGTCTTTTTATATTTTCCTTTCTCAAGCTTTAAACACCTCCTTCCCCATTCTTACTCTCCCCTGATGACTCTGCTTCCTATTTCACTGAGAAAGATGAAGCGACCAGAGCAGAACCCACACAAGCGTTCAGCACCTTCTCTGCCCACCTGCCAGCACGTGTACCACTCAGCCTCCTGCTCTACAAGGCCAACTCCCTTGCTGTTCACCAGCCCCCACCCCTCTTACTGCTCAAGAGCTCAATTCCACACTCATTGCTTCAATTATCAATGTTCCCTCTCTCCTGTACATCAGTGTACAAACACACTCCTATGTATCCACTAGTTAAAAAACAAAGCAAAACAAAACTTTTGATTCCAATTCCCTTTCTAGTCACCACTGCACTTCCCTGAAACCTTTTGCAACAAAGCTCTCTAAAGTTGCCTAAACTTGCTTTCTTCAATTCCTGTTCTTCGATCCTCTCTTGAACACATTCAAATAAACCAACAATTGCTCCACTGGAACTGTTCTTACCAAGTCGCTGGCAGCCTATTGCCACCTTACTGAACATTTCAGTCTCACCTTCCTTGACCCCCTAGTGGCATTTGACATGGTAGAACCTTCTCTTCTCAGTGAAATCTGCTCTTCCCTTGGCTTTCACTATATCACACACTCTGGGGTTTTCCCGTTTTGAAGTCTACTTCTTTGCTAATTCTGGGTCCCTTGCTAATTTCTTCTCATTTCTCCTACCTTTAAGCTGGTTCAGTCTTCATATCTTTCTCTACGTGTATTAGTCCATTCTCACACTGCTATAAGGACATACCTGAGACTGGGTAACTTATAAAGGAAAGAGGTTTAATTGACTCACAGTTCTGCAGGGCTAGGGGGGCCTCAGAAAACTTACAATCATGACAGAAGGAGAAGCAAACATGTCCTTCTTCACATGGCGACAGCAAGGAGAAGTGCTGAGTTAAGCAGGGGAAAAGCCTTTTTTAAAACCATCAGATCTCATGGGAACTCACTCACTATCACAAAAACAGCATGGAGGTAACTGCCCCTGTGATTCAGTTACCTCCCACCAGGTCCCTCCAATGACACATGGGGATTATGGGAACTACAATTCAAGATGAGATTTGGGTGGGGACACAGCCAAACCATATCACTACCTATTCTCACTCTCTTGATACTTTCATAAAATGTCATGTTTAAAATTACACCTATATGCTGGTGACTCCTGTATTTATTTCCCCAGGCTGGAAACCCCCTGGATCCCAGAATACACCCAACTGCTTTCTCAACATCTCTACTTGGATGCCTCTAGGCATCTCAAATTTAAAACATCCAAAACTGAACTCCAGATCTTCCCCCTTCAAAATCTGCTGCTTCTTCCTCATTTCCTTTAATGACAATTTTGTTCTTTAAGTTTCTCAAGCCAAAATAGGGTCGTCATCCTTGACTATATCTTTTTCTTAGACCCCTTGTCTCATCTGCCAGAAAATACTTCAAATTACATTTTTGAAGCCAGGTGTGGTGGCTCACACCTATGATCCTAGAACTTTGGGAGGTCAAGGCAAGAGGATTGCCTGAGGCCAGGAGTTTAAGACTAGCCTAGGCAACATAGTGAGGCCCAGTCAGATGTTAGCAGTAATGCATATTCTGGTGTGGCTTCTGTGTTGGCGTCTACTAGGATAAGTTCAGAGTTCAGTGGGAAGTGTGTAGGCTCTCTGCAGAATGGAGAAGTTATCCTGTTTCCCCATGTTTGTCACCACAAAGTGAGGTGGAATCTTGGATTGGAAATCAGAATTATAAGGCCCTAGGTAGGCAGGTAACAGAGCAAGACCGCCTTGAAGGTGGCCTAGAGGTAGGAATTAGGTATCTGAATGAAGGGAGGAGAGTACCCCACTCACAATAAGGATAGCCAAAGGAGGATATGAAGTGAAGGTGTAAAGAAAATGAAACAAGACTTATGGCTACTTGGAAAAAAACATTCCAGGAATAAAGAACAGCACATGCAACCACCCTGGGGCAGTAGCTTTCCTGGTGTGTTTGAGAACTAGTAAGGAGAACAGTGTAGCTGGAGTGGATGAAAAGAGTAGCTAAGGAGTCAGAAATAGGGTTAGAGAAAAACCGATTGTCTGGGGGTCAGATTATGTAGGACCTTGTATGCTAATACAAAAACTCTCCTTTTCATGTGTGCAAGATGACAAGATATTGGACAACTATAAGCCAGGGCTGGCTTCATGGGTGTGCAACCAGAGCAGGTACACAGGGCTCCATGCTCAGAATGTCCTCATGCTTCAGTGCTCTCATGTCTCCAACATTTTATCTTTGAATGTGTGTTTTGTAAGTGAAGTGCAATGGGATGACAGAGCATGTGCCAGGGACCTGGAGCCTCAGCTCACATATGCTCCTGGCTCCCTGTCTTCCTAGGATGGACTCCAGATGCTTACTAACTACCTCCTGGAGTAGCCTGCCTGGCTACTCCCTCTGTGCTATTGCCCACCACCCCAGTGGGGGCTTGGGCATAGAAGTGTGGGTGTCAGAGTCAAGCATGTGCCCCATGACATTTCAGGATGAGAAAGGGTGACTCTCTCCTCCCTGGGCTGGCAGCACCAGGTGCATTCAGCCAAAGACTAAGTTGGGGCCTGTCACCCACCTGGGATCCAGGTGCTGATCATGTCCAGGTAAAGACCACACTCTCTTAGAAATTGCTTAGCCACTGTGGGTTGGGGTGGAGGTCAATGGGAAGGGGGATTTATTTCCCTGACCCTGGCTGGGGTCCTGCATTTTAGTTTGCACTGGGCCCCACAAGTTATGTAGCCAGCTCTGAGGAGCAGTCAGTGAGTAGTTGAATAGTGTGATCTGGCATGCTTTTTAAAAGGATCACTGACTGCTCTGCTGAGGGTAGGGAAGCAAGGGTGAAAACAGAAAGACCAGTAAGAAGACAAGAATCTAGCTGAGAGAATTGTGTGTCAAATCAGGGGGATCAGGGAGGATGGTAGGAAATAGTCAAAAATATTTATGTATTTTTAAGATGGAGTCTCAGCTATCATTCAAGCTAGAGTGCAGTGGCATGATCATAGTTCTCTGCAGCCTCAACCTCCTGGGCTCATGTGATTCTCCCACTTCAGCTTCCCAAGTAGATGGTACTACAAGTGTGTGCTACCACACCCAGCTATTTTTGTTTTTTAATTTTTTGTAGAGATGAGGTCTCAATATGTTGCCCAGGCTGCAAAATCCGTTTTTGTAATTAACTTTCCAGATATCCATTTAATAAAGGGAATAACACATGGCTCTGTAATGTAATGTTAAACTATGAGATTAAAAGCTTACAACCAAGAGGAAATAAAATTATGTTATGCCCTATGTTTTTCAAATACATTGCCTTACTAAAGCCTCATTACACGTTTGTGAAATAAACCCAGACAGATCTACTACTACTATTTAAAGAAGGAGAGAGAGAGAGAGTCAAATAAGACTTTGAGAGTTTGAAAGACTGCCCAATACCACAATTCCTATGGGATAAGTTAAGAGGATGTAATGTTTTTCTCCCAAAACTACAGAGACTCTTGAAGCATTTAAAATAAAAGAGTGGCATGCCTGGTTTTGTGTTTTGAAATATGCATTATGGTAGCAGAGTGGAGAATTAAAGGGCGACTTTGTATAAAACCTTTCTGATTTATGATAGTCCACTAATCTCTCATGTATACTCCATGCCCAGAGCCTAACACAGTGTCTGGCATATTAACAGACATTTAATAAATATTCTAGAAAAAGCTTTCCCAGACAAATACTCTGCAGCTCTTCTGAGGATTGTTAGAACTATAATTGTTGCTTTTGAAATGCTAAAGCTTGAACAGCATAGAGACTGCCGAAATGCTACTCAAAAAATCAGCAAAAATGACTGTTCAGAAAAAGTGAGGGCAATGTTAAAAGACTAAAGTTTAAAAGTTAGTTGAAGAAGGAGCAGGTTAGTGCTAAGAGATACAAGTACCAACAATTGTCATTAGAGGAATTGAGGGGGTTGAGTTGTCCCAAAATTTTAATTTCCATATTGGCATAGCAATATCAACTAAGTAAAGGAAAAAACCACAAAGAATGTAGGTTAGGGTCCAAAATGAAGTATCTCAAATGCTGGGAACACAGGTTTAGATTTGAAGTCAATTGAAAGATTGAACACAGGTTTAGATTTGATGTCAATCAAAAGATTGACATCATTTTCCAATAGGAACAAATGATAAATGGTGATTAAATCCCCAAGACAGCCAATAAAACCTGTTTAACCCTGACAGCGCTGAAACGTAAATTTGCAATAGAAAAGCAGAAAACATATCATTTCCATACTGACACTTATTATTAAAAAATTAAGATTTATCAAGAGAGTTTTATTTCTATTAGAAGCTGGTACTTGAGAGAAAAGTAAGATAATGGAAAAGTAAATGAGCCCTTCAGAAGAAGGAACTTAATTCTTCCCACCAGGCCCCTCTTATTGTGGCCTGCGCTTAGCAGCTTGCTGCCAAAGAATAAAGTGTGGGAAGAGGAAGAATAACTTTATTTGGAGAATATTGCAAACATTCCCTTAGCGGGGTGATCAAGATCAACATCAAAAGGGATGGCCGCTGTCAACATGGAATGAGGACACTTCATTTCTGTGGTTTTCTTCCCCAAAACTTATGACCCCAGTCTAAACATAAGGAAAACAAAAGAGAAACATAAATTGAGAGACATCCTGCAAAACACCTGACCAGTATTTCTTAAGGCTGTCGAGGTCACTGAACATAAAGAAAATCTGAAAAACTGTCACTGCCAAGAGGAGCCAAAGGAGATGTGATGACTGAATGTCATGTTGTGTCCTGGATGGGATCCTGGAGCTGACATTAGTGAATGAAGCAGTGCAATGTGAATGAAGCCTATGAGGTAGTTAAAAGTATTGTACCAATGTGGATTTCTAAGTTGTGACAAATGTGCCATAGTAATGTGAGATGTCATGAATGGGGAAACTCAATGAGAGGTATATGGGGACTCAGTACCATCTTTGTTAGTTTTCTGTAAATCTAAAACTACTCTAAAATTTGTCGTTTTTTAAAATTGGAAAAACTGGTACTTGGAAATGATTAATAAAATCAATAAAGTTAAAAGCAAGAAAAAGAGAAAACAAAAATTATCAATATCCAGTGTGAAAGAGAGGCTGTCACTTCAAATTCCACTAGAATTTAAAAGGTAATATGTCATGGAATGACCATAGGGCTCAGCAATTGCAGCCTCGGGCATTTATCTTGGAGAAATGAAAATTTACATTTTCACGAAAAGGAATGTTCATGGCAGTTTTATTCGTAATTATCCTAAAAAAAAAAACACAGAACAATCCAGACACCTTTCAATGGGTGAATGGTTAAGCAAACTGCAGTACATTCACACTGTGAAATACTACTCAGCAGTTCAAAGTTACATACTGTGGGCCGGGTGTGGTTTTTACACCTGTAATCCCAACACTTTGGGAGGCCGACATGGGCAGATCACGAGGTCAGGAGATCAAGATCATTCTGGCCAACATGGTGAAACTCCATCTCTACCAAAAATACAAAATTTAGCTGGGCGTGGTGGCACGTGCCTGTAATCCCAGCTACTCAGAAGGCTGAGGAAGGAGAATCACTTGAACAGGTAGTCGGAGGTTGCTTTGAGCCGAGATTGCGCCACTGCACTCCAGCCTAGTGACAGAGCAAGACTCTGTCTAAAAAAAAAAAAAAAGTTATATACTGTGGTATAACCTTAGAGAATATTCTTCAAGTGATAAAAATACAGAAACGACGAAGAAATTAGTGCTTACCAGGAGTTAAGGATGGAGGAGATGGCTACAAAAAGATCCTGTCATGGTGAGAATGTTCTGCCTCTGGACTGGTGGGGAAGACACAAGCCTGCACATGTGATAAGTTGCATAGAGCTGAAAGTACACACGTGTATGATAGGGACATATTATAAGCAACTTTACACCAATAAATTCATCAACTTTTAGGAAAAAACACCTAGGAGGGTTTTGTAAATATATTGAAGGAGACCTTCCCACTTCTTTTTTAAAAATTTCAATAATACATTTTATTTGAGCCCTTATGTCAAAAATATTGCTATGTTAAGGATATAATCCACATAAAAATTACTGAGATATTTTACTTTTTATTAACCAAGTTATTGTAATCTGTTGTGTATGTGACTTTTACAGCACCTCTTAATCCATGCCATGCATTTCAAACGCTCAGTAGCCATGTGTGGCTGGTGGCTACCATAATGGACAGCACAATCCTGCCCAAATTAATAAAAAAAAAATATGGTGCCTGCTCTCTATAATGGTGGAACACATATTATTTTATTTTGAAAATTTACAGATAGGCCAATGGGATTGCTTTTTCCAATTTCAATTATTGTGGTTTGCAGGTAAGAGTTACAAGCATCCCATTCTAGTCTTCTGAGTTCCAAATCAATTGAGAACCAGAAACAAGTTTCACACATCTGTAGGTCAAAATATCAGCTTCAATGTTTTTTTTAAGGTGCATTGGGTAGTGTGGCTTCCATCCATCTGCACTAAACTTCCTAATCTTGGTCCCTGGCTCTGGCTTTGCACGACTTGTCTGCAGGGGGATGTGTAGAGAAGACTGAACTCTTACCCAAGGGTGTTTCCCTTAGATAAGGGGCTGGAGGAGACAGAACCAGGAAGAGGCTTTTTCCATTGTCACTAATCAGAAAAACACATTTTCCTCTCTTTCTGGGAGGAGGAAATTTGAAAAAAAGTCTTTCTGATATTCATTCACCTGGGGGACAGAGTGGACAGCCTCCTGTTCTCAGGGGCATTAAAAGCTGATGGTTCAGGTTCTTTCTTCTGATTTTACTTCAAAATTTATAGTTTTCCTTTTTGTTGATGCAGATATATCACTAGTATTTTTAACTTTAGGGCTTTGGGGATGTAAAGGGCTAAGAAATAAAATGCACATGAGATGGGGAGAGGGAGTAAGACAAGAAAGAGGAAAGATTTCTGTGAGAGATCAGTGGGAATTCAGAAGAGGGATAGAAGGAGGAATGGAAAGAACACGATGTGTTTTAATAAAGAGATGAACTTGCAGAAATGACCAAATGAGGCAAATAGAGGGAGTGGGCATAGCATGGCACAACCAGCCCAGGACTAGATAGCATGGAACCACAGACAAGGGCATCCCCTCCTGCTTCTGGGTGCTCCTCTTCCAGATGCAGGAATGGCACAAGGCAGGGCTTTTCTGCACACTGGATTCCATTATTCCAGGTGTTCACATATGCCTGGGAGGGCAGAATAAAGGATGTATTGGGAGAAGACACTGGATCAGGAATATACTCACTCACAGGTGGCCAGGTGACTGACCCCCCAGCTCAGGTTTGCTGGCAGTGGAGAGTGGCTGAGGATGGGCAGCCTGGTGGGAAGGGCATGCAGTGTGCACCATGTGCCTTCTTTGGACAGGGGCCACCTTTCAAGCCACTTTTAGAGACACTTTTTTTCCATTGTAGTGGCTTAAAGAGTGTCTCCCCAAATTCATGTCCACTTGGAAGGTTAGAATGTGACCTTATTTAGGCCAGGCACAGTGAGTGACTCACGTCTGTAATCCCAGCACTTTGGGAGGCCAAGGCAGGTAGATCATCTGAAGTCAGGAGTTCAAGACCTGCCTGGCCAACATGGTGAAACCCTGTCTCTACTAAAACTACAAAAATTAGCCAGGTGTGCTGGTGCATGCCTGTAATCCCAGCTACTCAGGAGGCTAAGGCAGGAAAATCACTTAAACCCAAGAGGCGGAGGTTGCTGTGAGCCATGATCACACCACTGCACTCCAGCCTGGGCAACAGAGCGAGACTCCACCTCAAAAAACGACAACAACAAAAAGTAACCTTACTTGGAAACAGAGTCTTTGCAGATATAATTAAGGAAAAGATTGAGATAAAATCATCCTGGTATTAATAGGGTAGGACCTAAAAAATCTAATGACAGTGTCCTTATAAGAGACAGAAAAGGGCACACAGATACACAAGGGAGGAAATGATGTGAAACAAAGGCAGCAGTAGGAGGGATGTCACCACAAGCCAAGGAATGCCAGGAACTACCAGAAACTGGAAGAGGCAAGGAAGGTTCTTTCCCCACAATTGGCATCAAGGAATTCTACAAAGGGTAAAGGTAAAGGCATTATGGTTTACAACAAAGAGATCCAGGTTGCCCTCTGCCAGTTCTATTTAATAAAGAAGGAGATATAGAAAGATGAAAGGCTAAATTGTGCCTAGTGATAAGGAACAGAGGGAATAAGTAGTAATCAAAGCTTTATTGGCTTCATGTCACATCAGAAATCCCGACTGCCACCAATTCTTGTCAAGTTCCCTCTGCACTGGTCCCTTCTTTGCTACTTGCTAGCTGCCTAACATGTGACATGTCCTCCAAGCCTGTGGGTCTCTGTGTGAATGAACATATGGAGGGTGCATTGGTGTTTTGTGGACCCCGCTATTTATATTCATGCAGCGCCTACTCCAGGGGGATTTTCTGGAAAACCAGAGAAGATGCAGTAGCTCTGTCTGTTAAGGTCTATTATTCCTAGAGCCGAGCATCTCTCTTAGTTGACCGCAAACTGATCATCACACATGTAGCACAGATCTCAAGTATCAAGAGTGTGGCCAAAAGTTTTCAAATTAATTACTTCATTAATGCAACAAACACGGAGGGCACACTTTCTAAGTGTAGACAGCTGCAGGGAGTGAGCATAGCGGTGCCTTAAATGACGCTGGACTTTAAGATCCAGCCAATCACAATTTCATTCTGGTACCCGATGGGTGAGTATAAAAAGTGGAGAAGATTGCCAGGCGCAGTGGCTCAAACCTGTAATCCCAGCACTTTGGGAGGCTGAGGTGGGTAGATCACCCAAGGTCAGGAGTTCCAGACCAGCCTGGCCAACATGGTGAAACCCCATCTCTACTAAAAATACAAAAAAATTAGCTGGGCATGGTGGCGGGCGCCTGTAATCCCAGCTACTCAGGAGGCTGAGCCAGTAGAATCTCTTGAACCCAGAAGGTGGAGGTTGCAGTGAGCTGAGATCGTGCCACTGCACTCCAGCCTGGGTTACAGAGCCAGACTCCGTCTCAAATTAAAAAAAAAAATGCGGAGAAGATGTAGATCACTCTTTCAAAAAGCTTTTGCTCTACCTTGGCAAATAAACATGCATACCAATAATATAACATGAAAAGTATATTAGCGATACATATAACATAAAACAAGAATTCAAGTAGTGTATAATTAACTCTGGAATCAGGGACAGCTTTGCAGAGGAGATGATGTGTGATGAGGGCTCCTAAAGAATTAGCAGGAATTCAGCAGGGAAGCAGAGTAGAGACATGTGCATGAAATCATGCATGGCACATTTAGTGAATTATGTGTAATTAATTTCACAAGAAGATAAGTACATGGAGAGAAGAGAATTTCCAAAACCGTCCACCTAAAGGGATATATTCAAGGTGTAAAAAGATGATGAGGGAAAAATGGGCCCATCAAAATCTGAATTGCTCTAACATCAATGTCTCTGGTATTGATGTGAGCAAATTCTGTCCCACAGCACTTGATCCTCACTATCCTTAATCTGCTTCTAGATTGGCTCCCAGGGCTTCGTTCATTCAAAGGTAGTGGAGAGAGCAGCTCCAGAGGGTCCAGAGACCCCATGCTCACCTCTTCTTTCCTACTCCTGAATCACCTTCCCAGCAGGAGCTCCCTTTGAAGTCTGGAGAGAACTGGGCCCTGCTCCAGCCGCTGCTGAGCTCCTTTTTCCTAATTAAGTTCCAAAGTTCCTTGAGAAAGTGCATTATAACAAACGGAGGTGATTCATGCATGCCTTGGAAAATATGAAGATGCAGAAAGCAGCGGAAATGGAAACTCCCTATTGTTTGTCTAAAACTGGAAGATATTGAAAAACCCAGTGGCTTTGCAGTTCAACTTTTCTTCTTTGCAAATTAGATGTAGATTGAAATTGGTTTTAATCATTCTGATAAAAAGATAAAACATAAAAATGAAAATGTACAATGCTGGGATAATTCTCTTTTCTGTCATACTCAAGCTTATACTGTACTTTCAAAAAAAAAAATCCTCAAACCTAACCAAAACAAGCAAAAACACTCAACACCCAGACAGAATTATAACAGGTATTTAATGTTTTAATGTTCCTGCTGCTTCCCTGCTTCCCCAAGCCTCTAGTGTGTGTTACCCATAAATTGTAGAACTATAATAAACCACTTGTCAGGATGGATAAAATATTTGATAATCTTTTACATAAACAATTTCAGGAGAATTTGATTTCAATTGAATTAAATTGAATCATGACAAATTGTTTAAGGTGATAACAAACAGACATTATTTAGTAAAACATCCACCAAAATGCAATGATATTATTTGAGATGCTGTAAAACTCTTAAGGAAATGTGTAAATACATTAGAAATATACAGAGGATTAATGGAAATAATTAAGTTAAATAGCCTGAAAAGCCTACCAAATGCTTTTTCTACTCAAATGCAATTTTTATTTTCTAAATTTACAAAGGTTAGGTGTAACTGTCTGCTTCACATAGGAACAAGTGCAAGGAGAAATATGGTTTTGATGAAATAACTCTCAGAAGGCAGATTCAAATGAGAAATTTGGTTTGCTGAAGCATGCTGTGGATACATAGTGAATATTGTGTGGACTGCCCGCCCAGTACAGCCTCCCCGAGAATTCCAACATCCAGGGGGTAGTTACAGAGCAAATGTCACATCATGTATTCAACACAAGTATGTTTTTGAATAAGTGGATTATACATGATATTGGCACATGCTTCATTCACAGAGTCTGGTGCTGTTTAAACTGTGGGTGTCATCAAGGTCAAAGGCACTAAGGTCAGTCAGACTTTGTTCTTCTGAATATTGGATTCAGTTTCTTATCTTTGGAACGTGACGAAGTCAAATGGCTTCCCTGAATCAAGAAAATGGGGATGTCTACAGCTTTTTATCTATAGGTCATAGGTTTTAGTATAAAAGATACTTCATTAGGAAAGAAGAGAATCAGAGACCAGGGTGAAGTGAGGAGGGTCAAGACCTGTCTTCACTGCCATGAGGTTCTAGGATCAATAGAGTCTGGAGTCAATAGAGATGAGCTTCAGATGCCTGAGTTAAGTCCACTCTAGACCCATTTTGTGTTGCATTTGAATCCTGAAAATGTCACTGTTGATAAGCAGGATAAGCTGGAAGCCCTGGTGTTTCCTGGTTATACCAAAGGATCCTTGCCAAGCCATCCTTGGGGATGGTTATGTGTCCAGTAGTGTTGAAATCATGAACAGAGAGACTTGTAAAAGAAGGTGAATGTGGGAAAGAGGACAGTGATCGTCACTCAGAAACACTGGGTCAATCACCACACAGTTGGCTGCTAACCAGAGCCCCTGGGGTATCAGGACAGTGTTGCTCCCTCTTGGTCCACAGTGACAGGACACATAAACTCTTAGGGCAGGATTTGGCTCTGATCGTGCTTACCAACTAAGTAAATCAGTCAGATGAAACTGATGAGCAAACCAAACTTGTATTTTGAGGATTTTAAAACAAAGCACTCAGCCGCACTACTAAGCTCATTATACTGAAATCACACTGTGAGGGTTCATTGCAGGTGCCTACACCATAGAAGAGATGACTGACATGATTTGACCATCAGGAAACTTTGAGCAGTGTTTGTTTTTAATTATATCAGGAACAACTCTAATATATCTAGAGTGGATGTATTCAAGTGTGCATTGTTGGAAAAGACTCAACTGAACAAGACTCAGTATCTTGTTGCATCCTGTCCATCATTTAACTATTATAGACAACAGGGTAACAACTTTCTTGTAGCGTGATGATGGCCAAAAGAGATAGAATCAAAGTTATTAGGATTCACTTAATAAATATTTGTCTGTATAATTTTTTAAATTTCTCTACAGATCTTTTTTACCTTAATGCTTTAAAAAATCTCCTATTTGTTTCCTGACTTAATGAATGTTTCAGAGTAATCTACATACTAAAAATACCTCATAATTAAGTACATGCACGCATATATGTGTATATCCATTTATCTATCTATCCACCTGTCTACCTATATATCTGCCTATCCAGAATCTCCTATATAAAATATTCATATGACATATTAGAAAGTTTAGAAAGCAGAAAGAGAGACCGGGCATGGTGGCTCATGCCTGCAATCCCAGCACTTTGAGAGATGGGTGGATCACTTGAGTTCAGGAGTTCGAGACCAGCCTGGCCAAGATGGTGAAACCCCGTTTCTACTAAAAATACAAAAATTAGCTGGGAGTGACGGTGGACACCTGTAATCCTAGCTACTTGAGAAGCTGAGGTGGGAAAATCGCTTGAACCCCAGAGGCGGAGGTTGCAGTGAGGCGAGGTGGCACCACTGCACTCCACGGCAGAAAGAGAAATGTTTTTTCTCTTTGTTAAAATGGGATACCCCATTCTTCAGTTTATACTTCCTCTTTTCTTTTCAAATAAAATATTTATAGTTATTCGTTCAGTTGATTTTTCCAACATTCCATTTATATAAGCAACTTGGGCATTGCTCTCTGAAAGCCTGGGACTGTAGTCTCCAAGGACAGTCTCTAATATAAGAGATGGAAGTGACTACCCTCACTACTTGATCACAATAAAAACAACATATTTTGAGTGAGTTTTAAGATTAGGATACATTTCCCATGCTGATCCGCCCCAGATGAGTACACTCATCAGACAAAGGACAGATGAGGTAGAGGGTGAATCCTCCACCCCAATAAGCAACACAGCCACTAAAGGAAAACAAATAGATTAGGCAGGGCTTATTTACACATGAAAATCAAATATGGCATCAAAGAGAATTATGTTACACACAACTAATGAAAGGCACAGGAATGAAACAAAGCACATAGTGGATCACAAAGTGGTTTAGTATAATGAACACTGATACTAAGTAACCCGACTGCACTCCTGGGATTGGAGTTAAAATCCATTCCAGTCCCTACTGCAGCAGTAAGTAAGGAAATTATATTTCTGAAGGGCTGATTTTATGTCTTTATTTGTCTTCTCGGATCCTATCAGGGGCCACTTGCATTATTACCATTCAGGACACAGAGAAACTTCCAAGATCAATGTCCAAGTGGACCCTGTAGTTTTCTTTTGGGAGAAAGGTCACAACTTAACAGGAGATGATCAGTAAATAATCATTTCTGAATCTGATTGTTAAAAGCAAAAAAAGAATTTTCATCTCAATTCTGAAATTATTATTATCACAACATATAGCGCTTCGAAATAGGAAAATGATCACTGTGAAAACACGACAAGTCCAGACAAACCTTTGGTCTATAGGGAAAAATCAACAGAGTTTGAGCAGTGTTAGGACCTGGGTCTGATATTTGAAAATTCCCATGTGTATGTAGACCCAAGACATTTCAGGTGTATTTTTCTAGTTAATTTTCTCCAACTTCTACACTTTTTATTTCTGATCATAGCAAGAGGCAGATGCCAAATCTCATGAGAAAGGCTGTTCACGGGGTATTTCTAGCTTGTCTGAAAATAGGAAGTGCTAGAAATTTCATAGGAAAGTCAGTTCTTGTTAGCTTTCTGATTCAATTTTTGCAGACCAAACTGATTTGGATATTAAAGCCTGGAAAAAAATAATAATATCATAATTATTATCGAAAGTAGTGACAATCAATGTGAGAAGGCAGTAGAATCTAACAAAAGGCCACTGAATCATGGATCAAGAAACCAGGAGTTTCATTTCAACTCTGAAATTTACCAGGAGACCTCAAACAAATCACTTAGCCTCCTTTAGGCTCAATTCTGTAATCATCAGGATGAGGTTAGACCAAATCAGTAGTTCATATATTTAGCTGCATAAAAATGGAAGTGCTCTTTTGGAAGAAAGGGTGATGGCTACTTACATAGTATGTGGTCAATAAACTCTGATTGAAAAATTGAATCTCAAACTCATTTAAGAGGCAGGTGAGGAACTCCATAGAGCATCTTGGTTAAATTACTTTTGAAAATTTGAATAAAGTTAAAGCCACCAGGTGTGGTGGCTCACACCTCTAATTGTAACACTTTGAGAGGTTAAGGTGAGAGGATGGCTTGAGGCCAGGAGTTTCAGACCAGCCTGAGCAACATAGTGAGTCTCCGTCTCTACAAAAAAAAAAAAAAAAAAAAAAAAAAAAATGAATTAAGGCTTTTCTGGCATAGAAAAATCAAAAAATAAAAGTGGGGGCGGGGAGACGGCTCTTTAAAAACTACCATCAATGTGAAGTAGATGCAGGATTCTCTTGCTTGGGTAGCTGGAAAGTTACATTTGTTGGCATGCTTTGGTTGCCAGAAATAGAAAGTATGATTCAATCTGGTTTAAGCAACACTGGTAATATATTGATTAACATAACTAAAGAATAGCAGATCTAACTCAGGAGAGACTGAATCCAGAGCTTCCCGGGTCATTACGATCAGCCTTTCTTTCCCCCAAAGTCTCTCAGCATCGGCTTCCTCTGCGTGGGATCATCATCTCCAGGATGACCCCCTCTGGCCAGCAACATAGCTGCAGCAGCTTCAACCTCAAATCCCATAGCACACTATCCAGAGAAAGAAATTATCTCTCTTCTGACAGCCTCCAAAGAATGAATTTTCCAGAGTCCCTAGTAAACATCTGTCTTATTGGCCCAAATTGCAATGTATGTTCATCCATGACAAATTTCAGACAGAAGAAACACAGCCATTGGACTAAGCCAAGGCTCACCCTTACAGCAGAGAATAATGTTACTCCCACTCAAAGTCCACAGCTGGGAACTTTTGGAAAGAGAAGGAGGAAAGGTCATCACCACATCCAGTTCAGCTTTTAACTATATTAATTTAACACAATGCCATGTTTCTCCATATAAATCCAGTAAAAAATTCCTGGGAGAAAAAAGGATGTGTCCACATATAATCATCACTCCTTCATATCATCTTATTAAAAGCCATATGGACAATCAGCTACTAGATGTAAGGACAATTTCTTAATTCAAAGAATTGCCCATGAACTAGCTTGCAAATATAGAAAATGTACAAAGATGGCAAACTGCCAGCATGTGTCTTCATTTTTTCTTTATTTACTCATTATTCTAGCAAAGCTACTTATTATTGCCTATAAATAGGTTATATACTAAAGAGCCTTAAACACTACAATGCTATTAGTGTATTGTTTTGACATGCTTCATAAAATAATAATAATATGCTTATAATTTCAGGTGAAGAAATGTGAGAAATAAAATAAGCTTTTACTTGAGGGGAAAAAAAAGGAGAAGTACATGAAGAATAAATGCTGGAAAACCCAAAAGCAGATTCATGGGTAAAGCTTCATAACAAGGAGTCCATTGCTTTCACACTCCACCAGCGACCCATGTCGGGGAGAGAGAAAAACTTGCTGGCCATCGGTACAACCCACTGTAAATCCAAGAGGCGGTTAGCAAATACGTTCCCTAATTGTAAGGACTAATCCTCACTTCATCTGAAACCCAATTATCCTGCTTATGTCTTGAAAATGAACTAAATTGCTATTTCTGTGATTCATCCAACACACTGAAGAAATAATTGGTTGTCGTCTAAGACTTTCCCCAAGGCACACACACACAGTGGATACTCATTGAAAACCTGCTCTCTGCTCCTAGTTTTCTTAGGTGCTGTGAGGTGATAGAAGAAAAAGATTTGGGATTCTTGTGAAGAACTTTATTATGTTTTAATTTTTATAAATATTATTTGTTTGGTATAAAATTTTGCTGCAGGAATAAATATGTGACTTCTTTAAGATATTGGTTGAGTGCATTATGTAGGTGAATGGAAGATACTGAGGAATATAGAAATTGCTAGTAAAAATCCAGGGACAATATATACCTTCTTTCAAAGTGTAGTTCAGACCACAGATGTTCCTCACCTTACAGTGGGGTTATATCAGATAAAACCATCATAAGTTGAAGATATCATTAAGTTAAAAATGCATTTAACACACCTAACCTACTGAACACCATAGCTGAGCCCAGCCTTCTGTAAGCGTGCTCAGAACACTTCTAGCCTACAGTTGGGGAAAGTCATCCAGCAGCACAGCACACTCTAGAGCATCAGCTGTTCACCCTCGTGACCATGTGTTTGACTGGGAGCTCTCTGGCTATGCTACCAGCATCGTGAGAGAGTATCTATCACACCACTTCTACTGAATGCATATCGCTTTTGCACCATGGTAAAGTCAAACCGTCAAACCATAGTAAGTTGGGACCGTCTGTAGTGAGAAAGGAAGTAGAGGCTTCAACTGCAAGGCAGCAGAATGCCAAAAGCCTGCACAGAAGCATCTTGCCAAGGAGATGGAAAGCGGCCTCTCACAGGGGACCTTTAGTATCCCTGAAGGACCAAAATGCACTCCTAAGTCCTGGGAGTCTCAATGATAACGAGCAAATGATGGGTGAAGCTCCACAACCATCTCTCTCAGCCTTTGGATGAGGGAGATCTAATAAGCACTGTTCTGGCATCCTGACCTAGAGGAATTTTAAAGCTTTGCAAAGGCTTGTTAAGAGACTACAACCTATTTTGAGTGACTAAAATCCTGCCGATTTCAATGTTACAGGCTTCTGGGAAACAGCTCAGGTAGCAAAAATGCCGGCACATGATCCCTGGTTTCGCAGCTGGCATTCTGACTAACCAGGGATTGTTCAGACAAACAGCTGCATCTCTCTGAGCCTCAGTTTTCTCACCTATGTATACCCATTATGGACACACTTTCTTTAGGGTTTCGGTAGTTCTACAACGAAATATGTATAAAGTGTGGTGGAGAGCAGGTGTTTGAAAAATGCTCATTCCCTTCCCTGTCCTGCTGTATATCATTCATACACAGATTAGTGTCTGATTCTGAGCTGGTTGTACCAGGATGAGACAATTGAGAAGTAAATCTGAAGATAAAAGCAAAGCGAAGAGCTCAAGTGAGAGATTTATTATTTCATCTTTTTGGATGGATTATTTGGATATTTCAGGACAAGAGAAAATCCCCACTTTATGTTTCCTATCAATGAGATGCTTCTTGAGCTATAGGCTTTCTTCCTGGTTCATAAACCTTTTGTATGACAGTCAATAAGGATTTGTGGACCACACTGGAGCAAGGAGAGCAGCTGAATTACCTGGAGGAACATTTTGGGTTTGAACAGCAGTTCATATTTTGTCTATGCAGAAAGCGCTATTGGAAAATTTTAAATTGAGTGGCATTATACAAAAGATCTCCTTCAGTTTTGAAGTCTCCATTTGAGTTCCCAAGTCTGCCTTTTTGGGTGCCAGGTCCTTCAGAAGTCATATGGATTCAAGCAGGAAACAGACTCTCAGGAGGTAGGTGGTCACTCTAATGGTATCTTCATATTAATTATCTTTCTTATTTTATTTGGATTGGCCTATCTTACGGACCAAGTGTTTATACCACCCCCACTCCAATTCATGTATTGAAGCCCTAATGCCGAATGTGACCGTATTTGGAGGTAGGGCCTTTGGGAGGTGATTAGGGTTAGATGAAGTCAGGAGGATTGGCTCTGATGTGACGGACTAGTACTCTTTTAAGAAGAGACCCCAGAGAGCTCTCTCTCTTTTCCCACAAGCACCTCTCTGTGAAAATGGTGAGAATAATATCTAGCTTGGAAAGTGGATAGAAAGGTTGAGTGAATTGCTTTCCATATGCTGAGCTCAGTGCTTGGCAGTTAGCAGGGGCTCCACAAGTAAATATTAGTTCCTTCCTTTGACTGAAATCTTACCTTGACAAGACATGTTTCAAGTGCATTCCTTCTCCTTCCATACTCCCTCCAGAAGAATCCCAACCTATAAGAAGTAGGTACAGAGTCTGTGATACCTCATTCCTCCACCCGCACCCCCCAAAAACGAAAACCCAGAACTAAGAAAAACTCCTGCTGGACAAGTAATGACCCTGAACTAAGAGACTTAGGAAAGTAGCAGGTGGAGATAAACATTTCAGTGGATCTAACATCAGAGCTGAGGCTGAGTGCAGGTCTTTAGGTGATTGCTCCCCAATGTCATAGGGAGCAGTGAGTCAGAAGCTAGGTGGGAGAACAAGAGAAATTAAGCAAACACACAGAGAGAAGATGTCAACCTAAGGTAATCAAAAAGGTCAGAATGTAGTTGAAAGAGAGTTTATTCAAGCGCAAAGGTTAAGGACTGCAGTCCAGGACACATTTCCAAGTTGCCTTGGGGAGTGCTCCAGAGAACAAAAGCGAGGATCAAGTCATTAAAGAACTAAAGGATGACTCATGAGAGTGATTACAAAAGCTGTTCACCAGGACTTCTCTTAGGTTTGCAGAAATAACACTGGTTAGTGACTGGCTATACATTGTTGAACTACAGGGTATGTGGCATTTTATGGCTACGAGGCATCAGTTTAGAGCCTGCAAAGCAAGTGGCTTCCAGAGGTAACTATTAAGCACAGGGAAAGTGAGACATAACCGCTTTTACATTTTAAATGCCTCTCTGGGCCTGATAATTTAGAGGGGCTTGCATTCCTCAGATAAAAGGCTTTTTTCTTTCTCAAAGCTAAAAGGCAGCAGTAAGATCCAAGCTCATCTCTACAGCCGACTTGGTACTGTATGGTAGGAAAAATCTTTTCCTTTACCCATTTTAGATTCTCCACCTAGGGTTCTATACTGAATCAGACAGGGCAAAGATAGATTAACAAGAGAAAAACAATAGAAGTTCATTAACATGCACATCATGCATGTGACACACGACAGTACCCAGAGATGAGTAGCTCAAAGGGGGTGTTTAGAACTTAGGCTTATCTACCATCTTAGGCTAAAGGAAAAGGGGTTTGCAGCCTCTGGATGAGGAAGAAGCAAGCTATGGGAAGGTGACCAGGAAAAGTAAGGCAAACCACAGTTGTTTTTTGTTTCGTTTTGTTTTGATTTTTTGAGATGGAGTCTCACTCTGTTGCCCATGCTGGAGTGCAGTGGCACGACCTCGGCTCACCGCAACCTCCACCTCCCAGGTTCAAGCAATTCTCTTGCCTCAGCCTCTCGAGTAGCTGGGATTACAGGTGCCCCTCCACCATGCCCGGCTAATTTTTTTTTGTACTCTTAGTGGAGACGTGGTTTTACCATATTGACCAGGCTGGTCTTGAACTCCTGACCTCAGGTGATCCACCTGCCCTGGCCTACCAAAGTGCTAGGATTACAGGTGTGATCTGCCGTGCCCTGGTACCAGGGTTGTTTAGTAAGTTTTGTTATGCTGATTTAAGTCTGTGCCTTCTTCATCCTTAAGAGTTGTTAAGAGTTTCCCTCTTCCCAGTGCAGAGAGGCAGATCTCTCTAAAAATGAAAATTTCCTTTATAAATGTAAATTTCCTTTCCAAAAGGAAGATGCTGTTTTTAGAATCTTTCCTTCCTCTGCTGGTTCTCAATGGCCTTTCACTCAAAACAATTCATATGCCAAAGAGGCATATTTTGGGGTGATAGACTCTGGTATCCCTTAAAACCTGCCTTTGCTTACCCATTTGTTTAATTATTCCACAAATACTTCACAAATAGTTACTAAGAGTCTACTGTGAACCATTCTAGGGTGAAAAGAGAAAACAAATAAACAGAAAGGCATATACAGCAGTCCCTCCTCATCCACGATTTGGCTTTCTGACGTTTCAATTACACCCAGTCAACCCCTGAAAATATTAGATGGAAAATTTCAGAAAAACAATTAATACATTTTAAACTGCACACCATTCTCAGTAGTGTGACAAAGTCTGGCGTCCTCTCACTCCATCCACCCTGGACACGAATCCTGCCTTTGTCCAGCACATCTGTGCTGTAGACAGTCCCTGCCCGTGAGTCACTCAGAAGCCTTCTCAGTAATAAGATAGACCGTCACAATATTGCAGTGCTTGTGTTCAAGTCACCTTTATTTTACTTAATAGTGGCCTTAAAGCAAAAGAGTAGTGAGGCTGGCTATTCCAATATGCCAAAGAGGAGCCCTAAATTGCTTTTTTTTTTAAGTGAAAAGGTGAAAGTTCTCAATTTAATAAGCCAAGAAAAAAAATTGTATGCTGAGGTTGCTAGGATTTACAGTAAGAGCAAATCTTCTATCTGTGAAATTATAAAGGAGGCAAAAGAAATTTGTGCTAATTTTGTTGTCATACTTCAACTGCAAAAGTTACAGCCACAGTGTCTGATAAGTGCTTTGTTAAGATAGAAAAGGCATTAAATTTTGAAGCCATCCTCACAGGGTTAACAAAAATTCTGGACAGAAGTATAATTAATAGTATAGTTATAATTAAGCATTAATCAAGCTGCCCTTTGGCCCAGTAGATACCATTTGCATTTCCATTGTTCCTATAGGTAGGATCTCTGACATTAGAATCATAAGAGTTCTGTGTAAGCTAGATAGGATTTCTTATGTTAGACTCATAAAGCTTTTAAGAATTGCTTAAGATGTTTTTTGGATCCCAAATTGTAGCAAAACTGCGAATGCCACCCAGTCTGCAGATCCCCACAAAGGAAGGAAACATCATGAGCATACAATTTCTTCCTCTCCCTGTCCCATGACTTCACCCTGTCCTCTTCGGCCAGCCAACAATCTCCACACTTCAGCCCACTCCAAAATCCTTAACAACCCTAGTGCCAAACTCCTCAGGCAGACGGACTTGAAGTTTTCTCCAACTCCTCATTCAGTGACCCTATAATTAAACTTCTTTTTCTGCAGCAACCCCATGACTTGGTATATTGATTTGCCACGTGCATCGGGCAATGGGCCTGTTATGGTTGTAATTTTGAGAGTAGAATACATGAAGATAAAACATGTTCCAATTGATGGCAATATGTGCTCCAGAAAGCACTGAGCCTATGTGAAGCCTTCAGCAAGGGGTCCTTGAAAAGGAGTGACACCAAGCCATTTATTAAAAGTAAGGAATGGTTACATAGAGAGTAAGGGATGGTTACACAGATTCAGGAATGGGCTTAAACTGAAAACTATAAAAATTACAGGAAAGTCTGTGTCTGACAATGAAGAGTTGATTAAGAAGAAAGACTAGCATCCAAAGCAAGGCTTCAACTGGCTCTTCTGGAAGAAAACGCCTAAGAGGACCTACAACAGAGACACTGGGGCATAAAACATGGCAGGACAGATCAATTCTGCTGCTGTGTAGCAATGATGCAGGGCATATAACAAAGCCAAGCATAGTGTACAGAACAAGAAACCCTTGTGTTCTCAAAAAACAAAAATTATGTCTCTGTGTTCTGGCAACATAATCAGAAAGTGTGGGTGACAGCCATCTTGTTTATGGAATGGTTCCACCAATGCTTCATCCCAGAAATGACAAAATACTTGGAAGAGGAAGGGTTGAAATTTAAGTCCTATTAATAATAGACAACGCACTTGGCCATCCTGAATCTGTTTGCTGTGAAAATGAAAAGTCAAGGTCATATTTTTACCTCCAAATACAATCTTATTGCTTCAGCTCATTTACCTGGGCATCATTTGATTTGTCAAGTCAATATACAACTGCCTGATATTTGATCACACATGATCAGCAATTAATGCAAACACCAATCTGAACATAATGCAGTGCTGATGCAACAGCATTTATCAAAGCTGCAATGAATGGATTACAACCAGAAGCTGTAAATGGCTACTGGACAGACTTATGGAGTGCTGACCTGAATAATTTAAAAGGCTTTCTGGGGAGCATCAGAGAAATTAGGAAGACCATTCGTGAAGCAAGACAAGTTGGTGAAGAAAGATTTGCCAACATGCTTGGAAGCATGAAAGAACATATTGAAGGCCACTGAGAAGCATTAACAAATGAAGAATTGGAAGAACTTGTTGAGTCCTCTGCAGAGGAAAAGGAAGATAAAGAAGAACTGAAGCTGAACCAGCAATATGAAAATTACCAAAATTTGCCAAAGTGTTTTGAGTTGCACAGACTCTAAAGGACAAAATTGTGGAATATGATTCTTAAATGGAACACAGCATTAAAGTCACCCATATGATCAATGAAGGATTAAAACCTCTGCAGAAACACTTTGATGAGTTAAAAAGAGACAACACCTTCTGATTACAGTGTTCTTCCAGAAAGTTTCAACCAAAAAACCTTCTACTATTGAGGATTCCCCACCATCAACATCGCCTGATCCTGACATTCATCCATTGACGTTGTCAAGGCTCGAGGAACCAGAATCACTCAAAGCAGAAGGTCAACAGTAGCCTAACACTGCATCACAATGCCTATAACGCTCACCTCACTTCATCTCATCAGGTAAGCATTTGATCATTTCACCCTTTCATAAGCAGAAGGATGAGTACAGTACAGGAAGATATTTTGAGAGAGACAGAGACCATTTACATGTTTATTACAATAGCTGTTGGAGCAAAATTAATTATAAGAAAACCATTTTCCCCATGGCAAATGACATAAGCAAGAGTTCAGTTGCTACAACACATTACTGGTTAAAAAAGTCACCAAACTAAGTAGTGACCCAGAACACTTCTAATATTAAACATTGAAATAAATGTGAGCTGTACATACATTTAAGAATGATTAAGGCTGGGTGCGGTGGCTCACGCCTGTAATCCCAGCACTTTGGGAGGCCGAGGCAGGTGGATCATGAGGTCAGGAGATCGAGACCATCCTGGCTAACAAGGTGAAACCCCGTCTCTACTAAAAATACAAAAAATTAGCCGGGCGCGGTGGCAGGCGCCTGTAGTCCCAGCTACTCGGGAGGCTGAGGCAGGAGAATGGCGTGAACCCGGGAAGCGGAGCTTGCAGTGAGCCGAGATTGTGCCACTGCAGTCCGCAGTCCGGCCTGGGCGACAGAGCGAGACTCTGTCTCAAAAAAAAAAAAAAAAAAAAAAAAAGAATGATTAATAACAAATAAGAAAATGATTTACTCAATTTTTGGTGAATTAGTGAGCAACAGAGGTCAAAGTGGTGGTGAGTTAAATCAAGGAATAAATGTTTGTGAAGAAAAAATTGTTAGGAGCACCTCCTCACATCGTGCAGTTCAAAAACCATCACAAGGCCGGGCATCGTGGCTCACACCTGTAATCCCAACACTTTGGGAGGCCGAGGCTGGCAGATGACGAGGTCAGGAGATCGAGACTATCCTGGCTAACACGGTGAAACCCCATCTCTCCTTAAAAAAAAAAAAAAAGAAAGAAAAAAATTAGTTGGGTGTAGTGTCAGGCACCTGTAGTCCCAGCTACTCAGGACGCTGAGGCAGGAGAATGGCATGAACCTGGGAGGCAGAGCCTGCAGTGAGCCGAGATCGCACCACTGCACTCCAGCCTGGGTGACAGAGCGAGACTCTGTCAAAAAAAAGAAAAAAAAACTATCATAAACATGGTGGCTTGCTTTCGTCCAGCATTGTATATTGTTGTGTATTTGCATGATTATTGTATACTTTTTACAATATTTTTACATGGTAACCATTTGTATTCATTCATTTATTTTTCAACCCACTTATTGCAGTTCAGGGTGGCAGGTGGCTAAACCTATCAACCGCTCAGGGTGCAAGGTAGGAACCAGCCCTGGATAGGGTGCCATCTCATCGCAAGGTGTATAGGGGGAAATTCAGCCAGATATCAGGCAAAATTCACCCCCAGTATTTCACGGGGGAAATTCAGCCAGATATCGGGCAAAATTCACCCCCAATATGTCACATAGATTCTTTTCTATTTTCCCTAAGCATCAGCTGGGTTGAGAAATAAAGGGACAGAGTACAAAAGACAGCAATTTTAAAGCTGGGCGTCCGGGGGAGACATCACATGTCGGTAGGTTCCATGATGCCCCACAAGCCGCAAAACCAGCAAGTTTTTATTAGGGATTTTCAAAAGGGGAGGGAGCGTACGAATAGGGTGTGGGTCACAGACATCACGTACTTCACGAGTTAATAGAATATCACAAGGCAAATGGAGGCAGGGTGAGATCACACGGCCACAGGACCGGGGTGAAATTAAAATTGCTAATGAAGTTTCAGGCACCATTGTCATTGATAACATCTTATCAGGAGACAGGGTTTGAGAGCAACCGGTCTGACCAAAATTTATTAGGCTGGAATTTCCTCTTCCTAATAAGCCTGGGAGTGCTATGGGAGACTGGGGTTTATTTCATCCCTACAGTTTCAACCATAGAAGATCGCCACACCCAAGGGGGCCATTTTAGAGACCTACCCTCAGGGGCGCATTCTCTTTCTCAGGGATGTTCCTTGCTGAGAAAAAGAATTCAGCAATATTTCTCCCATTTGCTTGTGAAAGAAGAGAAATATGGCTCTGTTCCACCCGGCTCACTGGCAGTCAGAGTTTAAGGTTATCTCTCTTATTTCCTGAACATTGCTGTTATCCTGTTCTTTTTTCAAGGTGCCCAGATTTCATATTGTTCAAATACACATGCTCTACAATTTGTGCAGTTAACGCAGTTATCACAGGGTCCTGAGGTGACATACATCCTCCTCACCTGACAGGATTAAGAGACTAAAGTAAAGACAGGCATAGGAAATCACAAGGGTATTGATTGGGGAAGTGATAAGTGTCCATGAAATCTTCATAATTTATGTTTAGAGATTGCAGTAAAGACAGGCATAAGAAATTATAAGAGTATTAATTTGGGGAACAAATAAATGTCCATGAAATCTTCACAATCCATGTTCTTCTGCCATGGCTTCAGCCAGTCCCTCCATTTGGGGTCCCTGACTTCCCGCAACAAAGGTGCACTCACACACAACTGCATTCGCCCATATCCACACTCACTCACACATACACCCACACTCACTCACACTGGGACCATGTAGACATGCCAGTTGTCCTAAAGGGCACAGCTTTGGGATGTGGGAGCAAACTGGAGAACCTGGCAAAAAACCAGGCAGACATGAGGAGAACATGCAAACTCCATCCATGCAGTGGATCTGGCAGGAAATGATGTTTTTATTTATTATTTGTTTATTTATTTTGAGGCAAAGTCTCACTCTGTCGCCCAGGCTGGAGTCCAGTGGTACCATCTTGTCTCACTGCAACCTCCGCCTCCCGGGTTCAAATGATTCTCCTGCCTCAAGCTCCTGAGTAGCTGGGATTACAGGCATGTGCCACTGCACCCAGCCAATTTTTGTTTTTTTAGTAGAGACGGGGTTTCACCATGTTGGCCAGGCTGGTCTTGAACTCCTGACCTCAAGTAATCCACCTGCTTCTGCCCCACAAAGTGCCGGGATTACAGGGGTGAGCCACAGCATCCGGCCAGGAGCTGATTTTTTAAAATCATCAATAAAACAACATTGAACAAAATGACATTATTTGAGAACCTGCTGTCATTGTTCTATTTTATTATTATTTGTTGTTGTTCATCTCTTCCTGTGCCTAAGGTACAATTTAAGCTTTATCATAGGCATGTATGTATAAGAAAAAACATAGTGTACATAGGGTTTGGTCAGACATCCACTGGGCTCTTGGAACAAACCCACCGTGGGTTAGCAGGGGCTACTGTTCAAGTGGGTGCTAATAAGGGCTCTGAGGACAGATAAAGCTGGGTAAGGGAGCTAGGAACAAGGAACATCATCAGATCCTTAAGGAAGGCCTCTGTCAACGCTCGTGAGGTGACATTTGAGTAAAGGCCTGAATGGAGAAGCAGTGAGTCATGCTAATAGATGGGGAGGAACAATTCAGGCAGAGGGAGTCCCTGCCAATGCTTTAAGCTAGAGGGCCCCCCAGCATATTGGCATCACAGCCAGGAGGCCAGTGAGGCTCAGAGGAGGGAGTGAGGGTGACAGGGAGGGAGAGTCACAGAGGGGAGGCTGAGGGCACAGGCCATGTAGGCTCCAGTAGTGCCCTTTATCTGGCCTCAGAGACACTTCCCCCACCCCCCCCCCTGACCCCCTGCCCCGTTACACCGAGTTCTTATAAGACCTCTCTGCTTCCTTTCAAAGAAGACTTTTTCATTATATTTGAGCAAGTATGAATGGATTTTAAATCCTAGAAACAAAAGAAACTTTATTGGAACATTTGTCTCTCCTGATATGTTTTAGTTTTGCTAATCCTAAGGACTGGGTCTCAGTCTTTTCCTGAGCCTGTGTCCCTGGGGTATGATCTTCACAAGTGCTTCTCAGTTTTGTCTTGTTTATTTTGTTTTGTTTTCCCCTGGGTGAGAAGAGGCAGGCAAGAGAGGCCTGGAGTTGTGTTTCCCTTCCCCCAGTTCAGCCAGGCTCCCAGGCTTGTGTCTCCTGAGGGCAGAACTTATAAGGACAGAGTGCTCTGGAGTTTTTCAAAAGCACCCCCAACCCCCTCAGCCCATCCACTCCCACCCCGCCCATGGAGACATGAGGGGAATTTTCTCTCATCTTCACCATGAGAACCTGCTAGGGCTCCTAGAAGGAGGTAAAACTCAAAAAAGTGTGGGCTCCTTCCATCCATGACTGGGTCCCCCTGGAGCTTTTAACCCTCAGCGTTGTCTGCACTGAGCCTCCAGCAATTAGTCAATTCTAACTCCGGTTCTGGTTCCCCTGAGGGTTTCTGCGTTTGGGCTCCTGTGCCACTAAGTCCTGATCCTCCCCATCTGCCCGTCTGCCTCTCTAATTTGAAGAGCGGAGGGTTGTCCTGTGATCTTAGTTATCTGATGGATCTAAGAAAGTTGTTAGTTTTCATTCACTCAGCTTTTTTTCTTGCTGGGTAGATGAATGAAATGATTTCCAAGCTTCTTACCTCCTGGATCGGAAACCGGAAGTTCACTTTTAGTCTCTATTTACTTTGAAATTACGTAAGCCAGGGCCTCCGCTCCCATGTTATCGTAGAACTGCTTGCTGCAGAGGTCCAAGGCCTCAGTCTTGCCTTCCTCCTCCCAGCACAGTTTTGCTCAAAGGAATGGCTGACTGAAGCCTCTATGACATTTCTTTTGTTCATACATGCATACTCTCTGACTTTTGCCTGCACATGTAGGGAAGAGAATGGCTGAAACTCAAAAGATAAAAATTAGATGAATAAAAATGAAGAGATCAGATGACAGGTTTGTGATTTCATCGTATAGATGCATCTTTCGGCGTTTTATAGATCTCAAGTGTATATTGCATGCCTCATCTCTACGTGTTTGCCATTCTCTTCAAGACAGCTTCAAGACTTTCCTGAAAGAAGGTGAAAATATCAGAGAAAAACAGAGAAGCTGAAAATTGGGTTTAGAATAGTAATTAAAAATGAAATCTCCATGTCAATATTGGATAAAGAGTGTTTTAGAGGATGATACTTTGAGTAACAGGATATATAAATTAAAATTGGGGGATTTTATATGGAAAGGAGGATGAAATAAATAAGTGAAATAAGTCTGTGTTTATTGAAATCCCTAAGGATATCACATCCCAAGGGTTAAAATCTAAAAGATTCACAGACAAATCTTATAATTCATTTCAAAAATAATGGGCATTATCATTTGTTTTCCTTTCTTAGGCTGTCTAAGTAATACTTGCCTTTGAGCAAAGATTTTCTTTAATCAAAAAGTACATTAAGGTTTAAAAAATTACTTTGGCTTTTTGCTAGTTCTAATCAGTTAGATTTTAATTTTCCTCACCCCAACCTTAATCCCTTTCTTTCTTCCACTCTGCTTCTTTTCCTTCTTCTTAACTTTTCTCTCCTCTCTTCCCTCCAACAGGTCACAGCTTGCCAGCTATTATCACCTTCTGGAACCATCCCTGGTAAAAGCGTTCAAAACCTTGGTGACCCAATGAGAATTCTCCAGGTCTTCTCGGGCCCTGTTCTTGCCCATTATGCCATCTGATTAGCAGGGCACACGCTGGGCTCTCAGAAAAATAGGTCTTTACAGTGTGGTATAATTAAGAGAGAACAAAATCTGGATTCAGAAAGCCTACGTTTGAATCCTGTCTCTGTGACTTACCAGTTATGTGACCTAATAAAATCACAGTCCCACTGGGCGTCATCTTCCTCACCTGAAAACTAGATATTAATGGCATCCAGCTCAGTGGGGGCTTTGAAGGCTAAATGAGAGAATACAAAGCTATTGTATGAAAAAGCTTTGTGCACCTATATCACATTGTGTATGTCATTGTACTAGGCAGCTCCTAATTCAAGAGGGCTCCATCATCCCAAATTGCTGCTCTTTATTCCTAGCTTGAGAAGTGGAAGGAGGGAAATAATAATAATATCTTTGATAATAATGGTGGCTACTGTTTATTAAGAGCTTACCTGTCACCAGGTGCTATGCTATATGCTTTACAAATAATATTTCAACCAGATCTGACAACTCAATGAGATAGAAACTGAGGCTCAGAAAAATCAGTCACAAAATTGCTAAATTGTCAAGCTGGGGTTTTGTAACGTAGTGCCCCCATTGTTCTAGAGGTGGCTTTTTTTTTTTCCTCTCCCTCTTCTTTTCGTATTCCTGGGCTCCCTGTTTCCTACTTAGCCCTTCAGAAATGCAAGTATAGCCTTTTACCTGCCCCGTCACAGACATTCCATACAGGTCAAGTTCTGTGTGCTCCAAGACAGATCTCTTCTTGGACTAAAGCACAGCCGCCATGGAACTCTCACCTCCATGGGGTTGCCTCGGAACTTTCATCCATCAGGAGGGCTCATGGAAAGCATGCCCGTGTGAACACTTTTACAGCTTCCTTCTGCCCAGGAAGGCACCACCTCAACTGCCCAGTAGATAAGACACCAAGCTAGCAGGTGTACCCCTGTCCTTACTCATTTTCTTCGCAACCTTATATAAGTGCCTGCTTTCTGCTCCAGAGGTGGAGTGGCACATTTAAAGGCGGAACATTTTGTGCCCCTTCCCCAAGCTAACTTCAGAATGAATTCACTTATTTTGTATCAGACCTGGCTCTTGTTAATTGGACTCTCATGTGGAAAGCAACTAACCTGTTTCTTCGTTACAATTTGAATGTGTGTCCTTTCTGATACCAAAGCCTGTGCTCTGATAACTATACATGTTTCCCAGCAGCCATTGTATCGCCTTTGGCACACCTCAGCGGTCTACTTCCTGGCCCTTGGCAGGAAAGCTGCCCCGTACTCCTGCAGAGAATAAAGTGGGAGCTTGTATAAGGGACAAGAGTAAAGAACACTTGAGGTGCTGAAGAAGGCGATGCCCCTCAGATGGTGGGTTGGTCACTAGCAGCAGTGTAGCATGCCTACTGGGGTCATGTGTCTCATCTTTAGGCCAACCCTGCTAAAAAAGCCAAAGCTAAGTGTGCCGAACACGCCAGTTACTGTTTTGGGTCTGCCTAGCACATTTTCACCTATCTTTTCTTCTGCTTTCGGCACTCCCTTTTGTTTGCAGAACTCCTTACCCATTCCTTGAGGTTCTGATGGAAATACCAGCGATGGTGCCCCACTTGCAACCTCTATCTGAAGGGTGGGCATGTGACCCAGGCTGCATGTGTAACAGTCACCCATGCCTTTGGCAGCACATGTTAATCTACTGGGGATCTGACTCAAGAAGGCCATTCAGAGCCCATTCCCTGGACTGCTATTTGTAGAAAGGAAAGAGAGAGTCTCTTCCTACCAGTGATACCAAGTTGGCATGTAAATCTGAGGTTCCACCTTGCCCTTCATCCTGCTAAAATAGAGTAAGCACATCTTCACGAAGAGGTAATCAGGCCAACATGCAGAAGAAATTATGAAAAAAAGAAATTATAATTGAGAGAGAGAAACTGTCCACATTGTTTCAGTTTGTAGATCCAGCCTTGCTTGAGCCACAGTCTACCTCTGGCTTTCCCATAGGCCCAAACCAACAAATTTCCTTTTTTTTGAGTTGAGCTAATATGAACTTATTATAAGTTAGAGTAAGTTCTTAGAATCAAAAGAATCTTCATTCAATTGATTTAATATAGTGATGAAAGATAGAAATCCCAGAGGTAGAAAGTGAAAGTATATCAATAGATGAAGACTATATAAATTATAAGATGGCTTCACTCCAAGACAAAAACGCAAATATGTATTGCAAAGAAGGAACTGTGAACTGTGTTTTCTCCCTGGATATTTCTATAATTTCTACTTTAAAAAAGCAAACATCCACAAGCTGTAGGGGAAAAATACTCAAGTGACAAAATATTTTAATATGCTGCACATTCAGACATAGATAAAGATTCTCTGTTTTTCTTCTTACCGCTAGCTTGAGGTTTGTACAGAAATACTGCCTGAGAAGTATTTATTATCTTCCTCATACCCTATACCAAAAGCCATAACATAAACCATTCAGATCATTTTAGAAAGTTATTTAGTGGTGGGGGTTTTGAGGATAAGCCTGAAATCCTGAAGGTGAGTTTTGATCTCATTTAAAGTGCAGTCCAAACAGCAGCTTAGTGAATCACATCAAATTAGCAACATGAGGCAATGCAGGACCAATTTCTACATTTTAATTTTTCCTGCTTCTCCTACTGTGAAATGCTATTAAAGAATGTGAGTAAAGCCCAACAATGTAGATCTTGGTGCTCTGGCCAGGTAAGACAACCAGTCTTTTTTTTTTTTTTTTGAGACAGAGTTTTGCTCTTGTCACCCAGTGTGGAGTGCAATGGCGCAATCTCGGCTCACTGCAACCTCTGCCTCCTTGGTTTAAGTAATTCTCCTGCCTCAGCCTCCCGCGTAGCTGGGATTACAAGTGCCCACCACTATACCCTGCTAATTTTTGTATTTTTAGTAGAGACGATGTTTCACCATGTTGGCCAGGCTGGCCTCGAACTCCTGACCTCAAGTGATCTGTCTACCTCGGCCTCCCAAAGTGCTGGGATTACAGGCATGAGCCACGGAAACCTGGCCAGAGATTTTCTTTTCCCCCTGAGAAAAACAGAGATTTTTAAATAGATCAGATTTAAAGTAGAAGTTACTTCATCACCTTCAGGCTTTGCACTCTATTTACTCATCTAATATATTTGAGATTTTGGCAAGCACCTAATAAGGATTACAGATGTCTATTTTGAGCACTTCACACTGGCTGTATTTTCTATTTGAGAGCTGTTTTGTTGACTTGAGCAGTGCAGTTGAAAGGAAGGAACTTGGTTAAAGGACAATTAGCTTTGTGGTCTTCATCTTTTTGGGCTTCAGTTACTTCACTGATAAAATTATGATTGTTGTAAATCATGTGGCCCCACTAAATTGTAACTTTCCACTAATACAAACACTTATCTCAAAGAACAGTGCTATGTATTCTTGTTTGTACAGACTCAGTTCTTTCTTCATTAACATTTCAGCATAGTTCTGGCATTTAATAAACATGAGTGATTGTTTTCTTGGCCTAAGCAATCACGACAGTCTAGTTGATTTGTGTTCACAAAATATAAGAAATATGCTTTTCTACCACCATTCAAAGGAGAAATGCTGATGTGTAACTCATTGATTTGACTTATGGCAAGCACACGAAGACAATGGTAGACTCCAGCATATTTAAGTGCATTTGCAAATGCTCACTAAAATCTGATTGAAATGTATGTCTTTCTGCACACTAATATTTTAGTAACAACTATTGCATATACAGAAATTGGCTCACAAAGGTAGACAATCTGCCTTTGATATTTTAAAACCATAGGTGGAAGAGGCTGCCTAACTATTTTACATAATTTTTTCCTTGACCTTTAAGCTGCTGAGGAAAGACAAGGATTTCAAAAAATCTTTATCATGATCACAACCAGGAAGGGGAGGGAGGATCATAAAAACTGATCAAAGCAATTCATCTGGTAGTGCTGGCAACATCTTGGCCAGCTAAAACACTCTGAAAACTATGGATTTAGTAGATTTTTATAAACTACATACAAATTGTTTATGTAAATGAGAATTTTCCATAGCTTAATTAATTTATATTTATTTGTATAATATGCACATATATTAAATCATTTATTTCTCGTACCAACTCCACAATGTACGTACTATTATTATTCTTGTACAGATGACTTAACTGAAAGAGAGAAGACGAATAGCTTCCAAAGATTGTGAGCTCACAATAGACAGAGGCTGGTGATAAGCTCAGGACACCAAGTTTCAGAGCCACGCCTGTGCCCCTACCCCAAAGAGACCTCACCATGAGCCCCTACCCCACAGAGACCTCACCATGAAGAGGTGAAGGAGTAGGATTTCCTTTGAAGGATCTTGTATGTTTATTTCAGTTACACTGTGGTCAGTTTATAAGTTTCATACGAATAATTTAGAATGTTTTCCATTGAGCACTGTTTACTGGGAAATACTAGAGAGGCCTTGTTTTCTTGTAGGAAGTCCTTGACAGATGAGAAGAATATTGAAGCTGGCTAAGAAGGTCACAGCTGGAAGGCCTGAGCTGCTTTGCTGAGGGGTAGTGGGCCCTGCTGAACAAGGTACCCTAGTGATGCTGGAGGGTTTGGAGGGCAGGAGTGCATGTTCTCTAACATCTGTTAATGTAGGCCAGAGGTATAAATGTCTAGAGCCAGGAGGATTCTGCAAGCAATTATGTTAGACTGGCCAGTCAGCACAATAGGGGAGTGAGCTGTGGGGAATAGAGGGTACACACGCAGCTGCAGAAAGCCAAAGATTTCCTTTGCTAATAAAGATCTGGAAGCAGTCATTGTACTCTGCTTCCCAAGAGGCAAGTTGTCTAATCAGTAGACCACAGCGCAGAGAGATCAATCAAGATGGTGGCCTTGCCTGTGCAGGTTCTGCCAGGTCAAGTGAAGCGTCAAGCTGGAGAAGATCTAAATGCTGACAGAATGCTGGAACCTGCAGCCATGTGGCCAGGAGACAGATTCGCCTCCAGACTTCACATGAATCTTTTTGGGCAGTTTAACCAGTGTCACCCAGAAACCAATACCCGTTAATAAGCTGCTAGATGGGAACAAAAAAATGAAGCCCTGGAATGCAGCCAGTGAGCCGGCTCTACTGAAACATTGCTTACAACTTCTCAGCTGATCCAGATGTGAGACAAATGTACGACCATAGATTCAATTAGTAGCAATCGCTATAAAGTGAGCTGAAAATGGAACAGAAAATCTAGGAATATTTGCTGATTTATAGTCCCAAGCCTGGGGAAGGTGCACAGAGAGCAGCTGGGTATGGGGCTGTCAAAGATGGTGTGACTTTTCCTTTCTTTCTTTCCTTTTTCTTCTTTTGAAGAAGGCAGTATCAAAAATAGCAACACGCTCAGCAAACAGCATCTACAGCTGCTCAGGAAAGAACAGCCTTCATTCAAATGCACTGCAGAAAGGACAGCTGGTCACATTGGTCTTTCAGCCTTCCTGCTGCACATATTTAGTAACAGAGTCGGTGGCAGTTTCTTTGAGTATAAAAGACACTGATAGATATCTGGGATAACTCCAATTCAGTTAAATTTTGCATAAGGAGGACTTACCAAGTCCTTTTCCATTATGCCCAAATTCAATTCTCTCTAGTTGTCCCAGATTTTTTTTAATATGGAATATCTCAGACTTTAAAATAGAAAGAGATGGGGCTATTAAAACATAAAGTCAGAGCATTAAAAGTCACGATCTAGGCTGGGTCAGGGTGGTGACTGCTCCAAATAGAAAAATGACAGGATGTTTTGTGCATCCATTCAGAATTAATATTCTGTTCTTCAAACATGAAACATATAGTTTCCAAGTTATTAACTGATAATTCCTAACTTTGAAGTGGGGTACGTGGAGGGATGAGGTCCCCATTCAGTTATAATTTGACAAATGGACTCAGTAAGCAGGCATTTAATACTGGGAACACTGCACAACCAACAGTGTTAGGAATTGAAGAGGCAGCCAAATAATGAACAAATCCACCTGTCCCTTAGGAAGGCACCTACACTCGGACACCGGCATACCTGGTACAAATAATTGTTACTATAATGCACAGTGGATTCAGTGCACACACACACACACACACGAATGCACACACAAAACCCACAAATGCCCTAAGGGAACAGAGAGAGATAGAATTTATATCAAGGAGAAGGAATCAAGAAGGGATTTGGAGATGGACCTTGAAGAATTAGCAGGGTTTTGACAGGTGAAGATTTTGAAGTTGGGAGGGGGCAGAGTAAACTTGGGAACCTATAAAGTCATCCAATTAGGATGTAAAATAAAAAGCTGAACGGGAGGGCTTAGTCCTGTATGAAGGGATTTCAGCTTGCAGGGTTTTGAGCAGGAAAGCGACATGGTTGGAACCGCAATTTAAGAAAATGTCCAATCTAGTCAGATAGTTTACTTTTTATTATTCTTGCCCTCTGTCCACAGGATATTCAGAGATGGAAAGGAGTAAAATGTAATAAGTGCTTTGGATGTTGTCATGATGCTCAAGTTCACCCTCTTTTTAGTTTTGAAATATGATATTATCTCTCATCATCTGTTATTTAAAAGATGGCAATAAATATCAAATTAGACTCTTTCTTCTAGAGCACTGTAAACATACAGATGAGAAAAAAGAAGTATGGTTCCATAGGCTGTGCCAGTAATAATAATTAACACGATGCTTTCTGACAAAAGTAGGGCAGGTTATTATTGAGCTCTGTTTTCAGAATGGGAAGCTCAGGTCTTCGGGATTCAGATCCTGGTCCTGCCCCTCCACCTGCTGTTCTCTGTGGCCTCCACCAAGCCCCCCTAAAGCCCCTTGATGTTCCTTCCCGGCCTCCTTCTCTAGTAGCTTGTCCATTGGCGATTTGACATTTAAAAATATCTTCAGCAGTGTAAGAAGCCCTTTGCTAGCCTTGGTCTCTCTGTCTTCTTCCTTTGTAAATCTATTTTTGGAGATATAGCCTGAAAATGTGGTTGTCAAGGTAAACATCTCTCGGTAGCAAAGAAAATCTTGAAGGATTTTGGAACTGATTAGTAATAAATGGGGAAAGAAGATCAAGAAAACAACTTCAGAAAATGGTCACAGACCTGCACACCTATCACGGGCACAGCACAGGAATTACTGACAGAGCAGGAGGGTGGAAAGAGAACAGATATAACAAGATAGGAGCGTTTAACTCCAAGGAACAGGAGCCAAGGCTCATCCATCACAATACCTGACTCTGCCCGGACAGCCAACACTCCCCATGTTCACCCAGCCTGCTCCTTGGCCTATGCTCAGGTAGCTGAAGCAGTGGAAAATACTCGGGGTCTCAAAAAAGGAAGAAAGTAGCTGACCCATAAATATCACATTTTACAAAGATTTCCTTCCTGTCAGAACCTGAAGAGAATGATAGTGTCATGTGAGTAACGCTAATAGGTTTAATATAACAGGATGTGAGACTCACCTTTCCTCTTCCAAGGGGTCTGAGAGGTCCTGAGATGAGAGAGTTGCAGAGGCTCAGATGCGCTCTTTGTCCCAGCCAGTTATGCGGACATCTGCATCACGTCCTGGAGCTTTAGTGTCACTTGCACGCACCTTCATTTGATATGTCCCCAGACTGCATCCAGGCCCTTTGTCACCTGAGAATTAGGAATGATTTCAGCACCAGAGTCGGCTCTGTTTTTAAAATTTGTTTATTTCTTTCTCATTTTTTTTTAAATATTTTATTTTTGCAGAGACAGGGTCTCACTATGTTGCCCAGTCTGGTCTTGAACTCCTGGCCTCAAGTGATAATTCCTGCCTCAGCCTCCCAAAGTGCCGGGATTATCAATGTGAGCAACCACACTCAGCCAATTTTTTTTCTTTTTAATTAATAATGGAAGAGGCTGAGTTTTTTTTCCTTGAATTTCTGGCTTATCAGTGTTCATAATGAACTTTCTGCCAAGTAAATCAATATGAAAATGAGATTTGTTAGCACTTTAGCCAGAAAGCATAAGAAAAAGGATGGGTTAAACTCAGGTAACAAGCTTGGAAGTTTGTCTTCTGGAAAGCCTTTGTTTTCTGAGGAGGACTACCCACTCCCCACCACGGAGGAGAGCTAAAATGGACAAGTAGATTCAAGACTTAGTAGAATCTATGAGTCATCTTCCTTGCCCTGGGCCAATCTGTGCTCATCTAGAAAAGGCCAGGCTGTTAGTCCAGGAAGCCCCTCTTAAGCATGGGGGATGCATTCTATGACCCCCCAGTGGGTGCCTGAAACCATAGATAGTACCAAATGCCATGTCCACTATGTTTGTCCTTACACATACATATGGATAATAAAGTTTAATTTGTAAATTAGGCACAGGAAGAACTGTCTTAGTCCATGTGTGCTGCTGTAAAGGAATAAATGAGGCTGGGCGATTTATAAAGAAAAGAGGTTTATTTGACTGCTTCCATTCATGGCAGAAGGGGAAGGAGAGCTGGCATATGCAGATCCCATGAAGAAAGGAAGCAAGAGAGGGTAGGGAGGGGCCGGCCTCTTTTTAAAAATCAGCTCTCTTGAGAATTAACGGAGAGACAATTAACTGTCTTCCCACTCCCAAGGAGGGCATCCGTCTGTTCATGAAGGGTCCACACCCAGGAACAAAACACCTCCCATCAGGCCCCACCTCCAACATACGGAATCACATTTCAACATGAGGTTTACTTGACAAACATCCAAACTATAGCAGAGATGAACAACAGTAACTAATAATAAAATAGAACACTTATAATAATACAATATACTTAATAAAAGTTATGTGAATGTGGTCTCTCTCTCTCTCCCAAAGTATCTTATTGTATGTAATATTTTCAGACGGCAGTTAACTATGGCTAACTGAAAACAAGAAAAGTGAAACCACAGGGGGATGACCACACCTGAGTGAGTATTAGGGGGTGGAGCTCTTTCTGTCCAGCTGTCAAGTCCAAGCTTCCTTCTGCCTTTGTAGGAGATACTCTCCTTTTTTCTAACAAGGTAGCTAGTGCATCCCTAAAGCTGGGGTAAGTTTTGTGCTAGAGAAAAGCCTTCTGTCAGCCTACTACCATGCTAAGGTGAGAGTGATGAAGGAAGTGTATTCTTTTCAGGGGTATCTTGACGGGAAAAAAAGAATGGCCAGTGGAAGCTATGATTACTCCAAAACGATGAATTCTTTATTGTAGAGTGCCAGGGACCAGGGCACTGGGGCTGAGGCAGATGTATGTGAGGGGAGGTTGTGCGGAAGGAGCAGTGGTGAGGAGGTGGTGGGCTTTTTCATTAGCCCACATTATCATTCAGTTTACTGTTAAGCCCAGTCCTATTGTGATCCACAGACATTGTTGATTCCTAGTCCTCTTGTCAAGGGGACTACCTAGGAGAAGGTTGAAGCAAGGGACCCGCACCATGGGCTTTTTTTTTTTTTTTAAGACAGTCTTGCTGCATCACCTAGGCTGGAGAGCAGTGCCAGGATCTTGGCTCACTGCAACCAGGTTCAAGGGATTCTCACTCCTCAGCCTCCCAAGAAGCTGGGATTACAGGTGTGAGCCACCTCACCCGGCCATGGGCATTTTTCAGTCCAGCTCTGACCCCTGCTGGCTCTATGACCTCAAGACCTTTGCCTCTGATTTCTAATCTTTAAAATGAAGATATAACAATATTTTTTCATGTAACAATGGCAATGCAAATCCCTACAATTAGTTACACATTTGAACATGAGTGGAGACTCCAATCCTCCCTCCCACTATGACCCTTCCTGCCAGTGCTAGCCGAGAGAGGAAGCAATCTGAAATGGATCCAGAACACAGTTTGGGGTAAAGCATTAAAAAGTCTTGTTTCTACTTGGAGAATTGTTTGGTGAATCTCAGGCCCTTTTGTATCCCTAATTTTAAGAATTTCTAAGAATTCTCTTCTAGGGCTACAAGGGGATTTAGAATGCCTCTCGTTTGGAGAGAAGAGACCTCCTTCATTACAACACCTGCCCACCCTCCAAAGACAAGAAAGAACAAAGACTAGGACAGAGGCCAATGGACAGGCTTCTTAGGTCTACGCTTAATCTAGTGCAAGGTTGTAGATAGGTTTCCTCTCCGGTACCAAAAAGTGCTGTGTCGGGAAGGATTCTGAGGCCACATCTGGGTCACTATGGATCATCAGTGTCTGCCAGGGGTGTTTCAGGAGGTCCCAGAGCATGCAGCTCACTAATTTGTCCTCCCTAGTCTAGTTATATATCACTCAAACTCACAATGGTTAGAGCCGAGCTAGAATTTAGGCCCAAAGCTAGAACTCAGTCCTGCAGAATGTGCTTTTGCCGTTAGTGTCCTCTTGCATTTATTTTTCCCAGGATTTTATTGGGCTTTGGCTATGTTAGGCAATCAAAGATTTGGGATCCTATCTGAGTCCCTTTTCCTGAGAATGATGAATGCCTGACAGTGCTCAGCAAACCAAAGTTGAGTTTGGTTATTTGCTGGGTCACACAGGAGCCCCAAGCTGGAGCAGCTGCACAGCTCATGGATCCATTTTTATTTAAGAGGTAAAGTTTTGAGAGAGAAGCTTGCTCACGGGTGGGGTAAAGCAGTCTCACTTAGGTCTCTCAAGCAGCAAAAGTGGCTGCAGTCCTGGATGTGTACATCCTGAGTACAACAGGGAGGAGGATCCCTCTGAGGACAAGCAGGTTGCCCTTGGAGAGGCAGAGAGAGATTCTGAGCAGCGGCTCTGGGACACAGGTGAATGAAACAGCGGTACTCTTTCTTTTTAGCTCCCTTACCGAAGGACGCAGGCATTGGTGTTGCTTGGAAAACGTTCTATTACAAATGCTCACAGACGGAAAGGTTGTCCTAGACGAGTTATTCAATTCAGGAGCGAAGCATCCGGAATGGAACTGCTAAAGAGAAAGGTTAAAAGAGTGTTCTTTAAATATGTATTAAGGATGCTAAAGAGAATGAAAAAGCCTCAGGGAAGACCCTAGCGCCAGTGTTGGCAGTATTTAAAGTTTCTAAAGGTAGTTAGAAACACAGTTTCAGGAGGCATTCTCCTGCAGAGGAGATGGTCAGTACAGTTGAGGAAATCTTAATTCTGTAGTTAACCTATTTATGGTTAACTTGCCCCAAATGCATTCTTTTTTTTTTTTTTTTTTTTGAGACGGAGTCTCGCTTTTTCGCCCAGGCTGGAGTGCAGTGGCGCAATCTCGGCTCACTGGAAGCTCCGCCTCCCGGTTTCACGCCATTCTCCTGCCTCAGCCTCCCGAGTAGCTGGGACTATAGGCGCCCGCCACGGCGCCCAGTTAATTTTTATATATTTTTTTTTTAAGTAGAGACAGGGTTTCACCGCGTTAGCCAGGATAGTCTCTATCTCCTGACCTCGTCATCCGCCCGCCTTGGCCTCCCAAAGTGCTGGGATTACAAGCGTGAGCCACCTGCCCCCCGCCCCGCCGCCAAATGCATTTTTAAAATCACTGGTGTGCCCAAAGCATGGTGGCTCATTCTGCTAATTTCAGCACCTTGGGAGGCCAAAGCAGGTGGAGCCCTTGAGGCCAGTTGTTCAAGAGCAGCCCTGGCCTTTATTTTAGACTTTCCTAAAATAAAATAAAATCACTGGTGATAGAGTCTTGATAACTGGTATAAACAAAAACTAAAATCCCTTTATCTTTCTTCTCCTCCCTTTTCTCTATTTGCTTCCTCCTGCTAGACAACAGACATAGCCACTGTCTCTGTTCTCTTGTCCAGCTAATAATGACATACAGATCTTGATGGCAGTATTGTCTGGTTCTGGAATAGCCCGTTTGCTAGGGGGACATTTACAAAAATGTACTAGGGGTATTGGCTACTGCAGAGGTGTCATTACGCTCTGGGGTTTAGTGCTTTGGACATATTGCAGATGTGGTGGCTACAGTCCACGGCTGTGTTCAGTTGGCTCCTGAAACTGAAATGAAGATGGGCTAGTGTCAGCGTTAGCTTATTTCCTCTTTCCAGGAGAAAACAGCTGGATGAATTCCAGTGGAAGCCGACTTGACCTTCAGCTACCAGCCAGTGACCCCAGCTCACATTGTGTCTGGAATTGGTAGGTTCTTGGTCTCGCTGACTTCTGGAATGAAGCCACCAACCTTCACGGTGAGTGTTACAGTTCTTAAAGATGGTGTGTCCGGAGTTTGTTCCTTCTGGTTCAGATGTGTCAGGAGTTTCTTCTTTCTGCTGGGTTTGTGGTCTCGCTGGCTTCAAAAGTGAAGCTACAGACCTTAGGCGGTGAGTGCTACAGCTCATAAAGGTAGTGCGGACCCAAAGAGCAAGCAGCAGCAAGATTTATTGTGAATAGCAAAACAACAAAGCTCCCAAGACATGGAAGACCACCCAGCAGTTTGCCCCTGTGGGCGTGGGTGGCCTGCTTTTATTCCCTTATCTGGCCCCACCCACATCCTGCTGATTGGTCCATTTTACAGAGAGCTGATTGGTCTATTTTACAGAGAGCTGATTGGTCCTTTTTTAAAGAGAGCTGATTGGTCCGTTTTGACAGAGTGCTGATTGGTGTGTTTACAATCCTTTAGCTGTACAGAAAAGTTCTCCAAGTCCCCACCCAACCCAGAAGCCCAGCCGGCTTCACCTCTCAACATCAGGCCTTAGAATGGAACACTTTTGCCAAGGCTGAGCAAAAGGAAAATATGAGAGGGAAGAAGCTTTGTGCATGTCTTGTAATTTACATTTTTCTAAATTAGTTAGAAAGATTCAAAAGAGTTATTTAATGAATACGACTAAACATTTATGAGATGATGACAAATTTAAGCCACTTATGTTGCTGTTATTCTATTTTATGAACAGTGTTGAAATCCAGTACACAATATTTAATTTCATCTGCTGGGCTTTGTTGGTTGATGCAGGTGAGCATAACTCAAGATAACAGAGATGAGGATGGTTTTCTGACCTAGTAGATGGTCTAAGTGTGTTTTTTTCTCTTCCCTTAATGTCATCATAATTTACTGCACAATTACGTGCATCAATCTTAATTTTATAGTTCATGAGTTTTGACAAATGCATGTACCCAGGTGCTCAACACCCTGTTTGAGATGAAGAATGTTGACTTAGAAAACCCTTTTTTCCTCTTCTTCACTAATCCTCTCCCCAATAAGAGGCAACCACTATTCTGATGTCTGCCACTGTAAATTAGTTTTACCCGTTCTTTAAACTACACATGAATGAAATCCTATAGCACATACTCTATTTATGTATTTTTTATTTGAACAGATTATGTTTTTGAGATGTATCCATGTTGTTGGTTATTGGCTGTTTTTATTACTGACAAGTATTTATTTGTAGGAATGCATCATATATTTCTCCATTCTCTTACTGATGGACATTTGTGTTGTTTTCAGTTATAGGAAATTATGAAGAGAGCTGCTATGAACATTATTACACAAGCATTTTCCTGCAGATATGGGAATGTGGTATTGCTTTGTTATAGGAGAGTTCCGTGTTTACATTTGTAAAGATTTGGCAAATTGCTTTTCAAAATGGTTGTACCATTGTACATTCACCCTAATAATGTATGAAAGTTCTAATTCCTCCACATTTAGTGATGTTAGCCCTTTTAATTAGCTATTCTAGTAGAATAAAAATATATCTCCTTGTGATTTTATCTTTCTCTCATGAATAATGATTTCTTTTTTTTTCCTCTTTTTTTAAACTGTTGTTTTAGGTTCAAGGGTACATGTGCAGGTTTTTATACAGATAAACTCGTGTCATGGGAGTTTGTTGTACAGATTATTTTGTTACACAGGTACTATGCCTAGTACTCAATAGTTATTTTCTCTGATCCTCTCCCTTTTCCTATCCTCCACCCTCAAGCAGGCCCCAGTGTCTTTTGTTCCCCTCTTTGTGTCCTTGTCTTCTCATCATTTAGCTCCCACTTATAAGTGAGAATATGCAATATTTGGTTTTCTGTTCCTGCATTAGCTTGCTAAGGATAATGGCCGCCAGCTCCATCCATGTTCCTGCAAAGGACATAATCTTGCTCTTTTTTATGGCTATCCTTTATCTTCTTTATCAAGTCTACCATTTAGACTTGATAAAGAGACAATGTGGCATTTAGGTTGCTGCCACGTCTTTTGCTATTGTGAATAGTACAGCAAGGAACATACACATGTATGTGTTTTTATGATTGAACGATTCATATTCCTTTGGGCATATATCCAGAAATAGGATTGCTGGGTCAAATGGTAGTTCTGCTTTCAATTCTTTGAGAAATTGCCACACTGCTTTTCATAATGGTTGAACTAATTGACACTCCCACTGGCAATATATAAGCGTTCCTTTCCTCCAAAACCTCGCCAGCATCTGTTTTTTAAAAATTTTTCATTAATAGCCACTTTGACTGGTATAAGATGGTATTTCATTGTGTTTTTGATTTGCATTTCACTAATGATGAGTGATATTGAGCTTTTTTTCATATGCATCTTGGCCACATGTATGTCTTTTTTTATTATTATACTTTAAGTTTTAGGGTACATGTGCACAATGTGCAGGTTAGTTACATATGTATACATGTGCCATGCTGGTGTGCTGCACCCATTAACTCGTCATTTAGCATTAGGTATATCTCCTAATGCTATCCCTCCCCCCTCCCCCCACCCCACAAGAGTCCCCAGATTGTGATGTTCCACTTCCTGTGTCCAAGTGTTCTCATTGTTCAATTCCCAGCTATGAGTGAGAACATGCGGTGTTTGGTTTTTTGTCCTTGCGATAGTTTACTGAGAATGATGATTTCCAATTTCATCCATGTCCCTACAAAGGACATGAACTCACCATTTTTTATGGCTGAATAGTATTCCCTGGTGTATATGTGCCACATTTTCTTAATCCAGTCTATCATTGTTGGACATTTGGGTTGGTTCCAAGTCTTTGCTATTGTGAATAGTGTCCCAATAAACGTATGTGTGCATGTGTCTTTATAGCAGCATGATTTATAATCCTTTGTGTATATACCCAGTAATGGGATGGCTGGGTCAAATGGTATTTCTAGTTCTAGATCCCTGAGGAATCGCCACACTGACTTCCACAATGGTTGAACTAGTTTACAGTCCCACTAACAGAGTAAAAGTGTTCCTATTTCTCCACATCCTCTCCAGAACCTGTTGTTTCCTGACTTTTTAATGATCACCATTCTAACTGGTGTGAGATGGTATCTCATTGTGGTTTTGATTTGCATTTCTCTGATAGCCAGTGATGGTGAGCATTTTTTCATGTGTTTTTTGGCTGCATAAATGTCTTCTTTTGCAAAGTGTCTGTTCATGTCCTTCGCCCACTTTTTGATGGGGTTGTTTGTGTTTTTCTTGTAAATTTGTTTGAATTCATTGTAGATTCTGGATATTATCCCTTTGTCAGATGAGTAGTTTGCGAAAATTTTCTCCCATTTTGTAGGTTGCCTGTTCACTCTGATGGTAGTTTCTTTTGCTGTGCAGAAGCTCTTTAGTTTAATTAGATCCCATTTGTCAATTTTGGCTTTTGTTGCCATTGCTTTTGGTGTTTTAGACATGAAGTCCTTGCCCATGCCTATGTCCTGAATGGTATTGCCTAGGTTTTCCTCTAGGGTTTTTATGGTTTTAGGTCTAACATTTAAGTCTTTAATCCATCTTGAATTAATTTTTGTATAAGGTGTAAGGAAGGGACCCAGTTTCAGCTTTCTACATATGGCTAGCCAGTTTTCCCAGCACCATTTATTAAATAGGGAATCCTTTCCCCATTGCTTGTTTTTGTCAGGTTTGTCAAAGATCAGATAGTTGTAGATATGTGGCGTTATTTCTGAGGGCTCTGTTCTGTTCCATTGATCTATATCTCTGTTTTGGTGCCAGTACCATGCTGTTTTGGTTACTGTAGCCTTGTGGTATAGTTTGAAGTCAGGTAGCATGATGCCTCCAGCTTTGTTCTTTTGGCTTAGGATTGACTTGGCGATGCAGGCTCTTTTTTGGTTCCATATGAACTTTAAAGTAGTTTTTTCCAATTCTGTGAGGAAAGTCATTGGTAGCTTGATGGGGATGGCATTGAATCTATAAATTACCTTGGGCAGTACGGCCATTTTAACGGTATTGATTCTTCCTACCCATGAACATGGAATGTTCTTCCATTTGTTTGTATCCTCTTTTATTTCCTTGAGCAGTGGTTTGTAGTTCTCCTTGAAGAGGTCCTTCACATCCCTTGTAAGTTGGATTCCTAGGTATTTTATTCTCTTTGAAGCAATTGTGAATGGGAGTTCACTCATGATTTGGCTCTCTGTCTGTTATTGGTATATAAGAATGCTTGTGATTTTTGTACATTGATTTTGTGTCCTGAGACTTTGCTGAAGTTGCTTATCAGCTTCAGGAGATTTTGGGCTGAGACAATGGGGTTTTCTAGATATACAATCATGTCATCTGCAAACAGGGACAATTTGACTTCCTCTTTTCCTAATTGAATACCCTTTATTTCCTTCTCCTGCCTAATTGCCCTGGCCAGAACTTCCAACACTATGTTGAATAGGAGTGGTGAGAGAGGGCATCCCTGTCTTGTGCCCGTTTTCAAAGGGAATGCTTCCAGTTTTTGCCCATTCAGTATGATATTGGCTTTGGGTTTGTCATAGATAGCTCTTATTATTTTGAGATACGTCCCGTCAATACCTAATTTACTGAGAGTTTTTAGCATGAAGCATTGTTGAATTTTGTCAAAGGCCTTTTCTGCATCTATTGAGATAATCATGTGGTTTTTGTCATTGGTTCTGTTTATATGCTGGATTACATTTATTGATTTGCATATATTGAACCAGCCTTGCATCCCAGGGATGAAGCCCACTTGATCATGGTGGATAAGCTTTTTGATGTGCTGCTGGATTCAGTTTGCCAGTATTTTATTGAGGATTTTTGCATCAATGTTCATCAAGGATATTGGTTTAAAATTCTCTTTTTTGGTTGTGTCTCTGCCAGGCTTTGGTATCAGGATGATGCTGGCCTCATAAAATGAGTTAGGGAGAATTCCCTCTTTTTCTGTTGATTGGAATAGTTTCAGAAGGAATGGTACCAGCTCCTCCTTGTACCTCTGGTAGAATTCGGCTGTGAATCCATCTGGTCCTGGACTCTTTTTGGTTGGTAAGCTATTGATTATTGCCACAATTTCAGAGCCTGTTATTGGTCTATTCAGAGATTCAACTTCTTCCTGGTTTAGCCTTGGGAGGGTGTATGTGTCGAGGAATTTATCCATTTCTTCTAGATTTTCTAGTTTATTTGTGTAGAGGTGTTTGTAGTATTCTCTGATGGTAGTTTGTATTTCTGTGGGATTGGTGGTGATATCCCCTTTATCATTTTTTATTGCGTCTATTTGATTCTTCTGTCTTTTTTTCTTTTAGTCTTGCTAGTGGTCTATCAATTTTGTTGATCCTTTCAAAAAACCACCTCCTGGATTCATTAATTTTTTGAAGGGTTTTTTGTGTCTCTATTTCCTTCAGTTCTGCTCTGATTTTAGTTATTTCTTGCCTTGTGCTAGCTTTTGAGTGTGTTTGCTCTTGCTCTTCTAGTTCTTTTAATTGTGATGTTAGGATGTCAATTTGGGATCTTTCCTGCTTTCTCTTGTGGGCATTTAGTGCTATAAATTTCCCTCTACACACTGCTTTGAATATGTCCCAGAGATTCTGGTGTATTGTGTCTTTGTTCTCGTTGGTTTCAAAGAACATCTTTATTTCTGCTTTCATTTTGTTGTGTACCCAGTAGTCATTCAGGAGCAGGTTGTTCAGTTTCCATGTAGTTGAGCAGTTTTGAGTGAGTTTCTTAATCCTGAGTTCTAGTTTGATTACACTGTGGTCTGAGAGACAGTTTGTTATAATTTCTGTTCTTTTACATTTTCTGAGGAGTGCTTTACTTCCAACTATGTGGTCACTTTTGGAATAGGTGTGGTGTGGTGCTGAAAAGAATGTACATTCTGTTGATTTGGAGTGGAGAGTTCTGCAGATGTCTATTAGGTCTGCTTGCTGCAGAGCTGAGTTCAATTCCTGGGTATCCTTGTTAACTTTCTGTCTCATTGATCTGTCTAATGTTGACAGTGGGGTGTTAAAGTCTCCCATTATTATTGTGTGGGAGTCTAAGTCTCTTTGTAGATCACTCAGAACTTGCTTTATGAATCTGGGTGCTCCTGTATTGGGTGCATATATATTTAGGATAGTTAGCTCTTCTTGTTGAATTGATCCCTTTACCATTATGTAATGGCCTTCTTTGTCTCTTTTGATCTTTGTTGGTTTAAAGTCTGTTTTATCAGAGACCAGGATTGCAACCCCTGCCTTTTTTTGTCTTCCATTTGCTTGGTAGATCTTCCTCCATCCTTTCATTTTGAGCCTATGTATGTTTCTGCACATGAGATGGGTTTCCTGAATACAGCACACTGATGGGTCTTGACTCTTTATCCAATTTGCCAGTCTGTGTCTTTTAATTGGAGCATTTAGTCCATTTACATTTAAAGTTAATATTGTTATGTGTGAATTTGATCCTGTCATTATGATGTTAGCTGGTGATTTTGCTCGTTAGTTGATGCAGTTTCTTCCTAGTCTTGATGGTCTGTACATTTTGGCATGATTTTGCAGTGGCTGGTACCAGTTGTTCCTTTCCATGTTTAATGCTTCCTTCAGGAGCTCTTTTAGGGCAGGCCTGGTGGTGACAAAATCTCTCAGCATATGCTTCTCTGTAAAGTATTCTATTTCTCCTTCACTTGTGAAGCTTAGTTTGGCTGGATATGAAATTCTGGGTTGAAAATTCTTTTCTTTAAGAATGTTGAATATTGGCCCCTACTCTCTTCTGGCTTATAGAGTTTCTGCCGAGAGATCTGCTGTTAGTCTGATGGGCTTCCCTTTGTGGGTAACCCGGCCTTTCTCTCTGGCTGCCCTTAACATTTTTTCCTTCATTTCAACTTTGGTGAATCTGACAATTATGTGTCTTGGAGTTGCTCTTCTTGAGGAGTATCTTTGTGGCATTCTCTGTATTTCCTGAATCTGAATGTTGGCCTGCCTTGCTAGATTGGGGAAGTTCTCCTGGATAATATCCTGCAGAGTGTTTTCCAACTTGGTTCCATTCTCCCCATCGCTTTCAGGTACACCAATCAGATGTAGATTTGGTCTTTTCACATAGTCCCATATTTCTTGGAGGCTTTGTTCATTTCTTTTTATTTATTTTTTCTCTAAACGTCCCTTCTCGTTTCATTTCATTCATTTCATCTTCCGTCACTGATACCCTTTCTTCCAGTTGATCGCATTGGCTCCTGAGGCTTCTGCATTCTTCACGTAGTTCTCGAGCCTTGGCTTTCAGCTTCATCCGCTCCTTTAAGCACTTCTCTGTATTGGTTATTCTAGTTATACCTTCGTCTAAATTTTTTTCAAAGTTTTTAACTTCTTTGCCTTTGGTTTAAATTTCCTCCTGTAGCTCAGAGTAGTTTGATCGTCTGAAGCCTTCTTCTCTCAACTAGTCAAAGTCATTCTCCGTCCAGCTTTGTTCCATTGCTGGTGAGGAGCTGCATTCCTTTGGAGGAGGAGAGGCACTGTGCTTTTTAGAGTTTCCATTTTTTCTGCTCTGTTTTTTCCCCATCTTTGTGGTTTTATCTACTTTTGGTCTTTGATGATGGTGATGTACAGATGGGTTTTTGGTGTGGATGTGCTTTCTGTTTGTTAGTTTTCCTTCTAACAGACAGGACCCTCAGCTGCAGGTCTGTTGGAGTTTGCTAGAGGTCCACTCCAGACCCTGTTTTCCTGGGTATCAGTGCCGTGGCTGCATAACAGTGGATTTTTGTGAACCGTGAATGCTGCTGTCTGATTGTTCCTCTGGAAGTTCTGTCTCAGAGGAGTACCCGGCCCTGTGAGGTGTCAGTCTGCCCCTACTGGGGTGTGGCTCCCAGTTAGGCTGCTTGGGGGTCAGGGGTCAGGGACCCACTTGAGGAGGCAGTCTGCCCGTTCTCAGATCTCCAGCTGCGTGCTAGGAGAACCACTGGTCTCTTCAAAGCTGTCAGAGAGGGACATTTAAGTCTGCAGAGGTTACTGCTGTCTTTTTGTTTGTCTGTGCCCTGCCCCCAGAGGTGGAGCCTACAGAGGCAGGCAGGCCTCCTTGAGCTGTGGTGGGATCCACCCAGTTTGAGCTTCCCAGCTGCTTTGTTTACCTAAGCAAGCCTGGGCAATGGCGGGCACCCCTCCCCCAGCCTTGCTGCTGCCTTGCAGTTTGATCTCAGACTGCTGTGCTAGCAATCAGTGAGACTCCATGAGCATAGGACCCTCCAAGTCATGTGCGGGATATAATCTCCTGGTGCGCCATTTTTTAAGCCCGTCGTCTGTCACCCCTTTCTTTGAGTAGGAAAGGGAACTCCCTGACTCCTTGCACTTCCCGAGTGAGGCAATGCCTCGCCCTGCTTCAGCTCACGCACAGTGTGCCGCACCCACTGTCCTGCGCCCACTGTCTGGCACTCCCTAGTGAGATGAACCCAGTACCTCAGATGGAAATGCAGAAATCACCCATCTTCTGCGTTGCTCACACTGGGAGCTGTAGACCAGAGCTGTTCCTATTCGGCCATCTTGGCTGCCACCATTGTTATTGTTGTTAAGATATTTATGTTTCTTTCACATTCTGGATATTAATTCCCTGTCAGATGAGTGTTTGCAAATATGTTCTCCCATTCTGTAGGTTGTCTTTTCATTTTCTTGATTGTTTTCTTTGCTGTGTAGAAGCTTGTAGTTTGATATAATCCCATTTATTTGTTTTTGCTTGTGTTGCCTGTGCTTTTGAGCTCTCATTCATAAAATCTTTCCTTGGAACAATATCCTGAAGCATGTCCCCTACATTTTCTACTAGCAGTTTTTTTTTAGATGGAGTCTTGCTCTGTCACCCAGGCTGGAGTTCAATGGCGCCATTTCAGCTCACTGCAACCTCTGCCTCCCTGGTTCAAGTTATTCTCCTGCCTCAGCCTCCCAAGTAGCTGGGACTACAGGTGTGTGCCACCATGCCCAGCTAATTTTTGCATTTTTAGTAGAGATAGGGTTTCACCATGTTGGCCAGGATGGTCTTGATCTCTTTACCTGGTGATCCGCCCACCTTAGCCTTCCAAAGTGCTGGAATTAAAGGCGTGAGCCACCACGCCCGGCCTCTACTAGTAGTTTTAAGTTTCAGTTCTTACATTTAGTTCTTTGATCTATTTTGAGTTGATATTTATATAGCATGAGAGGTAGGGGTCTAGATTTATTCTTCTGCATATGGATATCCAGTTTTCCCAGCTCCATTTATTGAAGAGACTGTCCTTTCCCCATGAGTGTTCTTGGTAACTTTGTCAAAAATTAGTTGGCTGTAGATAGGTTGGTTGATTTCTGGGTTCTCTATTCCATTCCATTGGTCTGTGTGTCTGTTTTTATGGCAACACCATGGCTATTTTGATTACTATAGCTTTGTAGTAAATTTTGAAATCAGGTAGTGTGATGTCTCCAGTTTTGTTCTTTTTGCTCATGATTGCTTTGGATATTCAGGTTCTTTTGTGATTCTATACAATTTGTTTATTTTTCTATTTCCATGAATAATATCACTGGTATTTTGATAGGAATTACAATGAATCTGTAGATTTTATTGTGTAGTATTGTTATTTTAACAAAATTAATTCTTCTAATTCAGGAGCATGGATGTCTTTCCATTTGTTTGTACTCTCTTCAATTTCTTTCATCAGTGTTTTGTGATTTTCCTTATAGAAATCTTTCACCTCCTTAGTTAAATTTATTTCTAGGCATTTTATTTTATTTTATTTTATTTGTAGCTATTGTAAATGGGATTGCCTTCTTGATTTTTTTTCAGCTAGTTCATCGTTTGTATATAGAAACAGTACTGATTTTTGTATATGAATTTTGGATACTGCAACTACTGAATTTGCTGCTGAGTTGTATGAGTTTTTGGTCGAGTCTAAGTTTTTCTATATATAAGATCATGTCATCTACAAACAGGGACAATTTGACTTCCTTTTTTCCAATTTGGATGGCTTTTATTTCTTTGTCTTGCCTAATTGCTCTGGAAAGGACTTTCATTACCATTTGATTAAGGTAGTGAGAGTGGGCATCCTTATTTTGTTCCAGTTCCTAGAAGAAAAACTTCGTGATTTCCCCCATTTAGTATGATGTTAGCTGTGGGTTTGTCACATATGGCCTCTATTATGCCTTTATTATTATACACCTAATTTGTTGAAAGTTTTTATCATGAATGAATGTTGAATTTCATCAAATGTTTTTCTAGATCTATTGTGATGATCATATGGTGTTTACTCTTCATTTTTTTGATGTAATGTATGATGTTTATTGATTGGCAGATAATGAATCCCCCTGCATTTCTGGAATAAATCCCACTTGATCATGGTGTACTATCTTTTTTATGTGTTGTTAGTTGCTGTTTGCTAGTGTTATCTTGAGTATTTTTGCATCAGTGTTCATCAGAGACATCAGCATGTAGTTTTCTTTTTTTCTTGTGTCATTGTCTGATTTTGGTATCAGGGTAATGCTAGCTCATGGAATTAGGGAGAATTATTTCCCCTTCAATTTATTGGAATAGTTTGAGAAGTATTGGTATTAATTCCTCTTTAAATCTTCAACAGAATTCAGTGGTGAAGCCATCCAGTCCTGGACTTTTCTTTGTTGGGACACTTTTTATTACTGATTCCATCTCTTTCAGGTTTTCTATTGCCTCTTGCTTCAGTCTTGATAGGTTATATGTGTACCGAAGCTTACCAATTTCCTCCAGATTTTCAAATTTATTGGCTTATTCATACTAGTTCGTAATGATCCTTTGTATTTCTGTGGTATCTGTTGTGACAACTTTTTCATTTTTGATTTTATCTATTTATGTTTTTCCTCTTTTTTCTTAGTCTAGTTCATGGTTTGTCAATTTTGTTTATTTTTTCGTAAAAACAACTTTTTAAAGAGATGGGGTCTTGCTATGTTGCCCAGTCTAGTCTCAAACTCCTGGCTTAAAGCTTTTCTCCTACCTCAGCTTTCTGAGTAGCTAAGATTTCAGGTGCAAGCTATCATGCCAGGCATAATAAAACAACTTTTTGTTTTGTTGATCTTTTTGTATTGTTTTTTAAGTCTCAATTTCATTTATTTCTGCTCTGGTTTTTATTATTTATTTCCTTCTACTAATTTTGGGCTTGCTTTGTTCTTCTAGGTTCTGTCTCTCTAGAGAACCCTGACTAATACGTAGTTCCTTGCAGTGAACAACTTAATGATTTAGATTGTTTGTTGAAAATCTTTCTAGTTTTTTTATGTAAACATATATTGCTATAAACTTGCCTCTTAATACTGCTTCTGCTGCGCCATTGGTTTTGGTATATTGTGTTTCTATTTTAAATTTTATTCTTAATTTCTTCCTTTACCCACTGTTTGTTCAGAATTATGTTGTTCAATTTCCATGTATTTGTATAATTTTGAAGTTTCACTTGTTATTGATGTCTAATTTTATTCCATTGTGGTCAGATATGATTTTTGACTTTGAAAAATATGTTAAGATTTGCCTTGGGTCCTAATATATGGCCAGTCTATGTGCTGATGAAAAGAATGCATATTCTGCAGCTGTTGGGTAAAATGTCCTGTAAATGTTAATTCCATTTGGTCTGTGGTGCAGTTTAAATCCATTGTTTCTTTGTTGATTTTCTGTCTACATGATCTGTCCAGTGCTCAGTGTGGGGTGTTGAAGTCCAGAACTACTATTATTTGGGGGCCTATTTCTCCCTTTAGATCTAATAATATTTGCTTTATATATCTGGGTGCTCCATTGTTGAGTGCATAAATATTTACTATTGTTATATTCTCTTGCTGAATTGATCCCTTTATTGTTATATGTCCTTCTTTGTCTCTTTTTATACCTTTGACTTGAATTCTGCTTTGTCTGATATAAATATAGCTAGTCCTGCTCATTTTTGGTTAAAATTTACATGGGATTTTTTTTCCATCCATTCACTTTCAGTTTTTGTGTGTCTTTGGAGATGAGGTGAGTTTCTTGTAGGCAGCATGTAGGTGGGTCTTGTGTTTTTAATCCATTCAGCCAGTCTATGTCTTTTAAATAAGGAAGGTAACTCATTTGCATTCAAGATTATTATTGATGTTTGAGGAATTACCCCTGTCATTTTGTTGATTGTTTTGTATGTCTTTTTTTCCTTGATTCCTGTCTTATTGCTTATTTTTGAGGTTGGGTGGTTTTCTGTAGTGATAACATTTTATTCCTTTCTCTTTCTCCTTTGTGTATTGGCTCTACTTGTGAGGTTCATGGTTTTGTGTGTTTTTTCACAATGGTATTGAATTTTCACTTTCAGAAGTAAAACTCTCCTGGGAATTTCTTCCAGGTCTGGTCTAAGAGTAATACATTCCCTTAGTTTCTGCTTGTCTGTGAAAATACTTATTTCCCCTTCACTTTTGAAAGACAGCTTTGCTGGCCATAATATGCTTAACTGGCAGCTTTTTTTTTCTTTCAATACTTTGAAATATTGCATTCTCTCCTTGCCTGTAAGGTTCCTGCTGAGAAATTAGCCGCTAGTCTAATGAGAATTCCCTTAGGTTTGACTTGATACTTTTGTCTTGCTGCTTTTAGAATTCTTTGTATTTGACTTTCCACAGCTTGACCATACTCTGCCTGAATGGGGACCTGTTTGCATTGAAACTATTTGCAGTTCTTTGAACTTCCTTTGCCTGGATGTCCATCTCTCTCTCAGGACTTGGGGATATTTTTGCTATGATTTCATTACATACCTTTTCCTCACCTTCTCTTTTTCTTCTGAATGCCCATAACACAAACATTTTTTCACTTACTGATGTCCCATAAAACCTGTAGCCTTTTAAATTCTTTTTTATTCTTTATTCTTTTCTTTCTTTGACTGTCTGTGTTACTTCAAAAGATCTGCTTTCAACTTCAGAAATTCTTTCTTTCACTTGGTCTAGTATGTTGTTGAAGCTTGCAATTGTATTTTTTTTAAATTTCATTCATTGAATTGTTTAGTTCTAGAATTTCTGTTTGGTTCTTTCTAATGATATATATTTTTTTAATTTCCTATTCAAATCTGAATTGTATTCCTGATTTTGTTGAATTGTCTATCTGTATTCTCTTGTATCTCACTGAGTGTCCTTAAGATTTTTTTTGAAGTCTGTTTTCTGGTGTGTCATATATTTTCTCATGATTGGGGGCTGTTATTGGAGAATTATTGTTTCCCTTTGGAGTATCATGTTTCCTTCCTTATTCCTGTTTGATGTGCCCTACACTGATTTTTATGTATCTGGTAGAGAAGTTGCCTCTTCCAATTTTATGAAGTAGGTTTCATGGAGAAAGACTTATTCCTATGAATGAGTCTTAGGGTGTCAATTTAGTAGAATGAACTGGATTTGCTTCTAAGTGAATGGAGTAGTTCATTCTCCATTTACTTTCTTCAGTTGTAATCCACACTGATGGAATTTGTGAGGTTTTCAGTAGCCTAGGCTAAGAGAGTTTGTAGTGATGGTAGTACAGCTTTGTCGGGGGTGCTTGCTGAGATATTTCTCATATCGTGGTGTTCAGAGGCTAACAGTGCATCTACCAATTTGGGATCTGACTTGCTGGGGTTGTGGCCTCAGGCTTGTTACTCTGATTAGGAACGCAAGCATGTGGAAGGCATACCTGCTAGGAACAGCTCTTCTTCTTTGGCCTGAGATCTTGGTGCAAGGCTGCTTGGGTGGTCTTAGGGGTGGTGTCTGTGGGCACAAGGCCCTGCATCAGGCTTGTGACATTGCAACAAGGCTGCTTGACTGGTCTGGGACTTACCCACCAGGAGTGGCCCATGGGGCTGTTTCTCACATTCAAGTTGTAAACTCTTTTTTTTTTTTTAATTATACTTTAAGTTCTAGGGTACGTGTGCACAATATGCAGGTTTGTTACATATGTATACATGTGCCATGTTGGTGTGCTACACCCATTAACTCGTGATTTACATTAGGTATTTCTCCTAATGCTATCCCTCCGCCCTCCTTCCACACCATGACAGGCTCCGGTGTGTGATGTTCCCCTTCCTGTGTCCAAGTGTTCTCATTGTTCAATTCCCACCTATGAGTGAGAACATGCGGTGTTTGGTTTTTTGTCCTTGCAGTAGTTTAAACTCTTGACTACTTGGCTGGCCTGGGGCCTGTGGGACTGTTTCTTAGTCCCTGATTATAGGTGCAGGCCCATTGAGCAGGCTGTGCTTGGTGGGGATTCTGCAGGTCTGTTTCTCAGGTTCTGAGCATGAGTGCATAGCTGTTCCTCTGGCCTGGGAACCTATCAGCTGCTTGGAGGCTTGGGGGCCTCTCCATCTTGAGAAAGGGCAAGAAGCAGTTTGGCCAACTCAAAGGTGGGTTTGCCTTCAACAGTACTGCCAATCTATTCCTCTAGTGGGAAGGGAAGAAGCAGGGGTTGGTTTCTCTGCTGTGCCGGACCAGAGTCACAGCCAATCCTGGGCCCAGGCTCCACACAGCTGGAATTGTGGTGTTCCACCACCTCTGTGGGCTTGGTGGAATGAAGATGGAGCCCCAGTGCAGTGGCTACTGGTCTCCACAGCATGATGCACTCCAGAGGTGGCTCTGGTCTCATGATGGTACCATGCTGCAACAGCTTGACTCACAAGGGTTGTGTAGGGGGTGGGGAGTGCATATCTTGTGCTCTTAATCTGCGGCAATGCAGCTGCATGAATTCCTGACAGTTCTCCAAACTGGGCTCAGGGCTTGCAAGGACTGGGTTTCTTCTGTTGTAAGGACTGTAAGTGTTTTTGGTGGTAATGGGGGTCACCGGGGATCTTGTGCTTACCTTTTCCCCAAAACAGGAAGTCCCTCCTGATTCCAGGCAGATCTAATCTGGATGGGGAAGATGGGGCTTCAGAGGCCAAGTGCCTCCATTCTGCCTTCCTAAACTTCCAATCACCACAGGTGCCTCTTCACTACCCCACTGTACTCCAGCTCTTTCCCTTCAATACTCCAGTCAAATTTTAGCTGTTTATTTGTTGCTTTTGGTCCTTTTTTTGTGGCTAAGTGGGGAGAACAAATGGCAGGTATCTCTAGTTGGCCATCTTGCTGACATCCTTTGCTTTTTCATTGTGTTAGAATAAATCCTTGCCTACCAAAAGGTCATAAATATATTATCCTATATTGATGCCTAGTTGCCTTCAAAATTGCATTTTATTGAGTTAATTGTTATGATTTTTATTGAATAAATTTTCTATTAAAGTGTGATGTACCTGTCAAAGTTCACTTTTATTCAATTGGTTAACCAGTTCTAAAAGAATTTTTTGAAAAAAATTTCCCCATTGAATTGTTGATGCTTTTGTGAAAATAAGGTAACTATAAGTGAGAATATTTGTGGGATCTATTATGTTCCACTGATATATTTGCCTATTGTTTCACCAATAATAAATTTTATCAATTACCATAGCTTTATGGTAAATCTTGCAATCAAGTAGTGTAAGGACTTCAACTTTTTCTTCAAGATTGTTTTGGCTATTCTAGCTCCTTTGCTTTTACATATAAATTTGGTAGCCAGTTTATAAACTTCACCAAAAATGTACTTGCTGCTATTTTAATTTGATTTGAGATTTATTTGAAACTATAGGTCAGTTTGGGGAGAGTTTACGTCTTCCCATCAATAAATATGCTATGTCTTTTTATTTATGTCTACTGTAATTTATCTCAGAAATGTTTTATAGTTTTTAGAGTAAAGGTTTAATACACATTTGATTATTTGTTTCCTGTTTTATGTTCCTTGATGCTGTTATGTGAATGGTTTTATTTGAATCTCATTCACCAATTGTTTGCTGCTAGTATATAGAAGTACAATTGAGTTTTGTATATTGATCTTACATCTCATTACCTCAAAAACTTTAATTATTAAGTCTAATAGCTTTTTTATTTTGGGGTAGATTTACTTGAGTTTTCTACATACATAATCATGTCATCTGTAAATAAAGACAACTTTACTTTTCTTCCCCAATCTTTATGCCATTTATTTCTTTCTCTTATGTAATTGCACAGGCTAGTAACTCCATTATGTGTTGAACAGAAGTGGTGAAAGGGGAATATTTTTGTCTTGTTCCTGATCTTAGGGAGCGTGATGATTAATTTTGTGTGTCAACTTGACAGGCCCATAGGGCACCCAGATATTTGGTCAAACATTATTCTGAGTGAGTTTATGAGGGTGTTTCTGGATAAGATTAACAGTTGAATCAGTAGATAAAATAAAAACAGATTTTTCTCTCTAATGTGGGTGGGCCTTATTCAATCCACTGAAGCTCTGAATAGAACAAAAGAGCTGACCATTCAAAGAGCAAGAGGTAACTCCTCTTGCCTCACTGTCTTCAGGCTGGGATATTGGATTTTCTTGCCTCCAAACTTGGACTGAAACTACATCATCAGTTTTTATGGATCTCCAGCTGGCCAGTTACAGATCTTGGAACTTGTCAATCTCCATAATTGCATAAAGCAATTCCTCATACTCTCTCTCTTCCTCCCCACTGTCCATACACACATACGCACACACACGTGAAGAGTCTTCAAAATGTTCATGGAAAATATATATTATGCAAAAAACTATACATGGATTTCAATTACTTTTTGCACTAAAATATACTACTATCATATTATACCATATCTGAACAGATCTAGTTTGAGGAACTAAGGATAAGACATCAGTTTTAAAAGAGCCCCTATCAAAACCATATTGATTCTGCTAAAATTGAAACAGAAATAAACATCCAATTTATGACGACGTTCTGGTGGAAGTATGCTGAAATTATTGACGCTTTATAAAAAGTTTATGCGGATAATGTCTGTCCCCCAGATTAGCAGTTTACATATGGATAACTCATTTTAAAAAAGGATGAGATAATGTTGAAGATGAAGCCTACAGCAGCAGACCAGCCACATCAATTTGTGTGGGAAAATTAATCTTGCTTGTGCCTTAACTAAAAAAAAACCTGATTATTATCTGCACAAACAATAGCCAACACCACAGACATCTCAATTGGTTCAGCTTACACAATTCTGACTGAAAACTTAAAGTTGAGTAAACTTTCCACCAACAGGTGCCAAAACTGTTGTGCCCAGGTCAGTTGCAGACAAGAGCAGAGCTTTCAATGAAAATTTTAAACAAGCGGGACTAAAGTCCTGAAGCATTTCTTTGAATAATTTTAACACGAGATAAAATATGGCTTTATCAGTATGATCCTGAAGACAAAGTACAATCAAAGCAATGACTATCAAGAGGTGGCAGTGGTCCAGTCAAAGCCAAAGTGGACCAGTCAAGAGCGAAAATCATGGCAATAGCTTTTGGGATGTTCAAGGCATTTTGCTTCTTGACTCTCTGGAGGGCTGAAGGATGATAATATTGGCTTATTATGACAGTATTTTGGGAAAGCCAAAGCTTTAGCAAAAAAAAAAAAAAAAAAAAAAAAAGGGCAGGGAAAGCTTTACCAGAGAGTTCTCCACCAAAATGGTATTCCTGCAATTCCTCTAATCAAAGGGCAATTTTGTGAGAGTTTTGGTCAGAAATCATTAGGTGTCCATGTTACAGTCCTAATTTGACTCCTTCTGACTTCCCTTTATTTCCTAATCTTAAAAATATCTTTAAAGGGCAACTATTTTTCTTCAGTTAATAATATAAAAAAGACTGCATTGACATGGTTAAATTTTCAGGACTCTCAGTTATTTAGGGATGACTTAAATGGCTGGTATCATCACTTACAAAATTGTCTTGAACTTGATGGAGATTATATTGAAAAATAAACTTTGCATTTCTTGTTTTCGTCTTTTAATTCCATTTTCCACAAAGTGTTTGAAGTCCTCTCATATATATTTAGTATAACTTAAATTATACTAATTCAATAATTTGTACTTATATGTACTTAAAAATATATAACTATATTTAAATTTATATAAATACTTATATATACTTACATAACTTACATATAATTACATTATATATACTAATTACATTATATATTTAAATATAATTTAGCATAATCGCTAATACTAGGTAAAAGCTTTTTATGTCTAGGTTCATTAGGAATATTAGTCTTTAATTTTCCTTTCTTTTTTTTTTTGAGACGCAGTCTCGCTCTGTCGCCCAGGCTAGAGTGCAGTGGCGCGATCTCGGCTCACTGCAAGCTCCGCCTCCTGGGTTCACACTATTCTCCTGCCTCAGCCTCCCGGGTAGCTGGGACTACAGGTGCCCGCCACCGCGCCCAGCTAATTTTTTGTATTTTTAGTAGAGACGGGGTTTCACCATGTTAGCCAGGATGGTCTCGATCTCCTGACCTTGTGATCTTCCTGCCTCGGCCTCCCAAAGTGCTGGGATTACAGGCGTGAGCCACCGTGCCCGGCCTAATTTTCCTTTCTTATAATGCTCCTTGTCATGTTTTTGTTGTCAAGCTATTTTAATATCATTAAATAAGTTGGGAAGAAATAATTTCTCCTCTTTTCTAAAAGAGTTTGTCTAAGCTTGCTATTATTCATGGCAGACATTTGAGCTTAGAGATTTTCTTTATGGGAAGGTTTTTAATCATCAATTCAATTTATTTAACAGATAGTTATTCACATTTTCTGTTTCTTCATATGTCTTTCAAGAAGTTTGTCCATGTCATGTAACCAGTAAATTTTAATGGCATAAAGGTGTTTATAATATGCTTCCCTATTGTTTGTATGATCAATACTTATATCCTCCATTTTATTCCTAATATTGGTAACTGGTCACTTTTATGTTTTTTGAACAGCATTGCTAGTCATCTAACAATTTTAATAACATTTTCAAGGAACCACTTATTGGTTCTGTTGGTTTCCTCTATTGTTTGTTTTCTATTTCATCGATTATTACTCTCCTCTTTATTATTTTATTTTTTTCTACTTCCTTTGGGTTTAATTTGCTTTTTTTCTTGGTTTCTTAATATGGAAGCACAGTCATTGACTTTAAAACAGTTCTGTTTTCTAATATAAAAATCCAACAAATACTTTTTTTTCTGAATACTGACTTAGCTGCAGCCTATAAATTTTGATATGCTATGTTCATACCACCATTCAAAGTATTTTCTGATTTCTCTGTGATTTCTTCCTTGAAGAGTATTCATTGCTCAATTTCTAATTGTAGGCGGAATTTCACAACATTTTGTTGTTAACGGTTTTGAATACATATCACTTCAATCCTTTAAAATTTAATGAGGGCTGGGCACAGTGGCTTACACCTGTAATCCTAGCACTTTGGGAGGTTGCGGTGGGCGGATTATGAGGTCAGGAGATCGAGATCATCCTGGCCGACATGGTGAAACCCCGTCTCTACTAAAAATACAAAAATTAGCTGGGCATGGTGGTACGTGCCTATAATCCCAGCTACTCAGGAGGCTGAGGCAGGAGAATTGCTTGAACCAGGGAGTCAGAGGTTGCAGTGAGCAGATACCGCACCACTGCACTCCAGCCTGGCAACAGAGCAAGACTCCATCTCAAAAAAAAAAAAAATTAATGAGATATTTAATAGCCCACTCTATGGCATATCTTGGGGAATTCTTCATGCACACTTGAAAAGGCTGCTCTTGGGTGGAGCGTCTTCTACAAGGCAATTAGGTTACGACAGCTGATAGTGTTGTTCACATCTTCTATATTTTTACTGATTTTTTTGGCCTAATTGTTTTATCAATTGGTTACAGAGAAGTGTTATAATATTCCATGATAATTGAATTTGACTATATTTCTGCCTTTAGTTCTCTCAATTTTAGTGCATTTATTTTGAACCTCTATTATTGGTTAAAAACACATTCAGGATTATGTCTTCCTAGTGAATTGGCCTCTATTTTTATGAAATGGGCAACTTATCTCTGATAATATTTCTTGTCTTGAAGTCTACCCTGATGTTAATTTGGCCACATCAATTTCTTGTGTTCAGTGCTTTATATTTTATATCATTTTTCATCTTTCACTTTCAACTTGTCTTTATATTTGAAACTATAAACATAATATGCTATGTTTTTATCCAGTCTGAAAATCTCTGAATTTTAGTGATAGCATTTAGTTCATTTACATTTAATTTATTTTTGATAAGGTTTTATTTAAAGCTATTTTTTTTTAAATTTCTTATCTGGTTGTCCCATCCATTATTTGTTTCTTTGTTCCTCCTTTCCTGCCTTATTTTGGACCTTTTTAAGTATTTTTTAGTATTCTGTGTCTTCTATTTATTGACTTTTTAGGTATGCCTCTTTATTCTACTTTTAGTGTTTCTCTAGCAGTTATTATAGATACGTTGAACTTGTCACAATCAACCTTAAAATAATATTATACTACTTTCTGTAAAATAATACAATGCTGTACTTTAATCTACACTCCTTCTATCCTTTGGACTGCTGTCAATTTTTGTCTTCTACACATTATAACCCACTGATATATTATTATTTTTGCTTATTTTTCTATAAAAAAATTAAGTGGTATTTAACATAAATATAAAAAGCAAAAATTATTTTTTTGTATTTACCTAATACATATATACATTTCTTCCTATAGAGTCAAGTTTCTTTATGGTATAACTTCTTTCTTCTGAAATGCAGTTGACCCTGAATGACGTGGGTTTGAACTGCACAGGCCCACTTATACACAGATTCTTTTCAACAAAAAGTAAATCAAAAATACAGTATTAGCAGAATGTGAAATCAGCATACAGTGGGCAGACTCTACTTAACTGTGAGTTCTGTAGAGCTGACTGTGGGGCTTGAGTATGCACAGTTTTTTTTTATAGAGAGGGGTCCTGTACCCAATCCCCCACATATACCAAGAGACAACTGGATTTCCTTTAGCCTTTCTTAAAGTGCAAATATACTGGTGACAAATTCTCACAGCTTTCATTTATTTGAAAATATTTTTATTGCACCTTAATGTTTGAAGACTATTCTTCTGGAATAATATAATAGAATTTTGGGTTGTTATCTTTTTTTCTTATAACACTATAGAGATGTCACTTTATTATCTTCTGACTTACATTGTTTCTGATAAGGAATCAGTTATAATTCTTATTGTTGATTATCTCTAAGCAACGTGTTATTTTCTCTTGCTATTTTAATGTTTTTTTGGTTTTTTTTAATTGTCTTTTTATTTTAGAAATCTCTCTCCCTCTGTCATATGGTAGTTATTCCTCCTGAATAATTATTTCAGCTCTTTGAATTTATAGGTCTACAATTTTTATCAAAAATTAAAAAAAAGTATCAGTGTTGCCAGCCTACACTGTGGTCTAAGGCTTAGCTGTTTTTTCCTAATTTCTACAATGCCTCTCTATCTACAGCTAATTAACCTTTCTGCCTGACAATAACTATATTAGGTACCTGGTCCTATTTATGCAATCTGCCACTGGTTTTGGCTTATCTGTTTAGAGGTAATTTCTAATTTGGTGCATCGAGGCTCACTTGCATTCACCATTCCTTGCTAACCCTGTCGAAAACACCCTCAAAATTTTGCCCAGGTTTTACTGCTTGTTATCAAGGGAATGAAAGTCTCATCTTTTTCCACATCTTAACCAGAAGCATACCTTTCAGAGGTGTGAAGAGTCAATGTCAATTGTTATGACATGAATACAAAGAAGCAGAGGCTAGTTTGGAAAACTGGCCTCAGAGGGACGAAGAAAAGATTTTTTCTGCTAGTATGGCAATCTCATTTCTCCCTTCTTGAGTGGGACATTGCATCACTTGGATCCTTCATGAGTGGAGTGCAAAATCTCCTCCATCTTCTCCTTTCTGTAGAGGAGAACTGCTGAGAAATATCACGCAAATGACACCCCTGGGTAGTAAGCCAGAGGTGGAGCTTTGGGACAGAGAACAGAGTTGTTGCTTTTCTCTTTTCTGTGAAACTGATGGCTCTAGATTATCTATTTACTTCTTGATCTTGTTTAGGTCTCCTTTTTCCATTTTGGAATGTTTTTCTCTCTTACAGCTCATCACCCTCACACTTAGGAAAAGGTGACTTTATCTCTGCATGATCAAGTGGGTGGGAACAAGCATAAGATCAGGGGAAAGTGATTTAAAAGAAGAAAGAAATCTTACCTTTTGTCCAGCCTTTTTTTTTTTTTTTGCCATAGTAAAATGATTTGGAACTGAAGCTTTGCATAGTATTAGAGTCTTCCTTTGCCTGGATAATTCTATGAGATCATCTCCTTCAACATATGTGATGATTGTAGACAGCTAACCAAGAATTTATTTTAGAATTCCAGCCAAATGTTTTTGTCCTATAACGCATAGCATTTATTCACTGGGATTATTGTGAGAAGTAGATGAGCTAATATATAAAAGAGGACTTTTCAAACTATGAAGCTCTCTATGGATAATAATAGTTATTTATTTTTATTATTATTATAACCTAAATGTCTGTAAGGAGAGGGATTGGTTAGGTCTCACCCAGTGGAAGACTGATGACTCGCTATAATAAAGAGAGAGACAGATGCTCTGGTAGCATGTGCTTCCAGTCATAAGAAGTTTTAGCTGGGCTTCCAACATCTTTCTTGTGTTTTTGGTCACAAATAGAATATGGAAAAATAGAATTGAATCTCCAGGCAGAAGACAGCTTGCAGCTCCGGTTCTTTCTGCCCCAAACCATGTTATTTATGACGCTGCATCACCTTTCACAACTGGTATTGCTGCCTGTCATTAATTGATCCGTGCCCGGATTTCATGACAAATGTGAAATAGGCCCCAGATGGCAGAGTTCAATTCTCTGATGTTTGGCTTTTCATCTCATTGTATGTGAACATGTCTCATCCCCTGCCCTTTTTTGGAGACTGAGAAGGATCTACAGGGTTTACAGTTGCTAGAACCTCTGCCTTGTGTCTTAACAATGTGAATTGTGCACCATAAAGGCAGTCACCAGAGTCTCCAAAGACAACCCATATTTACGGGTGTACAGGAGACTATGTTTAAAGCATTATTCCTTCTTAAGTTTATTTCATAGTCATAGTCAGTCCATGTGGTACGGGAATGTAGTGTGGGAATTAGTGTCCTGAGCTCTGCAGAAACATTTGACCCTTCATGAGACAGTTTGCTTTTCTCACATATGGGGGAAGATTTCCAAGTCTACCTATTTGCTAAAAGTCCTCCTCCCAACGTCCCTACACACCAGATTGTCTGGTGAGTTTTAAGGATAAAACTTATTGATTCATTTCAAAAACACAAATGAACTCTCTTTTATGAGTCTCCATCAGATGTGGCTATGAATATCGAATTATTATCATTCCTCTCAATACTAAGAGAAATATATACATTGTTATCTGCATTTAACAAGTATATTAATTGAGGTTGAACAACATCCCCAAGGTTACAAGACTGCTAAGTGACAGAGATGAAATTCGAAACACATACTCAATTCACTTGACCACCACACACACTACCTTCCCAATAAATAACTTTCTAAGGGTTACTCAACGTGTCAGTAATGGAGCCAGGATTCAAAGTAAGGTCTGGCTTCACCCCAGTCTTTCTGCTTTGATGACCTTCTTTCAAGGCCCAGTGAGCAAATACAAGGCAGCTGCCAGAGGGCTAAAAAGCAGGCAACTATGCTGTAGCTTGCTAACTACCTCTCTGAAAGTAGAAGCTAAGGTCATTAACATTAGTTCCAGATTTCATTCATACAAAACACTTTCAAAGGCTCAATGTTCACAATACCCCCTGAGAAGCATGAATTCTTTTTTCTCCCATGTTTCAAGTGGTTTATTATTTAACTAAACTTTAGAAAGTCCAAATGGCTGCATGTTGAACATCAAATACTGCTGAATGTAACAATCATGCTATTTTTAAATTTTTTAAAGTAAGTTTTATTGTGTACATTTAAGGTATACAACATGATGTTATGGATACATATAGATGGTAAAAATGTTACTAGAGTCAAACATTTACATATTAACAATTCATATATTTATCCCAATTTACATATTTATCAGTTCATATAGCTACTCCAATTTACATATTTATCAACTCATATAGTTACTCCAATTTACATATTTATCAACTCTTACCTCTTTTTTGTTGTTCTTGTGGCACGAGTAGCTAAAATGTATTCATTTAGCATGAAACCCAAATACAGTACAATTTTATTAGCTCTAGTCCTCATTTTGTACATTACATCTCTGGATTTGCTCATTCTATGTTCCTATTACTTTGTATCCTCTGACCTGCATCTCCCATTTCTTCCCGACACTCTGCCCCTGGTAACCACTGTTTTGTTCTCTCTCCAGCTCTGTAGGTTTGAATTTTTTTAAAACAATTCCACATGAGTGAGATTATGCATTTTTTTGGTCTAACATTTCATTTAGCATAATGCCAAGTTCATCCATGTTGTGGCAAATGGCAAGATCTCATTCTTTTTTTAGGGCTGAATAATATTTCATGGTATGTATATACCACAGGTGTTTTAACCCATTCGTTCATTGACGGACACTTAGATTGTTTCCATATCTTGGCTACTGTGAATAATGCTGCAATGAACATAAGAGTGCAGATATCTTTATGAGATGGTGATTTCATTTCCTTTGTGTATATGCCCCAAAGAAAGACTGCTGGCTCATGGTAGTTCTATTTCTAATAATGGCTGTACCAATCTACATTCTACATTCCCAATGTAGAATGTACCAATCTATAATCCCACCAGTGGTGTACAAGAGTTCCTCTTTCTCCACACCCTCGCCAACATTTATTGTCTTTTGACTTTTTGATAATAGCCATCCTGATGGGCGTGAGGTGTTATCTCAGTAGTTTTGATTTCCATTTCCCTGATAATTAATTATGTAGAGGACCTTTTCATATACCTGTTGGTGATTTTCATGTTTTCCTTGAAGAAAGGTCTATGCAGGTCTTTTGCCCATTTTTTAATTAGGTTATTAGCTTTTCTATTATTGAGTTGTATGAGTTCTTTACATATTTTGGATATTAACCCTTTATCAGATGTATGGGTTGCATATTTGTTTTTTTCCAATCTGTAAGCTGCCATTTCATTTTGTTAATTGTTTTTTGGCTGTAGAAAAGTTTTTAGTTTGATATAGTCCCATTTATTTATTTTTCCTTTAGTGGCCTGAGCATTTAGTGTGATATCCAGAAAATCATTGCCAAGGCCAATGTCCAGGAGCTTTTCCCCTGTGTTCTCTTCTGGGAATTTTATAGTTTCTGGTCTTGCATTTAGAGCTTTTATCCATTTTGAGCTGATTTTTGCATATCATGTAAGATGAGATTCTAATTACATTCCTTTGCATGTGAAAAATCCAGTTTTCCCAGCACCATTTATAGAAAAGACTGTTCTTCCCTCATTATGTCCTCTTGATGGTGATTTATCAAAAATTAGTTGACCATGTGTGTTTGGATTTATTTCTGGACTCTCTATTCTGTTCCATTGGTCTGTGTTTCTGTTTTTATGCCAGTACCATGCTGTTTTAATTACTTTAGCTTTGTAATATAATTTTAAATCAGGAAGTGTAATGCCTCCAGCTTTGTTCTTTTTGCTCAACGTAGTTTTGGCTATTTGGGGTCTTTTATGTTTCCATATGAATTTTAGGATTTTCTTCTGTTTCTGTGAAGAAGGTTGTTGAGATTTTGATAGCAATTGTGTTGAATCTATGTCTTGCTTTGGGTAGTATGGATATTTTAGCAATATTAATTCTTCCACCCCATGGGTTTTGGATATCTTTCTATTTATTGTGTCTTTGCAATGTTTTTCATGAATGTTTTATAGTTCACAGTTTATAGTTACAAATCTTTCACCTTGGTTAAATTTTTCGCAAGTATTTTTCATGCTATCATAAAGGGGATTGTTTTCTTGATTTCTTTTCAGCTAGGTCATTATTTGTGTGTGAAAGCACTACAGATTTTTGTATGTTGATTTTGTATCCTTTAGCTTTACTGAAGTCTCTTACTAGTTCTGACAGGATTTTTTTGGTAAAATCTTTGGGTTTTTTTACATATAGAATCACATCATCTGCAAATAGAGATAATTTCAGTTCTGTATGCCTTTTATTTCTTTTTCTTGACTGATTGCCTTTGTCAGTATTTATGGTAATATGCTAAATAGTAGTAAAAGTGGGCACCCTTGCCTTGTACCAGATCTTAGTGGAGAAACTTTCAGTTTTTCCCCGCTGATGTTAGCTGTGGGAGTTAAAATAAATGCCCTTTATTTTGTTGAGGAGCTTTCCTTCTGTACTTAACTTATTGAGAGTTTTTAATCAAGAAAGAATGTTGGACTTTGTTGAATGCTTTTTCCATGTCAATTGAGATGATCATGTGGTTATCTTTCATTCTACTAATGTGATGTATCACCTTGATTGATTGTGTATGTTAAGCCAGACTTGCATGCCAGAGATAAATCCCACTTGGTCATGATATATAATCTTTCTGATATGTTGTTGAATTCAGTGTTCATATTTTATCAAGGATTTTTGCATCAATGTTCATCAGAGAAATTGGCATATAGTTTTCTTTTCTTGTGATATCTTTGTCTGGCTTAGGTACCAAGGTGATTTTGGCCTCATGAAATGTGTTAGGAAGTATTTCCTCTAGCTGTAGTTTTGGAAGAATTTATGAAGTATTAGTAGTAACTCTTTTTTTGAATATTTGGCAGAATTCAGCAGGGAAGCCATCTGGTCCTGGGCTTTTCTTTGGGCAGTTTTTGCTTACTTCTTCAATCTCTTTATTTGTTATTGGTCTATTCAGGCTTTTTATTTCTTCTTGACTCAATTTTAGTAAGTTGTATTTTCTAGGAATTTATCTATTTCCCCTAGATTACCCAATTTGTTGGAATATAATTGTTCATAATAGTCTCTTAGGATCCTTTTTATTTCTGAGGTGTCTGTTGTAACTTCACTTTCATTTTTTTATTTTATTTTTGAGTCTTCTTTTCTTCTTAAAGTAGCTAAAAGTTTTTACATTTAGTTTATTTTTTTAAAGTAACCCTTAGTTTTATAGATTCTTTCTGTGGTTTTTCTTTTCTTTATTTGATTTACTTCTGTTCTGATTTTTATTAGTTCCTTCCTTCTGCTAATTTTGGGCTTAGTTTGCTCTTTTTCTACATCCTCAAGGCTTAGTGTTAGAATATATACTTGGGATCTCTTTTCTTTTTCAAGTGTAGACATTTATTGCTCTTCTTAGAACAGCTAAGCTTTTGTTGCATCCCATAGGTCTTGGTATGTTGTGTTTTCATTGTCATTTGTCTCAAGATATTTTTAAATTTTCCTTTTGATTTCCTCTTTGACCTATTGGCCATTTAGGAGGTTGTTGTTTAATTTATACATACTTGTAAGTTTTTCAAGATTCTTCTTGCTGTAGATTTCTAGTTTCATTCCATTATGATCTGAAATGATCCTGGATATTATTTCAATTCCTTAAATTTATTAAAATTTGTTTTGTGGCCTAACATATGGTCTATCCTGGAGAAGAATCCACGTGCCTAGAGAAAAATGTGTATTCTGCTGCTGCTCATGGAAAGTTCCACTAATGTATGTTGGGTCCATTTAGACAAAAGTGCAATTCAAGTCCAGTATTTCCTTATTAATTTTCTTTCTAGTTGATCTATCCATTGTTAAAAGCATAAATTCTTATTTTGATTTCCATTTGAGGAAGCCATGTCCCAAGACTCAGGCAATTTGCCCAAAGTTGCAAAATTCAATTCTAATCTACCTCATCTGGCTTCAAACTATTTTGTTTTTCTAGCACACAATTCTACATGAGCATTTTCCCTTTTAGAAAGTTGAGTTCTTTCTTTGAAATGAATCAGCCAATGTGATATTTGCACCATTATAAACATTTTTCCATCTAGTTAGCACTGTCATTTGGACTTTTCTTGGAAAAACAGAATTTTGAGCCTTCCATAGGTTACCTAATTGTATCCAATACTGTATACAAATGGATATGTAAAGGTGTATACAACACTGTTTCTGAACAATAATGATTTGTTTCCTTCCCTCTGTTATTGGAATTCTCCTTTTGCTAGGACTGCTGTACCCTCTGTTTCCAATAGGCTTTCACAGAAGACAGGCAAACAAATCCACCTGAGCGTGTCCTTCCCCCACAAGGATGCACAAGTAGTGACACTTGTTCCATTGCACTTCCCAGGCTTTCTCAGGCGAATAGGAGTGCAGTCCCAGGGTGGACTTTGGCTTCCATGCTTACATGGTGAATGTCTGAGCCATAATTTTCCTGCTTGATATAAAGGCTTCCTATGTCTCCAGCTATCTGTACTGAATACACTTTCCTTCAACTCTTCTAGCTTACTTAAATAATACATTTGATTTGATAATATAAAGGATGATATGATATAATTTGCCCAGTTCAACACCCTCCAGGACAAAAAATTATAAGAGCAACAAAAATAATGTCCGGGATCACGATCAAGCCATTAAAAAGAGAATTGGAAAAACATTATTAACTCAGGCAAAGGAAAAATGAAATGCATTTTCTAGAAAGAATGAAAGGTAGAATACCTTTCTACCTTTTTTTGGATGTGGTTTCTGATTAGAGAAAAGATCTTTGTGCCTCAAATGTTTCCAAAGATAAAATTTTAAGGTAAAGTAAACTCTCCAACTCAGGAAAATGGCTAGAAATCAGTGTCACCTGATTCTTAAACACTGCCCTGTGATAAGAAACAGACTTATAGGTTATTGTTCTAAATGTAAACTTTACTTCTCAATTATAGTATTATCTTTTCATTTAAGGAAACACACTGAAAGAAAGTTGAAACAATTTTCATAAAAAATAATATAAGTTCCAAATTTTTACTATGATGTTAATAATTGTAATATAATAACAATGTTAGTTAAATGTTTTATTTCTAAAATCTATAATGTGATTTCTTATACACTTACAGAATAAGGTTTACAATATATTAGATTCTAATATATATATAGGTTTTCCTTTTAGTAAAATATATTTTGGTTCTTGAAGCTTTTGAGAAGAAAATATTTAAGAAAAGATACATTTGGAAAAATAAATGTAAGTTTTGAAGTTTGCAACAGCTACTCTGCAAGTCTATAAATTATGGATATTTTATTTATTAATTCGGTTATTGAGTATTTATTGAACTTAAGCTTTGTACCACTCACTGTATTTCGTGCTAAGAACACATAAATAGTAGGTTGAACCAAAATCGCTGTTTTTATAAGTTAAACACAGTTAATAGCAATTTAAACAGTAATTAATCAGGATTTAAGTCAAAGTTAAATGTAATGCTTGTCCTCATGGGCATCAGTCTGCTAAGGAAAGCAGACTTACAAATAAATACATGCAAGTGCAGGGTGAATAATCAGAGAGGATTTTTAATAGTGGGTTATATTTTTTAAAAAGTAGGAGTAGTATGGGTGGTATGTTAACAGATGGAGAAAGTTGCAATGGATTAGAACATTTAATAGGAGTTGAAGGGGTGAAGACAGGAAATATAATATTTCATTTTAAAAAGCTTGGTTGTGAAGCTGACAGCATCAATTGTATGTGAGTGTGGTTCAGGGGTGTGTGTGTGTGTGTATGTGTGTGTATGTGTGTATGGGAGAGGCATGCTTATATGCTGAGAGCAAGTCGCCAGGACAAAGGTTATGGGAATACAGAGGCTGGACCGGAGAGTTTCTGGCACTGAGAATTTATTTTAATTATGCGATTCTATGTACTATGCATGTGACTTAAGTAGGAGGATTCAACAAATGTTCCTTGAACTGAAATATAAACAATGCTAGATTTTCTATCTAATTTTTGATGATACCTTGTTCTTCTCTAGGGAACACAGCTGATGAGAGCCAAGTCTGGGGAAGGGCTTTGAAATTTCATTTTTAAATGCTTTAAGTAAATAATGTTAAGAGGAAATGAAAAGGGAAAGAAAGGGGAACAGGTATTTAGAAAGACTTTGAAATGAACCCAAAGCTTAGTGAAAAAACAATTGGCGTAGAAGCAGCCAAGAGAGCTGTCTTGTACACAGGGAAAATGAGTCATGCATAAGAAGGATTAATGAATGAAGACATGGATAAGAAAAAGGTATTGTGGGTGGGAAAAAAAAATCCATGAAAATAAGAGAGGCTTTTTGAAGCTCAGAGCAAAGGCAGCAAGAAAACTATTAGTCCCTGATGACAGAAGGAATGTTGTTAGTAATTGCTCAGTGGAATATAATGGCTGGCCCTTTGACAGAAAGCTAATCCATGAAATGCATGAATGGAGAGTTAGCATGTGGTTACAGTGCATCAAGCTCTGCTGACAAGGTGAAATCTAGAAGGAGGTCTATAGTCAGGATAGTTTTAGTGTCAAATAATCCTACTTTCTAAATGAATAGTGAGAGAGAGTGTGTATGTCTTAGTCTATTTTGTGTCACTATAAGAGAATATCACAGACTGGATAATTTATAAATAAAATAAATGTATGCCTCACAGTCTGGAGGCTGGGAAGTCCAGCATCAAGTTGCCAGGATCTGGTGAGGGCCTTCATGCTGTGTCTTCCAATGGAGGAAGGCAGCAGGAGAACATGCACTCCAGATAGCAAGAGAGCAAGAGTGGGTAGAACTCACTTTTTCAACAATCTCACTGTCGAGATAACTAACCCATTCCCATGGCAATGACATTTATCCATTCATAAAGGCAGAGCCTTCGTGACCTTATCATCTCTTATTAGGCCCCATCTGCCAACACTGTTGCACTGGGGATTAAATTTCCAACACATGAATTTTGAGGGGCACATTTCAACCACATCAGAGAAGAAGAGACCTGAATCGTCAAGAAATATAAATTTTTCTAAAATGATTTTCTAGTTATTAAATTAAATTAAAGTAATTTAATTTAATTAAGTTGAACATTTCAGATTGGTTTCCAGATATTTCAGGCCAATTCAACTCCTATTTCAGGGTTTTTCCCACATAGAATACTCTCTTTATTGGACAAAGCTTATACATTTTCTCGAATGTATAATGACAGACAAATGCCTCTTTGCTCAAAGCCAGTGGGGACCCCATGTGTTGTCACTCCAGTTCCCTCTACTCTTCTTCCTGTCTCTTTCTCCAGCCTTCTGTCTGGTGAGACATCTCCATGGATCTCAATTTAAAAACCATTCTGTAATTTACTTAACCTTTTAAAAAACTTGACTATTATTTTTTAACACTATGTGTTTTACCATGTGTCAAAGTAACCTTCCTAATGCCAATATTCCCCATTCTCCTCTGTTCAGCCTCCCTGGAGGCTTGGGCTGGAGGGTCAGCAAGTGTATCTAGACCACCAGCAGTGTGCATTGGGCTCTGGGTAGTGCCAAGCATGTGCATGAATCATGGGTGTTTTTTTCTACATCACAGGGGGACGCTGCTCTGCTGGACTCACTCCATTCCCAGTGTCCTTTGCCTTGTTACCAATGGGAGGAGAACTGGCTTTAGCGAAGGCTGGAACTCTCCAACTCACTCACTCAGCCATCGTTCCTTATCTGACACCCCAGAAGTCTGATACCAGAAATATGATCAAGTAAGTTTGAGTTATTTCTTAAGCAATGTACCAATATATTTAAGAGCATGGACTCCAACTCAGATGGACTAGGTTCAAATTCTGACAAAGCCACTACCAGTCATGAGAGTTTAGAAGAGTGACTTCACCTTTCAGAGCCCAATTTTCACCAAATGTACAAGCAAGATAACAATCCCTATGTGTAGCATTGCTGTGTTAGAAATAATATAGGCCAAAATCCTAGCATCTTACCTGGCTCAGGGAAACCACTTAATACATAATTATTAATGTTATTTTTATATGAAAGTCTCTATTTTCTCAATTTTTCCAGAACGCTAAAGTTCCTAAAAGACTGTCAAGGGTCACGATGAAATGGCTATGACAGGCAATATATCAGAGTTAGTGGAATGCCTATGGTGGAGTTGCCTGCTTAAGAACACCCTGTAGGTGGGTCGATACTACTAGCACCAATACTTCTCTGTCATAACATCCCACTTAAACAATCAGTAGACAAATAAGAAGACCTTAATGATTTAGCATTTTATTAGCAAATTGCAGTGGCTGCTTGCACGACAACTTTGAACTGTAGTTGGAAATTTGAAGGGGGTGATTTGGGCCACTTTGCTTTTTGGCAACTACCCACTGACAGCATGTTACTTTTGCTTCCTTTGTCAAGCACAGAAAAACAGGAAGCACAAAATCAATTTGAACTGGGGTTGGAGGTGGGAGGAAGCTGGTGGAGAGGCAGGCTGTGTCTCCCGTCAGGTCTGATCCACATTAAGCAACAAGAACTCACTCTGTACTCAGCCTGGGTCTTGTGCTGAGCTGCACCTTCAAGCATTTTTGGACACAAAGAAATCCTTCTGTACATGTGAGGTTTCTGGCTGTCTCTTCAGGACCAGCCCTGCCCCACAACCCCTTTAAAAAAATGTCTCTGGGGTATAGAGGGCATTAGAGTAAGTGCAGAACGAGACTGAGACACGGGCATGTTATGAGTTTTGCAGTGAATTAGCTATGTGACCTTGATAAAATATACCCTGCTTCTCCATCTGTGGGAGTATTGAAGAAGGAGGAAGCATTTCACAATCAAATTCCAACCAAGGAAAGGGGTCGTGGGAAAAACAGTGGAGGTAACCCAGAGATGCTGGCATGAGCTGTGGCCCATGGGAGACCCCATGCCCAATCTAAAGACATTCACATTTCAGGAAAATAAAGAAGTCAAGTTCCAAGAGATAACATACCTATTGGCTGCCAATTCCAGACCTCTGGACCAGATGGTGGGTGAGGTCTTTTCTAGTTTTATGATCTGAGCCACCCTGGCACTAGAAAGTAGCACTGAAGGATGCTGAAGGATGTGAAAGTAGAGCAATTTGCAAAGTCACATTTAGCTATGCATTATTAGAAAAGCTTTAAGTGTGAAAAAATTTAACTTGCTTTAAGTTATGCTAATTCTAAAACAAAAACCAAATGAATTCCAATTTAATTAGAATTAAATCTAGGAGTAATAGATGGCTTTTCACAAATTTTTAAACATACAGAAAAAAGTAGTGCTTTGAGAAAAATGTCAACGAGATAATACTAGCCTCTAGGATCATTTATCATTTTCAATACAGCTAGTTAGAGACCTCACAGACAGTGCTTCCCTTAATGGTCACTCAGCAGGGCCTCGATCCATCTGTCTCCATTAAAAGGAAGAGGAAGTGTTTTATTTATAGAATGACTAAACATGTCCATTGTTGCTTTATTCTGCGTTTTAAAATAATAAAGACAGGTACGTGTTGCTTCTCAAAGTCGTCAGCCCAAGTAGTACTTTATTGATCATTTCCAAGTTAATGGGATAAGAACCTAGAAGGCAATGACCCAAATTAACACCTGATTGAACAACCCCCTCACTTAAAAAAATAAATATATATATATATATATATATACTTTAAAAGTCCTTTGATTCTGAAGCACAGGATGTCAATATAGATTGTGAGTTCCATAGAATATCACAGCCAAATTAGGAACTTTTCTAAATGTTTTGTTCTGAAATAGCTATGGATTCATAGGAAATTGCAAAGATAATACAGAGAGGACTTGTGTACCCTTCACCCAGTTTCTCTCGTTGACTCCCTCTTACATAGAGCACAAGGTCAAAACTAGGAAACTAACAATGATATAAAGTATGTGCCTAGTTCTATGTCATGTTATCACATGTGTAGATTCTGTAACTACTGTGGAAATCAAGATGCACAATGATTCCATCCCTTGCCGTCCTCCTCACCATCTCTGTCTCCTGGAATTAATATTTTCTTCATCTCTGAAGTCCAATTTTTGTCACTGTAAGAATGTTATGTAAACGGAATCATATAGCAAATATGCAGTTTTTTATATTGGATTTTAAAAATCAGCATAATATTCTCGAGGTCTATCCAAGTTGTTCCATTCCTTTTCATTTTTGTCCATTCTTCTCTTTTGCCAAGTAGTATTCCATGGTATAGGTTTGTTTAACTATTCCCCTATTATAGGACATTTTTCTTCTTTCTACTCTGGGGCTATTTCAAATAAAGCTACTATGAACAATCAGGCATGGGTTTTTGTGTGGACCTAAGTTTTTATTTCTCTTTAATAAATGTCCAGAAGGGCAATTTTAAGTGTACGTTTAGTTTCTTTTAAAAAACTGCTGAGCTAATTTTTAATGTGGCTCTACCATCTTACATTCCCACAAGCAATGAATGAGAGATTGCGTTTCTCTGTGTCGTGTCTCCCAGACATTTGGTATTATCAATTATTTTTAAACTGTAGTTTTTCTAACAGGTGTGCAGTGATACCTCATTGTGGTTTTAATTTGCATTTTCCTAATGCAAAACATCTTTTAATGTGCTTATTTGCTCTCTCTATAACTTCTTTAGTGAAATGTCTCTTTATGCTTTTTGCTTATTTTCTAACTGGATTGGGTTTTTTTGTTTTTTACTATTGAGCTTTGAGAATTAAAAAAATATAATCTAGAGATGACTCTTTTGACAGGTATGTGGTTTGCACAGTCCATAGCTTGTCTTTTTGTCATCTTAAAAGGGTCTTTTGCAGAGCAAATGTTTTTAATTTTAACGAAGTCCAATTTATTATTTTTTTCTCTTTTATGAATTGTGTTCTTTGTGTCTCAGAACTCTTGGTGAACAATAGGCCCTGAAGTTTTTCTCTTGTTTTCTTCTAAACATATTATTGTTTTATTATATTTTGCATTTAAACCTATAATCCATCTTGAACATTTTCCGTTTTTTTTTTGTTAATTTGCTTTGCATAGGTGGTAGGTTTAAGCTGAAGTTTATTTCTTTTTTGCTATAAATGTCTCATTGCTCCAGTGCTATTTGTTGAAAAGACTTTCCTTCCTCCATTAAATCACTTTTAAACCCTTGTCAAAGATCGGTTAGGCATATTTGTGTAGGGATTTTTCTGTGTTTTCTAATTTGTGCTGTTAATCTATATGTCTATCCCTCCATCAATGCCACCCAGTCTTGATCACTATAACTATATAATAAGTTGATAGACTTATTCTTCCTACTTCATTCTTATTTTTCAAAATTGTTTTAATTATTCCAGCTCTTTTGCCTTCCCACATATTATTTTGGAATAACTTTCTATGTCTACAAAATATCTTACTGTTATTTTGATAGAAATTACATTAAACTTGTATATCAACTTAGGGTGAATTGATATTATGTGGGCCTTCTGGTTTATGAACAGATATTACTTTTCATTTATTTAGATATTCTTTGATTTCTTTTTATCAGCTTTTTGTAGTGTTCAACATAAAAGTCTTTTATATGCTTTGTTAGATTTACATATAAGTTTTTCCCCACTTTATATTTTAGGGATCATAAATGTTATCATATTTTTAATTTCAGTGTCCACATTTCCATTGTAGACATGTGGTATAGAGAAATACAACTGATTTTTGTATGTTGATCTCATATCCTGTCACCTTGCTGAATTAAATTATTAGTTCTAAAATATTTGTTTTTTTTAATAGATTTTGGGGGGATTTTCTACACATACAATCACATCATCAGCAAATATAATTTTTGCCTCTTCCTTTCCAATTTGCATGCCTTTGTTTCTTTTTATTGCCTTATTGCAGTGGCTAGAACTTCTAGTACTATTTCAATAACAGTGATAGAGCTAGTCATTCTTGCTTCTTTTCTATTTTAAAGACAAAGTATTCCATTTTTCACCATTAATACCATATTAGTTGTGGGTTTTTTGTAGGTATTCTTTGTCAAGTTGAGGAACATCCAATCTATTCGTAGTGTTCTGAGATTTTCTTCTTTTTTATTTTTTATTTAATTTTTATTTACTCTGATGCTCCCATATTCTGAGATTTTAACCACAAATAAGTACTGAATTTTGTTAAATGATTCATCGATTGATAGAATTATGTGATTTTTATGTTTATATGATGGACTACATTGACTTTTGATTAATGAACCAGTATTGCATCCCTGGAATAAACGTATTTTGGTTAAGGTATGTATAAATAGTTGTATCACTGAATTAAATTAATTAATATTTCGTTAAGTATTTTTGTGTCTATACTTATGAGGGGTATTTGTTTGTAGTTTTGTTTTGTGCTATCTTTGTCTGGTTTCTGTATTGCCTTCAATAAAATGAATTGGCAAGTGTTCCTTCTATTTCTGGAAAATATTGTGTAGCACCGATGCCAATTCTCCCTAAATGCTTCAAAGAATTCTTTAGTGAAACCATCCATAATCTTTGAAAAGTTTTAAATTACAGATATAAATTTCTTTTCTTTTTTTTTTTTTTTTTTTTTTTTTTGAGACGGAGTCTCACTCTGTCGCCTAGGCTGGAGTGCAGTGGCGCGATCTCGGCTCACTGTGAGCTCCGCCTCCCGGGTTCACGCCATTCTCCTACCTCAGCCTCTGGAGTAGCTGGAAATACAAGTGCCTGCCACCACGCCCGGCTAATTTTTGTATTTTTTAGTAGAGACGGGGTTTCACCATGTTAGCCAGGATGGTCTCGATCTCCTGACCTTGTGATCCTCCCGCCTCAGCCTCCCAAACTGCTGGGATTACAGGCATGAGCCACCACGCCCGGCCCTAAGGATATAAATTTCTTAATAACTTTGGGACCATTTAGATGATATAGTTCATATTGGGTGATTTGTGATAGTTCCCGCTTTTTGAGAAATTGATTCACTTCATCTAAGTTGTCAAGTTTACATTTGTGAGGTTGTGCGTAGCATTTCCTTATTAAATGTACGTAAGGTCTGCAATGATATCCTATGCTTCATTCCTGAGTTAGTAATTGTCTTCTATCTTTTATTTCTTTGTCAAGCTTGTGAAAGATTTGACAATTTTATCAATTTTTCAAAGAACCAGGTTCTTGTTTCATTGATTTCCTCTATTGATTTTTTTCTGTTTTTAACTTCATTGATACATGCTTTTTTATAATTTATTTCTTTCTGCTTCCTTGGGATCATTTTGATCTTATATTTATAGTTTATTGAGGTAAAAGCTTAGATTATTGGATTAAAATTTTTCTCTTCTAATGTAAGCATTTAGTGCTGCAAATTTCCTTCAGCATTGCTTTACCTGTGTTCTGAAAGTTTTGATAGTCTGTATTTTAATTTCCATTCATTTAAATGTAATTTTCATTTTTCCCCTCAGGCTTTCTCATTGACTCATGGCTTATTTAGAGGTGTGTTGTTTAGTGTTTGGAGATTTTCCTGTTACTTTCTGCTTTTGATTTCTAGTTTGGTTCCATTGTGGTCACACAGTCCACTCTGAATGATTTAAATTCTTTTAAATTTGTTGTGGTTTATTTCATGACTCAGGATATGTTTTATCTTAGTATATGTTCCTGGGGCACTTGAAAAGAATATCTATTCTGTTGTTAGGTAACATGTTCTATTAATGTCAGCTGCTGTGTTATTCTTCTTTATCCTTGGATTTTCTGTCTAGCTGCTCTGTCAGTAATTGAAAGAAGGATGTTGATGTCTCCACATATAATTGTGGATTTGTCTATTTCTCCTTTCATTGTATCAGTTCTGGCTTCACATATTTTGCAGTTCTATTGTTTGGTGGATACACCAGGATTGCTATGCTTCTTGGTGGATAGATCAAGAAGTGATCTTATGTAATGGCCCTCAATGTCCCTGTAATTATCCTTGACCTGAAGTCTACATTATCTGATATTAATATACCCACCCTGCTTAATATTGATTAGTGTTTTGATGGTATACCTTTTTTCACCCTTTTATTTTAACCTATCTAGATCATTATATTTGAAGAGAGTTTTTTGTAGACAGAATATGGTTAGGTCATGGTTTTTTAAAAATTAAATTTACCAATCTCTGTCCTTGAATTGATGCATTTAATGGAGTTATTGGCATTATAGGGCTTACATCTGCCATTTTATTTTTTGTTATCTGTTCTTTCTGTTTTGTGTTTCTGTGTTTCCTTTTCTTATCTTTTTTGAGTTATTTGAATTTATTTTTATAATTCCAGTAATTCTATTTATCTATAGATTTTTTGAGTGTATCTCTTTATATAAGTTTGTATACAAAGATTTTCAGTGGTTTATATATCACATATTTGTGTATGTGTGTGAGTGTGTTTGTGCATGTGTATATATGGCTTATTTCAGTCTCCTGAGGCAACCAGCTTGAGTGATGTGTAGAAATCCATCTCTTTATTCTCCCATTTATAATTGTTTATGTATTTCCTCTACGTACATTGAGAATCACATTCGTCAGTGTTATAATGTTTGTTTCAACTTTCAAACATAAGTCAGAAAGAAGAAAATTAATATTCATTCATATATTTTCTCTTTATCTTGTTCTTTCTTCTGTCCTAATGTTTCAAGAGTCTCTCTTTTATTATTTCCTTTCCGTTTAGAGAACTTCTTTCCCCATTCTTTTAAGGTAGGTATGTGAGCAAGAAATTATCTCATTTTTCCTTCATCTGACAATGACTTGACTTCCCCTTCATTCCTGGAGGACATTTTCACTGGCTATAGAATTCTAGTTGACACTTCTTTTATTTCAGCTCTTAAAAATATTGTGCTTCTTCATCTGGGCTCCATGTTTTCTAATAAGAAATCTGCTGTTGTTCAAATTGCTTTTTTTTCTAAATGTAAGCTTTTCTTTCTCTCTAACTTCTTTCAAGTGTTTTTCTTTATTTTTGCTTTTTAGAACTTTGACGATAATGTGCCTTTATATAAATTTCTTTGGATTTACCCTGTTTGGATCATATAGCTTCTTAAATCTATAGGCATATGTCTTTTGCCAAATTTGGTGAATTTTCAGCCATTATTTTCTGCAAATATTTTTAGCTACTTTCCTCCAGGGACTCTAATGACATAAGCATTAGATCTTTATTATTATGGTTCTTCAGGTCCCTAAGGCTGTGAACTTTTTTTTTTTTTCCTGTCTATTTCCTTCTGTTATTCAGCTTGGGTAGTTTCTCTTGTTCTGTCTTCCAGTTCACTGATTCTTTCCTCCATTCTGCTCTTGAGTTCATTCATTGAGTTTTGTATTTTGGTAACTGTATTTTCTAAGTGCTAAAATTTCCATTTGGTCTTCTTTTTTGTATTTATTTGCTGAGATTTTCTATATTTTCATTAATTTCAAGGTTGTTTATAATTGCTCATTGGATCATTTTCACCATGGGTGCTTTAAAATCCTTGTCAGGCTGGGCATAGTGACTCACACCTGTAGTCCCAGCACTTTGGGAGGCTGAAGCAGGATGATTGCTTTAGGAGTTTGAGACCTAGAATTGCCTAGGAGTTTGAGACCAGCCTGGGCAACAAAGCAAGACCACATCTCTACAGAAAATACAAAAAGTAACCAGGTATAATGTGTACCTGTAGTCCCAGCTACTCCAGAGGCTAAGATGGAAGGATTGCTTGAGCCCAGGAGGTTGAGGCTGCAGTGAGCTATAATCATGCCACTGCATTCATGTCACTGGGTGGCAGCAAGGCCCTGTCTCAAAAAGTAAAAATAAAAATAAAAATAAAAATAATACAATAAAATGCTTGCCAGATAATTCTAACATCTCTGCCATGTTGGTGTTTTTGGTCTATTGATTGCTTTTTCTCATTTAAGTTGATTCTTAGCATAATGAGTGATTTCTAATTACATAATACTTTGGGTATTATGTTCTAAAACTCTGGATCTTATTTAAATCCTTTGTTTTATGTGGACTTTTCTGATACTACTCTAATAGGAGTGGGGGTGGGGGTCACTGTGTCATGACTGCCAGGTAGGGGGTGGAAGTACAGTTTCCCCACTTGACCTGTATTGATCCTGGAGTGGGAGTGATCCTCACTACAACTCGGTGGGATAGGAGCTACTGCCCCTTGTTGGGTCCCCACAGATACCACCCTGGCTGGGAGTGGCAGGAGTGCTTTGTCATTGTGCCCCATGTGGCCTCCGCTCACACTGTGGGGAGGAGTATCCTTGCTGCCCCTGAGTGGTGGTGAAGGTCCTGACACTTCACTGATCCTCTTCTGATAGGGGAAGGAAGGGTACCTCATTACTGCCAGTGAATTGGAAGTCCAGGATCCCAATGTGGTCTTCATTGTCATCTTGTGGAAAAGGGACCTCATTACCCTCCAGTGGGGATGAGAGTTTTGGCTTTCTCCTCCTTCTTCTCTGATATCACTCTGCTCAGGGCATTTGGGAAAGTTATTATGGTCTGGGGAGTGTGGAAATATGGCCTGTCCATTCAGCTTTTGGTGGCAGGGAGTGAAGAAGCAGACCCATTTGTTTCTATGGTGTTTGGCTGGAGTAGAGTGGTCATTGTTTGAAAGCTTTTCTGTCTTTGTAGGCTGCCCTTTCCTTGTCATTTGTCTGGAGGGAGCGGAAATTTTATTTGGAGGGTTGGCCTTTCCAGGTGTTAGCCTGTCCACTATTCAGCCTGATATGTGAGGCAAATAAAAAACGCAGGGTTGTTCCTCAGGCCCCAGTGTCCCCATGTCCCTGTTGGTCTTCCATCTCCATCTTTCAGAACCTTCCTGTGGTTGTTCTGCATACACGGTCCAGGGTTTTCAGTTGCGCTAAGCGGCAGGAATATGGAAAAGTATTCCTACTCCATCTTTCCAGATGCCAACGTTCCCCACTCCCCAAGTCATGTTCTTGTACCTAGTCTAGATTTTTCACATTCTTGTACTGGCTCTCCTTGAAACTTTAGGAATATTTACCATGTGTCTTCTGACAAAATTATATCAGGTAACAATAAATGTAAAATAAATATAACAACTGTGAGAGCCAAAAAATCCAGAAAAAGGAAATACATTTTCTCTTTGTTTCAATCAAGTATTTATCTGGGCAGTGCAGCATGCAACCGCCGCCTCCTGGGTCCATGCAATTCTCTTGCCTCAGCCTCCCAAGTTGCTGGGATTACAGACATGTGCCACCACGCCCAGGTAATTTTTGCATTTTTAGTGGAGACAGGATTTCACCATGTTGGTCAGGCTGGTCTTGAACTCCAGACTTCAAGTGATCCACCCGCCTCGGCCTCCCAAAGTGCTGGGATTACAGGCGTGAGCCACCACACCTGGCCCCCAGACAATAACTTAAAAGCCAAAAAGAAATGGTTCTAGTAAATAAAAATGTTTGTTTTATTTTATTTTATTTATTTATTTATTTATTTATTTATTTATTTATTTATTTTTGAGACGGAGTCTTGCTCTGTCGCCCAGGCTGGAATGCAATGACATGATCGCAGCTCACGCCATTCTCCTGTCTCAGCCTCCTGAATAGCTGGGACTACAGGCACCCTCCACCATGCCCAGCTAATTTTTGTATTTTTAGTAGAGAAGGGGTTTCGCCATATTGGTCAGGCTGGTCTCGAGTTCCTGACCTCAGGTGATCGACCTGCCTCAGCCTCCCAGAGTGCTGGGATTACAGATGTGAGCCACTGTGCCCGGCTGTTATTTTGATCAGACAATATTCTCTAAACTTATTTTTATTTTTGAGTAGCAGAGGAAAATGTAGCAGGACTTTCTAACAAGAGAAAATGTTCACATAGTCTTAATAACTAACATCTGACTAGATACAAGATAGGTGGCAGGGCATCTGTCTCACCTAATTTCCAATATTGGTGTGTCCGTGGCAAGGCATTTACATTTTTGCTTTCCTGAATTTTTAATTGAAAAGGGGATTGAAATCTAAATTAATGTTTTGGTAAAACAGCATCTAAATGATAATGAGCACACCTATTCTTTTGTTGTTAGGCAGTTGAGTATCACTTAGATGAAGATTAAACTGAGAAGTCTACAATGTGATTTTCTACTTAACTTTACCCTCCTAGACACTGCTCTGAAGATGAACTGGTTCTAGAACACACCCAGTGTTTTGAAAGCCTTTAGATCCAGACACTCATGATTTTTCATTTTTAATTGTTTATGCTTCATTTACATAATCATTGCTCTCACTGGTTTGGATGTTCTGAATTAATCGGATACTTTTAATATCAAACTAATTACTTAAAACAGAAGAAGATATAATTGTATACCACAAAATACAACTTCTTCACTTATGATATTGTAGTAGAGTCAGTGAAAGCTTTTGTTGGTCCTGTGGTTCATAAAGTACTTCATGCCAGACTCTGGAATATCTGTTGTTTATAAGAATTATTAAACTATCAAGACTTATTCAAGGTTGCTAATGGCACATAGTCCATAACTTAATTGGTTATAAACAGATGACACTGATACACTTCCTCTGAAAAAAGTAATAAAATTAAAGCTATATAATTAAAAATTAGATAACAATGTACATACTCATAAACACCAGCAGATCAGGTTATCATACCATGGAAATAATGCAGAGTAAGTATGAAAAATTATAAAATCCATAAGAGGTAAGCAGTTTGTTGTTTGCAATTGGATGACACTAGGATCTTTTGAGAACAGTATTAAATGGATTTAATAAGTATCCAGGCATACCTGAACTTCCAATTGTGTTTTCTAATTAAACAAGATGAGATGCAGGAATAGTCTGTTCTGTACACGATGCTAGGTTTTGTGATAAGTATTACAAGCATGGATCATCCGATTTAATTTCACAATCTGTCTCAGAATTTAACTTTTGTTGTTGCTGGAGTGAATGCATTATTTTCTTTTTCCAAATTCTCCCAATAAGTAAGTTCCAAAATAAAATCAAGTTCTGCTGACTCCAGCATTGTCTGTTATGCTGAGTCTAGTCCAAGCTTTTTTATTTGCTATACAGTGGAAACAGTTATGATGCTCTCTGACAACAATAACAACAAAAATGCTTGGCTGTATCACTTCTCTCCCAAATCTGTTTTAGAAAAGTATGAACAAATTAGTAATTTTTATAAGAAAGATTTTTTAAGAAGGAGAAAAAGAAGAAGAAATCACCTGTAATTTTTAGTGTAACCAGCAAATATTCTTTCATTTATGGGCAGGTCTGAGTCAGAAATAGCAGTTCTTGGCCAGGTGAAGTGGCTCACGCCTGTAATCCCAGCACTTTGTGAGGCCGAGGCAGGTGGATCACGAGGTCAGGAGTTCAAGACTAGCCTGGGCAAGATGGTGAAACCCCTTCTCTACTAAAAATACAAAAATTAGCCAGGCATGTTGGTGGGTGCCTTGTAATCCCAGCTACTCAGGAGGTGGAGGCAAAGAATTGCTTGAACTTGGGAGGCTGAAGTTGCAGTGAGCCGAGATCCCACCACTGCACTCCAGCCTGGGTGACAGAGTGAGACTTTGTCTCAAACAAAAAAAAAGAAATAGCAGTTCTTTTGTATCCACTGGTGCCTTTCTCACAGTAATATTTTCCAAGTGCCAGTCAAGACCTTGCCCTTTTTCACATCCACTGTTTGCAAAAGTGCAAAGGCAACTGCTTCTGATCTAAACACATTCACCTGCCAGAGTTTACATCACGGTTAACAAGGACAAAATCTTTCTCTGCACCCTGAAAGACGCGTGGCCAAACTTTCATTCTAGGAAAACCAGCTGACTCCAGACTGGGGGCTGAGTCATAAGCTCCAGCCTCTTCTCTTTGTGAGATAAACTTGAAAACTTATATTATGAACATTTTACATACTAGTGGATGTGTAAGCTTTTCCAGGGCAAACATCACCAACTCTCCACAGAGTTAAGAGTTTCAATGATTAATGCAAGAACCTTTCATCAGAAACCTCTTGGAAGAGGTGCTTCCCAAAATCAAGGAAACCACAACTCAATCCATTAGTGGTTCTGACTTTTAGAGTGTAAGGGTCAATGACGTACCACCTAAAATGAAGACATAGACACCCTTGCCATTAAGTTCTTCATTGAAAATTCAATCTAAACTCATCACTAATTGAGATTAACCAGACACATTATTGGCAGGAGAAAAGCAGGCAGAAAAAAATGAAGAAATATATATTGAAGGCTATTATATGTATTTTTATCATTTAATTCTCATGACGATCCTGTAAGATTGATATTATTTTTCTACTTTGCCAATGAGCCTACAGTCTCAGAGAGATTAAATAATTTGCCGAAATTTGAAAATTTGGTCACTTAGTAAACGACCAAAAATACAGAAACAACTTTAAGAGTTTTCAATTATTCAGCGTCTTCGACTGTGTTGACTGTGTTAGACACTGTACATTTAGTCCTTACATAACCCTGCAACTTATTTCTCATTTGACAGATGAGTAAGTTAAGCCTCAAAGGGGTTAAGTGATTCGTCCAGTCAGGACTCTGAGCAACCAAGAGTCTCACGGTGACCAAGTCACAACTCTGAGGGATGCTCTGCCTGACCCCAGAGCTCATTATTCCTCCACTAGGTCCTGCTGCTTTCTATCTGCGTGACTTCAAGACATACTGCTTGCCATGGTGTCACCATGATTCCCAGCTGCAAATGCTTGTAATAAAAAATATCAAGTGTAGAATCTCTGGGCTCTGTGTGGCAGCTCAACTTAGTTTGAAAGCCATACATTATTTCTGAAAAAGAAATTTTGAGCAGTTTGCTAGTAAAATATAAGGCGAAGAAGTGGGAATACAACTGGCATTGCCCGCTTCATGTTGATTTGTTGCTTCCAAGGCCGTTTATCATTCTGGGAAGAGGAGGGAGCTGTCGGTCTAGGGGAGCCCAGTGTGAATTTCAATCTAGGCTGCTCTCGGTGACCTAACTTTCTCATCTATAAAACTATGTGATTTGATTTAATAATAAAACTAAGATCCTTCCGAGTTTTAGAAAAGGCTATTTACAATATCTTATGAACAAGTGCTGCTGTTATGCCATTTATAATGGGTTTCACTCTGAAATATATAATGTATAACAACCTTAGTATTCTTTAGTAAATTAACCACTCTTCTCCAAAAGAAGAAAAAGGAAAAACCCAAATTCCTTTCTAAACTTTAAAACACCCTGAGAAAATCACCTGAAGCTTTTTTTTGTGTATATGTCATTATTCATAAGACAAAGTTAATATTACAAACCTGATGCTTTAGGCAAGGGAAGGTACTCAATGTATGTTTTAAAGGCATCAGGTAGTAAGTCCAAAAACACTTTATCAATTTGGAACATTTCTATGGTAATGGTTTATCATTTCATTTAAATAATTTCGAGATTAATTGTGGCTTCTTGAGTAGTTTGTTTTATCCCAGAATACAGTATTGTATGTACTTGCCAAGACACTGATAGCAGGTGACAATCAGACCTATGGCAGCTTATCTTTGAGCACAGAAAAGTGAGCATTAGATATGGAAAGTAGTAGTCAAATAGGTGCACTTATAGATATCACACAGAATCATTTAAGCAACACAAAATAAAAATTAATGAACTTCCTCTCTACATATTAATATGAAACATTCAAACAGAGAACAATTATAAAAAGTAACCAAAAAGTAGCCATTTAATCTTTTTATTTATTTCTGTGCTCTTGTGGGACTTACCCACTCAATACATTATTTATTGGGTATATGAAGTCTACCATGAAGTATCCCTGAAGAATTTGGCAATAAAAGAATTCTGAGAGTTGAAGATTAAAATCAAGATATAATGAATTGGAAAAGAAATCCAGAAAGTCATCTTGGAAAGAGATGATGGCTGTTACACCAGTATGGTTTGATTGCAGCTGAACATTGACAGAATGTCTGCTTGGTCAAAAAGAAGAGGGTATGGCCATCCATGAAGACAGCAGCAGAAGCTGTGGCTGCTATTTCTAGAGCTGTCTGTAGCCATGTCAGCATCCAAAGAGTGTGTATTGCATAACAGAAAATAAATATTTGGTCTTTGTCCCTAGTTCCTGGCACAGAGCTCCTAAAATCCTTGAAATTTCCAGAGTGATAAGGATGATAGAACCTCTTGTAAGACAAGAATCGTAGGAATAAGTTCCTATCAAGCCCCTATCAACCATACCTGAGTTTATGCTAATGAGGTGACTCTTCGTGGGCCCCTACATAGTGTTAGGATGGAAGCTGGTCACCAGAAAAACCAAAGTGCAATTAAAGAATTGAAATTGTCAGCCCATTCCTCAACCTCTGGGGATGACAGAGGGGCTGAAGATTGAATCACCAATGGCTAATGATTTACTCAATCATGTTTATGTAATGCAACCTCCATAAAACTCCTGAAATGATGGTACAGAGAGCCTCTCCCTTGGGGAATGCATGAGGTACTGTTAAGGTGACATGCTTGGAGAGGTCACAAGAGCTCTGCATGGACTCCCCACTCCCCTTGCCCGCTGTTTCTCTTCCATTCGAGTGCTCTGAATTGTATCTTTCCTAATAAACCAGTAATTGTAAGTATTTCCCTGCATTCTGTGGGTTGCTGTAATGAATTATGAAAATGAAGAAGGATCATGGGAGCCTTTGGACTTATAGCCATGACAGACAGAAGGGCAGGTACACTTGGGAGCTGATATCTAAGGCAAGGGCAATCTTCAGCTGAATCTGCTAACCTGTGGGGTCTGCACTAGCTCTGGATAATTAGTGTATTATTCTACTTGAGCTTTCATAACAAAATACCATAGACTGGGTGGCTTAAATAAAAAGCAATATATTTCCTCATAGCTCTGGATGCTTGAAGTCTAAGATGAAGGTGCCAGCAGGGTTGGTTTCTGGTGAGGACTCACTTCCTGGCTTGCAGACGGCTGCCTTGTCCCTGTGTCTTCACGTGGGCTTTCTTTGGTGCATGCATGCAGGGAAGAGAGAGAGAGAGAGAGACAGAGACAGAGAAAGAGAGAAAGAGAGATATCTCTGGTGCTTCTTCTTATAAGGACACTAATCCTATCAGATCAGAGTCCCATCTTTAATAAGTTTTTTTACTCTACATACAGCTACACTGAGGGTTAGGGTTTCAATGTATGAATTGGCAAAGGGGCACAAACATTCGGTCCATAACAGCTAGTGTCTGAGAACTGGAGAATTGGTGTTGGAAAATATATTATATGTTTGATGTCACGGAAAAAACCACTCAGGATGGAAACAAGTTAGGAAAAAGCTCATCTTCAGATTGGAAAAACATGCCTATGGACTCTTTTGGTTTGAGGTATGGTGCAGGATTTAGTTTGGAAAGATAGGATGAGATCATGAGAACCTTAATTGCACTTCTGCTCTCATTACCATGGCCCATCCAATGCCTCAGCCTTTCAGTACTTTGACTTCTTTCTGCAAAAAGATTTTCTTCTCTCCACGTCAGCCAACATTCTCAGAGTCACTCCCTGGACTACTCACCCCTTGAAACTGATCCACCCCTGAGTATTCCACATACTGCCAGAGCTGCCTTGCCTTTCATGGCCTTGCTACTTTTTCCTAGTATGTGGTGTTTTGGCTACAGTGGGCCTTCAAGAAAGCCTCAGCTGTGTCCTAGTCACCCAACTTTCCCTTCCGCTCTCCTTGTTTCCATCTTTATCCAACTTTGATTCCATAGTCCTCCTTTTAGAGACAGTTTTGCCAATATCTGAACTGTCTTTTCCTTCTTTTCATCATAGCCTTCTGGAGAAAACCTGGATTAACCCTTCTATCTGCTTTCTTCCCATCTACTCTTCACCTTCACCACCGCTGCAAGAACACTGCAAAGCACACGGTGGTGTCACTGCAGGCTGAGGACCACCAGCTGAACCTGGACTCACCACACTGCATCTCTCCACCAATTCCAATGACCACTTCAGAATGTTTCCACTTTCCTCCAACCTACAACTTAACCTAACAACTCTCTCACTAAGCGAACACTTAACCTTCTACTTAGAAAAAGCTGAAGCTATCATTTGAAACACTCTTCACTGTCCAAACCTGTCACCGAACCTGTGTCTAGAAACACCCACATTCAACTAGGCATGGTGGCTCATGCCTATAATCCCAACACTTTGGGAGGCTGAGATGGGAGGATCACTTGAGCCCCAGAGTTCGAGACCAGCCTGGGCAACATGGCAAAACTCTGTCTCTACAAAAGATACAAAAATCAGCTGGGCATGGTGGCATGTGTCTGTAGTCTCAGGTACTCAGGAGTCTGAGGTGGGAGGATCGCTTGAGCCCAGGAGGCAGAGGTTGCAGTGAGAGGAGATTGTGCTGCTGCACTCCAGCCTGGGAGACACAGCAAGACTCTGTCTCAAAATTGGAGGAAACACCCACTTTGTTCCTGCCGTGTTTCAGCAGACTCCCTCTGCTATCCACGGGTAATCCCTGCACCAGTGTTTTAAGCCTCAGAGACCTGAAGTCATCAATTATTCTCTCTCTAGTATAATCCATGTCTATCAACCTTATTATTGCCATCTTCATTTAAACTCCCCCAACTAAATTACATAAATGATAACCAAAACCTTTCTTTTTCACACATCACTATCTAAACACTGTCCTTTTGCTTTGCTTGTGCTTTATAGAGAGCTTCTGGTGGACAAGTTGTTCATGAACTGTGCTGGTTCTTACAGCTCACATTTAGACCCTCTGCTCTTCTCAGCTCCCCTTGACTCTTTGTACTATCTTCCTAGACAATCTCATCTACCCTTAACTACCTCTTTAAGCCAAATATTGCTTAAATAAGTATAGCCCAGATCCCACTCCTGAGCTCCAGTCAGCATATCCAGCCAAAAACTCTACTTGGATGTCTCAGAGGCATGTCAAACTCAACATGACCAACACTCACCCCACAATTTTAGCCTCTAAATTCTGCTCTTCTCTGAAAATTTCCTATTTCAATTTAACGATACTTTCATCTTTTCAGATGTGCAATTTCAAGTCTAGGGATCATGTCTGTGGCTTTTCTCTCTTTTACTGATAATCTCTAATCCATCACTGATTCCTATTGATATTCTCCCCTTAATAATTGTCAAATCCTTCCTCATCTCTCCACTTTGGTTGGTAGTTGTTCCTAATTCTAACATCCATCATCTCTTAATTGGATTATCTTCTTGTACAGACTCTGGTCCACCTCCAGCTCATTCTCCATGCTGCAGGTAGAGTGACTTTTTTATTTTTATTTTTTCAAAACTCAAATCTAAGCTTTAGCAGGCCTCTAAATTCCTACATGGTCTGGCCTCTCTGCCTCTGCCACTGGCCTCACTGTTTGGGCTCACACCTTTCTCCTCTGCCCCTCTGCTCTTAGTCACATTAGACTTCTTAGCTTCCCATGTGATCCAGGCACCTTCCCATGCAGTGCCTTTCTCTGCCTGGGGGCTGTGCCTCTCCACCTGCCCCTCTCTCTACCTTTTAATCCTGCTTGTCCACTGATTAGTATTTCATGACTCCCTGCCAGAGGAGTCGCTTGTGCCCAGATGCCATTGTTAAATGTTCCCAAGTGCCATGTTTCTTTTCTCAGAACACTAACCTCACTTTGTAATAATGCACTCATTTGTAAAATTGTTTATGAATACTTCCTAAGAACATGGGCCATATTTGTTCTTCCCCCTCCATAGTATTTGGTACACAGTAAGCATTTAATAAACATTTTCTGGAAATGATAGCACCATCATAGAATGTGGTTGGGATTTTTCTCTAGAGAAGGAATTTTGCTATTGTTTTTCCATATGGGTTGGAGAGGGCAGTTTGAGAACTTTGGGGCTGAAGAGAGCAAGAGAGAAGATAGAAAAGAGGCCTCTAATTTGAGTAGGATAGGAGTTTCAACAACATGGTGGTAGAGAAATTGCCACTAACGGATAGTCTGTGATGGACCATGGCCAGTGCTCTTTGGGAGCGGTGATATCTGGTTGATTATTTTTTCCTTTCCTGTTTTGAAATTCCCTGCAGATTTCCTGCAAACTAGTTAACGAGTACAGTCAAGTGACCCTCTTGTAAGGGAGAAAGAGGAAGGATACAGTGATGGTACTGAACTAGTGCTAGCTAAAGCAACATACAGGGATAGTAATAAGATGGCAAGCAGTGACTAACAAGGCAACTTGGGAGTAGTTTAGAGTGAGAGATAATAAATGACAAGCAGGACAAGAAATTCTCAGAAATATTTGAGAGGTGGCTGAATTGTTTATAGTCACGCCATAGGGAAGCCATAAAGTATTTTAAATTTGGTTATTAAAAGGAAGGTGTGATCTCAGATTATAAAACTCAGAATAATCGTATTACACAAAGAGGAAGAATAGCTCAAGATTCATACATTGCTAGTGCCTGCTCATTTAGCCGATAGACTCAAGAATGTTATTCCATTGGCAGCTGACACCATGGAGATGAATTTGTCAGACTATCTTAAACTGATACCATTAAATATTCAAATCCTTTATTGATTTTCCCTTGGTCTGACTCCAGGCTCATCCAGCAAACTTTTGATTATATCTGGTTTTCCATAGGAGATAATCAGAAGACACTGCCCTTCAGTGTTTATGACAGTTCATTTCTCACTGTGAGTTAATACATCGATGTTCTGATTTTTTCCATCAATCCCATGCATGCATTTATCTTTAGATAAAACTACTCTCCATTTGCGGTTGGAACCAACTTTCAAAGCTAACAGGTAGAGGACCTTGAAGTGTCTACCAAGGAAAAGCCATCCTCTGCAGCCTTGTCTAAATGAGGCCTTCCCCAAAGGCTCTTCCTCTTTCCCACATGAGTATTGTCTCTGTTCTTCTCCCCTGCGTACAAGGATCTGTGTTTAAAAAAATATATTCGTTATGAAAAGTATAAACATGATGTCTTAATTTAAGAGTTTACGGCCCAGTTAGGAAGAAGAAACATCTTCACAAATAATTTCATTTATTAAAATATTTATTAACTGAATTGTACTATACAAGAAGTGATATAGAAAATAATCACTAAAATAAAATTATTTTTTAAATAAGGTAAAATAATTGCATGTGTGATTCAAAAGCAGTCAGTGAATTTCAGTTAAAGAAATCAGAAGAAGCTCCACAGAGGATGTGAACATTTAATTTGACTTGCAGGAGGAGACAAATTTCACTAGGAAAGGATTTTAGGAGACCAGAGAGAGCAAGAGTGGAGAGGAGAACAGGGTGAGTTCCGATTCTGCAAGAAAAACAAGACCCCTTGTCATGGGCTAAACTGTCTCCCTCCCAAACTCACATGCTGCCGTCCTAACCCCCAGTACCTCAGAGTGTTGCCTTATTTGGAAATAGTGTTGTTGCGGATGTGATTAGTTACATTAAAATAATGCCATTAGTGTGGGCCCTTATTCAGTATGTCTGGTGGGCTTATACAGAAAGGAATTTTAAACAAGAAAGATGCATACAAAATATGGCCATCTACAAGCCAAGGAGACAGGCCTGGAACAGATCTTGCCCTCACAGCCCTCACCTTGATTTTGGACTCCTGCCAACACCTTGATTTTGGACTCCTGGCCTCCAGAGCTGGGAGGTAATAGGTTTGTACTGAACTTGGTTATGGCAGCTCCAGCAAACTAGTACACTGTTCTCATAGGCGCTCCAGACATGGAAGTCCTGGGAAATAAGACCAGATAGGTATGTGGGTTGGTTTTAAAAAGGGTCATAAATGCCACACAAAGAATTTATTATTTTATTCTAAGTGTGGCAAAGGATAGAGAAATAACTGTTTACCAATCTCTTACCTGTTAACAAGTATTGCTAAACAACTTTATCCCATTTATTTTTCACAAGAAACCCTGGAGAAAGTGTTAATAACACAGATATGAACAGAAGCAAAAACCGTCAGAGGTAAATTACCCAGTGGCGCTCAATAAATGTGCAGTTAGGTGAGTGAAGAAGTAACAACGCTCTGCCCTTGCTTGGGCTCAACCACTCCAAAGTCTTAGCACAGTATCCTCCACTTGGTAGGCATCCCATAATATCTCCTGAGCAGGTTGCCAAATGTCTTGACTCTTTCCAAAGTTCCCATGAATATGTGAGGAATAATAAATTTCCTACTATTTCAAGGTCAGTTTCTCAAAGAGGTAGATCCACTTCCCCCATTTTAATAGTAAGTTCACATGAAATAAAATAAGTTATATTTCAGACCGAAAAGCATATTTCCACAACTATAGCTCCATATGTGCCCTGCCTACGTGCCTTATCTTCTTTTTAAAGAACATCAATTCTTTGGTTTCTAATTCCTATTCTCCACTAGACACAGAATAGGGCCAAGTGGCAAGTCTAAGAAAAGGCTTGTCTTTGGTACCACCCCCCACATTCCTATGCATTCTGCATCTTCTCCTTTTCCAGCATTTGCCACCAGGCTAGGTAGAAACTGGGTGAAGGCTTGAGAAACCTTTTCTTTTGTCAGTAAAACACGTTTTACTAAAAGACTCCTCTATTCTATGTAAGCCCACTCTGCTGGATAGAAGGATAATGTACTGTCACCTAGATCTTGTAAATCCTGTTGTAATCAAACAAGAAGAGAAAGCCCTACCATCCAGAAAAGGAAAACCACTGGCTTTCTTACTCCTTTCTGAGAAACACGATGGAAATCTGTCCAATCCACACAAGCATTCCTGAATAGTGCTGGGGAGAGGGGCACCGGTGACAGATTAACACGTAAATGCTCTTTAAAAGAACGAGCTTGAACCCATGCTGGGTCTGTTCTGAGGCTTCTCTGTACTGTGGAAGATTGATAGGGGTAGGTACCACCACATGAGAAACTAAGGAGGCTCTTGGACAAGAAAGAAATAATTCCTCCCAAAGGAAGCGAAAGTGGGGGTGCTCCAGGCAAGGTCAAAGGCTGGAGAGTGAAGGTGGATGTGAAGCCAGGGGTGCTGCCTATGGCCCAGATTTCCTGAGCCCTAGAGAAAGAAGACAGCCACACAAGAATGACAGAAGCCGAGAGTTTTTCCAAATCACTCTGGCATCAGCATAAGGGTCACTGTGGCAGCCCCAGCACTCAGGCTGAGGCAGTCTGGTGCCTACGGGCGGGCAGGAAATGAGGCTGCAGCGGATGCCACAAGAGTCCCTGGGAGGCGGCTGCAAAGCCAGAATGCAGCCCTTGATCAAGCATCTCCTTTTTCCTTGCCCTGTAGGAGCTGCAACCACTTCAGCTGCGTCTTTCAGTCTCCAAGGACAAGAGCCTCTCTGGGCTTCTGTCTCACTTGCAATGAGCTGGAGCTCTCAGGAAGTCAGGAAAATGGACACTTTTCCGGTAGACGTGAGCTCTTTCTTTTAGATCTCACGGAAGACCACCTCCTGGGGACGCCCAGAGCTGTTGAAGGGCTGCCTGAAGCCAAGTGCGCTCCAGAAGAGCAGGCAGGGGGTGACTAGACAAGGGCGAATTTGTTTGTGCCGGGAACTCCCTAACTCCCGCCGCACTGGGCTTGTTTTGTGGAACAGGCAGGCGCATCTCTCCACCTACTGACCTCCCCTCATTGCCCTTTCTCCATATCTGGTATGGCTAATCTCCCGCCATTCAAGTCTCAATTCATTTCAGCCTTTCAGAGCCACCCTTCCTGGCTCTCCACCCAACAACCGGCCCCTTCCGATGACAACTGCCTCTCTGGAATCTTCACATCACTTAGAAATATGGCATTTTAAAATGTATGTCTACTATATGTTGATTACTGCTGTTTATTATTGTGTTTTATCGTGTTTCTCTCTTAGTGAATTTAAGCTCCAAGAAAAGAATAACCGTGCCTGTCTTTTTTTTCTTTTCTTTTCTATTTCTAGTGCCTAACGCAGTGTTGGGAAAAAGGCAAGCCCTAATTAAGAATTTGTTGGCCCTGTGAATTCTTTTTTCTTTTTTTGAGACGGAGTCTTGCTCTGTTGCCCAGGCTGGAGTGCAGTGGCGCGATCTCGGCTCACTGCAAGCTCCACCTCCCGGGTTCACGCCATTCTCCTGCCTCAGCCTCCCGAGTTGCTGGGACTACAGGCACCCGCCACCACGCCCGGGTAATTTTTTTGTATTTTTAGTAGAAACGGGGTTTCACCGTGTTAGCCAGGATGGTCTCAATCTCGTGACCTCGTGATCCACCCGCCTCGGCCTCCCAAAGGGCTGGGATTACAGGCATGAGCCACCACAACCGGCCAGCCCTGTGAATTCTTACCATGCGGTAGGTGTGCTGAAATAACATGAGATAAACATGCAAAGCAATATACTTATTTGATCTCTTATTACAGAGTGGGCGTCTAGAGTTATCCTGAGATTCAAGGTGAGTCGGATTGCTTAAAGCCAAGGCAGCACTGTTGGGGATTAGAGAGTAACCTGGATGTGGGGTGGGGGTCCTGGAGTGCAGGGACTCCTTTGTACCATCTTTCCCTATTTTACAGACATTAGCTGCACAGAGGCGGCGGTGGTGTTCAGAAGTCCTGCCTGCCCTATTGCAGGTGGATGCAGAAGCAGCTGGCATATGCAGCCAGGCAGGTGGGTACAGGTGGGTAGAGGAGCTGCTGGAAGCCTTGATCAGGTAGCATCTTTACTCTCTCTCGGTTGGCACTAAGTAAGTACCTCCTTAGAGCCCACAAGCCCCTCCCTTGCTAGCATTTCTTTGTGCAGCAGTTACCATGGCAGCAACCTGCCTGGTTGACGTCTAAATATAGTGATAAAAGATTTCATCTGCTCTCAACTACTAAAAGACAAATTTGAGGAGCAAAGAAAAAAATAAATATTCTTGTGCCATTTTTTGGGGGGAGTGGGGAAGAGGGAAGGTTATATTTTAATTTATTATCTTTCAGATGTAAAGAAAAGAGTGATTTATGATTTTTTTATATTTAAGAAGTTATTTGTTGCATTGTCATATTGATGTTATATTAAAGTTTGGTTTCTTAAAAGGAATTTTTTTTTTCAGGGAGGAGAAATAAACAACTGTATTTCAGAATGACTGTTTTAGTAACTCTCAAGTAGGTAACTCATATGAAAATAACCCAGGAGAAATACCCGTGATAGCCCAAAACATTTTAGTTGAAGGGGAAAAAATACACATCTAAAGGAAAAAAGGAATCTGTCTATCCAAAGCTACAGCCTAAAGACAAAAGAGACATTGCATTCCTTCATGGCCACAGAAAAACCTGTGCATTCAGGGGCACTCCAGATGAGGAGCAGCCAAGATGACAATGCTTTACAGTGGTGATGTTTATTAAAAGGCCCCTGGATGCAATAGAAGGATCTGTTCCTTTTCTTGTCCAGAATACTGAGCAACAACTCAAACTTTGAGAGAACTCACAAAATGTGAAGTGCTCAGTAAGAAAAGATAGTGTTGTTTAATCACTAAATTCAGTACCAATTTGGCTCTGGAGGCATACACTGTTTGTTCACGTAAAGAAGATTAATTTACTTATAAAGCCTTTTGAACAGCATGCCAAACAAGTTATCTGTTTATCTAGAGAGGTCCTTCCCAGTCCACCTGGGCAGATGCCATGGTTTATGCAGGAGCCCTGGGCTTACAGTCAGAACCCTCAGGCCACAGAAGTGGGCTCTGTCTGCTTATCCCTTATCCCCAGGTTAGCTCCGAACCTGGCATGCAAGGAGAGCCTCATAATCAAGTGTGGGGCCTTCAGTGAATGTTGAAAGAATCTAAACTATTGTCCTTCTGAGGCTAGTCCTGATGGTAAAATGAGGTGTGGCCAATACTGTAACTCAGCACTGTGCAGCTCTGATGTAAGTTAATGCCACTGTAGGGAGGAGTTAAGTTGGGCTGCATGCCCTAGGGAATCCAACTCCAATGTCTTAGAAAGGAATGGTTTCAGAAGCAGAGAATGGAGCCTGTGAGCCAGGCCCATCAGCACAGTGGGTGTGAGAGGAGCTCTGGAATGGGATTGCTTCCTGTGAGGGCTGCAATGCGCTGGGCCGACATCCCTGTCTGCAGTGGTTAGAGTCCGCAGAGGTGCTGTTGGCAGGCTGGCCTTGGATGCTTCAGATCCTGTCCTTCAGATGATCTGTTTATAAACATCCTATTGAATGTGGCTGCCTCGGTGGTGAATTGGGTGGGCTCAGTGTTCACATGGGTGCACTACATTTGTCATCCTTACTCCACTCATCTTTTCCATGGGGTCTCACACCAACCCAAATATCCTGTCTGCACAAAAATTTCTACCATCAAAAAGAAAAATTTTAATCAGACATAAGATGAATGAGATCGGGAGCTCTAGCGTACAGCATGGGTGGTGGAAGATGTGTTCATTAATTTGATTCTGATCATCATTACACAATGTATACATATATCAAATCACCATGTTGTCCACAGTCTGTATTTGTCAATTAAATACTTTAAAATTAAAAAAAAAAAACTGAAAAGTTAATTTCCACCAAGATGTTAATCACTTAGTATATCTCAACATCAAGGAGTATTTACTTTTGAAAAGATAACTGAGAAAATAGGGCAATATTTAATCCAAAACACTAAATTGCTAATTGTCTCTGTAGCTATTTCTCAACATATGCACACAGTGATCAAACTATTCTTAGCAAGCATACAGCTGCAGGGAGGAACTAGCCACATTGACTTCAGCCAGAGGAGAGTCATGTAGGGGAAGAGGAGTGGAGGCCCTGGGCTTGGTGAAGACTGAAAGTGAACTTTTGGGAAACGTCTCAGTGTAGCCATCATTGACTCCATTTTTTTTTCTTTTTTTTTTTTGTGATTCCAGTGTTACCTACATGCAGTCTCAATTTATGATTTAGTTCATCCTTAACTGAGGTTCTGTTTCTTTTTTAGGAGAAGGGGAAGAATTAAGATAAATATGAGCACTGTGTTTAATTCTTTTTAAAATCCTCATGCCAAATCTGTCCCCCATGCCCTTTTTTGCACCTGTAATTATTTTCCCAACTAGAACTCTCACGTGGTAACCCCAGCTCTCGTCTGCCCATTATTCTTTAGTTTCATATGTTTAAAACCTTAAGTAGTTTCTCACTTGTTTACCTTACCATCACCCTAAACTCATATTAATATATAACCTGACTTATAATCTGTGCCCATAAGTCTCTCTTCTAATACTGCCATTTTTTATCAACAGCCCTAGCCTACCATAGAGCCACTTTGATTTACATTTTTAATGGTTTTTTTCCTCCAACATTTATTAAAGTTTGACCACTTTCTTTCTAGTTCAGTGTTGGTTACTGGGCCTTGAATGACTTCATAAGTTCCAAGAGGAGGCCCACCTCTCTTCCAGTCAGCCCATAAGCTCTGTGAGGAGCCTCCTCCTTGCTCCTCGTGCTATGCTCAGCACCATGGACAGTGCCAGGCACACGCAAATAGTGCAGCCTCGAATTCAGACTTTTAAAGTATTCTTCGGTTGACGCTATACAAAGATGTTCATTATACAAATTTAAGCTTTTATTTTATTTTAAACTGCATCCTCAATAGTGTATTCTTTTTTTCCAAAATCTCCTATTTTGTGACTAGCACAATTACACTACATTGCAAATTTTTGGTACTGTTTTATGTTAAATGAGCATAGCAAAATATATCAAAATTTTTGTAAGATTATTTGTATTTTTTTAGTTTTTATTACACAATGAATCTAAAAAAAAAGAGTTGGCTGAGGGCTCTCCCATTGTCTGAGAGGCCCTGGCCTCAGCTGCTCTCACATTTTTATTAGCTTATGGTGTCTTGAGTGCATTACTCAGAGGAGTTCATAAAGTTCTGGTAATTGTGTACAACTTGTACCCCATCATGCCTGTGCTGAAGTTCACATCCTGGGCAAAGTCAGGGCTCAGGAGCGTCATCTGACATAAGTGCTCTGACACCTCAAATGTTGACCTGGTCAAATCTATTTTCTCTGTTTTGGTCGACTCTCCTTCCCCTACTGGCTCCCTCACAGGCAATTATCTTTCCTACGTCTGAGCTTTTACCCATGTCATTTCCCAATTTAAACAACCTCTCTCCATCAGTTTTTAAAATACCCATTCAGGTCTAATGCCCACCCAGACCTTCTCCAAAGACTCTGCTGTAGATCGCTCACAATAATACAATATGGTCAGAGAATGTTGCATATTTTATATTCTTCTTTTGTATAATTCTCTGCTTCATGCTTATAGTTTTAACCCCCAAAAACATTCCAAGTGTCCTTGAAGTTGAGAGTTATTCCTTCATTTATTTAACAAGCACACATTCTAAATCATTTGTCTTCCTGGTCAAATGGAAGAAAAGGCACTGAACAAATAAACATACCTATGGATCCATGGTTATAAATGGTGATAAGCAAAAAGAAATGGAACCAAATATTATGAGCAAAACATATTGACTGAAGATGTGATTAAGAGAGAAAATGACAGAAAATGATGTAGTGTAATAAATCAGGGGTGGGGAGATTCTGAGAGAGTCTTGGAAGTCACTATGAAGAATGTAAGATTTTATTCTGAGGACACAAGAGGCCAATGAATGGATTTAAGAGAGTGACATGATCTTTTATGCATTCTGTCACATATTTCTATGAAGCAGCTAGCCCAACTTGAAATACATGGTAAATCTTACTATTCAGTCCCCATGAAAGAAAAGACGAGCAATGGTGACTGCGTTGAATTAGCGCTGAGTACTTTCAGAAGACCACGCTCAGTAGTGGCCTCTACTGTTATAAGGGAACAGACTGGAAAAGGCCGCAACTTGCTGTTTTGCATTCCTCTTTTCCTTCTCTACCAAAATATCTTGTCAACTTAAATAATCTGGTCAATTTACATAAATGGTTACAGTTCATAGATTCAGCCTCCAGTTATTACTCCTAAAGAAATTTTATTTTGAACAGAAATTTTTATCGGAAGTGATTTTTGACATGTTTAGACTCTTTAATGAGTTGAAGCAACTTATGTCTCTTTCAGTTAAGAATAAAACTAAACACATGAAAAGTGTATTATCCTCTCTTCATGCTCTTCAAAGATGCAGCTAAGGTAAAATTATGTGATATGTATGGTTCATCTGTATATTGAAGTCTCTCTCTCTCTTCATCCATTCAAATACATAGATCAGCCATGATGACTTTTTTCCTTCATTCAGTTGACAAGTAGGTATTAAGCACCTATGTGATGTATAAGAACTATTCTAAATGCTCCTGGGGCAAAATCCTGAAAATGGACAGCAGAATGTATTATTCTGCAATCACTTTGCCTGACTTACCTCACCTATTTGTGGATCCGGAATTTGATTTTCATTGTTACCGTCTTTGAATATAAAACTGAATGTGAAATTTAATTTCCATTGCCCCTACAGCTGGTGTTTGGCTCACAAGGGGGAAGAATTTATCATTTTCTAAATGAGCCTTCCATCCATGGCAAATACATTTGAATGTTGATGTTTTCCATTCTCTTTTGTACCTTGCTAATCTTTGGGGTACAACAGACCTGATATTTATGTTCCCAGTAGCTGGACTGTTTTATAACTAATTTAATATTTTGACAGCAGTCATTTCAATGGTAAAATATAGTTGCTGTTTACTAGCGTCTTTGAGGCAGGATAAGTCTTATTAAAAATAAGAATACTTTTTTGAATGCCAATGCAACTTTCAAAATGAAAATCCCATTTTGATTACCCTTAAAAATGCTTCAGCTTCTAGTCTTGGGAACATTTTTTACTTGATAGCTACCTGGAACTTGGGCAAAAATGACAAATATACCTTTTAAATATCTTTCTTCTGTCAGGGTAAATGACTGGTTTTTAAAAAAATATACAAATAAATAAAAATAAATATCTTTCTTAACTTACTAGCCCAAAGCCAGAATATTTGGTCATTCATGGAGTTCATCAATCTATTTAATATAATTATCTTATAATTTTCACCAAATAGTAGTTTCATGCATTTTATTTTGTATTAAACAATTCCACTAGTTTCCAAATACTATTGATCAGCATGTAATAGTTTATTATAGCATAGTGTTTCAGTGTGTGGCTTTTGGAGAAAGTGGATTTGGGTTAAAGTTAGGGCTAGAGTTGTTCAGATTTAGGCTTAGGTCTGGGGTTAAGGTTGTGTTTAGGATTAGGTTTAAGGTTGGGGTTCAAACCTTGGTTTTTAATCTTCTAGCTATACTTTATCACCAAGAGCAAGGTATTTAACTTAATTGTTCCTGAGTTTCCTCATTTACAAAAAGAAGATGATGGCACCTAAATTATATAATTCTTTCCAAATTTAAATGTTTAATACATACAAAGTGTGCCTGGAATGATGGAAGAACTCAATACAATTAATTTTTCTTCTGTCAAATTTGAATCTGACAAAAACACTAAGCCCAATCATTTCTTTTTTTGAGACAGGATCTCACTCTGTTGCCCAGGCTGGGGTGCACCAGTGAGAGATCTCGGCTCACTGCAACCTCCATCTCCTAGGTTCAATCAATCCTCCCACCCAAGCCTCCAGAGTAGTTGGGCCATGTTGCCCAGGCGGGTCTCAAACTCCTGAGCTCAACCAATCCACCCCCCTGGGTCTCCCAAAGTGCTAGGATTACAGGAGTGAGCCACCGCGCCCTGCCTTGTCAATATTTCTGCAAGATAAATGCTTATTTTGAAGTCTTGGTAAAGCCCGAGAAAAAAGGTATGGCAATTTTGTATGGCTCCTTGTCTCCTTGCTCTCAGTCTGCCTTTATTGGGATTTAGATACAGCACAGTGGAGCTATGTCCCCACTGTTTCCCCAGGCTTGGAAGTGCAGCTCCAACTCCCAGAGGCACACAATTTACATGCTCAGAGTCACTTAGATATTATGAGATCAGTTCAGGAGCAGAAGATTACAATTTAAAGCCCATCAAGTGGCATTTTAAAGCCCATCAACTCAGAGAGCTTAGAAGACAAAGTTTTTTTCTGAGCTCCTTCACTCTGAGGTATGACAGATCTCGAACTACAGCCCGTCTTCGAATTTTAGTCATTTCTTTCATCAGAAACCACCAGCCAGGTTGGTAAGTCTGGTAAGACAGGAGTTTGGAAATGCATCCATAATGTTGCTGCAGGCCAGTAACGTCCTTAGCAGTTACTAAAATAGTAGGCCAGTGTAAGGATATGTTGACTCTTGGATACTGCTACACCCTATGGCTGACTTGCATTTGCTATTTACACCTGTGGTTCTCAGGCTGAAAGCCAGGACTCTTGTAATAAACTGCCACTTCTGAAGAGGGAGACTAAGATGTCTGTTAAGATAGGAAAAGAGAAAGAAAATAACATTTGTACTCTGCACAGTTTTATCTAATAAATTGGCATAAGTTGGTCAGTCTGTTATTCACTGTGAATTCCTTAACTGCCCTTGATGTAATTTAATTCTAATCAGTTATAACACACCAGGAAAGAAATTGCTTAGACATGCAATCTTTCTTAGAGCAACATATTATCTTCAAAAGGAGAATTCCTCTTTGAATTTTGAAGCACCTGTGGCCTCAGGGCAAAGTGATGACTACTTAACCCAAGGAAAAGTGTCCCTCTGGGACTTTGACATGTTTCTCTGGAGCGCAAGGTCATTTTCAAACATCCTACCAGAAATTGCAGAGGAAGACACTTACATTTTGAAGGCGTAGAGTCTCATTTAGGCCAGTGTTATTCTATTTTGATTAATGAAGCAGTGAGCTATTTCCTAAAGAATATGGCAACAATTGTGAAGAATTCATTTACCATCAGAAGGTGAAGGAATTGTAAACTGGTGCAGCTCAAACGCTGAAAATAGCTCTGATATAGACAGGAATTATCAGCTCGTTTTCTAAATGAAGGAAATGAGGCACCCATCTTAAATGATTCTGTGTGTTAGGGGTTATATTTGTGTCTCCTACATATCTCCATCAGCATAGGATGGAGAGCAAGGTTACGACGAGCATTGACTAAGTGCCAGGCACGTGCTGCAATGCTGTGTTTTATATGGCTCTATGTGTTTTATATGGCTCAACTTCACAGAAACTCTGGGATGTTGGTACTGTTTTCATCTTTGTTTTATAAATTAAAAATATATTACATATGTGTGACACAGAGTGGTTTAGTGGTGAAGCTAGGATTGAACTGAGGCGCCCTCTCTGTGAAGTCTGTGTTCCCAACTACCACTGTGCTGGCCCTGAGTGAAGAGACACAGAACTGTAAGAACTGGTTCTTGGTAAGAGAGCTGGAAGGAAAGGAAAGAAGCTGGAGAAGCATCAGCAGAGGGCAAATAAAGTGAGGTTTGGGAAGAAGGATGCTTTCAGCTGAGAAAAATAAGCATCTGTGGGGAGAATCCCATAGAACAGGTTGGAAGAGAAAGTATGAAAACAAAGGACTGTCCTCTTTAAGACAAGGCACCTGGTCATCTTTTCCCTCTTACAGCCACAAAGGGATTTAAGACATGTGCAAAAAAAAAAAAAAAAAAAAAAAAAAAGAAAAAGCAATTATCTGATTCCTTGCAGAAGTAAGTTGCCTATAAAATAATACCTTGGAATGCTCACACCAAGCTATAACCATAATTCAGAAGAACAAAAATACAAGCTAAAGTCAGCAAATCTTAAAAAGTATCACCCAGTTTCCCTCCTCTTCTTCCTTCTTGCAAAGCCTCCTCTGCCCAGTGGCTGGTGAGGACTCTACAGTATGGCCTATTCCTCAGCAACAGCGTCCAACCCTGGGCACTGCCCAGTAGCAATGAAAGGAGAGGCTTCTTGACCAAATTAGTTTTCATATTCAGTGAAACACTGAGCTACAACAAATTCGAGACCTTTGAGTCATTGATTTTACCATATGATTTGATGACACACAAAACTCTTTGTCCGTGACTTTAGGTTTAAATCTTAGTTTGAAGCACTCTCATTAGTTCCAACACTATAAATAGAAACTATATATGTTGAAAGTCTGTCATTTCCCATGTTTCCAGCTGTGTATGTGGCATGGAAGAGCCTCCATGAGGGTCCCTAAGTGAGGGTGTGGGTCTGGGTGTTTGTGCATGCATGTCCATGTGCATGCAACTATCAGATGTGATAAATGTCGTGTTTTCCATAAGGATGGCATGATGAAACCACATGTGATTTAAAAAGGCAAATTAAAGAAATAATGGTATTTTTCAGTAGAACAGTGTGAGCAATAAAGCATGAGGAGTGAAATCTGGGTCATTTTCAAAAAAAGCAAACTTTTCATCACAAAGATAACCTTTTCCTTGGCCTTGCTAAAGCAGCTTTCTAGGGCTTACTTTTCACTTCTATAAAAATAGGAAACCTAAGTGTGACTGAGCTGAGATTACCCACTTTGCTGGAAGAAAGACTTGGGTTCCAGCTGAGTGTGGTGGCTCACGCCTATAATCCCAGCACTTTGGGAGGCTGAGGCAGGCAGATCACTTGACTTCAGGAGTTCGAGACCAGCCTGGCCAACATGGTGAAACCCCATCTCTACTAAAAATACAAAAATTAGCTGGGTGTGGTGGCAGGTGCCTGTAGTCCTAGCTACTCGGGAGGCTGAGGCGGGAGAATCCGTTGAACCTGGGAGGCAGAGGTTGCAGTGAGCTGAGATAGCACCATTGCACTCCAGCTTGGGTGTCAGAGAGAGACTCTGTCTCAAACAAAGAAAAGACTTGGGTTCCTTTTCCCCCGACAGCAGTGATCACCTGTGGAACATTATGCAAGTTGTCTAATGTCTCTCAGCCTCCATTATCCTCTAGAAAAGAAAGACATAGCAGTAGTGCCTATCTCCCAGTGTAAATATGAGAAAGATAAGAGAAGATACATACAGAGTGTTAATGAACCCCAGCACACAATAAGTGTGCAAATGTTTACAGCTGTAATTATTCATACCATCTGAGATTTCTGGTTCTACCTAGGTACTTAAAGGTAGGCAAGTTCAGCATTACCAATTCCATTTCAGTTATTAATTAAACTTAATTTTATTAAGAGTAATGTTTATTTTACTAAAACGTGATTTCACTTCTTCGGGCAGCACTGAGCTGCTTTTTCCTTGTTACAGACATCAGTTTTTTGCTTTGACCTTTCTAGTATTTTAGTCTCTGCGAAACTTTGAAAGAATAAAATGATTACATTAGACAATGAATTAGAGTGTGTTTCCATCCAAACTAAGGCCTCACAACATTGGAAATTTGAAAATCACACATATAGAGTAGTTTAAATTGAAGCTTGCTTATAAAAAGAGGAGAAATCGGAGATCCACAAAAGTTAGATGATTGTCCATGACCTTATAATCCTGCCAACTGATCACCTATCCCAAGTTTAATCTCCTATAGCTCACTTGAACCATATCTACACATTTGTGTCCAAGTGACAAGTGTCTACTAAGCTGGCCCATTTGAAGGATCTAAAATTAGAAACAGATCAATAAAAGTGCTGTTCAAGATATTCAGGGAGAAACAAAGCAACTTCTTAGGGATCACTTTTCGTATTTTAGTGAAAATGCATTTAGCACATTAAAACCTCCTCCGTGGCACACTCCATTTCAGCTGGTGTTTGATGCAGTGGTAACATTAACTACACGGTATCGGCCAGCCCAGCTACTAAAAGAATATATCTATAAATGATCAACTCAGTTTCGAATAATCTTACAAGAAGATACTTATTCATGCTAAAATGTGAAACTAGTGCAGAAGACAATGCATTCCATGAGGGCAAAATATACGACTTCTTCATGTATATTCCCAAACTTTGGCATAGTGGCTATTATTCAAAAATGTATACAAAATAAATGAATATAAAAGTAGGAGTTAAAGCAATACAGAAAATCAACACAACCAGGGTTTTTTGTTTTTGTTTTGTTTTTTTGCAAAGGTCAACAAAATTGATAAAACTTCAGCTGGACTGACCAAGTACTACCGACTGAATCATGAGACGCCAAAATTCACGTGTTGAAGCCCTAACTCCTAATGTGACTGTACCTGTATTTGGAGACAGGGCCTACATGGGGATAATTGAGGTTAAATGAGGTCACAAGGGTGAAACTCTGCTCTAATAGAATTACTGTCCTTTTAAGAAGAAGAGACATCAAAGACCTCAGTTTTCCCACACATGCACCAAGGAAAGGCCCTGTGTGAGTGCGGCAAGAAGGCAGCCCTCTACAAGCCAGGAAGAGAGCCCTCCCTAAGAACCACATCAGGTGGACTCTTAACCTTGGACTTCCTAGCCTCTAGAGCTGTGAGAAAGTTAATTTTGGTTAAGTCCCCAGTCTGGTATTTTGTTATGGCAGGCCAAATAGACTAATCCATCAAGCAAAAAAAGACAGAAGACTCAAACTACTAAAATCAGAAATAAAAGAAAAATGACCTTATAGAAACAAAAAGGATTATAAGGGGTTATTAAGAACAATTGCATGGTGCAATTTAGGTAACTTTAATAAAACTGACAAATTCTTAGAAAGACACAAACTACTGAACTAACTCAAGAAGAAAGAGAATATTGAACAGTACCATAACAAGAAATTGAATTTGCAACTAAAACAAAACAAACAAAAAACACCACACTGCTCACAAAGAAAATGCCAGGTCCAGATGGCTTCAGTGATGAATTTTACCATATATTTAAATAAGAATTAACACATATACATAATAAGCACTTCCAAAAAAATTAAAAGAGGAAGAAACACTTCCCAACCCATCCTATGAGCCCAATATTACCCTGATGCCAAAACAGAGAAAGATGTCCCAACAAAATAAAACTATAGACCAATTTCCCTTGTAAATATAGATACAAAACTCCACAAAACAGTAGCAAACTAAATTTGGCAATATATTGAAAAATTAGGCTGGGCGCAGTGGCTCACTCTTGTAATCTCAGCACTTTGGGAGGCCGAGGAGGGCGGATCACGAGGTCAGGAGATCGAGACCATCCTGGCTAACAGAGTGAAACCCCGACTCTACTAAAAATACAAAAAATTAGCCGGGCGTGGTGGCGGGCGTCTGTAGTCCCAGTTACTCGGGAGGCTGAGGCAGAAGAATGGCGTGAAACCAGGAGGCGGAGCTTGCAATAAACCGAGATCTGCTACAGCACTCCAGCCTGGCAACAGAGCGAGACTCCGTCTCAAAAAAAAAAAAAAAAAAAATTATACACCATGACCAAGTGGGATTTATCACAGGAATGCAAGCCTCTTTTAACATTTGAAAATGAATTAATAGAATGCCCCATATCAACAGAATAAAGAACAGAAACCACATTGCTATGGACTGAACGTTTGTGCCCGCCATTCATATGTTAAAATATTAACCCCCAGGTGGGGTGCAGTGGCTCAAGCCTGTAATCCCAGGACTTTGGGAGGCCAAGCTAGTGGATCACTTGAGGTCAGAAGTTTGAGACCAGCCTGGCCAATATGGCGAAACCCCGTTTCTACCAAAAAATACAAAAATTAGCCGGGTATAGTGGTGCGTGCCTCTAGTCCCAGCTACTCTGGAGGCTGAGGCAGGAGAATCGCTTGAACCTGGGAGGTGGAAGTTGCAGTGAGCTGAGATCACGTCACTGTACTCCAGCCTGGGTTACAGAGCTAAACTGTCTCAAAAAAAAAAAAAAAAAAATTAGCCCCCAGTGTGATGGTACTAACAGGTAGAATTTTTGGGAGATAATTAGGTCATGAGGGTAGAGCCTTTATAAATGAGATTAGTGCCTTTATTAAAAATAAGACAGGAGATAGTTTGTTTCCTCTCTCTCTCTCTCCCCCAACCCTCCCACCCCAACCACCATGTGAGGATGCAACAAGAAGATGGCCATTTGCAAACCAGGAAGAGTGCCCTCACCAGACGCTGGACAGACACTGGATCTAACAGTGCCTTAATCTTGGGCTTTCTAGCCTCACATTTCCGAGAATTTTCAGGAACTAATTTCTGTTGTTTAAGCCATCCAGTCCATGGTGTTCTGTCATAGCAGCCTAAACTGGTTAAGACACACATGGTCAACTCAATGTATGAATTAATGGAATGCCCCATATCAATAGAAAAGGGACTTGACAAGATCCAACACTCTTGATTAAAAAACAATATCAAGAACAAAAATAAACAAAAAATTCAACAAACTAGGAATAAAAGGAAACTTTCTCAACTTTATAAAAGACATCTATGAAAAACCCATAGCAAGCAGCATATCTAATAGTGAAAGACTGAAAGCATTTCCCCTAAGATCAGTAACATGATAAGAATGTCTGCTCTCACTAGTTCTATTTACTATTGTGCTGGGGCTTCAGCCAGGGAAATATGGCAAGGAAAAAAAAATACCTGGATTGGAAAGGAAGAAACAAAATCATCTCCATATGTATATGAAATGCATTTATATACAGGATTCTAAGCAATCCCATTTAAAAAAATGATTAGAAGAGTGATGTTATTATAGCAAAACTGGTAGAGTAGATAGCTCAAAGGTTCTATCCCTTCACAGGAACATCAAAAAATCAAGCAAAAACTCTCAGAACCAACTTTGTCATAGCTCTAAAAAACAGTAAAAAGTTCATAGCAACTAAGTAAATGCTGAATCAAGAAAAAGTAATTTAAAAGTGGTAATAAAGCAATTTAAAAGTGATAATAAAGCTTCACAGTATTTTGCTTGTTCTTTCTCTATCCAAGATCCCGGCTCAGTGACAATCTTTAAGATGGCAATTCAGATTCCCAGTGTGGGACCCTGGTTCCTGGTTCTGGAGGGAGCATAGCAGACTTTCTTCTTAAATATTGTGTTTGTTCTTTTTTTTTTTTTTTATACTTTAAGTTCTAGGGTACATGTGCAAAACATGCAGGTTTGTTACATATGTATACATGTGCCATGTTGGCTTGCTGCACCCATTAACTTGTCGTTTACATTAGGTATTTCTCCTAATGCTATCCCTCCCCCACCCCACCACCCAATGACAGGCCCCAGTGTGTGATGTTCCCCACCCTGTGTCCAAGTGTTCTCATTGTTCAATTCCCACCTATGAGTGAGAATATGCGGTGTTTGGTTTTCTGTCCTTGGGATAGTTTGCTGAGAATGATGGTTTCCAGCTTCATCCATGTCTCTACAAGGGCATGAACTCATCCTTTTTTATGGCTGCATAGTATTCCATGGTGTATATGTGCCACATTTTCTTAATCCAGTCTATCATTGATGGACATTTGGGTTGGTTCCAAGTGTTTGCTATTGTGAATAGTGCTGCAATAAACATACGTGTGCATGTGTCTTTATAGTAGCATGATTTATAATCCTTTGGGTATATACCCAGTAATGGGATGGCTGGGTCAAATGGTATTTCTAGCTCTAGATCCTTGAGGAATCGCCACACTGTCTTCCACAATGGTTGAACTAGTTTACAATCCCACCAACAGTGTAAAAGTGTTCCTATTTCTCCACATCCTCTCCAGCATCTGTTGTTTCCTGACTTTTAATGATCACCATTCTAACTGGGGTGAGATGGTATCTCATTGTGGTTTTGATTTGCATTTCTCTAATGACCAGTGATGATGAGAATTTTTTTCATGTGTCTGTTGGCTGCATAAATGTCTTCTTTTGAGAAGTGTCTGTTCATATCGTTTGCCCACTTTTTGATGAGGTTGTTTTTTTCTTATAAATTTGTTTAAGTTCTTTGTAGATTCTGGATATTAGCCCTTTGTCAGATGGGTAGATTGCAAAAATTTTCTCCCATTCTGCAGGTTGCCTGTTCACTCTAATGGTCGTTTCTTTTGCTGTGCAGAAACTCTTTAGCTTAAATAGATTTCATTTGTCTATTTTGGCTTTTGTTGCCATTGCTTCTGGCGTTTTAGTCATGAAGTCCTTGCCCATGCCTATGTCCTGAATGGTATTGCCTATGTTTCTTCTAGGGTTTTTATAGTTTTAGGACTTACGTTTAAGTCTTTAATCCATTTTGAATTAATTTTTGTATAAGGTGTAAGGAAGGGAAGGGATCCAGTTTCAGCTTTCTACAGTTTCAGCTAGCCAGTTTTCCCAGCACCACTTATTAAACAGGGAATCCTTTCCCCATTTCTTGTTTTTGTCAGGTTTGTCCAAGATCAGACAGTTGTAGATGTGTGGTGTTGTTTCTGAGGCCTCTGTTCTGTTCCGTTGATCTATATATCTGTTTTGGTACCAGTACCAAGCTGTTTTGGTCACTGTAGCCTTTTGGTATAGTTTGAAATCAGGTAGTGTGATGCCTCCAGCTTTGTTCTTTTGGCTTAGGATTGTCTTGGCAATGCGGGCTCTTTTTTGGTTCTATATGAAATTTAAAGTAGTTTTTTCCGATTCTGTGAAGAAAGTCATTGGTAGCTTGATGGGGATGGCATTGAATCTATAAATTACCTTGGGCAGTATGGCCATTTTCATGATATTGATTCTTCCTATCCATGAGCATGGAATGTTCTTCTATTTGTTGGTGTCCTCTTTTATTTCATTGAGCAGTGGTTTGTAGTTCTACTTGAAGAGGTCCTTCACATCCCTTGTAAGTTGGATTCCTAGGTATTTTATTCTCTTTGTAGCAATTGTGAATTGGAGTTCACTCATGATTTAGCTCTCTGTTTGTCTGTTGTTGGTGTATAGGAATGCTTGTGATTTTTGCACATTAATTTTGTATCCTGAGACTTTGCTGAAGTTGCTTATCAGCTTAAGGAGATTTTGGGCTGAGACGATGAGTTTTCTAAATGTACAATCATGTCCTCTGCAAACAGGGACAATTTAACTTCCTCTTTTCCTAATTCAATACCCTTTTTTTCTTTCTGTTGCCTGACTGCCCTGGCCAGCACTTCCAACACTATGTTGAATAGGAGTGGTGAGAGAGGGCGTCCCTGTCTTGTGTCCGTTTTCAAAGGGAATGCTTCCAGTTTTTGCCAATTCAGTATGATATTGGCTGTGGGTTTGTCATAAATACCTCTTAATATTTTGAGATACATTCCATCCATACCTAGTTTATTGAGAGTTTTTAGCATGAAGTGCAGTTGAATTTAGTTGAAGGCCTTTTCTGCATCCATTGAGATAATCATGTGGTTTTTGTCTTTGGTTCTGTTTATGTGATAGATTACATTTATTGATTTGAGTATATCAAACCAGCCTTGCATCCCAGGAATGAAGCTGACTTGATCGTGGTGGATAGGCTTTTTATGTGCTGCTGGATTTGGTTTGCCAGTATTGTATTGAGGATTTTTGCATCGATGTTCATCAGGGATATTGGTCTAAAATTCTCTTTTTTTGTTGTGTCTCTGCCAGGCTTTGGTATCAGGATGATGCTAGCCTCATAAAATGAGTTAGGGAGGATTCCCTCTTTTTCTATTGATTGGAATAGTTTCAGAAGGAATGGTACCAGCTCCTCTTTGTACCTCTGGTACAATTTGGCTGTGAATCTATCTGGTCCTGGACTTTTTTTGGTTGGTAGGCTATTAATTATTGCCTTAATTTCAGAACTGTTATTGGTCTATTCAGAGATTCAACTTCTTCCTGGTTTAGTCTTGGGAGGTTATATGTGTCCAGGAATTTATCCATTTCTTCTAGATTTTCTAGTTTATTTGTGTAGAGGTGTTTATAGTATTCTCTGATGGTAGTTTGTATTTCTGTGGGATCGGTGGTGATATCCCCTTTATCATTTTTTATTGCACCTTTTTGATTCTTCTCTCTTTTCTTCTTTATTAGTCTTGCTAGCGTTCTATCAATTTTGTTGATCTTTCAAAAAACCAGCTCATGGATTCATTGATTTTTTGAAGGGTTTTTGTGTCTCTATCTCCTTCAGGTCTGCTCTGATCTTAGTTATTTCTTGCCTTCTGCTAGCTTTTGAATGTGTTTGCTCTTGCTTCTCTAGCTCTTTTAATTGTGATGTCAGGGTGTCGATTTTAGATCTTTCCTGCTTTCTCTTGTGGGTATTTAGTGCTATAAATTTCCCTCTGCACACTGCTTTAAATGTGTCCCAGAGATTCTGGTATGTTGTGTCTTTGTTCTCATTGGTTTCAAAGAACATCTTTATTTCTGCCTTCATTTCATTATTTACCCAGTAGTCATTCAGGAGCAGGTTGTTCAGTTTCCATGTAGTTGTGCGGTTTTGAGTGAGTTTCTTAATCCTGAGTTCTAATTTGTGGTCTGAGAGACAGTTTGTTGTGATTTCTGTTCTTTTACATTTGCTGAGGAGTGCTTTACTTCTAATTATGTGGTGAATTTTGAAATAAGTGTGATGTGGTGCTGAGAAGAATGTATATTCTGTTGATTTGGGTTTGAGAGTTCTGTAGATGTCCATTAGGTCTGCTTGGTGCAGAGCTGAGTACAAGTCCTGGATATCCTTGTTAACTTTCTGTCTCATTGATCTGTCTAATATTGACAGTGGGGTGTTAAAGTCTCCCATTATTATTGTGTGGGAGCCTAAGTCTCTTTGTAGGTCTCTAAGGACTTGCTTTATGAATCTGAGTGCTCCTGTATGGGGTGCATATATATTTCGGATAGTTAGCTCTTCTTGTTGAATTGATCCCTTTACCATTATGTAATGGCCTTCTTTGTCTCTTTTGATCTTTGTTGGTTTAAAGTCTGTTTTATCAGAGACTAGGATTGCAACCCCTGTTTTTTGTTTTGTTTTGTGTGTGTGTGTGTGTGTTTGCTTTCCATTTTTTTAGTAGATCTTCCTCCATCCCTTTATTTTGAGCCTATGTGTGTCTCTGCACATGAGTTGGGTCCCTGAATACAGCACACTGATGGGTCTTGACTCTTTATCCAATTTGCCAGTCTGTGTCTTTTAATTGGGGCATTTAGCCCATTTACATTTTAGGTTAATATTGTTATGTGTGAATTTGATCCTGTCATTATGATGTTAGCTGGTTATTTTGCCCGTTACTTGATGCAGTTTCTTCCTAGCATCGATGGTCTTTACAATTTGGTGTGTTTTTGCAGTGGCTGGTATCGGTTGTTCCTTTCCATGTTTAGTGCTTCCTTCAGGAGCTCTTTAAGACAGGCCTGGTCGTGACAAAATCTCTCAGCATTTGCTTGTCTGTAAAGTATTTTATTTCTCCTTCACTTATGAAGTTTAGTTTGGCTGGATATGAAATTCTGGGTTGAAAATTCTTTTCTTTAAGAATGTTGAATATTGGCCCCCACTCTCTTCTGGCTTGTAGAGTTTCTGCTGAGAGATCCACTGTTAGTCTGATGGGCTTTCCTTTGTGGGTAACCCACCTGTATGAGGTGTCAGTCAGCCACTACTGGGAGGTGTCTCCCAGTTAGGCTACATGGGGGGTCAGGGACCCACTTGAGGAGGCAATCTGTCTGTTCTCCAATCTCAAACACCATGCTGGGAGAACCACTGCTCTCTTCAGAACTGTCAGACAGTGAGGTTCAAGTCTGCAGAAGTTTCTGCTGCCTTTTGTTCAGCTATGCCCTGGCCCCAGAGGTGGAGTCTACCGAGGCAGCAGGCCTTGCTGAGCTGCGGTGGGCTCTGCCCAGTTCAAGCTTCCTGGCTGATTTGTTTACCTACTCAAGCCTCAGCAATGGCGGACGCCCCTCCCCCTGCCAGGCTGCTGCCTCACAGGTCAATCTCAGACTGCTGCCCTAGCAGTGAGCAAGGCTCTTTGGGCGCAGGACCCACTGAGCCAGGCACGAGATACAATCTCCTGGTGTGCCGTTTGCTAAGACCATTAGAAAAGCACAGTATTTGGTCAGGAGTGTCCTGTTTTTCCAGGTACCATCTGTCATGGCTTCCCTTGGCTAGGAAAGGGAAATCCCCTAACTCCTTGCACTTCCCGGGTGAGGTGATGCCCTGCCCTGCTTCAGCTTGCCCTCCGTGGGCTGCACCCACCGTCCAAGCAGTCCCAATGAGACAAACCAGGTACCTCAGTTGGAAATGCAGAAATCACCCGTATTCTGCGTCAAGCACGCTGGGAGCTGCAGAATGGAGCTGTTCCTATTTGGCCATCTTGGAATGGCAAAAAAAAATTGTGGTTGTTCTAATCTGTCTGGAGGCTATATTAAGGAATGAGGCAAAGCCTTTTCCCTTGCTTTTCCCAACTCAGAGCTCACTAAGAGAAGAAAAGAAGTGGGCATCCCCTTGAAAAAATTGTAAGGAAAATGAGCAATTGCTGTCACCCGGGGCAAAAGATTACAGTTGAGGGAAAAAATATAGCGCCAAAAGCCTAAGAGAAAAATATAAGAAAATTTTCTTAAAGAAATTGGTGAATTCAAAGAGCTCATATATACTGGGGAATTTAGAAAGCCACGCACATGTCTTAGTCAGGATTCATGCTCATAAAAGACCTGAGTAGACCCTAAGCTTTTATCTCTGGCTGATCTTTGGACTCAGTTCTAGCAGGAAGTGAAGGCTGAGAAAGAGTTGTGAACAGCCTGAAAAAGCACTGAAGGAGTGTTCCAACACAGAGCCAGTCAGCAAATATTGAGAGAGGGTTTTTTTTTTCGCTTGTTCCCTCCCTCCTTCTCCCTCTTCTCTTTCCTTCCCTTCTTTCTTTCTCTTTCTTTCTTTCCTTTCTTTCTTTCTTCTTTCCTTCTTTCTTCCTTCCTTCCTCCCTTCCTCCCTTCCCTTCCTTCCTCTCTCCCTCCATTCCTTCCCTTCTCCCATCTTCCTTCCTTCCTTCTTCCCTTCCTCCCTTCCTTACTTTCTTTTTTCCTTCCTTCCTTCCTTTCTTCCTTCTTCCCTGCCTTCCTTCCTTCCTTTCTTCCTTCTGCTTCCTCCTGATAGTTATAAAAATCTCTGTCAAAATATGAGTTGAACACAAGCTAATGGAACTAAGACTTCAGAGAGCACACATGACAAATAAAACAAAATTCATAATAATAGTACAGAAGACTCACTAATCAAACAGATAGCTACAGTGCACAGAAAGCGACAAAAACAAACTCTAAGAAGGAGAAGAATGTGATCTGATTTCTAGAATTATGACTTTATAATAATCAAAATTTCCAGTTTTCAACAAAAAACTATGAAGCATGAAAACAAATAAGGAACTATAGCCCACAGAAGTTTCTGCTCACAGAAGAACTGAGCAGAAACTATCCCTAAAGAAGCACAGATACTTGACTTATTAGGCAAATAAATACTATAATCAATGACCTTAAATATATTCAAAAGCTAAATAATTTATGAACAAAATACTAAAGGGAACTAGGAGAATGACATTTCAACAGAGAATATCAATAAAGAGATAGAAATTATAAAAAGGAACCAAACAGAAATTCTGGAACTAAAAAACATAACAACATATTGAAAACTCACTAGAGAATTTTAATAGCACATTTTAAATGGGCAGAAAAAAGAATCAGCAAACTTGGAGATGGATCAATTGAAATTATGCAGTCAGTGTAGAAGAAAGAAAAAAAGAATGAAACTAAGACACATCTGTGACACCATCAAGGATACCAACATTTGCATAGTAGGAATCCCAGAAGGAGAGGACAAAGAAAAAGAAGCAGAAAAAAAATCTGAAAAAATAATGGATAAAAACTCATGAAGTTTTATAAGAGACATGAAATTACAAATCCAACCAGCTTATTAAACTCAAAGAAAGAAAAATGCAAAGAGATTCACACAGAGACATATTGTAACCAAATTGTCAAACGCCAAAGCCAAAGGTGAATTTTGAAAGCAGCAAGAGAGAAGAGACTTATGCACATGACATTCTAAATAAGACTGTTAGTCAATTTTTCATGAGACAATATGGAGGCCAGAAGGCAGTGGGATGTAACTTTTAAGTGCTGAAAGAAAAAACTGTCAGCCAAGAATTTTATATCTGGTAAAACTATCTTTAAAAAGTGAGAGAGAAACTAGGACACACCTAAAGAAACAAAAATTGAGGGAGTGCTTTACCAGTAGGCCTACTTTACAAAAGGTAAGGAATAAAAAGGTCCTTCAGACTGAAATGAAAGTACAGTATGACAGTAACTCCAAGCCACATACAAAAATTAAAAACTCTGGAAAAGGTACTATATATGTAAACATTAAAGTCAGTATTATTGTATTTTTGTTTTTAAATTATTTTTATTTCCTAAAAAGACAAATTAGTAAAATAGTACATTTTGTTGACATAAAACAGTAATATATGTTAATACCCATATAATATACAGAGATATAATTTATGATAATAACAATATAAGGGGGATGGACCTTACATAGGAGTGAAGAAACTATGTTGGTGTCAATTCAAACTAGATTGTTACAGATTTGGGTGTTTGTTGTAAACTGGTGACTACTAAGCAAATAATAAAAAAGTAAAGGAATCAGTAATCAAAAACTTCCAAACAGAAAAGGTCCAAGCCAGTTTGCTTCATTGGTGAATTCTACCAACGATTTAAAGAATTATCACCAACACTTCTCAAGTTTTTTACATACAAAGGCAATAGAAGAGGAGGAAACAGTTCTTACTTATTCTTTGAAACCAGTATTACTCCAATACCAAAGCCAGACTAAACACCACAGGAAAACTACAGATAAATATTCCTTATAAATATGGATACAAAAAACCTCAAGAAAATACTAGAAAACCAAATCCAACGTAACAGTAAAAGTATTATACACCATGGCCAAGGGGAATTTATTTCAGGAATACAGGAGTGAGTCAAAACATAAAACATCTATGAATATACCACATTAATAGAATGAAGAAAATAACATCTCAATTGATGCAGAAAAAGCACTTGACAAAACTTAACATCCTTTTCTGAAGAAAAGAAAAATTCAGAAAACTAGGAATAGAAGGAAATTTTCTTCTATTTAATTGGCAGAAATAAAAAAGCTGATCTTTAAATTCATATGGAATTGCAAAGGGAAATGCCTCTTGCCACATGCAAAAATCCAATTAAAATGGATTAAAGACTTAAATGCAAGACATGGAACTATGAAGTCATGAGAATCTTGGAAAGAACAAAACTAAAGGACTCGCAATTCTTTATTTCAAACTTACCTCAAAGTTACGGTAATCAAAACAGTATGGTACTGGCATAAGGATAAATATATAGTCAAAAAAATAGAATAGAAAGTCCAGGAATAAGCCCATACACCTATGGTCAACTGATTCCATATTTATGAAATATTCAGAAGAGATAAATCCGTAGATACAGAAAGCTGATTGATGGTTGTCAGCTGCTACAAGTAGAATGGAAAAGGAAGTGACTGCTTGTGGGACATTTATGGATTTTCTTTTGTGGTGAAAGAAAATATTTTGGAACTTGACAGAACTGGTGGCTGTACAACATACTAAATGCCATTGACATTTAAATTTTAATATGATTAATCTTATCATGTTTAATCTAATAATATTTTTTAAAAGCATTATAACTAATAAATTAAGTCAGCAAGGTTTCAGAATATAAGACCAATACAAAAATATCAATCATATTTCTTTTTCTCATTGAAAACAAATTTTATTCAAGATTGAAGCAAAAATATTACATTTATTTTATGTATGTATAGACAACTTAACCAAACTATAATATTTAAATAAAAGTGTAATTATTTCCAAAAGTGGTATAGCTCAGAGAATTACTAGCAGAGACTTCTTTTTTAACCTCAGATGTACAGAATTGAGTTTATAATATTAATTTCTTAGCAAGCTATCATCATTTATCCATGTTAAACCCCACTTTTTAAATTTTTAAATATAATTATTGCCTTTTTCCTTTATCCCCCCCAGTTCTCAATTCAATTTCCTCTCTGTATCCCATCATAAGCTCTATATTTTATGTATGTTAATTAATACATAATAATTGTACATATTTATGGAGTACATAGTGATTGTTTGTTTGTTTGTTTGTTTTTGAAACAAGGTCTGGCTCTATCGCCCAGGCTGGAGTGCAGTGCCATGATCTCAGCTCACTGCAACCTCTGCCTCCCAGGCTCAAGCCATCCTCCTACCTCAGCCTCCAAAGTAGCTGGGACTACAGACACATGCCACCACACCAGGCTAATTTTTGTAGTTTTAATAGAGGCAGGGTTTCACCATGTGGCCCAGGCTGGTCTCAAACTCATGATCTTAAGCAATCCACCCACCTCACCCCACAGTGATATTTTGATACATACAAAGTATAGTGATCAAATCATGGAAATTAGCACATCCATCATTTCAAACATTTATCATTTCTTTCTTTTTAAATTATACTTTAAGTTCTGGGATACATGTGCAGAACGTGCAGGTTTGTTGCATAGGTATACATGTGCCATAGTGGTTTGCTGCACCCGTCAACCCATCATCTACATTAGGTATTTCTCCTAATGCTATCCTTCCCTTTGCTCCCCACCCCCTGACAGGCCCCAGTGTGTGATGTTCCCCTCCCTGTGCCCATGTGTTCTCATTGTTCAACTCCCAGTTATGAGTGAGAACATGTGGTGTTTGGTTTATTGTTCCCATGTTAGTATGCTGAGAATAAAGGTTTCCAGCTTCATCCATGTCCCTGAAAAGGACATGGACTCATTCTTTTTTACAGCTGCATAGTATTCCATGGTGTTTATGTGCCACATTTTCTTTCTTCAATCTATTATTGATGGGCATTTGGGTTGGTTCCAAGTCTTTGCTATTGTGACTAGTGTTGCAATTAACATACGTGTGCATGTGTCTTTATAGTAGAACCTCTCTTCCTATTTGAATACCTTTTATTTCTTTCTCTTGCTTGATTGCTCTGGCCAGAACTTCCAATACTATGTTGAATACGAGTGGTGAGAGAAGGCATCCTTGTCTTGTGGCAGTTGTCAAAGGTAATGGTTCCAGCTTTTGCCCATTCAACATGATATTGGCTATGGGTTTGTCATAAATAGCTCTTATTATTTTGAGATACGTTCTATTAATGCCTAGTTTATTGAGTGTTTTTAGCATGAAGTGATGTTGAATTTTATCAAAAGCCTTTTCTGCATCTAATGAGATACACATGTGGTTTTTGTCATTGGTTCTGTTTATGTGATGGATTATGTTTTTTGTTTTGCATATGTTGAAACAGGGACGAAGCTGACTTGATCGTGGTGCTTAAGCCTGTTTTTTTTTGGAGATGGAGTCTCACTCTGTCGCCCAGGCTGGACTGCAGTGGAACAATTTTGGCTCACTGCAACCTCCACCTCCTGGGTTCAAGCAGTTCTCCTGCCTCAGCCTCCTGAGTTGCTGGGATTACAGACATGCACGCCCAGCTAATTTTTGTATTTTTAGTAGAGATGGGATTTCATCATGTTGGTCAGGCTGGTCTCAAACTCCTGACCTCATGATCGGCCCACCTCAGCCTCCCAAAGTGCTGGGATTACAGGCATGAGCCACTGCACCCAGCCAGATAAGCTTTTAATGTGCTGCTGGATTCGGTTTGCCAGTATTTTACTGAAGATTTTCACATCAATGTTCATCAGTGATATTGCCTGAAATTTTCTTTTTTTTATTGTGTCTCTGCCAGGTTTTGGTATCAGGATGATCCTGGCCTTATAAAATAAGTTAGGGAGGAGTCCCTCTTTTTCTATTGTTTGGAATAGTTTCAGAAGAAATGGTATCAGCTCCTCTTTGTACCTCTGGTAAAATTTGGCTGTGTATCTGTCTGGTCCTGGACTCCTTTTGGTTGGCAGGCTATTAATTATTGCCTCAATTTCAGAACTTATTATTGGTCTATTCAGGGATTCAACTTCTTCCTGGTTTAGTCTTGGGAAAATGTATGTGTCCAGGAATGTATCCATTTCTTCTAGATTTTCTAGTTTATTTGCATAGAGGTGGTTATAGTATTCTCTGATGGCAGTTTGTATTTCTGTGGGATCTGTGGTGATATCTCCTTTATCATTTTTTATTGCGTCTATTTGATTCTTCTCTCTTTTCTTCTTTATTAGTCTGGCTTGCAGTATATCTATTTTGTTAATCCTTTCAAAACACTGGCTTCTAGATTCATTGATTTTTTTTGGAGGGTTTTCTCATATCTCTATCTCTTTCAGTTCTGGTCTGATCTTAGTTATTTCTTCTCTTCTGCTAGCTTTTGAATTTGTTTGCTCTTGCTTCACTAGTTCTTTTAATTGTGATGTTAGGGCATTGATTTTAGGTCTTTCCCACTTTCTGAAATGAGCATTCAGTGCTATAAATTTCCCTCTAAACACTGCTTTCACCGTGTCCCAGAAATTTTTGGTACGTTGTCTCTTTGTTCTCATTGGTTTCAAAGAACTTATTTTTTTCTGCCTTAATTTCATATTTACCTGGTAGTTATTCAGGAGCAGGTTGTAGTTGTGTGGTTTTTAGTGAGTTTCTTAATTTTGAGTTCTAATTTAGTTGCACTGTGGTCTGAGAGACTGTTTGTTATGATTTTTGTCCTTTTGCATTTGCTGGGAGTGTTTTACTTCCAAGTATGTGGTCAATTTTAGAATAAGTGCAATGTGGTGCTGAGAAGAATGTACATTTTGTTGATTTGGGGTGGAGAATTCTGTAGATGTCTATTAGGTCCTCTTGGTCCAAAGGTGATTTCAAGTCCTGAATATCCTTGTTAATTTTTTGTCTCATTGATCTGACAGTGGGGTGTTAAAATCTCCCACTATTATTGTGTGGCAGTCTAAGTCTCTTCGTAGGTCTTTAAGAACTTGCTTTATGAATCTGGATGCTTCTGCATTGGGTGCATATATATTTAGGATAGTTAGCTCTTCTTGTTGCATTGATCCCTTTACCATTATGTAATGCCCTTCTTTGTCTTTTTTAAATGCCGATCTTTGTTGGTTTAAAGTCTGCTTTATCAGAGACTAGGATGCAACCCCTGTTTTTTTTTCCTTTCCATTTGCTTGGTAAATATTCCTCCATCACTTTATTTTGAGCTTATGTGTCTTTGCACATGAGATGGGTCCCTGAATACAGTACACCAATGGGTCTTGACTCTTTATCCCATTTGCCAGTGTGTGTCTTTTAATTGGGGCATTTAGCCCATTTATACTTAAGGTTAATATTGTTATGTGTGAATTTGGTCCTGTCATTATGATGCTAGCTGTTTATTTTGCCCATTACTTGATGCAGTTTTTTCATACTGTGAATGGTTTTGCATTTTGGTATGTTTTTGCAGTGGTTGGTACCAGTTTTTCCTTTCTACATTTAGTGCTTCCTTCAGGAGCTCTTGTAAGGCAGGCCTGATCATGACAAAATCCCTCAGCATTTGCTTGTCTGTAAAGTATTTTATTTCTCCTTCACTTTTGAAGCTTAGTTTGGCTGGATATGAAATTCTGGCCTGAAAAGTCTTTTCTTTAAGAATTTTGAATATTGGCCCCCACTCTCTTCTGGCTTGTAGGGTTTCTGCAGAGAGACCCACTGTTAATCTGATGGGCTTCCCTTTGTGGGTAACCCGACCTTTCTCTCTGGCTGCCCTTAACATTTTTTCCTTCATTTCAACCTTGGTGAATCTGACGACTATGTGTCTTGGGGTTGCTCTTCTCAAGGAGTATCTTTGTGCTGTTCTCTGTATTTCCTGAATTTGAATGTTGGCCTGTCTTGCTAGGTTGGGAAGTTCTCCTGGATAGTGTCCTAAAGTGTATTTTCCAACGTGGTTCCATTCTCCCTGTCACTTTCGGGTACACCAATCAAACATAGATTTGGTCTTTTCACATAGTCCCATGTTTCTTGGAGGCTTTGTTCTTTCCTTTTCATTCTTTTTTCTCTAATCTTGTCTTCATACTTTATTTCATTAAGTTGATCTTCAATCTCTGACATGTTTTCTTCCACTTGATCAATTCAGCTGTTGATACTTGTGTATGTTTCACAAAGTTCTTATGCTGTGTTTTTCAGCTCCATTAGCTAATTTATGTTCTTCTCTAAACTGGTTATTCTAGTTAGCAGTTCCTGGAACCTTTTATCAAGGTCCTTAGCTTCCTTGCATCGTGTTACAACATGCTCCTTTAGCTCAGAGGAGTTTGTTATTACCCACCTTCTGAAGCCTACTTCTGTCAATTTGTCAAACTCATTCTCCATTCAGTTTTATTCCCTTGCTGGTGAGGAGTTGTGATCCTTTGGAGGAGACAAGACATTCTTGTTTTGGGAATTTTCAGCCTTTTTGCGCTGTTTTTTCCGCATATTCATGGATTTATCTACCTTTGGTCTTTGCAATTGGTGAACTTCAGATGGGGTTTTTGCATGGGCATCCTTTTTGTTGATGTTGATGCTATTGCTTTCTGTTTGTTAGTTTTCCTTCTAACAGGCTCCTTTGCTTCAGTTCTGCTGGAGTTCGCTGTAGGGCCACTCCAGACCCTGTTTGCCTTGGTATCACCAGCGGAGGCTGCAGAATGGCAAAGATTGCTGCCTGCTCCTTCCTCTGGAAGCTTTGTCCCAGAGGGGCACCCACCAGATGCCAGCCGGAGCTGTCCTGTATGAGGTGTCTGTCGACCCCTGCTTGGAGATGTCTCCCAATCAGGTGGCATGGGGGTCAGGGACCCACTTGAGGAGGCAGCCTGTCCCTTAGCAGAGCTCAAGCACTATACTGGGAGATCTGCTGCTCTCTTCAGAGCTGGCAGGCAGGAATACTTAAGTCTGCTGAAGCTGTGCCCACAGCCACCCCTTCCCCCAGGTGCTCTGTCCCAAGGAGATGGGAGTTTTATCTATAAGCCCCTGACTGAGTCTGATGCATTTCTTTCAGAGATGCCCTGCCCAGAGAGGAGGAATCTATAGAGGCAGTCTGGCTACAGTGGTTTTGCTGTGCCGTGGTGGGTTCTGCACCCAGTTCAAACTTCCCAGTTTTGTTTACACTGTGAGGGGAAAACTGCCTACTCAAGCCTCAGTAACGGCAGACGCCCCTCCCCTCACCAAGCTCGAGCATCCCAGGTCAACTTCAGACTGCTGTGCTGGCAGCAAGAATTTCAAGCCAGTGGATCTTAGCTTGTTGGGCTCCATGGGGGTGGGATCTGCTGAGCAAGACCACTTGGCTCCCTGGCTTCAGCCCCCTTTCCATGGGAGTGAACATTTCTGTCTCCCTGGCATTCCAGGTGCCACTGGGGTATGAAAAAATCTCCTGCAGCTAGCTCGGTGTCTGCCCAATTAATCCCCAAGTTTTGTGCTGGAAACCCAGGGCCCTGGTGGTGTAGGCACCCAAGGGAATCTCCTGGTCTGCAGGTTGTGAAGACTGTGGGAAAAGCATAGTATCTGGCCCAGATAGCACTATCCCTCATGGCACAGCCCCTCATGGCTTCCCTGGGCTAGGGGAGGGAGTTACCCAACCCCTTGCACTTCCCAGATGAAGCAGCACCCCTCCCTGCTTCTGCTTGTCCTCTGTGAGCTGCACCCACTGTCTAACCAGTAGTCCCAATGAGATGAACTGGGTACCTCAGTTGGAAATGCAGAAATCACCAGCCTTCTGTGTTGGTCTCGCTGGGAGCTGCAGACCAGAGCTGTTCCTATTCAGCCATCTTGCCCGGGAATCCATTTATTATCAATTATATTTTTATATTCTTGTAATGAACAATACAAAAATGATATTTAAAAATCTAACTACAATAACATCAAAGATCATAAAATACTTTGGAATGTATTTAACAAAAAAAGTACAAAATTTATACTTTGAAAAGTACAAAACATGTTGAAAATAGTAGTGAAAATCCAAGTAAATGGGAAGATACCTACATTCATGGATCAGAATACTTAAATTTGATAAGATGACAATACTACCCAAACTAATCCACAGATTCAGTGTAATCTCTATCAAAATCCCACCTGGTTTCTTTGCAAAAATTGACAAGCTGATCTTAAAATGTACATAGAAATTCAAGAGATCAGAATAGCCAAAACAAGCTTGAAGAAGAAGAACAAAGTTTGAGGACTCACACTTCCAAAATTTAAAACTTACTATAAAGTTATAGAAACTAAAACAATGTGGTACTGGAATGAGGATAGATATATAGAGCAGTGGGGTAGAATTAAGAATACAGAAAAAAACTCTCATATGTATAGTCAACTAATTATTGATAATGCTGCCAAGACAATTCAATGAGAAAAGAAAATTATCTTCAACAAATATTACTGGGACAATAGTATATCCATTACATAATAATGAAGTTATGTCCATGGATCAAAGACCTAAATGTAGGGGCTAAAACTATAAAGCTCTAAGAAAAAAACATAGACATAGATCTCCATGACTTTGAATTAGTCAATTGTTTGTTAAATGACACTAAATACATGAAAAGAAAGAAAAAAAATGGATACCATCAAAATTAGAAACTTTTGTACTTTAAATGAAACCATTCAGAATGTGAAAAGGCAACCCAAAGAATGGGAGAAAATATTTGCAAATTATGTACCTGAGAAGGGACTTGTATCTAGAATACATAAAGAACTCTTACTAGTCAGTGAAAAAACAAATAACCCAATTAAAACATGGCAAAGGAGTTGAGTAGAAATTCCCCTAAGGAGATATTCAGATGGCCAAAAAGCACATGAAAAGATGTTCAACATCCTTAGCCATCAGGACAGTGTAATTCAAAACTGCAATGAGATACTAGTTCATGCTCACTATGATGGGTAAAATTAAAAAGTCAAATAACAACTCTAGATGTGAATGTGGAGAAACTGAAGCCCTTGTACACTGTGGCTGAGAATGTAAAATGTTGTAGCCACTGTGGAAAACAGTCTAGTAGTCCTCCAAAAAGTTTAATGTAGCATTTACCATTGACCTGACAATTCTCTTTCTATGTATATACCCAAGATAATTGAAAACATGTGTTTATGCAAAATCCTTTACACGAATATTTATAGCAGCATTCTTTATAACAGTCAAAAGATGGAAACAATGCAAATGTCAATCAATTGATGAACAGATAAATAAAATGTGGCATATCCATACAATGGAAATGAAGAACTCATACATGCTACAACATGGATGAACTTTGAAAATATGATAAGTAAAAGAAGCCAGACAGAAAGATCATGGCTCACCAGGTAGCTGTCACTGTGACATGAGTCAGTAACTTTTCTAAGCAACTTCAGTTTCCCAGTTCCTGAGTTGTAAATACTCAAACAAAGACAGACTAATAAACCACTTAACATGCAATTAAATGTCTGTGACATTAACCAAGTATTTGATTACAAAAATTCCAAAGGACACCAATCACGTATTTGAATGATTTGTAGAATGAAAAGAAACATCAAAAATAGAGCTATACATTCTCATATCACAGACCGAAGTTAGATTTTAACTTTGCTTATATCAAAACACCTACTGAATTTGGGCAAAAACTATCTGCCTTGATTTCAGGTGACTAAGCCATTTGTTCCTTTAAGAAGTTTAAGTGCATCATAGAACTTTTATTTAAAAATTAAATTTTTGAAAAAAATTTTCTTTGGTATTCTATGTCAAGTAACTGAATATTTCTTTAACAATCATCTTTGCAAATCTTCATCAATAGATAATGAGCCCTCCACATACATGTTCTCATTATAAGTTTAGACTTTATCAGATTGTAGTCTCCTCCTATTTGGCCTATAATTCTCAGACTTGAGATAAAAGACGCTGGTGGTAGCTAACATTTGAGGAATGTTTGCCAGTTTACTTGGTGTCTTTATACCTCTTGGCTCACGTAATCCTTACAACAATTTTATAAGTAGGCATTAGTTAAACTAATCCTAATTTACAGATTTGAAAATTGATGCTCTTTGCGGTTAAGAATCTTGCCCAAAACTAATGAGTGCAGACCTCAAATCTGGGTCCTCAATGCATAAGGCTGTGCTTACTCCACAGCCATCACTTGATCTGGAATTGTGGAGCCTATAACCAGAGTCCCTCTCGGTTCACTTTAACCTCACCCTGTCCTGCTTCCATTGTCACCATCTGTACTTTATGAGAACAAATCTCAGCAGATGAGAGGGTGAAAAATTCCTTACGATAAACATCTATTATTCAAATTATGACCCAGGGGTTGTGGTAAAATACCTACTGTTTCAATTATACAATTTTTGTTCTGAGAAAGAACAGAGCTGGGAAAGATAATGCAGTAGTTGCTGAATGGCTGTGATATAAATTGCCTCTATGACTGTCCAAATGGTAAGCCCAGAAGCATTGGTCTGCCTCTGGCTAGAACCCTGTGGCTTTAATATTATTCTGCGCTTGTTCCCTTGCTCTTCATAACATCAGGTGCTCCCAGATGGGCATCTTCTATTTTGGAGGCAATAAAATGCTGTAGCCGAAGTAACACTGAACATATCCTCTATTTTAGAATGCCATTGGAGCAACACAAACCACCAAGATATGGTCCCCAGACAGGCTGCAAGTCAATATCGGGCCAGGGCACAACTGGGCTTCCTGATACCTATGGTTTAATAGTGCCCCCTTTGTGGACACTCTGATATTTACCCTCAGTTAAGGTGTTCTTGTTTCATTTTGCAGTTGGTCTGCTGCAATGTAAGATATGCACTTGGGTGGGAACCTGGAAATCCAGTTGCAAGCCAGCTGCACAGCTCCCTGGCTGAGTGGTGTTGGGCAAAAGTCTGTGCATCTCCAGACTTCTCATCTGAAGGTCATGGGAAGGAATATGTCACATTGATACTGTATTTTTAAGCCTGGCTAGATATAGGGCTCAGTGGCCTAGGAGGAGGATATCATTGCTCTTTGGGAGAGGATTTCTCTGCTCTTTCCTCCACTCAGGAGAGGCACTTTAATGGTTATGTTTAGTTAAGCTTAGTACTGAGATAGAGAAGTGAGGCTTGGTGGAAATGGTCCAGGAATTTGAGGATGAGTCTCAAAAACTTAGTTTGAAATAGATTGTCATGATCTGTTTTTCTTCTGTCATCCCAAATCATCACAGTCAGGCTTTTAATCAGGGGGTTTAGGATGAAGGAAGTGGGGTGTGTCCTTGTGGGGCAAAGCTGTGCACACAGAGGGCTACAGCTGCAAGAGCTGGGTTCCGAGGCTAGAGGCCAGAAAATGGCTGAGTCAGGCCCACGGAATGGTGTGTGAGGGAGCTGGAGACTCGCCCTTGTGACTCAGGGCTTATGACCAAGGTAGACCTTGGAAGCTCAAGAAACTCGGAAGCAACCAAGAGGCAAACAGTTAACTTATGGAAAATGAAAGATTTCGTTGACTGATCATCAAGCATCTTTCAGTTAAAATATTCAGTGGATCTATGCATCTGCCCAAAGAAAAATTGAGTTAAAAATAGCTAAAGAGGCCAGGCGCAGTGGCTCACACTTGTAATCCCAGCACTTTGGGAGGCCGAGGCGGGTGGATCACCTGAGGTCAGGAGTTCAAGACCAGTCTGACCAACATGGAGAAACCCCATCTCTACTAAAAAAAAAAAAAAAAAAAAAAAAAAGAAGACAAAATTAGCTGGGCATGGTGGCACGTGCCTGTAATTCCAACTACTCAGGAGGCTGAGGCAGAAAAATCACTTCAACCTGGGAGGCAGAGGTTGCAGTGAGCTGAGATGGCGCCATTGAACTCCAGCCTGGGCAACAAGAGTGAAACTCCATCTCAAAAAAAAAAAAAAAATAGCTGAAGATTTTCTATGGCACCATTTTTAGTCATTCATATTTGTCTCGTTTATTGTATGTTTTAAACAAATCTATCAAAATTACCTTGCTGTTTTTTAATGTCAGAAGAAGATCAAGTCAACAAGTATATATTCAAAAGTTAAAGCCCAGGTGTGGTGGCTCACACCTGTATTCCCAGCACTTTGGTAGACAGAGGTGGGAGGATCTTTTGAGCCCAGGAGACCAGCCTGAGCAACACAACAAGGCTCTGTCTCTACAAAAAATAAAAAAAAACTAGCCTGTTTTGGTGGTGCACCTGTTGTCTTAGCTACTCAGGAGGCTGAATTGGGAGGAATGCTTGAGCCTGGGAGTTCATGGCTGCAGTAAGCTATGATTTTGTCATTGCAATCCAGCCTGGGTGACACAACAAGATCCTGTCTCAAAAAAAAAAAGAAGAAAGAAAGAAAGAAAGACAGAAAGAAAGGAAGGAAGGAAGGAAGGAAGGAAGGAAGGAAGGAAGGAAGGAAGGAAGGAAGGGATAAAAATAAAACATGTTTAAAAAATTAAAGACTGTTAAACAATATATTTTGTAGGAAATTCAATATTAATAATGGCAGTTTGAAAACAATAGTCCCTTATATAAATAGGCAAGGAGAAAAAAAACAGCTTTTATGGGTGGGAAGGATGATCATGTACCTAAATAGATAATGCATTAATGTATGTTATTTTATGTCTGGTGCTATTGGACTGACATAAAAATCTAATATTCCTGACATCCGTTCAAGTTCAAGCATGTATCTCAACTTCTGACTCTGAGCATATTCATTTCAAAGGGCTTCACAGACAATTAGCTAATTACCCCTGTGGGGTGGGCATAGAACCAATGAGTGTGATTATTATTAAGCTCTTCAGACCTGAACATTCCATGCAGTGGGACCCTCTGTGTTTTTCATAAGAAAATCTGACATACTTAACAGCTCAAGAGAGCAGCAATGCCCAATTCACACAACAGCTGTGAAAACCTTCAGGGTTGAATTATTATTATTATTCCAGGAACTCTCCTCTTTGAACATGGTTTTGAATCACTACTGTCTTTTGCTGAGGATCCAGAAGCAGCAGTTAATTACCAAGTTCCAGCCGTTCCTGTGGGCCTGCCACTGAGACCCCCATAAGCAAGCTTTTTATTGTTTTATTTTATTTTTAATTGACAAGTAATTATTGTCATATTTTGTTATAAACTGATATATTCATGGGGTATGACATAATGTTTTGATACATGTCTATATTGTGAAATAATCATATCGGGCTAATTAACATATCTATTACCTCAAATATTTATCATTTCTTTGGAGTGAGAACATTTCAAATCCCCTCTTTTAGCTGTTTTGAAATATACATTATTGTTAACTATAGTCGCCATGCTGTGCAACAGATCACCAGAACATATTGCCCCTATCTGACTGAAACTTTGTACCTGTTAACCTAAATCACCCCTTTCCCTGTCCACCCCCAACCCCACCACCACTCACCCTTCCCGTTACTGGTAACCACCATTCTCTCTCTACTTCTGTGAGTTTGACTTTTTGGATTTCATATATAAGTGAGAGCATATGGTATTTGTTCGCTCTGTGCCTGGCTTATTTCACTTAAGATAATGTCCTCTAGGTTTACCCACGTTGTTGCAAATGGCAGAATTCCTTGTAGTTTTCTATTGTGTGTATCATATTTTCTTTATCTATTCATTGGTTGATGGAAATAGGTTGTTTTCCTCTCTTGGCTATTGTAAACAGTGCTGCAATAAACATGAGAGTGTAGATATCTCTTGGACATGCTGACTTTAATTCCTTTGGATATATACCCAGCAGTAGGATTGCTGGGTCATAGGGTAATTCTAATTTTATTTTTTTTGAGGAACCTACATACTGTTTTCCAAAATGGCTGTACCAACTTACATTCCCACCAACAGTGTTCAAGGGTTCCCTATTGTTCACATTCTCACCAACACTTGTTATCTTTCATCTTTTTGACAATAGCAAATCTAACAGGAGTGAGGTGATATCTCACTGTGGTTTTAATTTGCATTTCTTTGATGATTAGAGATGTTGAGTATTTTTTATATATCCATTGGTCATTTGTATGTCTTCTTTTGGGAAATGTCTTTTTAAGTCTTTTGCCCATTTTTAATAGGATCTTGTTTTGTTGTTATTGAGTAGTTTGAGTGCCCTGTATATTTTGCACATCAGCCACTTTCCCGAAATATGATTTGCAAAGATTTTCTCCCAATCTGTGGGCTGTCTCTTTACTCCATTAATTGTTTCCTTTGTTGTGCAGAAGCTTTTTAGATTTACTCATTTTAAAACTGACTAAAATGTGTTCATCTTTTGCAGGAAGATGAAGGTGAAATTGGCAGGTGGGCCTGCAGATTAATGTTTTCTGTTTGTTTCATCATCCTACCCACTTTGGCACTTAACAACTGATAAAGAAGTTTTCTTTCTATTCTTATAAAGAAAAACAACAACAAGATGTACTTAGATATAGGCTTGTAAACCTTCAAAGGAGAGACTTAGCATTTTTTTTTTCCTTGCTCTTTTTCTTTATCGCCAGGACAAATGGATCAGGATCTAATCTGCTTACTCTTTCTGTACTTGCAGAGCAATTTTGATGTAATCAGAGGATTATCTTCAGCATCTCAAACACTTGAACTGTGCATTCATTTTTAGCACGTCAACCAAGGTGGCAGATATTTTTGTCAAAAGGCAAAATCCAACTTCAGTACCTCTTTGGGATTATATGTCTGGAACACATAACAGCCAATTTGGAACTATGGTAATGATCTTTTGCATGTTTACATAAGTGAAAATGGATTGAACTGGGATAACTTTGAAGTTTGACTCTGCTAGCAGTCTCCTGCTCTCTTACACTTAGTAATAACTTACTGTCATTATGTAACTAATTTATATAACTAACATAAAGTTAATAATAACCTTACAGTTCATACATCATTTCATAAAACTTCACAAGAGGTAAATTTTTCATTATATGTAAAATCTTCAATGCTGAGACTTAGCAGCTAAAATTTGTTTAAAAATTAGGATTCTTCTGCAGTAGTACATATCATTAACACTGTTGTAACAGAGCAAACCCAGATTATGCTAAGAGTTTATCTTTGAAAAGGAGTGATCAAATTCCTGTCTGTATGGAACAACATGCTGGGCCCATGTATGGTTTCTGTCCTCCAGGACTTTGCAAATAAAGGAGACATACAAACACAACAAGTAAGAGAATGCAAATGTTTTTTAACATTTTCCTTGATGGCAGTGGCAGATGTCTCCATTTTTGGCATCTGTGTCTTGCAGGCCAACTATTTTTGTGGCCTTCTTTTCCCATCTGTTCGTACTGTCATCTTATGTACCTGTATTATCCAAAGAAAGTCTTCTGGGACCTGCACTGCAGCACAGAAATCCTGCTCCCAGCAAACTACAAAGGTCATCTCAGGGCTCAAGCTTTAGTGGGGAAGTTCATTAGACTCCACGGTGATTTCCCAGTGTCTCTTTGCTTTTCCTCTTTTCTTCTTTTCTCTTCTCTTCTCTTCTTTTCTCTTTTCTCTCTCTCTCTTTTTTTTTTCTTTTTGAGAGAGAGTCTCACTGTGTCCCGCAGGCTGCAGTGCAGTGGCATGGTCTCGGCTCACTGCAACCTCCACCTCCCAGGCTCAAGTGATTCTCCTGCCTCAGCCTCCCGAGTAGCTGGGATTACAAACGCCTACCACCACACCTGGCTATGTTTGTATTTTTAATAGAGACAGGGTTTCACCAGGTTGGCCAGGCTGGTCTTAAACTCCTCGCTTCAGGTGATCCACCCTCATTGGCCTTCCAAATTGCTGGGATTACAGACATGAGCCACAGCGCCCGACCTCCAGTATCTATTTCTTTCAAACACAAACACAAAAAGATACTTATACACATGGCCTTCAATATAGACTGCACTTGCTCCATGAATTATAAAAATATACATAACTTTTGTTTTCAAGTACCTTTATTTATTCTTCAGAAAGTATCTGAAGTGAAAAGAATGGTACTGAGATATTGCCTGTTTCCAGCACCGCTCCAGAATGATCCAGAACAATGTGTTCTCATAGAAATGGAATGGGAGCCACATATGCCACTTTACATTTCCTAGTAAGTAAAAGAAACAGGTGAAATTAATTATAATAATACATTTTATTTAATGCAGTATTCAAAAATATTCTCATTCAACTTATAATCAGTATAAAGTTATTAATGACAGATTTTACGTTTATGTTTTTTCATACTAAGCACTTGGAATCTGTGGTGTATTTTACACTCAGAGTACATCTCAATCTGGACTAGCCACAGTTCAAGTGCTCAACACCCACATGTGATCAGTGGCCATCATATTGTACAGTACAGGTCTAGATTGCCCCATGTAAATTTTGGTCTTCTATTAATGCCTGTGATGAATTTGACCACATGTATTTTAGGCAATGTTCATTCAGTGTGACTATTTAGTTTTTGTCCTTGGTTGAAATGTTATCAAGTAGTGTCTTTGCTAGAGGTGAAGTTTATTTGAAATAAAGTGTGATTTTCCCTAAGGATACCTGAAGATGCTGTTTACTTAGAGACTTCACAAAGAAGTGAACAGGTTAATTGAGAATAAAACATAATATTAAAAGATGCACAGTTCAGTTATAAACATCTAACTCATGCAAAACCTGCTGAATAAAGTCCTAGGTCCCTCCCATGGTTTTCTGTGTCTTTTGTCATCTGGTCTCTGTTTTCTGTCCTAGCCTCTTTGCTCCCCTCTCCCCTAAACCAACCCCATGATCTAGTCATACTGAATTATTTACAGTTCCCCTAACATGATCCTACACAAGCCTATAAGGCAGGTATGTTTACCACTATGTCACAGGTAAAGACATCATTCAATAGGTATAAATGACTTGCACAAGCTCACAAACATGTGCTAAGTGGTAAATCTCGGAAACAAGTCTTCAGACACCTGCACAGAGCACTCCCTACTCCACACGAAACAGGTAGGCTTAGGCTTCCTGGACTTTCTGGAAAGGGTGTCCTTAGCACCTTAAATGATAGCTTAAGTCACCAGACCAAGCTCTGTGACTGTTACCTTTAGCTTGCTGCTCTGAATATGACAAACAAAATATTTTATTGCAAGCATTTTGAATCGAGTTTTGCAATAGGATATTACACACATTCAACAAATACAAAGAGGCAAGGAATTATGGTTTTGTTTCCATTTCAAAGCATTCTAAGTATTTAACTTCTAAGACAAATCAGTCCAAGAGCTTGACAAGGTAATTTGAGGGAACATTACAATTGATGCCTTTGAAACTACTGTTGTGGCTTTAGGTTTCTCTCCTTTGGTTTCCAAAAAATCTAGTATCTTACGTGGGTGAATAAAAAGTTGTTTTTGTTTAGGAAATTGCTGGCATTAAAAGAGTGAGTCTGTTGGTTCACAAATATATTTAAGAGGAAGACAGTGAAGCGACACACATCACTCCTGCACTTTGGAAATGACTGAGACTTTATGAGGCCCAATCTGTTTGCCTCGTGCTTCTCCCTGATTCTTCCCCAAAACTTACCTTATGCAACTTGTTGCCACAGATAAGAGAATGACACTGATAAATCAAAATCTGAAAAATCAAAATCCTATTTTACTAGGGCTACCTCATTATATTTTATTGTTGCTACTATTATTTGAAATAATGTGGACATTTGTTGAAATGTATAAAGCATCAAGAACACATAGTCTGCCAAACATTTTAGAGTATTAGCCAAATGTAGTGTGTATCCAGTTGGTTAATTTCAAAATCTCAAAAGTCCTTGAATACAGACCACAAATGCATAGTCAACTCTCTGGGTGCGATGCGCACAAAAAGCCCAAAGTAAGACTCGAGTCTGTGAAGCACTGAGCACAAGAAATTGATGTGGCCAATTTAACATCAAAGTAGACTTCAAGAGAAGAAATATTATCAGAGGTAAGATGCCAATTCACTAGGAAGACATAATCCTAGATGTGTTATTAGCAAATAATAGAGGTTCAAAATAAATGCATTAAAATTGAGATAACTAAAGGCAGAAATATAGTAAAATTCAATTATGGTGGAATATTTGAACACTTGTCTGTCAGTAATTGATAAAACAATTAGACCAAAAAAAATAGAAGATTTGAACAACCCTATAAACTCTCTTAATCTAGTTGCTTGCAAGAGACGCCACACCCAACAAGAGCAGCGTTTTCAAGTGCACATGGAGCATTCCCCAAGACATGTCATAATGTGGGCGATTACATATCTCATTAAATTTTAAAGGATTAATGTTAGGTTGTTTAATTTGAGTAAATAAGGAAGCTTCTGCTTTGTGTGTGGATCCTTTTCTTTAAATAATATATCATCTGAAATAATAATAATACACAATTTGGGGACATCTGTAAGAAGCTAGTTATTTAAGCTCTTTAACTACATGTTATCATAGAGTTTACTTTTTTTAAAGGATAAGTTTTTAAAATATATAAAGCAGTATCACCAAAAGTGTTTGTGTAAAAAAAGCATCCTTCCCCTTCTCTTGCCCCCTCCACACTCACTATAAAACTGGGAATAAAAGCCATTTGTGGCCAGCAGTTGTTTGGCAATGACAGCTCACCTTGACTACAATCAGGCAGTATCTCTTTGTTGATACAGCCAAGGATCTTCAACTCCCTTCACCTTTGTGTACCCTTAACTTCACATCAAAGCACTGCTGCTTGGGAGAGGTGAAGGCTTGCGTGCTTCTGCCCATGCTGGATGGCCATCTGGTCCAGATAACACCCAGCACGCTCTTGCAGATGTTCAACTGGCACCTGTCTCACCCGTCCTGTCCACTGCACGCAGAGTGAATGTGTGTAACTGATCAAGAACACATTATAGAAATAACACAGGTATAGTCACATGTCTTTGAATGTGAGAGTAAAATTCTGTTAAGCAAATATGGTTTGTGGGTTTTTTGATTTTTGTTTTTTTCAGAATTAACAGAAAGATCAATATAGAAATACCAAGGTGGTTAATAGCAGCTTTTAATTTCTATCTGTAAGAATCTTTTAAAGAGAGGATTTCAACCACAACCCATTCCAAAGCTTATCAATTTCATCTCACCGTGCCAACACCAGTGTTTACAGTTCATATGCTGTAGCATACAGATGATCCCTGAACCTTCACTAATAAGCTTTCAAATTCTTCTCAATGCATGCAATTTATTTTTGCTAAAAATGAGGACACATGGTAATTCTTGTTAGGTAGTGATGGAAGCTGAGGGTATCATGTGATACAGTTCAGAGTAGGGTAAAACTGATTACAAGTTGTAAGATGCATAAAAAACTCCTGCAGTCACACCCGAGTTAGGGTTGATTTAGGGCTGCCAGCAGCACTGCTATAACAGAGACACAGGAGTCAATCCTGAGCAAAAAGAACAAAACTGGAGGCATCACACTACCCAGCCTCAAACTATACTACAAGGCTACAGTAATCAAAACAGCATGGTACACATAGACCAATGGAATAGAATAGAAAACACAGAAATAATTCAATTCACCTACAGCCAGTTTATTTTTGACAAAGGCACTAGAAGCATACATTAGGGAAAGGTTCACTAAGGTGTACAAAACACAGTTACATAGAAGGAATAAGTTCTAATTCAGCAGTACAGTAAAGAAATTGTATTTAACCAGAATTCATCATATATTTCAAAATAGCTAGAAGAATTGTAATATTCCCTACACAGAGAAATTATAAATGTTTGAGGTGATGAATATCCCAGTTACCATAATTTGATTATTGCACATTGTTTATACATATCAAAATATCACATGTACCCCCAAAATTTGTACAACTACTATGTAAATAAATAAATAAATATAAATTAGGCCAAAAAAATGGAAAAAGATAAATCTATTTCTTACAGTTCTGGGGGCTGGGAAGTCCAAGGTCAATGGCCACATCTGGTGAGGGCCTTTTTGCTGGTGGTGACTCTGCAGAGTCCTCAGGTGGTGCAAGCATGCCATGGTGTGGGGCACACAGGAGGGAACCAACCTGGCTTTTATAACAGACTAACTTTTATAATAACTAACTTATTCCCATGGTATCCCATTAACCATTAATCTACAAATTAATGCAAGCAGGAGGGGAGAGCCCTCATGACCCAATCACCTCTTAAAGATCCTACCTTTCAACTCTGCTGCATTGGGGGCCAAGTTTCTAACATATGAACTTTTGGGGAACACATTCAAATTCTAACAGATTATCATCTTGGAACTAAAGGCAGCTTCAGATTGGCCCTTCACATCAGCTTCACTCCTGTGGCCAGAGAATCAGCTTGAACATGTTGCCAGTTCCTAAGTATATCTGTTCCCACTATATATTCAGACATTGGGGAAATAACCACAGAATAAGCCCACAGACCCTCTCTGAGACAGACTCAAGCCAGTATGTCATCTATTACTTGACTTCCATAAGGTCCCATTTTGACTAGTCTACCATATGGGTATTTCTGGTCTCTGGTTATTAGCAATCATTTAAATCCAATAACAATAATCCCTCAATAATCTAGTTATTTCCCTTTTCCTAGGGCAGTCACCCTGATAAATGGTCAAGTTGCCTCTGGGAGAAGTCTTGAGAGAAGAAACCATATACAGAGTCATATCTCAGTTGATCCTCCAAGCAAAAGGCTTTATATCCAGAACCTGGCTTAGATCTGGTAACTAGATAAGAGGCCATACATTCTCCATAAGCAATTCATCATGATCCATAGGGAAGGAGCAAAGCTGAGTGGGTAGTAAGTCCCTGGATTCCTTCTTCTCACCCCCTCCAATCTTTTCTCGGTGGTCCGTATTTGTGGAGGTTAACAGGAAACCAGAAAGCAGGAGAGCTCAGTGATGTAACCCATCTGTCAACCTCCCAGAAGAGCCACAGGGGCAGAGAAGTAAGAAGCATGAACCTGGAGGAGATGGAGGTCACCAGCACAGGTTCCCCAACATTCAAAACATATGTATGCCATGACGTGTCTTCATTTTAACACAAATTATTTTTACTTGGCTGCATTTACTTAATGTATATGTCAGATACCATTTGGTATTGGTACACATAAAGCTGTTTCATGCCTTTTTTTTTTTTTTTGTCTTGTTTTGAGATGGAGTTTTGCTCTTGTTGCCTAGGCTGGAGTGCAATGATGCGATCTTGGCTTACTGCAACCTCTACCTCCCGAGTTCAAGCAATTCTCCTGCCTCAGCCTCCCAAGTAGCTGGGACTACAGGTGCCTGCTGCCACGCCCAGCTATTTTTTTGTATTTTTAGTAGAGAGGGTTTCACCATGTTAGCCAGGATTGTCTCGATCTCCTGACCTCGTGATCCACCATGTTAGCCAGGATTGTCTCGATCTCCTGACCTCGTGATCCACCTGCCTCGGCCTTCCAAAGTGCTGGGATTACAGACATGAGCCACCGCGCCCAGCCAATTCTCTTATTCTTTAGAAGAGACCTCCTCAATGTATTTCGCAGCATATTACACAATGGCTTATAGACATGTCATGGGTAACAGGGCAGTAGGCAGGGCCCATCTACATGCTGCATTGTGCACATTCTTTTCTTTGTGGCCCTGAAAAGCATTGTGTTAGATATCTATTACCTGACATAAGCAAAGATAGGATTCATGTATTTATACATTATCCACTCTCTTTACTCTCTTACACCACCCGTATTTCACTGGTTCTATTATTTACCTTAGTATTATCCTTAAGTATTTTCTGATAGATATGGCAGGTTGACCCTATCTACTTTCCTTTTAACTGTTGCCCTGTATTGCAGTGGCTGAAAAGCTAAAGGCTCTAATTTGCAGACTCCTTTACAGCCAGGATTCCAGAAGACTCAGGTCTGATGAATGAGATGCACGCTCCTGGGTGGCAGAGGTGAGATGGGGGCCTTGCTTCTGCTATTTCTGCTGGCAAGTGTGAGAGTGCTGTAGAGATTTCCTGTAGCAGCTCAATGTCTAGTGACCAGCACCTTGAGTATCAGGAAGGACATGGGTATTCATCTGCTGGTGGGGACCAGAGCACAGGCAGGGACCATAGCACTGCTTGGGGCTTCCTCTCTGAGGTGAGTTCTTACCCAGGAGTGGTACAATGTTTCAGGACCCAGAAGAAGTAGTAGTTCTCTTCTTCTAGAAGCCATTTAATATGCTGTAATAAATTTCTGCTTTGATTTATATCTTATAGTAAATTTACTCTATCGAATTTTTGAATTTATATATAAAAACATGTTTGGGCAAGATTTTCACTGTTTCCATCCAGTATTTTTCTAAGCGATCTTCACCTTCAATTTATTTTTCCTATTTCTTGTCTTGTTTCCTTTTTTAAAAATATTATTTGGTGTGTTCTATTCAGAGTAGAAGAATTTTGAATGGGAAATAGTTCTTCCTGGACCAGTACAGGTGGGAAGTTTAGATGATGAGTGGGCCAGGGCTGTTTTTAAGGCTGTCCGGAATCCTCCTTGGCACACAGTGAAATTCCTCATGACTGAATTTTTTGTAAGTGAATGAAGTATCCAGCCCTTCACTTCTCCCCAGGCTACAAGACCAGTGGTGACAGAGCTACTCTCCATGGAGAGCCCTTCTCCTCTCCCCTCACCAACAGACTGCTTCCTAAAAATATGGCGTGCCTACCCCACTTCTTTTTCCACCCTCCTTGCCAAAATGGGCCTGAGGAAAATGCTACAACCAATTTGTGAACCAATTTGTCATTGCCTTGAAGAAGGAATATATCTATATCTTTATCTATATATCTAGGGTTTTTTTTTTCTTTTAGGATACAACACTTGCTTTAGAAAACTGAGTAGAAAACTGTTCTTGAGAAAGTTTGTCTGAGATCTCTAGCCATAGGCATCCTCTCAACTCTTACTCATCTTCCTTTCAACTTTTGGTGACCCTTCCTCAATTATTGTGATTTAAGTTTACAGGCACCCCCAAGTTTAACTAAAGATAGGGTTTTCTTGCTGTTTTTCATTCTATGTGTTGTTACAGGTAATTTAGGAAGTTTGAAAGGGGCAGCAGCATCTGTATGTGCTCATTTTGCTTTGGGGATGCTAGACTGGGCAAACCTGATCAGGCTGTGTCCCTAGGGAAAGGGCACAGAGTACAGACTGAAGATGCAAGCTAGAGGGGGTCAGGATCAGAAGGGGTGGAGCTCTGGAGGAGGCAGAGAGGAAAAAGGTCATGGGCAAATGTAGGACAATGCTTCTCCATGCCTTCACACATATATTAATAATATGTCAGAATTTGTCAGCATATTGAATAAAATGTACAATTCTCACACCGGATAGGACCAGCCTAAAGATTTTGGCCCCATGCTGTTTGAAAGCTGAGGGGATCCGTATCTCATCACCATTATAATCATTTTCATGCACCAACTTGCCTCCAGTGAGGGCACACTGAAGGGATCAGAAGGTTAGACTGGGGGAGAAGTGTGCTATAGACGTTTGGGACATAAGCAGAATGATACAGGTAATAAAGCAGATGGATTTTAAGGTAGAGAGGAGATGTGAGATGTTTATCCCCAAGTATAAGGTTAGTTGCATCTGATTCATTAGGTCCCCAAAATATTGTGAAAAAGCTGATCATAATTCCTACACAATAATTGTAAGACGACATGGAGGCTCAATCTCTTAATCCTGGGTTCATTCTGCTACTGCTATAACAACACAATTTTAAATTCTCAAAGAAAATTTAAGTAATTAATTAGATTGGTATTTTTCCAACTTTCTAACTAAAAATGAATCTTTTAGTTGCTGTGTTTTAGGCTGATGTATTCAGATAATCACCCCCACACTCTGTTGGCTGGTACACATGTAGGCAGGCACGTGGGTGAGTGTGTGGGAGGCATAAGGGGACCAGGTGGGAGCGAGGAGAGGAGTCAGACTGGTCATTGCCAACCACTGCATGATCCAGGGGTGCCTGAGGCCAGAGGGACATGACCAATTTGGCATCCAGTCTAACTTCTCCTTGCCCATCCCAGAAACCTGCTGTCTGGTATAAAGTTTACCAGTCAGAGAGCACCTAGAAGGGTGACTGTGGAATGGGAAGAGGAATCCTTAACCATGATTGACTCCTGTCTGCATCACTACAGCTTCTCTAAGGAAAGCACCAGAGACACAGCAGGTAGAATAGTATAACTACTACCTTCATTTTTGCCCTCAAAGCTATTTTTTCTTTCTTTAACCAATAAAAAAAGAACAGATTTTTTTGTCAGTCTAGATGACTCTTCACTTAGAAAAATCTAGACTATGTGGATTCTGTTCACATTTTTTTTCCCTACAACATAATTCAACTGAGAGACTCAGACTTTGGTATAACAATTCCTAGTCATTAGATACCAGTAAACACAATTAGTCATTGTTTTAAATGAATTCTCATTATATTTTCCATTACACTTCCTTATTATTTAAAAAGCAGTATTTATGCATCATGTTTACCTTCTTGGTTTTTTCTCCGTATGAAAGGATTAATTTTTCTCTTATGGAAGTATTGATTTCTATAGCATAATGGTTGATAATATAAAATTTTCAAAATTGAATAGTCATAAAATGATCAACCTAATTTAAAGGAGACATTTTCAAATAAATATTTAGAATTCACATTCATGATAATAGAAGCAACTGGGCCAAAGATAAAAAAGTTAATCTACAATTTAACATTAAATTCACAATAAGTAGCATGAAACTGCAATTTCTTAAATTAACCACTAAATGAGAACGAATTACTCATCTATGACAAAGTCATTGTTTCCTTTGAACATTATTTTGAGAGTTACGAGAAATGGGTTGTGACTTTCAAAAGAGCTAGCTACTAAGAAACTCCAAAACATATAGCGTACACCATTTCTTCTTTGTCATAAATGTTATTAAAGTTATTGTATTAGTAATTATAGATTCTAAAGTAATGTTTAACTGACATTGTTTGTCTGCATTCTATGGCATTATTAATATTTTATATACTATTTTGACTAATATAGACGGACTTACTTAGTAAGTCTATCTGTGTTCCTCATACAAATTATAAGGAGTTTCCTTTTGTCATGATTGACTGCATTTTGCACATTCTACAGCAGAAGTAGGAAACAGCCAGCTGTTCAGACAGTGTAAAGGCTCTTGTATCCCAAAACTTAGAGGAACTAACATTTATGTACCAGAAACCATGCTGTATTAGTGTGTTCTCATGCTGCTAATAAAGACATACCTGAGACTGGATAACTTCTAAAGGAAAGAGGTTTAAGTGACTCACAGTTCAGCATGGCTGGTGAGACCTCAGGAAACTTACAATTATGGTGAAAGGGAAAGCAAACACACAAACACATCCTTCTTCACATGGCAGCAGCAAGGAGAAGGACAGAGCGAAGGAAGGGAAAAGCCCCTTATAAAACCATCAGATCTTGTGAGAACTCACTCACTATCACGAGAACAGTATGAGGGTAACCGCTCCCATGATTAAATTACCTCCCATTGGCTCCCTCCCACGGCATGTGGGGATTATGAGAACTAAAATTCAGCATGAGATTTGGGTGGGGACACAGCCAAACCATATCATGTGCTAAGGGCTTTATATAAATCATCATGTTTTATACGTGCCACAACACTAAGAAAGAGGTAGTAATATCTCCATTTTTACAGCTGAAAAAAAATCAAGACTCAGAAAAAGTTAAAAGAACCTGTTCAAAGTTAAAAAGCAAAGGATTCAAATTCAGTTTTGTTCCACTACAAAATTATGCTTCTCACTCATTCTTATTTTAGTAATGCATAAGGCAGTCATGAAAATATGCGGCACACACCTCTGCAGGACATAGCTTACTGACCTTCTGGTCCCTCTGCCAGCCTCTGGAATCTGTCTCATGTTGACGGGGTTATCCTCTAAGGGGCAATTCTGGGGCTCATGGGTGTTCTCTCAGGGCTTGGCCAAAACTTTCTTGGAACTGCACTGCAATCTCCTTTCCTTTCTCTCTCCTTCCATAGGTGCCAGACCTGCTGCATAGTCCGGAAACAACTCCACCTCTTTCCACTCCTTCTTTTAATAAATCTCTTGTATGAATAATCCTGTCTGTGCCTGCCTTCTGAGAGACATAGACTAACAGAAAGTGTACTAGGAGTGGTCCAGGGAGATAGTCTATGAGCTCAGGATGTGGGACAAGCTCACTCCCAGCCCACTGGGTGCAGAGGATGCCAGCCTGACCAGTTGGTGTGGTCCCACTAGTTCCTGGCATAAGTTAGTGGCTTAATTATTAAACATTTCACTGGTGGTATTCAGGGAAAAAGTCATGTGCAGGGGACTGTCTTTGTAGGTGAGATGATTCAGGTTTGGGGAAAACATGAAGCGCAACGCCACAAAGACATTTTATCTGGCTGGGTACTAGGAAAGCTCTTGAAGGGAAAGGAGGATGGACTTGCATAAGCAAGAATCTATTAATATAAAGAAACTTTCTTGGGGCATGAAATTTGATATCCTGGCGAGGATGAGGGGAATGGGAAGACTCACTGTGATGGAGGCTCTTAGAAGCTTATAAAAGGCGGTGGCCAATGCTGAGCAAAGGGAAATGCCCAAGGTACCCTGTCAGGTGGTAGGGTAAGGACTAAAAAGCTCAGGTGGAGATAGGGGTTGGTTGGATATTTTATGTGAAGCTATAAGACTTACCAGGGGATTACACTCCACAAAAGGACTCAGAGGACATTTTTCACTAAGGCCATAGGGAATGTACTGGTGAGAATGGCACCACCATCACTGAGAAGCTCAGTGGTGGCTCTTCTGCACCAGGCAAGACAGTAGGAGAGGCTGTCCTAGGCCAGCTCTTCACATGCATGGGAATGATGGCACTTCCAAATTATACAGACCTGGTGGCAGAACTTAACCACCTGAAGCCAGGGGTTCACAATTGCCGTGACTAGCAACAACAGATGGTACCCCATTGGGATTGGCCTCCGGGGGTTGTAGATCTTGTTAATAGAGGAATGATTCCACAGAGATAAAATAGAAGGGGAAGGGCCATCAACTATGATGTTACTTGGCATCTGCAACCCAAACAGACAAGAATGGGGAGAAGAAGGCTGAGGGCAGTTGCCCCCCAAAAAATCACAACCTCTTTCTCAGTTCCCAGGTCTCAGTGAACATTCAGATCTAGAATCTATTGACTGAAGAAGTGTCCAGGCCCCTAGGAAGAAGGATCTTAAAACACTACAAAACGTATATATTCTAATGATGCTCTCAGTCTGTCCCAGAGACTTATGTGCACTGGCTTGGGTGATGTACACTGAGGGAAGGTGAATGGACAGTCAGACATTTGGAACACTACCTGAAAATGGGTCTCAACTAATGTTATAACTGAAGATCCAATGTGTCATCATGGTCCCTTTTCGAATGGGAACTTTTGGTGGGGGTGAGGGATTAACTGATGAGATAAAGTCCAGCCCACATAGGCCCAATGGTCATTTCCCAAGTTCCCAAATGTGTAACTAGAATTTATATAATGAACAACTGGAATAATTCTCACACTGGGTCCTTGGCTACTATAGTGAGAAAGGAGAAGGAGAATCCTCTGAAACTGCCCTTTTCCAGACTCTAGCCAGGATAGCAAATCGAAAGTAATATTGTGCTCTAGGGGGAATGACAGATTAGTGCCTTCCTTCAGGATCTCAAAGATGCAAGAGTGGTGGTGTTGTGGGTTAAATGATGGCCTCCAGAAAGATAGGTCTACATCTAAATCCCTGGACTCTGTGAATTTGACCTTGTTTGGAAAAAGGGTCTTTGCAGATATATTTAAGTTAAGGATCTTTAGATGTGGTTCATCCAGAAATATCCAGGCGGGTCCTAACCTGATGACAATGTCCTTATAGCAGATAGGAGAGCAGAAGAGTCAGAGTAAGGGGAAGGTGATGTGAATGAAGATGGAGCAGAAAAATGTGAGCACACACCTTGCAGGGAAGCCAGCAACCGCCAGAAGCAGAAGCAGCAAAGGCAGAATCTTCCAGTTGAACCTCCAGAGAAAGTATGGCCCTGACGACAAACTAATTTTGGACTTCTGGCTTCCTGATACGTGAGAGAATAAATTTGTATTGTTTTGAGCCACCAAATTTGTGGTAGTTTGTTATGACAGCTTCGGGAAACTAATACAGGTGGCTTCTATCATATCTTCATTTAATTTGCCAGTCTGGCCTCTGCAGAAATCTGATGGCTCTCAGAGAATAAATCTTAACTACCATAACTTCTCCCAAGTAGCAACCCTGATCCAGTTGCTGTGCTGGACATGATGTCATTGCTGGATCAGATGAATAAGGCCTCAGGTACACAGTATGCCACCATTGATTTTACAGGTGCATTCTTTTTCATTTTGAAAAGGAAAGAAAATTAAAAATTTCTTACACTCACATAGATTGAGCAAAAATATTCATTTAAAGTTTGCTTTGGGGTTTTATTTGCTTGCTTTCCTGTCCTCTATTATACTTTTTTTTTTTTTTTTTGAGACAGAGTCTTGCCCTGTCACCAGGCTGGAGTACAGTGGTGCGATTTCAGCTCACTGCAATTTCCAGCTCTCAGGTTCAAGCGATTCCCCTGCCTCAGCCTCCTGAGTAGCTGGGACTGCAGGCATGTGCCACTATGCCCAGCTAATTTTTTGTATTATGTTGGCCAGGATGGTCCCAATCTCCTGACCTCGTGATCTGCCTACTTCGGCCTCCCACAGTGCTGGGATTACAGGCATAAGCCACCACACCTGGCCTGTTATGCTTTAATGTGCTAGAAGCCTTAGTAAGACATGTGTACAGAGAACAATAATCTTTATAGATTATCATCTATTGAGAGACTTACCAATTGATTGAAGCTTTCAGCATTTGGGGGTTGGGACAAGGAGTGATATCCTATTCAAAGCTAAAGAAAAATTGCTGTATCCTGCATCTCCTACCACAAAGAAGGAAACCCAAGGCCCAGTTGTCCTCTGAGGGCTCTGAACACAATACATTCCACATCTGAGAATATTACTCCAGCCCATATACAGGAGACACAAAATGCTGCCAAATTTGAAAGGACTCAGAGCAGAAAAGGGCTCTGTAGTAAGTCTGGCCTGTGCTCAAAGCAGTCTTATGACTTGGTCCATGTCAGTTGTGGGGAGAGATGCAGTACACAGCCAACGCAAGTCCCAGGGTGAGAATAAGAATGTAGCCTCTGGGATGCTGGAGCAAGGCAATGCCATTAGCAGCAGAAAATTATATAGTTTTTGAGAAGCTGGAGTATTCCTGGATCCTGCCAGAGGCAGAAGACTTGCCCATGGGGCATCAACAAACCATTGTGCAGAACTGCTCAATGTGAGCAGGGTTCTGTGAGACCCAGCATGTCATAAAGCCATATGTGCCCAGTAGGATTTGATGGTACAATGGATATGGTGCATCTGAGATTGAGCCTGAGTAGGACAGAAGGGCATGAGTAAGCATCCAGAGCAGGTAGCCTAGATGCCCACATTACCCAGTTACCCATTGTGTTCCCCAACTCACACCTGTAGTCAGATGGGGTGTGGGTATCCTCACATGACCAAATGTGAAGGAGGAGAGGGCCAATCTCAGTTCATGAATAGGTCCACCGAGAATGAGTACTCACCTAAAATGATGGAGACTTCACCACCACCACACAGAGAAGGGGACTTAAAAGACAATAGAGAGGAAAAAAATCTTCTGAACTGACAGACAACTTTAGGTGGAAAGAGAAGTGATCCAAGAAAAAAAATCATATCCAGATGACTGGATAGTGGTCAGTGGCCTGATCTGGGGAGGAAAAAGAGGGAACTGTGATAAGGAGGTCTGGGTAGAGGCATGTAGACAGATGTCTGAGAGTGGCCACCAAGAGTGAAGATTATCATATCACATATTAACATACTGCAGAAAGCATCTGCCAGAAGAGTCATTGAACAGTTAAGTAGTCAAAACGATGCAGCCATTTGGCTGAAGCCATTTGTTATTGGCACCTGGAACTCATAGAACTAGCACAATGATACATGAAAAGGGTCACCATGGGGGCAGAGATGGAAGTTGTATATGGGCCCAGTAGCCTGGACTCTCACTTACCAAGGCTGATCTAGCTACTTATGCCTTTGAAGGTCTCATTGTCAGCAAGACAGATCAATGCCCTGTCCCTGATACCAAATAATATTATTCAAGGAGAAAGCCAGCCACTTGAGCAAGTCACCTACATTGGGCCCTTTCTGTCTTCAAAGGGCAGAAATTCATCTTCACACAGATAAAGACCCATTCAGGGTTTGGGTCTGGCTTTCTTGCCTGCATATTTTCAGCCAATATCACTGTCTGGGGCTTACATGAGGCCTGATCCATGAGCACACCTCCCACACATCATAGCATTCATCCAGGGAATTAATCTATCATTTTGCAGCAAAAGAGGTAAGCATGGTCCCATGACCACAGGATCCACTGGTCATATCACATGCTACACCATCTGAAAGCAGCCAGCTTCACAGAGCACTGAAATGGTCTTCTAAAGAAAGCTGAGTTGACAGCTTAATGGCAACTCTTATCCTTCACAATACGGTAGATGCATCAAATTAGAAACCTTTATGTTTCCCAATAGGGAGACTTTATGGGTCTACTTGCCATTGTTCTCAGTGATCCACTTGGGGGGCTTCATACTTATAATTCCCACAGCTCTGGGCTGGAGTTCTTGGCCCCCTGGGGGGCACATTCTTTCCAGAGGACACTTAATGGTCTTATTGAATTGCAAGTTATGGCTGTTGCCAGGGAACTTTGACCCTTTATGCCCAGGGTTTTGTAGACAAGAAAGACAGTCATCACTGTGGTAGGCATTACCATTCTGATCTGCAGGAGGAGGTGGCACTCCTAACATAGATAGCGCTTTACACATGGGGATAATACGTGTGGAGCCTACATGATCTACTTGAGTGTCTCTAGATACTCCCTTGCCCCACAATAACTATGAATGTACATGAGCAGTAACTTCAGCCTGAGAAGTGTATGATGGCCAAGGGCTCAAACCCTTGAGAAATAAAGGTTTGAGTCACATCACCAGGTAAGCCACAAAGTGATAGCTAGGGTAAGAAAAATCTAGATGATTAGTGCAGGATAGTAAGGATTACAACTAGTTGTAGCGCCCAGATCAACTGCAACCGCAGAAGCTATAGGTCCTCCCACTAAGCTTCCTTTTCCAAGTTTCCTCTCAGGAAAAGAAGCCCATAGGAATTATAGAGGAGCTACTCCCAAACCTGCATGGAGAAGTGAATCTGTGCAGTTTAAGACAGGGAACTGCAGTGAGAATGAAAATGCAGCACTTAGGTTTCCTGCTGCAGGGGACACAGTTGTGTGTTGGCCTCTGCTGCTGCCTTCTGGATCCACCACTCTGTGGCCACACTTCCTGCTGGCTACTCTCAGCTCGGACTGGGCATGGTAGGGTACTGAGGCAGTCCTGTTCTGCTGAGACATGAGACTACGTGAAGCCATAACTTTGGCTTGAGGGTTCCCTGTTGGCCTGGAAAAATCTCTGTCAGAACTCTGCTGCAGTTCAAATCTCTCTCCACTGAATCCTTCCCTCCCTCCTTCCTATGTTATAGTATGAAAGCCTTCCTTACCTCTTCCTGCTTCCTTCTTGAAAAGGTCTCTTGCACTTCTGATCCCATCTTGGGATCTGCTTCCTAGGGGACCCTAAGTAAAGCAAGATAATTAAAATGTTACCTTTTCTCATTTTCTCTCTCCCACTTCATTCCTTCCATATGCTAATGTTATAATGTAAAAACTCAATGACCAAAGAAAAGTACATCTCAGGTGTAATTACTTATAAGAAAAATGGGTAGTTTGGATGGAAAAATTTAGATTTATTGATCTGTCGAAGTTCATTGGGTTGGTTAGAGCATGTATAGTTAGTAAATTTTCAACAGGTTCCAGGGGATGGTCAGTGAGGGTATTGTCAATACCGTCTTATGTTGGTCAGGATTTGCTGTTACTTTTTAATTACAGTTTTCAATTGTTTTAATTTAATAATCTAGATGACTATGGATTATTTGTTTAAAATTCACCAATGGAAGCAATGTCAACTTTCTTCAACAATATTTTAGCCTAAGATTTTCCAATAATTAGCCTTAAGATATATATAGTCTGCAGTTCAAAAACCTTATTTCTACTGCTGAAGCGGATTTATAAATAATTTCTGAAATAATTGCTGTACTCTGATACTAATTGTTATCTCTAACTTCTTTTTTCCTGAAAAGTAGGAACTGTGAAGTAGATTTTCCCAATTAAATTGACCACAGTCTAAAATTAAAAAAAAAAAAAAAAGTTGAGAACTCTTCTATTACACTGGGAGCAAATTAAGAAGTTGGGAGGATAAATGTTAGAGTATTATTTTAGCGTTAGCTGCAAGTTCTTTCTTAGATTTTCTTCCTAATACTATCAATTTTTTTCATATTAGTTATTGAACTAATTTTTTTCTTATTTATTTTTATTTATGCTTCTTAAAGAATTTTCTGGTTTTACTTTTGTATCAGCAGACTTGGTTTTGACTCTTTTTCCCATTGTGAATTGTGTATTCCCTTGTGAATATAATGTTTATGGTATTTTAAGTTGTCAATTTAATTGTTCAAAGAGAATTTATAGTGTCTTCACAGGTACTTTATGTAGATTGTAATTTCCAAGACTTGACATTTCAGTAAAACAATCTACAATTTACTCGTTTACAATAATGTTAGCTCAAACACCAACATATAGGAACCATCAAGAAAAAAAACACCCATTTAAAAAATCTTCACTTAAAATATAATTAGCAAAATATTTTAAAATAAACTCATTTTAAAAATTAATCTTCTATATATATTACAATATGGTTTTAAATAAATTATTTTTAATTGCCTTTGTTAAAGAAATTGAATTCTAAGTAAGCTGGGATATAAGAATTTACATTCACAACTGTCTTCTGTTATTTCTACTAATCTCTCCTTTTCTGAAATGTTCCTTTATGCTAGAACACTTGAGTTTTATTTTACACGAATGATCACGTTCCTCGAATAGGGAATGAAGGTGCCTTTATCCTGGGAAAGAGATTATACCTCTGTATGGACGCTCGCCAAGCAAAGCACATCTGTAAAGAAAGAACTTAATGGGAAAAAACTTAATGCAAGGCAACCTAAAGGTCACTGCTAATGCAAATACTAAAAAAAAAGCCTTATTCACAGATAATTGTTATTTCCTGGATCTAGAATTAATATTGGAAAGTATTTTGTCAAGGGTATGTTTCCTTGAAATATGATAATGAGTGCAATTATATTTGCTTCCCCAAAAACTTCCAAACTTCCACACAGATGTTCAAAACTTTATAAAGAATATTTCTAGATTGAGTTACCCTATTCAGTGTTCTTTAATGACTTTATACATTGTCAATATTTTAGATGCTTCCCCAAAGCCCAAATCTATATTCTAATTCAGCTTTCTGTTTAAAACTAAAACATTGCTTCTATTTGGGTAGTTACAGTTTCTTCGCTAGCTCTAGAACTTTATGAATAAAAATAAGAAAACTTGTACTTTTTATATTTGTACTTTTTGTTCTAAATTAGAGGCATGTGGAATAGATGGTCGGGGAGGTAATTGCTGTCACCTCCAATTAATGTGGTCTGAGAAAGAGGTTCCACCCTTCCAATCACAATGCATTAACACTTTTCACACGGGACAATAATGATCATTTATCATGTCTTCTAGATGACAACACACAGTTAGACAGTGTATGCTCCTTAGTCAGCATGTCAGAAATATTTTATCACGGTTGCATCAACTCTTTGTGGCATTAAATGCCACAAAACCCCTCACTATGCACTGTCACTGATGGTCTGGCTCTGAAGTCCATTGGCCAGCCAGCCCTGTGTAGTATTCTCAATCAACATTCTCCCAAGCAGACATACAAACGTATATTTTCCATGGGCCACAAAGACTCCTTCCTTTTGTCTACAGTGCACAAACTGGTATGTACATACATTGTTTCATCTAAAGTGTTGCAAATTATGTTGTCAAAATTCTCTCCATTTGTTCTAAATACCTCTTCTTTATTTAGCATTAAGTTTCCAAAACAAATAATCATTAGATAGTAGGCATTTGTGGTGAAAAAATTATAGGTTTTTAAAGTGTGTTTAACGCAAAATGCTGCTTTTCTACAATAGTAAGCAGGGAAATAAAATTGAAACCACTAATCTCTAAAATAGTGATATGATGAAGTATTTTGAAATCAAGGTGTCCTAGAGAGGCTTCTGCAATTGACTGTCTTCACCTGAGATGAGATGCATTACAAACAACAACTGGGGAGAGACTTAGGAGCTTACTGCAGCCTCAAAGGCCAACCCCTCCCCAGGCGGGTGCATCCTCTGGCCACCCACTCCTTCATGTCTACAGCTGGAAAGGCTAGCTCTTCCTCCATGGCCATGTCTTTAAGCCAAAGCTGTAAGAAAAAGAAAATCATCCCAGATGTACACACAAATTCAACTAGTCTTAGATAACTCTTTACTATTATTTTTGGTGATTACAAGTAATTTTTCCTATCAACACTAGATTTATTACCTGTGCCTAAATTTTATGCGGCCATCTGCCTTCCTATGCCATATACTACTTGCTTTGGGGCAGTTTTCATTAGTCATTAGCCAAAAAAACACAGAGTCATTTTGAAATCACAGCCAATGTGCTGTGTGTTGAGATTTGAAATATCATAGAAATGATATGTTATGTTAGTTATATGTTCCCTTTTACATATTTCTATGTCTATCTGGAAGATACTCATTTAACTAAAATTTATCTCTCTTTCTCTTCCTCTTTCTCTATTCTGACAGCTTCCTTCCCTAAGGTTTTTAATTTATACATGTAAGCAGAATACTTAGTAGTAAGTGCAAATATGACCTTGCATTCTGTAAAGGTCAATGATAATAATGAAATTAACCATTATGTACATGTGTCAAGCAAGTGAGCATCTACAATAATAGTAATATTGTTCTAAAAGAATATGCTTTTTTCTTTACTATTTCCTTTGAAAAATTTCAAATCTACAGATAATTCAGACTACTAGAGTGAACCTCCATACACCTTATATGTAGATTCACCAATTGTAACATTTTTCAATATTTGCTTTATCTTTCCACATAGTTAGCTAGCTAGACATATGCAAATATAATACGTGTATACATACTTACATAATTTTTGGTAATCATTTAAAAATAAATTATAGACATCATGACGTTTTACCTCAAAATATTTCAGTATGTATCTAATAACACTTTCCTATATAAACACAATACCATTTTCATACCCAACACATTTGACACTGATACAATAACATTATCTAGTATATAGTATATACTTAAATTTTCCCAATTATCTCTAAATAGCCTTCATAACTCAGTTTTTGAAAATTCAGTATCCAAACAAAGACCATGTGCTGCTTTTATTGCCATGTCAGTTTCATCTGTTTAATCTAAAATGGTCCCCTGCACCATTTTCTGCCTCTCATGGAAATTGATATTTTCAGAATCAAGACCAGTTGTTTTGTAGAATGTCCCACAAACTGGATTTGTCTGATTTTATTCCTGATTCAGGTCAACATTTTTGGCAAGAGTCACATGTGTCATTTGTCCTACAACTGGTAACATCAAATTTGTTCACTTGGTTAAGGTGGAATCCACTGGGTCTCTCCATTGTAAAGCACTGCAATTTATTAATGATTAAATTGTGGAATGATGCTTTGAAAAAGCATGAGTATCCTATTCCACAACATTTCATCCAATGGATGTACTATCTCCAGGGCAAAGCTTTTAAGAAGCCAGTGTTTTCCTCCTTTCTTTCTGTTTCCACTGGCTGGATACAGATGATGCAAAACCACAGTGGGTGGTGGAGCCTTGGGATGGAGGAAGCCTAGGCTCCTGCAGTCACAGTGTGGAGGACAGTCAGCCACTGATCCGGAAAATCTGTGCTGAGTCAATGCATTGGGAATAAATCTCTCCATTGGTAAGACCTTCACATTTTTGGTCTATTTGAAACCACAACTCATATTATTATAAATAATAGCTCAATATTTTCAACATGTTTTTGTTACATCAGTTTGAAGTGTTGGTTTTAGTTTCTATTTATTTATTTATTTGTTACTATTTATTTTATTTATTTATTTTTTGAGACGGAGTGGCTCTGTCTCCCAAGCTGGAGTGCAGTGGCGCAATCTCAGCTTACTGCAACTTTTGCCTCCCAGGTTCAAGCGATTCTCCTGCCTCAGCCTCCCAAGTAGCTGGGATTACAGGTGTGTGCCACCACACTTGGCTAATTTTTGTATTTTTAGTAGAGATGGGGTTTCACCATCTTGGCCAGGCTGGTCTCAATCTCCTGACCTCAAGTGACCGTCCCGCCTCAGCTTCCCAAAGTGCTGGGATTACAGGCATGAGCCACCACGCCTGGCCTTAATTTCTGCTTACTTAGATACTTGGGTTTAGACCATCACAGTTGAGGAAGGTGCTTCATGAAAAGAATCTCACTCTATCTCCCAGGCTGGAGTGGCAGTGGGCACAATCATCACTCACTATAATGTCAAACTCCTGAGCTCAAGCAATTCTCTCACCTTAGCTTCTTGAGTATCTGGGACTACAGGCACACTCGCCACACCCAACTGATTTTTAAAATTTGTAGAGACGGGGTCTCACTATGTTGTCCAGACTGGTCTTGAACTGCTGGCTTGAAGCCATCCACCTCAGCTTCCCAGAGCACTGGGATTACAGGTGCAAGCCCCCTCGCCCAGCCTATACAAATATTTTTATAGGTAGCACATGTATTGTTTTTTACAAATAATATAAAGGAGAAAATATTTCCTGATATCCATTTTCAAAATTCTCTCTTTATGGCATGAGCTTCTTTGAAAAGTAGTAAAATTTTGTATCTTTTTTTAAGTCACCTTAATCTCGAGATAATAATTAAATGCATTTTTTAAATTGTGCTTGGTAGCATAATACTGATCTGTAACTTATCATAGAAAATGTTTGCAACTTTGAAATGCCATTTTTTTGTAAATAAAAAAGTAACATCTTTGAGTTCAGTCACTACTTTAAGTACTTTTCCATGAAAAAATAAGGGAATCCTATGTTAAAGATATTTTAATGATCACTCCCCATTTCATTACCAAATATTGTAAATAGTCTACCATGTTTTAAGGGTCGTATTTTAAAGTTTAACTGTCGTGTAGAACTTTGCACATTCCTGGGTTCAGCTTCTTTGCTGTAATAATGAGCCTATGAAAAATTTAGTGATAAAATATTATAAGAGGTTCTAGCTCTATAACCTTGTCATGATATTCTGTTTTTTTATTCATGTGAAAGCAATTTCTTCATTGGCAATGACACATCTTTTCCACAAAATATTATTTTAATTAAAGGTATCATTTATTTCTTATGTTTTCTGTTACCTCTTTCCTTTAGCAGTCCACAAAAAAAGTGGTTTTTATTACCTTTCATAGTTTCTTTACAGGCTATTGACTATCATAGCTATAACATATTAGAAACATTTGCATATACTTCCATCTAACCCTATAGTAAGCATTTGTCCAAAATTGGATAATTTATTTTAATACATGCTTTTTCCATTTTAAGCAATATTTTCTACGTATACTCCAATAATATATGTATCTTGCAAAAGAATATACTTTGTTTTCATATTGTTACCCATTTGTCACTTTAGCTACTGTTACTGCTATAACCAGGAAGAGTAAATGTTTCTCCAAGCATATGTGGCTTTATGTCTTCTGCTATTAGTAAAAAAATAAAAATAAAAAAAATCAAGATGAAGTCTTAAACCTTTATTATAAAGTTTGGTGAAGTTTCATAAAATACAAATTGTGTATTGCATAATTGAGACTTCATAAACATATGCTGACATTTGTTTTCATAATCTACAGGCTCAGTTGTTAAATGCCTTGCATATGTTGATGGGATGGCTCCATACCATTTTTTGTTAATATCAAAAGGTATTATGTCTACTTTAAGAAAAAATTTATTGTTAAGGATAGTGGACGTAATTCCATTTTCTGAACACTCTTCACAATTTATGGTGCTTTTTTGGCATGACTTTGTGTCAAATTTCCATTTGCTTTTACCTAGTAGTATGGCCCACAAATATCAGGTATGGAATGAGTAGTAATGCTTTTATTTCTTACTGTGCCTGACATTAACTTTCACCATAGTTTCTTTGCAAGATTCCTTTTTAGCCATCTGTCCATTTTGTGAGAGTTAATTTAATTGAAAGTGCATTATAAAATGCACAATTTATCTTAACTTTTCATATTTTATGAAACACAGATACAAAATGCAGATAGTGCCCACCCTCATGTATTTGTCAAACTTAATTTCTTTCATATTTTTAACAGTAAAAACAAATTTAATAAATAGAAATGCTAATGATGTCTTACCGGAACCCATTGGATCATGTTAATACCACTGATTTTGTGTGTGTGTGTTTTGCTTTTATTTTTTTGGAGACTACTGGTACTGTTGACAAACACAATAGCAACAATTTTCAAACATTTTTTACCGTGACAATAATGAGAAGCTCTTTTATGTTGTAATCCTATTCACACACATTCATAAATGAATAAAATTTTGTAAAAAAATACTATATGTGATACACTTGGCTATTTTTTGTGATTTCCTTCCATCACAGTGTCATTTTTAAAATGAACTGGCTTTGATCTACAGTTTGAACAAACTGTGCTGCTGTGTTCTGCACACAGTGGTCATTGGAGGGCAGCTATGAGGTGGAGCAGCAGAAGCAAGTATTTTGGAGTCAGATTGGTGTTTGGTCATCATTTGACTTTTGACTCTATGAAACTCATTCAGAGTCTCTTCAGTTGCCATGTCTGTAAAATGAGAATAATTATACTTACCTGTGAAAGTTAGGAGAAGGGAATGAAATAACATATGTAAAGCATCTAGTACACCTCCAGGCACACAGTGTGTACTCACGCATAGTACTCATTGCTAATGGTAGTATTGCTACCCACCCTTCAGGGGAGTCGCTTGACCCTGGTCTGTGTAGTTCACACCAATAGAACAAGACCAGGTTCAGCAAAGCAGAGCAGAAACTCAATTCCTTGATGAAGAAATGGAGAAGGGGAGCTCTTGCTTCCCCTGGGAGAAAGGGCAAAGGGGGATTTTAAGGGCTCTTAGGGTCTTAGGGCAGATAGGTGGAGACTAGGGCAGGGATTCCTGGGGAAAGGGGGGTTCTTCCAGGAGGGGCTGGAGTTTGTGGAGTTTGGGTGTTTTTGTTTTGTTTTGTTTTTTGAGACAGAGTCTCACTCTGTCCCCCAGGGTGGAGTACAGTGTCATGATTTCAGCTCACTGCAACCTCCACCTCCCAGGTTCACAGGTTCAAGCAATTCTCCTGCCTTAGTCTCCTGAGTAGCTGGGATTACAGGAATGTGCCACAATGCCTGGCTAATTTTTGTAATTTTTTTTTCAGTAGAGATGGGGTTTCATCATGTTGGCCAGGCTGGTCTTGAACTCCTGACCTCAAGTGATCTACCCACCTGAGCCTCCCGAAGTGCTGGGATTATAGGTGTGAGCCACTGTGCCCAGCCAAGTCTGTGCAGTTATATCATTTCTTGTGCACTCAACACTTTTTGTGCCCAGCAAGGTGATAGTGGCAGGAGGCAGACAAATCCCTAGGCAGATAGGGGTGGGTCCCTGGTGAATCCCCGCCTTCAAACCAAAGACAGTTTAAAGCCCAAAAGCCAAGTATAAGTCTCAGATGAATCCACAGACCAAATTGATAACCTCTCTTCTCGTTTGGCACATTTTCCTCTGATTGATCCCCACCCTTCACCAATTTTACATAAACCTGCCCTTCCCTCATTGGTTTTTTACACTGTTGTGCCCATCTTTGAATGGTGCCTTTGTTTTAGCCTTTTTTGCATATTCACAAACTAATCAGCCCACAATACCCCATACTGAGCCCATAAAAGCCCTGGACCCAGCCACACTGGGAGAAAGACCACCTGACTTCAGGTGGGGCACTACCCTCACGTCCCCTCTCCACCGAGAGCTGTTTCATTGCTCCGTAAAATTCTTCTCTGTCCTCCTCACCCTTCAATTCTCAGCATAACCTCATTCTTGTTGGATGCGAGACAAGAACTCGGGACTCAACAGATGCAGATACAAAGAAAGCTGTAACACTGTGGCCCTCCACCTTCTGCCACTGGAGGGCAGCCACCCCACAAGAGGGGAAGCAGTGGCAGGACTGAGCCAGCCCAGGAGCCATGGGCTGGAGCAGGGCAACAGAACTGATAGAGCTGTTAACATACTTCCAACCATCGGTCTGCAGATATCCTTTGTAGGGACATGGATAAAGCTGGAAACCATCATTCTCAGCAAACTATTGCAAGGACAGAAAACCAAACACCGCATGTTCTCACTCATAGGTGGGAATTGAACAATGAGAACACCTGGACACAGGAAGGGGAACATCACACACCAGGGACTGTTGTGGGGTGGGGGGAGGGGGGAGGGATAGCATTAGGAGATACACCTAATGTTAAATGACAAGTTAATGGGTGCAGCACACCAACATGGCACATGTAGACATATGTAACTAACCTGCACGTTGTGTATACCCTAAAACTTAAAGTAAAATAAATAAATAAATAAATAAATTACATTAAAGAGACCATAAGAAAAAAAAAAGGTAATAGCACACCGAAAGAGCTGCTCTGCGGCTTCAGGGTCATGGGCTTCCCTGTTTGGGTGCCACCACGTTCCCCTCATCTGGACACCAAAGTCTGCCAGAGGAGTCACTTGCGACACACCTGGTCCAGCCACAAGCTTTGCATGGAGTCCACTCCTATGCCAGTGCTTGGAGTGGCCAGCTGGACCCTGCATTTACTCACCCACACACCCCCTCCAGCCAGGGGCTGAGCATGCAGTCACAGTGGCCATGGAATCCGTGCTGGGGCACAAGTCAGGTGCGGCCTGGTGGGCCAAGTGAGCAGGGCACCTCCTGTGGTGAACTTGGGGCCAAGTGAGACCTGGGCAGGGGCATCATCAGCCAGAGGTCTCTGGCTGGCAAAGTTGCCAAGAAAAACCCTATGTCAAAGGTATGCTTCTTCCCACTGGGCAGAGATCTTAGCATGGTAATGAAGCAAGAATTCAGGTCAAGGCACCACTGCTGAGCTCAGCTCATCTCGTGGCTGGTTCGTGGTTATGGGCATTGGCCTTCCTTTCTCTAAGCAAGCACAGGTGGGATCACAGGTTAGTTTCACAGGTTTTTGAGCTTCCTGAAAGAATTGGGGTTATGCTGCAGTAACAGTATTATAATAAGGTCCCTGAGTTTCTAACGAGAAGGATGTAAGTCTCAGAGACGTTAAATCACTGGCCACAGAAGTGGTGGGAGTCACCCACAGTTGCAGGTCCTAGGATATTAAGATTGCCCTTATGAATCTGGAATAGGCATGAGCCAGCCACATGAAAAGGCAGTCGGAAGTGGCATGCGGGGCATGATTCCTCCAGACAGAAGGAGCCCTGCTTTGCCCATTTTTCTAAATTCCAAAATAGTCTAGGCTAACTATCCAATGAGAAGCTGACGCAGGGAACAGTGGCTGGAAAATCTATGTCTCCAGAAGAACCCAGAAAATCTGCATTTCATTTATAAGTGAGGACTAAATAGTGTGCACATGTAGACATGGAGCATGGAATGATCAACATTGGAGCCTAGGAAGGGTGGAGAGTGAGAGGAAGTGAGGGATGAGAAATTACTTATTGGGTACAATTTACACTATTCAGGTGATGGCTCCACTGAAGGCCCAGACTTCACCACTGTACAATATATCTAAGTAACAAAACTGTACTAGCATGCCTTAAATTTATACGCATTAACCACAAAAAAAGGCTCAAATCAAGTGGATACTGTCTCGTAAGCTTCCCCTAAATTTTAAAAGAACATAATGAAATAAAGAAGAGTGTTCAGTTGTGGGGGAGGAGGATGGTGAGAAGAAACGTGGAGGGTAGCAAGGCAGAGAGGGGTGAGAAAAAAGAAGAAAGGCCTCTGAGCAAATAATACAAGAGTGGGGTGGGACTCTTGGGGATGCAGTGAGTGGCAGACTGGCACCCAGGATGCACCAGCTCCAGACTCTGCCTTGCCTGGCAAGAACCTGAAACAGTGCCTGCCTGGGCCGATCTGGCACCGTATTTATACCTGATATTTATTCCTACACCTTCCGAGGGCTAGAACAATATTCTCTGCCTTCCTCCGTTTTTAGCAATCTTACCAGTGAAATGGCATTTGCAAGTTCTCTTTCCTGTGGTCTTCAAACACGCCCCCATTTTATAGATAAGCTTTGAGTGTTACCTCTGTAGAACTTTTAAAGCTCATGCCTTTCACACAGGTTTCAGTTTCGTTTAAATGCAACCTTTCTCCAAAATGATGTACTTTCAAGTTTCACAATTCATCATCCCGTCAATATCTTATATTGACCTGATGGGTCACCAATATTGCAAATTGATGTATGTCTTATTAGTATTTTGCTATAATTAGTGGGATTATTTTTTTAAATCCTGAAATTTTCTCTCTCAAGAGATGAGACAGAGGGAGAGAGTCTGTGCAGTGATTTATGTGTACAGTGTCTTGTATGACCTGTGGCTTATCTATCAGTTTGCCACTCACTGTGGGACTCCTTCCACCCTGTTATAGTGTTGACCACCAGGAGATCATTTGTTCTTTTTACTCTTAAGGCAGTTTTTCTTTCTCCAGAACCACTCAGATTACTCAAAATTTTCTGTCTTGACATTTCTACTTGCAGGGAAAGAAAAATATATAAAGTAATTTATAAACCGACATACACTTGATAGAAACAATAAAACACTCAAAGTGTGCCAATGCCTAGTTAAAGTTCATTAAAATAAGTGTCGTGTTATATTCCCTCCCATTGCATTAAAACCAGCACTTACAGACTTTAAACTTTTATTTGAGTATCATTTTGAGTCTTTGGCTTTTCATAGACACAAACTCAACTTGTTACCATTGATGATAATCACTTAAAAAAAAAAACTGGTGGTCAATATGCACATCTTGGAGAAGCGCAGCAGGTTTCAGCTGGCTTTTCGTATTACCTTAGACATTTTAAAAAGTCTTTGCTTACTTGCAATAGTAAGATATTCCAAGAGCCTTTGGGTTCTTTCCTGTTCCTCAAAATGGAATTAGCTACTCTGAAAGAAATGGGTTCCTTATCTGGAAAATAACCCCAAAGAAGGTGGTATATTGGATGATTTCACATGAGCACTGCTATTGGTCAAAGAAATAGGCCATTTTAGTGAGATTGCTAAGAAATAAGTTATTTTCCAAGCCCCAAGCTCACATGACATTTCCAAATTAACTCTAAAGTTACTGAGTCATATTTTTAGATTTGGTCCTAATCTAAAAATTAAAATTTTCTGTATTCCTTAGATTTTTAACCCCTTACCTATGAAACAATGAAATTCAGCTACATGAAGATTTTCTATTACATTGACTACAGCAATTAATTTCATTTCACTGTCAATAAAAATTAAAATGTCATAAAAGAAGGAAATGCAAGATATTCCTTAAAGGCTCTGATCTGTTAATGATATACTACATGTATTCATTTAAATGTAACAAATCAATATGCAATACTGAACAGTATTTTCCGTAGCGTAATTCCCCTCTTCAACATAGGTGAGGTAATAGAAAAGAAACTTTAATTATAGCACCATGCCCTCAACATGCAACTGTGAAATGACACAAAACCAAAGTGAATAGAAAGGCACTATGAACAAGAATCTTCCCATAGTGGAATTCAAAGCATATTTGGTTGCTGGCATTTTTCTAAAAAAGGATGGTATCTGAGCAGTTTTGCTTCCTTTCAACACTCCTCTTGCATATAGCATCACAAAACTTGGTCTCTGGAAAATGATTTTGAGAGCTAGACTGAATTATCAAGGAGTCTGCCAAGATTCTCTGGCATTTGGGATTTGGCAGAATGTTGCAAAATAAGTTTTCTTAGATAATTCTGGTTTTGCTACAAACCCAAATGTCTGAGAAGTCATTCCAAATGTTCCGACCACAGGTTTCCTTCTACATCTCTTGGTTATGTTACTTTTTTATCTGTCTGGGTTAAAATGGCAAATCACACCACGGTGGGCAGCGATCTAACACTGTGTTTTCTTATCTGGTTCAGTGAACTCTTTCAAATTCTCTCAATAACCTAACATGTGATTAAAATTAATATTTTTAAAAGAAACCTATCAAATATGAGTCCTTTTTCAAATTTTTAATTTTCTGTGCTGTAGATTCTCATGTCATTCCAACAGAGTCGGTCACTCACCACAGGGACTGCCGCATGACACAGGGATTCGTGGACTCTCCTCATTTATCATATCACGTGCCTGTTTAGTCCTAAAGTTTGAAATAATAATAATTCACATGTGTAAATATTGTTCATAGGAGTCAATGCAGAGGAAATTTTGTTACATAAAGAGTTTTTCCCCTTCATATTGCGTTGTATATTTGCTGCGGCACTTTAAACCTCACTGCCAGCATTTAAGTGCCAAAACGAGTAGTAAAGACATGTTGTGTTATGAGAGTTCAGCAAAGGGTAAAATGGGCCTGTGCACGAGATCATGGGAGGAACTCTTGGGCAGGAGCGGGTCTTGCAGGTGCCCTGAGAGAAGAATGCATTCTGGATAAACAGAGGGGAGAGGAATGGGGGTTGACAAGATGGGGAGTCGCGTTAACAGTGAACACAGCACATCAGCAAAGCATCTGGAAGCTGGTCGGGGTTGGAGTAGAGATTAGTGTAGGGAAGAAAGTGTGAGTGGGTCCAAGAACACAGGGCAATTTATGGAGCGCTGGGAAGGGCAGGCTCAGACAAATGAAGACGCTAATGGCCGCCAGGTACTTTCCAGTGCCAGTCTCTCTGCCAGGCACCCTAGAGTTCAGTTTCTTCTCACTCCACTCCATGAGCAAAGCATGACAGATAAGGAAACCGAGGCAGAGAGAATGAGTAGCTTTTCTGGCATCATCCAGTTCAGCTGCTTTCACTCTTTTGCTCCATTTCCCTAAAACAATTCTGAAAAAGGATTCTCTCACACACTTTCAAATCAACATAGAAATTTGTTTTTCATTTTCATTGTATGAAATAATCATGAATTTATTTTCATTAGGAGGTAGAAAATAATCAACATTTTATAAGATGTAATATATAATAGAAGTTTTTATAATGAACTATTTGATGCAATAGGTTTAAACAAACTTATGTAAATAATAAGCACACAAATGTGGGAAAGAAACACATAAAATTTTTATGGCTTTATCTATGTATCTTGAAAGCTTTTGGTAGTCCCAGACAATTAGGTAAATTTACGCTGTAGTTGGAAATTTGGTTTTATAAGAGAAACTACCATTTTTTTTCCCTAGTTAAGTCAAATAAATATTAAGATTGAAATAAGATTGATATGACTTTCAGTGAGAGAAGGTAGAGGTTTGGCCTTTCTTTACGACAGTTTCACCAGGAACAAATCATCTGGTTGAAATATATAAGGGAGAACATGTTTATTTCCTGTAAACTTTATGACAATTCTTAAAAAAATTAAACCCTTAACATTCTAATGATAATTAACATGCTAAATAAGCTACAAAAAGAAGAAAAACAAATGAAAAAGAAACTCTGCCCCAACTCAGACAGTTGATTTTGGTAACACTGTCATAGAACCCCAAATTTAGGTTTGTGTATTCGATGTGTGTTTGAAGCCAAACATTGAGACACAGTGCTTGGAGATAGAGAAAGGTTTATTTGATTTGGCCAAAGCTAGAAGGTGTGAGAGTAAGATCGCTCTGATACATTTTAATAAAGCGATGAAGTAAGGAGTTTTCATGTGGCTAGGGAGTAAGGGAGGGGGAGTTTCAGTTTCTGGAAACTGAGGGGAAAGTCTGTTTTTTTAGTCTCAGATAACATCTTGAGCAGCCAGACTTCTGGGCATCAGCAGCTGGTCACAAGTCCTTAAAGACATTTATTTCTTCTGCAAAATTTTTTGTGACCCTGAAGTTATTTATTTATTTATTTATTTTGCTTGACAAAGAAACAATGTATCAGTAGTTTATAATTATATTGTGGGAACAAGGGATGCTGTGCAAAAAGTGAGTGGTTTACATGTATAAGCAAGCAAGGGCCTAATCAAGAATTTTTATGATTTTAGTCACTATACATGCTAGGGCACTAAAATCTCAAGGGGTCTGGTTACAAAACAATCCATAATTTTGGTCTAAATAACCTTCAGTATTCAGTGTCACATTTCAAATGGTCACTCTGACCTCACGCGTAGATAACAAAGGTGTTCATCTCAGCATTGCTGATTGGAATGCCAAGGGTCTGGAAAAGAGCACATGACTGCATGCAGTTGGCTCTTTTCCCACTCAACACTTCACTTCTTATCAACATGAAACAATTTTATAGCTGCAGTATATTTGTCATCACTTTCCATTTACTTAGATCTTCTTTATTCCAAAAGATAAAAGATTTATGAAGATGCATCCACTGATATACTCTATTGATTGTCCATCCTAACTTTATTTAGTGTTTCTGGATAAATCAGTTGACTGCTTGTTGCCTACTTACTTTTATTTTCCTATATCACCTGAGTTTGCTTGGGGTGGTAATATGTGCAGGAAAATATTTACATTCCCTGGCCTCCTTTGCAAGTTGAGGATTTTTGTGGGAGCAGTCCTGGCTGAAGAGATATAAACACAAACAACTGGAGGAGCAGGGCTACTGGGGAGGCTTCTGAATGAGAGCAGACTAGCTGGCATAGACACTTTCTCCTCTTTTCCCTTTCTTTGCCTTCTTTCTGCTTGAAACTGATGATGGCAGAGAAATGGCATCTTTCTTCAGAGTGCAGGATTGTGGTTCTCACCCTAAAGGTGGTAGAACCAATAACTAGAGAGAAGTTGGGGATCCAATGGCTTCATGGAGGCTTGGGCCACCCTACCTGAGGCCTACACTTTGTGAGAGAATAATCACTCTCCTTTCTGGATAAGCCACAGTCTATTCTGAACAGTTGCATTGGATATACGGCTGCATTTACCAACTTAAAATAAGAAAATTAAAAAGTAAAAGCATGACTTCAAAGCCTTCCATTTTTAATATAGAATGGTATTATATCACAAATATGTGCACCATGACACATTTGAAAGGAGCCATACAAAAGAAACACAATATATGAAAATAAAAACATGTAAGAAGCAGATTTTATGCAGCCTTACTAAAAATTTGATGTGGTTACCATAAAGTTGAATGATGGTCAATGGCTACTATCGCTTACCCCATATCATGGAAATCCTAACAGGGAGAGTGATTCTTTACATTAGATGGTAAATAATTAAGTATGATGTTCAAAATACACACAGTCAGAAAAAAGAAATGTCTCTTTCTCTGGATAATAAACGACATTGTCTGCCGAAATCCTAGAGGTGAATGCCAAGAACTAGATGAGTCAGAAAAAAATTGCTGGCAAAAATAAATGCACACTTTTCAAAATTAATCACATTCTTTGAAAAAATGTTTATGATCCACCTTACTGTTTGTGAACCCTCAGAGCATGACTATATTATTAAAGTCAAGAGCCACATGGAGTACCTGAAATAGAAAGCTAGATTCTGAAAATGGAGCAGCATGATCATCTCGATATTTCAGCCTGGATAAATAGTGATACATTTTATTCATGTGGGATATCACCCTACCCAGGGTGACCAATGTATACAAACAGGCTTAGGGTTTATTGTTTAATTGGCAAGAAAGCACACTCCCAAGAGACAGAAACTGGCTAATGTCCTGTAATATGAATGAACAATTAGAAAAGACCACTTGGATGACAGTGGAAACATCACTTGCTGATCTCTACCCAAAGGCTTTTCTGTGTCACGTTCCTGGGCCTGTGCATTAATATAATCATGTCTCAAAGTTCTTTTTACTGTTGAATCAATCCTTTGTGTAACACCTTCTTACATTGATATCTAATGTGCAGACCAGAATTAAAGCAGACGAATGCCATGGAAGATACAGAGTTACAGCAGAGGAGGGGAGAATTTCACATGTCGCATCCACAAAACCTCCGAGCTAATGTTTTATTTGGCTTTTATAGGTGAAAATTGAAAGGTAATTCTCAGGAAATATGAGATTCTATAATCCCTGTATTCCTTGCCTTTGGGTGTGTATTAACATGCATCGTAAAACCATGAATGAAGATTCATTTATACAAAAATTTCTTGAGTGCCAAGTAGTATTAAGACGTATGGGCGATACCAAGTATGTTTCTTGCTCATAGTGTTCCAATCACTATTGGATTTTGATGATAAATAAATTAGAATTTCTTTCTAAATACTGCTGAAGTAGGTTCAAACAGTATTTTGATTTATATTTTATAATATTCAGTCAGGATGAGGCAGAGTGTTCATCTTGATGTTGTACAAAGTAAATGTTTTCGAGTGGCAGCATGTGTTGAGATTACACACCCGTTTATATTTGGACTCCAATCTGAACAAGCTGAGCTACTTTTAAATTGAAATAGAAACTAATACATGGAAATAATATTTTCTACGGGGCTTCATTCTTTTATATCTCATGATTTAAAGTGTAGGCAGACTCCAGTCTGAAATTCTGGAAAGTATAACAAGCAGTTTGAAAATTGCAGCCATTTTCACCATATTTCTCCCTTCCTGGTTTGTCACTCAGAAGTGAACACTTTGAATGTTCACTTCTCTTTCTTCAGTGAACACTGATGCCTTCTGATAAGGAAGTCTATTGAGAATGATAAGACTGTAACCCCAAACCTCCTAACTTATAAGATCCTTGAAATCAATATAATTCTTTGGAAATTACTATTCCCCCACCCCCACGCAAACACTTGCTTTGAGAAACGGAAGTTAATTGTAACAAGCCTAAATAATACTAAATGAAAACCTACTAGTAAGCCTAGACTTTAATCATTTTCTTTAAGGAAGACAAAGATTTATTTTAAATGACAATAGGCCAGGCACGGTGGCTCAGGCCTGTTAATACCCAGCACTTTGGAGGCTGAGGTGGGCAGATCACCTGAGGTCAGAAATTCGAGACCAGCCTGACCAACATGGTGAAACTCCATCTCTACTGAAAATAAAAAAAAATTAGCTGGGCACGGTGGCGGGCACCTGTAATCCCAGCTACTGGGGAGGCTGAGGCAGGAGAATTGCTTGAACCCTGGAGGTGGAGGTTGCAGTGAGCCGAGATCTTGCCACTGCACCCCAGCCTGGACAGCAAGAGGGAAACTCTGTCTCAAATAAATAAATATATAAAATGACAATAATAATAAGGATTAGACACATTGGAAATCATAGACCTGAATGCAGTTCTATCTTAATATGTTGTTTTTACTTCACTATTTTAGAGAGAGAATTAAATTCTGCTTATTACTGAAGATCAATACAGAATTAATCGGGAATAATACAAGAAGTTAAAATAGTAGCTCCTCATTAAATGTCCCTGATATGTTTAACCTATCACAAAGTGGTGTAGTCAGCCTGCAGTTAATTAATATTTATTTATTTATTTTTGAGACGGAATCTCGCTCTGTTGCCCAGGCTGGAGGGCAGTGGAGTGATCTCGGCTCACTGCAACCTCCACCTCTCGGGTTCAAGCAATTCTCCTGCCTTAGCCTCCCGAGTAGCAGGCGTCCACCACCACGCCCCACTAATTTTTTTTTATTTTTGATGGGGTTTCACCATTTTGGCCAGGCTGGTCTCGAACTCCTGACCTCAGGTGATCCGCCCGCCTCAGCCTCCCAAAGTACTGGGATTACAGGCGTGAGTCACTGCGCCCAGCCACTGCAGTTAATTATTTTAAGTTTTAAAACACTGTGCCTTTTTAAAAATCCAGGATGCAATGTGAACTGCTGCAGCCTGACTGGCTGCACTATTCCAACTCTGAAAGCATCCACCTGTGATTAAAACAAGCACCCTGGGAATGCTGAATGAACAATGTAACGTTTAGTGCACCAATTGATTTAAAATGTGACTTTTACTCCCCTTTTTGGCAGCTTGTGAATATTTTTGCATGCATTTGACTTGTATTGATTTCCTTTAACGTCTTAAAAATACAACACTGACACAATTCAAATAACTCTCTTATTTTTGAAGGTTTTAGGAAACTTTAATAGATGGAGAAACTAAAGGGCTGGGAGTCTGAGTTGCCCCTGGATGCAGAGCTAGTGAATGGCCAGCCAGGATGGGAATTCAGGTACCCCGAGTCTCAGCCAGGTACTCTGAACTCCACTGCTGTAAGAGGTACTGAGGAATTTTAAGCAGAGCTGCTGTCAACGATATACAGTGTTTTCAAAAGCATCCATGCTCTGTTTAAAGTTCCACTAAGCATATCATTGCTTGTCAGCTGTTGGGACATGCATAACTAAGTAAGATGACACATGAGAGCTTGTGGAGGAAGACAGGTAGTGTATCTTAAAGGAAAACTAGAAGCCCCATCAATTATTACAGACTCTAAATACTCAGCATGCAGCCAGCATGAGCTCATAGGGCCACAGAGAATGATTTAGAATTGATTTTTAAGTCTCGGGAGTTGAGAACAGCATGCAAAGTGTACCGAAGGAAACCAAAACTTGGGTAACCACTTAATCTTATCATGAGCAGGATATATGAGGAAGGAAGAAAAGTAATGTTTTTCCTGGAGGTATTTTTCTTCAGAAGTGCAGAACTAAGAAATGGTGGATGATCAATTAGTAATCAAGCACTTTATAGAGAATAAAGAGAAAATGTATGAAGATCCACTAATCTTAGGGTGAGAGTTGCTGGATTACTACCAATATTCTATCTCCTCCAAATAAAGAGACTGATATTTTTACATTATTTTTTGTATTCTCAAGGGAAGTAGAATAACACAGTTTTCTGATTAGATTAACTTAGTGGTCAATACACAGGATAATTTTGATCTGTCAAAGACAAAGATTTTACATTCTTATTTTTCTGTTACTAGTTTATAGTGGAAATTAAACTGGGGTTAAATAAAATGGTGAATTTTTAAGCACTACAGTCTTTATGCCAAAACTGTCTCTCATTCCAGCAATTCCAGTGTTCTATGGACCCATCCACCTCTTGATCTCCTCTTGCCCAATGACCTTCACTCATCTTCACTTACTGCCTTCATGGGCAAACTCTGGGCTTGGTCATCATAAGGGATCTCAAACCTCTGAAATCTTAAGTAGTAAGAATTCATTCTCTCATTATGGGCCAAACAGAGCTGGCTGCTCATTTCCTCACCTCCTCTACACCTGCTCATTGACAATATTTATCTCCTTATTTTTTTTCAATTAGCCTTTAATCAGTTCTGCTGGTTTCATTTCATTCCCTAACTAACCTATGTCATAATGTCAGTTACTTCAATATTTGTCTTCCATCACCCTCATTTTCCTTTCTTATTTGTCCTAGGGTCCTACCTGTTCTATCAGTCCAGTATCAAGACTGAAAAATCCTCCTCAGTGCTTGCACTTGGTTTTCCTCTTCTGTGAATTACCTGGTCATATCCATTAACCATTTGCCTATCAGGGTTTTCACTTTTTCTTATGAGGATACTAATATCTTATTTGCTGTATGAATTGTGTAAGTTTAACTTGCATAGTAATATTTCATCTACATAAATTGCAGGTATCTTTTTCAGAGATTTATGTTTTCATTTCTAGTATGTTCTATTTTATTATACAGAAGTTTTTTTATTTTAATATGTCTATTCATTAAAATCTTTGTGTCTTGATTAAGCTATCTTTCCTTATAATAAATATAAATATTCTATTATATTTTCTTCTAATACTTCTAAATTTTTATTTTTCACATTTTAGTATTTCACAGAAGTGTGATTTTGGTATATAGTTTGTTAAAAGAAAAGCTTTAGAGAAATGAAATTTAACATAGTTTATTTGAGAAAAGAATGATTCATGAGTTGAACAGCACCCAGAACCAGAAGAAGTTAGATAATTCTTCCCAGTGGTGTGAGTGGTGAGCTTTTATAGGTTAAGCTCAGATACAAAACAGATAAATCACCTGATTGGCCACAGTTAGGCATTTACGTTATTTGGGCACAGTGTGATGACTTTGCTGCCTGTGATTGGCTGAAGCTTGGCTGTCTGTGATTAGCAGAAACCCAGCTATTTGTTACAAAAAGTATTTTCTTAAATTAGGCTTTTACTTTTTTAAGTGGTAAGTTAGATTATAACATATATATTTAGGCACTAAGTTTGTTATAGAGAAACTCATAGTACGAATAAGGTGACAACCATAGGCTAATGGACATCCACTTGTTGAATTTGACAGGTGTTAGGTAGTGATCAGATTTTATCTTCTTCTAAGTGTTGATAATCAAGTCCCACTTGTTGAAAATTCATCCACAACCACTGATTTGTGTTGCCACTTCTGTTACACTCCTGGGTTTATGTTCAGCCCTTTATTTTGCCTCATTCTTTTTGGTTAAACCTGAGTCTATACCATGGGCCTTAACTACTAAACTTTAAAATGCATATTGCTATCTAGGAGGGTTGTTCTCAGGTATTCTCCAATATTGTCTTAGCTATTCTTTGGTCTTTGATTACTTTGCATAAATTCTAGAATCAACTGGCCAAGTTCTACAAAGAGAAAAGAAAGTAAAAGAGAAAGAAGGAAGGGAGGGAGGGAGAAATCAGAAGAAAGGAGGAAGAGAGAGAAAGATAGATTGATAGTCTTCTTGGTGTTTTATTAAAATCATAGCTATTATTAAATTAATATGAGTATTAAGTTATCTCATCTGTGAAAACAGTATTATTCTGTATATATTTAAGCATAATTTTGTATTTTTTTCTATTCATAAAGTTTATTGGTCTGTAATTTTATTGTTTTTTAATTATTTCAATAGGTTTTTGGGGAACAAGTGGTGTTTGGTTACATGAATAAATTCTTTAGCGGTGATTTTCGAGATTTTGGTGCACCCATCACCAGAGCAGTGTACACTGTACCCAATTTGTAGTCTTTTAAACCTCACCTCATTCCCGCCCTTTCCCCTGAGTCCCCAAAGTCTATTGTATCCTTCTTGTGCCTTTGTGTCCTTATCCTTAGCTCCCACTTCTGAGTGGAAACATATGATGTTTGGTTTTCCATTTCTCAGTTACCTCACTTATAATAATGGTCTCCAATTCCATCCAGATTTCTGCAAATGCCATTAGTTCCTTTTTACAGCTGAGCAATATTCCATTGGATGTGTGTGTGTATATATATGTGTGTGTGTGTGTGTGTGTGTGTGTGTGTATAACATTTTCTTTATCCACTCTTTGATTGATGGCATTTGGAATGGTTCCATATTTTTGCAATTGCAAATTTAGCTGCTATAAACATGTGTGTGCAAGTATCTTTTGTATAATGACTTATTTTCCTCTGGGCAGATACCCAGGAGTGGGATTGCTGGATCAAATGGTAATTCTGCTTTTAGTTCTTTAAGGAATCTCCATGCTGTTTTTCTTAGTGGTTGTACTAGTTTACATTCCCACCAGCAGTGTAGAAGTGTTTCCTTTTCACTGCATCCATGCCAACATCTACTATTTTTTTTTAATTTTTGATTATGGCCATTTTTGCAGGAGTGAAGTGGTATGGCGCTGCAGTTTTGATTTGCATTTCCCTGATCATTAATGATGTTTAGTATGTTTTCATATGTTTCTTGGCCATTTGTATATCTTCTTTTGAAAATTGTCTATGTATGTCCTTAGCCCACATTTTGATGGAATTTTTGGTTTAATTAAGTCCTATCTATTTATCTTTGTTTTTGTTGCATTTGCTTTGGGTTCTTGGTCATGAAGTCTTTGCCTAGGCCAGTGTCTAGAAGGGTTTTTCCAATGTTGTCTTCTAGAATTTTTATGGTTTCAGGTCTTAGATTAAAGTCTTTGATCCATCTTGAGTTGATTTTTATATAGGGTGAGAGAAGAGGACCCAGTTTCATTCTTCTGCATGTGGTTAGCCAATTATCCCAGCACCACTTGTGGAATAGGGTGTCCTTTCCCCACTTTTTGTTTTTATTTGCTTTGTCGAAGATCAGTTGACTGTAAGTATTCGGCTTTATTTCTGGGTTCTCTATTCTGTTCCATTGGTCTATGTGCCTATTTTTATACCAATACCATGACGTTTTGGTGACTGTGGCCTTATATTATAGTATAGTTTGAAGTTGGGTAATGTAATGTCTCCAGATTTGTTCTTTTGGCTTAGTCTTGCTTTGGCTATGCAGACTTTTTTTTTTTTTTTTTTGGTTCCATATGAATTTTAGGATTGTTTTTTCTAGTTCTGTAAAGAATTATTATGTTATTTTGAAGTGAATTGCATTGAATTTGTAGATTGTTTTGGCAGTATGGTCATTTTCACAATATTGATTCTACCCATCCATGAGCATAGGATATGTTTCCATCTGTTTGTGTGATCTATTATTTCTTTCAGCAGTGTTTTGTTGTTTTCCTCATAGAGGTGTTTCACCTCCTTGGTTGGCTATATTCCTAAGTGTTTTTTGCTTTTTGTTTTTTTTTTGTTTTGTTTTGTTTTGTTTGCAGCTATTGTAAAAGGGATTGAGTTCTTGATTTTATTCTTAGCGTGGTCGCTGTTGATGCATTTGTTGATGTTGTTTGGCTACTGATTTGTGTACATTGAATTTTGTATCCTGAAACTTTGCTGAATTCATTTACCAGTTTTAGGAAATTTTTGGATGAGTCTTTAGCGTTTTCGAGGTATACGATCATGTTATCAACAGGTAACGACAGTTTGACTTCCTGTTTACTGATTTAGATGTCATTTCTTTCTTTCTTTTGTCTGATTGCTCTGGCTAAGATTTCTAGTACTATGTTGAATAGAAGGGGTAAAAGTGGGCATCCTTGTCTTGCTCCAGTTCTCAGGGGGAATGCTTTCAACTTTTCCCCATTCAGTATATGGTTGGCTGTGGGTTTGTCATAGATGGCTTTTATTACATTAAGTTATGTCTCTTCTATGCCAATTTTGCTATTGGTTTTAATCATAAAGGGATGCTGGATTTTGTCAAATGCTTTTTCTGCATCTATTGAGATGATCATGTGATTTTTGTTTTTAATTCTGTTTACATGGTTACATTTATTAACTTGTGCATGTTAAACCATCCCTGCATCCATGGCATGAAACTCACTTGATCACAAAGGATTATCTTTTTGATATGCTGTTGGATTCAGTTAGCTAGTATTTTGTTGAGGATTTTTGCATCTATGTTCATCAGAGACATTGGTCTGTAGTTTTCTATTTTTGTTATGTCCTTTCCAAGTTTTGGTATTAGGGTGATACTGGCTTCATAGAATGATTTAGGGAGGATTCCCTCTTTCCCTATCTTTTGGAATAGTGTCAATAGGATTGGTGCCAATTCTTCTTTGAATATCTGACAGAATTCAGCTGTGAATTCTTCTGGTCCCGGACTTTTTGTTATTGTTATTGGCAATTTTTAAATTACCATTTCAATCTCACTGCTTGTTATTGTTCATTCAGAGTTTCAGTATCTTCCCACTTTAATCTAGGAGGGTTGTATATTTCCAGGAATTTATCCATCTCTTCTAGGTTTTCTAGTTTATGCACATTAAAGTGTTCATAGCAGCCTTGAATGATCTTTTGTATTTCTGTTGTATCAGTTGTAATATCTCCCATTTCATTTCTAAGTGAGCTTATTTGGACCTTCTCTCTTCTTTTCTTAGTTAATCTTGCCATTGGTTTATCAATTTAATTTATCTTTTCAAATAACCAGCTGTTTGTTTCATTTACTTTTTGTATTTTTTGTTTGTTTCAATTTCATTTAGCTCTGCTCTGATCTTTGTTATTTCCTTTCTTCTGCTGGTTTGGGTTTGGTTTGTTCTTGTTTCTCTAGTTCCTTGAGAAGTGACCTTAGATTGTCTATTTTGTGCTCTTTTAGACTTTTTGATGTGGGCATTTAATGCTATGAACTTTCCTCCTAGCACCACTTTTGCTGTACCCCAGGGGTTTTGATAGGTTGTGTCACTATTATCACTTACTTAAAAGAATTTTTAAATTTCAGTCTTGATTTCGGTTTTGACCCAATGATCATTCAGGTGCAGGTTATTTAATTTTCGTGTATTTGCATGGTTTTGAGGGTTCCTTTTTGAGTTGTTTCCAATTTTATTCCACTGTGGTCTGAGAGAGTACTTGCTATAATTTTGATTTTCTTAAATTTATTGAGACTTGTTTTGTGGCCTATCATATGGTCTATCTTGGAGAATGTTCCATGTGCTGATGAATAGAATGTATATTCTGTAGTTGTTGGGTAGAATATTCTGTATATATCTGTTAAGTCCATTTGTTCTAGAGTAGAGTTTAAGTTCCTTGTTTCTTTGTTGACTTTCTGTCTTGACCACCTGTCTAGTGCTGTCAGTGGAATATTGAAATTCCCACTATTATTGTGCTGCCATCTATCTCATTTCTTAGGTCTAGTAGTAATTGTTTTATAAATTTAGGAGCTCCAGTGTTAGGTGCATATGTATTTAGGATTGTGATATTTTCCTTTCGGACTAGTCCTTTTATCATTCTATAATGTATCTCTTTGTTTTTTTAACTGCTATTGTTTTAAAGTTTGTTTTGTCTGATATAAGAATAGCTACTTCTTCTCACTTTTGGTGTCCATTTGCATGGAATATCTTTTATCACCCCTTTACCTTAAGTTTATGTGACTCCTTATGTGTCAGGTGAGTCTTGAAGAAAGCAAATGCTTGGTTGGTGAATTCTTATTCATTCTGCCATACTGTATATCTTTTAAATGGAACATTTAGGCCATTTACATTCAATGTTAGTATTGAGATAAGAGGCACTGTTCTATTCATCATGCTATTTGTTGCCTGAATACCTTGGGTTTTTTTCATTGTGTTATTGTTATATAGTTCCTGTGAGATTTATGCTTTAAGAACATTCTATTTTGGTGTATTTCTAGAATTTGTTTCAAGATTTAGAGCTCCTTTTAGCAGTTCTTGTAGTGCTGGCTAGGTAGTGGTGAATTTTCTCAGCATTTGATTGCCTAAGAAAGATTGCATCTTTCCTTCTTTTAAGAAGCTTAGTTTCACTGGATACAAAATTCTTGGCTGATAATCATTTTATTTAAGGAGCCTAAAGATAGGACTCCAATCTCTTCTAGCTTATAGTGTTTCTGTTGAAAAATATGCTGTTAATCTGATAGGTTTTCCTTTATATTTCATCTGATGCTTTTGCCTCACAGCTCTTAAGATTCTTTCCTTTGTCTTGGCTTTAGATAACCTGATGACTCTGTGCCTAGGTGATTGTCTTTTTGCAAAGAATTTCCCAGGTGTTCTCTGAGCTTCTTGTATTTGAATGCCTAGATCTCTAACGAGGCTGGGGAAGTCTTCCTCGATTATTCCCTCAAATATGTTTTCTAAACATTTAGAGTTCTCTTCTTTCTCAGGAACAGCAATTTTTCTTAGGTTTGGCTGTTGAACATAATCCCAATCTTCTTGGAGGCTTTGATCCAAAAACTTTGTCTTCAAGCTCTGAATTTCTTTCTTCTGCTTGTTTGATTCTATTGCTGAGACTTTCCAGTGCATTTTGTATTTCTCTAGGTGTGTCCTTGATTTCCAGAAGTTGTGATTGTTTTTTATTTGTGCTGTCTATTTCACTGGAGATTTTTTCACTCTTATCCTGTATCATTTTTTAAAAACATTTCTTTAAGCTGGGCTTCACCTTTCTCTGGTGCCTCCTTGATTAGCTTAATAATCCACCTTCTGAATTTGTTTTGGGGCAATATAACAATTTTGTCTTGGTTTGGATTCATTGCTGGTGAGCTAGTGTGATCTTTTGGGGTATTAAAGAACCTTGTTTTGTCTTCTTACCAGAATTGTTTTTCTGGTTCCTTCTCATTTGGGTAGACTGTGTCAGAGGGAAGGTCTAGGACTCACAGGCTGCTGTTCAGATTCTTTTTTCCCACAGGGTGCTCTCTTGATGTAGTGCTCTCCCCTTTCCCCTGGGAATGGGGCTTCCTGAGAGCTGAACTGCAGTGATTGTTATTTCTCTTCTAGATCTAGCCACCCAATGGAGCCACTGGGCTCCAGGCTGGTACTGAGGAGTGTCTGCCAAGAGTTCTGTGATGTGATCCATCTTCAGGTCTCTCAGTCATAGATACCAGCACCTACTGCAGTGGAGGTAGGAGAGGAATGAAGTGGACTCTGTGAGGGTCCTTGACTGTATTTTTGTTAGGTATGCTGGTTTTGTGTTGATTGGCCTCCAACCAGGAGGTGGCACTTTCAAGAGTGTATCAGCTGTGGTTGTATAGGCAGGATCAGGCAGTGGGTGGGGCCCTAGAGCTCCCATGAGGTTATGTCCTTGGACTTCAGCTACCAGGGTGGATAGAGAAAAACCATTAGGTGGCGTCAGGGTTAGGCATGTCTGAGTTCAGGCTCTCCTTAGGTGGGGTTTGCTACAGTTGTGGGAGATGGGGCTGTGGTTCCCAGGTCAATGAAGTTATGTTCCCAGGGGGGTTATGGATGTCTGTGCTGCGTCACACAGGTCACCAGGGAAGTAGGAGAAAGCCAGCGGCCACAGGCCTCGCCCACCTCCCATGCAGCCCTCAGTCTGAAAGGCCAGTCTCACTCCCACTGTGCTCCCCCACCAACAGGACTGAGTTTATTTCCAGGCAGCTGGTGACCAGGGCTGAGCACTTGCCACAGGCTACCAGCCTCTGGCTGAGAAAGCAAAGCAGATTCACAGTTCCTTTGTGGTCCCATGGAGCCTGCAGAAGCAATCCACCTCCTTCAAAGAGTCTGTGGATTCTCTCAGCTTTCCTGATATGTTCCTGCAGTAGTTCTTGGAGTGAAAGTTCATTATGTGGGTCTCCACATGCTGCTCTGTCCATCCAAGTGGGAGCTGCAAGTTAGTCCTGTCTCCTATCCACCATATTTTTCCTCACAATTTTGTTTTTTAAATAGTTTTATTTTTCTTCACATCTTTTGTAGAACTTATTCCTATAATCTGATACTTTTCCTTTTCACTTATTATATTTTAATTAGTGGTTGCAGGCATACAAGAATGTAGTTTATCTTTAAAAATGAATCTTAAATCCAGAATGATTTCTAAACCTACTTGTTTGCATAAAATTCTTTTGGACTTTCTATGTAGACAATCATATTGTCTGTGAATACAGACAATTCTATTTTTCCTATTCTATTCTGATGTATATTCTTTTAATTGTTATTTCCTTTTCTCATTGTTTACTGCTGATTTTTGGTAGATATCCTTTATTAAGTTGAGAACATTCCCTGGGGATTGCTAGCTGCTAAGGTTTTGTTGTGGTGGTGGTTTTAACATGAGTGAATGTTGAATTTTATTGAGCCTATGCAGCATTTTTTTAGACACTCGTGTAAAGAAGAAACCTGTGTTTGATGCTGATTCTCTACCAACTCAATAACTTCAGTAGTCCTCATTGCCAACCAGATGGGATACAGGATTGTTGTAAATTCCAGCAATGTCAACGCTGGCTTTTTTTTCTTACACCACAGCAGTCTACTCATAGTAGGATTTTATAGGTCTACAAAAATACCATATAAGAAGCTGCATTAAATACTCTTCTTGAGGCTAGGCATAGTGGCTCACACCTGTAATTCCAGCTACTCAGGAGGCTAAGGCAGGAGGATCACTTGAATCCAGGAGTTCAAGATCAGCCCTAGAAACATAGCAAAACTCAATCTCTACAAAGAATTTTTTTTTTTTTTTTCATTAACGAGGCATGGTGGTGTGAGACTATAGTCTCAACTACTTGGGTTGCTGAGGTGGGAGGATCACTTGAGCACAGGAATTTGAGGCTACAGTGACCTATGATCACACCTCTGCACTCCAGACCTGTCAAAAAAAAAAAAAAAAAAAACCCACAAAACTCTTCTGGAACTCGGAGCCTCAGTTCCCACTTCCCCCTCTAGCCAGATGACCTGTCAGGAGTCTCCAATAAGTTGTCCAAAAATATATGTTCTCCCTTTGTCAAGTGATTCCCAAAGGAAATCATGAAATCTATTTCTTTTTCCTACATTTTCTCAGCAGGGAAATTTCGGAAATGAGTGAGACAGAGTCAAATAGCCAGCTGTGGGATGACCTCAAAGTTTTGGGTTTCCCATCAGCATTTTCTGGTCCTACAGAACTGTAGGGATGGCCTTTCAAGGCCTGTATAATTATACAGCATTATTGGAATACAGCCAGCTTGTTCATGTCATATTATTCATATTGTTGGCACCATAACATATTATTGACACTATTACTAAATTACTAACTAAAGTTGGTAAATATTTTACTTAGAATTTTATACTTAGATTTATATAAATGTACATGTTTTATACATACATATATATGAAATGTATATATATTACATATAAATTATATATATATATTATAAGTTTATGTAGTTTCTTCCATTTATTTTCTGTCCAGAGGCATGTCTACTTTATTAATTCTTTTATCGAACTAGTTTTTGGATTTACCGACGCTATTCTTGAGTTTTAAAAATTATTTTCTGATTTTTCTTTATGATTTTCTTCCTTCATCTTTTTTAAATTTATGGTGTTTTATTTCTTTCTAACTTCTTTAATTGAATGGTGAGGTCATTCATTTTTAATCTTTTTTCTTTTTGAAAATATACACTGAGGACAATTTATTTCCTTCAAAGGAAATTTGATGCATCTAAAAAGATTTTATGTTTGTTGTGCGTTTTGTTGTTTAGTTTTTCATACTTCATATTTCCATTGAGTTTTGGATCCACGAATTATTTATGTATGTTTTTGAATATCCATACAGTTGTTTGAGACCTATTCAGCTTTGTTTTGTTTTGTTATGCTTTGCTTTGCTTTGCTTTTGATTGGTAGTCTCTTTGCATTTTGGTAACAGAGTGTTTTTAGCATTCTGCTGCATTCTCATAATGTCTTCAACTCTGTCTTTCAAGAATATTGAAATTTCTTGGGTATATTTTTCAGTGGGTCTAAATTTCAGTGGATATATTTTTATTTCTTGTAATTTTAATTGTTTCAAATCTCCCTATTTTAAAAATAGTGCTCAGTTTATTTATTTATTAAATAGGTTAAGAATAAGAGAGGGGAAGCACACCCTACACACATTTGTGCAGACCTAATTTTTATTTTAGCCTCCACTAAGAGGCCCAAGCAGAGACAAGACTTCTTTTCTGGCGCTACCTCCAAGGTCAAAGGGCAGAGTGCTGCTAAGAGGAGCCACCATTCCTTCTGCAGGCAGACCCTGCATGCTGCCCTCTTTCTCAGCCCCAGGCCCACCACTGCATCTCTGCACTGATGCTCACACTTCCCTGGGTATCTGCTCAGAAGCCACGCATGTGTCCAGGGCAGGAATGCATTCGCTCATCTGCCTTGTTGCCATAACTGAAAGGATTCTCAATTCCTCCCTTCTGCTTCCCTTCCCAAAGCTCAAGTTTCTCCCATTTTTAAATAAAACAAACACCCACTAAGCCTCTGTTCCCTGTTCTAGCTATCATCTTCCCTTTCTTCCTCTTCTTGGTTGAGGTACGAATATGAACCTAGTAGGTGCTACAGTCCTCTTAGCAGACCTTCCTCTTCTTGCTCCTTTTCCCTGAAAACAGGACTCCACACTGTCCTCCCTCAGCCTACCCCCAGCAAAACTTCTATGCTATCATGACTTATGACCCTCGAATAAAACCTAGGCTCCTTAACAGGATCTGGCTTCTGCCTTTATTCTCTTGTGTGTCACTGTCCCTTTCTTAAAAACTCAGGAGTTTTATAATGCCCCTAGTTTTTTGAAAGTGCAATGTGACTTCAAGCCTCTTTGCTTTTGCATATGCTGTTCTCTCTGCTAAAATGATTTCTGCTTATCTGCACAGAAAACTTCCATTCATACTTCAAAACCCAGCTCAGAAATTTTCTCTTCAGTGAATCCTTCTCTACTTACCCCAAATACATTTAATCTCTTTTTCATTGTGCTATCTGTTTAAATGGTTCTCCTAGCATTAAATTTAACATACAATATTCTAAATATTTTCCTAGATATTTGTTCCCATCCATTGTGCCCTGTGTTCTTAAGATAGAACTCATAGTTTATTTGTCAATAGATTCCCAGTAGGCAGCACATTGCCTGCCACATGGAAACACTCCATATATGCTTATAAGCATCCAGTGTGATGTTAGAACTGGGTACAGACATCCCTCAGTATCCATGGGGGATTGATTCCAGGACACTGGAGGATACCAAAATTCATGGATGCTCAAGTCTCTGATATAAAACTGTGTGCTTATATGTGTAGTATTTGCATATAAGCAATGCACGTCTTCTTGTAAACTTTAAATAATCTCTAGATTACTTATAATACCTAATACAATGTAAACAGCTGTTATACTGTACTGGTCTTTTAATTTGTATTATTTTTATTGCTGTATTGCTACTTTTTATTGGTGTAATTTTGGAGTGTTTTCAATTTACAATTGCTTGAATTCATGGATAAGCGTGGAACCTGCGGAGATGGAGGGCTGACTGTATCTTGGGTTTTTAGTAAAAATTCATCAATGTTGTTACAAAATTAAAAGTGTTTTAAAATTATTGTATATGTGGGTATAAAAATAATGAATAAACCAAGAATTTGGCATTAGAAATCTGGAATCTTGGGGTACTTTATGTTTCTGAGGAAGATTGTTACCACTCAATTCTGAATGACTGGGGTTATATATCAATGCTGGCCAAGAACCTCATGCCAAATCACCAGAAAAGCACAGTTGCTCTTAGGAGCTTGAACACAGAAAGTTATCAATGACATCAGTAGTGCTTATGAACTTATGTGTCCTGGGCATTTGATTGAAGACAGTTGTCTAATAAATAATGTCAGCTTTAATCTGTACAAATCTGGAGTATTAACTTTTATCTGCTTCGTAATATTCTGTATCTTTCCTGCACCGGCATTAATCCTCTCTGAATCTCTTTCTTTTTAATCTCTGAGTCTTCTTTATGTTTTAAACTGCTTTTTCCCATCAGCATCTCTTTTTGTGATTTTTGTAAACTTTTGTTCTGTTTACACAAAATAATAGCCAATATCTGTTATTTTGGATCAAAAAATACATAATGATGTTTTCATCTATAAGAAAATATGAATAAAGTATTGTCTTAAGCGTATAGATATACAGGTAATGAAGTACTATCAGGGTGCAGGTTAAACCATATTTAAAAAGGTTAAATACTCCATATGGATTGAAACATCACTGAAAGCCTTCTAAGAAATAATTTATTGCTGTTATCACAACGCACTACTAAGAAGGTGCCTCAAGTATTTTCACAGAGTTTTACAGTTGACAAATGTTTCTGGCAGAATGTATTTAATTGGAAACAATAGGATGGGAAGGGAATGGTGATGTTCTTCTTGCATGGTCAGGGAGACACAGGCCTGAAAGATCAATTCCGTGGCAGTACATCTGGTCTGAAATCCAGGGTTAACTTCAGTGCAATGCCCTTCCCATATTCATCTCATGTAGATTTTGGCACAAACAAAAATGACAGACACCTTGATTGCAGACTAGGGTAGAAAACAAAAATGAACTCCATATCATGATACCATGTAGCACTGCTCAAATCTAGGTCATGTATTCATCTCTACAAAAGTCAAAACCAAACAATAACAAAAACAAACTTATATGGACTCCTTAGTGTTACTTTAATTATTTTTGTTATAATGTTCCTTAAACATGCACACATAAAACATAAGGTATAAATAAATTGCTTGTGCTTCTATTAATAGTTCTGATATTACTCTAAACCAAAACCAAATTTACAAATTAAATGAAAACAACACTAAAGTTGAGAAAATACAACTCAAATTATCTACACATATTTAATGGGATTGATAATACTGCTTTCTGAATATAAATCATGACTTCCCAGTGTACAAACTATTGGGGTGCAGGTTCTTTTCAGTTTGACATATTTATATTACCTTGTATCCTTGCCTAGAATGGGTGGTTTATAAACAACATAAACTTATTTCCCACAAACTTTTCTGAAGGCTGAGAAGCCCAAGATTAGCATGCCAGCAGATTTAATGTTTGGCGAGGGCCAGCATTCTGGTTCATAGACGGCACACTTGTTGCTGTGTCCTCACCAACTAGAAGGGGTGAATTCACTAATCCCATTAATGAGGACTCTATCTTCATAACCTAATCACCTCGCCCAAAGCCCCACCTTCTCATACCATCACCTTGGGAGATAGGGCTTCAACAGTAGAACTTTGGGGGAACACAGACATTCAGACTCTAGCACCATTGTAGCACATAGAAACTCAATTCTCCCTCAACTTTTCTCTAATCAGTCCATTATAAAACCTCCGTATGGCAAACTATAAGGCCATTTGGCCTTTACTTGACCAAGCTACATCATCTACATGAGTCCATCCCTGAGATTTGTTCATTTAGCAAGTGTAAGGCAAGTTCTACCAATGTCAACACAAATCGAAACACAGATGTACATGCAGTGTATACCTTAATATAATAGTGCTATGTTATAAATTAGCCATCCATAGCATGATCTAGAATACCCTTATATGATTTTCTAGTTATGATCAATATCAAAATATAATTTAGAGTACATCATAAAAAACTCCAGGACACCCTATAATACATCTGATAATGCCTAGACATCAGGCAATAGTGTGAAAAGAGCTAATATGTGGGAAAATTATTCTATTTTAACCTGGAACCGCACTTGTGTCCCCACCAGAACAAGTATAAAATAGGACTGAATGATGCAGCCTGGGTCAACAAGTAGAGGGAACCGCAGTCCCCGAGAGGGAGAAATTCCGAGTTGTGCCTCTTGTTCCCATTCTCTGCCTGGAACCACATCTTAACATGGCACAAGGGGCGGAGTCCACGCTAAGCAAGATGTTTGCTGAGCTGTGGAGGCAGAGATCAGCATTGGAGCATCTCAAGAGGCTGAAATCCACAGAGCAGGACCCCAACAGGAGAGAACTGCATAGAGGTGACCCCTGAATCTGTGTGATGAGCCTTAGTCCATGGCTGAGGGCTGGGTTGCACGTACGCAGGCCAAGGTTTCCCAAGACCAGCAGAGGGAAGGTTCCTGCAGGGTCAGGAGCAGAACAGAGGTATTGCGGGTTACTAGAGCCATGCACTGAAAGGCAAGTTCAAGGAGCTCAGTTGAAATCTATGCATGGAACGTGTACCAGAAAGTCAAGTCTAAGAAACCTGGGCATTATGACTTACAAATCTGATTTGAGATCAAATAAACTCCCTTCACTGTTTAAGAACAGCTAATAATATTGGTATCAGTTTATGGGTAGAAACTTTCTTGCATTTTTGGATAAATATTTGTTTTATGAGCTATTTTTAAGCCTCTGCTGTTTTGATTGGAATGGATATTACGCTCTTTAATTTACATAATAGGTTTTTAAGCCAGAGAGCACTTAATGAATTTGACTCACCTCCCTTCTGAGTACTGGTGTCACACTGTTTGATAGGCATGATAGGAGTGATTTTTTTTTCAATTTCTAGTAGTAGTATTCACTTTTTCTCCTTTTAGATTAGTAATGATTCTCATCTTACATGCAACCAGGGAAACAAAGCCTGAACAGAACCAAAATGGCCCTCCTCCTAAGTCACAATAGGCTTTTACTTTGCTTCAACTGTGTCTATTTCCAGCAGATAAATTCTCATCAGAAAACCAAAATGTATTATGAAGTAGTCATCCCTTTCAGATGTGAACTTTCAGCTCCTCTCTCTCTCTGTGTTAAAATCTGATCAAGGATGACTTCAAAATCCCAGAAGGACTTCACATTCACAAAATGCCTAGCTAGCTCCTTCCCTTTATATCTTATTTAAACTGAAAAAAAGAAAATATCTGAATTTCATCATTTTCTTTCTGAAATGATAGTTTATAGGTAAAGCATTTTCATTCAGTAACACAAGACAGCCTCATTAGTCTAACCTGGTTAGTCAGTGGATTTGAACAGAGGAATCCCTTTTGGGGTGGGCCTTCTGAGATTTCAAGCCAAAAGATTGAACAGATATAGTCATGCACTGTATAATGATGTTTTGGTCAACAACAAGCTGCATATACAAGGGAGGTCGCATAAGATTATAATACCCTATTTTTTACTATATCTGTTTCAGGTTTAGCTGGGTTCAGATACACAAATGCTATTGTGTTCCAATTGCCTACAGTATACAGTAGAGTCACATGCTGTGCAGGTTTGTAGCCTAGGAGCCACAGGCTTTACCGTATAACCTAGGTGTGTAGTAGGCTCAACCATCTAGGTTTATGAAAGTGCACTCTGTGATGTTTGCATATGGACAAAATCTCCTAACAACACACTTCTCAAACATATCTCTGTGGTTAAGTGGTGCATGACTGTCTTCCAAAATTATACTAAAACACTTCATTTAAACTGGCAACTGGCCATGTGTGATGAGAGCACGGGGAATGTATGTGCTTAGCTAATGCAGAGATAAACTGAAGTCACAGAGAAGGGATAGAATATTTACCAACAGCTTATTCTTGGAGAAAGAGAAATCCTCAAACTCCCAAAACCATAAAAAGAAAAAAAGAAGGAATAACACACACATGCACATACATATATGTATACACAGGTATGGTATGTGTGGATATGTATGCATATGGAGAGCGAGACGAAGACACACAGAGGGTTTCTCCTAGACATTAAATTTACATGTCTTTCCCACTCTGTTGAAAGAGGGCTTGACTCCCAAAGGGAATTCAGCTCTAAACCAGTGACCGTATTGTTCTAGTTTCCTACATGCTGCCCCATGATGATGAAGGAAGGGACAGAGAATAAGTCCTTTCCAGAAGACACTCAGTTACTTTTCTTTAAGAGGGAGAAGGGTGAGTAACTTTATAATGGGAAGATTGAAAGATAATCAGCTCTTTTGGGTTTTGAATAGAGACATGGCTGTTGCTGGTTGGTTAGAGGTCTGCTAAAGATGCTAGAGTCCTCTGCCTTTCCAAGAATAGCCAGTGGCTATTCCAAAGGGGGTGGTGGCCTTTGAGCTTGCATTCCTAAAAGAGCTGTCAAGCCTGGGAGAGCTGTGGGGAAAAGGGAGGGAGGGAGAAAGGAGAGTCAAGGTTCTAGACTGCAACCTACGCACATGCCTTGGCTGACTGAATTTCAGGCTCCGCTAATTACCAAGGGCAGCAGTGCATGGGCTCAAGGGCAGGAAAGTTGCAGATGGACACTGTGCCCAGCTCCAGGACAGGAGTGGAGCAGGGAGGGGTCTTGGCCCAGCCAAACTCTGCCTAAGTCAGTAGCCTCCTCTGCCCTCAGCATTCCATGACAAGGGTGTCCCCAGTCAGCAATGACTGATCTTCCCAACTGGTCCCTGTCAAGTACGTGAGAGCTATGTTTTCCGGCCAGCCTCCACTGTCTCAGAAGAGCACAGTGGGCACGCATCTTCCTCTGCCCTCCAAGAGCAAGAAAAACAGTTCCTACCTGCCTCCCTGCCCAGTTCCCCTTCAGTCTACCCTGTACCCAATCCCTGTGTCCACCAGGTCACCTCCCTTTTCAGTCTTCAAGGGCTCTCCAGTGTTGATAACAAATTTTAAGTTTTTAAAAACAACTTGTCTCATCTTGTCAGGATCATCTAGGTTGCATCCTAACCTTAAGTACAACCAAACTGATAGTTCTCAAGTAAGACTGAATATAGTTGAAATAATCACACTGTCATAAAAATAATTTACAAATTAAAAATAATAACTAGGGAAAGTATTTGTAACTTATCTCACAATAAAGGTTATATCCCTTAAATATATAAAGAGTATCAAAAAATAGAGGGGAAAATAGGCCAATGGTGCTATAGAAAAATAAGCTGAAAAATGCTCTTTCAATTTAAAAAGTGGAAATGGCTACCTATGCAAAGATGCTCAGCCTTATCCATGTAAGAAAACACAAGTCAACACTACATGGCGATAATGATTTTAACTATAATTACCACATTTTTATTATGCTATTATGTTGGCAAAGGCGCCCGTGTCTTATCTCTCCAAAGAGATTGAGCCCACATAGAAGGCAGAAGTCATGTTTTCTATTTTTATATTTCAGTAGCATCTTGATAAATATCTGATTAATAAATATCTGAGGTAATGATGTGGAGCTAATGCTGGGGATGCTGCTAATGATAATTTGTCATTCTTCAAAGTTGCCACAGTCTTCAGAACTAGAAAAAGGCAATAGATGGAGGGGTGCCAGTGGGAAAAACACTGTCATTTTCTCTGTCTTGAGTGATTCTATTGGTCTGGAATGGTGCATACAGTAATCTTCTTGCCTGAATACAATGTTGAAAAGAGAAAAAAAAATGCAATGGCAATTCATGAGGCAATTGTGGATTTTTTCGTCTTAATTGTGGATTTTTTCGTCTTTTTCCGGCAGCACCCTTGAACATTCAGGACGCTCTGAATCATGCCACCACGCACCCCAGTCACGATATGCACCCCCTCCTTCCAGGATCTCATGGATTCGCCCAGATCCCACGGTGATGTTTAATCCACACAGTGAAAACAAAGGCTTAAAACAAGACTCGTCTGAAAGTGGCTATGTGCAATACCTGCAAGATGACTGATGGAGAGATCGTCAAAATAAATTAAAGAGGGAGTGGAGCTAAGGACAAGACACAATGCTGACAGTTATTTTGGTTCACAGGTGATAGGAAAAATATCTTCAGGATATTTATTTTTAAATGAGTTCCTGCAGCTCTTCTCATAAGCTTTCCATATTGAATGATATAATGAAAGGGCTCAATTCCAAATATTGTGACATTTGATGCAGTCATTATATAAAATACTTCTCAAATGCCAAAAAGAACATAATGCTATTGAAAAAACACAATTTTGCATAGTCTTGAGAAAAGAGGAATAAAAAAAGATAGGGGAGAGGTGGTTAAATCTAAAATCAATATATCTAACGAAGAGGTGTCATGCCTGCAATGACATATGTTGATAAGAGAAAAATAATGTTCTGATTTTCTTATTGCAAAGTGCACAAAACCCATAAAAGGGAAGGCAAATTTTTAGTGTAACTAGCAAACTTCATATGGTTAGCTTCTGTTCAAGCACAAGAACAAACATTAAATATGCTATCAGTTAAAATTATTCAAATAATATTAAAAAGCACCAATCCATAAATTTTTAGGGCTATGGTCAATAGTTATAGGTAATTTTCTGAGCAGAGATTTTCTGAGTGTAGGGCTAAAGTTGTCCTCCTCATAAATATTACATATAGCTTTGGAACGGAGTTAAATAGCCTTCCCTTCGGTTCAATAGCACTTCCTGGTATTTATCAGTTTCAGTACGTGGTTTAATGTGCAGTGGAATGCAGGCAGGGAAACAGCAACAGCCTGCCAGCCCTGGTAGGCTGGGTTCAGGACACCAAGTCCTTTTATAGCAAGTTTTCTAAAGCTGTAGGCTTTGCTAAAGGGACCCATGAGCTCCAGAAATCTCTCGAATGCCAAAGTGGGAGCCCTTGATGTCTCAGCCTTGGTTTCCTCTGGAAGGAGGGTATTCAATAACTTGGTCCCCCATTTGGGGGACAAATATCATATTAAAATGTATATTTGCTTTTAAAAAAAGTTTTCAGAACAACTCAAAGATAAGGCATGGTCCTAGGAGTTGATAGAAGAGAAGTACTTTGAAGTTGAAAGGTAAAAATGACTGGCAGATTCGAAATGGTGTTTTTTCAATGCATTCCTTGCAATGAGGGGGCTGAAAGGTTGGTGAGGGAGCTCTCGGAGTGGCCTACTGTATCCAGGCATAGAGCCACGGTAGGCAGCACTAAAAGGGAATAACCCTGGTAATTAGAAAACATTCCCTCCTGCATTTCCTGTCTTATGGCACATCAGCAAAAGCGACCCAAACATGTTTCTTTTCTTTTCTTTTTTTCCTTTCTTTCCTTTTCCTTTTCTTTTCTTCTTTTTTTTTTTTTTTTTTTTTTTTTGAGATAAGGTCTTGCTCTGTCACCCAGGCTGGAGTGTAGTGGCACAATCATCATAGCTCACTGACTGCAGCCTTGAACTCCTGGCCTCAAGCAAGCCTCCCACCTCAGCCTTCCAAGTAGCTGTGCTACAGGCATATATCACTATACCTGGCTAATTTAAAAAAAAAAAATGTGTAGAAACGGGGTCTTGCTCTGTTGCCCAGGCTGGTCTCCAACTCCTGGCCTCAAGTGATCCTCCCACATCGGCCTCCCAAAGTGCTGGGGTTACAGGTGTGAGCCAGACTCTGCAGACCCAAAGCTGGGAGTACAACTGAAGGGAGGATCCCTGTGGGCACAGAGCAAACAACTTGGAACAAACAGAGTGCACAGGATTTGACAGGTCGAACCAGAGGTACACCCCAGACATCACAGGAACCAAACAATGCCCCGGAGGAATGTTGTGGAAGGTCTACCCAGGAAAATCTGGCAAAGCTCCCAAAGCAGCTGGGCAGCAAGTATACACTGATGGTCGACAGCATGCTGGGGCTGAGCACAGTCCCGGGGTGGGGTGGAGGAGACAGACGCGTATGAGAATGATAGCAATGCCATGGTGTGAGGGCAGTGACGCTCATGTGCAGGTGTTGAACCCGCATAAGGGTTGTTTTACCCATCCCCAGGCGGAAGGTCGTTTAGTGATGGATTTTTTTTTTTTTTTTTTGAGACGGAGTCTCGCTCTGTCGTTGGGCTGGAGTGTAGTGGCGGGATCTCGGCTCACTGCAAGCTCCGCCTCCCGGGTTGACGCCATTCTCCTGCCTCAGCCTCCGGAGTAGCTGGTACTACAGGCGCCTGCCGCCACGCCCGGCTAATTTTTTGTATTTTTAGTAGAGACGGGGTTTCACCGTGTTAGCCAGGATGGTCTTGATCTCCTGACCTCGTGATCTGCCCCCCTCGGCCTTCCAAAGTGCTGGGATTACAGGCGTGAGCCACCGCGCCCTGCCTGAGTGATGGTTTTCTAAGGAAGAGTGGCTCTGTTGAGAAGTAGCAGTTGGACGATTTGGAGGCACAGATATGAGAACATGTAAATCAGTGAACACAGAGTGAGAAGTCCAGGGTGCAGGGCAGAGCCAGTAAGAGTTTCAGCAGCGAGAAGAGTGAAGGAGGAGTCCTAGAGAAGAGATGGGGGGAGTAAGAGCCTTGAAAGTCATGTGATGTTACATGAAGTTTGATCTTATTCTCTACCTAACGTGTGGCCACAGGACCAGTGATGCCGTTTGGCATGGAAACTTGCAGCAGGGCGAAGGATGATAGGAAAGGGAATGCATTGAGAAAACAGCGTGACTAGCTGGGAGCTACTCAGATACTAGACCAGTTTGGGCCAGTGTGATGCCTTCTGTACCAAGACAGCACTAGAGGGTGGGTACCTGGAAGATATCATGGAGGCAAAATAACTGCAGATTTCAGGTGGCAAGAGGGACGGCAGCTGGGGGTCTTAGCCTGTAATGTTTGACAAGATTGAAGTCGGGGGACAGCAGCTCTACAGGTAAAGATAATGATTCTGGTCGCACATGTAAGACAGTGTGCATACGGGATGCAGGCGCATAGCCAGACCTGAAGATGGGAGCATTCTGTGCCTCCGTAGAGCTTAAGCCATGGAAATGAATGAGGTTGCCATGGGATAGCCATTTGCCTCTCCCGAGTGTTCCCTTTGGCTTCTCTCTAGTCTAGATGTACAGTCTCTCCCACATCTAATCACTCTCCAAGTTCTACCAGTCCTACCTCGCCAATTATTAAACTGTTTTATCCTTTTCACTTAGAGCTGTGCTGTCTAATACTACCCACATGTGACTGTTGGGCACTTGAAATGTGTTTAACTTGAATTGCTCTGCACTATGGGCATAAAGACATGCACTTTCTGTGAAAAAGTAAGAATGTAAAATGTCTCCTTTAACACTATTTAATATTGATTATGTATTAAAATAATAATGATGTGGATGTATTTGGTTAAAATATATATGTTACTAAATTAATTTCACTTGTTTTAAGTACCAGGAAATTTAAATTGACAAATGCAACTTGTGTTATATTAATATAGCATGGGTGCTCTTCTAGAGTACTATTGTAACAGAGTAATATGATGTAGCTGAAAAGTAGGACAGAAGCTACTAAGACTATTTACGAACTAGAACACTCATAACGCAATCTCTTTGAGCACTGCAACTCCCTACTTCTTCCTATAAGCTATGCTACCTATGCTACCCCAGGTTTTAATATCCACTAGTATGAGGATGGTGGCCCTGCTAAGGATGTCACCTGAGCAGCCCCATGGTAAGGGCATCAACTTTCTGGGTTGTTTCTTCCTTGTAAGTGCTTAAAATAAACATTGTCATGTAGTGGTGTAATAGTTAATGGCCTCTTATTAAAAAAAAAAAAAAAAAATGTCCAGGCATGGTGGCTAACGCCTGTAGTCCCAGCACTTTGAGAGGCCAAGGTGAGAGGATCACTTGAGGCCAGAGCTAGAGATCAGCCTGGGCAACGTAGCAAGACCCAGTCCATATAAAAAATAAAATTAAAAAGGAAAATAATTAGCCAGGCATAGTGGTGTGTACCTGTAGTCCCAGCTGCTTGGGAGGCTGAGGCAGAAGGATCACTTGAACTTAGGAGGTGGAGGCTGCATGCAGTTGGCTATAATTGCACCACTGCAGTCTAGCCTGGGCAACAGAGCAAGATCCTATCTCTATAAAAATAAAAAAAAACTCTAATTGAGACCATTCCCATGGTATAGATGCTCCCACCATGGCCAATTTTGAGCTACCAGTGCATTACTAACTGGCCTGCAAAGTTCCTGGATATTCACCAATGGCTCTTGCAAGCCACTTCAAGCAGGCTCAATTTGCCTGGGCCAAATCTGGGTAGTCTGGTGGGCAGAAAACTACATGTGAGTCTGGATCAGTACTGCCCAATAGAACTTTCTGCACTGATACGAATGTTCTGGATCTGTGTTCTGTGGCTGTTGAACTGTGGCTAATAGGACTGAGGAACAGAATTTTAAATTTCATGGTATTTTAGTTAATGTTCATGTAAAGAGCCACCTGTGGTTAGTGGCTACCATACTGGACAGTCCAGGTCTGGAGGTCTGTAGCAAACAACATTCCGTATGCAGGGAGCTGAGAGAGAAAGACAGCGGGAGAATGAGAATACCGCCAAAACCAATACAAGCCCACTTCCTAACTTGGGTGAACAGGTATGGTGTGGAGGAGGAAGGAGTGCACAGACTTCTCTGCTACTTAAAGCATATTGATCCCACCTCCTGGGAGAAAGAAGAAAACAAACTGCCCTCCGTATTTTTTGAGTCAGTATAATATTTTATCTCATAAAACACTGGTGAGTCTTCCTTAAATTCCAATTAATACAACTTAAATTCATGAATATGAGCTTTCATGCCCCATGAACCCCCATGCCCCCATCACTTACAAAGTTCTCTGAGCACCAGGGGAGAACTCAATTACTATAAAACAATCATCCTGGTTCTTCAGAATGTGCTAGACTACTGGTTTAGACCCAGAGAGGAGAGCCTACATGGACTTCCTGCTATATTTGCAGGTTAAGAACTTTAGCCAGATAACATTTGCTTTTTCCCTGAGGAAATGAGCTTCAAAAGCAATAAGAAATCTTATGCCTTATTAAAAGGAATATTTGACAATAGCTGGGAGGATATTATGTTTGTCTTAATCATGTAAGAGTCATCAATCTCATTTCCATTGGTCCAGATTCCAGATCAGCTTACTATCTTGTTGATACATTAAAAAGTCATTGATCATGCCTGTCATCACAGCACTTTGGGAGGCTGAAGCAGGAGGGCCGCTGGAGCCCAGGAGATTGAGGCTGCAATGAGCTAAGATGGCGTCACTGCACTCCAGCCTGGGTGACAGAGCAAGACTCTGTCTCAAATACCAAAAAAAAAGAAAAAATAGTACAATAATTATATTACAAAATATTTAAGGCAATAAAATACAACATGGCAGAAACAGAAAGTATGAGACAAGGGATTTTAAAAAGAACACAAACGAAGTGGAAAAAGTTCAAGAACAATTTAAGGACGAGCAGGCTTTCACCTGGAGGAAATATGAAATTTCAAAAAACCACCGTGCCTGGTCCTGGTTACATTATTTTTTTGCAAATATTTTTATTCTTACCATACAAATTCAAATTTTAAAAAATAACAATTACTAACATGTTTCCCTCTCTCCAAGTAATTAATATTTTCAGTTTGGAGAAAACCATTTCAGGTGTCTGGCTCTGCCTATTTATGGATGGATAGAGAGAGGTAATCTAGAGAATAAAATAGTGTCGTCTTATAAACCTGTTCTTAATAAAATCATTACATTTTTTTTACTTGACTTTGAGGAACAATGAATAGAAGTAAAACTAAAGATATTGCTGAAGTTTGAATATTTTTTATTACAAGAAATATTAGTTCCTAAATTATCCTAAGTTATTCTGTACTTATAAAGTCAAATCTGAAAAACTGAAGAAGTTGCAGTACTTTCAACTATCGGCTTCAAGTATTTTAATCTCCACTGTGGAAGATAAGATTATCATACACATAAACAAGTAGCCTCCTATTTCCCTAAGTATTACTTTCCATTTTTTGTTTGGTGTTATATTTATGTTACAAAAATTATGAATGTATATTTCTTCTTTGTAACCATAATCATCCAGAGTTGATAAATATTAGGTCCTATGTGTAAACAGATTCAGTGTTTGTTCAATACCTGTATTTTTTATCATAGTTCACATCTCATTAACTATCTTTGTATGTTTTGTAGAAAACACTTAAATGTGAAAAAAATTAAAAGTAATATAACAAACAAAAATATATATAATATGCATCTGTAAATAAAATATAGGATTATTTAAAAAAAAAAGTCATTGATCAATGTATTCAAATTTGGACAGCAGATTGTGATCAATTCTGATTCCTGAAGATCATTTCACTGCACTGCAGAAACTTGAGCCTTGATGATTTTGTTTCTAAGCCTTGCCTAAGAGAAACAATATAGTAATTTCTTAATTGTTTCATTAATTCCCAATTGGCAAAAATATACATTTTTAAATGGATTAGTAGAACTTGTAATTAAATTAACAGTATTGAATATCTAGATAATGAAGATTTCAAAAGCAGTTGCTATATTATGATCATATTTTTCCTTATATTCTGAAAAAAAACAGAAAAACAAATGAACCCTTCCAGTTTAAACACTGGATAACTTCTGATTATTTCTGTCTCAGAGTTGCCAGGTACTACAGGAGTAGACAGTCAACAGACATTTTTCATTTAAAGTTGACCTGGAGAGGCAAGCTCAGTTGTTCCAATGATATGTGTGCATGTATTGCATTTGTTTAAAAAATGCAGCTTCCAAGACATAGGGCCTGGAAACTGGAATTGTAACAAATACCCTGGGTGATGCTTATGCAGCCTAATTGATGTAAGCCCTTCAACACTGAAGAAACTCGCTAACTACGAGTGTCACTAATAGCTCTTATCAGCCGACCCACAAAACCAGCAAGGCGTCCATTTGTGTATTCAAATGCTTAACATCTAAACCCAAGACCTGCTCCATAAATAATATTTAACAGACTTTACAAAGCAGATAATTCTGGATATTTCTTACTTAGTAATGTAAAATACAATTCTGGTCCTCAATGTCCAGAACTCACAGGAATTTGTTTTCCTCAAAAAAAAAAAAAAAAAAAGTCAATGATCTGTGAAGAATTCTGATTGCTGGTCAGTAGGACAGGACAAGATCATAAACCCAGTAACACATTCATTTCTCCCATAATCTCTTTCCCATTATGAGCAAGAACTCTGGTGCTGTAGAAATTAGCTTTAAAAAGTGTCTCGGTCTCCGGTGACTATGAAAAAATAGAATTAAAATGAATCATCTCATCTTTAAAGTCTGAGAGGTTCAGGGGCTCAGACCTCCAGCCACCATGGGAGTGGTCTTTGAGAGGTGCCTTTTCTGGGTGCTGTAAGACCAATATGAGTTAAAAATATAATTTATAACAGTATGTGGAGTCATGAAGACATCATTTTTTTGTGAAGAAAAGGAAATTTAAAGCAAAACAGCAACACAAAAACACATATTTGGTAGTGAAAGCAGAAGAAACAAGAAGTGAAGGTTAACTATTAACGGAGACTGTCCCTTGGCAGGGTGACAATACTCATAAATTAATTAGTATTTCTCCATGAGTCAGGAGCATTCTCAAATATTCTTGGGTGATATTCAATTAATAAGCAAAAGCTATATCACTTTTGTTTGTGTTCTACTTCCTATAATTTGCAGGGCCATCTCTTTGAGATCCAAGTGCCATAAAAGACCATGTGGACGATGTCATATCTGGTCTGTGTCCAACTCACATTGATGGTGTTTGTTTCCATAAGCCTGGGGAGTGCGCCTCAATTTGAAGTTGTGGTGGAGTCCAGATCAATCTTTTTCCCTAAATACATGGAAGAAATGGGAGAAATGAGAAAGGAGAAAGCATGAGATCAAGTCATAATATGCAAGGACTGGGAGCTGACAATTATTATAAAGTCTAAACAAAGCTGTATTTGGCCAGGCGCGGTGGCTCACTCCTGTAATCCTAGAACTTTAGGAAGCCAAGGCGGGTAGATCACTAGAGGTCAGGAGTTTGAGACCAGCCTGGCCAATATGGCAAAACCCCATCTTTACTAAAAATACAAAAATTAGCCTGGCATGGTGGTGCACCTGTAATCCCAGCTACTTGGGAGGCTGAGACAGAAGAATGGCTTGAACCCGGGAGGTGGAGGTTGCAGTGAGCCGAGATCATGCCACTGAAGTCCAGCCAGCCTGGGCAAAAGAGCAAAACTCAGTCTCAAAAAAAAAAAAAAGCTGTATTTGTAGGTTGTTTGTACAGTCATAGGTTACTTGACAAGGAAATATGTTCTGAGAAATGCATTTTTAGGCTTTTTTGTGTGTCATTGTGTGAACATCATACAGTGCACTTACACAGACCTAGATAGTAGAGCCTACTACACTCTTAGGCTATAGGGTACAGCCCATTGCTCCTAGGCTACAACCCCGCACACACTGGACTGCAGGCAACTGTAACACAATGGTAAACATTTGTGTATTTAAACATAGAAAAGGTACAATAAAATACAGTTAAAAGATTAAAAATGGTGCACCTGCATAGGACACTTATGATGAATGCAGCTTGCAGGATGGAAGTTGCTCTGGGTGAGTCCTTGAGTGAGTGGTGAATGAATGTGAAGGACTTGGACATTACTGTGCACTACTGTAGATTTATAAACACTGTACACTTAGGCTACAATAAATTAACTTTAAAATATTTTTCTTTAATAAATTAACCTTAGCTTACTGTAACTTTTTTAGTTTATAAACTTTTCTTTTAACTTTTTGACTCTTCTGTAATAACTCTTAGCTTAACACATAAACACACTGTACAGCTAAACAAAAATATTTTCTTTATATCTTTATTTTATGAGCATTTTTCTATTAAAATTTTTCTTTACTTTTTAAACTTTTTTGTTAAAAACTAAGACATAAACACACACATTGGCTGAGAACTACACAGGGTCAGGATCATAATATCACTGTCTTCCACCTCCACATCTTGTCCCAGTGGAAGGTTTTCGGGGGCAACAACAAGCATGCAGCTATCATCTCCTGTGATAACCATGCCTCCTTCTGGATACCTCACGAAGGACCTGTGAAGGGCTGTTCTACAGTTAACTTTATATATATATATGCGGAGTATACTCTAAAATAATGATTAAAAGTACAATATGATAAATACAGAAGCCAGTAGCATAGTCACGTATTATCATTATCAAGTATCATGCCCTGTCCATAATTGTATGTGCTATTTACATTCATACTACAGCAGAGCACAAACATTACCACCAGCAGGTAGGATATTAGGAAGGCTGCCGTCACTAGGTGATAGGAATTTTTCAGCTCCATTACAATTTTATGGGACCATTGTGGTATACGCGATCTGTCGTTGACTGAAGCATTGTTATGTGGTGCATGACTGTACAGGTATGGCAGAACTCTGGGAAGATTGTTGCCATAGGTACTGTATTGCTTTTATTGCAGAAAGCATTGAACACTTGAGCATTTTTAGATCTTTTAAGCTTTTCCAGATATTTTTTCTTGTCAGCTAGTTATGTCAACTCTTTCCCTGTAGAACTGTTTGTTAAAGGGCATAAGCTATTCCTATAATTAATCTCCAAAAATGGGCAATAGGAAAAAAATCCTACCATTTTACTTAGAAATTTTTTGTGCTTATGAGAAATTACCATTGATTTTAACTTTTATAGAGCTTGTTCTCTTGGTATCCAAGCAAGTTCTGCTACAGTTAGTATTTTAGAACTCTTTAAGGAACTGTGGTACAGTGAAACCCTAAAACAACTCCCTCTCCTTCAAAATGTCAGATATTAAGAAATTCCAGATCTTTCCCATGGTTTCTCCCCACAAACACAATCCAACACTAAGACTAATCCTCCCCTGATTTTAAGATACAATTTAAGAGCTGTTGGCTTGACAACTCAAGCTTTAACAACTTTAAAACTTTAACAAGTTTTAACAAACTGCTAAGAAAAGAGTTCAAAAGACAATGAATCTTGACAATATACTACTGAGAGCTCTGAATTTGCTCAATTTCAAAAACACAAGGAGCTTGATTATCTTTAAGTGAGACCAAATCAGCCCTGCCTTTTTACTATTTGGTCAATTCAGTGAGCAAAGGAAAAATAAAAATAAACTTGGCTAATATACTCAAACCTAATAGCCATCCATTAATAAGTATTATACTAACTGACCCACTGAAGACTGGTCAGCTCTGTCCAATTCACTATGAGCATAATCTGATTCCACTAATAATTTATCATTAAATCTTTAGCTTAAGATATAAATAGTTCAATGATTTAAAATTTAATAAGAAACTAATAGGGATTCTTCAATAGGTTTTTGGTTTATGGGTATAATTTTCACATTAACATTTATCATTACATGAGAAAGTATAGCTGTAAAAGATCTTTCTAGAAGTGCATGTGCCCTTTGACCCATTAATGAGAAAATGATTAAGTAAATACTATAATGGTATACATAGCTACTGAAGGCAAGTCTTCAAAAGTTTTCTGGACTTTGTAAACTTTCTAAAATGTGAATGTATTATTTTACCAATGAAAAAAGTTATAAAGTCCCTCCTAGTTTCAATATAAGCCTCACATAGATACTTTAAAATAATCACTGGCTTTAATCACTCTTTATCTTATCATCTTGTTTAAATTTCCTTCATTTTCATTAAAATGTCTTCATTATTGTCTCAGTTGACATTATTTTATAACTTATTATCTTCCGCATCTCAACTAAAATGTAATTTTTGTAAAATTAAAGACATTATGTCTCTTATTCAATGTGTTCTGAGACTCTAAACCAGAGACAACAGCAGTGTGGGCATGCAGCAGTTGTTTGTTCAATAAATAAATGGACTGCCCGCTAAGCACATTCTCTCATAATTACATTTGATATGTCTCTCTCCCCTCCTGGCCCTTGCCCCCGCTAATATAAATCCCATGAGGACAAGGACTATGTCATCGTTTTTCATACTGCCAAGACATTATGCCTGATCATGTAGACATTCAGTTGTGCATGAATTAATTAATTAATTAATGAGTTTAAAGTCTAATTATTAACGCTTATGCTCTTTCCTCTACACCATTATGCCTAAGTTCACCCTGGTGAGAAGCTGATAGGAATTCTAAGGTTAGAGAGAGTTTTGCAGTCAAGCAGGCTTATAAATCTTGGTTTGAAGGAGACTGAAATTGCATTTGCCATGGTACTTCAAGAGTCTTTAGTGCACAGGAGCATTGTAAATTGTCAAGAGGAGACAGCGTGTCAGGCAGCTCATCCTTGGGACAGGCCCTCATGGCAGAGCAGGTTACTGAACAGTCAGCCTGACTTAGCATGAAAGTAATTTCATTTGTTCATTATCTAAATCATCAAATCTTATTGAGCTTTTCATTATCACATAGAATTTTTCGAAATAAGTTTTTCTACTAGCTGGGGAAAAGTGATGGTAGCCACATTTTTCAGCTTTCTGTAAGAGTCTTTGGGGATATCCAGACCTTAGTCTTACTCTTAGTCTTGGAGTGCTTGTCTTCCCAAGCTGCCTCTGGCTGCAGGAGGACCTTCTCTCTTGTGCCTTGACAGCTTTCCTCTTTGAGTCTCTGCCAATGCCAGGGGAGTGCAGTGGCCTGAGCTATGGAGTCAGTCTTTGATTCAGACCTCAGTTCCTTATTTGTAAAACATGGATAATAGTAATCACCATATGCTTACTGAGAGGTGTATGTTTTATGCAATGGGACAGTACATATTTATACTCAAAAATATGGTTTTCCTCCTGTTCAGTTTCATTTGGGGTCATTTATATAAAGGCACAGAGTTAATTTAATAGATTGGATAATCATTGCATTTTTTTAAGATTCACAGACCCCTCACTTGCTGCAAGAATATGCAAATACAAATAAAGCACAGTGGCCTAGGCAGCAGGAGAGCATTCGATCATCTGGATTTGAGTCCCTCTTCTGCCACTTGATAGCTATGTGACAGTTCCATCCCACAACTTCCTCATCTTGAAACAGTGTTGTTAATACCACTTCACAGGATTGCTGTGAAAATTAAATATGAAATAAATATGAAAAGTAGCTTCCCCTCACTCTTTTCTATCTCAGCCCCTGATTTGTTTCCTTGGTAGCACTTTGAGTTTTATGAGTCACATCTGCTTGTTTACCATTTGTCTTCCTGTGGAGGATGTATGCCCCAGAAGTGGAGGGAGCTCATTGCTATAGTCCACGCAAACCCTCAGTTCTAACACAGTGCCCCACATGGAGAAGGATATGCTTCTTTGTTGAGTGATCACTCTTTTACATGCACTTGGCATACATTAATTCATTGATTTATTTAATCCTCTCATCAACCCAGTATGTGGTAGGATTATTATCTCCATTTAAAAGATGAGGAAATTGAGAAGATTGCATTGCTCACAGAACTAATAAGAGGTGAGCAAGCCTCTTCTGTCTCACTGAACAGCCAATGATCTCAAGAGTCCACATCATGGCCCCAGTGACTGTCCTCATAAGGCAGTGTGGTGAAAGGAACATCTCCAGGATCCTACAGGACACGTTGCTAGGAGTCTCACATGGTATCATCCATTGAAGCTGCACAGCTCCAAAGAAGGGAGCACTGGTCCCACATGAAACTGGGAGCAGGGATGTTTTTTACATATGGCATAAACTTTGATTGCAAAGATTAAATGTAGAAAAATGAGAAAAACAATCATACCTCCTTGATAGATTCTTTATTCTCTCTCTGATCTTTTAGCAGTGGAGAATTCTAGGGCTTAGTTCTTGGGCAGTTTCTGATCTCCGTCCACACTTACTCTCATAGTGATTCCATCCAGCCTCTGGCTTTACATAGCATCTATATGCTTACAATACCCAAATTTACCTCTCTAGCTTGGACTTCTCCCCTAAATTATTGACTTGCATGATATATTGTCCACTTGATATTTCCACTCATATGCCCAAGAGAGATCTAATTAACTCATCTTTCCCATCTCAGATTGAAGGCAACTCTGTATGTCCAGTTGTGCAAATAAATCTTGGCATCTTCATTGCCCTCTCCCTCCATTTCTCACATCCTACATAAAATCAATTAGTCAGTTTCATTGAATCTACCCTCAAAATATACCCAGAATCCAATCACTTCTCACCACCTTCCTGGTACTGTTTGGTCTAAGCCACCAGTATCTCTTGCTTGAATAATTACAAAAGGTTTTCTTGGTTCTGCTCTTGCCCCTTTGCCACTTGTAATCAATTCTCAACAAAGTTATCAGAATTTTTTTTTTTTAAGTATGTCAGATCATGTCACTTCTATACTCAAAACTCATCCAGGACTCATCATACTCACAAAAAGTTAAAATCTTAGTACAGGCTCAGTGGCTCACACCTGTAATCCCAGCAATTTGGGAGGCTGAGGTAGGAAAATTTTTTGAGGCCAGAAGTTTGAGACCAGCCTGAGCAAAATATCAAGATTCCATATCTACAAAAAACAAAACAAAAGAGTAAAAGTCTTTTCAGGGACCTATAAAGCATTACATTACCAGGTCATCATTACTTTTCTGACCTCCTATCCTGCAGCTCTTCTCCAGATTGCTCTACTTTAGCCACCTTGGTCTTCTTGATGTCCTTTGGACACTTCTGACATGCTCTTGTTTTATGACCCTGGCCCTTGCCTATCTGTCCTTGTGTCTGCATGTATTTTCAAGTTTTCCCCCACATCTCACTTTTCAAAGAATAAGCTGATCACTTCACTTACTACTACAACTTTTACCTCCCAGTGTCATCTACTTGTCCCTACTTTAATCTTTTTTCATAGCCTGTATCACCTTTTAATGTAAAATAATAATTTATAATTTATGATATTTATTGTTTATGGTCTGTCCTTTCCCCTAGAATGTAAAATTAAGAAGCTTATGAAACTTACTTTGTTTTATTCATCAAGGTATCCTAAATATCTAATATAATACGTTGTAGGTACTCAATAAATATGTGCTTGATGGTCAACATTAAATTTTATATTTCACACTTGAGAAAGTATTTAAGTCATGTCTCAGTATTCTTAAGTTTGTTGAGTTTATGACCAGCTTTAGAAAGAGAATATAAAGTTCTTTTCAAAACGTTTTGCTAAACAGAAAGGAAGCCACGAAGATAGACTGAATGAGAAAACTGAAAGTAGAAAGAATAAATGAAAAAGCTGAGGCAGAAGACAAAAAGAAAAATTAGAATCCAGGGAGAAAAGATAGGCAAGTATGGATCAGAAATTAGGAGAGTATAAAAATAAATTTAAAACGTAAATTATTATCAACTGAAAAATATAATGCCATTGAGTCCACATTAAAAGTAGAATTAAAATCTTCTTCAGTACTTAGCTTGGTGTTCAAAAATCCCTTTTTATTATGAAAGAAATTATCTTTTTTGTTTTTACTACTCATGATTATAAGAAAAATAATCCTTTGATTTATTGAATAAAAAGTTGTACTCAGTGTTGAAACATTACTAATCATTTAAAGGCTTTTTTGACACATTATCACAGTTATATTTATTTACATATTTAGCATTTTCATACGCTCTTCATTTCTCTGCATTTATCTATATTTCCAAATGATATAATTTTCCTTCTGTGTGGAGAATTTTATTTAATATTGCTTGTACTGAAGGTCTGCTAGTAGGGAATTCTTTCAGCTTTTATATATTTGAAAAAGTGTTTCATTTCTATTTTAAAAGGTATTTTTACTGAGTATAGAATTATATGTTGACAACCTCTTTTTTTCTTCCTTCCTTCTTTCCTTCCTTCCTACTTTCCTTCATTCCTTCTATCTTTTTTCTTTCTTTTCTTCCTGTTGCTCCACTGTCTTTTTGCTTGCATTGTCTCAAGCAAGAAGTCTGCTGTTTTTCTTTGTTATTGTGTATGCTGTGTTCATTTTTTTCTCATCTAATTTTAACATTTTTCTCTTTATCACTGATTTTAAGGAGTTTCGTTAGAATTTCATAGAAATTCCATAATTGTATATTATTTCTAAATTACACATTTTCTTTTCATTTTCACATAAACAGAGAATTTTAATGCTGTAAGTGGTGTTAAAGTGTACTAAGTTCAAATTCTTTGTTTTTATAGACGAGAAAACCCAGAGTAAATGTCTATGAGTGTTATTCAATTTAACATTTGAATACTCATTCAATTAATATTTATTCAACTGGTAAATGTAAAGAAAACATGAGAAGGAACAACTCTGTAAAGTAAAGGTCAGATAGATAGATTGGTAGGCATAGATATAGATACAGATATATGTTAGGTTTAAAGATGTTGGCAGAATATCCATGTAGATGTTTCCAATAGTCAGCTAAAGATCTTAGAATAAAATGAATCTGGGTCTATCAATAGATACATAGATAGAGAAATAGATAGACAGATAGATAGACAGATAATTTCTTTTAATTTCCCCAAAGATGAGAGTGGGAAGATCTAATAAAGATTACAGATAATTCACCAAGAAGAACACCTTAAGCTGAAGAACAGAATGAGAAAGTCTGAGAAAATGTCAGAAATGTAGTAGAAGCAAGAGAATGTAAAAGCTTATTGAAGAAGTGGTACCAACTAGAGTAAATGTTCCATCAAAGAATGGATGCTCGTTAGTACTTGATGGAACAGTTCAGAGGGAAATAAGGAGACAGAGCATGAAAAGTTATAATGTAATTTGGCAACCCATGTTCATTAATGACCTTCTAAATGATAGTTTTTTTAGAAGGAAAAGATTAACAGAAAGTAGGAGAAAATACCAATGTTTTTGGTAACACACATATAATGTTTACTATTGTGCCATGAACTCTTCTAAGCTGTTTGTAAGTATTAAGTCATTTAATTCACCTTCATAAGAATCATTATCATCCCACTTGTCAGATAAGAAAATTGAGCCACAAACCAACAAAGTACTTGCCCAAAGTCTCACAACTCATAGATGGTAGAACCAGAGTTTAGATTCACATCTGTGTGATCATGCTCTGCTCCAGAATTCATACTTTTACCCATTATTCTACACTGACTCTTTGGGGAAAAAATGAAGCACAGTCAAGTCCTATTTATTGTCTCAAATCATGGGCAAAACTCTAATTAGAAGCGTTGGAGATGGGGGAAAGATTGAATATTATCAGAAGGATTTTTTTTGGTCAGTTTCTGATCAATGTAAGATAAAAATCTTAAACGGAAAATTATCTACTGATAATTAAGAATCCATAATTATGGTTCTGGCCAAAACTTTTACCAACTATATGATCTTTGATGGGTCTTAGCCTCGCTGTCCCTGTGTCTGGATGTACTCACTGAGATTGCGTTTTCTCTTCTATTGAGTTGTTAATTTCTAACATTCAGGGTTATTTGAGACAAAACATGTCAGAATGCTTTGTAAACTTGCAAAGAATACTGAAAAGCAAGGTATTTTGTTATTTTTTAAAATTGAAAGAAAGTTCAAACAACACAACCTTGTTGACATCCTTGATTGAAATAAATGCAAAAATGTTATAACGGTTGGAAAAATGAACATGAAGATTGAAGGTACACACCAAAAAATAACAGGTGTCAACTGAAATTCTCCAATTTAGATAATATAAATCATTTTCTCCCATGTAAATAGATCATCATCCAGGTCAATTCATATATAGCTTAATTTGATGTTGTGGGGAAAACAAAAACATATAGGTCCTGACATATTCTAATTTCTTCATATACTTTTTTAAAAATAAAACTTTCCTCTTACAGCAGTTTTAAGTTCACAATAAAATTAAAAGGAAGGTCCAGAGATTTTCTATATATCCCCTTCCTGTCCCCACATGCACATTCTCCCCCACTATCAACTTCCCCTGCCAGATTGGGCCATTTGTTACAATTGATGAACCTCCATTGACACATCATTATTTCCCAGAGTCCATAGTTTACTTCAGGGTTTATTTACTCTTGGTGTTTTACATTCTGTGGATTTGGGCAAATGTATAATCACATGTATCCATCACTACAGTATCATACAGAGTATTTCCACTGCCTAAATGTCTTATCTGCTCCATCTAGTCATCTCTCCCTCCCCCTGGAAATCAGTAATATTTTCTTAATACATTTTAACAATTAATTTTATCCATACTGTAATAGATTGAGATAACTAGCAATATCTTTATTTTTCTTGTAACTTTGTTCTATAATTTTTCTCAGATTTGTCAGGCATCATGATTAGGCACTTCTAACATATTTTAGAAACAAGTACATATAAAGGATTATGTAAACACTTTCAATAATAAGATAACTCATTATTGGGTTATAATAAATACTTTTCATATATCTCAACCTGGGAAACAAAATATTAAATACAAAATTTTAACAACAATGGCTTATACCTTTGAATAACATGTATTATCTCTTAATAGTAAGACTGTATATGAGATTTTACAATCTTAGAATTATTTGAAAATTGAACTTCAACTTGTCATTAACATTGAAAAGTGCCGCATTTGCAAAGTCATTATGGAAGCACATAAGCATAAGCACATATTAAGAGGAGGGGAAAATGGTAAAATGTAATGCTCCATTGATTTGTTTTCAAAGCCAAGTTGATGCTGTTTTTGTCTTCACCATTATTTTTTACTTGATAAAATGTTTTGGTCCTTTCCGTCTGTAGAGAATTCTTCAGCCAATACCCTATCTTCTCTGTTAAGAGAGAACCAGCAGCTACAGTCAAAGTTCACTTCGTGTTTTATGTGTTTCTTTTTTTATGTGAGAGACTTAAAATGCCAGCCCTCAAAGACTGCTGGGGCCTCACAGCTGACCTGAACCTTGTACATGTCTGCCACATCCAGGATGCAATCTACAATAGAGGCAGGGAGAAAGTGGATGTATTAACTGGGCTATATATTATATGTTTATATAATAGATATATTAATAGATTCTAAGCTATTAATGATACTAACAGCTATAATTTTGGTCACCATACTATGTAACAGTCACTATTGCAAGTAGTCCTCATTCAATCCTCACAATAGCCTTGCAAACTAGGTACTATTAAGACCATCTCACGAATAAACAAATTGGGGCTCAGTTATATGTAGGGGAATTAATATTTATACCCTGGTCATTCTGACCCCAAAGACTACCAGCCAGTCAACCTGTTTGTCTATTGTAGCCTGTAAAAGTTATGATTCATTTTAGAAGTTTTGCTTGTACCTGATTAGAATTATTAAGCAAGAAAAATTACTTCTGTATTGATTTAGTGATTAGCTGCCCTTTAAAAACCTGTGTTGGACTAGCAGGACAAGAAAAAAGAAGGTTTCTAGTACAACTTGTGTTTTTTTGGACAGAATGCTCCGAAGGCATGCAACTTGTGGTTGGGCATGCCATGGAACATTTTGGGGGAAAACTGATTAGCTAACATACCACTATTAACTACTGTTAGGTAATCCCCAAACTAGGGAACTTAGGTTGGTTAATACTTGTTAAGCTAATATAACTAAATGATATTATTTAGTGCTGTTTAAATTGAATTCCACTAAGATTTTTTTAAGTAAAATTTGGGCATTATAAAAGGTGACTCATCAAAAAAGATTTACTTGCCCCTGGACACTAGCAATAAAAGAGTAAAAGGGACATAGTCAGTGAATCATTCAAGTCAAATATAAGGTCATTGTATTTAGTTCCCACAGAATCATGCACCAGGAATTTGGTCTGAGGCCTTGCCTTTCCACTTGATGCTGTAGGGGGTAGGAAGGTGTGATACCTCTCCTCACCCATCACGAGGGTCACAGCTGACATTCCTATAACCACAGACTGGTTAATAAGAGTGAAGCATAACAAATTTATTGAATCAAAAAGTTTACATAAACTCTGCCACAAAGTAACACAGGAGCCTTCAGAAATGAATAGCAAAAGACCCAGGGAAAACTGTCTATTTCTATGCTTAGGTGTCATGAAAAGTGGATAGCTATGTGGAAATGTGATTGGATAAAAGGGTATGAACTTTTGGTAATAGAATGAGGAGGGAAGCCAGCAAGTCCTGTCTGTTCAGATTCTTCTTGACCTATTTGTACAGCACTATTTCCCCCAGAGTATGAGGAGCTTCAAAAAGTTCATGGAAAAATGGAATTAAAAGATGAAAATTTAAAAATATAAACTTTATTTCTCAATATGAGCTCCATCAAATTGAAGACACTTTTGTAAATGATGATACCAGCCACTTAATCCACCACTGAGGAACTAAGAGTCATGGGAATTTAACCATGCCCATGCAGTCATTTTAGCACTATTAACTGAAGAAAAATGAGTGCCCTTTAAAGATTTTTTGAGATTAGGAAATGCAAAGAAGTCACAAGGAGCTGAATCAGACTGTAAGATGGATTCCTAACGTATTCCTATCAAAGATCTTGCAAAATTGCCCTTGTTTAATGAGAAGAATGATCAGGAGCATTGTTGTGGTGAAGAAGGACTCCCTGGTGAAGCTTTCCTGGAAGTTTTACTGTGAAAGCTTTGGCTTTCTCAAAACACTCTAAGAACAAGTAGTTATTATTTTTCTTCAGCCCTCCAGAAAGTCAAGAAGCAAAATGCCTCAAGAATCCCCAAAACTTTTGCCATAACCTTGACTCCTGATTGGTCCACTTTGGCTTTAACCAGACCACCGTCACCTCTTGGTAACCGTTGCTTTGATTGTGCTTTGTCTTCAGGATGGTACTGGTAGAGCCATGTTTCATCTTCTGTTACAATTCTTCAAAGAAATGCTTCAGGATCTTGATCCAACTTGCATAAAATTTTCATTGAAAGCTCTGCTGTTGTCAGGAGCTGATCTGGACACAACAGTTTTGGCACCCATTGGGTGGAAAGCTTGCTCAACTTTAATTTTTCAGTCAGAATTGTGTGAGTTGAACCAACTGAGATGTCTGTGGTTCTGGCTATTTTTTGCACTGTTAATCGCTAGTCCTCTTTAATTAGGGCATGCACAAGATTAATTTTTTCCTCACAAATTGATATGGATGGCCAGCTGCTGTGGGCTTCATTTTCACATCCTCTTGCCCCTCCTTAAATGAATTATCCATAGGTAAATTGCTGATTTCTTTGGGACTTGTCCCCATAAACTTTTTGTAAAGCATCAGTGATTTCGTCATTCTTCCACCGAGCTTCACCATAAATTTGATGTTTGTTCTTGCTTCAATTGTAACAGAATTCATGTTGCTTTGATAAGGGCTGTCTTCAGCTGTCTTATGCTTCTTCATGCCTCAAACTAGAGGCTGTTCAGATGTGTTATAACAAGTTAGTATGACTTTATTTTTGTGCAAAAATTGTTGAAATCCATGCATGTTTTTTCACAATATGCATTTTCCATGAACTTTTTGAAAATACCTTATACATGGCAGTGACCCCACTGGAATGAGAGTCTTCAAGGGAAAAGGGAAAGAATGACTTTTCTAGGCTTTATGGTTTGCTTAGGGGGAGGGGCATTCTAGTTTCTTTGGCTTAACCCATGGAATAAGTATCCTGGTTTCTATGACTCACCTGGGGGAGGAAAAAGAGGGACAAGAGGGCAGGAGAAATTCAGAGAGAACTTGCTTCCGAGGCCCTTCCAACGTCCTTCAGTTCAAAGTCAGCACGTCAGGGTGCCATACTTTCAGATATTGTGTTCTGAGCCCCAACAATGCAGACATAGAAAATAGCCAAGTTTAGTCTTTTCCTTTGTAATTCTCGTGCCCTTAATCATGATTGGTCTATGTGATACTTTAGTTGAGCATGGTATGGTGTTTGCCCTTTGTGGTAATGGTGATTGTTTATAGACAGATTGTAGAAACTTGTTGAAGAGATGTGCTTAACTATTTTATTCGACTAAGAATTTTTTTTAACTAAAAGCTCTGAGAAAGCCAATTTGTTAGAAATCAAGTGGTTCACAGGATTTAAGCTTTTCCTTCCCCCAATGTAACAAGCCATCTGGACACCTTGAATCTGAAATTTTAGAAAAGAAACCAAGGCAAGGCTGAACTAATAAAAACAGTTCAGATCTTCAGGCTCAAACTGGACACCTGCATTGGGTAGAAGCCCACCGTAGACCACTTTGTCTCCCTTACAGGAACTCTCTGACCCATCGTGAATTCTGAAAAAATTGCAGAGCTGGTTAGCTTATCTGACATTACAGTTTCCAGGAAGATTCACAGATTTTTTGAAGTGACTCAATTGCTTTTGCTGCCTCTAGAGCACAGGACTCCAACTGTCCCTGAACTATCATTATTCACCCTGCCTGTGGCTCAATGTCAACATGTCCAAGAAGACAAAGACTGCCCAGGATAGCAGTGAGGATCCATTAATTTCAGATGTCCCCTATTAGATCTGACAATGTGGCCAAAGACTTGACAATTTTTAGTAACAGTTAGCTCCAATATAGTGTTCTCTCTTTAATAAAGCATCAGCGACATATGTTTGAAGTCACAAATTAAATATATTCTAACACTCTCCCCTTACCTTTACAATTTTGAGATCAGAAATTCTGATAGTGTCATTGAAGTTTCAATGACTACTTTTAGGGTTATACTGTTCACTTTTGTTCAAACATGTTATTAAACACTTTGGAGTCTATTTTATAATTTTGCTAATAATCCGTATATTGAATAATCAACAGGCTACTGTTAATCATACCATTATGATTAAACATTTATGCATATCACATATAATTACATAACTCATTTTCAGTCAATTATTTAGAAACAAAATAAAGGAAAAGCTTGGGCAGCTCTAGGTTACAGAGAGCTTTACTTTACTGAACCTCAACCACGGTGACCCCACAGTGGTCATAAACTAACAGTGGTCATAAGTCTCTAGGAAATTCGTTCTCAGAATTCCCGCCCCCAATAGGCCAGTTAAATTTAGGCTACCCAGTATGAAACCTCTGCTCTCTGATGTTACAAAAGGGTTTGTATCAAGGATAGAGCTGAAAGTTAAGCACATGTTAACAGATTGCACTCAAAGGGGGAACAGTTACTGAAGCCCTTGAGCATCAGACAGCATTGTAGTTAGCTTTGCCCAGAGAGAGCTGTGCCTGTTCTCATCATGAGATCAAGAATTTTAAAATGAGCTATGTGATGGTTACTATCATTATTATTAACATTTTCATATTCAAGGAAAATGTTACCCACATTATTTCACTTCATCCTTGCTGTAAGTTCAGAGAGGTGCACAATATTACCACACTTTACAGAGGAATACATGAATTTTGGAGAGATAAAATGATGTACTCAAGGCCAACTGGCCAACAAATTATAAAGCTGAGACCAGAATATCATTCTTTTTACCACCAGTTCAACTAATTTTAGGAAGAATAACAGATCCCCAACAAAGAATGGGGTAGGCGTTTTTTCCTCATTAACTCTGTGTAGCCTACCTGCTCTGCTTGTGGAGAACCTGGAACTAGCACATATTGAGAGAGGATTTCTGACGTTCATGCAGCATGAGGAAAATTGTCAGTAGAAGCAGACTGCCTTTCTCTGCTTAGAAATTATACGCTTTGTTAATAGGACTTCTGTTATTCAAAAACCTTAAAAGCATTTTGGAAACTTAAGGGGAAATTATAAAAATAACAAAGAAGTTTTTATAAAATATACTACAAATGGAAAAAGTGACCTTGTAAACTCATACCTAGGTGCAGAGGGAGTAATGCAGACCAGGAAAACTTTCCAAGAGGGTACTCAGCATTTGCCCCCATGAATATGAGTCTTTTTTAAAGGCAAACACATGGCTTCAAGGGAACGTACACACTTCCTATGGGGGTAATTAGCATGCCTTCCACAGAACCATTAAAAGCTATGTCTTTCACTGCATTCCACTCAGTTCTCAACTTGCATGTCATTGATCACACTGAATCTTTCAGAAAAAAATTATATTTGAAATTTCTCGGTTTAGGAAGATAGTCTTACAAGTCAGCCCACTCATGGACAGGAATATTTTGCAACCTACAATCATCCCGTGAGCTTCTAGTTCTTACTAATAAAAGGGATTCTGAACAGCAATGTCTCTGTGGATATATATGTTTCCCCTCTTTCACAATAGGACCTGGTCACACAAGTTGCATATAAACTTTTAAAGATACCCAGAAGTCCTTTAAAAGAGTATTTTGTTGTACTCAGTGACTTGGATTGCTGTCAAAATGGCTTTTATTTTAAACTTGGCTTCCCAAAGTCATGGCTTTCACTTGATGTTTTTCACTGCCTACATAACAAAACAGACATACATTTTCAACCCAACGTTCCTCCTACTCACTAATTTTAAGATGTTCTTAGATAAACAGATTTTTAATGCTTTACTATTTTAGTTAAATTCATCAAACCATTGGCTCCTAGCTATTTGTTAATTGCTTGATTTCTTTGCCACATTTTTCTTCCTTGCCACTCAGAACATATTAAACTTCTATTTTATAATGAGCTTCCAAAAATTGTATCCAATTTACTCCTTCTCATATTTACTTTCTTAGGGAAAAATTATATTTTATCATGTCAGCAATTTACTCCCCATATGAGGTAACTGCTCTGTTCATCGTGACATCATCATTCCACAGTTAAAGACCACTAAAGGCTTAAAGATTCACTGAATGCTTCCAGTTTTCTTCAGAAAGGAATATTCTGATTCCCATACAATTTTTATTGATAAAGGCAACAAAAAGGACTAGCAATGACAGGACGTATGCATTCAAATCTTTTTAATTGAAATGTTTTCCATGATATATCAACTTCTTAATGTTGTACCCTGCTATTCTGATTATTGTATAGCATTTTAAAATGGATGAAACATCACAATTCATTCAGAAAGAAAAACATCAAAATTTTTTAAAATGATCACTTTGAGAAGACAAATGTTCTAGCAAGATCACGTGCAAACAAGGATGAAACGTATCTCAATTCTTCACAAATCCTGACCAATAAGAAGCTTAGCATTCTGTTTCTAAGTGGCCAGTGAGTTACCCATCCAAATATAAATATATAGTAAGTAGAACGCCATAAAAAGTTGAAAGTAAAACAAATGTTAACAGTTTGCTGAACTGTCTCCCCTAAAGGATGGATTCAGTGGTATTAAACTATAGCTGATATTTCTGATCAGAGAGTTATGAGACTGGGGAAATATAATTATGTTTTCTGTTCGATCTGTTCATTAAATTCTCAGGCTACATAGTTTTTATATGACAACCAGACCATGAAATAACTTGCAGTCATTTATGAGAGTTTTGGCACCCCGGGAAGTAGGAGGAACCCATCCTACTCCCAATGACTCTGGCGGGTATAAATGGGCATGGGAGAGGGATGTGACTGGAGAAAGTGTATTTTGCAGTAACATCTGAAAGGGGAAGCTCTTATATGATACATCAGACTGGCCTAAGGCCAGCTTTCAGAGGGGCCCTTCCTTGTCACCAGGAGAGGAGAGCCTTTCCTAGCCACAACAGAAGAGACCAATTTCTGCAGGCAGAGAAGGTTCTGCCCTTTAGGCATGGCTTTGGTATTTCAACAAAGACCAGTAGTCAGCAGGGTTGGGCAGGCACAGACTAACAGAGCTTTGGGGATGAGGGACCTACCAGTTTGCTACCTTATACTTTTAAGCCACAGGAAGCTTTAGTCTCCTTTTTTTTTACAAAATATTAGGCTCAATTGAAAAGTATCCATAATTTAAAGATATCCCACTTGGAAAAGGGACAGCTATCTGGTCTGATTAGCTCTAAGTGGGAATCAGTTAGTAATCAATTCTTCATCAATTATTATGGGCAGGTACTCTGAGTCAGGCCTTAGTCTATCCCTGGGATTCTGTGCTGAACAGGACAGAATCACTGCCCTTATAAAGTTCATGTTGTAGTGTGAGGAGAAGAAATAAGCAAATACTCCAGTAAATATGTACTGTCTTGGAGGATGTTAGGTTCCACAGAGAACATGGCAGGGTCATGGGATAAGTGACCATGGGCAGGAGAAATAGGAAGGGGGCGACTGAAGTGGCCAGCAAAGCCTTCTGTGTAGGCGACTCTAGGGCTGACATCCGGGTAAGACAGAACCACAGGAAACCCACGGGAACAGGTCCAAGTGGATGATGCAAAGTCCCTGAGACAGGGCCGGATAAGTGTTACAGCGCTGACCACCTGCTCTACAAAACAGTCCACTGAATGTGCTACGAAGTTAAAACACACACCCAATCAATCCTGGAAATTTTTCATTTCAAAGGCCACAGGAGACGCACAAAGTATCCAAATCAAATGAGCACCAAGTTCCTTCCTGTAAATGGTCTCGTTCTTTCTGTCGATTTTCTACAATATAATATACAAAGAACCTCTCTAAATGGCTTACAGGGAATTCACTGGTAGCTCCAGGCAGAACATCTTGTCCTCAGTTAACAAATGAGGATTATGATGGTTCCCTTTGGACTGTAAATAACCTGTTTATATCAGATATTTTAGTTTTGGCAGAGTCTTCAGGTGTCTACACTTGCACAATCCATTCTCTGCTTGACAGGTGTAAATGTTGGATGTTTGTCAGCATCAAGGGGCCTTCAAGCATAATGATCTATTCTTCTGCATTCTTAAAGAGGGCTTACAAAGTTTAAAAAAAATTGAAGATGAGAAATATCATACCAAAAATTTAAATGGACTCCAGGTTAATTTTCTAAGTCATAAGTGCAATTAGAATATTTGTAAAAAAATTTCAAATTTCTAACTGTGGAAAATCATTTAAAGCTTGTTTGTTTAAAAAGCATGCATTGCTGGCCGCAGTGGCTCACTCCAGTAATCCCAGCACTTTGGGAGGCTAAGGCAGGAGGATTGCTTGAGGCCAAGATTTGGAGACCAACCTGGGCAACAGAGCAAGATTTTTTCTCTACAAAAAAAAAAAAAAAAAAAAAAAATTAGCTGGGCATGGTGGCGCACACCTGTAGTCCCAGCTACTCAGGAGGCTGAGGTGGGAGGATTGTTTGAGCCCAGGAGGTCAAGGCTGCAGTGAGCAGTAATCATGCCCTGATGAATCATGTCACGCCAGCCTGAGTGACAGAGCAAGACTATGTCTCAGAAGAAAGAAAAAAACCATGCATAACTGCAGTGGCTGTGATGAGCTAAGTACTGCATACTAAACAGACCAGAGTGACTTCTATAAGACATTAAAATCTAATGGTGATAACGTTTGCAAACATGAACCTGTAAAATATTCTGGATAAAATTATCCCTACATTCAATATTGTTAGTTGCTTTGTGTGAAGGATACATTTTGAGAAGTGGAATAGACTAAGCATTAAAGAAATCAAAGACTGAATAAAAATTTTCTATTTTTACCCAATGGCAGAGTGAAGAAAGTAGATGTGACAAAGATTTTAAAAGATGCTCTAAGAAAATGTATAATATACATGTTTCCTTTCCTTTTCCCATAAAAATATATTTTAATCTTCCAAGGTCAAGCACTTACACTTCCAAAGCCCTAATGCCTCAGTACCTAGAGCATGGTAAGTACTTGGTAAATGTTTACAGAATGAATGGAAGGGAGGGAGCAAGGACAACACCCCATAAATAGTGCATGCATTCAAGACTGCATTGAAATGACCAGGAGCTAGTTACACTCCTTACACCAGTTGGTTCCAAATAAATTGAGAAAAAGACACAGGCAGCAGATGAGGTTCAAACTATGAGCTTTATACTTGGTATTCTGAATGGAGAACATGCCTTAGCACTGATGCACTGATGAGATATCAATCTGTGACTTACCCTGGGGACACTGGGTCTCCAGTGCAGACCCTTATGGGCCAGCTATGTGGATAATTGCTCACTGTCTGTCTCTCATTGCTGAGTCATGAGAGCAGGGACTGACAGAAGTGTGTCCAAAAGGGAGAATGACCGTCCACTGGAAAGCCAGACCTGCCTGATAGGGAGCAGGAAAGGTCATTTCTCCCCATATTACTCACCAATTGCTTGTACCAACTTTACTCACATGGGAAGGACTAAGCAAAGAATGGAGAATGCCAAAGTGTCCGCATGGACACTTGGGGACATGGGATATAATTCCTCATATTTCCGGCTACATTCCCAAGGGTTCTTTTTTCTCTTATCCTGGTTTTAAAAGGTAGACAGTGGGGCACTGGGAGGGAAGAGTATTTCTCATTTTAAGCACACAAGAAATCTGGGTAAAGAGATAAGTACATCCTCTTCTTGATCAACATTTGGAAAAGAAGGAAAGACATTTTAAAATGAGTCTCAATCTAATGAAAAAATGTAAAAAATATTTGCAGAGACACACCCCAAAGAAGAGATACAGATGAAAAACAAACACTTGAAAAGATGCTTAGTATTATTAGTCACTAGAAAAATACAAATGAAAACTTCAATGAGATACCACAATGCACACTAGAATGGCTAAAATTTGAAAACTGATAGTACCAAGTGTTGGCAAGAAGATGCAGTACAACTCTCATATATAGTTGGTGAGAATGCAAAATGGTACAGCCACACTTAAAAAAATTTGGCAGTCTCTTGTAAAGTTAAACATACACTTACCATATGACCAAGCAATTCCACCCCTAAACACATACCTAAAAGAAATGAGAAGCGATGTCTACACAAAGACCTTTGCACAAATATTTATAGCAGCTTTATTATTATAATAATAGCCCCAAACAAAAGCAGCCCTAAAGGCTAACTGATAAATAGATAAACACATTGTGGTATATCTATACAATGGAACACTTATTCAGTAATAAAAGAAATACCTAATAATATATACAACCATATAAATGAACCTCAGAAGCATTATGTTAAGTGAAAAAAGCCAGACATAAAAAGTGTTAAACTGTATGATTCCTTTATCAGCCAGTCACAAATAGACAAAACTACAAGGACAGAAATACATCAGTGGTTGCCAGGAGCTGGGAGTAGGGAAAGAAGTTTGACAAAAGACAAAATAGATGCAAGGGAACTTTTTGGCATAATAGGAATATTCTATATCTTGGTTGTGGTGGTGTTTATGTGACTAGACACATTTGTCAAAACTCATCAAATTGTCCACCAATAAAGGGTACAATTTTAGTGTATGTAAATTATACCTTGTTAATTAATGCAGGAACAGAAACCCAGATACCACATGTTCTCACTTATAAGTGGGAGCTACCCATCACATACTCATGGACATGAAGATGGGAACAGTAGATACTGCAGGGGAGGGAAGGAGTGGGGCAAGGGTTGAAAAACTAATTGTTGGGTACTATGCTCAGTACCTGGATGATCGGATCATTTGTGCCCCAAACCTCAGCATCATGTAATATATCCAGGTAACACATTTGTATATATATCCTTAAATCTAAAATAAAAGTTGCAAAAGAAAAAAATTATGCCTTAATAAGTCTGAATTTTTAAAAAATGATTCCAAAGTATCTGAGACAACGTTGTTCAAATCAACCAAGTCATGTTTTTTTTTAATATTGACAAATAAAGATTGCATATATTCAAGGCATACAACAGACTGCTTTAATATACATGTACATCATGTAATGATCATCACAATCAAATAAATTAGCATATCCATTTTCACCAATGCTATACATTACATCCCCAGAACTTGTTTCTCTTATAACTGAAAGTTTGTACCCTTCCATCAGCGTCTCCCCATTTTACCCACTCTTCATTGCTAGCAATCATCATTCTACTCTGTTTGTAAGAGTTCACCTTTTTTAGACTCCACAACTAAAAAGTGAGATCATATAGTATTTGTCTTTTTGTGTCTGGCTTATTTCACTTAGTATAATGTCTTTGGGGTTTATCCATGTTGTTTCAAATGGCAAGATTTCTTTCTTTTTTATGCCTGAATAATATGTATATTTTTCTTCATATTATATATATATATACTATATATATATATGTACCACAACACAATGAATACCAATGTATTTATTATTGACATTTATATATGTACAACACACACACACACATACACACACCACATTTTCTTTATCCATTCATCCATCAATGGGCACTTGTTTCCATACTTTAGCTATTGTGAGTAGTGCAGTACACATGCGAGAGAATATATCTCTTTAGGATACTAATTTTATTATGTTTAGATATAAACCCAGAAGTGGAATTGCTGGATTCTATGTTAGTTCTATTTTTAATTTTTAAAGAAACCTTCACAACCGTTTGCCATAATGGCTGTACCAATTTACATTCCCACCAACAGTGTACAAGGGTTCCATTTCCTCCACATCCTTATTATTTCTTGTCTCTTTGATTACTCATTCTATCATGTGAGGTGATATCTCCTGGTGGTTTTGACCTGCATTTCTCTGATAATTAGTGACACTGAACACCTTTTCATATACTTGCTGGCATGTATGCCTTCTTTAAAGAAATATCTATTCAGGTTCTTTGCCACCTTTTTAATCAGGTTATTTGGGTTTTATTGTTGTTGCTTGTTTTGTTTTGCTTTTGGATTATATGAGTTTCTTATATATTTTTGATATTAACTCCTTATCAGATATATGGTTTGCATATATTTTCTCCCGTATTTCATAAGCTGCCTTTTCATTTTGTTGACTGTTTGCTGTGCAGATTTTTAGTTATATGTAATCTCACTCACTTTCGCTTTTGTTGCCTATTTTTGTGGTGTCATATCCAAAATCATTGTTAAAATGTCCATAGTATCAAAAGGAATCTACATATCCAATTCAGTCCCTATCAAACTTCCAATAACATTTTTCACAGAAATAGAAAAAAGCAATTCTAAAATTCATATGGAACCACAAAAATCTCTGAATAGCCAAAGCAAACTTGAGAAAGAAGAATAAAGGTGGAGACATCACATTCCCTGATTTTAAACTACAATACAAAGCTATAGTAATCGAACAATATGGTCCTGGCACAAAAACAGACATGTGAACCAATGGAACAAAATAGAGAGCCCAGAAATGAACCTACGCACATACGGTATACTAATTTTCATCAACAGCACCAAGAATACAAAATGAAGAAAGGATAATCTCTTCAATAAATGGTGTTGAGTAAATAGGATATCTACATGCAGAAGAATGAAAGTGGACCCTTGTCTTATAGCATATACAGAATTTAACTGAAATGTATTAGGCTTAAATGTAACATCTGAAACCATAGAACTCCAAGGAAAATAACATAGGCAACCAAATCATCTTTTAACATAAACCGGAGTTTTTCAAGTTGACTGAAAATAATACCTTGTCCTCATCATATGAGACCATAGAGTTTGTTCATCATGAAGACAGTAGAGATAGTAAGTGTTCTCAAGTGGAAAGGTGAATTTATAAAAACAAAGAAGCAAATAAACATTACCAATCTATATATCAACTGTCAGATAAAGCCAGAAGAATACTTTTGACAAATTTAGGGCAAATAGTCTGTATTTTACAGATAGTAATATGACTCTAGCAGGGACTCTGTCCTTGCGGAGGTTCTCTGCTTTCCTTTTTCTTCCCTTTTCACCCAATAAAACCCTGTCTTACTCACCCTTCAAACCATCTGCGAGCTTAAATTTTCATAGCCATGGGACTGACAAGGACCCCATCTTTAGCGGAACTAGGGAAAATTCCTGCAACAATATCATAGTGCAATACAAGTTGAAATGGCTTAACTTAAAAGTTAAATTGAGATTTTTCTTTTTAACTCTGCATGACCGTTCTTTATTTGTATCAGTTTTACAAAGAACATGGCCATGTTTCTTCAATCACCCTACTCTATATAATACTATTGATCCAAATATTTACAAGGCAAACCCAAAGCCAATCTTTTATTAATTTATTTACTTCAACTTTTTTCTTCAACTTTTATTTTAAGTTCCAGAGTACATGTGCAGGATGTTCAGGTTTGTTACATAGATAAATATGTACCACAGTGGTTTGCTGCACAGATCAACACATCACCTAGGTATTAAGCCCAGCATCAATTAGCTATTCTTCCTGAATGCTCTCCCTCCTCCCCAACCCCCCAACAGGCCCCAGTGTGTGTTGTTCCCTCAATGTGTCCATGTGTTCTCATTATTCAGCTCCCAGTTATAAGCAAGAACATGCAGTGTTTGGTTTTCTGTTCCCACGTTAGTTTGCTGAGGATAATGGCCTCCAGATCCATTCATGTCCCTACAAAAGACATGATTTCATTTCATTTTATTACTGCATAGTATTCCATGGTGTATACGTACCATATTTTCTTTATCCAGTCTATTGCTAATGGGCATGTCTTTGCTATTGTGAATAGTGCTGCATGAACATATATGTGCATGTATCTTTATAACAGAATGACTTACATTTGTTCCTTTGGGTATATACCCAGTAATGGGATGGTTCGGTCAAATGGTATTTCTCCAAGGCCAATATTTTGAATACTAAAGATGTATTCAGGGACACTAGACCTGTTGGATGGTACACTTTAAAGGAATAGTAAGAAAGAGAGCTGGATTTTGGAAGACAGGTACGATCTGAAGATAGATGAAAAAGGAAGCACGTGCAGATTGCAGGAGCACTCCCTAGCACACAGAAGGGAGGATGTGCCACACTCAACAAGAGCCAAGTTCATGTTGGCTTCAGGATAAAATGGTTGGAAAATAGCTCAAGATCCCTGAAGAGGAAAAAGGAGTGCCTCAAATAAATGGTTATGCAACAGGTTCTGTGCCCTATGGGAAACCGTGGAGCTTGAATTCCAGGTCCGACAGCCCAGGGTGGGATAAACCGAACAGAGAGCTTAGTCTCTGTGTGCCTCAGTGTTCCATCTTTACTACAGACCTAAGTCTGTGTCTCTTGGATTGTGTGTTAAATGAGATAATTCAGGCAAATGTTTTAGAACAGAGCATAAGAATCTAAATGCCAATAAGTGACAGAGTCTGCTTCAATTTATAAAGAACATGAAACCATTTTCAAACTCTGTTTGTGAACCTATGATTAGTAACAAGGTCCTTGCAGCTCCCATCAGCACCAAGGTTGATGGAGCATGTGTTACACTGTAATTGAGAATCTTAGACCATTCTAGAAAGGGTTCCTCAATCCCGAGTGCACTTCGTGATCACAGGCACAGACTCTGTAAGTCAGAATCTCTGCAAGTAGCTTGGTGTCGCCTCCGTTCAGAGTTCAGGGAGCTCAGAGCATAGCAAGTGACTGGGGCACACACCCCGGTGCGAAGAAGCAGGAGCTCTCATAGGAGGTGACACCACATTCTTTGTGATGCTTATTGAATGAAGGAATGATTGCATGGATACATGAGGCCATATCTAAGGAGTGTGTACTAGGCGATGGCTAAGAAACGTCCTTTGCTGACGCTTCCCCATGGGACCTTTGTGTCTGAGCTGCCAGGGTGTCATGAAGTGGTCATGGGTATCCTACTGACACGGCATTTCCAGACATCATAGCCTGCAAGAGCCAGGGCTGTCTCTGCAGAACTCACACCCACCGGCAGTGACAGTGCATTTCTTCACTGATGACAATCCTTTTGAAGATCCAGACAACATGTGAGTGGTCAGTGTCGGGCCCCTCCAGAGGGAGAAACCCTGCACCAGCAACAGAGCCCCCATCTGCTGGGTTTTGTCCTGCTCTGAGTATGTGGACTGTGGCAGGAGAGTCTTGAGGGGAACTCTAACATTTAGTCAAGAACAACTCTGGAAGAAGTGAGTGACTTATTGTCTGACACAGTATGGAACGTTTCTTGTCTCTTTTTGCACTGCCAGTGATCAAAAGAATTTAGAGCAAAAGCTATTTTAAGCACTGTGGTTAAATTGATACAGCAACTCCTTTCATCAAATTAACTGGGAAACGTTACATGCCTTTGTGCTTAGGCACTCTGCAGCTCTGCTCTTCCTTGAACTTTCTAACATTGTGAAGCTTTGTTTTTCATACTTGTTCCAGGTTCAGGAAAGCACCTTTGGCAAGGACAAAAGTAACACAGCCTGACTTACACGCTTTGCCTTCACCTGTCTCCCCTTCCAAGTGTAGTAAATACACACACACACACACACACACACACACACACAGTGGTAAACTGGAAATCCCCCAAGCTGTACAATTTCCAAACCTCAGGAAACACAATGTAAATGTGCACACGCTGTCAACAGCAACATTTGCAAAAGGGGTAAATGATGTGACAGTGTCAGTCTCACCAACATGTTGCAGTGAAATTCCTAATTCAAAGGTTGCCAGATGTCAGCCTGAGGACCAGTACCTGCCAGATTGCATGAGAGTCACCCAGGGTGCTTCTTGTACATCAACAAACAAACCAACAAAAAGCTTCAGACTCCACCTCCAGAAAGTCTTGTGCATTAAGTCTACAAGAGGAATGGAGGTCTGCATCTTAAATAACTTTTCCAGGTCATTCTTATGTATAAGCACATTTGGAAATAATATCTTGATCAGAGTCATATAGGAAAGAAAACTTAGTCATTTTTGCAGACTCATTTGTAAATGTATTCAGAAGTCGATGACGTGTTTCAGAAGGAATTTTAAAACCTTTTCATATCAGGTCCTGATCACCTGCATTTAGAGACTACATAGAGCAACTAAAAGTTAATCTCCATTTAGTAAAACAAAACAAAAATGCCAGGCGATTAGAAACTAGAAGTCTCAGTTTTAACGGGTGTCTTTGGGCAAAGAATTTTATTTCTTATCATTTCCTTTCCTTTGCACTGGAAATGAAAATAAGAGGTTGGGGAACAAAAGTATAGAGAAAGAGTCTTAAATATAAGTAACCTAAACCACAAAACTCAAGTGCTAATTGAGAGACTGAATTAAACAAAGAGACAATAAGCAGACTGTACATGACAATAGAGTTCTGACCCCCAAACTCTGCAGCAACCAACCCAGGAAGCCAAAACACAACTTCAGTAGCAACGGCCCCCAGCAGTCAAGATGAGATCAACATGATCAGATTCTGTTTTTTGCTCCCATTTGCACCTAAAGATTAACCAGAAAAAGCCAAATATGTACTCCTAACCAGTTACATAGGATGCCCCAGCTAGTTAGCCGCCTCCAGCTTCCCCAGGCCAACAGCCTCATCAAGGCACACCTGGAGCCTTCCCTCTTCTCCACCTTTCCACCCGTCTGCCAGCCTGTGAGTCTCTGCCAAAACACAAGCGATGGTAGCTGACTCCCTTGCTACAGCAAGGTCAGAAAAGATAGCATTTGCTTTTCTCATTTGGATAGCTTTTGTTTATTTCCACATAATCTTCAAAGTAATAAAAAAGTAATAAAACATAACAAGCAAAAGCCCATTACCCTGTTGTTTAAGGACTTCCATCCTAAAACAATGCCCATGCCAGCACACACACTCAAGGCTGGAGTTAAAGGAAGCAGATGAGAGGAGATGGGAGGGGGTCAGTGATTGAGGTCTGTAAGAGAGGGATGGCGTGCAGAAAACACTGCAGGGTGGAGGAAAAAGGAAGTAGGACCCAAGCAGGCTGAGCAAAGTGTTTGAATTAGTTGGAATCCTTTAATTAATTGCAGGAAAGAGTAACTAATGCTGCATTTTTTTTCTTTCTTTTTCTTTCTTTCTTTTTTTTTTTTTTTAAGACAGAAGCTCGCTCTGTCACCCAGGCTGGATTACAGTGGTGAGATCTTGGCTCACTGCAGCCTCCACCTCCTGGGTTCAAGCAATTCTCCCACCTCTGCCTCCTGAGTAGCTGGGATTACAGGTGCACGCCACCACACCCGGCCAATTTTTTATATTTTTTGTAGAAACAGGGTTTCACCATGTTGGCCAGGCTAGTCTCGAACTCCCAACCTCAAATGATCCACCCACCGTGGCCTCCCAAAGTGCTGGGATTACAGGTGTGAGCCACTGCACCCAACCTGAAAATCTTGAGTAACTGTAGGAAGGCAGTTGACAGGACTAGCTTGTGGGTGTGGAGCCAGTGTGGCAGGGTGGGAGGGACCCAGACGGCTCACTTGGCCCAAGGGCAGACACCTCAACAACAAACACTCTGGTTGTGGGGAAGAGGGGACCCTTTGTTGTGTGAGGCAAGAATACTATTTTTTAGTCTCTTGCCATTGAAGATTTAAAGTCCAAGTATTAGCTTTGCTTGGGTCACAAGCCTTGCCCTCAGCCAAAAGGACAAGACAAGAAGAATACAGTCCCTTGCATTAGGAGGAGCTGGTTTTTAAAAAGGAAAGTGGGGGGTTCTTAAGAGTGGGGAATGGGTGCTGGGCAGGCAAAATGCAGTAAACGCTAATAAAGGGCCCGTGGAATTCAATTTGACACATCATCCTCCAGCTATATCACTGAAATAAAAAAGCAGGGTTGGGGAGTGGATTTTTAAGTGTTAGGGAATCTATTGAAATGATTGTGTGATGCTTAAATTTGACCTCTCTCCAACAATCGCCAATTTTATTGTTAAAATTAAAGGAGCCAGTAATCATTAATTCTAACAGGAGATTAGCAGTAAAATAAGTTACACAAGTAATGACAATGGGGAGACTGGTAGCAACATACCTTAGCCAGAAAGCTTACAAAAATGGACACTTTATAAGCCCACCCTGAGTCTTCCTTTCTCTATAGGGTAATCAGTGTAATATTCCTAATAGGTGCTTAATTTCTGGGAGTCAGAATGCATTTTCATGGGGTCCATGTGAGCTAGTTGCCCCTGATGAAACACCGCGTTGAGCTTTGCCAGCCAAATGCCCAGGGTCAGAGCCCTCAGAGGACAGTGGTGAGCACTTTTGGTGTGCTCCAGCCACCACTGCTGGGACTGTCATTTCACCATACATTTCTAACTTCCTAAGTCTTTCTGAGAAGCCTGTCCCTTTCTATTAACTGACAGTGACACGGGGCTAAACAAGAGACTTCACAGATCTTTTTTCTAAGAGTATCTCACTGGACTAACACAGAATCACCAAAACTGCTGGGAGGAAAAAAAGCAAGCAAGATGAATTTCCCAAAATATTTCAATTTTCTCAGCTTTCCTATTAATCTTCATTACTCCTAAATTTTAATTTCCAGTAGCAAAACACAACTTTTTTGTGTCTGTACTGACCCAAGCATTGTGTTCCAGAAAACAAAGATGAATAAGATAAAAAGTCCTGCTCTCAAGAGAAAAATAGACTAATATAACGGGAACAGTTTTGAGCTGTTAATTCCTGACTTCTTTCATTTGTTCCTCCTCCATCTCCTCCTTTCAGGCAGGAGATCAGGCTAGGTCACTCTCTATCCTGATAATTTTGGTAAAGAGGAAGGTTGAGGCTCCCTGAACATCTGTCCCATATGTGCGTTGGTAGTTAAGATACTCCCCATTCATTTTCAATCATTTATTCATTGAACCATTCTTTTTTTAATTTTTAATGTTTGTGAATACACAGTAGGCATATATGTCTATGGGATACTTGAGATGCTTTGATACAGGCATGCAGTGCATTACAATCACATCACAGAAAACGGGGTATCCATCCCCTCAAGCATTTATCCTTTGTGTTACAAACAATTCAATTATACTCTTTTAGTTATTTTTAAATGTACAATTAAATTATTATTGACTATAGTCACCCTATAAATAAATAAGCTACCAAATACTAGGTCTTATTTATTCTATTTTTTTAACCCATCAACTATTTATTGTTAATTTTTTATATAGGTGATAAACTGAGTGATTCAAAACCATCAAATGGCACAAAAAGATTTATTTCTATTCTTGTCTTTCATTCTCCCTATTCCCATCCCTCCTCTACCACAGATAACCTATTTTAAAATTTTTTTCTTGTATGTCTTTCTATATTGTTTTTCTGTTTATTAGATATAATATTAAGACAGAAATTTACATAAAACATATATGATGATAAACCAAATGTGGTCTATCCATACAATGGAATGTTATTCAGCCTTAGAAAGGAAGGAAATTCTCAACCATGCTACAACATGGATGAACCTTGAAGACATTATGCTTAATGAAAAAAGTCACATGCAAAAGAACAAATACTGCATGATTCCATTTATATGAAATGTCCAGAATTAGGCAAATTAATAAAACAGAAAGTAGATCAGAGGTTACCAGGGGCTACAGGAAACAGGGGAGTGGGTAGACATTGTTCAATAGCCACAAAGCATTTGTTTGGGATGATGATAAGATTCTGGAGATGGATGGTGGTGATGGTTACACAACACTGTGAATGGACTTAATGCCACTAAATTGTACACCTAAAAATGGCTACAATGCTAACTTCTATGTTACGTATATTTCACCACAAAAACACCTATGAAAGCATAAAGAATAATTATAAAATCAACACTCATGTAGCCATCAAAAAAAAGGTCAAATAAGGAACACTGTCAATTGCCTGGAAGGCCCGCCATGGGCCACAGCCTTCTCTCGCAGGCACCACCATCTTCTTTACCTTTTTGGTAATAACTGTTGGGCCTTTAAAAATAGTTTAATATATAATATATGTGTAAGAAAATATCATCTGTGAAATTTTTGCCTCCTTTTGACTTTTATATAAACGTAAATACACTCATATATTTGTGTTACTGGCTTATTTTATTCAACATTATACAATTATGATTTATTATGAAATCTATCCATGTTATTGATGTATCTGTATTTCATTCAATTTTATGACTGTTTTATGGGCCAACACATACCCAATTTTTATGATGTTACTTATATATCTGAAAGGAATGTGCATTGGCATTTGTCAGATGCAGAGTTTTACACATCCCTATTATGGCCTTTGTTAATCATGTCATTTAAATCTTCTATATTTTTAATACTTTTTTTCTTCCTTATTTTCCCAATTACCAAGAGAAGTACATATTTAAAATCTTCTTATACTATTATGTATGTAAAACAGGATGTATCTATTTTTACTTGTATGTATGCTTATTTTTGCATTATGTCATTTGAGCCTATATTACTAGTAACATTAATTTAAAATTATGTAATATCTTCCCGATGGATTAAACCTTTTCACCACACTTACACTTGTTTGAAAATTTTATTCTGTTCTTATTCTTTCAGTGGTTACCCTAGAAATTCAAACAAGCATACTAAATCAAATACCTCCATCCTCCTTTTAGATCATCCAGGGGCTTTAGAATACAGTGCTTCACTTACCCTCACCCAACTCACAGACTTATGTGTTATTTGTTGTTTCCTGTTTCAACTTTATCTCATGTTATTTTTAACAATATTTCAATGCAGCCAATGTTATCTTAGACGTGTCTACATATTTTCCACTTCCCATGATCATCATTCCTTCTTGCATCTCAGCCTTTCCATCCAGAGTCACTTTCTTCCCGCCCGAAGTACATGCTTTAGAATGTCCTTTAGTGAGGGACTAATAGCAAACTCTATCAGTTTGCTATTAAAAATTTTTGTGTCTATGCTTGAAAGTATCTTCATTTAGGCCAGGCGCGGTGGCTCAGTAATCCCAGCACTTTGGGAGGCTGAGGCAGGTGGATCACCTGAGGTCGGGGGTTCGAGACCAGCCTGACCAACATGGAGAAACCCTGTCTCTACTAAACATACAAAATTAGCTGGGCATGGTGGTGCATGCCTGTAATCCCAGCTACTCAGGAAGGCTGAGGCAGGAGAATCGCTTGAACTCGGGAGGCAGAGGTTTTGGTGAACCGAGATCGCGCCATTGCACTCCAGCCTGGGCAACAAGAGCGAAACTCCGTCTCAAAAAAAAAAAAGAAAGAAAGAAAAAGAAAATATCTTCATTTTGGGTCTCATTCTGGAAATATATTTTCCTTGGCTAGAAAATTTTAGGTTATTTTCATAATTTTTCAGTACCCTGAAGGTATTACTCCATTCCCTGGTTTTCTTTGTTGATCTTGTACATTCTGCTTCTTTGAAGGTAACTAGCTTTTCTCTCAGGCTGTTTGTTAAATATTCTGTACGTTTTTGATACTCAACAATTTTACTACATTGGCTCTGGATGTGGATATTTTTAATTGAATCCAGTTTGAAATGTATTGATCACCTGGAAATTGAAGAATCTGTGAAATGATATATTTCAACACTTCTGGAAACTTCTCCATCATACATATCATTTATTTATCTTTCTCTGCTACATTCTAGAAAATTCCTTCTAGTTTATATTCCAGTGAACAAATTTTCTTTTCAACTGAGCCTAATTTGCGTTAAACACATAAACCTAGATTTAAATTTTAAGTATTCTATTTTTTAATTTCCATAAGTCCCGTTTGGTTGTTTTTCTTTTCAATATGCTAGATTAATTTCATAGTTTTTTACAGCAGAAGATATTTTTTAACCTGTTGAAGTAGTGCTACAGATGTTTTTATCATCTATATTGACATTTCCAATATCCAAAGGCTGTGTCAGATATGTGTTATTTCTGCAGATACTTATTACTGTTTTTTTGTTTTTATTTAAGGCTTAGCTTTGTTTTTACTGTGTACTGTTCCTTTTCCTTGGCAAATTATTTGTGGGAACTCTTTAACGATTAACGACCTCAAAGACACATTCCCTACTCCACCTTCCTCTACACAGTTTCCGCCTAATCTCAACCCTCCTCTCCATCAGGCTCCAGGCACACATCTTTTCCAGCTGTTATCAATTAAAATATAGCTTTTGTACCTCCCGATAGGCCGCACTACCTTGGGAAGTGGACTTCTGCTGGCACTTTCTGAGATTTGCCACTGCTTGGCCCTTTAGCTTTTGTCTGTGTCAGTGGCTTTTGCAGGCCACACACTGTGTACCCGGGAGTTTGCAGGTGTTCACTAAGTCCTGCTTTCACTGAAATTGGAGACCATAGTGTGTCCAGAATTGGTAGGTTCTTGGTCTCACTGACTTAAAGAATAAAGCCATGGACCCTTGCAGTGAGTGTTACAGTTCTTAAAGATGGTGTGCCCGGAGTTTCTAACTTCTGGTGTGTTTGTGGTCTCACTGACTTCAGGAGTGAAGCTGCAGACCTTCATGGTGTTACAGCTCATAAAGGCAGCGCAGACACAAAGAGTGAACAGCAGCAAGATTGATTGCAAAGAGCAAAAGAATAAACCTTCCACAGCATGTAAGGGGACCCCAACGGGTTGCCATGCTGGCTCAGGTGGCCTGCTTTTATTCCCTTATCTGGCCCCACCCACATCCTGCTGATGGGTCCATTTTACAGAGAGCTGATTGGTCCGTTTTACAGAGAGCTGATTGGTCCGTTTTGACAGAATTCTGATTGGTGCATTTACAAGCATTTAGGAAGACACAGAGTGCTGATTGGTGCGTTTACAATCCTTTAGCTAGACACAAAAGTTCTCCAAGTCCCCTACCCAATTAGCAAGACACAGAGCACTAATTGGGGCATTTACAAACCTTCAGCTAGACACAGAGTGCTCATTGGTGCCTTCACAAACCTTTAGCTAGACAGAAAAGTTCTCCAGGTCCCCATCCGACCCAGAAGCCCAACTGGTGGGCGGGACTTTGCGGCACCTAGCCTGGGCATGCCTGCAGCCCAGAGGGAGCTCATCTCCTAATCCAGCCCAGCAGGCCCTTGCAGGCCATGGAGTGCGGGCCTGCCCAGCCCGCGCCCACCCGGAACCGCCACCGCCTGCGAGCGCCCGGCGGGCTCCCGCCGGCGCCTCTCCCTCCACACCTCCCAGCGAGCAGAGGGAGCCGGCTCCGGCCTCGGCCAGCCCCAGAGAGGGGGACCCCACAGGGCAGCGGCTGGCTGGAGAGCTCCTCCAGAGCGGCCAGAGCGGACCCCGAGGCCTAGGAGACGCTGAGAGCGAGGGAGGGCTGCTAGCACATTGTCACCTCTCAATAGGTTTTCCATTCTCTTTATTAATTTGAATAACAACAGAAGGGGAAAGTTCTTTTGTCTGCCCTCATCATGTTCATACTAGAAACAACGTCCAGTCTTCTATAAAAATCTAAACACTTTAAAAAAAACCAATAACTTGTATTAGTTGTACTGATACAGGAGGAAAAACGGAGAGGGCTTTTGAGAAGCAACAGGGAAAAGAAAAGAGATTTTTATCGGCCAGAAAAAAAGAGGTCTGTGAGCCCCACAGCTGCGGGATCCCCGTGAGATATCTTGTCTTGAGTAAGGAGAGACCTGGAGAAGATGCACCCTTCCTCTTAGGGGAGGGCTGCAGAGCAGCCTAGAAAGGAGTGTCCTGAGGCACTTGGGTTCTCAGTCATGACAAAAAGTCTAGTACTGTGTGAGTGGTCCAGAGAGAAAACAGACTGTGGCAGGGACAATGATAGACTTGGAAGAAAAGCATTTTTCTCTCTAAACAGAGTATAAGCTTCTAGGATTCTCTTGCCCCTTAGAAAGGAGAATGTGCCTCAATTATGCTTGAAAATGAGGTGCACGCCTGTAATCCCAGCTACTTGAGAGGCTAGGCAGGAGAATCGCTTGAATCCCGGAGGCTGAGGTTGCAGTTGAGCCGAGATCGCGCCACTGCACTCCAGGCAGCCTGGGCAACAAGAGCGAAACCGAAACTCGGTCTCAAAAAAAAAAAAAAAAAGAAAAGAACAGGAATTTTCTACGAATCTGTGTGACAGAGATTAGGAGCTGAACATTAAGCTGACATACAGAAAACAAAAGAAGTAATATTTGTCACACTTCTGAGTTTGTGAACTGAGATACATGACCACTATGTAAAATGCTAATTATAGTAAGAGGAGAAGGACAGGGTAATATGGAAACACAGAGGATGGGGGAGCCTTAGTTTTGACTGATTCAAAGAACATCAAGCATGGTCTTAGAAAATGAATAGGAATTTTCCAGGCAAGAAGGGAAGGCCCTTCCAAGCAAAGAAACCAACATGGGCAAAGGCCTAGGGAATGGTGTGTTTGTAAAGTTTCAATCAACTGATGTGAATAAGCTTGCAAATATTAATGTTGCCCCTATAATCAAGTAATTGATATATTTATAAGCTTAGTAATCAGTTTAATTGGTACTCTTTAGTCATCCTCATAGAGGCCTGGAAACAGAGGCCCAAGGAAGTTGATGCTACATTCTTAGGGCTTCACACCCTTTGTGGTAGAGAATCAAGATTAATTTCAGAACCCAGGGATCTTTTTCTAGTATACTCTATCCCACTGCCTGAAAGAATGAAAAGGAACCTCCATTTAGAAAACATTAGCTTACCTGGATGTGGAGGAGGGCCTACTTTGCAGTGTTTGTTTCTTCGCTTCTAAAAATAACTTAAAATATAACTGTTCAAAAGTATTATCAGCCCCGATGACTTGCAGGATAAACCTAACTCTGGTGGGCTTTCTGGAGAGCCTCTCTCCTTATTAAAGAACAATTAGCTTAGCTGTCCAAGACATTATTTTACCCACAGCCACAAAGAAGCTACATCATCCTTTGCTATAACAAACACATAACTTAAATCTGCTTGCGAAGTTTATATGAAAACACTTTAGCACCTGAAGGCCATCCATATCATCATTGCACCATCATGATAACTTGCTGGTTAAAATAGAGGATGCATCCATCAGATAAAAGTGTTCTTTGCTCCATCTTGCTTTTAACCCAGATACAAGCAAACCCATGAAGACACAGGAGTTGTGCTAGGCAATTGTCGTGCTCCATGAAATGGGCCACATTTTGTTTTCTGGTCTTTGTTTTTGCACTTGTCTACCACTCACCAGCATTTTTAAAGGATATGCATGTCAGGTTTATGGATGAGGGTTTTACATCATTCACTCCACAAGAAAAAACAAACGACATGACCAAAATGCCTCTTTTCACCCAACCTTTAAGAATCTATTTGCTGCCTTTGTGCTATGCACTGTCAATAATTTTTTGCTGTCTCTGAAAACCTAGAAATAAATATAGCTTCACTGTTAGTTTTCCAGTTTTCAAGGAATAGCTATTATGTAAGGAGTTTGGACTGAGACAGTCCCAGAATGTGGACAATGTCTAAGAAATGAGCACTATAAGGATAAAATAAACAAGAATCCACATAAAATGGATCCAATTGGTATTTACATCACCTCCCCCCTCAAGAGAAGAATTGTAAATGTTCTGTTGGATAGAATTAGGAAATAGACAACTCCAATCTGAACTGTGGCAGGGTGGGGAGAAAGGGGCAGGATTACGTTTGGAATAAAACTGTATTGTTGCATCAAAGTTTGTAAAAATAGAGGCACTGAGTGTAATTATCTGTGAATACTTATTCTGCACAAATATAAACTGAATTGGGAATCATTTAATATTTCAATCTCTAATAAGGTGTATTGTGTGGTAAGGCAAGAATGATTCATGTATTTAATAGACACAGAGCACTGACTATAAGCAGGCAGTATGCCAAGGACTGAATATACAAAGCTGAGCACAAGATCTCTCTCCTTCCATAGGGCCTGCAAGTTAGCAGAGAGCACCTGGTATGCCAAGAACTGAATATACAAAGCTGAGCACAAGATCTCTCTCCCTCCGCAGGGCCTGAGAGTTTGGAGGGCGCCTCGGCTCTGTTTGCAGAACGCACATTATTCACTCAGGTCCCTGCTAGAACACTGGCCCCTCAGAGGGCAGGGAAAATGACTATGCTGTTTGCCAGTTTATTCCCAGTGTCTGGGAGATGCTTCACAAGCTTCTGCTTAGTAAATGAGTGTGTTTGTTCAGTATCCGCTTTGGGCAGGGCACCATGAAATAAATGTCATCAAGGGCAAGAAGTGATTCTCCAAGCTTCTGTGCAGCCTGGAGTGGTCCCCCTTATCCTTGGGGGATATGTTCCAAAACCCCTGGTGGATATCTGAAACCATGGATAGTATTGTACCCTATTTATATTATGCACAAATTTCTTTTTCTGTCTTTACAATTTAACAGATATTTGTTCTTACTATAAGTCTTAGCAAACTTAGCATTCAACTTATTTTCTTTCCTTATTAAGACAAGGACTTTCACCTTTTCACTTAAAGGAAGCACTTTTCAGCTTCTCTTTGGCATATCCGAATTGCTAGAGTCACTACTCTTGCACTTTGGGGTCATTATTAGGTAAAATAAGGGTGACAAACACAAGTGCTGCAATACTAGGACTAAGTGATTCATGGATACTCGGGACAAAGAGAATATTCACATCCTGGATGGGACAGGGCAGGATGGCATGAGATTACATCACACTGATTAGAATGGCATGCAACTGAAAATGAATGAATTGTTTATTTCTGACATTTTCCATTTAATATTTTCAGACTGTGGTTGACTTCTGGTAACTGAAACCTCAGAAAGCAAAACCACCAATAAGGGAGAACTATTGTACTTATTTTTCTTACCTGTAATATGGTCTGCTGGACACTTTAGAAAAAAAAAAGGCTGTTTTTAACTTCAAATCACTGAAGCCGTATTCTTGATGTATTTTCATCCTCAGATGTAAAAATATACCATTTCTAAGGAATGGATTAGTTCTTGGTCATGGGTTAGTAAAAGGGAAACCATTATAACAACAGCATCTACTTACTGAACATTATTTACTAATAATGATCTGCCAGGCCAGAGTTAAGTTCTACACACACATACACACATGCACACACACACACACACATATACACACACACCGTAATGGTGAAATGTGCCGACTACTAGATATTTATAAAATAATTTTAGGTAGTATATAGACTAACCTAAAATTTTTGTTAGACATAGATTTATTTTAATGTGTTTTAGGAAAAAATGTAATGACATATTAAATCAGTGATTTCATGGATATTTGGAATATGATTTAGGATGAGGCCAAGCTCTCTTCACCTCTAAATACACTGATTTAGACACAGTTCAAGGAAGAAAATATCAAGCATATACTAGTACAGGTACTATTGCAGACGACAAAAATCATGAAGGTGGTATGCAAGATTTGCCTCCTTGGCCCCTCTGCCTGATTTCATGGGATACTAAAAACAAGCAGGGAAGGCAGGAGGGCCAAGGTCACAGTGTGGACGCGCACGGGCTCTGAAGTCAGACTTCTAGGGTCACATCCCGGCTCTCCTGCTTGTTCCACTCTCTAAGCTTGGGCAGGTCACTTGGCTTTTCCATGTGTCGGTTTCCTCATCTGCAAAATGTGGGTGATGATAGCATCTACCTCACGGGGCAAAATAGAGATTCAAAGACAGGTGTCTTTGATATCAAAAGCTACATCCTGACCTCTCCGGGGCTGGCAAATGAGTTTTAGCTTATGTGCCAAATTAACGGATTAGAAGAAGGCACCTGTGGCACCAAGTTGACAAGTATTTGAGGCTTCATGAGAAAAAGTGACCGATGGATGTGAGATATCTGCCCTGCGCTCTGCTGCTCTCTGCCTGCAGGACTCTGTCACCAGCTCGAAGCTCAAACTGCAAGTGGACCCACAGGACGTGCACTGGGAACACACAGTAACCCAATTGGTTGGGTTCTTTCTACATTTTCTTATTGATTTTACCACTAATTCTGAGAGAGACATACCATTGTCTAACAATAAAACTTCCACTTTAAAATTAACATAGGTTGCATAAAAGTGTTTTTCATGCATCAAATGTTATTAGGTACCTCTTCAGTTATTTTCTACAAAGAATACTTATTTAGACATTTCAGTAACCTTAGCAGTAAGTCAGATTTTCTGAAAGAAAAAGGAAAAGAAAGAAGGGAGAGGAGGGAGGGGAAGAGTGGGGAGGAAGGGAAAGAAAAGGTGAAGGAAGAGGAGGGGGAGGAGGTGAGCAGCAGCAGTATGGGTACCCCAGATACCAGGGGCTGATCTTGGTCAGCTGTTGGCGGAGGCTGTCAGTGCATCCTCCCAATTTTGGAAGTTCTCAGAAACAATGAGTGGGTCCAACACAAACTGACCCTCCCCAGGTGTTTGCTCCAGCCCAAGCAAAAGACAAATGCACTATCACAATCAGATCAATAGCCTTTTGAAGCATATTGGAGCGACAGGCCCAAGTGGGCCCTTTCAGGAGATGGTAGACCCAGTCTCTCCTACTGCACTGGGACTACTTTCTGCGAGCAATTCCCGCTGGGTCTTGCCATCATCTTGGTACTCATCTAGCCATCTGCCATGCAAAAAAAAGAAGATAATTAATATGAGAGAGCATTGAAAGGAGGCTCATTAGTTAGAAAGGAAAAAAAAACATATGGAAAGAATTTAAAGAGGCCTTTAGAGAGATCAGAATTTTAAAAAAGGATTTAAGATTTTAAGCCACACCAGATTATTTAGCAGTCCAGCTTCGGCAAGTTTTTTCCTACACTCAAATTGCAAAGTCATATTGGTTCACTCTAAAATTTTGGCTTTTAGAAAAGTCCTCTGGTAACATTACAAATATTCTAACATAGTCAAAATTTCTCACTTGGAGTTTCCTTAGTGGTAGCTGTTATTTTCTCCTGTCATGTGACTGGCAGGTATACACAGTGGCTAAACCCTCAGACTCTAGGACAGCACTCTTCAAGAGAACTAGAATACAAACCATATATGGAAAGAAGTAAAAAGAAGGTAAAATTAATATTTTGAATTTTCATAAATTCAAAAGATTATTATTTCAACATGTAATCAGTATAAAAATTGTATCACATTCTTTTTTATTCTCCACTCTTGAAATCTGGAATGTATCTTATACCTACATTGGAAGAGCCACAGTTCAGTAGACATATGTGGCTTGTGGCTCCCATGTGAGACAGTACAGTTCTAGAGTCAAATATATTTTGATCTGAATCCTGACTCCACCAATTATTAATATATTCAGGCAAAAAATTTACTATCTTTATATTTCAAAGACAATTTCCTTGTCTTTGAAATATAAATATCACAGAGTCTACCTGTAGGCTGGCTGTGGGGATCAAATGAGTATCTGTGTGCAGTTCTGGCTTTACCATGAAGCCTATTCCTTGGAAAGCATTCAGTAAATGCTAGTGATGGATATTCTTCTGATTTTTCTCTACAGCAATACAACAGATGGGTGCAGAAATCTTAGAGGCTCCCACAACACAAAATGTAACCCCTCTATATCTTGGTTATTTTGAAACTCCACAAATAAAGTTATAAATAACCTCCTTCTCGGAGACCTTTTCTTTTCCCATAATTAGAAGGGGACTTGCATTTAAGTACTTGATAATCTATACTGCGGAAGACAGTAAAGCTTATGTCATCTAAATGCTCCAAACACTCCAGAAAGTAGAACTTTCTGACAAAACAATTTTATAGTAAACTTGATATCTTGTGCAGGGAATTCTTCAGTAGAAGATAATTCACAAAATCATAGTTATATCATAGAAACAACAGATTGATAGACACTAAATTAAAACTTTCCAGAGGGCCAAGGAACCAAGAGCCCCTGCTTTCTGACTAATGGGTCTGAGGTGTGCATGCCATTAATCTCATTAGGTCACAGTTTGCCCATCTGTCAAACAAACCATGAAACTAAATGTTATCTATGGTTTCTTCCACTTCTGATGGAATAGCAAGATAATTTTTTAATACTTATTTAACCCTGGGTCCTCAGAGAGAAAAGGCAAGGAAAACAGTTTATATTGCTATAGTTAATGATAACAGTGCAATGATACACCAGTGTGCATATCATTCCATATGATAGTATGATACAATAAACCATCTTAAATATTTTCATCTGCGTCATTTTGTTTCTGTAAGTCCAATTTCTAGGGTTTGTGATTATTCTAAAATGTAGAAATAAGTCACTTTCATGATTTCTACTCCTCTGCATTGCCAGTAAAATTAATTTTGGCTTGGAAGAGAATGTGACCATTATCACCTGCCCTGGATGCCTTTTGACTTTGCTAAATGTGGCACTTCTAGAAAAATAATAATCTTATATTTACTACTTACATTATTTCATTGGTACCATCACATTCAGAGCAATAAACTACACTGTAAAATATTAAACACAGCTTCATATGATACCAAATATCTAGATGTGATATAAAACCAAATGTTGTATATATACTGGCCAATATGGTAGTCACTAACCATCTGTGTCTATTCAGCACTAGAAATGTAGCTAGTACAACCAAGCAACTGAATTTTTATTTGATTTGATTTTATTAATTTAAATTTAATTAGCCATATGTGACTAGTGGCTACCATATTGGACTGTGCAGATACAATATTTAAAAAGTAAAACTTAGTCAATTATTTGAGAGTTCTAAATACTAGACACATGATCTAGAAACAAAGGTGTGTTTTCTCCCTTCATTTGCATGTGTAGTATCATGTCTAAAAATTTCTTTAAAATTGTTTCTGTGACAATAACATTTACCATCATGGAGCCTCTAATAATTGCAGGACACTTTTGTAGGTACTTTATATACATTGTCTGAAATCCTCAAACAACCCTGCAAAATAGGTGTCATTACTGCCATTTTACATAAGAATAAACTGAGGCTCCCAGAGCTAGTAAGTAATGCCATTATAATCCAAATCTGGTGCTAAAAAACTTCAATCTTTGCCCCTTCTATTCCCTATTCACTAAGATTTCTTTCAAAAATAAAAATACAAGGTCTCTTCCTAGAGCTTGAATTTCATAAAATGGCAATAGCTACTACTACATGCACTTTAAATGGAAGTGCATTGAGAAAAGAAACAAACAGATGATCAGAGAAGTGCTACACATTTTGTTCATACAAAATTCAACTCCTTATTAAGTTTCAAAGGAATGACTATTTCCTAGAATCGAAACTATAGTAAGGTAAAATCCAGTCAGTCAACCAATGTGCATCTCTGCATATCTGAAGAGTGTCCCTCACTTTAGGGAATAGTGATGCTGAGCCACCTACTAAATTCAGAGCACACTCAGCTCTCCAGCTTCATGTAGCGTTACATCTCTCCTCCCTTATTGAGCATCAATTGGAAGTTCTTTGAAGACAAGAACTCTACTTTTTTATCTCTAAATCTCTAGGATTTGGTATAGTACCTAACACCTAGCAGGCAGGCAATATTTTTTCATAAATAAATGGATGGATAAATTAACATATTAAATGGATGGATAAATTAATATATACAATGCATGAGTTCTCTAGATTCAAGGAACATGCAATCACATAGACATAGCACCTTGACACCCAGGTCTTCACAGCATATATAAGCCTCTCTCATTGCCCTCATGTCGTTAACATTTCCCATGTTCCCATGTGGGGACCATAGGTCCTTGCCGACAGAAACTGGATTGCCTTATTGATGGATCTCCATTATCTATCCCACTTCTTGATATGGTGGGTGGTCAATTACTACTTGCATAATGACTGATCAAATGGATCAACATATTCTGTAGATTGGTTAATAATGGAGGGAACTTAACTACATAATTTCTATGTTTAGTGCATTTTGTTTTAAGGTGCATTTGATATTCTACTTATTATAACTCTATAAAGTAGGTAGAGAAGATTTAATCATTCTCATAAAACTTTGAAACTGAGAATCAGAAGTTTAAGAGATTCACCTATGACCACCCGGCCAAGGAATTACAGTTACCCTTGCCACTTAAGTCTCCTGTTATATTACATCTACGCCACTTTAGTACAATGCATTAGAGTTCACAGTTCACATATATAACATCATTTGAGTTTAAATGATTCAAATGAACTAGGGGAAGCAGGTATTATTGCCATCTTCCATATGAGGACATTGAACCTCAGAGAAGTTAAGAGTGGTACCCAAGTTCACAGTACTAGCAGGGAGCTTAGCATGTGTTTTAGAAACAGAAAGAAGAACCTGTTTTCTAAGTCCTAATCCAATTTCTTTCCATTTCACCATACTTTTTTCAGAAGAGAAAAATGTTAGAGATTACAAAAGAAGAGAGAATTACTAGTGCTGATAAAGGACAGCTTCTTGAGGAGAGAAGGCCTTCAGCTCTGGTTTTCAGGGAGGGAATGATGTTGTCCAACAGCTGGGATGAGGCATGCTGGAGGACACAGGTGGAATAAATTGGACAAAGAGAGCATAATTTTGCATAATAATGCATTAAGAGCATACCTGTTGCATAGAAACAGCACCTCTTCACTGCTGTCTTCATCTTCAGACTTAACAACAATACTCCCAAGAAACCATCCATTACCTGTGTCAGTTGACAAAGGAGATTTATTTAACTCTTTAGCTTAAAAATACCAGCATTGTGATTTTATTCATAGGTCCTCCAAATGTTCCTTTTTAAGTACACATGTCAAGGTACAAAAATATGCACATGCAAATTATGCCCGTAGAGAAATGAAAATGTGAGTGAGCAACCTAATTACTCAGAGTACTAGAAGCAGAGGACAAGAGAAGATAGGGACCCAAACTCTCTATAAAATTAAAAAAAAATTATTTAAAAACACATGAGCCAAGAATAAAGAGAGAAGTAAATTCACATAAATGCATTTCAGTTATGTTAAGTCATAGAAGATTTATAAGTTTAAATAGTAATGGAAAGTCACAATCAATCATCATTCTTAATAGTGAAAATTTAGAAGTTATTGATTACTGTACTTGTCAATACAATTAAAGAAAGAAAAAATGAAAGTAAGGAAAGAAGGGAGAGAGAGAAGGAGGGAAGAAGGGAGGAAGGAGAGGAGGGAAAGAAGAAAGGAAAAGGAAAACTGATAAGTATAGAAAAAAGAGACAGAACTGTCATTATTCACAGAAGATATGACTTAACTTAAAAACCCAAAGAAATCACAGAATATAGAATTAAGAGTGATGAGAAAAATTGTTAGAAATATAATTAATACATAAAAATCCAGTGTATTTCTATTAACCAGAGAGAAAAGGTTAAAAAGCATAATTTAATAAAAGTTACAATGTTGAATTGCTATAAAAATTTAAGAATTTGGGAGTAAATTTAAAATCAGATGTAGTATAATTTATAGAAAAATCATCTAAATGTAGGAAATGACAGCAAAAAAAGCCATAAATAAATGTAGAACTATCTCATATTGGTAAGTAGGAAGATATCATAAAGATGTCAGTTCCTCATAAACTAATTCAAAACCTCAATGTAATTAAATCAAATTCACCAAAGTGTTTTACATGAAAATCCAGAAGCTGGTAATAAAATTCATGTGGATGATAAAGGCCCAAGAATATCACAAGCACTTCTGATCTTGAGTAAGGGAGGGGAATCACCCTACCACTTATCAACATTTATTGTAAATCTATACCAATCAAGGCAATGTGGAATTGGGGCTGGCATAGATAAATTGACTATGGGACAGAAAATGAATTCAGAATTAACCTTTCCCCTTCACACAAACTTGATACAGGCAGCGCTGCTCTGCACATTAGTGTGGAACCATAACAAGAACTGCAAGCTGAAACTATGCAAGCCATCTTAATAATCAACAGGGAAAAATTATGACTGCTTGATGATCTGTAAACATTTTTTCAAAACATCAAAAAATCTTTACTGTGAATTTAAAATGGCTATAAAAAATAAAAAGTAGCAACACTAATATTTAATGCACTATAATTTAAAACATTAGTAACACTGAAAATTAAAATGTTTTATTTTTTCTGTTTGGTGTTTGCCTTCTTTTTCTCATCATATAATTTATAATACAGAGGAAGCATCTTTTGCATCTTAGCAAATTATTAAACTCCTAAATTTGGATCAGCTTACAATATTTTTTTCTTTGTGTTTTCAATGTCATAAAATATCTCAGAATTCCTTTAAGTGAAGTTTTTATCGACACCTTCGTCCTTTTTGTCACCACCACCTTCCTCATCCATGGACATCAATTCCCCTCATTAATTTCCTCTTGCTGCGAATCTACAGTCTCTCAAATGGTGGCAGTGTCAACACTTTCATGGTGGTAAATTATGTCTATAACCCCATTTATTTTAGATTTGAACTTCACTTCCAGCATTGCCACTTTTCATTTCTTTGATACACTTTCATCTTTCAATTATATATTGTTATGAACTGTCACATGGATTCATTATTGGTAAACAAGGAAGCAACACAACTATACACTTTGCTGTCTAGGCATATACTGATAAGAAATGCACCATGACCCAGCACCAACAGACAGACATTGGAAGAAGTGATGTGACTGGTTGCTGATGAGAATGTGCATCTGTTATCCACATAGTGATTTGTAGACTAAAAAGCTGGCAGCAAAGTTTGTACTTATGCAATTGCAGTTACTACAGCATGGTAGCTGAAATTTGAACTATGCTGTTTGGGGATTTGTGTTAAATAAATCATTGCAACTGAAATTTGTGCATATAGATTCCATGCAAAGCAATGACTTCTTGTATAAAATAAAGATGACTTTGTAGAGCTCTCAAGTGAAGACGAAGCAGTCAATACAGAGTGGTAGTACAATTGATGATCCATACGGAAAAGAATGAAAGTTGATTCCATCCTCGTATCATACATAGAAATCAATTACAGATGGAGTAAAATTTTAAATCTTAAAAGCAAGACTTAAAATATATGTATGTGGATGTATAAACTGTAGTCATTAACATCAGGGACACATTCTGAGAAAGGCGTCATTAGGTGATTTCATTATCATGCAAACATTGTGAGCACTTACACAAACCTAGATGGTATCGTCTACTACACACCTAGGTGATATGGCACAGCCTATACTCTTAGGCTATAACCTGTTCAGCGTGTTACTGTACTAAATACTGTAGGCAACTGTCACACAATGGTAAGTATATGTGTTTCTAAACATAGAAAAGGTAATGTGTTTCACTGCAATATTGCAAAGGCAGTGATGTTACTAGGTGATAGGAATTTTTCAACTCCATGATAATCTTATGGGACTACCATCATATATGTGGTCCACGTTAACTGAAACATGGTTATGCAGCACATGATTCTGCATATATATATATATATATATATATATATATATATCCATTTGGAATACTCTGGGGGTAGAGAAGACTTTCTTAAATAAGACACAAAATATGCTGATAATTTAAAAATTATACTATACTCTTAAACTACTTTAAAATTAAGAATTTCAGCCATTAAAAATAACACTAACTAGAGAAGATACAGTGCCAGTCACTGCTAGTTGCTCTCCCTTTCTTGGCATTTCTGCAATGCGAGAGGCCCACATCTCCCAGATGTCTCTGCAGCCACAGATGAACTATGTGACTAGTTTCTCAGGAATGAAATGTGGCCGGAAGTCATATGCGCAGCTGCCATCTTCCATGCTCAAAAGACAGTGTTGCAGGGGACTTTCCGTCTTTCATGTGCTGTAACCAGCTCTGACCACACAGAGGAGAGGAGATTTAGGTGATGGAAGAATAGCAAGGTGGAAGGACCTGGTCCCTGATGGCTGGCTGGGAATGGCTCTCTCTTTGCGGCTGTTACCTGTGTGTGGAATACTCTGCTATCTTTAAAAAATCTTTTTTGTAAATCACTTTTTATTAGAGGACCTTTACCTTTACCCTAAATATTATGGACAAGAACATGTATTTCCACAGACAAAGAAATTCAGTTAAGGATAAAAAAAGAGAAGAAGAAAGAATGCTCACTGTTCCTAGAAATCAGGGTAATGCAAATTAGGGCCAAAGAGAATACTATTTTATACCAACTTACGTAAAGTAAAGGCAAAAATTAAGTGTACCAGGTGTTGGCGAGCATATGACGTAATAGAAGTTCTTATATACTGTAGGTAAGAGAAAAACTTAGTTGAATCACTTTTGAAACTAGTAGTTTATCTTAGAGACCCAGATATGATCATATCCTTTGACCTACCTAGCAACTGACTTCTACGGATTTACCTTAGAACCTGAGGTTTCTTAGCCTCAGCTCTGCTGACATTTGGGGCCTGATAATTCTTTGTTGTGTGACTCTCTTGTGGTGGTAAAATGCTTAGCAGTATCTCAGGCTTCTACCCACTATGTGCTGGTAGTAACACCTACCAGCTGTGACAACCAAAACAGCCTCCAGACATTGTCAAATGTCCCTAGGGCGCAAATTTGCCCCCAGTTGGGAACCACCCTCCTAGAAGAACTCTTGCTTCTGTGCATTACAAAGTTTCTTTCAGGCTGTGCCCAGTGGCTCATGCCTGTAATCCCAGCACTTTTGGAGGCCAAGGCGGGTAGATTACCTGAAGTCAGGTTTGAGACCAGCCTGGCCAACATGGCAAAACCCCGTCTCTACTAAAAATACAAAAAATTAGCTGGGCATGGTGGCATGAGCCTGTAGTCCAAGCCACTCGGGAGGCTGAGGCAGAAGCATTGCTTGAACCCAGGAGATGGAGGTTGCAGTAAGCCAAGATCACACCACTGTACTCCAGCCTGGGCAACAGAGTGAGATTCCATCTCAAAAAAAAAGAAAAGAAAAGAAAAAAAGAATGTTTATTTCAGCTTGTTTGTAACAGTCAAACTGGAAACAACACAACTATGCATTAACAAGAGATGGACAGATTAATTATGTATTACTATGCAATAGAATATTACACAGTGGTGAAAATCAACTATTGCACTACACATGAAAGTGGGTAGATCTTGGAAACAATGTTGAGTTAAAAAAATCATGTCACAAAAGAGGGCATATGGCACATCACAACTTTTACAAGGCACAGAAACTATCAGTGTTTTCAAGTATCCCCACATGATTAGTAAAGCCTTTCTTTAAAGCAAAGGTTTTTGAAATCATGAAAAAATTTAAAACTCAGGATGGATACTTTGTGGGAGAGGTGAACACAGGTAGAACCACCAGTACTGGTAATGTTCAGGCTTACATTAGGTAGTGGGTTATCAGACTCCAAATAATACACAGTTTGAAAAGAAAATATGGGAAAAGAACGTAACCTGGATACTCTATTATGGTATACTTTTCTTTTAGTGTAAAGAGTATTCAGAATGTAGGAAGGGTAGTTTCATTAAAGAACTTTAAAATCATGTTATAGTAATTACTTTTCACTTGCTTTAACTGGGTTCCTTAACTGAGTTTCAAATAGCCTAATCCCACCAGTCAGAGAAGCCCATTGAAATTTCCAAATATCCAGCCAAAACTTGGCCCTCACCTCCAGCCTACCTACCACATTTTCTTCTTTTCCTGTGAAGGTTTTTACATTCTTCCAGGTCCCTTTGTCAAATGGACAATAGCACTGTGAAGGTTACTTTCAAATATTTATCATACTTCATTCTAACTTAATGTAAGTATTTCATATGTGTCTGTCACCATAGGCCCTGCCTGTGAGCACAGACACCCCATGCATCTCACTGACATTTGCATCCACCCAGGGACTGGCATCCTGCAGTCCCTCAACAAAGAACCCTGGGGACGCAGTCTGAGGACCTCTGGAATCGGGACCCCTGGAGGTGCTTGTGTTGCAAGAGACAAACAGAAAAGCACATATACCTCTGATTACTTGGTACCCACACAGGCAGAATCTCTGGGGTGGGCCCAGGGATCTATTTTATTTAAGATACTCAGATAATTCCTAAATGTTTTGAAGTTCTACAAATTTGCTACAAATTTGAGTCTTTACTGAAGCTTTCTATATTCCATTTGTGGTTAGATAACCCTAGACATAACTGTATTTGGGTTAAAAGAATAATACTGTATGTGGCTTCTTCTTAAAAATGGAAAGAAAAAAATAACTTGAGAATCTCACTATTGTCCCTCCCGTACCTGCACATTTTTTTGTTAATGAGTATTTCCTTAAAAAAAAAATCAGTATTTTGGAAGTTTATTGCTCCCTCCATCAAAGCCATTTCTATATGAGTAAATTAGCCATGTAAACATGTTTAAAATCACAATGTCCCTTTCATTCTTCCTTCTGTCATTTTTATTCTTTGTATCAAACAACCTTGGCTATAATATTTTCACCTTCAAATGTGCAGCCTACCTCTTCAAATAAATGCCTAATTCTCCTTCCTTTGCCTGCAATAGTGATTGCCCTGATGTTGTGGTGGCAGTTTTCTCTACAGCACCTCAATTCTGGCTTTTTAGGATGTGGGTTGGATGTTCTAACATTGTTTCCATCCCATGTCACAAAGAGGAGTCTGAGAATAATTTTTTAAAACAAGAGTCTGGGGGTTCTACTAACTGTTCTGTTCCAATCCATGCCAAAGTCTACAGCTCTGACTGTAACTAGCTATCCTGAATATCCATGTGCTGCTGGCAAGGGAGGCTTGGGGCAAAAGCAGGAAATCACAATAAAAGTTTCCATCCTTCATAAAAGTAATCTAAAAGGCACCACACTCTACAGTGACACCACTCTGCAGCAACCCAGCACTACAGTAACACTGCTCCACAGTTAAACAACTCCATACTGACACCCGTCTACAGTGACACTCATCTACGGTAACACCCCCTACAGTGACACCCCTCTACAGTGACACCACCCTACAGTGACACTACCCTACAGTGACACCACCTACAGTGACACTGCTCTACAGTGACAATGCCCTACAGTGATTCCTCCTATACTGATACCACTCCATAGTGACAACGCTCCACAGTGACACTGCTACAGTGACACCACCCTACAGTGAAACCCTGTACAGTGACACCACCCTGCACTGACACCACCTACAGTGATACCACTCCATAGTGACAATGCTCCACAGTGACACACTCCACAGGGACACCACCCTACAGTGACACCACCTATAGTGACACTGATCCAAAGTGACAACACTCCACAGTGGCACCACCTATAGTGATATCACTCTGTAGTGACACCACCTTACAGTGACACCCCTCTACAGTGACAGTGCTGCTCCACAGTGACATTGCACTACAGTGACACCACCTACAGTGATACCACTCCACACTGACAACACTCCACAGTGACACTGCTCTGCAGTGACACTACCCTACAGTGACACCACTCTGCAGTGAAACAACTCTATAATGACACCCCTCTGCAGTGAGCTGCTCTATGGTGACACTGCTTTACAATGACACCACTCTACAGTGACACCAGTCTACAGTGACATAGTCTACAGTGACACTGCTCTACAGTGACACTCCTTTACAGTGCCATGGCGGTGCACTGATGCCACTCTGCAGTGAAGCCACTCTATGGTGACACTCCTCTACAGTAACATCACTCTGCAGTGACATCACTCTACAGCGACACTACTCTACAGCAGCACTGCTCTACAGTGACATCAATCTACAGTGACACTGCTCTACAGTGAGAACATTCCACCGTGACATCACTCTATAGTAACATTGCTGTACAGTGGCACTGCTGTACAGTGACACTGCTCCACAGTGACACCACCTTACAGAAACGCCACTCTACAGTGACACTGCTCCACAGTGACACCACCTTACAGAAATGCAACTCTACAGTGACACCACTCTACAGTCACAGCACTCTGCAGTGATACCAGCCTACAGACACTGCTCTACAGTGACACAGCTCTACAGCAACATCACTCTACAGTGACAGTGCTCTGCAGTGACAGCGTTCCACAGTGACATCACTCTGCAGTAACATCACTCTACAGTGACAGTGCTCTACAGTGGCAATGTTCCACAGTGGCATCACTCTGCAGTAACATCACTCTACAGTGGCATTGCTCTACAGTGACACCACCTTACAGAAACACCACTCTACAGTGACACCATGTATAGAAGGAAGCATATTATGTCATTCCTTCCTCTATTCTATTTCTTACTTCTGCTTTTTTCTAATAATTTCCTCTATACGATCCTGAACTCGTTGAACTATGTGTCTATTTTCTTTCTATTCACTGCTACCTCACCTTTTCTGCTTCTGCTCCATTTGGTTTCTGTCACTATGGCCACTTTAAGCTCTTCCCATTCATTTTAAAGAGATTTACTGAAAATCATTTCACTGATTTAAATATGTTCATTCAGTAAATGGTCACTAATTAAACTATACTGTCAGGCACAATACTAGACACTAGGAAAATGAAGATGAATACTACATAATTCTAGCCTTTAAAAAACTCAAAATCTAGCAGAAAGAAAAGAGGAATATGGAAATCAATGTGATAAATGGTTTCAGTACTATGATATAAGTTATAATATAGAGTTACATTTTAGCAGTAGAACTGAAGTTTGAATTTAATAGCTCTAAGGGAGCCAGTAGGAAAGATATGAATGAAGTGGAATTGACAGGTCTTGGTTGATAGCTGTGCCTGGGGAGAAGACATGGAGGGAAAGGTCGGATCAGGGATGGTGTTCAAGCAGCGCGTTTGCTGAAGAGTGTGGGATAAGGGACCCAGGGAAACACAGGGACAGACACAACAGACATGCAACTGTGAAGAATGCCCAGGGTGTCTGGAGATCACACACACGCATGCACACATGCATGCACACACCAAAGCTTTTGTCTTTCTAGGAAATTTCCTGTGTAATATAATCATGTGCTTGTACAAGTCATGTAATAAACTCAACCTGACAAAACTTCATAAATTTACATTAAATATATTTAATGTAAATGTATATAATTTAATATATTCAGTCAATAAATGGTCACTATATAATTTAATTAGTGACCATTTATAACCTTACATTATATTTAATGTAAATATACCTAATGTAAATATATATCATAAATCTACATTAAATATTTACATTAAATATATTTAATGTAAATTTATGATTTATAAATATATATTCTATAAATATATTATAATTATAGTATATAAATATAATTATAATATATTCAATGTAAATTATATATAAATATAACTTCATATATTTACATTAAATATAATATAAAATAAGATTATTTTCTTATCTGAATTTTATATGACCTGTACATTTTCCTGTTCTTTCACCTGCTTCTTATACGATTTTTCATAAATTTGCAAAATAAACTTCTTACCAAGAAACTAAATCTTACCTGGACCTGTTCCATCATGACTAATCAGAACTTTCTTCAATTTTCCGAGAGATACAGCCTTAATGGAAAAAATATCAACCTGTACAATAAAGAAATAAACTCAGTGACCATTAGGATATTTCCTTTCTCTAGAAAAAAAATAGTATTACTATTGATACTATATTGTTACTATACTATATAGTATTCTTACTACTACTATAAAAATTACTATTTTATGTGCAAAGTTCTACACTATGCTTTGTGAGAGACACAAAAACATGTAGAATATAATTCTTGCTCTCCTAAGTCACAGAGTCTAGTGAAAAAGATTTTTAGAACGTAATTAGGAGATTTATTTTAAATCTACTCTTACTAATAATAACAGCTCATAATCCGTACTATATGAGTAAGTGCCAAACTCTCTCAAGTGTTTTTCATATATTAACTCATTGAATCCTCACAACAGCCCATAAGGTCAGTACTACTCACTTTCTCATTTCACAGTCGAAGAGACTGAGGCACCTAGAGTTAAGCTACTTGTCCCAGGTCAACACCTAGTGTGTGAGGAGCCAAGTCTCAGACTCAGGAAGCTATCACCAGAATTGGTGTTTTCCACATTGTTCTGTCTCTTAATATCTTTTACTTTTAAATAAACTATGTATTGAAATATGTATATGTACATACATATACATACACACGCATAGGACGTTTTAAAATAAACTATGAAGTAGATACAGGTATACAAATTACAAATGCACACTCAACAAACACATCCATGTAAGTAACAGAGCCTTATCAGCACCTAAGACCCCAACATGCCCCTCTCAGTCACTGTCTCCCCAAACGATATCCACTATCTTGACTTTTAGCACTTTTATTTTGTTTTGCCTTGTCTGGGACCATATATCAACAGAATCCTACAGTGCATTCTTGCTCCACCTGGCTTGTGTCATTCAACGTGAGATTCATCCATGCCATTTTGCTCAGCAGCGTCTTGTTCATTTTCATTACTGAATATTACTCGAAATTATTTATCCACTCTACTATTTGTAGACAAACATTATTCCTAGAATAATGCTGCTCAGAACATTCTTATATGGGTCTTTTCATGATATCTGCATATATTTATGTTGGGAAACAGCTGGGTTATAGGGGGTGTGTGTGTGTGTGTGTGTGTGTGTGTGTGTGTGTGTATAGTAAGTCTCACTTCCTAAAAATACTTATACTAATATGCACTCCGTATGCGAAGCATACGAGAGTTCAAAGTGCTCCACAGGTGAATCAATATTTATTGTTATTCTTTTTAAGTTTAACCATCTGATCATGCACAGTAACACTTCACTGTGATTTTCATTGACTCTTTCTGATTATTAATAAGGCTGGGTAGGCTTTTTATGTTTATTGGTGATTTGGATACCCTCTTTTGTAGAGCACACATTCAAGTGTCATGCCCATGTTTTAAATAGGGTTTTCTGTCTTTTTCTTGTTGCTCTGTGGTTTTCTATACACAGTCTGCAAACAAGTCTTTTGCCAGTATGTTTTTACAATATCTTCTCCCACTGTGTGCCTTCCCTTTTTACTCTCTTAATGGTATCTTGAGGAACAGAAATCTTTAATACTAAAATAGTATAATTTATCTTTTTCCCCTTTATGCTTTCTGATTTGTCTTTAAAGTTTTAGCTTATAACTGTCTAGTCATGTTCATAGCGACATCATTCACAATAGCTAAAAGGCGGAAGCAACCCAAGTGTCCATCACGGGGTAAATGGATAAACAAAACATGAAATGTTTTGAAATATTATTCAGCCTTTCAAAGGAAAGATGTCCTCTCACATGCTACAACATGCATGAACAATACAATGGAATACTACTCAGTCTCGCGAAGGAAATAAATCCTGTCACATGCTACAACATGCATGAAATTTGAGGATATTATGCTAAGTGAAGTTAGTCACAAAAAGAAAATACTGTATGATTCCACTTATATGAGGTACCTAGAGTAGTCAACTCATAGACACATAAAGTAGAATGGTGGTTGCCAAGGGCTGGAGGACTGAAGAATGGAGAGTCGTTTAATGAATACTGAGTTTCAGTTTTGCAAAATGAAAAGAGTTCTGGAGATGGACGGTAGTCATGCTTACACAATAATGTGAATGTACTTAAACCATTATACTGTAAGAAAATTATACTTCAAAATGGTTAAAATAAATTTTAGGTTATGTGTATTTTGCCACAATTAATTTTATTTATTCATTTATTTTTTGAGACAGAGTCTTTCTCTGTCACCCAGGCTGGAGTGCAATGGTGCTGTCTTGGCTCAATGCAACCTCCAATTCCCGGGTTCAGGTGATTCTCCTGCCTCAGCCTCCTGAGTAGCTGAGACTACAGGCGCCTGCCGCCACGCCCGGCTAATTTTTGTATTTTCAGTAAAGGCAAGATTTCACCATGTTGGCCAGGCTGGTCTCGAACTCCTGACCTCAAATGATCCACCCACCTCGGCCTCCCAAAGTGCTGGGATTACAGGCATTAGCTACTGTGCCCAGCCCACAATTAAACACTTTTAAAGTCCTAATCAACCCCCTAGATTATGAGGATTTTCTTGCATCATTGTCTTCTAGATATTTAATTGTTTTACCTTTCACATTTAGATATAATGTTACATAAAACTGATTTGGGGATTTGATGTAAAATAGAAGTTGTGATTTTTTTCTATAACAATATCCAATTTAAAAATTTGTTGAAATTTTTCAGTGCTTTCTCTGATGCTGCACATTAGGATGTGTGGATATGTTTCTGGACTGTCTTCTGTTTCTTTGCTATATTTGACTTTCTTTGTACAAATTGATGCTGTCTTAATTACCTTAATTTCATAAGTCTTGATACCTGGTACTGTAATTCCTCCACTTGGTTTTTCTTCTTCAACATTATTTTAGGTGTATTTGACTGCATTTCCACATAAATTATATAATTAGATTGCCAATTTCTGTTTAAAAAAGTTTCTGAGATTTTGATTGATATTACATTAAAACTGCAGATCCATTAGACAGCAGGAAGAACTTTATAATACTGAGTCCCTGAACATAGTATATTTCTTTTTCTTTTATTTTCTTTCCTTCATTTCTTTTCTTTTCTTTCTTTCTTCCTTTCTTTCTCTTTCTTTCTCTCTTTTCTTTTCCTTCCTTCCTTCCTTTCTCTCTCTCTCCCTTTTTTCTTTTTTCTCTTTCTTTCCTTCTTTTTTCTTTTTTTCTTTCTTTTTCTTTTCTTTCTTTCTCTTCCTTTCTCTTTCTTTCTCTCTCTTTGTTTCTCTTCCTTCCTTTCTCTTTCTTTCTCTCTCTCTTTCTTTCTCTTCCTTCCTTTCTCTTTCTTTCTCTCTCTCTTTCTTTCTTTCTCTCTTTTTTTTAGAGATGAGGTCTTGCTAAGTTGGGCTAGGCTCAAGCAATTCTCCTACCTCAGCTTCCCATGTAAGTATGTTTTAAATTTTTTTCCAATAATATTTTATAATTTTTTATTTAGAGGTCTTGCCTTAGCCACCTCAGTGCCTGTGGTGCAATGGGCCATGGGCCATGGATGGAGTAACCACAATGGCAGAGATGGAGTTTATCTGTGCACGGCCATAAGACATGAGTTCTGTCCCCCAAGGCTGCTCCCATCACTGCTGCTCCTGGTGCCCAGTCTGGTGGCTCTGGTCCTAGAGTGATCCAGTCCCTGCTGCCAACAGCAGTGACTTATAGAATGCACACTTCCACTGAGTCTTCCTCTTTACGTCTCTCTCTCTCTCTGCCTTCCTTCACTGCTGCTTCCTGGGATCACTGCTCTCAATGACGAGCTGCAGGACCTGTCCCTGATCTGCTTCAAGAGGACTCACACTATCGCCACTTTTCAAGTGAGAAATCCCAGCCCCATGAGGCCTCCTAAATCTCTGAACAGCATCTCAGACTCTCCACTCCTCCACTGCTACTTTCTGACTGGCTTCTTGATTCCAAGCTTCCCCTTACAAATGGTGGAAAGCCATGCTGATACCATGTTCTCCTCTGCACTTTATTTCTCTCCAGGATCTTGGGCCCTCAAGCCCTAAACGCCTGGGTAGCTCTGTCATACCTTTAAAACCAGTTTAAAAGATGTTTTATCAAATGTTTCTAGTTGTTCTCAGCAGGATGTTCATTTTGTTATAGCTGAGTCTGCCCTATCTGGAAGTAGAATATTGTGTTTGTTGAGTTAAGTCCCATCCTCTACTCAACTCCAGAACAATAACATGCACACTAAGAAATGACCACACCTCCCTGAATTCCTCACAGGAATCAACTGAGCATCTCAGAAATTTTCTGTTTGTGTGTGTTTTTGTTAAATAAATTAAAGGAACGATAGTCGGTAAAAACTGATGAAGACCTGTTTCTATTACCTGTCCACGCTGAAACTTGATTTCATTGTTTTTGGACTGATGAAGTCTTCGTTTTCCTGAATCACCTCTGGTACCGATGAGGTTGATAAATACATTAGACTCTGTTTCTGCACCTGTCATTGTGCCTGTGTATATGCGAATCTCATAAAGCACCACTGAAATGTAAGAAATCTGATATTATCTTTCTCATTTTTATTTATCTCTTTGAATGTAGTTAGATATTCTGCAAGGAAATCAGAATGTTCTTTCATCTAGTTGATGATACTTGGCCCCAACTCTTTTTCTTCTATGTACCCCCTTTCAAACATACTTCCAGCTACTTAATGTTTACCTCATTCATACAGACTCAGCTATTCCCAGAACTACTGTTTCAAAATAATTATTGTTAGCAATTATGTACTTTCAATAACCACTGCACTTTCACAGTTATTATGAAAAGATGTATTTTTTTAAAAAAACAGAAACTCTCCTCTCTCTTTATTAGATGAAAGTGGGCATTTTTCCCCCTAAAGTCTGGCTGTTCTAATCACAGCTGGTCACTCATGCTGCTACTTCTTGGAGATTATTCTAACAATGGAGATTTTTAATAGCCCTCTTGACGGAGAAAAAAAAACAAAGATCCTAGAGAGATGCAAATTTAAATATATATTTTTTCAAAAAGTCCAGTAAGGTACCAGCAAATTATAATCCACTGTATTTGTCCTTAGAATTAAGGCAAATTCTGAGACATTGATAGAAATAAATAATTAGAAAAGCGATTGTTCTTGCTGATATTACTAGTAAGAATAATATCTGGGATACAATGAGTACTTTTTATTCCAAGATCTTAGAACTCTTTATAAATCATACTTTGTGCAATTGAGCAGTTACATTTATAGAAATTCACATTAACATTTTCCGAAGAACTCAGACATGAAAATCCAACAAGTAAGGAAACAAGGTAAGTGAGAAACATTGGCTGTTTCCATCATGCCTGACCTTTATAAAGACAAATGTGGTATATTGGGAAATGGTATAAGCAGAGAAGATACATCAGTTTCTTTGTGCAGGCTTACATATTCAAAAATACCCCAGAGTGAAACCCAGCTGAGTGTAAGCAGAAAATTAGAACACTTCTCATGAATTTAGGACAACCAAAGAAATATTTCAAGCAACCTATAAAGAAGAGCTGGTCTGACAACATGTGGAACTGCCTGGACTGAATTAAGTGAAAACTTCTCCTAAAATTCTTCATGAAAACAAGTATGATGCTTGTGAGGACCAGCATGATTTGACATCTTCACATAGAGAAACCAGGCTTCTGTTCACTGAGAAATCTTTTAAATTTCAGATGAAGAGTGAACTTGCTTATGATTTTTTTAAAGGGAGACCTTAAAATATTAAAACAGATATAAAGTAAGACAATTAAATGAATAGTTAAAGGTGTTTGAAAGTATACATAAAAAAGCATTTAGAACACAAACTCCATATTGACAGCACAAAAAGCAACACTCAGCCCTTCCTCAACCATCACACGGCCCTAATGAAATCATGCAGCTTCCTGCTAACCTGCACATGGCCTCAGATACTTCTCAACACAGTGTCCCCAGAAGCTGCTCCAATTGATTAGGTTAAATACATATGCACCTCAAAAAGTATGCACGCACATGCACACATGCACGCACACACACACACACACGTACGTGTACTTGCCATCTAAATAATTCAAAGAAAGAAAATGTACCAGAAATTTAGAACAAGGTGGTTATCATAGTTGAGCACTAACTTTTATTCTCAAACCGAGTCAAAAAGAGTTACATAGTTTAAATTGGGAGATGAACAATACACAATTCCACCCACCCCACCTGGAGAAACAGACATTTTTGCTGGAATCTGTAACATTGACTTCGTGTTCATTATACTACATAATATGATTCACTAAGCATTTGCTATAGTAGTACAACAAAAGCATGTAAATTCTTTTTTAATGCTAAATTCATAACAATAAATTATTTCAGACTTTTTTTCTTGATCTTTAAGGCAATATGAAATTCTTCTTTATCTAACTTAACCCAAAGGGAGAACTTAAATAATGCTTAGTTAACATGTCACTTAGACACACCCTAAAATATCAGGTGTTGTAAACAATTCTGAGTAAGCAAAGATTGCATCAGCTCCTTTCTTCAGTCCTTCTCCTTGGGCAGGAAAAGTCAAAGCTCAAAGTTGTTGATTTAAAAGCAGGGCCATATGCCCTAGCTAACAAATATTCATTCTATTGTAAAAAAGTACAAGGCTGATAAATTATCTGACCTCAAGGGAAGGATATATAGAAGGAGATGAACTCCTGGGGGAGCTCAATGATAAGTCTAAAATATGTAAGAAGAGAACTTAAAATTAGCTAGAATACTTGAAAAAATACGAGGATAGATTTCAAGATGTCAATGTTTTCCAGAATGGAGATCATTTTACCTGAATATATTCAAAGACAGGTATTACTAATACCTGTCATTCAGGCTACAGATAATCTTCTTAAAGTGCCATTTTTTAGAAGTGGCTATTACTGCATCTATCACTGTCATTTAGCTTAAAGTATTTGAAAAAGTAGATTTGTTGTTGGTTATCCATCTATGTTGGACATTTCTGCCAAATTTTTAAAATTTCTTTTTATCATGGTTGATGTTAAATTTTCCTTTCTGACAATTAGCAACTAACTTCAGGTGCTTATGAAAACCTTATATGACAAAGCCAGAAGCACAGCATAAAATGTTTTTCCTCCTATTTGCCACAATTGTCACCCAATTCAATTGATAGCTACACTATGTATTTTCACTATTTTTTCACTTTTGTTTGCAATGTCGTTATCTTCAACACTCTCATCTTTATTTTTTTATTATTTATTACCATTTTAACTATTCCCCCATCTGTCAAGGAATGCATAACCCATGTATTATCAAAGCTCAGCATGTTTAATGTCTGATTTCTTTAACTTATTCATTCTTTGGGCTTATAAATGTGCAGACTACATAAATAAGATTTATATGATCTTATTAGTGGCACAAAAATCTTTCAAAATCTTCACCTGCAGGTTTATTTTCAAACATCTTTGTAGGCCCAAATTTTTGCTAAGTGTTTGTTAATGATGATTTATCAGCCTCAACTCCAAGCATTAACAGCTCCATAAATAGTATCCTTAATCCCTGGATTCTTCAGTCTCTGCTTACTGTAGCAAGCACAGAATTTTTTTTTAATATACTTGCTTTTCATGGGGACATATAATTGCTTAGTCATAAGGATATATTTAAAATGTCACATGGTTGGGGAAGGGGGATGATAGGATTTTTCACTAGAAGTTTAGGAGAGGGATGTGCAAAAAATTTGTCCAAGCACAATGACTTAATTTTTTTTTTCCAGTCCAATTTTACTGCAATGAATGAACTCAGCTGCTTAGTCTCCTGGTTGGTTGTTGAACCAGTAAAAAACAAAAAACAGAAAATACAATGTACTTCTGGTATTTTTTTTTAATTTATATAAGAATGCACAGGTGAACTGTAGCCTCCTTCAGAGTTCCAGGTGTTGGCATTCCCTAACTTCTGCCTGCTTAATGGACAGCCTTGCCACACCCAAGAATGGTTGACCTGGCTTAGTGTCACTGGTCTGAGAGCTTATCAGTCATTATGAAACTTCTCTAAAATATCATCCTAGGCCACGTGCAGTAGCTCACACCCGTAATCCCGGGACTTTGGGAGGCCGAGGTGGATGGATCACTTGAAGTCAGGCGTTCAAGACCAGCCTGGCCAATGTGGAGAAACCCCATCTCTACTAAAAATACAAAAATTCGCAGGGCGTGGTGGCAGGCGCCTGTAATCTCAGCTACTCGGGAGGCTGAGGTGGGAGAATAGCTTGAACCCAGGAGGTGGAGGTTGCAGTGAGCCGAGATCGTGCCACTGCACTCTAGCCTGGGCAACAGAGTGATACTCCATCTCAAAAAAATAAAAAGAAATAAAAGAAAAATATCATCTTGGGAAAGAACTGTTCTTCATCACTAAACTTTTTTTATCTCTTTAAATATGTTCATTATAAGTCTTCAAATTTTTAGTTTCTTTGTTATAATACCACTGCATCATGATCTAGTCTCTATTTTCTTTTGACACAGTTGTACTATACAGATGTTACATTATTTTGGCTATGAGTTCATATTTCTGTGATGATACAGGAGTCTCTGTCCAGCAGTGTGTATGGGAGAAGAGCCTTAAACCAGATAGCATCTGTGTTATCTGCAGCTATATCATTGGGCCCAATCCACACCAGGCAGGGACAGAGGATGATCAGGACATATCAACAACCAGACACCTGAAGTTTATCTCTCCCTACCGCTCCTGCAAGCACTCCACCAGGACCTTGTCTTCAGGCCCCAGGAAGAACAGGATAGGAGGAGGCACTCCTTAGAAGCCAAGGAGCCCACAAGCCTTGGGGCTCAGAGGAGAGTGCAGAAGCAGGTGGAAATTGCCAGAGACTCCTAAGCTCCACCTGCTGCCTCAGCTCCTCACTCAGGAACTTTTGCTGCCCGAGATGACTGCCAAGGATGCCTGCACCAGATATCTGAGCCCACACATAGGTGAGGCATGGAGAAATGAGAGCAAAACTGCAACAGGAGGGAGAAGGGACAGGAGAGGAGGGAGAGAGAGCGATCACATGTACTTTCATGTTGTGGGAAATTTTTCTAAAATTAAGAGCAGATTAAATCAAAACAAAAGCTATATATATTTTTTACAGGACTAGAGGCCAAAGACACAGAAGTAATAGAAGTGAGAGGAGACCTGCAGGGAAGAGAAGCAGCAGCTGTTTGATTCATTTTGCAATTCTCTACTCAGAGCCCCGCACTGCTCCGGGGACTAGCCCTGAACAGTGCGGGCTACTTAGCTGTCCCCAAAAAGTGGACCCCACACACACTGCCCCAGAGCCTGAGCTGGGAAACAGAGACAGTGGTAGCAGGAAAGTGTGAAGAACCATGACAGCTTAATGAATAGCAGCAGGTTGGATAAGGCCAAGGGCCTGTGATATCTATCAGCAATCAACCAAGAGAGTAGAGGGGCTCCCAGAGCCTAAAGGTAACCGAGTACAGTTCACCAGTCAGCAGCTATAGTGCCTGCTGCCTATGGCCTGGATGGCCTCGTCTCAGAGAGCCAGTGGAAAGATCGCACAATCTAAAATGAACGCAGCCAGAACAAAGCCCTGCTTTCTACCATTCAGAACTGGAATTCCATCTGCCAAAAGATCATTATTATCACCATCATTCTGGCAAACATATCAGGATACAATTATGAGATTGTAGCTGAGACTTTTCTTCCCTACATTTTTCTTTTTTGCCCTGAGGGCCCTGGGGCCTCCGGGAGTGACATTTATTTCTTGGGGGAAGACAGTTCTGAGTAAGGTCTAGAACAAAAAGTCCACTGATTTCTGAAACAGACTGAAAGAATCTTAGAAGAGACATCACTTGTGAAAAATGTGACTATTCATTGTAAGAGTTTTTGAAAAAATCTCTCTCTTTTTTTTACAAGAGTGCTGGAGAAAAAATTCCCTTTTCTATCTCCCTCCCTCCCCTCTGTCTCCTTCCCTCCCTCCCTGGCGTCTCTGACTTGACCTGAGAGATGCACCAGCAGATGCTGAGGGTTGGATCTTGGGGGCAGCCCTGAGGAAGCATCCTGTTGACCAAGCAGCCAGGAGGAGAGGAAAGGCAACAGAGTGCCCTCATCAGCTCTCATCCCTGCTGCTAAGAGAAGCATGGAATGGCTGAGATCAGTGTGACAGTCCCAAAGGGACACATTTTTCTAGCTAGGGTGGCACAGAAACCAGAGCTGTGGTGTGATGTGTGCTTCCTTCAGCAGACATTACCAATGAGGGAGGAGGTGACTCCCAAAGACAAACAGAATGAGACACCTCAGGGAAGGCCAAAGAGAACTGAAGGTGGCCCTCGCACCTTCAGACATGAGGATGATATCCAGGAACTAAGGTATCCGTATGGAGTATTAAGAGGGGCAGAAATGAGAAGAAAGTATATTGAATTGGTCAGTTTTAGACCAAAAGAGACTAAATTCAACTCTATACTGGAAGTGTCTGAGTTTATTTGGAGTCAAAATGATTAAGATTTCCACCATCAGTAGCAACAAGGGTGTGGGTTATTTGTTAAGTCAAGTATGTTGAAATATAATTTACATGCAGTAAATTTCACTTTTAAGATATAGTTTGATGAGTGTTACCAAATGCATACAGTCTTGGAACTACTACCACAATCAAGATAGGGAATATTTCCATCACACGCAATACTTTCCTTAGGAAGGGCTGTAGACTATAATCAGTTGTGGAGAAGGAAAAAGGTTATATTTTGCACCCCTCAAAGTTATCATTATGAAGATTCAAATCCACCACATCATGGTGAAAACAATGCAGATATAGCAGTAACCTGGACCATGTCTAGAAAGATGGCCTTATACACGACACGTGTCTGTTTCTCAAATGAATGTATAAAGGAATTGAAGCCAATTAATTGTTTATAATATATACTATATTTAGCATAGTTCTGTCTTTAATCTGGATTCCATTGTAACGGTCATCTCATATTCTTCTTCGGCCAAGAAGTTTTTCTTTCCCTTGGTGGCCCATTTCTGATTACACAAGGTAAAGTGAAAACTGCAGACATGTGGCAATGAGGGCAGCCCTTCGCAAAGCTGGCTGGAATGGAGTAACTTCACTATTTAGAGACCAGAAGTTTATCTGTTGAATGGAATTGAGTCTTCCCCTATCAGACTTCTATATGTGTCTATAAATGCATAGAACATTAGGACCAGTAGATGTTTCAGGAGGAAGGGCCACTTCTAACCTAGTCTAAGATGTTGCGATTGAACATGAGCAAAGAAGTACTGAGGACCACAGAATTTTGGCCCCAGAAGCAAAGGAGCAGGCGGCTGCCTCACCCACAGTCAGCCATCTGTCAGTAATAGGAAGTGATAATAAATTAGTTGAGCCAGGCAATTTTCCTTCTAGATTTAAGCAGCTATTGCCAGAGAAATGCCCTAAAAGGAAGCAATCTCCTCAATTTAGGATAATTTTGAATAAAGCATGAAAGAATATTTGGTAATTGTGTTATTAAGGTCACTTAAAGTTATCAGTGCTGTATCAGGCAATGGCTGTGTCTGCAGGACTCTCTGTAGCCCGAGCTGCCACTTCTGAGGGCACTGCTGCAGAAGTCCACTCATCCGTGCACCGGGCGTCTTGGTTTCCCTGCTCCTAACTCCCGTGTTCCTAGGGGCAGGGCTCATGTTTTTTCAGGTTAGAATCCCCAGCTCCTAGCATACATAAATATCTGCTGAATAAAGAAGTGCTCTTTCATCCATCCGTTGATGAGTCTTGTGCACCGTACTCTGCTAGTCGCCAGAGAACCACTGATCAGGTATGAATCATCTAAAGAAGGCAGCGGCTGCTCCTCACCCAGAGCTGCACCCTTTCTAGGCCACCTTCCCAGGCACTCTGCAACCCCAGCCCCAAAGTGCTCCTCCCCGATAGTCATTGGAACTTGTCTCCTCCTTCCTAACTTTGTTCTTGTTCCCCAGTTCACCCCAGGGGCCACCCAGCTTCTGGCCCTTTGGCCACATCTCCTAGACCCAGGTCCATATGTGTTAGTGGAGTGGACAATAGAATTTCGCTTCCCAGACTCTGACCGTCCCTAAGGAGTGCCATCCACCAGCCTGTGGAGTGACTGAAGAGGGGTGAGGTGGGGACCTAGTATGGTGAGCCCTTCATGCCAGACAGTGGGCTAGAGGAGCTCCCCCTAAGAGAATTCATTTAGAATGCCTCCTCATCTCCTTTACACAGAGTGACCCAGTGGCGCCATTCATTCTCCTTCCATCCAAACTATCCAAGATTTCTCAATCTCCTCAATCTGCTCGGGAAATATTCTCCATTTAACAAATCAACTATAGGATCACATAAGAATATCATTTTTCCAGCTGTATCCCTAATGTTGCAGACTCCTGTTCTCCTAACAATATGTATAGTTCATATTTTATTGGGAAACGATCTATGGGACTTTACCTAGAGAGATGTGCCCTTGTGCAAACATGTATGCAAGCATGTCTACACATGCACACACATACGCACACACAGAGGCAAGCATGTCTACACATGCACACACATATGCACACACAGAGGCAAGCTTGTCTACACACGCACACACATACGCACACACAGAGACAAGCATGTCTACACACGCACACACAGAGGACTCCACAACCTTTATTAGGGGCAAACAGCATTACACCCCAGTGAAATCCATGAGACCTTACATCTTAATTAGGACCCTAACCAGAAGATTCTCCACTCAGGTCCTTCTATAGGTTGGTGCAAAAGTAACTGCGTTTTTGCCATTAAAAGTAAATAAATTGAGGAGCTGAATAAATAAATTGAAGCTACATAAATAAATAAATTGAGCTAAATATTTATCTAGGTCCTCAATTTAGAGAAGGTGGTATGAAGGGTTCTTTGGGCCACCCGGGCTTCCAACTCTGTCCAGCTGGTAAATCATCCTGGGGCCATGCTCTCTCAGGACACTTTCTTTCATCTCGGGAAAAAGTTCTGAGCAAGTTTCAGGTTCTACCTACCTTGGTGGACATAACCAAATAACCATAAAGTTCAAGGAGAAGGCTAAAAGGCCATGAGCTTCTCACTGATGCCCTCAGCCTTATCACAGAGCACACAATATTGTTAGTCAACATGGGTATTTTTTGTGGAACCTTTCCTAATCAGAAAAAAGAGTGCAATTGTGTTTTGGGGAGTTCCCTAGTCCCTTAGTCTTAGCCATGAGGCTCTAAAGCGCCTAGGTAACACTAATGACTGCCCCAGGGACTCCTCAGGTGCCCCCTTTCCCAACAGCGGGCCTGCTTCCCTCTGCACCTGAGCCCTGCGATGCTGTGCAGGGATGGCTACCAGCCCCTGCAGGACTGGAGCAAGGGTGGGAACAAGGGCCCTGGAGCTCTGCAGTCAGAGCGACCAAACTTCCCGAAGATAAACCCCTAGGCTGAAGCTTCCCTTTGATTTAATTAATGAACCGTTTTAGTGCTTTCTCTCAGGTCACCAAGAATTAAGCTCTCAGAGCACTCATTGTGGTGAGATCACATTGATACGGCCCAAAAAAATCAGATCTCAGGAACAGATGGCAAATGAGATTCAGCGTTAAACATGTGCAGACAGTTCAGTTCCAGTCTGCACTGAAGGTTTGGGATCCAAGACCATATACGGCGGCGGTTTGGGGCTGCATCATCCTCTGCCTCTTGGTTGAACGTACATATCTGATTGTTGAAAAAGAAATACCTCTGGGCCGGGCACCATGGCTCACACCTGTAATCCCAGCCTTTTGGGAGGCCGAAGCGGGTGGATCACCTGAGGTCAGGAGTTTGAGACCAGCCTGGCCAACGTGGCAAAACCCTGTCTCTACTAAAAATACGTAAATAAATAAATACATACATACATACATAAATACATAAAAATACAAAAACTAGCTGGGCGTGGTGGTGCACGCCTGTAGTCCCAGCTACTCAGGAGGTTGAGGCAGGAGAATCCCTTGAACCCAGAGAGTGGAGCTGAAATTGCACCACAGCACTCCAGCCTGGGCAACACTCTGTCTCACACACACACAAAAGAAGTACGTCTGAGCCGTAGAGAGAAAAGGGATGCCACAGTTGGGAGGGGAGTGGAGTTTCTTGCAGTTCTACAGAAGGTTGCCAGGAAAGCAGCACTGGAAACGTCCCTTGGATCAGAGACCTGAGCACAGATGAAGAGCTGACCATGCAGAGGCCTGGGCAAGGCCTGTGGTAGAAGACGGGACAGAAAGGGCAGGGGCCTGAGGGCTCTGGGGATGCAAGCCAGAGCCACGAGGGAGATAGAGGCTGGAGTTGGGGGCAGCAGGTGGTGGCGGGACACAAGTAGGTCCTTGTAGGACATTGTGATGACTTTGGCTGTTACTCTTAGTAAGTTAGAAAATCTTTGGAGGGTTGTAAGCAAAGGAATGACATAATCTGATTGACATTTTAAGAGGGTCACTCTGTCAGTGGGGTTGAGAACAGCCTATACTAATCCCAAAGTGCTCTTTGTGATACCAGTGTTCCCATGATAACAGCTAAATGATGCAAAGGAAGGAGGGGAAGGAATGAATTTAGTGTAGTGAATGCCTCCTCTGTGATTGGCACCTATCGTGCTGCTCTGCCGTGCTCCTGGTGGAAACCCCACAGGAGTCCCATGGCCTTGGTTTGCCTAGAAAGGTCTTCACTGACACTGCTGTCCTGAAATAATGATTCAGAGCCCTTCTTTGCTCTCAAAAAGAGTGCTGGTTTCGATGGTGGATTAAATGGTAATCATTCTGGCAATAGATGTTGTATTTCCCATTTCACAAAGAGAGTAACAGAAACTCAGAAAACCTGGCCACTTGCCCCGATTCACATAGCCAGTGATGGAGACCTAGATTTGCCGCCAGATGCTGTGTATCTGAGCTATAGTTCTCTCGTGGATGAAAAGGTCTGAATCATTCTGAAGCCCATGTTTTCCCCTCACATATTGACGAGTACTGTGATAAAGGCTAAAGCATTAAAGAAAGCTTGTCCTTTTTTTAATTTAGCTCAGTTGTTATCTAAAACTTGCTATAGGTTGTCAGCAGGCATTTCGGCTTATTTTCTCATGACTTCAAGTTTCATAAATGCAAATATTTTGAAGTAGGCATATTTCAAATATGATGGTACTTTAATACATTCTCAGATGGTTATTTCTTGATTTGAAGTAAAGCCCTTCTGACCACTTGCCAAAGTCTGGCATCAAACATTTCTTCACCCATAGATGTGGCCTCGAACCTCACCTTCTTTTATCATCCATCTCTCCTGGAGAGAGCCTGGAGCCAGAATATGTGGCAAGGCCGCCTCGAGCTGAGTCAGCATTCTTATCAGCCCTAAGCATCACTGCCAGGCCGTTAACTAAAGACTCTTCAGGACAACAAGCCAAGGGCAATCGGCATCTCCTCCGGGCTGCTCCCAACCAACACCGCGGATGGTGAATAAATCAGAGAAAGGCATGAAACAAGCTGCATTTGGCAGTGCTGGCCTCTGGGAGGAGATCACTATAATCCCACCAGCAATGTAGCTCAGCCCCCAAAGAATGATGACTTATAGACTAGTAGTCTCAAAACACTTTTCTTTTGAAAACATTCCAGCAATCCTTTGAAAATAAAGACAATGTCACAAAATTAATCAGCTCAGAGTGTAAGTGCCAACTGCCTGGAAAACCACTCTTTTTGTGCTACTAAATTAAAAAGTACCCAACCCTCAAGTGCATCCCTAGGACTTTACCAGCATGGCAACTCCAAGATAAGTATAATAGCTTCATAATTTAAAAGTTTCTCCTCATCACTCCTTGTGTTTTTCCCATGGTCAGCTAGAGAATGCTCTGACAGAGGGACAGACAATCCCAAAATATTGAAGGTCAACATTTCCTTCCTTCTCTTCTCAAAGCCAAATCAAGGAAGTATCAGTTCATTGGTCTGAAACCACTGTGGGCTTTCCTTGATGTCATGGGAATAATAAATGAGCCTCTGGATGGCACCAAGATGATTTTCCAAAAGATGGTACTCAGCATGCCCAGACCACTCCTTACCCACCCATGAGTTTTGGTCTCTGTTTAATTCCTGAATATTGGGGTGTTATTTTTTTCATTTTCTTGTTTTAATGTTTTCCCCCTAAATGTGCAAATATTTAATCTGGGAAAGGGGCAACTGGACTGATATGTCAGAGCCTGAGAAAAATGAGAAAACTTAGTCAGATTAGCTGTAAGTATCATTATTACATTATATTCTTCTGCTGGAGAAAATACCTTAAGAAATGGTTAGTGTGCTTCAGCTAAGAAATTACCCCCTTTAAATGGGAAATGCTAATGGATAAAGTTTCATTAGCTAGTCTGGAGAAAGGATGAACAGAAAGATGCAGGGAAGACATGCTGAGCCTTTATTGCTGCTCAAGTTAAATGGACCCAAAATCAATAGCTCATTTAAGATACAATGAAGTTTCTCTTGGACCTCAAATTAAAAAAAAAAAACACAACTGCCTTCCACATTTTTTTTTTTTTTGCATGTAACAAATGTGCTCCGATAGAGGTAACTGAAAGAAATACAAGAGTTGTATAACAGACTTTAAAGTTCACTTTAAAATAATGCAGCCTTGGGCAGATCACCTGAGGTCAGGAGTTCGAGACCAGCCTGGCCTACATGGTGAAACCCTATCTCTACTAAAAATGCAAAAATTAGCCAGGTGAGGTGGCTCACACCTGTAATCCCAGCTACTCAGGAGGCTGGGGCAGGAGAATCGCTTGAACCTAGGAGGCAGATGTTGCAGTGAGCCGAGATCATGCCACTGCACTCCAGCCTGGGCAACAGAGAGAGACTCCATCTCAATAATAATAATAATAATGCAGCCATTAAAAAAATAACAAATTAAGAAATATCTAATATAGCACACCATCAGAGTTCTTCTGTTTCTTATCAGTACCATGGATTTCAATATTTTTTTAAACATCATTTTTCAAAACTAGAATGAATTATTGACATGTTAGCAATGAGGTGAATAGAATAGATAGGTCCTGAGACATGCAGGGTAGAAACCAAAATTCTAAATCTTTTAGGACCCCTTCATTTTTCCCACTTCATCATTTTCTGGGCATCCCTGGATACCACTGCCACCTTCACATGACTGCAGAACAGCTACAAAGAACCATTAGAATCAGGAGCTTTATGATGTGTTAAATGAAATCTTATATGAGAGAATGTTTTTGCAAACTGTCAAAATATATACAAATATAAAGCATTAGTATTATTCTACATTTATCATTTCATTAAGCAGGACTTACCCCAAATCTTTCTTGCTGTGTCTGAATTAATCAACTAGTATCTGGGGGCACGTACCCATGTGTTCTGTGCCATTCTAACAGAGATTGAGAGTATGTGGGATGGAGTACCAGCTGGGATATAAGGCTAATCAAGGAGATGCTGGTGGAGAGAAGCCCAGTTCCTCTGGTAATTGTTGAGGAAATCAGCAGGAGGTGAAGGGCAGGGACAGGGAGGGTTCAAAGAATCACTGAAATGCTGAGCAAAGATTTCCAGGGGCTACTGAAAAGAAGGAACTGATGAGGGGCCAGAAGAGGCGGAGTCATTAGACTGAAGATGGTAACTATGGCCATGAAGACAGAACGACTTCTAAAGAACAGGACCCCTATCCGAATCATCAGGATTTCCTCTGGTGCTCATTACTCCTGGCTCACACCAGCCACCTGAGACCTGTTTGTAGGCATGTGTTTACCCTTATCTGCGTGGAATGGTTGAATGAGTGGGTATTAAAGATGATGGGATGGTAAACACCTAATGGAGCACTGGGGCTCTAGGCAGGAAAGAAGACAGGACTGAAGATGAAAATGTGTCATTCTTTTGTGTAGAATTAACAATAGAAGTTAGAGAGAGGCTCAAAGGGGAGTAAAGAATCAAGCATTTAAACCCACCTGTTCAAGGCAAAATGACCAAGTAGGGCCAGTAATATAAAGAGAAAAACTTGGATGAAACAGTCAAAGAACTAGGCTGGTACCACGTGATGAAGGTCAAGGTTGGAGAAATATTTAATAATGATGATGATGGTAATGGCTAGTATTTCTTGTGGAATTATTGTATGCTAAGAACACTGCTGTATACTGTAAGTACATCATCCTAAATATTATAAATGCATTATCTCATGTACTGAAAACAATCCTGTGACATAAGCTCTATTTATCACCATTTTACAGACAAGGCATTCTTGGCTAAGGGAGGCTAAGTAGCTTGCATGACACAGCCAATCACATCACCAAGCCAAGACTTGGTTCCAGAGCCTCTAAGAACCTCTGCCTCCTTAAATGAGAGATCATGAGTATTAGTATCAAATACAACAGAGAGATTCAGGACACTAAGAATACACACACACACACACTCATACACACAGACTTTTTCACATATGCATGCAGGAATATGCACACACACGTATACACATATACATAGTGTCACATGCATGCACACACTCATACACATATACACACATGCATACATTCAGTCACGCACATACATATATAAGCATTCATGCACATACATTGAAACACTCACATGCATACATTCTGTCACGCACATACATATATAAGCATTCATGCACATACACTCAAACACTCGCATACACACAAACACATACATGCACACATATACACACACATATACACAGTAATTTCATTCCGAACAAAGAGGCTATCAGTATCCATTGAGAAATAAGGTTTTCTCTCCAGTGGTGGAAGCAAAAAGAAGGTAGTTATTAGAGATACCAGGAATGGACAGAGAGAAAATTAAGACATTGGGTGAGTTTGCTTTCAAGCAAAAAAGAAAAAATACTCAGTAAAGGAATTCAGGTGCTACAAAGTTCATGATTGCTGACATTTGTTAACATAATTAGCTAAGAAGAAAGTCACATCTAAATGGGTAGCAAAGCAGATTACAGAAAGATGAGCTGAACACACACATCTATTCTTGGATATATATTGTCACCTCTGAACAGACATACTGGTGTTAATCCTAATGTTCTAAATCAGGGGTGGGCAAACAACTTGCGGCCCGTGGGCCAAATCTGCCAGCCACTTATTTTTGTACAGTCCAGGAGCTAGAATGCTTTTGATTTTTCTTAATGATTGAAAAAATCAAAACCAGAATACTATTTCTTAACAAATAAACATTATATGAGACTCCAATTTCAGAGTCTACACATAAAGTTTTATTGGCACACAGCCACATCATTTGTTTCCATATTATCTATATCTGCCACGTCACTACACTGGCAGAGTTGAGCAGTTTTGGCAGAGACTTTATAGCCCACGAAGTGTGAGATATTTACTGTCTGGTCCTTTACAGAAAAAGGTGCCAGCCCCTATTCTAAATCATCTCAATTATTTTAATTTTCAATACACATCACAAAGGAAATGAAATTATATACCTGGCAAAGGTGCTTTCTTTGGTCCCATGATGGGTATTTCCTTCCATAGATCGCCATCATTTTCATTCTCAGCTATCCAGGAATCAACAGGTAAACAAAATAGCTCATATGTGGCTATATTTTCAAGTCTAACTTCTTCCAGATACCACCTGGGATTCTTTCCAGTGTTGTCATGTCCAATACGTATTTTATAGATTTCACCAATATCTTTGAGATTAATCTGCAACACAAAGGATAAAAGGGAACTAAAACTCCCTACATCTCCAATTTCCAAATTCATATTCCATTTTGAACTCACTACTTACTTTTTTATCATAAATACTCCTTACTAATTTCCCTTAGAACCAGTTACTTCTAACACCATGAAATGCTGTTCTATATGGTGAAGCATGTATCCATTGACCATGGAAAAACCAATAAATTAAATCCAGCTAGTTTTCATTACATCCTTTCTTTTAGCAACTCACCATTACTATCTTGCAATATGCATATTTTATTGTAATTATTATCACACACTATTCATTCAGTGGGTAGACCTGAAGAATAAGACAATCCTATGCTCTGGTGTTATTAAGATTGAATTTTCCCATTACAGTGAGATCCTGAGGAAGAGACCATATGTACACCTAGATTTAAACTAGGGTTCACGCTGTGATTCTACAGAAGTGTTGGTAACATGATTGTATTCCTTTGCACCCCCCAGAACACATAATTATTCAGTATGACAAATATTCTAAGGTATTATTTATTATCCAGAATAAGCAATATTTTTCTTTTGAAAATTCCTACAGGGGTCATATGAAAAAAAATTGATCAATTATGTACTGCATTAGTTTTCTATTTCTGTTGTAACAAATTACCACAGACTTAATTACTTGAAATAAGACCCATTTATTGTCTTCCAATTCCATGAGTCAGAAGTACAGGCACCATGTGGCTCAGCTGAGCCTCTACTTAAGACCACCCAGTCTGAGATCAAGGCACTGGGTGGGCTGGACTCCTCTTTGGAGGCTCTGGGGAAGCTTCCGCTTCCAAGCTTATTCACGCTGTTAGCAGGATCCTGTTCCTTGAGGCTGTAGGATTGAGTTCCCTGTTTCCTTGACATGTGGCCCTCTGAATCTCCAAGTTACCAAGGGCACATCAAACCCTTCTTACGTTTGGAATTTCTGCTACCATTGGGAGAAAAATGTTTGCTTTTAGAGGCATGTATAACTTAGAGTAGGCCCAACTGTATAAACCAGATTAATCTTCCTATTTTAAGGTCAGCTAATTAGTAACCTTAATTACGTTCTGCGAAATCTATTTGCCATGGAACATAACATAGTCATAAGATTAACACCAGGGCCAAAAATCATGAGGCCAAAATTCTGACTGCCACATACTATAATTAGAAACCATTTAATCTGCCTTCTGATATTTCATCTGCCCTAATCCCCACAATGACCTGCAACATCTTTTCTCCCTTTGGTATTACCATAAATGGTCTCATCATCACAGAAATTACACCCGTTATCCAGACCTGCTACCTTTTTCTACTAAAATATTTTTCTTGATAATATAACCTTGGGTTGTCATATTGGTGATAATTGTTCTGAATAAATTCTGTCCTGTAGCCAAAATGCTCTCTAGTCTGGGTGCACAGAGACACAGTTCATCACAGTCAAGCTAAATAGCTGGTCCCCCTCCTATTATTTCTAGAACAATGTGATTATAGGAATTCTATCACGTAGAAAAAATGTTAACATTGGTGCTTAGTTCAGATAAGTACAGGACTCCTAAAATCCCCCTTAAAGTTGCTGATAGAAGGAATATGATAGAAATCAGTAGCCAAGCTCCAAAATGCACCCTAAGGCAAAATAACATGGTCTCTTCATAGAAATATGGAACCTCAGGTTTTGATATCAGACAGACCTGAGTCTGAAAGTTAGTTGCTTGTACCCTGGCTGGCTGTGTGAACTGCAGCAAGTTTTTCAACCTCTCTAAGCTTCAGTGCCCCCATCTGAATACTACAATAGTACCAATCTTACAAAGTATGATAGAAGTCAATAAATATAGCAGCTATTTTTTTTATGAGTCAGAATTTTGTATTAATAACAAAAATAAGTGGTCTAAATATATCTAATCTAAAGACAGGACAGAAAATGGGTCCAAGCACTCACAGAAGGAAATTAAAACTAAGTTTGGCCATCATAAATGAAATTAAAATTGATAAACCCTGTGTCTAATTCTGTTGGTAATTCACAAATATTCTTGTAAATAATAACTGAATAGTGTCATGGCATAGCAACTAAATTACCCATAGATTGTGCATGCCTGGGTTAGCCAACTAGAACCAGAACTGAAATGACTGTACTACAGCATGGCTAGTGCTATAGACTGCTTCCAAATTGCTTCTAATATATTAGTCAAATTAGTTTGGAACTTAGTTCTGGTTTAATACATCAACCTGAGTCACTTCAGTTTTAATGAAATAAAAATGTAATATGCCTAGAAATTTTTCTTGCATATAACTGTTTTTGGTTTTCTACATTTAACTTCCTACATTTGAAAACACACAAAAAAAGGACAGTGACTCCAAAATGTAGGATTTTTCTAACCAGGATACCCTAAACCCACATGAAACTGTAGTATTTTTTCAATAAATGGTAAATAAGTTATTTTTAAAACTTAAGTTCTAGGAGCAAATTTCATGTTGTGCAAAGTCTGTATCCTCTGTTTAAGACACTTTCATATGTTGGAGAAAAACATTGGAACACCAATTAGCTTTGTGATCACTGAATTCAATCTGGGACATTTTATCTTAACTCAGCATCTCAAGTCATCTAGGACAGTTCATTTTACATATTGATTGCCCTTCAAGGAAATACTATAGCTTTCAACTCAGGGCAGGAATGTAGAAGTATAAACTAAAAACTTGAGTTCTAACAAGTTAGAAACACTAAAAATTATTAGGGTAAATTTTAAAAGGAAGCAACACCACAGGAAAAAAAAAAACTCCCAAAGCATAGACAATTTGTTATATTATACAACATGAAAAATGATACTCTTCTCCTCTACACATCCTGGGTAAAAATTTCTTATTAAAGAACTGGAAAATAAAACTTTCCTGGCTTAATGAGTAAATGATACTTAGATTTTTTTTAAAGGCTACAAGGGCTTTATGGCCTAGAGTATTCAGGTTTCCTTCTGAAACTAAACAGGGGTCCTTGGTTTAAAAAATGCTTTATTCTTTAGTCTTGGTGTCATTCACAAAGCTGAATTCAAAAGCCCTTTCCTCAAAAATCTTAAAAGGCTTCAAGAATCTAAGTGATCTCAGGTTCTAGTGGGTTTTTCCCTGCACAGAATATCATATTCTCCTACTCCGGAACCCCTGACTCTGACCTTGACTTTCAGAGGGAGCAGATTTCTCACGCATTTGATTATCTAGAGTTATGATGCCTCTGAAGATTTAGGAGCTACTAGCTCTAAATAATTCTGGGTACCTTAAATACCCTTGTCTTACTTTCTTGAGAAAATTTAAACTTAAGTCTTAAGTTTCAGTCTTACGTCTTTAGTCTTAAGTCCTTTGTTCATTTTTAGCATTCCCCACTAGACCCTTAACTCCTTGAGGATCTGAGCTCTGTCTTTCTTTTCTTTACCCTTAGTATTTACACAAAATTTGGCAGAGAATAGACTGCTTTAAACATATGTTAAATAAATCATATAGCTGTTGATTTTTTTTCATTTCATGTGTTTCCTTCGTTCTCTTTGGCTTCTATCAAAATTTTGGTGGGCATAAAAATCTGATAATAATTTGCAAAGTTTTGATGATGTGTTATAACAGTCTCCTTATAAGTATCTGAGCCCCAGTAACTGGGAAAATGTTCTTATTAATACTTTGATGCTTGTGTGTGTATTTTTTTAATTTAACAATAACAGTTTGTAATCCAATTAGTTGCTATTTAAATGAATGAACAATATGGCTTATATTTCATTACGAAGTCTATATTTTCAACAGTGAATGATTTCTATTGGAAAACAAAGTCCTGATATGTTTTTGAAGGAGTTGCGTGATTAAGGTTAAAGCCAAGGTCCCCTGATATGGATCTTTAACTTTTTCTAACATAGCAGTCATATTTCTCCTGGATTTTGAAGTAAATCTTGATACATCTTGGCAAAATATAAATGGATTGTAATCAATTCTTCATGTAGTTTCCACTTTTATTCTAGAAGGGTAACTTATTTTGACCTAACTCTCTAGCAACAACAATAATAAATTCTGCTTGAGGGCGCTGTAAAACAAACAAAGCAGGCAGAGAAGCCAGGGATTTGACCTTAAATGAGGGAGAAAAGACCTTACCCTTGAAAATAGCCAATATCTATATTTGTATAGCTTTTTGCATGAGGGCATTTCCAATTCTATGAGAAACAACAAGGCTAAAACTCAAGCAGAAACACACAGTCTAATCTTCTGAAGAATGGGCAGAATGAACTTGGAACTAATTTGGAACTACCAGAGAAGCTGGAAATTAAGAGGGGAGATCCCAGAAAGGAGGGAACAAAAGTAGGTGATACAAATCTGCATGTAAATGCCAGTCAAATCCTAGACCAATGACTACACTATTCACATGCAGGTATGACTGCAAGGAGCTCAAAGAGAAAACAAGTCAGAAGGCTAAAATAACTGAGTGGCAATTCTAGCTGTTACTTACCACAAGTGACTTTAGAAAAAGACTTTAAAGTTTGAGTTACACCAAGTTATAAAAGCATGATAAATTCCCAAGGCTTTCCATCAAATCCCTAGAAGTACCATGCATTAGAAATGACAACTACATCTCTTTACTAAAAAGATTCTCTCAAGACTAAGGATAAAGCTGAAATAGCCCTGTCCTAACAAGGCATAAAAACAAACCCCTACATTCGAGGTGATCCACAAATTAACAGCACTCAACATTCTTCAGAAGAATATAACAGAATACAGAGTTACTGCACTATTATCCACAAGGTCTAGTATGCAATCAAAATTACTAGACGTATGAACAAACTGCATAATGTCAATAAAAAAAGGAGTTAATAAAAATACACCTGCAAATAACATGGATGTTGGAATTAGCAGACAAGGATATTAAAATATAGTAAATATGCCATATAATCTACAGGAAAAGAGGAATATAATGAGTAAAGAGATAAGCATTGTCAAGTGCTATCTAGAAATTATATTAAAAAAGTGAAAATCCTAGATCTAGAAAATACAATAAGTGAAATAATAATTAATGGAATAAAATAACCAATTAGACACAAAAAAGTCAGTAAACTTGAAGACAGTTAATAGAAATTATCCATATTGAAATAATTAGTAAAACAATTTAACAGCATCTCAGCAACCTATGAGACAGTATCAATTAAACTAACATATATATAATTAGACTCCTGGAAGGAAAAAAGAGATTGAATAGAGAAGAAAAAATACTTAAATATTTATTGAAATTTTTCAACTTTGGTGAAAAACAGCAACCCACAGAAAAAGCAATCATAGTGAATCTCAAGCAAAATATATATAAAGAAAATCACACCTAGTAAGATCATAGTAACTGATGAAAAGGAAAGAAAAATTCTTAAAAGCAGCCAAAGAAAAATACTATTTTTATATAGGAGAATAGTAGTAAGAATAGTGGCTATTTTTGCTTTAGAAATAACGCAGGCCAGAATACGATAAAGCATCTTTTAAGTTCTAAGAACAAATGAACATTGTCAAACTGAAGTTTCATATCTAGCAAAAAATATTCTTTAAAAATGAAGGTAAAATGAACATCTTTTCATTAAAAAAAGCTAAGAAAATTTATAACTAGCCAACTTGTACTACAAAAAATGCAAAGAGAAGTTCTTCAGGTTTAAGAGAAATAATACAAGATGGACATGTAAATGTATAGCAAAAAAGGAGGAGCATGGATATAGTAAATATACTATACATAAAAGGGTATATATAAACCACAATTTTTCTTCTTTTATTAAATTTTATGCAAATCAATGGACTGTTTAAAGCAAATATAATGAGGAATAGGATGTTTTATGTTTTATGGGGTTTGTAATATATGTAGAAATAAAATACATAACAGTAATAGCATAAGGGGTTGAAGGGATATTAATGGGATAGCACTTTTTAAAGTTTACTCTATGTGATAAGAATGCATATTGTAATGTGTACAAAAACCACCAAAAACAAAAAACAGGCACAGGTAATAAGCCAAAGGAGAAGATACTATTGAATGTTAAAAAAAAAAAAAAAAAAGAAACAATAGGTTATCCCAAAAAAGAGAAAGAAAGGAGAAACAAATTAATACAAGATTGAGATATCCAGAATATATAAAGAATTCTAAAACAACAATAAGGTGCAGCCACTATGTGAAAACATTTGGTAGTTCTCATCATGTTAAATATAGTATTACCATATGACCCAACATTCCACTGCTGGGTATATACCCAAAAGAATTGAAAACAGGCATTCAGACAAATACTTGTACATAAATATTCAGAGCAACAAAGTCTATGCAGCCAAAATGTGAATACAAACCAAATGTCCAACAATTGATGAATGTATCAACATATTGTGATATATACAAACAAAGGAATATTATTCAGCCATAAAAAGAAGTGAAGTACGGATGTATGCTTCAACATGGATAAAACTCAAAAAACATGATGCTAAGGGAAACAAGTCAAATAAAAAAGACCATGTACTCAATGAACCCATTGATATAAAATATCTAGAAATAGTTGAAGAGGCAGAAAACAGATTACTGGTTGCCAGCTCTGAAAGGGAGGGGAGAATGGAGAGTAATTGCTGAATGTGTACAGAGTTTTTCTTTTGGCATGATGAAAATGTTTTGGAACTAGACAGGGTAGTGGCTGCATAACATGAACCACTAAATGTACTAACTGCCACTGAATGGTACGTTTCAAAACGGTTAATTGTATGCTATGTGAATTTCAACTCAATTTTTTATAAAAGTAAATGGATCCAACTTTTTATTTAAATGGCAGAGATTATCAGACTGGATTTAAAAAGTAACATCTAACAATATGCTATATATAAAAACTGTACTGTATAAAGATACAGACAGCTAAAAAAGGAAAGGATGGAAAAATGAGATACCAAGAAAACACAAAGCATAAGAAATCTGCATCTGTATATTAACATTAGATAACAGTGACTTTAAGAATAGAAATGTCACTAGAAATACAGAAGGTCAGTGGGGGGAGGGAGTAGGGATAGCATTAGGAAATATACCTAATGTAAATGACGAGTTAATGGGTGCAACACACAAACATGGCACATGTACACATATGTAACAAACCTGCACATTGTGCACATGTACCCCAGAACTTAAAGTATAAAAAAAAAAAGAAATACAGAAGGTCATTTTATGACAAGAGTCAATTCAGCAAGTAGATATAATAATCTTCAATGTGAAGGTACCTACTAATAGAGCTTAAAAACAGGAAGAAAAAACTTGATAGAAATAAAAGGGATAGACTAATACGCAATCATATTTGGCGATTTTAACATCTTCTCTCAATAATTGATAGATATTTACAAAAAATAAGTAGGAATATAGAACACTATCAATACTATCAACCAACTTGCCCTAACTGATATTCAGAGTACATTATATCCAAAAGCTTCAGAATACATACTCTTTTTTTAATTCTAAGAACATTGAGATGTGTAGCTTTTCCAAATTAAATGGATATAAAATTTTAATTCAGAGAAATTTATACTGGTTTATGGGAGAAAGTGTTGTCCTTTCCCCCTCCCCAGAATCATTCCACATGATCTATTCATATAATTCTTAGTAAATTTTTGATCAAATAATTGAGAACTCCAGTGACTTTTCTCACCAGATAAGGGAAAAATCTAGTGAATTAAAGTCTCTCTGCTTATTTATCCAAATGATTTTTTAATATTTACTTGGTTCAGTCAGTTCTTAAGAACATAGACATTTGTTGATCTTTCTGTATTTTTTTGGAATGATCATAGATATACCAGAGGTAAAATGGTGTCAAATACCTATCCTGAACATCCAGAGAGCCTCCTTATATTCATCTAGAACCCTGATTATGTAATTCCATCATAAATATATCAAAAGTCAGATGTTCTCTCCATGTTCTGTCTCCTCCAAAAACATACTTGTGATTCTTCTGCTTTGTACACTTTATTAATATCATTAATATAAATTTTTATTGATTGTATTTATAATGGATGCTTTTATTTTCTGGTTTCATCTAATTCTTTAATTTCTCAACAAACCGTATTTTTAAAAATATATGCTCTATTTCCCAAAGTTCCCATGATGTTTTGGAAAACTTTTTGGTGGAGCAAGAGCATATGGCATTAGCCATTGGCAGGAAGCAGAGGCAGGTTTACCATGAAGGTTTACATTTCAAGCCCAGCAAAACCAAATCCACTTCCTATCTAGAAATTATATATAGTCATGCACTGCATAACAACATTTGGGTCAATGATGGACTGCATATATGCAGTGGTCTTGTAAGATTATAATGGACCTGACAGGAGTTTGAGATCAGCCTGGCCAACATGGCAAAACCCCGTCTCTACTAAAAATACAAAAATTAGCCCGGCATGGTGGTAGGCACCTGTAATCCCAGCTACTCAACAGGCTGAGGCGGGAGAATCGCTTGAGCCTGGTGGGGCAGAGGTTACAGTGAGCCGAGATCGCACCACTGCACTCCAGCCTGGGTGACAGAGCGAGACTCCATCTCAAAAAAAAAAAAAAAAAAAAAAAAAAAGAAGAAGAAGAAGAAAGAAGAAAGAAGAAGAAGAAGAAGATTATAATGGACCTGAAAATTTTTTATTGCCTAGTGACATCGTAGCCGTCATAATGTCGTAGAGAACACATTACTCACGTGTTTGTGGTGATGTTGGTGTAAACAAGCCTACTGCACTGCAAGTCATATAAAAGTATAGCACATACAATTATGTACAGTACATACTTGATAATGATAATGTCATAGTCTGTTGGTGTTGTTATAAAGGAATACCTGAGGCTGGGGAATTCATAAAGAAAACAGGTTTATTTGGCTCCTGTTCTGCAGACTACACAAGAAGCCCAGCACTAGCATCTGCTTCTGGTGAGGGTTTCAGGAAGCTTCTACTCCTGGCAGAAGACAAAGAGGAGCCCTGCCGAGATCACATGGTAAGAAAAGAAGCAAAAGAGAGAGGGGGAAGGTGTCAAGGTCTTTCTACCAACTAGTTCTCTTGAGAATTAAGAGCAGGAACTCACTCACACTTGAGAGAACGACACAAAGCCATTCATGAGAGATCCACTTTGATGACCCAAAGACCTCTCACAGGCCCCATCTCCAACCCTGGGGGTCAGATTTCAACAGGAGGCTTGGTGGGGCCAAACAAATCATTTCCAAACCATAGCAGATAATAAATGACTATGCTACTGGTTTATATATTTACTATGCTGTACTTTTAATTATTATTTTAGAGTATATTTCCACTTATTTTTTAAAACTAACTGTAAAACAGCCTCAGGCAGGTCCTTCAGGAGGTATCCAGAAGAAAGCATCGTTATCATAGGAGATGACAGCTCCATGCATGTTTTTGTCGCTGAAGACCTTCCAGTGGGACAAGATACAGAGGTGAAAGATGGTGATATTCATGGTCCTGACCCTGTGTAGGCCTAGGCTAATGTGTCCATCTATATCTTATTTTTAACAAAAAAGCTTAAAAAGTAGAAAAAAATAATTACTACTTTTTTTTTTGAGACGTAGTTTTGCTCTTGTCGCCCAAGCTGGAGTGCAGTGGTGTGATCTCAGCTTACTGCTACCTCCGCCTTCCCGGTTCAAGCACTTCTTCCGCCTCAGCCTCCCGAGTAGCTGAGATTACAAGCGCCTGTCACCACGCCTGGCTAATTTTTGTATTTTTAGTAGAGACAGGGTTTCACCGTGTTGGCCAGGCTGGTCTGGAACTCCTGACCTCAGGTGATCTGCCGTCTCGGCCTCTCTTAATTACTTTTAAAAATAAAAAATGTAGCCTGGCACAGTGGCTCACGCCTGTAATCCCAGCACTTTGCGAGGCTGAGGCAGGAGGATTACTTGAGCCCAGGAGTTCAAGACCAGCCTAGGCAACATGGTTAAACCCCATCTCTAGAAAAACATTTAAAAATCAGCCTGGCATGGTGGCACGCACCTGGAGTCCAGCTACTTGGGAGAAGGCTGAGGTGGGAGGATCACCTGAGCTTGGGAGGTGGAGGCTGCAGTAAGTCACGATTGTACCACTGCACTCCAGCCTGGGCAACAGAGTGAAATCTTGTCTAAAAAAAAAAAAAAATACACTATAAAGAAAATATTTTTGTACTGCTGTACAATGTGTTTGTGTTTCAAGCTGTGTTATTACAGAAAAATCAAACAGTAAGCTAAGGTTACTTTGTTATTGATGAAAGAAAAATATTTTTTATAAATCTAGTGTAGGCTTGGTGTCCAGTATTTACATAAATTGGTGTACAGTAATGTCCTAGGCCTTCACATTCACTCACCACTCACTCACTTCCTCATCCAGAGCTACTTCCAGTCCTGCAAGCTCCATTTATGGTAAGTGCCCTGTACAGGTATACCATTTTTTATCTTTCATATCATATTTTTACTGTACCTTTTCTCTGTTTAGATACGTAAGTCATTATCATTGTGTTACAAGTGACTACAGTACTTAGTAGTACAGGTTCAAGGCCTAGAATCAGTAGGCAATCCCATATAGCATAGGCGAGTAGCAGGCTAGACCATCTAGGTTTGTGCAAGTGCACTCTATGATGTTTACACAATGACAAAATTACCTGTGACATATTTGTCAAAGGTATCCCCATCATTAAGCAAGGCATGGCTGTATTAAACTTTGAACATGAAGCAGGAAAAGTTTAATGCAGATCCTTTTAATGGTCTTTTTTGTAAATATTTTGTAGGGTTTGGATTGAGTGACATATGAGGACTTGGCAATTCTCTTCAAGTTTGTAAAATATACATTACATTGGAGACTGAATTTATGATTGGATTATTTGATGTAAAAAATATTTCTGCAATTTTCATAGGAGTTTAAACTTTGCTGTAATACTTAAGCAACTCATGTTTATATTGATGACAGAAATTCTTTATAATGGTTATTCTCTAAAAACTGAAACAACTTGTATCTTCAAAGAAATATCATGGAACAAAGAACTCCACAGTAGGCAAAGCTAACAATTTCAATTATGCATAGACTTCTGTGGTTAGACAGAAGATAAATCAGTGCTATCCCTCAAAAGCATTCCTCCAGGAGGTGGCAATGATAATGCAGACAATGTGGGGGGCACAGCCATCTACATTATTCTCCAAGTACTGCATCAAGGACTTGTCTTTCTGTTCATGATGCCCTTCCTTTACATTTTTGCCTACAAAAATGTTTCTCACTCTTTAAGATTCTGCTCAAATGCCAGCTTCTCAAATGTGGTTGCTTATCCCACGTGTTTTAAACCTGAGTCAATTGTCAGGCTAAGCTGCCTTTTTCTCTAGTCAACCATCTCTTATTACAACTTTTTTTGCTTTTTGTTTTTGTTTTTAATTTTGAGTCAGGCTCACTCTGTCACCAAGGCTGGAGTGCAGTGGTTACAATCCTGCTTCACTGCAGCTTCCAATTTCTGGGCTCAAGTGATCCTACTGCCTCAGCCTCCCAAGTAACGAGGACTACAGGTGCAAGCCATTGCACCAGGCTGATTTTTTTTTTTTGTGGAGACAGGGTCTTGCCATGTTGCCCAGGCTGGTCTCAAGCTCCTGGCTTCAAGCATTCATCCTCTGCTCTGCCCCCCACAGTGGAATTACAGGCATGAGCCATCCTATTTTATCTCTTATATAGCTCAAGCAAAATATGTAAAGGAAAACTTGATACAACTAAAGAAAAATAAACATATCCACAAGTACTGTTGGAAACCACAACATCCATCTCTCACAAATTAATAAAACAACTAGACAGAAAATCATGAAAGATATAGAACTAATACCAACAACCAGCAGGGTCTGATAGACATGTATAGAACACTCCACCTAACAGGTAAGAGTTGTCTGTCATATACGTAGTTTGCAAATATTTTGTCCCATCTGAAGTGTGTCTTTTCATCCTTTTAACGAGGTTTTTCACATATTAAAGTTTTTAATTCTGATGAAGCCCAATTTATCACTTTTTTATTTGATGGATCATGTTTTTATGTCTAAAGACACAATAATACGTGCCCAAGAACTCTAATCTCTATGCTTTTTATTTCCTGAACTTTTACCACTGTATTGAATAAGAACGTTGAAGGCAGGCAGTTTTGCCTTGCAAAACTTTTCCATTAGGAAAAAAGCATTCAGCTTTTTGCCATTAAGAATAGTGTTAGCGACCTGGCACGGTGACTCACGCCTGTAATCCCAGCACTTTGGGAGGCCGAGGTGGATGGATCACGAGGTCGGGAGATCAAGACCACCCTGGCTAACACAATGAAACCTCGTCTCTACTCAAATTAGCCGGCCGTGGTGGCAGGCGCCTGTAGTCCCAGCTACTCGGGAGGCTGAGGCAGGAGAATGGCGTGAACCCGGGAGGCGGAGCTTGCAGTGAGCGGAGATCGCGCCACTGCACTCTATCTAGCCTGGGCGACAGAGCGAGCCTCCATCTCATAAATAAATTAAAAAAAAAAAAGAAAGAAAAAGAATAGTGTTAGCTCTGAGTATTTGTAGATGCTCTTTGTCAAGTTGATATTCGCATTTTTTCTGAGAGTTTTAAAAATTATGAATGGGTGTTGAATTTTGTCAAATGCTACTTCTGCATCAATTAACATGATCATACAATTTTTCTTTCTTAGCCTATTAATATAACAGGTTACAACTGACTCATTTTCAAATGTTTAAGCAAACTTGTATGCCTGGATAAATCTTACTTGGTCACGGTATATAATTCTTTTTTTGTAGGATGCTGAATTCTATTTGGTAATATTTTGTTAAGGACTTTTGTATCTATACTCATGAGGAAAATTAGTCTGCGGTTTCCCATTTTTGGGGATGTGTTTATCTCGTTTTAGTGATCAAGGTAATAATGGCTTCATAGAATGAGTTAGACAGTATTCCCACTTCTGATTTCCAGTAAGGACTGTGCAAAAACTAATAATTCTCTAAATATTTGGTAGGATTCTCTAATGAAACCATCTATGGGCCGACAGATTCTTCTCTGGGAGTTTCTAAATTAAAAATTCAATTTCCTTGCTGATTATAGGGTTATTCAAATTATCTACTTCAATCTATTTCATATTGGGTGAGTTGTACTCGTTTGTTTTTTTGAGGAAGTGATCCATTTTATCTAAGCTGGCAAACTATGGGTAGAATTGTTTGTGGTGTTCCCTTATTTTCTTTTCAACGTCTGCAATATCTATAGTGATAACCTCTGTTTCATTTCTAATATTAGTAATTTATCTTCTCTTTTTTAATTTGTTAGGTTTACTAGCAGCTAAAAGCTCAATATTAAAAAAAAAACACACAAACAATCCAATTAGAAAATGGGCAAATGATATAGAGATATTTTACCAAAGAGGATGTATGGATGGCAAATAAGCATATGAAAAGATGTTTTGCATTAGAGAAATGCAAATTAAGACCACAATGAGATATCACTGCACAACTTTATTAGGATAGCTAAAATAAAAGTTTAGTGACTATCAAATGCTTGCAGGGATGGAAAAAAAAATCCAGATCTCTCATATGTTGTTGATGGAGATAAAATAGTACAGTCTGGAAAATACTTTGACAGTTTCCATAATACACTACCATACAACCTAGCAATTGCATTCCTGGGAATTTATCCCAGAGAAATGGAAAACCATGTCCTCACAAAGTCTCATACATATTTATTTTAGCATCTTTATTTATAACAGCCCCAAACTGGAAATGAGCAAAATGTCCTTCAATAGGTAAATGGTCAGACAAACTGCCATACATCCATACCATAAAATATTACTCAGCAATAAAAAAAAGCAAACTGGCTGGGCATGGTGGCTCATGTCTGTAATCCCAGTATTTTTGGAGGCCAACGTGAGTGGACCACTTGAGCTCAGGAGTTCAAGGCCAGCCAGGTCAACATGGTGAAACCCCGTCTCTACTAAAAACACAAAAATTAGCTGGTGTGGTGCCACAAGCCTGTAATCCCAGCTGCACAGGAGGCTGAGGCACAAGAATTGCTTAAACCTGGGAGGCAGAGGTTGCAGTGACCCAAGGTGGCGCCACTGCACTCCAGTCTGGGCAACAGAGGGAGACTCCATGTCAAAAAATAAAAAAAGAAGAAAACAAGACTGCCAGTCTCAAAAGGTCACATGCTACATGATTCCAATTATATAACATTCTAAACATTATTGAGATATAAAAGAGAAGCATGTTTGCCAGAGATGATAGTAGGCAGGGTGGAGGTGGGGGAGCTGTGACTGTAAAGGGACAGCACCCACCGGGGAGGGCTTTCTCAGGATGGAATAGTTCCAGATCTTCATTGCAGCTGAGGGGGCGGCGGGGAGTCACACGAGTGCTATACACCTGATAAAACAACGTAGAACTATGCACACACATTGTACTAAGGCTTAGATACTGAACTATTATTATGTGAGATGAAACCACTGTGGGAAAATGGGTTAAGGGTACACAAGGCCTCTCTATTATCTTTGCAACTTCCAAGGAATACGTAATTATTTAAAAACAAAAGTTATGAAATTTACTTATTACCATTTTGTTACAATTAGCAGAGCCACCTAGAGGTCTCATCCTAAGAGATGAGAGATTGCATGTGTATAGTTAGCTCTCCTCTAGGTATTTGGCTAATTCACCATTTTGGGACACACGGTGAACTCTTCTTTAGTTGGCTAATGTTGATGCCTGCAGGGCTGAGGCAGTCCTTCCTCAACTTGGTGTAATACCTGCTTTCTCATGGACTACTTGGATTACTCTGCGTAGTTCTCTATATTTTTCCCTTCATTGCCACAGACAAAGAAACAAGTTTGTTTTTTGTCCTCATAAACAGATACATAATTAAAAATGAGAAGTAAAATACTCATATATTCAAAATATCCATAAAATAAATGTGCAGTTTGAATTTTAATACATTTGTATTTATAGAAGATATAAACAATTTACAAAATGTAGAAGAGATGGAATTTACCCATCATTTAAACTAAATTGTTAATAATTTGTTTTTTCTAATTTCTTTCTTTCATATTCCAGGTAATAAAGAACTATGCTATACTGAATTACATCGGTATTATTATACAAAATCATAGTAGATACACTGAAAGATAAAATTCCTACAATCAAATATGCTACTCTCTGGATAAATTTTCTCAGCAGCATTTTGCAGAATGTTTACCTCTTTCATAGAAGTGAATTTATTAAAATTTCAAATGGCACAGTGCTTTACAGGAATCTCATTTATTAACACTCCTTTATTTGTTAAAACTAATAAATAATTAAACTATTATATATACCCTTCTCTGTATTACAACTACATTTTGTACACTTTATATTCACTTTTCTCTTTCAAATATAATTACTAATGCATGGCTTTTCACAGTCTCAACTTGTTTCAATTAACTACTATGATTATTATCACTATTATGATGATGGTCTTTGCAGCTTAGCCAATGGAAGCCTTGTTAAGTTTGCTCTTCTGTCCTTTAGCACTGGTCCTGACATTTTTGAAGCAATAGCTGATTTCAGACAACAAAAGGATATTCTAGACCAATCCATTTTTTTTCCTGCTTGAACACTGGAATCAATTTTCCTCCCAGGTACCCTGATTCTTTTTAGTGGTGTGCATTATCAGAGGCAAAATATGGGCAGTACAGGACGCAGGAGAGCTGGTGGTAGATGAACGAACAGCTGCCCTTGGGGTACTTAGCGGTGACAATTAGAAAATAGGTATCTTTTTAAGGTCATGAGTTCATACTAATTTTTTTTTTCCAGTTTAACACATTAAGTTGCTCTTAGAGTGTGAGACTTCAGCAACCACTGAGGATGACTAACTGGTAGTTTCATCTTCACAACCAACATAAGAGGTAAATGTCTGTACCTGCTTTCTACATATCAGAGTACCCAGGTTTAGAAAGTACTAAATTGGCCTCTGTTATGTAGAGTAAGGCAGAATGTGGAATCAAACCCCCATGATTACTAGAATTTATTTTAGATAACATAAGCCTATTGAAATCAGTGTAAATACATTCATGTAAGTCATTTGTATGGTTTGTCAAGCATCTGTTTTTTTTGGATGTCCACCTGTGGGATTATCCTTAGCTTTCCAAAAAGCTATCAGAGTGTATCTGGATGTGTGCATCTCTTTCTACTCATTTCAAGCCCTTTCATTTATATATGATAGTCTTTCTAGAACTACAGAAGGTTGTTGCAATCATATTTTTGATGGTTATTACTATATTTCCCCTTGTTTTTTCTTCTGAAACACCTTATTTACCATTTGTTCTCTGTTTTCTACACCTACCTTCTCTTTTCTATTTTTCTATCTCTTTTTATCATTCTGGGAGGTAATTTCTGGCGTGTCCCTCATCACTGAGTCCACCTTTGGCAGTGCTATTCTATACTCGTCTGCTTTAAATATGGCTTTTTATTCTGCTTTGTGTTTTTGTTTCTAAGCCATCTCCAGCTTCATCCCTCATCTTGCTGCTTCGCCTAAGGATATTCTCTCCTCCTGGATCCTCCTGCGGATTCCTGGAGGCCATGTCTTCTTTTACTCTTCTGAGGATGTCAATTTCCTGAGTGTGTTCTGGGAAGGAGGTGGAGAAAGATGGCCCGCAGCGATCCTCCCCTCTCAGGAACACCAAATTGAACAACCAGCCACACAAGAAAACACCATCATAAGAACCAAAAATCAGATGAGTGATCGCAGTACCTGGTTTTAAGATCATATCAGGGAAAGGGACACTGAAGATGGCCGAAAAGACAATCTTGCACTGCCCACACCAGCCCTCCACATCCCCTACAGCATGCAGAGAATCCTTGTGCTTGGGGAAGGGACAGTGAAGTGACTGTGAGACTCTGCCATGGAACTCAGTGCTGCCCTGTCACAGCAGAGCACAACACAGGACAGAATTCTTCCTGTGCCCATGAAGGGAGCATTTAGAGCAGTCCCAGCCAGAGGGGAATCCTCCACCCCAGCAATAGAAACTCGATTTCCAGCTAACTCTACCACCAGCAGACTAAAGCAGTCTAGGGTCCTGTATAAATTTGAAAGGCAGTCAGGCCACAAGGACTGCAATTCTGTGGCAAGTCCTGGTACTTCACTGGACTTGGAGCCAGTGATCTTGCAATGTATACAACCCAGTGCAACACAAGCTGGAGTGGCCAAGGGAGTGCTTGCCTCACCCCTCCCCCAGCCCCAGGCAGCACAGCTCAGGAAGAAACTCCACTGCTTGGGGAAAGGAGAGGGAAGAGGACAGAGGATTTTTGTCTTGCAGCTTGGGTACCAGCTCAGCCACAATAAAATAAAGCACCAAGCAGATTCCTAAAGACGCTGATGCCAGGTCTAAGCTCCTGGATGGCAGTTTTAGATCCATCCTTGGCCAGAAGGGAAGTTGCCCTGAAGGGATAGACCAGTCCTGGCAGGATTTACCACCTGCTGACTAAGAGCCATTGGGCCCTGATAAAAATCAGTGGTACTCGGGCAGTAGTCACCGCGGATCTTGCGTGAGACCCAGTACTATATCAAGTACTTCTTGCACATTCCCAGCTGAGAAATTCTTGTGTCACCCCTCTCTCAATCCCAGGCAGCCCTTCATGGAGAGAGAGGCTTTTTCTGTTTAGGGGAAAGTGAGAGAATACAATGAGAGACTCTGCCTGGTATTCCAGATAAATTTTCTGGATCTTACCCAAGCCCACCATGGTGGTACCTCCATGAGTTTGCAAGAGTTGCAGCATTGCTGGGCTTATGGTGCCCCCTAATGCAGATACTACCACAGTGCCCAAAGACTCAGATCACAACACTCAATTCCCTTTGAATACCTGGAGAGCCTTCTCTTAAAAAATAGGTACAGAGAAGCTCAGACTGTGAAGATTAGAATGAATACCTAATTATTCAATGCCCAGACGTCAACAATCATCTACAAACATCAAGAACATCCAGGAGAATGTGACCTCACCAAGCAAACTAATAAGGCACCAGGGACTAATCCTGGAGAGACAGAGATATGTGACCTTTCAGACAGAGAATTCAAAATAGCTGTTTCAAGGAAGCTCAACAAACTTCAAGATAACTGATAGAAGGAATTCAGTATCCTATCAGAGACATTTAACAAAGATATTGAAATAATAAAAAAGATCAAGCAAAAATTCTGGAGCTGAAAAATGCAAGTGGCATACTGAAAAATGCATCAGAGTCTCTCAACAGCTGAACTGATCAAGCAGAAGAAAGAATTAGTGAGTGTGAAGGCAGGCTATATGAAAATACACAGAGGAGAAAAAAGAATAAAAAGAATGAAGCATGCCTACAGGATCCAGAAAATAGCCTCAAAAGCACAAATTTAAGAGTTATTGGTCTTAAAAAGGAGGAAGAGAGAGAGAGAGAGATATGTGGGTAGAAAGTTTATAATGAATGTGTTCTGGGCCCTCCAGTGCATTTCACCTCCCCCTCCTCTTCCCATCCCCAGTCCCCACCCGCTCCTCTGTAACATCCTGGCACTGTAAGCAATGCATTCTGAGTTCTCTTTTCTGCCCCTACTTAAGCCTTCAGACCTGAAGACTCTCCTCACAGAATGCACTCCATCATTGCTGATTTCCTTGTTTTGCTCTGTGGTTTCTGGGATTTGCAGTATTTGCCTTGTTCTGAGATCCTGTCAGTAAGGTTTTCTCACTTAAAGAAAATGCAGGACAAATAGTAATTCACCTCTCAAAGTAGATCCACAGGACAAAGACAGGTAGCTGCCTTTCTCCAGTGGGCATAAACCCTAAGACTCAAGTTCTGAGAATTAAGGCAAGGACACTCTGACACCCCTTCCTGCCATTCCTTAGGCAGGCTGCCTCATTAAGTAAAGCTGAGCCTGACATCTTGACTCACCTCCACTTAGAAGTCCTTCTGCATCAAGAGGTCTGTCATTAGCCTTAGTTTTCTATGTCAAAACTTTTCATTATTACTGAATCTGTGTGTTTGTTTTGATATAGCTGCCACTTTGAACAAAGAGTCTCAAGCTAAATAAATCTGATAGGTTTTTATGAAATAGCATCTCTTAGGGTTGATGGAAGTGAAAGAACAGGAAATCTCCTGTCAGAACAGGCCATCATTAGCATAAGGCTTATTTCAGCTACAGTTTGCATTTTTGCAAAGACACTATTTATTGAATCCATTTCACAGTTGAGGAAATTGAGCTAAAGTAGCCAGTTTGAGGTTGCATAAGATGCATGCAAATGAAGAATGCAGGACTTCAGTGAACATTTGGTTTAAAACTGTCAGTCAAATTCATACCTAGCCAAGGCAGTGTAAGATGACCTTGGCATGAAAAATCACCTAAGCAGTTGTTGTTAACATACTGCATATTTGCAAATTTAAAAAGCGTTGAAGATTTTGGGGCTTTTTGCTGTTTTTATCTAATTTTATAGAAAAACTCTGGTTGTGGGCATTTCATTTGGTCAAGTTTTATGACAGGAAATACAAGCTCTGTAAGGGGCAGTCACATTTCCCAGTTATGCTTTCATAGTTCCTTTGTGAAAATAAAATGAAATAGGCTGCATATTAATTATGACTTTCTCTGCTAGTGGAACTTTGCAATACTACCACCTGAGTCTAATAAATTAAAATGAAGAGTACATATTATTTTTAGAGAAAAATATTTTATTTTATGTACATCATACATGTGTGAACATCAGTAAAATTAACAGATGGAATAATGAGGTGTTCTAGAGTCATTTAACAAAAAGAAAGTCTCCCTACATAAGTGAGGAAATTGTTTATTCCTCACCTATATTGTAACATAATTTCCTCTGTGTTGAATATAGTTTTATTTTGCTCATAGAAATAAATATACTCTACTTTCCACAGAGGTATCAGCATTTTCTGTCTAGTTTTCAAACACTCGCCACCATTACTCTGACTCCACCCATTCAGTTTCATTCCCTACCACTCTCTGCCTTCTAGACAGGCTCATTTGTCACCATTGCCAACAGCTATAGGCTTCCTCCATCAGTATCTTCTCTCCTAACATTCCCCTGGCTCACAATGTGTGCCCAAGTCTCCCCTCCACCTTTCCAAGCCTTGGGCAAAGTCCAGCTTGATCCCATCTCCTCCAAAAGCATGCCCAAGACACCAACCCTAACCTGATCTTCTTTGTCTCAATTCTCCCAGTTCTTAGCCATGTATTCAGTCTGTCTCTCAGTCATCTAAAAACATTTACTGAGTGCTTATTATCTAACCAGCCATTGTTCTAGGGACTGGGAAGAGACAGCAATGAATAAAATAGGGCACCTATCCATATGGAGCCTACTTTCAGAGATGTCTAATGAGACAAGACAGACAATGAACACAAATGAGAAATAAAGCAATGACATGCTCAGTCCTCTGAAGAGACTGAATGGGTGGTCATTCTAGATAGGGTGGCCAGCGAAAGGCTCTCCAAGAAAGTAATATTCAGGCTGAGATCTGAATGACAAAAAGATACTCTCCTAAGCTGGTGGATATCAGGAGAGAAAGCACTGCAAGCAGAGGGGCTCACTACCATAACCATTTCAAGGACCTACAGTGGAAATGAGTTTGGAGTGGTCAAGCTTGGAGCAGAGAGAAGCTCCCTGGGCTGTTGGGACCTGGGGGAAGCACAGAATGGATGAAGGATGAAAAGATAGGTGGTTCCCTCAGGCAGGGATGTGAAGCCATGTGAGGATTTAAAGCAGGAGATAACATGTTCCAGTTTATGTTTCTAAAAGATTTCCTTGACTGTTCTGCAAAAGAAGGATGGCAAGGAAGTAATAGTAAAAGCCAGGAGAGACTATGTAAGAGACTAGTACATGAGTCTGGGCAAGAGAAGGTGGTGACCCTGATGGCGATGTTGGAAATGAAGGCAAGGAGAATAATCCTAAATATTTGGGCTACATCCTAAGCCACATATTTTATCTCACAAAATCCTCAGTTTCTTAGATTGAAATTCCACCTTATTTGCCTTTATATTTCCAAGTTAGAGACTTTTCATTAAAAGTCCAGTCAAAGTTTAGCAGTTGTATTTTTTCCTTGCTCTTATATCTATTTGATCAAAGCAGGGGACTCCTTCCTTTGTCTTTGCTTTTAATGGCCATTAGCATTTTCCATGTCTGCAGTAGTATGGAGCTTTTAGCCTTACAGAGACCTTTTTGGAAAGTTCCTGCTATTCATTTTTATGGGTTCTTAATTTTGCCCCTTTATGCATTTTAGAATGCAGCTTTCAAAATTCTAGTTCATCAAAGAAATCTCTATGTAGTCAGTGACTTTATTAAATACTTTTCCCTTTTCTCTCATTGGGATTGTTTATAATTGGAGAGTGAGGGTTTTATTTTTAAGAATCTACCTTCCTTGTAAGCTGAATCCCCTAAGGCTTCACATTTACACCTGTGAAAGAACAGTTAGGACTCAGCAATCATCACAAAGCTAGTAGGTAAGAGATCTGTAAGGCTCAGAAAGTGTTACAGTCAAACTGGGATACATCAGTGTGCTACAGGTTCATATTCATGGTGTATTAAAATTTCTGAAGTAATAATACCACTCAGAGCAAAGGCAAAATGTTCATGTCTAGACATAAGTTAATCCCCATTATAATAATTACTACAGCTGAGCCAAATATGAACTATCTTTCTGAAAATTATTAACATTAGCAAACAGAACTCTAAGTCAGACATCTATTTTTAAAATCTAAAATATCGGCCTGGTATTCAGCATTCTCTCTCTCTGCACACACACAAACACCAAACACACATACACACACACTTCTGTTTTTGTAAAAATACTCTAAGAATTAAAGGGTTGGAAAGAAGCTTCTGATGCTATCCAACCCATCTGTCTGCCATTAAGAGGTTTTAAAATGTGCCATCTTAGATTCTGAAGAAAATTCCAGACTTCGTTTGTAATCTATCTTAATATTCACATTTTATGTAAGGAATATTGTTACCAAGCAACATTGTCTGGAGTACAGCAAATCAATATTAGTCCTATTCATAGTCTAGAATATTTAAAGTGTACTCCTTCCTTGAGTTGATGCAAATATTAAGTATTGGTTAATTGATTATTTTGGTATTTCATTTAAGAAAAGTATAAGAAGAGAGTTTTTAATTTATTTATTTTAATAGCTTTATTGAGGTGTAATTGATTTGCAAAAATTTTGCATATTTGATATATACAATTTGAGGGGTTTGGACATGGCATGAAGCCACAACCACAATCCATGTAACAAACACATCCATTAACTCCAAAAGTTTATGCATGCCTCTTTGAAGAAGAGAGTTAAGGGTTGATTTTAACTTAAAAATGAAACCAATTTTTCTATGACTAAGAGTTATTAAATAAGCATATTATAAAACTATTTTGAAATTAGTTCTTAAACCACTTGACTTATAAAAGAATAGCTCAATCACAAGGGACAAAATTCTTTTTTTATTAGTTTTTTGAGACGGAGTCTCGCTTTGTCACCCAGGCTGGAGTGCAGTGGTGCAATCTCGGCTCACTGCAACCTCTGCCTCCTAGGTTCAAGCCATTCTCACAAACGACAAAATTCTATGGCAGTGGCCAGGTGGTGGCATTCGGTGGGGAGAGAGTGTGTGCATGTTGGTGTTTCCAAAGACATACTGGAGCTTTTTTTATTTTTTAGGCAAAATTTGCACTCTTTTTAATGAGCCCATGGGCACTGTCATTCTGTGATCAGCAGCAAACCTCTCCAAAGAAGGACAAAATAGCTGAAGTGATTTGAGTGGCATCAAATGTCAACTTAACAGAGTAAACGATTATGAAAGAACATTAAGTAACCAGCACACCTGAGAGAGAGCTTTGAAAACATAATAGGGCAAATTGGGAGACTAAATTCTATGTCCAGTGTTCCTTGCAGAGATGCTGAGTTCCATACCAGGACCAATTCTGTACAGAGTCTAATCAGTGAACTCTAAGAAAACATCAGATTTTATATGTTCCAATGATTATCCATTATGGCTTCTTGTTCTCTACAGAAAAACCAGCAACCACTCCATGTTATATAATACTATAGTCTGAAATACTTTCAAGGGACAGTACAGTTATTTTGCATTATTTTTATTTTTGTTCATTTTTTACTTTTGAGTGCTCATTCATTCTCTGCAGATATCCACTTTAAGGCTCATACCTTGTGAACTTTGCAGAGATTTTCATGGGCCCATTCATTTTCAGAGTTACAACAAGAAAATGTCTTAAATATGCGCCTAACATATCTAAGAATTTTGACTTTTTACTTAAAACTAACCAAATCTTACATCCAAAACCAAGTCAAAAGTTAAGAGTCAAAATTTATCTGGTTTAATACTGAAAACATGGACAAGAACAATAGGCCTGTTTGTTGAGGTAAGGAGATTCTCTGCCAGACATTTTACATAAGTTATTTTAAATCCTTACTGGAGCCATATGAGATACACATAATTCTCCCTATTTACAAAAGAGGACACTAAGATTCAGAGAGGTTATATCATTTGCTCAACTCCCCACAGCCTCTAAGATTCAGAGCAGGAAATTTTAATTCCAGATGACTAGATTTCATATTGCCTGTCCTTACCACACCACATGCTAAAACATTTGGACAATTCTATTCTGAGAGATAAACCTGATCCACATAGGAAAACAAAAAATAGAAACAGCAAACATAATTTCAAATAGTTCCTTATCTTTCCAGCCCCTGCATTTTCTACATACTCGCCCCCTGTGTAGACACAGCCTGTGCTTATCCAGTGCATGTGTGTAAATGCTGTGTGCACGAGGATGTCCATGTGACTGTACATATGAGGGCTGGCTCACAAATATTTATAGAATATTTCCACGGAATTAGATAATATCTTGTTTGCAAAAGAAAATAATGAAGCAATGTTAAAACTAATTAATTTTAAATGTCCTTTATATCCATGGAGTGGAAAAGTTTTTCTCATTCTGCTGTAAGTTTCAGTAGGCCAGCAGTATCCATTCAACTACTCTCCTATTTCTGGGCAATGGCCTGCTTTTACCATGGCATGGATTTCTATTTGCATTCAGGGCAAAGGTTAACCACGGAGTAAAGTTGAGGCAAAGCACTGAGGAGGTGCATCCCTGGGTGTCTAGGCAGGCTATTCAATGAACTCTGTCCCCCAAGATGGTGTGACAAACCTGAAAGCCAGGATTCTTTCCCTAGCATGCTAACTTGCTGTCAGTTAATTCAGTTTCTGAGTCCAGATAAAGGAGAGTGAAAAGTATTCCATGGGAACCATGTAGATGTTGATTTGATTGGCTACTGTTACTAGACTTCGGGAACTGCTCGAGACAATTTAGGTGTAATTAGAGTTCAATGCCTACGGCTTCACTTTCTGCAAAGTATAAAAGTTGGACTGGGTTCCCGTTAACACCTCCTCACCATTATCCACAATAAGATTCTTACAGAAAATGAGAGCAGAAACTAAATTTTGACTTGTGGCACAGAAGTGTTAATACCAATAAAATCTGTTGGCCAGATGGATTAGTAAGAATGAGTTACCACAGGCATTTAAGAACCTGAAATAACTATAGCAGCGAGCTGCTGGAATCTTCAGAGGAGTCTCAAGAATATCATTCCTGCTTCCTTTACTTTTTAATTCAATAGATAAATGATAGAAGACGGAGAGATAGATAGATAGATAGATAGATAGATAGATAGATAGATAGATAGATGATAGATAGATACATGGATACATAGATACATAGAAGAGAGAGAGATATCTGGAATCATGTGAATGAGAATCTGCTGTTATGCCTGAGAACCAGTAGAATTTTAGGAAGATAAAATTAACATGTGCTTATGAGGCAAAAGAAAACAGAATTGGAAGTGAAAGCTTAAAATAAAATTAAATAACTTTACGGATCTTTCTAAGGTTGGTTATTGAGAAGCCATGCATGAGGATGACATGTCTGAACTGAGTCTATATATTACCATATCATAGGAACCAAAACACTGACAGAAACTATTAATATATGCATTTTAAAAGCAAACAAAGGCCAAGCACAGTGGCTCACGCCTGTAATCCCAGCACTTTAGGAGACTGAGGTGGGTGGAGAATTTGAAGCCAGGAGTTCGAGACCAGCCTGGTCAACATGGCAAAACCCTGTCTCTATTAAAAATACAAAAATCAGCCAGGCATGATGGCGTATGCCTGTAATGCCAGCTACTCGGAAGGCTGAGGCACAAGAATCGCTTGAGTCTGGGAGGCAGAAGTTGCAGTGGGCCGAGATCACACCACTGCACTCCAGCCTGGGCGACAGAGTGAGATTCTGTGTCTACATAAATAAAAGAAAACAAAAATCTGACAAACGTACATATTTCTTATTGTATTGATGACATCTATAAGTTTTTCTCTTGGTCTCGATATAGTATGGTTGTGCTCACTCTGTAATTTATAGACTAGTTTTAGAGAAGAAGATACAAACTGTTCTTGAAACTGAGTTGACAAATATTGTTCAATTATACAATGTTTTTATTTAATTATAACTGAGCTACCTCCACAAGACTCCAAGTCAGAGCTTTGGTGAGGAACACCCAGAAACCAAGTCTTGCTGAATAGTGTGAAGGAAGGCAATATGCGGTAAGTGAGCTTTCAGCTTGAAATTATCTGTCAAATCCTAAGTTCAATGAAAAGCATCAAAATGTCAAGCTCAAGATATGAACTTGAATCAGTTAAAACCTGGAAATGTTAGTGAATGTTTCGCACACCCAACCTTTTGAATCCCTGATTCTACCAGTTTTAAAAATGGCTGGGGATATCTAAACTTTGAAATATGTAATTTGAACTCACACTTAACTTTACCCATTTCACAGATATTTGAAGTCCTATGTCTGTCCGGTGCCATGTACTGACGAAGAAGCATACATATGACACGACTTCTTCCCTCCCAGAGCATACAGCTCAGAAATGGTTGCAGATCTTAAAATGTTAATTACTAATGTGATTAGTACTGCAAGAGGGGGCTGTGCAGGTATAGAAAATGTTGACTTAAAATAGTTTAGGTTGGAGACTGATTTGAGCAATAATAAAATAGTCTAGGATGGCAGAAAATGTTACATTTTGTTATTAAAATTACAAATAGTGTTGATAATTTGCTAAAGGTGGGTTTGGGGATAATCATTACAGGAAGCAGCCTGGCAGGAGGGCCCTATAATAAGGATGCTGGTGAAGTGCAGACATGGGAAGACAGGCCTGGCTTGAGTTGGCAGCAGTAACAATTCTAAGGAAAGCTGCAAAGCACACCACAGCAAAACAAAATGGATAGAACCTCATACTATGTGCTTGTTCAAGATCAGGGGCTTCTCCCTTCTCTAAACTGGCTTTATTTTGGTTGTTTTAAAATAAGCAAAGATGAGGATGCTTCAGGGTAGCAAAAGACCTAGAAACAACCAACAAGGGTTTATTCTGCTATCTCTTAATTCTCTATATGAAACTATACTTCACAGCATTTAAAAATCACCACCCTGGGTTTGGCCCTCTGTATGTGTGTTTCCTATTCTTCCATGCATTTGCGCAGATTTGAACCTCTTACTACTTGGGGTGGCAAAAACAAAGGCTTGGCCTGCTAACAGGTTCTGCCTCAAAGCCAGCAGAATGGAATGGTGCCACCTTTTATGCCCTTTTCTATCATCAACAGTGGTGATCTGCAGTTGTGAATCTTCTGTGGCATGTTGGACCGAGCCTTCCCTCTTCTCCAGGAACAACATTAAACAGCAAGCAGGCACAGTGTTGGAACAGGGATTTTCCACAGAAACAGTGCAAACATTACATGTTTCATTTCTTGCCATAATGTGAAATTTACCTTTCTGAAAAAGGAACACATGGACCTTGGTGGAACTTGCTTGGGAACAATAGTTAACAGTCAATTTATTTCCAGCTGTTTCCCAATAGAAGGAAAAAAATAATTCAATATATGGTGAGTTTCAAGAGACATCACGCCTATGAAGGGGATCTCAATGGTCTCCGGGAACAGCACTTTGACAATCAAATTCAATCATAACAAAGGCAAGAAGCAAAAGATAGAGTGGTGGGACTTAAAAAATCTATTTACAAAGTGATCACCTGCCATGTGTAAGGAAATAATTGCCCAAATAATAGGATTAAGTATTATGAATGTTCAGAAATACCCTTTCTAAAATCTTTATGCTGGGATCAAAACAGCCACCTGAGTTCTCATCTTCTCAGGCTGATTGCTTATGAGAAGCAGGGTACTCTAGAACCCCAGTCATTTTGAAACATTGTTTAGTATCTTTTTTATTCTAAAATAAGTTCATGCTGGTGCCAAATGTAATTATGTTTATTTTTTCTGAAAAACCAGAAGGGATTTTAATGGCATTCACTAGAGCATATGGTCAGGCGTGTGCATCATTCTGAAAGGCTTCTCATATATGTGCTCTAGACACATAGGCATACTGTTTCTAGTGGTGAAAGCGTTCATTGGCCTGAGCTTTCATCAGTGCATTTCACTTTCAGATGAGCTTTTACCTGGACTCTCGGCAATACTGACTTATTAAAATGGTACCACTTGCCAACTGGAATACTGACAAATGTTTTTCAACTCTCGTTCACACTGCAATTCAGAGAAAAAAATGCTTTCGCTATCACACTGCATCACAAATGACTTTCTTATTGCCACCTTAAATAATATAGCTGAAGTCACCACTTACTTTTCAGCATCAACCTAACCATGGCAAATGGCATGCATGTAGTCCTTGGGATCAAAGTATGTTGCAAAAAGTTGTTCTAGGAGCGAGTGCTATTTTTTTCCTAGCAAAGCCACCAAACAAAATAGAATCTTATTTTCTTTACAGTACAATGGCTGTGAAAGAAACAGTCTTTTTTTATGTACAGCATGTCTTTCTGGCATAAGATTGAAATACATACAGAGAATTTGTTTGAATTTAAGGCTTTTATGAACAACACAGTCTGCTACTACTAGCATACTGCATGAATCTAACTTTTATTAATACATAATTCAGATGCCAGCAGTCGACTCCATCTCTGCCACTGAACCCCCATTGCTGATACTATCTCACTAGGCTATTTTGATATCCTGTGAGAATTTGGCCTCTTTTGGAAGCATATACATAACTCCCACAGATACCAACCCAAGTTTTGCATCACAGAATGAAGAAAGAGAATGTATGAGTAAGAATATGAGTTGTTTATTTATGATGGCATACCATGTTAGCAGGCTATATGTACAACTAAACTTTAGAAAGAGCTCCAAGTTAACAAAAACAAATTCAATCTTGTATAGAGCCACATTTCTTTCTAGGTAAAGGCAGTGAAGGAAGCAAAAGTTATTGCCCAGAGTATATAAAGACAGGAAAAAATAGCTAAATTGTTAAGGAACATAGGTTGAAGTGCCAAGTGAAATTATTTGCATAAATACTACAACTATTCAAATACTTGGTAGAACTAGAGCTTTTAGCTTCATTGGTAGCTTATCTTCTTCATTAGCATTATAAAATTATATGTACTAATTGTTTATGCTATAGGACAGATAATGTTGTTAAACATAAGGAACTTAACAAACCTCAGTGGGCTCTGTGAAGCTGATCTAGGTAGAACGGGGTGTGGCCATCAAGGGCTACTCTAGTAACATAGTAGTCAGAGTTTCCAGAGAGAAAAGATGAACAAAGAGGTAAGCAACTATACACCAATGTCTGTTCATCAGTCCCTTCCAAATTTTATGAGATTATACCCGTGCAGGAGTAACATTTTTCTTTTTATTTCTGACTTAACAATTGGAAGCAGAAGAAACATTTTTTAACAAAGAAATGGTAAAATAATGGTCAAGTGAAAAATGAAAGGAAGGGGAGCTTTGCTCACATCTTCTAGAGTCATGCTCTGTAACAACTAGCTGGGTATTCCAATCCCATAAAATAGGCTAAGAGTTCTTAAGAAGATCAGGATTCTAACTCCCATTCCCTGTACCCCACATGCTAGCAACCTCAGTATTAAATCACAACTATTCAAAGCTCAGGCTGATGGCAAATCTGTGGAGAATGTCAGGGAATGCAAAGATGTCCACTTCCACACTCTGGGCACTTGAGGGATCCTGGACAGTGGGCTAAGGGAAGACCATCTTCCATTTGCCCCAGACATCTTAAGACACCTTCGTGCAGAGCCGCGGGGAAGTCAGGTAGTTAGAGGGCAGTGGGCCTCCATGCAGTGGACTCCAGTTTACTGAGGGTAAATGGCTTCTTGAAGGATCAGAAAGTAACTACCATTTTCCTGCTCCTGATTCTGGGAGGAGAGAAATTTTCTTGTACCTCAGTGAACCCCATATTCTATAAGCCCCTGTTCATTCGGTTGTTGAAAGAAGTTTCATGATATGATGGTTACACGCTATGATGGTTATTGCATGTGGTTACTTGACAGGGCCATGGGGCCCAAATACTTGGTCAAACAGTATTCTAAGTGTTCCTGAGAAGGTGTTTTTTTTTTTTTGGATAAGATCAGATTTGAATCTGTGGACTCTCAGGAAAGCAGATTGCCTTCCATAATGTGGACGGGTCTCATCAAATCTGTTAAAGGCCTCAATAGAACAGACTGACCTCCCCAAGCAAGAAGTAATTCTACCAGCAGATGGCCTTTGGACTTGGACATGGACTGCAGATTTTCTTTGGGTTCAAGCCTGCCAGCCCACACTGCAGTATTTGAATCTACTTCTCCACAATCACAATTTTAAGGAATTGTGAGCCAATTCCTTAAAATAAATCTCTCATGATAGATAGATAGAGATAGATAAATAGATAGATAGATAGATAGATAGATAGATAGATAGATAGATAGACAGACAGACAGGTAGATAGAGATGCACACACATTCTGGTGGTTCTGCATGGTTAGAGAACCATGACTAATACAGTCCCTACATCCAGGTACCTCTCTAAGTTAACGGAAAAGCTCAAATACAAACAAATAAACAGACAAGCATCAGAAACACACATTGAATACAGCATGCATTTACACATATGTGGTCAAAAGAGTGAAAGGATCTAGTGAGATGTCAACCTAGGCTCTGGAATGTTTTAGCAAGTTAAGACTCTAACCATGTAACTACCATAATTTCTTCTAACTAAAAAAAGGAAAATAAAATTTCCAGTTCAAAAGAATTTGTTCTTTGAAGGACTAGCGATACCCTTCTTTCTGTTTTTTGCAATGTTTGAGACTACTTCAGTCTCTAGTTCAAACAATATATAATGAAAGGCTGATGGAGCTTGACAGACCTGGCCTCATAAAGCTGTGTGCCCATTGCTCCTTACAAGTTACCTGTCCTTTTGCATCCTACCTCATAACAGGTGGAGGAGATTTAATTATATGACACAAGTAGAATACCTCAAACAAACCTTGCCCTTTGCAGGTGGTCAATAGATATTAATTTTGACATTCTCATACAAACAAGAATGAAACATTTCTGTCACCTAGAACGTGCCTGTTTTGTTCAATTTTTCTTTTAGAAATCTAATTTTTTGGCAAATAAGACTTTAAAGAGAAACGTGACTTAAACTGATGCACTCTCAGCTTATTTTGGGGACAACATAGTTAGCATTTGGTAACCTTAACAATGGTATTATCTCAGGGTGAAGATAATTATCCATCTCCCCTTGAGGTACTAAATGTTCCTCTTCACCCATTACAATTTGTTAAAAACAAAGAATTTTTTTTGTAAAAATACAAAGAAAGAAATGGAGGCAAATATATGAGCCATTCCTTAAGTTTTTATGATGACCAATATTCCAATTCTATCTTCAAAACTATCACCAAGTAAGTTGTACGCCTGATTATCTAAGTTGTGAGCTCTTAAAACACTTATGTTCACATGTAGCAAGGTATATAACTTTATGAATTGCATTCATGAAACAAATGTGGGAGTTGAAAAAAATGACAATGCTGTGAAATTTCAAATGTAAAGCTAGTGCCACACTGCCTGCCAAAAAGCAGTTATGTCATTTTGCTAAGATGTAGCCAGGGAAACCTTGTAAAGAGAGATGGGTTTTTGGTGTTTTAAATCAGCTCTAACTAAGATAAATGTCCATGATTCCACACTGAAAGGATGTCCATCGCTAAACTCTCCAGTTGACTCTATGCTGAGGTTAAAAAAAAACCCGGCCAGACACAATGGCTCACGCTTGTAATCCCAGCACTTTGGGAGGCCAAGACGGGTGGATCACGAGGTCAGGAGTTCGAGACCAGTCTAGCCAACACAGTGAAACCCCGTTTCTACTAAAAATACAAAAATTAGCTGGGCATGGTGGCAGGCGCTTGTAATCTCAGCTACTCAGGAGGCTGAGGCAGGAGCATCCCTTGAATCCGGGAGGCGAAGGTTGCAGTGAGCCGAGATTGCACCACTGCACTCCAGCCTGGGTGACAGAGTGTGACTCTGTCTCAAAAAATAAAAGAAAATAAAAATAAAAATAATAAAAACACCACTGACAATAAATTTATTACCTTCCTCTGTTGTATTAGATACAAACATTCTGCAAAAGAGAAGGTGGACTCACTCAGAGGAATCAAAGATTATCTTTTAGCACCTAACATATCCTGAAGGCTGCTGGGAAACACACCTGATCACTAGCCATAAGGAGCCCTCATTCACAAAGTTTCAGATGCCATATATAATGGCTGGATTCTCTAATAGCCTGGAGATCACCAACAGCATTCATTTGCCTTCCATGGCACCTGCAGAAAATGACAAAAAAAAAAAAACTAGAGAAATGGAAAACATTTCCACTCCATGGGCATGCACCTGGTGTCATCGCCAGGATGTTATAACTAATATACCAACAAAACACCCAGAGTCCAACCAGGTTGCTTGCATTTTCCAGCTGTATAAACTCAGTCACTTTTTGGAACAAGGTCCAATTAACATGGCACAAATTCACAGGGTATAATATACAACAGGTAAGCCATTTAGAATAATAGGATTCAAGTCATGGGTGTGAAATATGCCACTGTTTATTTTGTATTATTTTATTTTATTGTGGTATCTATTTCTGTGGACAAGTTGAGAGCACAAATTTTATTTACTGTGATGCTAGAGACCAATATTCAAACTTGGTGAAGAATGTTAATAATTCTGCCATAATATACACATTTCATCTGAAAGATAGCTTAGAGATAGAAATAAATAGATAGCCAGGCATAACTAATTATATACTATATAACTAGCAAATAAGCATATTTATTGAAACGATATTCAGAAAACAGTTAAATGGTCTTGACAGAGAATAATCAGGGATGTTTATAAAAACTCTCTGTCCAGGATGATCTAAAGCAATCTCAGTATCAAATGTTTTGTTCAGATTTCTCTCAAAATTCAGGCACTGCCAGTGTTGTTGATTCTCTCTCCTTTGTCAGTGACTTCAGATGCTGATGAAAGTCAGAATAATATGGGCAGCTTTTCAGACCTTGGAATCATATGATCCCAGGTGAAACCCAAGCATCTGTATTTGAAAGCTACACCCATATTTATATTGCCACCCAAATTTGAAAAGAGGAAATAGTCTCCATTATTAGGGTATAATGCATACAAACAAAAGAGCTACCTTATTTATTACATTGCTTAGACTTTTTAAAATATAATTGCTTACTTTTGGAACACTTGATCTGTCCTGAATTAAGAGTCATATATTAAAATCTCTTATATGACTGGGTTTCTACCCAAATCCTTGCATCTGTGTAGTTTTTGTTTCACATGAGTGCTGTGTTATTTAATGTATTGGTGTTACATCAAATGTAGCTTTTAACATTACGAAGTATCTTTTATCCCATCTTATACTTTTTGGTTTTAATGTTTTTTTGTTGTCAGAATTGTAACCCTTGCTTTTCTTACTGCTTCTTTTTGCCAGGTAAATTTTTGTCAATATCATTTTTTTTTAGCCTTTTTGAAATCACTGAAAAAAAATTAAGTGGTTCTCAATTACAGTTGTGTGATTTTTCATGTGCTTTATCCCACATTACACAAACAACAGTCTCAGGTCATCCATATCAAAACTAGCACCGGCAAAATGATGAATGTCTACCCTACAAGGGTTATGCAGTCAAACCTTAATGGTGGGCCTTAACGTCATTTGGAATAGTGTCTGGCTGTGTGTGCTTACATCATCTGACTATACAGGTTCATTTGTTTCATTTTCCTTTTACTTTTAGAAGTTGCCTTTTTTAAATTAATTTTTTTAATTATATAAAATGTTTATATGTTTTAAATCGGAGTTGCAAAACAAAGTTTATTCAAAGAAGCTTAGTTTTTCCTACTAACCCCTCTAACCTAGCCCCCCCCCACATATGTAATCATTTATTATCTTATAGTTTACCTTCCATTGTTTATTATTATTTTTTAATTCTTTTATTTTTTTTGAGATAGAGTCTCACTCTGTTGCCCAGGCTGGAGTGCAGTGGGGTGATCTCAGCTCACTGTAACCTCCGCCTCCTGGGTTCAAGCGATCCTCCTGCCTCAGCCTCCTGAGTAGCTGGGATTACAGGTGTGTGCCACCAGGCCCAGCTAATTTTTGTATTTTTAGTAGAGACGGGGTTTCACCATGTTGGTCAGGCTAGTCTTAAACTCCTGACCTCATGATCCACCCACCTCAGCCTCCCAAAGTGCTGGGATTATAGGCATGAGCCATTGTGCCCGGCCCATTGTTTATTTTTAAATTAAAAACCATGTATACATGTAATATTTATGTATATATAAATATGAATATGCGTATATTCCCATAACACTTCTTTTCTTAAATAAATTGTAGCATACATGTTTTTACCTTTTTTCACTACATAATATACCCTGGAAATCCTTTGTAATAGTAAATAAAGATATACCTCACTCATTTATACAATAAGCAACTCTTTTAAGGAAATCATTCAACAACATTGTTCCCTGAATAGCATCTGGAGGATGATAGTGTAATATCATTATTTGTTATACATTTTCCTGGACCCTCGGTTTTCTTAGGGGAGTCTTCACAGTTATCTCAAATCCATCAACTGTTACAGAGTCAAAATAATTTTCATGTTCTTCAGGAGATAGGTCATAATCCCCGGTGTTACAAGGTAGTGTTCATCATTTTTCCCGTGTTCATCTGTGACATCTAATTGTGTTATCAACAGTTCCAAAATTCTGTCTACGTGTCTCTCTCCAGTCCCGTCCACGAGACAGTGAGGAACATGTTCATATAGAGTCCCAGTCCATTTATCACATGGACTCCAAAAGTAGCTACGAAAATTCATTTGAAAAACAAACTGATTAGACTAAAAAATAAGACAAAGTTTTTAATGAGATTTTAGAAATAATATTTTGTAGTCTTGGTTTCCAGGCAAGTTGAGAAGATGTAGAAAATACTCACAAAAAGGGTAAATGTTGCTGTGACTGAGTTTGAGAATTTTACATGGGAAGCACAAAGATGCATAGGAAAAAAAAAAGCTATGAATCCCAAGAAAGACAAGCTTTTTTCTCTCTTGAGCTTAGTAAGCTACCTTGCTTCTATAGAACACACATCCAGCACACCCTGATCCCAGTTGAAAGGTCCACTAGTCAACAGCTATAGAAGATTTTGTTTCATCCAATCCCAAGAGAGAACTGTAGATCCTTTCTCTGAGCCCATAAAGCTTTTTGCATCTATCCTGCTTAACGGGGCACTAACTCATAACACTTCTGGCATCTTGCCTGTGTCATGTGTTTATGTCCTTTCTCTCAGTGGGATTGTTTCTCATTTCATAGCTCTGTACCCTTCAGAGACCTGAGCACGGTGTTAAACCTATTGTGTGTATCATAGAAATACTTGCTGAACGACATTGAAATGAATAGCAGCCTTTGAAGACCTTACCTTTCAGAAAGAAAGAACAATTTGGTTTTCCTAAAATGCTTTTTGAGAAAGTGGATAAAACATTTTATTTAGATTTCATCATATCTTTCCTAAGAACTTTGATAGAGATTTTCTGGTCTCTTCACTCCAAATTGAAATTTGAAGGTATTTCTCATTTTGTTTTGTTTTATCCTCACTAAAAAGCCTATATTCTCAAATGCTTAACATTTTCTATTGAATGCCATGATTAAACAGTCTTTTATGGATCCATTCTCTTACTTATAGGTTGGATTCATCTGAATCAGGACATACTGAAAATGCCTCAGTTGTTGTTTAATATTGTCATAGGAAAAGAATCTATAATAAATACATTACAAGGCTATTTTTACCTTTACTATTTAGAAGGTCTTTCTTAAATATGTCTCTAAGTTGCCTTTTTACAGTCTATATTATTTATTTTCTTCTCAGAGAAAATGGAGAACAGTGGACTTATGTTTCTAAATAACATCTTATTTGCCTGGCTGGGTTACTGAGCCTTTATACATTTTTAAATGTTATATATTATCTGCAGCTCTTTAGTGACTACAATTCTATAAAAATCTAATAAAAAGAAAATAAATAAATCTGACTACCCATCTAAATATTCATAGCGTGAGCTCAGAGATGTAGAGAGTTGGAAGACAGAGTCACTTTTACAACAAAGAAAAACCTAGAAAAACTGCAAATTAATGACTTTCCTGGAGAACTAGATTACAGGGTAAAAATCTAACCAAACTCTGGAGAGAGACAGGTTTCTTCAGAGAGAAACAGGACCTAAGCATGTGCTCACCTGGAGTGGATGCCTACAGATGTCCTGTACACCAGTAAAGAATGCACCTAGAAATTTCCAACAAATTGCTAAAGGCTGGATATGGGAAGCATAAGAGTTTGCACTCTCTTGCAGACTTTTCCTCCAAGAACCCCACCAGGCACTTGCAGGGAAGGTTGAGGTGAACACCGAGAAAGAGTCCTTCTCTTTCTGGCTGGGGGTAGTAACGGCAGCCAAGGCGGAAGTCCTGAATCTGTCTCCTCTATCTCCCCTGTGGAACAGAAGATGTAATTTGCAGAGGGAAGAGAAACAAAAACTGTTACCTGAGGGCACTGATAAAAATACATTGCAACTAAGAAAGGGCACCATGAAAAAAAAGTCTGTGATTCTGAGGGGAGTGGCAAAAACACATCCTAGGCCCACTACGCCTGGAGGAGAAGCGGGAATACTTGTGAAGGTTTGCAACGCCTGGCTAAGACTGAAGCTTAATCAGAACATCTGAGAACGTACAACTGCCCCACCCTCTCAACACTACATTAACACGTGTTGAGGAAAAATAACAGTGGAATACAGCTGTGAGCTGCAACAGACAAACCAGAAGAGCCAAAGCCAGGTAGACAGACCCAAGCCAATTGGGAAGCAAATATTGAGAAACACTCTCTGGCAAATTAGACTATATCCTAAACATAAGGTGTTACTAAAGGAACGTGAAGTTACACTGAAGGTAACCATAGCAACAACAGACTTTAAACTCAGCCCAAGTAATGGTTACATTAGTACAAATTCCTCCACTAAATGCAGAGCAGAAGGAAAGTGTGCTTATCTCCAATTATCAACAGTATTTATTTCACTATCTACTGTTCTATACAACACATCCAGCTTCTAACAACAACAACAAAACCTACAAGGCTTGGGAGAAGGCAAGGAAACCACAATCTGAATAGTCAAAACAATAATCAAAATCAGACTCAGATATGACACAAATGTTAAAACTATCATACAAGAAATTTAATATAACTATGATTAAATGTGTTTAAACCTCTAATGGAAGATGTGGACAACATAAAAAAACAGGTGAGTACTTTCAGTAAAACAATTGGAAGCTGTAAGAAAGAACCAAAGAAAATTCTAGAAATCAAAAACACAGTTACAAGGATGAAGAATTCCTTTGACAGCCTCATTGACAGATTCAACATGGCCAAGGGAAGAATCAATGAATATTTAGATTGGTTAATTGAAACACAAAGATTTTGTTAATAGAAAAATAATAGAACAGAGCATCCGAGAACATTGGACAATATCAAACATATAGTCTTATATACATACATTTGGAATCTTGAAAAAAGAAGAAAGAGAACAGGGCATGAGAAATATTTTCCAAAGATAATGGTCAAAAATTTTCAAAATTAGATACAGAAACCAAATCACAGATCTAAGAAGCTCACCAACCAGGATAAATACTAATACACACACACACCCATACACACACCCCCCCAACACACACAGAGGCAAATCATATACAAATTGCTGTAAACCAAAGACAAAGAGAAAATCTTGAAGGTGGCTAGACAAAAAGATACATTATAAATAGAGGGAAGGATAAGAACTACATCAGCACTCTTTTTGGAATAAATGCAAAGAGAAGACAATAAATTGACTTCTTCAAAGTACTAAAGAAAAAAAACTGGCAATCCAGAATTCCATATCCAGTAAAAACATCATTTAAAAATGAAGAATAAATAAAGACCTTCTCATACAAACAGAAACTGAGGAAATGTATTTCTAACAGATCCATTCAACAAAAAATATTGAAGGCAATTCTTCTTACTGAAGGATTGTGGTATAGGCCAGAAACCTTGGTCTACACAGAGAAATAAAGAATGTTGTAAATGGAATAAAAGTAAAATAAATATTATTTTTCTCATTTTTAATTCTCTAAAATATAACTATTTAAAATAAAATCAGTTATTATATATTGCATGTATACACATATATAAAGGTGAAATGTATGACAACAATGCTATAAGAAATGGGAAGTAGAAATTTGGATTATTCTAAGACCCTTATACTGCACATGGGGTAGCATATTATTTGAAGGGAGACTCAGATTATTTTAAAATAGACACTCTAAACCATGGGGAAACCAGTAGAAAGCTTTTGATAAAAGAAAAAATAGTATAAATAATTTCAAAAAAGGAGATAACATTGATGCATTAAAAAAAGTTCAGTTAAATCCTGAGAAGGCAGGAAAAGGGGAGAAAAAGGAAAGGAAGAACAAATAGAAAACAACTAGCAAGATGGTAGATCTTATTCTAATTATATAATAATCACTTTAAATGAGAATGGTCTAAACATAGTGAAATGACAGGCTGCCAGGTAGGATAATAAGCAAGACCCAACTCCATACTATCTACAAGAAACCCATTGACTATAAAGATACAGAGAAGTCAAAAATATTCATAAATTTTAAAGAAAGACAAAGCTGTTGTTATGGTATTTGGTAAAGAACAGATCGCAATAAATGTTTTTTGAATGAATGTATTTGGATTATTGGGAGATTTCTTTTTGAATTAAAATGGAAAATTATTACCAAATTTATAGAGTGTTAAGTTCAATCACATATAGCTTTCTGTTATTTTACTTTTATATTATAATAGCAAATAACATCACCAAGATATTTCAAGATTTCATCTTTAAAATAAAAAGCTTTTCTACTTAATTAACATAGTCTCAAAATGCATAGGCATTTATTTTCACAATTGTATTATTTATATATTATGCTGTAGGAAAAAGCAAATCCGAAAAAGCAAATCCAAAAAAGCTGAATATAATAATTGTATATAAAATATTAACATTTTTTGCTATCATAGTTCTATAGAAAAAGAAATATAACAAATATTGTATATGTTAACATTACATATACAATATGTATGTTATGTATGTGTATGTATGAAGATGAAAACAAAAATAGAGACTAATATAGATGTACAAGTATGTGTGATACTGTCAAGCCAGGATAAGAACAACTTTATAATTTACTTTTTCTTCCTTAAGTGGCAACTAAAAAGATGAAGAATGTTTCCTGTATACATTACAATAATTGAAATATTCTGAGGACAAATCACTTCAAATTTATGTGGCTCAACATGCAATAAGAACACTAATGCCCTCAAAATAAATCATCTGAGGATAATGATCTTTTGCCTCTGTTGTCTTATGCCTGAAAGTTACTTGAACTATAAGTTCTATTTATTAATTAACCTAACCAACATGACACAATTTGTGAATTTTTTGATAATTAAGTTTCAGGGAACAAGTAGATAATAGAACCAACAAAATTAAGACAATGTGAGGACTTCAGTTTTCCTTGTTTCCTTAATGTATTCCTGGAGTCTTCATAGACTTTCTAATCTATCGCTCTCTTTGTTCATTACCTTGGGCAAATGAAATTCCACTCATAGAAATATTGCTGGTTTCTCCTATACTTCAGGAATCAGACCACCAGTTGGGTGTGGTGGTTCATGCCTGTAATCCCAGCACTTTGAGAGGCCGAAGCAGGCAGATCGCCTGAGCTCAGGAGTTTGAGACCACCCTGGGCAACATGAAACCCCATCTCTACTAAAATACAAAAAACTTAGCCGGGCGTGGTGGCACGTGCCTGTAGTCCCAGCTACTCAGGAGGCTGAGGCATGAGAATCACTTGAGCCCAGGAGGCGGAGGTTGCAGTGAGCCAAGATCCCACCACTGCACTCCAGCTTGAGCTACAGAGTAAGACTCTGTCTCAAATAAAAATAAATAAAAGGGAAATCAGACCATCCAGGAGGAGCTCCTGCTATATGTATAGCCAGTTCTATAATGTGACATGTGTCTAAAATCACCACACTGCAAAATTTTACAATAAAAACCATAGGCTTATGGTTAAAAAAAAAAAAAAAAAAAAAGGTTGGGAAACAACACTTGGAAACTTCATCAATGACATCAGAAAAAATATAGGAACCTAATAAAAATGGCAACACAGTTATATACATATTAATGGTTAAGAAATACATAAATACTATAATAAATATGATATTTTATTTTGAAAAGACACGAAGTTTTCTTCTGAAAGAGGTGTGAAAACAACTGTAGCTTGTAAGTTATTGTCAAGTTGTGGAAGAAGGGTTATCTGAAATTGGAAGGATAGTTTTAACATCAGATGTGAATAAGCATGGTTCCTAACACATGCAGTGGACTGAGGTAGCTGGTAGGTGTTTGAGGTGTGTGTGTGTGTGTGTGTGTGTGTGTTTAGTCCTATGTGACTCAGTTCAGCTAGGTAGAGTTTTCTGCACTCATCTAGTGGTTCTCATGGATAAAATGTGCATAAGCAAATGTGAAATTCCACTTAGGCTCACTGTTCTTTAATATACCAATTATGTTGGAACAAATTCACATTTCCAAAACTATTACAGCCAAACTGATTGTACTTTATTTCTACCTTAACGTCTATTATCACAACTATTTCCTAGCCTAATTTCTAGTCTCAAAGATGATGAAGAGGTGCCGTCCTCCTCTATAAAACCTATTCTTCCAACTGCATTTTTGGTAGCTGTTAAGAAAGTAGATCTCTTGATTTTTGAAGGATCTGACTCTAACATTTACTCCAACTGTCTTCAGCAGTGTTACATACAAAAATGTCTCTCCAGTGCCACCTTCTTCTCATGCAAAAATGGATAATTTTTCTATTCCTAAAAAGGAGTCTACTCTTTACACTGTTGTGCTCTCTCTAATACCTGCTTCCCTCTCACAAACGTAATGATCAAGTGGCTCTATATCCAGAACCACCATTTCTCTTCACCCCATGATAGATTCTATCATTCCCTATAATATCTCTCAGCAAGATTAGTAAAATGGCTCTTTTGAAAGGCACTAACATCCTCTTTGTTGGCAAATTTAACCATTTTCTTTCCATTTTCGTTCCTCATTTCTGTGAAGCATCTGACTGTTGGATTCTATATTCATTTCCTAGGGTTTTCATAACAAACTGGGTGGCTTAAAACAACGGATACTTATTCTCTCACCATTCTGGATCCTGGAAGTCTGAAATCAAGACGTCAATGAGGCCATACTCCCTCTGAGACTCTGGGTGGAATCCTTCCTTGCCTCTTTCTAGCTCCTGGTGGTGGCTGTCAATCTTTGGCATCCTTTGGCTTACAGCTCACCAATCTAATCTCTGCCTCTGTCACTAAATAGTGTTCTCTCTCGATGCTTCTCTTCTCTCTTATAACACCACCAGTCATATTGAATCAAGGCCCTGCCTACTCTGGCATGACCTCATGTTAACTTACATCATAATTAAATCTGTAAAGAGCCTATTTCCAAATAAGGTCATATTCACAGGTATCAAGGATTTCAACATATCTTCTAGAGGAACACAATTCAACCTATAACTGTCACCTACATTTTCCTGAAACACTTTTGTCTCTTTGCTTCCCAAACACAATACAAATACTTTTAAGAATTTTGAGTGTTGACTACATGCCCTTTTATATGCTGAAAATTTTACATTGATTTTATATACCCACATAATCCTCACAACAATCCTCTTAGGTACTATTATTTTTAATAATTTTACAGAGGATAAAATGGTAAATAACTGCCCACAAACACACAGGTGGTCAAGAAGCTAAAATCTGAACCCAGGATATCTGGTTCCAATACTCACACCTATCACTGCACTATCTGTCCACCCGATAATTCCTTGGCTACCAATTGAGAAAAATAGCTGAAGAAGAATCAGAATCTCACTGCTGATCCTAGAAAATGTGGTTTAAATAGAATGATGAGATAATATTCCAAATTGCAAGATTAAGAGAGAATGGAAAGAGAAAGAGGTAAAGGAATGAGTATGGGTTAGTACTTTGAAGATTTGCAAAGAGAAGGAAAACTGTAACCTAAGAGTAGAGTAAGGGTCACATTTAGAACAGGAAAAACATAAGCCTGTTGGCAGGTTGAAGGCAAGGGCTAAATAGAATAATCCTGAAAACGCAAGAAAAAATAAGGATGGCTAATGGGTCACAATTTTGAGAGACAGAGGAGGATATGATCAAGTCCACAAATAAAGATGTTAGTCTTTCAAAAGAAGATGTCAGCAGAGAGGGATTAGAGAATGATATTTTTTTCTTTCATGTTTCAGTTTTGCTAAATATCTATCATCCAGCTCAGAGCAGACATCAGCAAACAACCTTAATCTTCCCTCTCCACAAAGGTTTTTGGCTTCTTAAGGAGTAGGCCATGCCATATTCTTTCAGTTGTCCTCCAATAAATAAAAAATGATTGATATCTGAAGCCAATAATATTTTTGTTCTAAAATTTAGCCCATCTGAGGAAATTTAACCCTTCTGAAAATCAACGATATGTTTTCCATAGTATATTCTGCACCTGTATTAGGGTTTTTAGGTCTTTTTTGGCTTTATTTATGTTTATCTATTCATTCATTGATGGAGAGATAAGGTGTTCCTATGTCTTGGCTATTATGAATGACACTGCAATGACCACATGGGTGCAGATATCTCTTCAAGATACTGATTTTGTTTCCTTCAGATATATACACAGAAGCAGATCATATGGTAGCTCTATTTTTAATTTTATAGGCCTCTCCTTACTGTTTTCCATAATGTCTGTACCGATACATTCCCACAAGCAATATACAAGGGTTCCCTTTTCTCCACATTCTCACCAAAACTTACTATCTCTTGTTTTTTTGATGATAGCCATACTAACAGGTTAGATGTGGTATCTCATTGCAGTTTCAATTTGCATTTCCTTGATGATTAGTTATGTTGAGCACCTTTTTGTGTACATGTTGGCCATTTCTATGTCTTCTTTGGGAAAATGTCTATTCAGGTCTTTTCCCATTTTTAAATTATATTATTTGGGTTTTTCTACTATTAAGCTGAATGAGTTCCTGATATATTTGGGATATTAATCCCTTATCAGATATTTGGTTTGCAAATATTTTCTCCCATTCCCATTTCATTTCAACTCATTGCCTTTTTATTTTGCTGATTATTTTCATTTCTGTGCAGAAACGTTTTAGTTTAATACAGCCCGTTTGTGTATTTTTGCTTGTGTTGCCTGTGCTTCTGGTGTCATAGCCAAAAACATCATTGCCAAAACATAGGGAAAAGTGGGTTTTGCCTATGGTTTCTTTCTCTTCTAGAATTTTTAAGTATTTAATCCATTTATAATTAATTTTTGTGAAAGGTATAAGACATGGGTCCAATTTCATTCTTTTGCTCATGGATATCCAGTTTTCCCAACACCACTTATTGAAAAAGGTAATATTTCCCCATTGTGCATTCTTGGTGCCCTTGTCAAATATTGACAAACATTGTCAAATATTGACAAACGGTCGTATATGCATGCGTTTATTTCTGGGCTCTTGATTCTGTTCCGTTTGACTTTGTGTCTACTTTTATGCCAATAAAATAAAAATACTATTTTAGTTTTTATGGCTTTAGAATATAGTGTGAAATCAGATAATGCAATGCATCCAGCTTTGTTCTTTTTTTTCAAGAATGCTTTGACTATTTAGAGTTTTTTGTGGTTTCACATGAAATTTTGGATTGTTTTTTATATTTCTGTCAAAAATGCTATTGAAATTTTGATAGGAATTTCACTGAATCTGTAAATTGCTTTGGGTAATATGTATATTTTAATAATATTAATTTTTCTGATCCATGAACATGGAATATCTTTCCGTTTAATTGTACATACTTTAATTTCTTTCAACAATGACTTATTTTTTTAAGTGTAGAGATGTATGAAAATGCAACAGATTTTTTAAATGTTGATTTTGTAGCTTGCAACTTTACTGAGTTTGTTTATTCTAACTGCTTTTTGGTGGAATTTTTAGAATTTTCTATATGTAAGATTATGTCATCTGCAAACAGATGATTTTACTTCCTTCTCTCTGATTTGGATGCCCTATTTTTTCTTGCCTAATTATTCTAACTAGCACTTCCAGTACTATGTTAAATAGAAGTAGCAAGAGTAGGCACCCTTATCTTGTTCCTGATGTTTGAGAGAAAGCCTTCAGCTTTTCACCATTGAGTATAATGTTTGCTGTGGGTTTATCATATTTGGTCTTTATTAGGTTGGATACATTCCTTCTATATTAAATATGCTGAGAGTTTTTATCACAAAACCATGTTGAAATTTGTCAAATGCTTTTTCTGTATCTGTTGAGATGATCACATTATTTTTATCCTTCCTTCTGTTAATACAGTGTATCACAATTATTAATTTGTACATATTGAACCATCCTTGCACTCCAGGGATAAACCCCACTTGATTACGCTAAATGATACTTTAATGTGCTATTGAATTGTGTTTGCCAGTATTTTGTTGAGGATTTTTGCCTCTACATTCATCAGGAATATTGTCCTGTAATTTTCTCTTCTTCTAATATCCTGTCTGGCTTTGGTATCTGGGTAATGCTGGCCTCATAAAATGAGTTTGGAAGTATTCCCTCCACTTTAGATTTTTTAGAAGAGTTTGAGATGGTTTGGCATTAATTATTCCTTAAATGTTTGGTAGAACTCAGAATGAAGACTAAAGGTCTTGGTTTTTTCCTTGTTGGGAGATTACTGATTCAATCTCCTTACTCATTACTGGTGTATTCAGGCTTTCTATTTCTTCATGTTTCAATCTTTTTAGGTTGTATGTTTCTATAAATTTATACGTTTTCTCTAGGTTATTCAATTTGTTGACACATAATAGTTCATAGCAGTCTCTTATGATCCTATGTATTTCTGTGGTATGAGTTGTAATGTCTTCTTTTTCATTGATAATTTTATTTATCTGAGTTCTCCCACTTTTTTTCTCGATTAGTCTAGCTAGAGGCTTAAGTTTATCTTTTCCAAAAACTAATTTTTGGTTTTATTGATCTTTTCTATTGTTCTTCTACTCTCTATTTCATTTTTTTTCCCATTCTAATCTTTATTGTTTCCTTCTTTCTGCTAACTTTGGATTTATTTTGTTCTATTTTTCTGATTCCTCGAAGTGTATAGTTAGCTTGTTTATTTGAGATCTTTATTGTTTCATAATGTAGCCATTTACAGTTATAAACTTTCCTCTCAGCACTGCTTTTGTATCACATAAGTTTTGGTATGTTGTATTTTCATTTGTGTTTGTCTCAAGTTATTTTTTGATTTATTCCATGACTCCTTAATCATTGAGAAGTGTGTTTAATCTCCATGAATTTGTAAATCTTCCAATTTTTTTCCTGTCATTTACGTTGAGTTTCATACTATTGTAGTGAGAAAAGATACTTGATGTAATTTCAATCTTCTTGAATTTATTAAGACTTGTTTTGTGTCCTAACATATGATCTATCCTGGATATTTTACGTGCCCTTGAGAATAGTATGTATTCTGTTGTTGGATGAAATGTTCTGTATATGTCTGTTAGGTTCACTGGGTTTACAGTATTGTTCAAACCCATGGTTTCCTCATCAGTTTTCTATCTGGATGATCTATCCGTCATTGAGGGTTTAATATCAAAGATCCTTACTATTATAATATTGTTGCTTATTTCTCCTTTCACTTCTATTGTTGTAAATGTACTCACTTCATATATTTAGATGCTCAGTGTTGGGTACATAAATATTTATAATTGTTCTATCTTCTTGATAAATTGATCCCTTTATCATTAAGTAATAATCTTCTTAGTCTCTTGTGACAGTTTTCGGCTTAAGGTCAATTTGTATGATATAATTATAGTCACTCGTGCCCACATTTGATTATCATTTCATGGAAAGTGTTTTCCATCCCTAACTACAGCCTATGTGTGTCTTTAAAGCTAAAGTGAGTCCCCTATAGGCAGCTTATTATTGGATCTTGTTTTTTAATCCATTCAAATGCTGCACATCTTTTCATCAAATAATTTAATCCATTTATATTTAAAGTAATTATTGATAATTAAAAACGTATCTTTGCCATTTGGTTAATTTTCTGATTATATTTCCTTTACTCCTTTCTTCCTTGCTTATTGTCTTCTTTTGTAATTGATGACTTTTGTGTTGGTATTCTTTGATCTCTGTCTCTTAATCTTTTGTGTATCTACTGCAGGTTTATTCTTTGTGGTTACCATAAGACTTGCATAAAATATCTTATCATTTTCACATCCTATTTTAAGCAGATAATTTAAATTTAATTGTCTATAAAATGACACTTTTAACTCACACCTAATATTTTATGTTATTGATATTACAATTTGCATTTTATGTATATCTAATAGCAAGTTATTGTTGTTAGTTATTTTTAATACATTTTTAACTTCTCTACTAGAATTGAAATGAGTTATGCATCACCATAATAAAAATTTAGAGAATTCTGCCTTTGACTATATATATTTATTTTTACAACAAGTTTCATATATTCATATATTTTAGGTTGTTAATTAGTGTCTTTTCATTTCAACTTGATGAACTTCCTTGAGTATTTCTTGTAAGGAAGGTAAAAGTGATGAACTCCTTCATCACTTTGGGATGGGAAATCTTTATTTCTCCATTTCTGAAGGACAAGTTTGGTGGGTACAGTATTCTTGGTTGGCAGGTTTTTTTTAGTATTTTGAATATATGATCCCACTCTTTCCCAGCCTGCAAGCGTTCTGCTAGAAATCCACTGACAGTCTTGTGGAGGCTCCACTGTATATGATGAATCATTTTTCTTTCATTGCTTTCAAAATTCTCTTTGTCTTTCATTTTTGACAATTTATTTATAATTTGCTTTGTGCATAACATTTCAGATTCAACCTGTCTAGTGACACTTGGGGTTCACAAATCAGAATGTCTATTTCTCTCCCCAAATTTGCAAGGTTTTCAGTAATCATTTCTTTAAATAGGCTTTTTGTCCCTATCTTTCCTTCTTCTCCTTCTGGAATTTTCATAATGCATATATTGTTTCACTTGATGGTATCCCATTAACTCATAACCTTTCTTCGCTTTTTAAAATTATTTTGTTTCCTTTTTGCTCCACCGACTGAATATTTTCAAATGACCTGTCTTCAAATTCACTGATTCTTTCTTCTTCTTTATTGAGTCAAATGTTGAAGCTCTGTACTGAATTTTTCATTTCATTCACTGTATTCTTCAGCTTTAGAATTTTAATTTTATTTAATGGTTTCTATGTCCTTGTTGAACTTCTATAATAGTTTTGATCATGTGTTGCTTATCTAACTTCATTTAGTTGTCTACCTTTTTTTTTTTTTGAAGTTCACTGAACTTGTTTAAAGGGATTATTCTCAATTCCTTGTCAAACAGTTCGTAGATCTCCATTTCTCTAGGATCAACTACTGGAGCTTTATTATTCTTCTTTGGTAGTTTCATGTTACCACAACTTCTTTGTGATCCTTATATTCTTGCATTGGTGACTGTGCATTTAAGGAAGCAATCAGGTATTCCAGACTTTACAGGTTCACTTTGGCAGGGAAAGACCTTCACCCATCAGCCCAGCCTGGAGTTTTAGACAGACCAGCTGGTAGCATTCACAGGTAGGTTATGCTTTCTGTTAAGGTCTCCAATTGGGCAAGACATCTGCCCATGCTCTGATGTTGGGTGGAGCTGCAAGGTGGTCTCTGCAACCAGTAGGTCTGCTGACCTGGCTGTAGTCAGGCAGAACTTCTGGTTGGGCTCCTGGCAAGATGGAGCCACTGGCTGGGCTCCACAATTGCCTCTGGTTGGGCAGAGTTATAGGCTGCTTTCCCTGGCCAAGAAGTGCTGCTGCTTGGACTTATGATTAGGCAGGGCTATAGGCTGAGTTCCACAATCACTCCTAGTCAGAGACCTAACCAATCTCTCTGGCCAGACAGTGCTCATGGCTGGTCTCCACATTCATGCAGGCTGAGCTCTGCAGTTGGGGTTAGCTGCAGCCTGGGCTCTGCAATTGGGTAGGGTCAAGGCTGTGTCTCACAGTTCAGCAGGGTTATTGGGTGGGTTGCCTGATAATGCAGAGCTGTTGCTGTGCTCCACAGTCAGTGAGGACCTCTACTGGGCTCTCAGTTTGGGAGAATCTGTAGATTGTGCCCTGCAGTTTGATGGGGTTATAGGCTGCACTCCACGATTAGGTGGGTTTGCTGTCTGGACTCCCTGTTCCATCAGGCTATGCTCCACAATTTAGCAAGACCATAGGCTGGGTTTTATTGTCAGGTGGGGCTGTAAGCTAAACTTCACAGCTGAAAGGGGCCATAGACTGGGCTTCACGGTAGGCTGGATTGCTAGCCTAGCTCCCTGGTCAGGCAGGGACACAGGTTTGCCCCATAGTTGGTCAAGGTCACTGGCTGGGCTGCCTTCCCTGGTGGAATCACAGGCTGGGTTCTATGTCATGGCAGAGTCTTTGTCTAGGCTTCCTGATCAGGCAGGGCTGCAAGATATGCTCCAGAGTCAGGCAGGGTCATTGGCTTGGCTCATTGCTCAGGCAGGGCTGTAAGTTAGGCTCCATGGCTTGGCATGACCACTGGCTTGGAACCCAAGACAGGCATAACTGCAGACTGTATTCTCTAGCCAGACAGTACCACTAGTTTTGCTCCATGGTTAGGCAGAGACACTGACTAAGCTCTCTGGTTAGTCAGTGATAATGCTAACAGCAGGGATGCAGTGCTATCGCCAAGTTCTGTGCACTGGTTGCTGTGAACCCCTGCCATGCTTCTTTGTTCCTGGCTGACCCCATAGAATCTAGCCCTGCCAAGTCCCTCAGTATACCCTGTAGGGGAAAGCAGAAGTGAGTTTCCCATGAAGCACCCCAAAATTTTGGAAAAGCTGGATGTCCATCTAGGACTAGCTGGGTATGATGCCATGCCAGCCTGAGGGAGAGGTGAAGCAGTCAAAGTGTAACTGCTTCTCTTACCCTTTTAATGAGACTTTTTCTCATTTCTGTGGGGTGCATCAGCCTCACCCCCAGTTTCTGGGATTTTCACAAAGGCACTCTTCTCTGTAGATGATTGTTAGTCTTCCTGTGAGGAGTACTGAAGCTAAGCAAATTCTATTCTATTATCTTGCTGATATCATCTGAACTGGGGTTTTATTTCTGCAATTTATTTTCTATTTAAGGGGAACAATGTTATTAACTTTTCTTAATAAGTATCTATAATTGAAAATTTGTAGAAGATGCCATTTTAAAAATATTTCAACTTTTGTAACTAACGAAAAAGTTTAAGTTAAATTGTCCCTAGGATCTGCCATCCACAGGAAAGTCAAACATGTCAACAGGGAACTGCTTAGTGCTGCCACTCCTAAACTTCTGAATGAAGTCAATGTAAAATGTTACCAATCTCCAAGTTTTAGGATTCCTAAAAAACAAAAAAAAAGGAAAGAATGGAAAAGAAGATGAAGAAGGAAGAGGACAAGAAGGAGGAGAGAAAAGAAAGTCATACAGAGTTATGCCAAAATCAAAATGACATGCTAACACCCATCTAGCTAATGGCTAATAGTTTGTAGGCCCACATGGACATCTAACTTTTAAACATTGAAAAGACCCAGATAAACATTCTTGATATTACATACTCAACTGACTTGCTCTAGCTCAGCCAACCTAGTCTTGTTTTCCTATATTCCTTCCTCCTACTCCAGCCTGCAGACATTTCTACACATACCCCCATGCCAGAAATAGCCACCCACCAGCCATCTGCCAAGCTGCCTTCCTGCCTTCATTCATCTGAAAAATTATCTTAAACCCCATCCTATCAGGAAGTCTACCACAATTTGTGGGCAGGATCATAAGAGTCAGCCTAAAGAGCATAATGATAAGAGTGTTTTATACTTTATATAAAGTGCATTGATGTTTAACTCTTTCAGTCTGCATAGTTATATTATAAAGTATTGTTGCACTCATTTTACAAAGGAGGAAATTAAAGCTTACAAATGTTAAGTGCTTTATCCATATTTCCTTATATAGTAAAGAGCAGAGTTGGAGGTCAAATATAGGTCTTCTCATTGCTGGTGATATAAATTGTTTTTACAAAGGCAAAACTGTATTAACCATTTCAATCCTAAGGAGCATAAGGGATATTCAATGATTAGGCAAGTGCCCTGGGAGTTCACAATAAATATTAAACCTTTTCATCTACAAAATTAATTGACTTCATACAATAGTAAAGCAGAAGCAGAAAGCAACTTTCTAGGAGTGAACGGCATAAGCACTAACTTTTTCCCAGCAACGGAGAATACTATTTAGCGTTTCAATTTGCAAAAATGCAATAAAAAGCCGAACTAAATTTCTGGGCAGGTTTATAAGTAAATAATATTAATATAAGATACATGGATGCCTTTATGATTCCCTCAGAGTGAGAAGGATCACAAGAAAAATTCAACAATGAACGCCCCCTAGATAAAGCAGTCAATATTAAACAAATTTCAGCAAAGTCATTTTTATTAAATTTTCATGATTTCAATGGATATTTATGAGTGTCTAGTCTATGTCAGGCAATAAACAGATTCAAGGGTTAGCAAGTGAACTAGGTCTAGTCCCTGTTCTCTAGAAACTCCTCTCTGCCTACTCTCTCCAACTTTCTGCCGTAATGGACATTTTGCTCTTAATTTTGCCTTGATTGTTTTCCTGAGGATGTTTAATTTCCTTCATTTTGGCTCTTAGTGACATTCTAGGTGCAACCATAGAGCTGAACTCTATAGTCTATAGAGGGTATATATCAAAATTGCTGCAAAGCCACTGACACCATTTTGCAAGCCCTTTTTAAAACTAGAATCCTCTTCTTTTATGAAGTCCTACAACCAAGTTCCTCTTCAAGGCCTATGACTGGGTCAGGAGAATATTACAGTTACCCTTCATTGTCACCTACCATATGAACAGTTATATAAAAGGAAATTTTCACTGTTCTGACAATAAGATAGCCAATGTCTCAAGAGCCACTTGGATGGTGGCTCTTCTATTCCAAGGATTTGGTCACATGACATAGCCTCAAATCCAAATTTATATTGGGCCAGTTCTTATTTATCTTCAGCAAGTTATAGAAATCATGGAAGATTTCATGGAGAAATAGAAACTTGAATTAAAAATAACAAAATATGATCAAGATAATAAGAGCAGAGCAGGACTTCTGAAATGGCAGACGGAGACTCTCCATAAATCCAGTGCTCCACAAAAGCAATAAAAAAATTATTGAAATGGAATTATCTAGAACTCTGAAAATTAATCAAAGGATTATAACAAATTGAGGAGCATGTATTCAATGAAAACGACGAACATTGGTAGAAACATAAGGGTACCTTATAAGTACTTTGATCTGCTCTCTACCACCCTCCCCAACTCCACAATAGTCTTGAAAACTGGCAACCTTGCAACCACAGTAACTATTAAAACCAACAGTAAGGTGATCTACACCTAAACACAACACAGTAAAATTTTTGAAAGCCAAAAACAAGCAGAGAATCTTGAAAGCAGCAGAAGATAAACAACTTATCATATGTACAGGATCTTTAATAAGGTTAACTTCTGACTTCTCATCAGAAATCATAAAGGCCATAAAGAAGTGGGATGACATATTCAAAGTACTGAAAGAAAAAAACTGTCAACCAAGACTTGCATATGCAAATTAAGACTTTCCTAGATAAACAAAAATAGAGAATTCATCACTAGCAGACCTGCCCTACAAGAAATGCCAAAGGGAACTCTTCAGTCCGATTTGAAAGAACACTAGAAGGTAACTTAAATCCATACCAGCAAGGAAGTTAAAAGGTAACTCAAAAAACGGGAGAAAAAATTGTAAAACATATTTTTTTATTTGTTATCTTGGGGCTGTTCATTGTTGAATAAACATATTTGTTATCGATATGATAACAGATTCATATTGGGAATATATAACGAACTCTTAAACTCATTAATAAAAAGACAAATGATCCAATTAAAAATGGGCAAATCGTTGCTTCTCAGCCTTTTGGCTAAGATCAAGTATAAATATGGGCAAGTCATTTGAATAGATATTTCTCCAGTGAAAACACACCAATGGCCAATAAGCATATGAAAAGGTGCTCAACATCATTAGTCATTAAGGAAATACATATCAAAATCACAATAAGATACTATTTCGCATCCACTAGGATGGTTAGAATCAAAAAACAGATAATATCGAATGTCAATAAAGATGTGGAGAAAGATGAAACCTTGTACATTGCTGGTAGAAGTGTAAAAATGGTGCAGCTACTTTGGAAAACAGTTTGGCAGTTCCTCAAAGTGTTAAACATATGATTCAGAAATTTTACTCCTAGGTATATACCCAAGTTTATGTGTGAAATGATACATACATAGTGAAACAATAACATGTTCACACAAAAACTTGTACATAGATGTTCATAGCTGCATTGTTCACAACAGCTGAAAATGAAAACAACTCAAATCTGTATCAACTGGTAAATGGATAAATAAAATGTGGTTCATTCATATAAGAGGATATTATTTAACCATAAAAAAGAATAAAGTACTGATACATGCTACAACACCGATTAAGTTTTAAAGCATTCTTTATGCTACGTAAAACAAGTCAGACAAAAATACTCCATGTTGCATGATTCCATTTACATGAAATGTCCAGAACAGGCAAATGTGTAGAGACAGAAAGTAGATTACTAGTTTCCTAAAGCTGGGAGATAGGAAAATGGAGAGTTTCTTCTAATGGGTACTGGCCTTCTTTTTGGAGTGATGAAATTGTTCTAAAATTAGATTGTGGTGATTGTTTAGTACATTCACAGGATTGTACACTTTATACACTTTAAATGGGTAAATGTTTTTTTACCCTGATTTGATCATTATACAATATATGTATGTATTGGAGCATCACACTGTACCCCATAAATATATACAATTATGTGTCAATTAAAAAGAAAACTTTAAAACAAAAAAATTAAAAAATAATAAAAAATGAATGAATGTTATGATATGAATGTTAGAGTGAATTATATTGCAGAAAACCACTTTTAACAAAAAGAAATGAAGACAACTTCCATAGATCCACAGTTATATACTCTCACTTGCACAAATAAACTGATAAATTTTAATTAAAATTATTAAATATGTTGTATGGCAGAAATAGATAACATGATTTGGGATGTCATAAGGATTTAATAACCATTAAAATTTACCAGTGTTTACTATGTTTTTGGAGGCAATGTGCTATGTAAATCAGATACTTTTACACCATAGTTTTTCAAAATGGATCAAGAGTAATACCATTTCCCAGAGTTTGTCATAGGAAAATAGGTAGCTTTGGTTAAAAAAATAAGAGGAAAGCTAAGGTTAAAACTATGTTCATTGCAGCATTATTTATAATAGTAAAAACTTGAAAGCCATTTAAATGTCCAACACTACCAAAGTGTTCTATTTATTCATAGTACATTACTTAGTATCTAATCAATACAAATTTTAAGTTAGAAGACTATGTAATGGCCATATTGTATGTAATACAGGGTGCTACAAAATTGCCTATGTAGTGCAATATTAATAGCAAACATTTATTGAGCATTTCAGATACTACATTGAGGATTAATTAATTTAATCCTCATTCTAACCCTACGAAGTAAAGATTATTGAGGAAAGTGAGGCACAGAAAGGTTAAATAATGTGTCCAGGTCACCATGCTTGTAAATGGCAAAGTCAGCAATTGAATCTTGACCATTTGACCGTTTCGCCCATGTCTTAGTCATTAGGCCTGCACCACCTTTCCATCATACCATCATGCTCCATCATATGTGTTAGTGTGCTTGTGGAAAACATGTATGGGTATGAACAAAGACTGAGACAGATGTTCAAAAATGGAAATGCTCAACTTGACAATAGGATTAGTAGTAAATTATTCCACTCTAATTTTTAAATGTTCTAAAATGCATGTAGTTTTTTGCCTTTATACAAATAAAAAAATGAAGAAGAAACAAAAATCCTACGTCCCTGTTGTTATTACTGTTTCCCAGCTCCCATGGGATAAAACATGCCACATACACCAAGCAAATTTAATGCAAATGCAATACCAAAAGAACAACAAAAAATTACACTCCATTTCATCTTCGGGGATGTATATCACAATATATCTTAGCAAACAAGTTATAGCTGTATCATTTTTACCTTGAATATATCTGCAGTGTTAGGGTTAAACAGCTGGTGTTTCCCAGATCCCAAAATAATAGGACCTGAACATTTTGTTTCTCCATAGACATAAAGGAACACTGTTGCCGTGGTGCCGGCATTTTCAAGATCCCCAGTGACAATGGTCACCTTCCAGTCTCCATCTGCAAAGGAAAAAGGAGATCAATATAAAAGTATAGGGGAAAAACACATTAATATTAGGAAAATAAGGATTTCTACTTAATCTACTTGGTTATGAAATGAATAGTTCGTGAAATCAAGTACTAAAATAATTGCTTATCATGGATTTCCTCCTTGAATGCTAGCATATAAAAAAGTTTTGGAAATATTGTAGCTTAACTACAAAACAAATAGTAGTGGGCTTTTTAGAACAATACATATTTTGGGCAAAACAATGGAGTTGGAGGCATTTAGCACTAAGTGTTTAGCTGAAATACTTAGGAGTTTATTTAGGCAAATAACTGTCAAATTTGGGGATGGGAATGGATGACAGGCATCCTGATAACCTGATGTTAAGGCATCATCTGTACTAGAGAAGAGTCCTATCAAGCTACACTAGTAACACAGTTTGGTGATCCTAGCAGATAGTGCTAAGGATGTAGAAGATATAAAAACAAGGCAAAAAAGAACTTTCTTTCTCATGAAAAATTGCTGGAGTTCCCTGAAAGTTGGAACAAACCAACAAGTAAGGAAGAAAATGCTGTACTGCATAAATAGGTCTTGGCAAAAGGAATTGGGCTTGGGGAGGGAGGATGAAGAAAAGACACGTTTGAAATAGAGAAAGACAATGCATCATGCAAGCAGAAGGGATCATTGAGCTTCCTGCTGCAGTGATACTGAGAGCACAGAAAGGCTGAGACAAGCAGAGCATGACAGGAAACAACTTAAAAAGATCTATGAGTTGTTTTATGATTGGTTTAGTTAGAAAGACAAAATAAGTCTTCATTTTATTATTTTGTGCACTTCTTTGGGAAACTACATCATCAACCCACAGCAATGAACCCCTCTCACCCTGAGTCCACACCACACAGCCAAGCACAGCAAAGGACAAAGTCCTGCCAGTTAGAACTCTGTGCAGTGCATGCACCTCTACTCATCACAGCCTGTCCCTAGAGTGCAGGGGTAATCTGAAGATGTTGTTACTGTTGTTTTCTAAGGCCCCATAAACCTACAACCTTGTATTTTTTATATTTCCAAAATACAATTAAAACCACCACTATTCTGCCCACCAAGTTCTCAGTAATTCTTTCATTAAGATGTGATTTTCTTTTAAAAACACAATGCTACTCCCCACCCACCACTGTCTGTATATACATAAACATCATTTGAAGATCTCTCAACAGTTTGATAAAACTTGCATCAAATAAATTTTGCATAATGTCATCTTTGTTAAGAAAGATGGACCCAGTACCTCAGTACCGAAAGCCAAAGGGGCAGCAGAACTCAAAAGGGTGCACTGCTACTTCTACCCCGCAGCCAGCCAGCTTTCAGGAACTACAGTTCATGTGGGAAAATAAGAAACATGCAAATCTAAAACTAAGTCCCATTGAGAATCCTATCATAACTTAATTCTTACAGAAAACCTCACACCTGTGCTTTGATGCATAATTCAAGAAGTTGAAGGATCTCTTTCCTTTTTTGTAGGTCTTCTTTCCTATCTCATCCTTATCTCCTTCCCCGGCCATCTGGGCCTGCTGTCATGCTATCATGGGGGGAGGGACGGGAATAAGTTTGCATAGAAGCTTGGATGTCTTGTTTACTGAAATAGAGGCAAATAGCAAGGAACCATTGATTCATATAATATGTCTGTGTTCCTCCTTTTTGGAATTAGCATGTCACGATGACATAGGCCTTAAGGGTGGAATAACTAATGAACATCATCTGCAGTTATTTTTATTCACTTTCAAGTTTTCCTAAGCATATTTTTCTTTTTTGCAACTGGAAAAAAAATAAATTTTATATTTCATCCTTTAAAAATCTAATCACTTAACTTCTCTAAGAATGTTTCACTACCTAAAATACAAAATAGTTGAGAACACTTGTAGAAAATAACATAGAGGAACATTCTGAGTTTATATTTAAATTAAAAGTTCCACTGCCCTATGAAATAATTTATTTATAACAGGGCTAAAAATATGTTTACAGTTTTTGTATTGCTTGTATGTGTGCCAAAATTACAAGTATTTGTCTGTAATTTTCTATTGCAAAACTTTTTTCGCCAAAAAAATCAAAAGAATATGACTTCAGATATTTTATCTATACGTTTCCTTATTTTTTCCTTTGCCTTATAGCTGCTGTCTATTCAACCCCAAGGACTCATATCAAAAAATGTTGTCATCTGTTAATCCCTTTGGAAAATGACTTCTATTAGAGTTTTCAAAGGAAGAAGGAAAATTCCACGTAATTGAAGTCTAAATATTTATCTTATATTTACAATGTTTTGAAAGGTTTAAAAAAAGTTCGTTGACTATGCAATAAGCCATTACTGACAATCTAACTCAGGCTGTGCCCTTTCATTCTCTTTTCCAAGCTTAAATTGGGGGAGATACTATAGCAATGTCTTTCATTTAAATAAACCCTACTGTAGATAAAAGGAAATTTTCTTGGAAACCACAGCCTTAGGAGGCTTACTTTCCTTTTGTGTTAAAAATACTTTTAAAGTAGTTTGGATATACTCTATGATCTCCAAATATTCCTTAATAAATTCGGATTTCTTCTCAACAATGAAGTAAAGTCTAACAGGATCTTCCATATTTACAATGAGAAGTATGTGCTCTGCCATTTCCATTCTCATGCAACCACGTGCAATCAGTATATGTAAAACTGACCTAGAGAATTCCGAACTTCAGCCTACAGTTGTTCCTCAGTATCTGTGGAGGATTGGTTCCAGAAACCCCCATAGATACCAACGCCAATAGATGCCCAAGTCCCTGATATACAATGGTGTAGTATTTCTGTATAACATACACACATCCTTTTGTATACTTTAAATCATGTCTAGATTACCTCTAATACCTAATACTATATAAATGCAATGTAAATAGTTGTTAGAATGTATTGTTTAGGTAACAATGACAAGAAAAAAGTCTGTACGTGTTCAGTACAGACACTACCTTCCTTTTTAAAAATATTTTTATCTGCTGTTGGTTGAATCCATGAATGTGGAACATCAAGTGTAATGTAGGCCAACAATTGGAATTAAATTAATATCTGTTGACAAGTTGACTTACAGGTATTGCGTCCACATTATGCACATTGTGTTTAACATTCGAGAGACTCTAAGGGAAGAAGTGAGTTCGATGATCAATCAAACCACACAGTTTATATGTCTTACCTAACACCGAGTTTACTAATGATTCACTAGCAGGACAGAGGACAAGCATTCTTCCCTTGCAGACATCATAGTCCAGAGGGTGGCAAACTATGGCCCATGGGCCAAATCCAGCCTGCCACCTGTTTTTGTAATTAAATTTCATTGGAATGACGCCATGCTCATTTGTTTATGTATTGTACATGGGTGTTTTCACACTACAACAACAGAGTTGAGTAGTTGCAACAGAGACCATATGGCCTGAAAAGCCTAACCCAGGCTTATCAGCTGGCAGCATGGGGGAGATATCTCTTCAGATGTCTGCAATTGCAGCACTAACTAAAGTTGTGTGAGAAGCTCCACGCAAAAAAATCACCTAGCTGAGCCATGTTAACCCACTGAAAGGTAAAGATAATAACAAATTATTGTTTTCAGCCACTGAGTTTGGGAGTGGTTTTTCACACAGCAATAGATAACTAGAATAGCTGCTGAAAGCATTTCACAGATAAGGGCTCTCCATTATCTTTTTACTTATAAATACCGTTAGCATTTCTATCAGGATGTCTAGTTATTAGTATGTATGCAAGGGGATTTGACTGAGTCACCTCTTTCATGTATCCCTGGTAGAGGAAAAAATTAGATTGCAGACCTGTCATTAACTGTTTCCTTCCCAATGTTTTCTTATCAATTGGAAGTGTATTCTCAGGAAAGCACGGTTGAGTTATTTTGGTGAGCAAAGTTGCTACAGCTAGTGAAGTTCAATAGCCCTTCCTTAGATCATAACATTTTTTTCTTTACCTTATTCTGTGTATTCTGTTACAGGGTTACATGCATTTGACTTTGTAGTTCAGAAAATTAACCCTGTTTTTGAATATAGAAACACCTGTGTCTAGACATGTTTTCAGATACTTGGCAACTACCCACTGAATACTCAAAAGAAATGCAGAGAAGATGCATGTGAATTAAGCTCTTACATGCAATTGTTAGTTGGGCATACTGAGGGAAAACACTCTTCACATCTGCTTGCCCTAAGTGACTGCAATTCAATAATAAAAATGATGGGACAGTCTGCTTTGCCTCATTGGACAGCAAACGTGTTCCCATGACTCTTACCTTGACAGAGGAGGACACAGGAAGATTCAGTGAAAGCGAAAAAACCCAGCACGTCTCTGCAGACTGCAGCCTCTCACTTCCCTGACTATAATAATTAGGGGTGGATTAAGACAGCCTAAAAAGACCAAGAGCCCTGTTTGTGAAATGTTTGTTTGTTTCTTACTTGGCGGAGAAGTCGAGGGTTGTGACAGGGAAAGATGGAGGAGAACTGCAGGTGACTTGGGGGGATAAAGTTCAAAAGTTGAACAGATCCACCTCCAAAAAAGCCCTGTGAGAGTCCCCCAGATTTTAGGTGGTGAGGAGAGGTCGGAATAAATAAAACTTTCTCTATCATTACATCCATGCTGACGTAATATTACATATAGATTGGTATGCCTGTCAAATGTCTAATCTAGCTCTTTTTATAATATTGATGCCCACTGCCCATAACACCCACCTCCAAGTAGCCACTGACCCCCTCTACAGCCTCCCTCTCACACAGCGACCTTCCCTTGTGCCAGCCTTCAGCTATCCTAAAAGGCTCCTTTCTTCCTCCAGGACTTGGACTAAAATCTTTTAGCCAAAATGTCCTCTCTTTCACCTCTCTCCTCTCACTAGTGAACATCCTAGCTCAAAGGTCACCTTCTCTTAAGAAGCATTAACATGGCTGGGCATTGTGGCTCATGCCTGTAATCCCAGCACTTTGGGAGGCCGAGGTGGGCGGATCACAAGGTCAGGAGTTCGAGACCAGCCTGGCCAATATGGTGAAACTCCGTCTCTACTAAAAATACAAAAATTAGCCGGGCATGGTGGTGCATGCCTGTAGTCCCAGCTACTCAGGAGGCTGAAGGAGAAGAATTGCTTGAACCCGGGAGGTGGAGGTTGCAGTGAGCCAAGATCATGTCACTGCACTCCAGCCTGGGCAACAGAGTGAGACTCCATCTCACAAAAAAAAAAAAAAAAAAAGAAGAAGAAGCATTAACAAACATTCCTCCCTGTAACCAGAATGAACCACCCTCCCTCTCATGCCTATACTGGACCCTGGCACACTTCAACATTTGGACATGCAAATAAGTGCCTTGATAGATAGGACACTCTCCACCCAGATTGTAAGTCCCTGAAGGGCACATTTTAGCCTTAAATGTCTCTGTATTCTCAGTGCCTAATACAACACTTGGCACATAATAGCCTTTCAAAAAACGAATGGGTGATTTATGAAACGTTTTGGGATCCGTTAAAATGTATTTTGAAAAGCATGGCTACCTGTATGAGGAAGGATATTCAAGATACTATTAAGATTATTTCAGCACAATATATAACTATTTATCAATTAACAAAAACAAGTCCTTCTGATGATGTGTCATTAGTGTCATTTTTCACACAAAGGACAAGGATATTGTTATTTGCCTCATAATTGATCTTATTATTAGCACAAAGATAATGGAAACAATATTGACCTTGTATGATCCACATTTTCAAGGTCATGTAAATATATTTAAATGAGATTTAGCAAAGATACTGTAAACAAGACAGATTATTCTAATTTTTATTAATTTTATCTCCAAATAATTCTATGTATATAAATTCACAAGTCCTTCAAAATACAACCTCATAAGAGGATCATGAGATTTTTTTTAATTTTTAAGTGCTTTACAAATATTTTTATTCTTTCAGGAGACAAATATCATTAATCCTATTATACATGTAAAGCAATAGAGAAATTCTGTGCTGACTACCACAGGAGTTGGGATAAATTTGACACCGAATTAGAAACAGTTATGCTTCCTAGATTAAAATGGTTTCGACCAGTGCTCAATTTTCTCCACTTTAAGTCCAGAAAACAACCATCAAACATTATCAGAAATGAATCTGTTACCTATTTTATCTTGATATTGGTCTAAGACGAATCTCTTGTTATTCCTGTGATTATTTACCACCGATTATTGTATGATGTAGTAAAGAGTGACAGAGTCAGCCAACCGGGTGGGAAGTGCTTGCTGTAGTCCAAACACGTGCACAGTGGGACTACAGCCACAGCACTCAAGACAGGGATAGGTTCCATTACAAGTGAAACATACAGTTTAAAAGCTAGTGTTTATTGGATACATAAGATATATTAGGCTCTGTTCAAGGTGCTTTATGGATATTATTTAATTCTCACAATAATCCTAAGAGTTTCTACTATTACCTACATTTTATCGGAAAGAAACCGAGGCACAAAGAAATACAGTGATTTCCCAAGCCATGCAGTGAGTAAGTGGTGCAGTCAAGATTCAGAAACTGCACTGCTAACCAGAACACTCAGCAGCCGCTGAGCAGCAGCACTGCTAACCAGAGCACTCAACACCCGCATGTGAGAGCTTGTCGTATCACTATTCAGGTAGGACAACTATACTTTAGTGCAGTTTACCATGCATCCCCTGCCTATTTAGTACATTCAACTCCACCTCAAATCTTGACCCTTAACAGGGAGGAGAGTGTGACAGTCAAATATCAAATTCTTTCCAGGTGCCCTAGGTTCCCTGTGATCATTTTCAACCTGGATTCTAGCAGCTCAGCCTTGGCATTTCCACCTTGTCCTCATCCCAAATTCCCTTCCAGTGTATCCTTGATACTTGCTGCCAAACCTCTTCCACGTCCTATTGCCTCTTTAATCACCCACCTTATCTTGGCTTATATGGAAAACTTGACTTGCCTTCCTTTGACTATAGTCATCTTTTGGTGTTCCAGGGAGATTAGTTCCAGGATGCCCCCTCATATCAAAATCCAAAGATGCTCAAGTCCCTTATAGAAAATGGCCTAGTTGGCCAAGAATAGTAGCTCACATCTGTAATCCCAGTGCTTTGGCAGGCCAAGGTGGGAAGATCAAGCCCATTCTGGGCAATACAGTGAGATCTTGTCTCTACAATTTCTTTTTAATTAGCTGGGCGTGGTGGCATATGCACATAGTCCCAGCTGCTCAGGAAGCCGAGGTAGGAGGATCCCTTGAGGCCAAGAGGTCAAGGCTGCAGTGAGCTATGATCATGCCACTGCACTCTACCCTGGGTGACAGAGCAAGACCCTGTCTCTAAAAAATAAACTAACCAAACAAAAACAACAACAAAATGGCACAATATTTGCATATAACCTATGCACATCCTCCCATATACATTAAATCTTCTCTAGATTACTTATAACTAACACAGTATAAATGCTGTATAAATAGTATTTTTTAAATGTGTATTACTTTCTGTTGTTATATTGTTATTTTTTATTGTTTGGGTTTTTTTCTGGAACTTTTCAATCTGTGGTTGTTGGAATCTGGGGATGTAGGACCTGCAAGTACAGAAGGCCAACTGCATTTGCTAACAATTCCTGAGTTCTTTGTGTCCCAACATCCTAAGCAATCTACTAGGTTCAAATCTACTTTCAGACCCACATTACTGTGTGCTGGTCATTAGGAGAGAAATTCATGATCTTCAATATATTTAGAATCCAAGTCTTGACCTAAGTATGCAGGTCTGTATGAGCCTATCCACTACCAATTCTACTGCTACCATGATCTATTCCTGCATAACGAACTATCCTAAAACTTGATGGCGCAAAACAATGACAATCATTTCTTATGCCCTTGAAAGTGCAATTTGGACCAGGCTTAGCAGGGAAGGATTATCTCTGCTCCACATAGTGTCAACTGGGGCAGTTCAGCTGTGGCTGGGAGGATTTGCTTCCAAGATGGCTCTCTCAATGTGACTGGCAAGGTGGTGCTGGCTGCAAGCACAGCCAGGGGTCAGAGCAATGGCCTTCATTCCTTTCCATGCAGACTTCTCTATAAGGTCCAGGCTTTCTCACAGGACAGTGGCTGGATTCTAAAGACTAACATTCCCAGAAAGCGAGCCAGGCAGAAGTGGTATCATCTTTTATGACCTAATAGTGTACAGCAAAAATGTCACATAGTATCATTTCTGCTTTACACAGTTAGTCAAGGCAGTTTCAAATGTCTGCCCAAGTTGATTCCACCTTTTGTTGAGTTCAGAAGAGCACAGGAAATGCTGCAGTCACAGACATTTTTAGCAAACAGTCTCCCACATCCTCCTTCCCAGACTTCCCCATCTCCACGCCTCTCTGACCACTTTTGCAGCAGAACCACTATTTTCTAGGTTAGCAGTTCTCAACTGTGGGTGAGTTTGCCCCTTGGAGACATTTGTTGATGTCTGGAGACATTTTTTTTTTTTGTCATCACAACTAGGTGCATGCTGTTGACATCCAGTGGGTGAGTAGAACCCAGGAAAGCTGCCAAACACCCTGATATTTATGACAGTCCCCCACAACAAAAAGTTATCCAAGCTGAAATGTCAGTAGTCCCAAGGTTTAGAAAACTTGCTTCAGATTAACAAGACATACTCTGATTGAGTAAGTCTATTTCACCCCAAACCCTTCTATGCTTTCTGTAAATTATTTATAAACACAAAGCGATTGAGGAGTAGGCTTTTGATGGTGATGTTTCTGCAAGGCTGTTGGATATTTGAAGATGCTGAGTGTATTTTATTACTGTTTCAGTGTCAAATCCATTCCGTTCCACTGCTATGTTGAGTTATGGGTATTTTGTCTCAAACCAAAAAAAAGGTGTGAGCCAATGTTCTAGAATCAAACAAAAACTAAACACTAGCTATTTAATTTGGGAGCAAATGAAGCTAAACCCAGCCAGGGCATGAGAAGCACTGCACTGTCTTCCTGGTTGCTCACTTAACACTTCCTGACATGCCTGTGCCAAAGGTTTTAGGCACCAAACAGTAAGTCACAGCAACATCTGGCCTCTGCTGGGAGAATTCCTCTTGGCTCACCTTCTCTCCTTTTGATTCTAAACTTGTTCACAAGTTGACTTCTCTTTTCCCACTTAGCCCTGCTGGAATTCATTAACCTAGTTTCAGGCTCTGTATGTTGGGACTGATGAAGCAATCCTGAAGATGGTTCCTCTGGCATCTCAGCTTCACAAATTATGCACACTCATTTGAGATACTGATTCCTGAGGCCTGCCCAGGCTCCCCGGTGCCACGGTGTGTCTTCCTGTGGAGGAAATGAGGCTGACACAACAGGCAGAAGGCTCCAACACAAAGGGTAGGCTGTTACCTTGTCATTATCCACACCACCACAGGAAATTGTACCCTGAATGATCGGAGTAAAAGGCAATACAAAACTATCTATAGTTGACTCAGAATGCATGATGATGTGATAGAATATTTTATGTTCTTAATCATGTTTAGCTGAGACTAATCATTAAATTTAATTTTCTTTCTTTGAGCAGACACTATTTGCGCAGTGAGGCCAGCCAAGCATGTATAGGTAACAGAACTGAGAGGAGAGAAAAAATATTTTAATAATCTTTGCCACACATAATCTACCAAATTGTTAATGATCATACTGCAAAGATTTAGCATTGCCTATAAATAAATGAGTAAGTGCTCCAAGAATTTTTAAATCCCTCAAGTCAGAAATCCCTGAGTGCATGTAGGAAGCTGAGTCATTAAAATGAAACAGTTTTGTATAATGGTTAAGAGCTAAGTTCCAATATCAGTTCTTTCATTTACTAACTGCTTGACTGAGGACAAGGTTCTTACACTTCTGAGCCACAGTTTCCTGAGATGGTATTTTATTTAGTTAGTTAGTTTTTTGAGACAGGGTCTTGATCTGTTGCCCAGGCCAGAGTGCAGTGGTGCCATGTAGGTTCACTGCAACCTCCGCCACCTGGGTTCAAGCAATTATCCTGCCTCAGCTTCCCTAGTAGTTGGGATTACAGGCATGCACTACCACACTCAGCTAATTATTGCATTTTTAGTAGAGATCGAGTTTCACCATGTTGGCCAGGCTGGTCTCAAACTCCTGACCTCAAGTGATCAGGCCACCTCAGCCTCCCAAAGTGCTGGGATTACAGGCATGAGCCACCGCACCTGGACCTGAGATGGTATTTTTAAAGCCATCTCACTAAAATGCAATGAGATACCGGATAAATTACAACAAAAATTGTTTTCAGTACATTATTCTAATCTCAAGGAAGTAAGAAAAATTATCCACTGCATATTAATAATAATAATAAAAGGGGCCACTAGGTGAAAGTGAGTGGTGAGCACTCAGCAAACGAGAAGGTGAGGACTGCAGGTGTGATGGATGCCAACACTCCAAGCCAGGAGAATGAATGGTGATGGCCACACAAGTGTGGGAACTGGACCTGAGACTTTTGAAGTAAGCCAAAGGGGGATACACCCTTAGTGAAAAGTTGGGCTCCAAATAAGTGGTAGTAAAAGGAGCTTATCAAAAACCCAACCTGTCCCCACAAAGGTTGAGAAAAGAGTAATATGAAATATAATAACAATAATAATCTCCCCTGACAATTAAAAACATCCTTTCACTTGGACCTGAAACAAGGCTAAAAGCTAAATCTAGCTTAATAGGTTAAAAAAATAACACAACAAGATAAATCCAAAGATACAGAAGATAAATACTCTCTCACACACACATTTTTAGTGACTGGGGGCAGTGGGCAGTGAAAATCAGTCCCTCTAAAGCAAGAACAGTACAATCCCTGAAGTTGAACCACTTGCATTCAAATTCTAAATCTGTTTGTGTGACTTTAGGCAAGTTATAAAAACCTCTCTGTCCTTTAGTTTCATCACCTGTGAAGTGGAATAATGATACAACCTATCCCATAGGGTTACTGGAGGATGAAATATATAAATTTTTCTGGAACACTTAGACTACACAACAAATAATATACACATTCACTATTAATGTTACCATCACTGCTTCTATTCCACATTGTACCAGGGACCTAGACAACATATGAGGATAATAAAAGGTGTCGTTATTCACATATGATATGGTCTTCATAGATCATTCAAATTGTATCTTGAAAGAACTTCTAGAACTAGAATTTAAACTTATTTTTTATTATATAATTAATATAAATTTATTGGAGTTAGTGAGGGGGTTTATTATGTGGCTGGATATAAGAGCAATATGCCAAAGGCACTGATAACAATGAAGAAACTCAATCCAGCAATGGATACTGAAAACATTCTCTCACAACCAAGTTCAGTCTAACTGAGTAATGTAGTTAGTTTTGCTATGAAGAATGATTTTACCTATATGAATTATAAATATTTAAGATTATAAGGTGTCAAGGTTTAGAAAACATGTCCCAGATGATTGTGGGAATTAATTAAACATGGCTAAGAGTTAGTAATGGTGCATAATTGTACTTAGTGTTAATCACCTCAAAATGAAAGTAAAAATAACTTAGTTGAGTCCTTTTTCCTTTTCTCCTTTAAATTTAAATAGCATTTTGGTCTACTTTCTTCCCCCTAAAGCTACATAGAAGGGCATAAATGACATACATGTGCTTCATATACTTTCAAAATCTAAGACTCATGTTTGCTTTTCAACATTCTTAACCACAATGTAACACTGCCTCAATAGATTAGACTGCTTAACCTTTCAAGGTTCTTTCCACACCATAAATTAGCTCATTCACATAACTATGAGATCACTAATGTATTTCCAGAATCATATCCCAAGAAATATTAAAGGTTGCATTATTTAGAATTTAAAAATGAAATAAGACAGAACCATTCACAATGACATTGTATCATGAACTAACCAAACTCATTAGTCTTTGACTAATCTACTTTTGAACTATAAAAAATATACATTTTAATGAGGCCATAAAATAAGACAACAGAAATAATTAATTAGAAGGAAGCATTTTAAAATAGCTTAATTTAATCAAATTTGATGAAGTATATCTAACAAAGTCCTAGGTCAACACCTTCCCTGTACATTGCAACTTCATGTTTGACATCACTGATGTTGATTACATGTCTTACATTATTGACAAAGGACTTCTGATACTTTCAGCCTTAATTATAACCTTCATTTTAAAACTATTAGCCTTTATTACCCACATATGCCCCACCAAGTTCTGGTATTAATGGATAATTTTTCTACTTAGAATGTCATTTCAAGCCTTATTACTTGACGGTTTATTGTAAGACACAGACCTCTGGAGGTCCCTTAAAATTATTAAGAAATTCTGGAACATTAGTAAAATTATGACCATCCTAAGAGTGTGACACATGAACAGACTTTTCCTTACAAAATAAATAACAAAAACTAAGCTGAAACACAGTTCCTAATATAAATAGATAAGAATGCTAGTTTAAGCTTGAACTGTTTATGTCTCAGTAGCCATCCTCATCATTATAGGACTTCATGAATAAAATAATGTTAGCACTAACCTTTGCCTAGTTTCAAACCACTGTAGAAAGTACATCCATTTTTGAAAACATAGAGATGTGGTAACCTGGTATGCATATTAGTAAACAGTATTTATCCATTTCATTCAGATCAACTTTAAAAATGTAACATATTAATACTATAATTGCAGATTGATTTGAAGAGGACCTAATAGAAAAAGATAACTACAAAAGACTTTAAAAGAAAACTAAGAAACCAATATGCAAATAAGTTTTTTAAAAAGTACAATTAAAAGAAGTTAATATAAATTACAAGTTGATTTTTGTAATTTATAATACAAATAAGATTTTTACTAACAAAAAATTGAGATACTTTACAAAAGCATAGTATATTTAAAAATGTGGTTACTTTTTGTGACATGAAATCATGGTTTTAGGCAATTTGAGAGAACGTAAATAAATTACAAGTTGAGTATTTCTTTTACGTTATCTCAAATTGCCTAAAACCATGATTTCATGTCACAAAAAGTAACCACACTTTTAAATATACTGTGTTTTTATAAAGTTATCTCAATTTTTTGTTAATAAAAATCTTATTTGGAAGAAAAAAAAGAAGTTAATATAATTTAACCATTTGGAAAATAATTATTTTCCATATATATTTAAATTATTGAAGAGAAGCATTAAGGAAAAAAGCATTTGGAGCTAAAGTTGCTGTTAGTTTCTTTATAAATCAACTATAATGCTTATTCCGTGTTCATTTTAAGTATTTTTCAATCAATAGTTAAACTCAATAAGAATGTACTATAAAAAATGTGTAAGGCTGGTAATCTTGAAACAGAAATGGATTATTTCAGATGATTAAAAGATGAAAAGTGGCAACAACATTTACCATTTGCTTCCTCTTGTATTTTAGGTTGATGATTTATTTGCATTTCTGCAAAAATAAAAGTGAAGTGCAGTTAATAACAGATCTGTCTGATGACATTGTAAGTGGGAAAAGAAGAAACGTGAGTTTAACTCTTTAACAGAGGCAAATCCTTAAGTTGATTTTTAACTTCAATTAGGGCACACAACATTTCTAAGACACAGCTTTACATATGTTTTTATTTCACTGTGAGGAATACTATAAATCCAATAATAAAAGATAAATATCAAAGGGGATGTTCTGAGGAAAACTGGGGAATAGTGTTCCATGATGTCCAGATGTAACAAAATCATCTTGTACTTTCTTCTACTGATGGTTTCAGTAATCCTCACCTTGAAGATAAAGTTCAATTTCTGAATGAATTATGCCCTGAGACATGAAAGGAAGCCATCTGAGGAAAAAGAGAGAGAGAGAAAGAAAGAGAGAGGAGAAAATAGAGAGAAAATTAATTTCTGATTTTCTCAATTTTAAAATAAGGTTGATTCTGCATTAATTTTGCACACTAAATGTTAACTATAAAGTTGCTTTTTATATAGTCAAACACAATCCATCCTATTACACATTCATCATAGCACTAAGAATGGTAAGAATCATACCTGTGGCTTGAAGAACGAAATATATACGTTGCTAACCCTGCTAACCACCCACCTCTCCAGGTTTGTCAGTCCTCTACCACTATCACCTGTAAAAGCAACTGGGGCTCCAGCAGAGCACTCCCAGTACCAAGCTGGATAAAAGGGCAAGGGCAGGTTTCAGATTTTGAGCATGGTACCTGGGCCAGCCTAGAAAATATGGCCTGCACATTGATTGCAGGGAAACTTGGCACAGAAAAATAGACTTCCTATTTTAATATTTCCTCTATGAGAGTTTCTGTCTTGCTTTCACCTGGCTTCCTCTAAAATCTCTTCCTCAGTGTTTGCAAAAAGAATATTACCATTGGCCAGGCGTGGTGGCTCATGCCTGTAATCCCAGCACTTTGGGAGGCCAAGGCGGGTGGATCATGAGGTCAGGAGATCGAGACCATCCTGGCTAACACGGTGAAAGCCCATCTCTACTAAAAATAAAAAAATTAGCTGGGCGTGGTGGTGGGCGCCTGTAGTCCCAGCTACTCAGGAGGCTGAGGCAGGAGAAGGCGTGAACCTGGGAGGCAGAGCTTGCAGTAAGCTGAGATTGTGCCACTGCACTCCAGCCTGGGCAACAGAGTGAGACTCCGTCTCAAAAAAAAAAAAAAAAAGAATATAACCATAAAGTTGGTGAAAATATTATCATGCTGGAAAATGTGCTTAGGGTGAGCTAATAGCTGATCCTCCTGGAGCTTCCCCCTAAACCAGGTAAACTTTAGTGTTAGAAGCTCCCTTTTGAAGAAAAGGTCAAGATTGGACTCAGAAAACCAGCTTTGCCATTTACTGGCTTTGTGATCTTACCCTCTTGAAACTTACTTTCTTTGACTAAATTACCTGCCTCATAGCAGTGTTGTGAAGCTGAAATGAAAAGTCGTGTACAAGCATTTTTTTGTAGTATTACATGGTATATCAGTTTTATTATTATACCACAAAAACCACGGTTATTGCTATCCCACACACTTACACATACTCTCATTCCTTCCATCCTTCCATCTATCCATTCAATACATACTTAGAAAGTGCCCTGTGTGGGCAGGTATTTTCCTAAGTGCTGGGACTACAAGAAAAACAAAAGAGAGAAGAAACGTGACCTGAGGAGCTTCCAGTGTAAAACAGAAGGAAACAGATATGTAAAGATATAAATGTAACAAAGTGTGGTGAGACACTTAAATACAGATGTTATAGGAGCAGAAAAAGAGACTGACCAACTCAATTGCAGGAATGGGGAAGTGCAAAGGAATGAAGAACAAAAAAATTAAACAAAGAGGTGATACTTGAGCTGAAGGTTGGACAATAAGTAGGTCAGGATGGGCACCGTAGAGAGAGACAACAGCACTGGCAAAGGTACAGAGTCCAATGAGATTCCACGTGGCTGACGCACAGGAGGCTGCTGGACAAGATGGGGTAGCGGCAGGGGTTGTGTGTGGGTTACTCAAGGATCTGACAATGTCAAGGAACTTAAGAGTCTGAGCTGTAGGACTGACGTCACCACACTAGCCTTGCAATCAGCAGATAATGGGAAGGTGTGGGGTATAAAGGCGAACTGTGAGCTCGCAGTCCTACCCAGCTGTCAGGATTGCTCATCTCTCCATTTTTCCAAAGCTATGAGAAATCCCATTTCCTTCTGACCACTTTAGCTCACAGTGTTCTTTCCTCCTCTGGAGCCTAATAACACACATACAATATATTTTGCACATTTTGTTAGCCCCTAATTATGCAATCTTACTTTATTAGTTATGTTTTGGTTTATGTATCCCATCTTTCCAGCTACATTGTTATGTATGTAAAGAGTTTACTTTACATGCCAGAATAAAGACAGTCAGCTTCATGTTTAAAAATACAGACTTTAGGCCCAGCAAGGTGGCTCACACCTGTAATCCCAGCACTTTGGGAGGCCAAGGCAGATGGATCACCTGAGGTCAGGAGTTCAAGACCAGCCTGGCCAACATGGTGAAACCCCATCTCTACTAAAAATCCAAAAATTGTCCAGGCATGTTGGCACACACCTGTAATCACAGCTACTCAGGAGGCTGAGGCAGGAGAATCACTTAAACCTCGGAGGCAGAGGTTGCAGTAGGCTGAGATCGCTCCACTGAACTCCAGCCTGGGTGACAGAGCAAGACTCCATCTCAAAAAAAAAAAAAAAAGAATACAGACTTTAAATTTCAAGTAGAGTCAGATTGCCTTGTTTCAAAACCTGGCTTCAACATCTACTACTTGTGCAACCTTGCCCCATGTCCTTAATCTTTGTAACCCTCAGTTTCCTCATTTATAAATTATGGATAATAACCTTACCTATACAAAGGATACAGAATTAAACATACATAAATGTATTATGGTAAAATAGTTACTACTGCATTTCCTGACTGCCAAACACAGTGCCTTGTACACAGTTGTGTTACAGAAAATATATTTGGGGTGACTGCCAGTCAACAAACAACCATCCTACTTTTCTCAGATGTGCCATAAAACAGTAGGCCTTGGATAGTGAAGCAAGTTTTCACATTAAGACAAGAAAATTCCCCCAAAGCCAATGAACAGATGGGAGAATTGGAGCAGTGTGGCTTGAGAAGTGCAGTGATGATATTAAAGGAATGGAATAAAAAGCAAGCACGAGAAGGTTGCTTGACCAAGAACACAATCCATTCTCTGCAGCCACCAGCTAAAGAATGCCTAAACCCCTAGGTCACCAGGGAGCTCCCTTTCACTGGCCTAGCTAGGAAACACAAAGACAGGGGCAAAAATTCTGTTAGTCTTTTAAGATTAAAGTAGACAATTGTGGAACGTGTTGGGGTGCTCCCGCCTTAAAACATATAGGGTGTTTTGCTGGGGGAAGATGTATAACGAGGTAAGGAGTAGTACAGATTTTATTTAGTCTGAGATATATTTTATATTTGGCACACTTTCACATTGAAAATGGCAGAAGAAATATTTGAAGATTCTATGTCTCCACCCCCATCCCCAAAAAATGAACAAGACTCATCCCTGCACCTCATTCTGTCAGTTTCCCACCATCACTACTTGTCACTTTCGCACCAAGGAATGGCGTAAACTGACAAAGAAGAGCACAGAAATCTGCAGCAGCACAAATACATGCTCAGAATAGCAAGAAATGATTAATAGTGGCCTCTTTCAGGAAAAAAAAAATCAGTAAAGTTAAATGATTGCTCACTGCCTCATGATAATTTTTATTATTCCCTTCTCCCTATAAAAATTGTATTTTACATTTCTGTACTTTATCAAAATTTCAACATCTTTTTTTATCTATATCATTCATCATCTCCCCCTCTTTTCCCAGAAAGGGAAAATAAAACCATTTGTAGACAGGCTGACTTATTTTGAAAATAAATAAATGCATAAATTATTCGTAATGAGACATCTGAGTATGTTACAGAGGGAACTCATGCAAAGATTAGGTGACCTCTAAGGTTTCTTCCAGCTTGAGATTCCACTGTGTTTTCCATCCATCGTCCTTACCCCCCTCCCTCCTTCCTTCCCTTCCTTCCTTTCCCCATTCCTATCTATAAATATTTGCTAAATCCATACTTGGTACAAGAAGCCATACTGGAAAATAAAGAGAAATTTATGAGACACTACCCTTAAGAAGCATATCATCTGGTACCTGAGACAAATACGTTCACAAACAATGGCAGTGCATTGTCTGGCAAGAATTGCATAAAGGTCTAAGTCAAGTGCTGGAGGAATTTAAAGAGGGTAAGGATGAACACACTTCTGTCTGGGCAAGCAGAGAAAGCTTCATGGCATGGATAACATTTTATCCTGGGCCTTGAGGGATAAGAATTTCAGTAAGCAGAAGAAAGAATATAATGAGCTAAAACAAATGAGGGAAAAGAGTAACAATATCCCTGGAGAATGTCTAGAGACAGAAGCGAAACGTACTCTACTCAGGAGAATTGGAAGAAAAGCCTAGAAAGGTAAATGGCCAAGGTAGGGGGATAATATGTTTTTAATTCACCACACACTAACACCTTCAGGCAGAGCTGGCCTAGGTGTAAAAGTTCTCTTGCCAACTATACTTACACAGAAGAAGGATGCTGTTCAAACAGGGCTGCCCCTGCTTCTTTTCCTGACCCTCTCCACAAATGATATACTCAGCCCTGTTCTGTATAAGGCTCAGCTCATGATTTACTAACTAATTCACTAATTTAGCACACACTTTCTGAGTACCTACTATGTTCTGTGTATTTGTCCTGTGGACACTGAAGGTCTTGATTACAACCTCCTAAGAGCATGCGCCTCATGTTTGATTTTCATGGAATAACCGCTAGAGTTGCCACAAGGCAATTAAGCAAGGACAATGCTTTGTGAATAATAATGATGGGATGGTACAGGGGTGATTATCAGCCTTGCTTCCACGGAAGAATCTCATGCATGGAGATGCGGCCTGCTGGTGTGTGAGGCTGCAGTGATAGAGCAGCAGAAACGCCGCTCTCTGCCAGGCCGTCAAGGCGGAGCCCCCTTGCGGTGTGGTTGGCCAACTAGCCACTTCAGTTTTTCAAGAGTGAGATCCTGAGACAAGTAAACTGCATTTTGCTTAAAAATCTATACCAGTAGGACACGTCTTTTTTTTTTTTTTCTTTTTAACTCATGCTAATTCTAAGAATTACTCTTTGGCTTCTTGTTGTCATTAACACTTAAAAATGAGTATTAAGTGACAATTTTGTTTATATGTGTCATAGTGAGGTTAAGATACAATTAAACCTTTTAAATTGTGTTCTAATTCCAAATCTGTCTTTTAATATGATTTCCCTTTGGGCTTATAGTGTCTTGATTAATGCATGCATTTTGGTTGAATTTATTACACATGTAAATTTAACCTAGTTCCCTTCTATTTCAGAAACGATAGGAGCTGAAAGTAAAAATATAAGACATCAGCCCAACCTTGGGGAAAAGTGTACTGAACTAGAGGAGTAGGACAGACACATAAACACACACATATAACTTAATGTAGTAAGTGCTGAGTTAATGTCACACGCCTTGTGAAAGGTATACAGGAAAATGAGTTTCCCAACCTGTAGCTTCAGGAAATATCTCCTGGCAGAGGTGACGCATCTTTTGTCAACTCACCAGTAAATATACCCATGAAAGCCTACAGGACTCCAGGCACCACGGAATGGCCATGAGTTAGGTAAACTCAGATCCAACAGCACCAGCTGAGAACACAGTGAAGGCCAGTGAGGAGCAGAGAAGAAAGTGTCTGCCAGGCCCTGGCTGAGCTGTAGGCCTGCTGTGTGGCCAAGGCCAGCTTTTGGCTGCAAAGGTTCCCCCAGAGTGTGATCTCAAGGATGAAAAGAAGGCCTTTAGTTTGCCTTGCCCGAAGGCCTGCCTCACCTGCCTGCAGGGGGCCCACAATTGTTTCGGTGGAACAACAGACTCTTTTTTTCAACAATTAATAAGAAGGTGCTGAGGACCGTGAAAAGGGCGTGAGTCTGGAGTGGAGGTGGCATTCCACCTACCAGAGGTATTCAGGATTTGCTGATAGTCTATTCTAGCCATAGTGGAAAGCTTTTAAAGTCTTCTTTTCTTATACTTTGCACAAAGGAGATAATCTCAACCTTTCTCAAAAAAAAAAATTTTAAAGTCATGAATCCTGAATAGAAATGAGACGGGAACACTTTAAAGGTGTTAACTGCAATGTCAACTCTAAGGAACGCTGTGGAGCATTATGTCCTTATTCCTCAGGTGAATGTGCCTCAGGGTCACTCCACCTATCTGACTACAATTTGGTTTTGAGAGGACAAAGCTGGTCATGCTGCCTTGCTTTGACAAGTCAAGTTAGATTCGTTTTGTTTGTTTGTTTGTTTTTGAGATGGAGTTTTTGTTCTTGTTGCCCAGGCTGGAGTTCAATGGCACACTATCGGCTCACCACTACCTCCGCCTCCTGGGTTCAAGCAATTCTCCTGCCTCAGCCTCCCGAGTAGCTGGGATTACAGGCATGCACCACCATGCCCGGCTAATTTTGTATTTTTAGTAGAGACATGGTTTCTCCATGTTGGTCATTATTTGTAGTTATTTGCATTTAACTGATTGATTTCTGCATTTAAAAATTCTCCTTCTATTTAGAATTCCCCTAGGTAGGGCCTTTATTTCAAATAACTTGCTTCTGCAAGCTCCTATCAATGTCATTTCCCAAACCAGGAGTTATGAAAGGCAACATTGAGAAGCTTTTGGCACTCCTTGTCTCCAGGCCCTCCTAGGTCAAGTAGGTTATCAAATATATATTGTGAATGACATTGTTTCTATTAAAAGATAGATGCTAACTTATTTTTAATAATTTCACATTAAAGTCAAGACTCACATATACACATGCATACACAATAGTTCAAGTTTGGTAACACAGAAAAATCTGGAGATTCCCTAATTTAATGCTAAACAATACATTACAGAATCCACTCAAAAAGTATACTGGGTTAAATAGTGTTCCCCCAAAATTCATGGCCACCTAGAACCTCAGAACATGACCTTGTTTGGAAATAGGGTATGTAATTAGTAAAGATGAGGCCATACTGGAGTAGGATGGGTCTAGTCCAATGACGACAGTGTCCTTACAAAAAGATAAGAAATACAGAGACACAGACACACAAAAGGAAGACAGCCATGTGACAACGGAGCAGAGGCTGGAGTGATGCAGCTGCAAGCCAAGGAAACCCAAGGACAGTGAGCATGCAGCAGAAGTGGGAAGGGCGAGGAAGGACTGTTTCCCAGGCCTTCCGAGACAGTGAGGCCCCGATGACACCTGGATCGTGGATCACTGGCCTCCAGGAGCTGCAAAAGGATATATTTCAGTTGTTCAATGCAATCAAATCTGTGGCAATTTGTTACGGCAGCCACAGGAAGCTAATATAAATACTAAATGAAAATATTTGCATTAATTCATAAAGTCAGTTGAATGTCTGCCTTATTCAAATAAAATTTTGTTTGCTGCAAACCTCAAATAGCCAAACCTCCAGTGTAAATGGTAGAAATTCAGTGATGTATACCCCTATCTATATTAAATGTACAAAAGACAGAAAAATAATACCTTCAGGCATAGAAATAAAATAAAGCCATAAGGACGTGGGTGTTCAGTTGAAGAGGGAAAAAGGAAAGGAGGATGCGCACACTCGCAGGCAGCCTCTGTGATGCATACAAGCAGTCTCCTCACGCGGCTCTGCTTTGTGTCTCACCTAAGCATTTCCCCCGAGCCCACAAAAAGGGACAAGCACTCGGTGGTCTTTTTCTCTGCCCTAATTCAGCTGTGCTGTAAATTCTTGTTCTCTGAGGAAACTCCAAGGAGCATGACCGAGATTTTCTTTCCTTTTCCCTTCTGTGATGTGCACCTGAGCATTTTGGATGCCTGTACCCCAGAACTAACTAGCCACAGTGAACATGCCCAGCATCATACCCTACCCAGCTCCCCCGCCAGGACTGTCCACTCCAGCTCCTGCGTGCACCCATGGCTCTCCTTTCTCTTCAGAACAGCCTTCCAGGCTCCATGGACACTGACCTTGACCTCATATGCACAGAAAAGGCTCTGGGAGACAGAAGTAACTATAAGTGGCTTCAGAATGGCCTTTTTCTGCAGTAGAAAGGAACCTGCTGTGCCCCAAGTTCTATTCCTGGTGCCATACTCTTCTGCTCCTTTAAGAATTAAGGAAGTAGGAACTGTCTCATCTCTGTATAGCTACATAATAGAAAGCAATTATTTTTGCAACTTACTTTCTTCATCAGGGTATTACATGAATGAGCACTCGGTACCATTTATTTAGGACCTACTATGATCAGGGTATTAAATATTAGCATTTAATATTTTATATCTGTTACATTATTTGGGATTGTTCAATATATTTTGAAACTAAAATTCTTTCAGATACAACCCATTGAAATTATAATAATTAAGCTATCACTTATGCTCCTTCCTTCCAAAGGAGGCCATGGTGGCACAGCACAAACAAGAAGTAAGGTAGTGCAGGGGCCAGGTGCGGTGGCTCATGCCTGTAATCCAGCAGTTTGGGAGGTTAAGGCGAGCGGATTGCCTGAAGTCAGGGGTTGGAGACCAGCCTGGCCAACATGGTGAAACCCTGTCTCAACTAAAAATACAAAAATTAGCCAGGCATGGTGGTACATGCCTGTAATCCCAGCTACTTGGGAGGCTGAGGCAGGAGAATTGCTTCAACCCAGGAGGTGAAGGTTGCAGTGAGCTGAGATTGAGTCACTGCACTCCAGCCTGTGTGACAGAGCAAGACTCCGTCTCAAAAAAAAAAAAAAAAAAAAAGTAAGGTAGCGCAAGAAATGATGGGTGACGATGTGAAATGTATGTGTAGACATGGACAGTGGCAGTGACTGCATCTAAATTACCCACCAGAAGATTTCATATTTAAAAGAAATCAGCTAAACTAATGTGACAAACTATATCAGAACATAAGATGAAAGTCCTGGATGAAGCACACTCTACCTCTTCTGATGCAGGGAATAAAACAGAGCTTCCACCAGTGCCCCAGAGATGCCTGTGTGCTGTGGGTGGGAGCAGGCTGGGAAATGACACCCAAGTCCTCTTCAGTGCTATGTGTTACTCATCAGATGGGGGTGCCTGTGCTGTGCTAAGTTCTGAGTACACATTGAGAGAAGAGAAAAAATCTTTGTAGTTTGGCCAATTAAGTCATACTACAGGCCAAATTGGAATTGGAACTTGAGGATGGACAGGATTATAATGGGGAGAAGAGAGCAAGGAAAGGTCCTCTTGAGTGAAGACTAGCACTCCGAGGGACAAAAGCAGAGTGGAACAGAACTTGTTTAGGTAATTATAGGGGTCTAATTTCACTAAGATCTTGTAAGAGGACAGCAATAAAAACAAATTGGAGGGGGAAATATAGAGTCAGATGTTATAAAGCCTTGAATGGAAGTTCTGTTTAGTTTTGCTTTTGTGGTAGGCAATGAGGATTATTGAAGGTTTTTAAACAGGAGAGTGATGTGATTAAAATATAGCTTTTAGAACATTATTTTCCCCCATATTTTTTCTTGAAACATTTTCAGGCAAAGCTATACAATAAAATACTAAAGAATAAAATTCAAAATAAAACAAAGGAGACATGAGAGAAGAAAAGATAAAGTCAGAATGATGCTAGTTAGTACCATAGAAGGGCTAGCTTGGAAGTTGTGGGCAGGTAGGCTGCGAAAGAAAGACACAGAAGAAAATTGGAAGACGACTGCGATGAGCTAGTCTTGATGAACAAGGGCATCAATCAGGGCAGAGGTAGTAGTAAGATAAAAGAAAGGATGAATTAAGCAGACACTATGAACAAGGAATTGACTGAATTTAATGACTAAAAGGCAAAAAAGACGAGGGCTACTGTTGATCTCACCGCTTCTGTTCATCTGCAGTCAGCTCCAATCATCTTGGGTGTTTGCAGGTTTTAGTGGCATGCCTTTAGGATTTTTAGTTGAATTGCCTCATTATTTTTACTTTTTGCTTAGTACTTAAAGTTGCAATTTTCTTGGCTAAATCCGAACCCTTGAATTTCTGCTTGCCCCTATTTTGCCTGTACTTTGTTATCTCATTTCCTGTTGATTACCTATTTGGAAAAAGAGGATACAGGGCAGCCCTCGATATTGAAGATTCAAATTTTCAAAATGGAACCTCAAGTTTCTCATTCCCATGCCCACAACAGATTGGGTTTTAACTCAATTTGTAAGTCAGGGCTCAGCCTATTCCCTGTGACTGAGAGACCAAGCAACAATAAACATGATTGCCCATCTAGCCGAAGCTAAGCATTTTCTTGAGAAACAGCAGGGCTCAGTAAAGATCTAGAGAACCAGGCTTCTTCTTGGAAAAACAGGTGACACTTTCTTAAGCAAGAAGGTGTGGGATTTCTATGAGGAGATTTGAAGAAGGAAGTATATGTGGGACCTGTGTCTCAAGCCGAGGCAGTACAGGGCCAGGTCAGGAATTTAGAGAGCTGCTTTCAGGACTGACCCTCATGGGGCTCAAGGAAAGTCCAACTTACCTAGAATTTAATGTTTGTCTTTCTTATATTCTGCTCTGAAAGTTCTTCTCTGTAATATTCTCCACACTTAATTTCCTTATGAAACTGTTGTAACACTACAATTTTAGTAATGTAAAGAAACCAACAGTTAAACAAATATTCTCACTATTTATGTAATAATTTCCAGTATTAAACTTTTGGTCCTTTTGTGACACACACAACATCGTGGTAATAAGAAATTATAAGATAAGTCTTCCTTACAATGTCTAGCAAAAGATTATTTAAGCAATCAAAGAGTTATTCATGGTGTGGAATCTGAGTTAATGAAACAAATCCGTGACCTAAAAGATACACACACACACACACACACACACACACACACACACACACACACAGCATCATCCACAGTGCAGCATACTCTTTTGAAGTATCTTGGAGACCAGCATTACCTTTGACAGGTAAAGATGGACTCGGATGTGGTGCCGGGCTCTCTGACTATGACTTGTTCACAGTACCAGTACTGTGATTTGTCACTGGCCTCACAGCGCAACAGCACCTTCTGCAGTTTTCCAAGCGACACTGCTGCTACTTGAAATTTATCAATCTGGTGCAGGAGACAGAGAAAAAAACCCACAGAAATAACTAGAGTCCGAGGCATGACAAATGCAGGCAATAATAATAGTTAAACGACTGCCAGAAGCAGCACAATACTTTAAAAGAGATGTTACTGTAGTTAGCATCAAAAGGGGCAATATGGTGAGAAAAATAAGCAAATTACTTTTTATCTATTAAAAATATATTTCTGGCTGTTTTTTCACTCTTGCAGTTTTATTTTCTCCATTTGTAGTAGCATCCAGAGTAACAAACAAAGAAATCCCAACACAAACACTTTTCTCTCGTTAGACCCCTACTCTGAGAAGCAGCTCATTAGGGCATCAGGTTGACAACCACGCAGCTAATGTACAGCACATTTCCTTTCTATGAGTACTGATATGCTTTGAGACATGTGGGACAAATTTTCTTTCCTTCCTTCCTTCCTCCCTCCTTCCCTCCCTCCCTCCCTCCCTCCTTCCCTCCCTCCTTCAATACATCCTTCCCCTGCACCTTCCTCTGTAGATGAAAATAGAGCACATTCTTGGGTTTGTTGTAAAAGAGTAGCCTGGACTCTTCACTCCTAAATAGAATTGGTTTGTTATATCAAAAATACACTGACATTTCCAGAGAGATTCAGGACCTAAAGTCAGTGCTATACTGATTAAAATCAAAAGAACTCCTTCACACATTACTTTCTCGTAGATTGTTGTCGAGAATAAACGTCCTAAAGTTATCTGAGGAAAGGATCATGAATTTAAGTAAGTCTGAAAAGTTACCAGAAATGATAGTTGACTGTTAGCTACTGCTACTCTATGGTAAAAAATGTTACTCTAGTATCATTTGTATTGCCTATGTGGAGAGCTGTCTTAACTGCTCCCTGCATTGTTACCAGGTTAAATTTCAATTTGATATTTGAAGACACACTACAACTATTGGCTCCATGCTGTCTCAACTATTGGCTCCATGCTGTTGATGGAAACCTCCTGTGGAGTCCAGACCAAAACCATTACTAGTCCAGTAATGATGGTTCTGTAAACCAGATGATGAATATTTGTGCATCTTCTCATGTGTGCACAGATCATCTCATTGTCACTGTCCTGCATTCTCAGCACGGCTTTACAAGGGACGTTTCATGAGGCAGGTCACCTGTTGTAGCAAATGCAAGTGATGCCCCATCCCATGACCTCTGGATCCATTTCTAGGACTTTCTAGGTGCATCTGCTGCTTTGATAAACAGTTTCAGTGTGCTTATAGCTTTCTATCTCAATCTCCTGTCTCCTGCTTCTGTGTCTGAGGGCTTCCCCTGGTGGGACAAATCTGAGAGATGTTTCACAGAGTTTCTCTGAAGTTCTCTAGCAAGAAGAGGTAGCCACAGCAGTAACCAGCTCACTAATATCCCTGTATTGGCTTTTCTCCTTTCCTGCCTCACTGTTCCCACTCCTTCACTTCTCCAGTGCTTACTGGGATTATCTCCCAGATAAATTACCCTCACTGAAGTCTTTGTCTCTCAGTTGGCTTTGGGACAAGCCCAAACTACAACACTTTGAGGTCTGGAAAGATAGGCTGAGTCAGCTTTCTGGTCTCTTCTTTTATCTTAAAGTAATTTTAGGTTTGAAGACAGAATTAAATTTGGTCTGTTACATATATTGCTATGTTTTATTATCGTGCCAGGACACCTTGTAGAGAAAATGACAACTAGCCCAATGAGTGGTTTATGATGTGAGATGTGGCAGGTATGCACAAATTCTGATAATAAAACTCTCAGACTCTTACCACAGTTTCTGGACTACAAAACTCATGAAATTATTTGGCATTTCCATTATATCCCAAGCACCGAGGAAAATAACAGAAAATGTAAAATCTAAAATGAACCAGGGAAGAAAAACACTTTTACATCTCTGATTCTAAACTTAAAAGCAGATACCACTAAGCCCTCACTGTACTCTTCTTTATACACTGATTGCAACTATATCTCCTACCCAATTTTAATTTCAATCCACAATACACCCTCCCTACTGTCTGGAAAATGCTAAACACAATGATGAACTGAGGAAGATCAATCATGAAGATGACTTGCAAAATCTCAGCAGGTAACGTCCCATGATACAGCACTGCTGCAAAATGATACATGCTGGCAGCCAACTAGCAGGCAGCCAGGGTACATGGAGCCTCTGCCATTTATCCTCAAGTAGTCAGGTGAAAGAGTCTGGGGCTGATGCAAAGCCAGCACGGTTCTGTAGGAGATCACTTCGCTGATCACTTAGCGTAATATTAATAATAATACCACGGCATCTAAAATTTTGTTTCTGCTTAAAATTAATAATTCATTCCTGATAGCAAAAGTTAGGCCTAATTTTGCTTTTGACTCACTCAAAGCAGAACTGGCTTTCCTATTCATTCTGATGAAAGCTTTTGTGTAATCAACAGTGACAAATGTATAGGTGAGCTTTAAGATATCCAATGTTTCAAAATATTTCACAAACTACAACAAACAGTCTGAGAAACAGCACTCTCTAACTGGTTTAAGGAGTCTTCTTTCTTAAAAATATGCCTTTAGATTACATAATCCCCAAACTTAATTTCAGGCCCTCAAATAGTACCTTCTCTCCATATACAACAAAATAACATTAACAATATCCTACTGCAACTTCTCAAAGATCTACTATATAGAAAGACTTATGTTTGTCTATAAGGACAAAAGGAAATAAGGAGGGGCTTAGGTGTGAAAATAACACAGTTGGCCCCATTCAAAATGTTTTATAGATTAAAGGTCATTGTGTTATTATATGAAATATAGTATAATGGCATTTCTATGGCCTTATCTTTTAAAATAATGCCTTGTATCTTTCAAGCCTGAGAGAGCACATTCATAAATATTTTCCTTGTCTTTTGAGTTCATTTTTTTCTTTTCCTCACATGATCACTAATTTTTAATATCTTTTCTTTGTTCTATTATATACTGTTGGTTTAGTATGTCCCATTTTTCTTGCAAGAACAACTTCCAAAACAAAGCACATTAGGAAGTCAGGTCAGGAAAATGTGTTAAAGATGTCTTAAAACTACAATTTGAAGAGTGCCAAACGCCTTTTAAATTTTAAATCATATGTGGCCATCTTCAGAGAGATTGTTAAGAATCTGGGAAATTATTTGTATAGACTCACCTGTCCTCTTTGAAATTTTACTTGCATGTTAGATTTGTACAGCTGTCTGAGGCCAGAGTCTCCCCTCTCCCCAAAGAGACAGAGGAAAACCTCAGACTCCGTCTCTGCATGCTTCAGCTGCCCAGTGTAGACGTCAACCTGGTATCTCACTACTGGCAAAGCAACAGGGAGAGAAAATAAGAGGAAATACATTACCTTGAAATCCATACAAACAGAACCCAGATCCATAGGTTTTCAGGCTATAGTAAAAAAAGAAAAACATATATGAGAATTCCTGTAATCTGGATTTTCTGTGTCTATTGAGAGACTTTTGAGCTTTAATTATTTTTAATCATACATGGGCATTTTTGCAAAAGGCCAGAAGGTTTATTGCATTTTCAGAAAGAGAAATAAAAGATTTTTTATAAGGTTGTTCTTCTATGTATGACATAAGAGGACATTTTATGCTTAGTATTTTAGTGGTAAAGGTGACTGTTATTGTACATTATGTTTAAAGTTTAAAATGATGTAAGGTTTGATGAGGAAACAAATCAAGCGAGGAGGTAAGCTGGCCCCAGGCAAAGCTAAGGTGAGTTGCAGCCATGGCATTTCTTGTCTCTCACAGCCTCAGCCTTTGTGACTGTAGCTGGGCCACAAGAACAATTTTGAGATTACATTTAATCTAAGATCCACCAGCAACTCATGCTGTGACATTAAAAAAGTCACTTCTCAAGAGTAAAACAACTCTCTTAGAAGCAGGAAAAATATTCTGTAACTAAATAGCTTAGAAGCAAATTTAAGCAACTACCAAACAATTTGTCTATGGAATAGATGCTACTGAAGATTAAAAACACACATGGAAAAATAGCTTGTCCTCCTTTTACTACAGGAAGCTCACAGACAACATCCCCATCTGCCTGAATCCGAGACAGCCATACGTTTGCTGCAAAATCTAGGATCTTCTTGCTTTTCATATGTTGCATGGTCACCTGGAATTAGAAGAAAAAATGACCAAATTGTGTCATCTCCAATTTCTCAAAGAACTTGGAATTCACAATGCATCCCAGGGATTTCAAAAGTGTACTGCATACTCTGATGATGGTGATAGCGGTGATGGTTGTTAGTAGTAGTAGTCGTAGGTTGGTGCAAAAGTAATTGCCATTTTGCTATTACTTTTAATGACAAAACCACAATTACTTTTGCACCAACTTACTAGTAGCAGTAGCAGTAGTAGCAGTAGTAGAAGTGCCATCAGTTGTTTATTAGGCAATTTTTATTTGCCACATATTATGCTGAGTGCTTTATTTTAACTATCTTTTAACCTTAATCAATCGGACTTGTAAAATTCTTTCAATCTTATAGATAAGAAAATGGAGGCATGAAGATTTGAAATGGACTCTAGCAGATTCAAAGCTCTCAATTTCACCTGTGGTAGTGATTTAAAAAAAAAAACAATCTAAGAGAACTCGAAAGGAGATCTTGCGTTCATATTAGTCACCAAAGCAAGAATACATCAGAACTTGAAAAAAAAAGTGAATGCCTTTTAAGTGTATTTATAACATCTGTAGGCTCTAAATAAACCCCCAGTTGCCACAGACCAAATGCCTACACCTTCCAACATGCAGGCAGCTGCCCTTCCCCCCAACCCAGTGAATCCTCCACAGACCCCTTGTCAGCCCCTTTGGTGGCTGTTCCACACAAAGGCCCCTTCCCTTTATCTTCCCCTTCACATGCCAACAGACTAGCAGAGAACTTCCAGGAATAAGCCCACAATTGTTTGCCTTGCCTCCTATCACAATAGATAAAAATGTCCTCATCCTTTTAAGATTCCAGCTAATCTTCTAAATAAGTCCCTGTCCCTCCTCAATTTCCTCTGCTTCCTGGCCTTAGGAGCAGGTGCCACCATTTCTCAGATGGCTTATTCTTCGAGCTTGCTGCCATAACCCACTGTCTGCTGTTCCTGCTCTCTTCCAATCCTGCCTTTAGCCTGTTTCAAGAGAGACTATTTTAAAACAGAAATCTGATCATTTTGCACACTGCACACAACTTTTTTTTCAACAGTCCTTCCTACAGTATAAAATCCCAAATCCTCAATACAATGAGCAGTTCATGGTTGGGTCATAATCTTGCTAGATACTTCTCCCTCATGTGCTATGTTCTAGTTGTACTGATCTGTTCATGGTTCCTCAACCTGGCCACATTCCCTCTCATACCAGTTTTCACATACACTCGTAGCTCTGCTTAGAACAGTTTTCATCCTGACTCATTACCGTGATGAGTCTGCCCATCCTTCATAGCTTACACATAACCTCTTCTAAGGAGTTTTTTGTGAGCCCTCGGTTTGGTTCAGTAACCCTACTTTGTGATCCATGGCAGCCTCCCCATTGATGATTTAACAGCTAATATTTGACAGACTTGAGGGAAGGAACCATGTCCTACCCATCTCAATACTACCACAAGCTTTCACAAGGCTGTCCTTGGGTCGTTTGTTGAACGAATGATTAAATGAATAACTACGTGAAATGGGTATTTGTCAATACAGGTTACAGACTAACTCAGCACGCCTGACCATTAATGAGTGACGACTGTATCTTTACTTGCTCCAGGCAAGAGGTCTTGAAAAGAACACTGGACAGCTAGAAAAACTGTGACCAAAGTCTAGCTCTGGCATTTCCAACTGACCATGAGAAATCATGTAACCACTTTGAATACCACTTCTGTGGTCTTTAAAATAGAAATAATGACTATCTCATATGGTTACTGTGGATATTAAATGAGATTATATGTAATGTGTAAAACTTTATATAAACTATACAAATACTTCATATTAACATTAGTGAAATGTATATATGTATACATACATTAATATTAAAAAGGTTAGTATAATATATTCTACTGAACTTGGAAATGTTCTCTTTGGATTATATCATTCTTTATTTAGACAGAGGCCAGTGTCTGTGTGGAATTTGCACGTTCTCCCTAAATCTGTATGGGTTTTCTCCAGGTCCTCCAGTTTTCCTCCAACATCCAGAAGCTCTGCATGTTAGAGAAACTGGTGTGTCTACATGGTCCCAGTGTGAGAGTGTGGGGGGTATGCAAGTGTGTGGGTATGAGCGTGCCCTGCAATGGGATGATGGCATGGCGTCCTGGCCAGGTCAGTTCCCGCCTTGCACCCTGAGCTGCCAGGACAGGCTCTGCCCACCCACAACTCTGAACTGGAATAAGCAGGTTGAAAAATGAAGGAATGAATACAAATGATTGTCAAATAAAAATTTGTAACGTCTATAATAATCATACAAATGTACAAAAATAAACAATTAGGGGATGAAAGCACTCACCGAGTTGCTATGTTTGTGACGGTTTTCGAACTGCATGGTGGAAGGAGGTGGTCCTGACAATTTCCCTTTGCAAACATTTATTCCTTGGTTTAACTCACCATAACTACGACTGCTATCACTCACTGATTGACCAAACATAGGGTAAAACTTTCTTACTTCTTTTCATTAATCTTTATTACATTTATGTATAGCTCACATTTATTTCAATGATTAATATTTGAAGTGTTTTGGACTTCAGAAGATTGGAGATGTTTTTGGGACCAGAAATATGCTCTAGAAATTTAACTCTTGTTTATTTCAGTTAGCCAATGGTAAATTAGTTTTGTTATACCAAGTATTGCTTGAAGTCACAGTTTCCAAGAACCTAAGACAATGTTAAGCGATTACAAGGTCATACTACCTAAAACTTCAACAGGTTCTTCCTCTACATTAACCTCTCCATGCAAATTGGCAAGAAGCCTCTGGTTTCTGAGGCCCCGCCATCCCTTCAACCTTAGAAGAGCCCACTGATAAGAGAGCCTCACTGATTTGACTTAAGTGCAACCCCACGAACACCACTGAAAAGCCTCCACAGTGAGGGCTCTAAGTGAGTTCCGTTTACCTTCGAAGTCATGATGGCTCGAAACAGAAAAACAAAGAATCTAGGTAATCTCCAGCAATGTTTGTTTTTATTTTCACAAAATATTTTTTCAACCGTTAAATTAGTAAGAAGGGCAAAATTCCAGGACGACCACAATGTTTAAGCCCCGTTACATGATAGCTAATGGCAGGACTCAGTAAAAGGCATGTGGCAAGTGAAACAAACATGGATTTGAATTAAAAGACCTTGGTTTATGTCTTTGCACTGCTATTTACCAGATGTATGGCCTTGACCATTAACCACTGAAATAAATGTGAGCTATGCATACATTAAGATAGATTAATGAAAACAAGTAAGAAAGTTTATTTTACCTCATTTTTTGGTGGATCAGTGAGCAACAGCAGTCTTGTAATGGTGAGTTAAATCAAAGATTAAATGTTTGCAAAGTACAAATTGTCAGAAGCACTTCCTCCCACCACACAGTTCAAAAACAAACCATCACAAACATGGCAGCTCACCAAGCATTTTTATAAAAGTTCCACAAGAGGACCTCTCATCTTCAGGCCCTCATTTGCAAAACTGCCATCATATCTCACCAAGTTGATAAGTGCCTTATGTAATAAAATGAGATCAAAACACCTTTTGGAAAACAGTTTGTAAACTATAAATGATTAGCCATAGGAAGTTATTTTCCAAAGCAGAACTTTCTCAAGAATGGGTGGCGATGTGTCCGGAGTTGGTTCCTTCCGGTGGGTTAGTGGTCTCACTGACTTCAAGAATGGAGCCGCAGACCTTCACAGTGAGTGTTACAGCTCTTGAAGATGGCACGGACCCAAAGAGTGAGCAGCAGCAAGATTTATTGTGAAGAGCTAAAGAACAAAGCACCCACAGAGTGGAAGGGTACCCGAGCAGGTTGCCACCGCTGGCTGGCGTGGCCAGCTTTTATTCCCTTATTTTTCCCCTCCCATGCTCCATTTCTGTCCTATCAGAATGCCCTTTTTCAATCCTCCCTGCAATTGGCTTTCAGAGTCCTGCTGATTGGTGCGTTTTACAGACCACTGATTGGTGCGTTTTACTGATTGGTGAGTTGTGCAGGGCACTGATTGGTGCATTTTACAATCCTCTTGTTAGGTACAGAGCACTGATTGGTGCGTTTTTATAGAGCACTAATTGGTGCATTTTACAATCCCCTTGCTAGCTACAGAGCACTAATTGGTGCATTTTACAATCCCCTTGCTAGCTACAGAGCACTGATTGGTGCGTTTTACAATCCTAGCTACAGAGTGCTGATTAGGGCATTTTACAATCCTCTTGTAAGACAGAAAAGTTCTCCAAGTCCCCACTTGACCTAGGAAGTCCAGCTGGCTTCTCCTCTCAGTGATACTTAGGAATATTGTAAAAGAGCTTGATTTCAGAACATCTAAATTTTCCAAGTTAACAGTAAGAGGGCGGTTTTTGTGCCTAGAAGTAAGATCACTTCTTTCCAGATCCACATGCTAGCTATGTAATATGGGAATTGCCTAGTTCTCAAAACCTCAATGTTCTCAATTAGGATTATGATAATATCTGCCTTTCTGTGGTATAAACATTAAAAGTGATCAGGTATACCCTGAGTGCTCAACACATGTTTATTGTTTTTAGTAATAATAGTATCAAAATTAATCTCAGAGATTGGAGATCAGAATTCTTAAAAATTATTTGGGATTGTGGTTCCTCACTCTTTAACATCCTCCTAGAGAATGCCCAAGGAAAACTTCAGCCAAACGTTCAGTTTTCTATTACCAGAATGAGAAATTCTATTCCAATTCCCTGACTCCTACTGTACTTGGGAGAGCTGACCACGACCATCTGGGAAGACAACTAACAGTCTCCTTTGGCTCTCCTACCCTTAGCCAATCTGAAGTAGCTTCTCCTGCTTCCTCTCTCCTGGGCCCCTCCATGAATTCTCTAGCCCATCAGTCAAGGAGTTCATAAACAAAAGGCAAAACCTCTAACTTCAAAAAAAAAAAAAGAAACCTCCAAAGCTTTGGAATCCCAAAGCTGTCCTCTAAGCCAGGTCTCCCACTCATCCCATCTTCCCAAGAAAGCTCTCCAGCACTTCTAGTCTCCTGGGTCCCTAGATCACTGTGTAATCCTTGTCTGCTTTCCCTAAAATGGCTCCTATTCTGCTTCTTTGTACCTCAAGCAGGAAATTTTAAGAAAAAGGAGGCCATTCCTCTCTAAACTATAGGGACCGGCACTGTCCCAACTCCTCTTGAAGGCTTTATCTTTTCTTTCATGTCCTCCCTGAGCCCCTTCTCTAACTGTCCTTAGTGCCTGCCTTTAATGTCAACCTAGATATCAATGGAGCAAGGATCAGGTCCAGTGGGTCAGAAGGAGGGTCATCACTATGGCCAGAAGACTTGGGGTTGTGAGGGCAGAGTGAGCCAACTGCCCTCTGCCATAGCCTCACTCCACATCCTGATTAAATGCAATTAATAACCAACAACAATTGCCACCATCTATATTTGTATTCTACTTGTTTTTTGTTTTGTTTTTTTTTTGAGATGGAGTCTTGCTCTGTTGCCCAGGCTGGAGTGCAGTGGCGTGATCTCGACTCACTGCAAACTCCGCCTCCCATGTTCACACCATTCTCCTGCCTCAGCCTCCCAAGTAGCTGGGACTACAGGTGCCCATCACCACGCCTGGCTAATTTTTTGTATTTTTTAGTAGAGACAGGGTTTCACCATGTTAGCCAGGATGGTCTCGATCCTTTTTTATAAAATACTTTTCACAAATTGTATTTAATCCTAAACAAAATAAATAAAATAATCTTATCTTTTCTTGGAGGAGAAATGATATAGAACCAGAGTCAACAAATACTTTCTGAGAGCTACCCATGTGGCCATTTGTCTACTGAACACTGGATGTAAGATAAACACTGGATAGAACACAAAGAATATATTAGGATGAGAAAGGTTTAGAAAAAAATCCTTTTAGAAATCCTACCCTGAAATATCATAAACCTTTGTTCTATAAAACAAAAAAAAATACTTCTACTCTCATTACAGATTCCATATACACAAAGCTTTTTCTGAAAAAATAAAGGCAAATAGTCACCAACACGTTTGTTGGACACAACGTATTTATAGTACTCTATAAGATCTGATACTGGGGATGGTGGATGGGGCACTCATGTCAGTCATTAGTATTTTCTTTGTATAGCCAGAAATATGAAAATATAATAAGGTTTAAATGTGTTCATACGGAACATTTTAAGTGTTCTTGCAAATCAGACACAAAGTCAAAGCTTGACTCTAAATATCCTTATTTCTCATCCTGTGCCTTGTGATAATACCCTATTTGTTATCAAGGACTGTACAAGGGGGACCAACTATGGTATTTACAACTGACTGAGGGACTATCAAATACATGAATTTATCTTTGGTTCAAATAAGCTGGCACAACTTTGAGAATGTTTCTATAAACTACTGGAGTCTTTTGAGATTAAACATTTGCCTGGAGATTTTGTGAAAAGAAGCTGGTGCTTCCTGCTGTTCACTGAACTAGAAAATCTTCAAAAACAAACTATTTTTCTTACCGCATTTCAGAACTTGCTATTTCCTTTATGTGGTTCTTTCTAGAACCCTGAAGTGAAGAAGTAACTGGAAATGAAAAGGAACTAGAAATATTTATGAGATACTTTAAAACTTCAAAAAAATAAGGCATTTCTTACCTAATTTTGCTAATCTCAAGATTGCCTGGGGCTCATATCAAGTAGGTTACCATATCATATTAACCAGCAGTAGGTTAAAATAATAACAAATTCACCAAAACCTATGACCCACTTCAATTCAAAGACTTAGAAGAATCAAAAAGCTTCAAGAGAATTCCTATTCTATTTGAGTCTATTTATCCAGAATGTATAGCAAACATGTGCTGCAGAGGCAGCCCAGACATTGGAGAGAGCATTAGGCCATGGGCCAAGAGAAGGGGCATTGGCCTTATCTCGCTACTAATTCTGTGTGAATGGGTCAAACCTCCAAGACTCTCCAGGCTATATATATGAAACAGGGTCTCCCTCTGTCACCCAGGCTGGAGTGCAGTGGTACAATCTCAGCTCACTGCAGCACACCCAGCTAATTTTTGCATTTCTGTAGAGACAGGGGTCTTCCCATGTTGCCCAGGCTGGTGTTGAACTCCTGGGCTCAAGAGATCCTCTGGCCTTGGGCTCCCAAAGTGCTGGGATTACAGGCATGAGCCAATGCACCCAGCCGTACTTCACATATTATAAATATTTGTTAAATAAACAAAATGTGTTTTATTTATTCATTCATTCCACAAATGTTTAACATCTACTACATGACAGGCAATACTGTAGGAGTTGGGATTATAACACTGAATAATACAAAGTTCCTGTTCTCAAGTCACTCACTTTCTAGTGGAAGTCGGACTATGAACAAATATAAAATATCAGATAAGGGATGTGTTATAAAGAAAATAAACCATGCTGATGTGATCAAGAGCAAATGTGGGCTCCCTTTAGATTGTATAGCAAAGGACCTCTAAAGCAGGAGAAGACCAGTGTGGCTTCCACAGCATGAGAAGGGGACGAGAAAGAGGTGGGCAGGGGACAGATTACATGAGGGGACATGATCTGACTGATGTTAATAAGAGATCACTCTGGCTTCTCTTTGAAATCTGGATACTGAGGGGGGTGAAAAAGAAGCTGGAAGCCTATCATAGGAGATCTTTACAGCAGAGAGAAGAGAAAAAAATGCAACTTGGAGTGAAGTGATGGTAATAAGATGGAGGAAAAATAGACAAAATTGAGGTATGTTTCAGCAATAGAGTCAGCAGGAGATTCCTGAGGGATTGGATTTTGGAGGGAAGGGAAATAAAACAATCTAGGAAAATTCATAGGGTTCTGGCTTATATAACTAGGTAGACACTGACACCATCTTCTCAGACGAACAAGACTAAAGGAGAAGCAGGTTGGATGAGGGAATCAAAAAGGTCTGATTATGTTTCATTTATTTTTTTCACTTGATATTCACAACTTGTGAGATACCAAGTACCGTTGAGCCCTATTTTATAGTAAGAAAAACCTAGAGAAAAAGTGATTTTTTAACTTTTTAGAAATTAAACATCTTTCAAGTCTTTTGACTTCAACTCTAAAGTTTATTACCTCAATTTGAAAGAGCCAAAGTCAATTCCAGAGAATAAAAAAAAGAAAACCTAAGATTTAAAAACAATTATTAGTTTTATTTAACAGCATTTGCTAACATGTATGCTTATCTTTCTTTTTTTAATATTCAAAGTTAATTACTATCTGTCTATGTTCAGTTATAGCCATCTTGTTTTGGGTAGAAGCTACCCATTGCCTGAAATCAGTATGATGACCTGGATTAATATTCTACAACAGTGTTTTGGACGCTAGACAGCACAGTTGGTTAGTGTGCATTAATATGGCTGAAATAGCAAGTCAGACCTTCACAAAGGCCTCTAAAGTATGATCAAGGAATAAAAGTTTAAGACTCTGAATGACATCACATGACCCACCACTAGATCAAAAGCCCCAAAGTACCAGAGTATCATGAAATGGGCAGGTGTTCCCTGCTCAAAATGCTATGTCAAAAACTAGGTTTTCACCCATTTTAATCTGGGACACTAGGAATGATTTCAACAAACACTTGTTTAGAAACAACGGCTTCCCCCAAAAAAAAGCATTCCATAAGTGCTTGCATTGTTTATCACAAGATGAACAATAGCTATTGGCTATAAATGGCTGATCATTAATGGGGAGAATGATCCTAATAATGACATATGTCCTAATAATGACAGACTTTCAGATTTTCCAAGTCCACAAAAGGCAGCCTTTGGTCATTGTGAAAACAATCATTTTCTTTTTTGGAAATAGTATTTTCTTTTGGCTTTCAGACTGAAGCATCGTCTAGTATTTTTCTATCAATACTAAAAAGACCCAAAGCCTTGACTTTTGCTTTAGCTCTGATGCAGAACTGCCAAATGTGAGTACTATGAAAGAGTCGATATGGATGAGAAAAAGTGCACTGATATTAAGCTTCAAAGCCAAACTTTATGTTGGGGTAGATGAGAAATAGAAAAAGAGTTAATTTCCAAAACCATTTTTTCACTGAAACATGCATTCATTTTCCTTGAAAACAAACAAACACAGTGCTTGGAAAAAAAAAAAAAGGAAAAAGAAACAGCAGTGCCTTTATCACATAAAATATTCAGCATTTTGTTTTAGTTTCTTAAATGAATAGGAACAATTTTAGGAATGCCTTCAGTAAAAACTAAAATTCATTTGCTGAGCTCCCCCTGCTGATTTACAACAGCAAATATTAGTTGTTTCACAAGAGAACATTACCATAAAAACTCATTTTTGTTTCTTAGAAACTTAAAATTCCTGGATTACTTTTAAAAATTTCAACCAAGTCGTTAAATACATATCCTAAAAATAGTTGACTGGAACAGACATATGGTGGTACTTACAATGTCTGAATTAACATGTTAGAATTCAGTAATGAGAATATAACATCTAGGTCAGGTTACCCAACCTTTCCTCTCAGAACCTGAGAAAAGGGAGAAATCAATTTAATTCTCTCCATAAATCTTTTGGAAGACAGATGTAGAGACAGCATGTGCCATTTTCACTGGGACAATTACAATGACAACTTAATGGATAACTAAGCACAATCTGGTTTATAGTCAGGTTAATGGTAGATTGTGTTCTTTGAAGACAAGAACTGCATCTTAGTCATGTTGGCATGCTCAAACGACCAACAGAACTCTTCCAACTCTTATTAAGTCTTCTAGTAATACTTGATAAAACACTTTGAATACGAGTACAATTGTTTTCTGAATATGAGTACAAATCTGTGCTATTGTTTATTTTAGTACCAAAGTCCAAGGAGAGACTTGATGTGCTCTCTCCCACCCTGACACACTGAAATCTATGTATTTAAAAATTGCCTTGGCCCTAACCTGTCCTAAAATATAAAGTTAATTTGACTAGCATGGTCCATGCAATATAAGAAAAGGGAAATACTGATTAAGAAGACTATATAAAAGACATAAAGATTACTGAATTTTGCCACAGAGCAAATGCACGTGGAGGAATAAAATTTTGTACCGTATAGCAATAAACTTCCAGTGTATTTGTGAAATACTGAGGGAAGAAATAATGACTGGAGTTTAATTATCAGACAGAAGATGGTAGTCACCTATACAGAATTTTTTCTATATGCTTGAATAGGGCTGCAAGAGATGGTAATAAAATATTTGTAGGTCTATGTATTTATCAAGTGACTCTACCTAAACAAGGTCAAACGGCTTGTGTCTGACAAATTCCAGTCTATGTAATCATCCTTCGAACACAAGGAAACTATTTCAGCTTTGCAAATAGACACTTTGCCTTTCATTGGGGAACAAATTATTTTACATATTTAGGATGAAATATTTCATAACCTTCCCTTCGGGGCTCTCTGACTCATGTCCCCACTGTGCACTCAGAGGCATCACCTAGGCTCCCTAGGGAGCTCCCTTGCCCTCTTCCCCTTTTGAGTATAGGCCTGCGCTGTGGCTTCTGGACAGATTACTGCTGGAGGGAACTTCCTCCACATGCAATCTTGTCACAACATCACCTAATATAATATGTGTGCTACTGCCTCTGCACCATGGTCATATCTTTTTCCTAAATCAAACCCCAAATGCCTCAAACCCCTACAGTAATGCACAATATTCCTTTCATAGAATGTTAATAGATTTTACCTGAAAAATATGACCCCATGGTGAATTTAGTTTTGGAAATGCTGTTAAACAGATTTCCCTACCACAGGGCATCCCAGAACCTTTACTATATTTATTTGCATTGTGACTTTCCAAGAGAGGAATGAAAAACTCAGTGTTTCCAAAACTCATGTGGGAAACTCAGTGTTTTCCACACTGGAAACATTTATTGGGGAGCATCTTGGGAAAGCAGAAGCATGGCTGGCTTTTTACATCATGGGAAGCGGCCTCAGGGCTGAGGTGAATGGGCATTAGTGGGGAAAGTAACTTCTTTGAATTGCTCACGTAAATACTGGTGTCTAAAAACCATTCTCCACTAAATTAAACTAGGGCTCCTTGAGAAATAGGTAATTCCAGGGCTAGGGAAAAGAAAGTACTAGATAAGCCTGAAACATCTTTTCAAATCAGAAAGTAAAGAAGTCCTCGTAGAACGGACAGTGACATGTGAAAAAAATATAGGGGCTTACAGGAAAAAATGAAGGATGATTTCAGCATCAAAGTAAATTATGTTAATAAAGATTAACCCATCAAATAAAGTAAGAATCTGCAAGTACACGCTGGTATGAATAAATAAATGAAATTTTGAAATGGAGAGAAGGAAAAAGTTCTACCTTGTAGTAGAATGCCAATTAATAAATAGAGAAATAACAATAGAATATAAAAATCACCATTTGGCCACCATCACAGTAATAACTGACTAAGGCAAAAATCATCAATGGATCCTAAAATTAGTGGGTAAAAATTTTATGGTGAATACGATATTTACATAGCCAAAGAATCAATGGACTTCATGTCAGTAAATATTTGTCAAACGATTAAGACATACATATAAACACACAAACATATATATATATTTTAACAGGGAATGGTAAAGTAGATGGAGTGCAACCTTAACAACTGGGAATCTGAGTGAAATTTGAGTTCTTTCTTCCATTCTTGCAATTTTTAAAATAAATTTGAAATCACTTCACAATAAAAAGTAAAGTAAGGTGTAGGAAAAGTCCCTTCTCTTACATTGCTTTGGTAATGACAGTTTCTAGCTGCTCAATTCAATCAATTAATTAGTGTTCTACCCACTTTACTCTTCACAGAAGCCTTTACCACTGACCAGAGGAATGGATGATGCCTCCCTTGGTTCCCAGGACTGAGTGCTCCTTCCTTGGACAGCTTCTGCTGGGGATGTTTTTTCCTCCAGTTGAAGAATCACTACGTAGTGATGTTGCTATACCCCTCAACCACTTTTCTCACTCACAGGCCCCAGAGAAAGCACATCCATGCTATTGACTTCAGGCCCACTTAACTCATGGGTAAGTTTCTTCTAAAATTTTAGTTCTGACTCACCTTTCCCAGTAATTCACAGGCACAGAGCTTCTGATTTTACTACACTTTGCAGGTTCCATGGTTTTTGCATCTTCTTAAAAGGTCATTGCTTTTCTCATCTTAGAATTCTTTCAATGCTTCTAAATAGAAAACTTTAAAGTCACCAAATGGTTTCCTCAAATCCTCCATATCATCTAGCATAATGCAGGGCATGTATTAGGTGCTAAGTAGATATTTCTTGACTTACTGACTGGAACATATTTACCTGTTCCTGAACTATTAGAAAACATTTCATTATATAGGCATGTCCTAAGAAATACTACAATAAACACCTCAGCAAAATTAACATTTTTCTCAATTACTTTTATTATACAACCAAAGATACAATAATAAAAATCACAGATAAAATTAAGAAACACTTAAAAAGAAAGAAACATTTTGCTAGACTCTATCAGTGGTATTCCAAATTTTAAACCTGAAGCATTTTGGAATAACATATCTTGTACTGTAAAGGAACCAGTGACAGATATAGTATTTAAAGCCAGAAAGCAAAGATGTTCTATGATTCAAACCATTTCATCTGACTCCACTATAATCTAGTGCTTCCATACAGAAATCTCAAGGCTTTTAAGTGTTTAATTACCATCTATTTTTGAAAATAAACTTAAGGCCCAATGATAGTGCTTAAGATCTCAGTCTCTGGAGTCCAACATACAATAAGACCATTTACTGAGGAACCTCAGGCAAATTACTTAACTTGATCGAGCCTCAGTTTTCTCATATGTAAAATAGGATATTAATGGTACCTAAATCAAAGAGCTGCTATTAGGCAGAAATACAGTGGTATTTGTAAGGTAGGTGGCATATGTTAAGCACTCAACAAATACTCATTATTATTATTATTGTTATTACTGCCATGATTAAATAAAAATGAAAAAATAAAAAAACCAGGATCTCAAAGTGCATACATAGCATGATTCAATTTCACTAAAAGGGCAAAGCACATATAAACATATATATATATATATATATATATATATATATATATATATATACACACACATTTGTATTTATATGTACATATTTAAGGTATTTATTTATACATATGTTTTTATATATATTCATGTGTTGTTTAACAATGGGGATACTTTCCAAGAAATGCATTGTTAGGCAATTTCATTATTGTGTAAACATCATAGAGTGCACTTACACAAACCTAGATGGAATAGCCTACTACATACCTAGGCTATATGGTATAGCTTATTGATCACAGGCTACACACCTGTGTAGCATGTTACTGTACTACAGGAAATTGTAACACAATGGTAAGTATTTACAAATCTAAACATATTAAACAGAGAAAAGGTAAACTAAAAATAGAGCATGAAAGATTAAAAATGGTACACTTGTATAGGGCATTTGCCATGAATGGAGTTTGCAGGATGGAAGTTGCTCTGGGTGAGTCAGTGAGTAAGTGGTGAGTGAATGTGAAGGCCTAGGACATTATTGTACACTACTGTAGGCTTCATTAACAATGTATACTTAGGCTACACTAAATTCATAAAAAATATTTTTCTTTTTTCCATAATAAATTAAACATTTAATTTTTTAAAAACTTTTTGACTCTTTTGTAATAACACTTAGCTTAAAACACAAACACACTGTACAGTCATACAAAAATATTTTCTTTCTTTATATTCTTATTCCATAAGCTTTTTTTTTTTTTGAGACAAAGTCTCACTCTTGTCCCCCAGACTGGAGTGCAATGGTGCAATCTCAGCTCACTGCAACCTCTGCCTCTGGGGTTCAAGCGATTCTCCTGCCTCAGCCTCCCGACTAGCTGGGACTACAGGCGCCTGCCACCACGCCTGGCTAATTTTAGTAGAGATGGGGTTTCACCATGTTAGCCAGGCTGGTCTCCAACTCCTGACCTCAGGTGATCCATTCCACTTCGGCCTCCCAAAGTGCTGAGATGACAGGCATGATCCACCGCACCCGGCCCATAAGCTTTTTTTCTACTTATTTTATTATTATTTTTTTTAAGACAGAGTCTCGCTTTGTCGCCCAGGCTGGAACGCAGTGGTGTGATCTTGGCTCACTGTAACCTCCACCTCCCAGGTTCAAGCAATTCTCCTGCCTCAGCCTCCTGAGTAGCTGGGATTACAGGTGCATATCACCACGCCCAGCTAATTCTTGTATTTTTAGTAGAGATGAGATTTCACTATGTTGGTCAGGCTGGTCTTGAACTCCTGACCTCATGATCCACCCACCTTGGCCTCCCAAAGTGCTAGGATTATAGGTGTGAGCCACTGCGCCTGGCTCTCTACTTAATTTTTTTTTTTTTTTTTTTTTTTTTTTTACTTTTTAAGCTTTCTTGTTAAAAATAAAGACATGAACATACACATTCGCCTAGGCCTGCACAATGTCAGGTTCACCCATATCACTGCCTTACACCTCCACATCTTGACCCATTGGAAGATATTCAGGGGAACAACATGCATGAAGCTGTCATCTCCTATGATAACAATGCTTTCTTCTGGAACACTTCTTGAAAGGCTGCCTGAGGCTGTTTTACAGTTAACTTTTTGTTAATAAGTAGAATGAGTTAATATAAGTATAATAAGTTAATAAGTAGAATGAGTACACTCTAAGTGATTAAAAGTATATGGCATTATATGTATATATATAAAATATATTTTTATATATATTAAATTACATATATATAAAACACACATCCCAGTAACAGTTGCTTACATTAGCAAGTATTACGTACTGTACATAATTGAATATGCTATTCTTCTACACAACTGGCAGCACAGTAGGTTTGTTTACACCTGCATCACCACAAATACATGAGTAATTCATTACAATAGGACATTACAACAGCTGTGACATCACTAGGCAGTAAGAATTTTTCAGCTCCATTATAATCTTATGGGACCACCATTGTATATGCAGTCCATTGCTAATCAAAACATCCTATGTGGCACATGGCTATATTTTACATTGATATTTACACATATATATGTGCTATGTGTGTGTGTATGTATCTATATCTATACCGAGAGACAGAAAGCACACGAGTCTGCAAGGAACCATGAAAGAGATTCATAGAAAAAAGATATGAAAAAAAAATGCACCACCGAGTGGTCATCTAATGATCAATGAATAACAATTCATTTTGTTCTTACACTTCACCGTATTCTTCAGATTTCTATGAACAGATTATCTTTGCAAATATAACCATAAATATGCTATTAAAAAAAACCTTTCGCAAGAATGAACCATATTTGTTTAGAGTGTTATGTCCACAAAAATTTTGTTCACATTATTTACAATACGGATGGTCCTCAACTTACCACAGTTCAACTTACAATTTCTTGAGGTTATGATGGGTTTATTGGGAAGTAACCCATCATAAGTCAGAGAGCTCTGTATGACCCATGATGGGTTACAGCTTTTATTGAATAGATGTCGCTTTCACGCCATCATAAGTCGAAAAATCTTAAGTCAAACCATAGTAAGTAGAGAACTATCTGCTATGTCAGTGGCATTAAATTCATTTTTGACTTAGGATATTTTTTATTTACCATGAGTTTACAGAGGCATAACCCCACTGTAAGTCAAGGAGCATCTGTAATTAGGAAAATACCGTTTTCACTGCTTTACATAGCCAGCTTGCTTCTTTTCATCAGAGAATAACTATGAAGAAAAAAATAAGTGACATGATTACCCTCTGCAAGTTCCACTCGGGTTGCTCACTGGTTCCATCATGTCCTATCCTTATCTTATATATGTTTCCAGTGTTTCTTATTTCAACCTGAATGAAATGCAAAGGAGAAAAAAATTATCAGAATTTTTTAAATTAAGCACATTAAAAAATTCTTTCTTTTTACACTAACTGCATTTTTTGTTCCTAATAGTTAAAAAGCTCTCAGGAACTCTTTCAGAGTCTAGAAATGAAATGCCCTCAAGAAACAATCAGTGAACCTCACAGACACAGAGTATGAGACAGAAATATCATGAGACTTGACTAAAAATATGCAGAAGGAGTCAAATGAGAGAACAGGATGAAGAACACACATATGCTCAGTTCTCTGACTACCACACATTTCTCACTGGAAGCCAACACTTTCTGAGTTCCAATGACAGAAAGATGGGCTTGTATTTTAAGAAATTAAAAAAAAAAACAATTTTCGCCAAAGAAAAGCTAAATATGGTGATTTCTACAAGCTTAAGAAAAGTGTGAGTCTAGAACTTCCTTGTACTCTGAAAATCCTGTTGTCTTTGATGATACCTAGGTTAAGATATAGATGTTCTACGTTCAAGGAAGAGAAGCAAACCTGCCCACAGAATATGGGTGCTGATTTAGTTTTTGATGTGGCCCAAGAGTATTTGTTAATCCAGGTAGCATTGTGGAGAACTGGCTTTGGGAATCACTTTTAGCTCAACTGGAAGCCTAGCTGTTGCAAACGGAGTAAAATATGTTTTTGTAAACTGAGTAAAGTATGTTTTTTTTACTTCTCTTATCTTCAATTTCTTTATCTGTTGAATGGTCACATAATGCTTTCTGCATAAAATTTTCAGTTCAACTAAATAAATGTATATTAAAACAATAAACAATGTGCAAGTCCACAGGTATGCGAAGATGAAAATGACGGCACAATCTCTAACTTGGAGAAATATACAGACTAGCAAGGGAGACAGACTTATAAGCAGATATTTTTAGTATAATAAAATATGTCCAGGACACTGAACTGTGAGGATTTTTTTTAAATGTAATATACCACCTTATTGCTTAATGGCTTCAATAATAGCCATTGTTATTATTTCTACTACAGGCACCAATCTACCTCTGCAGACTAGAGATATAAAGAGGCAGGCACTTGCATATTATGTCTGACTAGACATTGCCTACCTATGGACTAGACCCTGAAAGAGCTGGGACAGTCAAATCACCCAGAAACTATCAGAACTCCTTTTTCATACCCAGTTCCCATGCTTAGAATTCTTTTTTTTAAGTGCCCACCACCACTTTCCCCTACAGACTGCAGCAGCTAGAACAGACCTGGGCCTGTTTCAATGCCAGGTCAAGAGAAATTATGCTGTTCTCAACTGGGAAGAAGGAAAATAGGGATGTTAATCCCCAACAGCCAATTTCCCCCCACTTCCTTATTCCCAGAGCTGGTTTCAGTGGCAGAACTCAGAGGCTAGCTCTTCCTCCCAGAGGAAGCAGGAAGTTATCCTCCAGTTTGAGGCTAGTTTGTCTCTAAAAGGTAAACCACACTTTAAATATCCTTTCATTGTCCCAAGAATCTATTAGCACTTAAGTGTAAACTTCCTTTCTCCACAATTTAAGTGAAAACAATAAAGGGATATCTGAACAGTCTGGTTACCAAGCATATGTGACTTGATACCTATCTGTCTGTTAAGGCAGAAGAGCAGAACTAACTGCCACTCAGGTCTGTGCCAGCCAGGGGGGAAAGACTTGACATGCTTGTCCCTTCCAATCCACACAGTCACCCTGTGAAGGGTAAGGCTCTTTTAAGTGTCTACTTTAAAAGATGAAGAAATTCAAACAGGTTAAGTCATTTGTCTAAGGATACACAGCTGGATACACAGAAAGTTCCAAAAGTAAAATTTGAACCCAAGTTTAATAAAATATCCCACATTGTCCTCAAAAATGGCTATATGCTCACTTCAGGACTGGAAAGAAGGAAAAGAGAATGAAAGACAAACTTATAAGTGGCAAATGATGCCAATGAAAAGGAACAAGGGAATCAATACCCACAGAGAAGAGAGTGTATAAATGTGTCAATTCATTCTAATTTAGGATTCTCAAACTATCATAAGACCCCAGTCTTATGAGTGCCCATTAACCCCTAGGCCAGTGCTTCTCAAACTTTAGTGCACACACAGATTACCTGGGGATCTGGTTAAAATGCAGATTCTGATGCAGTAGGTCTGGGATGGGAACCCAAATTCTGTGTGTTTAACAAGATCCCAGGCAATGCCCATCCTGCTGGCCTGGAGTCCACAAGACTCTACACTCCTGGGGGCTTCCATGTGTAGACCCAATCTCCACCACTGAGGTAATAATCTAAAGCTATTCACACTTCACAGTAAATGACAGAGGCCAGTAGAAAACATATCCTGAGCCATTTACCAGCAGAGGGAGTCCTTGGTGCCTGTAATCTGTCATCTGTAGAGCACTTCCCATCTACCAGGTGCAGCGCACGGCACACACCTTCCCAGGCATTCTTTAAACTACACAGCAAGGCTTTTAAGTGAGTATTATTACCCACCTTGTGCTAAGTAGGATACTGAGGATTAGTAAGGATAATCAGTCTATTTAACGTCACAGAACTAGTGAGAGGGTGATTTGAACCTGGTCTCTGACTCCAAGGCTTCTGTTCTTAACCAGTTTATGAGTTTTACCGTATGTCAATAGGATTCCTTTTTTAATTTATACACATTTTCTCTTTTTGTCATCACAATACCTTAAAATTTAGAAAGAAAAGATCTTATTGCCTGTATTCTATACATAAAGATAGTGCTGGCCTGGAGAAATTAAGTGGCATATTCAAGGTCACATAACTAACATGTGGGAAGCAAGGACTCCAATCTAGCTCATCCGATTTGCAGTCTAGTGCTATATCCAGGATTCTCAACCTTGGTTGCACTTTAGAATCACTTGGGGAACATCTAAAAACCTCAATACCCAGACTGTACCTCAGGCAAATTAAACTAGAATTTCTGGAGGTGGAATCAGGCATCAGTAGTTTTTAAAGCTCCCTGGGTAATTCCAATGTGCAATCAAGACTGAGAATCTATACCATCCATTCCAAGATTTGACCCTAAGTAAATTTTTCAGAAAAACATTGATAGGATTTATCAGCATATAAATACATATACCACAAGGTATATTATGAGAAAATTAGACTTTTGTGGGGTGACTTAAGGATCTAACCATACATACACATTCTGAATTCTAAACAATTATCTTCAAATAATCTTTTGAAATATGTATTTGTATAAGGTATGGCTGCCTGTGCAAGGAGCCAAAGTGCTCCTCCACAACTGCAGACAACTGCTTTTCTTCAGCGAAAATTAACTTTAATGATTACAAAAGTAGAATGACAGGCTCAGGTCTAAGAATCTAGAAACCATTTGAGTATTAGTGATTGCCAGGTACTGTAGCCCCAAATAGCCTTGGGTTCCTGGTGACATGAGTTGTCCTCAATCATTCTCTATTCTCTAGCCAGCCTTAGGATGCAAAAGGAATACCCTCCAGAGAAAATGACTGCTGTTTAACAGTACACCAAAGAGCCACACAGCTTTCACAGGCAGTGGGGCTGGAAGGGTGAATTAGTGAAGTGGAATGTAATTGTCCTAATTGAAACTTGGCCAAAGCTCTGAGGAACAAGGAGAGGCAACCAGCTACATGCAAACTTAAGCAGCCCAGTGCTCTCTGACTCTAAGAAGTAAAGGAGAGAGAAATTAGAAATGGGCATGGGCAAAGCTTCAAAACATGGCCTGTGAAGATGCCAAGGAAATGATTTCATTCTCAAGACTTTTTTAATTAAAAAGATGAAAAATAATTTTATAAAAAGAAAATAATTTCAGACCTGTATAGCTCAGCTGAGCAACATCTATAAGTATATGCAAGTATATAAAAGAAGAGTTTTCATTACCAGAATAATCTCTATACAGCTTATAAGCCGGTTATAAATTGAGTTGAAGTTGACAGTTTATAGGGCCAGTTTCAAACCCATGGCCTAAAATAAACTGTCTTTAAAGAAAGCAAATTTTTCTACAACTTTCCTTGCTTGAATAAGATATGTGAGCAAAAATATTTCCTTTGATTGTTACAATAAGCATTATTAACTTACAGGCATTCTAAAAGACCAGAGGTTCATTTTATATAGGAGACACACACACACACACACACACACTTCTACATTACAGAAATGTCTTTGAAATGTTCACAGGAAAATATTACTGCCAGTGTTGTTTACCTGAAACTCATCCTCGTGTCCTGGAAGGAAGAGCTGCTCTGAGCTGTCCTTGCGAAGACTTATTGGCCCAGTGACTCCTTTATCTCCATACACCCAGAGAGTGACATTGGCTTGAGTTCCTGTATTTCCTGTCAGCACTAACACCTTCCATTCATCTTCTGACAGAAGAGTCTCACTACTTTGGAAATGTCTGATTTCTTCTATGGGGGAAAAAAGCATTAGTGGCAGATCAGATATAACATCAGGCTGACAGAATCCTTTGTCACACTGGAGCCAAAGGACATGAAAACTGGGCAGGGTAGGGTGAAGCAAGCAGGAGGCACTGCACTGTGAAGACTCCAGGGAGCTGATTTGCGCTTGTCTCCTCACAGCAAGGTTCTGGTCAACTGAAACTCAATCACCGAAGTAAACTGGATTCGAACAATAAACATCTGACCTACATGGCAATCTTTCACTTATCCTCAATGCTATAGCACAGGAAGGCAAACTGGAGTTTCTGTCCCATGGCCACAGATTTTTCATAAAGCTGCCTGCTTGACCTACATATTTTATATAGAACTACCACCATATAAAGTAACAAAAAAGGGGAATTAAAACATGTTTTCACATAAAATAGGTAAGTGGCAAATTGAGGGCAAAGAAAAATTTTCTGAAATATTTCTGAAAAAATTAAAAAATACCTTACTGGCGTGGGCAATGGAAAGGATTTGGAACTAAAGAGAGAATTTTCACACATACAAATGGTTCCTGAGGTGCTCAGAGCAGTTGTCCATGACAGCAGGGATGCAAAGCACTTGTGTTTCACAATGCATCCTCTAGCAACCAGCAGTGCCCAAACACAGTCACTCCTGTTTGTAAAGAATGCCATGACATCCCAAGCTAGAATGGCTGTCTTCTTCACACTCCCTTTCGCCTGTGGTCTCATCTGAGGAGATACTGGGCCAGACAATGCTGAGGGCATCTCCCAAGCTACTCTGCACGGGTTGTCTGAAAGTACCCCAAATGCACTTTAATTCTTAACTGATATTTCCACTTTGAAATCTTATATACCCAAGATGATGAGGCAAAAGTTCTTCATGTCAAATGGTTAAAAGGTAGCCAGAGCTGATCTCCTTCCTTTAATTCTGTAGCTTGAAACTATAGGCAGCCCTCGGCAGCACTTAGGATCTTACCAACAATGATGACAAGTCTAGAAAATAAGAAATTCTTCCTGCTAAGCTATAATGAACTAATTTTAAAATAAAAACCATGCAAAAATATATAAATAAAAACAAATGCTATGAAAGAACTGACATTCATTTTTAAAAGTTTCTTTCTCTAGAATGTGCTGAGTAATCTCTGTCAGTATAACAGCTCTGGGTAATCTCTGTGGGAGTGACTGAACAATTTAATTGTTTTTAAGCTCCTATTATATGCAGGGTTCTGTGTTGCATGTTTCATATGCATTTCTCATTCAATCCTCATTCCAAACTCATAAGGTGAGTCAAATTATGATGCTCATTTTAAGAAGAGGAAAAGAAGCAGGGAAGTTAAATAATATAGCCAAGTCACATAATAAGTAAACTATGGGATGTTTAACTGCAACGCACCTGCACTTAAACAAGCTTGATAGGCATTCCGTGTTCACCTAAACATAATTCACCAGGATGCAGCAGTGCTGCTAGCATCTGAGGTTTTCTTCTGCGCTGCACACTACCCTAAGCACTTAACATTCATCATCATGTCACTCTCACTCAACCCTCATACTACTCCTGTGAGGTGCTGTCCCCTATTAAGCAGATGGACAGACTGGGACTCAGAAGTGAAGTGACTTGCCCAGAGTTACACAGGAAGTAACAGGGAACTAAACTTCAAACCCAGGCAGAGCAAGTGTGAATCCCATGCCATTTACATCAGAAGTAGCTGACCCAGAAATGATCACAAAAATTGGTCCAACAAAATTTTATGGCATGATCTAATTTTCAAAACTCAGTGTTACATGTGAACATTTGGCCACTGTGCCTGACATTTCTAGTCAAACACACTTGGAATTTCCTCAGGCCCAGGCAATTGCATTACCAGATCTCTACTGACAAAGACTCCACAGCACATCCATGAGTTCCAGAGAGAAACTGGTGATCCTAGGTCAATGGCTGACATTTTAGGATGTCGATCATTCACTTACTTACTATCTTATGGATATCTTATTCATCTAAAAGAATCACTTTCACTCAACTAAAGAAAACTTTAGTTCCTATTATTTGCTGGGCATTGTGTTGGGCTCATTGCTCTCATAATAACAGAACTGATGAAAAGTTTGAAAGATAACTAATGAGAGTCTCACCCTGGAGATACATGCTATCCAGTGGTGAAAACAGACATATAAATATCTGGATTTCAAATATTCAAATACCTTCATGGAAAACAAACAAACAAATAAAAAACTACTGAAAAGTTCAGGTGTAGCGGAGGGCAGGAAGTGAGTAATTGAGGAGTGGGCAGAAAAGGCTTCACAGAGGAAACCTTAGTGCTGGATGTAGGAATATGGCTCAGAATTTCGCAGAAAGACAGGAAGAGCATTCTAAACAGAGGGGACAGCATTCCCAGCATGTGCATGGCTTGCAGCAGCAGGCATGCTGGAAGAACTGCAGGTGCCAATGTTCAGCTGAACACAAGATATTATGTGTGAAGAGGAGAGACAGAAATGTGAGGATCGTGGAAGGCACTGGCCAAGCTGGAAGGGAGTTGGCAAATCCTTTTGCAAGCAACAGAGAGCCAGTCACAATTTTAAAGTATGGTGGTGGTCTGAGCTAAGTATTAGAAAGATCGGTCTGAAACAGGGTGAACTGTAGCAGGGACAGACTGAGGTAAGAAGGCCAGTGAACAAACAATAGACACTAGACAGTGAACAAACATACAAAGAAACAAACTCTGAAATGAAATCAAGAGACCACAGTTATTTAGTCTGAATTTTTTTTCCATGTCCGTGCATGAATGAACACAAATCTATGTGTGTATGTGTTCAGCTTGTTTGTTTGATTTAATCTGCAAATGAGTTGACAGCCTCTAAGGCCCCTTATTCCTGCATTAACATGTTCTTGCATCATTTGCACAAAAATAACACATTGTCAGGGTACACTCATATTATAAAAATTGATGGCTAAATATGATATAATCTATAATGCAGAATGATGTATTAAAGTTTGTACTGTTATCAATTAAATATGAACACCATGTAATACCATGATCTTTTGGAAATAACCAACGTCCATTAGTCTCAGACTATAAATTTCTGCTGAGAACTGAGAACCATAAAAGCAGTTGCTTTTGTTGACCAGAAGTTTAAAATACTCTAAGCTAGGAGAATATTTAATGGGGACCCTGGATTAGTCAATAGACTCCTTCTCGGTCACCCTGAATAAAATCTGTGGTACCTAAGATTATACAGATGACTCAAAAACATGCCCTGTGAGGGTGACTGAACAATTTAATTAAACACCAATCAGGTTGACTCAGACCAAAAAAACAAAAAATGTTAATCTACTTTGTGTTGCTGCTAGTCCACTGAAGCTCTAGTGGAAAAAAATAAATTACTTGTAGAAATAAGTAATAAACTAGCTGATTCTAATAGTTCATGGGTTGATTAAAGTTAAGGTCAGCATAAAGCATGAATTACCATCAGAGTGTGGCCATAAAAGGACAGATTTTATAGCCTCTATATGCTATTCCAAGATAGTATTTGAGAAAACTGATTTATTCTAACATGTCATTGAAAACAACTGAAAACAAATGTGTCCTAATATCTGATAGTGTAATATCAGATATTTAAACCCTAATTTCAAAACATATAATCTGCAAAAAATAAGACAGTGAAAGCATCCCCCTATAGTTATCTTGCAATAGATGAAATCTATTTCTACAAAATTAACATAGTCTTGTTTTATTCATAAATTTCCAGTTTCTCAATTAAGGGATACAAAGCACAGGATGCACAAAGCTGGTAGAGATAACTAACACAGAAAACAGGATCACATAATCAAAGGCATCCTAACATGCTTGCCCATTGGATTAATACCAAGAAGATAAAAACTAACCAGGATCAAGGTAAAGGTCTGTGTCTTGGTTGAAAGATCAGTTATATGTTTTACACTGAAAGGATATTATGAATAAAATATCCTAATGATCTTAATATAAACCAGAAATGCAATAAAAATGCCCAAAACATGTATTCCAAGCTGAGACTGTATTAACTGATGTATAAGGTCACATAAAAGGAATACCATTATTCTAAACTGTTCAGATTATATGAGAAGACAGGTTCCTACTTGGAGATTCACACTTTAAGAGAAATATTCATAAAGGTGAAGAGTCTAAAACCATATATAAGAAGAAATTATTAAAGCAATATATTTGACACAGATGAGAATATACTAAAGAGAAATACTAAGAATCCACTTTTGGTATATTTATATACATATAAGAAGAATATACTAAGAGGAAATGAGAATATACTAAGAAAAAACAACAATGGTTGTTTTATAGAAGAAGATATTGACTTTTTTATAGGCCAAAAGAATTTATGGGTAGTTTTTCTGCTCAACATAGGGAGGTACTTTCAAGTGATTAGGATTATCTGAAATGGAATGGCTTATTTCTGCACTCTTCCTGTGAACCTCTATGTTGCTTATGATGTGTCAGAGGTCCCTTCAAATCCTCAATCTATGATGAACGAAAACTTACACTACCTTTACAATATATAATTTACAACAGCACAAGCATTAAAAAAAATAAAACTATAGTTCACTCTGGATGCCAAGTGCTATTTTTTATATTAAAAAGGACACAAAAATTACAACAAGAATAACCATTAATATAATTCATTATCTTGTAATTCCATTTATGGGAATTATTCTAATGAAATAATATATAGATGAGCATCCATTACAAATTATAATAAGAAAATAGGTAAATATGTTATGCTACGTCAACAAAATGGATTATTTGTAGTTATTAAATTTTATTTAAAATATTTATTATGAAAAATTCTTTAATGATTAGTACCTTCTATTAACTGAGAAGGTTACAAAATGATATATTTAATATAATCTACAAGTGTATATACATACATATATGCACAAGCATAAATAGATTTTAAAGTGCTCTTTGGGGGAGTAGTAAGTTGATATAATTTTAAGATTTTCCTGTATGCTTGATGTGTTCTACTTTTTTTCGGAATGAAATTATTTTTAGTCAAACATGACTACCCAAGATTTTTCAGAATTTACTGACTGCTGTTTTTAAGGAAGACTTCAACTTAATAATAGATTTTTTTTCTGCCCAGGTTTATTTGTTTTTAAAGTATTGGCACCTAAACATATTTAGGAAAGAAAATGCCATGGCTGAGACTTTGGCACAGATTAGGATTTGCCTGGCAACACTGTAGAACATGCCACCACAAACAGATGATGGACTGGCAGGATGGCTGCACTGCACTGTTCAAGTGCCCATGCACAGAGACAAGCGACTGGAGCTGAGACCTGCATAACATTCATCTTCCTGGGTCTTGATTTTCTCATTTATAGAAATAGGTAGTTGCCGGAAAGATATCTAAGGGCAATTTCAGTTCAGAGCATCAAATCATAAGTCTTCTCTTTTTATATTCGGTTTGAATGTGTTTAAATGCAGTGTTTCCAAACTTAAAATTATGCAGAAGTAATGTATATTCTCACTTAAATAATTTTTAAAATATGGCATTTCTGAAGTATTTATGAATAATATGGTGTCTTATATTTGCTTTAAAATAATTAAATGAGGACATTGTAGGGCATAGCAGGAAGGACCATAACTAAGACAGAACTACGTCTATGTTGATCATTGTTGAAGCTGAGTGATGGGTACATGGGGGTTCATTTGTCCATTATCTCTACCTTTGTGTGTGTTTAAAATTTTCCATAATAAAAAGATTATTCTAAAAAAATAAGATTCCTTCCTCAACCCCACCACCCTAACAAAATTAATATCATAATGCAGTTTAGACCTAAATGACAGCCTTGCAAATTTAATGACACTATATCTCTACTTAACTACTACAAAATAACTATTTATCATATATGTGCTATTTTAAGTTCTAAATCCTCTTGCCCTTTTGATGTAGATGAGAAAAGTTCCATCTTTCTTCTTAATAAATAAGCATTTTGAATGAAGACAGAACAGTTTTATTTTGTCTATAATTTCTCATTCCCAAAACTATACATCTTGCCCTATCCCAAAAGTGGGTGGACAAACATAGTCTCATTCTTAAGGAACTGATATTTGGTTTTAGATATCTTTAAAAGTAGAAAATAAGTTTTCTAAAGTGTTTTTCAACTAACATATTTTAATATGAATGGCTAATGCAACCCAAATCTGTCTTGACAGCTAAGGTGCAAAACCAAGAGGAAGGTATTTCTTGCAAGAAGCAACTTTTTAACTATTGCAGTCCTTTGATAGAGGTAGAAAAAAGACAACTAAAGGGAATCATGATCTAATTACTCAGTAACAGATGAGAGAGAGACTTCTAGGGAAATATTCATACATAAAGACATTTTTTCCTCACTTAAAATCATGGGTGCTTATAAAACCACTCCCACTGCAATCAGAGAAGGCAAAATTTAACCATATCATGGGCATTTTATAAGTGGCATTTGCCTTAGAGGAGCTTCATCATCTGGACTTCCCAGATTTCATATCCAGGGCCAAAATCTGTGACAGGTCAAAGTTTTAAAAAGTTCATGAAGAAACTGAGCTCAGTCTCCATTTTCTCAGTCTTTGGCCCACTCTCCATTTCTGCTGTATTGCCATTAACCACAATGAAGAACTTATAAGTCTTTTTACAATTAATTATTGACTTAAATTTTATTTTGTGTCTCGTATGCTCTGGATATTTCCTTCATCTCAATTATCAGGTTTTAGCCTTCCATTTTTGTGTGATTGTTTAATGTTTATCTGAACAGCTCACCTATCAAATTCAAGAGGGTAGAGACCAAGTCTGTTTTACCTATAACATCTGACATTTAATGGGCACACAATTCATATTTAATGTTGAATTAAATGAAATAATTATTTGAAAAGGTCTATGTTTATCATGAAGCCTAATTTTGTCATTTTTACAAATTACTTGGCCAGCCTCAGTAAAAAAAATCCTTAAAAATTTCATAATGGTAACATTTAAAAAATATTTTTGCCAGAACAAATTTTCATAAGACATATAGAAGGTTTTCTCATAAGCATTTTGCCACTCATTAAAAAAGTATCTATCCCCCAGGGATTTCGGCTAGCATGCTATTTTCAACCAATTCAAATTTTACTTGAGGTGGCCATCCCTGATTTAGATACCATTACTTCCTGACACAAGACTGAATTCTGCTGTGAGAAATTTTAACTAAGCACATATTTCTCATTCAGTGTGATTCTTCACACTGCTCCATGGATTCAAGACATGACATGGAAATAAAAAACTGAGACTAGTCCTTTGCAGCAAAAATCAAAAGGCTAATTTCTCTTCCCTATGTTCATGAGCTAATAGCTTAGGATGGTCAACAAGAGACGTCTATTATATTACTATCTAAAAGAAAAGCTAGCATACCCAATAACTAATTTTTAAAAATCACTTTTTTAAAGGTAACATTATAATTTATCTGTCTCCCAAGACGGGTTTTAAAAAAATGGTCCCCCAGAGATGGTCCCCTATTTCATCTTATCCAAAGATGACTAGATTCTGATACACGGAATTTGTCAGATATCATATATTATACTTTCCCGTCAGATAAAAGTTAATACATTTAAGAGCAACAAAAATTATCAAATGGACCAATATAGAAACTAGGAATTTAAGCCTCTGGGACCGAGAGCACTTTTTTTTAAGCTTCAGTTTCTATACCAGAGAAATAGAAATTATTTTTTTCATTGCTTAGACTTTAGTGAGAATTTACTGTTTTTCATAAAATATATTCATAAAATATTTTGTAGGTGATAGTCCAATTGATGTTATAATTTAATACTATCTTCTTTTCAACTCATTGTTCTGGGTGAACATTAAATTTAAGACAAAGAAACACATTTAAAAATATATGTATTCTTTATAATATAAAACTTAAGGCATAAAAAAGCAAGATAACAGCTTACAAGCAGTCCATGTGGTATAACATAATATATGCTGTAAAAATAATTTAATAGTCTTCCTGCAATGGCCACAGGAAGAAATAATGCAGCAAACAAACCAAAAGTATGAAAGCAAAAGCTGTGGCTTACTTGCAGTTGAAGAAGGTAAGGGACTCCTAGCCTCAGATTCTGGGGGTATTTTTTTCTGTTTTTTTGACTCATGGATCTTTTCTTCTTCTTGGCTGGGTGTTGCAGACATTCCCATTGGGTTTTCTCTGCCAACTGAAATTAAGATTTTAAAAGATGCCATCCTTTCAAAATCACTTGTTTCTTCTCAGAATACTCATCATATGTTCAGCTATGCAAGTTTAATTTTTGCTATTGTTTCCATTTCAATGCCTAGTCAAATCTCTTTACTCAGAATTACATAGTTAACAGAAAATGACTTCTTATTCTTACCAGCAGGCTGTGCATGGGTGGCATCCCTATAAAACCTACTCATTGCTTTGCAAATCCGAACGATAGTTAACATCACAATATGAATCAAACAACTTATTCAAAATGTTTTTCTTATAGATTCTAAATGGGAACTTCTTTAACAATCTTGTTCTTTGCCTTCCTCAAAAGGGGAAACTAAAACGTCATTCAAACAGGATTTCATGTGACCTTACTGAAATACATGAATCAACAAAATATACACATATCTATAAGTAATGGAAAACATTAGCTACTTTTCTACCTTTTACTTAGAAGCAAGTTGTTTTGGAGTCTTGTTTAGAAATAGGTATCTCTAAGTTAAATAATGACTTCAACTTTATAGTATATGCTCCTAAGTGTTATTTATATTTAGGATTTCAAATTCAAGTTGTTTGTGTTCATTTTCTAGGATCAGGCATAGGCATATTGAGTTTTTAAATGGTGGTAATTCACACTATGAATGGCTTTAGAGTTCTCATCAGCAACAAAAAATTATGTAAATTTCTGATTCTATAAGATAAAGAGTAAGAACAACTACTTCTTAATACCACAATTGCAGTCAACGATGTAAGATGACTCACACAGTAAGAAAGCATAACAACCTCAAAGGTATGCTTAGTAGAAATTAGCGACACTTATCACACAGAGTGATGGTGCAGACTATACAATACTGGTGGCTGAAGAACTGCCCATGATTACATTGTTATTTATATCCTTCAGGTGTTATAAGATATCATTTCAGACAATAATAAGCTTTTAAATACTAATCCTTTTAAAACATAGTTTTTCCATATGGTTTATATACAATGCAATGCTGAGACACTAAAAATCGATAATAAAGGAACTTTAAAACATTAAAAAGAAGATAGAAATAACTAGAAATATGTTCATGGAGAATAAATAAATAATTGTAGAGGAAAAAAATTTAAGATTCTTATATATAACTAAGAGTTCATTTACCAATGTAATATAGAAATTCAGGATCTACAAAGAGATAAACTATCTTCCAGTCACTGTATAGCATGAGGAACAAATCAATGTATAAGAAATGGCTTCTGACATTGATGGGGTTACAGCCCAGAGAGAGACCACATAAACATGACCTCTGATAGATACTGATGAGCGCTTTAACTGACACAAGCACAACGTGCATAGGGAGCACAGAGGAGAAAACAATTAATGTGCCAGTCCATTAGAAACAAGCCCAAAAAGGGTTGCACAACAGGGCCAGTCTATGCAGAACTGTGAAACAAGAATGAGCATTTTACCTCTCTATCCTCCCCACACTGGCTTCTCATTAATTCTACCTCCACTTCTCAAAAAGTACACCAATATCTCTTTATACAACACAGTAGTATGGAATTCAGAAAGTGGAAGACATTTTCTGGAAATGTCATCCAGCAAGTTCCTATCGCTCTGTAGAGAAGGCTTCCCATTTTGTCTTTAGGCCAGGTGGGTTACAGAAAGATGTTCAAAAGCCAAGTACCAAAGTGACCCTCCAATAATACAATACTCTGAATTGTAGCAACCCTTAGTAGCCCTTTGTCTGACTTTTACAATTTAAAAAAAAAAGTGAAAACTGTATCACTAGCAATGTAAAACAAAACCTGTGGTGAAGGTGAAAGAACCAGAGCTGTCTAGGTAGAGATGTTATCAAAAGGTGTATGTTACATATACAGCTGGATTTGGATGATTAGTGACTCACTTCAGGTAGTACCTCATTATATCCAAAATTTAAGCTATATCAAGATCTACCAGACTATAAAGGCAGTAAATCTACAAAATCAACTAGGAAAAGTCTTTTGTTTTATTGAATACCTTCTATTTTAAAAGTAAAACAAGTGAAAACTTACATAATAGCAATTATTATAGTGTCATATTAGTGCATATATGTTTTAAACCCATATAGTCTATTTTATCATCTGAAACATATTTTGTCATATTTTTCTAAGACCGTAATATACATAGTCAGAATTTTATGAATTGGATATATGACAGTATTTCATTTAGATTTTTATGCTTGAATGATCTTAGCAGACTAGAATGAAGCAAAAATAAAATGTCCAAACATATTTTAATGCAAACTTCCATAAGACTTGAACCTGAAAGAAATTCTTATTGTAATAAAAAAGTAACATCTGAACCATATCTTCAGTCCTGCATTTTTGAGGGGTTACTAATAGCCAGAGTCTCATGATTTATATACAGAGGATGGCTCATACCATAAAACTGGGCTGGAATTAGAGCAAGAGGAGGCAAATTTCTGTGCAAAAGTCAAGTATCTCTTAAAATACTTCTAAAAACATAGATAGGTTCACTCTTTCCTAAGTATGCTATAAAAGTAATAGTACACTGAAGTTAGCAAAAAGTTACATGTTATATTGATCTACAGTTTTTTAAAACAATACCTAGCAGTGTGGTCTTACTCTACGGAATTATAAATGCAGGCTTATTATCTGGAGGAACAGAATGAAGAAAACTTTCAAATCACCCACATATCCGGATAATCAATGGAGAATCTTCTCCATGGGCTCAGTATAATAACTAATCACATAAGCCCAAGGGGTCAGATCTTTTCACACTTTCTCATGTATACACTGCGAATATAAATTCATGAAAATAGAGAGTGAAGAGGTTTTACTGCACAAGCTAGCAAGAACAGTTAAATGGTAGTGGGATAAATGACTTGTATTATAAATTCCCAATACACAGTAAATTAAACCAAATCCTTACCAAACTGTAGATGAAAAAAATCAATCACAGAGAAAGGAAATATGCAAAGTGATTAAAAGAGGTGATGAGACGGAATCTCTTGTCTTTTAGAAATCTATCGACTCTATTTAAGTGATAAAAAAAATGCCATGAAGTGCTCTTCCTCTTTTTAATAATCATAACAGCAAATACTTGCACAGCACTTGCTGAGTACCAGACACTATTCTAAGCATCTTACATATGTTAATTCACGTAATTCTCACACCACAACTGAGGGAAGGTACTCTTGGTCCTCATTTGACAGAACAGAGGCAGGTGGTCCAAGAGCTGTGAAAGCATACCACTGGCAAAAGCTCCCCGCACCCAGGACCTGGACACTGGCAGTCTGGCTCTCAGAGCTTGTGTGCTGAAATCCCACCCTTGTCCCTCTACCCTGCTATACTTCTGAGCCTCTTGCTGTTTGGTGGGTGGAACCTGTCAATGAGACTGCCCTCGTTGTAGGCTGAGCAGAGCTGTGCCCTCCACGTGATGGTGTGCCATGTCAGACCAGGCAGCGTGTAGACATTTACTTGAGGTGCACACTCATTCAGATTGCATGTCTGGGGGCAACAGGTGGAGTCTCTTGAGATGTAAACTTAGATTCTCTTCCTACCACAATCTCTTACCCTATCCAAGTCCCCTTATCAGTCAGGGTGCCTCACAACTTTAACTCTGCTTTCTAGACAACTATGAGGAAAAGTTTAAGCTGAAAAAAAAAGTTTCAGCTTAACTTTTTCGGGGGCTGCTCTATCTCTGTATTAAAATATAAACAATTCAAAACTCCCAAATGTTTTGGGGAGTGAACTTTTTTGGCATAGTGTAGGCTCAATCTATCATATGTAGATAGTTTAGTTAGAAAATATTCTATTGGGAGGCCGAGGCGGGCGGATCACGAGGTCAGGAGATTGAGACCATCCTGGCTAACACGGTGAAACCCCGTCTGTACGAAAAATACAAAAAATTAGCTGGGCGCGGTGGCGGGCGCCTGTAGTCCCAGATACTCGGGAGGCTGAGGCAGGGGAATGGCGTGAACCCGGGAGGTGGAGCTTGCAGTGAGCCGAGATAGCGCCACTGCACTCCAGCCTGGGGACAGAATGAGACTCCGTCACACACACACACACACAAAAAAAAAAACCATTCTAAAATAATAAAATGACTTGGAGAATTACTATAAACTTTTTTTTTTTTTTTGGAGCTAGAGTGCAGGGGAGCGTTCTCAGCTCACTGCACCCTCCGCCTCACAGGTTCAAGTGATTCTTCTCCCAGTAGCTGGGATTACAGGCGTGCACCACCACGACCAGCTAATTTTTGTATTTTTAGTAGAGACAGGGTTTCACCATGTTGGCCAGGCCGGTCTCAAATTCCTGGCCTCAAGTGATCCACCCATCTTGGCCTCCCAAAGTGCTGGGATTATAAGCGTGAGCCACAGTGCCCGGCCCTACAAACTTTTACATAAACATTCTGTCACTCTTCACAAAATCCCCTAAGATAGAGTTTTTAACACTCAGAAATCCCAATGGAATGCTCTTCTTGTGAAACTGGAAAGTATTATTTTGTATTTTGAAGAAATGTTGATGCTTTCAAACCCTTCCTCAGAATTCCTAGGATTCATGAATCTTCAATAAAATTTCTAAAGCAATGTCTCCTGCATTCTTGCCCTTGTTAAAGCAGGAGGTTGCCTCTAGTAAATAGAGAAGAAAACATAAACCATCCATGCTATAGTAACAGAACTAAATTTTAGGGGCTGTAAAGAAGAATGGCTTTGTTTCTATTGGTTCTTTTAGTACTAATACCCTAAGGTTGACAAATGTGGCCTTTTATTATTTCTCTCTTATGTCTTGCCACAAATTACTTTTCTTCTTCTCATTTCTTTTTCTATTATTTCAATCTCTTCTTTTTCACCTTTTCATCTCTACCTGCTTTCTGGTCATTTCTGTTTTCTCCCTGTGCTCTTCCAGCATGGCAGCTGACCCCTGCTAGCTATTTCCCACTGCTCTTTTTCTACTCCTGTATTCTTCTGCTAGCTTTGAAGTCACCTGTTTCCCTTCAGAGCTCCAGAGGCAGATGGCATACTCACTGTGTCAAGGCAGAATGCCACTCTGTGACAGCCTGTAGGAAAATGAAGGGTGGAGGGAGTGGTGGTATGGATGGCAGTAAACTCAGGTATACTAGCCCAACAGTTTGCAAAATTTTTAAAAAAGCAACTAAAGGCTGAAAAGAAGTTGATGCAGATAGAGTGAAGAACAGGACCAAATATACCATCATGTTACATCAGGCTCATTTTATTCCTATTCTAAGCTATCTTCTGTGGGATATTATATATACACATACAGTAAACATGTACTCTCATAAGCCAATAGAAGCTAAACAAAAGTCAGACTAAGAAAATGACACAGATATTGAGTAAGCCAAAATTCAGGGAACCATATCAAGCAAAAATTAGATAGCAATCTAAACTTCAAGGTAATTGAAAAATACAATAGAGTTACTTTACTAGCCTTTGTGTTCAAACACATTTTAAGGTTTGAACACAAATACATGTTTAAATAATGTCCTCATATCTTCATTTCAATTTGCTAGAGAACAGGAACTTAGATATGAGAGAAACCAGTTTCAAAATATTCACATTTCTGTCCTATCTTGAAATTTTTTCCAAATCCTATTTTTAATCCAAATCCCAATTGTGTTGATCTTTATTCCATCTCTTTTTATACTGCAACCATTAAAAATTAATAGCAATGAATCTGAGAATATTTCTAACAGCCTCATCCCTCTCAGGGTACATGAAGCTATCCTTAAAAAACAAAGATTCAAACATGCACATGTACACAGACACACGAATGCACACACATAACTTTCAAAGTTACAAAGAAGTTCAATGTAGCAAAAACTCTATACCTAATATTAATTATCTGAAAACTTGAGGCAACTGGTCTTCATTATGTTTTCCTTCCATTGCTTCTGGAATGACAACAAACAAAAAAGCCTAGCAGCAGAGATTTGCTTAGTAAAAATGTGATGAAATTTTCAGACACTGTACACAAACCATCATAAAGCAAACCAAAAATCAAAGCATTTCAGAGTAAACATACATTGGATGACTTGTGGATAGAAGCAAACATTCTCATCCTTGGTATAAATCATTGGTTTTGCCTGCCCATCTGACTGAAGTCCAACAAACAATCCTGGGCTCTTCGTAGATTCCAGGCTTATGGATGCATTCTTCAAGTTCTTCTTAATTTTAAAATGACAGTCAACATCTCCTGTACCCTACAATCAATACAAAATGATTCAATAAATGTGAGCAAGTCCTAAAAGACAGAATTTAAAACCAGTCGTTTTAAAAGAATATAATTTTGTCTCGTTTCGAATCACTATGATAAATCTAGAGCCTTTTTACGTAAATTGCCCTGTGTGCTTCATCCTATTTCACAAGATCCAGAAACAGAGACCACATGATGGGTTGAGGCAAGGACACATGCCTTTGGACAAAAAACTCTGAATAGCATAAGAGCTTCAACTAAGGAGAGTGTTGTATATGCTGTATTTCATTTTAGAGTTGCTCACCTCTATGGGTGAATGTAGAACATTAAAATGTGGAACTTTTCTTTTAGAAAATACTCTAAAATGGTGGGAAAAGTGCTATTCTTACCATAAGTCAATTTACATTTAAATGTAAACCAATTTTCTGTGCTATTCTGCATTTTCCAGATTGAATTTTCATAAACAGCATGCACACAAATGATGCAAAGACTGTAGAGGAAAATATTCAAGAATCGAATGCCTAGCAGTAATCTATACACCCTCAGATTATTATAACACTTCTCCATTCTTTAAGCCATTTATAATCTAATATTAGAAAATATTTTGCCTTTCACTGTTTTAAAAGTTTCTTTATAGGATTTCAGTCCCAACTAATGACTTTTGTAAGGATGGATTAAAATTTCCAATAGCAACTAGTATTTTATTTGTGATACAAATTATATTCTGGTCTCCCCTCAAATGTGAGCTTCTTTCAGTAAGAACCAAGGGAGTCTCTCTCTCTTTCTCTCTCGCTTTTTATAAAGTAAGCAATTTCTATCTTCTGTTCTTGTTCTAAATTCAATAAGATTCTGGCCTTGCATTGTTCATGGTCGAGTAGAGAAGACAACCACATATACAGATAATAAGTAGGGGAAGGTGAGCTGGGGGTAGGGATAGGAAATTTCAGGTGGAGGGGCACCATAAACTAAGACAGAGGGGCCATAGGCAGCATGGTGTATGGATGAACAAGCACCTTAATGATGCTGAACAATACAGAAGGTAAGTACAGAAAAGCAGCTTCAGTTTGTTGCAGCATAGGAAGTTTGGGCCTTACCATAGACCATCTGTGTTGTTTCCTGAGATTCCCAAACCTCCTAAATGATGTATTTGCATACATTAAGGTTTACTCTTTGTGCTATACAATTCTGTGGGTTTTAACAAATCTATAATGTCTTGTATCTGTTATTACAATGGCATACAGAATAACTGTACTGCCCTAAAGATCCCCTATGCTTCATCTATTTATCCTTTCCATACTTCCCTCAAACCCCTAGCAACCACTGATTATTTTACTGTGTCTATAGCTTTGCATTTTCCAGAATGTCCTATAATTGGAATGGTATAATATGTAATCTTATCATACTGGCTTCTTGCAATATGCATTTAAGTTTCCTCAATGTCTTTTCATGGCTCATTTCTTTTTACTGATGAATAATACTCCATTGTACCAATGTACCAAAATTTACACATTCACCTACTGAAGGACATCTTGGTTGTTTCCAGTTTGGGGTGATTATGAAAAAAGCTGGTACAAACATTCATGGACATGTTTAAGCTCTGGGTCTAGATTCGTTTGTAGGCATATGGACATCCAATTGTTCCAGTACCATTTGTTGAAAAGTCTACCCTTTCTCCATTGAGTTCCCTTTGCTCCTTTGTCAAAGATCACTTCACTGTATTTGTGTGGGTCTATTTCTAGGCTTTCTATTCTGCTCCATTGATCTCTGTGCCTTTTCTTTCATCAATAACACACTGTCTTGATTTCTATAGCTTTATAGCAAATCTTAAATGTAGGTAGTTTCAGTATTCTAACTTTGTTCTTCTTCAGTATTATGTTGGCTATTCTGGGTCTGTTGCCTTTTCATATAAACTCAGGACCAGCTTATAGATAGCCACAAAATAGCTTGCTGGAATTTTGACTGGAATTGTATTGAATCTATGATAAAGTTGGTAAGAACTGACAACAACCTTGAGTCTTCCAATATATAAACAAGGAATATCTGTCCATTTATTTAAATTTTCTTTGATTTTTTTCATCAGTATTTTCTAGTTTTCCACATAGAGATCCAGAATATATTTTGTTAGATTTGTACATTTTTATACTAATATAACTGGAATTATGTTTTTAATTTTAAATTCCAATTGTTCATTGCTAGTATATAGGAATGCAATGAAAATTTGTATATTAGCCTCGTACATTGCAACCTCACTATAAACACTTACTGATTCTGAAATTGTTTTGTTGATTCTTTGGGATTACCTACATAAAGACTAATATCATCTGTGAGCCAAGAGAGTTTTATTTCTTCCTTCCCAATCTGTATACATTTTGTTTCCTTTTTCTGTCTTATTGATTAGCTAAGACTTCCTATATAATATTGGAGTGGTGAGAGATGTCCTTGCTTTGTTCTTGATCTTAAAGAAAAAGCATCCAGTTTCTCACTATTAAGTATAATATTAGCTGCAAGTTTTTTGTAGGTATTCTTAATCAAGTTGAGAAAGTTCCCATCTATTCATAGTTTACTGAAAGTTAGTCTTTTTATTTCACCACCAATATTCAATCAGCCATTAATATTCAGTAATCCACATGATCTATCAAATTTGACTCAAACTCTCCAGTTTTGTCATTACTTCCCAGATTTTAGGCCCCATCACCTCATTCCTAGATCTAACTCAAGTAAGGATAATATTTGTGAATTATTTAACTAATATATTCTCATTGCTAATTCTTCCAAGGCTCTCTTACCTACTAAATCAACAATACTCATTGTGTTGGCGTAAGAAGAATCCAGCCTAGAGCAAAAACATCTTTGCTCAGCTTTGAGCTTCCAAATGGAAGGGTTTTAACAAATCTGTAGTAAATTAAGATTTAAAAAGGTGCTTTTTATTTGTAAAAGCAAGTTTATTGAGAGAGAAAATGGTTGACAAAAGAAATTCCAAAATTGAAAATATTCCTAGAACCTGGAGGACGGGACACCTGAGAGTTTAAATGATGAAGCCACTGAAAAGGTAGATACCATATATTACATAGAGAAAACTGCCACCCCACAAGAAGAGAGGTGCATCCGATTCTGAAAGGAGGGGCCTGGGACAAATGACTAGAAGAGAGACAACTCCACTTGGAGTTGATTCTTGGTGTAGCAAAGAAATAAGGGGCATTAGAATCATCCATATATTTTGGGAGAGAATCTCAACAGCTGAGGGGCTATCCCAGGAAACTTACACACTCCCCTTAGAGTATCCCAGTGTTTAGCATAGTACTAGAGCAACATGGGGACATCCAGAAGATGGATTAGAAATGCTCAAGGAGGGAGTCTGAGAAAGTAACACTGATACAGCTTCCTAGCTTCTCCGCAGCTCACATGGAGACATCAGGAGATCTAGAAGTTATCCCATGCCTTAATGGCAGACTCAATTATTGAGAGGACTGGAGATCTGGGAGAGGGCTGGATTTGCTACAAGCTGCCCACTGAGTTAGGACCATTAAGACCAGAGGTTATGCAAGACTCTCAAGCCCTATGTTGCCCAAAATGCTCTGATTATAATATCAGTCATATTTGAAATTAAACACAATTGGTATATCCACATTCAGGGACAAACCAAATCAGCCACACTTCAGTAAAGACCAGTGTGGACCTCAAGAATGGTCTATGTCCCGTGGCCTTTTTCCATGATTTTTTTTTAAGTCTTTGTACCAAGATATCAAACAAGGATGAGGGAAAGGAGAAAAAAAGAATAAATAATTTAAAAAAATTATTATTGACCTGTAAAGGACTAATCTTTCAACTAGATAGAAACCAAGATATACAAGCATATTCTGACAGAAAAAAAGAAATCCATCAGTCAAACTAAGCACACTGGAACATACTAGGATTACTAGTGCACTTTAGATAAATTATGGGCTTTTCAGCCAAACTGTGTTTCATTATAGTAATCTCGTAGCTACTCTTCCAAACTTCCGGTTCTCAATAAACTAGCACATCTTCCACAGTGAGGCCAGATTTATGAACTTGAATATCATTCCCAAACCACTATCTCCCCAAACTTAGAACAGATAACGTATTAAAAATCAATGTCATTTTACATTAAAGATCTCAAGGAATTGCTCATGACTTACACAATAGAAAATTTCCAAACCAACACTGAACTTGGTACTTACTTCTGGTATTGAACTTTGCACACTATGGCGTATTTGTCTGTTTACGTTCTTCTTTTCCCCTTTTAAATCACAAGTTTCCTGAGAGCAGGGAGCATGTCTTAGTATATCTACTGTAGCACTAGTGACGAGCAGTTTCTGCATTTCAGTAGAAACTCAGTATCTGTTAACTCTAAATTTCTTTTTACTAATTTCTAATCTCATAATTTGTTCATGTAATGTCCTCTCCTCTCTTTGATAAAGAAAAGTGGAATTATTCTCTTGCTCTAAAATTCACCATTCTAGGAAACTTCTACTCACCCACTCTGCTCAAATCAACCTGCCTCTCCTGAGCCTTCGCAGAAACACCTGAACCACAACTTGAAAGGGATTACCAATTAACTATTGTTCTCCAGATCAATGTGGTATGCGTATTTGTCCCCTCTAACAGTGCCTGAAGGAATGGTATTTTTAACCTCCACTAAGTATAATTAGTGAAAATAATAAAAATTGAATATAACTACATTTCAAAACAATAAACCTTTAGTTTCCTTTATTTCCTCTTTCCTGCTTTCATTTAAAAATCTCTGCTTCATCCCTAACTCAAATACAAACTGATTAAAGAGATGTAGATGGGAAATAAAACATGAGTTCTGACTGCAAAAGGTGCGCCTTCCTACACATCTGCAGCAAACAGCAACTAGACATAGCCAGGTTAGAATATCTGATGCATGCTCACACCACTGCAAGCTACCATAACATCTAATGCCCATTTCCCTCTATTTGGCTCTGTTGCAGTAGAACAACTCCTAGTTACCATCACCCAAGTGATATTTTAACTTTTCATACTTAATATTTGTCAAGCACTTACCAAAACGTCAGTTCTTGCTGTACAGTTTGGGATATTTCAATAAACAAAGCAAACAAAACTCTCCCCACTGTGGTGCCCACATCCTAGTAGTATACATTCTACACACTGGAGTATTATTATGCCTTCTCTTTTCCAAGATGAATCACTCAGCAATTTATTCCTTTCTTAAAGGCTATTTGCCCCTGATAGGGGAAATCTTTGTTGCTGTCCTTAAGGCCCACTGTATATTCTTCAAATCTCTTTCATGCTGTAAAGATTAAATACATAGACTGTGATCTACAACAAAGTCACCACTGACAAGTTCATCTTGCCAGCTGCCCAGATACAGCTAGTTTATGAAGATGGAGGAATTGCAACAGAGAATGAGTTTAATGCATGCAGAGCAGGCTAAATGGGAGACTGGAGTTTTATTATTACTCAGATTAACCTCCCCCAAATTTTTGGAGGCCAGGGTTTTTAAAGACAGTTTGGCAGGCACGAGGCTAGAGAGTGGGGAATGCTGCTGATTGGTTGGGTCAGGGATGAAATCATAGGGAGCTGAAGCTGTCTTCTTGCTGTCTTCAGTTCCTGGGTGGGTGACACATAATTAGTTGAGCCAGTTTACTAGTGTGGGTGGCACCAGCTGGTCCATCAGAATGCAGGGTCTGAAAAATACCCCAAACTCCAATCTTAGATTTTACAATAGTGATGTTATCCATAGGAACAATTGGAAAGGTCTGGAGTCTGGCTGCATGACTCCTGAGCCATAATTTTTAATCTTGTGGCTAATTTGTTAGTTTTACCAAGTCTGTCTGGTGCCTAAACAAGGAAGGGGTTTGTTACAGAGAGGGACTGTTATTATCTTTGTTTCTAAGTTAAACTACAGGCTGGGTGCGGTGGCTCACGCCTGTAATCCCAGCACTTTGGGAGGCTGAGGCAGGTGGATCACCTGAGATCAGCAGTTTGAGACCATCCTGGACAACATGGTGAAACCCCGTATCTACTAAAAATACAAAAATTAGCTGGGCGTGGTGGTGGGCATCTGTAACCCCAGCTACTCGGGAAGCTGAGGCAGGAGAATCACCTGAACCCAGGACATGGAGGAAGACAGTTTGCAGGTTAGAAGCAAGATGGAATCTGTTAGGTCAAATTTCTTTCACTGCCATAATTTTCCTACGTCAGATTTTTCCCACTAACATAATTTTTGCAAAGGCAATTTCAGTAATAGTGAAATGTAAGACCATTTTTTAGAAAATTCAAACAAAATAATTTATCTTGCATGTAGCTATGTATGTAAACACAATTTTATTCAGATCAAGTTTTTTAAATTTTTTGATTAGGTAAAACACGATTTATAATTTTTACATAAAACTAAGACTTTCACTGAATTTTATACTTTCCAACCCACTGGTCTAGCACCGTGTAAACCTAACTTCATCTATATGCTTTCATGTGTTTTTATATTTCAACTTCTTATAAATATGAATTACCTTTAATTTTTTAATTTGCATGCGTAGAATATACTTTGAATGAAGAGGCAAAATTAGACAAATCCACAATGAGAGAATCTTTCCTAGTTTCTACAAACTAAACTCTTGCCCATAGACAAGTATCCTGCCAGTGTGGGGTATGTCTGTGTGCATATCTTGGTTACAGTGATCACACTTGAGCTTATTTTTCCTACAATTCCTACATCTTTTTTTCCTTTGTATTCATGCTTAGTGAGTTCCACCCATGTTATTTTAAAGTTTATTTTTCTTCTTTAAATTAACACCCTTACAAATGTCCCTATGAACGGCCTGCTGTTTGTTACTAACCTGAATTTCGATTACATCAAATCTATTAAGGTGATTTACTTATACAAGATAAAAATTTCATGGTAACAGAAACAGAAATATTTGTTATAGGATCAGTGTCACTTTATTTAAATGTAAGTGTATTTGCCTATAAAAATGTTTCCAAATTTACAACAGCAGACATGTTGGAACCATTAATGTTTTTATTCAATTCAATTTAGTACAAAAAAAAAAAAGCATTTCTTGAGTAGCTACCAGGACTGAGGCACTGTTGGGTTTTTAAGGTATAGTAACATGACCATGCATTACCATTTACCTTTGAATGCATCTTAAATCCCTTTGGAGATTATAAGCATGCCTTACCATAGCCTCTAAACATACGCAAACTAGGGTAATTAAGAGGACTGTTTTCATTCTGTTTTCAAGGGTAATGTCATTCCAGTCTAGTGGTTCTTAGTCAGATATAATGAAAGTGAAAAATAATATGCTTCGTTGTTATGTATCAATACTATTTCTTAAGAACAAGGAAGCACAGGCATTTTGAGTAAAATGACTCACTACCAAAATTTGAGATGGAGAATTTTAAAGTAAGACAACGAAATCAATGAGTCATTAAACAAGTCAAAGAAAACACTACAATGGAAGTAGCAGAAGTAAAACATAAATGAGGAGTTTTCTGTGGAGGCTCTTCTCTATAAAAGTACCAGAGTAAAGGTTAAAAATCAATATTTTCTGAGTGGCAGACACCATCAGGAGGTAGGCTCAGAGTGCTCCTTTAGGCCTCTGCTAATGACATATTGTTAATGCACAAAACAACTGGTGACCCACAGGAGAACCCTGATGTTCAGTGACAGCATGTGTGAGAAGCCACACTCAAGGGGCCAATCCCAGTGAAGAGCTAGGACACCACAGCTCTGGACCAGGCCTGATACTTATGATGGAATGCAGGAAACACTACCCTAAAATATGGCATCTTGGCACAGTGAGTATTTTAAGCTGAAGGAAATGAGAAAACTGTGGAAGCAGGACGGTCTCCCAGACCCTCTCCAGCCCACTCTCTCCTGAAGTGGGCCATAGAAACTGAAATTCCCTCTCCCCTGTCTCTCCCGATGTAGGCCACAGAAACTAGAATTCCTCTTGCTTCTTCTCCCAGGAACCAGCCCACAAAACCTGGAAAGGTCACCTCTCTGACCTTCCCTCTCCTTGTTTCCCCTAAAGATCTTCATGTGACAGGTGTCTTACTTCATACCTGGAGGAAAGAAATATCACACAGTGACTCCAAGAAAAACCTGGACAGGCCTTACTAAGTTCCCCACAGTTCATTACCATTAGATCATACCCTTTGGTTCTCCAATTATACTTCTGCATAAGTATCTATAAAATTACAAAGTTTTCCCTAGGTCTTTGGATCATTTCTTAAGCCTCCTGAGCTACACAGAACTTATTGAAGTGAATTTGTATGCTTTTCTCTTATTAATCTGTTTTTTTGTTATGGGTCTCAGCCGGGAAGCTTGCAATGGGTGAAAAAAAAAAATCATGTTTTGTCTCCTACATTTACAATCATTAAATTTAGAAAAGAAACTCTCCATCCCTGGCAAATCTTTTAATAACTACACAAAAGGAGTCATAAGATCATTTACATGGGTCAGTTTTAGGTGAAGACCTGCTGCAGGTGTTTGCTTTCCTAATTGGTTGCTGTGTGAGCTTAGGGTTAGGAGGCGTTACTACAAACCTAAGAGCGCTCGCTCAGCCTTGGAATGCAGTTAGACACTAAAAATACAGTCAGCCTCCTCCCTTTGTCTTGCTGATCTGGTTATAGTATCAGGGAATTCACCACTGGCCAAAGCAGTGCCACACTTTCCTATGATTTACAGAGTATTCAAGAGCTTCTGGCTTTATGGACAGGCTGTGTAAAATTTCAAATCTTTTAGCAATAACTTTCCAATGCAATAATCTTCCAAGAACAGGATTGGAATTTTTAACAGAAATAATAGGAAGCTAGAAACCTCTAGAGAATGTTTGAGCCTCTGAGCCTCTGAGTTTAGGAGGCAGAAGGGCAAAAGTTACCGATGTACAGTATGATGTAGGCCAGGAAGATCTTCAAAACCTTAACGTTAAGCTAAAGATTTTTACAAATGTCTATTAAAAAAACATAGTAACAGTATTTTCTCTGTAATCCTCAAGGATTACACTCACCTCACCTTATTCTGGGGATTGACACTGAACTGATACACATTGGTAGAGCCAGATACATTTTTTAAATACTGTAATATTGACAGCAACAGGAGTCAGAGAAACGCTAGGCAGACAGGAGTGGCCCCTGGCAAAACTCCACCTTTGAGGTGAAAAGCCTGAAACCCACAGCCCAAAGTGAAAACTTCCATCCTTGTGTGTCGGCTCTCTCCTGATTGTTTCTTTCTGAATAATGTCTTTTTACCAGTCGAATGTTGCCTTTTCCAAAACTACCTATGGCCTGCCCCACCTCCCCATCCTGTGCCTATAAAGACCCAGACTCAGTCGGTAGAGAGGATAAGCAGCTGGACATCAGGGAGAGGCAACTTGACTTCAGAGACAGCGGCTGGATGAGGCAGAGGTGGCTTAACTTCAGGGTAGAGTGACCTGCCCTTCCCATCCTTTTTCCAGCTCCCCTCTCCGCTGACAGCGACTTTCATTGCTCAATAAAATTCTCCACATTCACCATCCTTCAATTTGTCCATGTGACCTCATTCTTCTTGGGTGGTGGACAAAAATTCAGGATGCACCAAGTGCGGGTAGCCAAAAAGGCTGTCACACTGGCCCTTTGCCCTCACCAGTGGAGGGCAGCTGCCCTACACAACGAGGCAAAGGGCCCACAGAACTGATAACACACTGCTGTCTACAGACGGTGGGACTAACAGAGCATTGTAACACACCCCTTCTGGGACCTTGGGGTTGCAGGCACCCCCATCTGGATGCTGCCATGGGGCCTGCACAGAGTTTGCTCCTGCTGGTGCTAAAGCAGCTGGCCAGTTTTTGCACTCACTTGCTCCAGTGCCTGCACTTGTTTGCTCGCGTGCTCCCTCCCATGAAGGGTTGAGCGGGGCAGGCTAAGTAAAATGGGCACCCCTGTTGCAAGACCTGCAAAGGGGTCAAGAAAATATCCTGCATCAATATTTTCATATTGGATGATGAATAGCCATCGTCTAAGCCCCCTTGTGTCTCCCTCATGTTCTGGTTGCCCTAGAATGGGAGAACCCCTAGAGGTCACAGCCCACTGCCAGGGTTAGGCGTCAGGGCCTGGATCCCAGCACAAAAACATGGGGCCCTGATGGCATGGCCAGCCAATACCTCATCCACATCTTGGACCTTCAAGGATCCTTGCTCCTTGCTTGTCCTGAAGGTTGCACTCCAGGAGTTTCAGTGTACCAAACTGCTTGTTAAATACAGTATTTTGAGTAACACCCCAGCATATATGGACCTGTTATTTCTGGTTTGCCCCTTTACACAGCTCCCCTTACCAGTGTTTTTTGCATTTAGCTACTACTTTACACACATGTGTTGCCTTCAGAGGCCTCAGAGGAGTGACCTTAACCCTCTGGACAAGGCTCATGTAACCTAGCTATGGTGTGCTTATCTCCAAAAGGCCTAGAGAATCTCTGCCTTATGTGCAATATTTCTTATTTTAATGTTCTGTATATCAAATTCTGTGTAACCAACTCATTTATGCTCTTTCACCTTTATCAATCAATTTCACTGGGTTCTCCATTTTGGCTATCTCTTCCCCAAAGCAAACAGAATAAATGCCTCTGGCTTTTTTCAAATTGTGAAATATCTCTAAGAAGAAGTGATACTTGGGTTTGAAACTCCAGTGCATGATTGCCTGCCTCAGCTCAGCTCAGCTCAGCATGATTGCCTTCCAACATACACAGAAGTCCTGAACCTGGCATTTCATCCTGTGAAGCCCTTCAGGAAGGGAAAACAGAAGGGGCTTCCAACATTGATGCAAAGCAGCACAACGTAGGCTGGCATGGCACAGAGTGTTCTCCCACCCATTTCAGAGCCACTCACTCACCTGACATGCTGTCAACAAGGCTGGTTCTTGGGAAATTTCTAAAGAAAACTTTGGTTTTGTGTTTAGAATCACCTCTGCCTCATGTATCCTGACTCTGGTCTCCTCATGGGGGAAAACCAGTTTCTCCATCCTGTTATTCTCAGTCCTCCACAATGGGGCCTTAGGAAGTGGGCAAACCTGGACAAAGCCTCAGCTCTAAGGCTACCTGGGGACTCTGGGTGAGATACTTAACCAGGCTCACACTCAGCTTCAGCATCTGAAGAATGAGCATGCCAATAGTTTCTTTGTGGCAGGATAATACTTCTGTGTTTTAATCTGTACAACTCCATCCAACTTCCTGTGATCACCAGATTCTTTCAATTGAATGCCAAGGACTTCTTCCAGTCCCTCAGCCCCATCAGATAGAGCTGAGTCACCCATAGCACAAATAGGAAGAAAAAGCATGAATATTAAGTGTAGGACAAAAAGATTCTGCTAAAAACTTACAGAGGAAGTTTACTCACTGGGAAGAAAAAGATAACCAGCACACTGAGAAAAAAAAAAAAAATGGAAGAGTCAGAGAGAGGCATACAGGCTGGAAGTGAAGAACCAAGAAATCACCATTCAGCTGGGCTCAGTGGCTCACGCCTGTAATCCCAGCACTTTGGGAGGTTGAGGCAGGTGGATCACGAGGTCAGAAGATCGAGACCATCCTGGCTAACACGGTGAAACACCGTCTCTACTAAAAATACAAACACAAAAATTTAGCTGGGCATGGTGGCAGGCACCTGTAGTCCCTACTCTGGAGATTGAGGCAGGAGAATGGCATGAACCCAGGAGGCGGAGCTTGCAGTGAGCCGAGATTGCGCCACTGCACTCTAGCCTGGGCAACAGAGTGAGACTATGTCTCAAAAAAGAAAAAAAAAAAAAACCAGAAATCACCATTCAGCTAGAGTATGAGGCAGCTAAATAGAAAGTGAGCAACCACTGAGCTATCCCTTTGGTTACTACCCGGGGAAGATAAACATTTCCAATGTTGACCCATTTCCCACTTTGGAGTGACACTTACCTGTGCCTCTAGAAACTCTGCCCAGCAACTTCCAAACACAAACACAAAAGCATGTATTACATAGTGACACATTATCTCATGGTTCTGAACACTCCTGCGAGCCCCAGAAGGGAAAGGCTTGTATAACTTGTGAATGTTGAGGATAGGAAGGCTACTTACTGATTTCCTCCCAGGACACTCTGTCCTAGGGGGTAACTGAACATTAGATGAAATTGTACTTCTAACTAGTCTAGTCATAGTAATAATGTTACTCATTTTTATCCCAATTAGTCCACTTACCAGTGTAAAGACTACAAGCATGAGTTTGTCTCTTAAGCTTGGCTTCCTCTTCTGTGAAATGGTGATAAAATCTACTTCATTATGCACTTGTGGGTAGATCAGGGATATTAACTACACGTGTGTATGTGCATGTGCTTCGCCTTTGCATTGTGAGCATCAGTGCAGCTCACCTGACACAAACTCACCAGTCTGCAGCACCGACAGGGACCCTGGGAACCATGAAAGGTCAAAGTCCTCCCTCCTCATACCCCAAGAAGCTCATGCAAGTTCTTCCTTATAGCTAGACATCATGACTGGTAAGAAGGGAGAGGGCGGACCTCAGAATTTATTCAGAAGATCTAATTTAAACTAAACTATTTTAAACAATAATAGATGGAGAGCATTAACAGGGAGGTTAAATGTGCAATCTTACTTGTTCCTCACCCCACAGAAGAATTATGAATATATATAAACTGTTATGTTAGTTGTCTTCCACATCCCCTCCTAAGGCTCAAGGTGTTAAAGAAAAACCCCTGTCTGGGCACAGTGTCTTAGGCCTATAATTCCAGCACTTTGGGAGGCCAAGGCAGTGGATCTCTTGAGCCTAGACATTGGAGACCAGCCTGGGCAACATGGCGAGACCCTCTCTCTACAAAAAGTACAAAAATCAGCAGGGCATGGTGGCATGCGCCTGTAGTCACAGCTACTCAGGAGACTGAGGCAGGAGGATCACCTGAGCTGCTGTGAGCCGAGATTGCATGACTGCACTCCAGCCTGGGTGACAGAGTGAGACTCTGTCTCTAAAAATAAAAATACAAAAAGAAAAACCCCTAATATTTAGAATTTAAAATAGCTTCCTAGTCAAGTACAGGGTTTCCAGTGGTGGAAATTCAGGCACCAAAAGGAGCAGTAAGGAGACACTGTTGAGCTGGCCTTTCTAGAACCTTGGTTCTCAAAGCATCATTCATGGACCAGCATCAGCAGCCACAGCTGAGAGCTTGTTAGAAACGTAAACACTCAGGTCCCACGCCAGCCTTCCTCAATCAGAATCTACTTCCTAACACAATTCCCAGGTGATTTGTACATACATTACATTTCAGAGGCCCTATCTAGAGGGTCAGGATTCCTCTCTTATCATACCAGGCATGTGGCTGCTCTCCTCACTTATTAAAAATACCAGTCAAGGGAGACCACCACATGTAACATTCAATTTCCAAAACCCACTCAGAAAGTGCTATTCTCATGTCTACAACTGGCAAATGTCTTAAACATTTGCTGAGAGAAACAAGAGCAGATGCTTACTGTTCCATCGCATCGGCCATCCTTGATTCTTAGATACATTTGTGCATTTTTCACACTTTCAAACATGCAAATCCCAGAGCTGATTTTATGCACTTTCCAGTAGGATTTTTCAGACTGGCTTCCCACTCCAGTGCAGCTTCCATCAGGCTGGAGACACAGGGCCTGACACAGGCTTGTAGCAAGCAGAACCACAGCACTGTTGAGGAACACCCCCTTCAGAGCAACAAACAGAACAGAAAGGCAGTCAGTAACGGGCTCGTGTTTTGCTAGAGGGAGACAACTATAGAGGCAATTCTCTTACTGAAGCCATAGTGACCAGGAGGCTTGGTGGCTGAAAACGAGCAAAAGAAGTAAACAATGTCACTGCTATGCAAAAGTAAACAAAAGGAGGTTGGTTTACTTCAGTTATCATTTGTTGACAGTATAAAGGCCAGCATGAGATGCTACAGAGATTTTTAAAAGATACAAAACACATATATTTCTCTTAAGGAATTTACTATCACCTTAAACAAATAATGTTAATATTAATATAAAGCACAATAAAAATATGCTATAAGAGTAACTGAATTATGGAATACTCTCTATGGATATTTAAATGTATGCATATAGGAATGAATGTAAAAAGATATCAAATACAAATAAGATATATTTAAGAAAATCCTATGTAATCATTAATTTAAGAGGAAGATATAAAAGACTCTTGAGAGTTAATTAGAAATACACTAACACAGTAAAACTGATAATAGATAAATACACAAATCACAAAAGATAAAATACAAATGGTGAACAAACATAAGGAAAAGTAATCCATGCTAGTAATACAAAAAAAAAAAAAAGCTAAAATTGGATATCTGTTCCTCTAGAAAATTGTCAAAGTTCTTCTCCTTAAGGACCATACTCAACAACACTGAGGTCAGTGAGGTGGGTGTTTTCCTACACTGCTGAAACTAGTTGGGTACTAAGAATTTAACTTTACCCAGAGAAGTCTGACCTTCGCCTCAGCTTCTGAGTGGTAATCTCTTTACCCTTGGAGTGTCATGCCTGATAGGAGTGTTGTTGTTTGCCTGCAGAGCTTGGGTCAGCCAGATAGTAATAATGTGACTTAGGGTAGGGGGCTTTGAGTCAGAAAGTGTTAAGTGACCTCCTGAGAGGCTGGAGACTGAGACCAGCCACATGGACTCACTACAGGATGGAAGCCCAATAAAGACTCTGAATACCAAGGCTCGGGAAGCTTCCTTGGCTGGCAATACTCCATGCATACTGTCACACACCAGTGCTGAGAAAGTACCTCTGCCTTGACTCCATGGGGAGAGAACCAGTGCACATTCCATGTTTGGTGCTTTTCCTAGACTCTGCCTTATGTGTCTCTTTGCTTAGCCAATTTTAATCTGTATCCTTTCTCTATAATAAACTGTAACTTTGAGTATAACAATTTTCAATGGGTTCTGTGAGTTCTTCCGGTGAATTATCAAGCCTTGATAGTGGTCTCGGGGTCCCCCAAACTCTGTGGTTGATGTCAGAAGTGAGGATAGTATTATAGACTGTTCCCCCTAACTTTATAGTTGGCTTAACTTTCACAGGAGTAAAAATTGGGACATCTGAAGAAATAAATTTGGCAGTATGTTCCCAGAGCCTTAAAAGTTTCACGTTCTAACCCTTAAGTTCAATTTTTAATTTTCTAAGCTAAGAAAATAATAAATGATGTGGTCAAAGGCATATGTCAAAGTATATATTACAGTATCATATGCAGAAGTGGGAAAAGAGAGAGATTAAATGTTCAACAACAAAAAAGACATATGTGTGTGTGTGTATACATGTAATAGTTACATTTGAGTATTATGAAACCATTAACCTTAAGTTCAACCTTAAGCTAAATAACATGAGATGTATGAGTTAAAATTATGTTGCTTTGGGAGAAATAGTAATGTGAGAAAGTGTTTATTATACTGTAAGTACACACATACCTTGTTTATTTGCACTTCACTTAATTGTGCTTCACTTTATTTGCTTCACAGATAATTTTTCTTAAATTGAAGGTTTGTGAGAACCCTACATCAAGCAAGTCTATCAGTACTATTTTTCCAACAGCATGTGTTCACTTCATGTCTCTGTGCCACATTTTGGTAATTATCACAATATTTCAAGCTTTTCATTATTATGATAACTGTTATGGTGATCTGTGATCAGTGATCTTTGATGTTAACTATCGTAATTATTTTAGGGGGACATAAACTATGCTCATATAAGACAGTGAACTTAATCAACAAATGCTGTGTGTGTTCTGAATGGCTCCACTAACCAGTCATTCCCCTATCTCTCTCTCGCCTCTCTATTCCCTCAGACACAACAATATTGAAATTAGTCTAATCAATAACCCTATAATGGCCTCTAAGTGTTCAAATGAAAGGAAGAGTCACATATCTCCTGCTTTAAATCAAAAGCTAGAAATGACTGAGCTTAGCGAGGAAGATCTGTCAAAAGCTGAGGCAGATCTAAAGCTAGGCCCCTTGTGTAAGGTAGCCATGTTGTGAATGCAAAGGAAAAGTTCTTGAAGCAGATCAGAAATGCTACTCCAGTGAACACATGAATAATAAGAAACTTAAACAGCCTTATTGCTGATATGGGGAAAGTTTTAGTGGCCTGGATATAAGACCAAAACCAACCACAATGTTCCCTTAGCCAAAGCCTAACCCCAAGAGCAAGGCCCTAACTCTCTACAATTCTATGAAGGCTGAGAGAGGTGAGGAAGCTTCAGGAGAAAAGGTTGAAGCTAGCAGAGGTTGGTTGATGAAGTTTAAGGAAAGAAGCCATCTTCGTAACATAACAGTGCAAGGTAAAGCAGCAAGTACTGATGGAGAAGCTGTAGCAAGTTACCCAGAAGATCTAGTTAAGATAATTGATGAGATTATCAACAGATTTTCAGTGTAAATAAAACAGCCTTCTATTAGAAGAAGATGCCACACATGACTTTCATAGCTAGAGAGGAGAATTCATTGCCTGGCTTCAAAGCTTCAAAGGATAAGTTGACTCTCTTGTTAAGGGCTAATGCAGTTGGTGACTTTCAGTTGAAGCCAGTGCCCATTTACCATTCCAAAAACCCAAGGGCCCTTTGGAATTATACTAAATCTACTCTACCTGTGCTCTAGAAATGGAAAAATGAAGCCTGAAGGACAGCATATCTATTTACAGCATCGTTTACTGAGTATTTTCAGCCCACTGTTGAGACCTACTGCTCAGAAGAAAAACAATTTAAAATATAACTATTCATTGACAATGTACCTGGTCACCCAAGAGCTCTGATGGACACGTACAAGGAGATTAATGTTATTTTCATGCCTGCTAACACAATATCCATTCTGTAGCCTATGGATCAAGAAGTAATTTCAATTTTCAAGCCTTATTATTTAAGAAATACATTTCCTAATACTATAGCTGCCATAGACAGTGATTTCACTGATGGCTGTGGGCAAAGTACACTGAATACCTTTTGGAAAAGATTCACCATTCTAGATGCCATTAAGAACAACTATGATTCATGGGGATAGGAGGTCAAAATCTCAACATTAACAGGAGTTTGAAAGAATTTGATTTGAAACCTCGTGAACGATTTTGAGTGGTTCAAGACTTTGGAGGAGGAAATAACTGCAGATGTGGTAGAAATAGCAAAGGAGCTAGAATGAGAAGTGGAGCTTGAAGTTGTGACTGAATTGCTGCAATCTCATGATAAAATTGAACAGATGAAAGATTACTTCTTATGGATGAGCAAAGAATGTAATTTGTTGAAACAGAATAAACTCCTGATGAAGATACTGTGAACATTGTTAAAATGACAACAAATGATTCAGACTATTAAATAAACTCAGTTGATAAAGCAGCAGCAGCTCGAGAGGATTTATACTAATTTTGAAAAGTTCTACTATGGATAAAATGCTATCAAACAACATTGCATGCTATAGAGAAATCTTTCATGAAAGAATGAGTCAATCACTGTGGCAAACTTCATTGTTGTCTTATTTTAAGAAACTGACACAGCCACCCCAATCTGCAGCAACCACCACCCTGATTCATCAGCAACTGTCAATATCGAGGCAAGACCCCCCGCTACAGCAAAAAGATTACAACTTGCTGAAGGCTCAGATGATCATTAACATTTTTTAGCACTAAAATATTTTTAAATTAAGGTATGTACATTTTTTAGACATAATGCTGTTGTACACTTAATAGACTACAGTGTAGTAAACATAACTTTTACAGGCACTGGAAAACTCAGGAATTTGTGTGACTAGCTTTATTGAGAAATCTGCTTTATTGCAATGGTCTAGAAATGAACCTACAATATCTTTGAGGTTTTAAATATAAGTAGACTTTAGCTGAATATTGATTTAATAACTATGCTATACTAGTTAAGATAATTATTTTTAGTGAAAATCTTTTCCTTCGCGTTTCAAATACAGATAGCATTTGTCAGTGTTTTTGTGATGATTAAATTTAGTCTCACCGTGTGGTGAAATTCTCAATAAATGCCTGGAATAAAATGGGAAACCTCATAAATAATTGCTATTATATTTATATAATATCATTTTAAGATAGATTCACAAACACATAAAGAAAAAAGAATAAGCATTATGAAAGGATCAAATGTATACAACACTCAAAGAGTATAAATTCTAATTGTTAGAAAAGTTCAATATACACATTTGACTCCCAAATGCAAGGTTCTCTAACTTTTTATTAAGAATTCCCACATCCATAGTTAAATCTCCAACTTCAATTACATACAGGATATTAATCCCCTCAGAGTGTCATTGCTACTAAAGCTGTCATCTCTATTGCCTTTCAAAGTCTGCCAAACAGAATGGAAATAGGCACCAATGCCACCTAGTGGGAAGTGATTCGATTACTGCATTATGACTCAATTTAAGACTTTTGCTCAATAGGGCAAAAGAAAGTTGGGATTTAGCAATATAAACTTTAATAACTTTCTCCATTTTACCTTGACAAAAATCACAAATTCTTTTGAAAGATTTGCATAGCCTGCTGATGATGCATCAGCTATTTTGCCATGACGATCAAAAACAACTGTGTGACCAGGAACCAGTGCCGACTCAAGAAGTGCACAGCGGTTAGGCTGATAAAGCACCCGCAGCTCAGTGGTGGCTTCACCACTAACCTAAAAGGAAAAACAAAAAAACCCTCTAAATTAGTAACAGAAAAAAAAAATTTAATGTAATCACATTATATACATATACAGGTGTCTACTTCATTTTATGGAAACTTTGTACTATTTATAAAATCTCATGATTTTGAAATTCAGTAGGTTTTATTCCCCAGACTTAATTCCAATGACTTGCTCCAATGACTTCCTTCTCTTGATTTCTCAGAATCCATGGAAGAATGTTGGAAAAATAACTTCATTGGCAGGATAATTTAATAAGATCCTAATATGTATCTTATCATTTTTTTTCATTTTCTCATTTGTGTCCTCCTAATTTAAGAGTATTTGGGACTAAAAACTGAAATCGATAGAAATTTTATCTCATTCCTAAATTTTGCTTTCAAAAATGAAACAAATTGAGAAGGTTATGCTACATTGAGACATGACTATTGTTCAGGACAGCGTTTTAGGTCTCACCCCATCTCCCTCTAGTTCCCCAGGGAGGCAGTAGGGTGTGAAGAGGAAAAGTCGTTGGTGCCTCTTGAATGGCTAGATCCAAAACACTAAGTCTATCAACCTCAGCAAAGTTCTATTGCCCAAGTATGGCAGGGAGGCGGCAGAGCTATTGATCTGCAAGAAACCATCTGACACTGGATGAGCACATCTCAGTAACCAGTGTGGTTCAAAGCTATGACAGCTGTCACCAGATATTCTGAGGCCCACCATACCAGATGAAATCTTCTGTGAAACAAGATGAGTCCCATAGTAACTAAAATGAAATCTCCCACCAACCTACTGCAACCTAGTGGAATAAGGGCTTTAAGGTAGCCTTAATTTGATTTTAGAAAAATATAGTAGTTGAAGAGATATTTCTTCAACTCTTAATTCAATGGAGTAGATTCCATATCCATAGTCATATTTCTTAAGCATATACTATGACCAGGCTCCATACTGATCAGAATGTGCTATGAACTACAGTGTAGGGTACCTTATGAAGTCCAGAGCAGAGAAGAAAAGGCTTCATGGAAAAATCTGACTGACTGATCACTTAGTCAGAATTTCAGGCATACAAATACACAAGGTGGGTTTTTTTTTCAATAAGTATTATTTTCCCTTAGGTTAAATAACATCCCATGAGTTGAAATCAGCCTGTAATGCCAGTATTTTGGGAGGCTGAGGCAGGAAGAATGCTTGAGCCCAGGAATTCGAGGCTGCAGTGAGTTCTGATCATGCCAACTGCCCTCTAGCCTGGGTAACAGAGCAAGACCTTGTCTCAAAAAAAAAAAAAATTATTGTATAGCATTATATGAGGAAGCTGTAGCACTGGTGTTAGTGTCAGACTGCCTATATTAAATTCCTGCTTCCACACTTACTAGCTTGTGACTCTGTGCAACTCACTTAATCCTATTTTTCATGTTCCTCTTCTGTTAAATACAAATAATAATGGATTATCTCATCTAGTAGATTTAAGAATGAAATATTGTAATACATATTAAGCACTTAAAACAGTGCATTAAAGTTATCGTACAATGTATTATTTTAAAAAATAAATAACATGTATGCATTACATTAAATGCTACTTTTCAAATCTAAACTAAGCAACACAAGGTATAACTATAAAAAATTATTGTTTTTTCTCCAACAATATGGTCCCTAAAAGGGCCATTGAGAAGTCAGTCTTCTTTTGAAAGCTCATTAAAATTTTGAATGTTATTAGAGAATTGGTCTACTTTTTCTTGTCTAAATTCCAATTGCTGAAATTTGGAACCATTTATGCATCACAGTCTCAACAATTAGTGAAACAAAACAGAATGAAAAAAGTGCTAGTACAAGCCAAAAGGAAATGGTAATCTTATAAATGTATCTTATACAAAAAAATATACAGACATAATACTATTGATATATGGCAAAAAGAAAATTTACTACACACCATTCCAGTGACAATGCCATTGTCAAGAGCAAGAGAAAGATGCCTCATCTCATGACTTTGGAAAATGCATATATTTCTTTTGTTGAAAATAACATCAAAGACACCTGGAAAACATTTTTAAAGTATTAGAAAGCAAGTTTGGCTTTTAAAACTTTTTTCATTCAATATATACTGAAATCTCTTAATAATATATTTTAAACTTCTCAATTAAATGTTTTCAGTTAAAGGTAAAATGCATCTCCACAGTATGTTCAGTTTGTGAAAATTCATAGTATAATGTATGCACTTTTCTCATCTATATGTATGTGAATAAAATGATTTTAAAAACTGGTGATTCCTTGATCCATGACCTATTTCATTTCCTAGTCTGTGTGTTGTATGTATTTGAGTATGTACGTATATACACAGCTATATCTATATACATATACAATATACTAATATATCAAATATATTAAATATATAACATGTAATGTGTATTATATAATATTTACAAAATGATTTCATGATAACAAAGTTAAACTTTCTTTTATTTTATTATACTTTAAGTTCTGGGGTACATGTGCACAACGTGCAGGTTTCTAATATAGGTATACATGTGCCATGTTGGTTTGCTGCACCCATCAACTCATCATTTACATTAGGTATTTCTCCTAATGCTATCCCTCCCCCAGGACCCCAACCCCCGATAGGCCTTGATGTGTGATGTTCCCCTCCCTATGTCCATGTGTTCTCATTGTTCAACTCCCACTTATGAGTGAAAACATGAGGTGTTTGGTTTTCTCTTCTTGTGTTACTTTGCTGAGAATGATGGTTTCCAGTTTCATCCATGTCCCTGCAAAGGACATGAACTCACCCTTTTTTATGACTGCAGAGTATTCCATGGTGTATATGTGCCACATTTTCTTTATCCAGTCTATCATTGATGGACATTTGTGTTGGTTCCAAGACTTTGCTATTGTGAACAGTGCTGCAATAAACATACGTGTGCATGTGTCTTTATAGCAGAATGATTTATAATCCTTTGGGTATATACCCAGGAATGGGATTTGCTGGGTCAAATGGTATTTCTAGTTCTAGATCCTTGAGGAATCACCACACTGTCTTCCACAATGGTTGAACTAACTTACACTCCCACCAACAGCGTAAAAGCGTTCCTATTTCTCCACATCCTCTCCAGTATCTGTTGTTTCCTGACATTTTAATGATCGTCATTCTAACTGGCTGGAGGTGGTATCTCATTGTGGTTTTGATTTGCATTTCTCTGATGACCAGTGATGATGAGCATTTTTTCATAAGTTTGTTGGCTGCATAAATGTCTCTTTTGAGAAGTGTTTGTTCATATCCTTTGCCCATTTTTTGATGGGGTTGTTTTTTTCTTGTAAATTTGTTTAAGTTCTTTGTAGATTCTGGATATTAGCCCTTTGTCAGATGGGTAGATTGCAAAACTTTTCTCCCATTCTGTAGGTGGCCTGTTCACTCTGATGATAGTTTCTTTTGCTGTGCAGAAGCTCTTTAGCTGAATTAGATCCCATTTGTCAGTTTTTTCTTTTGTTGCCCTTGCTATTGGTGTTTTAGTCATGAAGTCTTTTTCCATGCTTATGTCCTGAATGGTATTGCCTAGGTTTTCTTCTAGGGTTTTTATGGTTTTAGGTGTTACGTTTAAGTCTTTAATCCATCTTGAGTTAATTTTTGTATAAGGTGTAATGAAGGGATCCAGTTTCGGCTTTCTACATATGGCTAGCCAGTTTTCCCAGCACCATTTATTAAATAGGGAATCCTCTCCCCATTGCTTGTTTTTGTCAGGTTTGTCAAAGATCAGTTGGTTGTAGATGTGTGGTGTTATTTCTGAGGGCTCTGTTCTGTTTCATTGGTCTACATATCTGTTTGGGTACCAGTACCATGCTGTTTTGGTTTCTGTAGCCTTGAGAAAACGCTGGAATTTTTTCCTTGGAACTGGACTGTGATGAGAGGTGCTTGCCATGAACATAAGCTACTGTCTTTTCTTTTCTTTTTTTGAGATGGAGTTTCGCTTTTGTTGCCCAGGCTGGAGTGCAATGGCACAATCTTGGCTCACTGCAGCATCTGCCTCCCAGGTTCAAGTGATTCTCCTGCCTCAGCCTCCTGAGTAGTTGGGATCACAGGCATGCGCCACCATGCCCAGCTAATTTTTGTATTTTTCGTAGAGACGGGGTTTCTCCATGTTGGTCAGGCTGATCTCGAACTCCCGACCTCAGGAGATCCACCTGCCTCAGACTACCAAAGTTCTGGGATTACAGGCATGAGCCATCACGCCCGGCCAGGTACTGTCTTTTTTTTGACCCTTCCTTTCCAGTTTTTGAAGATAACGCAGGAAATAATCTTCTCTGGATAAAAATTCCCCCAAAAAAAGGAAACACATGCTTCCACTTCATTGATAAAAATGTAGTGCTGTTCGGCACCTAGGTCTAGATGAGCTGATTGATGCGTTCACCCCGATAGCCAGGTGTGCCCATCTCCTTGAGGAAGCCCACTCTATTTTTGGTAGCGTGACGGGCCACTGAAAGGTGGAAAGGGTGCAAGAACCATGAGATCTCCTGGAAATGATTCCCTGGGAAGGCAATTTCATGAATGAGGTCTTCCAAGCAAATGATGTCAAACTTCCCCAGGTGCTCCTCAATCACTGTGTTGTCTGTCAGAAGAACGATCTTATTCTTGACCTTGGCTTGTCCACATTTCAAAATGAGTTACTGGACAGACTTCAGATTTGGAAATCCGCAGGTCACATAACGTTCCACTATACGTGGCATTTTTAGGTTCTGGGGGGTGACTTTTACCAAGACACCACTAAACATTTTCTTTAGGCGAAGTCTTGAAGTGGTTCTCTGCACCAGTAAAATCACACCATCAATCCTTTTGATGCGTACAACAAAGGCCAAGGAATGTTTATCTGGCAATTCTAAGGCATGAGGTTTCACTTCTGGTCATCTGAGACGTACTTTGTCACGTTTCTGCTGCCAGGAGTCATGTAGGAATAATTCCAGTCACTTAAACCTGAGCCCTTTTCCTTTCCTCTGCTCCTTCTTTGCCAAAAGTGCCTGCTTTGCCTGGGTGGCTTCGAGGGCTTGATAAGCTTTCCTCTTTTTCAGGAGACTTTCTGGAACAAAGGGATTTTTTCTTTGCTCTTGCTCCGCCATCTTTCTAGTGTTGCACAAAGTTAGATTTTCTAAAATGAACCAATCCTTCATTTCTTACTATTGTCAGCACAGCCCATTTTGTATTAACTAAAAATTTTGAGTTTAGTCAATATATACCAAATGAAGGAGGATTATGGTAGTTATTGGGTAATTTATAGTCCCAAATCCCAATTTTTAGCATGGAATTATTTAATTACCTGCTTTACTATATGTGTATATTCATCTAGCATTGGTAAATGCAATAAATTAATTCTACCTTTATAATTCTATTCCAGTTAACCACACAGGCAAACACTTTTAGTTAAGAATAAGGTCTGATGCAGAGGTTAACTATAGAATTTCAATTTTTAAAAGGATTTTACTATATATTTATATGATTTTATATTCATTTAAAGTCATATTTCTAAAAATGAAAGACACAGATTAGTTCAATAGACCACTCCAAATGGAAATCTTCCTGTTTAATTAATTTCTAATTTATTTTTGTCTACATAATAAAATGCATCTTAATGTTTAAGACTTAGGATCTCATAAAATTAAACCATGTTGACAAGCACTTACAGATGATCCTGGGGGTTAGGGTGTTATTGAAATAAGGAAAGAAACAAGAACTAGGAATTCTGACTTTGAGTCTGACACAACTCATTAGATAACCTTGGACAAAGCACTGTTCTTCTCTCTGTCAATTTCCTCATCAATAAAATCAAGGCAAGAATTCTCAAATGACTTGTTCAGATGATTCATTAATTGTGCAAACTAATGAGTTCACAATGAAAGAATCTGAAAACTAAAGGTGTTCCTGAAAATGTTCTAAGAATAATTTTCTGGTTTAATTTAATCTTCTTATTGTTCTAATGATTTCATAAATACCAGAATTTAAATTCATAAAACTATAAAGGTATTATCTTATTTTTTTCAGTAAGAACTCAATAATTAAAATAATAAAAATTTACATATTTTGTTATAAAAATTTCTTTATTTTAAAGTTTATCAAGAATATCAACTACAAGTTCTATGAAGAGATGGCTATTTATCTTACTGTCATTGCTGTTAGTCCCACACGTAAGACTATCTCATCAACAGTTAAGTATTTTATAAATATTTGTTGAATAAATCAGTTATTTCTGCTGAGAAAAAAAAAATTAAGGGTCCCGATTTTAAGAAGTAAAGCATTCCTCAGCAAATGCAAAAGAACAGAAATTATAACAAACTGTCTCTCAGACCACAGTGCAATCAAACTAGAACTCAGGATTAAGAAACTCACTCAAAACCGCTCAACTACATGGAAACTGAACAACCTGCTCCTGAATGACTACTGGGTGCATAACGAAATGAAGGCAGAAATAAACATGTTCTTTGAAACCAACGAGAACAAAGACGCAACATACCAGAATCTCTGGGACACATTCAAAGCAGTGTGTAGAGGGAAATTTATAGCACTAAATGCCCACAAGAGAAAGCAGGAAAGATCCAAAATTGACATCCTAACATCACAATTAAAAGAACTAGAAAAGCAAGAGCAAACACATTCAAAAGCTAGCAGAAGGCAAGAAATAACTAAAATCAGAGAAGAACTGAAGGAAATAGAAACACAAAAAACCCTATAAAAAATTAATGAATCCAGGAGGTGGTTTTTTGAAAAGATCAACAAAATTGATAGACCGCTAGCAAGACTAATAAAAAAGAAAAGACAGAAGAATCAAATAGATGCAATAAAAAATAATAAAGGGGATATCACCACCGATCCCACAGAAATACAAACTACCATCAGAGAATACTACAAACACCTCTACGCAAATAAACTAGAAAATCTAGAAGAAATGGATAAATTCCGCAACACATATACCCTCCCAAGACTAAACCAGGAAGAAGTTGAATCTCTGAATAGACCAATAACAGGCTCCGAAATTGTGGCAATAATCAATAGCTTACCAACCAAAAAGAGTCCAGGATCAGATGGATTCACAGCTGAATTCTACCAGAGCTACAAGGAGGAGCTGGTACCATTCCTTCTGAAACTATTCCAATCAATAGAAAAAGAGGGAATCTTCCCTAACTCATTTTATGAGGCCAGCATCATCCTGATACCAAAGCCTGGCAGAGACACAACAAAAAAAGAGAATTTTAGACCAATATCCTCGATGAACGTTGATGCAAAAATCCTCAATAAAATACTGGCAAACTGAATCCAGCAGCACATCAAAAAGCTTATCCACTATGATCAAGTGGGCTTCATCCCTGGGATGCAAGGCTGGTTCAACATATGCAAATCAATAAATGTAATCCAGCATATAAATAGAACCAAAGACAAAAACCACATGATTATCTCAGTAAATGCAGAAAAGGCCTTTGGCAAAATTCAACAACCCTTCATGCTAAAAACTCTCAATAAATTAGGTATTGATGGGATGTATCTCAAAATAATAAGAGCTATCTATGACAAACCCACACCCAATATCATACTGAATGGGCAAAAACTGGAAGCATTCCCTTTGAAAACTGGCACGAGACAGGGATGCCCTGTCTCACCACTCCTATTCAACATAGTGTTGGAAGTTCTGGCCAGGGCAATTAGGCAGGAGAAGGAAATAAAGGGTATTCAATTAGGAAAAGAGGAAGTCAAATTGTCCATGTTTGCAGATGACATGATTGTATATCTAGAAAACCCCATTGTCTCAGCCAAAAATTTCCTGAAGCTGATAAACAATGTCAGCAAAGTCTCAGGATACAAAATCAATGTACAAAAATCACAAGCATTCTTATACACCAATAACAGACAAACAGAGAGTCAAATCATGAGTGAACTCCCATTCACAATTGCTTCAAAGAGAATAAAATATCTAGGAATTCAACTTACAAGGGACAGGAAGGACCTCTTCAAGGAGAACTACAAACCACTGCTCAACGAAATAAAAGAGGATACAAACAAATGGAAGAACATTCCATACTCATGGGTAGGAAGAATCAATATTGTGAAAATGGCCATACTGTCCAAGGTATTTTATAGATTCAAGGCCATCCCCATCAAGCTACCAATGACTTTCTTCACAGAATTAGAAAAAACTACTTTCAAGTTCATATGGAACCAAAAAAGAGCCCGCATCACCAAGTCAATCCTAAGCCAAAAGAACAAAGCTGGAGGCATCACACTACCTGACTTCAAACTATACTACAAGGCTACAGTAATCAAAACGGCATGGTAATGGTACCAAAACAGAGATATAGACCAATGGAACAGAACAGAGCCCTCAGAAATAATGCCTCATATCTACAACCATCTGATCTTTGACAAACCTGACAAAAACAAGCAATGGGGAAAGGATTCCCTATTTAATAAATGGTGCTTGGAAAACTGGCTGGCCATATGTAGAAAGCTGAAACTGGATCCCTTCCTTACACCTTATACAAAAATTAATTCAAGATGGATTAAAGACGTAAATGTTAGACCTAAAACCATAAAAACCCTAGAAGAAAACCTAGGCAATACCATTCAGGACATAGGCATGGGCAAGCACTTCATGGCTAAAACACCAAAAGCAATGGCAACAAAAGCCAAAATTGGCAAATGGGATCTAATTAAACTAAAGAGCTTCTGCACAGCAAAAGAAACCACAATCAGAGTGAACAGGCAACCTACAGAATGGGAGAAAATTTTCGCAACCTACTCATCTGACAAAGGGCTAATATCCAGAATCTACAATGAACTCAAACAAATTTACAAGAAAAAAACAAACAACCCCATCAAAAAGTGGGCGAAGGACATGAACAGACACTTCTCAAAAGAAGACATTTATGCAGCCAAAAGACACATGAAAAAATGCTCATTATCACTGGCCATCAGAGAAATGCAAATCAAAAGCACAATGAGATACCATCTCACACCAGTTAGAATGGCAATCATTAAAAAGTCAGGAAACAACAGGTGCTGGAGAGGATGTGGAGAAATAGGAATAGTTTTACACTGTTACTGGGACTGTAAACTAGTTCCACCATTGTGGAAGTCAGTGTGGTGATTCCTCAGGGATCTAGAACTAGAAATACCATTTGACCCAGCCATCCTATTACTGGGTATATACCCAAAGGACTATAAATCATGCTGCTATAAAGACACATGCACATGTATGTTTATTGTTGCACTATTCACAATAGCAAAGACTTGGAACCAACCCAAATGTCCAACAACGATAGACTGGATTAAGAAAATGTGGCACATATACACCATGGAATACTATGCAGCCATAAAAAACGATGAGTTCATGTCCTTTGTAGGGACATGGATGAAATTGGAAATCATCATTCTCAGCAAATTATCACAAGGACAAAAAACCAAACACCACATGTTCTCACTCATAGGTGGGAATTGAACAACGAGAACACATGGACACAGGAAGGGGAACATCACACTCTGGGGACTGTTGTAGGGTTGGGGGAGGGGGGAGCGACAGCATTAGGAGATATACCTAATGCTAAATGACGAGTTAATGGGTGCTGTACACGAACATGGCACATGTATACATATGTAACAAACCTGCACATTGTGCACATGTACCCTAAAACTTAAAGTATAATAATAATAAAATAAAATAAAAATAAAAAGCCAGAGACTTTGAAAAATATATATATATTTGTATGCTTTTTCCCCTATTAATCTGCATTTTATCAGTGATTTTTAGTGAATCTTCACAAGGAAAAGGGGAAGTTTTCCCTTGTCCCCTACATGCTCTTCACTCAAAGGTGTTCCTAGGGTTCTATCTTTAAATGACTACCGTTCTCATGCCTCTTCTTCTCGCTCCCTGGGAAGTCTGCTTTAATAATCTATAAATTGAGAAATTCTAAACCTGTATCTCCACTCATCTCTCGCTCAGCATCAGGTTCATATACTTTTGCATGTAAACAACTGGATGTTTCATGAGCACTTCAAACTTAGAATGCACAAACTAGAACTCATAATTTTCCACACATTCCTAGCTTTCAAATCTAATCCTTCTAAATCCTTCTAGATTTATTTCTTCAGTTAGTGACTCAATGAATAATTCAATTACCCAATGCAGAAACCTTAGAGTAATCCTTTTCCCTTAACATTCCTTTTCCAATATATCACCAAGCCCTGCCAATTTTGCTTGCTAGAAATTCTTCAAATTTTTCTTTCTTCTCAATCAATATTCCCACTGAAGTACTCAAAGTCCTCATCACCTTTTGCTTGCCATATTACAAAAACCTACTGACTGGTCTTTCCTTTTCTAATCTTCCTCCATATGCCTCAAATCTGGCCTCCACTTAGCTGCCAAAGTGTTTCTACTCTACTTCAAATCCATTCGTGGCTATCTCTCAAACCAGGAGGGAATAAAGGAAGCTGATTTTGGACATGCAACTTCTCTCCCAGAGCCTTTTGTAATAGGCAAAGAGTAGCCATGGAAGAGTAAAGGTTTAAATTACCAAATGCAGTTGACAGCTTTGGGTTCCTAGCAGACTGCTTTTAACATGAGATGATTATGGTTGTAGTGGTGGGGGAAAATGTTTAAAACTTGTTTTACAACTTCTAGAGTAAAACATAAGCTTAAACACTCCCTGTTGCAACCACATGCAGTACAACACTTGAAACTAACGTTAGATCTCTTGCGAGATTCTGAATTGAGAAATTCAGCAATTTGATACAAATAGCCCTGATTTGCTGCAGCTCAGTAAAGGTGCTACACTTCATACTATATACTTAAGTCAGAGAGTTACAGTATACATCCCAGAAAAAATCAGCAGCCATTCCCCTATTAATATGTACATGTATTTCCAAGACATCCAGAATTCTCTACTCCCCTGACGTCTCCTCTCCCCAAGGTTTCTTTCTCTATTTAGGGATTGAAGTTCTCAGTAAAGGGGGCTGAACCAGACAATACCCAATTTAGAGCACATCCATTTCCAATCTAAAACAAAGGAGGTCTTTCAAACTCTGCTCAGAAAATAGAGGGGTTTGATTTCAGAGAAGTATAGTTAAGATGTGGTAAGAACTGGGCAGTAGAAAAACTGGCCAGTGTATAGTTAGTGTTATACACTAATAAACCTTTTTTCAGATTCTTAATTAGAACCAAGTACAGAGAACCAGACAGAGACAAGAACTGCAGCTAATCATCACAGGATATTCACTAGAAATAGGGCCTAAAATTATGTTGATTAACTATTAGCAATGACCTCAGAGAGGAACTGGAATTCCATTAGTACCAAGGGTTAGGTAAGGAGACCAAAGAAAATTTACACAGGTGGCAGGTATTGAAATTGGCTATATTTTTATCTATTCAAAGGGAATTAGAGAACAACCAGCAAAATAATTTTTTTAAGTTGAAGCAAAGGGAAAAAAGGTATTACCCTCTTCAACACACCATACAAATTATTTACTGAAGCAGTAATTTTTAAAATTTAGAAGTTTGTCTTGAAAGTGCAAAGAAGATTTAAGAAGCTATATCCCCTATGAAATAATTCTCTTTAAATTGTCACTTCACTTTAGTTGAAACTGGAACTGGAAACTTAAAAAGTATGTATTAGAGATATGGTGACTGTATAACTGACTGTCATTAGGGCACCACTGAGAGTGAAAGGGGATGCCAAGTAAATAGAAAACTATGTCACAAACAAAAGTGGGTAGAGTGTACAGCCCCATTAACTAGTTATGCTTTATGCAAAAAAACCTTAGCCTTACTTTCCAAATTTAAATAAGTGTGCCTTTATTTGTTTCAAGTACATATACAAGCTTATGTATTTGTTATTATTTCTACTTTAATGGCAAGAGTGTAGTGAGTCTGAGACTCATGCAACACTGATGACAGTGAAAACTGGTATAACTTCTGGAAAGAGATGTGGCAATATTTATAAAGAGACTTAGCATCCTTTGTAACCTAGTAATTGACTTTGAAAGAAGGAGCTGGGTATGCCAACTTAGGCCCCAAGAAAGGAAATAACTTTTCATCTGAGGAATGCTAATCCCTTTAAATTGTCAGGCCCAGAGAGGCATTTAAAATGTAACGAGACAGGGATGCCCTCTCTCACCACTCCTATTCAACATAGTGTTGGAAGTTCTGGCCAGGGCAATCAGGCAAGAGAAAGAAATAAAGGGTATTCAATTAGGAAAAGAGGAAGTCAATTTGTCCCTGTTTGCAGATGACATGATTGTATATTTAGAAAACCCCATCATCTCAGCCCAAAATCTCCTTAAGCTGATGAGCAACTTCAGCAAAGTCTCAGGATACAAAATCAATGTAAAAAAATCACAAGCATTTCTATACATCAATAACAGACAAAGAGACAGCCAAATCATGAGTGAACTCCCATTCACGATTGCTACAAAGAGAATAAAACACCTAGGAATCCAACTTACAAGGGATGTCAAGGACCTCTTCAAGAAGAACTACAAACCACTGCTCAACGAAATAAAAGATGACACAAACAAATGGAAAAACATTCCATGCTCATGGATAGGAAGAATCAATATCGTGAAAATGGCCATACTGCCCAAGGTAATTTGTAGATTCAGTGCCATCCCCATCAAGTTACCGATGTCTTTCTTCACAGAATTGGAAAAAACTACTTTCAAGTTCATATGGAATCAAAAGATAGCTGCATTGCCAAGACAATCCTAAGCCAAAAGAACAAAGCTGGAGGCATCATGCTACCTGACTTCAAACTATACTACAAGGCTACAGTAACCAAAACAGCATGGTACTGGTACCAAAACAGATATATAGACCAGTGGAACAGAGCAGAGGCCTCAGAAATAACACCACACATCTACAACCATCTGATCTTTGACAAACCTGACAGAAACAAGAAATGGGGAAAGGATTCCCTATTTAATAAATGGTGCTGGGAAAACTGGCTAGCCATATGTAGAAAGCTGAAACTGGATCCCTTCCTTACACCTTATACAAAAATTAATTCGAGATGGATTAAAGACTTAAATGTTAGACCTAAAACCATAAAAACCCTAGAAGAAAACCTAGGCAATACTATTCAGGACATAGGCATGGGCAAGGACTTCATGACTAAAACACCAAAAGCGATGGCAACAAAAGCCAAAATAGACAAATGGGATGTAATTAAACTAAAGAGCTTCTGTGCAGCAAAAGTAACTATCATCAGAGTGAACAGGCCACCTACAGAATGGGAGAAAAGTTTTGCAATCTACCCATCTAACAAAAGTCTAATATCCAGAATCTACAAAGAACTTAAACAAATTTATAGGAAAAAAACAAACAACCCTATCAAAAAATGGGCCAAGGATATGAATAGACACTTCTCAAAAGAAGACATTTATGCAGCCAACAAACATGTGAAAAAAAGCTAATCATCACTGGTCATTAGAGAAATACAAATCAAAACCACAATGAGATACCATCTCACACCAGTTAGAATGGCAGTCATTAAAATGTCAGGAAACAACAGATGCTGGAGGGGATGTGGAGAAATAGGAACGCTTTTACACTGTTGGTGGGAGTGTAAATTAGTTCAACCATTGTGGAAGACAGTGTGGCGATTCCTCAAGGATCTAGAACCAGAAATACCATTTGACCCAGCAAATCCCATTCCTGGGCATATACCCAAAGGATTATAAGTCATTCTGCTATAAAGACACATGCACATGTATGTTTATTGTGGCACTGTTCACAGTAGCAAAGTCTTGGAACCGACACAAATGCCCATCAATGATAGACTTGATAAAGAAAATGTGGCGTATATACACCATGGAATATTATGCAGCCATAAAAAAGGATGAGTTCATGTCCTTTGCAGAGACATGGATGAAACTGGAAACCATCATTCTCAGCAAAGTAACACAAGAAGAGAAAACCAAACACCGCATGTTTTCACTCATAAGTGGGAGTCGAACAATGAGAACACATGGACATAGGGAGGGGAACATCACAAACCGGGGCCTGTCAGGGGTTGGGGGACTAGGGGAAGGATAGCATTAGGAGAAATACCTAATGTAGATGATGGGTTGTTGGGTGCAGCAAACCACTATGGCATGTGTATACCTACGTAACAAACCTGCACGTTCTGCACATGTATCCCCGAAGTTAAAGTATAATAAAAAATATTTTTTAAAAAAATAGGATTATGCAGAGGCATGTCCACTCTGCCTGTGACTACTAGGGCAGAAAAAGCAGGCATCCGCAGCTTAACTAATAATCTTCATTCACCTATACAAAACGTTCTGTTGCAGGCTTCCTGTTTTTCTTCAAACCACTGCTTTTTAGACTTTTACTTTCCTGATTCTTTCTAGGAATTGAGTAATACAAAAGATTCTTTTTAATAATAAAAAAAGAAAAATGCAATTATCTTTTCCATGTGTTATAGTCTGACATGGCATGAATAAACACTCCAAAAACAAAAAGCAAAAAATCCACACTCAAAACCTGGTAAAATTATTTACATAAATCAATACGGAGATAATCTAGGACAGAGGAAAACTTCCAGTTGTGTAATATATTGTAAATATTTAAAAACATTTTAGTAGCATGAATCAATTATATCCAAATCCAGATTATAAATTTTTTCTCTTGAAAGTCTACTATTATAAAATTAAAAAAACTATATGAATCTGTATTTTATAGTAAATATTTTGAAATGTCAAGGGATGTAAAGTTTGTGAAACTGGCCCTGACATAAAAGTAGCCATCAAGGGTTCAGTGTTAAAAACTGAATAGCTTTCATTGTCTGGTCCTTCCTTTTAGTGATAAGATCCCACAATAGAGACAACACTTCTTTGTGACTGCCATTGTCAATGTTGTTACAGTATTGTTTCTAGTACCTAAAGAGTTTATCATAAAATGAAGTTCCCTGTGCCATTTCAAAGAACTTCTCATGCTGTGTGTCTGCTTTTAGGCATAGTATTGCCTAGAAGTGGTTCAGCAGAACTCAGAGAAATGGGTACTCTAACTCTCTAAGTATGGAAAAAACTAAATTCACAAGCAGCTGAATAACTAAATAGAAATATTGGTTCATGGTGGCAAAAAAAAAAAAACTTTTTCTGGAGTGAAAATTGTAAGTCAAAATGTCTCAGGGAGATAGTCTTGAAATATTTTCTTGAAAAGATGTCTACAGGTCAGCATTGTTCATCAAAACACTTTCCAGGCATGTGAAAACTGATTCGTTAGTGTGAATTTATGGGACACTGAGCATAACATCAGGAAATAATCCTGCAAGTAATTATCACACATAAAAGACCTCCTGTTGCAAAAATGTCAGTTACATTGAGGAAAATTACTCATATTATCCTCCACCTGCCTTTTTTAGAACTTCTCATTCTGCTTTGTATATGGCAAGACTAGCATATTAAGATGCTAGAAACACTGAAGGGTAAAAAGTTTTTCTATTTGCATCATCTACCAGTTAGTTTGATCTACAGAGAGGCTCACATGCTAGCAGTTGGTGATGGCTGCTGGTTGGAGATTCAGCTGGGGCTGTCAGGGCCAGTTCTTTCCTGAAGGACCTCTCTGCATGGCTGCCTGGTTTCCTTTCCACCTGAGGGCTGGGTTCCAAGAAGGATTAATTCGAGAAGTAAGGATAGAAGATGCAGACCTTAGAAGTTCAAGTGTTGCATCAGCTGCATTCAATTAGTCATAAAACTGAGAAGAGGGGTGTCCAGTCTTTTGGCTTCCCCAGGCCACATTGGAAGAATTGTCTTGGGCCACACATGAAATACACTAACACTAAGGATAGCTGATGAGCTAAAAGAAAAAAAAAATCTCATCATGTTTTAAGAAAGTTCATGAATTTGTGCTGTGTTCAAATTCATTCTCTGGCTCATTCTCTAGAAGGAAGGATGGACAGCCCTATATAAGATTAGAGTTTCCACTCCTCAGTAAATGCAAAAGAACTGAAATCATAACAGTCTCTCAGATCACAGTGCAGTCAAATTAGAACTCAAAATTAAGAAATTCATTCAAAACCACACAACTACATGGAAATTGAACGACCTGCTCCTGAATGAATCCTGGGTAAATAACGAAATTAAGGCAGAAATCAAGAAATTCTTTGAAACTAATGAGAACAAAGAGACAACACACCAGAACTCTGGGACACAGCTAAAGCAGTATTAAGAGGGAAATTTATAGCACTAAATGCCCTCATCAAAAAGTTAGACCTCAAATCAACAACCTAACATCACAACTAAAGGAACTAGAGAACCAAGAGCAAATAAACTCCAAAGCTAGTAGAAGACAAGAAATAACAAATATCAGAGCTGAACTGAAGGAGACAGAGACATAAAAAACCCTTCAAAAAATCAACAAATCCAGGAGCTGGTTTTTTGAAAAAAATTAATAAAATAGACAGACTGCTGCACCTATCAACCCATCACCTAGGTATTAAGCCCAGCATGCATAGCTCTTTTCCCTAATGCTCTCCCACCTCTGCCCTCCCACAACAAGCCGCAGTAAGTGTTGTTCCCCTCCCTGTGTCCATGTGTTCTCATGTTCAGCCCCCACTTATAAGTGAGAACATGGGGTGTTTGGTTTTCTGTTCCTGTGTTAGTTTGCTGAGAATATTGGCTTCCAGCTTCATCCATGTCCCTGCAAAGGGCATGATCTCATTCCTTTTTATGGCTGCATAGTATTCCATGGTGTATATGTACCTGCACATCCTGCACATGTACCTCAAAACTTAAAAAATAAAAAAGTAAAATAGGCCACTAGTTAGATGAATAAAGAAGAAAAAAGAGTCAAATGGACACAATCAGAAATGATAAAGGAAATATCACCACTGACCCCAAAGAAATACAAACAGCCATCAGATAATACTATAAACACCTCTATGTACACAAACTAGAAAATCTAGAAGAAATGGATAAATTCCTGGATGCACACACCCCCGCAAGACTGAACCAAGAAGAAACTGAATCCCAAAATAGATGAATAAGGAGTTCTGAAATTGAGGCAGTAATAAATAGCCTACCAACCAAAAAAAGCCTACTACCAGACAGATTTACAGCTGAATTCTACCAGAAGTTCAAAGAGGACCTGGTACCATGTGTACTGAAACTATTCCAAACAACTGAAAAGCAGGGACTCCTCCCTAACTCATTTTATGAGGCCAGCATCATTCTGATAGCAAAACCTGGCAGAGATACAACAAAAAAAGAAAACTTCAGGCCAATATCCCTGATTAACATAGATGCAAAAATCGTCAATAAAATCCTGGCAAACAGATACAACAGCACATCAAAAAGCTTATCCATCACGATCAAGTTGGCGTCGTCCCTGGGATGCAAGGTTGATTCAACATACAAAAATCAATAAATGTAATTCATCACATAAACAGAACTAAAGACAAAAACCACACGATTATCTCAATAGACACAGAAAAGACCTTTGGTAAAATTCAACATCCCTTCATGTTAAAAAAAAAAAAAAAAAACTCTCAAGCAACTAGGTATTGAAGGAACATACCTCAAAATAATAAGAGCCATATATGACAAACCCACAGCCACTACCATACTGAGTGGGCAAAAGCTGGAAGCATTCCCTTGGAAAGCAGGCACAAGATAAGGATGCCCTCTCTTACTACTCCTATTCAACATATTATTGGAAGTCCTGGCCTGGGCTAACAGGCAAGAGGAGGAAATAAAGTGTATGCAAATAGGAAGAGAGGAAGCCAAATTATCTTTGTTTGCAGATGACATAATCCTATATCTAGAAAATCCCATTGTCTCAACCCAAAAGCTTCTTAAACTAGTAAGCAACTTTAGCCCCAGGATACAAAATCAATGTGCAAAAATCATAAGCATTCATATACACCAACAACAAGCATGCAGAGAGCCAAATCATGAATGAACTCCCATTCACGATTGCTACAAAGAGAATAAACTACCTAGGAATACAGCTAACAAGGAAAGTGAAGGATCTCTTCAAGGAGAACTGCAAACTGCTGCTCAAGGAAATCAGAGAGGACACAAACAAATAGAGAAACAGTCCATGCTCACAGAGAGGAAGAATCAATATCATGCAAATGGCCACACTGCCCAAAGTAATTTATAGAGCCAATGCCATTACCATTAAATCACCATTGACATTCTTAATGGAATTAGAAAAAAAGCTGTGTTAAAATTCATATGGAACCAAAGATGAGCCCATATAGCAAAGACAATTCTAAACAAAAAGAACAAAGCTGGAGTCATCATGCTACCTTACTTCAAACTATGCTATAAGGCTACAGTAACCAAAACAGCACGGTACTGTTACCAAAACAGATATATATAGACCAATGGAACAGAACAGAGGCCTCAGAAATAATGCCACATATCTACAGCCATCTGATCTTTGACTAACCTGACAAAAACAAGCAATAGGAAAAGGACTCCCTATTTAACAAATGGTGTTGGGAAAACTGACTAGCCATATGCAGAAAATGGAAACTGGACCCCTTCCTTACACCTTATACACAAATTAACTCAAGATGAATTAAAGACTTAAATGTAAACCCCAAAACAATAAAAACCCTAGAAGAAAATCTAGGCAATACTATTCAGGACACAGGTGGGGAAAGCAATGGCAACAAAATTACACCAAAAGCAATTTCAACAAAAGAAAAAATTGACAAATGGGATCTAATTAAACTAAAGAGCTTCTGCACAGTAAAAGAAACTATCATCAGCGTGAACAGAAAGCCTAGAGAATGGGAGAAAAATTTTGCAAACTATCCATCTGACAAAGGTCTAATATTCAGAGTCTACAAGGAACTTCAACAAATTTACAAGAAAAAAAAACCCATTAGAGAAATGTAAATTAAAGAAATGTAAATCAAAACCACAATGAGATACCATCTCACATCAGTCAGAATGGAGATTATTAAAAAGTCAATGTCTTTGCTACTGTGAATAGTGCTGCAATAAACATATGTGTGCATGTATCTTTATAATAGAATGATTTATATTCCTGTGGGTATATACTCGGTAATGGGATTGCCAGGTAAAATGGTATTTCTGATTCTAGATCCTTGAGGAATCGCCACACTGATTTCCACAATGGTTGAACTAATTTACATTCCCACTAATAACCTAGGTGATGGGTTGATAGGTGCAGCAAACCACCAAGGCACATGTATACCTATGTAACAAACCTGCACATTCTGCACATGTATCCCAGAACTTAAAGTAAAAAAAAAAAAATTTTAATTTAAAAAAAAGGGGAAAAAAGGCCAAGAAACAACAGATGCTGGTGAGGTTGCAGAGAAAAAGGCATGCTTTTACACTGTTGGTGGGAATGTAAGTTAGTTCAACCATTATGGAAGGCAGTGTGGTAATTCCTCAAAGATCTAGAAGCAGAAACACCATTTGGCCCAGCAATCCCATTACTGGGTATATACCCAAAGTAATATAAATCATACTATTATGAAGATACATGCCTGCGTACGTTCACTGCAGCACTATTCACAATAGCAAAGACATGGAATCAACCCAAATGCCCATCAATGACAGACTGGATAAAGAAAATGTGGTACCTAACCACCATGGAATACTATGCAGCCATAAAAAGAAATGAGATCATGTCTTTTGCAGGGACATGGATGAAGCTAGAAGCTGTTATCCTCAGCAAACTAATCCAGGAACAGAAAACCAAACACTGCATGTTCTCACTTATAAGTGGGAGCTGAATGATGAGAACACATGGACACATCAGGGGGTGGTGGGGAAACAACACACACTGGGACCTGTTGGGGGTCCAGGGGAGGGAGAGCATCAGGAAGAATAGCTAGAGGATGCTGGGCTTAATGCCTAGGTGAAGGGTTGATCTGTACAGCAAACCACCATGGCACACGTTTACCTGTGTAACAAACCTGCACATTTACCCTGGAACTTAAAAGTTGATTAAATAATATACATATATACATACACACACACACACACACACACACACACACACACACACACAAATCAAAAAATAAAAATAGAAAATATAAGATCATAGTTTCCTAATTTGCAAATTTCTCTCTTTTAATGTACCTGACTACGTGTGCTGGTACCATTGGGACCTCACATCATGATACTGCAGGACTGGAGTTCAGGGAACCCAACACAAGAAGCTGCTCTAGCTGGTGTACTTGATGTGAGAAATAAATGGTCTTGGTCTCTGACCCAGTGGTCTCGTGTTTCCTACAAGTAGGGTACAATTTAGATCCTTCACTGTTTCTGATTTAACAATGGGAGATATTTTTGTGGCCACATCTGCAAATACAGGATACTAATAAAGAAAAAGAATAACAACAGTGGCAGCAGAGAACCCAGGGAATAGGATGAAGGGCCACTTTGACTGATTTAAGTGGATAAGTAATCTCAAGTGGGAACCAATTTTTGCCGAGGTAAGGAAAATGTCTAAAGAATAATTTTGGAAAGAGAAGCTCCTAGGAAGTATTTTTAGACAGACACTTCTTTTCTTTTTTGTTTTTTTTTTTTGTCCGAGACAGAGTCTCGCTCTGTCGCCCAGGTTGGTGTGCAGTGGCTCTATCTCGGCTCACTGCAAGCTCCACCCTCCGGGTTCACACCATTCTCCTGCCTCAGCCTCTACAGTAGCTGGGATTACAGGTACCCACCACCACGCCCGGCTAATTTTTTGTATTTTTAGTAGAGACGGGGTTTCACCATGTTAGCCAGGATGGTCTCGATCTCCTGACCTCATGATCCGCCCACCTCGGCCTCCCAAAGTGCTGAGATTACAGGCATGAGCCACCACACCCGGCCCAGACATTTATTTTCATACAGGAGAAAACTGGTTGTTCCCTAGGATCTCAAATACGAGGCAGAAGGGGTTACATTTTGAGACATGCGGTAGGTTAGTAGCTCCAGCACATCCTCGAGACTGAACAGCACGGTTTCCAGCATAGTAAAGTACAGTTAAATTCATAGGTGTTGCAGGCAAATATTGTTTAAATAATGAAGATCCAAATTCAAAAAGAGTTGGAGGTTTGGGTTTATAGTCAAACATCTACCATCATCCGTTTACTCTTTTGTTAATTCTCATGGTTACAGCTTCATGACATGCAGATATTACACATCAAATCTAGTTTTTCCTTGCCTTGTTTTTCCTTTGTACATTTATTATGACACTAGCTACAAATAATAATTATTAGAATTGTTGTATTTGTCTTCTTCATTAGATTATGAATGTCTGAAATATAGAATAATATTTTAGTTATTTTCTCTGGCCCTCAAATTATTTAACATGGTGTTTTGATAACTGCCTACATTTTATTCTTCAATTAATTAATACCAAATATATATATTTTTCACAGTGCCCAGATTTAAAGCCTGTCATCTATTTATCATTTCTATTAATACAGATAGTAAATTATTTAAATGGCCTAACACTTGTGTAAAGCCATCTGTAAAAAGAACAAAACTATAAATTAAACTGTGTCTAGAAATCTACCTTCCTTTAACTCCCAGACCTGTCCAGCACCACAAGCTTTGTACGATAGTTTTACCATATTTGTCTGTCTTCTCTCCAATGGCGTCAACTGTGCCATCTGGATGCAAACGGACAAACCCTCCAGTCAGCTTGTTATAGAACTGAAGAGTATTTCCTTTTGTAAACTTCCAGCTTTCTGCAGTCCACTAAAAAGAAAAACAAAGCAAAACAAATGAAAACACCAGTATGAGAAGAAACAAAGAGAAGAAATTGCTAAGAAACAGCACTTACTAAACTCTATAGGCTGTTTTGTTTTAACACATCAAATAGTCATTTGAACATTGTTTATATGAGATAATCTAAAGCCCAAACAAAATCTTACTGTTTCTTTTCTCTTAAGTTCCAATTTCTGCCCTGAGAAGATAAAGAGAGGGCAATTAATTTCAGAAGTGTCATGCTTTCTCCAGTCATCATAAAAGAGTTTTCCAGGAAATGTGTATACATGATACCTACTCGCAGAGAAGATACTGTTATCCCTGGCATACAGTTCTCTGACAATTTTACAATCATCTTCCCCCTGATCTAGCCATCTGTGAAAAGAAAAGTGTATCGATTATTTTCAGACTTTATATTTACATTAACCATTGGCAATTATCTTCCCAAGTCAGAAATACAAGATAGCAGGAAAGGGAAAAGACGTGGCTATCTGGCTCTCAAAGGCAGAGCAGTACAGAATGGAAAAGAAAATCCTAAAATGACTCTAAGACTGCAAGGGAGGTAGAAGCAGCAGTTACTATCTGGTAAGGCTAAAATATGTTTTTGCCTAATAACACAGGTGAGTTACTCAATCAGCCTGCTAACTGTCAAAGTCGTAGATGTTATATTCACTGGATCAATTTATCCTGTCCTTTGGCCACTAAATATAGTTCAAACCCTAATCAGTTATTTCATAAATGGTTACTATGGGTTCCATAGGAAAAGAGGCAGGAAAGTGTCAAAGAAAAAAAAAAGCAAATCTATCACGAAAGCAAATCTATCACCACTGCTGGGAAAATAACTCAAAAATCAAGGTCTGTTGATAGTAAGTAAGCACTATCATCTCTGTATAAAAAGCTACATGAAACACTGTGTATATTTATTATTTTTTAACCTAATTTGGGACCTAGTCCAAAGGGAATATGTTTTCTTGTCAGAGACTTTCATTTTTCTTTCTGATATGTACAGAGAGGTAATATTTTTAAGAATCTATCTTAATTTACCATTAAATATTAAATTTCTATCATTAGGAATGATGATAAACATAATAAATGTCTGTCTCAATAGCATAAAGAGCCACTAAAATTAATGTTCACAAAAGTTACCCAACAAAGACTCAGTGACTAGGAACAACTAAATAAGTTACCCAGTTCTCAATGCACAAACTTGGAACTAACATGAAATGGATTTTTTCGATGTAAAAGTACACCTACAAACCTGTGACAGAAGAAGGCATATTCGTAATTTGTTGTGGGATCCTTGATAACAACATCATCAAGAAACCAACCATTTCCTAAACACAAATTAAAGAATGAAAATGTGATATGAATAAATATGGCCTAATAATACTTCAAGTTTTGAGAAACAAGTTCTAACTTCCAAATATATGTAAAGGTCTTGTACAATATAAAGCTTTAGTACTTCAAATAAAGCAAAATATAACAGAAGTAAACTGTAAGGAATGTATTTCTTATACATATAACAAAAGCAAAGCATTATTTTAAGGCTTCATGCCTTATTGTGTCTATTTCAGTGGGCTTTTCCAAACAATTGAAAATAGAACAATTCTGTAGCTGCTTTTAATTTCATAAACTGCATTCATAATCCTGAACCTAACATCTTCCAAAGAATATATACTCGATGAGTTACCAACACTTTCTACTTCCAGGAAGTTTTTTAAAGTTCAAATTTAAACAAAGTCTGCATAAAATATATATGTTTTGATAGACTAAAAATGAAAAATCATTCAGAAATCCTGTCCAAGCACATAGACTCACCTGGTACACATGAAGGTATAAATTTCTTTTTAAATGTTTAATTTCATATTAATTTGCAAACTAGAGTTAGTTAAAATCAATTTTACTTACACATAAAATATTTTAATTGGTCATAGTGGTTTTGTCTATGCAAAGGTCCAGCTCAAAATATATTCTATTCTAATTAAAATTATTGAGTTGGTGAGTTAATACTCATCAGCTATAGGATAAAATTTATTTTTTTCTTTTATTTTTTATTTGTATATGTTTAGAGACAGAGGCTCACTCTGTCACCCAGGCTAGAGTACAGTAGTGCAATCACAGTTCACCATAGCCTTGAACTCCTGAACTCAAGCAATCTTCCAGCCTCAGCCTCTCAAGTAGCTGGGACTCCAGGTGTGTACCACCATGCTCAGCTAATTTTTAAATATTTTTGTAGAGATGGGGTCTTGTATGTTGCCCAGGCCGGTCTTGAACTCCTGGCCTCAAGCAATCCTCACACCTCAGCCTCGCAACATGCTGGAATTATAGGCATAAGCCACTGTTCTCAGCCAGATAAAACTTTTTAACGCAGCATATAAGACGCTTCAGCTTACTCTTCAGCTTCATCCCTCATCACATACTCCCGTTATTGAGTGGTGCCAAACTCTTCACAGTTCCCTAGATCAGTGGTTCCCAAACTTAGCATGCATCTGCATCACCAGGAGGGATTACAAAAACACAGACTACTGAGTTCCACAGTTTCTAATTCAGTAGACTCAGCACAGGCAGCCTACAGTGATCAAATGCCCCAGTTTGCCCAGGACAGAGGGTTTTCCCAGGATGCAGGATTTTCAGTGCTAAAACCAGGACAGACATAGGTAAACCAGAATAGCCACAGGCAAACCAGTATGGCTAGTCATCCTAGATAAGACCCCAAGCATTGAATCTTTAACAATTTTGGTAAGCAATGCTAATGGCCTACGAACCACACTTTGAAAACCACTGCCACAGATGATTCACATACATAATTTTATGTCCTTACATACACTATTCTCTCCACCTGGAAAAAAATCTCCAAAATGTTATTTAATTTCATTTTTAGATGCTATCTCCCAAAAAAGAATTACTTGTCTCCTTTAAGGAAAAATAAAATGTTACCAGAATTCTAAAATGAGTTTTAAGAACTGAGGAGGCTGTAAAGAAAACTCTTAGAGGTAATGATACATTGATTTTAACAATACTTTGTAAGTTAGTAAGTTAGTTTTTAAATTATTAACGTAAAAATATATTGCCTACATTTTCATCATGTTTTTCCCATAAGAAAGAACTAGAACTGGATTTAGAAAACTAGAAAAGATGGGTTCCTAAAGAAAGCTAGGCTGTTCCTGCAGGGATTAGGGACGGGTAAGAGTCTAGAAAAGTCTTATTAACCGGCATTGTTTACATATGTATGTTGGTGAGTAGGTATTTAAAGCAGTAATCATTTATCTTACTATCTTCTCGGATTATCTGCCTACAATTCTACTCTGACTGTTCTGCAGACTTTCCTTTCTTTGTGGCCAAAGGCCACTTAGGAAGCCTGCAGATTTTTATTCAAGTGGGGGTCATGTAACAAATTCTAGATGGCACAGGTTCTTCAAGTGGTTTCTTCACAACGGAAAAACCCCTACTACCCTCTCCTATTACTGGCAGTTGGTGAATAGGTATCAAATCAACAGCCAACCTACTGCAATGAAAACTTGTAGTTTTTATACTCAGTGGTGAACCCATAACTTGTTGTCTGTCCCTTCCTTCATTAAGTCCTGAATATGTAGCTTTGTGCCTACATTTAGGATGGTGCTGGGATGGGTCTGAATATACTTGTCCCCCTAAAATTCATCTATTGGAACCTAAGACCCAATGTGATAACATTAAGAGATGGAGCGTTTAGGATGTGATTAAGTCATGAGGGCTCAGCCCTCATGAGTGGGATGAGTGCCCTCATAAAAGGACTTCAGGGAACTAGCGAGGCCTTTTTGCCCTTCCACCATGGGAGGACACAGCAAGAAGCCCCTCCCAAGACAACAAATGCCAGCACTTTGATCTTAGACTTCTCAGCCTCCAGAAGTGTAAGAATAAATGTTTCTTCTTTATAAATTGCCCAGTCTAAGGTATTTTGTTATAGCAGCCTCAAACTAAGTAAGACAGATGGTGAGGTCTTGCTTCTATTATTTTACTCTGGTCTTTTGAGACCTCAGCAGAAAATAAGACAGAAAAAAACACCATCATAACATTCTGTTAGACTGTACTTATAGTTCTGATTTTTGCTTTGGCCCAAAGTCATGAAGAGGACTGAAATACCTTAAATGACTAATTTTTTTTTACTTTTGTCCTTTTAATTAAATTTTTGTTTTACTAAATTGTAGTCAGAGAATGTGGCTTGTTTGGGGAAATATACCGAGATTTTCTTTTTGGCCTAATATCTGAGTCAAATTATAAAAATGTTTCATGAAGTTTTGAAATGAAAGTGCTTCCCTATCTACAAAGTACAAACAACCGAGGAGAGTAACTGATGTATCCAACTAACCTACCAAAATCTGAGACATATGATAAAATCCTATCCTATCTTCTTTTCATTTCTTCCTGACTATCTCTGAGTATTTTACTTTATCTATTTATATGCAATATTATCTGTGGAATAAAGGCTCATGACTCTTACAATCTCATTGTGAATTATAAACTTTACCAAAAAATTACCCTTCTTGTAACTTTTAATGCTTGTTGTCTTGAATTTTACTTTATCTTATAATAAGGTTAAAACTAAGATTATTTCTTTTATTTACATATTTCTGATATATCATTGCCTAAACTTTCATGTTTAATATTACTGGGTCATTTATTTCAAGTGTCTCTTGCATAGAGCATATAATTGGACACAGGGATTTTTTAGGTTGAAAATTATTGCCTTTATTTCTGTTTAAAAAAATTAACAGAAACTCAGAAATAAGGCTAAAAGATGACACATGTCCTTTCAATATTGTAGTAAAACACTAACAAGCTTGCCTGAGAATCATTTGCCTCACTGTGGGAGTGTAACATTATTTGACTTAATATTTACTATGGATTCAGGCCTAGACTCTGTAAAATTAGCTATCAACTGACAGAAAATAATATGCAAATAATTTACATCTGTTCAAAATATAGATACATTTTGTCCAAGAGAGAAGACAACCTCAAAAGTATATTTGTATTGTCTATAGAATATTGGTCATATTTTTATTAATCTTACTCATAATTTTTTTTTCATGGATTATAAGTATATATTTTTTAGTTTCTTGTAACCTCCTTTCAACCAGCTTTGTCAACCTCCTAATTCCTTCATTAATTACCTAAACACATTGTCCACTCTGTATTTGTGTAACAATCTTGTTCTTAGTTTGAAAATTATACTTTGACACTTTTTAATAAGAAAGTTTATCACCTTGTTTGATGCATTTGGGTTTTTTTTTCCTTTTTTTTTTTTTTGGTATGTGTCCTCTAGTAGTCTGTCTTTTGTTAAATGGATTTTGTTTATCTTATAATTGTTTTATACAGTAGCAGAAAATAAATTTATTGGGAAGATGTGAGTCATCTCACAGAGTTGATGAGAAGACTGAGGAAAAGCATGAATAAAATGGCAGGAGAAAACAGCTCAGACCTCACTGCCAGGACAGTCTCCTTAACGTGCCGCTGTTGGACAATCAGTAGCCTTCAAGGAATATCACCACCAGGAGATACGACTGCTGCCTCCACCACTAACTACCATGCTGGAATGCCATCACATGTCACAACATATAAATCCCCAATCTCTTCTATTTTTTAAAATTACTCTTTCTAGTATTTAGGCCCATCCTAGATTATCCCCTTGGCCAAGCCTATGTCATTTTGAAGAAAAATACATCTAGTTAAATTTTAAAGGGTATTTGGAGACAATATTTTGATTTCATATAGTCAATACATAGAGATCCATTTTCTACCAATTTTCCACAGTATTTTCTAGATTTGAACAGAGTTTCATATAAACAGAATGGAATCAGACCTTCATGAACTCTCTGTGGAAGAGTCTTACCTGGGCCAAGTCCATCATGGCCTATCACAATCTTACACAAATCTCCAAGGTGCACAGCCTCCAGGAAAAAGGTGTCAGTCTATAACGAATCAAAAAGTATAATTAGATCTAGACTATAACTCTGATTTATACCAATAGTATAAATTAAGATGCAGTGTTTGTTGTTGTTGTTGTTGTTGTTGTTGTTTTGAGACAGGCTCTCCCTCTGTCACCCAGGCTGGAGTGCAATGACACAATCTTGTCTCACTGCAACCTCTGCCTCCCGGGCTCAAATGATCCTCCTACTTCAGCCTCCTGAGTATCTGGTATTACAGGCATGTGCCACCATGCCAGGATAATTTTTGTGTTTTTTGTAGAGAGGAGGTTTGGCTATGTTGCCCAGGCTGGTCTCAAACTCCTGGGTTCAAGCAATCCGCCCGCCTCAACCTTCCAAAGTGCTGGGATTACAGGCGTGGGCCACGGCACCCAGCCAGTAAAAATTGATTGTAAAAATTAATTTACAATTAAAAGGAGACATAGTTGTGCTCCAATGGTTTATATATTCAGAATACAGACAAAAAGTGAAAATCACAGAATACTTCCGATAAAGTCAAAGATAACGCTATAGGTTTCAATCCAAGAAAAATACATGATGTAGCATATCCATTAAAAAATGGTAAGAAAAAATAACCTTTGTATAGTGTATTATGTTTCAAAATATTTTCATATGCATATTTTATCCTCAAATATCGCTAAGTGAAAAAAAAATCCTTTCTACAGATAAGATAGTTGACGCACAGATCCAGGATTAGAGCTCAGCTCCTCTGACACATAATAAGACTATTTTCTTTTGAATCTCTTTGTCTCTACGTAAGTGCACTGTTAAGAATATAAATAAGGAGAAACAAAACCATTAGCATTCATTAATAAAAAAATACTGTTCATGCCTGGTACAAATTAATGGATAACATTGTTATCCCTTTATCCACCAAACAGAACAGTTAGAAAAGCAGGACTTTCTATGCAATAAAAGATAATTACGAGTTATGATATTTATAATAATCAATATAGAGAACTCTAAGGAAAAGAGAAGAAACGCATAATGAAAATATGCTGACATACTCGTTAAGAACTAGTTGGGTCCTCAAGGAAAGTTGAGATAAATATAATATGATAAAATGTCTATAATTTACTCAGTAAAAGAAAAAGTTAAATATTACATGCATATTAACATTAGAAATAATAAAATAATGTATTTGGCTTCTACATTCAACAATAAAACTGGCTGTATATAATTATCCACATTTAACAATATACATACAGATTTAAACATCGACAAAGAAGGGAGAGATGTCAAGAAGATGGCAGATTAGGAAGCTCCAGGCTCCAATTTACACACGGAGACACTAAGTTAACAATAATGTAAGAACTAGAATACTCTTTTTTTGAAAACTTTAGAAACCACTTAAGAGATGCAGCACCAAGGCCAATGCATAACCAAGAAAGGACTTCATCCAAAAAGGGCAGAAAAGTTCAAGCCATCTTACATGCCCATGCCCTACCCCTACCTGGCATAGTGCAGTGCAACAGGAAGGAAACCACCCACAGTCCAGAACCTCCCTCAGGACAGAAACGAAAGAGTGGACCATACATCCAAAATTCTGTCTTGTCTGAAGGCTACCTGAGAAACTGGTTTTTGTCTCCCCTGACTTGGAGCCATGGCAGAAATGGCAGATAGTTTGGAAGGCTAAAAGACAGAGGCCAGCCCTGCAGCCTGTCTTTTCAACAGAGCTTCTTCAGTACAGCAGAGAGACAAGGCAAGCAGGAGATTGTGGGCTCTGGATAAGAAACAAGGGCAAGCAATTAAGGAAATTAAGATACTTAAAATCAAATATATAAGCCCAGGGAAGACACATTGTCAGAAAAGGTTTGAGAGGTCCCAAACCTCCACCTGGGCTGACCAATGCAAGTTTTCCCCTAGTAAAGCACGTGACTCATAATGACTGTGAGGTATGGTTGTATTTCTAAATGTTCAAATCTTAGTAAAAGATCACAAAGCCTACAAAGAAGAGGAAAACATGGCCCGATCAAAGAAATGAATGGTTCCATGAAATAACCCTAAAGAAATACAAATCTCTAAACTTCCTGATAGAAATTTAAAACAACTATCTTAAAATACTAAATGAGTGAAAAAGAATACAGAGAGACCAACTAAATGAAATCAGTAAATTCAGGCATGAATACAATGAAAAAGATAGAAACTATAAGAAAGAACAAAACAGAAATTCTACAGCTGTTAATATAATTAGTGAATTGAAAAATTCACTAATGGGGTTTAACCTCAGATTTAATAAGGCAGAAGAATCAGCTTTCTTGAAAGCAGTTCACTTGAAATCATCAAGACAGGAGCAACAAAATAAAAGGGTGAAGAAAAGTGAAGAGAGCATAAGAAACTCATGAGACACCATCAAGCAGGCCAACATATGCATTACGGGAATTTAAAAAGGAAAAGAGAGAGACAAAGGGACACAGAGCTTTTCTGAAAAAATAATAGCCAAAAACTTCTAAAATCTGAGGAGTGAAATGCACATGTAAATTCAAGAAGCTCAATGAGCTAAAACTAAAATAAACCAAAAGAAATCCAACGTAGACACATTATAATCAAACTGGTGACTTTAAAAGAGACAATCGTGGAAGCAGCAAGAGAAAGGCAACTCATCATATATGAAGGAGATTCTATAAAATTATGAGTAAATTTGTGTAGAAACCATGCAGGCTAAAGGGCAACAGGATGATACATTCAAAATATTAAAAGAAAAAAACCTCTCAACCAAAAATTCTACATCAGGCAAAACTGTCAAAAGTGGAGAAGAAATTAAGACTTTCCCAGATAAACAAACTGAGTAAGCTCATTACCACTAGACCTACAATACAAGAAATGCTAAGGAAGTCCTTCAAGTTGAAATAAAAGGACACTAGATAGCAACATGAAGTCATATGAAAATATGAAGTTTGAGCCCAGGATCCAGAGGCTTGCGGTAAGCCAAGAACAATACATACATCTCAGTATATACATAGGTTGAAAGTGAAAAGATAGAAATTCTATGTAAATGGGAACCTAAAGAGGGAGACAGTGGCCATATTTATATCAGACAAAATAGAGTTTAATTCCAAAACTGTCACGAGACAAAAAAATGTACTATATAATGATAATATGGTTAATTCACCAGGACTTAATGTTTTATATATATATATATATATATATATATATATATATAAAAACATATATATTATTCATAAATATATGTGCACCTAACATCAGAGTATACATATATACATATACATACATATATATGTATATATATACATATACATACATATATATGTATATATATACATATACATACATATATATGTATATATATACACATACATATATATGTGTATATATATACATACTTACATATGTAAACCTATATATGTAGGTATACGTGTATATGTATGTATCCATATATATACATACATACACATACATATAAAGCAAACATTTACAAAATTGAAGGGAGAAATAGACAGCAACACAATACTAGGAGATTTCAATGCCCCACTTTCAATAATGGATAGAAAAATGAAACAAAAGATCAATAAAGCAAGTGGACATGACCAACACCGTAAACCATTGGTCCTAACAGACATATACAGAACCACCAAAAAACACGGAACATTATCCATGAGAGATCACAAGTTAGTTCACAAACAAGTCTTAACAAATTTAAGAAAATTAAAATAATATAAAGTATCTTTTCCAATCATGGTGGAACAAAACTAGAAAATAATAGTAGGTGACTGAAATATTCACATATATGTGGAAATTTAAAAATTCACTCTTTTTTTCTGTTTTTATTTTGGTTTTTATTTTATTATTATACTTTAAGTTCTAGGGTACATGTGCACAACGTGCCGGTTTGTTACATAGGTATACATGTGCCATGTTGGTTTGCTGCACTCATTAACTCATAATTTACATTAGGTATTTCTCCTAATGCTATCCCTCCCCCTTCCCTCCCACCCCACCACAGGCCCCTGTGTGTGATGTTCCCCACCCTGTGTCCAAGTGTTCTCATTGTTCAGTTCCCACCTATGAGTGAGAACATGCGGTGTTTGGTTTTCTGTCCTTGTGATAGTTTGCTCAGAATGATGGTTTCCAGCTTCATCCATGGCCCTGTAAAGGACATGAACTCATCCTTTTTTATGGCTGCAGAGTATTCCATGGTGTATATGTGCCACATTTTCTTGATCCAGTCTATCACTGATGGACATTTGGGTTGGTTCCAAGTCTTTGCTATTGTGAATAGTGACACAATAAACATACGTGTGCACGTGTCTTTATAGCAGCATGATTTATAATCCTTTGGGTATATACCCAGTAATGGGGTCGCTGGGTCAAGTGGTATTTCTAGTTCTAGATCCTTGAGGAATCGCCACACTGTCTTCCACAATCGTTGAACTAGTTTACACTCCCACCAACATTGTAAAAGTGTTCCTATTTCTCCACATCCTCTCCAGCACCTGTTGTTTCCTAACTTTTTAATGATCGCCATTCTAACTGGTGTGAGATGGTATCTCATTGTGGTTTTAATTTGCATTTCTCTGATGACCAGTGATGATGAGCATTTTTTCATGTGTCTGTTGGCCACATAAATGTCTTCTTTTGATAAGCGTCTGTTCATATCCTTTGCCCACTTTTTGATGGGGTTGTGTTTTTTTTCTTGTAAATTTGTTTAAGTTCTTTGTAGATTCTGGGTATTAGCCTTTTGTCAGATGGGTAGATTGCAAAACTTTTCTCCCATTCTGTAGGTGGCCTGTTCACTCTGATGGTAGTTCCTTCTGCTGTGCAGAAGCTCTTTAGATTAATTACATCCCATTTGTCTATTTTGGCTTTTGTTATCATTGCTTTTCTGTTTATGTCATGAAGTCCTTGCCCATGCCTATGTCCTGAATAGTATTGCCTAGGTTTTCTTCTAGAGTTTTTATGGTTTTAGGTCTAACATTTAAGTCTTTAACCCATCTTGAATTAATTTTTGTATAAGGTGTAAGGAAGGGATCCAGTTTCAGCTTTCTACAGTTTCAGCTAGCCAGTTTTCCCAGCACCATTTATTAAATAGGGAATCCTTTCCCCATTTCTTGTTTTTGTCAGGTTTGTCAAAGATCAGATGGTTGTAGATGTGTGGTGTTATTTCTGAGGCCTCTGCTCTGTTCCATTGGTCTATATCTCTGTTTTGGTACCAGTACCATGCTGTTTTGGTTACTGTAGCCTTGTAGTATAGTTTGAAGTCAGGTAGCATGATGCCTCCAGCTTTGTTCTTTTGGCTTAGGATTGTCTTGGCAATGTGGGCTCTTTTTTGGTTCCACATGAACTTGAAGGTAGTATTTTCCATTTCTGTGAAGAAAGTCATTAGTAGCTTGATGGGGATGGCATTGAATCTATAAATTACCTTGGGCAGTATGGCCATTTTCAGGATATTGATTCTTCCTATCCATAAGCATGGAATGTTCTTCCATTTGTTTGTGTCATCTTTTATTTCATTGAACAGTGGTTTGTAGTTCTTCTTGAAGAGGTCCTTCACATCCCTTGTAAGTTGTATTCCTAGGTGTTTTATTCTCTTTGTAGCAATTGTGAATGGAAGTTCACTCATGATTTGGCTCTCTGTTTGTCTGTTATTGGTGTATAGGAATGCTTGTGATTACGTTTATTGATCTGCATATGTTGAACCAGTCTTGAATCCCAGGAATGAAGCCCACTTGATCGCAATGGATAAGCTTTTTGATGTGCTGCTGGATTCGGTTTGCCAGTATTTTATTGAGGATTTTTGCATTGATGTTCATCAGGGATATTGGTCTAAAATTCTCTTTTTTTGTTGTGTCTCTGCCAGGCTTTGGTATCAGGATGACGCTGGCCTCATAAAATGAGTTAGAGAGGATTACCTCTTTTTCTATTGATTGGAATAGTTTCAGAAGGAATGGTACCAGCTCCTCTTTGTACCTCTGGTAGAATTCGGCTTTGAATCTGTCTTGTCCTGGCCTTTTTTTGTTTGGTAGGCTATTAATTATTGCCCCAATTTCAGAGCCTGTTATTAACAACTCACTCTTTAAACCATCACTGGGTTGGGTGATGTCAGCAATATGGCAGACTGGAGGTTTCTGACTTTCAGTTCTTCCATGGACGTACCAAATAAACAAATACAAATACAACAATTCATTTTGAGAGAAATTCAGACACTTGTTGCAACACACACACACTGGGAAACTGAGAAAATATCCACACCGAAACAGGTAGAAAAAGCTGAGATAAGCTCCTGCCGCAAACCACATCCCAGAAATAGCACTGCACAGTCAGGAGCTTCTCCAGCTTCAAAAAGGAAGTGTTTGTTTTTCATCTGGAGCCCACAATCTCTTTCTTGTCTTATTGTCTCTCTGCTGTACTGAAGAATCTCTGCTGCAAAAAACAGCCTGCAGGGCTGGCCTCTGTTTTTCCAGGCTTCCAAACTATCTGCCTTTTCTGTCATGGCTCCAAGTTAGGGGAGACATAAACCAGTTTCTCAGGCAGCCTTCAAATGAGACAGAATTCTGGACATAGGATCCACTCTTCCATTTCTGTCCTTTAGTTATCCTGTTGTGCTGTGCAATTCTGCAGTCTTCCTATTTGTAAGGAAGACCCCACTGAAGCCCAGCTCTACCAAACAAAAGCACAAGTTCCTCTCCTTCAAAATGATGGCTCCCGTGTGCTCCTCTTCCCAGGCATGGGGATGTACAAAAATAGAAAAATGAAAGTAAAAAAAAAGGTGGCATGTCTGCACCTTCTCTATATGTAAGGAGTTCCCGTTCCTGACTCCTGAACCAGAACTAGAGGGCTTCTACTGAGCCCCCATATCTGAGGTCCAGTGCCTATTTCCAGTGCCATATCTGAGGTCCAGGTGCCTATTCAATGCACCAGGTTTCTGGTGCATTGAATCCAGATTGAGGGATTGTGGAGGAGAAAACCTAACTTTTATGGTTGCTATCCAAGGGATTGGCTCCTACATCAACTGCCTCTGAGAACAGATGGGGCTTGGCATTTGAAAATCCCCTGGGACCACAGAGAACTAGGAGGTCTTTTTAAACAGGCAGCCATACCCCTAGACTTAGTGCAGAGTAAGCAAGGAAAATTATCTAACTTCCAGTTTCTCCCTGGAAGAGGTCTGACTGCACACAATCCCAGCTGCTGTCCCGGGGTCAGGGCTTTAACTAGAGTACATCTGGAAGCCTAGAGGGCAGGAAATTAGTAAAGTTCCCAGAGCCTCAATAGGCATGTGGGTACTTCCCATGTCTTCTCACCCTAGCTAACTCCAGCAATAAAACCAAGTCTCCAGCTTCTCCCTGAAAAGAGTTTCTCCACACACTGAGCATCCCAACTTTCATAGCTCCCACCTAAACAACTGGCTCCTAAATTACCTACCTCTGGAAATGTGGGGGCTCAGCATTTGAGAAGTCCCTGGTACCACAGAGAACAAAGAGGCAATTTTAACTGGGTACAAGAACACTTCCAGCAGCTATCCCACATAAGGCTTAGCACAGAGCAAGCAGGCAAAAATACCCAAATCCCATTTTCTCACTACAAAAGGTTGGACTTGCACTTTCTTAGATGTTGCCCCAGAGTTGAGCTTCTACTTAGCCAGCATCTGGTTGGTGATAAGTCAAGTAATTAGAAGTCCTTTGTGAACCTGAACAGACATGCCTTCTTCCCCAGCTGGCTCCGGCAATAAAGCCAATCTTCATCTTCTCCCTGGAAGGAGTTTGTCCATACATCGAATGTCCCATATTTTACAGCTTCTACCTGAGGGACTGGCCTCTAAACCACCTAGCTGTAGGAGCTGATGGGGATAGGCATTCTCAAGTACCCCAGGGACCACAGAGAATGAAGAGATGCTTTAAACACATAAGGAGCACTTCCAGCAGCTTTCTCCTGGCTTCATGCAGAGAAAGCAGGCAAAAACCCCCAGCACCCAGTTTTTCTTTGAAAGGGGTTTGAGTGTACACCTAATGTCAAGTTTCCCAACGATTTCCATGGGTTACATTTTTAATTATCTTGCATCCAGGCGGTGACAGAACAAGCAATCAGTAGTCTACTGAGTGTCTGCACACTTCATACAGCTCTTTCCTCTGGTTCATTCCAGAGATAGAACAAGTCTCCAGCTGACCCACCTGTCTCTAAGAACTGATGAAACTGGGCATTTGCTAGGCTCTTGGGAGCAACAAACAGCAATGCAACTGTGTGGTCTGAATAGGAGTGCAGGCATTTGCCACAGATCCTCTCCCCAGCTTAATGCAGAGTGAGTGAGAGATAAACTCCAGCTCTGAGTTTCTGCCTGAGGAAAAAACGAACTTGATCACACATCTAGCAACTCATCTTTTCCAGCTGCTTCTCAAGAGACTGACTTCTATCTTACCTATCTCTGGGGCACTGACAGGACTTGGCACACCCTAAACTCCTGGGGGCCACTAAAAACAAAGACAGTAGTTGGGACAAATGCAAAAGTTTGAGAGGCACTTAATCTCTGCCAAGTTGATCAGTGAGGTCTATTTCCTACATGAAGCCAGTCTCACAAGTTTGGGAGAGGTGGCTGTCTTATCTAATGCATAGAAACTAATAGAAAGAGTCAAAGAAAATGAAGAAAAAAGGGGAATATGTCCCAAACAAAAGAACAAGATTAATTTCCAGAAATGGAACTAAGTGATTTACTCAACAGAGAATTCAAAATAACAGTCACAAAGGTACAGACATCAAGACAGTGATGAATGAACCAAGTGAGAATTTCAACAAAGAGGAAATACAAAGGTTTAAGTTCCAGAATAAATAAAGAACTTCTACAATTCAACAACAAAAAAGAAGAAATAACCCAATTTTTTCTTTTTCAACTTTTATTTTAGATTCAGGCAGTACATGTGCAGGTGTGTTAACCGGGTATATTGTGTGATGCTGAGGTTTGGGATATGAATGATCCCATCACCCAGGTACTAAGCATAGTACCCAACAGTTTTTCAATCCTTGCCTCCTTCTCTCACATCCCTCTCCACACCCTAGTGTCTATTGTTGCTCTCATTGTGTCCATGAGTACCCTATAATGAGCTCCACTTATAAGTGAGAACATACAGTATTTGGTTTTCTATTCCTACAAATAACCCAACCCTAAAATGGGCAAAGGACTTGAACAAACATTTCTCCAAAGATTATATACAAGTGGCCAATAAGCATATGAAAGATGTTCAACATCACTAATAAATAAAGAAATGTACATCGAAAGCAATGAGATATCCCTTCATAGCCATTAGGATGGTTACATAAAAAAAAATTAACAAGTCTTGGCAAGGAGATGGCAAAACTGGAACCCTTGTGCACTGCTGGTGGGATTGTAAAATGGTACAACTGCTATGCAAAACAGCACAGTAGTTTCAAAAAATTAAAAACAAACTACCATATGATCCCTCAATCCCACTTCTAAATATGTCTCAAAAACAATTTGAAAAGATGAGCTCAAAGAGATATCTGCACCCCTATGTACACAGTAGCATTATTCACAATAGCCAAGAGGTGGAGGCAACCCAAATGTCCATTAATCAATGAAATCATAAACAAAATGTAGTTTGTTTGTTTACACACAATGGAGTATTATTCAGCCTTAAAAAGAAAGGAAATACTGTCACATGCTATAACATGGATGAATCTTGAGGACATTATGCTAAGTGAAATAAGCCAGTCACAAAAGACAATTACTATATTATTTCCCTTACATGAGGTATCTGAAGTAAATGCACAGAAATAGAAAGTAGAATGGTGGTTACTAGGGACTGAAGGGAAGGAGAAATGGGGAGTTGTTAATTATTAGATTACCTATTTTGGAAGATGAAAAAGTTCTGATGATCTGTTGCACAGAAATGTGAATATACTTAACATTACTAAACTGTGAAATTAAAAACTCTTAGAATAGTTACAACAGTAAATCTTATTTTATGTGTTTTTACCATGATTAATCTTTTTAAAATCAAAGGGCATTTTGCTTACTTGTCCTCTTAAAAAATTGAAGGAGCTCTTCGATCTAAATAGTTGTCTGGATCCTGTATCTCCCTTTTCCCCATGGATAGAAATGTAGACGTTTGCTACTGTTCCAGCATTCCATAGCTCACCCGTTGCCACATTCACTTCATATATTGTCACTGACAACATAAGAAAAAAAACTTTCAGTGCCAAGCAGTACTCATATAACAGAAAATTACATACAGAAATCTCCTCTTATCCATGGTGGAAAAGTTCCAAGATCCCCAGTGGATGCCAGAAACCACAGGCAGTAAAAAATTCTATATATACTATGTTTTTCCCTATTGATACATACCTATAATAAAGTTTAGTTTACGAATTAGGCACCATAAGAGATTAACAATAACAATAAAATTGATTAATTATAACAATATGCTGGTCACAATTTCACAGACAGAAAACTTGTTCTTACCACAAATCTTAGCAAATTTGACATACTTTTTTTTTCTTTCCATATCAATTCAATAACTTTCACCTTTTCACTTAAAGGAAGTACTTTACGGCTTCTCTTTGAAATATCCAAATTGCCAGCATCACTGTTCTTGCACTTTGAGGCCATTATTCAGTAAAATAAGGGTTGCTTGAACACAAGCACTACGATGCTGTGACAGTCGATACAATAAGCATGATGGCTACTAAGTGATGCACAGGCAGAGAGCATACACAGCATGGATTCACTAGAGAAAGGGGTGATTCACATCAGGGCAGGATGGAGCAGGACAGCAGAAGATTTCATTACACTCAGAATGGGACATAACTTAAAATTTATGAATTGTCTGTTTCTGGAATTTTACATTTAATATTTTTGGACAGCAAGTGACTTTGAAGAACTGAGATCAAGGAGAGAAAAACCATGGATAAGCGGGGACTACTGTACAGAAATCCAATCAAGAGTTCTAGTTCCAGGTAATATGGAGTAACCCACACCATCCAGTCTCTCCTACTGAATGCAGCTATAAAACTTTGACAGAATGCATAGAACAGCTATATGAAGATCAAAACATGAACAGCAGCAGGAGGAATGGGGAAGAAGACCAACATTTAAAGTAACACCAAGCATCTGTGAGTTTACCATTTTTCCTCCTCCGCAGTCCCCCAGCCTGGATTCAATGCACCAGAGACCTGGAAATAGGTACTGGGACCTCAGATATGGGGGCTCGGTAGAAGCCCTCTAGTTCTGGTTCAGGAGGCAGGAAAGGGAACTCCTCAAATATAAAGATGAGAAGATGCAGACATGCTACCATTTTTTTACTTGCATTTCTCTATTTTCTTACATCCTTGTGCCTAGGAAGAAGAGCACATTGGAGCCAACATTCTGAAGGAGAGAACTTTCTCTTCTGTTTGGTGGAACTGGGCTTCAGTAGGGTCTTCCTTCCAAACAGGAAGACTGCAGAAGTGCACAGCACAACAGGATAACCAAAGCCTCAGTTTTCTAAGCAAAGGACCAAAAGAAAGATCCAAGAACTGTAGTGGCTTTAAGAACTGAACTGGCATTGGAACCACAGCCCACAGAAGACAGGTTAGGATTTATAACCTGAAATTAACCAGTAGTCAACTATATACTAAAACAAAAATATCAACATTCTCCTTAGGATTTAAATAAGAACTAGTGTCTCATATAATAATATGTAAAATTCCCAGAATATAATAAGAATACTCAGAATATTAAGAACAAGAAAAATATCAGCTCACATGGGAAAAGAGAATGGAGACATCACCATTGAGATGACACGGGTACTGATTATCTGGCAAAGATTTTAAAGCAGTCAGGATACAAATGTTACTACAAACAAGCATGAACACTCTTAAAACCAATGGAGAAATAGAAAATCCTCACAAAGAAATAGAAAATTTAAAGAAGAACTAAATAGAAATTTTAGAACTGAAAAAAAGCATCATAAACAAATTTTAAAACTCACTGAAGAGGCTCAAGAGCAGACTGGAGAGAACAGAGGAAAGCACAAATGAGCTTGAAGACAGATAAATAGAAATCATCCAATCTAACAACACAGAAAAATACTTTTTTAAAAAAAAGAACCTCAGGGACCTGTAGGATAATAATAAAATACCTGATATTCATGGGCGTGAAGTACCAGAAGAAGAGAAAAAGATTCTAATTCAAGAATTCCGTGAATTCAAACACGGTTCTGCACTGCCCTCCCACACCAGCTCCATCCTCTGGATTTTCACATCAGTTGATATTCTTTCATATTCCATTCCCTCCTCAGCTCATGCAGAAGGTTTATAAGTAGGAACTATTGAGGGAAGTTTTATTTACTTTCTGGGATTGTAAACTTGACAATCCTTTTCTAAAGAATCTAAAGATTTCTTTTTTTTTTAATACAGGATCTGGTTCTGTCACTCAGGCTGGAATGCAGTGGAACAATCATGGCTCACTGCATCCTCAACCTCCCAGACTCAAGCGATCCTCCCTCCTCAGGCTCCTGACTAGCTGGGACTACAGGCATGTGCTACCATGCCCAGCTAATTTTCTCATATATATATATATATCTCATATATATATCATTTATATATCATATATATCATTTATATATATCATTTATATATCATTATGTATATATTATATATATCATTATGTATATATAATAATATAATTATATATTATAACATTATATTATATTACATATTCATAATATATAATTTTATATTTTTTAATAGAGATGGGGTTTTACCATGTTGCCCAGGCTGGTCTTGAACTCAAGAGATCCACCTGACTTAGCCTCCCAAAGTGCTGGGATTACAAGTGTAAACCACCACACTCAGGCTTCCTTATTATTTTTCTAACCAAAATTTCATTTTTCCTTTTTTAAAAACCAAATAACTATGCTAAAGTTGGAGAGAGAAAACAAGCGGAGGGGGATCAGAGTAACAGTGGTCTATCACCTTTGTGCTATTCTAATCAGAGGTATTCTTCTTTTATTTTCCATGTAAGAACTTAAAAGACAAATATATAATAAAAATGAACTGAAATTTTCTTAATTGACATATTTACCCAGGGTTCTACTGGGTAAACTGAAATACAAAATAGTTGTTTCATTAAAAAGTACCCATAGGGCATCAGCAAAATGCATTTGCCCACAGAGACACCATCATAACAACAATGCTTGGAACATTTGCCTTTGTGAGAACCCCAGAAACCACCTAAGAGGTTCCTGCACCCAGGCAAGCCCAAAGACAAAAAGAACCTCATCAAAGTCAGTAGGAAAATTCATGGCATTTTACATGCTGAAGCTCCCCCTCCTACCCCCAGCACATACAGCATGACCAAGTTGCATTTATACCTAGATATACAAGGATGGTTCCACATATGAAAATCAATCAATGTAACATGCCACATTAACAGAATGAAAGACAAAAAACAAAAAACTTCATCAATGCAGAAAAAGCATTCTTATAATCCAACATCCTTCCTTGATAAAAGCTCTCAACAAACTAGGAAAAGAAGGAAACTATCTCAACATAATAATGGCAATATATAAAAAGCTCACAGCTAACACAATACTTATTGATGAAAGAAAAAAACTTTTCCTCTAAGATCATGAAAAAGACAAGGATGCCCACTCTCATCATTTCTATTCAACATATGACTGAAAGTTCTAGGTATTGCAATTAAAACAAGAAAAACAAATAAAAGATAACCAACTTGGAAGAGAAGAAGCAAGATTATCGCTGTTTGCAGGTTATATATGTAGAAAACTCTAAAAGCCTCCACACAAAAAAAATTGTTAAAACAACAAAATCAACACTCAAAAAGCAGCTGCGTTACTATATACTAACAAAGAATAATACAAAAAGAAATTAAGAAAACAATTGCATTTACAATAGCACCAAAAACAATAAAATACTATACTTAATACTAAACCAAGGCAGCAAAAGATATGTACAGTGAAAACTACAAAACGTTGTTAAAATAAAGAAACAAATAAATGGAAAGACACCCCAAGTTTGTAGGTTAGAAGACTTAATATTGTTAAAATGTCTACCTTACCCAAAGCAATCTAAAGATTAAATGCAGTCCCTATCAAAATCTCAACAGCAATTTTTACAGAAATAGGAAAAAATCCAAAAATTCATGTAGATTGCCAAGAGATCCCTGAATAGTCAAAACAATCTTGAAATGATCAAAGTTATAAGCCTCACACTTCTTGATTTTAATACATATGACAAAGCAACAGTAATAAAGGCAGTGTGGTACTGGGATAAAGATAGACAGACTAATAGAATAGAATAGAGAACTCAGAAAAAAGCCCTCGATTATACAGTGAAATGATTTTGACAAGGGTGCCAAGACCACACAAGGAGGAAGACAGTCTCGTCGATAAATGGTGTTGACTAAACTGGATATCCACATGCAAAAAAATAAATAAATAAAGTTGAATCTTTATCTTACATCAATATAGATATTGACTAAAAATGTATTAAAGACCTAACCATAAAAATCTAAATACATAAAACTCCTAGATGAAATCTTAAGAGAAAACCTTCAGGATATCAAATTTGGCAGTTATTTCTTGAATATGACACCAAAATCACATGCAACAAAAACAAACATAAACAAATGGGGCTACATCAAACTTAAAAACTTCTGCACAGCAAAGGCAACAATCATTAGTGTAAACAAGCAACTTATGGAGTTGCAAAAAATATTTCCCAATCATATATCTGATGAGGCTAATATCCAGAAAAAATAAGGAACTCCTTCAACTAAACAATAACACATGAAAAAGAGACAATCCAATTTAAAAATAGGCAAAGAGCTTGAATAGACAATTCATCAAAGAATATATACAAATGGCCTACAAGCCTACAAAAATTCAACATCACTAATTATTACAGAAATGCAAATGAAAACCACAATGAAAAACTACCTCACACCCATTAGGATGGCCAGTATCAATAGAAAAAAAAAAAACAAGTGTTGGGGAGAATGCAGAGAAATTGGAACCCTTGTGGGATGTAAAATTGTCCAACTACTATGGAAAAAGGTAAGGAGGTTCCTCAAAAAATTTAAAATGGAATTACCATATAATTCAGCAACCCCATTTCTAGATACACACCCAAAAGAGTTCAAAGTAGAATCTCAAAGAGATATTTAAATTTGCACACCCATGGTCATTACAACATGATTCACAATAGGTAGAAGGTGGAAGCAAGCCTAATGTCCACTGTCAGATGAATGGATAAATAAATTGTGGTATATACATATGATAGAGTAATACGCAGTCTTTTTTTTTTTTTTTTTTTTTGAGACGGAGTCTCGCTCTGTCGCCCAGGCTGGAGTGCAGTGGCGGGATCTCGGCTCACTGCAAGCTCCGCCTCCCGGGTTCACGCCATTCTCCTGCCTCAGCCTCCCAAGTAGCTGGGACTACAGGCGCCCGCCACTACGCCCGGCTATTTTTTTGTATTTTTAGTAGAGACGGGGTTTCACCGTTTTAGCCGGGATGGTCTCGATCTCCTGACCTCGTGATCCGCCCGCCTCGGCCTCCCAAAGTGCTGGGATTACAGGCGTGAGCCACCGCGCCCGGCCTACGCAGTCTTAAAAAGAATAAAAATTCTGTTAACATGGTATACCATAGACATTACATTAGGTAAAATAAACCAGTCACAAAAGGACAAAAACTGTATGCTTACACTCATATGATGTATCTAAAGTAGTTAAAATCATAGAAACAGAAAGTAGAAATGTGGTTCCCAAGGGCTGAGAGAAGTGCAGCAGGATGGGGATTGGGGGGAATTAGTATTTAATGGATATAGAGTTTCAGCTTTGTAAGATGCAGAAGTTCTAAAGATCTGTTGCATAACAATGTGAATACACTTAACACAAGTGAACTGTACACTTAAAAATGTTTAAGGTAGTAAGGTTAATGTTTGTGTTAATTATCACAATTAAAAATAAAATTTGTTTAAAAGTAGCTCACACAGACTGTGAGCCCACTTTTGGTGTTTTGTTAGGAACCTTTATCCTTCGCAGGAAAATAATTCCATAATTACAACAAATTTTTTTTCACGTACACATGATGGTATACTGGTAAACTGGGCAAACACTTTTAGAGTTACTGTTGTCTTAAATGGTGAATAACTACCATTACTTTTTATAATCTTAAAGGAATAAAATATAGCAAAAAAGACATTAATCCAGCTTTCATTATTTGTACCACCTAGAACTTATGTGTCTACCTCTAGTGAAGAGTGTTAACTTATTCGTAATGATATCATTTCAGACACAGCATCAATCTTAGCTAGAATATTAGATAAAAATATGGCAAGGGTAAATCATCATTTGCTGTATCTACCACTGACCTAGATAACTAAAGGCTTATCAAATTTATAGATACATATGATAGGGTATGGTTAGAATACCAAGCCATGTCCTGAAACTGAAAAGAAAAATGTTTATTAATAAACCATAAGGGTCAAGCCCTACACAGAAGACAAGTAAAATCAGAACATATTTGTAGAGTGTGCCTTCTTTGAGCAGAACTTTAACAGTTAAAATGGAGGGAAGTAGCAGCAGAAAGTCACCTCTGCATTGTTACTAACAATGGGTAGGAATAGGGCACCTGGCGAACATCTTCTCAGGTGAAACGTGTGGGCTGATGAGGAAGAATAGTGATAACAATGCTTCTAAATGGTGAAAAAAATACTTATGAATGGTGAGAACAATGCTCCTGCTTCACTTTTCAGTAACTAGGGCTATTCATGTCTTTTCAAAAATATTTTAACTTCAGAAACTTAAGAAAAGTGATCACACCTTATTTAAAACCACAAAGGAATCATCAATCTGTGCAAATGTTTACCAGTCTATGTTCCCTCAAAAAACTACACAGGTTGGTATGGACCTAAGCCTAATGTCAGATAAGACTTAATATTACTCATTTATTTATTTATTCAGAAAATTAAAACATCACATTTTTAACAGAACATAGTCTGGATTGGAGAAAAATCCATTTTTTGCCAATTGTCTATTTAATAATCTCGTATGCCCTTATCCCGTTCTCCCCCAAGGCAGAGGCCAGCAGACCCAAGAGCAAATGGTTCTTATGGATAGTCACCCTGAATTCTTGTGCTGGGGAGCAGTGACTACCTAATCCTGAGTAGAACAAGAGCCTATTATCAGCCATAAATTTACACAAGGCTTGAACACATCTCTGCTTTCGGCCAGACATTTAGAAAGTCATTGAGCAGTTGTGTTTTATTTCCTAATCAAATAGATAAATTTTCAAAAATGAGGCAGAGCCCAGTGGGAAAAGTAGACACTGACTTGCATTTCTTAGCCCTGGAGGAACGTCATTTGACATTCAATTTTCTCATGACCGCCTAAGAATTAATTTCCTTGTTTTGATTAAGAAGCATTTCAGCCAACCTTCCTATAGGGCTGTTGACAAGAACATACTCCTGAATGCTGGCATGTGAAACAACTAAAAAGCATTTAGATGCAGCTGCCACATCAGAGAGGTAAGTGATAAGAAACTGGCAGTCCTTAATCATTCATTTACTCAACATGTGTTTATTGGTTCCCTGTCCTTCAGCATTTAGGCAAACAAGTTTTATCCATGCTACCTGGAGTTGAATCTTTCCTACCTGGAAGGACAGGTTGTCCTTTACTTAAAAGAGGAAATTCTCGACAGATTTCCCCATCCTCTTGATCTCGTGCCAACCATCGTTGAACAGGTACATAAAACTGTTTTCCAGAATTCATATTATGCAGCTGTATCTATAATAACAATAATATTACTTTTAAAAATGTAGGAATGCTTTATCAAAGTGTCAAATAAGTTTTTGTTCAAGACTGCCACTTAGCTCAGAGAATTATTTTTAATATGAGAAACTGTTGATAATTTGACAGTGCTAATTTCTTCTTTTACTGCCATCTCAGGTACAATGGCATTTCTTTCCTCTATCTAAAAATCTTCCTATTTCTATTTATTTATTTATTTATTTATTTGAGACAAAGTCTTGCTATGTTGCCCAGGCTGGTTGCCAACTCCTAGGCTGAAGTGATCCTCCCACCTCAGCCTCCTGAGTAGCTGGGACTACAGACACGTGCCACTGCACCCAGATAAATTTTCTATTTCTAGTGTTTCTATTTTGAAATGTTTATGTCAAACATGGCAATTTCTTCCCAAATCTTATGTCATTAATATTTTCCTGTTTAGAAAGAGATGTTTACATTTTTAGAAATATATTATTTCCCTGTTTCAACTTCTTAGAAATTAACTTTTGGTTTAAAGTGATTTTATAAATATTAGCATAAGGTCAGATTTCATACACTACAGATTCAAACTGATATGGTTCCCCCTTTGGATCCTTAGCAATGAACAAAACTCAAGCACTGATTATTTATACCTGATCCATTTATCCTGGAGTTAAACAAGAATGTTAATAATTTCTGGTAGGAACTGAAAAATATGAAAATCATCAAAAAGTAAAAATTATATTTTCTGATACTAAAGTCTAGCCTTTTCTGAATAGAGTACTATTATTCTTTTACAGTATCTCTTGGAGTTCCAGTAATTGATGTCACAAAATAGTGAATAAGCATGCCAGTGTGCAAGGGTAATGTAAGGATTGTTAGCCTACCTAAATATTCAAAATTACTTTAAAACTTCAGTATGTTTTCTGACGTTTAAGAATTCAGATGTGTTCTGTAATGGATTCAGATGTTTCATTTGTAGTATAATGAAATGTTTACAGAAAGATAACTTTTTCATTAAAATATTTTTAGAAATAAAGCTTCAGTGAGGTGTTATTTTAACTATTAAATTAATCTTACTCTTTTGAGAATGCCTTAAATCAGAGATTTTCAACTTCAATGATTTTAAAATCACCCTGTTAAAAAGGCAGATTTTCACCCAGGCACAGTGGCTCACACCTGTAATCCCAGCACTTTGTGGGCCCAAGGTGGGCAGACTGCTTGAGCCCAGGAGTTTGAGACCAACCAGGGCAACATGGCAAGACCCTGTCTCTACAAAAAATAAAAAATTAGCCAGGTGTGGTGGTGCATGCCTATAGTCCCAGCTACTTGGGAGGCTGAGGTGGGAGGATCGCTTGAGCCTGGGAAGTCAAGGCTGCAGTGAGCCATGATCGTGCTACTGGTCTCCAGCCTAGGCAATAGACAGAGACCCTGTCTCAAAAAGGAAAAAAAGTCAGATTTTCAGTACCTGATCCTACTAAGGTCTGTGAGACTCAGACAGGTTCAGGAATTCACATTTATAAATGCATGTTAAGTGTGATTCTGATACAATGTAATGTCACTTTTAGAAAGGCTTCCTGAGAACCCATGAGAAAAATTATTGTTTGCAAGGTTATTACTGCCAAGACTGTCTGATTTGATTATTTTAATTAAGGCCCAAAGCTGATCATTTGAGAAGCAGAAAATAACCTAACATTTTGAACTTTTTATTTTGTAATCTTCCCTAACTAAACTTGAAAAAAATCAAGATTAAGTTTCTAAAGCAATGTGGTTATTTTATGGAAATGTATTATTGTTGCTATCATGGAATCAGTGATTCTGTTCAAATCCCCATACAAGTTGATTAATTAAAATTTCAAATTTCAAACTTCTAAACTGTATTATAAGAATTGAACAGAAAATTTTCAAACCAATATCTAATTTGGCAAAATGGATAAACTGGATAAGGGCTTTTCTACATTCAGAAGGAAACTTTGGATCAAGAATGTGTTTCTTCTTCACAGGTACTCAACAAGAGCCAAAGTAAACCTTAGGCAAAGTTCCCTTGCAGTGAGAGAATACTTGCCATAGAGAGAAAGACAATAGAAATTTTCAGCCTGATTTTTATATCATTCCTCTATAATACAAAATTTTTTGTCTCAGCATCCCAAGTTCATAATGAATGTAATCTTGCTTATTGGCTATCAAATGAAATGGCAGGAGGATTAATGATAATTTTCATATGTTAGTTTACCTTACTGAGAGGGAAGAAAAAAAGATATTGTCATATATGATCATTTAAGAATCAATTTGAATATCATACTTCAAAAGCTCTATATAGCATAAAAGTATTTCACATAGAAGCCAGGTAGTAATTTTGAATTTTAAAATATAACCTCAACATTCTGTATTTTCATAAGGTAAGTTTTATTTTCTCATTCTGCTTTCAGAATCGTTTGTAACTTTAACATAAAGAAGATGGTATTAACAACTATATATTTCTGCTAATGGAATTTTTTAATGTTTTTAAGGAATTACTCATCATCTATGAAGTTTTCATTAATTCTTCCACATGTTAAAACTCAAGAAGAGTAAGTTTGCCGAAAATATCAGGAATATGACTAGATTTTCTGCACATTTTGAGAACTTGTTTAGTTAAAGAGCATTTATTTTGAAATGACAGAAGGTGTAAATACACCATATATAAAATTGGATGACAAGCTCTATGATTTCCAGTGTTGGAGGTCTGCATTTACTGACAATCATGCTAATAAGTAGGATGTTTCATGCTGAACAATGTAGAAAATTTAAGCCTTTTTTTAATCTTAAAAATACTCAAGGGGCATTTTCCTTCTTAGCATGAATAGACTAAATTTCAAAGCTGGCATTCAATTCTAGTAGACTATTATTTCATCAACACAGTGGTCTATCTTTACAACATTTCTGAAGCAAATAACATACAGCTAGTCATCTTTTTATCAGCAGTGCAACTATATCAAGAAGCTATATGAGTTTATCCAGAGTCCCAGGCGTTTTTTTCTTTGCAAAGAGGTGAAAGAATTGCTTGGTTAAGGTGCCTCCCTCAATCAATTAAGAATTAATTAATTATTAAGGGCATATGATACTTCTGCCTTGAAGAAAGCACTGGCTAAAAAGGTACAGGACTCTATCAACTCATTATAGGCATGATGAGTTGACTCCTGAGAGGAATATGCAGAGGATTTTGCAAAGAATGGGAAAGTGTTGATATATCCTTACCTCCTTGCAGTGCCAGGAAGGGGAGGATCCAGAGTTGGTATGACCAATACGAATCTTAAAGAGTGCTCCAATGTCTCCAACTGTTATCTATGAAGAGCCAAGGGAACAACTTTCAATGTAATTTCACAAAATTCACTTAAAAACAGCTCAGATTAGGACATGAAATGTTGATAAAGGGGTCAATTCATTAAGAAGACATAAGAATTATAAACATGTGCACACCTAACAAGAGAGTACTAAAATATAATAAGCAAAATTTAACAGAACTGAATAGAGAAACAGACACTCTATGATAATAGTTGGAGACTTCAATACCCAACTTTAATGATGGGTAGAACAAGTAGAGAAAAGAATAAGAAAATAGAGGCCTTGAACATTACACACCACCTAGACCTAACATCTATAGAACACTCCACCCAACAACAGAAAACAGTCTTTCCAAGTACACATGGAACGTTCTCCAGGATAGAACATATGTAATGCAACAAAACAAGGCTTGAAAATTTAAAAAGACAAATCATACAGAGTATCTTGTCGAAACACAATGGAATGAATCCAGAAATCAGTATTATAAGGCAAACTGAAAAGTTCAAAATATGTGTAAATTCCAAGGCAGGTGGATCATGAGGTCAGGAGTTCAAGACCAGCCTGGCCAACACAGTGAAACCCTGTCTCTACAAAAAATACAAAAATTAGCTGGGCGTGTTGGCAGGCGCCTGTAATCCCAGCTACTTGGGAAGCTAAGGCAGGAGAATTGCTTGAACTCGGGAGGCAGAGGTTGCAGTGAGCTGAGATCATGCCACTGCACTCCAGCCTGTGCGAGAGAGATAGACTCCATCTCAGAAAAAAAAAAAAGTGTAAATTAAAGAACATACTCGTAAGCAACAAATAGGTCAAAGAACAAACTGCAGGAAAATTAAAAAATACTTTGAGACAAGTGAAAACAAAAATATAACACAAAAATATGGAAAAAGCAGAGCTCTGAGGGAAATTTATAGCTATATACACCTACATTTAAAAAGAAGAGAAATCTCAAATAAATAACCTAACTTTACATCTTAAGGAACTAGAAAAAGAAAGGCAAACTAAATCCTAAGCTAGTAGAAGAAAGAGATAGACTGATAAACAAAAGGGAGAATATAAAAACAACAAAATAAATTAATGTTTGGTTATTAAAAACATCAATAAAACTGATAGACTTTAGCCTATCTAGATGTTAGCAAAGAGAATTGCTAAAATCAAAAATAAAAGTAGAGACATTGCTATTGACTTTACAGAAATAAAAAGGATTATAAAAGAATGCTATGAGCAATAGTATGCCAACAAATTAGATAACCTACATGAAATGGACAAATCTATAGAAACACACAGACCACCAAAAGTGACTCGAAGAAATAAAAAATATGAATAGACCTATAAAGGGTAAAGAGATTGAATCAGTAATCAAAAACCTCCCAAGAAAAAAAAACCTAGGACAGAAGGCTTCATTGGTGAATTCTATCAAATATTTAAAGAAGAATTAATTCCAAACACTTCCAAAAAAGAGGTGGAAATACTTTTTAACTCATTCTGCAAGGTCAGCATTATGCTGATAACAAACCCAAAGACATAACAAGGAAACTATAAACCACTGTGCCTTATAAAGATGCAAACATCTTCAACAAAACTAGCTAATGAATCCAGAGGCATATTAAAAAGATTATACGTTATAATAAACTAGGATTTATCCCAGGAATGGAAATTGGTTCTACATACAAATATCAATCTAATATACCACGTAAATAAAATAGAGGGAAAAAACACAATCATCTCAATTGATGCCAAACTGCCCCCCTGACACACACACACACATGCACATTTGACAAAATCAAATGCCCTTTCATGATTAAAAAAAAAATTCAACAAACTAGAAATTGAAAAGAACTTCCTGAACATGATAAAGGGCACTTATCGTGAGAAAAACCCACAGATAACGTCCTACTCAATGGCAAAAGATGAAGAGCTTTTCCCCCAAATCAGGAACAAGACAAGGATAATAATTTTTGCTACTTCTATTCAACACTGTACTGAAAGTTCTAGCTACAGCAATTCAGCAATAAGAAAAAATTTAAAACATCCAAATAGGAAAGGAAAGGGAAGGGGAGGGAAGGGAAAGGAAGAGGAGGGGAGGGGAGGGGAGGAGGGAGGAGGGAGGTAGACGGGGGAGGGGAAGGGAAAGGGAAGAGAAAGGGAAAGGAAGGGAAGACAAGACAGAGGTTGCTAGGGGTTGGTAGAAAGGCAACAGGGAGTGACTGCATAACAAAGTTTTCTTTTGGAGTGAATAAAATGTTATGAAAGTAGATAGTGATTGTTGAATAACACTGTGAATGTACTATATGCCACTAAATTGTACAATTTAAAAATTTTTTAATGGTAACTTTTGTGTATTTTACCATAATAAAAAAGAAAAGAAAAGGTCTATACAAAGAAAGTACAGGGAAAAAGGAAAGGAAGATGTAAAACAGTCTGCCTAAGAACCCTTACAAGAAAACAATTCATTAGAACAAACGAAACTGTGATCAAAATTGGCATGAAATTACTGCATTTAATAAAGCCATCACCTCTACAACAAGAGATTAATGTAGCCATCCCAGAACTCAGGCAAGAGTGACAACAGAAAGAGCTGAAATTTAGTAGCAGCATTCAGAAAAAAGAAGCATCAAACTATAAAAATGAGGGGTTAAGGGTGTTCCTTTCTTATTACAGAATTGAAAATTATTTAGCCCTATAAACTATGTGAATATATAATTCAATTTAAAAGAAAACATGAAACACTAAAATAGTAAAACAACAACAGCTCAGACTATTTTTATTTCTTACTCACAGAAAATAATGACAAAATCTTTTCCTTTTAGTGACTATAAACACAAGAGTGTCTTTAAATATTGACTCATATAGGATGGAAAAGTTAGATCAAACTAATCTAATGGGAACAATGTTTCCAAATGGTTCAGCCTCTCCTGTGGTTGTAGTAAACCAAACACCCAGGATCACATGGAGATGGCTGTCCTGTGAAGACTTGCAATACTTAAGGAGACTCTTTTTTCATGGTGATTTTACTCTGTCTCCACCTGGTTCAAACCAATCCTTCTGTGCATCCATTAATTTATTCAACAGACATTACTAAGCATCTGTAAGTGCCAGGTGCTTGACCCACTTCAAGTCTTGCCTTTGTTTGCTAATGTATCTGACTTCAGTTTAACAACATGGCACTGGTCTCCCTGCTTCATCTTTGTTACCTCTGTTTCCCTCTAGACCCTGATCTCCATGTGTCTAGCCATGGTCTAATAACTTGATAACTAATACCTAATAAAAACCAGTAATTAACAACTTGATGACAACTTTTTTGCCTTCCTTGTTTGACAATTTTATTTTTCCCTTTTTGAGCTTGACTTTGAGCCTTATCTGGAGAGCCAGAAAGGCATAAGCCCTTGCTCCTGATGTCTGTCCACATAAAAATAAGTGTTTACCATCTAGTATTTCTCTCTAGCTACTGTCTCTTCCCATATTGCAGATTTACTTGTGTTAAATCTGCTTGAGCAAAAACTTCCATAAATTATTTTTGAATGATCTTCTACAGGGCACATGGTGTTACTAAAGGGATAGACTATGTTCATTCCAAAGTACCTACTAGGTGTATCACTTATATTAACAGTTTATACTCAGTTTTATTACTTACAGTAAATATGTCTTCATGGCCAACCTGAAATCGAGCCCCATCTGTTCCATAAAGATATATGGGGGCTGAACTTCTATGTTGTCCATACAGAATAATATAAATCTGTGAGCTGGTCCCTGCATCTGGCAAGTCACTGGTGATTATAAAAACTTTCCAGTTACTACCTATAAAAGAAAAAATAACATACAGCATTATGGCAACTGATAGAAATGGAAGACTCAGAACAGCAGGTCATCATAAAACTAGGAGAGTTCAGGATAGACAAAACTTATTCTTCATCTCCTCTGAAAAAGTGCCATAACAGAAGATTTATATTTGGAATTTAAAATACTCAATAAAATTACTATTTTCTACAATGTGACAGTGAGAATATTTCCAAAAAGATCTTTAGTGAGGTGGCTAGAGTGGTATCATTACTATATTATTGTTGGTCATACCTGGACTCCAAAAGAGCCACTAAACAACTTTTTTGAAGCTCCCAGTATTTTGACAAAAAATCTCCAATATTCTCAGCTCTGGCATGTAACATGTGCATTGAGAATTAATGCCTTTTAGGATATTTTTTGAGTTTAGATGTCTTTTTTCCAAAATAAAAATTTATATAATAATTAAGAATTTAAACTGGAATTGGGTGAGTAGAATTTGAGAAGTTATCTGCTATAATTTATTCATTTATTATTTTAAGTATCCCCAATTAATAAAGTAACTAAATCCTACAAACAGAAGTATATTTTGTATCACCTAGAAACAAATGAAAACAATGCTAGAAAACATATGGCTCACTGTGAACATAACTGAGACTGACTAAACATTATAGTACATTAATAGTGGTATGATATAATGTCCTAGGATTTCGATTTAATTTTGTCAGGTTTCTTTGGGGTAAACATCAGTGTATTATTGCATTTTCACATTGCTATAAAGCTACTACCTGCGACTAGGTAATTCATAAATAAAAGAGGTTTAATTGACTCACAGTTCCACATGGCTGAGAAGGCCTCAGGAAACTTAACAATCATGGCAGAAGGCAAAGGAGAAGCAAGTACCTTCTTCACAAGGCAGGAGAGAGAGAGAGCACACGCGAAGGGGGAACTGCCAAACACTTTTGAAACCATCAGCTCTCATGAGAACTCACTATCATGAGAATAGCATGGGGGAAACCATCCCCATGATCCAACCACCTCCCACCTGATCCTCCCTCAACACCTGGGAATTGCAATTCAAGATGAGATTTGGGTAAGGACACAGAGCCAAACCATGTCAATCAGAAAGCTGATCTATAAGAAAAATGAAAGCCAGATGTGGTGGCGCATGCCTGTAGTCCTACCTACTTGGAAGGCTGAGGTGGAAGAATAGCTTGAGCCCAAGAATTTGAGGTCACAGCAAGCTGTGATCTTGCCACAGTACACTCTAGCCTGGGCAATAGAGCAAGAACCTATCTCAAAATAAAAAAAAAAGGAATAAAACAAAAGTGAAGTAATGAGAAATTAGGGAACACACTCAAGATTACATAAAATAAGTAAGAATATAAGGTAATAAAATTAAGAACTACTGACTTAAATGGCATTCTACTCATTAGACTGTTTTCCTCTCTTCCAACTTTGAACTAAAATGTATTTGCCATTTTTATCATTAAAATAAATAACCAAAGGCTAGATTTAAATTTATATGGTACAATAAATACACATTAAATTAATGTATGTTTGTATTTGTATTTTTTATTTTTATTTTTTTGAGAGGGAGTCTCGCTGGTGTCACCCAAGCTGGAGTGCAGTGGTATGACCTTGGCTCATGGCAACCTCTGTATCCTGGGTTCAAGTGATTCTCCTGCCTCAGCCTCTCAATAGCTGAGATTACAGGTGCCCGCCACCACACCCAGGTAATTTTTGTATTTTCGTAGAGATGAGGTTTCACCATGTTGGTCAGGCTGGTCTCAAACTCCTGACTTCAAATGATCCACCCACCTTGGCCCCTCAAAGTGCTACGCTACGATTACAGGCATGAGCCACTGCACCTGGCCTGTTTGTAAAAAATCTACTTAAAAATATAAAACTATATTTTGTTTGCCCTACACATAGTGGAAAGCCATGTTAGGCTACCAAATCATCTTGGTAGACAATCAGTAAATAAAAACATAATTTTAAAAAAACTAGTCAAGGATGGTCTGTCTTTAACAGTGACAGAAAATGTTAAATTGCAATTACAAACTACAGAGCTAGAAAAATTCTAGCTATGCTCTGTAGGATGACTGGTATGTTAGTTCTTGTTTGAATAAATTGAAATACCATACTTCTGTCTTAGAAATGCAGCAAAAGAGTTCAGGGGAGAATCAATACTTGCTAAAAATGCACGGAACAAATCAATCAAGAAAGAAATTGCATTTTCCAACAACTAGGATGGAAAGGCTGAAAAGTGAAAGAATGGAAATAAAAATGAAAATAATGAAATATGATGTCCGTTTACTATAGGTTTTTGCACCTCCCTAAATCATTAAATGATTCAAACCTTAACCCTGCAACAGAGTACCATAAAAACTGGAGTAGAATCTAAAGATCATGAACGAAGATTCATCTTTCAGTTTATAACTTACATTTCAATCGACAGAAAGCCAACAAGTCATTGGGTCATTACTAGTTGACCACTGTCTAGGGAGGAGTAGATGAAAAACATAAGATGATGTCATTGTCTTCCATTAGCTTGTAATCTATATGAGGTAATAGGCCAACACACCAAAAGAGAAAAACATCAGAATATTCTTAATGTAATATTTTAGTGAGGCGAGGTCAGATCACAGAAAAACTAACATAATGAATAAGAAAAATTAGAAGGAGACAGAAAAGAGGGGGAGGGGGAGGAGAAGGAGAGAGTAGGGAGGAGGAAGAGAACAATAAGAAGCCAAAAAAAAGAAAAAGAAACATCAGCAGAAAGAAAGTACAAAACTTTATGCCATAATCTTTTAAAGTAGAAGTCAAAAAGCAAGTAAGACAGAAGATTTCAGGAGTTTGTCCAGCATCTAACCCAGTTTTCTCAGAAATGCTATGGGAGAAAAAATGTGAATAGACAAAATTCTAAGTCTTTGTAATATACATATACCACTAGGCCTCGATTTGAAAAAGAGTGAGTTGAAGGGGTGAGTAGATGAACTGGAGAAAAAAAGAATGCGGGTGGTGGACAAACAGCTCCTTTTTTCTTTATATAAACAATTTAGTCATTTAATGAGCAAACAGATTGGGGAAAGACTCAATTTACCAGAGCAGACACAAAACAAATAGAAAATTTGAATAATCCTATATCCTCTAAAAAAAACAATAAATTTATACTGTAAATATTTTTCACAAAGAACTTCAGGCCCAGATGGCTTCAGTGGTGAATTTTGTATCAAACTATTCTAAAAAATGGTATCAATCCTATATAAACCATTTGGAATAGTTCCCAACTCATTGTATGAGAAGCATATTACTCTGGTACCCAAATCAGAAAACACATTATAAGAAAACTGCAGAGCAATAACCCCCAAAAACATCAATGAAAATATTCTCAACAAAATATTAGAAAACCACATCAACTATAATCTTCAAGTTTATTCCAGAAATGCAAGTTTTTTAACATTAAGCAGCCAATCAATGTAATTCACCATATTAACAGAACACAGGAGAAAATGAAATGATACTCAGGATCATTCCTCATTAGAGAAATGTAAATAAGCTAAAACCACAATGAGATAGAGCACTACATATAATAACTAAAATTAAAAACAGTGAAAATACCAAGGTAAGGACATAGAACAACTAGAACTCTCATGCATAACCAGAGGAAATGTGAAATGGCATAATACTTTGGAAACAGTTTGGCAGTTTCTTGTAAAGTTCAACAAACTTACCATATATCCCCGAAATTCCATTGTAGTAAACTACCCAAAGAAATAAAAACATACAAAAACTTGTACATGAATTTTCATTGTAGTTTTACTCACAATAGCCAGAAACTGGAGTAACCCAAATGTCCATCAACAGGTTCGTCATGGGTTAAATTCTGTCTTCAAAAAAGATATGTTGAAATCCTAACCTCTGGTACCTATAAATGTGACCCTAATTAAACATAGGGTCATTGCAGATGTAATTATGATATAAATTAATATTAAGTCATGCTGGAATAGTGTAGGCTCTTAACCCAATACAACTTAGAAAAGAGACACCCAGGGAAAATGTCATGTGAAGATGGAGGCAGAGATTAGCATGATACATCTACAAATCATGGAACACCAAGGACTGCTGGAAATCACCAGAAGCTAGGAGGGACACACAGAACAGGATGTCCCTCAGAGCACTCAAAGGAACCAATTCTGCTGACTCTGATTTCAGATTTCTAGCCAACAGAACTATGAATGAATAAATTCTGTTGTTTGAAGGCACCAATTTATGGTACTTTTCTTATAGCAGTCCCAGGAAACTGAAAAAGATTTGGTAATAAGAAGTGGGGTGCTGCTGTAACAAATACCTAAAGCTTTCTAGATAGGCTCTGGAAATAGGCCAGGGGTGTGCCTGAACAACCTCTTGCTAACAGCATTAAACATATGATTCACTGATCCAATCAGCCATCTCAGCAGAAGCCATAAATAGAGACGGAGTTACCAAGGAAAGATCTGTGGAGAAGAACCCTTGTGTCCTTGTGTCTAATGGTATGGACCCCTTTGGCATCCACAGAAGACCAACAAGGTTTTTGGAGAATATTATTTCATCAGATGAAAGAAACAGAGATGGGACAAATGACTCTGAGGGCCAGAGAGGGTAAAGCCACTGCCCTTGGGGGCTGAGTGGGTAGGCTACCACCCAAGTAGGGCCCAGAGAACAAAGCAGTAAGCCACTGAGGATTACTCTCAGGCCTTGAAATCTAATGAAATTTGCTAGGTTTCTAACTTGCTTGGAACACATGACCCCTTTTTTCCTTTCAGTTTCTTCCTTTTGGAATGGGAATACTTATCCTATGCCTGTCCCATCATTGCATTTTAGAAACAAATAATTTGTTTTCTAGTTTCACACATCTGTGAATGGAGAGGAATTTTGGTCCGAGATGCATTATACCCAGAGTCTCACCCAAATTTTATTTTGATAATATATAAAATGAGATTTGGGACTTTGTGAAATTATAATATTTAGATGAGATTTTGAATTTGAAGTTGATGGTGGAATGGTTAAAACTTTTGGGAATATTGGGATGCGGTAAATGCATTTTGCACTTAAGGATGTGAATTATTGGGGGCTAGAAAGCAAACTGTTATGGGTGACTAGTGTCCTTATAGGAAGAGAAGAGATACAGAGACAGAGGAAGAGTGCTACACAAAGATGGAGTCAGGCATTCCAGCTACCCTGCTGCAAGCCAAAGAATGCCAAGGACTTCAGGCAACCACCAAAAGCCAGAGAAGAGGTGAGGGAGGATCTTCCCCTAGAGTCTTTAGAGACAGCATTCAGACTTCTAGCCTTCAGAACTGTGAGAATAAATCTGTTCTTTTAAGTTACTCAGTTTGTGGTAATCTGTTACAGAAGCCCCAGCAAACAAGAGGTGACTCTACAGGTAAAATGTGTTACATAATGAATACAACTCAGCAATTAAAAGGCACAAGCTACTAATAGATGTAACAGCTTGGATGAATCTTAAGCTTCATGATGATCAAAACCCTAGTCAGAGGAGTATATACTTTATGATTCCACAGAAGAACTGCTAGAAAAAGGCAAGCTTATTTGTATAACTAAAAGCAAATGAGTTCTTTCCTAGGGCCAGGAATGGTGGAATTATCTTCAGAGAACATGAAGAAACTATTTGGGATAGAATTGTTCTGTATCTTGATTGAGATGGTAATTATACAGGTGAACACAACTGTTAAAACTCATCACATTGTACATTTAAAATGCATACATCTCTTTATGTAAATTATACCTCAATAAGTTGATTTTTTTCAACATTAATAAACAAAACTTGTAAAAGTTATAACCCAAATGGTAAAATTGTTTTAAACTGCCACACAAATGAAAAAGGACAAATTTCCTTTATTTGCAAATAATTCATACAATCAATAAAACAAAACTAAACAAAACATCGATATCACAATGGAAAAATGGACAGGAATATGAATAGGCAATTTATTAAAAAAAAAGAGAACACAAGTGATCAAGAAATAGAAAATATGCTCAACCTCCCTTATAACTGAAGAAAGGCAAATCAAAACATTGTTTTTCATCTATCAGAGTGACAAAAATCTTTAGTTTTAAAACACCTAGTGTTATAACAGTCCGAAGAAATGGGCTTTCTCAAACACAGTTTGACATCAGTGAAGTTTCACATACCTTTATTGAATGGCAGCTTGAGAATATCTATGAAATTTTACAATGCACATATTCTTTAATGTAACTATTTTACTCCTGTAATTTACTATACAAATATACTCAGAACGACGCCAAACTATGTGTACTAAGAACATTCTTCAAAAGTCTCCTTATCTAAGTAGCAAATATTTAGATACAATCATGTATCTTTAAATACAGAATGAGTTAAATTTTGACTCAGTGCAACACACAACTATTTTAAAAGAATAAAGCAAAATGTGGTAAAATTTGGATACTATTATCTCAGTTTTACAAATAAAAAAGATATCCCCAAATATATGTACACATGCTGCTATGCACATTTAAAGTTTAGAAAAAACGCCTTAAGATACCTTTATAAATAAAGTTTAGAAGTTGGAGATGGGAGAAGGAAGACATTGTTTATTTAATACCTGCCTACACTATCTAATTTTTTTACTACATGCTATATAACTTTTACCTTTTTTAAATTGGTTAAGTATGTAAAGAGAAAAATATATATAGTTAACCAATGCAAAGTTCTTTAGGAGTATCAGCATATAGGAACTTTGTGCCTAAATTCTTTCAAAACAAAAAAAAATGTTTTCACCTTGTGATTATAAAAGTCCTCTTTAGAATTATCATTTTATATTTAGAGTTCCTAATAATCATATGTAAACTGTTCTTCCCAGTAGAGTATTCACAGGCTAGAAAAATCTTTAATGATCTATAAGTGATGCCAAACAGAAAAGACTGAACCATTTCTGCAAATCAGTACACTAAATTTAGTACCACAACTAATTGTGCATCTCTAGTCAGAAATGGCTTGACTTTTCTATGAATGTGAATAGTATCTTTGTGAGGAGAGGAGGGTAGTAGATCTTCAGCGTCACACATAATCATTTTGAGATCTAGTCTGAAACTTGATTTTAGATAAGTTAAACTTTCTCAGCGTCTTCACTCAGAAAACAGAAATAATACATTCCTCACATGGCCTTTAGGAGAGCTAAATCAGACAACATGTGTTAAGCACATAGTACGGTGCCTATTACATAACAGCTACCCAAGAAAGGAAAGTTATTTTCATTATAATTGTTACAAAATTACCTCTTTTGCATCAATTAGACCACGCATTCTCATGAGAGCAATATTAATCCCAAAGGACAAAAACTGGTTTTTGGAGGGCAAAAAAGCTTAAATATACAATGGTTTGGGGCCCTCTAAACTCAGTGCTATCTGGCAAAACATTATTCCTTAGTATTTAATTTCTCTCATTAGCAGGAGGCAATAACAGAAAAAAAAGTTGAGAAGCTAATTAATTAAGCTACTTAAGAATTACATGTAAAAACTGTTATCAACCTTGGAAATTTCAGAGGACAAATTTATTATATAAATGGAAATTAATCTCCTAATATACAAAATTAGAGAAATAGTGCCTGTGTCTGTCTACATGCCTGAGTGATTGCAATTCATATACATAACAATAAAAAGAAACAGAAAAGGATCAGCCTTCATGATATAGGTATGTAGCCACTGGATTACAATGGTGTCTATAAGGAGAATTATGGCCGGACGCAGTGGCTCACGCCTGTAATCCCAGCACTTCAGGAGGCTGAGGAGGGCAGATCACAAGGTCAGGAGATCGAGACCATCCTGACTAACACAGTGAAACCCCGTCTCTACTAAAAAGTACAAAAAATTAGCCAGGCGTGGTGGCGGGTGCCTGTAGTCCCAGCTACTCAGGAGGCTGAGGAAGGAGAATGGTGTGAACCCGGGAGGAGGAGCTAGCAGTGACTACACTCCAGCCTGGGCAACACGGCAAGACTCTGTCTCAAAAAAAAAAAAAAAAAAGGAGATTTATATTGGTGGGCAAATATAAATCACAAATACTTGGGATTAAACCATGGAAATCAAACTCCAAGCAAGGCAATAAGAGTGTTCAATCTTAGCCACCGTTGTTTGAAAAAGATTGTGTGAAATCAGAAGTAGCCATAAAATAAGTAACTTCTAAGTAGTATAAGATACAGAACTAATGGAAGGTAACTGTTTCTCTTTTCAGGCCAGAAAAACCTAAAGTAGCAAAATACCAATTTGAGTGTCCAAGGTAATGATGGACTGCTTTACAGATGGGCAGGGTCATTGTGTGTAGTTCTCTCTAGGACTCTTCTGCATGTTGAATCTAAGCACCAGCCGACTTGACTCCATCTTCTATGGTCTCTCTTTTCACCCAGGAATATAAGGCCCAAGGCTACTTTTCTGGCATAGATAAAAATTTACACAGCAGGGGGAAGTTCCAAGCTAGGCATTCAAAGCTTTACTCTCCAGCTGCTGGTTTAGCAGTTTAAAAAGGAAAAATGAAAGAACCTAGATTGGTCAAAGCAATTTTGAAAGAGAACAAAGTTGGAAAAATTTACACTATCTGGTTTCAAGGCTTACTATAAAGCTACAGTAATCAAGATGGTATATTTTGGCATACAAATATATGCACAAATCAATGAAATAGAATAGAGAATGCAGAAATGCACCCCTACACATGTGGTTAATTAACTTTTGACAAAAGACTATCCTTTCTAAATCAAAGTATTCAATGAAGAAAGGATAGTCTTTGGAACAAAGAGTGCTGGAATAATTGGATGTCCATTTAAAATAAAATGAACCTCAACTCTTACCTCCCACAGTATATTTAAAAAAAAAAAAAGCTCAAAATGGGACAAATAGACCCAAAGTAAGAATTAAAATGATGAAACTCCTAAAAGAAAACACAGGAGAAAATCTTGTCATTGAGATAGGCAGGCAGAGATTTCTTAGATAAGACTTGAAAAGCATGAGCCATACAAAGGAAATTAACAAACTGGGCTTACCAAAATTTAAAACTTGTTCATTCAAAATCCCACCACTAAGAAAGTGAAAAGTCAAGCTATTACACTAGGAGAAAATGCGTGCAAGACATACATCTGAATATATTGTATATTGTATTATATATATAATTGCTTCTCAGCCTTTTGGCTAAGATCAAGTGAATATATTGTACCCAGAATATGTAAAGAACTCTTGCAGCTCTAGATTTCAAATGCCCAACAGAAAATAAATTTGAAAACACACTATACCACAAAAGATATATGAACAGCAAATCAGTACATGTAAAGATGTCCAACATCAATAGTCATTAGAAAAATGCAAATTAAATGCAGAAAGTAAACACACTGGTATAGCTAAAATTTAAGTCTAATAATAGCAAGTGCAAACCAGAATACAGAACAACTAGAATCCTCATATATTGTTGGTAGGGATACAAAATGATACAACTACTTTTGAAAGGAGTTGGCAATTTCTCATTAACATACAATTACCATAAAAGCTAGCAATCTCACTCCTAGATATTTACCTAGGAAAGATAAAAAAGTATGTCCTGCAAGAAGACTGGACATGAATGTTTATATAACTTATATCCATAATAACCAAAAGCCAGAAATAAATGTCTATTAGCTGGTAAATGTATAAACAAAGTGTGGTATGTACATACAATGAAATACCACTCAGCAATGAAAAACAACTACTGATTCAGGCAACAATAATGAATCTCAAAATCATTTTGCTAAGTAAAAGAAGCAGATATCAAAGATGCCAGACCATAAGATTCCATTTGCATAAAATTCTAGAGAAAACACTACAGCCACAGAAAGTGAATCCATGGTTTCCAAGGGTTGGGCAAAGGGGAGAAGGGACTGGCTATAAAGGGAAATAAAAAGTCCTTTTTTGAGTGATGGAAATGTTCCATTATCTTACTATAGTGGTGATTATGTGAATACATATATTTGTCAAAACCCATCAAATCATAACACTTAAAATTGGGGAGATTTTATCAAATGTAAATTATACCCAAATAAAGGGTGAGAGAGACCGAGAGAGAGAGAGAGAGAGAGAGAGAGAAGAAAATTAAAAATTAAGGAATTATTCCAGAGGTTCATCAAGCTCAGGTAATATTCATAATAGAAATTTTAAAATGAAAGAACAAAAAACGGAGGGGAAAGATCAGAGAAATAATATAAAACAAATTCCCAGAACTAAAGGATACGGGTACTGAATGCCTAGTGTAGCAAAAACAAACAAACCAACCCTATACAAGTGTGTATTATTGTGAAATTTCAGAATACCAGAATAAACAGATGGTCCTAAAAGCTTTTGGGAAGGGGAGAGGGGTCACATGTATGGGAGCAGAAATGAGAATGGCTTAGTACTTTTCATGTTGGGATTAGAAAATAAAAGACAAATTTTTAAAGCTTTTAAAATGTTTGAGTTACTTCTAATGTATAAGGCCATATAATTTTTATCCATTAAACATGAGAATAACGGTATGTTTTTTTTTTTTTTTTGAGATGGAGTCTCACTCTGTCGCCCAGGCTGGAGTGCAGTGGCGCGATCTCGGCTCACTGCAACCTCCACCTCCTGGGTTCAAGTGATTCTCCTGTCTCAGCCTCCCAAGTAGCTGAGATTACAGGTGCACAACACCATGCCTGGCTAATCTTTTGTATTTTAGTAGAGACAGGGTTTCACTGTGTTGCCGAGGCTCGTCTCGAACTCACAAGCTCAGGCAATCCACCTGCCAAAAGATATTTTCATACATTCAAGAATCAAAAAAGAACTCCCATGCACCCCTTATTATAAACTATAAGAGAATTTTCTCCACCTAAACTGAGGCCTAAACTAAGATTTCAATAAACAAGACATTCAATATAGAGAGGAAAAGGAGATTCCCAGGATGTTGCTGAGGGATAGCTCAGGATGACAACTGCACAGCTGACCTGGATTGAAGCAGTTCACGTCGGATGAGGAGGGAGCTGGGTAGAGGAGTTGGGAAGGGACTTCCCCAAGGAATGCCTTCAAGAAAAATAATGTCCCCAAGGGAAAAAAATAGAATAGATGTGCACTTTTATGCTGACAGAGTCAGCCCTGGGGAAGAGTTCAGTAATAAATGGTAGTCCATTTTTAATCCAAGGAAAACAAAAAATAGTTCAAAAAAGAAAATGTAGTCAGGATACACTAAAAGGCTCAGCTGAGGAAAATATTTACATATTTACATGGTTATTAATGAAAGCCCTGTAATTTAATAAAAAAAATTATATTGGCAGAGATATGAAGTGGGAGGCTGAAGGTGAAATGTCAATACACAAAATCTAAAATTGAAAAAAAAAGCAGTATGTCTCTAAATACAGAAATAAACAGCAGAAAAACAGCTAAATATTTTCAAGAAAGATGCCTCTGGAGTGGGAATTAGGCATGTACAGGGTCAGAAAGTGGTCTATTTTTTATTTTGAGCTATGCACTTCTGATTAAAACTAGTTATAAATGTATAACTTTGATAAGAAATAAAAATGCAAATGGAAGAGTTCACCATTGAAAAAGTAAAACTTCTATGCTGGATAGCCTGCCAGTGCAGGTCTACTGTGTGGTTCTGGCTCTTAATGCCTAGGTGGTCAGCTGTATGCAGAGACTTGTCCAGCTAGGCACTCACTGTGGACCCCTTTCCTAACCCACTCAGGACCACCCAGGAGTTCAATCAGTCCTATCGAGCTATTACATAGCACTCTACATACTTTGACATTTCATGACAACCAGATATTTCATGAGACTCTATCTGTTGATCCAGATGAGGTCCACAAGTTCCTAGCAGGATACCGAACAGGGCATACAAGGCTAACCTCAACATCAACCTGCTGAAGGAAGAGCACCAGACAATCTCCATAATGCTATGCTACACCATGCCTCCTGGAAGGGTGACAGGACAGAGCCCATTGTGCAGACTGGTGCAAACTAATAGGTGAACAGGGAGAAAGTAAGCAAAGGCATAAAATAACAAATCTAGAGAACTTTCTCTTGGTCCTAGTTATTCTTCATATAATGTCTTTTTGACTGAGAATTTCCACTAACAGACCTATATTGAAATATATGTCTAAAACAAACTCCAATGTCATTTAAATGACATGAAATTATTCTTTTGGATTCTCTATACCACATCCATGAGAATAAATGGGATACATATGTATGCAAGTGTGTTTTTTGTTTTTGTTTTTTGAGAGGGAGTTTTGCTCTTGCCGCCCAGGCTGGGGTACAGTGGCGTAATCTCAGCTCACTGCTACCTCCACCTACCGGGTTCAAGAGACTCTCCTGCCTCAGCCTCCCGAGTAGCTAGGATTACAGGCGCCCACGACCAGGCCCAGCTAATTTTTATATTTTTAGTAAAGAACGGGTTTCACCATGTTGGCCAGGCTGGTCTTGAACTCCTGACCTCAGGTGATCCACCTGCCTTGGCCTCCCAAAGTGCTGGGATTACAGGCGTGAGCCACCATGCACAGCCAACTGTTGTGATTTTTATGATGGTTTCTTTCTAATTTGGTCTTGAGGTTTTTCTTGAGAGTGGCCATAAGCTCCAGCCTTGCCCTTGCCAGAAATTCAAAGGATTTTGTTGTGGATGTTGACAGTGCGCCTTCCATGGGATGCCTCTTTATCCTGAAGGATGCCTATTGCCTAAGTGTCTGACCCATGACTAGGTGTCCCTCTCACAACAAACTGTTTTTTCAGGCAGACACCCTTGTGGGTCTTGCCTGACCTGTATCCAGATTATTCCTGTCAAGACAGCCACTCTCTAAGATAGCTCTGACCAAAAAGAAGGCTACGTTAAGAGCATCTATGCCAAATGAGACACAATGAAGTGAAATGGAAATGCGCAAAACATAAGTGTTTATTATTCACAGTTCCCAGAAAGGTTAGGGGTGCCAACAGAAAGAGGCAGCAGGGAGCTCAATCAGCAAGGGGTCAGTGGGGAGGAGAGGAAGAGGGAGAAAGGGAAGGAGGGAGGTTGTGAGACAGAACTTTTGGGAGAGAGGGACGGGGAAATCTCTGGGACTGTGTATGCCTTTATTAAGCTCTGTGGACATTATCCCTTAGGCTTTCTTGTGGGGGTTGTAGATGGGCTAATTTAAAGAAATAAGTTCCCCTCTTCCCTCCTGAAGGGGTGAACCTATTTATGTGACTCTGGTGTTGACCGTTACATTTTATCACGTTCAATAGCTGTGGGGTGTGTTGGGTTTTGGGTCAAAGAAGTGAGGAACAAATAAGCCATACGGCAAACAACTACACGGGAAAGTAAGCTTTTAACTAAGCCAAAGGTGACAAAGTAGGACTAAATTTCAAATATTATGTCAATCCTAAAAATGGATGCTGAGGCAGCAACTACATTAAATAAACTTATAAATATATATATGAATATTCATATATATGAACATAAATATAGTGTTTAGCTTTGTATCACCCATTTCTCACTAACCACTTTCACTCTCAATATAATGAATTCCTGTGATGTACAAGTCATGTTTTCCCATGAACCTACCATCCTATCTTAATTTACTTGGTTGTATTGATTCACCTGAGCTTTAAGCAGTCTTACGTAAGTAGTAGTCTGTAGACTGCAGCCATTTATCAACATTAGTGTTACAGAAGAAAAGAACTATTCTCAAGATGAAAAGCAGCTAAATGATTTCTACTCCATTGACCTTTGTTTTTTGTTCTTGCTGTTACTGATTGTTATGATAATCTGTGTATGAATCAAAAAGTAAACATTAATATATGAAATATCTATGCATAGAGAAAAGGCTCATGTGTATATCCTTTAGAAAGAATTCCCATTGATAAAAAAATAATCATTGTATATTACATCTTTTTTTTTTTTTTTGAGATGGAGTCTCGCTCTGTTGCCCAGGCTGGAGTGCAGTGGCACCATCTCGGCTCACTGCAAGCTCCGCCTCCTGGGTTCATGCCATTCTCCTGCCTCAGCCTCCCGAGTAGCTGGGACTACAGGTGCCCACCACCAAACCTGGCTAATTTTTTTGTATTTTTAGTAGAGATGGAGTTTCAACGTGTTCGCCAGGATGGTCTCGATCTCTTGACCTCGTGATCCGCCCACCTTGGCCTCCCAAAGTGCTGGGATTACAGGTGTGAGCCACTGCGCCCAGCCCATTGTATATTACATCTAAAGTCCATGATGGGAATTGTTTACTAATTTTTGTCTAGAACAAGATGAACGTATCTTCTCTAAACCATCAAACATAGTACTTGTCTCTGTTTGAAGGTTTGCTGTTTTGTTGCTTAATTTTCAAAAGCTTTTTGGTCATACATTCTTTGCCATGACTTGGGAATAGTCCCTTAATAACTTAGCACTTAAGTTACTGGAAGATAAACCCTTTTAGGAAAAAAACTGTGAAATACCTTGAAATGGACAAAAAAGAAATTACTAAGTGCCTTATCAAGCCCTCTTGGGGTTATCTCTGTTTTTTCATTATCTTTAAATTATCTGATAATCCTGCAAATTGTAAAAACACAGATAATGCAAACTATTCTTGTCCATAGAAATATAAATTGGTGGTGTCCAGGGAATGTAATTTTTGTCCTGGACAGACCCAAATTCATTTCAGCATTTCTTATTGCTTATTTTTAGTGATACTTTAAATTCTTCCTTCAGCCCATTGTATATGTTAATAATTCCCTATGTAATTTGTAAGTTAAATACAATCTTTGGCACATGGTCATGTTATATCTATATGGAATTCATGATTTTGCTTTTAAAAACAATTATCCTTTAATACCTTAATGGACAAGAGCGTAGAATAGTAGGAAAAATGGTAAGTACTTTGGATTAAAAGAACCCTGGGCAGTAATGGAATCCTTCTTAACCTCAATAAACAGGGAATAGAAAGTCATTTTGTTTTCAGGGTAGATCTGTACATAGAGTATCAAACCACAAAACTCAGGACTTTTTATGAGAATCGAATACAGATATTAAAGTAAAAGTGCTTCTTTACTAGCCTCTGTGAGTTTTAGTCCCCTTCCTGCTACATTAAAGGTACTGTTACCCATCGAGAGGGTTCTCGTGAGGACTAAGATAATACACATAAAGAACTTAGCCCAATATTTGGCACAGAGCAGGGGCTCAAACTGTTTGTCACCTTCACTTTTGTGAAGGGCTATATGACTAAATGTTGAAAATATTACATTTCATATATATATATATATATATATAGAGAGAGAGAGAGAGAGAGAGAGAGAGGCACAAAATAAAGCTAAAATACATCTTGGTCAGAAGAACACCAACTTTGAAAAGTGTATCAAACGTATTCACACTAATGGCTTTTTAAAGAAAAATAGCTAAAACATGTTTAACACTGTGTGCCAAACTCTGTGCTAAGAGTTTTACAAGTATTTTCTCTAGTGATCCTCTCACAACCACCTTATAAGGTAGCTCTTCATAAGAACTTTAATGAGTGCCACAAATATGGAATGTAGTTTCAATACCTCAGTTTACACTCTGAAAAATGAGGCATGTTTTGTGCCACTGAAAAGTTACATTATAATATTTGAAAGTGTCATGTAAAAATTACCCCTATCCACTGAACCAATAGCTCATTAACTTAGTTTCAGCTTGAATTAGGGAATTTTGTTGGGTCCCATAGTCCCCAAATTGGGCTTTCCTTGGAATCAACTCTGATGATTCTTGACAGCTGGCATTTTTGAGTGCCTCTACTTTTGAACTTCTGCTCCTTGCTACTAAATATACTAATAGTATATTTATTTTAATTCTGAACACTGCTGCTTCTTCCGGGTTTAATATTTGGGGGATGCCTGCACAGTTGGGCATTCAGCTTTCTTTGAAGCAGAAGCAGGAAGCTCAGAGACTGCCCCAATGCTTAAAGCATTGCCTTTATCCATGCAAGCCTCTCAGAGTGCCTGAACTTTTGGCAGCGCATAGCACAGCTGCCATCTGGTGGGCAAAACACAATAATTTCACCACTCCACCTTGGGACCAGAGACTGAATTCTACATATCTTCCCCTGAGTAAGGGAGGCTACACTTCCATACTCAGCCCTTCAGGTACTTCATCTCTAAAGCAAAAGCTAGCTCTCTATAATATCCTTAAATTTCCTCTAAAGTTTCACTTACTCTTCTAAATTTCACAGTGTGACAAGATTTTTTAAATATAAATCTTGCAAAACTAAAAACATGCTTTGAATGCTTAAAAGAAAAAATCATCTTTACAGACATTTTAAGGATAACTAAAATACTGCTTTCGTAAAATATAAAAAAACTAAAAAAAATACAAAAAACTGAGTTCTATCCTTCAGCATATTTGCACATCCTTCTACATGTATGGATCTGAAATTAGTAAGAGGTAAAGAAAAATTAAATGCCTTCAAATGCACTTCTTATCCATTTAACACACATTTATTAGGTACTTACCATGTACCAAGTACGAAGCTAGCTCTGTGAATAAGATGTGGCCCAAGATCTCAGAATTCAATGCATGTGAACACGTTCACTTTAAAGAAGTATGTTTAAAGAAGAAGTATGTTACACAGTCCCATGCATTACTAATTCATGGTTGTCACTCCAGCTTCTCCCAATTATGATGCATGAAGGACACTGTTTGGTGTAATAGTATTGCCAAAAACTACATACTGCATGCCATATTTCTTGAAACCTCCTGGTTTTTATAAATGATTTCCTCAATCTTCTTGGGTATATCTATATTTCACACCTTCCAAATTAAAAAGAAAAATTCTTTCCTTGTCTCCCTGCACTAGAGAATGAGTGGTAATTTTTTTTTAAATATCTTATCCCTGGCTGGGCGCGGTGGCTCACACCTGTAATCCCAGCACTTTGGGAGGCCGAGGCGGGCGGATCACCTGAGGTCGGAAGTTCAAGAACAGCCTAACCAACATGGAGAAACCCCGTCTCTACTAAAAATACAAAAATTAGCCAGGTGTGGTGGTGCATGCCTGTAATCCCAGCTACTTGGGAGGCTGAGGCAGGAGAATCACCTGAACCCAGGAGGCAGGGGTTGCGGTGAGCCGAGATCGCACCATTGCACTCCAGCCTGGGCAACAAGAGCGAAACTCTGTCTCAAAAAAAAAAAAATCTTATCCCTTCTTCCTCACATGAAAACAATGATAAAAATGTAGGATGCCCAGCGCAGTGGCGTGTGCCTGCAGTCCCACCTACTTGAGAAGCTGAGGATGGAGGATCATTTGAGCCCAGGAGTTCAAAACCAGCCTGTGAAACATACTGAGAATCAGCTTTAAAAAAAAAAAAGTAGTAAAAAGAGCATTGATTTTCAAGCACAAAGAACTGGGTTCAAATCCTGGCATGATACCCTACTGTAAACCAGTCATGAAAGTCCTTTACCTTTTGCTCCTAACTTCTCTACTTAAAAAAAAAAAAAATGCAGGGGAAGTAATAAAGCCACATTCACAGTGCTTTTATGAGGAAGAATTACACACAAAAAGCCTGCAGGTGTACCACAGTCCCTGGTACACAGTAGGCACAAAATTAATGTAAATTATTTTCTCCTTTCTATTTTTTCTCCAAAACTTTGTGCCCTTTCATTCACTACAATTTCTCATTGCTTACTACAGAAACTTACATAACATTATAGCTTCCATATTTTCACTAAAAGAAAGCATCACTTAATGTTTTTTTAAAAAGCATACTCTACATAGAAGTAGTCTCCAGCTGATGAAGTAGCAATTCATAATTTTTATGAATTTATGACTCATGCTGAACTGACACCAACATTATTCTTGATGTAATTAATTTAATTACCTTTTGTTCCTCAATGCCAAATTTATGTTATTTTAGCATCTCCATGTGTGGCTCCAAAAATACTGATCATTCTAATTTGAGTTAGTTGTAGACAAGAGGCATAGATTTCCAAGTTTCCTAAGACTTGTTTCTATATCATCATATAGTCATGCAGTGGAAGGACTCTTAAAAGCTTTCCTGGTTAACTCCTGGGAAATACACCACAATTATTCAAACCAATTGATACTTGATAGTCTAGTCTATTAGAAAAACACTAAATCCTGTCCCATGGAAATGCTTGCAATTTCACTGGATATTCTGAGGAACTGGACTCAACATATTTGGCACAAGAAACTATGAGATTGTCGTGGATATCTTATAATCATACTTTTTATCAAATCAGTAGTTAAAAAGAATAAGTGAAGTACTTTGAGGTTATGTCTATTCAATTTATTCACCAATACAGTCAATATACATTTTACACCAAGCTAACAACATTTTTTAAAAAGGATATAATTCTTGTCCTTAGCACATTTTGATGCCCTGAGCAAAAAAAATCATAGATACCAAAAAAAAAAAAAATGTAAGTTCAGAACAAAACCAGATAGAAACTTCCAAAATAAGAGAACCTGAGTCTGTAATTGTTGGAAAAACAAAAAACAGAGACATTATGAAAGTCAAACTGGTTATCCAAGGGTAAGCTTTCTAGAGTAAGTTCATTTTGAAGAAGTGGAAAATTCTTAGAGGTTATCTAGTCCGTATTCGTCACATGTGCTTCATCTCATGGGAAAAAATGAATTGACAAAGAATGAGTGTGCTGATATTGAAATTATAAATCTTCTTGTTCTCTACTGCTTTCAAGATCAGTTAAATTTAATATGTCTTCCTCTTCCCAAATGAAAAGATTTTCACCCTCAAACATACAAAGTTCTAAAATATTTCTGTTGCTAATATTTAAGGAGGTCTCAACTTGGCAAATATCTAAGAGGCAAGCTTGACCAAGCATTTCAAAGAAGTAATGACAGTTGATATTTTCTCTTACTACTTGGTTGAGATTTGTTCTTGAGCCCTGGAATCTGTTATTTAATAAGTTGTTATTCTCATCGACTGCTTTAAAGATTTCATTTGTCTGACCGCTGAGGTCTTGTGTATTTGAATCCACATTACCCACAACTAACAATGATGTGTGCAAGAAATTCATACAAAACCTTTCCTTCAAATCTGGTTGAAATTTCTTTAAATTACCTTCTTCCTCTAACCCCAAGAAGTTAATTCTTTTTTGTTTTCTTCTTTTACCCATCAAGTCAAATGTGTTACTGAAATAAAACTGATCAAATATATCACCAATGGCATTATCAATAAGATTTTGTCTCATACTTGCTTTATTGTTCTCTTCCCTGAACACATTTTTGTCTGTCTGAAGTAAATATGGGTGTATTTTCATCCATAAATAAAAACCCAAGAAATTTTCAATATCAGATTCTTTGCGATATGCAAATCCTCGGTCTTCCTCATTCATGGGTTGGATAATAACAGTTAGTATTGGGCAATGTTGACCACAAAGAGCATACAGTTTATCCAAAGAGTCAGCTTCCTGAAGTGTACCATGAATCATATTACTGCCAGGCAATGGTTGGTTTTTAATAGCATCATCAGAGACAGGGTAGACTTTGTTACCAGCAGAAATAAAGGAATGAGTGACAGATGTGCATACTCTTTCTGACTGATGACTACCCTTCTCCTCTGTATGATGATTTGCTATTCTTTCCTTGGCACAGGTTTCATTGCGAACATCCAGCAAGTCCTCATGAAAAGGTTCTGAGTCACTACCATGAGGCATGTTAAAGTAATTGCATTTTAGTTCAAGGGGTTGAGTCAGTTCCTCGAGTTCTGAAGAGGAGAGTTCATCCATCGTTGGGCCTGGGGCCAAATTACCAAAATGTGAATATGGTACCTCACTGCTGTTATTATCAAGTAGGGTGTCCACTGATGTGGTGTCTGCATTGCCACACATGCCAGGATTTTCAGATGACATCCTTAGCAAATGATTTTCTTTCAGAAGCCATTTGCCTTTGTCAATCAGTACTCCTTCCTCTATGTCTGTGAGGATTCTGCTATCATCATTTTGTTTTGTACCAGGTTCTACAATGTCACCCCTACAATAATTGTCCCTCACAGCACTAACATCACACTTATCTTGTCTTTCCTCCTGGAATTCCTGCAACATAGATGAACTACTAGATACCTGTTCAGAAGAGCCAAATGACTGCCCTTCAGAATCATAAAGACTTGCTTTCCTGGAACACTGAAATTCCACAGAATTATAAGGACAAACCTGAGATTTGCGGGTAGACCCAGGAAAAAAAGATGGTTTGATAATATCTGCTTTACCGTACAGTTTTTCTATTGCCCTTTTAACAAATCCTATGTTATATTCTTTCTCTTGGGTAAGTTCGCCACTGTCATTGGGATCATCACTGGATGTTTTATATGGCTGCTCACTGTCACTGTCAGGCCGATAGTCTGACCAATCAGAAGTCACTGGACTTTTGATGCATTTTTTTAAATCAGGAGAGGACTCTGAATAACTTCCAGTTTCCATAGTTTTCACCATCATTTTTACCATCTTAGTTTCTCCTTCATTGGTCTCCTTTTCACTATTTTGCTTAGAATCATAGCAAAAATCTAAAGATGGTGGTGTTGCCAGCCTCTTACTGATTATTTCATAAATTATACCGTTCATTCTTTTTTCTTCCATAATATTCTTACTAGAGATGTCTATCAATTCTAAAGTTTTACTAGCCTCTACCTCTTCTTGGATTAATTCTTCAGTGGCTTGCTCTCCTCCATTTACCACTGTATTAAAGATATCAGTGTCATGGTTTTCTAATTCTTCAAAAGATTCCAATTCTGAAATGTTTCTTTCACTTGATGTCATGCTGTTGGTTATTGAGCCTGGTTCTTCAGAAGTCCGTGGTTCTTCCATATCAAAGGAAGTATATGCATTTTCATCCTGAAACTTCCTTAGTGAACAATTTTCAAAATCATCTAGAGAACTATGTTTCTTATCAAGTTCTGCTTCTTTTTCACTTAGGCAAAGGCCACAGGAGCTTAAATTACTGACATTTTGATGTGACACCAATGTATTAAATCCATTTTTATATTCAGGGTCTGTCAAAATATTTAGATCTTTCTGAATGTCATCACCTCTTTCTAACTCTTCAGTTGAATCCAAGTTATCAGTATATGTGTTTTCTTTGGAGTTTAAAAAGTCAATGGTATTGCAGACATTGACAGGAACGTAGGTCTCATCAATTGGGCAAGCTCCCTCATAGGTATGGTTCTCCTTTTGAGCACAAGCCTTATCAGAAAACACAGTATCAGTAAGTGAACAGACCTCTCCTAGGAAACAAGCCTTATTCATAGAAGTCTGATCCACACCATAACCATCACTAGGAAAAAAAGTGTCACTGGGGTTACATGTCTCTTTTGGAGAATAAGCCTTATTTACAGTGCACATCTCACATGGAGAGCAAGTCACTTCCAAAACACAGACTTCAGGGGCACATGCCTCACTGGCAGAGCAACCTCCATCCAAAGAGGAGATTCCTTGTGTTCTTTCATTTTCACTGCACTTAGGAACACTCTGAATGTTGACCGTGGAACAATTTGCAGAAAGATCTATTGGAACCATGTCTTGTTCTTTCTCACTGAGTCCAAAGTGGCTTGTAGTTGACTCCACTAAATTGGCAACAGCAGCTTTCAAGTCATCAGCTTCCTCTGTGATAGCTATGTGCTTTAGAATCTCCAACAATGCAAGTGTTTCTGAAGATTTGTTGGTAGCCTTGTGAGCATCAACTTGACAGAAGCTATTCATACTTCCCTTTAGGTTTAGCACCAAGAGCCAAGCTAGAAGGAGATTAGTGGATGAATTACATATTGCAGAATGAAAGGGAACACCTGCAAGTGAACCTGGCATTTGAACAACTCCATTCTGAGTCTTGTGAATACCAGGAACTGAAGCTTGCAATTGGTGAAGCATCAGGACTGGTAAGAGGTCTTTTGGAGTTTCCTCTTCTATAGGATCTACTTGAATGGCAGCCTCTACACTTTGCCTTTTTCTAGCTAGGTTTATTTCCTGGTAAACAAGTTTTTTCTCTGGTCCTGATTTTTCAGCAGCTATATGACTTTTAGTATTATGATCATTAATAGCTGACTGTGACAAAGTACAGTGTTCATGCAGGGGAACCAAATAAGCATCATTCAGAGATCCAACCTGTGTCTCATGGAGATCTTCTTCACCAGTGTCATTGGCAATAAAAGACTTATCTCCCTCTTTACATAGATTATCTCCTGTCAAACCGGCAATTTTAGTTATGTGCTTATTACTTTCCATAACAAAATTACTTATTTTTCCAGAATTTGTATGGGGATCATTCCCTGAAAAACTATTATTGCTACAATTTACCACACTCGTTTCATTTCTACATACTGGAGCTGATTTTATAGGCTTTAAAGTTGGATATGGATTTATGTTCTGCAACCAACTCTGTATATAATTTTGAATTGAATGATGAGCAATAGCCTCAGGAAAATCAGGTTTTTTCAAAGAAGCTAAAGAATTTGCCCTGGTTGTAGCATGTTGTTTACTTAAAATAGCACTTGCTTTCACTTTATCCCCTTTACGTTTTTTCTGGCTTTTTAAAGTTATGTGTGAATCAGTAACTTTTGAAACTAAACTCTTCTTTGCCATTCCTCTCAAATACCCAGATGCCACTTCTGCTTGAGATTGCGGTGCATAAAAATCTTTGGGTTTTTGCTCAAGGATGTTAAATACATGAAATAAACTTTTGTTTTCAAAAGTACTTTTGCAATATTTAGATTCATTGTGAGGAAACACTTTATCTCTTTGACCGATTTCTCTTTTTTTAGGTGCTCCTAAGCTTATTTTATTTAGTGATCTAGATTTTCTTTTGGTTAAAAGTCCTTGAACCTTGGAATTTTGAGTAGTATTTAATTTATTTCTATGGAAATTCTTGGAAATCGTGGAATTGAGATTACTTTTGGAACAAAAAGTATTTGATTCAATTACAGTATCACTTTTCTGGAGGTCTTCCTCACAAAGTATCCCTCCTTTAAGGGGACTATCTGAATCTTGCACTATCATTTCCTTTGTAATTCTACCTTTTGTGTTTATTCTCTCATTCTTATTAAGAATTCCTTTGGTTGCAAGCTGTCCATCTTGATACCTGGAATTTATTGCTTGCTGTCGAGATTTTTTCTTCTTTTTGCTGGCAACAGATGACAAAATCTTCTTTTCATTTTTTGGAAGTTTTGTTAAACCACACTGAGCAAATTCATTAATTAGTCTGTCAATTCTTGCAGTGACAGTAGAGGATGCTTCTGAAGCTGGAGCCTCAGAAATATTTTTGTCAGTTCCAGAGTTATTACTTGAAAAATGGGTTGCATCTGCTGAAATAGGACTGAACCTATCATTGGTGTTACCATAAGTTTTGAAGTTCTTGATACCAGTTTTGTTGTCCAATACCACACAATCAACTACATCTTCCTCCACAATTGAGTTATTTGATATAGTTGATGGCAAACCATTATTATGTGACATCTCTAACATCTTCTGACTTGTAATTTCTATAACACCAGCACTTATTGCACTTGACTTAAGCAGACTGTTTTCCTTTTTTCTTTCTAATGATGACTCCTCCATTTGATCATTGTTATTGATCTGAACAAGTACTGGTTTGTTAGATACTGATGACATTTTACTGCAAGAATGTGTAAACATGTGATACTCAGACTTGTTTTCCCCACTTTCCCTTTCTTCACTATATGAAAACTGTCCAATCATTTTCTCTTGAACCTCAGTTTCAGATACTAAGGTCACACTGCCAATCACAGATTTCTTTTGTCTCACTCTTCTTAGTCCAGGTGTAGGGGGCCTATAAAAACGATGCTTTGCTTGGTCTTGAGTTCCCTGGATGATATCTGTGTCCACAGTAGCATTCTCCCAACTAGCAGAACTGCAAGTTTCAGCCACTTGATCTGTCATTTGAATGTTTATCTCCTCTGCCAAACTGCCCTCTTGATTACTGCTTCGCTCCATAGGTGACACATCTGCAGAGAATGAACATGCTGCAAGCTTTAAACCAGATGATCGACTTTCTGTTCTTCCTGGAAAACTCATCTCACTCTTTTCATCATTATTAGAAGGACCAGTTTTACTGACAGTAGTTGTCCATTTTATGGTTTCTTCCTCTTTTATTCTGAATCGAACTTTCATCTCAACTGTCATAGTGCCGTCTTGATTAAAAATAATTGATTTCTCAATATCATCTTCAGAAGGATATATTGGTAAATTCTGAGAATCATTCTTTTCTAAGGCCAAGTACTTTTCAGGAACAAAAGAATAGTCTAAGTAGCAATCATTATTATGTGTTTTCTCAGAAGAAACAGAATAAATCTGGGACCTTGAGCTTGAAGACATATGTGTGCTTACTTTAAAGATTTTAAGAGTAAAAGGTGCCCACATCAAAATATAATATGGAAGGCAGAGAAGTTAGAAATATCCAAAGGAAGAGGCAGCAAAAAAAGAAAGAGAAAAGGGGAAATGATTAGTATGAAAAGTAGCATATTTTCTGTATTTCATAGTAAAATGTTACTGATATGTTTCTGAGCTCTATGTATTTTGTTTTTTTTCTTTTTTTTTTTTTTTTTTTTTTTTGAGACAGAGTCTCGCTCTGTCACCAGGCTGGAATGCAGTGGCGTGATCTGGGCTCACTGCTACCTCCACCTCCAGGGTTCAAGCAATTCTCCTGCTTCAGCATCCCGAATAGCTGGGACTACAGGCCCGCACCACCATGCCCAGCTAATTGTTTTGTATTTTTAATCGAGACAGGTTTTCACCATGTTGGCCAGGATGGTCTCGTCGATCTCCTGACCTCATGATCCGCCCGCCTCGGCCTCCCAAAGTGCTGGGATTACAGGCTTGAGCCACCACGCTCAGCCTATGTGTTTTCCCAATAGTTATTTGAGAAAACCTACTATAACAGTGGTACATTTCTTCAAACCACTCTTTAGAAGAGATCTCTAATTCTACCTCAATTTCAATGTGGAGGTTCAGAGAATTTTAACAAGTTTAATAAGGTAATTTTAATTTTAAAAATGTATAAAGTAAAAAGTGCTAAGAATTCTACCAAAGATAAAAGTTTTTTGTGGGTTTTCATTTCGTTGTTTTGTTTACCAGTACTGAAACTGGAGTCTAACCAAATACCGCTTACCTATTCAAACAAGGCAGCCAACAATTTATGATGGTATTCATCTTCCCACCTACACATATCAAAACAGGTATCCATAGCTTTATGAAAGCAGAAACATTTTATGATTCAGACTGAATTAATCAAGTACTAATTATTTAGCATGCACTTTGTATAATCGTTGCAGCTGACTTAATATAGGGCACAAGAGAGAACAGAGCTAGACATAAGTCCAGATATCAGTTATCTTTTTAACATGTATCTTCAGCATTAACCTTGGCACTCTTGCTTCTTAAATTCAGTCAAAATGCCTGGGCTGGACGCAATGGCTCACATCTGTAATCCCAGCACTTTGGGAGGCTGAGGCGGGTGATCACTTGAGCCCATCATAACAGCCTGGGTAACATAGTGAGACCCCATCTCAAAAAGAAAAAAAAAAAATCCTGTTAGCAAATCTATATAGATTTGCACATACTTGCCATCAGGTAAGCCCCTTTAATGTTGCAGAGTATAAACCTAGAAATATTTTTTCTTATTTTTGATATGCTTTTACTTAAATTGTAAATCAAAGTGTCTCAAATTTTTGAAGAAAACTTAACAAAGCCCTCAGATTCCCTGCAGTCATCAGAAACCATACTCGGCAATCTGTATCAGACATAAGATAATAAAATCATTTTAGTAAAATGACAAACGTGAAATAGCACTACCATATTTATAACATATATGTGGCAACCTAATGCTTACAAAATAGAAGCATTAATAATTATCTATTGAATATATCCATGAAATCATTAAACAACAATGGATTAGTTTCACCCACATTAGCAATAAGTAGAGAGATTAATACTATTTAAAATACATATTATCCAAGTCTAAAGAGAATAAAAACTTAAATTTAAGTATAAAAAACAATCAGTACTCTAGCAAAGAGCTTGTCTTCCCTGGAAATACTGAGTATAATGAATAATGAGATTAGCCATGCTGTATAGGCAATTTACAGCTTATCCCACATCCCTGGGCCTGAAGAGGCCCTCTTCCTCCCCTATCCAAAGGATAATGCTACACAGCAGATCCTACAGAATTATCAACCTACATTACCATTAACCAGCATGAATTGGTTGCATGAACCTTTTATTTAATAAATAAAATGTGGATCTAAGAACCTGTGATTTTTTTAGGAATAACTTCAGAAGGCAGAGCACATAGCGTAGATTTGAAAAAATACAGTCATTCTGCTAACCTGCTGAGGTCAGCTATGGATGCTGCATGGTACTATTTAGAGAAAACTCCGCAACTACCAGAGAAGAGACTTACACAGACTCCACTCTAAAGCAAGAAATGCTGGCATTTTTATTTTTTTAACTAGGTATTTTATGCAAAAAAGCACACATCATCAATTTAAATAGGCATACCATTGATTTGGAAAAGTCTAAAAAATAGATAATATCTATGACTCTTTCCAACTATAAATATAGCCAATTTCAGTTTAGAATGTTTTTAAATCCTCTCCTTTTCGTTTCTGTGGTGGAAGAAACTGGTCATTGAAGCATGGATTTTGCCGTCCTTGAGGCAAAAAAAATCTCAGGGCTAAAAATATGGGCTATATATTAATAAGTGACTTACTCTTTCTGCTTTCTGACTTTGCATTTCCCTTGGGGTACACACGCTGAGAGATCCCTGGTAATCTAGCAGGAAGCAAGTATTTTTGGATGTCATAATTTCCTGGTTTAAATGGCTCCCTTCCTGCCGCCACCACAGCTCCAGAGCTCAGGATCACTGCCTGGAGGCTGGGAACCTAAAAGAGACCAGAGTCATTATCCTGAGATGAGCACATTTTATACTAAGTGGTAATTTTATAACTTTGCTTGAATCAAATCAACAACCTCCTAGGCTTGAAAGACATCATCACTGAGCATTTTCTTAGGCACCAATGGTGTATACAAAATAAGCGGAAATACCAAATGTCAAGGTTGGGTGGGGGAGTCAGTTACGTCCCAGCAGGGATCCCAGGAAAATGCTTCCTCTGTGAAAATACTACTCTTTGCCACTCCTTTCCAAAAAATATTATCAAGATTGGATTCCATGTGAAAACATTATGTAACTCAGGGCTCAGGGAAGAGAGAAAGGGGTAGGTAGCATGAGGGAAAGATGAGATTCCAGTCAGATTCTGACAAAGGAACAAAGGCAGCATCGGAGCACACACACTCACATACACAGGCAGGGAGGAAGGAAGATTTCCTTCCCGGGGGCCACCATTCATATCCCACACGAATCCAATTAGTAGGGTGCTCAAAATGAGCTCAGGCTCGAGGAGCCCCCAGAACGCTCACCCTCCTTCCGTCCGTAGCGTACAGCTTGACCACAGGGCGCTGCATGACCTCTGTCAGGTGCTGTAGAAATGCCTCGAAGCTCTGGGTGACCCTCCTGCTCAGAAGAACCGCACGCCTCGTCTTCGGGTCGCCATTCCTGAAGACCACTAGGCTCCGTGGGGGGCGGGGCATGCCGGGAGCAGCGACGGCTACGGGGTGGGGCGGTGAGTGCGCGCTAATGGCCCGGCTGCTGAGCCAGGGCCGCGGGCGCCGACGGGCTTTGTCCAGGTCTACAGGCTGCACCTTCCTGCCGTGGGAACATAGGTAGGACTCGCCGTCCTCCAGCTCCTCCAGGCGCGTGATGCTGTGCCTGCCCCGAGGGGTGCTGATGTTCCTCACTCCAAAAGGGAGGGGCACCTTCCTGGACAAGTTATCCAGCAGAGCATCAAAGGACTTAAAGGAGCGAGGGTTGACCACCACCCTGACCCCGCCGAATTGGGGGTCTCCGCTCTTGTAGAAACTGATTCGCTTGGCCACAACAGGATGAGTGAGGCTCAAATGGCGAGGGGGTGGAACTTGACCTTCAGAAGACGTAGGATGAATGATGGAAAAACCAGTAGAAGGGGTATCACTCATTTTGGCTGAGACCTAGAGAAGAAAGAAAATTATCTCCAGAATCACAGCACCATAGCGAATACATGGTAATACTAATGCATGCTAAATATAGCTGCAGACATCCAGGATATTCACAGAAGTTTATTCTTTCATTCATTTATTCATTCATTATACCTATCAATTTTGAACGACAATTTTAAGGAACTTATAATAAAAGAGATAAACTGTTAAATAAGGATATGTATAATTTGAAAAAACAACCTAAACACACGAATAAGGGCCTAGATAAATTATCACATATACACCCATGCAATGGAAAACTATGCAACCATTAAACATGACCTTATAGATGTATCTTTTGGCATAGAAAGATGATCATGACATATTACTAAGTGAAAAAAATCAGTTTGCAAAACATTCTGTGCCACTGATTTAAATGTATACGTACAGTCACATTGCTTAACAAGGAGGATAAGTTCTGAGAAATGCATTGTTAGGTGATTTCATCATTGTGTGAACATCAGAGAGTGTACTTACACAAACAGATGATATAGCCTACTACACACCCAGGCTTTATGGAATAACCTATTCCTCCTAGGCTATAAATCTGTACAGCATGTTACTGTTTGAATACCGTAGGGCATTGTAATACAGTGGTAATTTGTTATCTAAACATATCTAAACATAGAAAAGGTATAGTCAAAATATGGTATTATAATCTTATGGGGCCACCATCATATAGGTAGTCCACCATTGACCAAAGTAGTGTTATGTGGCACATGACTGAGTTATATGAATTGGGGAAAAGTCCAGAAATATATACAACCCAGTGTTGATGGTGGTTATCTCTGGATTGCAGAATTCTGGATAATATTTGTGTTTTTTATACATTGCTAAACTTTGTGAACCTTTAAAATTAGCAGGTATTATTGCACAATTTAAAAAACAACAGAGACACAAATCAGAAACCATCCACTGAGAAAAGTAAGAGAGTTTTGCAGTTCATCAATTTAGTCCTTCATATCCTGACAATAAGGAAATATGGGAGAAACAGGAAATGTTTTTAAAGTTCAAATTGTCTGGAGGAAAATGTACTTGACATTAAGTTCTAGGAGGAATGTATCACATAGAACCTTAAGTAAGAGCCATCTTAAGATACTGTCAGATGTTTCCACCGCTTATTAGAGAAAATGCAGGCAAATCATCTCACACACCACTTATCTTACTTTGGGAAACACTGCACTAAGCAAAAATGTCCTTTGAATGAATGACAGCATTGCTATGGGCTGCTAAAACTGGTGCAGTCTGGTTACTGGTCCCACTAGTAGTTCTAAAGTTAAACCTTCAGGAGAGAATTCAAGAAGAGTAATTTTCAGCAAAGCACTAAGGTTTTCCTTTTCCACTTCTCAGTGAAACTGGAGTTTGACTGACAAATGAGCAGCATGTGGAAGGATTTATCTGGTTCTGGCCTTGTTTTCATTTGTGGCTGTTTTCTATTGTTTGAAATCATTTTAATTATTAGTGTCTTTTGACACAGTAAGAAAGTCCTGCAGCCTTGAAGACAAATTGAACAAACAAAATTAATGTGATTGGTAATACAGAGATGGAAAAAGGCATGTTTATCATTGTAAATCAGCTATAAACCTGGCCCAAATTATCTACTTAAATGTTTGCAAGCTGTTGTCCAAGATTCTTCATATATCTCCAATCTGATTTGCAAATCTTATTTAAATGTAACTTAGAAAAAAAAACATTTGAAGATCAGCCTAGAAATTAGATGTCTTCCCTTCCTTCTTCCTCAGAGGTTTAAAGTAATTATAATACTTAAGCCAAAAAAATAGCAGCTGTAGCAGACATGTGCATCAGGAGCTGGGGAATCCAGCTTCGCAATGGAGTCAGCAAAACTGCAACCTCTTCTCATCCTCATCTGGTCAACTGTGGTCTGACCTTGAGCAAGCTGCTTAATCGCCATGGCCTCAGCAACTGTAAGAAGGATGAGTTCCTTCAGTATTTAAATAAGACTTTAGGCCCGGGCGTGGTGGCTCACACGTGCAATCCCAGCACTTTGGGAGGCCAAGGCGGGTAGATCACCCGAGGTTAGGAGTTCAAGACCAGCCTGGCCAACATGGTGAAATCTCATCTCTACTAAAAATACAAAAATTAGCCAGGCATGGTGGCGTGTGCTTGTAGTCCCAGCTACTCTACTCGGGAGGCTGAGGCAGGAGAATTGCTTGAACCCAGGAGGCAGATGTTGCAGTGAGCTGAGATCGCACCACTGCACCCCAGCCTGGATGACAGAGCAAGACTCCATTTCAAGAAAAAAATAAAATAAAAAATAAGTAAGACTTTAGAACTCTGTCTCCAATTATATTTTAGGTTGGTGTACTTATATGTTTATTTGAAAATATCGTACATGAATAATATTTGAGACACATTTTTCACTTAATTTTGGAAAATGATATTTTTCTTGGTGTAGGTGCATCATGAGGCTCTTAATGTCACTTTTTAAATGCCTGAATCTCACTATTTGGAGAGCTGTTAACCTGGTGACCACTTTGGGAACACATCTATGTGAGCCAATATGCTAAGAATTTTGTGGGTAGTTTTGTTTGTCGGTTTTGGCTAAAGAGAAAGATTTTGTGCTGGGGCCAGGAGGGAAAACATAGAAGATAAAGACAATAGGAGCAAAGAAGCAGCTGCCATTGTCCCTATCCCACTGCTACCCAGCCCTGAGCATTGGTTTTGAGCCCAGTGCATGAAGGGCAGGTGCTGAAGGTACCATGACCTGGGAAGATGCCAGGTCCCCAGCAGTGGAGGAGCATTTGCAGAGAAGGTGCATCCAACACGTGGTTGCCAGGCACCTTGTTGGGGATGCTGTAGTGAAAACAAAACAAAAATACAAGTTCACATGATCTTCATATGTGTGAGAGAATCTCTGGGAACTCCTAGAAGTCACTGGGGGAACTTTTAGGTAGAGTGTTGAGATTCTGCATCCTTGTAGGTGAGTCTTAAGAGCCTATGATAAAGAGGGCCTTGTGTGTAAAACCCAGAACATGATAAAGATTAGGTATTATTGTTGAATAAAAACATTTGTGTTCATTGATTGCACAATGTCATCATTTGGAAAGAGGGTGCAAACCAAGTATTTCTGAAGGAAGTGAATCAGCTTTTGCCCTGTCTTAATAATGTGCATTTCCTACAGAGTCCATGGGAAGTTCACAGAGTAACTCAATAGCTCAACTGAAGAAGAGGAAGAGTTGGGGTACCAAGAGAATATTAAGGAGGGATGTCTAATACAGCCTCAGGGATTGGGGGTAGGAGTGAGAAGAGAGGGCAATTTCCAGAGGAGAGTCTGTGTAAAGTTGAGATGCCAGAGGCAAAAAGTGGTAGAGATGCCCTCCAGGAAGAAGGCAGAGGTGGTACACCATTTACCTGGTGCACCTGAGCAAGACTAGCAACGTGGTCATTAAGTCTTGACAATACAGTGCCCACTTCTGTGAAACAGAGCTACCAGCCCTCCATAACGTTTTTGAGTTCTCCTATGTTAGCTGTGCTCCATTCTTAATCAGTTTTAAGAACGAATCAGAATTTGCATGGAAATTTAGCAATGTATCTTTACATACATTTTCGATAATAAGGTGTATCTTATGCCCTTTAAATTTGGAATAAGGCAGTAATATACTTAAGGGCTACCTAGGGAACGAACAAACTGAGCAGCATAAAATGGTTGAATTCTCCCAGAAGTTTAGGCTGAAGAAGTGGTGGAGGTGGAAAGAGGTAACTGTAGAATCTTGAGGCCCTCCAGTTTCTTCACCAGTGACTTCCTTATATGTAGCAAGGAAGCTGGTTTACAAAAACTTTTTGCCTTAAAATCCGCTTCTAATGACATGACAGCTTGCTACCAATATCGTCTCTTCTTCTCTGCAGAGACTCTTTATTGCCTAAAGTTAGACAATGGAGCTATCATGCATACTTTCATTGCTCTTTAATATTAAGCAGATTTTTTAACACCCTTAGGCTCAACTGTGGCTAGGCTTATCTGTGGCATCATTAGTTTCAATCAAACCCCACTTAAAACAATCATTTACAGCTGTGCTGCTCAGAACTAAATAGTTGGCCTCTACCAAGAGGGCTGTGTCTTCACTCTCTCACTCACTTGACAAAACATGACAGAGTTACATGCGTCATTTCACTAATTATATTTTAAGTTTAATTTTCTACCACATAGTGTGAATTCAGACAAGTCACAAATAATGAAGTAGAAAAAATGGAAAATTGAGAAATACAGAATGTACAGAATGTTCATTCTTTTAGCAATTCAGAGACTTGATGTTGCAAGAAAAATCAGTTCATTTCAGATTTTCATAAGCCTATGGGGCAGAGTTGAGAGAGGAGATTCAAAAAGGAAAATCACCAGTTATTCACTGTGGTAGTCACAGCATTGTTGAATTACAAGCAGCTGTCTTCTTCTTTAGTGTATTGCCTAGATGTCTATAAGAAGTATATAATGCTTTTATTGTCAGAAACAAAGTAAACATTACTCATTTGAATAAACTAGAATCACTTGATTTCCTGATACTGAAGTTCCATTCTATTTCAATATCAGCATATTGTGAAGGTTGCTGGCATAGTTAGGTAAAAGATAATTATTAATAACATTTATGCTTTTTCTAACAGTTAAAGACAGAACACAGATATATAATCTAAGTATAACATGGAAAACAAAATACAACTAGCAAAACAGAATATTTTCCAAAGAAAGATTTCAAATAGTTTTGTACTTACCACAACTTGAAACGTCCCTTATTAAGAAAAGAAAAAGATGTTTAAGTTGTTTAAATAGCTCAAATAAATGTCACTGGATATGTAACCTCATTTCGTGCAAAGAAACTAATGTCTTTGGATTTATTCTCAGTATGTCCAGCAAGGGATTGAGTACAGCCAATTAATTTAATCCATGGTGATGCTAATCACCAGACAGAGCTCACCCTAAGGAGACAACAGCCAGAAGCAAACCAGTTCCTAGCATGCTCTGCAGTTGTGAAATCTTCCTCATGAAGGTTTCCCTTGCATCTTCTTTCTTGCCTAGTGTTATCCTCCAGAAAAAGTACTTCACCAGTACACAAGCATTTCTCTCCCAGACAACTTTTAACCCTCATTTATTTATGTTAACAGGAGAAAGTTGTTATTGTGCAGGCTAAAAATGAAATTGTTTGACATTTTCTCATTCTGATAAGTTTCTAAGTCAGTACTTGCTCCTGGTAATCATTTAAAAATAAAGATCTAGGCCTTTTGTTTTATTTAGGCACTCTTGCTTATTACCTCATTGATGTAATTCTGAAATGACTGTGAACGTACACAATTTGGTGACTCAGCATAACGCAGGACAAACAGCAGAAGCAGCACACGATGAAATGCTATGATTTTATGCTTCTGCATACCCAGCACGCTTCCACTGCTTCCCTTACTCATACTGGGGTTTGAACATGTTTCAGGACTTTGTCACACATAAAGTCCCCAGATGGCACCTGATCCTTCTAATGACTACCTGTGGTCTAATCGGACTTGAAGATGCTTCACCTAATCGGGTTTCCTACGGGGCTTCCTGCCTCAGCTCTGAACAACAAAAACAAGGTAAGGGGTCCTCTGGGGAAACAGGACCAGGTTCAAGCATGTGCGCCACAATGTTGTCTCCACACCAATCACAAAAGGAAAAAGGTCATGAAACTGCACACTTTGCCTCATAAATACTGACTTTGTTGCAGGCCACCTATGAGAGAGAAATGGAGAGAGGAGTAGGGAGGGATGGGGAGAAAGAGAAAGAGTGAGGTGTAGATAAGAGAAACAGTAGTGTCCAGCTTTGATACAAACCTCCATTTATAATTATCACTGTCTACACACAGACATGGCTATTAAATCAGTAAGGAAATTTGTGTTTACAGGGTAGCAATAGGCATGAATTGTATCATTACCAGCTCCAAATTGAAGTACAAATTCAAAAAGTTTGGGATCAGATATGATCTGCCATTAAATAGCTAAGGACTAATGCAGCATTTCTCTTGACTTTATCTTTAATTCTATAATCTATGTCTGATAAACAATTCACATTGATCAGTTCTGTTTTGACACTGAAAGTATTTCTGCCAGTGAGGCTTTTGGCATTCCTTAGACTCACTTATCAAAGGTGGGCCAGGGCCAGAAGCATCAGCATCAAAAGAATCAAAAGAACCAAAAAAGGTTTCTTTTGGAGCACTTTTAGGAAAGATAACATTTCTTACATATAAGACAGCACAAAATGGGCTCTCCATTTCTGAGCATCTCCCGTAGTATACGTTCCACTCCCACAACTCCAGTTAAGGACAGAGACCAGGTATCCCTGTTATCCAGTCGAGCTACCATACCCTCTCCCTGGTATCACTTGTCTCTGGCACATATCAGTGTGTATCTAAACCATGGCTTCCCAAGCTTGAAGGTGCACATGAATTTCCTGGGATCTTGCTGCAGTGGTTGACTCAGTAGGCCTGGGGTGGGGTCTGAGAGTCTACATTTCTAATAAGCTGATGCTGATGCTTCTGGCCCTGGCCCGCCTTTGATAAGTGAGTCTAAGAAATGCCAAAAGCCTCATTGGCAGAGTTCATATTAGGCTTCTTCCCTGAGAATGACTTCAATTGCCATGGCCTCTGAGATTACCTGTATGTCATATCTGAGCTCTGTTAAGTTCTGTCTAGTCACTGCTGTTAGAGTGGCCAGATGACAGGAGTGGTGTTAAGCATACATTCTCAGCATACCACTGAGTCAGTCAGACCTCAGTTCAAATCCTGCCTCTTCCACTTTGCTATGTGAATCTGCAAGCCATGTACTTAATTCCTCTGTCTACTTCCCTGGCCATAAAATGTGGAAAAGTACCTGCTTTATAGGCTCATTGGTGAGGGTTAAGTAAGAGAATATACATTATGTGTTTGACACAGTGTCTGAATGTCATAACAAGTGTTCAGTAAATGGACATTATTATTTTTGCCATGTTTATCTTCTTTTAACACACTTCCATGATCCTCACAGCATTTAGTAAATGACTTCATGCCCTAGCATGCCTCAAAAATTGTGATCTGACTTCAGCTTACTTTTCCAATTTCATTTCGATCCATATGTCTTACTCTGTAGTTTTGATTATTTGAAGTTTTTTAAATGTGGCTCTAGATTTTTGCATATATTGTTTATCTTACTTGGAATGCCTCCTCATAACCCAGACACCCTGCCTTTCATTGCCATACATTTTCTGTCCCTTCCTTCCACACTCAGTTCATCTCAGAAACCTTTCTTGAACCCCTGCCTTCCCACTACATCAACACGCTGAATGAAGTAAGTACCCTCCAATATGCCCCCTTATCTATCTGTATAAATATACTCTCTATACATTTCATACTGCACAAACAACTGGTGCATCAAGCACCAGAAGTGTAACTTCTTTATCATCTCTGAATTTCCAGAAACAGCTCAATACCTTATATATATCAGGCACTTAATAAATACCTATTAAAGGAATGATCCTCTGCCTGCCTTAGTACAGAATTGTTGTGGAGATATATATGCCTGAAGAATGCTGTCTCATTGTAACTGCTAGAATTTACCTTTCCAGGCAGGCCCAAGGAACCCAGGACAGAGATCAGACTATATCAGGAAGCATAATAATTTTGTATACCTTTTATGGAATATGGCCTTCGTCCTTTGTCATCCAAGCCACATAGAATTCTGTGTATGGTCCATTCTGATGAAGTTAAATTATTGGATATTGAACCTAAATGGCCTCTACCTTAAAAAACCATTCCCTGTAAAAACCCATTCCCCTTCCTTCTTTACTCATTTGTTTATTTGTTCAACAGATAATTAATGCATACTCACTGTGTATTAGACACACATAGCAACAAACACAACAGAAAAAAATCCTTGCCTTCATGGGGTCACATTATCCTGCAGAGACAAACTATGAATAAAAAAAGCAAATCTACAGCATGTTAGATCCTATAAAGTGCTATGGAGAAAAGTGAGGTAAAGTAGGAGTGGCAGTGGTAGAGGTCAGGGAAAACCTCACTGAGAAGTGACGTGAGAAGAAATCTAAAAGTAGTCAGGGGAAATGGTGTTCAGATATTTGACAGAAGTGTGTTCCTGGCAGAGAGAGTAAGTGCAAAGGTTTGTGGGAAGTATTTGAAGTATTTGAGAAATTATAAGAAGACCAGTGTGGCTAGAAAGCAGGGCACCAAATTATACAGGGTCTGTAGCCGTTGGTAAATACTTTGGCTTTAACTTTAAGTGAGATGAGAAACCAAGGAAGGATTTTGAGAAGAGAAGTAATGATCTCACACTTCCAAGGATTACTTTGACAATGATGTTAAAAATACTGGTATATCCAATGGAAGATGGCAGAGTAGGCAGTGCCAGGAACTCATCTCCCCACTTGGACAAAAATTGTACTAGCAGAAACTGTCTGAAGTTAATATTTTGGAACTCTGAAGTATATCTGAATGCTTGCAGGTTCCAGAGGAAGGCTTGGCTGGTAAATTGTAATTAATTTCCATTTATTTCAGCCATTAGTGCTATAGTGACTACTCATTCCTCATCCCCCAGCCCCATGGCAGGCAGCTGTGGGGACAGCAGCCTGCATTCCTACAGCAGCTTGCAGGATCCAGAGTGAGAAATAAGAACTCCCTCCTCCAAATACTAAGTTTCTGTGTTCTGGCTGCTGATTTCTGCTTCTGATTGCAGAGGTGCATACAGAGGTAGGCATTGTTGCAGCTCTCAGTGGCAGAAGTGGCTTCCAGGGGATTTAAAGATATAATACCTGGGACGTTTTTCTTCTTTTTAAATCATCTACCCCATTTTAGGAACTAGGCACTTAAAGATGAGATATTCAAAAGCAACCGCATTATACCGGGGAGTTTAGAAAGTCATCTCATATGCTCAGGGAAAAACATAGACTCAGAAAAGACCTGAATACCATAAGCTTCTACTGCAGGCTGATCCTTGGCAAAGAGAAACCGTACAAATAAAAAAGAAAGGTTGGGGGGCAGGGGGGAATAGGAAGGAAGGAAGGAAGGAAGGAAGGGAGAGAGGGAGGGAGGGAGGGAGGGAAAGAAAACAACAAACCATGGGGAGGGGAGAGGATTAAATTTCCAGAGTTACCAAATTATATGATTCAAATAGAGTTTTAAACAAAGAAAAAGTCACAATGCACACACATTAAAAAAGAGGAAAGTATATCCCATTAAAAGGAACAAAATAACAGAAAATGTCCCTGAGGAAGCCAGATGGCAGAATTACTAGACAAAGACTATAAAACAACTATCTTAAAGATGCTTAAAGCACTAAAGGAACACATGGACAAAAACAGGAACAAAATGAGATGTATGAACAAAATAAGAATATTATTAGAGATAGGAAATATGAAAAGGAACCAAAAAGAAATTCTGGAGCAGAAAAGTACAAAATGGACATGAAAAATTCACAAGAGCAGTTCAAAAACAAATTTGAGCAGCAAAAACAATCAGCAGAACTTGAAAATAGGACAACTGAAAGTTTTGAGTTTGATGACCAGAAAGAAAAACTATTAAGGAAAGGTAAACAGAGTTTGAAGGACCTGGGGATACCATCAACTAGAATAACATACACATTATGGGAGTTCCAGAAGGAGAAGAGAAAGAGAAAAGGGCAGAGATATTTGAAGAAAAAATGGCCAAAATTTTCCCAAGTTGGATGAAATACATGAATCTACAAATTCAAAAGTTCGATGAACTACACGTAGGATGAACTACAAGAGACCTGCACTGAAATACATTAAAGCATCAAAAGGGAAGCAATTCATCAGATACAAGGGATCCTCTATATGATTATTCACCAGTTTCTCATTAGAAACCTTGGAGGCCAGAAGGCACAGTATGATATATTCAAAGTGCTGAAGGGAAAAGAACTGCCAGCCAAGACTTCTATATCTGGCAAAACTGTCTTTTAAAAATGAGGGCAAAATTAAGACAGTCCTTGATAGATAAAAGCTCGGGAAGTTTATTACCAATAGACCTGCTCCTCAAGAAATGTTACAGGAAGTCCTTCAAGTTAAAACAAAAAGGCACTATATTAGATTGTAAAAAAAGAAATTCAGGTACGCCAATTAGGAGGGCATTGTAATAATCCAAGCAAGAAGTGAGGATTACTCAGACCAAGATAGCTGCTGTGGATGTGACAGCATTTGCAGATGTCTTAGTTATGGATTGGATATGGATTGGCTGTGGGGAATGAGAGCAATAAAACTGTCAAGGAAGACTAAGATTTTTGTCCAGTACATCTGGAAGAATGGAGTTGCTAATTATTCAGATGGAGAGGACCTCAGAAGTACCAGTCAAGAGAGTGGGAGGTGATAGTGAATATCACCTTGAAAAGCATATTAGACATCCAAATAGAAATATCAAGTAGGCAGTATACTGAAGATTCTTAAGTATACTAAAGGCATTATACTAAAGGTTCAAGCTAAAGGTATAAACGTGATGCACTGATATACTGATGGTGCTTAAAACTTGGAAGAATCTGGATGAGAACTTCCAAGAAGTGAGTGTAAATAGAGAAGAGAATTGGTGCAAGATCAGATCCCAAAGCACTGCAAAGATAGCAGCCACAGAGACGGTGAGGAACCATCAGCAAACTCCAGCAAAGGAGTTTATGAGGAAAAGGTGCATCAACAGAGTAGTGTTCTGGAAGCCAAAGGAAAGAAGTGTTTCAAAAGGAGGTAGTGATGAGCTGTGTCAAATGGTACTCATACATCAAGTAAGAGGAGTGCTGAGAAGTAAGCATGGGCTTTAGCAATGTGAAGTTTATCTGTAACCTCAAGACCTTTTTTGGTGGAACAGTATGGATAAAATCTTCACTGGGCATAGGGGCAAAAGAAAACTAGAAGGAGAGGGATTGGAGTCAGCACGTGGAGATAAATTTTTTGCTAGTTTTCTTTCTGTTAGTTTGTTTTTCCATATTTAAAATCAGACACAGTTTGAGGTGTAATATGCGTGTATGCTGATAGGAATGAACCAGTCAAAAGGGAAGATTTAATGCTGTGGGTAAGAGCAGGGAGCTCTTGGAGCTGCATCCTTCAGTGCCTAACAGGGAGATGGAATATAATGCACAACAGAGGTGTATGTCTCAGCAGGGATTAAGGAGAAGGCCATCCCCAGTAGCAGAAAGACAGGCAGTGATGCTGGTAGAGGTGACCTTCCCTTCTGACTGCTTCTCCATCTCAGCGACCTGGGATGTGAGGCCATCCACTGAGGGTGTGAGTGAGGGGGAGGAGGTGTTATTAATCTAATGAGACAGGAGAAGCTGTGAAATAGTCACCCAGTGGAATGAAAGGAGGACCAGAAGAGGAGGTATAGTAGGCTTGTGGGGGGCATTGAGAACCTGCTGTTGGTTAGTAACCATAAGTGTATTCTGTTTTATGTTGTTTTCTCTTTTTTTGTTGTTGTGTTTTGTTTTGGTTTCGGTTTTCTTTTGGTTTGTTTAAGACAAGGTTTTGCTCTGTCACACAGGCTGGAGTACAGAGACACAATCATGGCTCATTGCAGCCTCTACCTCCCAGGCTCAAGTGATGCTCCAGCCTAAACCTCCTGAGTAGCTGGGACTGCAGGAGTGCATCACCACACCCAGCTATTTTTTTTTTTAAGACTGGGTCTCACTTTGTTTCCCTGACTGGTCTCAAACTCCTAGGCTCAAGTAATCCTCCTACCTTGGCCTCCCACACAAATGTAAAATGACACCAAGCAGCACCCAATGCAGGCTGGCCAGGAGACTGTTCTTTCCTGGCTCTTGCTACCCAGCATTGATCTGCTATGATCTGATGGAATGGGACCATTTCCTGGTCTACACCTTGATTTTCCCTGACATCTATCCATCATAGCTTACTGCCTGTACCTAGCCCTCCTGAACCTGGGTATCCCCAGCCCCATCAACTGGACTTTCCTCATGCCTTAGCATGCCTGTCTGCAACATAAAGTCCTCCGGAACCAAAGAGGCTGATGTCTATCTACTGTCAGATCCTGTCCATGTGACTACAGATAAGACAGTCCCAGCCCCCATCTTCATGGTGCTTAGATGTAGAGGGAAGGCAAACTCAGCCCAAATACACTTTACTAACTAGAAGACTATGGTTTTTAATGTATTATTTGAAAGGAAGAGAGAACAAGCAAAGATTTGAGTATATACAGACTATTGTTATTAGGATAGCAAATATATTTAAGACTTACTCTCTAATTTTCTTTTTTTCTTCAACTTTTAAGTTCAGAGGTACATGTGCAGCATGTACAGGTTTGTTATAGGAAAATGTGTGCCTTGGTGGTTTGCTGCAATATCGTCCATCCCCTAGGAGTTCTCTAATTTTCACTAGATTCCTCCCTTCTTTTTTTACCATGTTGAACAAACATATGTAAGCCAACTTTTTTTTCATAGTCAGTGTATATGCAAAACCATCTCATGCTATTCTTTCGGCCAAGTCATTTGGTTAGTCAGGCACAAATAACTGCCTAGACTGAAAACAGAGGGCAGAGAGGGCTTCTATATGCTCCCTTACATTGAACATACCGTCATGACCATCTAGTTTTTAAAACTGCTTTGTTGATACATGATTTCCATGCCATAAAATTAACCCATTTAAAGTGGATGATTCACACTTGAACTCAGGAGGCAGAGGTTGCAGTGAGCCAAGATTGTGCCACTACACTCCAGCCTGGGCAACAGACTGAGACTTCATCTCAAATTAAAAAAAAAAAAAAAAAAGGCAGATGGCCAAAATAGGAACAGCTCCAGTCTCCAGCTCCCAGTGTGAGCAACACAGAAGATGGGTGATTTCTGCATTTCCAACTGAGGTACCGGGTTCATATCACTGGGGAGTGTCAGACAGTGGGTGCAGGACAGTGGGTGGAGCACATCAAGCATGAGCCGAAGCAGGGTGAGGCATCGCCTCACCCAGGAAGTGCAAGGGGTCAGGGAATTCCCTTTCCTAGTCAAAGAAAGAGGTGACAGACAGCACCTGGAAAACCAGGTCACTCCCACCCTAATACTGCACTTTTCCAATGGTCTTAGCAAATGGCACACCAGGAGATTATATCCCACGCATGGCTCAGAGGGTCCTATGCCCACAGAGCCTCGCTCATTGCTAGCACAGCAGTCTGAGATCAAACTGCAAGGTGGCAGCGAGGCTAGGGGAGGGGTCCGTGCCGTTGCCGAGGCTTGAGTAGGTAAACAAAGTGGCCAGGAACCTCAAACTGGGTGAAGCCCACCGCAGCTCAAGGAGGCCTGCCTGCCTCTATAGACTCCACCTCTGGGGGCAGGGCATAGCCAAATAAAAGGCAGCAGAAACCTATGCAGACTTAAATGTCCCTGTCTGAAAGCTTGGAAGAGAGTAGTGGTTCTCCCAGCATGCAACTGGAGATCTGAGAAAAGACAGACTGCCTCCTCAAGTGGGTCCCTGACCCCCGAGTAGCCTAACTGGGAGGCACCCCCCAGTAGGGGCAGACTGACACCTCACACAGCTGGGTACTCTTCTGAGACAAAACTTCCAAAGGAACAATCAGGCAGTAACATTTGCTGTTCACCAATATCCACTGTTCTGTAGCCTCTGCTGCGGATACCCAGGCAAACAGGGTCTGGAGTGGACCTCCAGGAAACTCCAACAGACCTGCAGCTGAGGGTACTGACTGTTAGAAGGAAAACTAACAAACAGAAAGGACATCCACACCAAAACCCCATCTGTTTGTCACCATTATCAAACACCAAAGGTAGATAAAACCACAAAGATGGGGAAAAAACAGAGCAGAAAAACTGGAAACTCTAAAAATCAGAGCGCCTCTCCTCCTCCAAAGGAACACAGCTCCTCACCAGCAATGGAACAAAGCTGGATGGAGAATGACTTTGACGAGTTGAGAGAAGAAGACTTCAGACGATCAAACTACTCTGAGCTAAAGGAGGAGGTTCGAACCCATGGCAAAGAAGTTAAAAACCTTGAAAAAAAATTAGACGAATGGATAACTAGAATAACCAATACAGAGAAGTCCTTAAAGGACCTGATGGAGCTGAAAACCATGGCACGAGAACTACGTGACGAATGCACAAGCCTCAGTAGCCGATTCGATCAACTGGAAGAAAGGGTATCAGTGGTGGAAGATCAAATGAATGAAATGAAGTGAGAAGAGAAGTTTAGAGAAAAAAAGAATAAAAAGAAACAAACAAAGCCTCCAAGAAATATGGGACTATGTGAAAAGACCAAATCTACGTCTGATTGGTGTACCTGAAAGTGATGAGGAGAGTGCAACCAAGTTGGAAAACACTCTGCAGGATATTAACCAGGAGAACTTCCCCAATCTAGCAAGGCAGGCCAATATTCAAATTCAGGAAATACAGAGAACACCACAAAGATACTCCTCGAGAAGAGCAACTCCAAGACACATAATTGTCAGATTCAGCAAAGTTGAAATGAAGGAATAAATGTTAAGGGCAGCCAGAGAGAAAGGTCGGGTTACCCACAAAGGGAAGCCCATCAGAGTAACAGCAGATCTCTCGGCAGAAACCCTACAAGCCAGAAGAGAGTGGGGGCCAATATTCAACATTCTTAAAGAAAAGAATTTTCAACTCAGAATTTCATATCAAGCCAAACTAAGCTTCATAAGTGAAGGAGAAATAAAATACTTTACAGATGAGCAAACGCTGAGAGATTTTGTCACCACCAGGCCTGCCCTAAAAGAGCTCCTGAAGGAAGCACTGAACATGCAAAGGAACAACCGGTACCAGCCACTGCAAAAACATGCCAAATTGTAAGGACCATCAAAGTTAGGAAGAAACTGCATCAACTAATGAGCAAAATAACCAGCTAACATCATCATGACAGGATCAAATTCACACATAACAATATTAACCTTAAATGGAAATGGGCTAAATACTCCAATTAAAAGACACAGACTGGCAAATTGGATAAAGAGTCAAGACCCATCAGTGTGCTGTATTCAGGAAACCCATCTCATCATGTGCAGAGACACACATAGGCTCAAAATAAAGGGATGGAGGAAGATCTACCAAGCAAATGGAAAACCAAAAAAGGCAGGGGTTGCAATCCTAGTCTCGGATAAAACAGACTTTAAACTAACAAAGATCAAAAGAGACAAAGAAGGCCATTACATAATGGTAAAGGGATCAATTCAACAAGAAGAGCCAACTATCCTAAATATATAAGCACCGAATACAGGAGCACCCAGATTCATAAAGCAAGTCCTTAGAGACCTGCAAAGAGACTTAGACTCCCACACAATAATAATGGGAGACTTTAACACCCCACTGTCAGCATTAGACAGATCAACGAGACAGAAAGTTAACAAGGATATCCAGGAACTGAACTCAGCTCTGCACCAAGTGGACCTAATAGACATCTGCAGAACTCTCCACCCCAAATCAACAGAATATACATTCTTTTCAGCACCACACTACACCTATTCCAAAACTGACCACATAGTTGGAAGTAAAGCACTTCTCAGCAAATGTAAAAGAATAGAAATTATAACAAACTCTCTCTCAGACCACAGTGCAATCAAACTAGAACTCAGGATTAAGAAACTCACTCAAAACCGCTCAACTACATGGAAATTGAACAACCTGCTCCTGAATGACTACTGGGTGCATAACGAAATGAAGGCAGTAATAAAGATGTTCTTTGAAATCAATGAGAACAAAGACACAACATACCAGAATCTCTGGGACACATTCAAAGCAGTGTGTAGAGGGAAATTTATAGCACTAAATGCCCACAAGAGAAAGAAGACAAGATCTAAAATTGACACCCTAACATCACAATTAAAAGAACTAGAGAAGCAAGAGCAAACACATTCAAAAGCTAGCAGAAGGCAAGAAATAACTAAGATCAGAGAAGAACTGAAGGAAATAGAGACACAAAAAACCCTTCAAAAAATCAATGAATCCAGGAGCTGGTTTTTTGAAAAGATCAACAAAATTGATAGACCACTAGCAAGACTAATAAAGAAGAAAAGAGAGAAGAATCAAATAGATGCAATAAAAAATGACAAAGAGGATATCACCGCCGATCCCACAGAAATACAAACTACCATCAGAGAATACTATAAACACCTATATGAAAATAAACTAGAAAATCTAGAAGAAATGGATAAATTCCGCAACACATACACCCTCCCAAGACTAAACCAGGAAGAAGTTGAATCTCTGAATAGACCAATAACAGGCTCTGAAATTGAGGCAATAATTAATAGCTTATCAACCAAAAAAAGTCCAGGACCAGATGGATTGACTGCCGAATTCTACCAGAGGTACAAGGAGGATCTGGTATCATTCCTTCTGAAACTATTCCAATCAATAGAAAAAGAGAGAATCCTCCCTAACTCATTTTATGAGGCCAGCATCATCCTGATACCAAAGCCTGGCAGAGACACAACAAAAAAAGAGAATTTTAGACCGATATCCCTGATGAACATCGATGCAAAAATCCTCAGTAAAATACTGGCAAAATGAATCCAGCAGCATATCAAAAAGCTTATCCACCATGATCAAGTGGGCTTCATCCCTGGGATGCAAGGCTGGTTCAACATACACAAATCAATAAACGTAATCCAGCATATAAACAGAACCAACGACAAAAACCACATGATTATCTCAATAGATGCAGAAAAGGCCTTTGACAAAATTCAGCAACTCTTCATGCTAAAAACTCTCAATAAATTAGGTATTGATGGGAATTATCTCAAAATAATAAGAGCTATCTATGACAAACCCACAACCAATATCATACTGAATGGGCAAAAACTGGAAGCATACCCTCTGAAAACTGGCACAAGACAGGGATGCCCTCTCTCACCACTCCTATTCAACATAGTGTTGGAAGTTCTGGCCAGGGCAATCAGGCAGGAGAAGGAAATAAAGGGTGTTCAAGTAGGAAAAGAGGAAGTCAAATTGTCCTGTTTGCAGATGACATGATCGTATATCTAGAAAACCCCATCGTCTCAGTCCCAAATCTCCTTAAACTGATAGGCAACTTCAGCAAAGTCTCAGGATACAAAATCAGTGTACAAAAATCACAAGCATTCTTATACACCAATAACAGACAAACAGAGAGCCAAATCATGAGTGAACTCCCATTCATAATTGCTTCAAAGAGAATAAAATACCTAGGAATCCAACTTACAAGGGATGTGAAGGACTTCTTCAAGGAGAACTACAAACCACTGCTCAATGAAATAAAAGAGGATACAAACAAATGGAAGAACATTCCATGCTCATGGGTAAGAAGAATCAATATCGTGAAAATGGCCACACTGCTCAAGGTAATTTATAGATTCAATGCCATCCCCATCAAGCTACCAATGACTTTCTTCACAGAATTGGAAAAAACTACTTTCAAGTTCATATGGAACCAAAAAAGAGCCCTCATTGCCAAGTCAATCCTAAGGCAAAAGAACAAAGCTGGAGGCACCACGCTACCTGACTTCAAACTATACTACAAGGCTACAGTAACCAAAACAGCATGGTACTGGTACCAAAACAGAGATATAGACCAACGGAACAGAACAGAGCCCTCAGAAATAATGCCGCATATCTACAACCATCTGATCTTTGACAAACCTGACAAAAACAAGAAATGGGGAAAAGATTCCCTATTTAATAAATGGTGCTGGGAAAACTGGCTAGCCATATGTAGAAAGCTGAAACAGGATCCCTTCCTTACACCTTATACAAAAATTAATTCAAGATGGATTAAGGACTTAAATGTTAGACCTAAAACCATAAAAACCCTAGAAGAAAACCTAGGCAATACCATTCAGGACATAGGCATGGGCAAGCACTTCATGTCTAAAACATCAAAAGCAATGGCAACAAAAACAAAAATTGACAAATGGGATCTAATTAAACTAAAGAGCTTCCACACAGCAGAAGAAACTACCATCAGAGTGAACAGGCAACCTACAGAATGGGAGAAAATTTTTGCCATCTACTCATCTAACAAAGGGCTAATATCCAGAATCTACAATGACCTCAAACAAATTTACAAGAAAAAAACAAACAACCCCATCAACAAGTGGGCAAAGGATATGAACAGACACTTCTCAAAAGAAGACATTTATGCAGCCAAAAGACACATGAAAAAATGCTCATCATCACTGGCCATCAGAGAAATGCAAATCAAAAGCACAATGAGATACCATCTCACACCAGTTAGAATGGCAATCATTAAAAAGTCAGGAAACAACAGGTGCTGGAGAGGATGTGGAGAAATAGGAACACTTTTACACTGTTACTGGGACTGTAAACTGGTTCAACCATTGTGGAAGTCAGTGTAGTGATTCCTCAGGGATCTAGAACTAGAAATACCATTTGACCCAGCCATCCCATTACTGGGTATATACCCAAAGGATTATAAAACATGCTGCTATAAAGACACATACACATGTATGTTTATTGCAGCACTATTCACAATAGCAAAGACCTGGAACCAACCCAAATGTCCAACAATGATAGACTGGATCAAGAAAATGTGGCACATATACACCTTGGAATACTATGCAGCCATAAAAAAGGATGAGTTCATGTCCTTTGTAGGGACGTGGATGAAGCTGGAAACCATCATTCTCAGCAAACTGTCGCAAGGACAAAAAACCAAACACCGCATGTTCTCACTCATAGGTGGTAATTGAACAATGAGAACACATGGACACAGAAAGGGGAACATCACACACTGGGGCCTGTTGTGGGGTGGGGGAAGAGGGGAGGGATAGCACTGGGAGATATACCTAATGTTAAATGAAGAGTTAATGGGTGCAGCACACCAACATGGCACATGTATACATATGTAACAAACCTGCACGTTGTGCACATTTACCCTAAAACTTAAAGCATAATTTAAAAAAATGGATGATTCAGTGATTTGTAGAATATTCAGAGTTGTTCCAAGATTACAATGATCTAAGTTTAGAACACCTCAGAAAGAAAGAAAGAAACTGTACCTATCCCACCACCCCTACACCAGCCCTAGGCAACCACGAATCTACTTTCTGTCTTTATGGATTTGCCTATTTTGAACATTTCATATAAATGGAGTCATGCCATATGTGATCTTTTATGGCTGGCTTTTTTCACTTAGCATAGTGCTTTTGAGATTCATCCATGTAGTAGCATATATTAGTACTTTATTCCTTATTATTTTCAAATATTTTATTGTATTTTATTTATTCATTCACCATTTGAATAGCATTTAGGTTGTTTCCAGTTTGGGGCTCCTGCAGATAATACTTCTATGAACATTCTTGTGCAAGTCTTTGGTACTATCGCTTCTTTCTTTTTTTTTTTTTTCTAAGTTTTTTATTTTGTTTTTTTTTATTATACTTTAAGTTTTAGGATACATGTGCACAATGTGCACGTTAGTTACATATGTATACATGTGACATGCTGGTGCGCTGCACCCACTAACTCGTCATCTAGCATTAGGTATATCTCCCAATGCTATCCCTCCCCCCTCCCCCAACCCCACAACAGTCCCCAGAGTGTAATGTTCCCCCTCCTGTGTCCATGTGTTCCCATTGTTCAATTCCCACCTATGAGTGAGAATATGCGGTGTTTGGTTTTTTGTTCTTGTGAATATCGCTTCTTTCAAAAAAAATTACATATCCACATGTTGAAAATATTTTAGGTTTTCTTTTTATTTAGCATTCATTCTTATGATAGGATTTCAAAGCTTAATTTTTAACAGTGGAGAGGTATCTTTGATAAACCCCATTATTTGCCTTTTCATGTCTTTATGCAAGTTACTTGTAGGTCATGTAAGTCAATACTCCTACATTGTAAGGCAGAATGGCAAAACGAAATGGTCAGATTAGTTGCAGAGAATAGTCCAGACCGAAATGGAGGAGACCACGTCTCCCTATTCCTCTCACTAAGTACAACCGAAAACCCCGGACATTATATATAAAGCAAATACACTGAAAGACACAGACAAGAAGACAGGAGGGCTAGGAATCACAAAACTCAAGGAATGACACAGCAGTGTGTTCTCTGGGTTTTCTTTTTGTCCCATATATCCCAAACTAGGTGCTAGAGAAGCCAGTGACCAAAAAACACCGATAGGAGCAGATTTAAAATGCTCCAATGAAAGTCACCTCTCTCTGGCCAAGGGTCCAGGAAAGGGGCAAGCTAGTAAGACAGAAAACATTTAGGCAATACCTGCCCAATGCAGCCAAACACCACAGGAAAATACCCAGGCCTCACCATACTCTTATCTGCCTTGGGAAGCCTCGACCTGTGCCCTTCTCCAGCAATAATGAGGCATCCCTCTCTTCCCTACACTGGATGATATCAGTGAAGGCCAAGTGGGGAACCAAGACTTCCATCTCCACCTGGTAGTAAAGCCACCACACTCCCTCTTATTCGTATCAGAAGAAGCCCAGAGGGAAGCCAGAACTTTCACCACCATTTAGCAGTAATGGGTCTGCCCAAATCCCTCCCCAACTCCCCGCCACTCTGCAGGGTAAATGAGACCACAAAGGAAGCCTGTATTAGTCTGTTCTCATGCTGCTAATAAAGCCATTCCCAAGACTCGGTAATTTATAAAGAAAGAGGTTTAATTGACTCAAAGTTCTACATGGCTGGGCAGGCCTCACAATCATGGCAGAAGATGAAGGAAGGGCAAAGGGACTTCTTACATTATGGCAGGCAAGAGACAGAGCTTATGCAGGGAAACTCCCCTTTATAAAACCATCAGATCTCATGAGACTTACTGTCACGAGAACAGCATGGGAAAGACACACCCTCATCATTCAGTTACCTCCCACCAGTTCCCTCCTACAACATGTGGGAATTGTGGAAGCTACAATTCAAGATGAGATTTGGATGAAGACACAGCCAAACCATATCAAAGCCTGAAGTCCCATCCCTGCCCAGTAGTAATAAGGTGTACCCCTCCTCAGGATGTCAAATGAGGCAGTGTAAGTGGCCAGAGCTTCCATCCACATCTGGTAGTAAAGAGGAGTGAGTTCCCTTTCCTCTGCCAGCAGTGTCAAAGGAGGTCTTCTAAAACACAAGATTTAAATAGGACCCAGAGTCTCATAACATAGTACCCAAAATGTCCGGAATGCAACCTTTAAAAAGCACTCATCATACCAAGAACAAGGAAAATCTCAACTTGAATGACAAAAGACATTCAGTCAGGCCAGGCACAGTGGCCTGTAACCCCAGTACTTTGGGAGGCCAAGGCAAGTGGATCACTTGAGGTCAGGAGTTTGAGACCAGCCTGGCCAACATGATGAAACATCGCCTCTACCAAAAAATACAAAAATTAGCCAGGCATGGTGATGTGCACCTGTAGCCTACTCGGGAGGCTGAGCCATGAGAACTGATTGAAGCCAGGAGACAGAGGTTGCAGTGAGCCGAGACGGTGCCACCGCATTCCAGCCTGGGCGACAGAGTGAGACCCTGTCTCAAAAAAAAAAAAAAGACTTTCAGTCAACAAATGACAACATCAACATGACACAGAGTTGGAATTATCTGACAAGGGTTTTAAAGCAGATGCCATACAACTACTTCAACAAGCAATTCCAAATGGACTTGAAACAAACGAAATAATAGAAAGCCTTAGAAATAGAAGATATAAAGAAGAACCAAATGGAAATTCTGGAAATGAAAACTACAGTAATCAAAATTTTAAAACACAATGAGTGGGCTCAACAGCATCATGGAAAAGACAGGAAATAATTATATAGTTATCTTGAAGGTAGTACAATAGAAATTACCCAATCTGAACAACAGAGAGAAAATAGATTGAAAAAAAAATTGAACAGAACCTCAGGGACTTGCAGAACTATAACAAAAGATCTCAGAAGGAGAGGAGGAAGCAGGTGGGCCTCAAAATATTTTCCCAGAAATAATGGTTGAAAACTTATTTAGCAAAAACAAACTACAGATTTAAGAAACTGATCAAACCCCAAGGACAAAAAACCCAAAGAAATTTACACTAAGACACACCATCATCAAACTTCAGAAAACTAAAGACAGCGAAAATAATTTTGAAAGGAACCAGAGAGAAATGACACATTACCTGTAAGGGAAAAGGGGGAAACAATTCAAATGACAGCCGACTTCTCATCAAAAGTCAAGAAGCTCCGAAGGATATTGCAACCATTTTCTAAGTGCTACAGTAAAAGAGCTGTCAACCACAGTTCTATGTCCGGCAAAAATATCCTTGAGGAATGCAGGTAACAAAGGCATGCTCAGATGAAGGAAAACTAAGAATATTTGTCACCAGCAGAATTACTCTAAAAGAATGACTGAAGGAAGTTATCTGACAGAAAGTAAATGATAAAAGAAGGAATTTGGGAATATAAGGAAAGAAAAAAGGACAACAGAAAGAACAAAAATAAGAATAAATACAATAAACTTTCCATCTGAATTTTCTAAATTGTTTTTGACAATTGAAGCAAAAGTATAATATTTTCTTATGTGGCTCTCAATGAAGTAGAGGAAATATTAAAACAATTATAAATGAGGGAGGGTAAAGAGAATTAAAGGGCTACACTTAACACTGGTAAAATGTCTACATCAGTAGACTGATAGTTATGTATGTACAATTTAATACTTAGAGTAGTTACTAAAAATATATACAAAGAGATATGCTTACAAACAATATAGAATCAAAATAGAATTCTAAAATATGTTAAAGTATTCCACAGGAAGTATATGAAAGAAAGAAATGAAAAATCAGAGAAAATAGAAAACAAAAAATAATATGGCAGACTTAAACCTTAGAATATCAATAATTACGTTAAATTATTGGTAATGAACTCATATGCTATATGATTTAATTTATATAATATTCTCAAAATGTCATAATTACAGAGATTGAGAATAGATTAGTGGTTGGCAGGGGTTAACGATAGTGCGGGGAGGGAAAAATGTATGGCCATAAAGGGGTAGCTCAAGCAAGATCTTTATGAAATCAAACAATTCTGCATCTTTCTTGTGGTGGTGGTTACAGATGTGATAAAATGACATGGAACTATATGTACACATTTTCATCAACCCAAAAAAAAACACTTTGTCTCCATTTGCAGTCATTCTTCATTTCCACCCACAGCCCAAAGCAACCACTAATCTATCTTCTAGGCTTTATAGACTTGACTATTCTGGACATTTTATATAAATGGACACACAATATGGAGGTCTTTTGTCTGGCATTGTTTATTTAGCATAATGTTTTTGAGGTTCAACTATGTTTTAGCATATATCAGTACATTGCTTCTTTTTAGTGGAAACTTGAGTTTCATTAATAACCTGCTTAGGCAAGTAATCATGACAACATTCAGTGTGCTCCATACAGCACAACAGGCATAGCCCTTCATCTAGAAATAATTGCTAATGAGAAATACATGGGAACTGAATGGTGAGGGAGCCATAATTCCCAGTCCTGTAGACTCATGTTCCCATTTCTAAAACATATAAAGAGAAGAACTGAATTGATATCAAGTTCCATAAATATACAACATGTATTTATGTACTCATCTAAAAATGCTGTAATAATAATAATAATAAAATGTCTTGATTACTTATATTTTACCAGGCATGTTAATGCTTTAAATGAATTATTTAATCCTCATAACAACTATAGGAAGTATGTACTATTATTATCCCTGTTTTTCCAAGTAGAAAAACTGGAGTTGAGGAGGGAGTAGTAATTAACCAAAGGTCACACAATTAGTAAATAATGAAGGCTCTTAACCACTTTGCAGTAGTATTCTCCATCTAACATTGAAGCCTGTGTATGTGTGGAGACCATACTGTGGAGATGGAAAATGCCGGGCTAAGGAGTTTTAGTTCTATTCTATTGAACATGGAAATGCTGAAGGTTTTTGAGCAGGGAAATGACATAATCAGAACTGAAGATGTCCTTGACATTGCTATGTCAAATGATTTGGAGGGAGGACACAGTGCTGACAGAAACCGGTAAGGTAGCTCTAAAAATAGTGAAATCCAGAGTTCATAAGGGCTTGACTTAGAGTAATGAGAATAGGAATAGAAAGGAAGGAAATTATTTCCAAAAAATTTCAGAGGTGGACCCAAAATAACATAACAATAGATTGGTTGTAGAAGGCAAGGAGATGGGTAATTTATTTAATCCTTTAAATGAATAATGTATCGTAATTAAATAATCTGACACAGAGCATAGTTCAGCAAAAGCTGCATAGAGCAGGAGTATCACAGAGGAAAAGAGTTGGCTCTTACTGAGTACTTGCTCTGTCCTTGTTTAAGTGGGGAGCTCAAGTCTTACAACCCTGTGGTACCACTAACAAAAACAGACAACATGTGTCAAAAACAATGTTAAATCAAGAGTTGGGTAAATCCATCCTATTTGTAACAGATTTGAGGTCATAGACATCTAGGTGGTGATGTCTGAAAGTTATTAATCTTATATTGGAAATTTGGAGAGGGATCAGAATAAGAGAAGATTTGAAAGGTATTCATGTAGAGGAGATAATTTGAGTCATGGGATAGCTAAGAGACAAAGAATTGTGAAGGAGGTGAATATTATTGTTCATGCAATGAAACAAACTCCAGAAATTGTAGATTTACAGTTGTGATATAGGTAGGGCCTATAATGGACAAGAGAGTCTAGGTTATGCTGAGGTAACAAGTGTACCCCAAAAATCACAATGGAATTTCACATTTCCATCAGTTGTTGAACAGATGAAACCGATCTAAATGTACTCTGAATTAAAATTCACAGCGATCCTGATTAATGCATAGGACAAGAATGAAAAAGCTCTTGAAGTCTATTATAGTCTTATGGAGAAACAGAATTATTAAATAAAATAGCATTCTATATATCCCAAGAATTTTCTAAGCAACACTAAATTACAATGTATCATTATCATTCTTGTTGTTTGACTAAACTTATTTTTAATTTAGACAAAATTATTGACTTATAATCACTTCATCAGATTTCAATAATTTATTTGCTAAATGAAAGAATGAAAAAAGCTAATTCCTCCAAAGAATGTGATGGTCAGGAATAAATCACCTCTTCTGTAGCAAGTCTTCCAGAGTGTTTGAAATACTGTAAGAGCATATATTTTCTTTTATAATAAAAGGAAATAGCTTTATTAATAATGATAGTAAATACAGCTATCCTCAAAACATATAATCAAGTTTGAGAGACAAGTCAATCCACAAAATAATTTCTAATTATTTAAAACAATAAAGCATTTTATGCTTAGCATAATCAGGCGAGTAGACTCTGGGTTTATACTTTTCTTTTTGAGTAATAAGCAGTCCTTGAGATTTCAAATAAATTATTGGAAGCAGCCAGTGGAAGAAGCGATTTTGGAGAAATCTCCCCTGGTATGCTCCTAGCACCCTGCCAGAGAGAAGTATTAAGATGTTAAAAGATTGCAGTTTGCTAAGAGGAGATGACACAGGGAATTCTCATTCTAACCAAGCAGTTAGATTAAAGTTGTTAGTTTAAAATGTTTGGAGGGGGCCAGGCGTGGTGTCTCACACCCGTAATCCCAGCACTTTGGGAGGCTGAGGCGGGCGGATCACGAGGTCAGGAGATCAAGACCATCCTGGCTAACAGAGTGAAACCCTGTCTCTACTAAAAATACAAAAAATTATCTGGGCATGGTGGCGGGCGCCTGTAGTCCCAGCTACTCGGGAGGCTGAGGCAGGAGAATGGCGTGAACCTGGGAGGTGGAGCTTGCAGTGAGCTGAGATCGCGCGACTGCACTCCACCCTGGGCAACAGAGAAAGACTCCATCTCAAAAAAAAAAAAAAATGTTTGGAGGATCCTTCTTAGAGGAAATAGACATTCTAGAATAAAAGTATACTATTCAGAAGGAATTATTCATTTTAATATTTATTTATTTTAAATGTTTATTTATTATAGGGATTTTTGAGTAAGAAAAATACCTTGAAATTATTTTAAACTGACTTGAGATTTTTACCTTAAAAAGTAGATATTCTCTTCAAATAGCAGTTTTATTCCCATCCTTCCCACTATATGCTATCATCACAAATTCTCCCTTCCTGTTAAAGAATATTTTTTAAAATCTCATACATGGTCTTTTTAATTCATTCTAAAAATGGAAATTTCTGAGTTCTGATTTAAATTCCTAGCATATGTATCTCTAATGAACAACTTCCATAATAATTACAGTGCTTCTAGTGGCCTTTTATTTGCCTTAGAATTCTGTGTTTCAATTCTTTCCATTTAAGTACCCCTAATGAAAGAAAAGAATGAATACATAATCATAAACCAGAATTGTAATCAGAGCTTCAAATTTAAGTCTTAATTTTGTCTGAAACAGCATGCCAATTTTATCCATGTTTATTCTGTTTTATTGTAAAAATGATTTAAATTACTTTCATCAAACAAATTCAGATGTGTCCTAATTGTCTCCAGAGCTTTTCAAAATATCACTTGTAGCATACCAGAAAATAATGTGCTTCTAACAAAAGGTAGGGCACTCATAAAGGTAGAGAACTAAAGGCAAGTGGAAGATAGACCAGTGCCTGCCAGATCCAACAGCTTAGCTGCCAACACTGAGGTCCAACACAAAGTGCTCTTCCTTGCCAGCCTCAGACCAAGAAGAACCAAGTTCCTGGTCCCAAGTTCTCTCAGAGTTCAGGAATGATGTGTTTCCAGCCTCAGACCAAGAAGAACCAAGTTCCTGGTCCCAAGTTCTCTCAGAGTTCAGGAATGATGTGTTTCCAGCCTCAGACCAAGAAGAACCAAGTTCCTGGTCCCAAGTTCTCTCAGAGTTCAGGAATGATGTGTTTCCAGCCTCAGACCAAGAAGAACCAAGTTCCTGGTCCCAAGTTCTCTCAGAGTTCAGGAATGATGTGTTTCCAGCCTCAGACCAAGAAGAACCAAGTTCCTGGTCCCAAGTTCTCTCAGAGTTCAGGAATGATGTGTTTCCTGCTGGGCTGGACAGCAAGCCCTTGGACACCTACATGCCACTGACTTTCACCTTCCTCTGCAACTTCTGCCCTGTGGGCCAGTCTCTGTGACAGAAGTTGATCCTGGTTTACACTCCACTTTTCCTCTGGGATGACAAGACTCCTGTGAGCACCCCACGGATTAGACTGAGCCAGCCCAGTCTTGCTTCAGCCCAGTCAGACCCTGTGCCTGATATGAGTTCCACTGGTGAGGCTGCAGACTAAGCACAAGTTCAGACTGAGTGGTCATTGACGGCCCTACCCTTTACAGCCAAGCAGCTTGGCCACCTGTCACCTAGAATGAGAGTCTTCCCTGTCCTGGTCTTTCCTGTTCCCTTCACAGTGCAGCCTGCTCCCTTTGCATACACTGGATGTGGCAGTGTATACCAGATGGCCATGAGATTAGCTGGACTTGTGAGTGATTACCAAATAAATTGCTGATGTCAGAGAGGCAACAGACCAGCTTATGCAAGGAGTCAGATCCCAAGCTGAGAGACTGGGATTTACTACAACATAACTAATACTTTGAGAAAGAAAAGGACAAGATAAAAATGGTATTCAAGGTGATACACTAGTAGCAGAATATAATGCAGACACAGGATGGAAAAGACTGGAGAGAGAAATACAGCATGAAAACAACCTTTAATAATATACTACAGGCCTGAAATAAAATGGTGGTTCTATAATGAAAGCAAGAGATAAGACACATTTTGAAGAAAGAAATCTCTAGACCTTGATGGCAGATTAAAGATCAGTCAGTCATCAATGAATTTTGAAACCGCATATTTGCCAGTTGCTTTTCTGGGCCCAGAAGAGACAGCAATGAATAAATCAGAGCCCCTGCCACCGACCCCAAGAACTGTCATTCTAAAGGGGGAAACTAATCATGGGATAGGCACTGGGTATCACCTAATTTGGCACATTCTCAAGCTTTCTCCCTGCATGACTTCCTCATAGAGGCTAGAAAGCCAGGTACTTCCTAATCACTGATGCCTGTAGGGGGCCAGCTGATCGGTTTAGACCCCTTTCTTGACAAAAGAGAAGCTCCTTTCTTGATAAAAGGAGCACTTCCTAGAAACTTTTGCTTTCTTGATAAGAGGAACAGACACAGCTGGTGCCGTCCCATTTTCCCCCTTCCTGCCTAGAACACAGAAGTAATACCTGGAGCCACTAAGGGGCAACAAGCATGAAAATTACAAGTTAATACACTAAGGACAACCAAGCAGGAAGATAAGAGTCCTTGATAGCTGTGTGAGCAACTGGACTAATTTAGCAACCACCTCACTCTTCCTGTTATATAAGAAAAATAAGCCCCATTCCTGGTGCCAGCTGCCAAAATAGAGCTCTTCATTGCAAGCAACCAAATCCGACCCCGGGGAATTACACAGAAAAGGAATCTAATAGAAGAATACTGAGTGGCTCACAGAATCTTCAAGAGGGCTAAAGAATAAGTTTCAAACTTAAGATTCCAGGAACAACATATAAAACCTTTCATAGAACTGGCCTGATGAGGAAATCACCAGCTCATCGCAGCAGGGCCCCAGGTGCTACAGCTTGCACTCTTGCTACTTTCCCACCAGGAACATAATTGTACAGCAAATAAGGTGATACCAACCTGGCACAGTCATCTTTGCTGTCACCCTAACCAGAAAATGAATTCCACAGGGAGCCTACTATTGCACCTTGCTCTCTCCCAAATTGCACAAGTACCTGTGCCCTTAATGGAAAGAAATTATGTAGCTTGTTCAGCTCCTACAGGAGGAAACATTCTTTGCCCTACAAAGATTCATAAGGTAATTTATTAAACTCAAAAAGGGATTCAAATTGTAAGAATCCCAAATGAATTGCAAATATATATCCTTGTGGTGGGTTGTTTGCAAAAATGATTACAATTCTTCTCTCCCCATATCCACATCCCTTTACAATGTAATCTGTAGCTCTTCCCCTTAAGCAGTAGAGACTATTTCCCCCACTTCTAGTGTTTGGGCTGCTTTGACCAAAAGAATGAGGCAGAAGGGACATTGTGCTAGTGCCAAAACGAAACCTCAAGAGAACTGGTACATTTCTGTTCTCTCAGGAATCCTGTTATCCACCCTGTGAGTAAGCCTGGGCTGGCCTGCTGGATGATAAGAGAAACCTAGCCCCAGTGCCCAGTTACCCCAGCCAACAGCCAACCAACCCCCAGAAGAAGAGCCACCCACCTGGCCGCTGACGCATGATAAACCCAGCCTAATCCAGATACCACCCATTTGAGCTCAGTCCAATTGGCCCACCCAAAGGATTGTGAGCTCAATAAATGTTTGTTTTAGTACTAAGTTTGGAGTGATTTTTTATGCCATAAATCTGATACAACTACAGACAGCAAAAACAAGCAAGTTGATAAATAAGATAATTTCAGGTACAGAAGGGATGTGAAAAAGATCATGTAGGTTAATTTTGTAGAGGTGATAAGGCCACTCAGTTTGTCAGGGAAGTCCTCTCTGAGAAGGGGACATTTAAGGTAAAACTAATTTAAAGAGAAAAAACTATTCAAAGACTATTCAAAGATACAGAAGAAATGTATTCCAAACAGAAGACAGAGCAAGTACAAAGCCCCTGAGTCAGGACTGGGGATACTCAAAGGACGGAAAGAAGGCCAGTGTGGCTGAAAAACAGTAACAAGATGGAGAGTCAAGGAAGACTTCATCAGAGAAATAGGAAGAGGCCAGATTTTTTAGGGCCCTCTGGACTGCGGTTCGGAGTTTAGATTGTACTTTTTTAAGGTATTTTGATGTTATACATTTTAAAGAGATCATTGTGGTTGCTATGAGGAGCATGGGTGTTAGAACAGCAGGAGTAGAGGTAGGAGCCTTGCTGCTCTGCTAGTTGGGATGAAAACTTATGGTGGCTTACATGAGGTGTGTAGCCAGGAAAATAACGATAAGTGGATTGGTTGGGTTATATTCATGGAATGGAACTGTTGAGACTTACTATTGTAGGTTATAGGATAAAGAAAGGATTCAAGTTTAACCTTTAGGTTTGGGTATGAGTGAATGGTAGGACCATTTACTGATACGGGGAAGGCTTGAGAAGAGGAGAGTGGATGAAGGCTGACATCTGTAATTATATTTCAGCTGTGTTATGTTTGAGATACTTGTGGATTTCAAAATGGTGGTGTCAGGTAGACAGTTGGCTATCTGAGTCTGAAGCTCAGGCTGGTGATCACATCTGGAGCTGTATGTAAATTTGAGAGTAATACGCTTGCAGATGGCACTTTAAACCACATAAATATGGTGGGGGAGGGACTACATAACTGGAGATAATTTTCTAGGAAGAGAATTTAAAAACGAAAGAGAAGAGAGCCTAAGATAACGTCCTTGGGCTTTTCAAGCAAGGTCTTGTAGAGGAGGAGAGCTTCCAAAAGAAACTGATCATGTGTGGCCAACAAGGTAAGAGGAAAACAAGGTAGGAAAGGGTCCTGAGAGCTTTGAGGAGGGGGCACTCTAAGGAAAGGTGGCGGTTAGGCTGGGTGAGCACCCCTGATTGGGTATATAAATCACTGCTTGTGCAAGAGGGAGGTCATTGGTGAGCTTGACAATGGCCACAGTAGTGGAGTGGTAGAAGACAGACCAGTTAGGGAGGGTTGAGGAAAGACTAAGGGATGAGAGAGGTGGGCGGCTCTTTGCTGGAATGTTTCTGTGAAGGGGAGCAGAGGAGTGATACAATGCCAGAGGAGGGCTATGAGATCAAAGGAGGATGTTCTCTGAGATACGTGATACTAAGTTGTATTTTTGTGTTTAGCAGAATGATTCAACAGAGAGAAAGAAATAGATTTTCCAAGACAGGGAAGGGATAATGCTGAATGGAAGATGTTAAGAAGGTGAAAGAGAATGGGACCCTGAGCACAGTGGAATGGCAGGAGCAGGCACGCTTCTTTCATAGAAGCAGAAGGAAGGCAGATGATGTGGTACTTGATGCAGGTCATCTGGATGAGTTATTGAGAACATAGAGGAAGCTTAGGAGGTTCAAGGAAAAAAGGATAAAATCATCTCAGAAAGAAAGAAGTAAATTACTAGGGAACTGTATTAGGATTTTAGCGCCATGTTGGATGCCCACTTGGTACTTGAGATCATTCATTTTAAGTCCATTCCAGTGGCAGTGGAAATTAGAGGAAGTGGTCAAAAATTATTCCAATGAGGACCAAAAGACCATTAGAATTCCAGAATTGAGAAAAGATGCATATTTGGTGGGGAAAATTGAAGAAAAATTATGGAGTTGTCAGTTTTTCACATCTTGAGCTCCAATTAGCAATGTCCTGTAGATATCTAAAAATACAAGGCTGGAAGACAAGTGGGAGGGCCAGCAAAGTGCAGACTTAACAGTCACATGATTAGGAATAAGATCAGGAAGAGCTGAGCAGCAGAAACAACAATGATGCAAGAAAGTGAGCTTCAGACATGTGGACCTGTGCTGTCATTGGGCCCAAGGAGCTAAATCATGTAGGTTGAAATAGAGCCCTTTTTTTCCACTTTCTCTGAAAAATTGGAAAATCCCTTTATTTCATGAATTTCTTAAAAACCATTATATTCCAAGAGTCTGAGAGTCTGGCTTTTAAGAATAAGAAAAAAAATGTATCAATCCTTGCTTTACCCTCTCCCCCAAAAAAAATTATCCAAAATTTCCAAATTCAGGATATTATCCTCCTTCATGAAAAGAAAGAGAATATGCAGGTGATTTTATAACCTAACACAATAACTCTATAGAGTCAACTAAAAACCTGAAAATAAAGCAGTGGACTTTAAAGAGGTTAGAAGGGGTGGAGGACAGGGAGGGAGAGAGGAAGTCAACGATTTACAGAGGGCCTGCTGTGTGCCAGGCCCAGTCCCTGGAGTCTGATCCTAGACATCTATCTCTAGGAAGCAGTATGGTAGAGTGAAAGGAGTGAGGACTCTGGAATCACACACACACACACCTGGAAGTGAATCTAAAGGCCCCCATTTATTAATTGTGCACACTAGGGTGAGTTACTTAACCTTTGAGCTTGTGTATTGTCTGTGAAATGGAGATAACAATAACCCACTCTCCTGGAACAGCTCAATGAGTACATATGTTAAGTGCTTATCCAAGTACCTTTTAAATGGTAGATATTCTAGAAATGTTTGTTTAATTCCCTTTCACTTTACTTCCAAGATAGAGGATACAGTATCTGAACAAAAGCCGAAAAGCAAAGAATATTAAAATTAAGGGAGGCCCATGTACATCTAGAGATGTAAAGTCAGTAACCATCTCTCTTCCTCTAAATCTCACTCCATGATATTCCTCCCCAATATTCTTATTTCCCTATGCCTGCGCCTTCAGGCTACTAACACTAGCTTCTGACCTGACACGATGATTATAGAACTTCAGAGCTCAACTTAAAAGTTGGTTTAGTGTCCACAGCCTTTCCCTTTGCCAAAGCCATAGCCTGTGTGCCAGCTCCTTCCTGGGCCCAGCTTCCTTCTATGGTGAGATCCTAATATTGCAGCTGTTTATTCTAATCTTCAAAACATGAAGGCCTAGCTTCCTGCACCAGTCAGACCTTGGGTCCCTCTCTGAACCTCAGCTCCATGCTTAACCTTTTCTGGACTCCTCAATCCCACACTGATCTCTGTTGCTCTCCAGTTATGTGTTTGCTCTTTTGCACCCAACTCCCTTCCATATATTTTATTGCAATCTTCCCTGACATTCTATCCTGTAAGCATTGCCCACCGTGGAAACATTGTTTCTGTAAGATTCCTTCTTCAGTCTTTATAACACAAAGTTCTGCCGTTGGACCAGCTTCCTATCCCAGGGAATAACTTAAAATGAAATATGCACCATAATTTGCAGTTATAGTCACAGCATAAAGTCACAAGTTGACCTGCCAATGGATATTAAGTTCCTTATCAAAGGTGGATGAAATGTGCTGTAATTCAAAAATAGCAGCAGACATAAGGCAACATGATGGGACAGCATTGCTCTGTAGGAAGAGAAATTTGCAAGACAGGATTTTAAATGGTCTAAACTTAATAATGTATGAAATGGCATTTTTGTTGTAATTTTAAGCTTTGTAAGTAGAATCTATAAAAATATCAGAGGAAAAAATGTAAAGAAGGCTAAAGGAGAAACATGCATTATAAAATACTGAAAGAAATAGACCTTTCTATAGACTCACAGAAATTAGAAATAGAAAAAGTCATCAGTTCACCTTGCTCATGTCCCTGTCAGTAGCTCATTCTCAAGGGTTTGTCCCGTCTAATTTTAGATGACCCAAGAGTCTTGACTTCAGGAATTTTATTTGTAAAAGTATTCTGCTGTCTAACAAACCTTCAGAAATGGTCACCCCTTGCAGCTCTTCAGCCTAAATTTTCAACTTCCCAGTAGGTTCCAATGCTTGCCTTGGCCTTTCTTAGCTGTAACTGCAGATACAGTATTAGAGGGAGGATTTTCACCTCCTTGTCAGGTGTACTTTTAAAATGCCTAAGCAAGGTGAGACCATCAGAGCCAAAATGGACATGCTCTCTCTCTCTTTTTTTTTTTTTTTTTTGAGACAGGGTCTCACTCTGTCAGCTAGGCTGGAGTGCAGTGACACAATCTCGGCTCACTACAACCTCCATCTTCCGAGTTCAAGCAATTCTCCTGTCTCAGCCTCCTGAGTAGCTGGGATTACAGGTGCCCACCATCATGTCCAGCTAACTTTTGTATTTTTAGTAGTGACAGGGTTTCGCCATGTTGGCCAGGCCGGTCTCAAACTCCTCACCTCAGGTGTTCTGCAAGATGTGCATTCTCTAAAGATCACTGGGACTGCTGCATAAGAATTCAAGTCCTGAGGGGTGGAGACAAGATGGCCGAATAGGAACAGCTCCAGTCTATAGCTCCCAGCATGAGCAACGCAGAAGATGGGTGATTTCTGCATTTCCAACTGAGGTACTGGGTTCATCTCACTGGGGAGTGTCAGACAGTAGGTGCAGGACAGTGGGTGCAGTGCACCGAGCATGAGCCAAAGCAGGGCAAGGCATTGCCTCACCCAGGAAGCGCAAGCGGTCAGGGAATTCCCTTTCCTAGTCAAATAAAGGGGTGACAGACGGCACCTGGAAAATTGGATCACTCCCACCTTAATACTGCGCTTTTCCAATGGTCTTAGCAAACGGCACACCACGAGATTATATCCCGCACCTGGCTTGGAGGGTCCTATGCCCACGGAGCCATGCTCATTGCTAGCACAGCAGTCTGAGATCAAACTGCAAGGTGGCAGCGAGGCTGGGGGAGGGGCGCCAACCATTGCCAAGGCTTGAGTAGGTAAAAAAGCAGCCAGGAAGCTCGACTGGGTGGAGCCCACAGCACCTCAAGGAGGCCTGCCTGCCTCTGTAGACTCCACCTCTGGGGGCAGGGCATAGCCAAACAAAAGGCAGGAGAAACCTATGCAGACTTAAATGTCCCTGTCTGACAGCTTTGAAGAGACTAGTGGTTCTCCCAGCACACAACTGGAGATCTGACAATGGACAGACTGCCTCCTCAAGTGGGTCCCTGACCCCTGAGTAGCCTAACTGGGAGGCACCCCCCAGTAGGGGCAGACTGACACCTCACACGGCCTGGTACTCCTCTGAGACAAAAATTCCAGAGGAAGGATCAGGCAGTAACATTTGCTGTTCACCAATATCCACTGTTCTGCAGCCTCTGCTGCTGATACCCAGGCAAACAGGGTCTGGAGTGGACCTCCAGGAAACTCCAATAGACCTGCAGCTGAGGGTCCTGACTGTTAGAAGGAAAACTAACAAACAGAAAGGACATCCACACCAAAACCCCATCTGTTTGTCACCATCATCAAAGACCCAAGGTAGATAAAACCACAAAGATGGGGAAAAAACAGAGCAGAAAAACTGGAAACTCTAAAAATGAGAGCACCTCTCCTCCTCCAAAGGAACGCAGCTCCTCACCTGCAACGGAACAAAGCTGGACGGAGAATGACTTTGACGAGTTGAGAGAAGAAGGCTTCAGACGATCAAACTACTCCGAGCTAAAGGAGGAAGTTCGAACCCATGGCAAAGAAGTTAAAAACCTTAAAAATAAATTAGACGAATGGCTAACTAGAATAACCAATGCAGAGAAGTCCTTAAAGGACCTGATGGAGCTGAAAACCACGGCACGAGAACTACGTGATGAATGCACAAGCCTCAGTAGCCGATTCGATCAACAGGAAGAAAGCGTATCTGTGATGGAAGATTAAATGAATGAAATGAAGTGAGAAGAGAAGTTTAGAGAAAAAAGAATAAAAAGAAATAAACAAAGCCTCCAAGAAATATAGGACTATGTGAAAAGACCAAATCTACCTCTTATTGGTGTACCCGAAAGTGACGGGGATAACGCAACCAAGTTGGAAAACACTCTGCAGGATATTATCCAGGAGAACTGCCCCAATCTAGCAAGGCAGGCCAACATTCAAATTCAGGAAATACAGAGAACGCCACAAAGATACTCTTCGAGAAGAGCAACTCCAAGACACATAATTGTCAGATTCACCAAAGTTGAAATGAAGGAAAAAATGTTAAGGGCAGCCAGAGAGAAAGGTCGGGTCACCCACAAAGGGAAGCCCATCAGGCTAACAGCTGCTCTCTCAGCAGAAACTCTACAAGCCAGAAGAGACAGGAGGCCAATATTCAACATTCTTAAAGAAAAGAATTTTCAACCCAGAATTTCATATCCAGCCAAACTAAGCTTCGTAAGTGAAGGAGAAATAGAATACTTTACAGACAAGCAAATGCTGAGAGATTTTCTCATGACCAGGCCTGCCCTAAAAGAGCTCCTGAAGGAAGCACTGAACATGGAAACAACCGGTACCAACCACTGCAAAAACACGCCAAATTGTAAAGACCATCAAGGCTAGGAAGAAACTGCATCAACTAACGAGCAAAATAACCAGCTAACATCCTAATGACAGGATCAAATTCACACATAACAATATTAACCTTAAATGGAAATGGGCTAAATGCTCCAATTAAAAGACACAGACTGGCAAATTGGATAAAGAGTCAAGACTCATCAGTTTGCTGTATTCAGGAAACCCATCTCACGTGCAGAGACACACATAGGCTCAAAATAAAGGGATGGAGGAAGATCTACCAAGCAAATGGAAAACCAAAAAAGGCAGGGGTTGCAATCTTAGTCTCAGATAAAACAGACTATAAACCAACAAAGATCAAAAGAGACAAAGAAGGCCATTACATAATGGTAAAGGATCAATTCAACAAGAAAAGCTAACTATCCTAAATATATATGCACCCAATACAGGAGCACCCAGATTCATAAAGCAAGTCCTTAGAGAGCTACAAAGAGACTTAGACACCCACACAATAATAACGGGAGACTTTAACACCCCACTGTCAACATCAGACAGATCAACTAGACAGAAAGTTAACAAGGATATCCAGGAACTGAACTCAGCTCTGCACCAAGCGGACCTAATAGACATCTGCAGAACTCTCCACCCCAAATCAATAGAATATACATTCTTTTCAGCACCACACCACACCTATTCCAAAATTGACCACATAGTTGGAAGTAAAGCACTCCTGAGCAAATGCAAAAGAACAGAAATTATAACAAACTGTCTCTCAGACCACAGTGCAATCAAACTAGAACTCAGGATTAAGAAACTCACTCAAAACCGCTCAACTACATGGAAACTGGACAATCTGCTCCTGAATGACTACTGGGTACATAACGAAATGAAGACAGAAATAAAGATGTTCTTTGAAACCAATGAGAACAAAGACACAACATACCAGAATCTCTGGGACACATTCAAAGCAGTGTGCAGAGGGAAATTTATAGCACTAAATGCCCACAAGAGAAAGAAGACAAGATCTAAAATTGACACCCTAACATCACAATTAAAAGAACTAGAGAAGCAAGAGCAAACACATTCAAAAGCTAGCAGAAGGCAAGAAATAACTAAGATCAGAGAAGAACTGAAGGAAATAGAGACACAAAAAACCCTTCAAAAAATCAATGAATCCAGGAGCTGGTTTTTTGAAAAGATCAACAAAATTGATAGACCACTAGCAAGACTAGTAAAGAAGAAAAGAGAGAAGAATCAAATAGACGTAATAAAAAATGATAAAGGGGATATCACCACCGATCCCACAGAAATACTAACTACCATCAGAGAATACCATAAACACCTCTACACAAATAAACTAGAAAATCTAGAAGAAATGGATAAATTCCTCAACACATACACCCTCCCAAGACTAAACCAGGAAGAAGTTGAATCTCTGAATAGCCCAATAACAGGCTCTGAAATTGAGGCAATAATTAATAGCTTATCAATGAAAAAAAGTACAGGACCAGATGGATTCACAGCCGAATTCTACCAGAGGTACAAGGAGGAACTGGTACCATTCCTTCTGAAACTATTCCAATCAATAGAAAAAGAGGGAATCCTCCCTAACTCATTTTATGAGGCCAGCATCATCCTGATACCAAAGCCTGGCAGAGACACAACAAAAAAAGAGAATTTTGGACCAATATTCCTGATGAACATCAATGCAAAAATCCTCAATAAAATACTGGCAAACTGAATCCAGCAGCACATCAAAAAGCTTATCCACCACAATCAAGTGGGCTTCATCCCTGGGATGCAAGGGTGGTTCAACATACACAAATCAATAAACGTAATCCAGCATATAAACAGAACCAACGACAAAAACCACATGACTATCTCAATAGATGCAGAAAAGGCCTTCAACAAAATTCAACAACCCTTCATGCTAAAAACTCTCAATAAATTAGGTATTGATAGGACGTATCTCAAAATAATAAGAGCTATCTATGACAAACCCAAAGCCAATATCATACTGAATGGGCAAAAACTGGAAGCATTCCCTTTGAAAACTGGCACAAGACAGGGATGCCCTCTCTCACCACTCCTATTCAACATAGTGTTGGAAGTTCTGGCCAGGGCAATCAGGCAGGAGAAGGAAATAAAGGGTATTCAAGTAGGAAAAGAGGAAGTCAAATTGTCCCTGTTTCCAGATGACATGATTGCCTATCTAGAAAACCCCATCCTCTCAGCCCCAAATCTCCTTAAGCTGATAGGCAACTTCAGCAAAGTCTCAGGATACAAAATCAATGTGCAAAAATCACAAGCATTCCTATACACCAATAACAGACAGAGAGCCAAGTCATGACTGAACTCCCATTCACAATTGCTTCAAAGAGAATAAAATACCTAGGAATCCAACTTACAAGGTATGTGAAGGACTTCTTCAAGGAGAACTACAAACCACTGCTCAATGAAATAAAAGAGGATACAAACAAATGGAAGAACATTCCATGCTCATGGGTAGGAAGAATCAATATCGTGAAAATGGCCACACTGCTCAAGGTAATTTATAGATTCAATGCCATCCCCATCAAGCTACCAATGACTTTCTTCACAGAATTGGAAAAAACTACTTTTAAGTTCATATGGAACCAAAAAAGAGCCCGCATTGCCAAGTCAATCCTAAGGCAAAAGAACAAAGCTGGAGGCATCACACTACCTGACTTCAAACTATACTACAAGGCTACAGTAACCAAAACAGCATGGTACTGGTACCAAAACAGAGATGTAGACCAATGGAACAGAACAGAGCCCTCAGAAATAATGCCGCATATCTACAACCATCTGATCTTTGACAAACCTGACAAAAACAAGAAATGGGGAAAGGATTCCCTATTTAATAAATGGTGCTGGGAAAACTGGCTAGCCATATGTAGAAAGCTGAAACTGGATCCCTTCCTTACACCTTATACAAAAATTAATTCAAGATGGATTAAAGACGTAAATGTTAGACCTAAAACCATAAAAACCGTAGAAGAAAACCTAGGCAATACCATTCAGGACATAGGCATGGGCAAGCACTTCATGTCTAAAACATCAAAAGCAATGGCAACAAAAGCCAAAATTGACAAATGGGATCTAATTAAACTAAAGAGCTTCTGCACAGCAGAAGAAACTACCATCAGAGTGAACAGGCAACCTACAGAATGGGAGACAATTTTTGCAATCTACTCATCTGACAAAGGGCTAATGTCCAGAATCTACAATGAACTCAAACAAATGTACAAGAAAAAAACAACCCCATCAACAAGTGGGCAAAGGATATGAACAGACACTTCTCAAAAGAAGACATTTATGCAGCCAAAAGACACATGAAAAAATGCTCATTATCACTGGCCATCAGAGAAATGCAAATCAAAAGCACAATGAGATACCATCTCACACCAGTTAGAATGGCAATCATTAAAAAGTCAGGAAACAACAGGTGCTGGAGAGGATGTGGAGAAATAGGAATAGTTTTACACTGTTACTGGGACTGTAAACTAGTTCCACCATTGTGGAAGTCAGTGTGGTGATTCCTCAGGGATCTAGAACTAGAAATACCATTTGACTCAGCCATCCCATTGCTGGGTATATACCCAAAGGATTATAAAACATGCTGCTATAAAGACACATGCACACGTATGTTTATTGCGGCACTATTCACAATAGCAAAGACTTGGAACCAACCCAAATGTCCAACAAGGATAGACTGGATTAAGAAAATGTGGCACATATACACCATGGAATACTATGCAGCCATAAAAAATGATGAGTTCATGTCCTTCGTAGGGACATGGATGAAGCTAGAAACCATCATTCTCAGCAAACTATCGCAAGGGCAGAAAACCAAACACCACATCTTCTCACTCATAGGTGGGAATTGAACAATGAGAATACATGGACACAGGAAGGGGAACATCACACACCGGGGCCTGTTGTGGGGTGGGGGAAGGGGGGAGGGATAGCATTAGGAGATATACCTAATGCTAAATGAAGAGTTAATGGGTGCAGCACACCAACATGGCATATGTATACATATGTAACAAAACTGCACGTTGTGCACATATACCTTAAAACTTAAAGTATAATAAAAAAAAATAAATAGATAAATAAATAAAAAGAATTTGAGTCCTGATTTCATTGTTTCCAATATTACAAACTATCCCAAAGGCTTAAAAATGTATATGTTGGGCCAGGCGCAGTTGCTCATGCCTGTACTCCCAGCACTTTGGGAGGCCGAGGTGGGCAGATCACAAGGTCATGAGTTCGAGACCAGCCTGGCCAATATGGAGAAACCCCGTCTCTACTAAAAATACAAAAATTAGCTGGGCATGGTGGCACAGGCCTGTAGTCCCAGCTACTCTGGAGGCTGGGGCAGGAGAATCACTTGAACCCAGGAGGCAGAGGTTGCAGTGAGCAAAGATTGTGCCACTGCACTCCAGCCTGGGCGACATAGCAAGACTCCGTCTCAAAAATAAATAAATAAATAAAATATCTACATTGGCCAGGCACAGTGGCTCACGCCTGTAATCCCAGCACTTTGGGAGGCTGAGAGGGGTGGATCACGAGGTCAAGAGATTGAGACCATCCAGGCCAACGTGGTGAAACCCCATCTCTACTAAAAATACAAAAATTAGCTGGGCGTGGTGGCGCACGCCTGTAGTCCCAGCTACTCTGGAGGCTGGGGCAGGAGAATCACTTGAACCCAGGAGGCAGAGATTGCAGTGAGCCGAGATCACACCACTGCACTCCAGCCTGGCGACAGAGTGAGACTCTGTCTCAAAAAAAAAAAAAAAAAAAAAAAAAGAAGTCTACGATACATTTAGCTTCCCACTGTCTGGAAAGTTCATTGAAAGACATAATAAATGCTACCAGTTATTAAGTGGCTATTACATGCCAGGCATTACACCAAGTGCTTTATATACATTGACTCTGACCTGCACAGCAGTTACTTCATTCTACAGATAAGGAAACTGAGCATTTCCTGGGGGCTTCAAGCCGGTTGAATGTGTGTTGGAGCCACTATTTAGGTCATCTGTCTAAAAAAGCCTTGCTTTTTCTGCTGCTCTGGGCCATTACTACAGCACCTTTGTCAGGGTTTGTTGGTACCTGGTCCAGGGCTCTCGAAGTCCAAACAGGAGGTCCTCTCCTAGCCCAGGAGGAATGTGAGGGAGCAGAGCACTGCACTCCCAGGAGACAGGCTGCCTCTACCAGTCCTGGAGAGAAGTTGGTGAACATTGCAGTTACCCGTGTGCAGGCTGATTCTGAGGAAGGGATTGGCACATGTATTTAACTTGAAGGAATAAGGAACTTAGGCTCAGAGGCCAGGGAAACACCAGAGTACAGAGTGGGATAGAGAGGTCCCTGCTTCTCTAACTGCGAGCAAGACAAAGGAACAGCAGCCTGATGCACAATGACCACATTTAGATTGCCGACCATCCCATGGTGGTTTCAAAGATGCTGGACCCATTCAAAGCTTTGAATCAGGATCAGAACAGACTTACAGGATCACGTGTCATAAGGATGCTGACCCAGAACTTCTCCCTGACACAGGATGTAAGAGAATGTTAGGACTCATTCCTACAGGCAACTCACTAATCCCAAATGCCCCATCTACTGGGGGGGAAATGCCACAAGACACCAGAGTCTTCATCACTCAACGTGACAAGAGAGGAGTTGGTCTCCTTAGGAAGGTGAGTCATTAATACTTCCAGCTCTTCAGCCTTCAGAATTAATCCTGCATTTCAGCTTCTTGAGTCTTTATGGATATAAAACATGCTGACTAGTCTCATCCTCGGTTTGCTTAGTTTTCTCTCTCATTTGGAGGGAAATGTTAAGAATCATTAAACGAGGCTGTCTGTTGCTACTGATTTGCAGCTGTGTGTCTACTGAGATAACACCAAGTGGAAATCTGGACACTTCAGGCCCCTGATGTCTGTTTCCTAGACAGACTATGGTGATTAGATTGGAGTTCTTGAAACAACACACCAGCGCAGCTTTTGAAACTTTGAGGCAGATTTTGAATTAGAACTCATATTGACTAAGCATCCAACCTTACAAGTGAAGCATTGGAACTAAGAGAGTTGGAAGGTAACTAAAAAAATAGAAATTGCTTATTTGGGGAAATGGCTTTATTTCCCTCATCTTCAGGGGACAGTAAATCTGTTTCTAAGAAGGGGGATGAGGCAGGCATGGGTTGTAATCCCAGCTCTGTGGCTTACAATATGTACGACTTTTGTTAAGGAACTTAACTGCCCTGAGACTGTTTCCTCAGCTACAGTAATACCAGCTTACACCATGCTTGTGAAGATTAAATGAAGTACCTTGCTTAGCCCGGTGTGTAGTGCATAATAAATGTTGAAAACCCTTCTTTGATTAACTAAACAAAAGAACACAGCAGCTTATTTTATGTACACATGATATAGGATATTTTTATTTGAAAGGTACTACATGATCCTGGGACCTTCATTAGAAATTTTAAAATATTTCACTTCCAGAGTAAAATTCAGAGGCAAAAGAAATGAAATATAGCATGAGATGTAGAACTGCTTTTGGAAAATTTCAACTAATTTTTGTCAACTAATATTCTTAAAAAATTAGGTCAGGTGCAGTGGCTCACACCTATAATCCTAGCACTTTGGGAGGCTGAGGAGGGAGGATCACTTGAGGCCAAGAGTTCAAGACCAGCTTAGGCAACATAGCAAGACTCCATCTCTACAAAAAATAAAATAAAAATTAACCAGGCATGATGGTGCACCTATAGTCCCAGATATTCAGGAGGCTGAGACAAGAGGATCACTTGAGCCTAGGAGTTCAAGGCTGCAATAAGCTATGATTGCACCACTGCACTCCAGCCTGGGCAACAGAATGAGACGCTGTCCCTAAAAAAATAAAAATTAAAAAGTTAAAAATTAGTTGATTCCTCTGAGCTCCCATTTCTCGCTCTATAATTAGAAAATGTTTGTCAGGGGAACATCACACTCCAGGGACTGTTGTGGGGTCGGGGGAGGAGGGAGGGATAGCATTAGGAGATATACCTAATGCTAAATGATGAGTTAATGGGTGCAGCACACCAGCATGGCACATGTATACATATGTAACTAACCTGCACATTGTGCACATGTACCCTAAAACTTAAAATATAATAATAAAAAAAAAAGAAAATGTTTGTCATGCTTTCATCTCCTCCTCTCTGAAAATGTCTACCAAGCTTCTCATCATTGGAAGTTATCCAAGTCTGAAATTATCAAGGCACCGTGTGAAAAGCCAGTGAAGTGCAGTTTAACAATGCAGTTGAACAATGGTCACACCTGGATTTGAGCCCCTCCTGTACGCTTTCCAGCTCCGTGAGGGGTAGTTAAACTATCTAAGCATCCATTTCCTCATCTACAATATGAGGAGGATATCACAGTATATATCTTACAATATTATCTTGAGGATTAAATGAGATAAAGTAGCATAGTATCTAGTAAGAAATCATGTTAGCTATCATTATTATTCATAAGTAATTCACAACACATGTGACTGCTTCATAACACACGACTTAAGAAGTGGGTGTGAATCTAATAATACACTATTCTCAAAATTTCATAAGCAAAAAAAGTACACAAGTAAACATGAAAAACCACATAGAAGGCATATTCTTTTTTTAGCATTTATCTTTCAGTAAATATGACAGCAACATTTTCCCTCTTACATATAAATCACAAATAAATGATTGACACTTTTTACACCAAAAATAGGCAGTTGTTTCCCATCTATTCAGATAGCTTTCACTGATTTAAAGTTTTCAGCCAGGTGCGGCAGCTCACGCCTGTAATCCCAGCACTCCGGGAGGCTGAGGTGGGCAGGTCACTTGAGGTCAGGAGTTCGAGACCAGGTTGACCAACTTGATGAAACACCATCTCTACTAAAAATACAAAAATTAGCTGGGTATGGTGGCTTGTGCCTGTAATCCCAGCTACTCAGGAGGCTGAGGCAGGAGAATCACTTGAACCCGGGAAGCAGAGGTTGCAGTGAGCTGAGATTGCCACTGCACTCCAGCCTGGGTGACAGTGTGAAACACCATCTCAAAAAAAAAGAAAATTAAGTTTTCATTTCATATATACATTCTTAGAATAATACATAGAGCAACTACAAATAACAGCATACATTACAAAGAAACTTAAAACTATCCTGATCAATCAGTTTAATCAAACCAAGTTTTCAGAAATGTCTATCAAATTTAACCTGGGGCAACAGAAAGCACCGTCCACACCTAGAATTGCCAACCAACATATTCTGGTTGGCCAGTGTTGTAGGAAGTCTTATCTAGAAAACAAAACCCATGAATTTCCAGACCCAAAGTGGAAAGAGATTAACTCTTGCCCTGAAGATAAATCACTTCCCAGTGTTTTCACTTCCAGACTTCTAATATTTTCCCTGCCTTTGACTGTAACCAGATCTGTTACATGTCTAGAATAAGGATAATTAATTACACTATGATTCCGAATTAAAATGAGAACCCACAGGCTAGGATCTCTTCATTGTAATCCCAATGGCATCATCCACGTTACATGACTGGTGATGACTTTGCTGACATCTAACATATCTTTGAAGAACATCTTTAAAGCATGAGAAGAGGCTCGATATAAATTAGGTTGCCGGTAAGTAATGCAAGAGTAGAAACACGTACTTCTGTGGCTGCAAATGAAGTTGTTAAGCCAGCAGCTGTTGCCAGGCTGATTACAGCATTAATCAGTGTTAAGAGTCTGACATGTTCTGGCCGGGCGCGGTGGCTCACGCCTGTAATCCCAGCACTTTGGGAGGCCGAGGCGGGCGGATCACGAAGTCAGGAGATCGAGACTCATCCTGGCTAACATGGTGAAACCCTGTCTCTACTAAAAATACTAAAACAAAATTAGCCGGGCGTGGTGGCGCGCGCCTGTAGTCCCAGCTACTCGGGAGGCTGAGGCGGGAGAATGGCGTGAACCTGGGAGGCGGAGCTTGCAGTGAGCCGAGATTGCGCCACTGCACTCCAGCCTGGGTGACAGAGTGAGACTCCGTCTCAAAAAAAAAAAAAAAGAGTCTGACAGGTTTATTCTTTCTTTTTCTCCCTAGGATATATAAATAGCACACAGGTGGGAACCTTTTAATGCAGCAACTACAGAATGTTTAAGAAAGTAGCACCTGCCTTCTCTCTGCTCACACACTCACGTGAGAAAGAACAACACTCTCACCTATTGATAACGGTGCTACAGAAATAGACATTATTTTTGAGAACTCATGGACACAAAGTAGGGAACAACAAACACTGGGGCCCCACTTGAGGATAGAGTGCGAGAGGAGGGAGAGGAACAGAAAAAATAACTATTGGGTACTGAGCTTAGTACCTGGGTGACAAAATAATCTGTGCACAAATCCATGACACAAGTTTACCTATATAACAAACCAGCACATGAACCTAAATACCCCTGAAACTAAAATAAAAATAAAAGTTAAAAAGACCTACTATTTGATAGCAAACGAGGTGACGATTGTCGTAATAACTTAATTGTACATTTTATAATATCTAAAAGTGTAAACTGGATTGTTTATAACACAAAATATAAATGTGAGGGGATGGCTATTCCATTCTCCATGATGTGATTATCACACATTGCATGCCTATATCAAAACATATGTACCCCATAAATATATATACCTAGCATGTACCCACAAAAACTAAAAATTAAAAAAAAAATAATTTTTCTTAAAGAAAGAAATAGACATTGTTTGTTCTTCCAGTTATCAAGTGCACTGCTGTTTCCTAACACTGTTGGTTTTTCTCCATCTCAGTATCCTTGTTACATTAGGGAACAGCTAAATCAGGACCCTTCACAGCTTCCAGATCATCATAAGAGCATCTGCTGGTGCAGTAGAGTCTTGGGGTGAAGGATTTGTATCTACAGAAACCCTGAGTCACAGTATCCACCCTCTGCTTCAAATCATCTATTATTAGAGGACTCATTGACCTGGGAAAAAGTTCATAGTTGAACAGCTCTAGATAAAATAATGTTATTATTTGTGTTGAGTCAAAACTGGCCTTCAGGAAACCCACTCTTTTGTACAAGTTCTGTACTTGACGGCAGTGGAAGTTTCAATATAAAATATAGAAATATCCCCAAAGATGGCCTTTAATGAGGAATCCCTTGATAGGGTTAGCTGTTACTTCAAACTCTCAGCAGGAGGGTAGGCACTGAACATGAAGGAGGGCTGAAAATAGGTGGCAGGGCCCCAGACACCAGACTGGGGTTCTGGAACAATTTTTTCGTTCCTAGGTAACCCAACACAGATTACAGAACTAGAAGAAATAAGAAATTGTTGTTTTAAGACAGTTCATTTTTAAGTTAACTCTGGAGTGGTTTTTTTTAATCCAACAACATAGATAAGTGAAACATGCACATATATTTAGTTTCAAATAAAACTTCATAGACTAACCAAAGCCTATTCCCAGATTTCTTAGACAATCTTCAGACCAAGTTTGGAATCCCTGGAATGGAATGCTCCCAGGCCCCAGTCTTACAAATTTAGGGCTACATCTCCCAATATTTGTCCCAAGTGATGCTCCCCTTTATGCCTCTCTCTTATTATTCCCTCTGCTCGGAATGCCATCTCCCACCCCCTTTCTTCTTACCCAAAACCTACCCATCCTTGAGGCCCGTGCCATGCTCCCCTTCCTCTAACAGACCTTTCCTCTCCTGTCTCCTAGTGCTGCAGTCACCACCAGCAATAGCCATGCGTGGAATGGGCTTCAGAAAGGCCTTTGCTACCAGGGTCTCACCCCGCTTCGGCTCCCAATAGCATTCTTTCACAGTTGTTTCATGACACCTGGAGCCTCCCTGTTATCATGATATGTACACTACCAGGGCCTTCCTAAAAGTGCTCTGAGGAACTGTGTTTCCCTCATCTCTGTGTGCCCTGTAGTGCCTCAGACTGTCACGGGCAGCATTGCCAGGACTTTTTCCAATCCTCCTTCTAACTCCATGGTATAGGCCTGGCTTAGATTAATGATGCCATCAGAATTGGTATCACAACCAGATCTTTGTGTTCGTCTTATTCTCGCACCTGGAAAGCAGCATGAGAGCAGTATCTGCACACATGCAGGTCCTCTTCATAGGAAAACCCAAGTCTTCTGAAAGCTCAGGACTTGAGTCAAATGGCCCTGCTCCCCTCTTGATTCCTGAGTTTAGTATTAAATGTTTCCTAACTGGATGAGCCTGAGCAGACTATTAACCCCTTTATGTTATGTTTTCTTCATTTAAACATTGGAGTTGTTCCAATCCTGTAATGTAGCTTTGTGTTTTAAATGCCATGTATATTCAACACCCATCTAGTGACCAACACATAACACATTCTATAAAATGTTGGGATAAAAAATGCTCTGGTGTCTGACTATTGTTATGTTACTGCAGATCCACTCTGCCTCATTATGACCTTGTTGAGTGGGACTTCTTGTATTTATTATTACCTTTTTTTGCAAAACGGAAAATTCTAAAATAATTTACTATTTAAATTTAAATCTAAGAATTCTTATATTTGAGGGAAAAGCTACCGTATTGAGAGCTCGTCTCCCTAGTTTCATATCAAAGTCTATGCCCCTCTCAAGCATTAAACTAGAACTGAGTTCATTAGTCATTCTCTTTGTCTTTCTCCTGAGGTTTTTATTTTTGGTCTTAATATTAAATGAGACTAAACACTAACAATTTAACTTCCCTCTCTTTTCACAATAGTGATGTTCGCGTCCTTAAAACTGAATGCCACACGGCTGACACAGTGCCATTAGCAGACTTTACACCTTGGTTCTGTTTGCTTTGGAAAGACCAAATGGAAAATAAAGTCTGTGCATCACTCAAGCTGTTATGCCTCATTCTTACTGGAAAAAAAGAAGGTGATGACTGATTTATCCAAACTTGGTTAAGACATCTGGGTCTATTTTATATCCTTCTCACAATCAAGAGGCACAGTTTTATGGCCAAAAAAAGGGATTATGATACATTGAGCATTGTAATGAGCAATACAATAGCAGGAGAGGACATTAGAAAATCTCTATTTATAGTCAAGACACTATTATTAGTAAGATTTTTTATGCCAAGATTGTAAAAAGTGAGTGTCTATAGCCTGAAGACTAGGTTGTACAACTGACACTCTGATTTGGTTCTTAAATATGTTATTAGACACTTACAGAAATAACTCTTTGGAAAATTGGTTATTTTGAAGATGAAAATGATACATTCAACCCATGCAAATTCTAACACCACCAGCCCAGCAGGGTGGGACCAGCAGGGTGAGCCAAGAATGGTACCCTATCAGCAAAGGTCCCATGTCCTGTGTGCTGGTTTATCTCTTGCAAGGAGTAGACATTGAGTACATAAAAGTGGATCAAGACAGAGATCTAGCATGTTTCTTCCGTGCAGAGGCAAGAACCACCTCATATCTACAATGATAATGAAGAGGAAAAGCACTTCATTTAATTTCTTTTCATACTTGTATATCCCAACTCCTTAGAGAGCTTTTCTGCTTTCAACACGAAAAGAACCACATAATCCAAGGAAGGTTCCAGTCGAAAGGGTCTTCAGAGGTTACCTAATCCCAGTGCTTTACAGAGAGTATGTTGCTATCCAGACAAATGACTTGCCTAGGCCACACAGCTAATATGTGCTCAAACTTGAATTACTTCTAATTTCATAGGTTGGGTGATTTTAATTAAATTGTTGACAAAGTCACTTTCTCTAAATAATTGTTTATTGATCCAGAAGATTAACTGAACTCCTGTGATTGGGGTTCTTATGGGATGTTCAGTCAAGTGGGCCTGATGCCGGTCAGCTGAAACACCCTGTGCAGACCATGTTCCAGACTTAGCAATTAGCCCCATCACCCAGGCAGATGACCTCTTATTTTATAACCAGAGTTTTCCTCTGTCTTCCAGTTCCTGCTCACAAAGAGCAACAAATAAGACTACACCTGGGAAAATAGCATGACCCCTTTATTATGGGTGAGTAGGATCATCTTTCAGCAGGGAGGATAATGTGTTATAAACTGAGTCACTGTTTTGGGCTGAATTGGGTTCCTTAAAATATATTGAAGTCCTTCCCCCCAGTACTTGTGAATGTGACCTTATCTGCAAATAGATGACTTAACTTAAGATGATCAAGTTAAGATGAGGTGATTAGGGTAGGCCCTAATCCAATCACTGGTGTCCTTACAAAAAAAGGGAAATTTGGATATAGACACCTTCAGAGAGAGTGCAAGATTGATGATACTTCCTCAAGCCAAGAAATGCTAAAAAAAAGGCCAGCAAACCACCAGGAGCTGAGGAAGAGGCCTGGACAGATCCTCCCTCACTGCCCTTAGGAACCAACCCTGCTGATACCTTGATCTCAGACTTCCAGCCTCCAGAACTGGCAGACAATAAATTTCTGTTGTCTAACTAACCCAGTTTATGGTGCTTTGTTTGACAGTCCTAGCAAACTAATCCTGTTGCCACATCTGAAAAGGAAGACTTGAGCTGATGGATCTTAACCAGTCCTTCCAGCTGGTCTAAGTGGAACCATCCATGCTGCCATACAGGACTGGGGTGCATAGGGGCTCTGAGCCCACTCCTGACTCTGAGAAACCTGACTGTGGTCATGGGAAGGAGGGGCCACATCTCTCAGACAAGAAACCTATTCATTAAGCACCTATGATATGTTAGGCACCAGGACACAGCCATGAGCAGGAAGACACAGTCCCTGCCAAGGAGGACCCAGAGTTTCCCAGGAAGATCAGCTCTATAAAAGTGACTGCAAGTGTGATGTGTGCTGTGGAACAGAGGCTGTCCTGGGGAAATCAGTCTATGGGCCAAGGGAGACTTTCATAAGCCAATGAGGTTTACACAGAGATGGGGAATGGAGGCAAGGATTTAGCACCCAACAGAGTAAGGAGGGGGAGGGCACAGTGTGTGTGCTGCAGGCAGGACCAGTGCAGAGCTCACAGGGCCTCCCCTTTCTCTAAGGGAAGGGGCTGTCTAGACAGGCAGAAGGGGGAGAATGTAGGGCTGGCAACAGAAGGAGCAAGAGTGTCCTGTGGGATGTGATGACGGCCAGTCACAGCTGACATGAGCCCTCCTGCCTGCCTAGGCCACCAGTGCTGAGGAGGCAGTGATTACAGCTGCGGCAGCAGTGCATGTTTCAAAAGAAACCTACACTTCCAGACTCACGGCATGAGTCACTTCCAAACTTCAAAGATATATTTAAGACTTCTCTTGGGCCTGATGGCTGTCTTTCTGTTTTCTACTTAAAAATGGAGTCTAGCAGGCTGAAAAGATAAATTATGAACAAGTATTGTATTATTTAATGTGAAACACAAAGCCAGTTTTCCTTTCCGACACTTTTTGGTTGTTAGGTTTCTGTGAGAATGTGTTCCGTGTGTTTGTTTGAAAACAAAGAATAGTTTGATTAAAAAAAAAAAAAAAGTTTACCTAGGTCTGGTGCGGTGGCTCACACCTGTAATTCTAGCACTTTGGGAGGCCAAGGTGGGCAGATCACCAGAGGTCAGGAGTTCGAGACAGCCTGGCCAAGATGGTGAAACCCCATCTCTACTAAAAATATAAAAATTAGCTGGGCATGGTGGCGCATTCCTGTAATCCCAGCTACTCAGGAGGCTGAGGCTGGTGAATCACTACAACCCAGAAGGTGGAGGTTGCAGTGAGCCGAGATCACACCACTGCACTCCAGCCTGGGAGACAGAACGAGACTCTGTCTCAAAAAAAAAAAAAAGTACATAAAAGCAAAGATTCACAGAATACTGAACACCCATTCAGTTGGTTTCTGAAGAATGGAGACAGCATCCAGCCAGGATGAATATTGTGATGCTGTCTTTCCTTCTCCCTCCCTCATGACATTCCAGGAGCACAGGCTTCCTTCTGGGCAGTTGGGTTTTCCACATCTTAGGGGAGGCTGCAACATCGGGCTGCAGCAGCTGCCACACAGGGTACAAGCGTGGGGACGTTCAAAGGAACACGCAGAGTGGACAGGTCCAGATTCAAGGGGACAGGGCTCGTGATGTAGCTTCCCGTGTCCCCACCCAACACCCATGACAAGGAAGGTGGAAGAGGAGCACGCAGACTCCAGTGTGGGGTATGTGCTCTCTCCATACTCCCACTCGTCCTCCAGGTCTCAGGTGGAGACTGAGAGGGAACCTTTCCTACACCAGCCTGTCTGTGTCCACCTCCCTGTCTTACTGCTCCTATGACTGGGCTTCTTTCTGACATCATGCGGTACGTCGTCTGTGATGATGTAGTAATAGTTTACCAACTCTCTGTCCTACTGGACTGTAATCTCCACAAGGTGGGGATAGTGTCCCTTTTGTTCACTGCCATATTCCCCAGTCCTTAATACAGTGCCTGACAACCACTGGGCCCTCAGTGAATCTGTGGTGACAGCTTCCTATATTCATTACTTGGTGTAAAAACTTCTGGGAAAAAGTTCCAAAAGAAGATGCCTATGAAGCACATGGTGGGCAGAGACAGTGAATGTTTTTTCATTTGGGTGGCAGACTCACATTAACCAACCTCAAAGAGAATAATGTATAATATCAGAATGCCACTTTGTTCATCTTACAATGGGAATCACAGCTGAATACTCAAGCCAATATGGCCCATTCATTCTTTCCCCGTACATAGATCTACAAGGCAAGGCAAATTACAATCACAAGATTATATAGTGAATGAGGAACCAAAATCAAATGCAAAATGGCATCATGCTAATATAGCCATGTGTACTTTTATCTACAATTGAGAAAGCCTTTCCCTTGGGACCCCAAGAATCCAAACCAATTCACTGAGAAGGCCTCTCGGTCAGAGTGGGCAGACAGGTGGCCTGGTCTTTGTGTGCTGTGTGCCTTCCTAGGCCCTCCATGACTGCTCCCCACTTCTGACTGACACATAATCTTCCTATAATTACTTAATCATCCAACCAGGACTTGCTCTCCTGGGAACGTAACTTTGGGCATTTTTCTTCTGCTCTTTTTTGCATTATTAATAAGAACAGCTAATATTTATTGAGTATTTAGTATGTGCCAGGCATGGAGCAAAGCTCTTTACATGCATTTTTAAAAATCCTCACAGCAACCCCAGAACATAGGGATTTTTATTACTCTCATTTTAATGATGAGGAAACTGAGGCTTAGCAATGTTAAATAACTTATTGTTGGTTGGTCATACAAAAAAACAAGTGGTGGAACCATTTATAATGCCAGTGATTTCCAAATTCATGAGGGAACTGGAGGCTTCTCCAGATTTTGTCCCCTGTGGTGACTATGTGGAGGAAACTGGAGAGATAAGATCCTCAGATTGTTCTCATTCATCACCAGAGCACTTCATTTTCACCTTACAATGTGCCTGGCACATACTAGGGAACTTGAAAGCATGTGTCTCACACCATTCTTGTTCACACCCAACTTCCTTAAGATAAAAGAGCACAAGCGTCTTAATGTCCTTGCCCAGAGTAAGTTGGTGTCAGCTGAAGAAGTACTTATGTCAGCATTCTGTCTCCCAAGTCCCACACTTATCACACTAAAGGTACAGAAACATCCTACTCCATTTTTCAAGGAGGAAGATAAAATATCTTCAACAACATATCTCCAAATATCTCAAGAACAAAATAACTCAAGAACAAAATAACTCAGGAACACTACCACCAGTTCTGGCCAATTGATCCAATTCAATTCAACAAACATTATTTTGGGCAGTGTAGCAGGGATTGCTAGCTGTCTCTCAAAATGTATTCTTCCCTTCTTTTTAATAAAAAGATTCTGACTTTTTTCCCTAATCCATGCATATTTCCCAATCTCTGTCGCAGCCACCTGTCACCATGTCACTGTTCCAATCACTGAGCTGGAAACAGTAGTGTTATGTGGTACCTTCAGCAAGACTCATGAATAAAGAGGGGTCCCCTTTTTCTCCCCTTTTCCTCCTTCTTGTTCTAGAATGGTTGAATAGCTGGAGCTCTAGCAGCCTTCATGGACCATAAGGTGACCATGGGAATGGTAGCCAATCACAGCAGAATGGAAAAATAGAGTCTGGTTTTAGCACTGTAGGTCCACCATACCAGCCCTGGACTATATATTTCACATTTTTTAATGAGAAAGAAATATATGTGTCTGCTTTTCATGCTGCTTTTGTTTGAAGCCAAAATTATCTGAGAGAAGCTTCTACTGTGTGCCAAGCATTAGGCTACAGACAAATCCCCCTCTACCTCCCCTAACCACAACACACACATAAACAAGAAAATAAATCATTTGGATGTATAGGCAAAGCCTGATCTAATGAAGTAATCACAGATCACACCAATCACAAGCATTTCTTCCATAAATTTTACAGAAATGCTTCAGAGGACCCAAGAATTTTGTTACATGGTCTCAAATCTATGCATTTACAAGAGGTTTTCTACCACACAAAAGAAGGGTGATTTTTTTTTTCCCTGAACCTACAAAGTGAGGTCCAGCTTCCCATTGCTTATTGCTTTTAAAGTCCATTACACTGAAAAAATAATGACCTCAAAACCAGTAGTAGTATTTTTTTCTTCTCCATCCCACCTGCTAAAAAATAAAGTTCTAGAAGCCTGCTTACCTATATTTTTACTTTACTTTTCCTCAGGAAGTCTCATAATAATAAGTGAAATTCCTGTGACTTTGATAAGCTTTGAATTATGCTTTAAAAATAAAGCCTTTTGTAGTTTCCTGAAAGGTATTAGGCTCTGAGACTGTAAAAAAGATGCCTAGATACTGATGTCCAGGTTAAACTGGCCCATTTACCAGAATATAATGAAAGCCCTTAGCTGATGGTAACAGTGCACATTCCGCGACTGAGAGACTGACAAACATGTCAAATAGGCATTTGGGTGAAAAGAGACAAAATAGTTGCCTATATTGAAGAGTTTTTCTTTTAAAAGTTTTCTTTGGACAAGCAAAAGTCAAATTGCCCTTTGAACTACCGTGACTTGAGTATTGAAATCAGCTATAGGAACATCAGGGAACACCCAGGGTTCAGGGTGAGCCCAGAACTGCAGCCAGGACTTGCAAGTGAATTGATTGGCTCTATTTTCCAGACCTCACACCGGGCTCCCTGCCACCAGGGAGGTTCAGAGTTCGTGGCTCACCTCACTGCCTGCCTCAGCTGGCTCCACACAGCGCACCTTGGGCCTCGGTACCATCCGACATTTTAGTGATGTCTAACTTAGCACACTTTAAAGTAGTTTTGTCTCTGGGTTACTAGTTGTTGGTTTGAGCCCTTTGTGAATAATCTGTAAGCATTAAATATCTTTTACCTTTCTTTCACTTTCAAATGACTGGGGTGGAGGCTCAGGGTCTGGTGGTAGCAGTGGCGCTGAGCTCAGCTGGGAGCCACCATCTATAGCTCTCCTTGGCCAGCCTCAGGTTACAAAACCACAGCTAATGCCAGAGAAAAAGAACTAACCCACTAAGACAACCCTCAGAGAAGCAGCTGGAAGGAGAGAGCCACCAGGTAGAGATTCTAAAATCTGATGGCTTTGACCTGCCTGGCCCATTCCTCTAGCCACTCCTTCCTGGGGGAGAAGGAAATGGGAGGGGCGGGGCTTTACCCTGTGAGGTCCTTCACTCTTCTCAGATGACACAGCCCCAAAAACGTGAGCTGCCCTTTGAGTGATTTGGAAGGAGTCAACACAGAAGGCTTATCATTAAACTTTAACTTTCACCAACCTCTAGAATAGCTTGGGGTCAGCTCACTGCCTTCTGAAGCAGGCTTTTGAGTCTTCCCGTCTCCCTCTCTTATCAGGACGACACTGATTAAGTTTGGGGTGGAGAGAAGTTGAAGATTATTCTTAAGAAAAAGGAAGATGTTAAGGGTTGAACTGTGCCCCACTTCCCTGAGCTCCACTCCAGATTCATATGTTGAAGTCCAACCCTCAGCTCCTCAGAATGTGACCATATTTGAAAAATAGAGTCTTTGCAGATGTGATTGGCTAAGACGGAGTCATCCTGGAGTGGGGTTGGGCCCCGAATCCAGCTGGGCTGTGTCCTTATAAAAGAGGAAATTTGGACACAGACACAGGGAGAACACCAGTGTGAAGATGAAGGCAGAGACAGGAGTGATGCTCCCCCAAGCAAGGAATGTCAAAGATGGCCAGCACACCCGCAGAGCTGGGGAGAAGACTGGACAGTGTCTCCCCCAGAGCCTCAGGAGGAGCCAACCCTGCTGACACCTTCATCTCAGCCATCCAGCCTCCAGACTGTGAGACAGTCATTGTCTGTTTTTCAAGCCGCACAGTCTGTGGTGCTTTGTTCCAGCATCCCTAAAAGTCTAATGTAGGAAGTAAGTCTGATGAGAGACCAGGCCAGTCAGAACCCAGATCCCCCCAATCCCCGCTCTCCACCCCCAGAGAGTAACAGTGAGGGCCTTGTTTCTCACATACCCTAACCACATGTGGGCTATTGATGAACTTTGTGGATTTTCTCTCATCATGCCCCTCTATGGCAGGGTGAGGCAATCCTGGTGTCTGGGTGGATCTGTAAGAGCAAATGGACCAGTATAAAGGGCTTTGGGCCAGCTAAGGTTTTTGGTTTTTGCAACCTCCACCTCCTGGGTTCAAGCGATTCTCCTGCCTTCGCCTCCTGAGTACATGGGATTACAGGCGCATGACACCACACCAGGCTAATTTTTGTATTTTTAGTAGAGGCGGAGTTTCGCCCTGTTGGCCAGGCTGGTCTCGAACTCCTGACCTCAGTTGATCTGCCCACCTTGGCCTCCCAAAGTGCTGGGATTACAGGCATGAGCCACCACACCCAGCCCCAGCTAAGGTTTTGCTACTTGCTGTTCACCTCCATGGCTGGCCCATCTGTCTTCCTGGACCTTGCACACTGAGCAGATCACAGGTAGCATACTTCTCTCCAGGACATTCCTAAGAGCACATGCCCCACAGAAACTCTCTGTCTCTGCTGCCTGTAAATCCCAGGCAACTGACACACTCCTGTCTGTTCACACCTTCTCTCTGAGAAGCTGTGGTTCTCAGCTTCTGTGCCAGGCATGGTGGCTCGCGCCTATAATCCCAACACTTTGGGAGGCAGAGGCAGAAGAATCACTTGAGCCCAGCAGTTTGAGACCAGCCTAGGCTACATAGTAAGATCTCATCTCTACAAAAAATAAAAAATAAAAAATAAATTAGTTGGGCACAGTGGGGTGCACCTGTAATTCCTGCAGATGTGTGCCCACAGGTTACTGAAATCAACAACCTTGCCAACTCTGCTGGCTTCTCACTGAGCTCTTTCAATCCTCAAAGAGACTGGACTAGGAAATTCACATCTCCCACCACAAGGAATCAATCAGGTGTGCTGGGTCTCTAAGTCCAATAAAATTGGCTTGCTCAAAGTGTATTGGTAACTAGGGAGAAACAGAATTCTAAGGTTCGGAGTGGAAACAGCTGCAATTCTTCTCTAACCCCAAAGCACAGCCTCTCTGCTTATTCAGTGTGTGTCACAGAGTCCACCGCTTCTATGAGCCTGTTTTTGTCATCTGTGAAACGGGACTGAAACAATCACCAAGACATCATGAAGGTGCCATGAGACAGTGTCAACAGCGAACACTTACTGAACACCTTTTATTGTCACAACAACCCTCTGAGCTCAGTACTTCCATTCTGTGTTTTATCCAGAGGAAACTTCATTTTACAGAGCTTGGTCACTCGCCCACACTTGCACTGTGAAGTGCTGGATCTAGGTTTCCAGCCCAAGCCCTGGCTCCAGAGTCCTCACCCCACCCCTCTGCAGCAAATGAGCTCAGTACCTGCACCCGGTAGGCACCCATAATTGGTGACATTCTTTTTAGTGGCATCCTCAGACCCTGCAATGACCAAAGAGGGAAAGCCTCCTAGTAAAAAAGCTTACATTAAGAAAGCCCTCCAGAGACTGAAGACCACCACTGTAATGGCATCTGTCCACTGTGCTGACCAGTCCCGACAATTCCGGGATCATGAATACCAGGACAGAGATGGAGGCTGCCAAGTGCCACCCAGAGGAGATCTGAGTTGGGCAACAACTCCGCAGCGGTCTCTCACACCAGCATAACTTGAAATAGCTCCTGGGATGAGTTTACTCACATTTCTAATGAAATAGCCAACATTTCTGCTGACACGGATTAGTCCTTTGTTGCTATTTCCATTTGCTAGACAAATGTATTGAGATTTAGGGCCAAGGTGTGAAGATTTTGGTTGTCAAAAACAAATAGTAGGCCGGGCGTGGTGGCTCATGTCTATAATCCCAACACTTTGGGAGGCAGAGGCAGGAGAGTCACTTGAGCCCAGCAGTTTGAGACCACCCTAAGCTACATAGTAAGATCTCATCTCTACAAAAAATAAAAAATAAATTAGTCAGGCACAGTGGGGTACAACTGTAATCCCAGCTACTCAGGAGGCTGAGGGAGGAGGATCACTTGAGCCGAGGAATTCAAGGCTGTAGTGAGCTATGATCTCGCCACTGCATTCCAGCCTGGGAGGAACAAGACCCCATCGCAAACAAACAAACAAACAAAAAAACCACACACACACACACACAAATAGTAATAATAGCTGACACTTGTAAGCCATTCAAAATGTGCTGGACTCTTAAATATCAAGCACCTCTGCAAGGGAGATATTTTATCTACATCACATATGTGGACATGGGTACCCGGGGAGGTAACTGAGCCGAGAAGATGAGATGGTCCCTGACTCGCTGCCCTCCACTCACTGCCAGTCTTTCCTTCTGAGAGAGGCTCTGAGGAGCCCATAACAGAGTGAGCGTGTCCCTGAGGAATTTCCTGTGTGGTCAAGGGAACAAGAGGCCCTCCTCCCTCTCAGCCTGTTCCCAATCTCAGATCTCCTTAGGAAGCCACCAGCAGCCAGAGTGGAGCCTGAGACCAGGAAGCCAGCCCTGAGGGCTGACTCTTCTGCTCTGAGGTGTGGGGGGAAACAAATTATGTTTTCCTCTCTCTCTCTCTCTGAAGAGCTGATTTAGGCTTGAGGAACAGATGATAGGATGTAAAGTTAAGAGTAAGAGTCTACAGTCATTACTGGGACATCTTTGACTGCTGTAGGACTGGGCCTACCAGGGGCCTCAGTAAAGGGTGACTCCATATGGCCTGCCTGGTTGACCAGCAACTGCATTATCCATTCAGGCTAAAGCCTGTAGAAATAGAAGGCATTCACCTGTCTCCGTGGTCTTTGCACAGAACTCCCTGGGGAATTTCAAAGACCTTTGGAAAACTGCTTTGCTCTTCTATGTGAAAGAAGATGCCATCTATCTGTCTAGCACCTGCTAGAAAAATGATTTTTGATCAATTAATGTTGAAATCTAATGTGAAAATTATCAACTTATACTAATACTTCACCTATCCTAATATTACTTAAAAGATTTTTTTTTTTTTGAGACGGAGTTTCCCTCTTGTCACCCAGGCTAGAGTGCCATGGCACCATCTCGGTTCACTGCAACCTCTGCCTCCCGGGTTCAATCGATTCTTCTGCTTCGGCCTCCTGAGTAGCTGGGATTACAGGTGCCTGCCACCACACCCTGCTAATTTTTGTATTTTTAGTAGCAACAGGGTTTCATCCTGTTGGCCAGGCTGACCTTAGGTGATCCACCCACCTCAGCTCCCCAAAGTGCTGGGATTACAGGCGTGAGCCACCACACCCAGCCTACTTAAAATATTTCTTTTAACTTATTCTACAGACTGGTTTATATACCAAATGTTATTACAGCCTCAGGCATGCGTTCTCTGAAATGTTAAATAGCTTCAGATGTGAATCATGCAATTTAATAAAAGCAATAATTGATCAGTCTTTCCTTTTTTAATGAAAAATGTTGCTCCCATATTCATATTCACTAGTTTTACATGTGAGCATAGCTATGACATGAAATTTTAAATTCGGAGTTTTTATCATTTGAGTAATAGCAAAGCTGCTGAGTTTTTAAAGGTTGATTCACTTTAAATTACTTAATTTTAACTGTCAGGATCTCATATTTCTCTAGACAAGTTTGAGGACCATCCATTCATTTGACAGTCAATTTCATATACCTTCTGTAGCTAAGGTACTTTGTTGTGATAAGTGGCATTTATGTTAATGTCCCTGAAATACTACAAAAATTTGAAATACCTTCTCAAGGAAAAGCAAAATTATTTTCATTTCTGTTTTACTATATTTCCATTGATTATTGTTATTGTATGCAGGATATCACAGTATTAATTCATATATTATCAGGATATATAATTAATTGAAATACAATATTCACCAATCATGTATAGAAAGCAGTCTATCCATAGAATGTTCCAGCAATAATGCTTGTTATTGATCTTTTTCTGTTAGATAATGATTCAAATTCTTCTTTAAGTGAGTCAACCTAGTGTAAAAGAATCCAACGGCAAAAGTTTGCACATTTCTGCCAGTTAATCATCTGAAAAGCCACATCTCACTTTTTTACAAGCTGACCATCTGTGATGTTCACTTTCTCTATGACTTGGCCAGTTAAGTCATGCCTGCCAAACTTCTCTAGTATTTCCTTGTACTGAAGGAATCCTTCAACCATGGTAATGCCCAGGTCTTGATTGTGTATACAAGTTTCTAAGGGTGCTGTTTTTGCTCTGTTATGTTGCTATTAAATGGTTCTAAGATACTAAGTAAAATAAATATAAACAGAAACTAAACACCTATTGCTGTGGAGTCGATGACAAGTAATTTAAACAACCACTTTGTTTACTCGGAATCTGAGTTTAAAATTTAAAACGTGTAAACTCTGGCCAAAAAGAAGAAGGAAAATGATTTCATGGTATATTTTTGTGGAAGTATTATGCCATTAATTTTGAATTTACCAAATGAAGTAAAGAGGTTTACTAGGGATTTAGTTAAGAAGCTCTAATAGTAGAAGCTTTTGATGGACTTGCTTTTTCAGTGTATAGGGTCAGACTGAGAGATACCCTTCTGAGGAACCAATCTCCCAGGGTGGCTCATCCAGTGGCCACCCCCCCAGTATATCCCCCACTTCCACCCATTTACACTGTGTGGTCTTTCCCCATCGGCTGTGGTCTCCCTAGCATCCAGATCCTGTGTCACACCCCCTGAGCCTGCAAAGTGGCACCTGTCTCCAATGCCGAGGGGAGTGAGAGAACATGCCCCCTGCCTGCACCCCCAACATGGAGGCTCCAGTCCAGGCCCCACCTAAAGCCATTGGATGCTATTGACATAGAGATGGCCCTAAATGTGCTGCAGGCCATGTGGGTCTCCTGCTTGGATGACAAGCTCTAGGCCTGTCAGACCTAGAGCAAATAAGATCTGTTTCTACGTTGAGTGCTCACAATGTGCTAAGCACTGTGTGTTGTGGCCTTACACAGCCACAGCATTATTCCCAACCTACAGATATAGAAACAGAAACTTAGGTGAGAGAAGGTGCACGGGATGAACCCGTGCAGCAGGTGTTCTGAACCACTGCGCAACGCTTGCCTCCCTCGCAGAAACCTTAGGGACCTGTGACCTGCTTCTCACTTATAAACCGGTGACGTCATGTTGGAGAGTGTGGAAGAGCAGATAGAGCACTAAGTGAGTTACCAGGGGGCTTCTCACCTGCACCATCGGCACCTACACTAAGACTTAGGGCCTGCCTCCACATCCGCATCCATACATGAGAAAGGAGGACTCAGCGGGCCCCAATGCTCCTTCCAGCTCCAGCTTTCTAGCAGCGGGCGTGTGAATGTCTGCACAGCAGTCAGAACAACTCGTACCTTAACTGAAATGAAAACAAACTTCCACTTGACCTGCTGAGAAAAAAGTGATAGCTGACATTCAGAGTGCGTTCACTTAGAATATCTCACCCAACTTCCCCATCCCCAAAACTCCTGGGGGATGGAGGTCCCAACCCTCACATCAAGAGGAATTCCGAGGCACTTGGCTGCAGTCACTCCCCCAGGAGGAGCTGGGTTCAAACGCAGACCCACCCCAGCCTCCACAGCCCAAGCTCCTGCCATGATGCCCTGAAGCTTCTCCTCTCGAGCTACATTCTGCCGGCTGCAAATATGTTTGTGGCTTAACAGTTACTAATTCAACATGAAAAATTACAGTCTCAACAATATGAAAAATTAATATCATCCAAGTTAGAAACCACAGAGTCATATTAAACTTCTCCTTCTCCCAGTTGGGGACTGAGTCCCTAAATATGTCCCCACCCCATCTCATCTTGTCCATACTCTTTTTACATTCTTTGCTGTGGCCTTTCTCAGTCTCTAATAGTCATCCTTTATCATACTGTCTCCATAGCCTCCTAACTGGTCTTTGTGCCTCCAGCCAGTCCTGCCCGAACGTGACCCACTCTCCTCCGGAAAACCTAAGACGGATCATGCTGTTGTTCTGTTCATCACCCTCCAGGGGTTTCCCCAGGCCTTAAAGATCAAATCACAAGTCGTATACATGGCCCACGTGTACAGGCCGTGAGGATATCTGTCCAAACTCCCTCTCAAAACTACAATACCTTACAAATATCTGCAAAAATGCCTCACAGGAAAAATGGTTCACTCACCATCCCCACAGCAACCAAGACACAGTTATTTAGCTCAGGCCTTCCACTGCTTGCTTTACCATCTTTGGCATATTTTCCATACCATTAAGCAACCTTTCACATTTAAATAAAAGTTAAACATCTCCTCCCTTTTAAAAAGCCTAATTATAAAAACTTAAATGTTCGTTATCATTCCCTATAAAACAGGCAAGGAGAAAAGAAAACACATATATTTTACCTGTAATTTCCAAAATGTTTGTAGAAACTCCTCAGTTGCTTCTAGAATATCTTAATGAAGAGAGCTGGAGCGTGGAAGAGTCGGAGTGAAGAGGCTGAAGTCTGGTGAGCCTGTTGCTCAGATGCTGCCTACGAGTGAACCCTCCTCTAATTGTGCTGGACCTAGGAACTGCAATGTTTGCCGTGTCACCTGGATTATTAGTAGCGACTGCAAACACTTCACAGAACTCCCAAACCACACACTGGCAAAGAACAGAACTAGCCTGGGGTCATGAGTGTTGGTATGCCTCTCATTCTGTGAAGACCTGCACACAAGTTAAATAGCAAACAAAATAACCTACTTTGTTCTCGTTATCATTTGATTTTTTGTGGCATATAATGAGGCATGGAAACATAGGAGCTTTTCACGTTATTTTGAAGTTCACCAGTTTTAATATTTGTCTGGAGAAGTATGTGTTTGTTTAGTTCAACACCATGAAGTGGAGGTCATGTCCCCATAACTAGCAGATTGGTTCAGTTCAACAAACATTTGCTCAGTGCCTGCTCTCTTTAGAATATGAACCTGAAACAAAGAAACAAAACAAAAAATGACTTCCAAGAATTCACAAGTCAGTTATCTTTTGTACAGTGACAACCATCAGTAAGCATGTATTCTTTCTACTTTTTATTCATTATTTCAACAACCACACAAACACTTATTTAGGCCAAGCACAGCTGGTCACTGGGCACTGCGCAGTGCAGGCCGCCCAGGGAGACAGGGGCCTGGGAGGGTGATACATGTATCAAATCACTCAATGTCCTCATGGCCTTAATTTTGGTCACCAGGACCCCGGGTAAAGGTCTCAAATTAAAAAAAACAAAAAAACAGTTTTATTGAGGCATAATGGATATATAGTAAGTCCTCACTTAATATTGTTGATAATTTCTTGGAAACTGCAACTTCAAGCAAAGCAACGTATAACAAAACCAATTTTCCCATAAGTTGATGGATATAAACAAGAGTCAAGTTCCTACAGCATATATTTGGTCATAAAAACATCACCAAACTTCTAAATAAACACTACAACACTCCTAATATTAGCCATTGAAATAAATGTGAAATATACACTTGAGAAAGATTAATAAAAACAAGTAACATATTTATCCAATTTTTGATAAATCAGCAAGTCACAGTGGTCGTAATGGCAGTGGGTTAAATCAAGGAATAAATGTTTGCAAAGCGAAAATTGTCAGGAGCACCTCCTCCCACCTCGCAGTTTGAAAACCATTACAAATACAACAGGCTCCCAAAACACTTCTTTGTTTATTGTCGTGCATTTGTATGATTATCACAGATCTTACGAATTTTTTTTCCAATCAACTTGTATTCATTCATTCATTTTCCAACCTGTAACTTTTATTCATTCACTCGTTTTCCAACCCATAACTTTCCTTCATTCATTCATTCATTCATTCATTCATTTTCCAACCTGCTTGTACCAGTTCAGGGTCGCAGGTGGCTGAGCATATCCAGCAGCTCAGGGCACAAGGCAGGACCCACGCTTGCACAGGATACCATCCTATGGCAGGGCACACTCACACACCCACACTCATGCACTGGGACCATGTAGACATGCAAGTTCACCTAATGTGCACAGCTTTGGGTTGTGAGAGGAAACCGGAGGACCCAGAGAAAACCCCCACAGATACGGGGGGAACATGCAGATTCCACACAGACAGTGGCCCTGGCTGAGAATACATTATTTTTTCCTCATCAACATTATAACGAAACAACATTATTAGAGGATCTGCTGTATAAGGAACCGTAAATATTTATAATTTGATGATGTCATATGCATACACCCATAAACTATTGCCACAATCAAGGTAATAGACATACCCAACACCTCCCAAAGTCTCCTGTGTGTCTTTGCTGTTTTGTTTGTTTTCATGGTAAGAACACTTAACATGAGATCTACCTTCTTAATAAATTTTAGAGTACAAAATTCCATATTGTTAACTATAGCCACTGTGTCACACAGCAGATCTCTAGAACATACTCATGTTGCATAATTGAAACTTGATACACTTTGAACAACATCTCCCCATTTCCCCTCCTCTCATCACCTGGCAATCACCATTCTGCTCTCAGCTTCTATGAGTTTGACTACTTTAGAAGCCCTCACATAAGTGGAATCATGCAGTATTCTTCCCTCTGTGTCTGGTTTATTTCGCTTAATGTAATGTTCTCCAGGTTCATCCATGTTATTGCAAGAGCATGATTTCCTTCTTTTTAAAGGCTGAATAGTAGTCATGTATTTTATAGATAGATAGATAGATAGATAGATAGATAGATAGATAGATAGATAGACAGATAGACAGATCACATTTTCTTTATCCATTCGTCCATTTATGGACACTTAGGTTGTTTTCACTTCCTGGCTATTGTGAATAATGTTGCTATGAACATGAGAGTACAGATATTTCTTCAAGACCCTAATTTCAATTCCTTTGGGTATATGCTGTGTAATAGGCTTGCTAGTTCTGTTTTTAATTTTTAATTTTTGTGGGTACAGAGGTGTATATATTTATAGGATACACGAGATGTTTTGTATTTTTAATTCTTTGAGGAATCTCTGCACTGTTTTCCATAGCTGCTGCACCATTTCACATTCCCACCAACAATATACAAGGATTCCAGTTTCCCCACATCTCCACCAACACTTGCTGTCTTCTGTTTTTTTAAAACAGCCATCCCAGCATGTGTGAAATGACATCTCATTTTGGTTTCGATCTGCATTTCTTTGAGGGTCAGTGATGTTGAGCATCTTACAATGTACCTGTTGCCCATCTGTATGTCTTCTTTAAGAAATGTCTGTTTGAATCCTTTTTTAAATCAGGATATTTGGTTTTAGGCAATCAAATTGTGATCTCTTGGTTTTAATGTTTAGAGCAGAATGCAATCTGTTTGGCTTTCTCCTCAATGCAGAAAATATCTTCTTTGTGAAGCGGAACACACAAAAAGTAAATTTCCTTCAAATCTGATCTTAGAACGTCAACTATAGAGAACAAGAAGTTCTCGAAGAACCCCTGCCTTTTGAAACACCTACTGTTTCTTGACAAGTCAAGCAGCAGGGGGCAGGATGGTGCAGTGGGAAAATATATGGCTGACCATCTGGAAATCTGAGTCTGATCCCATTCCAGCTGGAAGTCTTTTCACCTCCCTTGGCTACGGTTAACTTATCTGCAAAGTAAGGAGCTGGGTGGGTTGGATGGGCTTTCCTGCATCTAGCATTTTCTTTCACTCAGTATTTTTGTGTACCCTTCAGGTCAGGAGCTTGAGACTAGCCTGGCCAACATGGTGAAACCCCATCTCTACTAAAAATATACAAAAATTAGCCGGGCATAGTGGCACGCACCTGTAACACCAGCTACTCGGGAGGCTGAGGCAGGAGAATTGCTACCTAGGAAATGGAGGTTGCAGTGAGCCAAGATCACACCACTGCCCTCTAGCCTGGGCAACAGAGTGAGACTCCATCTCAAAAAAAATTATATATATATATATGTATGTATATATTTGTGTGTGTGTACCTGCTATGTGCCAGATACTGTGTTAGGCGCTTAAAAAAGCAAAACTCACTAACCTGTTTAAGCCTACTGAAAGAACTTGAAATAACTACCAAAAATAAATATGATAATTCTGTTCTAAGAGTTAACCTCAGTATGAGGTGCCAACAGCTAGCGAATGAATGAATATGCTAGCCGGGACTACAGTGAAGTTTCAGTATCTCTAAAGCCACTTCAGTCTCAAATATGATCAAAGGTTACCCAAGTGTCTGGATTTAACATTGGGTAGCAGAAGGTTGAGCAGCAAGATTTATATATATATATATATATTTTTATATATTAATATATATTTATATATATAAATATATATATAATATATATAAATATATAAATATATATAAATATATATATTAATATATATAAATATATATATTAATATATATAAATATATATATAAATATATATATAAATATATATAAAAATAATATATATAAATATATATATATATATATAATTTTTTTTTTTGAGACGGAGTCTCGCTCTGTCGCCCAGGCTGGAGTCCAGTGGCGCGATCTCGGCTCACTTCAAGCTCAGCCTCCCGGGTTCACGCCATTCTCCTGCCTCAGCCTCCCGAGTAGCTGGGACTACAGGTGACCGCCACCACGCCCGGCTAACTTTTTTGTATTTTTAGTAGAGACGAGGTTTCACCATGTTCGCCAGGATGGTCTCGATCTCCTGACCTCGTGATCCGCCCGCCTCGGCCTCCCAAAGTGCTGGGATTACAGGCGTGAGCCACCGTGCCCGGACAAGATTAATATATTTTAACTACTCCAGCTTCATTTCGAACCTTCCCAGACACAGCCCCAACTCAAAGCCACAAACATAGTACTATCAAAAGTATTTATCCTTTCTCCCTACAACTTATGCAACTGCAATTTTTCCACTTTGTTTTGGTGGCCCCGTTTTGCTCCCAGGTTTCCCAACCAAGTAAGCTTTGAGTCACATTCAACTTCTCTCTCCCCTTTCCTTCCTGAATTTAATAAGCCACCAACAAATCTGCGGAGACCCACTCCAACAAGAAGCCCTCCCTCCCTCGGCAACCACAGTGCAGACCTCTATTGTTACAGCTCCCTGTCTCCCGGGGAATTCCAGCCGCAGGCGTTCCTTGGGGCCCCCGTGGAAAACTGGAAAGGAACTGTTGAAGCCTTTCACTGCCTGTTTTCCTGAATCCCATGGCCAGGGAGTCGGGGAGAAAGGGAGGGAACCCACAGCAACTGCTTTTTACCAGTTCAGTGCCGCCGAGAACCGGGGCTTTCCCATAGGGCCGGGCCAGGTTCTAGGCAGAGAAGCGTCTGCATTCCGAGGCGCAGTCTGGGCTGGAGCCTGTCACCACCCTTCAAATCCCTTTGAAGCTGGGCAAAAATCTTGCCAACGCCAAGCTTCAGAGCTCCTCCGCTTAACCTGGGAGGGGCTGTTTCCTGCCTGCATTTCACAGCCTCTCACAGGAGGGAGGTGCAGTCATAATCATTTTACAGGATTCTCACTGTAGACATCAAAATCTAAAAACACGAGAAACATAAGTTTTACACAAAATACCATGTCAGATGGACCAAGACCTATTTAATGCTGAAAAATTATTCTACTAACTCAGAGACCTATTATCATAATATATACATACAAGCACACATATATACATATGTATACACATATACATATACATATAAACTATTTAGAGACACTTCTTCCTTAAAGTCATATTAAACATTCTCAGTTTCCTAAATAATTTCAGAAACTTCCCCACCTTCACTGTCCTTCTCTGAACACAGTCTAGGTTGTTAATTTCTCTTAAAATATGATTCCCAGGAGGAAATGCAGGATCCCTGATGGAGCCTTACAGGTGAGTTTTTTGTCCCCACATTGCAGGGTTTTCACATATCGACCTGCGATAAAATACTTACTTCTTTTTCACATGCACTGCTCCCAAGTCAGAGTCTTCTGTTCTGGACGAAGGGAATTGGGTTTGAAAGTTTTTTTTGTATTTTTGTTTTTTAGGAGAGTCAGAGAACATTAGAATGAAAGAGTCCGTAGAAATTGCTGGTACATATTTTCAAGTCATGGGTTATATAGCTCATTCATGGGCCATGAAATCAATTTAAGTAGGTCACTGTTATGAGCCAAATGCTTGTGTCCCCCAACTTCCAAATTCACATACTGAGGTCGTAATCCCCCGACATGATGGCATTAAGACATGGGGTCTTTGGGAGGTGATTGGGTCATGAGGGTAGAACCCTCATGAATGGTGTTAGTGCCCATATGAAAGAGACCCCAGAGAGCTCCCTTGCCTCTTCCACCATGGGAGGACTCAGTGAGAAAGTGCTATATTTCAACCAGGAAGCAGACCCTCACTAGACACTGTATCTTCTGGTGCCTTGATCTTGGATTTCCCAACCTCTGGAGCTGTGAGAAATAAATGTTTGTTGTTTAAGCCACCCCAGTCTATGGTATGTTTATTATAGCAGCCTGAACGGACTAAGACGGTCACCCCCAGCTTTCTTTAAAAACTGAATAAGATGCAGTAGAAAGTATCAGAGTACATTGCACATATGAAAGACAAGTATTATCAATAAAACTTATGTTTCAGATTTAGATACACAAGTATGTGTGTGTATAGATTATAACCATAATTGAGTTTTGGTCAAAAAACTTAAATGCCACTGATCCAGTTCAATCAGGAAATGGCAGTGTTCTATAATGGATAAGCATTTGTTTGAAATTTAGAGTCAGAAAATCCCTGGTTTATGGTCTTGGATCTCGCCTTTAAGAACTGCGTGACCGCAGCAATTTATTTTGCTTCATTGAAACTCAGATCAGTTCCTCATCAATAAAATCAGGTATCAACGGCACTTTCCTCAAAGAGTTATTGAGGAGAAACACGTTATTACTCACTTCCTTTTACTGAGCACATGCGATGTGCCAAGAAACATGGTGTCTTCAAACGCACTATACTTCTGACCTTCACTACAACAACCCTGTGTATTGTTATCCATCAAATGAAGGAACCGAGGCAGTCTGGTCCAGATGTATGTACTTAACCATTCCACTACACCAGCTCAAAGTACATCATGTCTCTACAAATACAAAGATGCATTTGAAGTACTTAACACAATCAGTACTAAGTACTTAGTACGGACACAGGGGAGCCTTCAAATTTTAGCACCATTCTCAGGGCAGATCCTCTGCAAGTTGAGGAATTCAAGCCAGAAGGTAGATTGATGCCCTGCTTCCTTCGGGAAAGTTTTGCTTATTCGGCTGTACTAAAAAATGTGATGAAGTTTGTCATAATGTCCATTGAAACTCTAACCAGAGCTCCATATCTTGTTGAGGCCAAGCAACAAGCAGTTTGCCAGCTCACTGTCCATGAACCATACTCTGCGGAGCGCTGTGTGAGATGACATTGTAATAACCATCACAGGCACCATGATTATTGTTAGTATGGTTTGGGACAGATTCAGGTCTCCTCTTTCACCATCCAAATCTGTTTTTACTACTCCATCGAAGACACACCTATGCATGTGCTCCCGCTCACTTTCACCTGGTCAGTTTCATCCTGCTGAAAGTTTTTAGAATCTTTACGATATCATCCAAATGCACCAACTATCCCTTCTGGCTTTATGTCACCTGCACACCTGCTGAGCGTGTCTTCTGTGCCTTCATGGAGACGCTGATAGCAGTGTTCATCAAGAGAAAGCCAAGATCAGGTCTGCTTCCTTTAGGACAATCCTGTGGCTCCCCTCAGTGGCTGCTCACCTCGTCCTTATTGTGTTTGCCTCTCTTTCCTAAACCCTCACAAACCCAGACATTGACTTTTCACAGGGGGAAATGGAGAGGAAGCACTAGGAAATGACCCGCTTTGAAGGCTCCATCTTGTGGCGCATGAGCATCAGTGCAGCTCGGGACTGCAGAGGGAAGAGGCGAGCTCTGGGAGGACCGCACTCATGCAGAGGCACTGAGGGAGCATTGGCAGAGCTACCTTGATCTGGAAGGCGAGTCTTTTTTTTTTTCCATAATGTTTCCAGGTAAAATCAGACTGGCTTTATTCACTTTGTTCATCACTGCGAATAAATAAAACACTACACCTGCTTCATTAATGGTCCAGAAAAAAAACATTTTTTAAATGAGCTACATGGGTAAAGAGAATTTTTAAAAGATTTTCTCCACCATTCATCATTCTAAATTTGAAATAAAAATTCCCTATTCTTCCAGTAATAATCTGGAAATTATCTTTAAGAATTCCTTCACTTTAAATGGGCAGCTAAAATGGAGGCAATGCTGGGCCGGCAAGGCAGCTTCCTCATCATCTTAAAGGACCGATACCGATGTCCTGTCACTCAGGCCTGCTTCTCCCACACCGGGATCTCACCTCCTTCAGGTGGGGCTATGTTGCCTTCTGCAGCTATGTAGATTTTTATTCCTTCTGGGATGCAAGACAGCTAGAGCCAAGGAGACATTTCTAGCACACAACCAGGCACAAGTTTTCAATGTGAGTTTAAATAGTCATGACTTAAAACTCTGAGTTGCAGTGCAGGAATCAGGCGTGCAGATGTAGGGCTTGTTGGTGTTGAGGAAGGGAAAGGAGAAAGTTGAAAGATGATGAAAATAAGGCAAGTGGGAAGCAGTAGTCACTCAGGATACTAACTTAGAACTCATGATCAGAAAGGGCAAGTGTAAGAAAAACAGTAGCGTTATTTATTTGGTCAACACACATGCATCAGTGACAGGTTCTAAGAATCAAGAAAACAGTGAGGCCTGAATCCTGCCCAGCAGTGTGCTGTGGGGAGGGAGACAGATTTGGAAATAAGTGTCCTTAACACCCTTCTTGTGCAGTCTCTGAAAGAAGAGCAGGTGGAGGTGAGGTCTGGCAAGACTTCCCTGGGGTTGCTTCCTCTCAGGACAGAGGTCATTTTCTGTCAATTCTCTTTACTATCAATTTATAAACTCCAAAATTGTAGCATCTCAATCCTCCAATGCCTCTGAAATTTTGATTTATGATTTTAATTTTTTCTTAACCTTGAAACAACCTTAGAGCTGATTTAATAGAGCACCTTAATTGTACAGATCAGAAAAACATTGGCAGATAAGATGGAGTGTCTTCATACACAGCCTCTCTACTTGTTACATCGCTGGCTATGACACTCATGTCCAGGCTCATCTCGGGGTGAGACTGCTTTGAGGGCCAGAGTAATACAGAATTAAGGGTGGCAAACAACAGTTTATGGGTGAAAGACAGGCTGCTTCCTCCAATAGGAGGTCTACTCTTTACTGGAGGAAAATAATTAAAGTTAAAAAAAAAAAAGTATAGTCAGTATGTTAGTAATTAGCGAAATACCAAGAAATTTAATCCCCTATACTTAAACGTCACATTCAAATAAACTAAGGCTATAATATAAACTCCCTGGATATATATCAAAATACCTTGCCTTCTTGCTGTCATGTAGACAATAACCATTGTATTTACAACTCATAAAGTGGGAAAGAAGATAAGAAAAATATCACTAAATTCTGTATTTTTAATTCAAGTTACTAAGGAGGGTGGAGTTTGAATTGGCCTTGACCTGAATCTCTCTCTTTTAAAGAAACAGAGGGAGACACTTTGCATTTTGGTCATGAACAGAATTCGCATCACATAAAACTTGTGCTCAGTCCTCTCCCAGCTGATCCAGGCATCAGAGGGAGTGGATCAGGGGATGGGGAGGGACTCCCCCACCCAGAAACAAGCAAGTAGAATTGTAGGTCACGTTTTGTTGACATTGTGCTTGACCAATGGAAATCCCTAGGTTCCAGCAATGAGACTCACAACAATGTGCAGGAGCTGTTGCCATGTGATCAACAGGGATTTCAGACTTGGCCTGAAAACTGGGGTTTTAATGCCCAGGGGAGGACAGGAGATGAAGGAAGAAGGGAATTGGAACCGAGTCACTGTCCGAATGTGTTAAGGGCTAGCCAAACTGAAACGTAAACTTCTAGTCTACAGGTGCTTTGTATTAAAAAGAAAAATAATTACTTGCAAGAAATCAAAACCTCAGAATACACCATGTAGAGATGTGAGTTATAATGCCTACAGGTACCTGAGAATTAAACAGAAAGATTGAGCCAGGGCAGTAGAATCCTGAAACCCTGGCAGAAGCAAACAAAAAACTTCCCTTAGTGCACAACCCAGGATGTATAGATCACCATAGAAGGCATAGCTCTTACTGACAATAAATCAGAATTCAAAATTACATAGTCAAAACTACACATGCAAGCACCATCAAAACTGCATGAGGAACCATCGTGACACAGAGATGGGCAAGAATTAACACAGGTAGAATTAGTGCTCAAGAGGCCAGGCGCGGTGGCTCACGCCTGTAATCCCAGCACTTTGGGAGGCCGAGGCGGGGGGATCACGAGGTCAGGAGATCGAGACCATCCTGGCGAACATGGTGAAACCCTGTCTCTACTAAAAATACAAAAAAAATTAGCCGGGCTTGGTGGCGGGCGCCTGTAGTCCCAGCTACTCGGGAGACTGAGGCAGGAGAATGGCGTGAACCCGGGAGGCGGAGCTTACAGTGAGCGGAGATCCTGCCACTGCACTCCAGCCTGGGTGACAGAGCGAGACTCCGTCTCAAAAAAATAAATAAATAAATAAATAAATAAATAAATAAATAAATAAATAAAAAAGAATTAGTGCTCAAGAGTGAGAGGAGGCTGGGAGCGGTGGCTCACGCCTGTAATCCCAGCACTTTGGGAGGCCGAGGCGGGCGGATCACTTGAGGTCAGGAGTTTAAGACCAGCCTGGCCAACATGGTGAAACCCCATCTCTACTAAAAATACAAAAATTAGCCAGGTGTGATGGCGGGCAGCTGTAATCCCAGCTATTTGGGAGGCTGAGGCAGGAGAATCATTTGAACCTGGGAAGGGGAGGTTACACAGAGCCCAGATCACGCCACTGCATTCCAGCCTATGTGAGACAGGGAGACTCCATCAAAAAAAAAAAAGAAAAGAAAAAAAGAAATGAGAGGAAATAGAAAAATCTGAAAGCCACCATTAAAAAGATAGTTTAAGCTTATTTTACAGGTAAAAGAAAAAATATAAACAATAATAAAATACAAGACAGTATTTTAAAGCTTGAGGATATTTGGGGAAGAAAAACGTGAAACACAGAAATTAAAAAAAAGATTTGGCCAGGCGCGGTGACTCACGCCTGTAATCCCAAAACTTTGGGAGGCTGAGGCAGGCAGATCACGAGGTCAGGAAATCAAGACTATCCTGGCTAACACGATGAAACCCCGTCTCTACTAAAAATACAAAAATTAGACAGGCGCAGTGGCAGTTGTCTGTAATCCCAGCTACTCGGGAGGCTGAGGCAGGAGAATTTGAACCCAGGGGGCGGACGTTGCAATGACCCAAGATCAAGCCACTGCACTCCATCCTGGGTGACAGAGCAAGACTCTGTCTCAAAACAAAACAAAATAAAACCAAAACCGGATTCATTGGATTTCCAGATTCATTGTGGAGGTATAGAGGGCTGGAAAGAGTGTCACACACACCCTTACAACAAGAAAAATGCTGGACAATAACAAATGAATAATTTATTTTATTTTATTATTTATTCTTTATTTTTAACTTTTAAGTTCAGGGGTATATGTGCAGGTTTGTTACATAGGTAAATATGTGTCATGGGGGTTTGTTGTACAGATTATTTCATCACCCAGGTACTAATCCTAGTACCCATTAGTTATTTTTCCTCATCCTCTCTCTCCTCTCACCCTCCACCCTCTGATAGGCCACACTGTGTGCTGTTCCTCTCCCTGTGTCCATGTGTTCTTCATTTAGCTCCCACTTGTAAGTGAGAACATGTGGCATTTGGTTTTCTGTTCCTGCATTAGTTTGCTAAGGATAATGGTCTCTAGCTCCATTCATGTTCCTGCAAAGGACATGATCTCATTCCTTTTTATGGCTACATAGTATTCCATGGTGTATATGTACCACATTTTCTTTATCCAGTCTATCATCAATGGGCATTTAGGTTGATTTTATGTCTTTGCTATTGTGAATGGTGCTTCAGTGAACATACACGTGCATGTGTCTTTATAATAGAATTATTTATATTACTTTAGGTATATACCCAGTTATGGGATTGTTGGGTCAAATGGTATTTCTGTCTTTATGTCTTTGAGTAATTGGTACACTGCTTTCCACAGTGGTTAAACTAATTTACACTCCTACCAACCGTATATAAGCATTCCGTTTTCTCCACAACCTCACCAGCATCTGTTATTTTTTTACTTTTTAATAATAGCCATATGAATGACTTTTCCATTGGAGAGCTGAGGTCACAAGAGCAAACAAATAACCAGAAATCTTCAGAGAAGATTTGTCTGTGGGGAGAAACAGGACCCAAATTCTTGCTTACCTGGAACAGATGTAGATGCCATCAGGTGCCATATAAGCCAATAAGAAGATTCAGCTAGAAATTTTTGATGAATTGCTGAAGGCCCAGTGTGGAGATAAAACCAGAGTTGGAAGTCCCTGGGGCTGCAGACAGAGGAGGATTGCAGCAGTTCAACTCTACAACAAAGGCTGAGAAGATCTTCACTGTGGGAATATAATAGAGGTCAGAAACTTGAATCTACACAAATAAATGAAGAGCATATACATAGAAAATATAGAATTAAGATCGAATTTATTATTTTCTTACTGTAGTTACTTTTTATGTTTAAAGAAAATAGTAACAATATAGTCTCTATTCATAGCTATGTAAAAGTAAAATAGATGACAGCAATAGCACAAAGAATGGTAGAGAGGAATTAAGGATATGCTATAATAAGTTCCTTACACAATATGTCAATGGTGTACTATTGAGAGAAGACTCAGATTGTTTTTAAATGCAAATGATTACTTAAAAATTACATGTGGGCCCTAGGGCCACAACTTAGAAAAAAAATTAAGAGGTATAAATAACATCAAATAAAGGTAAAATGGAATAATAAAAGATTTTCCAATAAACACAGAGAAAGCATTTAAAAAGGAAAAAATACAGAATAAATGGAACAAATAAAACAGATAGCAAGATGGTAAATAGTAAATTTTATTCTAACCTTATTAACAATCACTCTAAACATGACTAATCTAAATAAGCCAGTTTAAAGAAAAGGATTTGTCATACTGGGCCAGAAGAAAAAAATCAAGACCCAACCATATGTTGTCTACAAGAAACCAACTTTAAAATGAAGACATAGATAGAAGTAAAAAATATGGAGAAATATATATCATGCAAACACTAACCAAAAGAAAGCTGGAGTAACTATACTAATTTCAGGCAAATTACACTACAGCACAAGAAATATTATCAAAAATAAGCAGGAAAGTAACTAATGATAAAGCTATCAATTTTCCAAGCAAGTTTTCCCAGAAGAAAAACAATCCTAAATATGTTTACAACATATTAACAACAACAGACCTTCAAAATAAAATAGACAAAAGTTGATATATTTGAAGGTAGAATTAACAACAGAGCTTCAAAATAAAAGAGGTAAAACTTGATATATTTAAAAGCAGAATAAACAAATCCACAATTATACTTGGACAAGTCAAGACTTCTGTCTTAGTAATTGGTAAAACAAATAGAAAGAAAATTATTAAGTGTATAGGTAACCTGAACAAACCTATCAACCCACCCAACCTAATGACATTTAGGAAACATGCAACCCAACAACAACATCAGCAGCAGAGTACATGTTCTTCACAGCAGCAGCACATGGAACAGTCACTGAGATGGACCATATTCTGAGCCATAAAAGAAACCCTGATAAATGTTAAAGAATAGAAATCATGTAAAGTATGTTCTCAGACCATAACAGAATTAAACTAAAAATCAATAACAGAAAGAAATTAGGGGAACCTCAAAATATATGGAAATTAAACAACATACTTTTAAATAATACTAGGTCTAAGAGGAAATCCCAAGCAAAATTGGAAAGTACTTTGAACTGAATGCAAATAAAAACAAAATTTGCGAGTGCAGCTGAAATAGTGCTCAAAGAGAATTTACAGCAATGAATGTTTATGTTAGGAAAGAACAAAGATCTAAAGTCAGTACCCTAAGTTTTTATCTTAAGGAATTAGAAAAAGAATAGTAAGTTAAACCCAAAGCAAGCAGAGAAATGAAATAATAAGGATGAGAACAGAAATCAATGAAATTGAAAACAGGAAAACAATAGAGAAAACCAATGAAACCAAAAGCTGATTCTCAATAAAATTGATAAGCCTCTAGTGAGTCTAAGAAGAAAAGAGAGCAGATATAAATAACAATACCAAGAATAAAAGAGTAGAACTTCATTTTTTGCCTCACTGACATCAAAGGAATAATAAGAGAATACAATTAACAGCTGTATACCCTCCATAAATTCAACATCTTAGATGAAATAGGCCAATTTTCTAAAGGACATAAACCACCAAAACTCACTGAGAAGAAATAGAGAACTTGAATAACACTATGTCTATTAAAGAAATTGAATTGTAACTGAAAACCTTCCCACACAGGAAACTCCAGGCATAGATGATTTCCTTGGTGAAATCTACCAATATTTAGGGAAGAAATAAGAACAAATCTATCAGTCTTCTCCAGCAAATAAAAGAAGGGAAAACATTCCAAGTCATTTTGTGAGGCCAGAACTAATCTAATTTGAAACAAAAGACAGTAAAAGAAAATTGCAAACCATTATTATATCAAACCTTAGATATAAATTTCTTCAACAGATTGAGCCCAGCAATATATTAATAGAAAAAGGATTACACATCCTAATCTAGCAGAATTTATCCCAGGAATGTGAGGCTGCTTCAATATTTGAAAATCAAGTAATATAATTCATGATATTAAGAAACTAAGGAAGAAAACCCTTACAATCATCTCAATTGATTCTAAAGCCAGCATTTGACAAAATTTAGCATTACTTCATAGTAAAAAGTCTCAGCAAACTAGAATTAGAAAGGAATGTCCTTAATCTTATGAAAGACACTACATACTATATACATATATACATAAAACTATAAAACCTGCAACTAACCTCAGTGGTAGAAAATGGAATGCTTTCTCCATAAGATGAGAACAAGGACAGGCTATCTTCTCTCACCACATTTGTTTGATACCATACTGGAATTCCTGTCCTTTTCAGTAAGTAAAGAAAAAGAAATAAAAGTCACACAAAGAGAAAGGGAAGAAATAAAATTGCCCCTATTCTCAATTGACATGATTGTTTAAAAAGACAATCCCAAGAATCTACAAAAACATCTCTCAGAACTAAAAAGTGAGTTTAACAAGGTCACAGGATACGTGGCCAATATAGAAGAGCCAATTGTCTTCCTACATACAGCAATGACCAACTGAAATTTAAAATGCGAAAAACAGTACAACCAAGTGTAATAGCACCAAAATTGAAACACTTAAATATGTCCTTAAATATGCAAATACTTAAATCTAACAAAATATGTACAGGGTCTGTATACAGAAAAGTATAAAACACTAATGAAAGAATTAAAGAAGATTTAAGTAAACAGAGAGATATGCTATATTTATGGACTGAAAGACTCAATATTGTTAAGGTATCTATTTTATCCAGTTGATGTACAGATTCAGTACATCAAAATCAAAATTCCAGCAAGCTTCTTTGTAAATATAGACAAACTAATTCTAAAACGTATATGGAAAAGCAAAGGAACTAGAAAAGCCAAAACAAAGTTCTTTGGAAAAAGAACAAAGTTGAAGGACTCTACCTGATTTCAAAATTCATTATAAAGCTACAGTTATCTAACCATATGATATTGGCTAAAGGATAGATACATATGAAAATGAAACAGAATAAAAATCTTGGAAATAGACACAAATATAGTCAATTGATTTTTGGCAAAGGTACAAACTCAAGTCAATGAAGAAAGTTTTATCTTTTCAACAAATGTTGCTAGAACAGTTGGTCAGCCATGTGTAAAAAAACTCATGCCTTATACAAAAATTAACTCAAAATAGATCATTAACCTAATTCAAAATTTAAAACCTTAAAACTTCTAGAAGAGATGTAGGAGAAAAATCTGTGTTACCTTGGGTTTGGTAACAAGTTTTTAGATGTGAAACTAAAAGCTTGACCCACAAAAGAAAAGTTTATAAAATGGACTTTTTAAAAACTGAAAACATTGCTCTGTCAAACACAGTGTTAAGAGAATGAAAAGATAAGCTACAGACTTGGAGAAAGATATTTATAAATCCCATATCTGATACAAGACTTGTGTTAAAATACATAAAGAAACTATCCTCAGAGCAAACAGGCAACCTACAGAGTGGGAGAAAAATTTTGCAATCTATCCATCTGACAAAGGTCTAATATCCAGAATCTACAAGGAACTTAAATAAATTTATAAGAAAAAAACAACCTCATTAAAAAGTGGGCAAAGGACATGAACAAACATTCATGCAGACAATAAACATATGAAAAAAAGCTCAACGTTGCTGATCATTAGAAAAATGCAAACCAAAAACACAAAGAGATAGCTTCTTACGCCAGTTAGAATGGCAGTTGTTAAAAAGTCAAGAAACAGCAGATGCTGTTGAGGTTGTGGAGAAATGGGAATGCTTTTACGCTGTTGGTGGGAATGTAAATTAGTTCAACCATTGAGGAAGACGGTGTGGCAATCCTCAAAGATCTAGAACCAGAAATAACATTTGACCCAGCAATCCCATTACTGGGTATATACCCAAAAGATTACAGATCATTATGTTACAAAGATACACGAATGTGTATGTTCATTGCAGCACTATTCACAATAGCAAAGACATGGAATCAACCAAAATGCCTATCAATGATAGACTGGATAAAGAAAATGTGGTGTGTATACACCATGAAATACTATGCAGCCATAAAAAGGAACAAGATTATGTCCTTTGCAGGGACATGGGTGGAGCTGGAAGCCATGATCCTTAGCAAAGTAATTAAGGAACAAAAAACTAAATGCCGTATCTTATCACTTGTAAGTGGGAGCTGAACAATGAGAACACATGGGCACAGAGAAGGGAACAACACACACTGGAGCCTGTCAGGGAGTGGGGTCGGGGGAGGAAGAGCATTAGGAAAAACAGCTAATGCATTCAGGGCTTAACCCATTTATGCCAGAGGTTGCAGATTTTTTGTGTGAAAAATCAGACCTCGGTGATGACCATGAGCAGTAGGATATAAACAACTCCAACAAGCTTGTGTTCCAATAATGGAACACTAGGCATAAATGGCTTAATACTTAAGTGATATGTTGATAGGTGCAGCAAACCACCATGGCACACATTTACCTGTGTAACAAACCTGCACATGTACACCAGAACTTAAAATTAAAGTTAGAATATATATTATATATATATACACACACACATACACACACACACACACACACACATATAGATCAAAATGATAAGATCAAGATGGAAACAAATTAGTAAAGTGTGGAGGATTTTTCCCATTAAGAAGCTTCATCTGATGATAATATATATATAAAGAACTCTTAAAGCTCAGCAATTAGAAATAATCCACACTTTTTAAATGAAAACATACTTCTCCAAAGATAAACAGATAACAAATTTTAGAAAAAAAAATCCAACATCAGTAGTCACTAAGAAAAGTAAAATACAACCACAAAGAGTTACCACCACATATCTAGAATGGCTAAAATTTTTTTAAAAAACTAACAATGCCAAGACTGGGGAGAATACAGAGCGATGGGAACCCCTGCTTTTTGCGGGTGGGAATGCAGATCGTATGGCCATTTTGGAAAACAATTTAACAGTCGCTTATAAAATTAAACATACACTTGCCATATGACCCAGAAATACAATTTTTAGGTATTTACCCAAGTGAAATGCAAACATATGTTTGCCTAAAAACTTCTACGCAAAAGTTTATAACAACTTTATTCATAATATCCCCAAACTGGAAACAACCTAGATATGCTTCAAAAGGTGACTGGATCAACAATCTGTGGCATGTCCACACAATAGAATGCTACTCAGCAATAAAAAGGAAAACAGTATTGATTCATGCAACAACATGGGTAAATCTTAAATGCATTTTTCTTTTTTTAACTTTTATTTTAAGTTCAGGGGTACATATGCAGATTTGTTATATAGGCAAACTTGGGTCTGTTGCACAGATTATTTCATCACCCAGGTATTAATCCTAGTTATTTTTCCTCATCCTGTCCCTCCTCTCACCCTTCACCCTCCAATAGGCCCCACTGTGTGTTCCCCTCTACATGTCCATGTGTCTCATCTAAAGTGCTTTTTTCTAAGTGAAAGAAGCCAGACCCAGGAGATGTCATATCATGTGACTCCATTTACATCATGTTCTGGAAGAGGCAAAACTATACAGACGGATCAGTGGTTGGACATGGTGGCTCACACTTGTAATCCCAACACTTTGGGAGGCTGAGTTGGGAGGATCACTTGAGTTCAGGAGTTTGAGACCAGACTGGGAAACCCAGTAAGACCCCTGTCTCTACAGAAAAATTTAAAAATTAGCCACGTATGGTGGTGTGCTCCTGTAGCCCCAGCTACCCAGGAGGCTGAGGCGAGAGAATCACTTGAACCCAGGAGGCAGAGATTGCAGTGAGCTGAGATCATGCAATTGCACTCTAGCCTGTACAACAGAGTGAGGCTTCATCTCCCTCCCCCAACCCCCCCAAAAAAAGGAAAATTAAGTCAAAAGAAAATTCAACAAGTATTTTTAAAATTATATATTGACCACATTATCTGATCAAAATGCAATAAAATTAAAAATCAATGATAGAAAGATTTCCAATAACTTACCCAAACATGCACACATATACTTTAGAAATGATAAAAGATTCTTCTAAATAACTCATGGATCAAAGAAGAAATCATAAGAAAAATTATATTTAGACTTAAAGATGAAAGATACATAAACACACACAGAGATGATGGAAAATAAGAGAGAAAGGCGAAGAGATGCAGAGGATAAATTCAGGAGATCCAACATCTCATCCTAGTTTTTCCATAAACACCTAAAGGAGAAAGAAAAGTGAGAGTATTATCATAGAATTATAGAAATTTCCCTACTCTGTAACAATATGAGTTTCCAAATTGGAAGGACTTACGAAGTTCCCAGGACAATAAAGGAAAAGGACCCACACCAAAGCACATTATGACAAATCTCCAGAATAATACAGATGAGTAAAAATGCCAAAATATTTCAGAAATGTTTAAGAATTACATAAAGTGATCCAAAATATTATGCACCCATTCTCAGAAAGCTACTGCAGAATGTGCTCCACCAAAATAACAGCATTAACAACGGGGGAGGTGCAGGCACCAAAAAATCAGTGACATGAACCCTGAAGAAAGGCAGATGGGCTGGGCGCAGTGGCTCACACCTGTAATCCCAGCACTTTGGGAGGCCAAGACGGGTGGGTCACAAGGTCAGGATTTCGAGACCAGCCTGGCCAACATGGTGAAACCCCATCTCTACTAAAAATACAAAAATTAGCCGGGCGTGGTGGCAGGCACCTGTAGTCCCAGCTACTTGGGAGGCTGAGGCAGGAGAATCGTTTGAACCCAGGAGGTGGAGGTTGCAGTGAGCTCCAGCCTGGGCAACAGAGTGAGACTCCCTCTCAACAACAACAACAAAAAAAAAGGCAGATGGACTCCCCAGCATGACAGTGAAGGGAAATCCCAAGACGGGAGCTGCACAGCAGGCGTAAAGCACAAGTCCAGATTGAAAGGATTTGGAAGGATCGGACAGAGGATGCTAGGAGGGTTACCTCTGGGAAAGAGTTACAAGCAATCGAATACAAAATGTGTATGACCACAGTGGGAGAAGATTTGAATTATAGAGGCGGCCTTAGGGATGAAAGAGTGATAAGAAAATGGAAAACTAAAAAAAAAATAAAAGCCCATTATTAACTTTTGAAAGGAAAAAGGTGGCAAAACAGGAAATGTAATCACAGCATACTACATAGCTCTTCTGTGAATTATACCTATATATCTATATAATAATGCAAACTCTGAATATTGATTTACTGCAAAATGGAGACAAGGCTCTATTAACAGATGGAGGAAGGGGAAAGCTGTGGGGACAAATCCCATCTTCCGTAGTAGGAAGTCAGTAGATCATATTTAAACTCCAATATCAAGAAATGAAAATAGCTCATGTGGTGGAGAAATAAATAAATAGAAATGAAATTATATCATGTTAATTAGAAATAAAGCAATAGGCTCCAAAAGAAATAGCTAAAAATGTTTTAAAAATAGTCGTCTCTGTGGAGTAAGATTAGGGTAAGGATGTTAAGAAGGGAAGTGACTCTTTTATTATAATCCTTGGTGACTCTTTAAACCAAACATGTAGTACTCCATGGGATGCCACAAAATCAGTATTTAAAGGGAATGTATATGCTTAAGTGTATGCATTAGGAAGAAATGGAAATTAATGAGCTAAGCATATGACTCTAGGATTTAGTAATACAGCACAGTTAACCCAAAGAAAGTAAAAGGCAATAATGAAAAATGATGAAATTAAGAAGAAATTAGAGAAATGAAAGCAAAAGCTAAATCTTTGAAATAAACTAGCAGGGCCGGGCGCTGTGGCTCACGCCTGCATTCCTAGCATTTTGGGAGGCCGAGGTGGGCGAATCACGAGGTCAGGAGATCGAGACCATCCTGGCCAACATGGTGAAACCCCGGCTCTACTAAAAATACAAAAATTAGCTGGACGTGGTGGCGTATGCCTGTAATCCTAGGTACTTGGGAGGCTGAGGCAAGAGAATCACTTGAACCAGGGAGTCAGAGGTTGCAGTGAGCCGGGATTGTGCCACTGCACTCCAGCCTGGTGACAGAGAGAGACTCCGTCTCAAAAATAAATAAATAAAAAGAAATAAACTAACAGAACAGATTTTACTCTTTCTATGAGAGAATTGGTCATAACAGGTATAGTAAAGCTTTAAGACATCAAAAAAGATACTATGAACAATTTTATGCCAATAAATTTGACAACTAGAAAATGGGAATTACCAAAATTAACTCCAAAAGACATTTTAAAATATGAATGGACATCAAGCATTAAATAATTAAATCAGCCATCAATGTCAGAAAATCTCCAGGCTTAACCGGTTACAAATGTGAGTTTTGCCAAAATTTTAAAAAACAGATTATTCCTATTTTTACATTAACACACTTAAAAGAATAGAAAGAGAATGAAAACTAAAGAACTCATTTTATGAAGGTTGCAAAATCTTAATATCAAAAGTGGATAGATGGGTACAAAAAAATAGTTAAAAAGTATGAGAAAGGCCTAGTATTTACTAGCACAACAGGGTGACTATAGTAAAAAATAATTTAATTGCACATTTTAAATAACTAAAAGAGTATAATAGATTGTAACACAAAGGATAAATGCTTGAGGGGATGGATACCCCATTTTCTATGTTGTGATTACTATGCATTGCCTGCCTCTATCAAAATACATGTACCCCATAAATGTGTATACCTACTACGTGCTTGTTAGCCAATGTCATTCTTTTTTTTTTTTTTTTGTGTGTGTGTGTGTGTGTGTGAGATGGAGTCTTGCTCTGTCACCAGGCTGGAGTAAAGTGGTGCAATCTTGGCTCACTGCAACCTCTGCCTTCTGGGTTCAAGTGATTACCCTGCCTCAGCCTCCCATGTAGCTGGGATTACAGGCATGTGCCACCGCACCCAACTAATTTTCTGTATTTCAGTAGAGACGGGGGTTTCACCATGTTGGCCAGGATGGTCTTGGTCTCCTGACCTTATGATCCACCCGCCTCGGCCTCCCAAAGCCAATGTCATTCTTATGTAGCAGTACTAGCAGTAGTAGTAGTGATTGATAGGATCTGTTGAGCTCTTTATACATGTCAGACACAGTTTTAAGGCTTTTATAAATATTAATTCAGTCATCAAAACAGCCCTGATCAAGAAGGTTCTATTATTATCTCTATTTTATAAATTAGGATACTAAGTCATAGGTAGTTAAATAATGTGCCCAGGACCTAGGCCATCTTCCAGAGTTCTGTAACAGTCAGGCTACTGCAGACTATAAACAGAGAAAACACCTGATTCCAACTGGTCATTTGAAAACACAGAGCTGATTTGTTGCAAGTACACAGCTGCATCAAGACAAAAACACTGGCCAACACAACTGCACAAGAAAAAGAAATAATACTTTGAAGAACAGACAAAATTATATGTTTTCATAGATGATATAATTACCTACATTAAAAATCCAAGAGTATCTATAGACAAATCATTAAAACTAATAAGTTCTTTAGCAAGATTGCTAGATAAAAGTTAATGGTTTACTACACACCTGCAAAAATCTGTTAGGAATGATGCCTTTTTAAAATCTCATTCAAAGTGCAACCAAACTACAAGGTACCTAGGAATAAATAGAACAAGGGATATACAAGATCTGCATTGAGAAAAATTATAACTACTTTTTAAAAGGATAAAGGAGAAAAATACTATGATTTATAAATGGAAAAACCCAATGTCATATAACAATGATAATTTTCCCCCAAAAGACCTGTAAATCGAGTGCTATTCTAATCATGCAACTAACCACATTTTTCAAAGAAGTTGACAAGTCTTGTAACTCATTTGGGGAAAGTAAGATACAATTTTGAAGAAGAATAAGGTGGAAGAAGGGAGAAGGAGTATTCCTTTCCAAATAGAAAGACTTAGCATAAAGCTATAATAGTTTGTTAAAGTATGGACTTTCTTAAAGAATACACAAACTTGGAAAAGAATAGCCTAGAAACAGACCATTATATATGGGAACTTGATATATAACAGAAGCTATACTATGAATCAAAGCAAAAGCTCTAGTTAATAAGTTTGGAGAATTTTTATTCAATTCCTATCACATCTTTTACTCAAAAAATAATCGTAATAGATTAACAATCTACATGGGAGGCTGGGCATGCTGGCTCACACCTGTAATCCCAGCACTTTGAGAGGCCAAGGCGGGCGGATTGCTTGAGCCCAGGAGTTTGAGACCAGCCTAGGCAACATGGGAAAACCCCGTCTCTACTGAAAACACACAAAAAATTAGCTGGGCATGGTAGTGCATACCTGTAGTCCCCCCTACTCAGGAGGCTGAGGTGGGAAGTTCACCTGAGCCCAGGAAGTTGAGGCTACAATGAGCCATGATCATGCCACTGCACTCCAACATGGGTGATGGAAGTAAGAACCTGTCTCAAAAAAAAAAAACAAAAAATCTACACGGGAAAGGCAAAACTATAAAACGTTTATACGATAACATGTAAGAATATTTATCTGATATCAGGATAGGGAAAGATGCCTAAAACAAAATGGAACCCGTAAACCATATAAGGAAAGCTTAGTAAAATTGAAAAAGTTTAAATAAAATGTTCTGTATGACAAAAGACACATAAACATTGTTTAAAAACAGAGTGGAGAAAAATATTTGAATTGTGTACAATGAACAAATTAAAGTCAGTCCTCACTATTTGTAGATTCCTTATATGTGAATTCACCTACTCGCTAAAATTTATTTGTAACTTCAAAATCAATACTGATGGTACTTTCACAGTCATTCACAGCCATGCACAGAGCAGTGAAAAATTTGAGCTACCTGAAACGCACATTCCCAGCTGAAGCCAAACAAGGCAGCATTCTGCCTTCTTGTTTCAGCTCTCATACTGTAAACAAATGTCCTATTCAAGGTGTATTTAGTGCCACATTTTTGCATTTTTGTGCTTTTTGGTAGTGACTTCCCTATTTAAAATGGCCCCAAAGCATATCACTGAAGTGCTGTCTAATGTTCCTAAGCACAAGAGGTTGTGATTGCCTTGTAGAGAAAATACATATGTCGCTTACCTATGTAACAAACCTGCACATCCTGCACATGTACCCGGAACTTAAAATTAAAATTAAAATTAAAAAAAAAGAAAATACTTGTGTTACATAAGCTTCCTTCAGGTAGGAGTTACAGTGCTATTGGCCATGAACTCAATGTTAATGAATCAACAATATATATTAAACATGTGTCTTTAAGCAGAAACATACATAAAACAAGTTTATGTATGGATCAGGTGAAGAAAATGTAGTGAAGGAAGGCTCCCTGGAACCTAGCCCTGTATTTCCCCTGGGAGCAACGGTTCAGTATTCACTAATTCAGTGTTCCCTGTGACTTTATAGAATGTAACTACTGAGAATGAGAATCAACTGTACATTCATGAGTCTATGAAGTTCTACAAATCAAAAGGAAAAGACAAACAACTTGATAGAAAATAGCAAAGCATACAAACAGACAAGACTCAGGAGAAGAAATCTGAAGAGCCAATAAATATAAAAAGTTGCTCACCTTATTTGTTCATCAGGAAAATGTAAACTAAAACTATAGTATGTCTTTTCACACCTGTCAAATTGGCAAAGACACAATTGTAAATGTTGACAAGGAGACAGAGAGGACAGAACACTTATACATGCACTGTTGTTGAAACTGTAACTTTGACTACTTTGGATAGCAATGTGGCAATCCCTATTATGGCTGAAAATGCACAGTTTGTATGACCCAGCAAATCCACTTCTAGATAACACCTTACGGAGCCAGGTAAAATATGTATAGGATAAACATTGGTATTGAAAAGAATAATAAAATGGCCAGGTGCGGTGTAATCCCAGCACTTTGGGAGGTGGAGGCAGGAGGATCACAAGGTTAGGAGTTCAAGACCAGCCTGGCCAATGTAGTGAAACCCTGTCTCTACTAAAAATATAAAAATTAGCCAGGCATGGTGGTGTGTGCCTGTAGTCCCACCTACTCGGGAGGCTGAGACAGGAGAATCGCTTGAACCCAGGAGGCAGAGGTTGCAGTGAGCTGAGATTGCACCATTGCACTCCAGCTTGGGCAACAGAGTGAGACTTTGTCTCTGTTTTTAAAAAATGAAGTGTCTAAATGTCATTAATATTGCAATGAGTAAGTAAACTCCAAGTTATATATCAGTAAAAATCAGTAAGCTAGATAAACATATATCAAACAAATATCAAAAACATTTTGCAGACTGAAAACACATTATAGAAGAATATGTATAATAGCAACTATAGAGGCTGGGCATGGTGGCTCACGCCTGTAATCCCAGCTCTTTGGGAGGTTGAGGCAGGTGGATCACGAGGTCAAGAGATCAAGACCATCCTGGCCAACATGGTGAAACCCCGTCTCTACTAAAAATACAAAAATTAGCTGGGTGTGGTGGTGCACGCCTGTAGTCCCAGCTACTCGGGAGGCTGAGGCAGGAGAATCGCTTGAACCCAGGAGGCAGAGGTTGCAGTGAGCCAAGATCGTGCCACTGCGCTCCAGCCTGGTGACAGAACAAGACTTCGTATCATAAAAAAAAAAAAAAAGAAAAGAAAAAAGAATTAGCAGCTATACAAATTTTTAAAGCATGTACATAATTTTGTTATGGTAGCACAAAAACCCACACAAGAATGGTGCAATGATGCATATAACTTTAAAGAGGAAGGAAATAGTATTGGAGATGGGACAATAACAAATTATATTAATACTAAAAAACTTTACCTATTGTATAAAATTATTCACTTAATCCTCAAAATAGCCCTATGAAGTAGGTACCATTATTCTGACTTTTCAGGTGAGAAAACTGGGGCACAATTAAGTAACATACTAGGAAATCCTTCTAATAGTAATATTGAGAAGGGGAAAGAAATATAATTATCAGTGTCTTCCTCAGGTTTTGGAGTTGGTAAAATTTACATTCTGAACAGTCTGGTGAGAGCTGGGCCTTTGAGTCCTTGACTTCTCTCAAAGAACAACTATAGGATGCCACGTTTGGGCTCACAGGCTGTCAGAAAATGGGCTCTATGTTTATTTTGATTAATTCAAAATAGTGTGAGGAGGTGTTAATGAGACATCATTTTATACTCTTTCATACCCTCAAACGTTGGAACAGTGGGGCTACCGTAGTAAAACTGGTCAAGGCATCCTTTCCTTTCATTCCAGGTATCACTTTTTAAATTTCAAATACTTTATTCACTTAACACATTTTGGGTTTTAATATATTAGTGTGACTTTTTAAAAGTCAGATTGGCAAATGCAGAATCATGTTGCAAGTTACTTCTTACAGTTCAGTGTTGTGTGAAATTTAATTTATATGGAATCAGAAACACAGAACTGGAAGAGACACTGGAGACTACTTCTGCCCCCTCATTTTACCAAGTAGCTTATGCAACATCCCATACAGATCAAAACTAGGATGCTATCCCATTGCCCAAGAAATATTAACTCCAGGAAAAGCAAAACAAGTCTTAGAATATTTACAGCTTCTAGCAGTAAAAACTGTTCAGAACTTGTGTCCAATCTGATTTCCTCAAACCTCCTCCATGTGGATATCCCTGAATGAAGAAAAACAACAACAGGATGCCACTGGGACCAGGCTCTAGGCTCAGACAGAGCCCCAGCCCTCCATTGGGTCAATTATTTGGTGACCATCCTGTGTCATTACAAACAGAAAAGTCTCCCTTGCTATAAATTAACTCATTGAAATCTAAGATACATTTGTTCTATTTTTTCTTTTTCTAAGATAAAGCATGTTAAATTCCTTATCACTAACAACAGGCTTATCTGTAGCAAAAAAAAAAAAAAAAGTTGTAAGGATGAGTGCACTATTTCATGAACATTTCCTTACTTAGCATGACACTTTTATTCTCTGACTAACCCTTACAAACAATCAAACAAAGCTCTAAAACTCAAACCCCCCAAAAGAGAAAAAACAACTCTAAGACATATTTAATTACCTTTAGCATATTTTAGCTGACTTTGTGGTGGCACTCCAATATTGTGCATTAGAGAGTTTGACAACACAAATGACTTTTTAAAATCCTGATAATCCATGGATATTTCCTTTAAGCACTTCAAATATGTCATAAACAAGCATGGACATTGCATTGGCTCTCATGAAAATCTCATTCTAAAACCTATCAAGATGGTTTTCACTTTTCTTCCTAAAAAAGAGTGGTAAAGACAGATTCTAATTACTAAACATAAATGATAAGTATTTCCATTTAATAATTTCTTAATAAATTACATTTACATGTTTATATTGAACATAAAATTTGAAGATAAATGGGTCTTACAAACAGAGAAGTAAACTTTAAAACGTAGTTTAGTGAAATTGTAAGAAAAAATTCAATTCTGACTTAAATTCTAATATTTTGTGCTTAATATAAAAATAGTCACTAATAGTTTATGAACCTGGGCAGCTCATATAGTGAAAACAAAATAGGAGGGGCAGAGGGTTTTTTTTTCTCCCTTTTGTTTGTTCCTCTTGGCTCAAACCTCTCATAAAAATACACACCCCTGGCCCCATCAGATGTTAGCATTGCCTTTCGAAGAAGCTAGGAACTATCACTAGGAGGCCCTTCATCTTCCATCCACCAAAGAACAATCCACTTGCTTCTTTTCCCATACTGTGCACCCCATTCTACTGCTAGCAATGAAATGTCCTATCAAAGGCCTTATGCTTTTTCACTTCGGAATTCCATTTACAACCTATATCATCTATTTCTCCTTCTGTCTTGTTTCAAATATGCTCTAGAATTTCCTATCTTTAAAAAGAAAAAAATTCCTTTTTCCTCTAGATCCAGCTTCAGCTATCACCCCATAGGCATGTGTATCATACGGAGAAGAAGGAATTGGTGGGGCCATCTTTGAAGAGGATCTACCATAATAGCAACTTCACAATCCTTTCTTTACTTGACTTCATAGCAGCAAAAGACATACTAACACCCACCCCCTTTCTTGAAAGACTTTTATTTTGCATTCCATGACAACCCATGTATTAGTCTGTTTTCACACTGTGGAAACTAAAGACATACCTGAGACTGGGAAGAAAAAGAGGTTTAATTGACTCACAGTTCCACATGGTTGGGCAGGTCTCACAAACATGGCAGAAGATGAAGGAAGGGCAAAGGGACTTCTGACATGGCAGCAGGCAAAAGAGAGAGCTTGTGCAGAGAAACTCCCCTTTATAAAACCATCAGATCTCATGAGACTTATTCACCATCACAAGATCAGCACAGGAAAGACCCACCCCCATGATTCAATTACCTCCCACCAGTTCCTCCCACGACATGTGGGAATTGTGGGAGTTATAACTCAAGATGAGATTTGGGTGGGGACACAGCCAAACCATATCACCCCACCTGGGTTATCCACCTCCCTGCTTAGACCATCCATCCCAGTCAGCTTTGGTACACTTCCTTTGAGATATCCCACATCTCTTGGGGGCCTTGCTCTTTTCATGGCCATTAAACATTGACTAGATGACCTCATCTTGCCCCATGGTTTTCAATACCCGCTATGTGCCAACAAGTCCTGAATCTGGACTCCAGCTCACATCCCACCCCTTACCAATCATTGTACATCTCAAACTGCCTACTAGAAACTCCAAAGCTAGCTTGACCTCTTTTCAATCAAGCCTTTAGTCAAATATTATCTTTAGCACTTCCCTGAGCATTATGTAAAAAATGGCACTTTCACACCATCACTCTCTATCCCACTAATTATTTCTTTTTCTTAGCACATATCATCAACTGATATACAATAAATTTACTTCACTACTTCATCATGTCTCTTCCAACTTCACCTGTTTTGTTGGCTATGTGTCCCCAGCCTCTCGGTGCCAAATGTATTTCTGGTTCCTTATCTGCTGCTTCTCTTGAGGGTTAACACAGTATCCCAAGGATTTTGAAATGGCCACATTTAATACTCACCATCTCTCCTCCTCTTAATTTGCCGATAAAATTGCTAAATTCCCATTGCTATGAACACTGCCCATTATCCTTCTAGCTCCTAATCTGCCTCATAACTTGAGGATGGGGGGGAAATGGTTTTCCGAAGCCTTTGCTGTGTAAGCCTAGCTCTTATACTGACACTTCTGGTATTAACATCATCCAAAGTGTAATAAAAATCAGCCAATAACTGTTCTCTGAAAATAGTTTAATTCTCACTCTAAGAGTAGTGATCAGGTACATAGATCAAAAGCCAAGGTCTTTCCTAGAGTTTACTTCTCTGTTGATTTATGTATGTCTTTATGATATTTTAAATTTTAAAAAATAACAAATGCATGTAGATACAAGAGAACTTCATAGTCCTGAGACCTCCAATATTTAGAAGTGTGGAGATTGCAAAGTGACTGAGAAAGAGCAAGAGAGGAGGTCCCAGAAGCCAGAGAGCATTTCAAGGGGGAAGTGATGAACTGAGCCAAGAATTGTTGCTGCTCTGGACAGAAGGAGGATGTGCAGGGAAGGCCATGGTGGTCTGGAGAGCTGCTCCAGTGAAGAGAAAGGGGTCAAATCAGTGAGCAATGGTTCTGTGCATGATAACGAGCAGGTCCAAGTGAACCAAACACAAGTGATAACACCAAGGGCTTTACATTGCAATTCTGGCTCCAATCCCCACAGGGTCACTGGGTCTCAGAGCAAATCACTTAAACTACTGCTCTTTGGTATCAATTGCAAATTGATGAGTGTAACAAATAGCATCTACCCACCCCACAGAATCCTTGGGTTCAAGGGTACAATGGACTGAATGTCTGTGTCCCCCCAAAAATCCATATGCTGAAACTGTAATCCCAATGTGATGATGTTTGGAGGTGGGACCTGTGGGAGGTGATAAAGTCATGAGGCTGGGACCCTCGTGACTGAGATTAGTGCCCCTATGAAAAGAAGCCAAAGAGATTGCTGGCTGTCTTTCTGCCACGTGAGGATACACAGGAAGTCAGCACTCTACAACTTGGAAGAGGCCCTCACCAGAACTCAACCGTGCTGGCATCCTGATTGTGGACTTCCAGCCTCCAGAACTATGAGAAATAAATTCCTGTTTGTAAGTCACTGGGTCCATGGGACTTGGTTACAGCAATCTGAGCTCGAAGACAAAGATTGAGCATGTACATGAAGGAACTTTTAAATTAGGAAAGCTCCGTGTACATGTTGGGTCCTATTTCAGACACTTCTAGGAGCCAAACAACCATATCATGGGCTCAAACTCAAGATTTATGGACTCCTTCCTTCTCAGTATAAAGAGATGTTTTTATAAAGTTCACAAAATCTTATCAAACTAGAATTTTTTTAGTAGAAAATTTAGAACTTTTGAGAGTAGAAAACAGATTTAAAAAGGAATAGAAAGCTGATTTATAAAAAATCATTATTGTACTGAATCTTTGACTTTCAATGATGAGGAATTTTATTTTAGTCAATGTATTATACATCAAATGTAGGTTTAAAAAAGGTAATACAGGTAGTCACACAATTATACTATGATACTTGCTAGTACTGAAATGCTGTGCTAGAAATATTTTAAGATTGAATCACAAAATTTAAGATTATTTATCAATAACCAATAATTTCTCCAATTAAATTATCATGAGCAGATTGAGCACAACAGCTCATCCAGGAAACTTTTTTTCAATATGGAGATAGAGTTTAAATTCAGGATGAACCACAGAGCATAAGAGTTCAGGTTCTGGGGCCGGAGGCTGAGGTATAATCCAGGCTCTCCTGTTCTCTAAGCTATTGACACCAGGGCAAACTATTTAACTTCTCCACCCTGTGTCACTCTCCCCAATCTCATTTCTCTCTCCCCTACAAAGAACCAATATCCTGAATTTGGTTTTCAACATTGCCGTGCATGCACTTGATTCTTTTTAAAGTAAGAATGTATGCCAATGTAAATAAAATATAGTCTTGTTTTGTATTTTTTACATTTTAAATAAACAGGATACACTAATTACAGCTTCTGTAACTTACCATTTTTTCAGTCACCTTTGATATTTATCTATGTTAATATCTACAGCTCTAATTTATTTATATTCATAAAAATACACAAATTCCATTATGTTAAAAGGAATGTAATTTATTTAGCCATTCTCTTACTGATAGACCTTTAGGGCATTTACAATTTTTCACTTTTGGAAATAATGCTGCAGCAATCATCTCTGCACGTAAACAACTTACCTACGAATGGAATTACGGTGTCACAGGTTATTAGACATTTTAATTTTTAATATTGCCAAATTGCTCACAGAATCGTAGTACTAATTTGTATCCCTACCAGCAGCATGAGTTTCCTCTTCCTTGCCATTTCAGCAACATTTCATTGTATCAGACTTGTAAAATTTTGCCTATCTGGTAGGTAAGAAATAGTATACATTGCAGCTCCAGCTGCCATTTGCCGGATCATTGTGGAGGTTGAGCATCTTGTAGTATTATGTATATTGGCTATTTCTGTTTCCTCTTCTGTAGCTTTCTTATTGATATCTTATGTCTATTTTCTCTTGGGTTGTTCAACTTTCTGTAACTGATTTTTAGGGGTTTATTGCATATTCTTTATGCTAAAGCTTTGTCAATTATATGCTATGCAAATACCTTCATTCAGTCTTTGTCTTTTAACTTTCCTGATGGTGCTTTTTAATTTACTTGAATGCATCAATTATGATTTGTGCTTTTTGTTTGTTGTTCTTTTTTCTAGAAATCAGTTCTTGCCCTGATATTATAGAATGTTGTTCTGTGTTTTCCAAAACTTTCAAAATACGATTTTTCAAATAAAATTCTGAAGAACTCTTGAGCATGTGTGTGTGCAATAGTGTAAGACAGCTATTACTTTCTTTCACATCCATTCATTTATTTTACCTTTTCATCAATCTGCTCTATTCATAGAGTAGATACTATCAGAATTGACGAGTAAAATAAAAACCTGAAAATATATTTCATAGATACGAGGCCACAGAGCTTGTCACTAACCAAGAAAATCAAAGTGAGCATCTCCATCTAAATGAGCCCCAGGCATTTCCCTCGTATCAACATGTAAATCTGAAGTCTTATCTTCACTCCTCAGGCCACCTCCCCACCCACACTGCTCCTCTTCCTGCGTTCAGGTGTAGTCCTGGGTTTTATCAGCCGGGCTGCCCCATCAACCACGGAGATGGTTGCACACTGGACTTCCCGAAAGCTGGGTGGGCACCCTCCCCAACCCCCAAGCAGAGATTAGAATATAATCAGTCTGGGCGAGGCCAGGCACTGATAGCTCCTAAAACTCCTCAGATGATTTTAACGTGAAGCCAGAGTGGTTAACCTCTAGATCAGTGCCTCGCCCCCACTCCCGCCCTTGCATATTTGGTAATACCTGGAGAAGTTTTTGGTTGTTTGTCTCCTCAGCACTCCCAAGAGTGCTACTGTCATCTCATGGCCAGAGGTCAGTGATGCTGTCCAACCACCTACCATGCTCACAATGCCAAGCCCCATAATCATTAAACAGAGAAAGCGTCGACAGCCAAGGTTGAGAATTGGACCTAGAGTATGCTACCTCCACTTTTGTGACTTAAAATGCTACTCAGCACCAATGGCATGGCATGGACATCACCAGAGAACTTGTTAGCCATGTGGAATCTCTGGGTCCTCCCCAGGCCTTCTAGTCAGAATCTACACTCGAGCAGGAGCCCCAGGTAGCTCATGGGCAGGTCACAATTCAAGAGGCCTTGCACTGGGCAGCTTCCTCCCTCTCCCCTTCCCCCTGCAGATCTAATCAGATAACACATCCTGTCAGCACCATATCTTTATTTTCTCTGAAATTGTCCTGGCCCATCCATCCCGAGGACAACTTTATCAGCCCAAGACTTCATTATTAGTCATCTGAAGTATTGCAATAACCATCCAATCTGATCACCCTCTTCTGTCCTAGTTGAGCTCCTCACCCTTTCTGAGAGTTATGACACATTTTAAGATGGAAGAACATAACCAAACCTTCCCAGGGGAAAACGCACACATCACACACACCTACCCACCCTCACATACTCCTAACATATTGCACACAATTTCGACAGGTTTGCATAGCTTCTAATGTGCTCCTCAGACCCCTCCAGGCAAAAATCTCCACCTTAGTCTCTGAGTAAACAGATGTGAACTTTTGGGTCCCCTGCTGAAAGCCTCAGCTCTTTGGTGTGGATACCCAGGCCCCCCACAATTCCTCTCCACCACCAACAGCACAGCCTACACCAGCCAATCATATTCATGGCAGCTGCCTGTGTGCAAGTGCTCTGCCCCACCACAGAGTTTAGCAGATGCTGTTCCTCCTGCCTGCTGCATCCTTCTTTCCGGAGTTGTCTGGCTTAACCCTGCTCCCACTTTGGGTTAGATTCCCTTTACTGCTGATCTCTTAGTTCCCAGAGCTTTCATCTGCCACAGCACTTCCTGAAGTATAGTATAGGGTGTGTGTGTATGTGTGTGTGTGTGTGTGTGTGTGTCTTACAAGTCTCTCATCACATCTGAGTCAGGAAAGGGTATCTTTCATCATCTGCATTACTCCTGTAATCCCAGCACTTTGGGAGGCCAAGGTGGGTGGATCACGTGAAACCAGGAGTTCGAGAACAGCCTGGCCAACATGGCGAAACCCCGTCTCTACTAAAAACACAAAAATTAGCTGGGCATGGTGATGGGCACCTGTAATTTCAGAGTTTCATCTCTGCAACTTCAGTTCCTGACACAAACAGAAGCTCATTAAAGGTTACTAATAAATGTAAAGGAACAATAAAGCTAGCATTATTTCTACTCTGTCATATTGCTTTCCAATGTATGCTTTGGTAGCTTGGCATTTTCTCCTTATTAATAAGGTATAAAGCCTTGTTTCTTAGTCAGGCATTGTATTCAGTAAGTATGAGTGTTCATGCTTTTAAAACATACATTTTCTTATATTCCTGAAACATAAGTAAAAAAGATTAAACGTATGATCATGATAAATGAGTGAGTGCCTAGGAGTCCCCTGGGTTCTGAGGAAACGTACCCCAAGATCTATGCTCCCATAATATTGCCTCCAGAAGCTCAGCCCTGTCTTCCGCAGGTCTTCCTCTGGGAATTCACAGCCATTCTCAGCTGATTATGGGAGATGAGAATCTAGAAACATTTTCCATGTTTGAATGTCCAGTTGAAAGAGTTCATTAAAGACATAGATCTTGAATTCGGATAAGAGATAAAAGTTTTAAAGCTAGAAATGTTTATCACTGCAAACATTTTAATATACCTGCAGAGATTACAAACTAGTGCATTATGTTTATTTTAAAGGGATAAGAGCCTCCCTAACACCAGGTCACCGGTTTTCAGGTAAAACCAGAAATTACAAACTCACCATCCTCATTTAGTGAAATGGGAAAGTTGCTTAATAAGAATAGAGCATATTCATTAAAGAAAAGCCTTTTACAAACAAATAACATTAAAATATTTTACAGCCATGTTGTTTTATATCTTCTACTCTTTTGCAATTACAACTTATTTCTTTCTGCCTTCCAAAACAAACAAACATGAAATGTCTTTTGCTTTTAAGGTGTCACCTCTTCTTTGCTTTGATTTAGTGCTCTTTGGCCACAAGCCCACTGGCCCCAAGCCACATCATCAGGTTCCTCTGCATTGCCTTGGAAGGGAAGGATTTGGCATTGGAGCGCAGGAAGCCTGCTCCAGCCAGAGTTCCTACAAAGTGCCCTCTGCGTGGCAGCTGCCATCTGTTCGGCTTTCTCTCCTTAGACGGAGCAGGTCCTCAGGATGCCCTGTTCTCCTTTTCCCAAGATGACCCCCTTCCCCAAAGACAAAGGCTCTGTCCACACCCCCCAGGGAAACAGGGTAGAAGGGCAGATCCTTCTCAGGGACCAACATAAAGGAAACAGCAAACAGCCTACATATTTGAAAGCGTTGACAAGGTCCTGTCTGAGGAAAACAACAACTAACAAAACAAAACAAAACAAAACAATTCTCTTCTCTTCCAGACACCCTTAAGTCCTCAATCCTAGAATCATTTCCTCCCTGTCCACATGAGTTAGAGCTGCACTGAATTTGTCACTGCAGACAGGCAAGATAACAGAGAAAAACAAGTCAGCAGACACCAACCAGTAAGATTTTGAGGTCTTACATAAAGAGAGCGTTCTGCCAGTGTCTGGGGTTGGTACACCTGGTTTGAGATGGGTTCTTCTATTTACTGGCTCTATCACAAACTAATCACAGAATCTCTTTGAGCATTCATTTCCTCCCCTGTAAGATCAGAATGAAGATAAAAATTAAACCTACCTCACAACAGCCTCCCTCATACTCCTCTTTAATTCAAGAAATTTTGCTTGAATTATCAGAGTAAGAATTTACAATGTCCAGCCAGGCGCGGTGGCTCAAGCCTATAATCCCAGCACTTTGGGAGGCCAAGATGGGTGGATCACCTGAGGTCGGGAGTTCTAGACTAGCCTGACCAACATGGAAAAATCCCATCTCTACTAAAAATACAAAATTAGCCAGGTGTGGTGGCACATGCCTGTAATCCCAGCTACTCGGGAGGCTGAGGTAAGAGAATCGCTTGAACCCAGGAGGCGGAGGTTGCAATGAGCCGAGATCGCGCTGTTGCACTTCAGCCTAGGCGACAGAGCAAGACTCTGTCTCAAAAAAAGAAAGAATCCATGGTGTACAATTCAAATCTGGTCAATAAAGCATCGATACAACACTTTACAAATGCAAAAACCTCTGCATCCAAGGATCTATTCACGTCTCAGGCTCTGAGGTCAATTACTCCCTTCCATTAAACAACTTCCTGTTTTGCTCTATAGTATCCTTTATCACACTGGACTCTTTACACTATTTTTGTTCTGCTTTTTTTCTACCCGCAAAATCATTGCACCTGAACAAGAAACTGATTTGTTTTTCAATCAGGTTTTCTCACAGAATTAGTGACATAAGAGGATTGTTTGTTTTCAATCTTTTTTCTCCTCCTAGATCTATTTTTAAAACAAATTTTATTTTGGGATGTCCTGACTGGGATGATACTAAATTGAAAAGCCTGGTGCAAATTTTATTGACCTCCATTTCCTACTATGAAGGATGTCCCCGACTAATCTGTCATCTACAGGGCAGACAAAGGCCAGAGGCCAGGGAAGCCAAAACAGATGTTGTGTGCAAGAAGCCCAGGGCCAGACTCTTTACGTTTTGTTGATTGGTTTTAAAATAGTCAACTAGAAGAAAAAGGAAAAAACACATGGGCATTTTTCTTCTTATTCCAAGCTGTGCCAAACTAAATGTGACTTGAATGTGCATGGCAAACACAATGCCTACAAATAGACTTTTAATCAATGTTTCTTAGGTATGATAGAATGAATGGATGGAACGATGGATGGATGGTTGGATAGATGGGTAGATAAATAAATGAATGAGTGAATATTATTGAAGGTTTTCTATTTAAACCATGCCCAGAACACAAAAAGACAAAAGTTATCACTTAGAAAACTCTGAATTACAGGCCAGTCGTTCTGCCCGCTGGTCCTCGCACCCTCTCCCTTGCCGGTGTCCTGCTCGCCATCCCCACCATACTGTCTCTAGTCTTTTTGGATGATGTGCAGTGGATGAACAAGTGGCGGCTCTATTATCAAGTCCTAAATTTTGGAATGATTGTCTCATCAGCACTCATGATCTGGAAGGGGTTAATGGTAATAACTGGAAGTGAAAGTCCAATTGTGTTGCTCAGTGGCAGCATGGAACCTGCATTTCATAGAGGATATCTTCTCTTTCTAACAAATCGAGTTGAAGATCCCATACGAGTGGGAGAAATCGCTGTTCTAAGGATAGAAGGAAGAAAGATTCCTATAGTTCACCGAGTCTTGAAGATTCATGAAAAGCAAAATGGGCATATCAAGTTTTTGACCAAAGGAGATAATAATGCGGTTGATGACAGAGGCCTCTATAAACAAGATCAACATTGGCTAGAGAAAAAAGATGTCGTGGGGAGAGCCAGGGGATTTGTTCCTTATATTGGAATTGGGACGAGCCTCATGAATGACTATCCTAAACATAAGTATGAAGTGCTCTTTTTGCTGGGTTTATTTGTGCTGGTCCATCGTGAGTAAGAAGTCTGCCTTGCTGTTCCTGGGAAGATGCCACATTTTTTGTTACTGGATGTTTGGAGTAGATATTGGTCTGTGATTGGTGGAATGGAGAACACACGTGTTGGCGCTTCTTGGCAGCACTGGTTTGCATGAGTTTGTTTCCACGCCAGAGTTTTTGTGGGCGGCCGCATGTGCACCACAGAGTGCATTTGAGGGGACTTTCATTCACAGGATTTCATAGTTGTCATTGTCACACTTTCACATTTTTGTATACAGCAGTGAATTTTTTATATTAAAAGATTGAGCCAAAAAAAAGAAAATTCTATGAATTACAAAGTGAATGCCTTCCTACTTTTTAGCGATTAACAATGTAAAGTTTTATCCATATCCTTCCCTATTTTGTCATATTTTAATACTTTTATTGTTTTATATTATTTATCTATTTATTTATATATCATTAATTTTTTTCCCAAATTACAATCACCATTGTCCGTAGTGATCTACATCTCATTTTTTTCACTTATACATCAAGAATATTTGTTCATGTCAGTGTATAGAGATCCACATTGTTCTTTTTTAATGACTACGTGATATTCTGTTGTATAGCCATACTGTAAGTGATTTAGTCAGACTCTTATTGAAAATTAAATTGTGTTCAATTTTATGCCATTACCACAATACTACAATGGACTGCCTCATATAATATATATATTATTTATATCACTGACCATCTATATAAATATATATATATATATTTTTTTTTTTTTTTTGAGACAGGGTCTTACTCTGTCACCCAGACTGGAGTGCAGTGGCACAATCACAGTTCCTTGCAATGTCAACCCGTCAGGCTTAAGTGATCCTCCCACTTCTGCCCCACTGAGTAGCTGGAACTACAGGCACACATCACCATGCCTGACTGATTTTTTTTATTTCTTGTAGAGACAAAGGTTTCACTATGTTGTCCAGTCTGGTCTCAAACTCTTGAGCTCAAGCAATCTTCCTGCCTCAGCCTCCCAAAGTGCTGGGAATACAGGTGTAAGCCACCACACCTGGCCTATTTTTTCTTTATAGAAACTCTGCACTTTAGAAATTTTAACATTTGTAATTCGTATGTGTGGCAAATATATTCTCTCAATCTGTTGCTTGCCTTTTAACTTTGTTTTTGGCATCCTTCACTGTTTAATTATTTTAAGCTTTTCTATTGTTAAATTTAGTTTTTCCTTTATTGCTTTTTCTTTTCTAAATAATCCTAAGGAAGCTTCCTCAACCCCAAGTTTATAAAAATGTATATCTATTCTTGATAATTATACTTTTTACGATTGAGATATTTAATGCTGACTTAATATCCATGTATGTTACCATATTCCAACCTTTTTCGGAATTAAGTTACATGGATGTGACTCATTCTAGCCAATGAGATGTTAGCAGAGGTGACATAGACAGTTCTATGTCATTTTCACCCCGATCGTGAAGACCCCTGTGTGAACCTTCAGATTTCTCTTCCATTTCAGCAGTACACCTTGAAACCAAATGGTTCAAATTTTGTGGGAACAAAATGGAAGCAGCCTTAATCCCTGAGTCACCACATGGAAGGAAGCTTCCTTGGAAGAATCTCCAGGCTCACTTCAGACTTCACATAATCAAGAAAGTTTCCTGGCTGGGTGTGGTGGCTCATGCTTGTAATCCCAACACTTTGGGAGGGCGAGGCAGACAGATCACCAGAGGTCAGAAGTTCAAGACCAGCCTGGCCAACATAGCAAAACACTGTCTCTACTAAAAATACAATAATTAGCTGAGCATGGTGGCACGTGCCTGTAATCCCAGCTACACAGGAGGCTGAGGCAGAAGAATTGCTTGAACACAGGAGGCGGAGGTTGCAGTGAGCAGAGATCATGCCCCTGCACTCCAGCCTAGGTGATAAGAGTGAGACTCAGTCTCAAAAAAAAGAAAAAAAAAGAAACTTTCCTATGTTAAGCTACTGTGATCTTAAGATATTTTTGATATTGCAGCATAGTTAACCTAGCAATGTTTTTTCTCTACATTTAGAAGTTTAATTCACCTACAATTTATATTTACATCATGCAATGTGAGAGTAAGTTTGTTTTTTCAAAATACTGTCATTATCGTAATATTAAACTGTTTTTACTTAGAATCTTCTCTTTTTTTTTTGGATGGAGACCACTCCTTCAATGATTAGATAGATGAGATATAAGATGGAAATAAATATTTGACTACTTACAGGTTCATGGGGTGCACAGCATGCCTGGAGGCCACACACACACACATTGCATACACACACACACACACACAGGTCAGGGAGTGTGTTGGGAGAGGGATCCGTGGGCCAGTCCCTTTATTGGAGTCCAGGACATTATTCAAACAGATTTCCCAAGAGGAGTTTTAGTTAGTAGGTTCAAAGCAGCAGGCACAAATTCCAGGTCACACCGTGACTGAGAGGTGGTCACTGTAGCACATCTGCACTGTCCATGTAGGATATGGGGATCAGCAGGGCCAGTCAGGTAAGTTGTATCCAGCTGTCCCATAGGGAGGGGGTTACCAGGAGGCAGTTATATAAGGCAGATAGCTGAATCAACAACACTGAGCAACTGGGTGTGGGAGTGGGGGGAGCATAAAACTGGAGACTGTCAAGACAGACTAACTCTGCTACTGATAAGAGAAAGTTAAATGTTCAAAATGCATGTTCAGGCAACATAAAATTATAAGATTCACTACATAAACCCACATATATCAATGTGTCTGTTTCTACATTCTGTCTTATGTACCACTGATCTATTTCTCTATCTCTATACCATTACCCAACCATTTTTATCTAAGTAATTATGTGTTATCTTAGGGAGCAAATTTCCCCTTCTGATTCTTCTTTTCAAATGCTAACTTCATTGTTACAAACAAATTTTAAAACCAACTTGTCTATTTCCCAAAACAATTCACTGGGATCCTAATCAGATTTGCATTATCTTTGTAAATTTACTTGGGAAGGAACAGCATCTGTATGTCATTTAGTCTTCCTCCCGTGAGGAATTATTACTATGTCTCATTTATTTTAGTCCTATTTTATGTCCTTTAATAAAAATATATATAGTGCTCTTATTAAGTTATTCTTAGATGCTTTACAAACTAATTTGACATTATCTTGAATGTGATTTTTCCCATTTTAATTTCTAATTGTTCAATGCTAGTAAAAGAAAGTAATACTTTTTTCTGTATTCCATCTTATATAAAGCCATTTTTAAAAATTTAATAGTCTAACAGTCTGTAAATTTGTTGTTGTTGTGGTTGTTGTTATTGTTGAGACGGAGTCCCGCTCTGTCGCCCAGGCTGGAGTGCAGTGGCTTTGATCTCAGCTTACAACAATCTGCACCTCCCAAGTTCAAGTGATTCTCCTGCCTCAGCCTCCCAAGTAGCTGGGACTACAGGCACTTGTCATCGCATCCGGCTAATTTTTGTATTTTTAGTAGAGACAGGGTTTTGCCATGTTGGCCAGGCTGGTCTCAAACTTCTCAGCTCAAGTGACCTGCCTGACTCGGCCTCCCAAAGTGCTGGGATTACAGACGTGAGGTACCTCACCTGTCCTGTTGAATTTATTATATTTTTAGGTATATTGTCATGTCATCTACAACTGATAAATGTGTTTCTTTTCTTCCAATGTCATTTTCTTGTATTCCTAGTTTACTTAAAGCTTATAAAAAGAGATTTAGGGGCCAGGCCCGGTATACTTGACTTAATCTGTTCAGGCTGCTAACAGAATACCATAGATGGGATGGCTTATAAACAGCAGAAATTTATTTCTCATCATCCTGGAGGCTGGAAAGTCCAAGATCAAGGCATCAGTAGGTTCAGTGTCTGGTGGGAAACTGCTTCATACACTGCTGTCTTTTTGTTTGCTTTTCTCTGTGTCCTGACAAAAAAGGGAAAGAGATTTCCCTGGGACCTCTTTCATAAGGGCACTAATCCCTTTCATGAGGACCTCACCCTCATGATGTAACCACCTTTCAAAGCTCTACCTCTAAATATCATCACATTAGGGATCAGGTTTCAACATACGGATTTTGGAGGATACAAATATTAACTCTTTAATAGCAATATCTAATTCTGAGTTTCAATTTCAAATAGGATCTAAGTAGAAGCTTGGTTGTAAAATCTCAGATAAAAGCTGCAGGTGACCAGATACTGAGGCTCAGCATATGCTAAAGTTGCCTAAATGCCTTCGGCAGAAATCAGGATTGGTCTTGGAGACTGGAGCAGGGCTGAGACTTGTAAGGAGGCCATGAAGGCTGGGAATCCTGCAGGACTTGAGAACAAGGAGTGAGCTGCATGCAAAGGAGTCCTGTGTGTTTAAAGCATCACTGAAGTGAGAGTACCAAGATGGTTAAAAAACTCTCATGACAGCTTGTGGTTGCCTATGTGTAATTCCACATTTAGAAATCGTGAGAAGGTCTGTATGTCATACAATTTTATTGTTATCCATAAAATAGTTCATGATATTTACAACCAATAAAATTTAAAATGTTTTAAACACCTTACATCTAAATAGAATCACAAACATGAAAAAAACACAGACCACATGTTGAAGGCTGTTAATTTGGAGATTGCTCACCCTGAGTGTTAACCTTAAAGCTCGTAGGGGGAGTGATTATTACAATCTAAGATTACTCAACTGAAACTTTTCTTCTATGTCAAGAAGCCACTCTGCTTGCTTGGTACTGGCTGCCTAGAATGTGTTTCAGAAGGATTCTGAGGTCAAGACCATGTGCACAGAGAAAGGGACGTGATAAATCAGTGGTGGACAACAGATAAGAGGATGGAGGCATTTGTGCCAAACTGAGACAACTTCCTCATCCTCACAGCAGCAGGCTCTGCAGGTTCCTCCCAGATCAGAAATAGCAACACCTTTTCAATGCCTCATTCTCGCCAGTTTTTGAGATAGGAATAGCACTGGGTGGTCGCAGGAGGATGGAAAAACCCAAACAACAGCAAAAACAGGAACTAGGCAAAGAAATCACAGGATAACAGAAAACCCAAAATAAGGGAGAAAATGGCCAAAACGCCAGTCAGGGTGACATGTTCATGACTCTTCCAGACAAACCCAAACAAGGGAGAAAGGGGATGATAACCAGGCAGCTCCCTGCAATCCCCTCCTTTTCCAGAATACCTAATGATTATTCCACCCATTAGTTAAACACCCATAAATTAGAAACCCAAACTCCATTGTGCACAAGTCATTCTCACGAGCACACACACACTTCTTCTGTAAGGGTGTGCTTTCACTTAGCAATGGAGGCTTCTTGCCCTGCACTTCATTCTGACTCGTCCCTGAATTCTTTCTCACATCAGCTAGGGGTGGGGTCTCACTGGCATCAGGAGACCCACCTGAGCCCTCCAACAATAGTTTTGTTAATATCCATCTATCACATTGCACCGGAGATTACACATGTACTAGATTGTCAGCCATTTGAAGGCAAAGAACATATTTTAATTATCTCTGTATTCCATCAGCTATTTCGGTAACTGGCATTTAATAAATACTTGTTGGTCAAATTAATATCTTTGATGAGAAAAAAAATAGATAAGATTCCTAAAAAATTCTCCTTGCCATTCTGAGTATCTAGCCCATTTCTGTTCCTAGTTCCCAAAGAAACACATCTACATATTTTGATTTGGGTAACCACTACCACAATAAAGAGACATAATAAGTACATCAATGCAAAGATTTTCCCCACACTACCCCGTTTAGTTACGCCCACATTCCGCCCCACTCCACCACCCCTAACTCCTGGCAACCATGAATCTGTTTTCTATGTCTATGGTTTTGTCATTTCCATAATGATATATAAATACAATCACACAGTACGTGATCTGTAGAGACTGGCTTTATTCAGTCAGCGTAATGCCCTTGAGATCCATCCAACTTGATTCATGCATCAACAGGTCATTCTTTTTATTCCTGGGTAGTTATTATGTGGTATGGATACACCAGTTTGTTTAACAATTTACCTTACATTTGTTTGTTTGTTTAGAGATGAGGTCTCCCCCAGGCTGGTCTTGAACTACTGGGCTCAAGCTATCCTCTCGCCTTACCCTCCCACAGTGCTGGGATTATAGGATTGAGCCATCACATCCGGTCCCATGTACCTAATGAGGGATATTTTGGTGGATTCTAGTTTTTGGCTATTACCAGCAAAGCCACTATCAATAATTGCATACAGGTTTTTGTGTGAACACACATTTTCATTTCTCTGGGATAGATACACAGCCGTGGAATTGCTGGGTCATGAGGTAGTGTATGTCTAGTTTAAAAATAATAATAATACCAATACTACCATGTTATTTTCTAGTGGTTAGTACCATTTTTCACTCCCACCAGCCATGTGTGAGAGAGGAAGTTTTTATACACCTTTGCCAGGATTTGATAATTTCACTATTTTTTTAAATTTTAGGCATTCTAATAGATGTGTAGTAATATCCTTGATAGCTAGTAATGCTGAACACCATGTGCTTATTTGCAATCTCTGTATATCTTTGATGAAATGTCTCAAGATCTTTGACCCGTTTTCTAATCAGATTGTTTTTTACTGTTCAGTTTTGAGGTTTATTTATAAATTCTAGTTATGAATCCTTTATTTTATATGTGGTGTGAAATACTTTCTCCCACCCTGTAGGTTGTTCCTCATCCTCTTAACAGGGTCTTTTGCAGAGCTAAGGTTTTTAACTTTAATAAAGTCCAACTTATTGATTTTTCTTTTATGATTTATGCCTTCAGTATCATGTCCAAGAACTCTTCACAAGCATTAGATCCCAAAGATATTCTCTTATGTTAACTTGTCAGTTTTACACCTTTACATTTTATCTATATTTGATTCATAGATTTTACATTAAATCCATAATTCATTTTAGCTTATTTTTGTTTAAGGAATGAAGTTGAAATTGAGGTTCATTTTTTTTTTGCCTATGGATAACCAGTTACACCAGCAGCATTTATTGAAAAGTGTTCTTTCCTTCACTGAATGGCTTTTGCACCTCTCATAAATTGGATGGGTGTATCTCTATTGAGAATGATCTATTGATCATTATGTCTATCCCTCTGCCAACACCACACACAGTCTTGTTGTCAAATTTATGTATGTACAGGTATTCATAGTCTTGATTTGTTAACTCTGTTGATGTCTGCAAAGTTGATAGTGCTATCTCCTGTCTCATTCCTGATATTAGTAAGTTGTGTCTTCTCTTTGTCATGATAGACTTTTCCCAGTATTATTGATCTTTGCAAAGGACCAACTTTTTTTTCCATTGCCTTTCTCCATTAATTTTCTGTTTTCAATTTTAATTTTATTAATTTTCTATTTAACATTTATAGCTTCATGCCTTCTCCTTACTTTGGGTTTGTACTCTTCTTTTTCTAGGTTTTTGAGATGGGAGCTTAGATTATTGATTTGAGATTTTTCTGGTTTTCTAATGTAAGTGTTAATGCTATGAAGTTATTTCCTAGTATTGCTTTAGTTGTGTCCCACAGAGTTTTATATGTGTATTTTCATTTTAATTCAGTTTAATATATTTGTTAAATTTCCCTTGAAACTTTCTCTTTGACCTATGAATTATTTACAAATGTCTTGTTCAGTTTCCAAGTGTTTGGAGATTTTTCCTATTATATTTCCAATATTGATTTCTAGTTTGAAACCTTTGTAAGTCAGAGAATATACTCTGAATAATTTCCATTTTTAAAAATTTATTGAAGCTTATTTTATCCCCAGCGTATGGTCTATACTGGTAAATAGCCCATGGGCAGTTGAAAAAAGGATGGGTATTTTGCTCTTATTGTGTGGAATAATTTGTAAAAGTCCACTAAATTCTGTTGGATGATAATGTTACTAAGTTCTCCTGTATCCTTGCTGATTTTCTATCAAGTGTTCTATCAATTATTTGCACTTTCAATTGTTTACATAGTATATATTAATATTTTCCCATTTATATTAGTCAGAGTTCTCCAGAGAAACACAACTAACAGGTGGTATATCTATATATCTAGGAGATAGATCTATTTAGATATAGATATAGATGATATAGATATAGATATAGATATAGAAAGATATGCAATAATGGAGGCTAACAAGTTCTACATTGTCCTGAAAGATCTTCAGCTAGCAAGCTGAAGACCCAGGAGAGCTGATATATACTTCCAGTCCAAGTCTACAGGCCTGAAAACCAGGAGAGCTAAGGGTGTAAGCTCCAGTCTGAAAGCCATTAGGCTTGAGACCCAATGTTTCAACCTAAAGATAAAGGCCAGAAGGACCAATGTCCCAGCTCAGTCAGGGAGAAGGCGTTCCCTCTTACACAGCCTTTTTGTTCTATTGGGGTCTTTAAATGATTGGATAAGGCCCACCCACATTAGGGAAGGTAGAGTAAATCTATTTTACTCAGTCTACTGATTCAAAGGTGAATCTCATCCAGAAACACCCTCACAGACACACCCAGAATATTGATTGGCCAAATATCCAGACACCATCTGACCCAGTCAAGCTGACCTATAAAATGAAATGTCATACCATCCTTTTACGTTCAACCTCCTTTTATTATTATATTTGAAATTAGTTTCTTGTGGACAGTTCCTTGCAAATATTGATATGTTAAGGCTGAAATATGTTATTTCATTTTCTGTTTCCTGCTTATTTTTCAGTTTATATCTTCTTCTTGCTATCCTGTGTATTATTTGAAGATTTTAAAGAATTCTGACTTGATTTCTCTATGTGTTTGGGGCGTATTGCTTTGTATAGCTTTTTAAGTGGTTACTCTAGGTATTCCATTATATGTATACAATACAATGGGTGTTGACAATTTAGCAGTTCAGATGAAGGCAGAAACTTTATCTACTGTTACATTTTTTACTCTCTTCCATTTATAATATAATTTTCTTAAATATTCCCTATGCATACATTGAGAACCACTTAGATGGTGTTGTATTTTTGCTTCAACTGTCAAACATAATTTAGAAAAGTCAAGAGAAGGAAAACCTATTGCATGTACCTCTATTTTTGCTTGCCATGTTCTTTCTTTATACCCAATGTTCCAAGATTCTTTTTTTAAATGTAATTTCTTTTCTATTTCGAGAATCTCTTTAACCATTTCTTTAAGGCATGTCTGCTGGTAACATACCTCTCTTAGTTTTTCTTTATCTGAGTATATTAGTTTCCTGTTGTTACTGTAAGAAATTACCACAAACTAAGTAGCTTAAAACAAGACAAATGTATTATCTCACCGTTATATAGGTCAGAAGTCCAAAATGAGTCTCACTGGACTAAAGTTAAGGTGTCAGCAGTTCTAGTTCCTTCTGGAGGTTCTAGGGAGGATCTGTTTCTTTCCTTTTCTACATTCTTTGTCTTGTGGCCCTTTCTTCTTCAAAGCCAACAGGTAGCATCTTCAAATCTGTCACAAACTCTCTCTCTCCACTCTCTACCTCCCCTCTGTTTCTATCATCATTTTCTTTTCTCTGACACTGACCTTCCTGCCTTCCTCTTATAATGACCCTGTGATTACATTGGACCCACCCAGATAGTCCAGAATAACTTCTCCACCTCAAGATCTTGAACCAAATCACATCTGAAAAGTCCTTTTGCCATGGAAGGTGATATGTTCTCAAATTCTATGGATTAGGGCATGAGCATTTGGAGGAGAGTAACTATTCAGCCTGACTCACTAAGAAGGTCTTGATTTTCCCTTCATTCCTGGAAGATATTTTCTCTGAATATAGAATTCTGGGTTAATTGTTCTTTTCTTTAGGCACTTGAAAAATGTGCCACTTTGTCTTCAGCCTCCACTGTCTCTGATGAAAACTCCACTATCACTTGAATTGTTACAAGTAATCTCTCGCTTGCTGCTTTCAAGGCTTTTTTCTTGGTCTTTGGTTTTTAGAAGTTTGGTTATGAAGTGTCTTGACACAGAAATATTTGAGTTTATCCTATTGTGGTTTCCGCAGCTCCTTGAATCTACAGGTTTATGTCTCTTGCCAAATTTGGGATATTGTCAGCTTCTGTGATATTTTGATGGAATAGAGCAGATATTATCTAAAAGTTGTCTCATTAGATTGGTGTCTTAGTCTGTCCTGCTATAACAAAATATCACAGGCCAGGTAATTTATAAACAATAGATATTTATTTATTTTGGTTATGGAAGCTGGGAAGTCCAAGATTAAGGCATTGGTATTTAGTGTTTGGTAACGGCTGCTCTCTGCTTCCAAGATAGCATCTTGTAGCTGCATTCTCTGGAGGAGAGAAACACTGTGTCTTCACATGCTGGAAGGGACAGAAAGGGCAAGAGAGCACTTCTTTCAACCTACAGCCCTTTGATAAGGGTGCTAATCTCATTCACGAGGGAAAAGCCTTCATGACTTAGTCACCTCCCAAAGACCATACCTCTTAATATTGTTGAACTGAAAATTAAGTTGCAGTATAAATTTTGCAGGAGATGCCATCATTTAAACCATAGCAAGTACACTTTTCTTGGTCATTTGGGAAACAGATTCACCTTTGGGCTTTTTTAGTCTAAATCCTTTGGCATTTCCACATTACGTTTCTCGAATACCCAATCTAGAATACCTGAGGCAACACAAAAACCCAGGTCCCATGATCCCTAGCCAGTCCTTTTTGTTTCTCATCTTTTAAAGTCTTCTGATATTTACTTTTTGTGTAATGCCCACAGTTTTTAGCTGTAGTTAGCAAGAGGAATAGAGAAAAGTATATCTATTGCATCTTCCTGGAGGCAGGAGCCAAGACGGCTTGTTTTTTACAATTTGTTGTTGCTGTTGTTGTTGTTGTTTTTGAGACGAAGTCTCACTCTGTTGCCCAGGCTGAAGTGTAATGGTGCGATCTCGGTTCACTGTAACCTCCGACTCCCGAGTTCAAGTGATTCTCCTGCCTCAGCCTCCTGAGTAGCTGGGATTACAGGCACGTGCCACCACGCCCAGCTAATTTTTGTTTTTTGGAGAGATGCGGTTTCACCATGTTGCCAGGTTGGTCTCAAACTCCTGACCTCAAGTGATCCACCCACCTCAGCCTCCCAAAGTGCTGGGATTACAGGCGTGAGCCACCGTGCCCGGCCCGTTTTTTACAATTTTTAAATGGCTTTACTCTTACACTCTATTGTCTTAATTGCCTCATGCAAAATTTCATTCCTTAATAAATATAAACATAATTAGTCCACATCTTCAACAGCATATCATCTTTTGTGCGTTTCTTCTCTTTTCACACATTTTACCATCAATAAGAAATGCTTGAGAATGTATAAAAGTATGTGTAACTTGGGTACCCACTGTGGCTTTTTCAAAATAGTTAAACAGAAAATTATTTAAATGTCTATCAACACAGAATATGTATTTTACTTTCATACAAGAGGATACTATGCAGCCACTTAAAAAATTAGATACACATGTAAAAAACTCTAGGGTATATTGCTATAGAGTAACAATAATTAAATTGCATATCATTTTTTTAAATTGTGATTTTCTTAAATTTTGAATTTTAAGTTATGCTGAGCCAAATAAATAACAAATGTTTCAGTTTTCAATAGCTATGGTCTGGAAGCTATTTCATATGACTTATTTCATTTGATATTCACAATGTATGTACTCAGGGCAAGTATTACTCCCAATTAACTTCGGCCCAGCACAGTTTCTGGATACCACTCAATTTCCTATAAATTTCTTGAGGTCCAGATGCAAAGGTCCAATCATGTTTTTCTCTTTAGTACCATCTCTCCAAAAACATTTGAAAAGGTAAGATAAATAAATGTGACATTGTACAGAAAACCCAAACTTGCAAAGCTCTGCTCCCAAATTCCTCAGAATTCATTTTCAACAAACAAGTGTTTCTCCTTCTCCATCTACTCTACATACATATCAGAAAAACAGCCTTACAGTTTTTAATTACAAAGAGGTCTATGACATATGACTCTTCTACTTCAAAGGACTCTAATAATAGCACATGCATAGGAATATAGCACTCTGAGCAGAGTAAACAAACACTTCTCTCTCCTGAGAGAGATCAGATGAACCTGCTGATGTCAGATCTCTCCCAGAATTCCATTGTTGTCTCTCCAAACAGCCTTTAAGGAAAATCACCAAATCTGGGATGGGGAGCTTTTCTCAAACGTGTTTCCTTTCAAAACATAGGGAAACAGGATTTTTGGCCACAGGAGGTCAAGGTCAGCAATCTAACAGAATTGGTCCTTTTGAACTTCCTTTCTAAGAAACACATTATGTTATCTGATGAAGGCTGTTACATTGAAAATCTTGTTGATACTCAGGCCATGATCAATTTTGTTCATCACCCAATGATCTCAGGAAGCACACGTATAAAATCCACAAATCAGTCTGATCTCAAAATGCATATTTTCAAGATAATGTGAGCAGTGTAAATTCTGTGAGGACTGAGACAGTGTTTTATCATTTTTTATGCACCATACAAAGAACTGTATAGTGCTTGCACATTAGTAAATAATAATTATTTATTTAATTAGTAGTTATATTTTAACAGTAAAAGAAAATGAAATTTATGAAAAAACACAGACTCAAGAATGCAAAGATATACACATATAACACTCAAATCGAGCTCCTCTCAGAGACTGTATTGCTTTCAGAGACCTGGATTTATACGGAGTTATTTGTAAATATGGGCATTCTTACCAAATAAAATAAAGTCCATTTTTAACTAGTATTGTTTTAGCACCACTGTCTTAGATTTGTACAATATTTTTTTGAACATTTAAAAAATTTTCCAGCAAATTTTGACACTTTAGTATTACAGAAATTTCTGTGGAGAAATTGAGATTTATCTAAAGGCACCCAATAACTAAACAACAAAGCTTGACTCTTCTCTAACCTTTTCTCCTATAGATGGGACAGCCTTTCATCGTCGCAAAGGAAGGCAGTTCCTGATGCTCCCCTCTCAGTAAGAAGGGCTCAGTTTAGCTCTGTGCACACAGGTTTACTCCCTAATCACTTTCAGTAATCATCTGATTGGCTTTCTCCCAATACTTACATGTCACTGAGCTTTGGTTTAGTTTCTAAGTTAGAAATACCAGGAAAGCACCAACATGGCACATGTATACATATGTAACAAACCTGCACGTTGTGCACATGTACCCTAGAACTTAAAGTATAATAATAATAATAATAATAAACAGAAAATCCAACACAGAAGAGGGAAAAGAAAAAGAAAAAAAGAATGGCATTAGAGCCCTTACAAGTGTCCGAAGCAACCAGAGTGTTCCTTTTCCACGCGAGGACATAACAAGAAGGTCCCACTCAGGAGCCATAAGCAAGCCCTCACCAGACACTCAATCTGCCTTCACTGTGGACTTCAAGGTCTGTGGGAACTGTGAGAAATAAATTTCTGTTGTATATAAAAAAAAAAAAAAAGCAAAGAAATACTAGGGAAGAAGGAAACACACCAAGAAGGGGAGGTAGATATTTTGTCACACCATCAGCTTTTCCTCCCATCTGACGGCCACGTCTTCAGTGAACACTGCCCACTTCCACTTCCTGCCCAGAAGGAGAATGTTCAAGGAAAATGTCTGAGGCACATTTCCTCTTGCTTTCAACTGAATCATGAGAGCCCATAAAGATTTCTCACTCTTCACCAGAAAGTGAGAATTCCTGGATATTGTTGCAGTTTTAAATTAGGAAATAAGAATCATTAAAAGACAGAGTAGTTTGTTTACATGATGTCCCCCCATATCGTTATTCATCACTTGGCCTAAAACCTAAGTTGGTCTATTTCTGCTTACTATGAGAAAGCCCCTGGTTTCTCTTTTTAAAGACTCATTTCACTAAGAATCCATCGGGGAGATGTCCATTTGTTTTTTAGTTTTTCTTTTTTAAAAAAGAGTGCAACATCTGCCACCAATAAACCTCTGGAAACTGTAATGATGAAAAGTAACAATTGACTAGTATGATTCCCCGAAATAAATTTTCTTTTTAATGCCTGAAACACCCAGAAGACCCAATGCTGAACCATAGTTTGTCTTGTGGCATATTAATTATGAACTAGTTAAAATTGTTTTTGAGAAAGGAGCAAAATGTCTAGCCAGTTATCATACCAAGTGGACACAAATGCTAAACATGGTTAGCATCATGGCAGGAAAACAGACGTTTGTCTGGTGATGAACACCAAGAAGCCAGTGTGGCAGTCACATGCACCCTACCCTACAATATTGGAGGCAAACATTTTTGGCCCAATATACAAGGCTGTCCCCAAGCCAAGCACAGCGGGCAGCTTCGCAGGAAGGTCTGCTCTCTTTAAGGGCTCTCACTTCCTCTTTTGCCCCAGATACTCATTTTCCACAAACAACAGCAGGAGTTTGAGTCTCAAGGAAATGTAGACTCACCTTAAATGTACTGCTACTCTGGATTATGTGTAATCTTTGTTAGTAGCCATAAAAATAATACAAGTCTACACCTTCCCAAACAGTAACTTGCACAGAGTGAGAACTCGATTAAAGCACATCCAACTGAATAAACAGAGTTCTATTGGGCAGTATTCTACCAGCTTTTTGTTAGAATTTCTGATAATCCTATGTCTGAAAAGTGGTCTTGACATTTTGCTTTGAGAAACACCTGTATTCTCTTAAAACAGAAGTTATTTTTTACTTCAAAAGAAAAACTTGAATTCTGGAACTGTACAACTTTAAGGGACTAAAAGTTTCATGTTGTCCAGTAATTCCTAAAATGTTGTCAGAGACCACTGCCTAGCCAACTGATAATCATCTTGGGGGCTTGTTAAAAATGTAGATTCTGTCCCTGCCACCGGGAGAAGCTAAGTGCAGGTATTCTGACCCACAGCTCAGACACTCGAAAGTGAATGCCTTCATCACACCTGTAATCCCAGCACTTTGGGAGGTTGAGGTGGGTGGATCACTTGAGGTCAGGAGTTCAAGGCCAGCCTGACCTACATGGTGAAAACCCATTTCTACTAAAAATACAAAAAAATTAGCCAGGCATGGTGGTGCACGCCTGTAATCTTAGCTACTTGGGAGGCTGAGGCAGGAGAAATGCTTGAACCTGGGAGGTGGAGGTTGCAGTGAGCAAAGATCGTGCCATTGCACTCTAGCCTGGACAACAAGAACAAAACTCCATCTCAAAAAAATAAAAAAAATAAAAACAGAAACAAAACAAAACAAAACAAAAAACAGAAAGAAAGCAAGAAAGAAAGTAAGTGGATGCTTTCAGAATGACTCCAGCCTCAGTCTTCTGCTACTGCCCTGCATGATAGACCCAGAGCAGGCCCTGCCTCACTAGGCCCCGTCAACCCCTGGAACTGTGACAGGCGATAATGGTAATAATAATGAATGATTATTTTATGCCACTCATATGCAGGCACACACACACACACACACACACACACACACACACACACACACACACATATATATTCCAGGTTTTATTCAGCAGCTCAGGTCCTGGGGTAGAGACAGTGTGGGGTATGACTCAAGCATCTGTATTTTTCACAACCTCTTTGGGTACTTTGAATGAGCAGCCACATCTGGAATCAGCTAATAATCTCTTAATCCCTTGTTTTTAAAATGAGATTAGATGCTTTTTCTCTTTCTGGCACAGCCAGTGAATGGCAGAGCATGGTTAAATCCCAGCAGACATGACTCCCGGCCTGGCTCCTGTTACCCAGAAGCATCACATCTGAGAGCAGGAATGAACCTCAGAAGTGCTGACCTCCGCGCTCACCCTCTTATCCCATCCACTCTGCCTCTGTCAGGCCTCAGGCTTGGGGGGCTCAGACTTGGTGGACCACTGCTCAGGTGTGAGTTGAGGATTCAAAAGCAGAAAGGCAGGTGACTTGAACAATGAACCTATTTTGGAAATTTTCTGCAAAGCTCACTCATCATCAATAAAATTTGGCAAGCAGCAGCTTTCAGAATTTTTTTTAATCTAATTGTCTCCTATAACCAAACAGCCCATTTAAAGAAATACCCACTGTCAGCTAAGCAAATATAAGGATGTTCACCTAGAAGAGGCCTGCCTCCCGGAAAGAACAGGCATGGAGGGCCCCTCTCTCCACCTGCTTCCCCCTGGACAGCAGAGGCAGGGCGGCCAAGCTTCTGGTCACCAACAGCAGAACTTTCTATTTGAAGTCCCGGTTTTGGAAAGAAGGTAGTTACTGTGTCCATTTCTAGTAAGCGCAAACTAGTTAAGAGGGAAATAGCAATTCTACTTGAAGGCAACAGAGTGCTAAAATAGTGAAGAATTTCCAAGACAGAAACCAAGAAAGTTGGAGGACCAGGGAATTGAGTCCTGCGCTGGGACATTTCTGCCCTAGGGAATGTTGCCAATTCCAGAAAGAAAGACTGAGAAGCTGAAGAGCTGAGCTGCAGTTTTGAAGGACTCATGGGTCTAGAGGGAAAAGTTTTAGAATCCAGGTCCCATCAGGCCTTAGTGAATGCCCCTCACTCCTACTGTGCACTGAGTTTGAATTTAAAGGAATCACCTCTGGAATGAGGGTAAACTGGAAGGCCTATAGACACTGAAGGAACTTAGGTTCAAATTATCTCAATGCCTGAAGTTGGACCAGCCTGGGCAACATACAGAGGATCCTGTCTCAAGAAAAAAAAAAAAAAGTAACAAAAACTACTGAAAACATTCTCTAGATTGGAGACTTTAAAATCACTATGCTAATTATTTGAAAATAAGAAACAAGATAGAAAATGTTATCAGATAATTAGAAACTGTTTTAAAAGTATCAAGCAAAAATTCTAGGACTTAAAAATGCAGTAACTGAAACTAAGAACTCATCATATGGATTAACAGTAGATTGAAACAGGCTGAAAATAAAAATAACAATTTCACACAATCCTTTTGAGATAATAGAAAAAGAAGCTAACAACCTTGATTCTAAATCTGACAAGGACACTATAAAAAAGGAAAGTGCAGACCAATCTACTCCTGAACACAGATGAAAAATCCTAAGCAAGATATTAGCAAACAGAATCTATCAATATATATATATATATATATATCATAAACCAATTGGTGTTTTTTTTTAACTTTATCAATTTTGGTTTAATTTAACATGGCTTTTACAGCATTCTAGGACTATATTGGAACAGTTTGGTAAAACAAACAAACAAACAAACAAAAACCTTACTCTGAATTCTTTGCTAGGACTCTTACCCTTACAGGAAGGGCTAGTACATAGTTCTGACATTTCAGGACAGCACGGCATTAAAATACACCCAACTTTTCTCTCAACTTTCAATGCTATCCCTCTTATTTTAATATCTTACTAAGTTTGTAACTAATAAAAATATATTTTAGTATTCCTAGTTCCTGATGGAGAACTTTTAAGACTTTTTTTTTTAAGTATGTTACTTTTCTTTCTTTCTTTCTTTCTTTTTGAGACAGAGTCTCACTCTTGTTGTCCAGGCTGGAGTGCAATGGTGCAATCTCAGCTCACTGCAACCTCCACCTCCCGGGTTCAAGCAATTCTCCTGCCTCAGCCTCCCAAGTAGCTGGGATTACAGGCACCTGCCACCATGCCTGGCTAATTTTTGTATTTTTAGTAGAGACAGGGTTTCACCATGTTGGCAAGGCTGGTCTCGAACTCCTGACCTTAGGTGATCCGCCCGCCTTAGCCTCCAAAAATGCTGGGATTACATTTTCTTTCCTTTTTTTTTTTTTTCAAGCTATGTATATGCTTTTCTTTTCTTTTTTTCTTTTTTTCTTTTCTTTTTCTTTGATTTTATTTTACTTTAAGTTCCGGGACACATGTGCAGGACGTGTAGGTTTGTTACATAGGTCTACGTGTGTCATGGTGGTTTGCTGCACCTATTGACCTGTCCTCTAAGTTCCCTCCCCTCGCCCCCAAACCCCCCACGGTCCCAGTGTGCGTTGTTCCCCTCCCTGTGTCCATGTGGTCTCATTGTTCAGCTCCCACTTACGAGTGAGAACATGTGGTGTTTGGTTTTCTGTTCCCATGTTAGTTTGCTGAGGATGATGGTTTCCAGCAGCATCCAAGTCCCTGCAAAGGACATGACTCATTCCCTTTTATGGCTGCATAGTACTCCGTGGTGTATATGTACTACATTTTCTTTATCCAGTCTATCATTGATGGGCATTTGGGTTGGGTCCATGACTTTACTATTGTAAATAGTGCTGCAATAAACATACATGTGCATGTGTCTTCATAGTAGAATGATTTATATTCCTTTGGGTATATATCCAGTAATGGGATTGCTGGGTCAAGTGATATTTCTGGTTCTAGATCCTTGAGGAATCGCCATGCTGTCTTCCACAATGGTTGAACTAATTTACATTCACACCAACTGTGTAAACGTGTTCCTGTTTCTCCACGACCTCACCTGCATCTGTTGTTTCTTGGCTTTTTAATAATCACCGTTCTGACTGACGTGAGATGGTATCTCATCGTGGACAAACCAATTAGATTTATCCCAGGAATGCAAAGTTAATTTAAATCAATCAGTATAATAACTACATTTACAGGACAAAAGGTGAAAAAAATGCAAATCACTTCAAAATATTCAGAAAAAGATCCCAATTAAATCTAATGTCAATCTAATCAACAAATTACATAATTTAAAATTTAAAATATCTAATATTTACAAATTTACATTTATAATTATTTAAAATCTTAAACAATTTTAAAATTAAAATAAAAACTATAGAATGAAACTAACTTAATATGAGAAAGGTATTTATATAAACAACAATTCTACAGAAAGCACCAGACTTCTAGGTCAAATGCTGAAGATTTTCCCTTTGAGATTGGGAACAAGACACTGTTATCAACAATGTGAAAGAAATAAAAGGCATGAGGATTAGAGAAGAAAATATAAAACTATCATTACTCACAGATGACATGACTGTGGAACAAAAATATCCAAAAGAAAATTCAAACAATGAAAAGACAAACTGCACACACAAAACACTGGATGTCTGCTAAGATAACTGTTAAATTTCTTGTGTCTATGCAAATTTATACACACATATATGCATATACATATACATACACATACACAGATGATTTTTAATTAACAATACAAACAATTGTATATAATAAGTATAAAATACTTTACTTTTTTCATTTAATATAGAATTTTCCATATCAGCACATTACTTGTAATAGTTGTACAATAATCTATTATAGTGTATTCTAATGATTTCTATATAAATTATTTAAAGGTCTTTTTGCTATTGCAAACAAGGCAACAAAACTCTTATAAGAATGTACTAGTGGCTGAGCATGGTGGTTCATGCCAGTACGTTAGGAGGCTGAGGCAGGAGGATCACTTGAGCCCGAGATTTTGAGGTTGCAGTGAGTTACGATCATGACATTGCACTCCAGCCTGGGCACACAGTGAGACCCTGTCTCTGGGGAGAAAAAAAGAATGTACTAGTATGGCTATAAGTGACAAGAAAGAGGACTCAGGGAATCCAACAGCTTCTCTAAGTTCTCCATCCTGTTCCATGTCCTTGATTCCACAGAGACCAAGGCAGCAAAAATTCACAGGACAGAGGACAAGAGAAAAGAGAGTTGCCAGTGACATGGTCCATCTGGATTTTTCAGTAGAATGCAGATCAACGGATTCATCTAAGAAAAATAGTTGAGGTTATGGAAAAACTCACCCAAAAGTATCTGAAGGAACAGCATGCTCACATAGGATGAGGAACAGTGTGTGTTCCCACTAGCCAGAGTAAAAACAAAATCATAATTCACAGAGTATTGAGTAGAGGTCTTACCTCGGTTATACAAGGGTAAACTGAATATTGCACTGGACTGACCTAACACATCATAAAAGTAAGACCCAAAAGGATCAAACTGTTTTTAAGGAACATAACCACATCACAGAACAAAGTTCAAGCTGTATAGAAATACGAAAACACCCAGCACCAACAAGGCAAAATTTACAAGTCTGGCATCCAATAAAAGATTACCAGGCATTCAAAGAGGCAAGAAAATATGACCCAAATGAAGACATTTATTAATCAATCAAAACCAATCCAGAACTGATAAAATTAGAATTAACAAAGTAGATGTTAAAGCCATTATTAGAATTGTTTTCCATATTGTTTAACCTCTGAAGTTAAGTAGAAATATTGAGGAAATATATATACATTATTTGTTTATAAATATATATATATATTAGATATTACAGATATCTAATTATATATTAGAAATAGTGTCTCACTCTGTCACCCAGGCTGGAGTGCACTGGCCTGATCATAGCTCACTGTTACCTCAAACTCCTGGGCTCAAGTGACTCTTCTCTGTTAGCCTCCAGAGTAGCTAATACTACAGGCACATACCACTATGCCCACCTAGTTTTTAAAAATTTTTGTAGAGACAGGGTCTTGCTATGTTTTTCAGGCTGATCTTGAACTCCTGACCTCAAACAATCCTCCCACTTCAGCCTCACAAAATGCTGAAATTACAGGCATGAGCCACTGTGCCTGGCCCAAGAATATTACAAAGATGAAAATTAAAATTAAACTTCTTTTTTTTTTTGAGACGGAGTTTCACTCTTGTCGTCCAAGGCTGGAGTGCAATGGTGAGATCTCGGCTCACTGCAACCTCTGCCTCTCGGGTTCAAGTGATTCTCCTGCCTCAGCCTCCTGTGTAGCTGGGATTACAGGTGCCCGCCACCACGCCCGACCAATTTTTGTATTTTTAGTAGAGACATGGTTTTGCCATGTTGGCCCGGCTGGTATCAAACTCCTGGCCTCAGGTGATCCACCTGCCTCGGCCTCCCAAAGTGCTGGGATTATAGGCGTGAGCCACCGTGGCTTAACCTAAACTTCTAGATATGAAAACTATAATGTCTGAGGTGAAAAATAGACTGGAGGAAGAAAAAGGCAGATTGGACATTGTAGAAGAAAGGCGAGATCAGTGAAATTAAAAGTGTGGCAATGAAAACTACCCAAAATAAAACACGCAGAAAATAAAATTCCAAAAAATGAAAAAGCATAAGTGATATGTGGGATAGTTTCAGTGGCCTAATACATGAGTAACTGGAGTCCCTGAAGAAGAAAGACTGAAAAATATATTTTTAGAAATAATGGCTGAAAAATTTCCAAACTTAGTGAAGCTATAAACCTACAGATCTAAGCTCAATGAACACCAAGAAAAATAAACATGAAAATAACTACCCCAAATTACAGCATAAGTTACTAAAAAACAATGACAAAGAGAAAAATCTGACAGCCAGAAAATATACCCGTATTACATCCAGAGAAACAAAGATAAGGCTGACATCAGATTTTTCACCAAAGATTGCAGGCAAGCAAGAGACATTGGAGCAGCATCATTGAAGTACTGGGGGGCAGGTGACTGTCACTCAGTATTCAGTACCCAGCAAAAAATATTTTTTATAAATGAAGGTGAAGTGGAGACATTTTTAGACATATAAAAGCTAGAATAATTTACCACCACCAGAAGAAATGTCTGCACTACAAGAAATGCCAAATAACATCCTTGGGCAGAAGAAAAATGATACCAGATGGAAATCTGGATCTACACAAAGGAATGAAGACCACCAAAAATATATCTACATGAGTAAATATATAAGAAATTTTTTCTTATTACTTAAGTCTCCTTAAAAGATATGTGCTTGTTTAAACAGAAATAACAATGTATTATTGGGTTTATAACACATAAAAGTAAAGTACATGACAACAACACCATAAAGACCAAGCGCAGAGAAATGAAAGTATACTATACATGAAGTGATATATCACTTGAAGGTAGTTTGTGATAATTAAAGATGTATACCATAAACAATAAAGCAACCATTACATACTAGAACAATGAGTTATAACTAAGAACCCACAAGGAGAAAAAACTGAATCATAGAAACAAATTAACTAAAACAAAAAAAACAGGAAAAAAGGAGAAAGAAAAAGAATAATAAATAAAGCAAACTGAAAACAAATAAGAAGATGTTACAGCCATACCTAACCTTACCATAATCCCATTAAATGTAAATTGAATAAATACACTAATTAAAACACAGAGGTTGTCAGATTGAATATGAAAGCCAGGCCCAACTATATGCTGCCTATAGAAAACACACTTTAAATATAAAGTGTATATATATACACTTTATATATATATAAATATATATACAAATATATATTTATATATACATAAATATATATATTTTATATATACAAATTATATATATTTATATATACAAATATATATATTTTATATATACAATATATATTTTTATATATACAAATATATATATTTTATATATATATAATATATATATTTATATATACACATATATATAAATATATGTGTATATATATTTATATATAAAGTGTATATAAAAATATATATACACTTTATAAGTTTATAAATATATATAAAGTGTATATAAAAATATATATACACTTTATGTTTATAAATATATATAAAGTGTATATATATTTATAAATATATAAATATAAAGTGAGTTTATATATACACTTTAAATACAAACAGGTTAAAAAATGAAAAGATGGAAATGTAGATATCATGCTAACAATAATAAAAATAAATCTGAAAAGGCTTATATGAATATCAGAAAAAGTAGATTTCAGAGGAAAAAATATTATGAGGACTGAAGAATGTCATTTCATAATAATAAAGAATTTATTCATCAAGGGTACATAAAAATTCTAAATGAATATGCATGTATTAACAGATTGCTTCAAAATAGATGAATCAAAAATAGATGATATATACAGGCTGGGCAAGGTGGCTTACACCTGTAATCCCAGTACTTTGGGAGGCCAAGGTGGGCAGATTCCTTGAGTCCAGGAATTTGAGACCAGCCTAGGCAACATGGCGAAAGCTTGTCTCTACAAAAAGTTAGCCAAGCATGGTGGTGCACACCTGAAGTCCCAGGTACATAGGAGGCTGAGGCAGGAGAACTGCTTGAGCCCAGGAGGCAGAGGTTGCAGTGAGCCAAGATCACGCCACTGCACTCTAGCCTGGGTGACAGAGTGAGACCCCATCTCAAAACAAACAAACAAACAAATGCAACCAAACTGATAGACAGTAGTCCCTCTTTATCCATGGAGAACACATTCTAAGAACCCTAGCGGATGCCTAAAACCACAGATAGTACCAAACTATATGTAGTATGATTTTTCCTGTGTATATATACCTACGATAAAGTTTAATTTGTAAATGAAGCACAGTAAGAGATTAACAATAACTAATAATAAAATAGAACAATTATAACAACATTCTGTAATAAGAGTTTTGTGAGTATACCCTCTCTCTCTCTCTCTCTCTCTGTCTTTCTCAATATCTTATTGTACTATATAGTGGATAAATGAAACCACAGAAAGTAAAACCATGGATTAGCAGGCACTACAGTAACATCAAGGAGAAATAGATAAATTCCCAGTTGTAGTCAGAGATTTGAATGCCCCTCTGTCAATGACAGAAAGACCTTTGGAATATTCTCCAAATATTTGGAAATTATATAATACATTTCTAAATATCCCATGAACCAAAAAAATCAAAACAAAACTTTATGAGTATTTTAACTGAATAAAAATAACAATATATTATATCATAATTTGTCAAAAGACCATTAAATCAGTACTTAGAAGAAAATTTATGGTACTAAATGCTCAAAACAAAAATTTATGAGTATTTTAACTGAATAAAAATATATCCCATCAGAATTTGTCAAAAGACCATTAAATCAGTACTTAGAAGAAAATTTATAGCACTTAATGCTTATATTAGAAAAGAAGATAGTTCCCAACTCAATTTTAGCCTTTACCTTAAGAAACTAGAAAGAGAAGAGAAAATGAAACCTAAAGTAAGCTCACGAAAATAAATAACAAAAAATAAGTAAAAAGCTGTAAAATAGAAAAATAGAAAAACAGTAGAAAAAAACAATGAAATCAAAAGCTGGTTCTTTAAGATCAATATAATTGATAAACATCTAGCCAAACTGATTAGAAAGAAAAAGAAGACACAAATTACCAATACCAGAAATGAGAGGGGTGATACTACAGGTTCTACTAAAAAGATAATAAAACATTAGAAACTACTTTATGCTGATACATTTGACAATTTAGATAAAATTGATAAATTTCTTGAAAGACACAAATTAGCAAAGCTCACTCAAGAAGAAATAAATTGCCTGCAAAGCCCTAAATGTTTAATAGAAATTGAAATTATACTTTTAAAACCTTCCCACAAAAAAACTACAGAACCAAATAGCTTCACTGGTGAATTCTACCAAAAAATTTAAGGAGGAATTATACAAATTCTACACAAATTCCTCCAAAAATGAAAGAAGAGTGAATTTTTCACTGCATATTATATGAAGCTAGTATTGCCCTAATACCAAAATCAGAAAAAGATTTTACACAAAAGTAAAACTACAGACCAATATCCCCTATGAACATGAATGCAAATATTCCAAACAAAATTTTAGCAAATTGAATTCAACAACATATTAAATGACATCATGACCAAGTATGGTTTAGCCTAGTTAGACAAGGCTGGCTTAACATTTGAAAATCAACTAATGTTGATTTGCAAATAAATTAATTCATAATAATATCAAACTTTTAAAAACTGGCCATCTCAACAGATACTGAAAATTTAAAACTTTGGCAAAAATTATCATCCATTCCTGATATAAATTATCTGCAAACTGGGGTTACAAGGGAACATTTTTAACCTTTTATAAAGGACATTTACAAAAAGATCTGCTACTACCCATCACCACATGGAAAATTCTCCAAGAAAGACCATATGATAAGGCACAAAACAAATGTCAGTAAATTTAAGAAAACCGAAATTATATTGAGTATTCTCTCAGACCACAGTGGAATAAAACTGGAAATTAACTCCAAAAGGAGCCGTCAAAACCATGCAAATACATGCAAATTAAATAACCTGCTCCTGAATTATTGTTGGGTCAACAATGAAATCAAGGTGAAAATTTAAAAATTATTTGGACTGACTGATAATAGCGACACAACCTATCAAAACCTCTGGGATTCAGCAAAAGCGGTGCTAAGAGGAAAGTTCATAGCATTAAATACCTATGTCAAAAAATCTGAAAGAGCACAAATAAACAATCTAAGGTCACACCTCACAGAACTGAACAAACAAGAACAAACCAAACCCAAACCCAGAAGAAGAAAAATAAATAAAAAAGATCAGAGCAGAATTAAGTGAAACTGAAACCAAAAAAATTACAAAAGATAAATGAAACAAAAGGTTGGTTCTTTGAAAGATAAATAAAATTGATAGAACATTAGCGAGATTAACCAAGAAAATAGACAATTTTCGAGAAAAGAAGAGAGAAGATCCAAATAAGCTCAATTAGAAATGAAATGAGAACTATTACTATTGATAACACAGAAGTACAAAAGTTTATTCAAGGCTACTACGAACACCTTTCCCCACACAAACTAGAAAACGTAGAGGAGATGGATAAATTCCTGGAAATATACAACCCTCCTAGATTAAACCAGGAAGATATAGAAACTCTAAACAGACCGATAAGAAGCAATAAGATTGAAATGGTAATTTAAAAATTGCCAACAAAAAAAGAGTCCAGGACCAGACGAATTCATAGCTGAATTCTATCAGACATTCAAAGAAGAATTGTTACAAATCCTATTGACACTATTCCATGGAATGAAGAGGGACTCCTCCCTAAATCATTCTATGAAGCCAATATCACCCTAATACCAAAACCAAGGAAAGACATAATCAAAAAAGAAAACGACAGACCAATATCCTTGTAGAATATAGATGCAAAAATCCTCAACAAAATACTTGCTAACCAAATCCAACAGCACATCAAAAAGGTAGTCCGCCATGATCAAGTGGGTTTCATCCGAGGGGTGCAGGAATGGTTTAACATCTGCAAGTCAAAAAATGTGATACACAACATAAACAGAATTAAAAACAAAAACACACAGTCATCTCAATAGATGAAGAAAAAGCATTCGACAAAATACAGCTTCCCTTTATTATTAAAACTCTCAGCAAAATCGGCATACAAGAGACATACCTCAATGTAATAAAAGCAATCTATGACAAACCCACAGCCAACGTTATACTGAAACGGGAAAAGTTGAAAGCATTCTCCCTGAGAACTGGCATAAGACAAGGACGCCCACTCTCACCACTTCTATCTAACATAGTACCGGAAGTCCCAGCCAGAGCAATGAGACAAAAGAAAAAAATCAAGGGCATCCAAATTGGTAAAGAGGAAGTCAAACTTTTGTTGTTTACTGATGATATGATCGTATACCTAGAAAACCCTAAAGACTCATCCAAAAAGCTCCCAGAACTGGTAAATGAATTCAGCAAAGTTTCAGGATATAAAATTAATGTACACAAATCAGTAGCCTTGCTATACACCAACAGCAACCAAGCTGAGAATCAAATCAAGAACTCAATCCCTTTTAGAATAGCTGCAAAAATAATTTAAATACTTAGTAATATACCTAACCAAGGAGGTGAAAGACCTCTACAAGGAAAACTACAAAACACTGCTGAAAGAAATCATAGATGACACAAACAAATGGAAACACATCCCATGCTCATGGATGGGTAGAATCAATATTGTGAAAATGACCATACTGCGAAAAGCAATCTACAAATTCAATGCAATCTCTATCAAAATACCACCAACATTCTTCACAGAATTAGAAAAAACAATTCTAAAATTCATATGGAACCAAAAAAGACCCCACATAGCCAAAGCAAGACTAAGCAAAAAGAACAATTCTGGAGACATCACATTACTCGACTTCAAACTATACTATAAGGCCATAGTCACCAAAACAGCATGGTACTGGTATAAAAAATAGGCACCTAGACCAATGGAACAGAAAAGAGAACACAGAAATAAACCCAAATACTTGCAATGCAACCAACCGATCTTCGACAAAGCAAACAGAAACATAAAGTGGGGGAAAGGACACCCCATTCAACAAATGGTGCTGGGATAATTGGCTAATCACATGAAGGAGAATGAAACTGGATTCTCATCTCTCATCTTAAACAAAAATCAATTCAAGATGGATCAAAGACTTAAATCTAAGGCCTGAAACTATAAAAATTCTAGAAGATAACATTGGAAAAACCCTGTAGACATTGGCTTAGGCAAGGATTTCATGACCAAGAACCCAAAAGCAAATGCAATAAAAACAAAGATAAATAGTTGGGACTTAATTAAACTAACGAACCTTTGCACGGCAAAAGGAACAGTCAGCAGAATAAACAGACAACCCACAGACTGGGAGAAAAATCTTCATAATTTATACATCTGACAAAGGACTAATATCCAGAATCTGCAATGAACTCAAACAAATCAGTAAGAAAAACAAACAAACAATCCCATCAAAAAGTGGGCTAAGGACATGAATAGACAATTTTCAAAAGAAGATATACAAATGGCCAACAAGCATATGAAAAATGCTCAATATCATGAATGACCAGGGAAACGCAAATCAAAACCACAATGCAATACCACCTTACCCCTGCAAGAATGGCCATAATCAAAAAATCAAAAAACAGTAGATGTTGGCATAGATGCAGCTATCAGGGAACACTTTTACACTGCTGATGGGAATGTAAACTAGTACAGCCATTATGGAAAACAGTGTGGAGATTCCTTAAAGGACTAAAAGTAGAACTACCACTGGATCCAGCAATCCCACTATTGGGTATCTACCTAGAAGAAAAGAAGTCATTGCACACTCATGTTTATAGCAGCACAATTTGCAATTGCAAAATCATGGAAACAACCTAAATACCCATCAATCAACGAGTGGATAAAGAAACTGTGAGATATATACATATATACACATATGTACACATATGTGTATATATATACACACATACACATATGCATGTATATATATATCTGTATATATACATGTATATATATACACACACATATGTGTGTATATATATACATGTATATATATACACACATATGTGTGTGTATATATACGTATATGTATACACACATATGTAAGTATATATACGTATATATATACACACATATGTATGTATATATATGTATGTATATATGTATATACGTATATATACATACGTGTGTATATATACGTATATATATACACACATATGTGTGTATATATATACATGTATATATATACACACATATGTGTGTATATATATACGCATATGTGTATATATATATGATGGAATACTACTCAGCCATAAAAAGAAATGAACTAATGGCATTTCCAGTGACCTGGATGAGACTGAAGATTATTATTCTTTTTTCTTTTCTTTTCTTTTTTTTGAGACACAGTCTCACTAGGTTGCCCAGGCTGGAGTACAGTGGCACAATTTTGACTCACTGCAACCTCTGCCTCCTAGGTTCAAGTGATTCTCCTACCTCAGCTTCCTGAGTAGCTGGGATTACAGGCATGTACCACCGCACCCAGCTAATTTTTTTGTTGTTGTTGTTGTTTGGGTTTGTTTGGTTTTTTTTGTATTTTTAGTAGAGATGGGATTTCACCATGTTGGCCAGACTGGTCTTGAACTCCTGACCTCAGGTGATCCACCCACCTTGACCTTCCAAAGTGCTGGGATTACAGGCGTGAGCCATCGTGCCCAGACTGGAGACTATTATTCTAGGTGAAGCAACTCAGGAATGGAAAACCAAACATCGTATATTCTCACTGATATGTGGGAGCTAAGCTATGAGGACTCAAAGACATAAGAATGACACGATGGACTTTGGGGACTTGGGGGGAAGGATGAGAGGGGGGCAAAAGATAAAATACTACAAATAGGGTGCAGTGTATACTGCTCTGGTGATGGGTGCACCAAAATCTCACAAAGCACCACTAAAGAACTTACTCTTGTAACCGAATACCACCTGTACCCCAATAACCTATGGAAAAAAAATCCCATGCTCTAGTGATACCGTACAGTATATAACCACCACCAGTACTCCTGTCACCAAACCCTACAAAATATCTATACAGGGGCATGAGATTTGGGCCCTGCATAAGGAAAATGGCATGTCACATTGGCCTCTTGATTCTTTCGGCACCTATGATGTGCTAGGAGCTATGCTTTTGATTTGACTACAGAGGCACAAAAAACCATGATCCTAGCCTTACAAGCAGTAAGTGTTATGGTAGCTGTATAAACACACTGGAGCAACATAAAGCCAGGGACCTTGAACTATGCCCAAGAGATATATATATGTGCTGAATAACAGAGAATGAATGGGACTTCTCGAAGTCTAGAGATAGTGGTTGGGGAGAGTCAGAGACATGGGCGAAACAAGGAGACCTTACCTTCCTGTTAAGTCTCCGAGCATCTTGTTTTCTGCCTCTGTTGTGATTTATTACAGTGTAGTAGTACCTGCATGCCTGCGTGTCTCCCTGTCTGAAATGTAAGCTCTTAGAGGGCAGTGCTTTTATTAGCCCAGCTCCTAGGACAGTGGCTGGCACATAGGAGATGCAAAAAATTTTCAATTAATGTTGTGGTTGAAAGAGTAAGTTCAGGACAGCAGGTAATTTACCATGAATAAAGTAAAACATGTATATAGTATTATTTTTCCAGACAAGGAATATCTAAGGAAGGCAGACTTGGGAATAGAAGGAAGACGATAATTAGTCTGGTTTGGCATTCAGAAGATCAATAGTATGTGGGTGGACTGTGGGTCCCAGAAAAGAGGGTGAGGGAAAGAGAATTTGGAGTCTTCATCTGAGGTTGCACCATACTCAACCTCCTCCAAACAACCTGAATAAAAACCAGCTGAAAGCCAGGAGTGGGGGCTCACACCTATAATACCAGCACTTTGTCAGGCCAAGGAGGGAGGCTCACTGGAGCCCAGGAGTTTGAGACCAGCCTGGGCAACATGGTGAAATCCCATCTCTTCAAATAATATAAAAAGTTAGCTGGGCATGGTGGCACATCTGTGGTCCTAGCTACTCAGGAGGCTGAGCTTGGGAGGTTGAAGGTGCAGTGAGCCTTGATGGTGCCACTGCGCTCCAGCCTGGGTGACAGAGTGAGATCTTGTCTCAATAAAATAAATAAAATAGTAAAATGAAATAAAACTAAACTGAAATAAAATAGTAAAAACAGCAACTAACCGAACCCTTCTGTTGATGCATTCGTGTATTAATTTAACACATTGAGGACCTACTATAGCTGTACAATATCAGAAAATAAACAAATAATACACAATATATCAGCTAGTGTATAAGACTATAAAGACTTGTGAAAGGAGACTGCAAGCATAGTGCAGCAGTTCTGCTGAGCTCAGGAAACAGAGGTTGGAGTTTGGGAGACTGAGGCAACTAGAATTTGTGAGCAGAGTGGCAGAAAGGATGATGTGAGAGAAAGAGCTCCAGAAATTGCATGCAGGGTCCCTTCGAGTCTGTGGCTGCATATTAGCCTGCACCTGTGTAGGAATAAAATCCATGAGACCAGTCAAAGAACAATTTGATGTGCAATTTGAATAACAAAAACTACCAGGCAGCTGTCAGGGGAACTGTTTCCAGCATTCCAAGAGCCATGCAGGCTCTCACTGATCATAAGCACATTCAACAGAGACAACGTTTCCAGTGCATTTGCCTTCTACACATGCTCATTTGCTTTTCTTGCAACAACTCACAGCTTGCACCTCTGCACTCACCTGTGCTTCTGTGAAACCTTGACCCTCTCACAGGGACGGGCCCCTCTTGGTTTGACCCAGTTTGTACCCTGGCTGCCACTTCCATCCTTTTAATTGTTCCCAGCCTTCTGCAATCTTCTCGAACCCACCGTTCCTTTCCAACTCACATCAGTTCTCTGGAATTTAGGATAAGTTGACAAGTAGGAGTTTCTGGGGTGTTTCAGAAGCAATGATGAGGAGAGAAAGGAAATGAGAGTCTGAAGACAGAAAGTCAAGGCAAGTTTTTTCTTTATAGCTGGCCATGAAGAGGACAGAAATTGTTCATTCACTTAAAAGGAAGAAGGTCATCCTAAGAAATGGGTTTGCTTTAGGTCAGAGAAGACAGCAGAGTGGAAAGGATTAGAGAAACCATTGCTGAGGCAGAATTGCTAGAGGAGCGCTCATTTTTCTCATCTATAAACTGGCATGGCCTTACTTTACAGACTTGTCTGTGGATGGAATGTTACTACAGGAAAGCTTCAGATATATTAATGTTCAAGAATGTTTACTTTTGCCCTCTCTTCCTCTTGAAATAGCTATTGACATTCAAATATATTAAGGAGTAAGATAGAGGGGGTATTCTGAATAAATTTTTAGCCACAGAGGATAAAATATATAGTTTTTTTATAAAGTTAATTTTTTTTGTTGTTTTAGACATAAGATCTCGATATGCTGCCCAGGCTGGACTCAAACTCCTGGGCTCAAGCAATCCTCTCACCTTGGCCTCCTAAATAGCTGGGACTATAGGCGCACACTACTGTGCCCAGTTTAAAATCAATTATTATGCCATGACCATGACAGACTCTCTGAGCAGGCTCCCTGGGGTTGCAAGAAGACCCAAAGCAAGAAGAATAGAGTTTTACAGAGGATTGTTCATCAGAGCTCAGGTGCATGCCTCCTGCACAAGACTGCACCAGGTGATGTCAAGTTTGGCCCAGTACAGCACTTTGCTAAAGAGTTATCTAAGTCATGAGCCCTCTCTGCACTGCCACATCTCTGAGAACCCCTCCTAGTTCAGTTAATCTCTCTAGCAACCCACATTTCAAAACAAACAAGAAAAGCATTATCAAGAGAAAGGAACCAGTTGCTACAGCCCTCAGACCAGATGCAAGGAGGACCGCCCCTCAAGGGTCTCATTTGATGACCTTAGATTTTTTTCTATTGTTCAGGTGTGGGGCATCTTGTAATCTATAGAAACTACCGATTAGCACTGTCAAATTCCCAAAGAGAACTGTTGACTTAGCATCAAGACTTCTGCTTAGTTCTTTATCATCTTGAAGCCAAAGACTCCTTTGAAAATCTAAGGAAATATTTGAATCTTCTTCCATAGAAAACCTTACATACACAAAAACCTGGCATACAACTTGAAAGATTTCAGTTGTTAAAAGCACCTGAATGTTCAGCAAAGCAGAGATTATATAAATCCTAAAATCCAAGCTCTATAAATTTATACCTAAGATTTTTTAAGTAGACAATAAAATGCTTTCAGATAAGAAAGAATAAACACTATCAGAGAGAACAAAAGGAAAGGGAATACAAACTAAGCTATGTGCTCACTTTAGTTTGCCCGGTTCCATTTAAGCATCTCTGTTTCTCCGCCTTCCTAATCAAAGGCTTACTTCGTGAGTATCTGAATGCAGCTGCAAAAGATGTCCTAAAATCCGTGGGAAATAATGAAGACAAGGCTTTCCTTGTTCTATCCTGCTACACAGAAACAGAGCAGTCTTATGATGTATAGGGCTTTCTCCAGAGACTTCTCCTACCTGGACAGGATTTTTAATGATGCAGCCTTCAATACTGGCCTCTCTTAATGTTAGCCTGGTTAGAAGAGAGAAAGGCAGATAAAATTATTCATAGCTTGACAAGTGGAATATAGCTTAATGTTAAGACATCATTTTAATTAGGTTCAATCAATAGAAGAAAAACAGTTTAGCATCTTTCCCCAATGGTTTGTTTTGCACATCAGGGTCTCTTATCGGCCAACCATTTCTAAAGAGTTCCAAATATGGTAGCTTTGACAACTTTACAAAGAAAACATCTTCTCCTCCACATATAAATCATTAAAATTCTTTCAGCTCAGTATTCTTTCTTGTCTAGCACTATTCATGTCAGAGCACTTGACAATGAAGTCTCTTAAAACCAGGCTACCAGGGGATCATGCTGCCATTTTATATTTTGTTGATTCTTCCCTGATCTAACACAGTGTTCCCCAAACATACTTGACTTGTACTAGGCTGGCTACAATAAAATTCCCTATGGCCAGGCGCAGTGGCTCACACCAATAATCTCAGCACTTTGGGAGGCCAAGGCTGGTGGATCACTTGAGGTCAGGAGTTTGAGGCCAGCCTGGCCAACATGGTGAAACCCCGTGTCTAATAAAAATACAAAAATTACCCGGGTGTGGTAGCGCATGCCTGTAATTCCAGCTGTTCGGGAGGCTGAGGCAGGATAATCACCTGAACCTGGGAGCTGGAGGTTGCAGTGAGCCAAGCTTGCGCCAGTGAGGCTCTGTCTCAAAAAAAAAAGAAAAAACCCTGGAAGCTTATCACCAACCCCAGAGATTCTGGCTCAGGAGGCCCAGTGTATTTTTGTTAAGTACCCCCAGGGTGATTTACCCAGAGTCTGGAACCACTGCTGTAGCACCTCCTTCCTTCTTCCTGTTCAGAACTAACACCATGAAGCTTGAGCTTCACAAATACTGTCATTGTCATCTCAGCATATCACATCCCAGACAGAACACTCACTACACCCTGATCCAACCTGAGATGTTGGGAGAATATGTATATTTCCTCCCTCCTTTCCACCAATGCTCCTAAACTCTACTAGTTATGTCCTTTGTAAGATCATCCTGTGATGGTCATTACAGCATTTTATTATATATGATTTCAGGATACAAGAGCTGTTAGGCATAATAGAAATAAGTTAAAATTTGGACCACTTAAACAAATACACGTCCTCCACCGCACCCTTTCCCACCCTGCCCCATTTCCCAGTGTTTGTTCTTCCTAACATCTCAGCAGGAGCCTCTGAGTCAATGGAGGGTCCAATTCTTGGTTTCTCCATCTCTCACAGTACTCTTTCAAGTTTAAAACACAGAGAACAGTCTTGAAAGCCATGGATTCAGAGAAACTTAAGAAAGAAAATGTTTTGTAACTGTTGCTGTTTGCTGTGTGTATTAGAATTCCAGATATTTGCCTGTGACCAGCAAGAGCAAAGCCTAGGAGACTCAAGCACAGAACGAATATGCTTTACAGAGTTAGAGAGGGCGCAGAAAGGAATGCAGCTCTTTTTTTAAGCAATAGGTGATTTTTTTAAAAATCTAACCAGCTAGAGAAAGGAGAAGGTTTTCAATACTTATGATCAAAGCTTACTCCTTGGCCCCTGCTCAACCTTGTCAAAACCCTTGTGAGAAGGAGTTAGAAACACCAACACAGGGCTGGAAATATGTGAGTAAGCTAATCTGAGACTCAATTTATATTTGAAGTGTTAGGCTAGAAATGATAGCAAGTATGTTTAGGTTTTTTTTGTTGTTGTTTTTTTCTTTTTTTGAGACGCAGTTTGTTTCTTCTCACCCAGGCTGGAGTGCAGTGCACAATCCTGGCTCACTGCAACCTCCGCCTTCTGGGTTCAAGTGATTCTCCTGCCTCAGCCTCCTGAGTAGCTGGGATTACAGGTGTGCCCTCCATGCCCAGCTAATTTTTGTATTTTTAGTAGAGACAGGGTTTTGCCATGTTGGCCAGGCTGGTCTGGAACTCCTGACCTCAGGTGATCTGCCTGCCTCGGCCTCCCAAAATTCTGGAATTACAGGCATGAGCCACTGCCCCTAGCCAGTGTTTTTTTTTTTTTAAAGGCTCAGGCAGTCCCCACAGGAAACAGCAGGGTGACCAAAAATTCTTGTGCCACAGAAAGATGGAAGTAGCTGAATGAGGACACCTTGAAGTTGGGACAAAAACAACAGATACCTACTTGGAGAGCAGAAGGGGAAGCAAATGTTTCATCAGAAGACTGAGCAGGGATGGAAGCCCATGAAGACACCAAGAAAGAAGCCACTTCCCCGCCCCCATGCACCATGACTTCCAGAGCCCCTGGGGAGAAAACCAAGGAGGAAATCTTGAACTGACAGTATTTACCCAACAGAGACTGGGTTTTGCACAAGAAGCAGCCAACTTAAGATGCCATTAATGGAATGGGGACCACGCCATGTAGGTACCTCTTGCCATGTGGATATTAGAGCTTCTCCAGTCATCTTGCCTCCATGTGGTATCTAAAAATGGATTCACCTCCAAGGAACCAGAGGCAAAATTTATAAAAAGGAAAGGAGAAAAATTTGGTTCTGAGAATATTGTTGAGTCCCTAGATCCAGCCATGCTTGAAATATGTCTTACTTGTAAACATTTTAGTCGTGTGAGTTAAAAAGATCATGGTTACCTAAGCAAATTACAGTTGGATTTTCTGTTACATGGAACCAAAGTGTCACAAAAACTGTAAATTAGAACATTTAAATATTGTAGAACACCAAAGCTGGGGTAGAGAGATAGATAGAGAAGAGGGGAAGAAGAGAGCTTGATTGACAATTGATGGGGGAATTGAGTCAAAGAGAGCCTAGACGATGAGCAGGACTGGTGGTCTAGCTAGGAAGAATTGACCAGTCATCAATGAAGTGCCAATCTTTTTGCCCGAAAAGTCATCTGAATATAGAAGCATTCAAACCACAACTGAGGCCTAGGTTCTACAAGAAACACAAGTTTTGAAACAGCAAGTGACACAATTCTGGTTGACTGTTTTAAAGGGAACCAATATGGGACACGTAGTCTCTATCCTGAAGTCACAGAGTTACCATAAAACAAGGCCAGTTCCGAGGTCTACAACCAGAACCTTCCCTAGCAACTGACCAGTGTGTGTGATGTCCAGTGGATATGATGACCAGTGGATGTGATGCCCAGGGCAGTGGAAGGACCTTCCCAGGTCAAAGTCACAGAGGATTCCCAGATAAGGGCAGGATGCTGATGAGCTTAGGAGAAGGCAGCATAAAGCACTGGGGGCATCTGTGAGGGCACGTGAAGGAAGTTGCCCTGAGGCAGAAGCACTATTTTCAGACCAAGAAGGCTGCTCATCCTCAGCAAGAAATTGGCATTTTCTTCGAGATTATCCAGAAATGACAGGGGATTACCTAAAAAGCAAGCAAACCTAGTTCTCATGACACTTCAGTGGGCCATAGTCAAGGCCTATCTGTGTCAAAATTCCTTGAGACTAGCAGTAAAATATTATTCTTGTAGATTTTTGACTTTTTTGTCAATATCAACCATTGTCAACTAGCTGAATCTCCAAAGCAAGCATATATGAGATGTGTTTCTTTCAGAGGTCATAAGCTGAAAAGCATGACTCCTGTTCCACTGGCAGTCTTTGAAACTATAAAGATGTGGGCCAAATACCTGAGCCCTATCAAAGACAGAAAGGCATGCACAGTGCATGGAGCCTGCTACCTCCATCTTTGCATGACATGGGGTAGCACATACAACACTTCTGGGGGCTTTGCTCACTTATGCAAGAGGCAAATCCGCTGTGAGTTGGCAAAAGGAAATAAAAGTGCTGCACAAGAAGGTCCCAGTTACCCCGGGCTGCTCAGCAAGGGAGAGCTGCTCTAGCTACTAGTGATTCTGTGCCAGACAGGGACAGGTGCGATCCACCAGCATGTCACGCAGCCTGGGGAGCATACTGTTGTCTTCCAAAAGAAAATAGGATCTAAATGTTGGAGGAGTACCATAATGCTATATATAAAAATGTGTACATGTCACACTTCTAAAGAGGAACACAAAGGTGAAGAAAGTGAAGGAGCAAGAGGAAAAGGAGACAAAATGAATTTTTCTTCCATTTAGATTTGTTAGAACTATCACCCTAACTAAATTAAGAAATAATGAAATTACATTTTAAAATGCATATTGATTTGGTTTCCCTTCAGCCATCAACCTGATAATTTAAAGCATCAGGGCCCATTTTCACCTAATATCAAGGTGCAATCAATGCTATAAAAGCACACGTTCTTGCATTCTTTATCTCTGCCTAACAGAGGAGAAAATTCTGTTTTAAACAGGATGTGTGCAGGATAAATTTTGTTTTAAACTGCAATAACAAGAAGCTTTAAAGTAAATCAGACACTGTAAAGTAAATTTACAATGCCTTGGAAAGAGCCCAAGACTGTGGGTTCTTAAATAGGTTCTCCCTGGTAAATGGAGCAGCCACCCTCTCTTTAAACAATAAGTCTATTCCCTTAATAACTTCAAGAAATACCTACTAAAATGGATTTTAGTCTGATAAGAAAAAGAAGTGGAAATATTTCCAGATCTTGGAATTGTTTTTAACTCATTGTAGGAAAAGTTCTTTGCAGAAGCATTGTTCAAGTTCCCCCCACCCTGGCCCAAGAGCCTTGGGTTCTCCTCCACTCTGAACAGGCCAATGAACTTGTCCTTCCAGTATGGGCTTTACCTGCTCCAGCCTCCATGCTTGTGCACACCTTTTCTTCCCTTGACCTGTGAGAATAGTACACACCAGTATACAGTGGCACACCATGCACTTGACATGTCCATCGTTTCCTTCTCAAAACATTTAATGATTCTGCTTTTTATTTATTTCATTTCCCACAATTGAATTAAAACTGATTTGAACTCCCAAATGTGTGACTAGCAGGAAGTACATTTTCACCCTCCTAGAGGCTCTCTCTTATCCTCTTCTGGATCATTCAAGAATTTCAGTCACATGCAGTCCAAACAAAGATCCCTCAAACATTCACTGCCAAGTGGATCCAAGACTCCAACAGCCCTGGTGTCTCTCAAACCATTGCCACTGGCATTGCCATATCTCTGCCACCCAGGACTGCCATCAAACAGTCTTCCCTCTGTCCAAAGCAAAGGCCCATCTCCCAGCACTGGTTGGCCAGGACTTCTGAAGTTAGATGTTGCCCCTGTATGCCTCCATTTCCTCAGAGCCACACATGATGCAAAGACTTTCTCACCATATTTGCCATGTTGTAGCCTAAGAGCCCTATCCTCTCAGTTCAATGAATGTCCATTCTTCTCTGAGCCCAGCTTCCCCAAAGACATGTTTAAGTCCATCAGGGACCCATAATCACTGGGCATTCATTCTGGGAGATGAGCCACTACAAGTGTTGAGTCACTCACTTTTTCAGTTCTCACACTACCAAAGTTCACTCTACTCCCTTCTCAAACTAAGGTGGTTTGATTGCCTCCAAAGGTGAGTGTCATGGAGGCAGAGTCTAGTAATTAAAAATGTACTTTCATCCTCTTGGGAGATGACTTACCAACGAGTCATGTCACCAGAAAAAGAAGGAAGACTCTTGGGTGTTTCTCCTTTTTGAGACTGTACAGAAAGCCCTCACCAGCTCAGTAACGTGAGGAAAAAAAGGGGGCATATAAATGTGGAAAGATGAATTAAAACTGTCTTTATTCACAAATGACATATGGGTCTACAAAGAAAATCTCAAATAATCTACCAATAAGGCTATTAGAACTAATAAGTGAGCTAGCAAAGTCACAAGCTAATTTTTTTCATTTTAGGTTCAGGGGTACATGTGCAGGTTTGTTACACAGGTAAACTCATGTCACAGGGGTTTGTTGTACAGATTATTTCATCACACAGGTATTAAGCCCTATAGTTATCTTTTCTGCTCCTCTCCCACCTTTCACCCTCCACCCTGAAGGAAACCTCAGTGTCTGTTGTTTCTTTCTTTGTGTTCGTGAATTCTCATTATTTAGCTTTTAAGTGAGAATATGCAGTATTTTGTTTTCTGTCCCCACATTAGTTTGCTGAGGATAATAGCCTCCAGCTCCATTCATGTTCCTACAAAAACACATGATCTCATTCTTTTTTATGGCTGCATAGCATTCCCTGTTGTATATGTACCAAGTTTTCTTTATCCAATCTGTCACTGATGGGCATTTAAGTTGATTCCAGGTATTTGCTATTGTGAATAGTGCATAATGAACATTTGTGTGCGTGAGTCTTTATGGTAGAATGATTTTTTTTTTTAGGTATTTGCCTGTAGTCCTAGCTACTTGGGAGGCTGAGGTGGGAGAATCCCTTGAGCCCAGGAGATCAAGGTTGCAATGAGCCATGATTGTGCCACTGCACTCCAGCCTGGGTGACAGAGCAAGAAAAAGGAAGGAAAAAAGGAAGGAAGGAAGGAAGGAAGGAAGGAAGGAAGGAAGGAAGGAAGGAAGGAAGGAAGGAAGGAAGGAAAGGTGGTGGGGGCAGGGAAAAACAAGAAATCAATAAAATTGAAACCAGAAAAATAATAGAGAAAACCAATGAAGCAAAAACTGGGTCCTTGAAAAACTCTATAAAAGTTACAAACTTCTAGCAAGACTGACAAAGAAAGAGAGAAGATACCAATTACTATATCAGGAATGAAACAGAATATCACTGCAGACACTGCAGATATCAACAGGATAGTAAGTGAATACTATGAACAATTCTATAATCATAAATTTACTAACTTAGAACAAATAGACCACTTACTTGAAAATCACAAAATACCATTCAATATAAAAGAGATTATTTGAATAATCTTATGACTGTTGAAGAAATTGAATCTATAATTTAAAAACCTCCCAAAAAGGAAATCTCCAGGCACAGATGGCTTCACAGGAAAATTCTCTCAAACAATCCAAAAGGAAGTAACACCAATTCTACACAATCTCCTCCAAAAAATAGAAAAGACTTCCCAATTCATTTTATGAAACTAATATTACCCTGATCCAAAAACCAGACAAAGACAGTATAAAAAATAGTCTATTCAAAATCTTTGCCCATTTTTAAACTGAGTTATTTGTCCTTTTATTGTTGAGTTGTAAGTATCAGACGGTGGCTTTGTATTAAGTTTTGAACTCAGGAAATAGAAATCCTCCAACTTTTTTTTTCAAGATTGTGTTGGCTATTTGAGGACCCTTGTATTTCTATATGAATTTTAGGATCAAACTGTCTTTTCTGCAAGAAAAAGCAATTGGCATTCTAATAGGGATTGCATTGAATCTCTAGACCAGGCTAGGAAATATGAGATGGGAATGAATCGTAAAAATATATATTTTACCTAAAGTAAGCTACAAATGTACTATCATTCCAATTTAAATTCCAATTCTTTTCAAACTGGATAAGTATGATTTTAACTTTAAATAGAATAATAAAAGTTAATTAATAGAAAAATAAATTTAGGGAGAGGGGTACAGAGTCTTGCTCTGTCTCCCAGGCTGGAGTGCAGTGGTGCAATCTCAGCTCACTGCAACCTCCACCTCCCAGGTTCAAGCAACTCTCCTGCCTCAGCCTCCCAAGTAGCTGTGACCAGGTGTCTGCCACTACGCCCAGTTAATTTTTGTATTTTTGGTAGAGACAGGATTTCACCACGTTGGCCAGGCTGGTCTGAAACCCCTGACCTCAGGTGATCCACCCACCTTGGCCTCCCAAAGTGCTGGGATTACAGGCATGAGCCACCATGCCTGGCCAGAAAAAGAAATTTTAAAATAAGAATAGTAAATAGGAGCCAGGCATGGTGGCAGCACCTGTGATCCCAGCTACCCATAAGGCTGAGGCAAGAGGATTGCTTGAGCCCAGGAGCTCAAGGCCAGCCTGGCCAACTTAACAAGACCCTGTTCTCTGAAAAAAAAAAAAAAAAAAAAAGAAATATTGAAAATATTTTCAGGAATTAACAAATAAGGTACAGAAAAAATATAGAGGATGCAGAAGAAATCAAATCCAAGTACATATGAGAAAGTTAATATATGTCAAAAATGGTGTTTCAATTTAGTGGAAAACAAAACAAAACCCCAAACAAAAATACAGACACTCAAGTTATATAACAAATTTAAATGATGGACACAAATTGGGAAAAAATGATCAATCATAATAGTAAAATTTAAGAAAAGATTATTTCATTTTTTACCAGTCATATTGACCAAGATTAACAAAATGATATAACCTGGCTATGATAGATTACAAAAATGATCACAATATTTAGCAGTTTGTCCCATGAAGAGGTATAGCTTATTTTCCATCTTATGGATCCCAGCTTGACCAAGTGGCTTGCTTTGGCCAAAGGGTTATTAGCAAATGTTACCCAAATGCAGGCTTGAAAAGTACTGATGCAATGGAACTTGCAACTTCCAGTTCTTGGGAATCCATTGGCCACCAACAACATGCTGACTGACAAATACAAATGACCTAGTTGTCTCCATCACTCCACCTAACAGCCAGCCAACTGCCAGACATGTGAGCGAGGTCACTGACCTCCAGCTGACTGTAAAACTGGGGCACTATGGTCAACATAGGTGAGCCATCCCATCTGGGCCCTGCCTAAATTGCTGATCAATGGAATGGTGGGCAAATAAGTGGTTGTTGGTTTCAAACCACTAAGTTTTCAGAAGCTTGTTACACAGCACAAATTAACCAGTACGTTGATGTTGGTGGGAGTATGGAAAAGCCAACACTGTTGTGAACTACTGGTAGAGTGCAACTAGAAAGTAATCTGGCAATATCAATTTTATTTCTTTTTTAAGACAGTCTCGCTCTGTCGCCCAGGCTGGAGTGCAGTGGCGCAATCTCGGCTCACTGCAAGCTCCGCCTCCCGGGTCCACGCCATTCTTCTGCCTCAGGCTCCCAAGTAGCTGGGACTATAGGCGCCCGCCACCACGCTTGGCTAATTTTCTTTCCCTTTTTTTTTTTTTTTTTTTTTTTTTGGATTTTTAGTAGGGACGAGGTTTCACCATGTTAACCATGATGGTCTCGATCTCCTGACCTCGTGATCCACCCGCATACCATTAGGCAGCAATTCCACCTCTGGAAATTTGTCTTATAAAAAATATGGACGCATGCTTACAAAAATAAAAGAATGTTATGGAAAGCATTGTTCATATCAGGAAAAAAATAGAGACAATTTATTTTCTTTTCTTTTTTCCTTTTTTGGATACAGAGTCTTGCTCCGTCACCCAGTGGGGTGATCTCTGCTGACTGCAACCTCCGCCTCCCGGGTTCAAGTGATGCTCCTGCTTCAGCTTCCTGAGTAGCTGGAATGACAGGCATGTGCCACCAAGCCTGGTTAATTTTTGCATTTTTAGTAGAAATGGGGTTTCACCATGTTGGCCAGGCTGGTCTCAAACTCCTGGCTTCAAGTGATCCTCCTGCCTCAGCCTCCCAAAGTGCCGGGATTACAGGGTGAGCCACCACATCCAGTCCATTTAAGTTCTTATTTAAATTTTTTTTTTATTTTAGATTCAGAGGGTACACATGCAGGTTTGTTACGAGGGTATATTGTGTGACGCTGGGGTTTGGGCTTCTGTTGAACCCATCGCCTGAATAGTGAACACAGTACCCATTAGGAAGCTTTTCAGCCCTTGCTCCCCTCCCTTCTCCATTTTGGAGTCCCCAGGGTCTATTGTTCCCATCTTTATGCCCATGTATACCCAAAGTTTAGCTTCCACTTATAAGTAAGGACATGTGACATTTGGCTTTCTGTTTCTGTGTTAATCTGCTTAGGACAATGGCCTCCAGCTGCATCCATGTTGCTATAAAGGACATGATTTTGTTCTTTTTTATGGCTGCATAGTATTCTATGGTGTGCATGTTCCACATTTTCTTCATCCAACCCATCATTGATGGGAACCTAGATTGATTCCATATGGAGACACCTTTAATATCCATTAATAGAGATTGGCCAAATAACAGCACAGCCCTGAAGCAGAATACAATGCAGCATTTTAAAGAATTGAGTGGATCTATACAGTGGATACTAAGTAGTACCAAGCATTCTCTCTCAATTTTTCTAAAAATAAAATACCTAACTCTAAAAAACCAGGCTCAGCCTAACCCAATACCCAGTCCCCCTACACACAATAATTGATTCAACGATAGGCATATGACTTCCCCTGCATTTTTCTGTCTGGAGCTGGTGGAGGGCACACGCCCTATCTAGCAATGAGGCTGGAAAGAGCTGTCCCAATAGATCCAGTATATTGGAGATCCACAGCCGAAAGGAATGAAACCAACAGGCCAACAGAAGCTCAGAAGAGAAAAGAGGACCGTTCCACTTCTGGCCTGGCAAGAGCTAATGGGATGACTTGAAACTGCTCACCCCACAATCAGCTGAGCTCACATGTGCAGGGGATGGGGCCCTGTGGCTTCCCCTTCCACCTCCCCACTACACTGAGGTCCACATCAACCCTACAAAGTTCAACACTTGTGTATGCTACCCATGGTGGAGTGGGCAGCACTCCTGGAAGCAGCCAAGACTCTGGACCTGCTCGAGGTTTCCAAAGGGCTGATTCAGGGGTATGAGCATTATGAGAAATTTCCAAGGGAGATGCACCACATGCTGCTCGAGCTGGATGTGTTAGAGGACACCTTGCAATGCGCAGAGTCTGGACATCTGTCCCACATCAGCCGTGGGGACCCCAACATGCTACTGAGTGATGAGGAAATGAAAGTTGACCACGCCACGCACCAGTTTCTTGCTTTATGACCACGTGTATCTTTGTTGATGTAGACCCTGTTCACTAGTGCTGCCATGCGCATCCCCAACCCTTGACCCAAAGACAAACCAAACATGGTGTTCTATAGCCCAACAGTATGCATATATATTATCATTAAAGGTTCAAAACAAAACAAAAAAAAATTGAAAAGAAGAAAAAAGTCTACCTGCCCTTTCTGTGGCTTAATTACATAATCAATACTTCCTTTCTTTTTATCAGTCCAGTCAGAGTTGGGTTTCTTTCACATGCAAATAAAGAATCACTACAAACACAGTTCGGATGTAGTATTATACAAAGGAATACAAAGGACCAACTGTAGAAGATGTTTGTTTCTTACGATGGGTGGTATGCTATTACACTGTGTAATTTTGAATGTCTTTTTTTTGAGACGGAGTCTTGCTGTGTTGCCCAGGCTGGAGTGCAGTGGCACGATCTCTGCTCACTGCAACCTCTGCCTCCTAGGTTCAAGCGATTCTCCAGCCTCAGCATCTCAAATAGCTGGGATTACAGACTAATTTTCATATCTTTAGTGGAGACAGGGGTTTCACTATGTTGGCCAAGCTGGTCTCGAACTCCTGACCTCAGGTGATTCTCCCATCTTGGCTTCCCAAAGTGTTGGGATTACAGGTGTGAGCCACCACACCTAGTCCTTGAATGTCTTATAAATTACATAATAAATAATTGTAGGTTAAATAATTTCTGAAAAGGAAGACAGGCTGGGCATGGTGGCTTACATCTATAATCCCAGCACCTTGGGAGGCAAAGGTGGTTGGATCACTTGAGCTCAGGAGTTAGAGACCAGCCTGGCCAAGACAGTGAAGCCTGTCTCTACTACAAATACAAAAATTAGCTGGGTGTGGTAGTGCGCTCCTGTAGTCCCAGCTACTCAGGAGGCTAAGGCAGGAGAATCACTTGAACCTGGGAGGCAAAGTTAACAGTGAGCCGAGATTGTGCCACTGCACTCCAGCCTGGGCAACAGAGCAAGACTCCATCTCAAAAAAAAAAAAAAAAAGGAAGACAGATGTTTCAGGAAATGCAATAAAGGAGAGTTGAACTTTGGTTTCTGATTTGATGTCTAAGAATCAAATTTGAAAGAAAAAAGAATTTGAGGGGAAGCGGCAGGGCTGGGAGAGGGGCAGTAGGGGCCATCTCACTACCTTCCAGAGTGCATGGATTTTCCTGGTGTAGAGTGGGCACCATGCAAAGTGATCAGGCCCTAGTCATCTTGCCAGTGCACCACAGAGAAAACTGCCTTCCAGGTGAGGGCGCCTGAGCACAGAGCTGTGGGCTTGCCGCCCAGGATGGGCAGGTGGAAGTGGAAGTGGCCAGCCGCAGCCCATCTCCCAGGAAGAAGGCAGTATGGTGGCCCCCAGCACCTTCTAAAGCATCCCATGTGGCCCATGAGTTGGACCCTGCCACATAAGGGATCTTAGTCCAGTAAATGACCTGCAGAGAAGCACCAGAGATAAGCACAGCAGCGGCTACCAGGTAAGTAAAATGACCCTTGTCCCTTTCCCTCTCCTTCCTCCACACCCCAGTCTAACACGCACACAGCAGAAGCCTGCCTTAGAGAGGGAGGGGAGAAGGGATATCTGTAAGGCAGGGTGTCCCTCCTCTTCCATGGCTGGTAGATAGGGTCCCAGTTTAAACCTTTAGGGAAGGGAATAAAAGGGATAAGATTTAAACTATGTTTGAGGTTTTACAGCGAATTGACTTTTTGCATTCTTAGTTTTCAAATAAATACAGTTAGATTTTAACAAATAAAAGTAAAAAGTAATAAAATCTTCCCAAGGGATCATTAAAGAGCAAGACAGGGAGATTTAAGAGAGCATGGTTAAAGCCATACTTCGAGAAAAAACTGTTTCATGTTTCTATCCCAGTGAATTATGACTGCTCAGGAGGGTGGTCACTCGGAGGCTCAGGCTGCATTGCTCGGTACAGAATTGCGCTGGTGGGGCAGAAGCTTCTTCCTCATCAGCTGCCCCCCAGCTCCCGTGGAAATATCAGGTCAGAGGAACTCAGGTACACAGGTCTCCTCCCAATACCATCATTCAGGCAGGCACTGTGCAAATATTTCCAATCCTTACAGTGACTCTGCAGTTAGTTATTTAATATAATTACCTGCATTTTACAGGGAGGAAACAGACCTTCCGAGTGGTTGGGGCTGGCCCCAGGTCACAGACCCAGCTAGGGGGCTCTCAAAATGAGGTGTCCAGCTCCATCACCTGTGCAGCGCCCACCCTGCCTGAGTATGCTGCTTGCACGAACTCTCGCCAGAGCCCCTCAGACACCCCTGCGCCCCTGCTCCAGCTGCTCAGGCTGCTGTCCAGAGAACCCAGAATGCGAGGTGCTCCCATTTCTCCCTGTTTGAGGCGGCCCTTTGCCCACCTTCGCTGGTGGATATTTCAAGTCCAGCCTCTTTCATCATGTTCCTTCCCACAGTTTGGACTCACACTGATCTTTCTGCTTTCAAATCTTCAAATCTCAAGACCCTGAATCCAGTGTGTTTGATGTGATCGTGAAGGGGCAGAGGAAGCTCTTCTCCAGGAACCCCTGAAGTTAAAAAACAGCCTCCAGCCCGGCCTGAGGGAGGAAGTGGGGTGGATTAGCTAGAAAGGATGTTGACCCCCAAGGGTCAGACAGAGGAGGGGCCCTGTGGGCAGCGGGAAGTGAAAACAGGGAGTGCCTGGAAGAGATTGTTCATGCATTCAACCAGGGCCAAACTGCATGAGTAACGGGAGTGGGTGTGCTGGCCCACACTATATATAACCGCACCTGGAGACTCCCCCACAGCACAGAGCCATTGTGCTCTTGGATGGTTCTGGGGTGTATGGTTCAGCAAAAGCCCGAGTGAGACAGCCCAGAAAGAAAAGCTGGGAAAAGGAAGGCAGAAAGCCCTATCTTCCTCTTTTTTGATTCTCCTGAGTGGAGTGAGTGGAGCGGGATGTAGGATCCACTTGGGAAGAGGAAGGCCTCCCTTCCTTTGCAAACATGGACGTCGCAGCCGCCGCTGGTAATAAACTTCCAAGAAAGAACTGACTCCACCTTCACACCAGCATTGGCTGCAGAGGGTCTGAGGATGCTCCCGGCGTTCATTGACTGGTGAACTCGGGTTCTGTCCTCGAAGGTCTTCGGGCGGCTCTGTCTCTCTCTAAGTAGGGGGCGCATCTTGCAGGGTCTGTGTGCCCTGTTTTTGGAGATCACTGGACTTCTCTGGAGGAGGAGGCTCCAGGAGGACCCCTGCACGCATGTTTCCAGCACCCCAGGTGCATCCCCCTCCTCTAGTGGGAAATTCTGGGAAAGCCAGCCACCTTCTGAAGTTCCATTATATCTTGGGTCAGATAGTGCTCCTCTTGACATTGGGTGTTGTCCTTGTGCTGTCAGATAGAGAACCTGGCCCTAATGCTCAGTAATAGGATAAGGGAAGGTTCTAGGGTCTGGGGGAGGGGAGAGGAATGTCAAGTGTGGGAAGTCAGGCATCCCTCCAGGCTGAGCAGAACTGTAATTGATGCCAGATGAATGGGGCTTTGCCTCAAGGTGTCAATATGGAGCTGTTGGGCAGAATATTTTTTAATAATGATTTTTGAAGTTTAGCACCCAGTGATCAAGATCAATTAATTCTAACTGGAAGTTCTCAGCAGGAGTGCATTGTTGAAATCACTTATCTGTAAAGCCTGCTATCAATTACAGAGTTGATAAGAGATGCTGTCTAGGTTGGCCTTGAGCTGGTAGCAACAGTTCCACTGTTGCCTCTAGCAAAGTTTCAGAACTCTAGGTCTTTTACCCCTAAACTAAAAAAAAAAAAAAAAAAAAAATCCAGCTTTCAGAGGGATGTGCAAGGCTTCCTTTTATCACTAGGAACCTCTGTCCTTTTTCCTCAGTATTTTCCTGTTTCTCCATTGCTCTGTTTTGCATTTCAGTGCCATGTCCCTATGTTCTCTTTTACCTCCCCCTCCTGAATGATTTCTTCAAATCCACTCCCACTAGACTTGCCTTCCCCTCTGGGTGGACCCACTGGTGGGCATCTCATGAACCATGTACAGAGAGGATCACAGTCTTCCCCTCCCCACCATGGGGGGTTTCAGCATCCACGTCCCAGAGCTCCACAACTCCAGTGACAGTCACCCCCTCAGCAGTCCATCCTGCACATTTTGGTCACCCTGACCTACTTGTCTCTGAAATTCCCCTCTGATACTTTCTCCTGTCATCCCAGCTTCTCCCTCCCTTTTTCCCAAGCTCTCTTCAGATCTCACTTCCTCCATATGGAAATTGGAACTCTCGAACCCCAGTCTCACCAACACTCTCTGGCCCTCTTGTCTGCCTTCACCCCTGCTGCTGAAAGCACAGCTTCGGATGAATCCTATAGTCTCATCTCTGTTTACATGGGAGCTTCTGCTCACAAGAGCCTGAAGAGGGATGCTGATCTATGAACTCACCTTTATCAGGGCCTTCAATGTTGCAGAACAGAGCTCACTGCTTTTCTCAGGCCCACCCCTGCCAATGCCCCTGCCCCTCCCAACACCCAGCACTGTGCCCTCTCAGGTTTTCACCCCACTCTGATTTTACAAAGAAAACAGAAGGGAGCCCCCTCAGCTCCTCCACCATCTCATCCCCAAATCCCCCAACCTCAACCCAGAAAAACCTTCCCCATCCCATCTCCCACTCACCTTCTTCATTGGGTTCTCTCCTCCTTCAAGGCCTCACACACACATCAGCACTCTCTGGAGGCCTTCCTCTTCCATAGTAATGCTCAGTTACTGTCAGCCATAGTTACCTTTATCCCATGCCCCTTTACATGGAATCCACCACTCTGCCTTTTGCCAAAGGATAGTTTTTATACTTTTCATTGCATTGAACACACCATTACAATTATTTGTCTATACACCTTTCCCTTCTACAGGATGACAGGCTCCTTTAGGACAGGGAATGTATGTGTCTTATCTTTGAAGACAACGTATAGTGTCTGGCATATAATAGATGTTCAATAAATATTTGATGAAATAAATACCTAAATAAGTAACTGACTTCTCAGGTAGCTCTGTGATATCAATATGTTCATCTACTTATGGCAGCAATTAGCAGCACTTCGAGAGATTTTAAAACTGAAACACCCTGACTGCAGGCAAAACCAATTAAGTCAGAATCTCAAGGGGCCAGACCAAGCCTCAGTCTTTTTTTAAAGCTTCCACTGATTGCAGTGTGCAACCTGCTTTGAGAATCATTTGTTTATAGAAGGTAGAAACTCAGTATCTAATTCAGTATGTTGTGTTACAGCAAGAGCCTGACTCTAATCTAGTAAGAGAGACAAGCAAACCAGAGACAGATTCTTGAAATGATGAGCAATAATGAATTTGGCAGTGAGGCCAGTGGAAATGCATGAGGAAGCGGGGGCTGCTTGCCGCCTGCCAACAGGGTGTATGTGTTGTCAGCTCATGTCAGTCTCGATCTAACTAGATCATTGATAAGACTTTGGAGAAAAGAAAGAGGATCCTGGTGAGTCAGGAGGACAGGCTGTGCCGAGGTAAGGAGCAGAGGAGAAATGACCCAAGATTCTCATCTAGTGACTTTTCTGAAATGAATCTTCAGTGTCCGTTCCTGAACTTCAAGTGTTTTAGGTTAAGAATGGTCCCTAAGGCCGGGCGCGGTGGCTCACGCCTGTAGTCCCAGCACTTTGGGAGGCCGAGGCGGGCGGATCACCTGAGGTTGGGAGTTCAACACTAGCCTGACCAACATGGAGAAACCTCATCTCTACTAAAAATACAAAATTAGCTAGGCGTGGTGGCAGCGTGCACCTGTAATCCCAGCTACTCAGGAGGCTGAGGCAGGAGAATAGCGTGAACCTGGGAGGTGGAGGTTGTGGTGAGCCGAGACCGCACCATTGCACTCCAGCCTGGGTAGCAAGAGCGAAACTCCGTCTCGGGGGAAAAAAAAAAAAAAAAAAAAGAATGGTCCCTATGAAGTAAGTGTAGACCAGGGCTTTGCTCTCTGAGTATGATCCATCAGCCTAGCTTGGGAACTTGCTAGAAGTGCAGAATCTTGGAACTTCATTTTTAGCAAGATCCCAAGGAGATCTGCATGCACATTCATTTGAGAAGTACTGTTCTGGACCAATCTAAAGAAGAAGTGCAGCGATGGTCTGAGATTCGGCATTTCTGGATGATCTCAGGCAATGCAAATGCCGGCGGTCCAAAGAGACTCCATATTTGGTATTTCCTTGTGCCAGCCAGTGGAATTAGCAATCACTGCTCCAGCCTGCCCTGTACCCTGGTTATCTGTTATGAATCCCTTTGTTTCAAGTGAAAAGAAAATGAACTCATAGTAAATAAACTGAATTTGCTCACATAACTGAAGTAGTCAGAGGTACAGCTCACTCCCTGGGAGCCTTGATATTGTCACCTGGGATCCAGGTTCTCTGTGTCCTTGCTTGGCTTTGTGTCCGTTCTCCACCGGTAACCTCCTGGCCCAACTCTCATGAAAATGGCTGCATTGGTTATGGACCGTCACCCCCACTGTGTCCAAGGAGGGCTGCTTCCAGTCACTCTCTTGTTTGTTCATTTATTTATTTATTTATTTTGTGATGGAGTCTCGCTCTGTTCCTCAGGCTGGAGTGCAATGGCACAATCTCAGCTCACCGCAACCTCCACCTCTTGGGTTCAAGCGATTCTCCTGCCTCAGCCTCCCAAGTAGCTGGGATTACAGGCACCCACCACCATACCCAGCTAATTTTTGTATTTTTAGTAGAGACGAGGTTTCTCCATGTTGGTCAGGCTGGTCTCGAACTCCTGACCTCAGGCGATCCACCCGCCTTCTGAGTCACGTCTGTCCTTTAACTGGATAACTGGGGGGGTAGGGGGATGGGTAATGCCAACAAGCTTGAGACATGCCGGGCTCACCCGAGTGACCTCCACCCAGACCTCATGACTGACGATGCTGAAAGGGCAAGTTCTCCAAAGAAAAACCAAAGTTCTTCTGGGGAGACAGCAACAACTGCCATGGTCGCATCCCATCTGAGAGGCCAAACAGGGAGCTCTGTCCCCAATTCTTAAAGTGCAATACAGTGCTGGTCACCAGTTCTTAAACAGCAATACAGTGCTGGTCATGTGGGTATTACAGTATTTCTCTTTTTTTGAGATGGAATTTCAATCTTGTTGCCCAGGCTGGAGTACAATGGCGCTATCTCGGCTCACCGCAACCTCCGCCTCCCAGATTCAAGCGATTCTCTTGCCTCAGCCTCCCAAGTAGCTGGGATTACAGGCATGCGCCACCACGCCCAGCTGACTTTGTGTTTTTAGTAGAGACGGAGTTTTTCCATGTTGGTCAGACTGGCCTCCCAAAGTGCTGGGATTACAGGCATGAGCCATTGCATCCGGCCTATGGTATTTCATTTCAAAATTTATTTAACATGAATCCAGGGAGTTGAATTGCACCTTTGATCACAAAGATGCTTCCTGAAAAACCGATTTTAGAAATCCTCTACAGAAATCATTCACCCTACATCCACATCCCTGATTCCAGGGAAAAGCACTCAAACATTACAAAGCTCTTTTGAAAACCATAGCTAATTTTTGGTCGGAAAATAGCCAAGCTCATTCAAAGTCTTAAGTAAGTAGTATGAAAAATAGCAAGATACGTACTCTACATTTATCATGGAGAATGGCATGTATTAATCCATTTTATTAGCTCATTCTGCAGGTACTAATGTATCCCCAACCTTTGAAAAGCCTCCTCAGAAACTAGTATTTCAAACCTCTAACATTTAAGGGACAAAACACAAGCTCCTAAGAGGGTGTCACCCAACCTTTCTAAGAAGTAATGTCAACCAGAGAAAGTAGGGAAGGAACGTTCCACCCGGCAATGTTGTATTGTTACTCATTTTTGGTTGGGTCCCCACCTGGGCCATAAAGTTCTTGAGAATGAGAAGAACAGCAGCTAAGATTCCCTCCTCCCATCCCTGACGCTCCGCACCCATAATATGACGGTGCTCTGCTAAACGGCCTCCCATGGAGCTGCTTAAAGGAAAGCCTGGCCCTTTCCACCTGGATGTCCCCCAGCATATGCCCTCTCCCCCAGCTCTCCGGGTTCCTGCGTCCACTGGCCTCCTGTCCTCTGGTTTGGGGGTCAGGTTTGGCCAGCAAACCAGGTGGGCAACAGGATTTTCTCCGGGATTTATTTCCTAGTCCCATCTTTCTGGGCCACAATCAGCATTAGCTTCAAGGTCAGAGCTCCTGGCTGGCAGAACTCCTAAAGCCACAGTCATCGTGGGCTCCAGGGACTGCTTTGCCATCATCCCAGTCAGGCCTGATGAGTGCAGCTTTGAGCGCCTGGGGCCCTGGATGCTTCCAGTCCCGAGATGGATTCACATGTATAGACCACTCATGATCTTTCTTCGGGCACTCTTTAAGTATGTTAGCTGTTTCCTGCGGGGCCCTGAATAACACACACACACACTTCATTTAATTTTGCAGAATATAAAATCTACATACACACACAATTTTTTAAGAAAAACTTTATTTTTCAAATTTACAACATGTCAATAACCAAGAACTTTAAAATAATGACTTAAAATGTAGAAGATACTCAATAATTGTTAGTAAAATGTTTAAAACTAGTTGGAAGAAGATTACTTTTGGGGGAAAAAAGCTGTTTCTGCCACTGCCCATTAATTTTCCACTTTTAAAATGATCAAACTTTAATGCAAAATATAATGTGCATAAGTAGAAAATGGAAATAGACTGACTTTGCATATGCTTAAGCTGAGCACATTTTTCACTGCCTCCTTTGAGACGTTAACAGTATTAAACGCTGTCTTTACTGGAAAGTTCCTTCTGAGAAAGACAGGAATATTTCCTATATTCTGTCAGTCTTAGTAATACATGGTAAGCTGGTAACGCAACTCAAGAGGCCTGAGCAGAGAGGTTGAAGTCGGCACCGGCGCCTGGGCTGTTCCCAGGAGACTCCGCTGGCTGCGTGGGGTCAGCGCCGTCCAGCAGGGCGCGTCTTTGGAGGCGGCGTCAGCTGCCCCGGCGCGGCGGCTGCATCTGGAAACCGCGCGCGCCGCCCGCCAAGGGCGAGCCCGTCGCCCACAGTTCACGCGCATGGCGCCGGGGGTCGCCAGTAGGCCCAGCGATGAGGGGGCTGCGGGCTTGCAGTAGAGACCTGCGCTTAGCTGCTGGTGCGGGGCAGGCCTGGGGCAGCGCGGGGCGAGGAAGGCGGGGTCCGGCTCCACGCGGTCAAACGGGGACGCAGGGCGTGGGCAGTGGTGGCAGTGGAGCGGGAGTACGACCAGAGCCATGTGCGGGGCAGCGACCGGCAGGAGGGAAAGCCCTGCGCGGGGAAGGGCAGGCCCAGGCCGCCCAGGGCTACGCGGCCGCGAACGGTTGGGGGACGGTCCTGGTCTCTGGCCTGGTCCCGCAAGATCCCCGCGCTGCGCCGCCTCCCGGAGGAAGGCAGCTCCTCCTCCTGCGCCCACCTCGCTGGGTACCCAGTTGTTTCCCAAACTCACAAAGCGCAGACATCTCCCAAGAGGACAGGAAGCCTGCAAAGAGGCGCCCCACACACTTTTATCACCCAGACGAACACAGTGTGAGTGGAAGTTAACATTAACTATGACGCCAGAGCAGCGACCCCATCAGCCTACGATTATCGGGGCAGATCTCACCTCCTGGACAGAATCAGCTTCTTAGGTCTCAGCCTTACGACATGAGGGTCCCGGAAGTGCCAATAAGCCATCCACGCAGACCAGCACTTGCCCAGGTAAGCAGGCAACGGAGGGGCAATGCTCCAGGAGGAAATAACCCACCCAGAGTTTTCTATGCACCTCTCTCTGCCAGCACCCCTGAGATAAAGAAAGCACCGGTCTTGTAAAATATTGCAATTATGGTGTGCACAATTTTTACCCCTTTTCTTATGGAGTGAAACGTGCTCCCCAGTGAGTCTACATTTAAGTACAGGTACTATCTGTTCTGTGCATAAACTCAATTTGTGCATGTGTGAGGGGGTCTGAGGGCTCAGACTGTACACGATGTAAAAGATTAAGTCACAAACTGACATTGGACTGGAGACGGGACAAGTGGGGCTGACCCCACGGAAGAGTGGAGAAGACCATCAACCGGTAAATCGAAGTCCATCTTCTAGGAATACAAGACCGCCAAATGTGTACTCTAAACTGAAAAAGCAAGTTTCAGAATAGTAGGAAAATGCGATCCCAATGGGGGCTTGGGGGGAGAAACTCCTCTGTATGACTGTAAATAGAAAATGTGTGCGGCTGGGCGCGGTGGCTCACGCCTGTAATCCCAGAATTTTGGGAGGCCGAGTTGGGCAGATCGCCTGAGGTCAGGAGTTCCAGACCATCGTGGCCAACGTAGTGAAATCCCGTCTCTACTAAAAATGCAAAAAATAGCTGGGCCTGGTGGCGGACGCCTGTAATCCGAGCTACTCGGGAGGCTGAGGTAGAACTGCTTGAACCCAGGAGACGGAGGTTGCAGTGAGCGGAGATCGCACCACTGCACTCCAGCGTGGTGACAGAGCCAGACTCCATCTCAAAAAAAGAAAAAAAGAAAGCGAGAAAGAGAGGAAAGAAAGAAAGAAAGAGAAAGAAAGAAAGAAAGAGAGAGAAAGAAAGAGAAAAAAGAAAGAAAGAAAAAGAAAGAAAGAAAGAAAGAAAAAGAAAAGAAATAAAGGAAAGAAAGAAAAGAAAAGAGAAAATGTGTTCAAGGGAACACAGGACACATATCTGAATATCTGAAGTTGGGACTGGAGCAGGGAAACTGTTTTCATATGCTGCTTACATTTCTATGAAATAAGTTTTAAATAAAGCTATAATGCAGAATAGAAAGGGTTTTACACTGGTTTGATTAAAATAAACTCGGGCCATTTTATTCCTTCTCTTAAAAGCAAAAAACAGGCGGGGCGCGGTGGGTAACGCCTGTAATTCCAACACTTTGGGAGGCCAAGGCGGGTGGATCACTTGAAGTCAGGAGTTCAAGACCAGACTGGCCAACATAGCGAAACCACGTCTCTACTAAAAAATAAGACAATTAGCCAGGAGTGGTGGCACGCGCCAGTAATCCCAGCTGCTTGGGAGGCTGGGACAGGAGAATCGCTTGAACCCGGGAGGCAGAGGTTGCAATGAGCCGAGATCGCGCCACTGCACTCCAGCCTGGGCGACAGAGCTAGACGTCATCTCAAAAAATAAACAAACAAACTCTGGCCATGTTATTCCTTCTCTTAAAAGCAAAAAACAGGCCAGGCGCGGTGGCACATGCCTATAATCCCAGCACTTTGGGAGACAGAGGCAGGAGGATCGCTTGGGCCCAGGAGGTCCAGGTTGCAGTGAGCTGCGATGCACCACTGCACTCCAGCTTGGGCGACAGAAGGATACCCTGTCAAAAAATAAACAAACAGAAAAGCCGCTCCCTATTAACTTCAAAAGACTCTGGAAAATTAACTCGATGTGTGCACAGGTAGAGGCCATCCTCTCCCAAACTTCAGCAACAAACTAGAGCTCTAGATTGCAACCTGGCTAGCTTGAAATTCTAAAGCTTTAGGCGTTTTCCTGAAAGGCTGTTAAATGTATTTCTAGCTCCATGTGTGGCGAGCAGTTAGAATCTGTAATAACTCAGCACCCATCTCTCAATTCCTTACTCAATAAATGAACAAGGAATACAACTTTTTTTTCTTTTAACTTGGAATAGGGGCATACTTTTTAACTTGGAATAGAGCTGTTTCGTTTTTGCAGAACCTGGCCTAATTAGGCGGCACATTAAAACCTTTCTCCCAAGACTGCAAAATTTTGTGTTATCGTTTATACCTGGAGATAATTAACAATTTGGTTTTGAACTTTTTATTTAATGTCATCTCCAGCTCCCAAGACGAGTCTGCAATTGCCGGTCAAGTCTCCCTAAAGGGAAACACTAAATATGAGAATCGCTAAACACGAAAGAGTTTTCGGAGGTAGAGCCACCGACCGGTTCTTGAGGATGTTCGCCAAGCCCGGCGTCTCCCCGCGCAGAAGCCCAGCCCTCCCACGTCCGGGGTTCCCGGCGCCCGGGTTCCCCGCGCTCCGCCTCCCCCGGCGTCGGGCGCAGCTGGGCGTCAAGCTGGGCGGGGGTCCCTCGCCAGCCTCTGGCGCTCGACCTTCGCCCCACCTGGAAGGCGCCGGATGCGAGACTCGCCCTTGGCTCGGCCCGCGGCCCCGGCCGGCGCCTCGCCCTTCACCTTCAAGTCCCCGAGGGAGCTCGGCAACTCGGCCCAAGGACAGGGGCCCAGCCTAGCCGTCACCGCCGGCAGCGCGCTCCGGGTCTGGCTCTGGTAGTCACTGGCGTATCCCGCATCCGGCCTGCTCACGGCGCTCCAGGCCTGCCCCGCGCGCCGAAACCCTCCGCCGGACGCGGAGGAAAAGAAGGTGGTGAGCGAGGCACGGAGATGCTCCGACGGCTGCGCGGGTCTCCGAGGCCGAACCGCCACCCGCGTTCCGGGCCAGTCCCAGCCCACGGCGTGGCCAGCGCTGCCGCCGGTCCAGCGACACTGCGGGCGCCCCCGGGCCGCGGGGCCTCTTCTGAGACCATGTGGCCCACAGAGAATCTAAGCTCCCGCCGCCGGGCTCCACCTCAACGGCGGAGAACTCGGGCGCCGAGCATCGCCCGATCCCTACCCGGCAGCGGACGGCTACAGGGTTTGATTTTCCCCTCCACAGGAAAGAACGTGCAGAGGCACAAATCCCCTCCTCTTCCCTCAGAGGAAAGCCTGTCCCAGCGGTCCCGCTGAGAACTTCCGAAGCCTTGGCGCGGCAGGCAGGCCCCTGAGCCGGTGCACCGCGAAGTTGCATTCTCACCTTCGAGTCACCGTGGCTTAGGCCGAGTAAACGAGCACTTCATCTAGCGCCGGGCGGGCCCCGGCACCAAGCTAAGAGCTCAAAACTCCTCGAAGCGGGCGCGCGACGTCGCGGTCCGAGCTCTCCTCGCCGCACTCCCCCATCAGACCTAAGATCTTTTACCTTTTAAATTAAAGTGAATCCAGATCCTTGTTAATGCGGCCTAATGTAGCAGCGGGAAGAGTGTAGGTCCCTGGCGAGGGGAGCGCGCTCCGGTGACCTCTAGCGCCTCAGACGCCCGCGCAGGAGGAACTCCCGCAGCCCGCCCGGGACCCGAGGGCAGGAGGGTGCGGGGAACGGGGCTGCCACTGCGCCTAAGCCTTTCCCCTTTTATAGGCTTTAGGGAAACAAATCCTCTTTTCCTAGTGGATGTAAGAAGTGAGTGAATTTAAAGTCACAGCCACGGCGGTAAGCGGCCCCAATTGTCTGGGATTCATAATGCTGTTAATATACACACGTATATGTAACAGCACTTTGCAGGTATACATACATATATATTATATGTATTTTTTTTCATATGACGTTTGCATCAATATTCTGCGTGCTGTCCCTCCCCCACCCCAACCCCAATCTGTTTTTAAAAATCCACCTCCGCAGAAGAGGAGAGGAGTGCTTCAGGGAAGGGTGGAGGCATCCATGTCCTCACCTTTCCCAGTGAGGAATCGAGACTTCCCGCCTTCGCGATGGAACTAGAAAAGGGTATGTAGTCCTGGACTTTAAAAGACAATTAACAGAAGTGGAAATAAGGATGTAACTATATTCCGAGGAAGAGCGGGCAGGAAATTCTTAGCTGTCGTAGCAGAAAGTAAATGTCTAAAACTCATAAGCCTAAAATTAGCCATGCAGGTACATTAATTAATTAACCACTAGACAAGCAGAATTATTAATGTAGGTAATGCCCAGTAGGGGGAAGAAAAAAGGAATTGATTCTGACCTGTGGCACTGGGGCTGGGGAGAGATGGAAACTTCTGACAACTCTGTTTATATTACAAGCCCGTCTGCAATGTTGTTTGAGTTGTTGTAAGCGTGTGCATCATTTACATTTTTAAAATTATTTTTAAATGAATAAAACAATAATGTTTTCTATATCCACAGTCTCGTTATTGAAACTACAAACCTAAATTTTTATTTTCTATTTTTCCTTCCTGTTATCTCAGTAAGCTTTTTCAGGTCAATATTCTTGGTGCGCATGTGTGCACCTCTGATCCTTACTATTGTATTCAAACGTCCAAACAAATATTTATTTTAAAAAGCAGAAAAATCCACTATATAGGGGGCAGCTATAAAATTGCTCCTTCCATTTTGCTGGTGTCTACTAATTTTCTTCTATCAGTCCGTCCATATCCATCAGTTCACAGAAATAACTTCTGAGGACTGAGGGATTTAAAAGCCTGCGGATCGCGTTTCAGTATTACCTGGAACTACTGGAAGCCAGAATCTTTTCTTAATTTGCCTTTTTCCCCATTACACTCTGCTTATTCCTCCTCAAGAATTCAGACCCTGTTCAGTTCTCAAAAAGTAAACGGTATGGAAATCGATTCAGGACTTCAGAAACCATACTGGTGGGAGGAGGGGCTAACAGAAAGATAAATGTTGGCAAACTTGATATCGCATTCAGTATGTCCCAATTAACTGTCCCTTTTATAAAGATCTTAAGATTTTCATGCAGGATGGGAGTTCTTGTGTATTAAGACATTCTATACAAAGTTCTCCAACTGACAATTATTTTTTTCTCATTTTATAATCAAAGAGACTAAGCTGTCCAAAGCACAAAGTAAAACACAGATGCTGTGTCTCCAGCAAACACAGACCATCTTATAGGGCTGTAAAATTCTCATTCCACTAAGGAAAGCACCCGGGGAAGGCGAGTTCCTGTTGTTTTTTCTTTCCCAATGGAAGAATGAAATTAAATTCCCCAAGTCAGCTGAGATAGAGAGAGATACATAAAATCAAAAGATAGGAAGCCGGAGAGAGGGAGAGAGATCACTTTCTGTGGCACTGAAGCACTCCCTTCAGCGTAATCTCATCTAATCCCTACAACAGTTCAGTGAAGCTTTCGCCGTTATCCAGAGTCAACTTTGGCAAAATGTTTTACCGTCACCCCTGCTTTTTACAGATAAGCTGGCTGGAGTGCAGAAATGGTCGGTGATGTCTCCAAACTCACAGAGCTAAGTTTCCAAGCCAGGTGAACCTCTGATTCAAACTGCAGAGATTTTTCTTCTTACGGAGGACAGACACTGCTAGCTTTATTCATAGAGCTATTCTCTAATCCTTGCTCCAGTAGTTTACAGTCTGGGGTTAAATTTTTGTGTTCAAACACATTATTCAAGAGAAAGGAATAATAGTCACCAGGTGACTGCCTCTAATAGAAAAGAGAGGCAAAGCAGGAACTCTTGAGTTTCCTTGGGGCTTCCCAGCAAGTTGCTTCCAGCAAGTTATTCAGTCAGTTTTCTGAGCAACCGGTAACGTCAGGTAATACTGAAAATGAGACAGTCCTTAACCAAGAGCAGAAAACTGCTGGGTTTAACTTCACACGCACCACAGTTCTTTTTCTTGCCTAACAAGTTATCAGGCTTATGGGAAGGCACTGACTTACAGAACTGGGATCCACAGCACAGCTACTGATGTTTATTTTTTTTGTTATCTGAACCTGCACACAGAGAGTATCCTCACAAGATCATCTTTTGGAGCAACATCAATTTGGGGAATACTTGTTAGGAAGTCAACTTTGGCAAAAGGTTTAAGACTTCGATTCAAGTGGAAAAAAAGATTGTCAAAGCTAAAATTTCTTCAGCAAGAAGAGATTTTTAAAATATTTAGCCAAATGGTTTCTTGAATCTTAGCTACAGAGAAATTTTTACATTAAAGAACATCATGATTATCACAACAACTTACTTAGCACTTGCGTGTACTAAGTGCTGCACTAAGACATTGTAGTTTCCAGTGTCTTGAACCAACCTGGGAAAAATATCAGTGGTGAGGGTTCAGTGTTTGTATATGGAGGATGGTGCAAACTGAATTATTCCCATAAAGCTGCTTGGTAATTCCAGAGAAAGCACACAGCCACCTTCTCATTAGAAGGAGGGTAGGGATAGGTGTTATGGTGAAAAACTGAGATGCTGCTGGATCCCAGGCCAGAGGACCTAAAGAAATACTCTCTCCATTAGGAGCCCACCCTGTGGAGGAACTTGAGCCTACTCCAGATGGGGACTGGGTAGGAACATCAGTGCCATTTTTCTTCAGATGAATATTGTAGACCCAGAAGGAAGCACCTTGTAAGCAGGAAAAATAAATTTGTGCTGAAATAATGGATGTAAAATACTTCTCCCTGTCCACTATTGTCAAAACAAATCAAAGAGGAACAGGAGGAGGAAGGGAATGTTGAACATTTATTATGTGACAGGCACAGTATTAAAAACAAAATGAAATGGGACATTTTAAAATGTTAGGCTGAGATGATGTCTTTTGGTTCATTGCACCCTTTCCATTTTATCTGAATTCCTTTGGCTTGTATGTGCTTTTCCTAATATCAGTACAAATTCAAGCTGATATCTTCTGCAGCGTGATTCAAACTAAAGAGGCAATAATCTACTGATAAGAATAATAAGTAAATTGTTTCATTGCAATATTATCTCTTAGCTGCTTGTGTAAGTCATTTACAAGTTTATCTGTAATTTATCAGACCCACCTGGTAGCTTTAATAGAGATGTAGTCAGTATTCTCATGGGGGAAAAAATAACCTCTTCCTTATTGCTCCGGATGTCTCAAAGGCATGCACATTCTGTACTGGCATCAAGTCTGGCTATCTTAGCTCATAAAAGAGCTGGATTCTTACCTCCTAATGTAATTCTAAAGTACCAAATTAGACATGGGTAGAAAAGCAATGTATCCTTTATGTGTATTTGTCTCCAAAATAAAACAGTAAAAACTTGAGACAGATTTAATATTTTGTCTCAAAAATTCACTAGCTGGTACCTGTGGTCACTTCATCTGAATCTACTTGAGGAAACAGAGGTCTGCGTATTTGGTGATGTCATGGGGGTATCCAGGCACTTGGTAATGTCACAGAGGGGATTTATGCATTTGGCGATGTCATACCTGGTGGTGGGGGGAGGTCTGTTCACTTGGTGATGACATAGAGTCGTTCGACCTAGGCAGAAGTTTTACATTCTGTCGTTCACTTTAAAACTATAATGGTCTGTAATGGACCCCAAAGCTCTATTTCTAATTTTGCCACCAGGGCCCACATCCCTGTACTTTAAAATGAGAAAGGGTTTAAGGATACCAAATGTTTTGGTAATTTAAAACTACCAAAAAAAAAAAAACATAGAAGGAATAAGACCTAGTATTTGATAGCACAACAGAGTGACTATAGCCAATATTAATTTAATTGTACATTTTAAAATAACTAAGAGTATCATTGGATTGTAACACAAAGGATAAATGCTGCAGGGAATAAATACCCCATTTTACATAATGTGATTATTACACATTGCATATCTGTATCAAAACATCTCATGTACCCCATAAATATATACCCCTACTATGTACCCATAAAAACTAAAATTAGGAATTAAAAAAAATCACTAGCTGCTACCTGCAGTCACTTGATCTGTGTGCTTGAGGAAAGAGAAGGAATTGGCTTGATGCTTCTTACCCAAAAAAAATTATTTGTGAACACCAATCCCTCCATCCATGTAAATGCATGAACATTAACTTAACAATTTTAGCTCTTACTGCTTTTCCACCTGCGCCTAGTGAGTAGTTAAAGATGTAATTTACAGGACTTTAGATCTTTCCCCTAAGAACTCTTTTTCTTTTTCTTTTCTGTACTTATCTTAATATCGTTAAGAGATGGCAGCCAAGGGTAAAACTGAGTCTTCTTGGGCTGACTATGATGAAAATGCCAAGTGTAATCTGAGCACAGCCCTGAACTTGGGCTGGTAGCCCTTCTGTCCACTTTATCTACTGGGAACTCTTGGGACACCCTGCAGAAGGAGCTCAGGCTGGAAGCAGAAACAACCCATCTGAGCTAAGAGAAAGAATTTAACCTTTTTAAAGGCAGCCTGTTATGCCTGACAGAATAAACTTACCTTTCCTCACTAAAACTGTCTATCCTTCACATTCCAGGAATCCCTTCTAAAAAACATATTCCATGCCCTTTTTCAAGAGAATCCAGCCAATCATTTCAGCTCAGACATCTCTCCCATGTAAATGCTGGAAGCTATCCTCCAAGCCTTTCCTTTTTCTATAGCACTTGCTGCTAAGGATAATTATATGGTTTCTCATCAACAGAATGTAAATTCTCCCAGTGCCCATGAATACATACTGGCCCAGAGGAAAACAGGTGAGAAATATGTCAAAAGAACTTGTAATACAAGCCTTCATATACATGGCAGGGGAAGGCCTGGTGCCTCCTTTTCTTACAAAATAGGAAAAATAGCACCTAAACCTGCAGGTTTGTTGAGGCTCACACTGTTTAGAATGGCATTGAACAAACATCTGGCACAGGAAATGCCCATTATAAGTCACCTGTTTCCATTTATGTCTCAATCTCAAATGTGGTGAGACGTGCCACAGCGATTAGTATGGCAGATTACAGGGGCTGATCCCCATCTTTTACTCACAACCCTGTAACTGTTTCTTCTTGATAAAGTAATGGTGATAGATAGGGACACTACACACAAACCATTCATGGATTCTCCCCTAAGTCTGTGCAATCGTCCGTATATGTATTAAATCTAAAAGCAAAAAAAAAAAAAACCAATCAAATAAAATGCTAAAGTGTATTAAAAGTTGTCATAATGCAAATTTTATTTTGATTAGTTTTTGTGACTCCTTTATCTTAAACCCAGCGATGCTTGCCACTTCCCAAGGTGTAAAAATGTGAAGATTAAGGTAAACTGAATGTCGAGGAGTGTAAAGAGATGGCAAAACACAGATAAAAACATCCAAAAAGCCTCTGGGGGCAGGTCAAGCTTATGATTCAACAGTTAGAAAACCAAAATTACTTGGACATCCCCTTCTACTTAAAGTGATATACTGGAATTGAAAATATTAACTGTTAGTTTTAGAAACTAAGATTACTTGAAGTAGGCTCATTCCAGAATGCTTTTCTTTTTTCCTTCCTGAAACAATTACATCAAACTTAGATATCCTAATGTTTATTTTTAGATATACTCCTTAAAGGCATTTATGTTCACCCTTTTCGAGGATGAGAAATTTACATTAACTAATAAACTTAACATTGATCTTAAGAACTGGTTTTTGATAAGACTAGTGTGACAGAGGTACTAGTAGAGCAAAAAAGCAGGATTCCAGATTTTATTTTTTAGAAGATTGAAAAAACACACCCAGGACAACATTTCTTTGATCAATAAACTTTCAGGAAATGGAGGAAGCTGTTTTGGGACACATTCAAAGCTAGTTAACTTGAACTTGGAAATAGGGTTTTGACAATCCAACTATGGGAAACAAATCTCTGAACAAATTTTAAATGAAACCTCACCCCCCCAAACTGTTCAAGTGGCAGACAAAATAAATTACCATAAATTATATGCCAACACACCTTTTAAAAAACAACAACAGCAACAACAAAAACCCAGGAGTCTGAGGATTTCCTTAGCTCCTCCAGGAAGTGTGTAACACTGCTTCTGGCCTGCAGGCTGGGGCGGATCAGGGACCTGTCACACGTCAGGATAGTTGCAGTAATATACCGCGGAGCTGGCGTCGGACACCACCGAGGAAATGGCCCCGTGGCTGTCGGGGAGATTCACACCGGAGTCATGCCCCTGGTAGGGGAGGCCCATCTCAGGCTTGCACACGAAGTGCAGATACTGTTCAAATTCCGTGCGGTCCACCTCCCCGAGGAGCTCGGCGGGCTGACTGGGGTCCGTGCCGTCCCGGCAGGGCAGTGCCTCCGGAGGGGGCGACGGCTGTCCGGGGCCCGGGGGGTGGTGCTGGTGCTGGTGCTGGTGCTGGTGTTGCGGCTGCATCTGGAAGCCGCGCCCGCCGCCCGCCCCGGGCGAGCCCATCGCGCCGTAGTACACGTGAAGGGCGCTGGGTGGCGCCAGGAGGCCCGGAATCGAGGGACCCGCGGGCTCTGGGCCGAGTCGGGGGTGCATGGGACCGGCGGGAGGCTCCGGGGGGCCAGCGTAGTCCGAGACCTGCGCGTAGCTGTAGGTGCCGGCCGCCGGGCAGTCCCCGGGCATCGGGGCGGCGAAGAAAGCCGGGTCGGGGTCCACGCCGTCCAGCGGGGACGTGTCGGGCGTGGGCAACGGGTAGCCGTCGAGCGGAGGCGCGCCCAGACTCTGGCAGTCGCGGTAGTGGCCGCCCATGTGCGGAGGCAGCAGCGGCGGGCCGGCGGGGAAGCCCTGCTCGGGGAACTGGAGGCCCAGGCCGTCCATGGCCACGCGGCCGCCCTCGGGGCCCAGCGCGGCCGCCTGCGGCTCAGCCAGGCCGTGCAGGAAGCCGCCCTCCACCCGCTTCAGCCGCTTCACCTGCTTGCGCCGCCGCGGCCGGTACTTGTAGTTGGGGTGGTCCTGCATGTGCTGCACGCGCAGCCGCTCTGCCTCCTCCACGAAGGGCCGCTTCTCCGCCAGCGTCAGCGCCTTCCACGACTTGCCTGCACAGTGGAAGGAAGGGGGAGAGGGGCGCAGGGCTTATCGGCTGCGCTCCCGCTCCAGGCCCCACCTGGCCCCACCTGGACGCACCTCCCCCCTCAGACTTTGAATTGCGCAACCGGGGTGAAGTTAAAGAGGGAGATCTGGGACTCCTGAGTCCGAGCCCTTGGGGAACACCCGTCCTCTAAAGGCACCCCTTTCTTTTGGTCTCCTGGAAGCGGCTTTCCGCTCACCCATCACCCGGTCGTTCGAAAAACAGAAAAGGACACCTAACTAGGGAAGGGGTCGAGGGATGGACACAACCGGCCCAGTTCAGGGCCAAGGGTGCTCTCGCGCCGCCCGGAGGTGCCGGGAAGTCGCCTTCCCAGAGCCGTTGGACCCGCGCCCCCGGCCACCTGGGGAATCCGGGAGCCGGAGAGCAAGGCGGAAAGCTGCTTTGGAGGGTCGGAGGGCGGGAAGCGGGAAGGGAACCCAGAGCCTTAAGAAAGGACGTGGCCGCTACACACCCCTGGTTTTGGGCGTCAGGCTCGCAAAGAACAGTTTGGGGTTTAAGAAATCGGCCTAGCGATTCGCGCCAGCGCGCCCGGCCGCCTGGGTCTGCGACTCGGACTCACCCAGCATCTTGCTCAACTCGGCGTTGTGCAGGTCTGGATTCTGCTGCGCCAGCCGCTTGCGCTCGTCCTTAGCCCACACCATGAAAGCGTTCATCGGCCGCCGGATACGGGACTCGCCCTTGGCTCGGCCCGCGGCCCCGGCCGGTGCTCCGCTGTTCGCCGGCGCCTCGCCCTTCACCTTCATGTCCCCGATGGGGCTCAGCGACTCGGCCCAGGGGCAGGGGCCCAGCCCGGCCATCACCGCGGGCAGCGCGCTCTGGGTCTGGCTCTGGTCGTCACTGGCGTATCCCGCATCCGGGCTGCTCATGGCGCTCCAGGCCTGCCCCGCTCCCCTCAACCCTCCGCCGGACGCGCCGCCTCCCCCGACCCGGGGGAGGGGGTGGGGAGTGAGGCACTGAGATGCCCCGAGGGCTGCGCGGGTCTCCCGGCCCGAAGCCGCCGCCCGTGTTCTGGCCTGTCGCGGTCTGGTCTACAGCGTACCCAGGGCCCCCAGCCGGCCTAGTGACACTGCGGGCGCCCCTGGGCCGCGGGGCCTTTTCTGCACAGATGTGGCCAATGGAGCGGCGAGGGCGGGCCGGTCCCGCGTCGTTAGGCCCACGCCCAGGCCGTGGTCCGAGTCCCACGTCCCAGTCCAACCCCACGCCCGCCCCTTGCCCCTCCCCCGGCCCCGCGCCCAAGGCTACACCTGCCCCCGGGAAAACTAGCCGGAGCTGGGCTCTGGCGCCGCGTCCTCTCCCACCGGGGTTAGGGAGACTCGAAAAGCCGTCTGGGAGGGCTGATTGTACCTTGGAATCGACGTACTTGCCCAAGGTCGTTTAGATGAACATACCGAGCGTCCATTCTATTCTCTTTAAAGCACATCTTTTTGCAGAAGCCGAGGGTGTTTCAGTGGTGGGTGACCTAGTTTACTTCCAAGGAACTGCATGGGCATCTTCAAATGTGTTTTCTCAAATGCGAAAGACACCGTTGATAATAAATTTAAAAATACAATTTTTCCCCCAGGACTCAACTTGCCTGTGTTATATTCAAAATGCTGTGTCCAAGATAAATCCTAATTTTCTAAAGCAAGATTAAATATGGAACGACGTTCTGTATCCAATATTCCTTCACTCTAAAGAATAAAGCATTTACTCATGACAAGCCAACCAGTTTTTATGTGTATCTTATTATACACATCATGTGAAAGTACGAAAATGTATACATGATGTATATAAGATACGCATAACAAAACTGTTTCTCGTATGTGTTCAGTAACAGGTGAGCCTTAATACTGATTTCTAAAATGTAAAGACAGCAGCAATATTTGTCTAAATGTCCGAGTTTGTTTGGGGGAAGAGAACAATCTGTTTTAGCTGCAAAGTAACTGTGGTTCTTACAGTCAGTTTAAAGCGGTTATTCTGGCAGATAATTAGATTTCTATAAGTTTCTTTAGACTGGAATGAAATCTGAATGACTATTAAACTTGTGTTTCGATCTGGAAAAAAAAAAAGTTTTCAGTGGGACTTTTAAAACAAGCCGTTATACAACACTGAGAAATGACACAGCCTGCCACTGCTATTCCTAGCGCCCTCCAGCATTAGCAAAGAAGCATATCCTCATATTAACCCTGAGGTAGACTCTATCTTACAGGAAAGGAAACGGAGGCAGAGAAGTTAAGGAACTTGCTGGAGACTACAGCGTTGAGAAGGTGGAATTCACACCCAGCAGTCCGCCTTCAGACTTGCAGCTCTTAATAATCACTAAGCCAGGCTGTTGTGTTTGTGTATTTGTGTTGGTTTTTGAGGGCAACTAACAGCCATTCCTGCATAATTAGAGATAACTTTGCAAAGAAATCAATATACGAATCTCCAGAACAGATTTTCTTTATTATGAAGGCGTGATAAAAAAGTAGAGCTTACACCTGGAATCTGAGAAGTAAAATGCTGCTGCTTTGAGTGTGATACTACAACAACAAGACCGTCTGTCCAGTCTTGCTTATTAGTGGCATCCATAAAAATACAAAACTTTTGCAAACTCCTGGCCTTCAGTTTCTCTGGCATTGCTTTTTCTCAAAAGAACTCTTACACAATTGTTTTAAGCCAACTTATCTTTAATTCTGCAAGTATCTGTGAAGCCTTGGCTAGGGGACAAGTTAAGAAAGTGTTTCTAGTTCCTGGGTCTCTAAGATTCAAACAAGAAAAAAAATTAAATCTGCATAAAGAAATCATAGAGAGGTGTTACTTCTAGTTGGTAGTTTTGAAAGCGGTTGATTTTAGACAAATTTAAATGATGATGTACTTTTAAAGCTTTATTTTTTCTGAAAAAAAAATGGGCTTCAGTATAAAGCAAAAGCACATTGCAAATGATTAAATAAGCAACAAAACTATAGGAGGAGAGAGAGCAATCTACAAATTAACCCCGTAGTACCTTGTTTTTTGCTGTTTTTTTTTTTTTTTTTTTTGAGATCTTTTCTAACTTTTCTGGATAATAATAAATATTTTTCAAAGCTCTCAAAGCAGAATTTTCTCTTAACACTAAATCTTTTATGAGCTAAGGAGTTTTCCTAGAATAAACATTGAAAATTAAAAAACAATATCTGGTCCAGAATTCATTTTTATCTGTCTAGTCTGTTTGACTAATTCCTTAAAAAACACTACAGGAAATACAATCCAGGTGTGAGTCCAAAAAATGTACATATACAGATTTAGCCCTGTACACTTTCTTCATCCTCATGCTCTTCCTCACCCAGCTCATTATTGGGAGAGGTGCGCTTGGGAGCCAAGAAGGTGGAGAAAATGATGGGGAAGAAAACGTGGGGTTTCCATATTTTATTGATTTATTTACTTATTCATTTATTGAGACAGAGTTTCCCTCTTGTTGCCCAGGCTGGAGTGCAATGGCGCGATCTCGGCTCGCTGCAACCTCCGCCTCCCCGATTCAAGCGATTCTCCTGTCTCAGCCTCCCGAGTAGCTGGGATTACAGACGCATGCCACCACGCCTAGCTAATTTTTGTATTTTTAGTAGAGACGGGGTTTCATCATATTGGTCAGGCTGGTCTCAAACTCCTGACCTCAGGTGATCCGCCCGCCTTGGTCTCCCAAAGTGCTGGGATTACCGTCGTGAGCCACCGCGCCCGGCCGGGTTTCCCTATTTTTATTTGCCCTTGTTCTTGGGGACTGATCTTGGTCTGGTAAGAGAAATCAGGTGAAAGTACACAATCATAGGTTGGAGTAGGAGCTTCAGATTTTGACGCCCCTCCCCCTACTTCTTATAACACCCTCCCTGAGATCATAAATTCACAGTTTACAAATTTACAGGGGAGGAATTGTGGTGGCTTTCCAAGACTAGTCCCTTTTACATACTGTGACCTAGTTAGATCTCATTTCTTCTGATCATTCGCTTGTCTTATATTTCGGGGGGCAGTGTGGAGGGCGGCGACGTCGCTGACCCGCGCGCGGTGTGTGGAGCCTTCTATTTCAGTCTCTTCACTTTAATACGTGGTGCCCCGGGACGTTATCAGAGCCAGCCACAGATGCCACATGTAAAGCAGCAAACATCCGGAGTGGCTTCCTGCAAGCCTTGCTTTTCTCAACACAAGAGATTTACGCAGGGGGTTGGGGGAAACAACTTTCACAAGTAAGAGCCGAGTACACCGCTCGCATAGCCGTTCGGGTGCGTTAGCACTGCACGGTCCAGGGTCGCAGGGCTCCTGGCTACTAATTGCGCTCACGTCCCCGGGTCCTTGGGCCGGACCCGAGGCTCTAAAGGCTGGGCAAGGAAGCGACTAGCGCACCAAGAAGCTGTGCCCGTTGCCAGTTGGGGCCTTTGGTCAGCGGGCGCAGAAATTAACTCGGGTAGGTGGCGAACCGTGGGGCTGACCTGGAGGAATCAGAGCCACGCTTATCCGTGGGCCCCTGAGTGACCAGGCAAAGGCTGGGTGATTTCCGGCAGGCTTTTGTGTTTTCGATGCTGGGAAAGCAGGGGCTGGAGGAAGGACACTCAAGTCGATCGGGAAGGACCCGTGGGCACCTAGGCAGATCCGGGTTGGCGCTGGAGAGCAAGTCTGTGGGGGCGGGGGAGGGGAGTGCGCGCCGCAAACCCTGGGAAAACTCCAGGCTGCCCGTGGATGACTAGACAATGGTATCCCTGAACAAAGAACAACAATAAGGCCTTTGCATTTATAAATCGTGCGCGGGCGGCTGCCTCCCGGAGGCCAGCACGAGGTGGCGCGCGGCGGTGGAGCGCGGCCGAGGGTCCCGCACCTCCCAGGTAGGGCAGCGCAGCCGGACGCCGCCGATTCGCACCTCGCGTCCCGGCGCCGTCTAGGCGGCGGTGCCGCGCCCCTTGATACCTTTAACGTCTCCTCCTTGTCCCCGGGCCAGTACCCCGTGGGTCCAGGATGGAGGTCGAAGGTCGCGGGCGGGAGGGGAGTGTAAGGGGGGAAGGAGTGGCCCGGAAAATCGCGGCCACCGGCTGTGCCGCCGCGCGCCCCCTGCCTTGGAGGCCCGCACCAGGTCGGAGCCCTGCAGATGCTGCAGTGCGGGTCCGATCCAGCCCCTGCGGTGCTCCACTGCTGCGCCGGCCTCTCCCCGTGAGGACTGAAAAAAAGGGCGACAGCGAGAGGGGATTTGGGGACGCGCGTTACCCCCGATGACCGGAGCATGCATTTTACTTGGACGCCTTCTCCCACTCCCTCCATGCGCATCCCTCCCTGGTTCCGCGGTGTCCCCTCGAGGCTGCCCCCCAACCCCTCCCTGGCAGCGGGCGACTCTTAGACCGTGTCCCCGTTCCCGCTTGGCCCCGCCTGGGATTTGCACAGGCGAAGCAGGAAATGCGCTGTTCCCGGTCCACTTCCCTCTTCAGAAACTCATCCGTGGAGTGTTTCTTAGATCTCCCCACCTCCAACTGTGGCCCCGGGTTGAGGTGTGTGGGCTACTTCCCTTTATTGCCTGGGCTGTGGAACCTCATACTCCAGGGAGAGGTGGCGTTGGGAATGAGGGAGAGGGTCCCGTTCCTCACCCAGGACTCGTCACATACACAGTACTGTCTTGCTCACCCCTTTCAGATCTGCCCCTCAGCCTTAAAAGGGATTTCAATAGCGGCAGAGCTTCTATGCACTCGGTGCTGCAGGTGAACTCCTACTCCCACTTTCCCCATCCACACCCTAGGAGAAGGCAGGGCTTTCCTTGGAGACCTGTGTCCTCACCTGACCAGACAGCCTTATCAGCAGCGTGCCCACTGTGCGCAGAGCACTTCCACTCCCACCCGAAGGAGAATAGACGCGGTCCCTGCCTCGGAGGAATGTACCGTGCCGTGTCATTAGTCTTCCTCCCTGATTCATTAACTTCCAGCTGGGTGTTCTAGGTATGGTCTTCTGTAATAATTTGTTCCTGGCATGTAAAGGTGATGCTGACATCAGTAGGTCAAGCGCTTTGAGATTTTTTTTTTCTAGTAGAGATAATAGGTTTCCTTTCCACCCTGAAAACTCTGGCTTGCCAAGTTTCCCTGGTAAGCAGGGCTGGATTGTGCCAGATGGTTAGGGCAAGGTGTGCATTTTGTTATCATGGAAGTGATCAAAGTTAAATAGGGCATAGGACAGGCCACTTCTGACAACACTCATTACCCACTGTTTTGTACAACTTTAGCCACACACATGTCAGATTTTGAAAGGGTATCTGAATTGGCTTCCAAAGTTTCTGAACAGAAGAGAAAATGTTAGGGATCCTTGCTAGATTCCTTTGCAGTCAGTATTTGGTTAACCTGTTAACTAAATTTTCTTCTCTGTCCACTTTTTGGACCTTGCAAAACTGTCAATACTCTTTAATAACAACACAGGGTCTTTGGTACATTTCATCTTTATGTCCTGAGAGCCCACGCAATTCACTGGTCTTCAATATATTCTTCAGTATACTGTTACAGCTGTCATGGATGGAGTCCTAAGGTCATCTCCCTACAAGGCAAGGCACTGAGAATGACCTCTGTAGACCTTAGCAAAGGCACTGAGAATGACCTCTGTAGACCTTAGCAAAGACTGTTCTCATCTCAGACACATCTGTGTAGGCCTGTGGTCATCTGACTTCAGGTCTGTCATATTCTTTTTCTCATTCACCAGGAGTTTAGTCTCCAGACATTCATTGAGCATCTGAAATACCACCTTTTTTGAGGATTAAGTCAAATTCTGTTTCTTTTCTGAACTGATTCCACTTGGAGCTCCAGGCCAAGAATGTAAATGGATAATTTTGCATGTGGATATAATGCAAAAGCAAATGTCTATATTTGGAAAATTTTTCGAAACTGACCTTTAGTATTAACGTCTTCATAATGGTAGAGGACAGTTTACAAAGCAGTTTCACTAATTTCTCTGACCCTCCTGACAGCTCTGGAGGTAGACAGTGCAGCCTTTGTTATTAGCCTCATTTTTCAGAAGAGGAGATTAAGATTGAGAAAGGACAGATGATTTGCTCAAAAGCACACAAGAGTGCTTGGACCAGCTATCTGCCCTTGCTGCTATCAGTAGTGGGTCTTCAGGAGTTGGAGGCTGCAATGAGCCATGTCTGTATCACTGCACTCCAGCCTGGGCAAGAGAGCAAGATCCTGTTTCTAAAAAAAACAAAACAAAACATTAGTGGGTCTTGTTTTGAATTTCTTTTCATGCCATGTCTACAGCCAATAAAGAACCTAATGGAAAGCGCAGGGACAAAATAAAGACAGTGGATAGACAGAGATGGAGTAAGGACCCTTGGCACAGAAACTTCCAGTGTTATCCCTAACTAGGTCCTGATAATTTTTAAATATTAGAGATGCAGTGCTGTAAGAGGAAAGCATTTTCATTTAGAAGATCTATAACTTGATATTTTTATTAGATCATATAATCTAAGCCCTAGATAACATTTCATTTAACTATTATTTTACACAAACAAATTCTGATTCAGCTGAAAAAAAGACAGAACAGTTCAGAGTTAAATGGGAATAAAGCTCATGTGTAAGGAAGTTGAAGTTCTCAAACTTTTGCCCCTCTACTTCACACTCATTCAGATGGAAAGCAACTTAATTATACTGAATTGTGGTTTTGTTGCCTGTTTAAGGTATAAGCTGTTAGCCTACTCTAGACCCACTGCAGATCCAGTCTTAAAGACATAAAAACATACAGCAGGTAGGTAAAGTAAATGCTCTCCATTCTTCCTGTTGTTTGGAAGAGAAATGGATGGCAAATATTATCAATTCTGTTTTACAAAGTGAAAAAATAAGGTACAGAACAATTGGGTAATTTGCTTAATGCTTTCAAATCAGCCTAAGAGACAAGAGAGTAATTTGTTCATTTAATCCACAAATAATTATCCAACAACTGTGAATCTGAGGCTTGGCACAGCATGACACATTGGTTATGAACACATATTTGGAGTTGAACTGCTTGGGCTGGAATTCTAGTTCTACAGTTTACCAGTGGTGTATTCCTTGGACACGTTGCTTAATCTTCTTTAGACCTCATCTGTGAACTGGAGGATGGTAATAGTAATGACCTCAGGGAGTTTTATGAGGATGAAATGAATTAATTATTCATAAACTACTTATAATAGGGCCAGGCACATAGTAAGTTCTACACAGGTATTTAATAAATAAAATTAAATTAAATAAATGCATGTTAGCTTATGAAAACATTGTGAGAAAAAATAAAATAAAACTACCACAGTGTTGAGGGTACATGCATTATAGCAACTAGATGGAATGTATAATATCATGTGTTAACATCTATGATAGCTAGTAACAACATTGTTATACTTTAATCAAAATTGTCTTACACTAGCAAAACTTTCAGAGATTTCTCTATAAATTATTGTTCATTTTCTAGTTATATTTGAATGTGAGCATTTTTACTCTGGTGGTAAAAGAAGTCTTTGTTTTGTGAATGTCAACCTTCTAAAACCCTGTTACAACCGGCAAGCAAAAATACAATTGCAAAGAATTCAATATTCTATTAGTATATCTTTGCAATGCAAAGAGATGCTTTGCAAATGGGTATTTACATGGGTAGGCCTAAATTCTTCTCCTAAAGACTTACAGAGGCAGAGTACAATCTCAATAAGTGTGGCTGGTATCAAGTATTTTAAAGGAAGAATAACCCACAAATGTACTAACCTAGGCTAGATCTTTGTGTTGTAGAGTGAAAAGACTAAATTCTAGTCTCGGTTGTTCAATAACTTGCTACCAGGTAAATTGCAAGTCCTCACCCTCAATTTTCCCAAAAAAAGAAGGGGAGAATGTCAGATCTTTGTCAGATAAAGAAGTGAAAAAAATGATCACAGACACCTTTGTAAAGTAAAAGTGCTGAGTAAAACTGTGTGTGCGTGTGTGTGTGTGTGTGTGTGTGTGTGTGTCTAGGGATATAATGATTTAGAGAAAATTTTCTGTACAGAAAAAAATAGCAAATTGAGATAAAACGCAAGTCAGGGACTGTAAAGAAGACTATACTGCTTTGGGTAAAAATGGAATGCTATTTTTTTATAGAGCAAACCCTTTTTAAAATTATTTGAAATTAATTATTGCACAGAGGGTCCCTACCTTTGATCCAGGGGAATGCAGATTCTACTTTTATGAGGAATGACTATGGATTTACTGGGTTTCCATTACGTTAGTAAAGCTAATCGATTATTTCAGTGGCTAATCTAAAAGTAGAATTTGGGAATTTGGACAGAGAATAGATAACTCTTTCTTTTTGACATTTTCTGGTTATATAACATTTTTACAGGGGCTAAAAAGGGCTATATAACTCACCCCCTTCCTTCCAAGTTCCAGAATTCCTAGAGAGTATTGAAAAATGGAAATATCTTCCATATGAAATACTACATATTCCACTAAAAATGAAAGTGTTTGTTACTTATACCACTATATAAATACACAGATATTCTTTTAAAATCACTTATTTTGAAATAATGTCAAACTTGCAGAGAAGTTCCAAGAATAACACAAAGAACTGTATCACCTTTTCTGAGACTGCTGTGTTAGCTTTCTTTTTTTTTCAGATGGAGTCTCACTGTCGCACAGGCTGGAGTGCAGTGGCGTGATCTGGGCTCATTGCAACCTCCACCTCTCAGGTTCACTTGATTCTCCTGCCTCAGCCTCCTCAGTAGCCGGGATTACAGGTTTGCGCCACCACACCAGGCTAATTTTTATATTTTTAGTAGAGATAGGTTTTCACCATGTTGGCCAGGCTAGTCTCGAACTCCTGACCTCAAGTGATCCACCTGCCTTGACCTTCCAAAGTGCTAGGATTACAGGCGTGAGCCACTGCGCCTCACCAGCATTTTATCTTTTGCTCCATCTCTATCTAAATAAACATTTTCCCACATTTGTTCCATCTCATTCTTCTTTTCTAAATATACATACACAGAACAATAGAAACATAGAATACATTAGTATATAATATATTAATATAGATACTATATAAATATGTAATATGGATATATTGTTACATATTCTATATTAAATCATATGCATATATGCATGCCATTAGTCTTTTTCTGACCCATTTGAGAGCAAGCTGTGGCACAATGTCTCATCACTTACTCCAAATACTCCAGTGTATATTCCCCTAAAATGTGGACACTCTCCCCAAAACCATCAAATACCATACAAATTAGGAAATTGACATTACTACCATACGTCACTACCATCTAAGCCACATACTCAATTCAAATTTTGCAAGCTGCTTCAACAATGCCTCTTTTCTCTTTCTGGCCCAACATCCAATTCAGGATCAAGTTACATTTATTTATCAAAGGTCTTCCATATTTTTCTGTCTATCTTATAACCTTTATAGTTTTAAAGAGTGCAGGCCTTTCATGCCAAGAATGTCCCACACCCTGGTCTGTCTATGTTGACTCACACATTCTTTGTAGGAAAATCGTTGATATGGTGGTGTGCTCCCATCAGGGTATGACAAGGAAGGCCGTCGGACGTCTCATCATCACTGGTGATGCTAATCTGGTCACTTCATCAAGTTGGTGTCTACCCAGTTTCTCTACCTTCAGGTCACTATTTTTCCCCTTTGTAAGTGAGAATTTTGTGTGTGTCTTTGTGTTGAGAACTCTGACAATGAAATGGCATGTATTCCTTCTACTGTAAGGAAGTTCTCCCTTCTTTTATTTGTTTGTTTATTTGTATCTCTGTGGATTCCTTTCTTTTTTTTTTTTTTTTTTTGAGATGGAGTTTCATTCTTGTCACCTAGGCTGGAGTGCAATGGCATGTTCTTGGCTCACTGCAACCTCTGCCTCCCAGGTTCAAGTGATTCTCCTGCCTCAGCCTCCCAAGTAGCTGGGATTACAGGTGCCCACCACCACACCCAGCTAACATTTTTGTATTTTTGGTACAGACAGGGTTTCACCATGTTGGCCAGGCTGGTCTCGAACTCCTGACCTCAGGTGATTCGCCCGCCTCAGCCTCCCAAAGTGCTGGGATTACAGGTGTGATTACACCATGCCTGGCCAATTGATTCTCTTTTTATTCCCTAGATTGTATCAATAGTTTGGGTGCTGCAGTTGCCACAGATTTGGCCAGTGAGGTGCCTTTCGAGCTAGCTCCTGTATTCTTTTGATATGTCCTTATAACCCTTTGACCATTTTCATAGTTTTTAGCACAACACGATATTCCAGGCTCGTTTTGAATTTTCCCTTCATTTAGCCCTAGATCCAGGCATTTCTCCAAGGATCAAGGGCATCTTTTTGTGGAGGATGGCATTTAGAAGTGGAAATCTGGGTTCTCATCAGTACTGTACTGTCCCTGCTTCCAGGCACCCTCAAAAGACAGAGCTAGGAAATAATGTATGCTCATGTATGTATACGTGTGTGTCCACATACATACATATCTATAACTATTTCTAAATCTACCTCTGTGTGTGTTTATATATATATATCTTGTGTTAGTCTCCAATTCCAATCCAACATCTTAGGGTTCTTTCTAGACTGCTCCTTTGCTGTATTTGTAAATCTCTTTTCCCACAGTGAGAAACCTGGCTCCTGTTTCTCTCCATATGTGCACATATGTGCTCACTGTAATCAGGCTCCCGGCCACACCACTGCCCGCTCCCAGCCCCCATTTTTTTGGCTTCCAGGCATGCCAGCGCCTCTGTGCAGGCTTTGCCCAGCACCCTGCTTCCTCCATGCCCCAAAGCGAAAGAAAGAAAGAATTACTTGTTTAAATCTATTTAAAAATTATTTTAAGTATCGAGTGTGACCATAAACTCTAAGCTAATTGATGTTTTCGTCTTCACTCCCTTTACCTGCTGGCACGTTCCTCAGGCATCAGTTAAAAACAAGGCACAATTTTGGTTTGTCTTGAATGCAGTCACTCATCGTTTTAAAACTGTAAGATTGTACCATTAAGAACTAAAATATTGGTGGTGTGTGCCTGCAGTCCCAGCTGCTTGGGAGGCTGAGGCACGAGAATCTCTTGAACCGGGGAGTTGGAGGTTGCAGTGAGCCAAGATCACGCCACTGCACTCCAGCCTGGGCAACAAAGCAAGACTCTGTCTCAAAAAACAAAAAACAAAACAAACAAACAAACAAATATTCTTTGCGTCTGGGGCTTTTAGTCATGGCTAAAGCAAAACTAGGATTTCTTTTCTTAAAAACCATAAGGGGGCCGGGCGCGGTGGCTTACTCCTGTAATCCCAGCACTTTGGGAGGCGGAGGTGGGCAGATCACGAGGTCAGGAGTTCGAGACCAGCCTCGCCAACATGGTGAAACCCCATCTCTACTAAAAATACAAAAATTAGCCGGGTGTTGTGGCAGATACCTGTAGTCCCAGCTACTCAGGAGGCTGAGGCAGCAGAATCACTTGAACCTGGGAGTTGGAGGTTGCAGTGAGCCAAGACTGTGCAACTGCACTCCAGCCTGGGTGACAGAGCAAGATTTCATCTCAAAAACAAAACAAAACAAAACAAACCCTAAGGAAGAAAGAGGAGTAAGCATTAAATAGTATTTTCCAGATGTGTTAATAAAATATGTGGCAGCTTTGAGGAAATATTTCATAAATATATTGCCTTTCCCTGCTGTCAGCCACACCCACACACACATTACTCTCCATGATTGTAGATGAAGAAAATAATGCATAACAAGCCAGATTGCATGACTTGCCCCAAGTGCAGAGGCTGGCCAATCTAATTTATACTGCTGCTTTGCATGATTGAATTCCCATGAGTCATTTCCATCTTCAGTGTAAGAGGGAAAGTTCAGTGGAACTACATTAAAATGAAGATCAACCCCTCTGTCTCCAAAGCAGGCTCAGTGGCTCTCTGAACTCTACATCCCTGGTGTGGTGCTTTCTCTTAGAGAGCTCAGGAGCGGCACTGCTGGCAGCCCCAGGAAACCTGACAGTGCGCAGGTACAAGTTTAGCTACGGGTCAAGCACGGTGGCTCATGCCTATAGTCCCAGCACTTTGGGAGGCAGAAGAGGGAGGATTGCTTGAGACTAGGAGCTCGAGACCAGCCTGGGCAACATAGTGAGTGCCTGTCTCTACAATTTTTTTTTTTTTTATTATCCAGGCGTGGTGGTGCACACCTGTAGTCCTAGCTACTCGAGAGGCTGAGGTGGAAGGATCACTTGAGCCCAGGAGGTTAAGGCTGCAGTGAGTCATGATTGCACCACTGCACTCCAGCCTGGGCAACAGAGCGAGACCCTGCCTCAAAAAACAAAACAAACAGATACCCCAAAAGTTAGCTGCAGTGGATGACCTAGGGCACGTAAACAGGCTCTTCTCTTCTTGGCAAATCTTTTCTCCCTTTCCAGGACTAAAGGAGGAAAATCTGACAGGGTCGTGTCTACAGAAAAGGTGATGATAGGACATCCCAGAGCCAGAAGGGGCAGCCTCTGGTTAAGCAAAGACTCTGAGCATGAATGATTTAACAAATAGCAATCATATGTATATGACTAACTGGTTTGGTCATTGTATGTAGTGTGATCCACAAATACCTAACATGTCAACTCAGTTTTAGGGTGGTTGTTCGAATTGAAGCTTTAATTCTTGAGCAGTCTAAGTCTTCAACAGTTGGAGGGCCTATGCTAATTTGATTTTGCCAGTACATATTTTATGCTGTTTAACACATGAATTATAATGGCATATTTATAAAGATGGTTAACTTATAGCTACTTTTTAACCTTTTGCCTAGCATTTGATTTAGGTACATTTTATTAGTGAATGCTCCTTGCACTTTCTTGTGTACATGCATAACATCACAATCATCAATTTTGATTTAATCCTATGTAAATATCCTATCCATGCTGGTGACCTACAAGGTCCCATATGAACTGGTTCTTTCTTTTTTTTTTGAGACAGAGTCTTGCTCTGTCTCCTAGGCTGGAGTGCAGCACGATCTTGGCTCACTGCAACCTCCGCCTTCCAGGTTCAAGCAGTTCTCCTTCCTCAGGCTCCCAAGTAGCTGGGATTACAGGCACCCACCACCATGACCATCTAATTTTTTTTTTTTTTTGAGATGGAGTCTCACTCTATTGCCCAGGCTGTAGTGCAGTGGCATGATCTCAGCTCACCGCAACCTCCACCTCCTGGGTTCAAGTGATTCTTCTGCCTCAGCCTCCCAAGTAGCTGGTATTACAGGCATTCGCCACCAAGCCCGGCTAATTTTGTTATTTTTAGTAGAGACAGAGTTTCACTATGTTGGTCAGGCTGGTCTCGAACTCCTGACCTCAAGTGATCTGCCTGCCTCGGCCTCCCAAAGTGCTGGGATTACAGGCATGAGCCACTGCGCCCAGCCAAAGTGGCTCATTCCTATCCTTCTACTCCCATCCTTCATGACTCTGCCTTCATCACAGTGTTCTAGTCAACTGGCTTCTGGCCATTCCCAGAACATGCCAAGCTCCTTTTTGCTCGAAACTCATATTCTCTTGCCTATGCCTGGAACTACAGTCCCCTCATTCAGCGACACCTACTCAGAGAGACATCCTACCTAGAATCGTTACTGTCCCCCACCTCCTCCACAAACTTGTGACACACTGTTCTCTGCTTTATAATTTTTTAAAGCACTCATTACTAGCAGTCATTATGTTCTATATTTATTTGTATTGTCTACCCCCTGCCCATTAGAATGCTAGCTCTCAGGGGTGTTACCTGTGTTGTTCATTGCTGTACCCAGCCCCCCATGCCCAGAACTGCTGGCGACTGGCCCATCGTGGGAACTCCGCAAGATTTGTTGAATGAATGAAAGATCACCTGAGACTGAGCCTTACTGAAGGATTTCTTTAAAGCCCACAGAGGGACCAAAGCTGGGCAAGCATTTGACTCTTGGTTAGTCCTTGACCACACATTTTCACGTCTCCTCTTGTTCTTTAAAACACTCTTCCCCCTTAGAGATTTTATTGAAGCCTCATTATGTCACTTTAAGAGGAGGAATGTCCCCTTCAGGGGACCCCTATGGACATGTATTTCATTAACAGAGCATTATCTCACAGAGCAAGCAGGAACTTCCAAAAGAAGGGTGATGGTTATAAGAGCCTCTAAATAATTTTGACTGATTAGGTATCTTAATCCAGTTGCCGGTTAATTATGTTTGTTTGTGATTAACAATATGATTTTCACCTGCTCCCCCTCCACAATCTCCCCTGTGTTTGGAGAAAGCCAATCTCCCTGCCCACTGCATATCTGCTGTGAGCTCTTTGAAGGTGTTTGCTGAGGAGATGAGACCACAGCTATCACCTGGAGCCAGGAGCTGGGAAGAAGGAATCCCTGCCAAGCCACCTGCAGGTTGACTCAGAAAGTTCCTTACGCCCAAGTCAAACAACGGGAGATCTGAAGACAGGGCTCCCTCCCCACCCCCTCACCCCTCACTTGTGTCACTCTTTCTATGGAGAAAATAACTCAGTCATTGAAATGCCCATCAAAATTCAATGTTCTCACTGATTACCTGTGGAGAGGAATCAGGTTTTTCCTTTATTTCCAATCTGTCACACAGTAGTACTTTTAACATACATTAAAAATAAATCACTAGAAGAATAAAATAAAGGCATACAAAATACACATTTTTTTATTCTAGATTTCAGCAGGTGTCAGATTCCATTCAAATTGCTCCCAAATTCCCAACCTGCTTACTTGCAGTTTCTGTACTTCCCCTGCAGGTGGGATACAAACAGTTCACAGGGGGCCTTAAAACAGCAGCCCTTTTTTTTTTTTTTTTTTTTTTTTTTGCCATTTTATGTTACTGGTCCTTATTTTTTAAAAAAAGGAAAAATAATGAGACCTCAAACTGATTATAAAAGTGAAATTAGATAAAAACTTCTATCACTCGTAAGCACCAGATGAACACTATGCCATATATTGACTGCATTCGCTATCGCACAGCTAGGTTATTTGCCTGGCCATTCAGATCCAGGGACCTTGGTGAGTGGAGACGTGAATGCCTTCAACTTCGCTGCTGGGATTTAGTGTAGGTGCAGACTGAGTGAAACGACTGAAAAGCAAACTACGCAGTGATGAGGAAAGGGGGAATTGGAGTTTTCAGGTTAACTTAACCTTCCAGTGACCTGCTTCTCAATCACAGATTTGAATTCTTTCTTCTGTTGCCAAATATTTAAACCTATTTTATTAACCATAGCTACTCCTACCCATCGAATATTTCTTTTTCTGTTTTACTGATGGAGAAATAGAAGTGAAGTTTCTAATAGTCAATCCAGGGGATCTGGTGGCAGAAGCCCAAACTAAGGGGTTTAGTTCTTCACCCTCTTTAGAGTGGGCGTCCCCTCGGCTGTGCCCGCTGTTCCGCCTGTGAGATGCGACAGGCCTGCTCCACACCTGGGAGGTGCCATTTGGCTTTCTAATGGGATCAGCGTTTTTGTCCAAACTCTCCTCACCTAGATATTTCAAGTCATGCCTTCCACCCTATCCTCCAACTCAGTGTAACTTCTGACTTTATAAATACACTTGGAGTCCCTTAAATTCCCATCTTCCTTTTGTTTCCACCACATGCAGCCAACAGAGAGCTGTAGTTGCAAGTTTCCATATGTGAAAAATTATAATATATGAAACATTGATTGCTTTGTACTACTTATTACCATACTAAAGCCTTTGTTCAGACAGAGGACTTAAAATTATTATTTGATGTGCCATTGTATTTTCCAGGCAGACACTTGAACTGTTTATCCTCAATTCCTTTCATTCTAAATTGCAAATAGCTGTACTCTCGAAGATGCTTAAATTGGGTAGCCATATTCCTTGCATGTTACATTTCTTTATAAATAGCTTTTTTGAATTCAAATTATTTTATTTTATTATTTTATATATCTGTACATTTTCTCTAACCCAGGCATCCACAAACATCTTCAAGTCTTTTAGAGTGGGAACTTTCTGTATGGAGGAGATCCAAAATTGTGAAAGGGTCAAAATTGCTATAGTACAGAATAGTACACAAAAGGGGAAAATTATTTCTTTTGTAGATTTATTTTCAGATATAATAGACTTGCACAATATATTTAAAATGGTATGTAGCTTCGTAAAGAAAAAAGTTGTTACAATAGTTGGCACTGCTTTCTAAAGGACAAGAATGTGGAAAAATTATTGTTTTACAAAATAAAATAATAATGACAGTGTGTACAGTACTTTTATATACATACTTCAATTTCATCATCAAAATTACCCTACCAGTTAGATATTCTTACTCTTTTCATTTTTTTTCTACAAGAGAAAATGAGGTTCAAAAGGATGAAATGGCTCCCCCAGGGTCACACAAGAGGAAGAATTGAATCTTCTCATTCCATAGTTTGTGCCCTCTGTGTCCCAAACTGCTAACATGGTTTTACACATGTAAAGAGGGAAATTATTAGCCACTGTAGTATTTATCCAATGCTCGAAGGACTCCAGTTCACTTTTTGTTTTTTTTGAGACAGAGTCTCGTTCTGTCACCCAGGCTGGAGTGCAGTGGCGCAATCTCGGCTCTCTGCAACCTCCACCTCCTAGGTTCAAGCGATTCTCCTGCTTCAGCCTCCTGAGTAGCTGAGATTACCGGCACCTGCCACCATACCCAGCTAATTTTTGTATTGTCAGTAGAGACGGTGTCTCGCCATGTTGGCCAGGCTGGTCTCAAACTCCTGACTTCAAGTGATCCACCTACCTCGGCCTTCCAAAGTGCTGGGATTATAGGCATGAGCCACTGCACCCAGCTCAGTTGACCTTGATTACTAAGAGCACTCTGTCTTGGTTCAAAGACAGTAGAACATGCTTCTTATTAAATATTTTAGTGAGGATACTTTCTATGTCCATAAACTAGGTGTCAATAATGAATATAGTAACCCAGAGCATCCTACATTTAGCTGATAAACTCCTAAAGGAGTGTCCTTCAAAGAGTTTTCCAAACTTTTTTTGACAGAGGTTCTCCTAAGGGGATCTGCAGAGAACCCTGGGTATCTGTATTCAAGCACCCCAAGCTTGAATACAGATTAAATTATGTTCCCTAGCCAAGACTGGGATGCAATGCTTTAATATATTAAAAGTGGTAAAAGATTAATGATATTCCATAGAACTGTTGCAACATAGATTAAAACTATAATTATGCTAAGCTTAAATTCAAGGTGCCCGAGTACTATTATTCCTAAAAAGTCAACAACAACAACTAGGTTCTTAGTCCCCTCATTATTTGTAAATAATAAAACTTCTAAGGAAAAGATCCCCTTAACTTCATCTTATTACTTTTTTCCATAAGAGAGCTAGAGCCTTGGTAATCTTTAATGTCAGAAGGAAAAAAAAATTATGACTTGAAGCTTTGTTGAGTACATCTTCTTTTGTGATTCCAGTAGTGTCTTACTCCCAGAAAGAATTAATTTTTTATATCTTTCATAGCTATTTTGTCCTAATTTTGCTGACAGAGTTCAGGTCACAATGTAGATCATCTTGTTAAAACTGACCACCTTGTTTTATTCTTCTTTATACTTACTCCTTACCTCTTTGTACAACTTTTTGACACAAATTATTAGGTGCTTAATAAATACTAATTGGTTGTAATTCCAGTTGATTAAGAATGATGGAAAAGGACTTGGTATCCCTATGAGTTTTGTTTTTTTTTTTTTTTTTTTTTGAGACGGAGTTTTACTCTTGTCACCCAGGCTGGAGTACAATGGTGCAATCTTGGCTCACCGCAACCTCTGCTTCCCGGGTTCAATCAATTCTCCTGCCTCAGCCTTCTGAGTAGCTTGGATTACAGATGCCCACCACCAAGCCTGGCTAATTTTTGTATTTTTAGTAGAGACGGGGTTTCACCATCTTGGCCAGGCTGGTCTCGAACTCCTGACCTCAAGTGATCCACCTGCCTCAGCCTCCAAAAGTGCTGGAATTACAGGCATGAGCCACTGCACCCAGCCCTATGACCTTCTTAAGCCCTGTTTCCTACATGTTCATTTTGATTGTGAGAATCTTGAGTTTTCTTGTATGGTCTTCTGTCACTTAACAATGGGGATGTGTTCCGAGAAATGCTTCCTTAGGCGATTTGGTCTTTGTGAAAACATCCTAAAGTGCACTTACACAAACCTAGATGGTGTCACCTACTACACACCTAGTCTATGTGGTATAACCTATTGCTCCTGGCTGCCTAGCATGTTACTGTACTGAATACTGTAGGCAATTATAATGTAGTATTACATGCACAAATGTATTTGTGTAACTATGCATATCTAAACACAGGAAAAATACTGTAAAAATATGGCATTATCATCTTATGGGGCTGCAGTCATATATGAAGTCTGTCGTTGACTAAAGGTTCCTGTGGTACACGACTGTATGACTGTATGGTTAATAATGCCAGGCACATATGGAAATTCAATCTGCCTACATCAACTACACATCTACCAGTGGATTTTCATAGCCCTGAGTTCCATGTCATTTTCAGAATGTTCCAAATGACAATCCAAATTATTTATAAGCATTTGCAGACCACTCTTTTATAAATATAACCATTTTGAATGTTTTATTGCTATAACAACAGACATTAAAAACCTTTAGAAACATGATTAACAATACCATGAATCTAGATAAGGGATAAATGGAGGTTTTCCGTACAATGTTTTTTAGCCACTCTTTTGTAAATTTGAAAAGATTCCCAAATTTTAAAAAATTATTTAAACACGAAACCTTAAAAACATTATGCTAACTGAAAGAAGCCCATCACAAAGGACCACAAATTGCCTGATTCCATTTATATGAAATGTTCAAAATAGGCAAATCTGTAGACTTATGAGTTGCTTAGGGCTAAAGGATAAAAAAAAGCGTTGAGGGGTGATGGCTAAAAGGTGTGTGGTTCTTTTTGGGGTGATGAAAATGTTATAAACTTGATTATGGTGATGATTACACAAGTCTGAATATACCAAGAAATCAGTGAACTGTACACGTTAGATGAGGAAATTGGTATCTAAATTATATCTTAATAAAGCAGTTATTTCAAAAATTAAAAGTCAGAAACAATCAAAAGACATAGATATTAAAAGTCTTGTTTGAAATTGAAAACTGGTTGAAAGGTGCAGCCACTTTACATAGCACCAGTCAAGATTCTTTCTTTCCCCTCCCCTCCCGGACGAAGCACATTCCACATTCCCAGTAAATGGATTCTCTCCTCCTCCAGGGTGGGTAGTAGAAAAATGTTCTAGCACATAAATGAATCAATTTATGAGTAGTCAGGATAATGTTAACATCTGACAAGTTTGATTTTAACCTTTATCTGTAATTTTGTGTCTTATGTTCAACGTGAATTCATAGATATTTCTGGAAGAGCTTTTGCCTAAGACATTGTACAAATCAATTCAGAATTCTGAATGGCATGCTTCCTTTCTTCCCATCTTCCTGCCTGGAATGGGTAACATGAGTTTTCACTCTCTCTTTCTCAGTTTTATTAAAATTAAATGGCAATGAAGGTTTGTGCAGGAATATTGATGAACTTAGAGAGATAAGTTTACCTTAAGTTACCCAAGTTAAAAATGACATTCAGGTAATCACACGGATGGAAGAAAATCCACTTAACATACAACCCTTGTTTCCCTGATTATGTATGGGCTAGTATTTTTTATCAACTTTCCACTCCCTTGTTCATTTTGGGAGTTAGTGAAGTATTCCAGATGAATTTAGCTTCATGTTCCACTATATTGAGTAAGGGTGGGATTGGATGAACCTGAAAAATATTTGTGTAGGAGGAAATTTTTATCAGTAGTCAATATTCCACCTTTTTACATAAGAAATGAAACAATTTTGCAAATGGATTTAAAAGGCACATAGCCATGTTCTGTGTGAAAATGTTTTCTTCTGGTGCCTGTGGACTCTGACACAGAGAATAGTTATTTCTCTGCAAATTGAGCTTTATACTAACCAGATTGTTTTTATTTAACCATGAGTGTCTGTGACAATATGACAAAACATGCAAATCGCTAGAGAGTTCTGCTTGGGTCCAAGAACATATCACTTCAGCATGGATCAAGACAGCAAAGTGCAGGTGATGTGGCATCATTACCACGCAGAGGGTTAGCAAATGATTTTACCAACTGCAGTTTAAACATCTTATTTGTCCTTCCTTCCTCAAAGGGGAAACATGTTTTCTAAAATTGATTGTGGTCGTTTTTCTGTTTGGAAACATTTGCTAGAAGAGAAAATAGGAGTTCTAATGTTAAATGATTAACCAAGGGCTTATTATTCAGTTTTTAAATTTATGAAGATTTTTTTTCTACCAAAACAAAGTGTATTATAGTCAGAATGAATAACTTTTACTCATTTCAGGGTATTTTATTACCCTATATTTTGAAGAAGTTAGTCATTTTTATTTGGGACCAGAAAAAAGAGTCAGCCTTTTTTTTTTTTTTTTTTTTTTTTTTTTTGAGACGGAGTCTCACTCTGTCGCCCGGGCTGGAGTGCAGTGGCGCAATCTCCTCTCACTGCAACCTCCGCCTCCCGGATTCAAGTGATTCTCCTGCCTCAGCCTCCCAAGTAGCTGGGATTACAGGTGCCCGCCTCCACGCCCAGCTAATTTTTGTATTTTTAGTAGAGACGGGGCTTCACCATCTTGGCCAGGCTGGTCTCGACTCCTGACATCAGGTCATCTGCCCGCCTCGGCCTGTCAAAGTGGTGGGATTATAGGCGTGAGCCACTGCGCCTGGTCAGAATCAGACTTTTTGATAGCCAAATGGATGATTTACCTGTGCCCACTTTAACCTCCTTCTGATATTCCCGTAGGAATGGAATTCTCTACTTCTGTAGAACCAGATAATTCCTAATATAAAACATGAAAACATTGTGAATAAATTTTAAGATCCAAAGAAAGACAGGCTTATTTTGTGGTTCCCAAACAAGAAACAAAACCAACAAAAAACAACAACAAATTTGAATTTAAAATTGTGTGTCTGCTATTGTAATTATTCACATGTGCTTATAAACACACTCTGCATTTCTGATTTCCCTGGATTACCCTATTTATATAGAACTAAAATTGCAGCTTGGGCAGCATGCCACTCTCATGGCATAGCAAATTAGACTTGGATATCCCAGAAAGTGGAAGAAGGTTTAATAATTATAATTCATAGCAAATTAGACTTGGATATCCCAGAAAGTGGGAGAAGGTTTAATAATTATTGTTTTGTATAGTATTCTAATTTTTCATATATTTTTTAAAGTTTACACAATTTCAGAAGACATAGCTTCTTAATATTGTCACATAGCATATTTAACTCAAATGGGGTGACTATCAGTAGAACAGATACCTGTTCTATAATATCACCTACACTAAATACTTCTATGTTATAGTTTACAATCTCAATTTGAATTTTGAGTTATCAGAGGCAAGATAATTTTCTAGAAGGGCCAAGCCATTCAGTTTTGCTTAAGATCAGCTCTGAACTTGGTGACACTCATGAATCCCAGAAGCCTATCCCAAAGTATTAGTTAGTAGAAGGTACCCCTAAGATATCTAAGAAAATAACATATTGTACCAAATACAGTATCATTAGTTCTGTTTGAAATAAATATAATTTCTCTCATGAAAAAAGGAACTTTGAATTTTAGAAGGTAGTCATTTTGACCTACCTTTTTACACTGGAATTACTTTATTAAGTTAGATCAAACACAGGCTCTTTGCCTCAACTAAATGGACATGCTAAACTGGCTCCAAAGTTGATTTGTGGAACTCAATTATGGACTTCACAAAGTGTTCAAGGTTACTTTTCAATTTGTTTCAGCCAGAATCAATAAATCTCTCACCTGGTTTCTTTGCTGTACGTATTGTACTGGTTAATCATGTATATACATGGCATAGCAAATTAGACTTGGAGAAAGAGTTTTCTGATGGAAGCCAATTTTTAACTACTGTACTGTTGAAATTTTAAAACAAAGGAAAACTCCTTCTGTTTATTATTAAGGTGTGATGGGAACTAAGAGCCATAAATAATTCTGCTGGCCAATTTCCAGAACTGGAAGTAAAAAGAGAGAGAAATGTGGGCAAGGGAAGGGAAGGGAGGAAAAGAAACTATCTTCTGAAATTGTTTCCTTGAAGAATTGCAACATCTAAGAAATTCTTAATATTAATAGAGAGCCACGGGTGCCCAAAAAGAAAAGGAAATAGTTCTACACATATGGATGCAAGCTTTCTTAATACATACATAATATTTTAAAAGACATCACAAAATGCTTTCTAGAGACTAAAAATTAAACTTCAAATTTATGTGGGTAAACGTGGAAGAGCTGTAGCAGAGAAAATTTTAAAAATCATATCCACAGTAACCCCTTCCCCATGGTAGCTCCCCTCTCTTTTCCCTGGGCTACCCTATTTATATAGAACTAAAATTGCAGCTTGGGCAGCATGGTGAGACCCTATCTCTACAAAAACGTTTACAAATTAAAAAATTTGTCAGGCATGGTGGTTGCGTGCCTGTGGTCCCAGCTACTGGGGGGTTGAGGTGGGAGGACTTCGTGAACCCAAGAGTTCGAGGCTGCAGTGAGTTGTGATTGCGCCACTGCACTCCAGCTTGAGTGACAGCACAAGATCCTGTCTTAAAAAATAATAGTAAAATTAAATAAAATAAACCAAAATAAAATAAATATAATATAAAATATAAAAAATATATAAAATAAAAAATAATAAGCAGAACTAAAATTAGAGGTTTCATCTAATGGTGGATGGATGTAGCATGTACTTCAATGGTGCCCAATCAACCTAATTCTGCCCTAACTGAGCTGAAGAAACTGCGCTGGACGTCACAACACCCGAGCCCCATCTCGTGCTCAATCTTGTGCTGGTTGTGCAGCTAATATCTGTGTGGCTTTGGCCTAATCATCTTGTTTCTTCCTTCACAGAATAAAAGGACTGCCCTACATGACTCTTAGGTGCCTTTCATTTATCACATTCTGGGCCGTAGTTCTTTGCATGGCAATGAGATTTCAAAACTCCCACCTCTCTGATAAAGTGGAGAAGTAGAATATTTTTAACCTTATCGCATTCTAGCATATATTAGTATAAAAATTACCTGGGGAAGGATGTGATAGGTTTGAAATAGCTTCCATGGATCTGCATTTTCACCTAGCTTCTGCAGATTCTTACCTAGATTGCTCCTAAAACCTGGAGTGAAGACTAGCCCTAGGATATCTCTTAAGCTTCTAATGCAGAAGAAGGCTGTGAAAATCAAGACTTTTAAAATGACTTTTCCTAGGGGTATCTTTAACATTCTGAATGAAAATAACAGCTTTTGCACTGAGGAAATTAACATATAGGAAAGGCAGTTCCAGGAAGGAGAGCAATTGTCATAGCTGGGGGACAATTTCTAGGTTTAAGATGCTTGTTCATATTGTTTGCTGAAAAGAGTATAGAGATAAGGAATGATAAGACCAATGTCTCTTTAATTTTAGTGGAAATTATTTGCTGTAAATAAAGCACTGTAATACTCACATTCATTAAATCTAAATATAAATAGTTTTATATTCCTTAATACCATGAAGGATGTTTCACATCCTTCTATATGATTCACATCTCATATCTCTTTTTCTAGTCTTGCTCATTCTGAAGGTATTTTTAAATCAATGTCACAAGTTGACAATGGTGGATCTAGTGCTGACCCATTAACATCTTTTTAAGATGTTACATATAAAATTCATTCTTTAAAAGTGTACAAATTCAGTGATTTCTAGTATATTGAGATATCTGGAACCATCATCACCATTAATTTTTAAATGTTTTCGTGACCCCATAAGAAACTTTTAGCAGTTTATCCCCCCAGATATGGCCCAAAGAAAGAACTACCCTATTTCATATCTCTATAGTTTTGTCTATTTGAGACATTTCACAGAAATTTCATATCTCTATAGTTTTGCCTATTTGAGACATTTCACATATAACACATATGGAGTTATACCATATGTGGTCTTTTATGACTGGCTTCTCTTAGTGCAATGTTTTCAAAGCTCATTTGTGTTGTAGCATATATCAGCATTTCATTTCTTTCTATGGCTGAATTATATTCCATTGTGTGCTATGCCAAATTTTATTTATCCATTCATCAGGTGATAGACATGTGGATTGTTTGTTTCCACTTTTTGACTACTATGAATAATGCTGCTATGAACATCTGTATACAAGTTTTTTATCTTTATAATTATTTTTGGTGGAATTGCTGGACCATATGGTAACTAACCTTAACCATTTTAGGAGCTGACAGATTGTTTTCCAAAGTGTCGGCACCATTTACAAATCCTACCAACCATGTACGAGGGTTCCAATTTCTCCATATTCTCGCCAGTACTTGGTATTATCTATCTTTTTTAGTACAGCCATCTGAATGGGTATGAGTCAGAATCCTACCGTGGTTTTGATTTGCATTTCCCTAATGACTAATGATATCGAGCATCTTTTCATGTACTTACTGGCTATTTGTGTACGTTCTTTGGAAAAATGTTCAGACTCTTTTCCCATTTTAAATTGAGTTGTTTGTCTTTTTATTATTGAGCCTTAAAAGTTATTTTTATGTTTTAGATACAAGTTCCTTATGAGATATACGATTTGCAAATGATTTCTCCCTAGTTGCCTTTTCACTCTCCTAATGATTTCCTTGGAAACACAAAACTTATTAATTTTGATGAAATGTGTTTGTTCTGTTTTTCTTTGATTGTCTCTGCTTTTGGCGTCAGATCTAAGAACTTACTGCCTAATCCAAGATCATGAAGATTTATATTTATGTTTTCTATTATGAATTTTAATTTTAGTTCTTACATTTAGGAGTCTGAGACATTTAAAAAGTTTTACTTTTTTATTATAGTAAAACACACATACAATAAATTTACTACCTTAACCATTTTAAGTATACAATTCAGTAGTGTTGATTGTATTCACATTGTTGTGCAAACATTGCCACCATCCATCTCCAGAATGGTTTTACCTTCCCAAATGGGAACTGTATCCACTGAACAACAATCCGAATTTCTCCCCGCCCCCAGCCCTGGCAGCCAGCATTCTACTTTTTGTCTCTATGAATTTGACTACCTCTTATAAATGGAATTCTACAGTCTTTGTCTTTTTCTGATTGGCCAGTTTCATTTAGCATGCCCCCAAGGTTCATGGATGTTGTAGCATGTGTCATAATTTCCTTCCTTTTTAAGGCCAAATAATAGCCCATTATATGCATATATTACTTTTTTAAAAAGTAATGGAGACAAGGTCTCATTATTTTGCCCAGGTTGGTCCTGAACTCCTGGACTCAAGCAATCCTCCTGTCTCGGCCTCCCAAAGTGTTGGGATTACAGGCATGAGCCACCATGCCTGGCCTATATATTACATTTTGTTTAGGCATTTGATCCATTTTGATTTAAGTGTCATTTATGGTATGAGGTAGGAGTCCAACTTTATTGTTTTCCATGTGCAAATCCAGTTGTCTCAGCACCATCTGTGGCCAGTTCATTCTTAGCACAGATAAGTAACTGAATTTAAATAACATCATTATTTCAAACTCAAATTTCTGTGGAAAACCATTTTAAAGGCGGTTTCAAAAGATATAGAGCACATTCAAGATACTTTGTGTATAGGTGACAATATGTATTTCAAGACAAACATAACAAACAACATGTGACAATGTCATGTTGTTGTTTCTTCCCCGTTCTCTAGAATTTTCTTTTCCTTTTTCTTTTTTCTTTTTCTTTTTTTTTTTTTTTTTTTTTGTAGAGACAAGGTCTCACTATGTTGCCCAGGCTGGTCTTGAACTCCTCGACTCAAGCCATCCTCCTGCCTCAACCTCCCAAAGTGCTGGGATTACAGGCATGAGTCACTGAACCCAGCCTAGAATTTTCTTTTTACTGTTGAAAAGTAGACTATCACTGCATATTCTACTTCAAGGGTATTGTGAAGCTAAATAATACAAATCATAACCTAGAAGAATTCCATATTTATATTATTACCAAAATTTAAGTATATGTTTATATTTAAATATAATAGTCATAATAAAGCATGCATACAGGCATATACACTGGAAGAAAAAGAATCATTAAAATTACTTCTGCTCTCTTTGGTGGGAATGTCTGTCACCAAGAATCAATATGTACTTCACTACCAATAGGTGGCGCTAAACATTTAGTCAGGATTTTATTCATTTTTACCTTGCTCACCGTATACATAACCATAGCTTCCCGTGGAAAAGAGAAGCAACTTATAAAAAAGATTCAAAACGATCAGGAAGAAATGCGCTCTCTTCTCATCCCAATTCAGTCATGTTCAAAATGGCAATAAATGAAGGCAGCTTTCAATTAAACTGAGCAACAGGGACAAGTTTACAGATTTGAGTTGCTCCAACATCCCATAAGAAAAGGCCTTCTTACTACTCTTCAGGTGGCCCTTGAGGTCAAGGACACAATCAGATCCTCTTGGAGCCACCAAAAAGTATCCGGGTAAACTGGAGGGTTTTTGTTGTTGTTGTTATTTCTTTAAGTCTTGAGAGGAAAAAAATGCATTTACAGCAGAGAAACATATACAACTGACTCCGGACAGATGTTCAAGAACCAATCAAAAGACACATGCTTGATAACAGGACAATTATTTGCATGTATTTTCTTTCTTTTTTCTTTTGTCTTTCTTTTTTTTTTTTTGACAAGGTCTTACTCTGTCACCGAGGCTGGAGGGCAGTGGCGCCATCACGGCTCACTGCAGCCTTGACCTCCCTGGTTCAAGCCATCCTCTCACCTCAGCCTCCCAGAGTGCTGGAATTACAGGAGTGAGCCACTGCGCCCAGCCTGTTTGTATTTTCTGTGTTATTACAACAGTTATCAATCTTCATCACTGGTAAATTTATAATTATATACATACATATGTCTTTGTATAGATATATACTCACATATATCCTATTGATTGTTGTCACATTAATACTGAAAAATGAGTAATTTTAAAACTGATCTTTTACATTAAACATCTATATATTACAACATTATTACATATTAAGTAGCATTGTGTTTTGGGTCAACTTGATTTTTATTTATGGTGCCTTACACCATTGAGAGATTGCATTTAAACAAGTAAGCCTCATGCTATCATTTACTGTTCCCTAGGAAACAGAAGTCTAATACGCAGGATAAAGCTGCAAAACAAATGACCCTTCACCTCCAACCCATCTCGAGAGTATGGTGATCTCTTTTTTATAGATTTCTTGGCTTTGGATAAATTTGGGATGATATGGGAATTGTCCCAGAGTCCTGCCAAATGCTCAATCCAAAGAGCCTCTGAAACCTCTCCTTAGTCCTAGATCTCTCCAGTTTTGTTAAATTTTTCCAGGCTTCTCTGAAACAGAGCAAACTGTATCAGTTTTTCAGCATCCTTGGTGAGGGTTAAAATGCTTGCATTCTTTTTTTTTTTTTTGTCCTCTGTAAAATGCAATTTACTACCAAGCTAGAAATCCTCCCCCATTGAAATAATATCAAGCCTTACATGCTACAACAGAAAGTATCTACTATGTTTACACTTACTAAATTGAAAATACATGGATAGGATGAGCAAAATTTTTATTTTTATTTTCTATTTATTTTATTTATTTATTTTTTGAGACGAAGTCTGGCTCTGTCACCCAGGCTGGAGCACTATGGCACGATCTCGCCTCACTGCAACCTCTGCCTCCTGGGTTCAAGTGATTCTTCTGCCTCAGCCTTCTGAGTAGCTGGGATTACAGGCGTGCACCACCATGCCTGGCTAATTTTTTTTGTATTTTTAGTAAAGATGGGGTTTCACCATGTTGGCTAGGCTAGTCTTGAACACCTGACCTCAGGTGATCGCCTGCCTCTGCCTTCCAAAGTACCGGGATTACAGGCAGGAGCCACTGCTCCTGGCCAAGCAAAATATTTTTAATAAATTCAGATAATGCAATAAATGAAGTTTCTTCACAAATCCTTTCCCCCCAGCAATAAACTCTAGGTGTTTAAAATTTCAATGAACTCAGTTCCGTTAAAATATACTTACTGGTTCATTTAAAAATTTTATTGGTTCATTTGAATTTATTTCCAATAATTTTTAGAAATTTAGGTTTATTTAGCATTTATAAGAAACAGTTGCCCTTCTTGGCAGGATTCCATTGCATGCCAAGTACACATATATTTTTATCACAGTCCAGGGGAGTGCTTGAAGGCAGGAAAACTATAGGTAGATTGAATAAGTTCATATGCTTAGCTAGCTTAAGATGGTACGGTGTTCTGGGATCAGCCTGAGTCTTCAGTTCTCCCTTTGGATTTCACATATAATGGCAGAGGAATTGTTTAGTGTTTTTCAGAGTAGAGTTCATGGGCCTGAGGAATTCTGAGACATATTCTTGGGGATCTATGGATTTTCTATGCAATTTTATGTTTGGATTTTGGTTGGTTAAAAATATCAATATAGATACATTCTAAGTCATGTGGATATCCGGCTCCTAACAACCACTGACAGTTTTAGTCTCCTGCTTGGATTTGTGTTTGCGTGCAGTGGCACCAAGCGACACCACTTTAATAGTTAGGAGATAATGAAAAAGAAACTGGGTGCGGAGGTTTGTAATGCTTTTCTGTTGGTTGAAATCATACTCCTGTAGGTTTTCCAATACAGTTTAAACCTTTTCATTTTAAAATATGGGCAGGTTTCTAAGGAATTTTTTTTTTTTTTTTTTTTTTTTTGATAGAGTCTCGCTCTATTGCCCAGGCTGGAGTGTGGTGGTGTGATCTCGGCTCACTGCAACCTCCACCTCCTGGGTTCAAGCGATTCTCCTGCCTCAGCCTCCTGAGTATCTGGGATTACACGTACATGCCACCACGCCTGGCCAATTTTTGTATTTTTAGTAGAGACGGGGTTTCACAATGTTGGTCAGGCTGGTCTCGAACTCTTGACCTCGTGATCCGCTCACCTCGGCCTCCCAAAGTGCTGGGATTACAGGCGTGAGCCACTGTGCCTGGCCAGGAATTTTAAAATAATTTCATAGCAAATAGTTCACATTTCTTAAAATGTTGGTGCTTAGAGTATTATAGTGACTATGTGATGATTATTTCATGCAAATTATATTTCAGCCAAATAGCAAGTGTAGTTAGCTGGCATTTCAAGTATCAGAAACTTTACCATAGCAATGGCTAATAGGCAATAAACTACTAATCTCTACACCAAAAAATGTATTCACTAATTGGAATAAAGTATGCTAAATAATTTTTTTGTTGGTGAAAGTCATGGTGTTCAAGATAAGTGGTGACTAAAAAGATTACATGGGCCTTTTGTTCTTGAATGAACAAATTACAGGATCTTAATCCCTTCTTCAGAGCCTTTGGGCCAAGTAGAAAAAGAATAAAATGCATTCGCCATGCAGTTATTAATAACCCAGAGAGGTCTGAAACACCCTGGAAGCAAATGTATTAAAACTTCAACACAAAACATGTAAGTATTCGCACTTAGTGGATGAATGAAATTATAACGAACCCTCAGTATCAGATTGTTTTCTATCAAATAAGCTGAAAAAATAACTTTGATTTTTAGTGTTGGATTGTCAGGGGTTTCTTAGTTATTTTGTTTATTTTTACAATTTCAGGTGTGGACTGCAAAAGGATCCATTCAGCTCATGTGGTCCTCACATCAGAACACAATTGCACCCAGCACAGAGTGAACTCTCATGCGGGTACTCTTTGAAGATCAGAGAGGGGGCCAGGTACAGTGGCTCACGCCTGTAATCCCAGCACTTTGGGAGGCTGAGGTGGGCAGATCACTTGAGGTCAGGAGTTCAAGACCAGCCTGGTCAACATGGGGAAACCCCGTCTCTACTAAAAATACAAATATTAGCCAGGCGTGATGGTGCACGCCTGTAATCCCAGCTACTCAGGAGACTGAGGCAGGAGAATCACTTGAACCTGGGAGGCAGAGGTTGCAGTGAGCTGAGATCACATCACTGCACTCCAGCCTGGGCGACAGAGTAAGACTCCGTATCAAAAAAAAAAAAAAAAGGGAAGGAGGGGTTTCCCTGAGCATAAAAGTTCAGAAGTTATGAATTTTGAAATTTACTTGCTAAACATTTATGCATTTGTCAGGATGTGGTCCAAGATTTGCAAATTTGGGTGAGAAACTTATAGCCCCCACCTACCCCACCAATCACTGGAAGCTGCTGACATTTATGAGAAGGAGGAGCCGACAGTGGAGGATGACCATGAGGGTGGAGGCTCACCACAAACTTGAAACCTTCAAGACCATTATCCATTAACGGGGGAGGAGCACAGGTTCTGTGAGTCACAACTTGAGTTGTATTATATTAAGTAAGGTAAAGACCGTCAACCACGGCATATGAGGTCAGGCCACGTTTTGCTGGTGGTTTTTAGAGCTGCTTGGGTTTTAGAATTGTGGATAAGGAGTGGTGGACTTGTACACATTCTAACTCTGGTTTGCTATTCAGTGTTGAGGAAGTTACTTCCCAGTGCCTCAGGATATAGTCACCTAGATGTTGAGGAATGACTTATCTCCAGGATTAAAGCAGTTGCTGCCACACACAGTGCCATGAATTTTATAAGTATCCTACATATGCGGTTCTTTGAGTGCTCACTACAGCAATGAAATCTGGCTAACTTCCCAGAGAGGGAACTGATTGGAGGAATATGGGTGAATGAAAACACCCAAAGGACGAGCTGAACAGTGAAGAAGAGTAAGACCCAGGGGAGCGGGGGGAGCGGGGAGAATCAGCTCCTGTATTTTCTGTGTGTGTTATGGCAGTCAAAATTGAGGGCCTGGAGGAGCCATGTTTGCAAAGCTAAATCAAATTTCAGCCTCTTGCCTGAGGAAGCCAGCTCTTTGACTGTAGGAGGAACGGGACAGTTTCCATCCCTCTACCCATAACTCCAGCACCAAGATCATGTCTGGTGAGGACGAACTCATTTGCGGTACCTTCTGTCCTCAGTAAATGATGCATTGTAAACTCATGGGGAAAGGAGCCATCCAAAGAAAAATATGTATCATTTATGTAACATACCGTTTAAAGGTCTAGTTTCTTGTCTTGGTCCTGCTGCTTATTATGTGTGACCTTAAGTGAATCACTCCAAGTCTCTCATTTTTATTTTATTTTTTATTTATTTATTTTGAGATGGAGTCTTGCTCTGTCACCCAGGCTGGAGTGCAGTGGCGCCGTCTCGGCTCACTGCAACGTCCACCTGCCAGGTTCAAGTGATTCTCCTGCCTCAGCCTCATCATAGCTAGGACTACAGGTGCCACCACCACACCCGGTAATTTGCAAGCCTCTCATTTTTAAAGCAGGTAATAATGGTGCTCTCATTCTATTAATAAGGTTGCAATAAGAGTCAATGCAATGCTGGACATAAAGCACTTGGAACTAAGTAAGGTCTCCGCAACACTCATCAGTGTTGGTACTTCCTATGCACCCAGGCCGACATCAATGTTAATTTGTTTCTTGGCAGATGTCAAACCAAACATTTACTAAATGGTGACTCTTCAAGTCATTCTGCTGTATCCTTAGCTACCTTTTAGAGGGAATGAAGTTCACAAGGTAAATATAACAACCAAGAGAATGAGTAACTCCACAAAGAAGCACGCCCAGGGAGGTGGTCCACAAGTACTGTTTAAAGTCCACAAAGAGGCTTACAGAGGGCACAGACTCACTTTCCTTCCTGCGGTCATTCAGTCCATACCACCCCCAGAGGCTGGGCAGGCTCACCAGCCCAGGGCACCCTGGGGCTTAGAAATAGATTTCAGATAGCTTTTAAGATGATGCTGATCAAATTCCTCCTTTTGAATATTATTTAGTTATCTCACTAAACCAAAATAATCTGGAAAGAAAACGTATTTAATACCTACTCTTCTATATTAAAAGACAAAACAAAACAAAAACGGGCCGGGCACGGTGGCTCACGCCTGTAATCCCAGCACTTTTCGAGGCCAAGGTGGGTGGATCACCTGAAGTTGGGAGTTCGAGACCAGCCTGACCAAAATGGAGAAACCCCGTTTCTACTAAAAATACAAAATTAGCCGGGCATGGTGGCGCTTGCCTGTAATTCCAGCTACTCTGGAGGCTGAGGCAGGAGCATTGCTTGAACCCAGGAGGTGGAGGTTGAGGTGAGCCAAGACCGCGCCATTGCACTCCAGCCTGGGGCAACAAGAGCAAAACCCTGTCTCAAAAAAAAAAAAAAAAGAAAGAAAAGAAAAAACGATACCATAAGACTAAAAAGAAAGGACATATTCTGAAAACATTCAAACTATGTCAGAGAGCAGTGGCATATTTGAGCTGATAAGAATTATCGATAAGGAAATTCACTCCAGCAGCTTCTCTGTGGACTCCCTGCAGCCTTGCTTCATTGCTCAAGACAATACAAGTCAGGAATTGTACAGTATCAACTTGGTAAGTTTGAAGGATAAAGGAGTTTGGAAGAAGAGAGGAAGAAAATGTGGCCACAAAATACTACTGAATTCTTAACGCATAGCAATTCCTTCCCTTTCCCATTGTCCCTGTTGCCTGCCGGGCCTCACAGGATGGACAGAGAAGGCTGGGTTTGTTTCTTCTCATTGCCTGTCTTTGTCTGAACAGCTCTCAGGGCGGTAGATAGAATGGGAGTGGGTGCTGGGTTTCCCTCCCTGGAGGGGCCGAGGGGAAGTGACAGTGGGGAATATGCCTCCTGGGCCAGGTCTGTGAATTAAAAACACGGAATGGGCCATGCAGTGGCTCACACCTGTAATCCCAACACTTTGGGAGGCTGAGGCAGGTGGATTGCTTGAGTCCAGGAGTTGGAGACCAGCCCGAGTGACATGGCAAAACCTCGTCCCCACAAAAAAATAAATAAATAAATAAAAAATAAAAAAGAAAGAAAGAATAATTAGCCAAGTGTGATGGTGTGTGCTTGTGGTCCCAACTACTTTGGAGGCTGAGGCAGGAGGACCGCTTGAGCCCAGGAGGCGAGAGGCTGCAGTGAGCCGAGATCACGCCACTGCACTCCAGCCTGGGTGACAGAGCCAGACCCTATCTGCAAATAAAACTAAACAAGACAAAAACATGGTGTGGAGATACAAGGTGGAAGCAGGCTGGAAAAAATATCCCTGGTAAGGATACAATGAAGGAATGCTGGTAACCTCACCCTGGTGTTCCTTCGCCAGCGGCGAGGGCTGTGGTTTTCATCATGGGAGAAGCCCTTAACTAGGCTTCTAAACTAGCTGCAGAGTCCGAGCATCAACCTCCACTTGACAAGGATGGGCTTCTCTTCTACTACAGGGTCTACTTGCTCTAGAATCAGCAATCAGAGGTAATCCTCAACCTCACCTGCCAACTTATGCCAGCTGATAAGACATCAGCGGACACAGACCTTTTCTGAACAAAGTAGAACTCAGGAATCCCCAAGCGTCCAGCAGGCATCAACTATCACACTCTGGCCCTGGTGGTGACAGAGCAGGGAGACCTAAGAGATGGCGGGGTCCAGGATTCCACTCACATCCACAGGAATGTGGTAGATGCTGCCAGCAAGGAGGGTGAGGGAGGCGGACAGGAGCCCTGATGCTCCTTTTCAATTACCTTTGTGACAGCCCATCAGAGGAGTTGGGCTGCCTCATTGCAGAGAGGCTCATGTAGGGGAGAGGAGGGTGCCAGAGCTGGATTATCACCCACCCCTCCCTTGGGGTGTGGGTAGCTGAGCTGGGAGTAAGGAAATCTGGAGAACTGAAGGAGGCAGGGTTTTTTGATTTAGGAAGAGCCCATCCGTACAAGAAGGAGGTTGGGGCCCGGAGAGCAGGGACTCTTTGTGTGTCAGTTGATTTGTTCTAAAGGCAGCCCAGATAGGGACAGTCTTAGACAAAGATATTGATTGCACTCAAAAAATATTATAAATCAGAAATCTGGAAGTATGGCCTGCCTTTTAGTGAAACATATTCCAAACTGCCAGGACTCTCTCATAAAAGGTAATCTAAAATCGTCAAGAACATTTCCTTTTCCTGTAGTTATTCTGTGAATTATGTCACCTCTTACTCTCAGTGAATGCCCTTTGATCTGATCCTTGTTAATGTCCTGTCCTGCTGAGTTTTATTCTCCATAATTCATGTATGTGGGGGCTTGCTTCATTTTGGCTCAGACATGCGGGGAAAAGAGTCCAGTTCTCTGGACCAGAGCCTATGAAATCACGCCTTTAAATACATTCCTAATTTTGATATTTATTATAACAATGTAAGACTTTGGTTATAATAATGAAAGGAGAACCAGTTGATTTCATTGAGCAACTCAATCAAATAATTCCTGATGTGGAAGAGGGAAGTTTATTAGGATCCTGAGCTAGCATGGAGCATGGCCATTTAGAGCATGAGAAAAATGCTTAAGTTCCCCCAGTTAGTTTGATAGATAGACCATATTTTTACTTTTAACAATACACCAAAAATCCTTTCCTGCTTTGGAAAGATCTTCCTTAATAACTTGGAGAAGGAAGGTAATATGATCTACAATTTAAATTAAGCTTTAACTAGTGAAAACACAGTTTTCTTCAATGAATTAATAATTAAGCCCATGAAATAATTTCAATGAGCATGAAGATCTTATAACTATAATTGTCTTAGTAATTTATTTTTCTGATGCATCTAGGATTTTCTTCTTCCCCTGTGACTGGTGAATGATTATAAATTGACTGATCATTGTGATAGCTTCTTCTAATATGAACAATCTAAATATCATGCTTTGCACCCTATGTTTAAAAGTAACAATATATTCAAACTTAAAATTCTCCATGAATCACCTGACCATAAATTTAGTTAGAAATCAAGGAAGAAGAGTAACCATGTGTTATGCCTATTTCTTATTAAAAACAATTTTTAGATATTGCTGGGGACCAAAGTTTATTTATTTTTTATTTTTTGAGACGGAGTCTTGCTCTGTTGCCCAGGCTGGAGTGCTGTGGCACTATCTCAGCTCACTGCAACCTCTGCCTCCTGGATTCAAGTCATTCTCCTGCCTCAGCCTCCCTAGTAGCTGGGATTACAGGCGCCCACCACCACTTCCAGCTAAATTTTGTATTTTTAGTAGAGACAGGGTTTCACCATGTTGGCCAGGCTGGTCTCTAACTCCTGACCTCAGGTGATCCAACCACCTCAGCCTCTCAAAGTGTTGAGATTACAGGTATGAGCCTCTGCGCCCGGCCTCAAAGTTTTGAATCAAATGTTTTAGCTGGTTTCCCTGTGATCATAGACTCCGTGTGTATCACACAACACGGAACTTAGCCCTGGAAGCTTACTGAGTTGTAAGGACATACTCTAACGGAGAATTCTCTGGCACCATGGTCTCAGGCATCTTCCAGCCACCCAGTCTTGTAGAAGAGATAAGCCATTTCAGGCAGACACGTCTCTATCCAGGCTTGGAATGCATCCAAAGGAAACACAAAAAACTCTGACATCAGAACACACCTGTTGACTTTGGAGCATCCGTATCAATCACAGCCAAGACCAGGGCAGCTGTGCTGGGGCCAGCCCTCTGTGTGGGGCAGAAGGAATGTCAGCTATGAACAAAGTCAGGAGGAAACAGAGATAGAGGCTTCCACATTCTTCTGCCTCTTTGTCTACATACCATTAATAAGGTTGACTTTTTTTTTAACTTGGCCCCAAAAACAATTCTAGGATGGCATCTTCAGTTCTTCATTCACTTAAACAAAAATCTGATTTTTAGATATTTTAAATATCTAAAAATGCCTTTTCTCTTCCTTTTTATTATCTTTTGTTATTTCGTTTTACTGAGTTCTATTTTTAGAATAAAATTTTGTTTTCACTCTTAAAAAATGGGCATATGACTTAAATAGACATTTCTCCAAAGAAGATACATAAAGGGCCAAAAAGCACATGAAAATATGCTTAACATCATTATTTACTGGGGAAATACAAACCAAAATGACAATAAGATGCCAGTCCACATTCACTAGGATTGCTGTATCAAAACAACACAAGATATTAATAACAAATGTTGATGAGTTTGTCAAAAAATTGGAACTCTCATAAATTGCTGGTAGAAATCTAAAATGTTGCCACCACGTTGGAAAACAGTCTGGTAGTTCCACAAAAAGTTAAACACAGAGTTGCCATATAATCCAGCTTTCGAGTTCTAGGTATATACCCAAGACAATAGGAAATACATGTCTACACAATAGCTTTTATACCAGTGTTCTGGTGTAAAAGAACACTTTTACACCACTATTGGTGTAAACACTATTCACAATAGCCCAAAGGTAGAAACAAGCCAAGTAAGTGTTCATCAGCTAATGAATGAGTAAATAAATTGTGGTATATTTATATGATTGAATCATATTCAGTCATAAAACATGGTGAAATACCGGTACACGCTATAACATGAGTAAATCTTGAAAACATGCTGAGTGAAAGAAGCCAGACACAACCACCCAATAGCATATGGTTCTCTTTATATGAAAGGCCCAGAGTAAGCAAATCTGTGAAGATAGAAAGTAGATTAGTCACTGCCCAAGGCTGGGTGATGGAGCAATGAGGAGTAACTGCTAATGGATTTGGGTTTTTTGTTTTGGTGTTTTTGGTTTTTTTTGGGTGGGGGGGATGGAGTTTCACTCTTGTTGCCTCGGCTGGAATGCGACGGCATGATCTGGGCTCACTGCAACCTCCGCCTCCTGGGTTCAAGCGATTCTCCTTCCTCAGCCTTCCTGAATAGCTGGGATTACAGGCATGTGCCACCACGCCCGGCTAATTTTTTGTATTTTTTAGTAGAGACGGGATTTCTCCATATTGGTCAGGCTGGTCTCATACTCCCAACCTTAGGTGATCCACCCGCCTCGGCCTCCCAAAATGCTGGGATTGCACGCATGAGCCACTGTACCTGGCTAGTTTGGGTCTCTTTTTGAAAAGTGATGAAATGTTATGGAATTAGATAATGGCGATGGTTAGAAAACCTTGTGAGTACACTAAAAACTACTGAATTGTATATTTTAAAAGGGTGAATATTATGACACGTGGATTATACCTCTGTTTTATTTTATTTATTTATTTATTTATTTTTAGAGACAGGGTCTCACTATGTTGCTGAGGCTGGAGTGCAGTGGCTACTCACAAGTGCAATCCCACTATTGTTTAGCACAGGAGTTTTGTTTGTTTGCTTTTGTTTTTTTTTCTTTTGAAACGGAGTTTCACTCTTGTTGCCCAGGCTGGAGTGCAATGGCACAACCTTTTCTCACTGCAACCTCCACCTTCTGGGTTCAAGCGGTTCTCCTGCCTCAGTCTCCCAAGTAGCTGGGATTACAGGTGCCCGCCACCACGCCCAGCTAATTTTTGTATTTTTAGTAGAGACAGAGTTTCACCATGTTGACCAGGCTGCAGCACAGGAGTTTTGACCTGCTCCATTTCTGACCTGGGCCAGTTCACCCCTCTTAGGTAACTTGGTGATCCCCTGCTCCCAGAAGGTCACCATATTGATGCCAAACTTAGTGTGGACACCTGATTAGCACAATGCATTACAGCCCAGAACTCCTGGACTCAAATGATCCTCCTGCTTCAGCCTCCGAAGTAGCTGGGACCATAGGTACATGCCACCATGCCTGGCCATATCTCAATTTTAAATTGAAAAAAAAAAAATCAGATTTAAAGTTCCCTGACTCCAAAACTCTTCCTCCTTGTGTGTTTCCCTATCTGAAGACACCTTATGAGGTATTTGGACTTCTTCCTTCTCTGTAGTCCTCATTTCCCTGATATTTGACCTTTAGCTCTTTTGAGTGTCTTGAATCTGTCCCTTGCTCTTCATTCCCACTCACGCTACCATGGTTCATAATGCCATCGTCTCTTGCCTAAATCACTGCAACTACTCTCCAGGCTTCCAAACTTGTCCTTGCGCCAGTCCATTCTCTATGATTTAGCCAAGGAAGTGATATTTTAAAATATGGTTTGTTGCTTCTCTGTACCCTTGGGGATTGGTTCCAGGACCCCCATGGATACCAAAATCCATGGATGCTCAAGTCCCTGATATAAAGTGGTGTACTATTTCCATATAACCTATGCACACCCTCCTGTATACTTTAAATCATCTCTAGATTACTTATAATACCTAATACAATGTCAATACTATGGAAATAGTGGTTATCTTATATTGTTTTTTATTTGTTTGATTTTTTATTGTATTGTTATTTTTATTGTTTTTTTCCTAATGTTTTTGAGCCCTGATTGGTTGAATCCACAGGTGCAGATGGCCAAGTACATACAAATGTATTTTAATCAAATCAAGGTAATAATTTCTCTTTTGTCTCTTTTTGAGCGTTAATTTTCTTATTTCATACATGTGAGTGAATACATATGATTTTGGAGGTACAACAATGATAAAACATAATACTAGTCTTAAGGAGGCTGTAGTCTAGAGAAAGTCCCCCCACATAAAGAGGTGATTAGGATGTAATATGTTACGTGCTATGAGAAGGTAAAATGATCAAGGAGTCTGGTGGGGGTCAGAAAAGGCTTCTCAGAGGTGGTGAAGTGTTAGCAAATATTTGAAGGATGAATAGGAGATATTCAAACAAAGAAAAGAAAAGGAAATCCCAGAAAAGGAGGTAACTTGAGCCATAGTTGGGCGGTAAGAGAAAGCATGGACCCTCCAAAAGACAGGGAGAGTCCTGGTCACCAAGGGTCTTGTATCTGGAGCAGTCAAGTCTCTTTTGTTGGCAAGTTTAAAAATATAAATCCAAACAGAAACTGAAGACTGGGGGTGCAGTGGTTTGAGCAAGCCTGGATCCAAGTGCTTGGACATGTCAGAAGTCTGTGCTCAGTCTCTGCTGTTGGCCCATCTCTTGCAGGCCAAGTCCCTCATGTCCAGATGGCCACCAGCAGCTCCAGGCTCGGATTCTCCCATTTTGCAAACCCAGCAGAAGGAACTCTTGCTGACCAGTAGTTCCCAAGACTGATTTTCTGTGGGGCTGGTGGAGATGAATGGCCAACCCTGAATCAGTCACTGCACCAGGGGGATGATCCCTCTTTCTGCCTTGGAGCTGGCTTATCAGAGGTAGAGAGGAATGGGCGGGGATCAAAGCAAAAGGAGGGAGGATGTGGAAAGGGGAGTTGCCCTTGTGAAAATCAGGCACTGTGACCAGAGGTAGGAGGAGTGGATGATAGACAGGGTAAAACAGCAGTGGCCCATGAAACCACACTAAGGCTGCTGAGCAACTTCCAGCAAGCAGTGAAGCTACCAATGTATGTGCAAGAAACAGTTCTTATGATGAAGGGCAGTTGCAGTGGGGACAAGAACACTGATTTGGGAGCTGTTATATTAATTCAGGTGACATATTACCATTGCTGAAATGAAGGGAGTGTCAAGGCAAATAAAGAGCAGTTGATAAATTTGAATGATAAGAAGCTGGCAGGACTTAGGTAACTGATTAAAGGTGGAAGCTGTATTGTGGAGGGGGGAGTGTCTGGGGAGATGGAGGAGCTAAGTGTGACTCCAGGTCTAAGGCTCAGGTAATCATGTGAATAATGACTGTTGACTAGGGACGCCGGAGCAGGAGCAGCTCTGGGGAGGGGAGGAGAATCCAGTGATTTTAACACTACCTGTTTGATGTCTGAATGCAGCTAATGAGCAGGTAGCTGCAGCTCCCAGTCGGAAGCTGGGGAAAGGACCTGAGGGTATGGCCCTGTTGCTGGGCACACATGCATTTTGAATGGGACCCTGCTAAGCCAGAAGATAGGATGGCAAAGGAGACATATGTCCCACTCTCGAGAGCTCGTAAGTCACGTGGGATGAAGGTTGTGTACACAAGTGACAGGCAGTGACATCGCTAGTGTGTGGGTACACAATAAGAGACCCTGCCCTGCCCTGCTCTAGGGCTCCCTCAGGGCCAGGAGGGGCTTTTCTCATGATGAAGCCTGGTGGTAGAGTCTTGCAGGGTGAGTGACAGGCACACACTTCAGGATGTTCAGAGAGTGAGAATACATCCACTTGCTAAATCAAAACGTTATCAGGAAACCTTTGTCTTCCCTAAGAAAGTGGACTATCTGTAAAAATAACCACAGCCAGCAGCGGGGCTCTCTCATAAGGAGGTGGAGACAGGGCCAGCCATGAAGGAAGATGGATTTGCCAGGCAGCCAAGTGGACTGCAGCTGGGACACAGGTTGCAGCTGGGACATCTTTGGCTTCGGGAATGCCATGTCCTTATAAGTCATGTCCTTATCAGTTCTGCTTAAAGAGCCAGAAAATGCTCTGCCTCACTTCAAGTATAGGTCCCCGAGCATCACTGCATGGAAAGGTTCATCTGACCAAAGACCCTGAAGAGCAAGTCACCACTGAAGCTAGTCTGAAGCCTGCCCTACTTCCTCCCTTCAGATTTTCACCTGAAGATTCAGGAAAAGATGGGCACGGTGGCTAGCGCTTATAACCCCAACACTTTGGGAGGCCAAGGCAAAAGGACTGCTGCGCAACAAAGCAAGACTGTGTCTCCACAAAAAAATTAAAAATTAGCTGGGCCTGGAGACACACGCCTGTAGCCCTAGCTACTCGGGAGGCTGAAGTGGGAAGATTGCTTGAATCCAGGAGATCGAGGCTGAAGTGATCTGAGATCGCACCACTGTACTCCAGCCTGCATGACAGAGCAAGACTCTTTTTTTTTTTTTTTTGAGATGGAGTTTTGCTCTTGTTGCCCAGGCTGGAGTGCAATGGCACGATCTCGGCTCACTGCAACCTCCGCCTCCTCAGTTCAAGTGATTCTCCTGCCTCAGCCTCCCTAGTAGCTGGGATCACAGGCATGCACCACCAGGCCTGGCTGATTTTATATTTTTAGTAGAGATGGGGTTTCACCATGTTGGCCAGGCTGGTCTCGAACTCCTGACCTCAGGTGATCCACCTGCCTCGGCCTCCCAAAGTGTTAGGATTACCGATGTGAGCTACCGCGGCTGGCCAACTCTGCCTCTTAAATTAAAAAAAAAAAGTAAAGAAAAAAAGATTCTGGAATAGACCATCAAAGCAAATGCAAAAGCTGGCCCCTGGTTGGCAGTAGACAAGACACTGGGCCTGCATCAAGACTCTGTGTGGCGCATCCTGGAAGGAGAGGTTTGGGAGAGGGAGTTAGAAAAGGGGGAAACACTACAACAGCCACAACCCTGGAGGCTTAATTTCACCCCAGGTCTTCATAGCAATCTTGTTTTGTTTTTGATCTCCAAAAAGGGGTCAGCCTAGGATTTATGAGATACTCCCTCACACAACCTGAGAAGAAATTAAGAAACAACTTTTACTTCAGAACTGAAAACTGTCTGGAAAACCAGAGAAGTGCTGAATGTCACTGTAAAGAAACGAAAAACAGGAGGCGACGTGTGCTGGGCAGATGGGACATGGCTTTCTGTGTTTCCGTAGGTAATTGCAACAGCATTAAGAAAATGTGAGAAAGATATTAGCATGGCACAAATGCCTGTTCATCTCCGCTTTTAAATGTCTCTGAGTTGAATTAAACCACAGTGGTAATGTAGAGTTTTTCAAAGTATACATAAATGATATTTTAGTTTTGCTAGCTATGAATTTAAATATTTGATTACTTTTTGATATGCCATTTCTAAATTACCTCTAAAATTAAGACCAAAATAATAAATACACATAATACTAATGTTTCAGAAATGAGCTCCACCATTACTTACAGTGTGATCATACAAACTAACACCTTGTAATAATTAGTCACCTTTTGTCAATATTTATTTGAATAGCCAACAACAGCATAGAGGATGTGCATTGACTGCTAAGCCTAGAATGCTAGAAAAATAAGGAAAGGCTGCGCTTCCTTTCCTCGGCGTGATCTGTCCACCTGCTATCTGTGGGGAACTTGGCTGCTGAGCGAATCGCTCTGTTCTATGTATAGCTTTGTTGATTTACATAGTTCTCCAAAAGGCACACACCCAGGGTTTTGTTTCAAGTGAATAATGTTAACAGACAAACTGTCTAATAAACCTGAAATGTTCTCCCAGGGGATGGAGAGAAAGCGAAGATCCTTGGATAATTTCAGTGTTTTCCTTCTTGACCTTGGGTCCGTCTGTCTGAAATTGACATGAAGGTTGGAATCAACCTCTTGGGTTCAGCTAAGGGATGTGTGGAACGCTGACGGGAATGAGATACTCCTACCCCTAGGCTTTTAGGGAGCAGATGTGTCTTCCTCTCAAGACAGTCTGTGTGGGGTAGATGAGTTGGCTCTGGACAGCCCTAAAACAAATCATAGCTGGCCAGGTGCGATGGCTCACGCCTGTAATCCCAGCACTTTGGGAGGCCGAGGCGGCAGATCACCTGAGGTCGGGAGTTTGAGACCAGCCTGACCAACATGGAGAAACCCTGTCTCTACTGAAAATACAAAATTAGCTGGTTGTGGTGGCACGTGACTATAATCCCAGCTACTAGGGAGGCTGAGGCAGGAGAATCACTTGAACCTGGGAGGTGGAGGTTGTGGTGTGCCGAGATCGTGCCATTGCACTCCAGCCTGGGCAACGAGTGAAACTCCGTCTCAACAACAACAACAAAAAAATCATAGCTCCATTCCTATATGGGTCTCTTAGGGTCACACTGAATTACACAATTTAGCAGCACCCGAGTGACCTGGCTGGGATCTTAAATGTGGGTAGCTTAGTAGAACCACATTAGAGAGAGAAAGAAGTGCTGAAAAGACCACATGTCTTTGCAGATGAGTGACTATATAAGACACCTTCAAGTCCTGTGAAGTTATGTCGGGCTCCTCTGAATAAAAAGGAGCTCTTTCCCTAACAGTTAACACCTGTGTGCTCACCATGTAACAGGACTCCTTGTAAATCCTTGAGCTCATATAGCCATCACAGAAACCCTAAGCTGAGGCTAGAGAGACCAAGCAGCTGGCCCGCGGCCACACAGTCATTAGCAGACAACACAGCTGGAGGAGGGAACCAGGCAGTGTGAGACGGGGTCCCTGTGTTTAACTGCTTACGCCACATGGCTTCAATGTTAAGCCGTACAGCTTCAAGTTCATCTCCCCTCTTTCCTCTCTTTTATCTCTATTTATATTTGTCAACAAATACAAAAGATTCTCGAGTGGTCTGTTCTGTCTGTTCTAACAAGGGGAGCCAACACCAATTCTCTTAAACTGGATTGGCTGATGAATCTGAAATGTGTTCCGGACTTTGGGGGATGCAGCAGCACGCTGTTTTAAGTGGCATGGGAAGAGGTGGTGTGATGTGCCCCGATGGGGAGGGGCTTGAGCTGGGAAACCCGAGTTCCACTCTTCTTCAGCCCTCCTCCTAGTGATCGGGATTGATAGTGGGCGACTCCCTGCCTCTGACTGGTCCTCGATTTCAGGATGCATCCAAGAGGAGCTGGCCCAATCTCTCCATTCCCTTCAGGCTTGAACACTCCATGATTCTGCGGTGTAAGGTTTGAGAGATTTGGACAAAGTGTTAAACAAACAAAAAAAAGCAGATGGCAGTTAAGGAAGAATATTAACCTAAACACTACATTTCACAGAAGAGTTAGAGTTAGGTTTCTATTCTATTTCCTGCCCACAAATCCATATCCCCTCTGATGGGCAATCACTAGGCAGAACTTATGAAACCGTATTTGAGTGATAGAACTGGTGAAACTACTTGTGTCTAACTGCTTAGTAAAGAGTTTGGTATTTGAAGAAGACTAAGATGAAAGATGGAGACTAATAATTCTGACTTGAGAATATATATAAAAAGGAGATTTTCTCAGAGGCCTTAATAATAGATGGGAGAGTGCTTTGAACGTGAAGGTTATAGCTGGGCGCAGTGGCTCAAGCCTGTAATCCCAGAACTTTGGGAGGCTCAGGTGGGTGGATCACTTGAGGTCAGGAGTTGGAGACCAGTCTGACCAACATGGTAATCCCCATCTCTACTAAAAATACAAAAATTAGCCGGGCATGGTGTTGCACGCCTGTAATCTCAGCTACTTGGGAGGCTGAGACACAAGAATTGCTTGAACCCAGGAGGTGGAGGTTGCAGTGAGCCAAGACTGTGCCACTGCACTCCAGCCTGGGCAACAGTGGGACTATTTCTCACACACAAAAAAAAATAATAAATGAAAATGAAGGTTATTATAAGTTCTATCTTTGCAAAATATTTAGTTTTTTTAATACTCTGCTGACTTTAAAATAATTAGATATGGTGTTGTCTTTCAATACCAGGCAAACATTACCAGGAGGTTAAATAAGAAAGCATATTTTACTTATAAAGTGTTACCACATAACACTCTTATGAAATTTTGGATAATTTCATTCAACATGTAGTTTATGACTAAACAAACAAAAGTTCCAATTCTGGAGAAATCTTTGCAAAAAATGAGGGATTTGTAAATTCAATCCTTATGTTTTGCTGCAATTTTAAAATTAGGATTAAATTTATAGCTGTATCACTCTTTAACTGAAGCAATTGCTAGCTATAGCCTAGATCTCTTATATGGTTTTGAGTAAGAGTTATTTATGACTTTTGATATTGAAGAATGTTAAGATTTGGCATAGATTTTATTAAAATCCTATATACTATACAAGATAGAAGAAATTAAATATAACAATTGGGGTCAATAAACATCTCATCAATGTCTTAAACCAAACTCATAATTATTGGAGCTATTTCATCAAATGATTGAAGCATTGGCTAGGTTTATTTCTAAGATGGCACTCCGTCCAGAAAAGACAGTTTCCTATTCTAATGCTGGAGCTCTGACCTTTTGACCCTGGAATGCCTCAGAGAGAGAAACTACATGGACATGAGCGTCAGGGTGAACACACACTTTAGAGACAATATCAAGAAGTCTGCCTGAGCTTGAGCTCTGAAAAGAATTGTGAAGCTGCATCCTGTCAGGGTTTCCTCTCATTCCTGTATTTCTTTTTCCCTGTAGCCCCTTATTGGCAGCAAATGGACTATTCTTTAGTACTGTTTCTGTGCATTCTTTCCCACAATCTTTTTTTCCTTTTCTTGTTCTATCTCCCTCATCTCCTTTGGTACTTTTCTTTCCAAGTAACCTACCTGGTTTTCCTTTTTTTCCCCCAAATGCCTTCATTCCAGCATATCTTATTTTCTCTAAATCTTGGCCCACATTGCTAATCCATGGGAAGAAGCCAACGACGAGACTGCAGGGAACAATCTTGATCGCTCTGTGAGGGAAAATTCATTTCATCTACATCCCCAAATTTTTTATTTTGAACCCGTTTTTTTCCGTGATGAAGCAATTTAATATTTCTATCTTGATTTAACAATGAAAAGAAATTAATCTCTGCAGCTGCTTCAAAGAGAAAGTAAAAGATCCCTGTTCTGACCTCCCCGTTAGTTCTGACTAATCCATTTGCACACCTGTCAGTGGGCTTGGACAGTGTGTGGAGCACAGAGGAGACACAGCCTTGTGGGGAATTAGAGATGTAAATGTATCTACAGTACAGGGAGATATGATAAGGCCTGATTCTAACTGATTTGGGAATTTGCTAGATAAAGCAAATAAATGCCTGGGGGCTGAGAGAGAAGGAAGCTCTCAAAGAGGAGATGACCTCTAAGAGGGGGCACACAGAATGGAGGGTATGGACATCCTGGACAGAGAAAACCACCTGAGCACAGGCACGGTCCCATCATAAAGCACGGCTGGGAAACAGGGTAGAAACTAGGAATGGCAAGACACTCAGTGGGAAACTCCATAGGATCAAATAATGAAGGACTCCTGTGCCTTTGCCTGCTTAAGGAGCATGAATTTCATCCTGCAGGTGAGGAGGAAGCATGGAAGAATGTTGACTGCCAGAAGTGACAATGCCATATGCATGCTGGAAAGATCACCCTGACGAGGGGTGGGGAGAAGGTGTGCAGGAGGCTGATCAATAGGACAGTTGCGATCACTCAGGGAAAAGATAGTGTGAGCAACAGAGACAGGAGGAAAAACAAGAAGTACATACAAGATATTTTGGAGCTAGAATTGGAGTTGGAGATTTACTACATGGCACGGGCAGGGGGCAAGGAGCAGGAGGAGTAAAAAACAGCTTTACAAAATTTTTAAGCTATTGTTTTTGATTTTCTTTTTTGTTGTTTCCAAATAAATGAATAATAATATTATTGACCTACGCAGCATGCAAGTAAATGTGAGTTCAGGAAGAAAAAGCTCATGAGTTTCAGTTGGACATGCTCTTTTTGAGATGCTTCTTTGGCAGGAATACATATTTGAAATAAGGATATGAAGCCCAGGAAAGAAATGCAGATTTGGAAATCATTGGTATATTGGAAGCAACTGAAGCCAATGATTTGAATGAGACACACCAAGGAAAATACGTAGATCAGTAACAGGAGAAAATCTAGGTTGGAACCCTGAGAAACAACCAGCATATAAGGGCAAGGAGAAAGCCAAAGAGGATTGGAGAGTGGGGAGGCAGGAGGAGATGGTGCCAGTGCTAGTGTCCCAACATCAGGGGAGAAACATTTTTATGAAGGGTGTAGACAACAGTGTAAGAGGCTTAAAGATGTTCAAACAAGGTAAGAAACAAAAATGTGAATTGGATTTTGAAATTTGGCATTTATAGGTAATCTTACCACAAAGAGCTTCAGGAAAGCAGTAGAAGAAGAAGCAGCAATATTAGCAAAGGGCTGAGAAATGTGTGGGAGATGAGGAAGTCCAGATGATGGGGATGTAGACCAGCAGGCCTCAAGCCTCTTGGCCCTGAGAACTCTTTATACCCTAAAAATTACAGAGAAACCCAAATGCTTTTGTTTATGTGGGTCACATCTATCGATAGTAAGCATATTAGAAATTAAAATTGAACACTTTTAAGTACTGTTATTTATCCATTTAAAATAACAAATCTATTATAGCCAACACAAATAATATGCAGTTGTGAAAAATAACTATTTTCTAAAACAAAATTCTATTTTAGATGCTCCATACCCAATTCATAAAGCATATTGCTAACCGACAGGTAATTGTGGACTGACCTTTCTCCTGGTACGAAATTTTTATTTTATTTTATTATTACTATACTTTAAGTTTTAGGGTACATGTGCACAATGTGCAGTTTAGTTACATATGTATACATGTGCCATGCTGGTGTGCTGCACCCATTAACTCGTCATTTAGCATTAGGTATATCTCCTAATGCTATCCCTTACCCCCCCCGACCCTACAACAGTCCCCAGAGTGTGATATTCCCCTTCCTGTGTCCATGTGTTCTCATTGTTCAATTCCCACCTATGAGTGAGAACATGCGGTGTTTGGTTTTTTGTCCTTGCGATAGTTTACTGAGAATGATGATTTCCAATTTCATCCATGTCCCTACAAAGGACATGAACTCATCATTTTTTATGGCTGCATAGTATTCCATGGTGTATATGTGCCACATTTTCTTAATCCAGTCTATCATTGTTGGACATTTGGGTTGGTTCCAAGTCTTTGCTATTGTGAATAGTGCAACAATAAACATACGTGTGCGTGTGTCTTTATAGCAGCATGATTTATAGTCCTTTGGGTATATACCCAGTAATGGGATGGCTGGGTCAAATGGTATTTCTAGTTCTAGATCCCTGAGGAATCGCCACACTGATTTCCACAATGGTTGAACTAGTTTACAGTCCCACCAACAGTGTAAAAGTGTTCCTATTTCTCCACATCCTCTCCAGCACCTGTTGTTTCCTGACTTTTTAATGATTGCCATTCTAACTGGTGTGAGATGGTATCTCATTGTGCTTTTGATTTGCATTTCTCTTATGGCCAGTGATGGTGAGCATTTTTTCATGTGTTTTTTGGCTGCATAAATGTCTTCTTTTGAGAAGTGTCTGTTCATGTCCTTCACCCACTTTTTGATGGGGTTGTTTGTTTTTTTCTTGTAAATTTGTTTGAGTTCATTGTAGATTCTGGATATTATCCCTTTGTCAGATGAGTAGGTTGCGAAAATTTTCTCCCATTTTGTAGGTTGCCTGTTCACTCTGATGGTAGTTTCTTTTGCTGTGCAGAAGCTCTTTAGTTTAATTAGATCCCATTTGTCAATTTTGGCTTTTGTTGCCATTGCTTTTGGTGTTTTAGACATGAAGTCCTTGCCCATGCCTGTGTCCTGAATGGTAATGCCTAGGTTTTCTTCTAGGGTTTTTATGGTTTTAGGTCTAACATTTAAGTCTTTAATCCATCTTGAATTAATTTTTGTATAAGGTGTAAAGAAGGGATCCAGTTTCAGCTTTCTACATATGGCTAGCCAGTTTTCCCAGCACCATTTATTAAATAGGGAATCCTTTCCCCATTGCTTGTTTTTCTCAGGTTTGTCAAAGATCAGATAGTTGTAGGTATGCGGCGTTATTTCTGAGGGCTCTGTTCTGTTTCATTGATCTATATCTCTGTTTTGGTACCAGTACCATGCTGTTTTGGTTACTGTAGCCTTGTAGTATAGTTTGAAGTCAGGTAGCATGATGCCTCCAGCTTTGTTCTTTTGGCTTAGGATTGACTTGGTGATCTCCTGGTACAAAATTTAAGCAGCCCACTTAGGTATCTTTTTTTTTTTTTTTTTTTTGAGATAGATTCTTGCTCTGTCACCCAGGCTGGAGTGCAGTGGCACGATATCGGCTCACTGCAACCTCCACCTCCCAGGTTCAAGAGATTATCCTGCCTCAGTCTCCCGAGTTGCTGAGATTACAGACACCCACCACTACACATGGCTAATTTTTGTATTTTTAGTAGAGACAGGTTTTCAGCATGTGTCCAGGCTGGTCTCGAACTCCTGACTTCAGATGATCCACCTGCCTTGGCCTCCCAAAGTGCTGGAATTACAGGTGTGAGCCATCGCGCCTGGCCCACTTATCGCAATCCATCTTCATCTCACAGATAAGAAAATATTTTAAATAAGCATTTTTATTCCTTTCATAATATCACAGGTTATACTGCTATAGATGATAGCATATGCCACGTGGATGAGTAAAGACTACTAACAAATGTGTCACCAAGTGATAGAATTTAGGAAACTCATGTAAATGCCCTTTCCCCTAATCATATCAGCAAGATATCAGCTTGCATCTTCTGACTACAATATCAATAGTAAGATAAAAATAAAATACATTCATTTTCAACAGTCTAATATCACTGCATATGCTGCCTCTTATCTTAGAAACATCAGCCACATTCTTGAACTTTCTAAGTAGAATTAGAAGGTTGCTTAAGTATGGAATTAGAAGGATGCTTAAGTATGATATTTGAAAATCTGTCTCTGCACATAAGATACCTGAGGCCCAAGAGTGATAAAAATGCTTATTGGGCTATTTAGGGACTTAGCTGCAACTAGAATTTAAGGCTACAAACTATTTCCAGTGCTTTTTTCTTTTTTTGAGATGGAGTCTCACTCTCACCTGGGCTGGAGTATAGTGGCACAATCTTGGCTCACTGCAACTTCTGCCTCCCGGGTTCAAGGGATTCTCCTGCCTCAGCCTCCCGAGTAGCTGGGATTACAGGCACTTATCACCACAGCCATCTAATTTTTTGTATTTTTAGTAGAGATGGGGTTTCTCCATGTTGGGCAAGCTGGTCTCAAACTCCTGACCTCAGGTGATCCACCTGCCTCGGGCTCCCAAAGTGCTGGGATTACAGGCGTGAGGCATCGCAGCCGGCCTCCATTGCTTTTTAATGAAAAAGTATTACAGTGCTTCTTCTTAAATTCATTACGGAGTGTCTTACTGCCCTTCTTCTCAAGGTTGGCTTTCTTTTTTTCCCTGAAAATAGGAGAAGAGATGTTGGAGAGTCCCCAGCTCTCCCTCCCCTCCTCCACCCAGAGCACACTCAGTACAAGGTGCTCCGGGAACGTGGCAACACCCAACACATCCTGTGGCCCTCTCTGAGACTCAGCATTTCCCATTCAACAGCAAAATCCAGAAGTAATTTATATTTGGGTTTAAAAGTCTAGATCAGGCAGTGGCTCATGCTTGTAATCCCAGCACTTTGGAAGGCTGAGGTGGGCAGATCACTTGAGCCCAGGAGTTCGAGACCAGCTTGTGCAATATAACAAGACCCTGTCTCTACAAAAATACAAAAAAAGCCGAGCATGGTGGTGCACGCCTGTATTCCCAGTTACTCAGGAGGCTGAGGTGGGAGGATCACTTGAACCTGGGAGGTCAAGGCTGCAGTGAGTGATGACTGTGCCACTGCACTCCAGCCTGGGCAACAGAATGAGACCCTGTCTCAAAAAAAAAAAAAAAAAAAAGATTAGATCAGCATCCATCTACTGGGATGGATGGCTAAAGGTAAACAGACCGATAGTGCAAAGTGTTGACAAGGATGTGGAGAAACTGCAATCCTCATACACACCTGGTGAAAATACAAAGTGGTGCAGCCACTTTGGGAAACAGTTGACAGTTTCTTTGAAAGTTAAACTCACACATACCTGTATAATGCAGAAACTCAGCCCAGAAGAAATGAGAAACATACATCCACCCAGGCTTGTACATAAATGTTCATTGCAGCTTCAGTCATAATAGTCCAAAACACACCAAATGTCCATCTACTAGAATCAGTAAATGAAATGTGTATATCCATCCCATGAAATATTACTCAGCAATGGCTGGGCATGGTGGCTCATGCCTGTAATCCCAGCACTTTGGGAGGTCGAGGCAGGTGGATCACCTGAGGTCAGGAGTTCAAGAACAGCCTGGCCAACATGTTGAAACCCCATCTCTAATAAAAATACAAAAATTAGCCAGGTGTGGTGGCAGGCACCTGTAATCCCAGCTACATGGGAGGCTGAGGCAGGAGAATCATTTGAACCCGGGAAGCAGAGGTTGCAGTGAGCCAAGATAGTGCCACTGCACTCCAGCCTAGGTGACAAGAGCGAAACTGTCTCAAAAAAACAAAAACAGAAACAAAAACAAATATTACTCAGCAATAAAATGAAAGACCTGTTAATTCATGCAACAGCATGGATGAATCTCATAAACATTAAGCTAAGTGAAAGAAGCCAGACATAAAATACTGCATATTGTATAACATTTGTATGAACTAAAAAAAAGGAAGAGAGGAAGTACAGAGACGGAAAGCAGCTAAATGGGTATAGGGTAGGAGCAAGAGCTGACTGCAAATGGGCCCCAGGGAACGTTTTGGGGTGATGAAATGTTCTATCACTGAATTGTAGTGATATTTGGGCAACTGTATACATTTGCAAAAAATCATTGAATTGTATACTTAAAATGGATGGATTGTATGGTGTGTAAATCATAACTCAATAAATTTGTTTTTAAAAAAGAGAAGGAAAAGAATAGTGAAATCCTATGTCATCATTTTTTTCCACAGAGGAAGATAGCTGATCTCTCTTCTACCAAAGGCCAACTTTTAACATCAAGGAGAATAGCCCCAATTTCATGTTTATATTCACATATATGAGAGGGGTATGAGAGTCAATAATTAATTTTTCTGAAATTATTCTATAAATATTTATATCTTTGTACTTTAGTCATCCCACAAATATATATTAAACATTTTGTGCTTACTTTCTTCTAAAACTATTTTAAAATCCACACACCACACAATTCATCCATTTAGAGTGGACAGTTCCGTGGTCTCTAGTCTACTCACAGAGTTGCATACATATTATCACAATCTGTTTTAGAATATTTTTATTAACCCCCAAAGAAACCCTGATGTCACACCAGTTTCCCCAACTCTCCCAGCCCTAGGCAACCACTACTCGGCTTTCTGTCTCTATAGATTTGCTTATTCTAGACATTTCATATAAAAATACAATATGTAGTCCTTTCTGACTGGCTTCTTTCCCTTACCATAATGCTATCAAAGTTTCCTCCGTGTTTCAGTGTGTATCAGTATTTTACTTCTCTTTATTGCAAATATCCCACTGTTTGTATACCACGTTTTATTTATTTATTCATCAGTTGGTGACCATTTGGGTTGTTTCCATTTTGTCTGTTACAGTGCTGCTATGAGCACTTATGTGCAAGTTTGTGTGGATATGTGTTTTTACTGTTCTTGAGAATATGCCTAGGAGTGGAACTAGTGGATCTTGTGGTAACTCTATATGTAACCATTTGAGGAACTTCCAGACTCTTTTCTAAAACGGCTGCATGGGCCGGGCATGGTTACTGATTCCTGAAATCTCAGCACTTTGGGAGGATAAGGTGGGAGGATTGCTTGAGCCCAAGAATTCAAGACCAGCCTGGGCAACATAGTGAGACCTTGTTTCTATAAAAAATAAAAATCAGCCCGGCATGGTGGTGTTGCCTGTAGTCCCAGCTACTTGGAAGGCTGAGGCAGGAGGATTGCTTGAGCCTAGGAGTTCAAGGCTGGAGTGAGCTATGATTGCACCAGTGCACTCTATCCTGAGTGACAGAGTGAGACTCTGTCTCTAAAATAATTAACTAGCTAACTAACTAACTAAATAAATAAATAAAATGGCTGCACCATTTTACATTCCCACCAGTAGGGTATGAAGTTTCCAATTTCTCCACATCCTCGTTAACATTTATCTGTCTTCTTGATCACAGCCATCCTGGTGCATGTAAAGAGGTATCTCGTGACAGTATTGATGTTCATTTCCTGATGACTAATAACAGTGAGCAATTTTTCATGTACATATAGGCCACTTGTATATCTTCTCTGGAGATATGTCTATTCAGATCCTTTGTTTTTAAATTGGGTAATTTGCTTTTTATTATATTTTAATATATTCCTTTATTGTAGTAAAATATACATAACATAAAATTTACTATTTTAATCATCTTTAAGTCTACAGTTCTGTGGCATTACTTACATTCCTGATGATGTGCAACCATCACCACCATCCATCTCCAAAATTTTTGCATCTTCTCAAGCTGAAACTCTGCACCCGTTAAGCAATAATTCTTTATTATTTTCTCTACCGAGCCCCAGGCAACCACCTTTCTATTTTGTCTCTATGAATGTGACTACTTTCATATAAGTGGAAGTATATAATATTTGCCCTTTCATAACTGAATTATTTCACATCTTCAAGGTTCATCCATGTTGTAGAATGTGTCAGACTTTCATTTCTTTTTAAGGCTGGAGAACATTCCATTATACGTATATACCCCTTTTCATTTTATTTATTGATTCACCCATCAATGGGCAGATACTTGGATTCCTTCCACTGTTTGGCTATTGTAGATAATGCAGCCATGGATGTATAGATATTTGTCTGGATCCCTGCTTTCCCTTCTTTTAGGTATATTCTCAGAAGTGGAATTGCTGGATCATATGGTAATTCTATGTTTATTTTTTCAATAAGTATCATACTATTTTATACAATGGTTGTATCATTTTACATTTCTACCAGCAATGCGTAAAGGTTCCAATTTTTCCACATCCTCGCCTATACTGGTTATTTTCTTTCTTTTTTTCTTTTTTTTTTTTTTTTTTTTTTGAGACAGTTTCGCTCTTGTTGCCCAGGCTGGAGTGCAATGGCACAATCTCGGCTCACCGCAACCTCCACCTCCTGGGTTCGAGCGATTCTCCTGCCTCAGCCTCCTGAGTAGCTGGGATTACAGGTGCGTGCCACCATGCCTAGCTAATTTTGTATTTTTAGTAGAGACAGGGTTTCTCCATGTCGGCCAGGCTTTTCTCGAACTCCCATTCTCAGATGATCCACCCACCTCGGCCTCCCAAAGTGCTGGGATTACAGGCAAGAGCCACTGTGCCCAGCCTTATTTAGTGTTTTTTATTTTGTTTTGTTTTTATGATATCCATCCTAATGGATGTGAGTTGGTATCTCATTTTTGTTTTGATTTGCATTTCCTGATTACTAGTGATGTTAAGCATCTTTTCATGTGTGTATTAGTCACTTGTATATTTTCTTCAGAGAAATGTCTATTCTAATCCTTTGCCTATTTTTTAATTGTGGTATTTGTGGGTTTTTTTTAATTGAGTTGCCTTTTAAAAAATTAATTGTAATAGTTCTTTATATATTCTAGATACAAATACATTATATATGATTTGCCCAAATTTCTTCCCATTCTGTGAATTGGCTCACATACTTATTAATTAATAATAATTATTAATTATTGGGCTGGATGCAGTGGCTCACGCCTGTAATCCCAGCACTTTGGGAGGACAAGGCGGGTGGATCACCTGGGATCAGGAGTTCAAGACCAGCCTCACCAACATGGAGAAACCCCATCTCTACTAAAAATACAAAATTAGCCAGGCACGGTGGCATGTGCCTGTAATCTCAGCTACTTGGGAGGCTGAGGCAGGAGAATCACTTGAACCTGGGAGGCAGAGGTTGTGGTGAGCCGAAATTGGGCCATTGCACTCCAGCCTGGGCAGCAAGAGCAAAACTCCATCTAAATAAAAATAATAATTATTATTATTTATTATTAAGAGAGTAAACTATCTTAATAGTATCCTTTGAAGTACAAAATATTTTAATTTTGATGAAGTTCAATTTATTTGTTTTTCTTATTGGCTGCTTATGCTTTTAGTGCCATAAAAAAGAATTATTGCTTATTCCAAGATTATAATGTTATATTTTCTTCTAAGTGCTTTTTAATTTTAGCCCTTACCCTTAAATCTTTGATCAATTTTGATTTTTTTTTTTTTTTGATGGAGTTCCTCTCTTGTTGCCCAGGCTGGAGTGCAATGGTGTGATGTCGGCTCACCACAGCCTCTGCCTCCTGGGATCAAGCAGTTCTCCTGCCACAACTTCCCGAGTGTCTGGGATTACAGGCATGCGCCACTATGCCTGGCTAATTTTGTATTTTTAGTGGAGACAGGGTTTCACCATGTTGGTCAGGCTGGTCTCAAACTCCCGACCTGAGGTGATCCACCCACCTCAGCCTCCCAAAGGGCTGAGATTACAGATGTGAGCCACCACACCTGGCCACTTTTGAATTTTTTTATATGGCATGATTGTAATGTCCCAACATCATTCATTGGCATGTGGATATCCAGTTTCCCCAACATCATTTATTGAAAATACTATTCTTTTCCCATTGAATTGTCCTGGTACACTTGTTGAAAATCAACTGACTATAAATGTTAGAGCTTATTTCTGAACTCTCAACTCTGTTTGTTGATCTATATGTCTATCCTTATGCCACCACCATACTGTCTTGATTACTGTTGCTTTATATTATGTTTGGGAATTAGAAAGTATGAGTCCTCCAACTTTGCTCTTCTTTCTAAGATTGTTTTGGCTGTTCTCTGTTCTTTGAATTTCCACATGAATTTTAGGATCAGTTTGTGAGTTTCTGGAAATAAGTCAGCTGGGACTTTGATAGGAATTGAGTTAAATGTGTAGATCAATTTGAAGAGTATTCCCATCTTAACACTATTAACTCTTCCAATCCATGAACATGGGATGAATTTTCATTTATTTAGAACTTTTAAAATTTCTTTCAGGCCGGGTGTGGTGGCTCATGCCTGTAATCCCAGCACTTTGGGAGGCTGAGGCAGGTGGATCGTTTGAGGTCAGGAGTTCGAGACCAGCCTGGCCAAGATGGTGAAACCCCGTCTCTACTAAAAATACAAAAATTAGCCGGGCATGGTTGCGCACATCTATAATCCCAGCTACGTGGGAGGCTGAGGCAGGAGAATCACTTGAACCTGGGAGATAGAGGTTACAGTGAGCCAAGATTACGTCACTGCACTCCAGCCTGGGTGACAGAGCAAGACTCCATCTCAAAAAAAAAAAAAAAATTCTTTCAACAGTGTTTTGTAGTTGAGTACATGTTTTGCACCACTTTTATTATTCCTAAATATTTTATTTTTCTTTTGCTGCTATTCTAAATGGAACCATTTTCTTAATTTTATCTGTGTTTGTGAGCTTAATCTTACCCATACCCAAAACAAGACTGATACTTAGACTTCATTTCTGGATTAAGAAAGAAGCTTCAGAGGAGGAAATCTCATTCTGAGATTCTTATGTCTGATCAGAAGATAAAGCTACAAATTTGACTCAAACTGTTTTAAGGATCTTAGATGATAAGTCTGTAAAAAATTTGGACACACTGTTTAAATACGTGCATCTAATATTTAGATTAAGAAGCAGCAGAAATAGGAATACACTAATATGATAGTGTGGCTTCCTGGAAGTGCTGATGGAAAAGCTACAGAAGTCAGTAAGGTTACAGGGTAGACACACAAAGATAACCCATGGTCTTGGGCAAGGAATTAATAATAGTTTGGACAGTATTTGCAGAGTGGTCTTCAAACAGGGGTGCCGAGACTCCAGTAGTAGACAATCTGCTCTTATGCAAGAAGAAAATATAAGAACTGATATTTATGTTTATTTATGTCACTCCTTTAGTTTTTATTTTTGTTTATGCTCTATAAATGTACACAACATAATAGCATGGTTGTACGTTTACATACTTTGTATTAATTTAGCTGACAATTTGTAAGTTCATGCAAGATTGTTTACGGATGGAGACTATTGACTTAACTCACTGCTGAGCACATAGCAAGTGTTCAGTAAATGTTAACTATCATCAAAATAATATAATTGTCATAATATCATAATGAATAAGTCCAAAAGTATTCATTGTACTTTTCTGGTTTGTTTCCTTGCCACCACTGATGAGATTCTAAAGCACACAAAAGTCAAAAGAAAATTATCAAAGTGAACGGCCCATCAACTCAACCACAAAAATAATGCTTTTTATTATTATCATTTAAAAACACAGGAAGATGATAAAATCCAAGAGAGAAGAATAGATATTAATTTTCATGTCCTCAGTGCATAAACACTAACCACACTGAAAAATATTTGCCATTGGGCCAAAGTTAACATCTAATCGGTTTTCTTCTGCTTCTTGAAACCTCACTCATCTGAAGCACAGGATCCCTGAATTGTGGGAATTACAGACATCTCTGGGTTCCTCAAAGTGGCCAGGTCAAAGATTTAGGCCTCTAATCTGGGAATGGCTCTCTCCAGCCCGGCCAGCTTCCCTGCCATTCTTTGCAAGGACTGTGTGTATGGCACTGGACTTATTTTCCCAGAAGTGCTTCTGGGACTGAAGTCTGCACAAAGGGGCTGTTAAATGTGTTTCCCTCCCTCCTGGCTCAGCTGGCTCCTAAGCCTCAGGGCACATACAGCTCATAGTTCCTATCAACTTTTCCCAAAGGACCCCTGGGCTCCTGCAGGAGCCAGCACTTCCCTGGAACAGGAAACTCTATTTACACTGTCTTGGAGCCTGGTGCTCATCCATAAAAGGGAAAAGAGTCCTTTAGGAAAAGGGCAGGGTGCTTGGAAACTCTTTAAAAGTGAAAGCTTTGCAACCGGTTTCTGTTGTTTTACACTGTTGGTTAATACAATTTTTCAGAACATAAAAACACATGCCCTTTGGCTGAACAGTGCCTCTGAAAAGCTGACGTGCCAATAAACAAAAAACATGGAGAGATTTTCATGGGAATCTTCCAGAGTGCACACCTAGGTCAGATCATCATTTCTTTAGCCCTGTAGAACGTAATTCCAGACAGATATACTGGTTTACACATCAATAATCCAATTGCACTTTAAATGAGGAAGAAGGGCTATCTCGGCTTTGGAATAGCATCATGTTTAGGTCAATGAATGATTGTTCCAATTCTCCTTGCAGGTACTTATCATGTAACTTATGTTCTACCAGCTAACAAATACACTTGCTGAGTGATCTGAATCTCAAATGAAAAAAAGATACATCAGGAAAAGATTGCAATTGGCGTGGGAGAGAGGGCATTAAGAATTGGAGCTCTAGGAGGATTCAATCATAATGGTCAATAAATAATCATAATTTAAATTTTAGTAATAAATGTTTGTGGCTTATAGTATTATTATTTATTTATTTAGAGACAGGGTCTCACTCTGTCACCCAGGCTGGGTGACATGGCATGGCATGAGCTCAGTGGCATGATCATAGCTCACTGCAGCCTCGAAGTCCTGGGCTCATGTGATCCTCCCACCTCAGCCTCCCAAGTAGCTGGGACTACATGTGTGCGCCACCATGCCTGGCTACTTTTTTAATTGTTGATAGAGATGAGGTCTCGCAATGTTACTCAGGCTGGTCTCAAACTTCTAGGCTGAAGCAATTCTCCCACCTCAGGCTCCCAAATTGCTGGGATTACAGGCATGAGCCACCATACCCAACCTGTTTGTGATTTATTATTAATGGTAATTACAAACAATTATTATGAATTGTTACAAGGCATTGGGTTAAGTGCTTTATACCTATAAACTCTTTTAACCTTATGAGTTAGGCACTCTCGGAATTCCCAGTGTATAGATGGCTCAAAGAGATTAAGTAACTTGTCCAAAATCACAGTAAGTGGTGAAGCCAGTATCTGGTCTACTGAGCAGAGTATGCAGTCTGCACATGTGCCGTTGGTTTGCTGAACTGATGATGTAACCTTCTTCGGGAAGGTTATAGTACTTAGGTATCTAGTCCCATAGATGATGCCCTAACCATTATGTTTCACTGCCTCTTGTACTCTGTGCCTAACTCTACTCCTAGTACTTTTAACTTAAATAGCACAAATAATGTGGTAGAATTTCATGAACTAAAATAGTCATTCAACCATTTTTCATTTATTCTGTACCTGCTAGCACCTAGGACCATACTTAGGCTAAATATAGTGATTCTGATGTCATTGGGATTGGAGAGACAGACCAGAGGCCAGGATTTGAGCACCCAGGCATTCCTGGTCAGATTTCACCATGAATCCAGCTCCATATGCCATCTCCACACCGTACCCCGCGCCCCACACTCACCTCACTTCCACCCTGGGCTTTCACGGTCCCACGTGACACGAGTCTCCCTGCATGTCGCACCTGTTGATTTCACTGCCTGGAGTGCACTTCCCCAGCCTCTCAGCCCCTGCATTTCACTTCTCAAACTCCAGCCTGGGCACCACCTCTCCTGCAAAGCCTTTTCCAACCACTCCAGCGAAGGCGGCTCCCCACTCCTTCCTTTGTGCTCTGGGGCCCATCTTCCTTGGTGGCTGCTGCTGCGTGTGGCACCCACCACGTACCATCATTGCCCCCCACAGGCCAGTCCACAGGGCCTAGAGAACAGAGCTGGATCTCACGCTGCTGTGCATTCTCTGGACAGGGCCCAGTGCCTCCAGAGTATGCAGTCTGCGCACGTGCCATTGATTTGTTGAACTGATGATGTAACCTTCTTCGGGAAGTCACTTCCCCAAACCTGCAAGACTCTTCCATCAAGGACCACCTGTGAAAAGCACCTTAGGAGGCTGAAAAGTGTTTTGTTTTTTGTTTTTTGTTTTTTTTTTGGCGGCGGGGGAGTGGGGGCAGTTCTGGTCATCTCAAAGTCATTGGTGACCTTAAGAAAATAATATTGAAATGAGATGTGAAAGGACTAGAAGATGAAAAAAAAAGTTACAAGACAACTCCACTGAGAAATCTGACTATGAAGGGCAGCAATGAATAGGCCAATAGGTGAGGGATGTAAGGCTGGAGCAGGGTTTCTGTTTCCTGTGTATGCAGTTTCTGCTACTGTTTAGAGGGCTCAGACCTTTGTCTGTTTAAGGGCTGAAGGGAATGGGCAGAGAGGAAGAAAGAGCAAAAGGAATAACTGATAGCTTAAGGTTTCGGAGATAGTAGCAATGGCCTCCCTTCATAATGAAATTGCTTAAATGAGTTGTCTGTAACTGTCTTGTTTCTGTCTTCACCTTCTAATTCCTTCTCATTTCACTTCAATGTGGCTTTTATTAAGGTCACCAATGACTCCCATATTGCTGGGAACACAAAACCACTTCTCAGTACTTTAATGTCCAGAGCAGGATGGGAGATCAGTGTTTTTTAGAAGAGGAATGGCTACTCTACTGTAACGAGAAGAGAGAAGAGGCAAACCAGGACAGATGCAGCTTGTGTTCCAGATTTGCTGGCCGGAAGTTGAGGAAGGTCTTGGCTGGTATTAACATTTCTTTGTGTCACATATGAAGCAAAGTCATTGAGGGGGAGGTGATACATTTGAGGCAGAAGGAGATAGTGTTTGAAAAGCTTTTTCGGAGGGCAGGACAGTAAGCAAGTCAGACAGGTATAATGAGATGGCCAGCCAAACAGAGCACCATGTGTGGTTGGTGACTGTGAATTTATAGTGACCCCAACCTGCCTGGCTGGGGTGTTTCTCAGTCCTCAGCTACCTGAGAGAGACCAGACAGTGAGTGTAGTGAAGGTAGTGGGTTCATCAGATTTCAAGTTTGCCAGCACGTGCAACAGAAAGAGGGCACAGTTGACATGATGGGACAGAATCCAGCATGGATGTCAGACAAGTTAACAGTGGCAGGCCGTGAATAGGGAAAAAGTGGGGGTCAGGGAAGGTCACCCAGAAGTAAAGGAGGCTGTACAGGGAATACTCGAGCAGGAAGCTGCAGGGCAGGGTTTGCGGGCAGCGAGGAGGATGTTTGAATCTGTGATGCTGGAGGTGGAGCAGCTGCAAGAGATAACATGGTTCAGACTCACATTCTGCACCGTGAGAAAGGGAAGCCATGGCCCACTGGAAAGCAAGGTCACTGGGTCAAGGAGCTAAGAGGTCACAGAGTCGGATGTGTCAAGAATAAAAGCAAATGTGAGGATGAAGAGAAAGAATGCAGTTCCAAAGTTTCACAAACAGTGGTGAGTGTCCAGGCAGGCCTTGGTGAGACCCTCAGTCATTCCAGCATTGGGAGCTTTATTGTTTGGTGAGAGACAGGAGATGGAGCAGGCTGGTTTTGAAATGCCTTGGTTGTCAGGCAAGGGTAGTTACCCTATGCTCCCAGTAGGGTGCATAGCCTTTAAAAATCATCAACTAAAACTGTGTTATTTATTGTTGCCATGAAGAGATAGTGAACCGTACTGTACAGCATGGAGCCTGGGTGATAACAACGGGTGAGTGGCTTCCTCGGCTGTGGCTGATGGACCACTCAGGTGCAGGGTGTTGACGATGGGGAAGGCTCTGCAGGGGTGATGGGCAGGGGAACATGGGAAATCTCTGTGCCTTCTGCTCAATTTTGCTGTGAGCCTAAAACTGCCCTAGAAAAATTAAGTCTTTAAAAAGAAGATTTAGGAGGAATAGATCTTTAGAGAAACATTAGAGAAGTTGGGAGGCAGGCCAAAACAAACTACACCCATTTCACAGTCTCACCAGGAGCCAGTGTGGTCTCCAGCATTGCAGACTAAACAACCCAAGGGACTAGGTTTAACACTTTCATTCACATTTTTCTTGCCCCAGCCCTGAAATAAATGTAGGGTCCACAGCTCCACCTGCCTCTGGTTGATAGGAAATCTCACAAGAGTTGCTCTGGGTTTCCACAGCTGGAGACTTCCGAGCTAACACTCCACGGGGCAGTTCACCTTCTTTTGACAAAGATGGCCATAATGGCCTCAGAGTCTTGAGGCAGCTTTTTGTCATGTAATCAGAACTGGACCACCCTAATCTTTCTCCTCCAAGATTCTCTGTCTCCCCGTGTTCCCCGAGAATAACAACCAGTCCTTACTGAGGACTTCAGATGTGCCAGACACTGTTCTGATATCTACATGTGGTCATTTTACTTAATCTACACAATAAAGCCCCAATCTATGAGGTTCTGTTATTGTCATCCTCATTTATAGGTGAAGAGTCTGAGACACAGATAATTAAGCAATTTTCCCAGAGCCACAGGGAAGAGCTGGAGGTGGGATTTGGCATCAAAGGTGGCGCTGTCAGCCTCCCCTAGTTAATGTCACCACATCCTCCCTGCAGGGGACATTGGTCCTGTCCTCAGCGTCTCCTTCTCCCCGCAATGCCCACACCAGCCACTCACTAAGTCTTGTCCACCCTTCCTGGGACACTGACCCCTGACTGTTTCTGGTCCTGGCACCTCCTCCAGGCCCCCAGCCCCTCTCACTCCCAGTCTTCCACCTGTCTTCCCTTTTCCAAGGTCAGCACCACGCACAGGCCAACCCCTTCACACTTCCAGTTTTTATTCTCACCTCTTAACTGCCTGTCCCCTGCTCCCTCCAAGCTCCTCACACTGAATTGAACTGTTCTGTGACATGCCAGAAACCAAAAATGCTGTGTCCCCCCACAGCCTTTTCCTCTGTCCTCTCTGTCTGAAGCACCAACTCCACCTTCTTCCCCACCATATCACTGCCACCCTGCATCACAAATGTCCCTTGATCCTCAGGACTCAGTTCCTAGTCCCAGCTTGGAGCATTCTCTAAGAGCCCTGTGGTGCTCAGTGCTCTGAAGTGTAACACCCGTTTAGGTGTCTGCCTCCCCTACTCTGACTGTCAGCCCCTTCAGGACAACGCAGGGTCCCTTTGATCTCAGTGTTCCTAGTGCCCAGCAGAACTCCCTGCCCATGGGAACCAGGTGTTCTGTCACTGTTGTTTGAACAAGTAGTGAAAAATGGGAGCAACATGAGACCACGTAAGCCCTCAATGTGTTCTTTTGTTCTATGTTTGGAGGGTAAATGAAGAGCTCATCAGCACCCAACGCAGAGAGGCCCACTGTGCTATAGACTGTTCACCTGTTAGAACCTGAATTGTAGATTCATACTTAGGACTTAGCTTCCCCCTGCAACACGGGTTCTATCAGGGCAGGGCTTATCTTTTTTTGCCACCATATTATGAGGTAAGGAACTTGGTGCCCGTGCCCATAATGTGTGTTTTGTATGACATGAAACATAAATAAATAAAAGGTCTCCGATCCTTACAACAACCCTATAAGGTTAATATTTCCCATTGGAGACTGAAGCTCAAAGAGGTTAGTGTCCAAGGCCATCATAAGACAGTTGGAAACCAAGTAGGGAAAACCTTACCTTTGAAGCCCATTTTCTTTCTACACTTCTGAGTTGCACTCCTGGACCTTCTTAGCTATGAGAACTGGACACTCACATCAAAGAGAAGAATAAAATTATATTTAAAAAATAATGCAAGGGAGGCAGAATTTTTCTGTTTAAAATCAGAAAACCTGCCACTTACAAAACTAGACTAGTCAAAGAAAAATTGATGGTGGACTTAGCACCTGGAAGAGAGTGAGCTTTGGAAGCTTTGGGAGAGAGAGACTGGGTGGCCTGAGTGACTCAGTCCCGTGGGGGAGCACAGCTCAGGCTGGAGGAGACTGCTTTCTCCAGAATGCACCCTGCCACCAGGAACCAGCCTCTGACCACGCTGCTCATGGGCAACCAAGCTGTTCTTAGCCAGCACCAAAGAACACCGGAATTCAGCCAGTTTTGTCTCATACTCTAACAAAGGAGGTTGAAAAAAAGTCCTCTATTTTATTTATATCACTTTAGGGTCACAAAACTCCCAAACAGGTTTCCTATATGATGAAACAGGCATTTTGTTCTCCCCCTTTTGCTTGAAAAAGTTGCAATTTCTTAGTAAACATTACTCAGCTAGTCCTTACCATAACCCATGATGAAGGCAGTATTTATTTTTAGTTTCATCTTCACAGCAAGGAAACACACTCACAGATGGAAAACGATTTCACTAAGGTCATCCAGTGAGTCAGTGACAGGACCCAGTGGGGCAAATTAGGCACCTGGGTCTTGGTTATTAAACTTTGAGGCTCTACTAACAATCCAAGACCCAAAAAAAGCAGTTTTACCATATCTTCTGAAAGTAATTTTAATGCCAAGCTTTGTTGTATGTTGTTTTCTGCTTATCAGCCATCGTACTGCAGCATTCTTTCCAGTTGGAAGGCCCCACTCTGTGTCATTTAAGGATGGCATGAGATATAGGTGTAAAGTACTGAGCATAACATACAGGATATAGTATCTGCTCAATTAAAAAATGCCCCCTTCCCATGTGTGGGAATTCTGTGTCATTTCCCATTTCTCTTCTATCTGATAAAATAAGAGCTATGCCTGCCAATCCATGGTATCTGCAGAGTAAGTGGCAAGTACAAATAAAACCAGTCACAGCCACCTCACTGCACTGTTTCCACTGGCTGACTTTAGCTTCCTGAACATGAATAAAATGAACTGGGCTCATTTGTTTTAGAGCATATTCTCAAATACTATTGGGTGGTTATAAAAGTAATACCTATGCAGTATTTTTTAAAATGTGACAAATGCAAATAAGAAAACAAAAATCACCTATCATTCTAATTAAATTTTAGATGTAGTTTGTGATTTCATAGGCCCCAAATACATATCTAATTATTTTACCCAAATTTATATTGCTTCTATTTTTATTGTGGTCATAAGTACAGTTATGAATAGTCTGTTCAATACCTTTGCCTATTTATCTGAGTTTATATGTTTTCTGTCAATTCTCAATCTAAAATTTTAAGAAAGATTTGGGGACTTGGAGTCCTTCCCCTGGCTGGGAATTGCTCCTCACATGGCCAGTGGCAGAATGTTATCTTTATCAGATATCAGGCTACCGTCAAAGAATGGCCCACTGCTAGACATTTCAGAAATTAACACAGAAGATCTTCTGACTTCACCTACTGTTGGCGTCTGTGTTTCACAGTTTTCTTGCAACCTACACTAAAAGAGTGTGTCCCAAATCCTCAAATATCACAGCACACCATCCAAATAAAACATGTATTAGGAATGAGAAAAATATGCTTATATCTATTATTACCTAGTCATACTTTAAAAAGAAAAAAAAAATCTTGGCTTCTTTGTAAATCTTCATGCAACATTACCTACTTTTTGTGTAATTAAACTCTGAAACCTTTTTTATCTAGATCAGGAAATGTGGTTTGATTAACATGAGAGATTTTAAAATAATCTCTCTCAGGTATATAAGAGAATGAAGTGTGCACACTAAATGGCGATATGATACTGCTGTTAAACTTAAGAGTTGCCTGGGCACTTGTTCAGATTAATATTATGGCACTTTCCTTATATTGCCAGAGTCCCAGACAGAGAAGTTAAATGACGTCTCCAAGGGCAAACAGCTGCAAAATTATAGAGCTCAGCTTTTAAGACAGACTTCCATCAGTCAGTTCCCTGGGAGCACTAGTTCAGCTCTGCTCAGTTAAACATGCATTGTAGAAACCACTGAGTGTTGGACACCGTGCTGGGCTTTGAGGTTACACAGATGCCAAGGAGACTGTCCTCTGGTGGGCATTTGTCTGGTGGTAAGTCACAGTCAGCCAACAGTGTCTCCAGATTGTGGGATGCACAGGGTTGAAGGCTTCCCCCAGAAGAGGCTGCCTAAACAGAGTTGCAAAAATGGGAGTTAGTTGAACAAAGGCAGACTAAATAAAACAAGGCATTTATCTGTACAATCTGGGAGTGAAATATAAACATTGCCCAAGTCAAAGTTTCCAAATTTTCTTTGGCAGAGACACTAAAGCCTAATGTGTGAAACAGATAAAATGTGCAGCTTCCCTACTGGGGAGGTAAGAGGCAGAAACCTTAGTCTTCCCCCTTCTGCCTCCTTCTCTGCATAGACAAAGGACAAGGTTGCCCTCGGGGTCCTGCAAGGGTAGAGGGGACTCACCAGAGGTGGGCACAGGGAGGTCTGTGTGGCTAGCAATGCCGTGTTTCTCTGTCAGAGCACTGGTTACATAGGTGGTTCAAGTTTATAAAATTCACCAAGCTGTACCTTGAGGGCATTACACTAAGTGAAATGAGTTCATCACAGCAGGACCAAATCTGTATGATTCTATTACATGAGGTACCCAGAGTAGTCGAATCCGTAGAGACAGAAGGTACAATGGGGATTGCCAGGGCCTGGGCCAGGGGACAGGGGAGTGGGGGATCTGTGTTTAATGAGAATGAAGCTTCAGCCTGGGAAGATGAAAACGTTTTGAGATGAATGGTGGTGTTTGCACAGCAATGTGAATGTACTTGATACCACTGAACTGTGCCCCCAAAATGATTAAAATAATAAATTTTGTGTTATGTATAATTTATCACAATTAAAAAAATTAACCTGCGTATTTGTGACTTGTACAATTTTCTACATTAAAAGTTAAAAAAAAAAAAAACTAACCAAATCCCAGTTTTAAACATCACACTCTGGAAACTTTTGGAGTATGGTGTCTCTCTTATGAAGGACTGAGGGGTCGTTCCTGCTTTTTCATCTCACCTCCAAACTCAAACCAAGGTTTGACAAGCTCAGCGACTCTCCCTTACTACTATTTCCTGAAATTAGTCTGTGGCTGTTTGTGCTTCTCTTTATTTTTCCTGCTTCCCAAATGGTCTCGGCTGACAGGTGTTCTCTCTAGGGATAAGACTCAGGTCTCACCAGGCTTCCTACACTCTGCTCTTCATGAGAAAACCCCAGGGTTAGACCTGGACAGAGTCTGGCTCTGTGGCCCAGGCTGGAGTGCAGTGGCACAATCTCTGCTGACTGCAACCTCCCCCTCCCGGATTCAAGCGATTCTCCTGCCTCAGCCTTCTGAGTAGCTGGGTCTACAGGCATGCGCCACCACATCTGGCTAATTTTTTTTTTTTTTTTGCATTTTTAGTAGATATGGGGTTTTGCCATGTTGGCCAGGCTGGTCTTGAACTCCTGGCCTCAAGTGATCCTCCCGCCTCGGCCTCCCAAAGTGCTGGGATTACAGGTGTGAGTCACTGTGCCTGGCCAACTTCTCCTTTAAGTTCAATTTGTATATGCATTGAGAAGACCTACATTGATTCTAATTGAATGCACATGACTGAATGCACATGATTGATCTCTAAAACTGCTAAAGGTTTATTCAGACAACTCTTTGGCTTCATTAAGGATTAACTTATTTTCCCCTGACTTTATTGGACATATTACTAATAGTACAGTAATCATCCTATCTAACATTTACTGAGCATCTTCCCTTTTCCAGGCACTATTCCTGCACTTTATATGTTTAATCTCATTTAATCCTCCCAGTAGCTCTATGGGACCGTTCTATTAGTATCCCCAATTTACAGATGAGGGTACTGACGCACAGAGAAGTTAAATGACATGCAGCTAATATGTGGCAAAGCTAAACTGCTGAGCAGACCTAATCCAGGTTTCTCCTTAATTTCATAACCACATAAGAGGCAGATGCCACCAGCAGAGAAGTCAGACACCTGCAGTGCCTGTGAAGTGGGACATTTTCATTCTTCATCAACTCAAATCTGCTCCCATGCAGGGTGTTGTTTCCACGTCTGGCCAACACCACATCCACAGTCATGTTGATACAAAGCCTGTGCTACCACTGGATGATCACGGGCTTGGGAACAGGGTCAGAACCTCTCCTCTCTGCACCCGACATCCCTTCGTTTGAGGCACTTCCATAGGCAAGGTCCCACCAGCTGCAGAGATAGTCCCAAGCTTCACCCAGAATGGCTCATGTCTGTAATTCCAGCACTTTGGGAGGCTGAGGCAGGTGGATCACCTAAGGTCAGGAGTTCAAGACCAGCCTGGCCAACATAGTGAAACTCCGTCTGTACTAAAAATACAAAAATTAGCTGGGCATGGTGGCATGTGCCTATAATCCCAGCTACCCAGGAGTCTGAGTCAGGAGAATCACTGGAACCTGGGAGGCACAGGCTGCAATGAGCCGAGATCACGCCACTGCACTCTAGCCTGGGCGACAGAGCAAGACTCTGTCTCACAAAAAAAAAGAAAAAGAAAAAGAAAGAGTCGGGCCAAGAAAATCTGGTGCAAACTGAAGTCTGCCCAGTTTTCAATAAAAATAACTTTGAAGCTGACCTTTAATCTTTTATCACTTCAGTAAAGTAGGATTTAGACAGAACATCTCAGGATTTCCTGACTTTACCTTTCCCTCTGAAGGAGAATGCTTCAATTGATAGCCAAGAAGGCCAACTATTTTTAATCAAACTCTTGAACTTTCTTGGCTTTTGAAAACTTACTGGAGGGAAATATCCAAAGACTATAATATTTAGTTTATTTTCAGAGCCTAAATTAATATCACCATCTGTGGAAGATTCTGGAAAATAGCTAAAGCCAGGATGAGTGAGGTAGTGTCTAGTGACACCCTGGTCAGCAGAAAATGATATAATGAATGTATGTGCAAACTGAACACAGTGGCACATAAACGTTCCGTAAGAGAACCATTTTGTTAAAATACCTTTAGAAAAAAACACATTGTGTAAATTAAGTGACACAACATTTATAAAGCTCTCCGTGTAGAAATCTCCTCACTTTAGCCAGGCATGGTGGCTCACGCCTGTGATACCAGAACTTTGGGAGGCCAGGGCGGGTGGACTACTGGAGGTCAGGAGTTCGAGACCAGCCTGGACAACATGATGAAACCCCGTCTGTACTAAAAATACAAAAATTAGCTGGGCTTGGTGGTGGGCGCCTGTAATCCCAACCACTCGGGAGGCTGAGGCAGGAGAATTGCTTGAACCCAGAAGTGGGAGGTTGCAGTGAGCCGAGATCATGCCACTGCACTCCAGCCCGGGTGACAGAGTGAGACTCTGTCTCAAGAAAAAAAAAAAGAAAGCTTCTCACTTATTAGTAGATTATTGTTTGCTTGTTTTACTCTGCAGGATCTACCTACAAATATTAAAAGCAACAGATCAACACCCATGTGAGAAACTCCACTGAAAAACATGTTCTAGTCATATTTCACAATGCACAACATGGTCTATTCACAATTCAAATTGAAGCTTCTCCTTAGTCTTCTTCCAAATGAGACTCTAGTCTGAGAGAAAAACCTTCATTTACCATGAAAAGTTTCTTTCTTACCTAAATACTAACATATTGATTTAAGTATAACTTTGATGAGAAATCTAGAAACGGGCTATCTGGTAACATTCCACTCTGCTAAAAATGTCAAACAAGAAACACCATAGTGGTCTCAGTTATTTAATCTTCATCTTGGAAGAGGAGTTAATTTTGAAAGTTATGCAAAGTTTGCATGCATTATGTATGCAGTATCAAAAAAAAAACAATAACTTTTACAAGATTAAAGAGTTGAGTGGAACTATATGAGAAAATGCTGAAGGAATTGGCATTATTAACAGCAAGACTAAATGAAGGGTGGAGACAAAGAATGGAAATGGGAATGATCCTGCTTTTACAGGACTTCCAGGGGCTAAAGAATTTGCAAATGGCTTACACTAATAAATTTCTAGAACTTTATACTATTCAGTTGCGAAAAGTTTACATTACAGATTTTAAAATATTTTCCATACTTAGTATAATAAAAATCATCAATGATGTAATACAGCCAACTACTACTGTACAGAGGAACCATACAAGTATCTCATAAAGTTCTTCATATTGTTCTCTTTCTATGTGGGTCTCCAGAACTCTGAATACACAAGAGCATATTATGGCCACAATTTCATGACTCTGCTTTACAAATAACAAAACAGGCCCAGCAGCTTACCTGTTCTCTGAAGGCTTGACAGTCAGGCCACATCTTAAAAACAGCAATCAGAACCAATTCATGCCCATCTGAATAGCTACAATTTAAATGTCAAACAATACCAAGTATTAGCAAAGACGTCCCACACTGAGATCTCCAATACACTGCTGGTACAAAAAGGAAAAAAAGAAAAAAGAAAAACTGTAACCATATCAAATAAGCCTGAAGACCTACATTCTCTAAGTCCAGGTATTCTAGATACAGGCACACCTCATTTTACTATGCTTTGCTTTATTGTGCTTCACAGATGCTGCATTTGTAACATATTGAATGTTTGTGGCAACCCTGCATCAAGCAAGGGTTTTGGCACCATTTGTCCAACAGCATATGCTCACTCTGTGTCTCTGTGTCACATTTTGGTAATTCACACAAGATTTCAAACTTTTTCTTTGTTTTTATGGTGTTATCACTGTTATGGTGATCTGTGATCAGGAATCTTTGACCTTACTGTTGTCATTGTTTTGAGGCACCACAAGCCACACCCACATAAGACAGCAAACTTAATTAATAAATGTGTGTGTGTTCTGACTGCTCCACAGACCATCTATTCCCCTATCTCTTTCCCTTTCCTTGGGCGTCCTCATTCCCTGAGACACAATGATATTGAAATTAGGCCTATTAATAACCCTACAATGACTTCTACATGTTCAAGCGAAAGGAAGAGTTGCATGTCTCTCACTGCAATCAAAAGCTAGAAATTAAGAATCTTAGTGAGGAAGGCATGTCAAAAGCCAAGAAATGCCAAAAGCCGGTCTTCTTGCATTGCGCAGTTAGCCAAGTTGTGAATGCAAAGGAAATGTTATTGAAGGAAATTAAAAGTGTTACTCCAGGCCCGGTGCGGTGGCTCACGCCTGTAATCCCAGCACTTTGGGAGGCTGAGGCAGGCAGATCACGAGGTCAGGAGTTCAAGACCAGCCTGACCAACATGGTGAAACCCCATCTCTACTAAAAATGCAAAAATTAGCTGGGCGTGGTGGTGCGTGCCTGTAGTCCCAGCTACTCAGGAGGCTGAGGCAGGAGAATTGCTTGAACCTGGGAGGTGGAGGTTGCGGTGAGCCGAGATTGCACCATTGTACTCCAGCCTGGGCAACAGAGAGAGACTCTGTCTCAAAAAAAAAAAAAAAGTGCTACTACAATCGCGCCACTGCACTCCAGCCTGAGCGACAGAGTGAGACTCCATCTCAAAAAAAAAAAAAAATGCTACTCCAGTGAACACATGAATGATAAGAAAGTGAAACAGACTTATTGCTCATATGAAGAAAATTTTAGTGGCCTGGATAGAAGATCAAACCAGCTACAACATTCCCTGAATCCAAACCCTCATCTCAAGAGCAAAGCCCTAGCTCTCTTTAATTCCTTGAATACTAAGAGAGATGAGGAAGCTGCAGAGGAAAAGTTGAAAGCTAGCAGAGTTTGCTTCATGAAATTTAAGAACAGAAGCCATCTCTGTAACATAAAAGTGCAAAGTGAAGCAGCACATACTGATGGAGAAGCTGCAGCAGGTTATCCAGAAGATCTAGGAAAGATCATTGATGAAGGTAGCTACACCAAACAACAGATTTTCAGTGTAGACAAAAAAGCCTTTTATTGGAAGAAGATGCCATCTAGGATTTTCATAGCTAGACAGGAGACATCAATGCCTGACTTCAAAGGACAGGCTGGCTCTCATTAAGGGTTAAGGCAGCTGGTGACTTCAAGTTGAAGCCAATGCTCATTTTACATTCCAAAATCCTAGGGTCCGCTAAATCTTCTCTGCCTGTGCTTCATAGGTGGAACAACAAAGCCTGGATGACAGCACAGCTGTTTACAGCATGGCATACTGAATATTGCAAGCCTACTGCTGAGACCTACTTCTCGGAAGAAAATACTTCCTTCAAAATATTACTGTTCATTGACAATGCACCTGGTCACCCAAGAGCTCTGATGGAGATGTACAAGGAGATTAATGTTATTTTCCTGCCTGCCAACACAATATCCATTCGGTAGCCCATGGATCAAGGAGTAATTTCAACTTTCAAGTCTTATTATTTAAGAAATACATTTCCTAAATCTATAGCTGCCATAGGTAGTGATTCTTCTGATGTATCTGGGCAAAGTAAATTGAAAACCTTCTGGAAAGGATTCAGCATTCTAGATGCCATTAAAACATTTATGATTCATGGGAGAAGGTCAAACTATCAACATTAACCGGAGTTTGAAAGAATTTTACTACAACCCTCATGGATGACTTTGAGGGTTTCAAGACTTCAGAGGAGGAAATAACTGCTGATGGTAGAAATTGCAAGAGAACTGAAATTTAAAGTGAATCCTGAAGATGTGATTGAACTGCTGCAATCTCATGATAAAATTTTAATGGATGAGGAGTTGCTTCTTATGGATGACCAAAGAAAGTGGTTTCTTGAGATGGAATCTGCTCCTGATGAAGATGCTATGAGCATTATTAAAATGACAACAAAGTATTTACAATATTACATAAACCTAGTTGAGAAAGCAGTGGCAGGGTTTGGCGGATTGACTCCAATTTTGAAAGAAGTTCTACTATTGGTAAAATGCTACCAAACAGTATTGCATGTTTCAGAGAAATCTCTCATGAAAGGAAGAGTCAGTCGATGCGGCAAATTTCATTATTGTCTTATTTTAAGAAATTGCCACAGCCACCTCAACCTTCAGCAACCACCATTCTGATCAGTCAGCAGCCATCAACCTCAAGGCAAGACCTTCCACCAGCAAAAAGATTAAGACTTGTTGAAGGCTCAGATGATTGTTAACATTTTTTAGAAATAAAGTATTTTAGGCCAGGCGCCACGGCACACACCTGTAATCCCAGCACTTTGGAGGGCCAAGGCTGGTGGATCACTTGAAGCCAGGAGTTTGAAACCAGCCTGGCCAACATGGCAAAAACCCATCTCTTCTAAACACAAAAACTAGCCAAGCATGGTGGTGCATGCCTATAATCCCAGTACTCAGGAGGCTGAGGCAGAAGAATCACTTGAAGCCGAAAGACAGAGGTTGCAATGATCCCAAATCGCACCACTGCACTCCAGCCTAGGTGACAGAGTCTGTCTGTCACTAGGTGACCCTGTCTCAAAAAAAAAAAAAGAAGTATTTTGAAGTTAAGGTCTATACATTTTTTTTTAGACCTAATGTTATTACACACTTAATAAACTACAGTATGGTGTAAATACGACTTTTATATGCACAAGGTAATCCAAAAATTTATGTGACTCTCTTTATTGTACTATTGGCTTTATTGCAGTGGTCTCGAACCAAACCCACACTATCTCTAAGGTATGCCTTGTATTTGCCCAACAGACACTTGGAAATGTGCCCCAAGAGACATGGATAAGAATGCTCATGGTGGCATTGTTTGCCACAGCCAAATACTGGCACAAGCCCAAGTTTCCACTGACAGAATAATGAATCAATAAATTAATTCTAAATAGTCATAGTATTAAGTACTATGCAGAGGTTGAAAATGGTTCAAATTGATGTATTCATGTTCCATGTTTCTACTTGGATAATGCTAAAAATGTATTAATTTAAGAGTAACCTTAGAAGCTTATATAAAGCAAAGAGCACTATCAAAAAATTGAAAATATAGCCCACAGAATGAGAGAAAATATTTACAAATCATATATCTGATAAGTGACATATATCTAGAATACATTAAGAATTCTTGTACCTCAAAAATAAAAAGATAATAGGCCTGGCGTGGTGGCTCACACCTGTAATCCCAGCACTTTGGGAGGCTGAGGTGGGCAGATCACCTGAGGTTGGGAGCTCCAGACCAGCCTGACCAACATAGAGAGACCCCATCTCTACTAAAAATACAAAATTAGCTGGGCGTGGTGGTGCATGCCTGTAATCCCAGCTACTTGGGAGGGTAAGGGAGGAAAATTGCTTGAACCTGGGAGGTGGAGGTTGCAGTGAGCTGAGATCATGCCATTGCACTCCAGTCTGGGCAAAAAGAGCAAAACTCCGTATCAAAAAATATATATAAATAAAAAGACAAGTAATTCTATTTAAAAAATGGACAAAGGATCTGAACAGACATTTCTCCAAGAAAGATATACAGCTAGCCAACAAGCACGTGAAGAGATACTCAGTACTATTAGTCATTATGGAAATGCAAATCAAAGTCATCATGAGATACCCCTTCACACCCACTAGGATGGCTAGAGTCGATAATAATAGGTGTTGGTGAGGATATAGACAAGCCAGAATCCTCACACACTGCTAGTGGGAATATAAAATGATGCAGCTGCTTTGGAAAACACTCTAGCAGCTCCTCAAAAGGTTAAACATAGAGTTCCTATATGACCCAGCAATTCCTCTCCTAGGTATATGCCCCAAAGAATTGAAGCACGTGTTCACACAAAAACTTGTACAGAAATATTAATAGCATTATTCATAATAGCCAAAAAGTGGAAACAACCCAAATAGCCATTAATGGATGAATAAATAAATAAAATGTGATACCTTCATACTATGGAATATTATTTGGCAATAAAAATGAAGAAATATAAATACATGCTATAACATGCATGAATGATAAATACTGTGCTAAGTGAAGAAAGCCAGATGCAAAACGTCACATATTATATGATTCCATTTATGTGAAATTACCAGACTAGGCAACCCTCTAGAGACAGAAGATCCATTATTGGTTGTCTAGGTCTGGGAGTGGGGCAGGGTCAGGGGAAGATGAGGGAGTGTTCATTGGCACCAGAAGGTTTTTTTGGCTTGGCATGAGCGGTGGTGATGAAAAGGTTCTACAATTGATTGTGATGATGGTTTTGCAACTTTCTAAATATATTAGAAACCATTGTACACTTTGAATAGATGAATTGTATGGTGTGTAAATAATATCTCATTAAATTTATCAAAAAAGTATATACATTATGATTTATATTCAAATTTTAAAGCATGCAAAACAATATTACCTATTGCATGTATAAACACATGTTTGGAAAATGCAGGCAAGGGTGGTATTTGAAAACTGAAAATTTTGTGCTGTCACTCTGGCCTTTAGACAGGTCTGGGAGCTTGAAGAACATCTGTCCTGCAGGCAGGGGAAAGACAAAGTTCGGACAGCCATTGCCTCTGTGCAGGGAGGGAGGAGCCCAGAGAGAGGACCCAGGAGGCTTCAACCATTTCTTCAGAAGAAAAGTCAATACCACGAAGTGTTCAGATTAAATAAGAGTTTGTGGGTACATAAACATTTATTCTATTATCCTCTATATTTCTCTGTATGTTTAAAATACTTTCTAGTTTTAAAAAGTTGTATATTTCAAGGCCCCAATCTCTTGAAGGCCATAGCAAATGCCCCCATCAGGGCTGCTTGTTGCGGAGAGCTGGTGGTTAAACATTTGCCAGCACACTGCTGAATCCAGTCCAAAAAAGCCTGCCCATTTTCACAGGGGCAAGTAGCTGAAAGAATCTTCAGGCTTTATTAGGAGGGAGTAGATCTACTTAAGCACATTCGGGATAAACCAAGGGCCACCTTATTTGGAGCAGTTGTCATCCCATTTTACTGAAAACTGGGTTTGTACTGTAATCACAGGAATTCCCACGAAGCACAAAGCAGAGGATTTTGGCCCTGTGAGCCCTGGCTGCCCGCCTGAGGCCAGCCTGTTCTAAGCCTCCTTAAGGAGTCCACACTGCATCAAAGTCCACGTCCCTGGGAACAGCGGCCTGCCAAAAACTTCCTGACCTGGAAGCAGAAAGTTTAAGAGCATTTCTGGTAACTGTTGGATTAAACCTCTGACTTCTGGGAGCAGGTTGCTGAGAGTGTTCAACTTTCTGAAATAGGCATGTAATTTGAAAGGTTAAATCAGATGCTTAATAACCTAACTGAAATATTCCAAAGCCAAGAACATCAAACACAATTAAAAAAAAAAGAAAAAAAAGAACCTTCTCCTTCATCTGTCTTGTCCTTTTTAACACATTTTTAGTACCAGGGTTTAGTAGGCTTTTAATTTTTTGAAATAATTTAATCCAATGGCCGTGTTTGAGAGTACCATAGCAGTTTAAACAAAATTCATTCAAAATATATTAAAAGTAATCACTAGAAATTAAAAGCAGGCTTTCTCCATCACGTTCACCCAGATTTTGCTCTTCTATTGCATCTTCTTGCTTTCCCAGGGATTCAAAGTGGGAAAGAGAATAAGACGATGGACCAACATGAATAAATTGTATATAATGTTAATGAGTTTGAAGACCTTTCTGCTTTCCCCCATTATAAGAAGCTTCAGGCATTTGCCTACATTACATAAACTGTTTTGGGAGTTAATCCCTTTCCCCATGTGACTCATGATCGGTGCAGGTCCTTCCAGAGAGGATAAAAATACAATGGATTACGGCATTGCAGCGTCTGCAATTCTCAAGGAAGAAATGGCTTTAGACATTTATACAGCAAGCCTGGCGGCCGAGTGTGGGTGAGTGTGTCCGAAAGCAGTTGGAAATCGGACAGTTTGTGCTGCAATGCAAGGACAGGAAGCATTGCGAGTTTCTGCAGCCGAGGTTGGCTTGAGATAATACCATTGTATACCCAGCCCAGAGACCGCTCCCACTGCTGAGAGCCCGGGGCCTGGCGTCTGGCTCCTTGGCTGCGGGCCAGGCTGAGGTCCTGCCGTCTGAAGGCAGGGTGTGTGTCCCCTCCCAGGCGGTCCACACACACAGTGCCGGCCACACCTCACCTTCCAGAGGAAATCTGGCCAGAAAGCCAGACTTCATGACTTCTCCTTTATGAGCTTCCCCCACCCCCAGCCTTAGCCCGGCTTTTGTTTTCCACTGGGATGCAGCGGCTGTATGCACGCTGCGCTCAGATTGAGATTTAAAGTCCCAGCAACGCAGGAGCTGATGACAGGGTTATTGGAAAGATACAATATCTCCCTGTGCCCTGCTGCCTCTGCGGTCAGCGCTGGGCCCGGCTCTCATCACTCTCCAAGCTGTCCTCTCACGGAGCCCTTCCACCGGGCAAGAGCAAGAGTACTTACCAAGGACTATTTTAGACGCATTTAGCAGCAATATTGTTTGATTTTAACTGGACATTGTTCTAAACACACAAAAGAGTTCAAGGATGTGGCCACTGGGTTTTGTTCTTCTCCATCCCCCCTCGTCCGCCACCCCCTCCCCACCCCCCCCCCGCCCCGCAAGAGCTGTCAGGTTTCTCTGGGAAAATGGGATGAAAATGTTTGGGGACATTTCCACACAATAAAACACTAAAAATTTTTTAAAGATTTCCTTTCTAGTTTTGTCAGGATTGTAACTCAGATCCGCAGAAGTCAGGAAATTCCAAATTTATGTTGACACTTTCCCCTTAAAACCCTCATCAGATGATAACCAGTGTAAAAATCTGTTTCCATCCAAATGTTTCCAATGTTAACACCGGGTGCCAGTTACTCCCTGTGCAATGGTGCTTCAGGGCAAGAAGGAATGGCCCTTTAAGCTGGGATATGGGTCCCAGGGTCCGGAGTCTGCCACCTGCTAACACAGGGAATTCCCTATTCTTGTATTGGAAAATGTATTATGAAAATAAAATAAATTTTAAAAGGAAGTATTTCAGATGGAGAGTTTTCTAAATTTCTTAGTAAAGAAAATGAAATAATTCAGGCAGTTTGGTTCCCTGATTTAATTTTTTTTTTTTTTTTTTTTTTGAGAGGGAGTTTCGCTTTTGTTGCCCATGCTGGAGTACAATGGTGCAATCTCAGCTCACTGCAGTCTCCGCCTCCTGAGTAGCTGGGACTACAGGCGCGCACCACCACACTCAGCTAATTTTTGTATTTTTAGTGGAGACAGGGTTTCACCATGTTAGCCAGGATGGTCTCGATCTCTTGACCTTATGATCTACCCGCCTCAGCCTCCCAAAGAGCTGGGATTACAGGCGTGAGCCACCGCACCCAGCCTGATTTAATTTTTACACATGGAAAGGAGTTACGTTTAAAGACAGAAGAAAACAAAAAGGTGTTGGTGTGCTTCTCAAGGTGGAAACGCACTCCACTTCCAGCTCTGACAGCCGTGAGCTGTGTGATGCACGCAAATCCTTGGCAGTGTCCTCATCTATGAAACAGACGATGGTGAGAGTATCTCCCTCACTGGTAACTAGAGATGAAATGAGATAATGCATGTTACCATAAGAAAACATTTCTAAAAATTCCTCTATAAATAGATAAAATAATCATAATATTCACAACATTAAGGAAAATCAACAGTTGGCATGAGCTTCAGAGAAACATTCCAACATGCTTTAGATATGAGCAGAAAGCACCAGGGAAAATAAAATCTTAGGGATCAACGTTTGCAAGAAATGTACTTTTAGTAGACATTTCTAAGGTCACAGAAATTATACTGACAGAGAAAGGCAGTGACAGACGCAAAACAAAAATCAACCCCCTCTGTCCAGGGCCTGAGAAACCCATGGAGCTCCAGCTAAGTTTAAAAAAAAAAGAGAGAGAGAGAGAGAGAGTATGTGGTTTCCAAGTCAGAATCAAAAAAGCAAACCATGGCCAGGCACGGTGGCTCACACCTGTAATCCCAGCACTCTGGGAGGCTGAGGCAAGCGGATCACCTGAGATCAGGAGTTAGAGACCAGCCTGGCCAATATGGTGAAGCCCTGAAGCCCTGTCTCTACTAAAAAAAAAAAAAAAAAAAAAATCTGGGCGTGGTGGCACACACCTGTGATCCCAGCTACTTGGGAGGCTAAGGCAGGAGAATTGCTTGAACATGGGAGGCAGAGGTTGCAGTGAACCAAGATCATGCCACTGAACTCTAGCCTGGGCAACAGAGCAAGACTCTGTTTCAAAAAAAAAAAAAAAGCAAACCACAAAAAAAACCAGATGGATCTTCTTGGAGATGCAGGCAGCAGCTGGGAAAAGATCTTAGTTACAGATGATCAAGGAAAACAACAGCTCTAGGAAGAGAATAGCACATGCTCCAGCCAAGGCAAGGCCTCTTTCCTCCTCTCCCAGCTTTGTGGCCACGGTGAGCTGGAATCTGTGAGCCCAGGCCTGCAACCCAGTCGAAGGGAAGCCGTGCTCCAACAGCGTGGAGAATGCTGACACAATGGAACTCCCACTGATGCTCTCCGGTGACCCAGGGAAATTAAGAACTTTTTTAAAAACTAAGGCATGATAAGGAAGTCTTAGAGAACTGACAAAGGCTAACACATCATCTCTCATGCTAAACTTGAAAAAAAGGACAGTTCTGGACATTGAACAGAGAGATTAGCTTAATTTTCCTATCTGTAAGGATATCATATTTAAAAGTCATCTATCGATACACAACCAAGAAAACTGTGGGAAGAGGAAACCATTCCAAACCAATTTCATTTCCATCTATGATAGACGGTGAGGCCATGTCATAACAGCAGAACAATGGACGTGGGATCCGAGGAAACCTGTCCCCCGACGTGCTCCCGGGCAGGTCTGGCATGTGGAGTGGGAGCGGACCAGATGGGCCTTCCTCTTCCCCAGCTCTCAGGCCTGACCCTTCTCCCTCCCACCTGCCAGCCCGGGCTACTTCTTCCCCAACTCACTCTCCTGGTGCTGTTTGCCGTCAGATATTTCCCGATCCAACAGCGTCTGTTGTTTTCCAGGTTTCAGTGCAGTCCAGATTCTGTGGGAAAACATGGGTAGGATTTGGAGGCAGGACGAATGGATGGATGCGTGGCTTTGTCATTCATTTACCATGTGGACTTGGGCGAGCCACTGACCCTTTCTGACTTAGATACCCTCTCTTATCAAAGGGGGATCAAAATACCATCCTACCGTGATTACCATGAGGATTAGACATCACAGATGGCTGTAGTGTGTGGGTCGATACATGTTTCATTTATTCTCAACAATTGATTTTACCTCTTCATCTCTGGGTTTTATCTGAGTCCTAGACCTTTATTGAAAGATATGTTTATCCTTCCAAAAGTAACTTAATAACTTGATTTGTTAGGTTTTTGATTCTCTCTATGGACCCCTGCCACTCCCATACACAGTTTGGATCAGCCCCCAAGCTCCTCCCTGAGGCCCAGAATGTTGGTGAAAGGAAGTGTATCCTGCTCCCAGCCAGTCCCATCCTGCAGCGGGGGCCTTTCATCCCTTCCTCTCTGCATTCTTCATCTCCTTTCTTCCTTTTTTCTTCTTCTTTTTCCTTCTTTTCTCATTCCTAGGTCTTGATGTTGACAATGAGGAAACTCAAAGAGGCTACAAGCTTGTATCTGAGACCAAGCTCATTGTCAAGGCTGGTTTTTCCAGAGGATTAACTGACAACATTTCAATGCCTATTTGAATAAAATTGGAGTCGAAAAACGAGTTAGTACTCTGTCTCTCTCTGCTTTTGTCTGCCCTTTTGCATCTGACCCTGAGTTGACTTGGCCTCAGGTCCTTGATATGATACACGTGGCTGTCCACAGAGCTGGTAAATATTTGCCTGTGCAGAGGGGAGGACATGGCAGTTTCTGCATAGAGTAGGTGATGAGGCAACTCATCTCTCTAGGTCCATAGTGTGAAACAAACAATGGCAGTGAGCAAGGGTGGCATGCTATCAGTTAGGTTCAGAGGAGGGGTCTACTGATGGCTGGGGTCACCAGACTCCATCTCTGAGCCTCTTGGAGTGACCAGTGAGGGCAGGTTGCTTTCTGCCCCGGGTGTTGGCTCTTGACTTGATTCTACCATCCTCCATCCCCGAAAGCGCTATAGGAGCATGCCAATTTTCCCCAAAGGGCTTAAGAATCAAATGTGTCCATTGCTTTCTCATTATTCGTGGTCTGCTTGTTATCTTCAATCCCTAAGTCTCTGCTAAAAGAAAAGAAAGGTGGTCGGGAAGACGTGGTCAGAGGAATAGATGGAGAAGCAGATATGCCAGGGAGAAGCAGGACTGGGCAGCTGGTAAATGCCAGGAGAGGGCAATGCCAGTGTAGGAAACTGCCCCCAAATTGTAGTCTGAGACCCCAGGAATAACTTTGCTGCTGAAGAAAAGGAAAATTAGTATGGCTTCCAATGAACCAGCATCATTTCCTTGACTTAAACTATCCAGATTTCGGCCAGGTGCAGTGGCGCACGCCTATAATCCCAGCACTTTGGGAGGCAGAGGTGGGCGGATCACCTGAGGTCAGCAGTTCGAGACTAGCCTGACTAACATGGTGAAACCCCGTCTCTACTAAATAAAAAAAATTAGCTGGGTGTGGTGGCACATGCCTGTAATACCAGCTACTCAGGAGGCTGAGGCAGGAGAATTGCTTGAAACTGGGAGGCAGAGATTGCACTGAGCCGAGATCACACCATTGCACTCCAGCCTGGGCAACAAGAGCAAAACTACATCTCAAAAACAAAAACAAAGAAATAAAAAACTATCCAGATTTCTGTTCTATTATCCCTTTCAGTTTTGGCAAAGTGGGTCTCAGATATAAATGGAATTGGCAAACTGAACCTTCAGCATATTTGAGCAAATCACTCACCTCTTTCAGCTTCCCAGGATAGTACAATATTCGTTTATCATAAAATTACTTCTGGCAAAAAAGAAAACCTAAGTCAGCACTACTAGGCATTGCTGGTAGACATACATTCTACCATGGCAAACATAAAATAAAACAAATAACAGTGCTTCGTCACAACCAAAATGGTGCACTATTATATAGATTCATTTGTTCCTAATTAACAATATGTAAAGGATATATGTAAAACATCCTTTTGATATTTTAGCTTGAGGCAGGAGATAAGGAAAGGAGTAAACAAAAATTCAGATGCCACGAATTGGATCCATTCTAATGAAGAGCACATCATAAGCTCAAGTCAGTTGATTCAATTATTATGTATACAGCAGTATCGCTAGTATACTTGTGTGACATGTCTTCTTGGCAGGTAGCACAGCCTGTAGGAAGCATTTGGAATACAGATTAGGCCTATGGGCTGTGGGCTCAGACTGTCTGGGTTAGAATACTGCCTCTGCCACTTTTCACTTTCTATCTGTGTGACTTTGGACAAGTTGTTTAATCTCTCTGTGCCTCAGTTTCCTTATATGTAAGATGCAGTGAGTACTAACACCTCCCTCATAGAGAAGCTATGAGAATTAAGGGCAATAATCCAAACCGATCATTGAGGACAGTGCCTGTTACAGAGGAGAAAGTAAAGCTGAATAATAACATCATATTATAAAATGATTTATAGTACATACGCTAAAAGCTGCAGGGGTGTCAGCTACATTTATAATCATCATTAATAATATTTATTGAATACCACACTTAAAGCAATATCCAAGGTACAAAAAAGTCGAGAGAGAGAACATTTATATTAAAAAAATTAATAAAAGCAATAGGGTGGTTCTTCAAAAAACTAAACATAAAATTATCATATGATCTAGCAATCCCACTTGTGGGTATATACCCAAAATAAATCAAAGCAGGGATTCAAAGAGATATTTGTACATTCATGTTCAAGACAGCATTATTCGCAGCTGCCAAAAGGTAGAAAGTAACCCAAGTGGCTGGCCATCAACAGATGGATAAGCAAAATGTGATATGGACATAGGATGGAATATTATTCATCCTTAAAAAGAAACAGAATTCAGGCTGGGCACGGTGGCTGACACCTGTAATACCAGCACTTTGGGAGGCCAAGGCGGGCAGATCATAAGGTCAGGAGTTTGAGACCAGCCTGGCCAATATGGTGAAATCCCATCTCTACTAAAAATACAAAAATTAGCCAGGCGTGGTGGCGCCCACCTGTAGTCCCAGCTACTCGGGAGGCTGAGGCAGAAGAATCTCTTGAACTCAGGAGGCAGAGGTTGTAGTGAACCGAGATTGCACCACTGCACTCCAGCTCGGGTGACAGAGCGACACTCCGTCTCAAAAAAAAAAAAAAAAAAAAGAAAAAGAAAAAAGCAACATAATTCTGACACATATTACAATGCAGATAAACGTTGAAGACATTATGCTAAGTGAAATAAGTCAGTCACTATATGACAAATGCAGTAAGCCTCTACTTACATGATGACTCTAGAGTGGTCAAACTCATAGAGACAGAAAGTAGAATAGTGGATGCCAGGGCCTGTGGGGGAGAGTGAATAGCGAGTTATTGTTTAAAAAGAAGAGAATTCCATTTAGGATGACGAAAAGAATTTTGGTGGTAATGGTGGTGATAGTTGCACAATAACGTGAATGTACTAAATGCCACTGAATGTACACTCAAAAATGGTTAACATGCTAAGTTTTATGTGATGTATATTTTACCATAATGAATAGATTGATAGATAAATAAGAGATAGGCTAATTAGATAAAATCTGGAATAAAAACTCAAAACTCATTTTCTCATAATATTAATAGTATCTTGGGTTTGCTTCTTATGAAAGCTGAGCCCTTGAGAAAGTTATTTTAGCCCTTGAGAAAGTTATTTCAATTTCATCATCTATAAAGTACAAATAATAGGAATATCTACTCCATAAATTCATTGTGAGGAATAAATGAGATAATGAATACAAAAATAAAGAGTCTAAAACAATCCTCAGAGTAAATACCCAGTAACTATTAACAGTTATTTAATTTTCATCTACAAAAATAAAGGACTAAGTTCCAAATTTCAAAACTGAAGAGAAAGACTAGTATTCATTAATACTACAAGCAAAATCAGGTTTATTCACTCCCGTCTGAAAACCTGTTTTATCTGGCAAATACAATGGATGATGGGGCAGGAGGGAGACTGTGATGGGAGGAACTTACTATTCGTGAAATAAGGTACCTAAAGTAGTAGAGAGAAACTAAAACTCCACGATACCAAGTAAATAAAGTTAATAAATTTGAAGAGTTTTCGGTGTCATGCTCATTATGGATTTCATCACTTTATTAAAGAAGTCTCCATGTGAACGACCAGCCAGGCTTGCAAACCTCTACAAACCCCTCCTCTCCCCATCTTCTCTGTTCCTGATAATAGTGGCTCAAAATCACCCACCTTTATAGCCAGAAACAAAAAGCTCTTCTGGTTCCCTGTCTTCCTCAGCCCCCATCCAATCTGCCAGCTAGTTCCTATCTTTAAGATCTAGCTGCCTCCAAACCTCCCCAAATGCATCTTCTTCTGCGTCTTCACCATCAGCAGCATCTCCTGCCTGGACAACGGAGGGACCCTGACTGCTCCATCTGCATCCACCCTGCCCCCAACCCCCATTACCACACAGAAGCCAAGGTAGGTCTTTTTGGTTTAATTTTTTTATTATGGCAACATACACCTAACATAAAATTGATCATCTTAGTCATTTTTAAGTGTACAGTTCAGTGACGTTAAGTACATTCACATTGTTGTAGAATCATCATCACCAGTCATCTCCAGATCTTTTTTAAAATTTATTTTTAATTTGTATGGATGCATAATACATAATATTTATGGGGTACATGTGATATTTTGATACAAGAGTACAATGTGCAATGATCAAAACTGGGTACTTGGGATAAACATCACCACAAACATTGATCATTTCTTTGTGTTGGTAACACTCCAAATCTCTTCTAGCGATTCTGAAATATGCAGTAAATTATTGTTATAGAACTTTTTCATCTTCCCAAACCGAAACTGTGTACCCATTAAACACTTACCAAGCCCCGCTGCCCTAAGCCCTTGGAAAGCGTTCTCCTTCCTGTCTCTATGAATGTGACTATTCCAGATAGCTCATGTAAGTGGAATCACACAGTATTCAAGTTTTTGTAACTGGCTGATTTCACTCAGAATAATTTCTAAGTTTCATCCACAGTGTAGCATGTGACAAAATTTCCTTCCCTTTTAAGGATGAATAATACTCCACTGTATGTCTTATCACATTTTGTTTAGGATAATACTTTTTAAACATAAAACAGTGACAACATAATAAACACTTCCTACTTACTATGTTAGTCCATGGAATCCTTAAAGCTACCCTTTTTGCAGCCAAAGAAACCAAGACGCAGAAAAGTGAAGGGACCTACTCAAGATGGAGCATCTTGTAAACATGGAGCTGGGATTCACACGTGGGCAAGCCCCTAGAACATTTTTTTTTTTTAAGACAAGGTCCCCCTCTGTCACCCAGGCGGGAGTGCAGTGGCGCCATCTCCGCTCATTGCTGCCTCGCCCCTGGGCTCAGATGATCCTCCCGCCTCAGCCTCCCGGCTTCCCGAGCAGCTGGGACCACAGGTGCTCGCCACCACGCCCAGCTAATTTTTGTATTTTTGGTAGAGATGGGGTTTCGCCATGTTGCCCGGCTACTTTTCATCCTAGACCCGCACAACCTCCTTCTCGGACAGCCCTCCACAAAGCCCTGCCCAGGTCCCAAATACCAAGCACGGGCGTCCAGACTCCTCCCCAGGCCTGCCTTTCCAGTCCCCTGGGGTGCTGGCTCCCCGGGCTCACTCCCCTTCAACACAAGGCCCTCCCTGGCCGCACTCACCTCCCGCGCCCTGGGCTGGGCGCTCCACGTCTCCCCAGGGCCCGCCTTCTCACCAGGGTCCTTTCCGGAGGCCAGGCCCTGCTGAGATCCTGGTGCCTTCCCTCCGCTCCAGCTGAACTCCCAGGGTATCCCTCACTCATCTTGCGGACACCGTGTGTGTCTCTCCCTTTCTCTCTCGCCCGTGGCCACATCCTCAGCACCAGAGAGGATCCTCGCTACCAGTGGAAATCCTGAATTATGGGTTGAAAAAAATATTCAAAAAATAAAGCTGTCACTTCTGTAACATTCAGATTATTCACCTGTGCTACGCCTGGCTATCTAGTTACTTAATTGACAATCCCTTTTTAAAAAGTTGACTTCCTTGTTTTTGAGAACAGCCCCTTTGGTGTTGTTTTCAGCTGTGTTTTGATAATCTGGGTGTTCAGAGGAAGAGCAAATTTTTAAAGATAAACTCTTTTTTTTTCTGACATGAGTTCTTCAAGTGGAGTAAACTTTATGTAATTTAAATAAAGTGAGGAATTTCTCATTTCTGTGGCTCAATAGGAAATACTTTAAATCAGAAATGATTTCATGTTCTGTGTTACATTTAATTCCTTCTAATAATTATAAACTCTTAGAACTGGAAGCTACCTACTTTTATGTGCTACAGCTTGTCATGCAACGTATGCATGTCTCTCTCTCTTTTTTTTTTTTTTTCTTGAGATGGAGTCTTGCTCTTGTTGCCCAGGCTGGAGTGCAATGGCGTGATCTCGGCTTACCGCAACCTCCGCCTCCCGGGTTCAAGCGATTCTCGTGCCTCAGCCTCCTAAGTAGCTGGGGTTACAGGCATGCGCCACCACGCCCGGCTAATTTTTGTGTTATTAGTAGAGATGGGGTTTCTCCATGTTGGTCAGGCTGCTCTTGAATTCCCCACCTCAGGTGATTCGCCCGCCTTGGCCTCCCAAAGTGCTGGGATTACAGGCGTGAGCCACCACGCCCAGCCTGCATGTCTGTTTTCATGGTAACCCCAGCAGATGACATTTATCCTAAGTTTAAATTCCTCCTACAATGAAAACTCCACTATTCATTATGTAGCCCATTCTGTCATTGGACTGGTCTATTTAACTTACTTATTTTGAAAACATTTACTGAAGCCGGGCATGGTGGCTCACGCCTGTAATCCCAGCACTTTGGGAGGCCAAGACGGGCGGATCACCTGAGGTCAGGAGTTCGAGACCAGCCTGGCCAAAATGGTGAAGCCCGGTCTCTACTACAAATACAAAATATTAGCTGGGCTTATTGGCAGACGCCTTTAATGGAGGCTAAGGCAGGAAAATCGCTTGAACCCGGGAGGCGGAGGTTGCAGTGAGCCAAGATGGCGCCATTGCACTCCAGCCTGGGCAACAAGAGCGAAACCCCATCTCAAAAAAAAAAAAAAAGAAAATATTTACTGAGTGTCTTTAATGTACCTCAGCTCTGTGTTTGACTGGGGATGGACACAATACAGTTCTTGCCGTTAAGGAGTTTATCCAGGTCAGCACTGCTTAACAGAGCTTGCTGAGATATTCTAGAATCTGTGTTGCCCAATATGGCAGCACCAACCACATTTTAAGTGTTTGGTCACTATGTGTGGTTATGGTACCTGAGTACTGTCTCCCACAGTCTAGGAGACAGATTCACACAAGTCAACAAATAGGATAAAAATGTTGCAGCCACTACCATTTTAGAGGGCACAGTGGGCTGGTTGGGAAGCAGACCATGGCCTGGCTTACTTGGAAAGTGAGGCAGGCCGGCTTCCTAGAAGGATGGGCAGGTGCTGAGGATGTGCAGGAGCTCTGTGAGGGAGACAGGCTGGAGGCAGGGGGAGAAAGTGCTCCAGCAAAGGCACAGAGGCTCAGAGAAGTCAGGAACGTTGGACTCTCAGAGGCTGGTGCAGAGGATCAGAAAGGGGAAGACAAAATCAAAGGCCAAAGAATGTGCAGTACTCACATGATGAATGAATGGCCTGGGACTAGCCAGCAGAGTTAATGGAAAGTTCATCCTCTGCGGTGTCAAAATAGGATTTCTGTAATTGTATCCATAAGAGCTAATTTTTCCATTTTTCTTTTGGAGCAATAAAGAAAAAAATTTTACTCTCTCTTATAACCCAGTTCTTCAAAAAGTCATCTGAAAGTCACGCATAACAACATTTCTGACACCAGCGGACTGCATATATGATGGTGGTTCCATAAGATTATAATGGAGCTGCGTACATCTATTATCTTTCATACCATATTTTTACTGCACATTTTCTATGTTTAGCTATGTTTATATACAAATATTTACCATTGTGTTACAATCACCTACTACTATTTAGTACAGTCACATGTACTGTAGGTTTGTAGCTTAGGAGCAATAGACTATACCATACAGCCTAGTGTGTAGTAGGCTCGGCCTGGGTTTGTGAAAGTACACCCTGTGATGTTCCCACAATGACAGAATCACTTCATGATGCATTTCTCAGAATGTATCACCAGCGTTAAGTGACACAGGACTACACAGGTAGGCCTCTACCTTGTTTCTTGTCCCTTTCCTCCTTTGTCCTAATCATCACTAGTTCTTGACACAACAAGGTTTCTAGACCCTTGCTTTCTAGGCACCCAATCTAAAGCCCTTGTCATTGATCAATGTCTTCTTAAAACTCTCCAGAGCGTAAATTTTGTAGATTTCGGGATTTCAGAAGTGGCCTGATCCTCGCAGAATAGGACGATAGAACACATTCTAGATTAATAAAGGTATAATATGCCTAAGACACCCGTTTTCTGAGAACAGCTTCAGCAAGCTAGTCTAGAGGAACTTACACATCAGAAGGATAGGTTCTCCATAATAGAAATGAATGCACAAGATATAGTCATAATATGACCCAAACATGTTTTAGATTTCAAATGTTTTATTTTCATCCCTAAAGTGATTTTAGCAATATCCTGATTCTAAAAGAAAAATCTGTAATATACAAGTGTGTGTAGAAGGAAACAATAAAATTGAAATCCTCAAAATAAATAAAATTTCACAGGCATATAAAACTATAACTGAGATTCTATGGTTTGGTTAGAATACAAAAACAACTCATGTAGACTTAAACCATTGTTTGCCTTTCTATTACCTCTATTTTAATCATTATAGACACTCAATAACATTTTGAATAAATGGATTAAGTAGAACTGTTCAGTAATAAAATGGGCTGCCTCAGAAGATTATAATAGGAGAAATGTAAATTGCAATACAATTATGTCAGAAATAGTAACCATTTTCCAAATCAGCTGTAGAAATTTTAAAATTATATTATAGGCTCTATTTAAATGATATACATTTATTTTCCTTGAATAATTAATCACAGGAAAAACATAGGTTTTTGGTTGAAATTTTATTGTACTATTCAACACACAAACACATTTCAAGGCTCCTACTGACCAAATAGTCAACAACTTTAGTATCAAAATAAAGGAAGAAAGTAATTACTTATAACCCATTCAATAGGGTACGAATTCATGAGTCCATGTGGTAATAGGCAGGCAGACAGGGAGGGAGGGAGGGAGGGAGAAAAAAGAGAGGGAGGGAGGGAGGGAGAGAGGGGGGAGGGAGGGAGGCAAGGAAGGAAAGAAGGAAAAAAGGAAGGAAGGAAAGAAAAGGAAAAAGGGAAAGCTCTTCCTTAGGTAGAAAGCTAACTAATACAGAAGAGAAAAAAGGGTTTTTAAAACATCATTTTGCAACTATTATAGTAAAAACTGATTCAGACAAGAATCATCAATAAATCTAAATCTGGAGCAGAGAGTTTGATGAAGAACAAGATAGTCTCAGAGTATCTTCCAACAAGGTGGCTAGTAACTAAGAAAGAGAAATAGTAACCATGCTGTGAAAAAGCAAACACCACCTTAACTAACTAATCAAAATTAACATTACCAAAATGAGGCAAATGAATGGACAACATGTGCTTCCAGGTGGGATGCCCTGAGAATATTACTTATGCAGGCTTCTAGCCAAAAAGGCACACACAAAACTAACCATAAAAAAATCAGAGAAACCCAAATTGAAAGACACTCTATAAAGTAAGTGTCCTGTATTCTTCAAAGATATTGATGGTAAAAGACAAAGACTGAGGAGTTGTTCCAAATTTTAGAAGATTCATGACACGAAAACAAATGATCCTGGACTGGATCTTATATCAGAAATAAAATTGCTATTAAGGACTTTATTGGGATAATTAAGAAACAGGAATATGAAACGCCTATTGGATAGAAGTACTGTACCAAATTTAAATTATTTAAATTTGATAACTAAGCTGTAGATATGTAAGAAAAAATTCCTACTGTTGGAAAATACACACGGACATGATATAGGCAACTTACATTCAAATGCTTCAGAAAAAAATATATAAATATACACAGAGAGAGAGAGAGAGAGAGAGAAAGCTCAAATAGATGTGTCAAAATGTTAAACATTGGTGAATTTGAGTGAAGGTTATACAAGGTTTCTTTGTCCTATACTTAGATATTTTCTATATATTTGGCTTTATTTTGCAATTAAAAGATTATAAAAACAAAGCTTACACTTTTTTTTTTTTTTTTGAGACGGAGTCTTGCCCTGTCTCCCATGCTGAAGCACAGTGGCGCGATCTCCACTCACTGCAAGCTCCGCCTCCTGGGTTCACGCCATTCTCCTGCCTCAGCCTCCCCAGTAGCTGGGACTACAGGCGCCCGCCACCAAGCCCGGCTAATTTTTTTGTATTTTTTTTAGTAGAAACAGGGTTTCACCGTCTTAGCCAGGATGGTCTCGATCTCCCGACCTCGTGATCCGCCCGCCTCGGCCTCCCAAAGTGCTGGGATTATAGGCATGAGCCACCGCGGCCGGCCGCTTACACTTTTAAGAAATACAAACATGGATTCTCAAAGGCAATGAAATCAAATTGTTGTCAGAGAGATAGTCACTGAAATAGCTAAATTGATTGGTAGTCAGAGCACAGATAAACAATCATGTGATACAGAAGTGGCACATTCATTCTTTGAGCATTCGTTCAACCAATAGTAGCTGAGCCCCACTGGAAACCAGGTACCTGGTCAGCTTGGGTGGGCATGGCCGTGAAGGAGAGAGAAAGACCCTGCCCACCCATGCTGACAACTAGCGAGAAAGACAAGCACAAGTCTGCAGGATCCGAAATGTGAGCTGCTGGAGTTCCCATGGTGATGCATGCTGTCCAAAATGCAGCAGGAAGAAGGCTCAGAAAGTCTGCAGGAGTGGGGCCCATGGGAAGGCCTCTGAAAGCACTGTCACCTGAGCTGGTCCTGTTGTGGGGGAAGGCCCCTCAGTGGGAAGATCGTGGGTTTGGGGAAGTGCCTTGCCTGGGGAATGGTAAATGCAGTATTGCCGGTCTGGATCAGCCCGAGGCTGGAGAACAGCCAGAAATCCATTTGAATAACTAATGTACTGATTAACTAATGGAAGAGACTTAAAGAAAATATCTAGTTTGATCTCCTCATGAAATAAGAGGGTAAACATGCCCGGGGAGCCTAAGTTACCGGTCTCTGTCACCCGGGTTGTTAAAGAGAGACGTAAAACTAGCTCCACATCCTTTTGGAAGATAGGATGTGATTTCCTTCAATGTCTTCCAAAACCCACTTCTCTCTTTATTTCTTGCTTCAGCTTTTCCAAGGATATCTTCCTTGCTGGGCTTCCAATTCTTGGACACACAACTGTAAGGAACTGCCCAAATCTCATCCTTAGCGAAGATCAAACAAGAATTAAACAAGCAAGTGATAAACATCGTATTGACTTAACCTAACCACATCAGGTTAATTCTAAAGGGCATCTTCTACTGGCTGGTGACGTGGTCTAATGGAGTGAGTTGAAATTTCATCATATGCTCATTGGACAAGCGGGACTCATATGCCCAAGCGTTGTTAATAAATAATCTAGAATTGCCGGACAACTAGGAGAAGCCAATCTCCAGCAGGACTTAGGAGCAGTAGGGCACACAGTGGCCATATCTTGATTGACACTCTCTTCAAAGGTCTACTAATCCTAAGATCTATGTGAATTGTTTTATGACACAAGGTGAGTTATCAACTGGGTTTGATGTTAATGGAAAATACTCTGAAACAAATAGCATTTAGATTTCTTGCTTATCACAGTAAAGATTAGCATTTGCAGATAGGCCCCTGAAAACCAACCTATTTCTTTAATGACAGAGTTAAATTGACACTGGAGGAGAGAAAAGGAAACCCTCATTGCTCCTATGTTAGGTTAGGTCAATCTGTCCCAATCTAAAATATGGGCAGAGTTTCCATGTCATTCTTTTTTTTTTTTTTTCCTTTTTGAGACTGTATCACCATATTACCCAGGCTGCAGTGAAGTGGAGCAATCATAGCTCACTGTAACCTCCAACTCCTGGTTTCAAGCAATCCTCTGCCTCAGCTTCTTGAGTAGCTAAGATCATAGGTGCGCACCACCACACCTGGATAATTTTTAAAATTATTTTTGTAGAGGCAGGGTCTTGCTGTGTTGCTTGGGCTGCTCTTAAACTTCTGGCCTCAATTGATTCTTCCGCCTCAGCCTCTGAAAGTGCTGGGATTACAGGCGTGAACCACTGCACCTGGCCTGTTATTCTTGTTATACAAACTTTCTCCCCCAAATGGGTACACTGTATTAATGATTGAAATATTCAAAAAAGTGAGACATGCAAATGAAAAAAAATTCAAGGGAAAAAGAGTAAATGTGTATTTGCATCTCAGCAAATCTATGTGATTCTCATTTTCCACTGAGGTCATGTGATTGCCACCTTAATTCATTGAGTTAATGACACTTGAGCCTTAACCAAAGGGGTGCCTTCCATTTAATTTAGTTAATAATACTCAGCTGTTTGTGGAATAATTTCCAATCATATTTCCTGCAGCCAGAGATTTTAACTAGCATGGAAGCAAGGCAGTGAACGTTGCCTTACTAACCTTGGTGCAGGTGTGGCCACACACACACTACACACACACACAACACACACACACGCCTGTTCCCTGCTTGCTTCCATGCTGGAGCCCAAGAGGGTGACAAGAGGGAGCTTTTCAGTGGTCAGGAAGTGGAATGGACAGGGTTTGGGGAGCTGTTTTGCAGGTTCTGGAAAGGGTAGGGGACTGAAAGCTACTGTTTTGATAGCAATGAAACCTGCTGGTCTTTCTCTCTCACAGGAAAAGGGACAGGGGAGAGAGCAAAGAGCAAAGAAGGGAGCAGCAGGGAGTGAAGGGGTCCTTTTACCAGGCAGCACTACTGGAATTACACAAGGCATGAAGATTCACTTTTATTATTCAACTAAACTCAGCACATTTATGCCTTCTCTGCAGCTAATTGGATGTGTTGCCTAGTCATCCATTCCCAGCTCTAAAAACTAAAGAGAACTTAGGAGATAAGCATGAAAATACCTTCCCTCATTTGATCAGTGAGAATATAAATCACAGTCCCCTTTACCTCTGAGCACCCAGGAATCTGAACTATCTGTGGAGCCTAATTGATCACAATAGATGGTTTCTGTCTTTCCTTGGGATAACAATTTGCACTAAGAATTCTTTAGTCAGGTATCAGTTCTCATTGAAGGCCTGGAAGAAAGTGAACTCCGAGTTCAAGCAAGTTACCCTTACTCTTTGATGCTATATAATTCAGTATGCAAGAGTCAGTCTACCTCTTTTAAAATCCTGGCACTAGCACACACTAGCTGAGTGATTTAGACAAGCAAGTAGCGTTCTTTGTGCTTCAGTTTCCTCATCTACAAACTGGGCTTCTTAGGGGTGTTGAGAGGATTAAATGGAACATTATACATACATCCCTTATAACAGTACCTTGTGCATAATATCCAGTTGGTTTCTGTTAGTCACTGTTATTGTTAGATAAATTAGATGATGAAATTAGATAACAACATTCTATTAGGTTGGTGTAAAAGTTTTTGCCATTTAAAAATGATGGCAGCCAGGCGCAGTGGCTCATGCCTGTAATCCCAACACTTTGGGAGGCCAAGGCAGGCATATCACAAGGTCAGGAGTTTGAGACCAGCCTGGCCAACATAGTGAAATCCTGACTATACTAAAAATACAAAAAATTACCTGGGTGTGGTGGCGGGCGCCTGTAATCCCAGCTACTTCAGAGGCTGAGGTAGGAGAATTGCTTAAACCTGGGAGGCGGAGGTTGCAGTGAGCCAAGATAGCACCACTGTACTCCAGCCCAGGTGACAATGCGAGACTCTGTCTCAAAAAAAAAGATGGCAAAAACTGCAATTACTTTTGCACCAATCTAAGAGTGTCATTCATTCATTCATTCATTCTGTTTACATCCAATTTGCACTCCATATATGAACTGGGGATACAGAAACCACCAAAGCCATTTCTGTTCTCAGGGCCTTAGCATCTGCTATGGGGAATGGACAAGTAATAGGCATGGGCAAGATTTAAACAGCATGGCTGCCATGTCCAAGAAGCTTCAAGGTCAGTACAAATGAGTCACAGAATTAGAGAAGGGCAGTTCCAGGTGTGGTAGGTCTTGAAGCATGTGTAACTTGGGCGGCCCTGTTTTTAAAAAAGGATCCAAAATGTTGAACTTTTCGTTAGGTGCCGGACACATATGCCGGATGGGCTCTCAACTTAAGTTGCAGGAGCTCCATGGCAACTCTGCCCCTGGTTGAAGGAGGAGGGAGCCAGGACTTGGCTGCAGAGAAGCAGCCACAGTTTGCATAGGGCCCAAAGTGAAGGCTGTTGTCTGCCATCCCAGGGGTTTTGGCAGATACCTGCAGGTAACCAGAGGCTTTGAAAGGATTTGTGTAAGGGCATGACTAGGGGCAAGGAAAAGAGAGGAGAGTATCGTCATAAATCAGGTGAGAAATCTTGCTTAACGGCAATCATCTAGGGCTAAAAAGGAGAGAGTATGTAGGAAATATTAATAAAGGATTAGCAGAATTTCATGGTATGACCCTGTTTCTAAAGGTTAATTATTGAGTTAGCTATAAAGGGGATGGGTTAACCCAAAGCCACTTGACCTTCTGAATTTTGTCGGGCCATTCCAGGTACATGGATAAGTAATGGCTTTTTTCTGTCATTCTTTCTCCTACTTTCATGAATCTCCCTTGACCCCCTCTGCTCTGGTTCAGCAATGAAATCAATGACATTGCCACAACTTAACGGAAAAAAAATGGAGTCCCACAGACTCTCCAGGTTCTTTTCCTCAGAGGAAATTGATTTGAGTGTCCTTTAGTCAATGTCTAAAAGCACTGAGGTTCCTATAACAGATGAAGCCGCAGCGGTGCAGGCGACAAATGAAAGGCCCAGGAAGCATAAACTTTTTACTTAAAAAGCCAACCGGGCTTAACAACAAACAATCCATCTCTCCCAATGAGAAGCTGAGAAAGATAAGAGTTCTGCTTCAGCTACACCCGTGCACGGACCTGGGAGTAAAAGTTTTCCATCTTAAATGCCAAGGACAGGTGTAAACAGAAGCTCAGCGCTTCCTGGGAGGCGGCTTACAAAGAAGAACTAATCAGAAGCCTTTCATCTCTGACCCTTTACCTCCAGGTCTATTCCGGGGCATGGAGGTGATGGGGCTGCTGTCCTTTGCGCCCAAGGAAGCGACAGGCAGCCTGCTGATCAATAGCTCCTCTGGTAATGTCTTCAGAACTTAGAAGAGGGCCAGGGAGCAAAGCAGAAATCAATACTCGGGTCTAGGGGGAAGGAGGTTATCGTTGTATTAATTTCATTTCTAGAAAAGAGAGAAAACAACAAAAGCAAACTGACCCCCTTTGTACTCTTTGAGAAATGAATGTGCTTTCTGAGGAAGCATGGAGCTGAGTCTCGGATTTTAGTCAACCTCATGCCCAAGGTGAGACACTGCTGAGTTGCTGAGTTTTGATGTCCTCAGTGCCGTTCACTGGGGCAGCATTACCTGATTTACTTCTGAGCATCCCTAAGTCATTAACAACTTATAATTGAAAAGCATAAAAGGGAAGAGTTTCTGACAACACACCTGAGGCTTTAGGAATGAGCCACTCAATAGATAAATGGGGAAGTTTGGGAGAAATCAACAAAGCAAGTCGGAGAATGGAAGGATTGATTTATGGGGAAGATTGCTCCTTTGATGTTTTGCTGAGCTAATCAATGATTCTTTTTTTCCTTTTTTGACAAGGATTAGGGGACAGGAGATGAGTGAAGGATTAAGGTGAGTAACCTACAAATGCCTAGAATAAATAAATTTACAGGACAGAGAGGAATTCCTTTTGAATTGGCCGTAGAGTTGAATATTACCTAAGAAATTAATTCAAAAATTATTTGTGTCCCAGCCCTTTGACCTCCGGTCCACTTGCCTTCATTGCTTCTTACATTGAATAGATGCTCACTGGCTTTTTTTAGTTTAAATTTTTAAAAATTTACAATTTAACTTCTTAATAGAAAGATGTTTGAAAAAATTTCCTTCAAGAAACACTAAACACTCACCCCATGAAATATTTAAAATTACATCAGCACATAGGTTGTATCAGGTAGACGTGAAAGGACTGAATTTGTCTCTTCCATCTCTGGTATATAAAATGATTGCATTCCATTAAACTTAAAAATTCAATAAATTCACTCTTCTACTTAGGATAAGTTTACAATTATTTTTGGTAGATAAAATTTAACAAATTTTTAAAAAATTTTTGGTTGTCTAACAATACAATATCTACTTAGCTCTTATTTAATTTTTTAAAGGTAAGAGGCCAAGCACAATGGCTCGTGCCTGTAATCCCAGCAGTTTGGGAGGCCAAGGCGGTGGATTGCTTGAGGTCAGGAGTTTGAGACCAGACTGACCAACATGGTGAAACCCCATCTTTACTAAAAATACAAAAATCAGCTGGTGTGGTAACACATGCGTCTAATCCCAGCTACTTGAGAGGCTGAGGCAGGAGAATCACTTGAACCTGGGAGGCGAAGGTTGCAGTGAGCTGAGATGGTTCCATTGCACTCCAGCCTGGGCAACTAGAGTGAAACTCTGTCTCAAACAAACAAACAAAAAGTAAGAAGGAAGCAGGAAGGCAGAGCTCAGGGCTGCATCACTACAGCCCCCTCCGGAAGACGGCGCTGCTCTCCAGGGATTCCCCCAGCAGCGCTAGGTGTGTCCTGCTCAGCCACCCACCTGGTCCCCACTCCTCCTCTTATCCCTCTCCTGTGCTTCACAGGCAGAGGACACTCTTCTAAATGTACATCGGATCACATCCTTTGCCTGTGAGATCGAGTCCCTTGACCCCTAAATGGCTTCCCATCACATTTGAGATAAAACCCAAGCTCCTGCTAGCACCACTGTCTACTCTGGCCTACCTCTCCCACCTCACTCCCTGTCACAACCCCCCAACCTCCCTCAGGCTCACTCCACCCACACACACAAAGCCCAGTCCTGTGTCCAGGTCTCAGGGGTTCTCTCTGCCTGGATTGCTCTGCCCGCAGATCTGGGCGGGGCTGACCCCCGCCAACCACCACCACCTTTAGGTCATACTCAACCATTGCCTCCTAGAGGGGCCACCCCTGACCAAGCTATGGTGAACAGCACACAGAACTCCTGTTACACTTCAGGATTTTTTCAGAGTATTTATGTGTCTTTTGAATCATGTTATTTATTCACTCATGCATTTATGGTTTGTCTTCCCCATTAGCTAGTACCTCCCATCGGGGAGTGGCTGTCCTGCTCACTGCAGGGCCCCCAGTGTTTGGGGCAGTGCCAGCACAGGGCAGGCACCTCATATGTCACCTAGAAGAAAAAAAGGAAGGAAGAAAGGGAAGAAGGGAGAAAGGAAGTAAGAAAGGAAGGAGAAAAGGAAGGAAGAAGGGGAAAAAGGCAAGAGGGAGGGCAGGAAGGAAAGAGAAAGAAGGAAAGGAGGAAGGGAGGGAGAAACAGGAAGAGGAAAATAAGAAGGGAAGGAAGAAGGGAAGGAAAGAGGGAAGGAAAGAGGGAAGGAAGAAGGGAAGGAAAGAGGGAAGGAAAGAAGGAAGGGAGGGAGGGGAAGAGATGGAGGGAAGGGAGGAGGAAAGAGTGGAGAGAGGAAGAAAAGGAAGGAAAAGAGGGAAGGAGGAAGGGAAGGAGAAGGAGAGTGATGCACTATGCCACGGCCATGGAGCTCCAGAGAGAGCCGTATATACATACTCTAAGCTTCTGAAGAGCAAAATCAGTGTCTTTTCGTTACCAGAACTTCTTGTGTCTAGCACATAATTATACATTCAAAAATAATTTGAAAGAGAGCAGAAAATAAATGAGCTAAAGTTTATGATCCAGCCAAGGATGGTCACAAAAAGGTAATAGTGCAATCATCTCCAGTCAGCACGGTCCTGTGATAGTTCATTACAAACACAGTGTAGTAGGAATCCTCACAACATGCCGGTGTGGGGTACCATTACTGTTACCCCCACTTTACAGTGTATAGCAGAAGAACCATCCACACAGGAGTTATTTGTCCCAGGTGACAGGCTAGGGTGTGGCAGAGCTGAGATCTGGGAAGAGGCCATCTAGCTCCAGGCTCTAAGCCCATAGCCATTGAGTGATCACCACCACCAACCTGGTGGGCATCCCACTCATGTGGAACACAAGGCTCACAGAAGTGGGGAGTGAAGCAGGAGTCCACAGAGCAAGGAGTGAGTAGTGCAGCCATGGAGACGGTTCAGGAAAGGTGGGGGTATTCTCACACGCAGTTCCAGCTCTCTAGGGTGGATGTGTTCAGTGCAGCCTTTCCTGACCTTTCTGTTTTCTGCATGCCCGAAGCACAGTACTCATCCATTGACCCCATGAGTAGGGAAGACATGCGAACTAGGAAAAGTGGTTAAAGATAAGGCAAGAAGGGTTGGTTGGGCCCAGTCTATTGAGGGACAAGGATTTGGGACACATAGTAGAATTGAGCAGTTATTAGAAACTTTAGGTAAATTATTCAGGTGGTGCATGCAATGCATTTGAAAGAGAATCTTTAAAAAAATAATTTCAACTTTTACTTTAGATTCAGGGGGTACATATGCAGGTTTGTTACATGAGTAAATTGCATGATGCTGAGGTTTCGGGTACCATTGAATCCATCACTCAAGTAGTAAGTATAGCACTCAATATGTAGTTTGTCAGCCCTCACCCCTTTTCTTCCCTCTATCTCCCTGTAGTTCCCAGTGCTTATTGTTCCCATCTCTATGCCCATGTGTACCCAATGCTTAGCTCCCACTTATAAGGGAGAACATGCAGTATTTGCTTTTCTATTCCTGCATTAATTTGCTTAGGATAATAGCCACTAGCTGTATCCATGTTGGTTCAAAGGACAAGATTTCATTCATTTTTATGGCAATGTAGTATTCCATGGTGTGTATGTACCACGTTTACTTTATCCAGTCCACCACTGATGGGCACATAGGTTGATTCAGTGTCTTTGCTACTGTGAAGAGTACTGCAAAAAACACACAAGTACATGTGTCTTTTTGGTAGAAGGATTTATTCTCCTTTGGGTATATACCCAGTATATTAGTCTATTCTCGTGTTGCTATAAGGACATACCTGAGACTGGGTAATTTATAAAATAAAGAGGTTTAATTGACTCACAGTTCCACACAGCTGGGAAGGCCTCAGGAAACTTACGGCCATGGCAGAAGAAGAAGCAAATACATCCTTCTTCACAAGGTAGCAGCAGAGAGAAGAATGAGAGTTCAGTGAAGGGGGAAGCCCCTTATAAAACCATCAGATCTCATGAGAACTTACTGTCATGAGAACAGCATGGGGGAAACCATCCCATGATTCAATTACCTCCCACTGTGTCCCTCCCACAACACATGGAGATTATGAGAACTACACCTCAAGATGAGATTTGGGTGGGGACATAGCCAAACCATATGTATTAGTCCATTTTCATACTGCTATAAAGAAATACCCAAGACTGGGTGATTTATAAAGAAAAAGAGGTTTAATGGACTCACCATTCCACATGGCTGGGCAGGCCTCACAATCATGGCAAAAGACAAAGGAGGAGCACAGGCACATCTTACATGGTGGCAGGCAAGATGGCACGTGCAGGGGAACTGCCCTTTATAAAACCATCAGACCTTGTGAAACTATTCACTATCATGAGAACAGCACGGGAAAAACCCACGCCCATGATTCAATTACCTCCGACCAGGTCGCTCCCACGACATGTGGGGATTATGGGAGCTACAATTCAAGATAAGATTTGGGTGGAGACACAACCAAACCATATATACCATATCACCCAGTAATGGAATTGCTGCGTCACATAGGAGTTCTGTTTTAAGTTCTCTGAGAAATCTCCAAACTACTTTCCACAATGGCTAAACTAATTTACATTCCCACCAACAGTGTATAAATGTTCCATTTTCTTGCAACCTTGCCAGCATCTGTTATTTTTTTTACTTTTTAATAATAGTCATTCTGACTGGTGTGAGATATTATCTCATTGTGGTTTTGATTTGCATTTTTCTGATTATTAGTGATGTTATTTTTTCATATATTTGTTGGCTGCTTGTATGTCTTCTTCTGAGAAGTGTCTGTTTATATCTTTTGCCCACTTTTTAATGGCGTTACTTGTTTTTTATTTGTTGAATTCTTTAAGTTCCTTATAGATTCTGGATACTAGAACTTTGCCAGATGCAGAGTTTATAAATATTCTGAAAGAGAAGAATCTTAAGACAAAGGGAAAAACTAGAATATTAATGGATTGCTGTGTCCATTACAGTAATGGAATAATGATAAAATAGTAATCGATGAGATTAATAAACTATTAAAGTGTGTATCTGTGAGTGAATGGATTAAACAAAATGTGGAGTATATAAACAATGGAATATTATACAGCCTTTAAAAGGAAGGACATTCTGGCACATGCTACACCATGCATGAACCTTGAGGACATTGCGCTAAGTGAAGTAAAGCAGACACAAAAAGACAAATACTGCATGATCCCACTCATAATACGTACACAGAGTAGTCCAATTCATAGAGTCAAAATTCAATGTGGTTGAATTTTGGTGGTTATCAGGTGCTGCAGGGAGGGAGAAATGGGGAGTTATGATTTAATGAGTACGGAGTTTCTGTGATGCGAGACAAACATGTTCTAGAGATGGATGGTGGTGATAGCAGCACGACATTGTGAATGTACTTAATGCCACTGAACCATACGCTTAAAACTGATTAAAATGGTAAATTTCATGTTATGCTTATTTTACCACAATAAAAAGAAAGAAATACATAAACAAATACACTGTTAGCTAAGAGACAGCAAGTGAGAGATTGAAGACGGTTCTGCATTTGTGATTGGAATCCATGGAGGATGACTAAGCAGAGAAGTCAGGAGTGTGGCTGGCACAGAGGACAGGAGATCAGGATAGGGGATGGAGGAGTTTCTTGGAACACATGGTTTTGAGGATGCTTGTGAACATTCCACCTGAGTCACCAGCAGGTGAGAATTCTTGAGCGGGAGGAATTCACAGAGGTCAGGGTAGTGGACCCTGCCAGAAGCACAGTAGAGGCACTTAGTTCATTGATCTACTACTTACCTGCCTCTAGAGGAAGTAACCAGCTATGGAAAAATTGTCTGCATGGTAACATTTAGGGATGTATTACTAAGTCTGCTTTGCTGGAATTCGTAGGCAGAAGAACATTTACTGGTGTCAAGTGCCAGGCACTTCCCTGGGAGTGCTTTCCCTCCGTGGATAGACTGCGCCACTGAGTTCTTTCAGCCTAAAGTCCATGGACTGTGCCTCCAGCCTGTGCATATTTACCTCCCTTTAAGCTTAATTCAGCTTAAGCGCCACAGGGCCCAGCGGGACTGTGCCCTTGGCACCATCCTACCCAACCTTGATAAAATGGGTGGCTGTCCCTCCACTTCTCTGTGCTCCGGGAGGGATTTCCACAGGCCTTATCTAGGCCCTGGCATCAGCAGCTCAGACCTGACTCACCCCACATTTGCCAGTGGATACTGGAGGCCCACAATGTGAGGAAGTAAGCCATACACAATTGGGGAGGCCTTTTGTATGGCAACTGAGCTTCACTTTTCCTGGCTCTAAATAGCACCTATGCTATGGCAACGTGACATGCAGCGTCGCTTCTATTTTTGGTTCTTCAGTGCTAACTTTCTACTGTTTTATGTTAAACTGAATGTCAAGAGATGTTTTCTTTGCTTAATATTATGGCTTCATCTACAAAGTGACTAAAACACATACCCCCTTCAAGAATTTTGAAAAGCTACCTTCTCACTTTGCACATTGATGCAATGCCATCTAAAAATTTCCATCTTAAATCTAAACTGTTGCAAAGGATGTGACTTCCAGTGTATTCGAAATGTCTAAATATTAACATTTGTAAATAAAATTCTTTCTCTCACGTTCAAACGCATCCATTGGAATAAACACTTCAGTCATTTGTTACTGACCACTATCTGTTTAAAATACTGGAACCAGATTTTCAGTAAAAATCAGGAATTTTACACCAATGCATTTCCTCTTCAAGAGCTATATTCCACTCCATGCCCCTTCAGAACTTTAACATAATATCTTCAGATATTTGAGAGTTTATTTTATGATCAACTATCATATATCCCTGGGAAAGAATGTACATACATTGAAACTTAACATTTTAAATAATTCCTGTGACCAAATGGCTCTAAATATTAAAAAATTTATTCTGGATGGAATAATCCACACAATTTTTGCTAGTATGTAATTGGGCAAAACAACACATTTCCCAATGTTGATAAATAATTCTTAAATATGACAGAAAAATTTGTGGGAAGTATAAAATGTTGAGGTGGAGTTGTTAATTTGGATAAAGAAGGCAACATTTCCAATGGCTTCTTTTTCAATGCCTAGGAGATGTTTATACCTCGAGGAAACATAATCACAGCCGAATGCCCTTCTCTTTTCAGCTGGGGTCAGGTCCCTGAGAAAGCAGAGGTGGCAAAGGACACTGAGCAGCTTTAGGTCAGCTGGCTAAAGAAGCCAGGTCCTAGCACCCGGGCAAGGCAGCTAGGAAATTGACTACAGGGACTATCAACGCCAGTCACCTCTTGGAGAGTCTTCACAGACTGTGGGTGGAGCAAGCATCCCAGAGTAAAGACCACTCTTGTACAAAGTCAAGTCACAACACTGAGAAGAAATATGCAAATCACATATGGGCTCTCTCTACTTTCAGACCTGCAGACTTAGGTCATTTCAAACAAATGACAATTCATTGTATTACTGAGGGTTGTAAACATATGCGATTCTGCAAACACCCTAAATAACATTATTTTTTTTTTCAACCAACAGTCATTGAGCAACTGCCATGTCAGGCCATGTCACTTAAGCACTGAGGATCCAGGGCTGAATAAGAGGGACTTTAGGGACTGGGTCAGTGGGACATGGGATGGTGGGATAATGGGATAATGAAGAATGAGGGAGACAGAGGGTCTAAGATGACCCCCCATAGTTCTGCTTGGGCTACCTGAAGGGAAGTCAGAAAAAAAGCCAGGTTGGAGAGAGACAGAAATTAGCTTGGTCTCTGGTCTGTGTGATAGGTATGCTTGGGGGCATTACAGGTAGAGGCAATTGGTTCTATGGGCCTGAGGTTTAACCCAAAGATATAACCAATCATAGCTCATGATCTTTTTTTTTTTTCTTTTTTGAGATGGAGTCTTGCTCTCTCACCCAGGCTGGAGTACAGTGGCTCGATCTCGGCTCACTGCAACCTCTGCCTCCTGGGTTCAAGCAATTCTTCTGACTCAGCCTCTCAAGTAGCTGGGATTACAGGCGTGCACTACCACGCCCAGCTAATTTTGTATTTTTTGTAGAGATAGGATTTCATCATGTTGGCCGTGGTTGGCCAGTCTGGTCTCGAACTCCTGACCTCAGGTCATCCACCAGCCTTGACCTCCCAAAGTACTGAGATTACAGGCATGAGCCACCGTGCCCAGACAGGTCATGATGTTTTTAAAAAACTGAAATACAAAGAACACTCATTCATTGAACATATATTTTATACCACATGCTGTGCAAGTTTTGGGGGTTTCAAAATTGAAGAGACCTGATCCTTGGTCCCTAGAAGCTCACAGGCTAGTGGACGTAGCAGATATGTAAGAAAAGAGGAAGAGGGGAATCCTCGGAGAGCAAGTTTGGGTTTGGCTCTTCTGCCGGACCTGGGCCTGGATCAACCAAGCATACTAGAATCAGAATGCCAATAAGGCAGTAGAGTTTATTTAACTTGCGTCTCTTATTTTACAAATAAATATTGAGGCAGTTTCTCTCAGAACTGACATTCAAGGCCTGCAGATATCCAAGGGACTTCCTTTTGCATGTACTGCACACTCTTCAGCTCAAAGTACCACTAAGCCACAGAGCAACACTGACGGACCTTCTAGAGGCCGGCGCCCAAAAGTGAAAGGTCACTGCTTACCAGCTGCATGCAGAGATGCATGGGGACCACTCTGCTTGCTGCCCACCAATGCACATAGATCCCGGCCTATTTTCTGGGAGAGTGTCTAAAGCCTCCTTAAATATTCTTCATGTCTTATAATAGGGGTTCTAATAAGAAACTATTCTTCATTCAAGTATAAACTATGCTTTTCCTAACAGAAAACATGGACACTTCATCTTGAACAAATCCACCTTTTAAGTTAGGAGGTGATGAACAAGCATATGCAATCAAAGACAAAAGAAAACAAAAAGCCTCAAAAATGATCCTGCCCTCACTTTGCCCTGCTGGTGTCTGATGGCTCTCTGGCCCCGGCCTCCTCACCACCTCTGGGACATGGGCCTTTGTGTTCTCTAGCTCATCACTTCCATGGGGACCAGCAACTCCTCCCTGATTCTTTATGAGAACCTCACTCACGCACCACACCAACTGTGGACAGGACACAGGGGCATGGACACAGTTCCCTCTGGAATGGCTATGCTGCCATTTGACAAGACCAGCAATGGCAAGCATCCAATTCATCCAGATACATCTCAAGAGCCTTTTTCAAATCTCATCACTGCATAGAAGCACAGGACACGTCCTTTACCAGCTCCTATATAAGCACAAGCTTTTGTTTTGTTGCACAGAAAAGACCTGCCAAAGATACAGCTTGGGCAGAATATCTCCTTCTGTTCTCAGCAAGATTATTCAACTCTCAGAAGCTAAGGTTGGCTTCAGAGCCTGAACTTCCCCTCTACCAAATGGGCCCCCTTAACACATAGGAATTCTAGAATGATTCTTTTTCTAGGAAGTATGTGTCTTTTTCTAAGTAGCAGACTAGAATTCAGATTTAGCCCAATTTGTTCTAATCTTCAGTGTTGTCCAGAGGTGACTACATCTGAAGTTAATGAAATTCAGCACCCCCACTTGCATAGGCCCCTTCCAAGACGCTGGGAAGGATATGAGTATTGTGTTCAACGTTTTTTGTCTTTTTAGTTCTGTTTTGTTTTGTTTTGTTTTGTTTTTGTGAGATGGTGTCTCCCTTTGTTGCCTGCGCTGGAGTACAATGGCGTGATCTTGGCTCACTGCAACTCCACCTCTTGGGTTCCAGTGATTCTCCTGCCTCACCCCCCCAAGTGGCTGGGATTACAGGCACTTACCACCATGCTGGGCTAGTTTTTTGTATTTTTTGTAGAGATGGGGTTTCACCATGTTTGCCAGGCTGGTCTCAAACTCCTGACCTCAAGTGATCTGCCTGCCTTGGCCTCCCAAAATGCTGGGATTACAGGTGTGAGCCACTGCGCCCGGCCTGTGTTCAATATATTTTTTAATTGAAAAAATAATATCTCTTACAATCATCGGATAAGACCTCTGCGTCCTCCCACCCTGCCTTCTCACCACCATACTTCTTCAGACAGCATTGGATTGACATGAGCGTTTTACACCTACAGCGGAGCTTACACAAAATCCGTCAAACAGATCCAAAATCCATGACACCACTCCAAGGAGAGCAGCATGACAAACTGATTATGTGCTGTCATTCTAGAAGCATTTAAAACTACTTTACAAGCAAACTAGAAATGCCCTAAAACCCTACACTCATATGTGAAAGAAACTTGATAGAGATTTTTCTAAATTTGATGATAATTACAAAGATTTGCACAATATTACCAATAACAAGTTGTAAAACTGAAAGAAATTTTTCTACACTATCAAAATTTTTTTAAAAATCTATCAACCATGCTAAAGGAAAGACTAGTCCATTTCTATATTCTCTTTATAGAAAATTCTGTTACAAAATTAGTGTTATATATAGAGAGGTGATTAAAGAGTATGACCTTAAAGTACAAAGGAAAAAGTGTTATAGAGATATGTACAATTAGTTAATAAGATACATTTTTTGATTTTGTTATCTTTTTGTGATGCATTGTTAACTTTTTAAAATTTGTAATTTGTAGTGACTTTCTCATTCAAAGTAAACATTTGTATGTATTTCACACAGAGTCCTGAAATGCTGAAAGTACAGATGCAATAAAATTAGGTATTGATTGAAATACTCAGTATTGCTTTATCGTAATTATTACTTGTTTAAAATTCTGACAGAGGCCGGGTGTGGTGGCTCATGCCTGTAATCCTAGAAGTTTGGGAGGCCAAGACGGGCAGATCACCTGAGGTCAGGAGTTCGAGACCAGCCTGGCCAACATGGTGAAACCCCATCTCTACTTAAAATACAAAAATTAGCTGGGCGTGGTGGTGAGCACCTGTAATCCCAGCTACTCGGGAAGCTGAGGCAGGAGAATTGCTTGAACCCAGGAAGCGGAGGTTGCAGTAAGCCCAGATGGAGCCACTGCACTTCAGCCTGGGCCACAAAGCAAGACTCCATTTCAAAAAAAAAAAAAAATTCTGAGAGATTGAATACATTCATTTTTTAATTTTTTTCCATATTTTGGCTATCCTATTGTTATGTTAATAGATTTGATTTATCAGGTTACAGTTAGATAGCATTTGTCTCTTTTTGTCTTTGATAAGTCATCTAATTAAGAATATTTACACATTTAATAACTTTAATTAATGGATACATGCTTATCTTTACACCTGGGTGTAATATCTAAGACACCTAACCTAAACATTAAATTCATCAAAACAAAAATATTTACATTTATTATTAGTACCAGGGCATCATGACACACTCTCAGTTGTAATTCCTATAATTTAGTTTATGCAACTTGCCTTGTAGATACATTTTTACTGGAGGAAAAAGGCATTTACTAAACACACAAATTAAGATGTCAGCCCTAGAGTACTGTGTACTCAAATTATCTCAGAAAGATAATAAACTAATTTTCTCTAAAAATATTTTATTAGCCAGGACTTTTCAGATTACAAATGACAGAAAATCCAGCTGAAACTGACACGAGGGAAAACAGCGTTTCATGCCCATCCAGGGAGAAGTGCGGGGCGGGTGCCTGGACTCCAGGGCACAGCCTGCTCTCCTCCCTGGTGGCTCATTCTCAAATAGGCTCTCCCCTCGCGGTGGCGGGGCTGCTTCCAGCAACTCCAAGATTATGACTCACAACTGCAGACCTGGCTGAAAAGGTGACGGTGCCTTTCTCTCAACCACCCCAGTGAAAGCCCCCAGACTGGGTCTCCTGAGTTTTGGTGAACCTAGCCCAATACAGGACCGGGGCTAGAAAAACACAATCTGCAGATGGGTCAAGTCTGAGAGCAGAATGCTGGCTTATTAAAGGAGAAGGAAACAGATAATGAGCAGAAAAAGCAATTGCTTAGTGTGATCATGAACTGTTAAAGAGTCCATCCGATGTCAAACTCAGGAAAGTGGTTTTGTAGGTGCTGCCTCTCAGACCTTTTTCCCTTTTTTTTTGGTTTGGTGCCTACATGAAAAACAAAATGTCCGCCTACTAGGAACACATACCTGGTGGTGAGTGGAATTAAAGTCCTTCCAAGGCTGTCAGAAATGAAGCTCAAGTGAGGTCATGGCAAAATGTTGAAACGTTATAAATTAGACTGGAAAAATAGTCACCTGCCAAAGCAAACAGTATGGGTGGAGGGGAAAGAGAGAAATGAGATGGCCAAGCTCAAAGTGGGCACGCTGACATTTCATGCGGTTCACTAACTCTACTTTGTGGCCTTCATAAATTTCACTCAGAATGACTGTCAATGAAATTAATGAAATCACAGGCTGTTCAACAAAAGAAGTATCAATCTGTAGCTTTCCACTGGGTCAGCGAGACCTCCACTTATTGTAGGTGTGCTTCATGTCATCAAAAGTTGGGCACTGAGTTGGCTTGAGTTACCTTTCAGGAATTTCACGAAGATTCTATATCAGCGAAGTTCAGGTAACTTTTAGAGCTGGAAACCCTGCTTTAAAGACATAAACCAACAACACCTTTGGTTCTGGTAAACGAATTTCAATCTCTACCTCTCTCCTTTCTCACAATAAGATCTTCCTCCAGCTTTCTTAAAAAATACAAAAATTAGCCGGGTGTGGTGGCGCATGCCTGTAATCCCAGCAACTCGAGAGGCTGAGACAGGAGAATTGCTTGAACCTGGGAGGCAGAGGTTGCAGTGAGCTGAGATCATGCCATTGCACTCCAGCCTAGGTGACAGAGCAAGACTCTGTCTAAAAAAAAAAAAAAAAATTTCTTTTTAAATTTGTACTTTCATTGTATCAAAGAGAAAACAAGAGTTTTTTGAAACATAGTTCCAAAAATCAAGATGGAAAATGGACATCACAGAGATTTTGTTATAATACGAGTTTCTTTCCTAACGTCTATGGGAAGAGCAATGGTGTACATGCATGTACATGCATAGCTGTGTTTGAGTATATAAATAACAAACTTGAAGAGGTTTTAAAGAGAATTCCTATTGGTATTCCATAGCGATTTTCCACAATATTATGCAATTTAGAAAATGGAATTTTGTCTTACTTATGTACAAAATTCATATGCATTATGTAAAATATACGATCAAGTCCTACATGAAAGAAAAACACTAAGTGTTTGTCTCAGATCTCTGTCGCCCAGGCTGGAGTGCAGTGGTGCCATCTCGACTCACTGCAGCTTCCACCTCCCAAGTTCAAGTGATTCTTTTGCCTCAGCCACCAGAGTAGCTGGGATTACAGGCACGCACCACCATGTCCAGCTAATTTTTGTATTTTTAGTAGAGATAGGGTTTCAACATGTTGGCCAGGTTGGTCTTGAACTCCTGGCCTCAAGTGATCCACCCACCTCGGCCTCCCAAAGTGCTGGGATTACAGGCATGAGCCACTGCACCCGACCAAGGGAACTGAAAATTTGATTTCTTTTGTCGGGTCTATCATTTACTACTTAGATATATAATTCAGGTAATTATTATCTCTATTTCTTCGTGTGGAGAAGCCTTTTTCTTTTTTCATAATTCTTCTTCTTTTTTTTTTTTTTTTTTTTTTTGAGATAGGGTCTCACTTTGTCCCCTGGGCTGGAGTGCAGTGGCATGATTTTGGCTCACTGCAGCCTCAACCTCTGGGACTCAAGAGATCCTCCCACCCAACCTCACGAGTAGCTGGGACTACAGGTATGCACCACCACACCCAGTTAATTTTTTGTATTCTTAATAGAGACAGGGTTTCACCGTGTTGCCCAGGTTGGTCTCCAACTCCTGGGCTCAAGCGATCCACCCGTCTCAGCCTCCAAAAGTGTTGGGATTACAGGCGTGAGACAACATGCTCAGCCTACATAATTCTTGTAACATCCAAAAAACTAATAACAATCTTAAGAAAAGGAGAATTAATGTTCTGTTCTTGCTATTCAGGAATTTTGAGTTTTCTTTCCACTGGAGTCTATCATTAAGTGTCTTTCCTTGGGTTAGTTAAGCTGTCTCATGTCTTGCCTGGATGATCTCTCTTTCCATCTAACTCCAGATCTTTTGCCAACCACAACAGGAAGAAATGATTAAATAAATAGATCCAGATCTTTTTCCAGAGGCATCGTAGATTTTTGTGGGGGCTTCCAAACCATTATCATTGAGCAATATTCCATCTATCTAACTGCCGTAAAGTGTTACCTGTCTGTCTTTAGACCATATTAACTTCTAACTTCTTGTTTCCTGGAACTACTCTAATCTTACATCAAATTCTCATCTTCCAGATCAGATAAAAATGAAATGTTTGAAGCTTCTGTGTATGTACGCATTTCTAGAATGAAGGAGCATTTCAAGTTTGTAGTGACTGATCTAACAAAAGATGGCATTCTTAGTTAATCATCTTATTAAGAAGAAGAAACTCCAAAAAAGTAACAAAAACTGCCATTTTCAGAGTTCTATTGCGCAGCACTGTTAGGTATTCCACCATGGTTCTCTATTTAAATCCCTTAACAACCCCACAAGCTAAGTACCATGATCCTCCTTCTATGCATAAGTAAACTGAAGTTCAGAAAAGTCACAACACTTCCCCAAAGTTCCACAGCTAGCAGGTGCCATGCCAGAAATCAAGAATTCAAGGATACGTGTGATTTGATTACAAAGCTGGGCTTGGAATCACCACAACTTACTGATTCCCATGTGTTTTCTTTGACAATTATCAAGCTATCTTTGACGATTTTTTCATAGTACCTCAACATTCTCACATGTTAACAATTGGTGATTCATAGTCCTCTTAATACCCATCACTTGTGTATCCTGAGACACTTAAAAGTCAAGAGACTTGACAAAAGTGTTGGTAAGGATGTGGAGAAATAGGAAACCTTACATCTTACTGATGGGAATGTAAAATGGTGCGGCCCCTATAGAAAACAGTATGACAATTCCTCAAAAAATTAAACATAGAATTACCATGTGAGCCAGCAATTCCACTTCTGGGTATATACCCAAAAGAACTGAAAGTAGAGATTCAAACAGATATCAGTATCAACCCATGTTCATAGCAGCATTATTCGCAGTAGCCTAAAGGTAGAAGCAACTCAAATGTCCATTGATGAATAAATGAAGAAGCAAAATGTGGCATACACGTTCAATAGAATATTATTCAACCTTGAAAAGGAAGGAAATTCTGACACAAGCTATAACACACATGAACCTTGAAGACATTAGGATAAATGAAATAGATCAGTCACAAAAGGACAAATAATGTGTAATTGCACTTACATAAGGCACTAAGAGGAGTCAGATTCATAGACATAGAAAGTAGAATGGTGGTTATAGGGCAGGGGGAGGGAGGACTAGGGAGTTGTTTAATGGAGGTGGAATTTCAGTTTGGTAAGATGAAAAATTCTGAAGAGGGATGGTGGTGAGGTTTGCAAAACATGAATGTACTCAATGTTATTAAACTGTAAACTTAAAAATGGCTAAAATGATGAATTTTATTTTACCACAATTTAAAAAAAGAGAGAATTGCCCAACTCTCATCAGTTTGTTGCCTTTCACTGAAGTCTCACTTTTGTCTTTTCTGGGTTATTTCAGAATGAAGAGTTGATAGTCACAGATTTTATCTGCTAGTCACCCTAACTCTCCTTTTCATTATGACCTGTCTTTGGAACTTCCATACCAAGTTAGCAAAGCTCCCTTTGAGAACTAATTTGTAAGGTAATATGATGTGCCTGCCCTTGAGTGGTTAAATGAGAGCTACCGTTAGGGAGAGCAGGCCATAGGGCAGAAACTATGCTTAGCACTTTATATACATTAGTTTCTTTAATTCTCCTCATAAATATAGGAGCTCATTTTGATTATTACCTCCATTTCACACTCAAGGCACATCTTTGAAAACCCAAGGAAGTAGCCTGAGTAATTGTTGAAACTGAAAGAAAATTGAGAGTAAAGGGTAAGGTGAGGTTCAGGTTGTGGGGGAAGTCTTCCTACAGGGAGATGAAGTTGGAAGGGTTGGAAGTTCCAAGGAGGAACGAGAGGAAATAAGAAAAGGTGTGTGTTTAACCCACTGTACTTAAAGCTAAAACCACAACTATTTATGAACTTGGAAAATTCTTTTGTATGATGGCATTGCCAGTAAACCAGGAACATGAAGGCAGTTAAAATTTGAACTTCAGAAATAATGAAGTTGGCCGGGCGCAGTGGCTCACACCTGTAATTTCAGCACTTTGGGAGGCCGAGGTGGGTGGATCACCTGAGGTCAGGAGTTCGAGACCAGCCTGACCAACGTAGTGAAACCCTGTCTCTACTAAAAATACAAAAATTAGCTGGGCATGGCGGCAGGCGCCTGTAGTCCCAGCTACTTGGGAGGCTGAGGCAGGAGAATCGCTTGAACCCAGGAGGCAGAGGTTGCAGTGAGCCGAGATCATGCCATTGTACTCTAACCTGTGTGACAAAGCAAGACTCTGTCTCAAAAATAAATAAATAAATAAATAATGAAGTTGAGGCTCAATTCTAATTTATTATAAAAAATCTGGCTGGGCCCTGGAGCTCATGCCTGAAATCCCGGCAACTTTGGGAGATTGAGGCAGGTGAATCACTTGAACCCAGGAGTTCAAGACCAGCCTGGGCAACATGGAGAAACCCCATCTCTACAAAAAATAGAAAAGTTAGCCAGACACGATGGCATGTGCCTGTAGCTTCAGCTACTCGAAAGGCTGAGGTGGAAGGATTACCTGAGCCCAGGAGGTCGAAGCTGCAGGGAGCCATGATTGTGCCACTGCACTCCAGCCTGAGTGACAAAGCAAGACTCTGAAAAAAAAAAAAAAAAGAAGAAGAAGCCTAAAGTCTCTGACTTATGGACTTAGATGAGTGACTTTTACAAATATTTTTAAAATAATGAAATAATAGCGAGAAATATACAGAGAATAACATAAGAAAAATTCTTGCATCCATTATACAGTTTGGTTGACTCTTTCATTTGCTCCAGATATATATGTATACATGCTTTGTGATATTATAGACAGTCCCCATTAACAAAACATAATGCCACAGTTCAATTATAGAAGACCTGGGAATGATAAACAAAAGAGGTACATTTAGAGATCCAAAAATAAGGTAATGGAAATTTGGAGAAAAGACCTACCACTTAGAAAAAATAGGGAAGGAAATGATCAAGAGGTCATCCCTGAATTATAGAACGATGGTTTCTGAGACAGGCAAGGTTAATGTGCAAAGGCATATCCAATAATAGATATCCAATACTCTGTAGAAAACAAATTGTGACTTACATAACTTCCTTAACATGTCACTTTTTTAGAAATATTGACACACATTACTGCTAGTTACAGAGTTAACTAGCCTAGAAAGAAAGAGCAGTCTCTATTGAATGAGACAATCTTGCTACAAAGCTACCAGTTAATGAGAGTGGCTGAAGAATAATTGCTGATATAGTGATGTGTAAGGGCTCTAACAACTTGGAATTTGTCATGATTCAAGGAAATTTAACTTTGCATTTCCTGCGACAGTATTTGCTAAGGAAAATTTTTAAAGTAACCCGAAAAACTCCTGTTTAAAAGTAGAGTCGATAACCAGGGAAAGCTCTTAGAAAAGTCATCATATATAAATATTGCTATAAAATCATCAATGTGATCATTACTTGTGATTTTTATCTTCTTATTGGGTAATCAAGATAAACAATATTACTACATATCTATATCTCCCCATCTCCCTATCATTTATGTTTATTAAGTAAAATAATCAAATATATTCTGACCTTCCCTTTTTTATTAGTAGAATTACTCTATGAACATAAAAACAATAAAATTGTATTTCTTCAAAATATTCTACATGTCAAATTTTTAATCTTCCCTTCAAATAAGGAAAATTTCTGAAATTTTAATACAGTCAAAAAAATCTGCCCATCTTTTTATAAATATTATTCCAAATATATTTAATCCATATAAGCATTTATCTACTTATTTTCTTAAATATTTATCTATCCATACCTATAGCTTATATAGATGTATATTTTGCAAAATCTCTTCATAATGTTCCATCCCAAGAACTCAATCAAATTACAGTTTCTTGTGGATGGTCAATATATAATGTAGACATTTTATGAACTAATTGCTGCTGATCACTGGTTGATTGAAATTGTTTTGGTATCTTTACTAGGTAGACAAAATCCTAGCTTTTAAAAAGAAGAGAATATGTGAAGTGATGGAAATGATGTTCTGGAATTAGACAGTGGTGATGGACACCCAACATTGCAAATTTACGAAGCACCACTGAGTTGTATACTTAGAAATAATTAAGTGAGGAATGTCAATGTTATGTGATGTGCATTTTACCACAATTTTTTAAAGAAATGGGTATTTTATTCTTTCCTGCTTGGAGGTGACACTTTGTTCAGTCCTTTTTTTCTCTGGGAGTTATATCTGATCTGAGGTGGACAACACCTAATAAATATCCTGATTATAGAACAGAGTGTTTAGAAGATCATTCCAAGGGCAATGGGAAACATGGTAATTTACCAGAAGACTGGAAGCAATTTAGCATCTCTCAGTTTGTGGGAATTTGGCCTATAACTTTGTTTTAAAATACCAAATTGCCATCAGGCCAAAAAATCAAAAGAGAAGACAAGATAAACTGTGGCCCACCTTGCAGACACCACCACCAGGCAAGCTGGCCTCCCTCCCTGGGTAGGAGGTAGCTTCTAGACGGCACATAACCAAATGTCTTTGACATAAAGGCCAGGCGGCTCCAAGCCGCGATGATAGCTTGCACTAACAAAGCAGGGAAGTCCAGACCCTGTTTTATTTACAAAGCCTACGTGCTAGAAACTACAGAGATAAAGCCGTTCCCAGGGGGAGCGGCATCAGCACCAGCCTGGGATGTTCCCCTCTCTCTTGTTTCCGAGACAATATCCAAGCTGAGCAGACTTGTACAGAGAAGCCAAGGAAAGGGACCAAGGAGCCAGGCGCGGTGGCTCACGCCTATAATCCCAGGACTTTGGAGGCCAAGGTGGGCAGATCACTTGAGGTCAGGAGTTCGAGACCAGCCTGGCCAACATGGTGAAACCCCGTCTCTATTAAAAATACAAAAATTAGCTGTGTGTGGTGGCAGGCGCCTGTAATCCCAGCTACTCAGGAGGCTGAGGCAGAAGAATCTCTTGAACCCAGGAGGAAAAGGTTGCAGTGAGCTGAGATCGCACCACTGCACACCAGCCTGGGTGACAGAGTGAGACTCCATCTCAAAAAAAAAGAAAAAGAAAAAAAAGAAAGGGACGAAGGAGTGCTGAGCCTCAGTCACAGGGCAGATGATCACACTCTGGCCCCTAAAGAGGCCCAGGGACTGCTCCATCTCCCCACCGTGCCCAGCCCCACACATTTCTTCAGCGTGCCTGTTAAAATACAAATCATCTCCCATGCCAACAGTTTAGACTCCATCAAGGGTGCACAGAATATGGTGCTGCTGGTCCACGCTGGCAGGGGAGGAGCATCTGGTAGCTCAGTGCTCTCTCCACCTTAAAAGAGCTCCAGAACTGGGGTGAGATATCTGTGGCGAAGTTTTGCTAGAAAAAACTTGGGAGATGAGCCTGTGCTAATGAGGTGACAAATCCCTCCCAAGGCTTTGTCTCCTCTGCACATGTCTGACAAGTAACCCTGGTTGCACATGGTCCACAGTCTCTTCTTGAAGACAAGAGTTAGCAACAGCCTCCTCTCCACCCACATGCCTCACACACACACACACACACACACACTCACACTTTCCCTTCAGTTGCTCAGTGGTTGCTTTGTGCCAGATCTTGTGTTAGAAGAGAGAATAAAACCATGGCTAGAACAAGGGCCCTGATTTTGAAATCCAGTCTAGTCAAGGAGAGAGACCAGCCTACCTCACTACAAGCTCTGTACGTGGAGTGAGGCTTGTGGGAACCCTGGGTTCCAGCTCTGGTGGGATGGAAGCCCAGGAAGGCTGGGGCCAGGGGAGCAGGGAAGGCCTGGGGGAGCGGCCAGTACCTGACTACGTGTAGCATGAGAAGGCGGGGAGCCCGCCTCTGTGCACGGTCACATGGTCACACAGTCACACGGGAGTTCTCACTGCACATGGGCCATCAGCACTTCCCAAATACCAAATCCTGATTATCTGAAATTGATGAGAAGATGGGAACTCGAAATACTTAGACCAATTGAGACAAAAGGATACTGTAACAGTGGTTTTAAATATTAAAACTTAAATATCTATTTATTCAGTTAGCTAAATTCTAGACCCACAAATAAAAGTCCAGAAATTGCTTACTTGTCTTTTCTTATTCACAAGAAAACAAATGCAAATTCTAGTTTCTCTGAATTGCAGAATCTAGCTATGGAAAAGAAGAAAAAGCAGAGGAAGACGAAGGAGGAGAGGAAGAGGAAGAAGAGGAGAAGGAAGCAGAGGGGAGGAGAAGATGGAGAACAGTGAGGAAGAGGAAGAGGAGGAGGAAGGAGAAGAGAGGGAAGAAGGGAGAGGAAGAGGAAGGGCTGAGGGGAGAGGAGGGCAGAGCCACGTGCTAACCGGACCTCTCTCTGCTAGTCACAGGGCACTAACACACGGTCAGCCCTCACTCACATAAACTATAAACGGGATTCTCAAGTCTGTGGGACTCGATATTATCCAGGTTTTGTAGATAAGGAGTGAGAGCTTCTGGAGCGGGTGATTTGCCAGAGATGATATGGCTAACAGGTGATGGCAGCGCCATGGTGGTAGCTTGCGCAGTGTGCCGCATGCTTCTCCAGAACACAAGCGAAGTTAGACTATTTTAAAACAGAACTGGAGTTCTTGGGAAATGGTTTTCATCCTATAGTAAGCTTAGATTCTTCAATTTAACAGAAATGTGTATAGTCACTACCTAGTCGGTCTCCCAAGCTGTAACACCACGTGTCAGCCCCGCTCCAAATCCTAACAATCATGCCTCAAATTCAAGTGTCCCTTCACTGCCACGCCTTCCTTGCACTGGGCCCTCCCTCCTCTCCGTGGAGGCTTCCCCAGGCCCCACCAGTTCTCTCAGACCCTGCTGCAGTCCCCCACACTCCCAAGAAGGGGCTGTGTAGCCAGGCTGCTGGAGCGACAATCACACCAGGCTCCTTTCAGTCCTCAGCTCAGGCCCTGCTGGCTACAGGAAGTAAATGTACACTGTGGTCAGGCCATGGTCATTGCTGGAGCAAGCAGAGTCTATGTAAGAAACTAATGTAAAAGATCATTAACAATGTGGCTGGAACCCACCTTCTAGCCTCATTTCATATCTGTCTTCCTCCTCACTTCTCTCCACCTCCCCATTTGCTGGTCCCGGACCTGGCTGACTGATCTCACAGTCCCCTTTGGGGCCATGATGTTGGCTCACGCAACTCTCTGCTGGCTTCCCACCCCTCCCTTCCTCACCTGACATGGTCCTTTGAGCCAGCTATGTGTGCCCTCCTCTCTTAAAGCCTTGGCTTCTGGCCCCAGCCAGAGTGGGATGCACCATTCCAGGGCCCCCAGAGCTCAGGGATAGAAGTGCATCCTCAGAGAAGCATTTACTATGCTGTACTTTAGCTGTAAGCTCCATGTCTGTCTTCTCCACCAGATTCTGCCTTATTAACCTTCTTCCTTCCACATGCCAATATAGTCCTTCCTCGTTATCCCCGAGGGGTGGGCTCCAGGACCCCAGAGGATACCAAAATCTGCAAAGCTTAAGTCCCTGATATAAAATGGGGTTGCACCTGCATATAAGATACACACAAACTCCCTTATACGTTAAATTATCTCTAGATTACTTATAATATCTAAGACAATGTAGATGTTATGTAAGTAGTTGTTATACTGTATTGGGTTTCTATTTGTATTATTTTTATTGTTGTGTTTTTATGTTTTATTGATTTTTTAAAGTGCATTTGATCCACGATTCCGCGATTGGTTGCATCCACAGATGCGGGACCACCATAGGAAGGGCCAGCTGTGGTGGGCACACTGTAATTGGTCCAGGAATCTGTTGAATGAAGATAAGCAGGAACATCTGAGACCCAGAATCCAGCTTCTCCAGGAGTGGAAGAAATGGCTCCTTACAGGAAATATCTGTGCTTCTGGAACTTAATGGTACAATCTTGTCACTCCTTTACTTCAAAATATTCAGAGCGGCCCAGAATCTCAATTTCCAGAACTGCATCTAGCACTGTGTTAGAGAGCTGATTGCTGTTCTGTGAGTGCCAGCAGGTAAGCCTCAGGGGCCTGGTGATGCCTGTCCAAGGAGAAGAAAGTCCCAGATCCCAGAGCAGCGGCCCCTCACCCTCCCCTGAGCCACTGCATCCCTACAGGCAGCCCCCACTGTTACAAACCAACAGTCACATGGCTGTTGTTTCACCTCCTGTTTCCTTCTCTTCTACCACTTAGTTTTCCTCTTTTCCATCTTCTCTCTTGTTTTACATTTCCCTTTTGCCTGAGCTCTCTTTCTTCCCCTTCTCTCGGCTCCATTTAAACTGGAAAAGTCACTCTAAACTGCATTAGAGCCCACAGAGTCAGGAATGACACCCAGCTCAGCTCCGCCGTAGCAGGATATCCCACACAATGCGCAGAACTTCTCGGAACCTCAGCATCCTCATCTATTATACTAAGGCCTTATACATCGTCGTTACTGTATTTATCTTACTACTCTGAGCTTTCTTTTCTCTTGGTCCTTATTTTCTTACTTTGTCTATTATTTTGTGTTATGAATTTAAGTAAGCTGCTCAAATACTTTTTTAAATGAAATAATAAATACACAAGTCTTTAGGAGTTACAATAATTTAACTAGCTAAATCTGCAATGGGTTTAGCACAATGCCTAGCAAATGTTAGTTCACTCACAATGTTAGCTCTTTTCCCAGCTCTCATATAGTATTATTTACTTATTCTCAATTTATTTTATATATATTTAAAGTATACAGCATGACGTTTTGATATACATATAATAGTGAAATGATTACTACAGTCAAACTCACGTATCCATCACCTTCTTTTTCTTGTATTAAGCATGCCTAAAATCTACTTGCTTCACATATTTTCAGTATATAATTGGCTTCCATATCCTCCCATTCTGCATCCATAGATTCAGCCAATTGTAAATAGAAAACATTTTTAAATAAAAATAAACATTTAAAAGTAATACAAATGAAAATATAACCACTATTTACATTGTATTGGGTATTATTACTAACCTGGAGATGATTTAAAGTATATGGGAAGGGCCAGGTACGGTGGCTCACGCCTGTGATCCCAGCACTTTGGGAGAATGAGGTGGGCAGATCGCCTTATGTCAGGAGTTCGAAACCAGCCTGATCAACATGGCGAAACCCTGTCTCTACTACAAATACAAAAATTAGCTGGGTGTGGTGGTGCACACCTGTAATCCCAGCTACTTGGGAGTCTGAGGCAAGAGAACCCGGGAGGCGGAGGTTGCAGTGAGGTGAGATCATGCCATTGCACTCCAGCCTGGGCAACAAGAATGAAACTCTGTCTCAAAAAATAAAATAAATAAAGTATATGGGGGATGTGTATAGGTTATATGCAAATACTATGCCATTTTATATAAGAGGCTTGAACATTCACAGATGTTGGTATCCTCATGGGTCCTGGAACAAATCCCCCAAGGAGAGATGACTGTACAATATTATTAACTATAGTGCTCCTGCTGCAGAGTGCATCCCTAGACTTATTCTATAGCTGTTTACTTATTTCACAAAGGTATTGTGAGATTTAAAGGAAACATGATGTTACCTTCACTCCTCACCAGAAAGTTTCCTTTTCTTTTTTTTCCCTTCTCTATTATTTTAGTCACTTAGAGTTATTGCATTCAAACATGGGCTAGTGATGATAACAGTGATAACAGCCTGTGTTTATAGAAATAGAACTATATCTAATGCTAACTTTGTGATTCTCTGCTGTAAGAACTTTAGAGATATTAACTCATTTAATCCAGCAAAGAAAACTTCGAAGGACCTTTTGAAGTGTTAATGTTTCTATCCCCATTTTAATAGGTATATGCAAACTGAGGCACTATGTTTAGTAAGCTGCCCAGAGTTACTGGTGTGAATTCAGGTAAGCTGTTCCTTAGCCTGGGATTTCAGTTCTAACACTGAACTTTCCCTACATAGCAATTTGGCGAGAAAGAATTAGCTCCATCAATGCCAGCCTCTCTCTCTCTCTCTCTAATTAAAGCTAGGCATTTTGCCTTGCCCTATTCCAAGGTATAGTCTGAAATGCTCCATAGCTCTGCCCAGAAGAAATGTGGCTCAGCATTTTAACTTTTCCTCCTTATCTTCAAGAGCTTTAGTCATAATGCATGGACTAAAGCTATAATGATTGTGGATGAGCTCGTTTCCTGGGGATGAGTCTGATGGCTCAAGGAGCAGCCAAGGAGGCCAAGTAACTTGAGCTGGGCCAGTTAGTCATCCACCCACAGGAAACCATCCAGACCAGGACCCAGAGGGGCATATGTACAGAAACAGCCCGTGCAGATATGGGGGTGCTGTCCTTTCTTCTTTCTTCTTGTTTATGAACTGGGCAGCTTCTGAGCCACCTCCACCGACTGGGCTAGGTGAGCCACGGAACTATACTATTCAGAGAAAGGATCATGATGTAGAATTCCCAGGTCATGGACATCTCCAGCCTCAGCCAAGGCCCAGCTCCACAGTGAGAAGGAGCATCCATTTCAGATCAAGAGTCTCCAGGAATGATGGCTAATGCCACCTATGGGGTCAAGTTCTCCAGCCTCAGAACTGGCCCTGTTCACCCACTGAAGGGCCAGCCGTGACCTCATGGGCTCTCTCTCCAGAACCGAGGCTAGAGGACTCACTCACAGGAGAGTCAATAATGGGTTCTTTTTAGTGGATAGAATTGTAATAAATCAACACTCAAAGGGAAGACAAGATCTACTCACACCATGTGTTACTGTCTGGGTAATTTGAAATTTGAGGTGTAACTAGTCTAGATTAAGAACTGTTTTTTTGTAATTTAATGTTTTAGCTTTACCCATAGACCTTCAAAACTGTTTTCCCATAGTTACAAAGATTTGCTTGCAAGTAAGCTTCCTTGCAACTTTAGTGACAAGTTAAGAATGATTTGTAATTAGCATCTTCAGGCTTCCTGAGCATGTATGTGCCTGGGCAAAAGCAGCTGACTTGCCTGAGAGGAGCAAACACTGTTATCTTATTGATGCTGTTAAATTGTTTGGGAAACACTCTCTCCTTAGATGGGTAGGTGGTATACTTAAAAAGTTTTGCTTAGCTACCTACAAATTATCACAGACTCCAAAGAGTAGGATCTCTATTAATAAATGTGTACCATGTTTCAAATGGTCTGTTTCTGTCTATGGTAATGATCTAGAAGGAGCGCAGGATCTGACTCTGAGGTCAGCCTCTCTGAGATCCAAGAGCAGCAGTTGAAAACTCTGAACTGTTGTTGAACTCAACATAGAGAGTAGATGCTAAATAATATTTGCTGAAGATGAAAAGGAGACAGGTGAAGAAGAGAATGAGGAGGGAAAAAAGGAGGACAAGAGAAACGGCAAGAGAGAGAAAAATGATCTTTGTATTTTCTGAACCATAAGCTAAAAGTCGTAAACTCATTCACCAGACTCATTACATTAGATGATGTCTTCTAAGCAACCCTGTTTTCTAAATGTTTGTTATGTATCACAAACCCTCCAGGATTATAAGAAATCCCAAAAATACCTTTAAATTCAAAGTATCTAAAAACAAATGTGAAATACACATATTATGATTGACCTGTAATGTAATTACGTAATTAACACTGTAATAAGATCATCACAGAATGAGGCCTCATAAATATTAGATTGAAATATAATACGATATTATAAATCTAAAATGCTAAAAAAAAATCTGTAAAATAATTATTTTCATGACGTTCACTCCGAGTTTCTAAAAATCTAAGATTATCCTTATACGGGAAAATAAGTTTTGGGTGGATAGCTATTTAATTTTCACTTGGGCAAACTTTTTACACTAATGTAAATGTTTCTTTTAAAAATTCTTATAGAGACAAGAAAATAACATTAACAAGTTCTGTAAAACCAGAAGAAATTTCTGATGACTACTCTATTTTTACAATTTTTTAGAGGCATGCTGCTCCAAATATCTGGGTGATTACATACCCACTCATGTATTTCCTCCTCATGTTTATTTTGGAAAGATGGCAGGTTATTTTGAAAGAAAGGAAGAAAAAACAGACTACAGAGGAAACAGAGTTGCCTTGTATCTCATAGGGCAGTGGATTACTAAAATTACCAGACTTCACGGAAGAGAACAGAAAATGCACTGCTTTTGTTCATTTTATTAAATTTCAAAGCAGTTACAAGGTGATTTATATGTCCATATTACTGAGACAAATAATGATGACAATAATAAACCTTAATTCAAGGAATTTTCCCTTAAGCACAAAACTAGTAATGATTAGGGTGACATTTTTTCCTGAGCTTTAGCTATCAGACAAAACTATCTTCCAATACTTTCCAGACCAACTTAGTTTTATAGCTGATGATAGCACTGATAATTCAGAGATTAGGTAATAGTACAAAAATATAATATAAGTATTACAAATCAAAGGTTAAGGTTTTGTTAAGATTTTTTGCTAGTAAGTATTAATTTGAAGCATTCATTCATTCAGTCAACGGAAATGTGCTAGGCACTTACTGTGTGCTGCAAAACTATACCAGGCATGGGAAAGTGACAGACATGACGTCCCTGGCCCAGGATGCTCACAGTCTGCCTGTGTGGCCTCAGATGTGGCAGTGAAAGTCATGAGAAACAGCAACTGAACACTGATGCTTGTAATAAAGCATCACTTCTCATACAATTCATTGAGCGAGCTTCTAAAAATATGAATTTTTATCTTTCTGAAGAGGAGATAGATTTTACATTGATTTATGTCTGAAAAAGTGTCCTTCCTCTAACAATGAAAAATGTCTACTGTACAACATTATTTTAATTGTGTCTCTGCAGGAAGGAACAAGTCCAGAATGATCAAGATGGTTGTAATCAATGACCTCTTCCAAGATACCTTGAACTTTCTTTTGTTGATGGGACCTTCTAAAAGTGGTCTGGGAGTCAGACCACTTTCTGGCTTACACCCATTTTAAACATCGCTTAATCGCATGATGTGACAATTTGTTATCAGATGACCCTGTGCTCATACACAAACACAGCCACTATCAGGCACAGACAGGCCATAATCTGGCAAAACCTTGATGAAACAGAAATAAACACAATGTGTAGTGCATATTAGTAAATGCAGGCATTCTGGCACACACGAACATTACAAACACCCTTGAAAGGAAAATGCTATGAGGCTATGTTTCCTTATATGAACCTTTCCATCTATATAAACAAGGATAGAGAAAAGGGAAAGAAGTGAAGCTTTGGAAATAGTGTATCTCCTCTTCAATCTTGGAAACAGCAACTCCCCTCTTAAGAACTAATAGTTTCCGTAATGTGTCATTTTCTCAGGGGGAGGGGACTAAGGTACAGCTAGACTGGCCCCTTCTGCCTGAGAGCTTACTCATTTGAAAGTAAGTGGAAAGTGGGTTAGGATGGAGGGTCTTAAAGCCTGTTTGCAGCCTAGTACCCGTCTCAGGACAAAGCTTTTACTGATCCTAGACAAATGAAAAACAAGACACTGGAATGAATTTTTCACAAAGCTAATCTTTAAATTTATCTGTATTTATTTTTGAAGACACAATACAAACTTCAAAAGGTGTAAAAGGGAATTCAATGAAGAGTAAGTCTCCCTCTCTCCCAGTCCACTCTTGGGAGCACATTGGATGGATCCACCCGATCCATTGTTCTGCACCTTGCCTTTTTTTAAGACTTAATTTATCCTGGAGATCTTTGTCAGTAGATATAGACCTACTTCATTCCATACAGCTAAATGTTCTCACATAGTTTTGTATTATCATGCCATTTCTTTGATCCATTGTTGCTGATAATAAATTGAGCTTTTGAAAAAAAAATGCTCTTAGTTGGCAAAATTAAAAGTTGGCCAGCCTGTTTCTGTGTATGCACAATACCCACCCCTTAAGCATGTTTTTTTGTTGTTGTTCTTGTTTGTTTGTTTATTGGGGGTGTTTTGCTTGTTTTTTGGAGTTTTTGGTTTTTTTGAGACAGGGTCTTGCCTTGTCACCCAGGCTGGAGTGCAGTGGTAGGATCTCGGCGCACTGCCGCCTCGACTTCCCAGGCTCAAGCAATCCTTTCATCTCAGCCTCCTGAGTAGCTGGGACCACATGCAAGTGCCACCATGCCCGGCCAATTTTTCTATTAATTTGGAGAGATGGGGTCTTGCTATGTCGCCCAGGCTGGTCTCAAACTCCTGGCCTCAAGCACTCCTACTTTGGCCTCCAAAAGTGCTGAGATTATAGGTATGAGCCATGCCACCAGCCACAGCATGTTATTTTTTAAAATTCCAGTTCAGGAAATTTAGAAATCTAAGAACCAATGGGTTCTTATTTGGTTCTTTAGTGACAGAAAATTAGACTTGAAACCCAGAGAACCAGAAAATAATGGTTAGTGTTAAAATAAATTTTATATTATATTAAATGTAACATAATTGCCATCATGTTAATTTTTAACTTTTTTTTTTTTTTTAACAGGCTCTCACTCTGTTGCCCAGGCTGGAGTGCAGTGGTATGATCATGGCTCACTGCAGCCTCTACCTCCTGGGCTTAAGCAATCCTTTCCCCTCGGCCTCCTGAGTAGTTGCAACTGCAGTCATGAGCCACTGTGCCCTGCTAGTTTTTTTGTTTGTTTGTTTGTTTAGATACAAGGTCTCGCTATATTGCCGAGGCTGGTCTTGAACTCCTTGGCTCAAGTGGTCCTCCTACCTCAGCCTCCCAAAGTGCTGGGATTACAGGTATGAGCTACTTTACCTGGACTAATTTTTAATGTTTAATATGTAAAATAGATATGATTTTTAAGTTTTAATGTATTCCCCCAAAAGTTAAGATTTCTACCAAAGAATAAACTGATTCTCTTAGAATTTGACTCTGTGTTATCCAAGGCAGTTCCATGGCTGTCTCCATAAGCTGTGTCACAGGCTATAAGAAGAGTTGGTTATTAACAGCACGTGGGAAAGCTAACATTCATCAGATGCACCAAAATTAACAGGCACTACAAACTCCAGTAAGTACATTTTAGAATTTATTTTAGAATAAAAGCTAAAATAAATCTTAAAACAATAAACAGGAAGGCTGAAATTAGTTTTAAAACAGTGAAAACAAAACTCAAGAAGCTGATTGAAAACAGTTAAAAAGTAGCTGGGCGTGGTGGCTCACCCCTCTAAACTCAGCACTTTGGGAGGCTTAGGTGGGGGGATCATTTGAGTCCAGGAGACATGGCAAGATCTCGACTCTACAATATCCAAGACAGGCCAGGGCATGGTGGCCGGGCATGGTGGCACACGCCTGTAGTTCAAGGTACTCAGGAGGCTGAGGCAGGACGATCACTTGAGCCTGGGAGGTCAAGGCTGCAGTGAGCCATGATCGTGCCACTGAACTCCAGCCTCAGCCACAGAGTAAGACCTTGTCTCAAAAAAATAAAGAAAAGCATTGAAGAAAAGCAGTTGAAAAGCATTTTAGTTAGGTGTTAGGTCAGGTTAAAACATGAGAAATTTTAATATTGTTTCTTAAACATTTTAGTTGTTTTGCAGCTTTTTTGGTGTAAGCAGTGTTCTGTATATCTGAAACTCTGTATTTATATAATCTGCTCCAGAGAGCAGCCTAAATTTCAGCCAATTGTCAAAAAGATAATTATTTGATAAAATTTAATTTGCTTCAGATCCTTGTTCTTCTAAAAACTGAAACTGAAGACTGTTCTAAAGATTTCCTTCACCCCCTGATCCCTCGAGTACATCTGTCTCCCTGATCCCTCAAGTTAACATCTGTCTTCCTATAATTGGAGGATGACATTTCTCCACCTGGCTCTGAAACTGGTACTTGAAGAGTCACCAAAAACTCCACAGCTAACCCGCACCGTGAGCTTTCGTCCATCCCCAACTGCTCAGCACTCTCTAATGCTGACTCCTTGACCCAAGACTCAGGCCTTTCTTGGATATTGTAACCCTGGGCACTTTTCCTGTTGGATGTCTACACTCTAAGAGCTCCCTGCTGCTAGTTTCCTTGGTTCCTTCTACTGCTCTTCAAGGCCACCAGCCTCAAAGTTCTTCCTCCACAGTGTTCCCTAATCCAAGCTCACACTCTTCCTCCCTGTGGGTGAGTCGGTCCATGCCACAGTCTACCTCCCACCTCTGTGCAAATGACCACCGCCTCTGGCATATTTCCATGAGAACTTTCCACAAGCCCCAGTCCATATTTCTAACCACCTGATGATTGCTTGGTGACCTCAGACCCATCATTTACATCGCAGACCCCTTCCTGCTCCCTCCAGCCACTGGTCCAGTCGCAGGGCCCTCCACCAGCACCTAGGCCCTGCCAGCTCCACAGCTCTTTCATGGAAGAAGTCAGGCACTGTGCTGCGGCCGCAGGGAGGAGTCAGGAAAGGTCAAACTGCCACTGACTGAGCAAAAGAACATCTTTGCTCTTAATCAGGAAAAATCTCATTAAAATGTGGAGTGGCCCCTGAGGAGCAGGGGGAAAGAAACTGCGTTTTTGTGGTAGTTCTTCAAAAGAAAATCAGGGCCGGGTGCCATGGCTCATGCCTGTAATTCCAGGACTTTGGGAGGCGGAGGCGGGCAGATCATAAGGTCAGGAGTTCGAGACAAGCCTGGCCAATATGGTGAAACGCCATCTCTACTAAAAACACAAAAATTAGCCGGGCATGGTGGCATGAACCTATAGTAGTAATCCCAGCTACTCGGGACTGAGGCAGAAGAATTACTTGAACCCAGGAGGCAGAGGTTGCAGTGAGCCGAGATCGCGCCACTTCACTCCAGCCTGGGCGACAGAGCAAGACTCCATCACAAAAAAAAAAAAAGCAAATCGGTTAAAAGGCTGAACCATACAAGTACTGGATATAAACAAACTCATCAGTCATTTCCATCTGTAACTTCTATCAAGGAGGGTTATAGCTGGTCAAAGAGTTATTTTATGAAGTTGTGTCAAAAGCAAGAAGGACATCCCTGATTTCTCAAAGATTCCATGGGAACTTGATGACCTGTGCTCAATAATGTTTTTTTTCTGTATCCTTTCACCTGAAAAAAGCATACTGTATAGTAGGAAAGGAAAAGAGAAAAAGGGGGAAAGATTCAAGATAGCTACTAATAAATTACTAATAGTTACCATTTATTGATAGCCTAAGATGAACCCAGTGTAATAAGCATTTCACGTGCCTTGCAAAATCCCATGAGAGAGATATTATCATCCCCATCATACAAATGAAGAAGGAGGTTCAGAGAGGTTAGGTCATTTCTCTAGGGGACACACAGCTAAGAGCTAAGATTCCAACCAAGGTCTACCCAGTGCCAAATCCAGTGCTTTTTTTGCCTTATTCTCCTCCATCCAAAAGGAAGATTCTAGAAAAAATGCCATCTATCCTTACAAAGAATTCTAGGCCTTTAAAACTATAATTAGCTGATGCTTCAGAAGTCATTAATTATTAGTAATATATGTAGAAAAAAATTCGGAGTGTTTTTTTTAATTTGTTCCAATAATGTGATGTATTTAACTCTTTAAAACAGCAATGGATGATGGCTGGGCATGGTGGCTCATGCCTGTAATCCCAGCACTTTGGAAGGCCAAGGCGGGAGGATCACTTGAGGTCAGGAGTTCGAGACCAGCCTGGCTAACATGGTGAAACCCCATCTCTACTCAAAATACAAAAAATTAGCTGGGCATGGTGGCAGGCACCTGTAATCCCAGCTACACAGGAGACTGAGGCAGGAGAATTGCTTCAACGCGGGAGGCGGAGGTTGCAGTGAGCCAAGATCGCGCCACTACACTCCAGCCTAGGCAACAGAGAGACAGTCCATCTTAAAAACAAAACAAAACAAAACAAACAAACAACAAAAAAAACCCAGCAATGGATATAAAGACACATTGTCAAAAAACTTGCCATTTCGGAACAAAGCATGATTGTGCTCCCTAATTGTGAGTTTAGTGCACGTTGTGTAGCCATCCTCCTACATCCCCTGACCCCCTTGCTAAACTGCCAAACTCTCCTTCCTCTAGGGTGCTCAGAGGTAAAATGTGCTCCATAGGTAAAGTATATGCTCAACTGCCATTGTAATAAAGATTAACAAGCAACTAGTACTTGCTAAGCTAAGCCCTTCATGTGCGATGCCTAACCTCACCCTCACAGGATCCCTGAGACATAGACATTACGGGATTCCTTTTACAGACGATGAAGCTTAATGTTGGAGAGGATGAAGCATTAGCAAAGCATACAGCTAGTCAGTGAGTTCCTACTCATACTGTGAAACTTCGGAATCTCTGTTCTTAACCTCCAGCCTGTCATCACTCTTCTCTTCCTGTTCATCCTTCTCGTGACTTAGCACCCCTCCTCTGTAAAATACCTCTGTGTCAAGTACCTGACACAGATGAGAGACCAGTGCTCCGGGTAACGGAGTCTAAACACCACCTTTGACTCCAGAGTCTTTTGGGGGAGATGAAATTGTTCAATACTCCCCAGCAAAAGGCAACTGAATTTATTAACTCTATTAAATACAATTTCTAAGTGAGATTGTCTATTCACTTGTTGTCTATCACATTCCAAATATGTTGGGTTTTTTTGTTGTTGTTTTTTTTTTTTTCAAACTAAACTTGTTTCCTGCACGATTTGTCTCACCAGTCATCATCCACAGGACTCAGGGAAGCTATAGGAATATGCAGGCGCAGACAGGAGACCCAGCTTCATCTCCAGCATTGTGGAAAGGGGCTGTACTGTACGTCATGGACCAAACGTCTATGCTCCCCAACACCACTTCCACAGAGCCTGGGGAGAGTGACCTCCCAGACTATCCATGTTGGAATTTTATTTATTCTTGAAAGCTCTTGCAAGGTTTGTGTTCTAAACTTCACACTTATTACTCAGCGTGTCTCCCTTTTATTACTAGAGATTTCCCAAAGTGGATAAATGCAGTCAGCAGTCAAATTCCTGGAGACTGGTCGGCTCTGACTGGAAGGAAGTGACATAAAATGGTGAGACCAGGCTTCGTAATCAGACAGTCCTGGGTTTGCCTCTTGACTCTGCCACTTGCATTTTATGCTGTGTGAACTTAAGTTACTTACTTAACCTTTCTGAGTTGGTTTCCTCAGTATCCATGTTACCAATCCCATTTTCTGTCTCTTGATGTTTGCACTGAATATTTTATGGGCATTGATTGCCAAATTTGGTGCCTGCCTCCCTAGTCTCCATCAGGCTGCTGGAGTGCAGTAGCGCGATCTCGGCTCACTGCAACCTCCGCTTCCCAGGTTCGAGTGATTCTCCTGCCTCAGCCTCCCATGTAGCTGGGATTACAGGCGCACGCCATCATGCCTGGCTGATTTTTGTATTTTTAGTAGAGACAGCGTTTCACCATGTTGGCCAAGCTGGTCTCAAACTCCTGACCTCAAGTGATCTGACTGCCTTGGCCTCCCAAAGTGCTGGGATTATAGGCATGTGCCACCACCCCTCACCCTAAAGTATATTTTGAATCTGTATCCTCTCTTCTTCAGAACTACTACCATAGGTCATACCATCATCATTCTTTTCCTGGACACCAAAATGTTCTCAAAATTAGTTTGCCCCATTGCTTTCTTCTCCCCTTCAATCTCTTCTCCATCCATCAGCCAGAGTGATCTTTTTAAAAAGAAAAGGGATTGTGTCATTCCCTCGTCAAAATCATGCAATGGCTCCTAACTCAATAATTTCAAACTCTTCTTCACACCCGTTAGGATTACTATTACAGAAAAACAAAAATCAGGAAAAATCATAAGTGCTGGCAAGGGTGTGATGCAACTGGAACCCCTGTACATTGCTGGTGAGAGTGTAAAATGTGCAGCTGCTATGGAAAACAGCGTGGCGACTCTAAAAAAATAAAATGTAGAATTACCATATGATCCAGAAATTCCATTTCTGATTATATACCCAAAAGAATTGAAAGCAGCAACTCAAACAGGTATTTGTACACCGGTGTTTGTAACAGCATTGTTCATAATAACCAAAATATGGGAATAATCCAAAAGTCCATCAATAGGTGAATGGATAAACAAAACATGGCATATGCATATAATGGGATATCATTCAACCTTAAAAAGGAATGAAATTCTGATGCATTCTACAACATGGATGAACGCTGAGGACATAGTGCTGAGCGAAATCAGCCAGTCAAAAAAGACAGATACTTTACAATCCTACCCACACGGGGTACCTCGAGTACTCAAATTCATAGAGACAGAAAGTAGAATTGTGGTTGCCACGGGCTGCGAGGAGAGGGAAATGGGAGTTGGTGTTTAATGGGTACAGAGAGTCAGCTTGGGAAGATGAAAGAGTTCTAGAGATGGAAGGTGGTGATGCTTGCACACAATGTGAATATACTTAATGCCACTGAACAGTACACTTAAAAATAGTCCAGATGGCAAATTTTGTCTTATGTGTATTTACCACAGTAAAAATAATATCCAAAACTTTTACCATGATCTAAGAGGCCATAGGTGATCTAGTCCTTGCCTATCTCTCGACCTGCCCTCTCATTCATTCCCACCCTGGCTGCACTCTCTGGGCTCTGGCCGTTTGTCCCTTCTGTTCACCGTCAGACTCCCTCCTACCTTGGAATATCGGCCATTCCCTCCGCTCCACCCCAGTGGGCTGCTTCTCCTCCACCGGCCTCAATAAACAGCTCCACAGAGAAGCCTTCCCTCACAGTTCAGTCTTAAGCCCGCTATTTTTCCTGTCATATTTTACTTCTTCCTAATGTGTCACAGCAGAGTTCATATTCACACTTAGTAGCTTAATGAAAGCTGCCTCGTTCTTTAAGTAAAAGCCCTGATCTCTCGTCACCCATGAGGCTTCCATCCACGACTGAGGTAATGTTCCCTTGGAAATAATAACTCAGGATGGTTGTGTACCTTTAATGAGAATTTTTGAGTACTCTTTACTTGTTTACTTTACCCATCCTAAAAAGGAGACTTCAAACTGTTTACCCAGACTCTTAATTTAGTAGTTTCCATGGTGGGGGGAGGGGAAACTCTTCAACTTTCAGATTAAAAAATAAATACATTTCAAAAGGCTTCCTTCATCCCTGCCTTCCATCGTGGGAGTGGTTCTGCAAGGGGGAATTCCTCTGAAATAAAATTGGGAATGGCTCCAAGAGAGTTCATGTTTCCAATATTAAGTCTTCTGACTTCTGAGGACATGGCCCGCCCACTCTTTAATCATATCTGAGGAAATTCCCCTTGCCTGGGTAAAAGATCATAATATCTTAAGAAGGTTCATGAGCTCATGAAAGGCAACTGCATTCAGAAAGCCGAGACACTCCCAGAAATCTCGTTTAAGCTACTTTTCCCTTTCATTAACCCCTTGAATTTTCCAGATCAGGACCATACCAAATTTTAAATTATTTTCAACATAGCTTTTAATTTACTACACTGCAAAGCAGAGAACAGCACATGCGCTATTTCTCTGAAACTCTTCTTGTTGCATTGTCTTCATGAATATTAAAGAGCTCAGACAGATAAGCTTTAAATATTTTGTGAGCCCCATCTTCTCTTAAATGAATTTGGCACTCCATATGTTAATTTTCAACGTGATGTTTACCTAATGTCCACTTTGAAGTTGTATGAGAGAGAGAAAGTAGTACAGCAGCAGCAGATCTCAGATGATGAGAAACAAAAAAGCTTTCTTTACTTTTCTTTTCGTTTCTTTTCTTTTCTTTCTTTTCTTTTCTTTTTTTGGGACAGAGTCTTGCTCTGTCACCCAGGCTGGAACGCAGTGGCTCGATTTTGGCTCACCTCAGTCTCCTAGGTTCAAGCAATTCTCCTGCCTCAGCCTCCCCCAGTAGTTGGGATTACAGGTGTGCACCACCACACCCGGCTAATTTTTGTATTTTTTTTACTAGAGACAAGATTTTGTCATGTTGGCCAGGCTGGTCTAGAACTCCTGACCTCAAATGATTCACCCACCTCGACCTCCCAAAGTGCTGGGATTATAGGTGTGAGCAACCACGCCCAGCCCAAAAAAGCTTTCTTAATCACTGAAATGCTTAAAATTTGCAAAGAATGCCAAAGATGTCGGTACTAAACGTGTGTCTGTTCACATGACATCATTCACAGCCCTCTACCTACCCTGTTTCTTCACAGCAGGCATGTAATAAAATGAAGGAAATGGCATAAAGTATAATTCACTGTATGTGGAAAACCATTCCCCACAACTGCTGTAAACACTGCAGCTTGCACAGATGCCATGTGTATTATTTATTTTCTGGGCTCAAAAAACGAAAGACTAAAACTTCAGGTGAAAATGAGGGATAGAGAGGGAAAATGATCTCATATGAACCCCATTCCAACTAGTGTAAAGAAAGTGTAAGTCTGGAAATAAAGAAAGCATTTTATAGATGACAGTTGTTTGTAAATGTAGAAAGCAAGAGATTTCCATTTACAGACCCTGAGCGCATTCCAGTACAGTGTCAAGTTTTGTGTGGCGATAAGGCCAGTGCAGGAAGCCACGCGAGGCCAGGAAGGAAGTGCTATCAGCCTTGGAGCGGGCAGGGTCGTGCAGGGAGCTGGGCAGGCTCAGGGCCTCAGCTGTGTAACCACTGCCCTATTTTTAAAAGATAAACAGCACGAATAGCACAGAATCCACATGGGGGCTGCCTCAGATTCATCCAAACCACACAAGGAGCTCTCTCTTCACTTTGGCCAGGCTTTGCAAGTCTCCCCAAAATGAATAAGGGGCGGAGATTGCTTGTGATGATTTGATTATGGCTTTTGACCCAGTATCCACAGCTGGCTTTCAGGGCCTCTCCTTCTCCTAGCAGATTTTCAAGTGTCTTGTTTCTCTCAGCCACCCTCCACCCACTCTCACCACCACTTGCTGGAAAGAAATCCTAATATGAGTTAATGGTAAGAAGAGCAAGTTCTCACCTTATTAAGAAACCAACAGACATCTTTAAAATGTAGTCAGCCAACAGAACTCACTAAGCTAAAGACCTGGACAATGCTTTTTAGTCAGTGTTCATGTCCAGATCAACAAGCAGTTATTGGGTGCTCGCTGTGCTGGATTAGTTGGCTGCCCTGGTCCTCATGGAGCACACAGTGTCGAGTGTTAAGATGTTTACTCTTTTTTTAAGACACTAACACTGGGCATGAACTGTGGTCAGGGCAGTGATAATGGTAGAGAGTAGGCACCACAGGAAGACCAACAAGGGGGTCCTAACCCAAGCTCAGGGTGGGAGTGGGGACCAAGAAAAACTCAAGTGTGAGTGGGCACTGCCTGAAAGAGGTGAGAAGAAAAGCGAAGGAGGGAAAGTACGTTCCCAGCCACACCAGCAGCATCTTCCCAGGGACAGAGGCCAGAGACAGCATGCAGCCGCTACCGGATCACACAGTCCATGTGGCAAGAATGGGTCACCAGGCACTTTCCCATTGCTTTGAGGAGTGAACAGCTCCATGGGACTGGGAAAATGAGGAGGAATGAAGCTATAGGTTCAGAGGTCCTGGCGGATCCCTGGAAGCCTGTGGTCTGACCTCTTGAGGCCATTCTGCCTACTGGAGTGAGCGGGTGCATCCATTAGGAGGCAGCCACAGAGATTGCAGGAAGGAAACCAAACCACCGGAAAATTCAGCAACAGCGCAGTTTTAGGCAAAAAAGATTGATAAATCTGACCACATAATTTTAATTTTGTTCATCAAAAGATATAATTAAGAGAGTGAAAAACTCCTGATGAATCAATAAGAAAATAAGGGAAGACAATGCAAAAATGGACAAAAAAACTTCAATAGGAACTTCACAAAAGAGGAAATTCAAATAGCCAAGGAACTACATGAAAATGTACCCATATCATTAGCCATGTAAACTAAAACCAACAAAAGGACACAGTTATTTTTTGTTTGTTTGTTTGTTTGCTTGAGACAGGATCTCACTCTGTCACCCAGGCTGGGATGCAGTGGCACAATTATAGCTCACTGTATCCTTGAACTCCTGGGTTCAAGCAATCCACCATACCTGGCTATTTTTTTATTTTAATAGAAACAAAAATCTCACTATTTTTTCCAAGCAGGTCTCAAACCTCTGACCTCAAGCAATCTTCATGCCTTGGCCTGCCAAGGTGCTAGGATTACAAGTGTGAGCCACCACACGCAGCCCTTATTTTTATTTATTTATTTATTTTTTTCTAAGACAGGGTCTCTGTCGCCCAGGCTGGAGTGCAGTGGTGTGATCTCAGCTCACTACAACCTCCGCCTCCCAGGCTCAAGTGATCCTCCTGCCTCGGCCTTCTGAATAGCTGAGCCCACAGGCACTCGCAACCATGCCTAGCTAATTTTTTGTATTTTTGGAAGAGACAGGGTTTCACTGGGTTGGCCAGGCTGGTCTCAAACTCCTGAGCTCAAGTGATCCACCCACCTCGGCCTCCAAAAGTGCTGGGATTACAGGCAAGAACCACCACGCCCAGCCCCAGCCCTTTTTTTTAAGATCTTTTTTTTTTTTTTAACAGTTTTAGGTTTGCAGCAAAATTCCAAGGGAATTACAGAGATTTCCTATATACTCTGCTCCCACATATGCATAGCCTCCCCCATTATCAACACCCCCAACAGAGTGGTACATCTGTTACAATTTATGAACACTGACACATCATAATCACTCAAAGTCAACAGTTACATTAGGGTTCACTCTTGGTGTTACACCTTCTATGGATTTCAACAAGTGTATAATGACATGTATCACAGAGTATTTTCTTTGCTCTAAAAATCTTTTGTGCTCCACCTGTTCCTCCTCCACTCCACCAGCCCCTTACAACCACTGATCTTTCTATTATCCCTATAGTTTTGGCTTTTCCACAGTGTCATATAGTTGGAATCATACAGTATGTAGCCTTTTCAGATTGGCTTATTTTACTTAGTAATATGCATTTAGGGTTCCTTCATGTCTTTTCATAGCTTGATAGTTCATTTCTTGTTAGCACTGAATAATATTCCATTCTCAACATGTTTGTTTATTTATTTGTTTATTTATTTATTTATTTATTTATTCTTGCTTCCAAGACATCTTGCTTCCAAGTTTTGGTGATCATGAACAAAGCTGCTATAAGAAACCATGTGCAGGTTTTTGTGTGGACATAAGTTTTCGACTCCTTTGGGTAAACACCAAAGAGTACAGCTGCTGGTTTATACGGTAAAGATATGTTTAGTTTGGTAAGAAACCACTAAACTATCCTCCAAAGTGGCTTTACCATTTTGCTTTCCTGCCAGCAATGAATGAGAGTTCTGCTGCTCCACATTCTCACCAGCATTTGTTGTTGTCAGTGTTCCAGATTTTGGCCATTTAATAGGTATGTAGTAATATCTCATTATTGTTTTAATTTGCATTTTTCCGATGATGTATAATGTGGAGCATCATATGCATATTTGCCAGCTATGTATCTTCTTTACTGAGGTATTGCTAAGGTCTTTGACCTGTTTATTGGGTTGTTCTTTTCTTGTTGAGTTCCTTGAATATTTTGAGTAACAGTTCTTTATATGATGTGTATTCTGTAAATATTTTCAAGTCTGTAGCTTATCTTTTCATTCGCTTGACACTGTCTTTGGCATAGTAAAGGTTTTTAATTTTAATGAAGTCCAGCTTATCAATTAGTTCTTTCAGGATCCTGCTTTTGGTGTTATATCTAAAAAGTCATCCCCATACCACAGTCACCTAGGTTTCTTCCATCTTCTAGGAGTTTAATAGTTTTGGTCTTTACATTTAGGTCTATGATCTATTTGGAGTTAATTTTTGTGAAGGGTGTAAGATCTGTGTCTAGATGTATGTGTGTGTGTGTGTGTGTGTGTGTGTGCATGTCCACACAGTTCCAGTACTTTTTGTTGAAAAGACTAACTTTGCTCCATTGTAAAAGATTAGTTGACTATATTTATGTGTGTCTATTTCTGGGTTCCCTATTCTCTTCCATTGATCTATTTATCTGTTATTTTGCCAAAACCACACTGTCTTGATTACTATAGCTTTATATAAAGTCTTGAAGTCAGATAGTGTCAGTCCTCCAACTTTATTCTTATCCTTCAATATTGTGTTGGCCACACTGGGTCTTTTGTCTCTCCATATAAACTCTAGAATGTGTTAGAAGATATTCAAAAAACTTACAGGAATTTTGATTGGGATTGCATTGAATCTATAGATTAAGTTGGGAAGAACTGGCATCTTTACAATATTGAGCCTTCTTATCCATGAACATGAAATAGCTCCCTATTTATTTAGTTATTTGATTTTGTTCATTAGAATGTTGTGATTTTCTTCATGTAGCTCCTGTACATATTTTTGTTAGATCTATGCCAAAGTATTTTTCATTTTTTGGTGCTAATGTAAATGGTGTTGTGTTTTTAGTTTAAATTCCACTTGTTCATTGCTGGTGTATAGAAAAACTGTTGACTTTTCTGTATTAATCTTGTATCCTGCAATCTTGCTATAATTGCTTATTAGTTCAGGAGTATTTTTGTTGAATTTTTTGAATTTTTTTATACAGACAGTCATGTCATCTGTGAACAAAGATAGTTTTATTTGTTCCTTCCCAATCTGTATAACCTTTATTTCCTCTTTTTTTTTTATTGCATAAGCTAGGACTTCCAGTTTGATACCAAAAAGGAGTGATGAGAGGGGAGGGATATCCTTCCCCTGTTCTTGATCTTAGCAAGAATGCTTCAACTTTTTCACCATTAATTATGATGTAAGCCATAGGTGTTTTTTTGTAGGTATTCTTTATCAAGTTTAGAAAGGTCCCCCTTTATTCCTAGTTTACTGAGAGTTCTTGTCATGAATGGGTATTAGATTTTATCAAATGCCCTTTTCTGCATGTATTAACATGATTATGTGATTTTTCAGACTGTTTATGCGATAGATTACATTAATTGATTTTATAATGTTGAACCAGCCTTGCATATCCAGGATAAATCCCATTTGCTTGTGGTGTATAATTTTTTCATACAATGTTAGATTTTATTTTCTAATATTTTGTTGAGGATTTTTGCGTCTATGTTCATGAGAAGTATTGGTTTGTGGTTTTCTTTTCTCGTAGTCTTTGTCTAGTTTTGGTATTAAGGTAATGCTGGCCTCATAAAATGAGTTAGTATCTCTTCTCCTTCTATCCTCTGAAAGAGATTGTGGAGAAATGGTATCATTTTCTTTTAAAATGTGTGGCAGAATTCACCAATGAACACATCTGATCCTGGTGCTTTGTGCTTTGAAAGGTTAATTATTGATTCAATTTCTTTAATATATATAGGTCTATTCAAGTTGTTTATTTCTTATGTGAATTTTGGCAAATTGTGTCTTTCAAGGAATTGGTCCATTTCATCTAGGTTACCAAATGTGGGGATAGAGTTGTTCATAGTATTCCTTGATTATCTTTTTAATGTTTATATGATCTATGTTGATGTCCCCCTCTTTTGTTTCTTATATTGATCATTGGTGTTCTCTCTCTCTCTCTCTCTCTCTTACTGTCTGTCTCCCTCTTTCTCTCCCTCCCTCCTTCTTTTTAGTTAGCCTGGCTAGGTTCTTATCAATTGTATTGAACTTTTTAAAGAACCAGATTTTTTCTCTATTGATTTTATCTATTGACTTCCTGTTTTCAATTTCATTGATTTTTTGTCTAATTCTTATTATTTATTTTCTTCTGCTTACTTTACATTGAATTAGCTCTTCTTTTTCTGGTGATCTAAAATGAAAACTTAGATTATTGATTTTAGATCTTCTTTCTTTTCTAATATTTGCATTCAATGCTATATATTTTCCTCTAAGCGTTACTTTTGCTGCATCCCCAAAATTTTGATAACTTGTGTTTTCATTTCCACTTAGTTCAAAATATTTTAAAATTTCTCTTGAGATATCTTCTTTGACTTATGTGTTATTTGAAAGTGTGTTATTTAATCTGCATGTTTTTGGGATTTTCCAGTTATCTTTCTGTTATTGATTTCTAGTTTAATTCCATTACAATCTAAGGGCAGATATTGTATAATTTCTACTCTTTTAAATTTGTTAAGGTGTGTTTTATAGCCCAGAATGTGGTCTTCCTTGGCAAATATTCCATGTAAGCTTGAAAAGAATGTATCTCCTGATACTGCTGAATAAAGTAGTTTATAGATGTTCATCATATCCAGTTGATTAATGTGTTGTTGAGTTCAACTATATCCTTACTGATTTTCTGCCTCTGGATCTGTCCATTTATAATAGAGGAGTGTTGAAGTCTCCAACTATGATAGTGGATTCACCTGTTTCTCCTTGCAGTTCTATCCATTCTTGCCTCCCATAGTTTGATGCTTTGTAGTTAGATGTATACAGGTTAAGGATTGTTATGTCTTTGTGGAGAACTGACCCCTTTATTATTATATAGTGCCCTTCTTTATCCCTAATACCTTTTCTTGCTTTGAAATCTGCTCTGTCTGAAATTAATATAGCTACTCCCACTTTCTTTTAATTAAGTTAGCATGGTATATTACTCTCTATGCCTCTATTTTTAACCTATATGTGTCTATATTTAAACTGACTTTTTTGTAGACAACATACAGTTGGGTCTTGTGTTTTCATTCACTCTAAGAATTTCTGTCTTTTAAATAGTGGATTAAGACCATTAATATTCATAGCGGTCATTGATATAGTTGAATTAATATCTACCACATTTGTTGCTATTTTCTATTTGCTGCCCTGGTTCTTTGTTCCTATTTTTGTCTTTCACTCTTTTTCTGCCTTTGGTGGTTGTAATAGAGCATTTCAATGATTTCATTTTCTCACTTTTCTTTACATGCTAATTATACTTGTGTGGTTTTTTTTTTTACTTTTTTAATGGTTACTCTAGAGTTTGCAACATATATTTATAACTAATCCAAGTCTATTTTCAAGTAACCCTGTACCACTTCAAGTAGTGTGAGTATCTTGGAATGATAAAATAATCTTAATTTCTCCTTTCTATCCCTTGTGTCATTGCTGTCATTCATTTCACTTATATATGAGAATACATAGGCACACATAATTGAATATATTGTTGCTATTATTATTATTTTGAATAAACTGTTATCTTTACATCAATTAAGAATAAGAAAAATAAAATATTTTACTTTTACTTATTCATTCTTTGATACTCTTCCTTTCTCTATGCAAATTTGAGTTTCTGACCTATATCATTTCCTTTCTCTCTAAAGAATATTTTTTAACATTTCTTGGAAGGCAGATCTTCTGGCAACAAATTCTCTCAAATTTTGTTTGTATGAGAAAGTCTTTATTTCTCTGTCACTTTTGATGGATACTTTCTCAGGGTACAGAATTCTAGGTTGGTGGTTTTTTCCTCTCAACACTTTATTTATTTGTTATTTTTGAGACGGGGTCTCTCTCTGTTACCCAGACTCATGTCACCCATAGCTCACTGCAGCCTTGAACTTGTGGGCTCAAGCAATCCTCCCACCTCAGCCTCCTGAACAGCTGGGACTACAGGTGCACACCACCACACCTGGCTAATTTTTAAAATGTTTAGTATAGACAAGGTCTCCCTAAGTTGCCCAGTCTGGTCTCAAACTTCTAGGCTCAAGTGATGCTTCCACCTCAGCCTCCCAAAGTGCTGGGATTACAGGCATGAGCCACTGTACCTGACTTCAACTCTAAATATTTCACTCCACTTTCCTCTTGCTTGCATGACTTCTGAGAATAAGTCAGATGTAGTTCTTATTTTGGTCCTCTACAAGTAAAGTATTTTTCCCTTCTGGCTTCTTTAAGGATGTTTTTCCATATCTTTGATTTTCTGTAGTTTGAAAATGATATGCTAAGGTGTAGTTTTGTTGGCATTTATCCTGCTTGGTATTTTCCGAGCTTCCTGGATCTGTAGTTTGGTGTCTGATATTAACTTGGGGAAAAATTCTCAGTCATTATTATTTCAAATATTTCTTTCCTTTCTTTCTTTCTGCTCCTTCTGGTATTCCCGTTATGTGTATGTTATATCTTTTGTAGTTGTCTCATAGTCCTGAGACATTGTTTTGGTTTTTTGTTCTTTGCTTTCTTTGCTTTTCACATTTTGGAGTTTCTATTGACATATCTTCAAGCTCAGAGAGCCTTTCCTCAGCCATGTCCAATCTACTAATAAGCCCATCAAAGACATCCTTCATTTCTGTTACAGCATTTTTGATCTCTGGCATTTCTTTTTGGTTCTTTCTTAGGATTTCCATTTCTGTGCTTCCACTGTCCATCTGTTCTTGTATGCTGTCTTCTTCACCCATGAGAGTCTTTAGCATATTAATCACAGTTGTTTTAAACTCCTGGTCTAATAATTCCAGCATCCCTTCCATGTCTGAGTCTGGTTCTGATACCTGCTCTGTTTCTTCAAATTGTGTTGGGTTTTTTTGCCCTCTGGTATGTCTTACAATTGTTTCTTGGTAGCTGGACATTATGTACCACATTAAAAAAATAGCTGTAAATGACCTTTAGTGCTGTGGTGGCAAGGGGTGCAGGGAGAAAGCATTCTGAATTCCTGCGATTAGGTCTCAGTCTTTTAGTGAGCCTGTGACTCTGGATGGTGACCTTCACAAGTACTCCTCAGTTCTTCCTCCCTCTTAGGTGGGACAGGATGGTTACAGTGGGCTACAGGTGGGTGTTTACCTCTTTTCTCCATGTGGAAAGCTAAAGCTGACTGGAATTAGGTATTTCCCTCCCCCAGGTCTTTTTAAATTAAATTAAAATTTTTTTGATGGAATGTCACTCTGTTACTCAGGCTGGAGTGCAGTGGCACGATCTCGGCCCACTGCAACCTCCATCAAACGTTTCTCCTGCCTCAGCCTCCCAAGTAGCTGGGATTACAAGAGTGCATCACCACGCCTGGCTAATTTTTGTATTTTTAGTAGAGAAGAGGTTTCACCATGTTGGCCAGGCTGGTCTCAAACTCCTGACCTCAAGTGATCCCCCTGCCTCGCCCTCCCAGAGTGCTAGGATTACAGGCATGGGCCAACCTGCCCAGCCAGTCCTTCCCCAGGTCTTTAGGCTCTGATAATACCCCAGCAAGACAGGCTCTAGCTAACTTGTTTCTCCTAAGGACAGACCTTATTAACAGAATACACTGGTGTATTTCAAAGGGATTCATTTTCCCCTCCCCTGTCAGAAGAACGAGGGGATTTTCCTCCAATATTTAGTGTGGGAACCTGGATAAGCTCCGGAGGTAAATCCCCTAATATTGTGGAAGCACACCTATCAGTGGATCCCTCTGGAGTTTTAACTCTCAGCTTTGCCCACTCTGAGGCTCCACCAATTTGTCATTTACAGTTCAGGTTTTCCTTCCCTGGCATTAATTTCTGCAGAGGTTTCTGCTTATGGGTATCTGCTCCAGTAAATCATGGCTCCCTGGATTCACTTGTTTGTCTCTCCAATCTTGCAGGCAGCACTTTACTCTGTGTCCTTCCCTCCTTGTAGACCCAAAAAGAGTTGCTGATGTTTGTGTCTGTTCAGGTTTTTACTTGTTGTTAGGACAGAGAGATGACTTCCAAGCTCCTTACATCTTACAGAAGTGAAAACAAGAAGTCCAAGTTCATAAATCTTTAAATCTGACCTTGACCTCCTTGAAGAGGTAGAAAGTCCACCACAATTACCTTTGCTTGAAAGAGCACTTCACTCCACTCTTACCCTCTCCCCCCTTACTATGCATTATTGTTTCATTTCATTTACATTTGTAATATTATTTTTTTTAATTTGTCACCATCCACTTTAATATAAACTCAATGCTGGCAGGGATTTTGTCTGTTCTGTTTATTGCTTCTTCCCCCAAGACCTAAATAACATAGTTGGTGATCAACTAATGTTGATTTATTTGACAGGGATGTAAGTTGGTATAATCTCTTTGGAAAAAAGCTTTGGATTAACCTATAAAGTAGGAGATATGCATACAGGGTGACCCCTCTATGACGCTCTTGCACATGCAGCTTGGAGAATTTCCTATACACTGTGTACAGAGCCATGTACAAGAGGGTTCATCACGGTTTTGTTTATAATAGTGAGAAGCTGGAAATAAGCCAACTACCATCAGCACTAGAGCAGATGGACAAATTGTGGTGTGTATGTACAATAGAATAGCATATAGTAATGAAAATGAACAGCCATGGCTATTCCCAACATTGACGAATCCTATTAACATAGAGTGAGGGCCAGGCACCGTGGCTCACATCTGTAATTCCAACACTTTGGGATGCTGAGGTGGGAGGATCAGGAGAATCGCTAAGGCCAGGAGTTTAAGACCAGTCTGGGCAACATAGCAAGACCCTGTCTACAAACAATTAAAAAATTAGCTCGGCATGCATCTGTACCCCTAGCTACTCAGGAGGATCACTTGAGCCCAGGAGTTAGAGGCTGCAGCGAACTATGATCACATCATTGCACTCCAACTTGGGTGAAACCCCCTCTCTATGAAAAAATACAAAAATTAGCTGGGCGTGTTGGCGGATGCCTGTAATCCCAGCTACTCAGGAGGCTAAGGCAGAAGAATCACTTAAAACAGGAAGGCAGAGGTTGCAGTGGGCCGAGATCGCACCACTGCACTCCAGCCTGGGCTAAAGAGCGAAACTCCATCAAGAAAAAAAAAAAGTGAGCAAAAAAATCAAAGACATAAAGGAATACGTGAAAAATAATTTTATTATTTAGGCCGGGCGCGGTGGCTCACAACTGTAATCCCAGAACTTTGGGAGGGTGAGGTGGGTGGATCACCTGAGGTCAGGAGTTCAAGGCCAGCCTGACCAACATGGTGAAACTCCGTCTCTACTAAAAAATACAAAATTAGCCAGGTGTGGTGGCACATGCCTATAATCCCAGCTACTTGGGAGGCTGAGGCAGGAGAATCTCTCGAACCCCGGAGGCGGAGGTTGCAGGGAGCCAAGATGGCGCCTTTTCACTCCAGCCTGGGGAACAAGAGCGAAACTCCAAAGCAAAAAAAAAAAGAAAAGAAAGGCCGGGCGCGGTGGCTCACGCCTGTAATCCCAGCACTTTGGGAGGCCGAGGGTGGCTGATCACGAGGTCAGGAGATCAAGACAATCCTGGCTAACACGGTGAAACCCCCGTCTCTACTAAAAATACAAAAAATTAGCCGTACGTGGTAGCGGTCGCCTGTAGTCCCAGCTACTCGGGAGGCTGAGGCAGGAGAATGGCGTGAACCCGGGAGGTGGAGCTTGCAGTGAGCCGAGATTGCGCCACTGCACTCCAGCCTGGGTGACAGAGCGAGATTCCATCTCAAAAAAAGAAAAGAAAGAAACTATTTAAATTTCAAAAAGGTAAAACTAAACTGTAATATTTAGAGATATCACCATAGGTAGAAAAAAAAACAAGTATTTAAAAACAGAAACAAAAACATGGACATTATGATCCCACAATCCATCTCCTGAGTTTACAGGACCCACGATCCCCTCCGGAAAGCACCTACATGGACAAGACCCTCGGGAAAGCACCTACGTGGATACTGTCTGCATTTTCGGTCTGGGCACAAGCAGGTCTGTCTCATGGACCAGGGGAGCTGGAGAAGAAGGCAGCCATGATGGGAACCACGGAGCCCTGGAGTTAGAGGTTGCAGCGAACTGTGATCACATCACTGCACTCCAACCTGGGTGAAACCCCGTCTCTATGAAAAAATGCAAAAATTAGCTGGGCTACTCCAGGCCAGGCTCGTACCAAGGGAACAAGCATTCCTGGTAATTTGCAGAGTGAAGGGGATGCAAACAGAAGACACCTCCCTCTTACAGAAGACACCTCCCTCTTACAGAGACTCAGAGGAGCAGCAGAGAAGTGTAGGCACGTGGAGTAGAAGCTCTTGGCACCAGGCAGAGACCCATGCAGGCAGAGACACCACTTCACCGGCACCGAGCCCAGCTCAGCCTCAACCAAGACAGGCAGCGTAGCCAAAGAACAGTGGAGCCAAACTGACTGCAGAAACTCAGTCTGCTCCTCAGCCTGCAAGTGAAACAGCGCTCCTAGGGAACCTAGAGAAGACAGGGAGGTGGTCCTTTCATGTGGCAGATGGGAGACTAGGATGCTGTAGATTTAGTGGCAAACGTAAGGGACATTCAGGTTTGAGATACAATATCTCCTCTCAAAAATTTTGCAAGGCATTAATTCCACTTTATGGATAAGGAAACTGAGGCCTAGAAAGTTTAAGACACTGGCTCAAAATCATGTACCTAGTAAAAACAGAATCAATAGTGGAGCCAACATTCAAACTCTGTCCAACTTCCAGGCCCAGTGTTCTCAGCAACCCACTTTCCATGGGCCCCTTTTATCTGTAATACACAAATGTTTCAGGCACAAGTGTGACATAAGTTTGTCAGAACACTGGTTTTTACAAAATTCTTTATCACAAATGAGAATTTGTGATATTTGATTTTGGAGGAAGTTGATGTATCTACTAAAGAGGGAGAGAGAGACAGAGAGAAAGAGAGAAAGAGACAGACAGAGAGCGAGAGAGAGAGAGAGAAAGAAATGAGTTCTAAACTCCAATCAGGAAGCCGAACGAAGCATCAAAGGAGAAAGTAGAGGCCAGGCACTGTGGCTCACACCTGTAATCCCAGCACTTTGGGAGGCTGAGGGGTCGGATCACCTGAGGTCAGTCAGGAGTTCCAGACCAGCCTGACCAACATGGTGAAACCCTGTCTCTACTAAAAATACAAAAAAATTAGCCGGGTGTGGTGGCGGGTGCCTATAATCACAGCTACTCAGGAGGCTAAAGCAGGAGAATCGCTTGAATCCAGGAGGTGGAAGTTGCAGTGAGCTGAAAAATCATGCCACTGCATTCTAGCCTGGGCGACAGAGCAAGACTCTGTCTCAAAAACAAACAAACAAACAAACAAAGGAGAAAGCAAGAGAAGAGTGTCCTGGTGCTCAGCAGCACACGCCCTCCTGTTCCCACAGGGTACCATTATTGGACACAAGTCTGTAAGCCCTGTTTAATGCACCACACTGTAGATTAGAAAAGCAAGAGATTTTCCAGAAATTGTGTTTTGAAAAACCCCTTACCCACTGGGATTTACAACTTGAAGACCTTTTTCTCTATATGCTTCCAAGGTTTTACTGCCTGTGTTTTTAAAGCATAATTCTGGCAATATTTCCATTCAGGACACTTTAGCTCAGAAAATCAAAGTGGATCTCAGGTTTCAAAGACCCAAGGGAAAAAGGTCACTATTGAACACACCACTATTTATTGCTGAACCTACAACATTTAAGCTGTCAAATTAGGCTTTGATTTTAATATTCCTCAGTCAGGAAAGTACATGTTTTCAGTAGTGCTCTTTCTTTCATTCTGTTTCTTTCTTTCATTATGTTTCACCCAAACACCTTAATCACAGTCTAACAGCACACATTTTTAAAGCAAAGATAGTAAAATATAAGGAGCCAGTAGTGTGTCTTCACTTCCCAGCCTAAATTGCTAATCACATATTTGCAAGTTTAGTTTGGTTTTGTAGCATGTTCCTAGTGATTTGTGCAGCACTTGTATTACAGTTTTCAGTAAAAAATTGAAGACACGTCAAAGTTTTATATTATTTTCTTTAAAACATCCCTGAAGAAAGCGTGTCCACAAAGTGTGGAAGAGCCTAAACACAGAATGAGATGTCAGCTCAGAAACTGCACCATTCACTATAGAAAATAGTTATTCCCCATTTATCTTTCCAATTTAAATATCACCCATTTACTCCCCTACTCAAGCTGTATTGAAGGATAATTTACATACAATAAAATTCCCCTCTGTTAAGTGTACAGTTGGATGAATTTGGGCAATTGTAAACAGTTGCATAACTACAACGCAGTCAAAATATAAAACATTTCCATTACCCAAAATGTTTCTTCCTGTCCTTTTGCAGCTGGTTCTCTCCCCGACCCCAAGAATGACTGTTCTGCCCTATGTCACTATAGTTTTAGCCATTTCTAGGATTTCATATAAATTAGATCATACATGTGTAGTCTTTTTCTTTCATTAAGCATATTTTTGAGATTCTTCCAGATTGTTACATGTATTAGCATTTCACTCTTTGTTATTGCTGAGTAGTATTCCATATAAGGCCATGTCAAGTTTATCCATTCACCTATTGATGAACATTTGGGCTTTCCAGTTCTGAACTATTATGAATAATTCTTCTATAAATATTACATAAAAGTTTTTTGCACAGACATATGTTTTCATCTCCAAAAGAAAAATATCTAGGACTCAGATTGATGATTCATAGGATAAATAAGTATTTAACATTATAAAACACTGTCAAACCATTTTCCAAAGTGACTGTACAATATTGCATTCCCACAAGCAATGTATGAGAGTTCCAGTTGCTCCATATCTTTTCCAGTATTTGGCATAGTCAGTCCTTTTAGTCCTTTTAGTAATAGTCATTCTAGTGGATGTGTAGTAGTATCACTGCAGTTTCAATTTTCATTTCCCTAATGACTAAGGATGATGTCCACCCTTGCACACTCACTGGCCATTTGCATACCTCCTTTTATGAAGTGCATGTTAATGTCTTTTGACCACTTTTATTTTTAAGCTGTATAAAGTTGAATGTGTTGCAAATATTTGCTTCCAATCTGTAGCTTACTTTATTGCTTTATTAACTTTTATTCTTAAAGTGTTTAACTTTGATGAAACCCATTTTATAACTTGTTTTCTTTTCTACCAGTTTACTTGTAAGGACACCAAAAGTAAATCTCTACGTGGAATGAAGTGATATTTTCAATCTTTATCCATCCCTTCCATCCATTTATCCTCTTAATCCTTTGTGTATCTGGTTATTTAATTAAAACTTGTAAACATCATTTAGCTACCATGGCAATTTTTTTTCTTAGAGATAGGGTTTTGCTCCATTCTGGAGTGCAGTGGCACAATCATAGCTCATTGCAGCCTCGAACTCCTGAGCTCAAACAATTCTCCCACTTCAATCTCCCAAGTAGCTAGGATCATGTTTGGCTGATTAAAAAAAAAAAAAAAATCTGTAGAGACCCCATGAGGAGAAGCAATCTCACTTTGTTGCTAGGCTGGTCTTGAACTCCTGGCCTCTAACACTCTTCCCAAAGTGCTGGTATTACAGGCGTAAGCCACTGTGCATAAGCTCCTTGGCAATTTTTAAAGATGCAACAGAAGTCAGCAAATCAGAACAAGAAGAGAAAACACATGATATAAACTTTTCATTAAGCAAACTAATGTTAAAAGCCAAAAACAAGAAAAGCAAAAGTCTAAGGACTGGAAATTGAAGAAAGAGGGGACATACAGCAGGGAGTTACGTGGCTGTGAGTAACTGCTAGGAAAACATGTGTGGGCAGGTGTCCAGAGTCCTGCTTTCAGCCAAGACCAACTCTCAGGGATTGGGTCTACCCTCCAACCTGCAACTACTAAATACATGGACAAAATATATGAAACAACAGTTTTAAAGATATGGGTCATCAAGTGATGAAAGATTATGATCTCCAAGAACTCCACCAAAGAAGATAAGCATATGAAGATGCTCAATATTGTTAGTCATCAGATAAATGAAAAGTAAAAACACAGTGAGATACCACTTCACTCCTATTAGAATGTGTAAAATTGAAAACACTGACCACATCTAGTGTTGGCAAGGATGTTGAGGAACTTGAACTCTCACACGCTGCTGGAGGGAACTTTTTTTTTTTTTTTTGAGACAGAGTTATGCTCTTGTTGCCCAGGCTAGAGTGCAACGGTGCCATCTAGGCTCACCGCAACCTCCGCCTCCCGGGTTTAAGCAATTCTCCTGCCTCAGCCTCCCAAGTAGCTGGGATTACAGGCATGCGCCACCACACCCGGCTAATTTTGTATCTTTAGTAGAGACGGGGGTTTCTCCATGTTGGCCAGGCTGGTCTCCAACTCCCAACCTCAGGTGATCAGCCCACCTCGGCCTCCCAAAGTGTTGGGATTACAGGTGTGAGCCAACGCGCCCAGCTGGAGGAAACTTTTAATCACTTTTGAATACCATTTGATTTTTTTTTAAGTTAAATAAGCACCTATATGACCTAGCCATTCCACTGCTGTATTTACCCAAGAGAAATGAAGGCGTATTTTCAATACAAAATCTTCTACTTGAATATTCAGAGCAGCTCTGTTTTTTGCCCAATAGTTTGCAATTTGAGGTGACTTTGCTTCCCAGAGGATATCTGCCAACGTCTGGAGACGTTTTTGGTTGTCACATTGCAGGGGTGCAATTGGCATATAATGGGTAGAGATCAAGAATTCTGCTGAACATTCTACAGTGCACAGAACAGCTCCTGTGACAAAGAATTGGCCAGCCCCAAATGTTAACCCTTCCAAAGTTGGAAAACTATGTCTACAACCCCAAAAGGGGGCAACCCAAATGCCCATCAACAGGTGAATGGATAAAGACAAGTATGGTAGATCCACACAACAGGATTCTACTCAGCAATGAAGTGAACCAAACTATTGATTCAGGCAATGGCATGGACGAATCTGAAAAAACTATGCTGAGTCAAAAAGAAAATAAAGACAAAAATAAGTACACGCTGTACAATTCCGTTTAGATAAGATCCTAGGAAATACACCCTGACGTATGGTGACATAAGACAAATCAGTGGTTGCCAAACCTGGGAGGCATGGATGGAACGAAAAGGAGTGGGAGGGAGGAATTACAAAAGGTCTCAAGGAAATGTGTGATGGTAACAGATACGTTCATTATTTTGCTTTGTGGTGATGGTTCCAAGAGCATACACATATGTCAAATTTTGTCAAACTGGGTACTTTAAATATATGCAGTTTATTGTAAGCCAGTTATACCTCTATAAAGTTGTTAAAAATGTCTATCTGCAAGGCAACTGAAAATATTCACCAAAAACTAATGATTATACTAATTCACAATACTGATTAATAAAAGGATTGATTTTAATAATGAAACAAGCCCAAATATTTGCCAGTCATTAATTACTTTGCTACACTTGCCAATCATTGATTAATTACTTAAAAATTAAATAGCACTGAACTAGAACTCTATAGGCCTGAGTTATGGTCCTACTTCTAGTAAAACTTGTAAATAACTTATTCATAAATTGCAACAGTTGGATTTAGTGCTTTCAATATTATATGTTTAAGGATCCTTCTTTTTTTCTTCTATAAACTATTTTTAATAGATTTTGGTGCTTTTAAGAGTAACTGAATCAGTCTACTGTTATAACACTGAGATCATATAATGGCAGCCAACCTCAAAGAAAATATACAATTGTGTGGGTTGCTTGTGCCCAAAGCCACCTGCTCATTGTCCTGGGCTGATGGACTTCCTCCTCTCAGTCATGCCTACTGACCCCAAGATCATTCAGCAGTAACTGCACTTAGATACGCTGTTCTAAATTCTCCTTAAACCACCTGTGGGTCTGGTAGAAAAAAAATGCTCTGGCAAAAGCTAAACCCAGGTGATCCTAGATAGGAAATGGACTCTCATGAAGACAAATGACTGGGAATTGATTGGAAAAAGTGAAGAGTCTGAGTAGAGAAATCAGAGGCACACAGAAAATCTGAAGAAAACCTGGGATTAATTGTTTTGGGGTAAAGGCACTGGATTAATGAGCCCGCTGTGAGGGGAAGAGAAGGAAGGGAGGGAGAGAAGGGGAGAGAGCCAGCCAAAGGGAGCTAACGGGTGCTCCTGGAGAGACGATGGAAGGGCCCCAGATATGAAATAAAAAGAAGAAGAAAGGAAAAAAAATCACTGATCAAGTCTTAGAAACCGTGAATTAATGAACTCAATATCATGACATCTATGCTATAGATGGACTCTTCTGTGAACCTCAGGAGGGAGAAGAAGAGGAGGACAGTGGAGAGAGGCAGCAGGAGAAAACCAGGCCTTGGCTGATATTCTGCCAGAATTTCTGAAGTTCCTTCAAGCATTTGATATCATGTTAAATGATAGAAAAAGTCAAATTAATCCAAGTCTCACTCCTCCAAGAACGACGTTTTTAAGTTAATTTTTTTTCATTTGTGAATTGCAAACTCCAGCTTTAAATGCTTCACTTGAAACTTTGGTCCACTGCTAAATAGGAAAAACAAGAGCTGAAACTTGGCAGAAATACAGATTATATGCAGATTACAAACAGAACGATCTGTCACTTTCAGGGAACATAAACCAGGGCAAAGGATATTAAACAGCAGTTTGAATTGCACTGCCTAGATGGCAGGAAGAGATCAAAGAAACATTCTCTTTGCTACGTGAGGAAAATGAGGAAAAATTATTCTACAAGGGAGAACCTTATATAAAATTCACATGGATATGTTTATCCATATTTTGAGTACAGCCTTGTTTGTACTAAAAAAAAAAAAAAAGGCAGAAAGCAGCCAAGCAGTAGGTGCCACCCCTCCATTTTATTGGCAGGAAAGAGTTTTACTTGAATACCAAAAATTAGTTCAATAGATGGACTCATTCTCCATTCAGCTGCCAATGTGTTTGAGTTGTTTTCTTTGAGTGTCACTCAGATGCTTCCATTTGCATTATCTTTATTTTTATATCTCCCCAAATTGATTTTTTTTTCTTGAAGACAGTGTTGGATGTGTGTACATGTCAATTCTTATTATTCACAGTAGTTGTGTCTTATAAAGTTACTTGGAACACTGAATTAGAAAATATTGAAGCATTGCTCCTGGGGGAAATAAAAGGTTAGGTTTCTGTGAGCCTCTGGTCACAAGATTTTTGTCAGTTGATTAATATACATAACCTAGTGTCATGTGTTTTTTAGTTTATTGACTCATTATATAATATACAGTCATGTATCACTTAACAATGGGGATATGTTCTGAGAAGTGTATGGTTTGATGATTTCATCATCATGCAAGCATCACAGAGTGCACTTACATAAACCTAGACAGTAGCACCTACTACACACCTAGGTTGTGTGGTATAGCCTATTGCTCCTAGGCTACAAACCTGCACAGCATGTTACTGTACTGAATGCTGTAGGCAATTGTAACACAATGTGTATTCAAACATTGAAAAGGTACAGTAAAAATACAGCATAAAAGATCAAAAAATGAACCGGGCGTAGTGGCTAACGTCTGTAATCCCAGCACTTTGGGAGGCCACGGTGGGTGGATCGCCTGAGGTCAGGAATTCGAGAGCAGCCTGGCCAACATGGCAAAACCCCACCTCTACTAAAAATGCAAAAATTAGCCTGGTGTGATGGTGGACACCTGTAATCCCAGCTACTCTGGAGGGTGAGGCATGAGAATCGCTTGAATCCAGGAGACGGAGGTTGCAGTGAGCCTAGATCATGCCAGTGCACTCCAGCCTGGGAGACAGAGCAAGACTCCATCTCAAAAAAAAAAAAAAGATAAAAAATGGTACACATGTATGGAGCACTCACCATGAATGGAGCTTGCAGGACTGCAGGTTGTTCTGGGTGACTGAATGAGTGGGTGGGGAGTGAATGTGAAGGCCTAAGACATTACTGTGCACTACTATAGACTTTATAAACATTGCACACTTAGACTACACTAAATTTATAAAATATTTTTCTTCAATAATAAACTTAGTTTACTGTAACTTTTTAGTTTATGTTTTTAAGTTTTGACTTTTCGTAATAGCGTAAAACACAAATATATTATACAGCTGTACAGAAGTATTTTCCTCTTTACATGCTTATTCTACAAGCTTTTTTATTTTGAATTTTTAAAGGTTTTTTTTGTTTTAATTTTTTTGTTGAAAACTAAGACACAAACACACACATTAGCCTAGGCCTACGAAGATCAGGATCATCACTATCACTGCCTTCCACCTTCACATCTTGTCCTCAGGGGCAACAACAGGCTTGGAGCTGTCATCTCTATGATAACAATGCCTTCTTCTGGATACCTCCCCAGGGACCTGCCTGAGGCTGATTTACAGTCAACTTTTCAAATAGAAAGAATATACTCTAAAATAATGATTTAAGGCATGCACTAAGTACTAGGTGATAAGAATTTTCAGCTCTATTATAATCTTATGGGACCATCATCATATATGCAGTCTGTCATTGACCAAAACGTCATTATGTGGTGCATGACTGTATATTGTTGATTCATTAACATTGAACTCACCGCCACCAGCACTGTAACTCATGCCTGAGGGAAGCTTATCTACCACATGTGTTTTCTCTGTAGGACACATCCCAGCCTTCTTGGGCTTAGGAATGCTGAACAGCAGTCCAGCACTATGCTTGGGAGCCATCTTAAACAGAGAAATCACCAAAACAAAAAGTGCAAACATGCAAAAAATATGCCAAAAAATAAACTACCAAAATGACATGTGCTCACAGTGTGAGGGCTGAAGCAAGAATGCAGAGCACTGCCTGGCTCTGCCTTATGGGCAGGCAGCTCAAGTTCCCCTCAGCACATCTGCAAATGGCCATGGAAGCAACCAGAAGCATTGGTCCTGGGGTTACAAATAAATTTTAGAAAGCATGTGAATTCACAAATGCAGAATCCATGAATAATGGGGTTGACTATACTCTTTTTTTTACACAGGGTCTCACTCTGCCACCCAGGCTAGAGTGCAGTGGTGCAATCTCATCTCACTGCATCCTGGGCCTCCCGGGCTCAAACGATCCTCCAACTTCAGTCTCCCAAGTAACTGGGACTACAGGTGCATGCCACCACCCCCAGCTATTTTTGGTAGAGACGGGGTTTCACCATGTTGCCCAGGCTGGTCTCGAACTCGTGAGCTCAAATGATCCGCCTGCCTGGGCCTCCCAAAGTGCTAGGATTACAGGTGTGAGCCACCTCACCTGGCCAAAGAGTTGACTTTATATATGAATATATATATATTTCTGCACAGCAAGTTCCTAAAAGAATACATTGCCATTCTAACAGCAAATTACAGATATCTTTCCTTTGAAGATAGTTGCTATCTTATAATAATAGTAGTCTTCACACTAAATTTCTGGTAGAGCACATTACCTATATACAAAGTTCTCAGTTATAAGCCCACTGAGGTTTTTGTTCAACAAAGAAAACTCTAGGCAAAGACTTCAACATGCATGAAAATGCCTAGCACATAACTGGCACTCAATAAATGTTCAGTACTTTTCATTGTTTCCTGATTCTTGTTCTCCCTTATTTTTCTTATTTGCTTTCATTTTAGTAGCTTAAATTACCCAGCATATGAATAAATGCAGAAGCAGGAACTTCACTTTCAATATATGAGGCTGGCACACCATCACTGAAGACATACCACCCTGTATTTGCAGTCATGTCTTCTACAATTTTCCCCAGAGTCTCAAAAGGTTTTTAAGCATCAAGAGGAAATAAAAGAAAACCATAGGCCGGGCGTGGTGGCTCATGCCTGTAGTCCCAGCACTTTGGGAGGCCGAGGCAGGCGGATCACCTGAGGTCAGGAGTTCAAGACCAGCCGGGCCAACATGGTGAAACCCACCTCTACTTAAAATGCAAAAACTAGCCAGGCGTGGTGGTGTGCACATGTAGTCCCAGCTACTCCGGAGGCTGGGGCAGGAGAATCACTTGAACCTGGGAGGCAGAGGTTGTGGTGAGCCTAGATTGTGCCACTGCAGTCCAGCCACGGTGGCAGAATGAGACTCCATCTCAAAAAATAAAAGAAAAAAAAAAGAAAAAGAAAACCACAATTTCACATAAATTGATTTTTAATGAAAAAAAAATAGTTCCAAATGTCAAAAAATACAAAAACTTTTATTTCAGTTTATTTTCGAGAGAAGCATTAAGCAGATTAAAATCACACTATAGTAGTTAAGACTATAAAGTGGTTTTATCTTTTATAATGTGTTTTAAATACTATTTTTATTGCAACTCCACTGCCACTTTCAGTGGTAGGGCACTGTTGAAAATACAAGTCAACAAATTCTAGCGAACTTTTGCCTGTATAGAATGTATGCTGTATTATTCCACTAGGCAAACAATTGCCTAAAAATTTTTTTTCTGTGAAATTGTCTTATTAGAGGACTTTTGAGCCTGTTGATAGCAACCACCACACCTTTAGTATGTAAATAAGACAGGACATTAGCTGTTGGACTGGAGATTCATTGAATAGTATAATTAAGGCTGGGCACAGTGGCTCATGCCTGTAATCCCAGCACTTTGGGAGGCCGAGGTGGGTGGATTACTTGGGGTCAGGAGTTCGAGACCAGTCTGACCAACATGGCAAAACCCTGGCTCTACTTAAAAAAATTACAAAAATTATCCTGGTGTGGTGGTGTGCACCTGTAGTCCCAGCTAGCTGGGAGGCTGGAGGCAAGAGAATTGCTTGAACCCGGGAGGCAGAAGTTGCTATGAGCCAAGATCAGATTGCCACTGCATTCCAGCCTGGGTGACAGAACGAGATTCTGTCTCAATTTAAAAAGTAAAATAAAAGAATAATTAAGACATTTGACTTGCCACTTTCTCAGCTCTGCTCTAAGTCAAATAATCTTTCTTTTTCTTGGTCTCTGTGTCATTGAAGTGTAAAATTATTTGGCGAACTCTTTTCTAACGCTTAATCATGAGGTGGATAAGTAATAGGATGAAAAGTGAAGACATCAAGGGGAGAAAATGATAATAACAGAGACCACTAATAAAAAGATAGCAGGTGGAATACATGCACCTATTATCATTTCTACTGCAATTCCACTAAAATGAAGAAATAAATTTTAAGACAGAAATCTACAGAAAAGGAGAGAACAAAAAGGAGCTAAGAGCAATAACTTTGGATGCTAGAAAGTAGACGGAGAGTCACAAATGAATCAGCAGACCCAAGACAGCATAGTCCTATGGAGAGAGGTGACAATCAAACTGATTAATATGAATCCTCCACAGCCTCTGGAAATACCATATCAGATACCTGAAAGAAGGGTAAATGGATGACCTAGATATATTTAGGAAACTAGGTGACTGATTGAAAGTCTACGTAAGCAACTATCAGATCTCCAATTAACCAATTACCCTCCCCTACCAGATGGGAAAAAAAATGGAGGTTTATTCCCTGAAGAGAGCTAACCCAAGTCTCTGGCTTGGGCCACCCCACATGTAAAGGTGGGTTACAATAGTGAAACAAGGGAACTGCTTGCTGAAGCTCGGGTTCCTCTTCCTCTGTGCAGCTTCCAAAATACTGGCAGGATGGCTTCCTCTTTCTGCCAGGAGATGAGAACAGCCTTCGCTAGAGAATATGGCCTTCTCAGGAGGAAACACTTTTTTAAAAATTATATTAGACGTTGCTCAACTTATGGGTCCAGACTATCTCCTGACAGTAACAACTTTGTGTGTCGGAGTTTCCAATCCACTGTTTTTTGCCTGTCCAGGATTATCAAACACCCGAGGAAATGGTTTATCATTAAAGAAGGAGAGAAAGAGAAAGAGAAAGAGAGAGAGATAGAGACAGAGACAGAAACAGAGACCAAAACAAGTAGAAAAACCAACTTGGAAGAAATAAGGGACTGTGCAGGGGGAAGAAATTTCTCCCCCAAAACTAATATTAACTAAGAGACGATATTGCAACCATGAAACATGAACAGGTAGTATAAAACAAGGAATACATATACACACGGGAAGAAAAGACTGAGAACAAAGATAACATGACATATGCTTCCACAAAGGAAAAATAAACAAAACAAACAGATCCCCTTCAAAGGCTCATAATCATAATGGCTATAGATGTCCCAACAGCAGCGTGGGAATTGAAAGGAAAAGTCTGTATGCAGCCAATTTATCAGTCAAGTACGAAGCTAGAATAAAGACATTTTTAGACATGCAAAATTTTATTTCCCATGTATTTTTTCTCAGAAAGCTATTTTAAAAGCTTATGTATGAGTAAACCAAGGAAGAGAGAAATATGGCTTTTAGGAACAGGAAACCTAGCACAGAGGAGGGAGTGGGAATCCTCAGACAGGAAGGGCAGCCAGTCAAGATTGGAGTAGGATCCAGAGGGACTTCCTCAGAATGTTACATTAATAGGTTACTTGTGTCTGAACATCCAGAGGTGAGCTTTAGATAGTTGGCAAAGTGTCTAGGCTTGAGATACTCTTAAGTACTTAAGAAATTAAGTCAAAAGGAAAAATATGCACATACATATATAGAGAGATTAAGAATGGGGAAAACTGGGTGAGGAGTATATGGGAACATTTTGTACTATCTTTGCAACTTGTCTGCCACTACAAACGTTCCCAATCCTTTCCTGCTCTCCAGAGCCCAACTCCAAAGAAAGTAATGCTTGCTTTCAAAATTCCAAGAGACGTCTGCCCCTCAACACCCCTCATTCTACCATCAGAGAAGGTGAAGCCAGACTCATGTCATCACTCACCCGATGTCATGCTGACAACAGACCCAAGCCAGGACACGCCCACTGTCACCTACAAAAGTTGAGCCAGCACACCTACACACATGGCTTCATCTCACCCAACTTTTTCTTTTTAATAAAATAAAATGATGCAAAATGTTTCAAAAGTGCATAAAGTGAACATCTTCTCTATTCCCATGCCTCTAGCCCCAGTAGTATTATAGCTTCCTGACTTACCCCACATTTATATTCCCATTGTGCAAATGAAGAAATAGTCCTGGAAAGGAGGTGCAGTTGGAGAGCTCAGCGGGGTAGAACTGGCTGGGGAGCTGAGGCTGCTGCAGAGGACACTCTTAATGGAAAATTATTCTGGGGATAGGGTGGCCATGAAAATTGGTAACTTGTAAGACATCAGTTTTGGCTATCTTAAAACATTTACACACGATTTTCTTGTTTATTTTTTTCAGAGGCTGAAATACAGAAAGCCCCACCATCGGACAGCATTTGGCTGAATTTAAATAGCACCAAATATATGCAATAAAATTTACTTTTAAAATAACAAATAAATAGTACAAGATGAAGATGCACACACCTCAGGGGCATACAATTTTTGGAATTTTTTTCTCTGTTAGCTTTATCCTCATCCTCAGGGTTTCATGCTTCCAAGATGCAGAAGGAAAACCTTTTCATCATTACAAAAATGGTTCTGTCATTTTAAGAGCCCATCAGCATTTATTTTATATTCTAGAGGGATTGACTTGCCCCCACTCCCTATTAGGCCCTCTCTTTTACTGTATAACTCCTGTTAATTCACAAAGGGCAAGAAATGCATGAAGGAAATCATTTCCTTGTGGGGCTTTTACTTTGAAGGGAAAGGGCTCAAATAAATTCAACTCTGTTTGTAAAGAAAAACTTCAAAGCCTTTAAGAAAGCACCTCCCTTTAATTCAGTTTGTGAGACTATTACCCTATTTAAAAGGTAAAAAGATAAAAGAAAGTTAATCCTCCATAAATTCTCCCTCTTGTTTCAGCCAGGGTTTCAATACAATACCTTTTTGCTCAGTAATTCTAACAGTAACAGATAGGCAAGAGCCAATAATTAGCAGAGCTGCAAACTGCTATTGTTTGAAGGGTCTCCACATATCTTAACTTCAGGATCCCTATCAAGGCCCAAATAGATTCTCATCTGGTTCCCACAGTGTCTCAGCCTTAGGTTATTCTGCCTTCCCATGAGCGCTCTCCAGAAGGTATTGTGGAAATATAAGCATTAAATGCAATCTTTAACACGAATGTAGGAAACCATTTCAGAGCAAAAACTAAACTTGTCTTTACAAACTTCTGAAAAAATTGTAAGCACTCCTTAAAAGTGCTTGGATGAGCTACAACATCATTGATACTCAGGGTTAAGTGTTTCACCTGCAAAAACAATGAGAACCTTTCTGTATCTTATTTCTAGTTTGGGATAGGCTTCCAAAATCCTAAACATGTGATTCTTGGCTTATTTGAAATAATTAGATAATTAAATATCCCCAGATTGGCTGAGGAGCTCCTAAGTGTTACCAACAGATGTTCTTCTGGGTCTATGAAACCCCAAAGGCTATCTATTCCATGGCATTGTGAGTCTGTATATTATTATGCCCCATGCCTTGGCATAAAGACATGCTTACTTGCCCATGTTCAAGGTTGCTGGCCTAATGCAGAATCAGAAGTTTTTAAGTCACTTGCCATTCCTCTCGTTGGATGAAAATGCAATGAACTCAAGCTTCCTTCCTAAAAAATGCAAATGATTCTCAGGAACAAATGAGAAGGGGAGAAAGGGAGTTACTGTATAATGGGCGCAGAGTTTCTGTTTGAGATGATTTAAAAAAAAGGTTCTCAAAATGAATAGTGGTGACGACTGTACAACATTATGAATGTAATCAGTGCCCCTGACTTGCACACTTAAAAACAGTGAAAACGGTAGATTTATGTTATACATATTTTATCACAGTTTTCAAAATAAACAAGAGCTTCATATTTAAAATGTTAAATAATTCAGGGCTGGGAATAAGCAGAAAATGATATGTTTCTGGAGGATAAATTGGCACTAAAAATATCAAAAATTTAACAGGAAATCCTTTGACACTGAAATTTCCACTTCGATACATTTATCCTATGGGTATTATATAAAAACATCCACAAAATCTACATGTAGGAGGGTGCTTATGAAGATATTGTTTGTCATAGCAAATTATTAAGAAAATGTTGGGAGGACTTAAATGTCCAACAACGTTTGGATAATAAATTCTGGTTAAATTTAGTGAACAAATGACCCTTACCTCCTGGCCACCCTCCCCTGCTATCTTTGTTTCCTCTTCTGCTCCTGACTTCACCTTTAATCTATGTATTCCTCCTCTTCTTTCCAAGTGTCTGTTTTAATTACCATTGGTTCACTCCACAATTATTTCCTGACACCTCCTGTATCGGGAACCACACTAGGTGCTGCTGATAAAGCCTTTAACAACTTCGACAAAGTCTCTTATCTCAAAGTTTATAAACTTTGGGGAGGAACACAAAGAAGAAAATAGGCAATTATAACATCACATGACAAGGGCTGTGATGTGGGAAATGCCGGGCGCATGATGCTCGTCAGGCCCCTGAACTAGAGCCGGGTGAGTCCAGGATGACTTCCTGGAGGAAGTCACTTCCTTAGAATGAGAAGAAAGTATTAATAGAAGAAATCAAGGGAAAAAAGAATGTTCCAGGCAGCGGAATAGCTTGTATAAAGACTCTGAGGTAAATGAAAACAAAGTATATTTAAGAAACTGGAAGTATTTGGGAGGAAAGGCTGGCAAGGAATACCTTTTTGCCCAGGAGACTTCAAACCAGACTCCACCGCAAAACCATGGACCTCGTTGACCCGCCTCCCGGATGTCTCCCCTGGCCCCCAAGTCCCCATGCCCCACGCTAAGCCACCTACCTCCCGGTTTCCCCCCATCCCCACCCCATTAGTTCTTGATTACAGTGAGTAACTCTCCGCGTGGCTCGCAGTCACTGCCACAGGTCAGGCTCCCCACGAAGCAGCCTCGAGATGGAGGTTACTGCACCGGAGCTTTATTCCGGCGTACCCCTGGGTGGGCTCCTGGAGTTCGGGGAAGGTCGAGGCAGACCTGGCAGAGTGAAGTTGAGCTGCCACACAGGCCCAGTAGCAGCCTCACCAAAGGCCACAGGAACACAGGGCCGCCTGGTCTGTAAGGCTTGCCCCGCTTCAGTCAGTCTTTAGCAGGGGGGCAAGAGGTGGTCTGAAGTGGCTGACAGCCCACCCCCCGCGGAACGTGCCCTTCCTCAAAGGCTACACACCACCGCAAACACTAAGCCCTTTCCTTTCTACTGCCTCAATGTTGCTGGCATCAATCTCTCTCCTGCTCTCTTTCTACCTCCTAAAACTCTGCCAAGGCCCCCTCCCTGGTGTCACTGTCTCTCCCTGGTGTCCCCAAACACCCTCCACACTCCAGAATAATCTTTCCAAACTCCAAATCTGATTGTCATTCCCTCGCTCAGACTCCCCCTTTCAGAGTTTCTCAAGGTACTCAGGATCGTCTGAACTCCCCAACATACTCCTCGGCGCTTATCTCTCCTCTGACCTTGACTCAGCCCTTGCCCAGGCCAGGCCGACCTCCACCCAGCTCTTCAACCCCGAGGTCTCTCCTCCCAGAGCCTTCCTCTCTGCCCAGAGCACCCTCTGCTCTTGGCCTGGCTAATTCTAACTTACCTTTCAAGTCCTACCTGGAAAATCCCTTTTCCCAAAGCCAGACTTCTATCAGACACCTGGCTACATCATTGTGGAGTGTATTCTGGGTTCCTTCTTCTTTATCCTTCACTACACGATCAGCTTGTCATGGCAAGGGACTCTACCAACCTCGTTAATATTGACAAGCCAGCCCAGAAGCCCAGCCCTCGGCTTGGAGGCCAGAACACAGGTGAGGGCTGGCCTGGAAACACGCTCGGAACACATTGCTCAGTGAGAAAAGCAGCTTCCCAGACAGAGTTATGGTATTATCCCAACTGGCAGAGGAAAACATTTTCTTTCTTTCTTTCTTTTTTTTTTAAGACGGAGTTTCACTCTTGTTGCCCAGGCTGGAGTGCAATGGTGCGATTTTGGCTCACTGTAAACTCTGCCTCCCAGGTTCAAGCGATTCTCCTGCTTCAGCCTCCTGAGTAGCTGAGATTACAGGCATGTGCCACCACGCCTGGCTAATTTTGTATTTTCAATAGAGACGGGGTTTCACCATGTTGGCCAGGCTGGTTTCGAACCCCTGACCTCAGATGGCCCACCCGCCTTGGCCTCCTAAAGTGCCGGGATTACAGGCTTGAGCCACCGCACCCAGCCAGGAAAACATTTTCGAAGGACAAATAACCAGCGTGATGACTAAAATTGTCACAAGCACATAGTCAACCCACTTAGTAATGCAGTGAAGTTATCAGTCTTTTCTTGGTTTTGTTTTTTCAGTGCTTTCTGAAATGGGGGGGCAGGGGGAACATGGGCACCTTTTTTGCTTTAATAATCATAAAAAACAAAGAAGACATTTATAGAAAAGTAACTTAGGAAATTCAAAATTTTAAACTGTAAAAATCATTATTTCAGAATGCGTAAACTTTGCCAAGAACAGACTTCTGAATTAATTTGTGAAATCTATAAAAATAAGGGAATTTACTCAACTCCTGACTCTTGAGTTTAAGGATTGGGATTCTCAAGTCCACTGTCACATTCTGTTTCCATTAAAAAGAAAAATATTTTAAAAAATTGCTGTTTCCCTGGAAACAGGCTTTGTTTTTCAATGCTGGTGTTATCTTCACTAAATTTTTCCTCTTTTCATTAAATCTGTGTATTTTGGAAGTACTGTCAGAAAGCACTTCACCTTCAAGTTATTTTTCTGGCACTAATGTACTTTTTCTCACAATATTCTAGACAAGCAATGCAAGACCAAGCACACTATCATCCTTCTCACTGTGCTGAACCTATTGTTAGGTCTATCAGGTTGATCAGGATGAGACAATCGTATATTTAGTATATTTAGTCTACATGTGCTCTTATTTAGTGCCATTATCTTAATTTCAAGAACAGCATGGTTTTATCAGTTATGCATGAAAACCGCCTGACAGAGTGTAGATGATCTCTCTTTTTCTAGATCCTCTCAGAAATCTCTACTTCCTGGTTTCTCATCTCCCACCCCCTCCCCACCTCCCACCCACTGATGGAGAATAGCAGGTTTTTAGGGCAGCTACTTTTCGGGGTGGGCCCTGTGACCTCCAGTTGATTGAGAAAGTTAACCAAATACCCACTAGCACCATCAACAGTAACCTCCGGCCAGTTTATCTTGGCACCTAGGTGAGAATGGTGTTTGCAAAACTGGAGCAGAAACCCAGCTAGGTTTTGGAAAGGGGGAGGGGGTGTGTAGGAAACCAGCAAAGGAAAGTCTCTGAAAGATGGGCGAAAGGGACCAACCTCTAGAGAGTGGCCAAACGCAAGGTTTGAAAGGGAAGCAGCAGAGCTGGTGGGAAACATCTCCCTGGTAATTTTCCCAGACTTCTTTTAGAGGCTGTTTGCAATCAGATGGCTTTGGAGTAGCTCTGTGGACCCTGTTGCCGCTCTCTTGCTAGGAGAGGAGAGACAGAACTGGGAACTCATGTAAGCAGCTTCCATGCATTCATCACCTCAGTAATCATAATAGTATCCCTGCGAGGTGGGGTGGCTGCTGTTATCCTCTCTTACAAACAGAAGCAGAGATTCTCAAGAGGCTCAGCAATGAGTCTAAGGTCTTGAAACTCCTTGGAGCCCAATAGAAAGGGCTAAACCTTAAACCTCATTTTTTCCCCAACTCTCCCCATTCCCTCCAAGATCTCATCCAACCCCAGGCTGCAAACACCATCATGCCTAACTCGGGACTCAATCACTATCCTCACTGCCCACCTCCACCTCCACTCAGGGGTCTGGTGTGCTCACTTGGCCAGAAGCAAACCCTCCCAAAGGGTTTCCACTCTCAGAAACAGCAGTCCCATTCTTCTAGAGAACAGGCCAGGAATCTCCCAGTCATCTTTGATGCCTCTTTATCACACTCAGTATCTTTGATCCAAGGAGAAAATCCTGTTGGTTCTGTGTTCGAACTATATCCTGAATCCAATTACATCCCCCCCTCCACTGCCCTGCCCTGCCCTGCCCTGCAGACCTCACCCACCTGTCCTAGCTATTCTCCTGCCTCTGCCTAGCTCTTCCCATTGCCCCATTGCCCCAAGTGCTCCCCGCTCGCTCAGCAAAAGCAAAGATCCTTCCGTGGCTCTGGAAGAGGCCCCACACCCACTTGGGCCCTGCTCTCTAACCCCATGCCCATACTCTAGTCTCACCAGCCTCCCTGCTGTTCCTCAACTGCACCAGGGGTGCTGGGGACTCTGCCCCGCTCCTCACTCTACCACTCTGCCCGGGTGCTCTTCCACCAGACATGCCCTCATGTCCCAGTCTTGGCTGGAAGGGCCCTCATTAAGACTCCCCTGAAAAGCCCATCAGCCCTGCTCGCCCTCTCTCTGCCCCTTGTTGGCTTTATTTCCCCACTTAGCACTGAGTGCAGATTCTTGTTATCCACTCTGCCTAGATAATTCGCTCCACGACCACCCACCATCCCCTACCATCCCCTGCACACATCCATGCGTGTGCACACACACACATACACAAACACCCTAAAATGGAAGTACTCAGGAGACGCAAATTGTTCACCGTTTTGCTCTCCCGTTCACTGCTTCCCTGGAAAAGTTTCTGGTGCATGGCAAGCAGTAAATATTTATTGAATGAAATATTTGTTGAATGAAAAGATGAATATATTTGCATGACCTTACTCCTGTGTGTTTACATGAAGTTTGCTGTTATAAATCTCATACAAGACAGAGGAATGTGCCTGAGGCCTGGCATGTCTGTAAAAACACACATGGTGACATGTAAAGGATGTGGTGCTTTATTCTTTACAAGTTGGGCACACTCCCTGGCACATGAAAATGTGTCCTGATTTATAGTGTGATACCATGTCTCAAATGCAAAGGCCTTAGAACCAGGAAACTCTGACAGGATAGTGAAATTACCATTGCAGAAGGCAACTTCATCCTAAGCTACAGTGGGCTTTAGTAAGGATAAGAGTCATTAGCAACTGTGCTTGTTACTGACCAAATTCTCTCAGCTCCCCACTCCACGACTAAGGTCTGTGATTTCTTTCATTTGTGGTAAAATATTAACATACAATTTGTCATTTAACCATTTTTAAGTATAGTGTTCAGTGGTATTAGGTACATTCACAGTGAAAATTCTGATGATGAATACTGATGATTGTTGTACAACATTGTACCCATTAAACAACAATTCTCCATTTTCCTCTCCCCCAGGCCACAGTACCCACCGTTCTCCTTTCTGTCTCTGTGAATTTGACCCTGTTAGGTACTTCATATAAGTGAAATCATGCAATATTTTTCCTCGTGTGCCTTGCTTACTTCACTTAGCATAATGTCCTCAAGGTTTCTCCATGGCACAGTGTTTGTTGGAACTTCCTTACTTTTGAGGCTGAATGATGTTTCGTTGTATGTATATACCATATGTAGTTTACCCATCCATCCATGCATAGACACTTGGGTTGCTTCTGCCTTTTGGCTGTTGTGAATAATGCTGCTATCAACATGGGGGTACATGTATCAGTTTAATAGTTTCTGTTTTTTGGTGTCACATAACCCAGAAGTGTAATTACTGGATTATATGCTGTCTTAGTCCATTTTGGCTACTGTAACACAATATCATAGACTGGGTGGCTTAAACAACAGAAATATGGTGCTGGCACACTCCTCCTGGTTTGCACACTGCTGCCTTCTTCTTTTTTTTTTTTTTTTTTTTTGAGACGGAGTTTTTGTTCTGTCGCCCAGGCTGGAGTGCAATGGCACAATCTCGGCTCACTGCAACCTCCGCCTGGTTCAAGCAATTCTCCTGCCTCAGCCTCCTGAGTAGCTGGGATTACAGGCACCCACCACCACACCCAGCTAATTTTTGTATTTTTAGTAGAGATGGGGTTTCACCATGTTGGCCAGGCTGGTCTCGAACTCTTCACCTCAGGTGATCCACCCCCCCCTCAGCCTCCCAAAGTGCTGGAATTACAGGCTTGAGTCACCGTGCTGCCTTCTTGTTGTATTCTCATGGGGTGGGTTGCAAGGGAGGGGGAGAAAGACATAATTTCTCTCATATCTCTTCTTATAAGGACACTAATCCTATTCATGAGAGCTCCACCTTCATGACCTAATTACCTCCCAAAAGCCCCATCTCCACAGGCCATCACACTGAGGATTTGGAGCTCAGCATCGGAAAGTGCAGGGACACAAGCATGTAGTCTATGGCACATGGTAATTCTATTTCATTTTTTGAGGAACCACCACACTGCCCTGTGACTCTGAGGCAGGCTGGGACTCAGCGAACCACATTCCCCAGACCCCCTCACCAGCTGGATTGTCATCATTTCCCACCAACTCCTAGGTAAGAAGAGAGCCGAAGGGACTTCCTTTCTGTTTCTAGCTCTTACCAAATGCCTAGCAGTGAGGGAAGCTAAGACTCCAGTCCTCTTGGCACTCCCAGCAGCAGCTTCTCCATGCTCCCAGAAGCAGACTCTGAGGCCAAGCACTAGCCCCCCAGCATCTGTCTCAAAGGCACAAGGGTCAGCCATAAGGTACCCTTTCTCTAAGTTCCAAAGTTCTGACAACACCACCTCTTCCCTTATGCTCCCCAAGTTCTAAGGATAATAGCTGCTTGCTGCAGCTTCTAATATCTGAGCCACCTCAACATTGCCTATTTGTTCTCTCAACCTCCCAACACTCTTGTAACTGATTTCCTGGATTAAATCCCTCTGGTTGAAATACCTGGCATGGCTTCTGTTTCTAACCAGCAGAGAAACCTAGTATTTATTCTTTAACCTCTAGAAATATGTTCACCATTTGAACCTGAATAGTCTAAATATGAAAATGTTCACACAGCCTGTAGAATAAGGCTGTCATCGTTGCTGCCTCCCTTTTCTGTTTCCAAAGTTTGATTGTTTAATAGAAGATTCCTCTCTGTTGTTACTTAAAACCAATCCATTTTTTCAAAGACTGCACTGCCATCCAGAATCTATGTTAGTATTTGTCTTCCAAAGGGGGGAAAATGTTTCCTTTTGTGAACAGAAACAAAGAGAAAGAAAAGGAGGAAATGAAAAGAAAATAAGAGACAATGGGTATGTGTATGAGAGAAGGAGAGAAGCAATTCTGTCTTCCATGAGAGGTACTAAATTCGTAAACAAAGAGAAGAGAATAAGTCAGTTCTGCCACTCCTCCAGCTTTTCACCTTGACAAATCTCTACCCTTTGGGGTCCCAGTTTTCTTATCTCTAAAAGTAGGAACTGAAAAGATTTTTAAGATTCTTTCAGGCTATAAAAGGCTGCCATTTCATGTAAACTGAAGACCATAAAACTACAGAAAATATTGTAAAAATTATATATACCAAAGAATTGAATTAAATTTGAGTAGTCCCATTCTGAAACCTCCACTACTTCTCCCAAACATCAACTGCCGTGATTTAGAAATTCAAACTTCAGCTCCCAGCCCTGATGGAGAAATGTGCTCCTGCCTCAGCCTCCTACTGTAAACAGCATACAACTACTCAAGGTATAAAGCATTTGGACTACTCAGTGTATAAAGCAACACTGGACAAGAGGAAGAAGAGGATGGTAGTCCTAAAGAAAAGGATGAAACCACTCAAAATGAGCCCAATTTACTCAGTCTGGGGGACTCGCCCTCCAGTCTTCAGCACAGGGAGGTGAGCCCAAGCAGAGAACTCCGATCTCTACGACTGGGGAGGTTGATAGTGGTATTCTGGGCAGCTGAAGCCGCTGGAATGGTGAGGAAAAGGACTGGGGAGGAGAAGGTAGCTGAAGTCTGTGTGAGCATTCCACACAAAAAAACTGAACTGCACAAGTACAGAGCGAATTCTAGGGGGCCCTGCAGAGAGGAGCCGCTGCAGACTGAGAGCTCCACAGAGGCCCCGAAGGCCAATCAGGCAGGGAGACGTCTGATCCATGCGCAGTCGGAGTGAAGATGCTGCTGCCCATGGCAGGCATCCAACTCAGACCCCAGGAAGACCAGGCCTTCTGGGTAAAGAACACATCCTAGAGTAAGAGCCAGATCGCGGGGCTAAGCACAAAACAGAAATTGACCCGCCTGATAGGACTGAGAAAACCCACTAATAATTTAACTGCTGGCTAGGACAAAATTCAACACCCTTTAAAAGGAGACAACTTGGCCAGGCGCAGTGGCTCACACCTGTAATCCCAGCACTTTGGGAGGCCGAGGCGGGTGGATCACGAGGTCAGGAGATCGAGACCATCCTGGCTAACACGGTGAAACCCCGTCTCTACTAAAAATACAAAAAATTAGCCGGGCATGGTGGCGGGCGCCTGTAGTCCCAGCTACTCGGGAGGCTGAGGCAGGAGAATGGCGTGAACCTGGGAGGCGGAGCTTGCAGTGAGCCGAGATTGCGCCACTGCACTCCAGCCTGGGCGACAGCGCGAGACTCCATCTCAAAAAAAAAAAAAAGAAGACAACTTAATGTACACACCTCCACGTCTCATCCTTAATGCCCAGCATACCATAAAAAGTCACTGGACGTGCCGAAAGCAGGAAAATGTGACCTATAATCTAGAAATTCTACATTATCCACATGTGTATCTATTCTAGAAAAAAAAAAAGATATCTGAGATCACAAAATAGCCAGTGTGCCTCCTGATCTAGAAACAATTTGTAATAACCTACCAAAAAATTAATATGTATATAAAATTATATATAGTAAATGCTATATGCTACCTATTAATTACGATTTTAAAGAGATGCTAAAATATTCTAACTCTACAATCATTTATGAATTTAAACTAATTGTATCTTATTTAGGAAGTAGTAACTTTGATATAAATGTAAGTTTTTAATGTTCTAGGGTTTTTTTCCTCTGTCTCCATAACAACTTGTTTGCTAAGACTTCTAAATAAGAGGCATGATCATAAAACGTGGTTTGTGAACTGTGCAAGTTGACATCATTTATGGTGGAATAGGTCTGATGTCTGGATGGCTGTCTGTCTGACTTGTGGAGCACGCCACAGGATGAGGTGCTAGAGGCATGAACAATGGGAAAGCCAGGAGTTTTTGGACGTAGGAGCGGAAGGTTCCAGGGATGATGATGCCACTGGGCAAAGACAAGGACCCCCAGAGCTGAGTCCTCACTGCCAGCTGTTGGATCGTCGTAATGCTGCACCAACCCACTCCACTCCCACCTGGGAGCCGCCTGCCCCCACTGACCCCATCTTCCACCCGCCCCATAGGGACATTACCTGGCATTCTCCAAAACAAAAATAATTTGCTAAAATGATGGTTTGAAGGATAATTGACTTCACTATCACTACCACAGATTTTTGTTTTTTGCATTAAGTATTATCTAGTATCCACCTCTGCATTACTATTCTCAATTTCACAATCAACTTTTTTTTTTTTTTTTGAGATGGAGTTTTGCTCTTGTCTCCCAGGCTGGAGGGCAATGGCACAATCTCAGCTCACTGCAACCTCCACCTCCTGGGTTCAAGCAATTCTCCTGCCTCAGCCTCCCAAGTAGCTGGGATTTCAGGCATAAGCCACCACATCTGGCTAATTTTGTATTTTTTTTTTTAGTAGAAACGGAGTTTCACCATGTTGGCCAGGCTGGTCTCAAACTCCTGACCTCAAGTGATCCACCCCCCGGGCCTCTCAAAGTGCTGGGATTACAGGCATGAGCCACCACGCCCGGCTCACGATAAACTTTTTACAGGAGAGAAGGAAACTATTAAAATTAAGAGAAGGCAAAGTGGCTCATGCCTGTAATCCCTGCACTTTGGGAGGCTAAAGTGGGAGGATTGCTTGAGGCCAGGAGTTGGAGGCTACAGTGAGCTATGATCACACCACTGCACTCCAGCAAGGCCTTGTCTCAGAAAAAAAAAAAGAGAGAGAGAGAGAGAAAAGGATCATGATTTTAGCAATAAGGAAGAGGAAATAGACTGTTGATAAACTAAATAGAAACTAATTAATAAAGATAAGGAAAACCCTCTTGTGAACTGCAAGTGAACTTAAATGGCATTTCTGGACTTAGTGAAAATTATAAAGGAATGAAAGTATGATTTTAAAAATCAAAATTTAGCGAGAATTCAATAGAAAAAAGAAACCAGGTGGGGCACGGTGGCTCATACCTGTAATTCTAGCACACTGGGAGGCTGAGATGGGCGGATCACCTGAGGTTAGGAGTTCGAGACCAACCTGGCCAACATGGCCAAACCCCATCTCTACTAACAATATAAAAATTAGCCGGGCGCGGTGGCGGGTGCCTGTAATCCCAGCTACTCAAGAGGCTGAGGCAGGAGGATTGCTTGAACCCAGGAGGCAGAGGTTGCAGTGAGCCGAAATGGTGCTACTGCACTCCAGCCTGGGTGACAGAGCGAGACTCCATCTCAAAAAATAATAATAATAAAATAATAAAAAATAATTTTAAAAAGGGAGCTTAAAGGTACTAAATATCCTGAATAATTTGAACAGAGAAAATGATCATTAAAAACTGTCAAAATGACCAACATTTACTGTGACCAGTTAGGATTAACACTTTGAAAATATCTTGTATTCTGTGATAAAAATAACCAGGAAAAGGAAAGGGAGAATTAAAATACAAAAAAGATAGATATAATTGGTAAATCTAAAAAAACACAATACTAATAAAGTTGTCAAGTGTATTGTCTTCACAAGATCTTGCTGATAAAGTTGTATGAGTCAAACTAAGATCTGACTTATAAACTAAAGATATATGAAGCAAAAATATTATTATATATTATTCTCACTAAACATTTGAAAATAGTTCAATTGGCCAGGCGCAGTGACTCACGCCTGTAATCCCAGCACTTTGGAAGTCCGAGGTGGGTGGATCACCTGAGGTCAGGAGTTCGAGACCAGCCTGGCCAACATGGTAAAACCCCGTCTCTACTAAAAATACAAAAATTAGCCAGGCGTGGTGGTGGGTGCCTGTAATCCCAGCTACTCAGGAGGCTGAGGCAGGAGAACCGCTTGAACCCGAGAGGCGGAGGTTGCAGTGAGCCGAGATTGCGCCATTGCACTCCAGCCTGGGCAACAAGAAGGAAACTCCATCTTGAAAAAAAAAAAAAGAAAAGAAAATAGTTCAATTACAATCAACATCAGTTTATCTAGTGTTTTGGTTATCTACTGCTGCATAAGAAAACACCCCAAGACCCAGCAGCTTAAACAATAACCATTTATTTATTTGTTCCCGATTCTGCAACATGGCCTGGACTGAGTGCTGCTGCTTCTGGTCTTGCCAGTGGCTACGCCACACGGATGTGTTTGGCAGGCAGGTTAGCTAGGGTCGGGGCTCAGCGGAGACGAGGAACAGCAGAACTCCTTACATAGTCTCAAGCCCTCTCCCTCTGCATGTGGCCTCCCTATACGGTTTATCCGGTGGCCAGACTGCTTCCATGGGGACTCACGACTTCCAAGAACACAGGAACAGTTGTCAGCCCTTCCTCAGCCCTGGCAGTCCCAGACCATGACTTCTACTGCTTATTACCTAAAGCAATCACAGAGCAGTCCAGATTCAAGGTGATGAGAAAGAGACATCAGCTCTTGACAAGGACGGACCAGGCCGCCCTGCAAAGAGCCTGTGGGGTAGGAGGCATTGCTGCAGTGTCTCTAGGAATATCGTCTACCACGACTGCTATATGATTTGTGAAAAGCTTGATAAACAAATGAGATATGTCACAGGGCAGCAGGGATCATGTTTAATCATCCTAAAAGGAAACTTCTTGACAACAAGCATCTTACATGAAAGACATAGTTCACCTCGAGGAAATGGAAAACAGTTTCTGCCTTATTGTGTAGTTGAGAGATAAAATACACAAAAGAGGAACTGTAAAGGTATTAGTTCACTCAACAAATAGTTTTGAATGTTTAATGAGCTAGTCTTATACCCCCAGGTAAAGTATAACTTTTTAAAGACAGCTTTCCGGCCAATACTTTTATTTCAGAAGCCATGTGCACATAGGAATACAAAAGCAGCTGTCTTTTGGGGGGAGGCTGCCAGGTGTTAGGAACTATGCCAAGCATGGTCTCTCTGAATTCTCTCAGAACCCTGCAAAAGCTCCACCATTAGTCATTGTACTGGAGAGAAAACTGATGCTTTGAGGGGTTAAATGCTCTCAAAGTAACACTGACTCCTGAAATATTAGTAGATTGACTGAAGGAGACTTAGTTACTGAGAATATTGGAACATATTTTAGAAGTATTTTTGCTTATATATGTATTTTTAATTTCCAATTTTACCCATACAAGGCTCCCTGGACTTGGAGTAATTCTTCTCTAAGATGTGAGGCTATGGTTCAGTCTTCCTAATGCCCAGTGTCTTTACGCGGGAAGACCGGAAAACATTACTGAAGCATCTGCACACACCTGCAGGATCCCATCATTCCATCACAGAACAGCCGTATAGTTCAAGCCAGTGGAAACTTCTACATGGCAACTCCCAACACTACTGAAGTCTGGATGGAAAAACACCCAGCTTTTCTCAAATAACCATGGGTTGTCTTGGGTCCAAATTGGAAAATGCCGTTTCTCCCTCTTCCTGCCTTTGCCTCCCACAGGGCTACGCATGGATCTCTGCGGATCAGGCTTTCCCTCCCTGAGGGTGGGCTGTTTCCTCACACATTCAGTAAGAGGAAGAGGTGGACAGAAAGTGGAGGCGGCTGCAGAACAGGGGACCTGCAGGCTGGAGCCAGTGTGAGCCGAAGCCAGAGGTCCCCTGGGGGGGAGTGAGCAGGGAAAAGAATGGAGGGGCTGAGCAGATAAGAATCTTGTATTCTCCCTCCATTTCCTTGTTCCTCGGCCCTGCCTATGGGGCTCGCCTACCCTGGGCCTTTTAACTGTCAGGGAGCCAATGCCAAGCGCTGGGCCAAGTCATCGCCGATGACATGTGAGTTGTGTGTGTTCCAAATTGGCCTTCCTGCCTTTCTGCAAGAAAAACAAACTTGAGCTGGACCCCAACAAACATGACAGGAAAAATAACAACCCTTGTTGAGGGCTGATACTGAAAATGGCTGGTCTCCCCACCCGCGAGCCAGCCCCTGCTGAGGGCAGGACCAGGGTCCTCCTCTGACGTGGGGTCCTCCTCTGACGTGGGGTCCTCCATGGCGACATACTGTCCAGGGCAACCAGGTCATTTCTTCTGAGGTCGCCTGGGAAAGCCCCCTTGACAGGCCCTTTCCTGGCCCCACAATGACACCACAAGGTAACAAACCCATTTTACGGAGAGGTTAGTCTGTGGCTTTGGGTAACATCCTGATTAAGCGACAGAGCTACCTTCACTCACAACAGCATCTAACTCTAGAGTTTCTACTTTTAAGTTTTAGCTATATTCGAAAAATGAGAATTCAGAATGAATGCTCTTGTTGGGCTTGCTTCCTAGATAATACGCTAAAAGTCTTTAAAACCACTGGCATATATAATAAAACCACTGGCATATATAATAAAACAATAACATGAAATATTACCATTATTATTTTAAATAATGTTTCTTCGTCAATTTGAAAGCCTTCCATAAGCTAGACTCTGTTCTCTTTTTCACTATTTTTTACATGAACATGGTACACAAACGATGCTGTTCAATGAAATAGTGGGGTGAATTAAACTGAAAATAACATTTTCTAGGCTACAATAATCAATAGTTATATATACCCAAACAAACTATAAGTAGAAACTCCAAAAGATACTTCTACACTTGTGTTCAGAGCAGTATTATTCACAATAGCCAAAAGAAAGAAGCGACCTAAGGGGCTGGCCATTGACAGATGAATTGGAGAAACAAAATATGATACGTACGTGCAATGGACTATTACCCAGCCCTAAAAAGGAAAGGGATTCTGACACATGCTACGACATGGATAAACCTCAAAGACAGCATGCTAGGGGAAACATGCCAGGCACAGAAGGACAAATGTTATATGAGTCCACTTACATGAGGTACCTAGAGAGGTCACATCCATGGAGATAGGAAGGAGAATGGTGTTATCAAGGGCTGGGGAAAGGAGAGAATGTTTAATGGTTACAGTTTCCGTTTGGGAAGATGATCACTTTCTGGAGATGGTGGGTGGTGATGGTTGTACAGAACGTGAGTGCACGTAAGGGCACTGAACTGTATGCTTAAAAATGGTTAAGGTGGTAAATTTTATTTATGTGTATTTTACCTTAATTTTTTAAAAAACAAATCATTATTCAGTCCTGGCTGAAGGAGAGAAAATACTAAATAATGCTTGTTAAAGCAAACTAAATATGGCCTGAAAAGGACCCTGTACTTCTATATTTAAGTCCTTGTGGATGAACTGTAACCTAGCTTAACAGTCAGACAAAATTGAAAACCTAACTTGATAGTATGCACCCAAAACAGTAGCTGAGTCTTGGCCAATCTCAGCAGCCATACTTCGACCACTCATAGACTGCTGAGTGTTCAAACTATATTCATATAAGGCAAACACAGAGCTGTAACCAATCTCACTGTTTCTGTACCTCACTTCAGATTCCTGTACATCACTTTAACTTTTTTGTCTATAAGTTTGTTCTGACCACGAGGCACCCCTGGAGTCTCTGTGAATCTGCTGTGATTCTGGGGACTGCCTGATTTGCGAATTGTTCATTGCTCAATTAAATTCCTTTTTTCTTTTTTCCTTTCTTTTCTTTTCTTTCCTTTTTTTCCCCCAGGCTGGAGTGCAGTGGGACGATCTCGGCTCACTACAACCTCTGCCTTCTGGGTTCAAGTGATACTCCTGCCTCAGCTTTAAATTTAATTCAGCTGAAGTTTTTCTTTTATCATGGTGAAACCTTCTCCAGTGTGTGCCAGGTCCAGGAGGATTCACCTAGCAACATGTCGCCATCCTCAGACCTCAGCTTTAAAGTGAGGCCTAGGACAATTGCATTAGGAATTTTGCAGATCTATTTTTTCTGAAGATTTTAGAGCATTTCTGAGAGGCTGGTTTCACAGGTTGAGGACAAAGCAGGCCACTAACTCATATGGCTGGATGTAAAAAACAAAGAGCCTGCCTATATTGCACCAATAAACTTTTCAGAAAGAAATGAAACCGTTTTGACTTGTGCTGTTTCAGATCTTGAAAACTTCTAGGCCGGGCGCAGTGGCTCACACCTGTAATCCCAGCACTTTGGGAGGCCGAGTGGGCAGATCACGAGGTCAGGAGATAGAGACCATCCTGGCTAACATGGTGAAACCCTATCTCTACTAAAAAATACAACAAAAATTAGCCAGGCGTGGTGGTGTGCACCCATAGTCCCAGCTACTCAGGAGGCTGAGGCAGGAGAATGGCGTGAACCCAGGAGACGGACTTGTAGTGAGCCAAGATTGCGCCACTGCGCTTCAGCCTGGGTGACAGAGCAAGACTCCGTCTCAAAAAAAAAAAAAAGAAAAAAAGAAAAAAAAGCTTCTCTAAACAAAGACGATTTCACTCCCACAACTCTTTTATTACTATTATTATTTATTTATTTATTTATTTGAGACAGGGTCTCACTCTGTTGCCCAGGATGGAGTGCTGTGGCACGAAACCACTTACTACAGCCTTGACCTCCTGGGCTCAAGCCGTCCTTCCACCTCAGCCTCCCAAGTAGCTGGGACCACAGGCACACCTCTACGCCCAGCTAATTTTTACATTTTGTAGTGAAGGAGTCTCACCAAGTTGCCCAGGCTGGTCTCAAACTCCTGGGCTCAAGCAATCCTTCTACCTCTGCCTCCAAAGTGCTGAGATTACAGGCGTGAGCTGCTGCGCCCAGCTGGATCTTTTTTTTTTTTCTATCTTTTAATGTCTTTTTTGTCAAAACTTTCATTTTATAAAGCTCTGTTCAACTCTGACTTTACAATAGTTTGCTTCTCACAAACTATATCAGATGATATGGGCTCCCTGCTTGAGGCGATGGGCTGCTTCTCAGCCCTGCGTAGGAGGAATGGTTTAAATTAATCCTAGCCATTTTTAGCATAAAACTCTCACGCATTTTCCCCGAGCATACTGAAAGCTTTTAATTAATTAAAAACAATGTTTATAGCAATAATCAAATACTTAAATTAAAATTTTTCATAAGAATCTGTCATCAAAGTTATGTTTTGCCAAAGTTGGTACTGTAAGGATTTTTATTTGTGAATATCATAAATTGCTTCAATTCTGTTCCATTTCCAAGTTTCTAGGCATTTATCAAGCTGCACCTGCCTAGAAAATAAGTTTTGGAGAGGATGTAGGGAAATTGGAACCCTTGTGCATTGCTGATGAGAATATAAAAGGGTGCAGCTCTTGTGAAGAACAATAAGGTGATTCTTTTTTTTTTTTTTGAGACGGAGTCTCGCTCTGTCACCAGGCTGGAGTCCAGTAGTGTGATCTCAGCTCACTGCAACCTCCGCCTCATGGGTTCAAGTGATTCTCCTGCCTCAGCCTCCCAAGTAGCTGGGACTACAGGCGTGCACTACCACGCCCAGCTAATTTTTGTATTTTTAGTAGAGACGGGGTTTCACCATGTTGGCTAGGATGGTCTCCTGGCCACTGAGATAGCGTCACTGCACTCCAGCCTAGGAGAGATGAGTGAGACTCTGTCTCAAAAAAAAAAAAAAAGAAAAGACTATTTGCACAGCAATGTACATAGCAGCATTAGTCACACAGCCAAAAGGTAGAAGCAACCCAAGTGTCCATTAATAGATGAATGGATAAACAAAACATGATGAAGACCTGCAATTGAATATTGTTCAGTATTAAAAAGAAAAGGAATTCTGATACGCACTATAATATGGTTGAACCATGAGGATACTATGCTAAGTGAAATTAGCCAGACACAAAAAGACAAATACTGTGTGATTCCACTTATATGAGGTACCTAGAGTAGTCAAATTCACAGGGACAAAAAGTAGAGTGGTTGTTGCCAGGGGCTGGGGGTATGGAGGGAAAGGAGAGTGAGTGTTTAATGGGTACTGAGTTTCAATTTGGGAAGATGATCATATTGTGGAGATGGACGGTGGTGATGGCTGCACAACAATGTGAATATATTTAATGCCTCTTAAAAATTGCTAAGACAGTACATTTCATGTAATGTGTATTTTATAATAGAAAAAGATAAAGTTAAAAAAAAACTATACCAGCCTAGATGACGATAATAATGTTGTCCTAATGAGAGTGGTGTAAGAATTAATAATATAACAATACATGCATAGTACTTGGAACCATGCCTGATGCTAGAGTTAATGCATAAAAAAACTAGCCGTCACCAGCCAGACATGGTGGCTCACTCCTGTAATCCCAGTACTTTGGGAGGCTGAAGCGGGCAGATCACCAGGTCAGGAGTTCAAGACTAGCCTGGTCAACATGGTGAAACCCTGTCTCTACTGAAAATACAAAAATTAGCCTGGCATGGTGGCAGGTGCCTGTAATGCCAGCCACTCAGGAGGCTGAGGCAGGAGAATCGCTTGAACCCAGGAGGTGGAGGTTCAAGCAGTGAGCTGAGATTGTGCCATTGGACTCCAGCCTGGGCAACAAGAGCAAAACTCCATCTCAAAAAAAAAAAAAAAAAAAAAAAAAAACTAGCCATCACCATTACAATCATTATTATTCTTAATATTATTATCTCCTATCAACATGTTTGATCCTATAGTTTTACTATTTTAAAAAGAAAATTTTCCTGGTGTAATGAAACGTGATCTCAGTAGGTGGCTCCCTCTAGCACTTTTACCTTTGTCAAGGGGAATTTGATTGCAGCCTTTTCCAAAGCAGGCCCTGCCCTGGTTAGAGGGCAGACTCCAAGGTTTTTCAAAGCCCTGTAAACCTTGAACTAAAGGGGCCCTGAACCAGAGCAAGTTCTTCATCAACTCTTAGTCTACCCCACACATCTGGAGTCACGCCAACGATTTCTTAGGATCCTTAAGAATAACTCACTTCGTGGCTGGGCACGGTGGCTCACACCTGTAATCCCGGCACTTTGGGAGGCCGAGGCGGGTGGATCACCTGAGGTCAGGAATTCAAGACCAGCCTGGCCAACATGGCGAAACCCCGTTTCTACTAAAAATACAAAAATTAGCTGGGAGTGATGGTGGGCGCCTGGATTCCATAATCATGTTCCTAGGTACTCAGGAGGCTGAGGCAGGAGAATCCCTTGAACCTGGAGAAGGAGGTTGCAGTGAGCCAAAATTGCGCCACTGCACTCCAGCCTGGATAACAGAGTGAGACTCTGTCTCAAAAAATAATAAGAATAACCCACTTTAAAAGATAACAAAATGCAAGTTAAAATAATAAGTTATCCTTAATCCCTAAAACATTATTCAGTAACTACAGATAAATGATTTCTAGCACTTATCTATTCTTCAGCCTTAAGGAGAATTCAGTGAAGGGAGTGTTAGCTCCATTTTCCGGTGAGGAAACTAAACCTGGGAGCAGTAAGCATTTTGTGCAGTGTTTTACGGCGTGTTCCATGCAAAATAGAGAACACCCAACCCTCTGACTCATAGCTCTGCTAGTTACAACACACACTACAAAAACTGGAAATAAATCCACTTTATAACATCAAAGCTAAAGGAACTGCAGACATTGATTTGTCAAACTAAAATGAAATGATTACAAAATTTGAGACCCTAGATTTAGGTGAGTTCTGAGAATTATACACTTTGTGGGGCCCAGCCTGAGAAGCCTGTGAATTCTACTCATTGACATGGATGAGTCAAAAGTCCAGTTGTTTGTCTAAGAAACTGGGGCAAACCTGCAGACCGGGGAAATAAACATACTTCAGAAGAACTGTTCCTAAGATAACTCCATCCAACTTCAAAGAAACACATCCAACCTCAAATCTGAAGAAGACAGCTGTAGAATCCCCATGTTGAAAATGTGATGAAATGGACCCCCAGAAACATGCAGCCCTGGGGGAGGAGCCAACAGGTAAGCTGGTACCAGGTGAGCCCTGGAATGGGGAAGCCAGGCAGACAGCCTGACCGCCTTATCCAGAGTGAGTCTCCAAATGACCCAACTAAATATACCTTTGCAACGATCAACTCAACTTGCCTAATAATTCCAATACTACCAATAAATCCCTTTAATAGTGTACATTTAAGAAAAATAAAACAAAGAGTACCAGAGAAAAAAGAAAAAATACAAAGTCTTTTGTTCTGTTTTGGTTTTGTTTTCGAGACAGAGTCTTGCTCTGTCGCCCAGGCTGGTGTGCAATGGTGTGATCTTGGCTTACCGCGACGTCAGCCTCCCGGGTTTAAGCGATTCTCCTGCCTCAACCTCCCAAGTAGCTGGGATTACAGGCACACACCACCATGCCCAGCTAATTTTTTTTTCTTTTTTTTTTTTTTTTTTTTGTATTTTTAGTAGAGACGGGGTTTCACCACGTTGCCCAGGCTGGTCTCCAACTCCTGAGTTCAGGCAATCCGCCCGCCTCAGCCTCCCAAAGTGCTGGGATTACAGGCACGAGCCACCACACCCAGCCATAAAGTCAAATTATTAATTCCTGGCCAGATGAGAAAATATGCATCAATACAGAAATTCAGTGAATGCTTCACCCAGGGAAAAGTCAAAGGTTGAAGGTGGTGGCAGTGTACGTATGGTGCTGATATTAGCTAGGAATGAAAACTAGCATCCTGGATAGGACAGAGTCCACCAATCTCTGTAAACTGTTGGCTAAAAAGTACGATTGTTTGTCAGCCAAGAAAAAGTCTTCAGTTCGGCCCAGTTAGGAGCTGTTGTACAAGGGTCATGCAAAGCTCCTGCTGCTTTGTCAGCATGCTTTCACTAGAATCTGTTTTCATGAAACACAGTATTCAGTTTTTGTATCTCCTGAGCAAATGCTGATATAAATAGAAAAATTTCCCTTATACATAGATTATAACAACCTCGTGTAATGCATGATGACATCAAAGTGGATATTTCCTTGTGAGAGCCAGCAGTAAAGACATTGGGGGAATCTGAATGTGATTTGGATGGTATACACAAGAGAGGAAAATTTATTGAAATGGAAATGTTTGGTTGACAAAATAGGTCACAATACAGTGTATATCATGTGGTGTCGTTTTGATAATAATAACAATGCTCCTATATGTACATGAAGAAAAATATCCAGAAGGATATACACACATGGCCAGGGGCAATAGCTCTAGCCTGTAATCTCAGCACTTTGGGAGGCCAAGGCAGGCAGATCACCTGAGGTCGGGAGTTCGAGACCAGCCTGACCAACATTGAGAAACCCTGTCTCTTACTAAAAATACAAAATTAGCTGGGCATGGTGGTGCATGCCTGTAATCCCAGCTACTCAGGAGGCTGAGGCAGCAGAATCGCTTGAACCCAGGAGGCGGAGGCTGTGGTGAGCCGAGATCGCACCATTGCACTCCAGCCAGGGCAACAAGAGCGAAACTCCAACACAAAAAAAAAAAAAAAAAAAAAAAAAAAAAAAGGATATGCACACGTGTTACAGTAGTGAGTTTAGGTGAAAGGAAGGTGATATGTTTTCATTTTTATTTTTGCTTTACTTATTAATTTTCTACAATGATCATGTGCTGTTTCTGTAGTAATAAAAAGTTATTATTTTAGACTGATGCGGTGTAAAGGAGCTCATTTCTTCTCCCCCTACGATTTAAAGTTGAAATGTGTTTTGAGATTATATTGGTTTCCAGATTCAGAACTGTGGCTTACAGAGAGAAATCACAACTTGAGTCCTGATAACCGATGGATGGTTGCCTCGAATCCACAGCCCTCATCTCCCCACGTGACAGCCCCAAGTGAGTCAGATCTCAAGGTGATTATGGAACACTCAGGGAATTTTGGCAACATTTCCCATTCTTCACACCACCCACATGAATACCTGGAAGCTCACTGTTGCCATGAGAACCCCCTGGGCCAAAGCAAGCTGGCCACCCAAACGGAACAGCCTGGGCACCGACGTCCTCCGAGGGGAGCTCAGGACCAAGCCCAAAGCAGGAGGTGATTATCAGGCTTCCTAACCCTTAGGGTCAAAAACCAGATTTCATGACAGGGAGACACAACTCCCACTGATTTATCTTTCCTTTATCCTGCAACTGGCCGTTTCAAGCAGTCTACTCTGTGATTATATCAGGAATCGCTGGGTGGAGGTTTTTTTAAATGCACAGGAACGATTTTTCTAAACCAAAGCAGACGTGTAATTGGCAAGTCCCAAAAGAGACCAAGCAGGATGGTAAGGGCAGACCCTGGGTTTATCAAGAATAAAGAGGGTGCAAAGTTCAAAGATTCGGGAAAATCAAAATAGGCAACTACCGGATGGTATTAACTTAAATAAACCAAATGTAGGGTTAAATAAGCCTGCTGATGTTAAAGGTTACATCATTACTCAACTTCAGCTTTCTAAAACAATAAAGAGATGTGAATAAAATTACCTACTCGCATAAATCATTCTTACCCAGCCCAAATCCCAGAGAGGACTAAGGAACGACCTACTTGACAATGAAAGACAGATGAGTTCCCTGCGCTCTTTGCAGTAGCTGCAAAGATTAACCTGCCTTACCACGGAAACTCAGGCAATGCCAGAGGGCAGAGACGGCAGGAGTTCAGGACCATCCAAAAACGGCTCAGGAAAAGAAACTTTTCCTTGAATTTAATATTCTTATTTTAAGAATACAAATTAGAATTAGAATATAAAATGAATTGCTGTCCTTTCATGGCAGTTGTGTTTTAAAAAAAAAACCTACATGGTTAAATAAAAAGCTTTCCACCTAAATTTCTATAAGAAGATACTTTCTCTATTAGCTTTATTCGGGATCATTATTTTACGGTTCTTTAAACTTACAATAAAAGTAATATATAGGCATATTAGTTTAAAACTTGGATGACAATAATTTGTATATTATTTTTTTCTACTCCATTTCCATAGCAAGTGTCCAATAGATAGTAAATTAATCACATTTGATTGCATCCCTAAAAATTTATTCTTTAGAATTTTCAGATCGTAAAGAAGTTACACACCAACTGAACAAACTTGCATTGTAAAGACTTGACTCATCAAACCATATACAGCAGGTCCTCGAGTAATGCCATTTTGTTATATCGTTGATGAGAAAAAATAATCTATTCCTGCAGGGGCCGCTGTCTGTGTGAAGGTTGCACGGTCTCCCCACATCTGCGGGGAGTTTTTGGGTTCTCTAGTTTCCTACCATGTCCCAAAGGTTCATTGGCGTGTCTAAACGGTCCCAGTATGAGTGTGAGTGTGAGTGTGGGGGTGTGTGAGTGTGGAAGTGTGTGGGAGTGTAGGAGTGTGTTAATGTGGGAGTGTGAGTGTGGGAGTGTGTGAGTGAGTGTGAGTGTGGGAGTGAGTGTGGGTGTGGGAGTGTGTGAGTGTGTGGGAGTGAGTGTGAGTGTGGGAGTGAGGGTGAGAGTGTGTGGGAGTGAGAGTGTGGAAGTGATTGTAGGTGTGGAACTGTGATTGTGGGAGTGAGGTGAGTGTGGGAGTGTGTGGGAGTGAGTGTGCGTGTGGGAGTGTGATTGTGGGAGTGTGAGCGTGGGAGTGAGTGTGGGTGTGGGAATGAGTGTGTGGGAGTGTAGAAGTGTGCGAATGTGGGAGTGTGCATGTGGGTGTGGGAGTGAGTGTGAGTGTGGGAGTGAGTATGGGAGTGAGTGTGGGAGTAAGAGTGTGGGAGTGGAGAAGTGTGTGTGAATGTGGGAGTGTGTATGTGGGTGTGGGAGTGAGTGTGAGTGTGGGAGTGTGGGAGTGAGTATGGGAGTGAGTGTGAGAGTAGGAGTGTGGGAGGGTAGAAGTGTGTGTGAATGTGCATGTGGGTGTGGGAATGAGTGTGGATGTAAGTATGAATGAGTGTGTTGCAGTGTGTGTGGGAGGGTGACTGTGGGATTGTGTGGGAGTGTGTGTGGGTTAGAGTGTGAGAGTGTGTGGGGAGTGAGTGGGTGTGCGCCTGGGAGTGTGTGAGTTCTCCCTGAGAAGGGATGGCATCCTGACCTGGGCTGGTTTCTGTCTTGAACCATGAGCTGCCAGGCCAAGCTCTGGCTGCACCGTGAGCTGGAATAAATGAATGAATGAATGAATCCAAATGATTATAAAATAAAAATGTGTAAAGTCTACAATAATCACACAAACGATGTGAAACGAAATCATTCAACAAGCCCGCCATGTTTGTGATGGTTTTTGAACTGTGTGGTGGGAGGAGGTGCTTCTTATAATTTCACTTTGCAAACATTTATTCCTTGATTTAACTCACCATAACTATGACGACTATCACTCACTGATTCACCAATAATTGGGTAAATAATTATCTTTCTTGTTTTTATTAATCTTTCTTAAATTTACTTATAGCTCACATTTATTTCATTGTTTAATATTAAAAGTGCTTGGGGTCTTTCTTTAGAAGTTTGGTGATGTTCTTGTGGCTAGAAATATGCCATAGGAACTTAACTCTTGGTTATATCAATTAAAATTTATATTGATACTAAAATTAAAATTTTATATCAAGTAACACTGATCTCATTATACATCATTTCACTTAAAGTTGCAGGTTCCAAGAACCTATTGATGACTTTGAGATCTTACTGTATGCTTACATAGCATAGTGATTAAATTTATATTTTAGAACACTTTCAAAAATAACTCTCTAAAACCTCTAACAAAAAAAGACAGCCATATATCAGCTTTCAATCCATTCTGTGAAGTAATTTAGCTAGTTATACAATGGAAAGTTAAAAGTAGAAAACACACAACAATGAGATGCCACAATACACCTATGAAAACGGCCCAGACTCCCAAACCTGACAATACCACTTGCTGCTGAGGATGAAGAGCAATAGGAACACTCATTCATTTCTGATGGCAATTCAAAATGGTACAGCAATTTGGAAGACAGTTTGGCTGTTTCTTACAAAGCTAAACGTAGTCTTATAGGATTCCACAATCATGTTCCTAGGTATGTATTCAACTTCTCTGAAAATTTATGTCCATAATAAACACCTGCATGTGAATGTTTACAGCAGCTTTATTCGTAATTGCAAAATACTAGAAACATTCAATATATGCTCCAATAGGTGAATGGATAAATATGCTGTGATATACAAATACAATGAAATATTATTTAGAGATAAAAAATAAATGATCTGTAAGTCATAACAAGACACGGATGAATCTTGAATACATGTTGCTAAATGAAAGAATCCTGTCTGAAAATATTACATACTGTAAGCTTCCAGTTATGCGACATGTTGGGAAAGGCAACACAAATGGTAAAGATGGGTGATTACAAGGACTTGTGGGAGAGGATTGAAGAGGTGAAGCACAGATTTCTTAGTGCAGTGAATCTATTCTTTATTTTATTTTATTTTATTTTATTATTATTTTTTTGAGATGGAGTCTTGCTCTGTTGCCCAGGCTGGATTGCAGGGGAGCGATCTCTGCTCATGGGCAGTGAATTTATTCTGCAAGATATCATAATTATGTATACATAAGTTTAAGCATTTGTTAAAACCCATAGAACTTTACAGCACAAAGAGTGATCCTTAATGTGTGCAAATAAAAAAAAATTGTTTAGGAGGTCGGGAATCCCAGAATGAGATAAGAGGATCTAACTGTATTACAAATGTGTGAAATAGTCTCATTAGTGGGATGGGAAGAAAGGGTGCTGACTTAAGCACCTTTGGAAATGAGTGAAGCCTACAGGACTAAAAGCAAATGAAATTGGACAGACTCTACTCTAGTTGATGAAAGTTGTTTCCCATGGGAGTACAGGTTAACAATTCTAATGCTACCATACATGTACACTGCAATTGAACAATTAAGTAAATGGATGGCAGTTGATGGAAGTCGAATTCCTCACAGCTGGAACAGGAGTTTACAAATAAGCGAGAGGAAGAGTCTAGAGCAATCCACATGATAACAGATTAGAGTTGGGGACGTCAGCATGAACTCATGTTTAGCTTAATATAGACACAATAGTCACATATGGAAAAATATGTAGATATGTGTATACACACAGGTTAGTGTACACACATATATTTCCACATTTTGTCAGCTAAAAGGGTCTTGAAGCGATGACACACCAGTAGCAACAAGCACACCTAGCTCTTGTTTTCTAATACTATTTGCCAATAAAAGGAACCAGAACTTCTTGGTGAAATGGCTGATTCTGTGACAGGACAGGGAATATAGAAGATGAGTGGAGGTATTTTATAGAGCCAGGAAATACAGAAATGCTAAATAAAATAAAATAAAACAAAAACCTACATTGACTGGAGTATATGTCAAAGGAACATAGAGGCCAACTAACAAGCTCCTAACAAAGCTGGAACAACTAGAACTACAAAATAAATTCGTATTAGATTACGTTCAAAGGATAAAATATATATCCATGAGTACAAATTCATGGTACAAATAAATTATTGAAGAAAAAAATGGGAAGAAGAGACCAATCTCCTATGCAAATAATTTTTGGAGCTACTCCGCCCTTAGAGGGATGCAGCACAACTCCTTGAGTGTTCACTACATGTAACAACTTCATTCCAAAAGTACAGTTTGGAAGGTAGGGAAAAGGAACTTTACAGTGGAGAAAACTGACAAACACTACTTCAGCCAGGTGGTCAAAGTCAGTATCGCCAGTGATAAATCATGTTGAGAGTATGTACCCTTGATACAATGTGATGAAAATAGCCCTTGACTTCTGTGGTCTTCATCCTGTAAACCCATAACCTCATGTTAAACTGAGAAAAACATCAGAATAAACACATCTGAGGGGTATTCTACAAAATGTACTTGACAGTACTCCTCAAAACTGTCAAGGTCATCAAAAACAAAGAAGGTCTGAGAAACTGTCAGAGCCAGGAGGAGCCTAAAGAGACACGACGACTAAATGTCATGTGGTATTTTGGATGAAATCCTGGAAATGAAAAAGGATGTTAGGTAACAAAGCAAAAACAACAACAAACTAAAGGTCGGGCGCAGTGTCTCACACCTGTAATCCCACCTCCTTGGGAGGCCAAGGTGGGCAGATCACCTGAGGTCAGGAGTTCGAGACCAGCCTGGCCAACATGGTGAAACCCTGTCTCTACTAAAAATACAATAATTAGCCAGGTGTAGTGGCGAGTGCCTGTAATCCCAGCTACTTGCGAGGCTGAGGCAGGAGAATCCCTTGAACCCAGGAGTCGGAGGTTGCAGTGAGCCAAGATCATGCCACTGCACTCCAGCCTGAGTGAGAAGAGTGACACTCTGTCTCAAAAAAAATAAAAAATAACAAATTAAGGAAATCTGAATAAAATATGAACTTCATTTAATAGTAATGTAGTAGTTCATTAATTATAATAAAAATCCCATACTAATATAAGATGTCAATATGAAAGGAAACTAGATATAGGGCATATAGGAACTCTCTGTGCTCTTTTCACAGTGTTCTATAAATCTAAGACCATTCAGAAAAGAAGTTTTATTTTGTTTTGTTTTGTTTTCTTGAGACTGAGTTTGGCTCTTGTTGCCCAGGCTGGAGTGCAATGGCGCAATCTTAGCTCACTGCAACCTCTGCCTCCCCGGTTCAAGTGATTCTCCTGCCTCAGCCTCCCAAGTAGCTAGGATTACAGGCGCATGCCACCACACCTGGCTAATTTTTTGTATTTTTAGTAAAGACGGGGTTTTCCCATGTTGGCCAGGCTGGTGTCGAACTCCCAACCTCAGGTGATCCACCCACCTCAGCCTTCCAAAGTGCTGGAGATTACAGGTGTGAGCCACTGCGCCCGGCCTAAGAAATTTTGTTTTAAAAAATAGTTCAAGCAATACTGGACCATAACCCAAAAAAGGTAAAACAACACCTCTGTTACCCAGAAGAAAAAAAAAAAAAAGAAGATCCCTCAAGTTATCGGACACCTTAGAATTTTACCCCAAGGCTAATCTAAACATCTCTGCCCTTCCTTTAAAGTAGGAAAGCAGAAGGCATATTAAAATTGCTGTGAAGAGGGTTATTGGTAAGCACAAAAACAAGTCAAAAAATCAAGTGATCATAGGGGGTGTTGTTTGTTTACTGAAGTAACAAATAATATATCTTTTGTTTTGGAAATTTTTGACACCTGCTAAACACAAAACAAAACAAGTCATCAGAGGTAAAGGGCTTTGTTAGCTCTATGTTAAAATATGGATCCAGAGTTCAGGCTCCGACGACATCACAGATACAGAGGACATAACCCTCAGAAGACCGTCTAGAATGCAAGAGAGGATACTTTTAGTAAGTCTCCCAAAGGAGACCCCCAAAATGATGGCGCTTACCAGCACTGACCCAGATCAGCTTAAATCCTGCATTAGCCAGAGGGCAAGAACAGCTTTCCTTCCAGAGCTCTGGGAGCAGGGCATTTGGAATTTTATTCGCAACGTCCTTGGACTCTCTCTTTTCTCTCCCTTTCTTCTCCTCTCTGAGCCCTAATTCATCCTGCCACTTCGGTAGTATACTTCTGTTACCAGTTAGAGGGACAGAACTATCTGCTTAAGATAAAGCTTCTGAAATCGCGTCTTTTTCTCCATTCATCTTCTACTACATCATTTTTAGAATATTTACCCATTAGCAGAATATTTATCTGCTAGTGTTCAAAGTGAAAACATTTTCTAACACATTGTGGAAGTTTCTTGAAGTACAACCATCTACAACTGAAATAATCACAAATTGAAACTCCTCAGCTCTGCTTGGCACAGGTCCATTCACAAATTAGCTTGGTGTCCATCTCTAGCTCCTATCAACCCACCCCCAACACTCCCATCCAAACTAGAACTGTCCTCATCATGGGGGAAGCAAGATCTTTTTTTTGCCTGGTTCCCAAATGCACTGGCTTCTTAGAGTCACATGTATACTTTCTTTCTCTTCTGCAATCCAAATCCCTACACAGGATTTAAGCCCACTCATTAGACCCCTGGGATGTTTTCAGTGTATTCTATTGCTTACAAATTCCATTCATTTTTCACTGATTCAAATCTCACTTTTCACACTTTTTTTTATCCATTCTACAAGCACTCACTCAGTATGCTTTCTATACCCTTCAGGGAACATACAGTTTAGTAGGAAGGATAACCAAAAAAAAAAAAAAAGAGAGAGAGAGAGAAGAAAGTAACAGATAGAAAGAAAAAACATCTATAAAAAAAGGCTTTTGCAGCTAATGACTTTTTTGATCACTCCTCAAAGACTTACATGGCTAGTCCTGGGGACCAGCGCTGCAATGGCAAGATAGGAGGGAGGCCATGCAGGTTAGCAAGGGCCTAATGACAAATCACGAATCTCCATGCCTGGCCAAGAACTTTGGACTTGACAGAAGGGCGATAGGAATCCCTTGAAAGGTTTAAGCAGAGCAACGGCATGAAAATACTTACATTCCAAGGAAATTACTCAGGAGGCAGTTGGAGGCAAAGGAGAAAATTGGAATAAGTGATGGTGGAGACATGAGATAAGGTAACAGCAAAGAGAATGGAAGACTAGATACATCTGGGAAATATTTATCACAAGGAAGTGGAAATGAGGAATCAACAAGACTTGGTGATGGATTGAATGGGAACAGCGAGGAAAAGACCAAGGGTAACTTCTAGGTATCTGGCTTGAACCACTTTATTAAGAGAAAGGCCGGGCACCGTGGCTCACACCTGTAATCCCAGCACTTTGGGAGGCCGAGGCAGATGGATAACCTGAGGTCAGGAGTTCGAGACCAGCCTGGCCAACATGGTGCAACCCCGTCTCTACTAAAAATACAAAAATTAGCCAGGCGTGGTGGCAGGCACCTGTAATCCTAGCTAATCAGGAGACTGAGGCAGGAGAATTGCTTGAACCCGGGAGGCAGAGGTTGCAGTGAGCCGAGATTGCACCACTGCACTCCAGCCTGGGCGACAAGAGCAAAACTCCGTCTCAAAAATAAAAAAATTGAAAAAAAGAGAGAAGGAGCCCACCGAGAAGAGAATGGACTGGAAAGGAAGACATGAACATAGGTTGGGACCTGTGGAGTTTGAAGAACCTATTTAACACCCAAATAATGATATCCAACAAACAACAGAGGTTGGGATCTGGGTTTCAGGAAAGAAATTCAGGCTGCAAATGTAAAGATGGAGACCTTCAGCATATAGAGGCCACAGGTAGTTTCTGGGAAGAAGATTCCGAGATGGAGGTTGTTGTCCATGGAGAAGCTCTTAGGGTCAACACGTGGGAAAATGAAGGAAGCCAGCTCAGGCACGTGAAGAAGCTGAACCATGATCCAGTCACAACAAAGGCTTCCCCTGATCTCAAAGGGAGCTTTGTGGGTGGAGATGGCCCTTCAGAATTGACCTGAATTGAGGTGAGAAATTGGGCCTTCAAACAGGTCATGGGATGTGGCTTCCCTTGGGAAGGGCCATGACCTTGGGCCAGGAGTTTGTCTTACACTGAGAGCCAGAAAGGGACTCAACTGAGAGGGGTTCCTACAGACTCTTTTCCCCCGGCACTGTCCATCACAGAGACAATTTAAAGAGCTTGGGCTTGAAGTAGATGACCCTCCCCGCTCCCAGAGACTGTGTAGCCTGCAGAGACCCCAGGAAGGGCAGAAGAGAAAGTTTGCAGGGATGTGCAGTGGAAGACAGGCTTCTGAGGAGGCTGAAAAGAGTTTATTGAGAGTTCAGAGGACCAGCAGTGTTCAGGGGCCACTGAGAGAGAGATTCAGCCAAAAAGGAGTGAATTAATACCCAAGTTAAATGCCACAGGAGTGTAGCAAGGGAAGAAGGAAAAGTGTACCATGAATTTGGCAAGAAAGAGGTCATTATTCAATTCCAAGGAGTGGAGAAGCCTCTGAGTTGAGGCTTAGATAAGAGAAGTGAAGACAGCATGCAGCAGGGGTAGAGAGGAACAGGAGAGGGATTCTTGTTGTTTTTTTTTTAAGTTGGGAAAAACTTAATCATGCTTAAATCCTAATGGATAGAGGGGGCAATTGACATTATAGCAAAATATAACTTCTTCTTTTTTTTTTTTTTTTTTTTGTGACAGAGTTTCACTCTTGTTGCCCAGGCTGGAGCGCAATGGCACAATCTCGGCTCACTGCAACCTCTGCCTCCTGGGTTCAAGCGATTCACCTGCCTCAGCCTCCCGAGTAGCTGGGATTACAGGCATGCGCCACCATGCCCTGCTAATTTTGTATTTTTAGTAGAGACAGGGTTTCTCCATGTTGGTCAGGCTGGTCTCGAACTCCCAACCTCAGGTGATCCTCTCGCCTCGGCCTCCCAAAGTGCTGGGATTACAGGCATGAGCCACCGTGCCAGGCCAACTTCTTTTAAACAAAAAAGAGAGACAGAGAGAGACAGGATCTCACTCTATCACCCAGGCTGGAGGGCAGTGGCATGATCATAGCTCATGGCAACCTCAAGCGATCCTCCCACCTCAGCCTCCTGAGTAGCTGGGACTACAGCTGCATGCCACCACGCCCAGCTAATTTTTTGTAGAGATGTGGTCTTGGTATGTTGCCCAGGCTGGTCTTGAACTCCTGGGCTCAAGCAATCCTCATGTCTGGGCCTCTGAAAGTGCTGGGATTACAGGCATGAGCTACCACACTCAAACAAATATAACTTTTACAAGACTAAAATCTAATTTTACTTATGATAGAAAGCTTCTCCTATTATGGACCAAGAAAGGAGAAGAGTAAAAGAACTCAAGAGACTGCAGCATGAAAACAATTTGCATTTTAAAAGATACAAACTAGAGGAAGCCTTTGAGGAGGATTTGGACTGGCAAAGACGAAAGGCTGGAGAGTCTCACGAGGTAGGCGCTTCAAGATGGGCAGCAGGTGGAGGCAGCCAGAGTGTCATCATGCACAGTGGTGACCTGCTCACTGCCCCCTGCTCACCTGTCTTCTCTTCTATCTCTGTAAATCCATAATTAAAATTTTAAAACCTACTAATTTTATAATGTATGGCTCCAGTTACAAGAATGTTTTCTAGGAGACTTAACTTTGATTTCATGTATTTATTTAGAGACAAGTTCTACTATGTTGCCCAGGCTGGTCTCAAACTCCTGGACTCGAGTGATCCACCTGCCATGGCCTTTCAAAGTGCTGGGATTACAGGCTTGAGCCACTGCACCCAGCCAACTCCCTGTCTCCCAAGAAGTGAAAAGAGTTTCCAAAGAGAAAAATCAAACGTGAACAATTTATTCAAAAATGGATAAGATATCTCTAAAATTCACTGTCAGTAAAAATTTTCTTTCTATTTTTACTAAATTATAGAAGCAGAGGCTGGGCCTGGTAATCCCAGCACTTTGGGAGGCTGAGGCAGGAGGATCACGTGAGCTCAGGAATTTGAGACTAGCCTGGGCAACATGGTATAACCCCATCTCTACAAAACATACAAAAATTAGCCAGGCGTGGTGGCCTGCACCTGCAGTCTCAGCTACTCGGGAAGCTGAGGTAGGAGGATTGCTTGAGCCAGGGAGGTCAAGGTTGCAGTGAGCCATGATTGCACCAATGCACTCCAGCCTGGGAAACAGAGCAAGAACCTGTCTCAATAATAATAATGATAATGATAATAATAATAGAAGCAGGGGGAGTTGCACTATTCAGTGATTCCCAAGAGTTATTTGGCAGACAAATGTAACTGCATTTCTTCTCCACTTAAACCAGTCCTATTAACATTTGTGGGAAATGTGAAATACCTCTATTTAAGAGTAATTTCAGGACTTAGTTTCAAAATAACAACTTTTGACTTACAACTGAGTTTAGGAGGCCCATCAGCTTCTAGGGGCTCAGCTAGCAAAACAAATGACATCTAAGTGTGGATAAGATGGAGTTGATGAGAAGTACAAAGGCTCTGAAAAATGAAACTTTCTCCCCATTTCCTACACATACACACACTCAACATGACAGCAATTCTTATAGCAAATGCCCAATCCCTACACTGCTAAGAAACATCTCACTGAGGCCAACTAAATCAGGCCAAAAGCAAACACCCAACTTCCAAGATGGCGGAGGTCCACTCTGTGTGGGGTGGGAGGCCCGGGCTCCCTCTCTGGCCAGCAGTGGTGACCATGCCTCACAGAGTGTTGAGTGCCAGGCAACGGGACACAGCAGGAAACCACTGTAGCTGGAACAGATGGAGCAGTTTCCACAGAGCAACCGCTGAAACCAGTCACACAGTGAGTCATGTTCCCTGGGATCATTTCTCAAGTTCTGTATTTCAGTAGCTCACATTTCTTAACATTCTGAGTTCGCCAGTTTGCCAGGCATTGAGGACTGAGAGTGGGAGAAACCAGGGCCCCTGTGGGCTGTCGTCCTGGACATTGGTGCCACAATCCCTAAGAATGATGAATTTGGATTTCTCTAAAGGCAGAGCCAGAAAAAAAATTTCAGTTCTTCCCCTATGGTCAAACACCTTAGGCAGTGAAATCAGGCAGAGACTTGAAATTTAGCAAAGTGACCTTGGAGGCTTTGAACAGAAGTCTTAAATGATTAATATTAGTCTGGGTGACCCAAAATAGACCTGGTGTTTCCTCAACCCAAAATAGAGGGAACCAGGTTAGGGACATCTTGGTTGAGGAAACAAACAGGTTTCCTCTTAGGCATTCTACACCTGCTTGGAATCAAGGAAAACCCAGTGTCCTCTCTAGCCAGCCTCTTCCACTTTGCCCAGATTCAAGCCTAATCCCCTCATTGTCAAACTCCATTAGCAGGATTTAAGAAGTCTGCCACCCTTTACTGAGAGGAGACTGCTCTTTGCAATTGCCTTATACAAAACAAGGCCTCCAGAAATGTGTGGTCTGAGACCCTGCCCCATATCTCATCCTGAAAGGGCCTCTTATCCTGCCTTCATCACTAGCTCATGGGTGTGAATGTGAAGTGCTTTGTCTTTGGCAGTGGAGGGTCCTTCCGGAGACTCAAGGCTGGGTGATAGATGCAAAACAAACTAACTAGAAGCCAGAAATTTGCATCTGAGTGGGCCCTCACTGGGAGCACCTTCCCAGTGTTGGGGACATTTTTGGAGTTGGGGGCGGTGGCAGGACTCATAGCTTGCAGATTTGAAACCATCCAAACAGCCTCCTTTCATGTAGCATCTTATCAACTTAGCATATTTGAAATTTGACTTCTGAGTGAATGAAAATAAACCAGGCACTAAAAGTCACTGATTACCAAGAGAGGCAACAACACAGAGTCAGCATCGCTTTGGAATGCTCAACTGTGCACTGACCCCCGAGATGCAGGCGACACTGCCCAAACTGTGAAGCCAAACAAAAGCTTGAAATTAATTATGAGAGAACTATCCAAAATAACAGAAATTTGTGTCAACCTTGTGGAGGTGATAGAGTGAGGTGATTGAGAGCAGGACTCCCAGGCTGTGTGCAGTGACATGTCACTTCCTCACTCTAGGCCACAGTTCCCCATCTATCAAATAAGAATAATAATAGTGCCTAGCTTTGTTGGAAGATGAATTAGGTGACTATATACTAAGCGCTTAGAAGCAAGCCTGGCATTCTGTATGTGAGGTATTATTTCCGGTTTCTCAGCGTGTGGCTTTTGACTACCTAAGAAATCAATCTATGACAGGTACACAACACACCTTATGCCTGTGTTCTCAGCCAGCCCAGGACTCAGGCTAACACATACCTGGAACCAGAAATCTACATCCAACAAATCAGCATGAAATGTATATCTGCCTCCGATTCTCTATTCAAAAATGCATACAGATTATATAGGATTTTTATAACCTTTTATATTTTGGTTTGGCTATTTAATTCTGTAATAAATCATGCAGACCTAAAAATCTTTTTTTTTTTTTTTTTTTTGAGACTGCGTCTCCCTCTGTCGCCCAGGCTGGAGTGCAGTGGCACCATCTCGGCTCACTCCAACCTCTGCCTCCCAGGTTCAAGCAATTCTCCTGCCTCACCCTCCGGTGTAGTTGGGATTACAGACGTGCACCACCACACTCAGCTAATTTGGGGATTTTTAGTAGAGACGGGGTTTTGCCATGTTGGACTGGCTGGTCTTGAACTCCTGACCTCAGGTGATTCGCCCGCCTCGGCCTTCCAAATTGCTGGGATTACAGGAGTGAGCCACCACGCCCGGTCTAAAAATCTTTTTACTTTTACATCTTGGTGATGATAAATGGCAAACCAGAAATCACTTTTGAAAGTACAGGAAAATTTTAACAATTGCATTAAAGCACAGAGTAAAAATATGTTAATAAATTTTACTCATATAGTCTAAATTTGGACAGGACACTGTGGAGGAGGGAAGGTGTTCATTCCAAATAACTTCCAGGAACTTTAAAATTCCTGCGATTGTTTTCTTCTTAGGTGAAGAATTTAATGAACACCTGAAGATCAGTGGGATCTAGGAAAATGTGTAATTCAGCTAGAATACAGAAGACCCAAGTTCTAGTTCTGGCTTCATCACTAATTTGATGTCTTAAGACAAGTTACTGGCTGTTTTGTGTGTCAATCTCTCCATCTATCAAATGGGGATGAAACACATATGGTTAAGTAATTCTGAGAATTTAAAAATGGTTAAATGGTTGTAAAAATTAAAGGTTTAAGTGACCATAAGACATGTCATTATGTTATTCTCCACTAATAAAACAGATTCGGTCACTTTTTTTTTTTGAGACCTGCATCTCCCTCTGTCACCCAGACTGGAGTGCAATGGTGTGATTACGGCTCACTGCAGCCTTGACCTCCTGTGCTCGTGATTCTCCCACCTCAGCCTCCCAAGTAACTGGAACCACAGGTATGCACCACCACACCTGGCTAATTTGTATTTTTTGTAGAGACAGGATTTCGCCATGTTGCCCAAGCTGGTCTCGAACTCCTGGGCTCAAGTGATCCGCCGCCTTAGCCTCCCAAAGTGCTGGGAGATTACAGGCATGAGCCGTCACATCTGGCCTCAGTCACCCTTTTTAGTTATTCTCATAGAAAAATAATCATGCTTTTGCAAAATTTCAAGCAAAACAGAACTTTTAAAATAGGATGTTTTTCCAGCATCCTATTTGGAATGTTGTCCTACCCTCCCCTCTCCCCAGCAGCTATAATTGTTAATAGTATTCTGCTATCCTGAAATCTCTTAGATTGCAAATCTATTTAGCTTACGAAAGCAAAAATCCAAGATACCATATAAACTGCATCTGCTCATTTCTACCTACTGAAAAAGAAAAGAACCGGATAGCCAACTCACACTTTTTCAGGAACCTTACAATATCCGAGAATAAAAATGTTTTTCTTAAGAGTAGGAGGCACCCTTTTAGATAATCCAACAATTTCCAGGCAGGGGCTTGAAGGAAAGGCAGGAGCTATCTGGATACACAAGTGTCTAAAATATAAATGAGCAACTTAACCATTTTTTAGAAAACAAAAACCCTGAAACTACCATTTAGGTCAGTAGACAGAATCTTGCACCCATCTCAGAAGCTCTTTGTCTGCCTCTTCCCAATCACAAACCCCTCCTTGCCCTCCAAAATAACCAATATTTTGACTTTAATGGTAATGACTTCGTAGCATTTCTTTGTAGTTTTACCAGCAAAGTCTTCAACCTAGCATTATAGCTTAGTTACAACTGCCATGAAACTTTATATGAATGAAGTCGTATGACAAATAGTCTTGTATCTGACATCTTTTGCTCAACATTGCCTGTGTGAGGTTCGTTCAGGCTGTTGGATGTAGCCCTATTCATTCTCATTTCAAGAGCATATTCCATCTTATAAATATAACATATCCCATCTTATAAATTTATTCATCCATTCTAGTGTTGAAAGGCATTTGGGTTGTTTCTAACTAGGCAATTATAAAAGTAATGCTGTGGCCAGGCGAGGTGGCTCACACCTGTAATCCCAGCACTTTGGGAGGCTGAGGCAGGCAGATTGCCTGAGCTCAGGAGTACGAGACCAGCCTGGCCAACGTGGTGAAACCCCATTTCTACGAAAAATACAAAAAATTAGCCAGGTGTGGTGGTGCGTGCCTGTTGTTACAGCTACTCAGGAGGCTGAGAAAGGAAAATCGCTTGAACTCAGTAGGTGGAGGTTGCCGTGAACCAAGATCACACCATTGCACTCCAGCCTGGGTGACAGAGTGAGACTCCGTCTCAAAAAAAAAAACGAAAAAAAAAGTAATGCTGCAATGAACATGCACACATCACCTGGGGAACACACCACTCAGTTCCTTTGATTACACACCCAGCAGCAGAATTCCTGGGTCATGAGGAAGGCGCATCCTGAAGTGTAATAATTCCTGCCACAGAGTCTTCCACAGCACATTCTCAGACAGTGTCCATTGTCCTTGCCAAAACTTGATGTTGCTGGGTTTTTTTTCCCCTCTCTCTGGTGAGGGTGTAGAGTATCTCACCACTGTGGTGTGATTGGCAGGCACTGCTTCATATGCTTATTGGACAGCTGGACTCCCTCTTTTGTGAAATACCTTTTCAACTTCTCTTGCCTATGACACTGAGTTGTCTTCCCTATTTTGTTGATTTATTGTTCTTTTTTTTTTTTTTTTTTGAGACAGAGTTTCACTCTGTAGCCCAGGCTGGAGTGCAGTGGCATGATCTCGGCTCACTGCAACCTCCACCTCCCAGGTTCAAGCATTTCTCCTGCCTCAGCCTCCTGAGCAGCTGGGATTACAGGAGTGTGACACCATACCTGGCTAATTTTTATAGTTTTAGTAGAGAGAGGGTTTCACCCTGTTGGCCAGGCTGGTCTCAAACTCCTGATCTCAGGTGATCTGCCCACCTCGGCCTCCCAAAGTGCTGGGATTATAGGCGTGAGCCACCACACCTGGCCTGATTTATTGTTCTTTACATGTCTTAAACATACTGCTTTGTCTGTTAAATTTCACTTTAAAATTGGCTTTCTTGGGGAGGTAATATAGTATGATTTCATTTAGAAATTAAATTTCCTCAGGCCTTACACCAAAATAAGCTCCAAATGGATAAGAAATACAAATGTAGGAAATGCAATAATACAAAACACTTAAACTGGTGAATTCCTTTATAAACTAGATGTAGGGCAGCCTTTAAACCATGTCTCATAAAAAAATCAAAAAGCAATAACAGTAAAGTTTCATGAATTTGACGTCGTAAAAATTTTAAAACTTTTCCATAATAATGATGACAACAAATCCCCACAAGGAATATTACCAGGCAATGACAACCTAGGAGAGAGTATGTGCAGTTTATATCCCAGATAAAGGGATAATCTCTCTGATTTACAATGCACTTTAAATATCGAGGGGAAAAGTTAAAAGTTTATAGAAAAAAGACAAGAATAGCAGTTCACAGAGAAAGATAATGGCACTTGACCATATTAAAATACGCTCAAGCTGGGTGCAGTGGCTCATGCCTGTAATCACAGCACTCTGGGAGGCCAAGGCAAGCAGATCACTTGAGGCTCAGAGTTTGAGACCAGCCTAGCTAACATGGCAAAACCCCGTCTCTACAAAAAGTACAAAAATTAGCCGGGTGTGGTGGCGCACACCTATAGTCCCAGCTACTAGAGAGGCTGAGATGGGAGGATCACTTGAGCCCAGGAGGTCGAGGCTGCAGTGAGCCAATATTGCACGGCTGCATTACAGCCTGAGTGACACAGCAAGACTCTGTCTCAAAAAAATAAAAATAAAACATGCTCAACTTAATTCATAAGTAAAATGCACCCTGAGATTCCATGTCTAACCTATCACATTCCTAAAAACTTTAAGTTTGAAAATGCACTGTCTTTGTAAGCATACGGAAAGATAAGCCTGCTATTAAATTGAGGGTGGGAGTAGAAAACAGCACTAACCATATAAAAGGGAATTTTGCAATATCTAACAAAATTATACACTTTGACCAGCACGCCCAATTCCATTAATAGGTTATTTATAAAGCTTAAAAGTGGCACCCTGGCCGGGAGCAGTGGCTCACGCCTGTAATCCCAGCACTTTAGGAAGTGAGGTGGGCAGATCACCTGAGGTCAGGAGTTCAAGACCACTCTGGCTAACATGGTGAAACCCCATCTCTACTAAAAATACAAAAATTAGCCAGGCGTAGTGGCAGGTGCCTGTAATCCCAGCTACTTGGGAGGCTGAGAGAGGAGAATCACTTGAACCCGGGAGGCAGAGGTTGCAGTGAGCTGAGATGGAGCCACTGCACTCCAGCCTGGGTGACAGAGTGTGACCCTGTCTCAAAAAAAAAGGGTGGGGCACCCTACAAATCTCCCTATTAATGCAATAGGGAAATTTTGTCTTCACTATAGAGTGATTGACAGTGACAGCTTTAACGAAGTGAAAAAAATTCACTGTCATGGGACAGCTTCACATTATGTGCCACTTGGTGTGATGCACCTATGAAGAATACTTGCCAAAATATTTAACCCTGAATTTATTCAAAAAGAAATGATCAGACAAATCAAAAATCCAGAATATGGAATATTCTACAGGATAGCTGCTCTAGACCCTCAAAAATTCAACGCAAGGAAAACCCAAGGGAGAGGGAACTGCTCTAGATTAAAAAATAGTTGTCGGCTGGGCACGGTGGCTCATGCTTGTAATCCCAGCACTTTGGGAGGCTGAGGTGGGCAGATAACCTGAGGTCAGGAGTTTAAGACCAGCCTGGCCAACATGGCGAAACCCCGTCTCTACTAAAAATACAAACATTAGCCAGGCCTGGTGATGGGCACCTGTAGTCCCAGCTACTTGGGAGGCTGAGGCAGGAGAATCACTTGAACCCAGGAGGCGGAGGTTGCAGTGAGCTGAGATGGCACCACTGCACTCCAGCCTGGGTGACAGAGCAGGATTCTGTCTCAAAAATAAAATAATAATAATAATAATAAATAATTGTCATGTGTGTATGCCGTATTACTTGAGAATGTTGATCTATTATAGACACAAGAAAGCACCTAAGGAGGGTAGAGAAAGTAACTGAAGAAGGAAGAAGCTTGTGCAGCCCAGGAAGAATCCATAAGAGATGCCAAGTAAGATAAATAAGTTAGTAACCTCTGAGAACATGCCTGAAGACTAAATGCAGCCCAAATGTGCACAGATAGAAAAAGATGGAAACCCCAAAAGCACTGGATGTTCCTGCTAAATATACAGAAGGGGTACATCAGGCACCCAATATCCATCAGGTCTTAAATTCGGCCCTTCATTGGTGATGTTCATCCCTAGGCTAACTGCGCATCTGGCTAACTGGCCAGCCTCCGCTGTTGCCAGAGCAGTTTGGCCCAGGTCTCTCTGGAAATCTCCCACTGTGGTGCCTGCTGGCTGAAACCCCATTTCTGATCCACACCATCAGCCAGAAAGGTGAAGCCTGACCCAGGACTCAGGTGGTGTGTCACCTTGTTGTTTGTGGTATGTTTTAATTGACTAAACCAGGTGACTCGAGCATCTTACATTGGCTGTGAGCCTTTCTGTTGCAAAATCACAGAGAACTTGGCTCATGTAGGTGGTCACTACAGTCTCATTAGTAAATTTTCCAGGCAACATGACTTAAGAGAAGGTACAGCCACAGGTAATGGGTAAACTTTGATTGGGTTCTGAATTGGAAAAAAATAGCAGCTTGAAAGGACATTTGGAAGACAAGTGAAGAATTTAAAATATGAATCATAGATTAGATAAGATTGTGGAATGAATGTTTCTTCTCTCAGATGTAATGATATTGGGGATGGGCGCGGTGGCTCACCCATGTAATCCCAGCACTTTGGGAGGCCAAGGCAGGCAGATCGCCTGAGGTCAGGAGTTTGAGGCCAGCCTGGCCAACATGGTGAAACCTCGTCTCTACTAAAAATACAAAAATCAGCCAGGCGCGGTGGCGGGCGCCTGTAATCCTAGCTACTCAGGAGGCTGAGGCAGGAGAATCGCTTGAACCCAGGAGGTAGAGGTTGCAGTGAGCCAAGATCGTGCCACTGCACTCCAGCCTGGGCAACAGAGCAAGACTCCGTCTCAAAAAAAAAATGGTATTGGGATTTGCAGGAAATGGACTCATTTCTAGGACACGAATGCTGAAACATTTAGGAGTATGGGAGAGGGAGAGAGAGCAAATGTAACAGGGCATTAACAACTGGCGAATCTGTGTAAGGGGTATACGGATGTTCATTGTATCACTCATGAAAACTTTCATGTAATTTATGGCTTTCAAAATTAATTTGTAGAAACTGGCCAGGCACGGTGGCTCATGCCTGTAATCCCAGCACTTTGGGAGGCTGAGGCAGGAGGATCACAAGGTCACAAGTTCGAGACCAGCCTGACCAACATGGCGAAACCCCAGCTCTACTAAAAATACAAAACTTAGCTGGGCATGGTGGCTTGCGCCTGTAATCCCAGCTCCTCAGGAGGCTGAGGCAGGAGAATCGCTTGAATCCAGGAGGCAGAGGTTGCAGTGAGCCGAGATTGAGCCACTGCACTCCAGCCTGGGTGACAGAGCAAGCTCCGTCTCAAAAAATAATAATAATAATAGTAATAATTTGTAGAAACTGTCATCCCAAGGTTTGCGTCCTTCAACCATTCTACCCATGGTTTGTCTTGAGTAAATCTCTAGTTAAGTCTAAACATCTAAGCACTTCTCTTTCTTTCTAATTTCCTGTCCCTTGTGAGAAGTAAAATTTCGGTAATGGCATATTTATGTATAGCTGGGATTAATTCAAGTAGCATCTTTATATATAAGTTCATGGCTTTGGTTTCTCACAAGCTATTCATCAGAAATTTCCCATAGTTTGGAAAATAATGGATTTATTTGCCAAAGTTGAGCTTTCTTATTTTGATGTTACTCAGTCATTATTATGTCTACAATAGCAATTGGTTCATTTACAAGATTAGAAAATCTTGAAGTCCTTCACTAAATAAGTCTGGCTTACTTTTAGGAAATGTAAAGTGAAAAATGGATCAAAAGACTACTTGAAGTGCTCCCAAAAGAGGCATAGAAGCTAGAGTACTGTATAAATTCTTTTACTTTATTGGGGCACTGTTGCATCAACCATAGTTCCAAGAAATTAAAACTTTAGAAATTAGAAATTTAACATATAGAAGGTGTGTTGCTGTTAGACTTTGCTGGTATTCTGGCAGCTACAGTTAAGGAACACCTGATAAGTATCATACCACAAGATTTACCAAGCCAAGTGTTGCTCAATGCTGGCAGGGAGACATTGTATGAAAATGTAATGCTAACAGCACTGGGCAGGTCCATTGTTCAGCCCCAGCTGTAACACAGTGGAGAAGCAAACAGCAGGATCAGAGAGCTTTGGAAATGAAATCAAGTGCACAATAGCTGTGAAGATAGGAAAAGTCACAGGAATACATCAGAAAGAAAGAGAGATGATTTCTAGCTCTGGGGAGAAATAAGATGGCTTATTTTTTGAAGTAAGTCTATACTTACTTTGAGTAATTCAAGAGTTGCTAACAGTGGAATGGCTTTTCATGCCCTCTGTTTTAAATTTAATGATTTTAAATGCAATTATTTTAATAGGTAATACTTGCACATAGAACAAAGTTTGAAAGAAAGAGCAAGATAAACTGCGAAAAGTCAGTTTCTTTCCTTTTTTTTTTTTTTTTTTCATTGAGACAGGGAGTTTCGCTCTTTTCACCCAGGCTGGAGTGCAATGGCACGATCTCAGCTCACTGCAACCTCCACCTCCAGGGTTCAAGTGATTCTCCTGCCTCAGCCTCCCCAGTAGCTGGGATTACAGGGGCCCACCACCACACCCAGCTAATTTTTGTATTTTTAGCGGAGAAAGGGTTTTGCCATGTAGGCCAGGCTGGTCACGAACTCCTGACTTCAGGTGATCCACCCACCTTGATCTCCCAAAGTGCTGGGTTACAGGCGTGAGCCACCACACCCAGCTGTTTCTTTCTTCTTTCACCTATCCAAACCCACAGTTCACACGGCTAGGAAGGCAAAAATATGTTTACATCTTTGTAAGTCCTTTGTAAAGTTAAGGAAATTGCCCTTATACATCCTTGCCCTCTCCTCCTCCCTCGGGCCCTATCTGTCTGCCTAAGATCCTCTCTCTCCCTTCCTTTCTCCCTCTCCCTCCTCCTCCCCAACACCTGCCCTAGTGAGTGCGTCTCAACTGAAGCTCCCTCTGGCTCCTCTCCAGCGTACTGAGACCCACTGAGATAAATTAAGGAAGGTGCCAACATTTGTTGAAGTAAGAAAAGGGCTAGGGATAATGCGCATAGTACGTAAAATACACCATGACTAATTTCTTCACAGGTCCTAAGATTTAATCCAAAATCAGGTCGCCCATGGAAGGAGAATAAGACTGAAAATTGTAGACTCTATTTTTAAAGGCTGGGAGGCCTGAAAACCCTTACTCTCCTGGTAAAAAAAACTTTTGGACCCCTTAAGCCTTCAAAAATCAGGTTTTTGTGACATTTTCCTTATTCCCTATGATATATGCATTTTTGTAAGAATTTTGTTCACCCCCAATTGTATTCATTGTATTCCTTTAAATTGCATTCTTTTAAAATGGAAAAATGTAGCTTTCTGATTAAAAGAAGAAGGAAAAATAAAAAGAAAGTTGTCAGCTGGGTGCGGTGGCTCAGGCCTGTAATCCCAGTACTTTGGGAGGCCGCGTCAGGTGGATCATTTGAGGTCAGGAGTTCAAGACCAGCCTGGCCAACATGATGAAACCCCATCTCTACTAGAAATGCAAAAATTAGCCGGGTGTGGTGGCACACGCCTATATTCCCAGCTGCTCAGGAGGCTGAGGCAGGAGAACCACTTGAGCCTGGGAGGCGGAGGTTGTGGTGAGCCGACATCACGCCACTGCACTCCAGTCTGGGCAAGAGAGTGTCCCAAAAAAAAAAGAAAAAAAGAAAATTGTCTTTTAAGCAGAGCTGCGTAACAGACATTTCCTTGATGACAGTGTGTACTATGCCTGTGATGTCTAACATGGTAGCCACTAGCCATGTACAGCTACTGGGCACTTTCAATGTGGCGAGCATGACTGAGGAACTGACTTGTAAATTTTATTAAAATTTAATTATTTACATTTAGAAAGCCATATATGACTAGTGTCTATCATCCTGGACCATGCAGCCTTAGAGTGCTAAGAAAGAGCTACTGGGCATTACAGTTTAACAAGACAACTGGTTTCAGTGGAGGAAAAAATGGCTTAAGAACAGATGAGATATAATTTCCTTGAAATATTGAAGGTCTTTAGTATCAAGGGGAATATGACCCTGGAAAAACTTCTTTTTAAAAATGTTTTTCAAGGCATTTTGCTTAAGTGCCTGGAATACTGCCAGCCTGGTTGACTCCTGCCTGCAAAGGTAGTTGTGTAGAAATTGTTCTGTGAACACACTGGAGATCATTTTGGAAGGCATTGTATACACTGCACAGTTATGATTATCTGTCTGCACCAAAGGCTTCCCAATAAGAGGTTTGCAATTAACACAGGTATGGATTAATACTGTGCAACTGACATTTGGGAATGGTCTCCAGGAAAAGGATTACCCTCTCTCCCAACTCTGTATATGGGTCCAGCAGAGCTCCCCAGATAAACAATAAACAACATAAACAATGTTTCATTCTACTTAGTTTTCTCTACAGCTGTCTCTGTCATCCAGCCTCTAAGATCTTTAAGAACAGGGATCTTAAGTACAAATATTAGCTGGGTATGGTGGTGTGTGCCTGTAGTCTTAGCCACTTGGGAGGCTGAGGCAGGAGGATCACTTGATCCCAAGAGGTTGAGGCTGCAATGAGCCAAGATCGTGCCACTTGCACTCCAGCCTGGGCAACAGAGCAAGACCCTGTCTTAAAAACACAACAAAAAGCAGAAATCTTATCCCATTGATCATTATAAGCCCAGTAAAGATCAACCAACTATGCCAGCAAGGGAACAGTAAAGAATCAACCAAGAAACCGACTACATAATTTACTGAACACCTATTTGTGCCAGAAACAGGACCAGTGCTGGATTCTGGAGCAGCAGATTGATTAAAATAATCCAGCCCCACCCTCCAGGAGCTCTTAAGTGGATATTTATTTTCTTAAATCTGATTTAAAGTGTGATAGGAACTCATTTAGTAGGATTCTGCTCTGCTAGGGGAAGGAAGAGCATTCCAAAATAAAAAAGAGTTTTTAAAATTAATATATTGAAAAACAAGAAAAGTCTGAGAAATCGTTACAGCCAAAGGGAGCCTAAGGGGACATGACAACTAAACATAGTGTGAGATCCTGCATGATCCTGGAACCAAGAAAGGATATGAGGAAAAACTAAGGAAATCTGAAGAAAGTATAGACTTCAGTTTGTGATAATGTGTCAATATTAGTTCATTCATTGTGACAAATGCACTCTACTAATGTAAGATGCTAACAATGAGGAAACTGGGGTAGGTGTATATGGGAACTCTCTGCATTATCTTCACAACATTTCTGTAAATTTAAAACTATTCTAAGATTTAAATTTTCTTAAAGAGGCCAGGCGCAGTAGCTCATGCCTGTAATCCCAGCACTTTAGGAGGCTGAGGTGGGTGGATCACGGGAGGTCAGGAGTTCAAGACCATCCTGGCCAACATGGTGAAATACAGTCTCTACTAAAAATACAAAAATTAGCTGGGCATGGTGGCAGGTGCCTATAATCCCAGCTACTCGGGAAGCTGAGGCAGGAGAATCACTTGAACCCAGGAGGTGGAGGTTACAGTGAGCCGAGATGGTGCCACTGCACTCCAGCCTGGCGACAGAGCAAGACTCCATCTCAAAAAAATAAAAATAAAAATAAAAATAAAAGTTTATTAAAGAATAAGTTAATATGCTTATCCCTCAATAAATTCTATTTCATCTTCGTGAGGAAAGATGAAAGACATGGACTGATGCTATTGCAGGAAATTCATGGAGCTAGAAGTCAACAAGCTTTCATGTCACCAATCGATGTGTGTCCAGATCCTGCCAGTGGACCTTGACCATCCTGTGGTTATACCATGCAGTCCTTCGCAAGGACTCAAGGTGTGGTGTTGAGAAGAGGCTTTGCTTTCTGTGTGGAAATTATTTTCTCGTTTTCAACATTTTTTCAACAATTCACAAGAGGCTATTAGAAATTCAATATTGGGCCTGGCACAGTGGCTCGCACAGCATCTTGGGAGGCCAAGGTGACAGATCACTTGAGCCCAAGAGTTCAAGACCAGCCTGGGCAACATGACAAAACCCTGTCTCTACACAAAATACAAAAATTAGCCAGGTGTGGTGGCGCAGACCTGTGGTCCCAGCTACTTGGGAAACAGGTGGAAGGATCATTTGAGCCCAGGAGGCAGAGGTGGAAGTGAACTGAGATTGCACCACTGCACTCCAGCCTGGGTGACAGAGTGAGACCCTATCTCAAAAAAAAAAAAAAAGAAGAAATTCAATCAATGAAAAGGTATTGAGTATTGAAGTAAGGAGTTACTGGACAAAATTTCAAGTAAAGTTAGTAAAATTGGGAAAATCTTGGCATCAAATGAAGCGTGCTTCTTACAATTTAAGGTGCTCTTGAATCACCTGGGGAATCTTGGGAAGATGTTGGCTCATCCAGTGGACCTTGGTGGGGCTGAGAGTCTTCAGTTCTAACAACCTCCCAGCTAATGCTGATGCCACGGGTCCTCAGACTACACTTTTCTCAGCAAGGATGGAGGTAGAGGAATTTTAAAGCAAAGGAGCGCCCCCTTAGTCTGCAGGCTGAGACCGTGCATTGTCTGCCCTCTTGCCTGTGTCTGCGGGAGCCCAGTAAAGCTCACTGGAGTAGTCATTCCCAGTGAACAAGAAGCAAACTTTTTCCTCTCCCCACAGACATGCACACACTTGCAAATCCCTTCTGCAAGTTCCTTTCGCTATTCTTCTTGCCTCCCCAGCCACACTCCATCTACAAAAGTGTAAGTGTTCAGTACCAGGTGCTGGGAACACAACTGTCTGCAAGACCTGCCACAAGGAGATACAGTAATGAGGGCTGATTACAAGGCAGGATGCTGAGCCACGCAGTGGGACAAGCAGGGGCTCTAGAAGACTCCGTACAAAACTCCCCTGACATTTCAGAGAGTGTTAATCTATGCTAGATGTCATTTCTCACCTTCTCTCACAAAGGTTTACTGGAAATCCATTTCATGTCATGGCTCAGAGCTGTCCCTTCAGCTACACCATGGAGATGCAGTCACCCACGGTAGATAGGGGTTCTGGACACCCCTTACACCACGCATGGTTTACTAAGAGCTGAGGAATCAGCATATCGAGCCTTCCCTTGCATTGCCTCAGTTGTGGGACTGTAGTTCCATAGTACACTGGCAGATATGGTTGGTTGGTTGGTTGGTTGGTTGGTTTTGAGTCAGAGTCTTGCTCTTTCACCCAGGCTGGATTGCAGTGGCACGATCTCGGCACACTGCAACCTCCACCGCCCTGAGTTCAAGCGAGTCTCGTGCCTCAGCCTCCCGAGTAGCTGGGATTATAGGTGCGCTCCACCACACTCGGTTAATTTTGTGTTTTTAGTGGAGATGGGGTTTCGCCATGTTGGTCAGGCTGGTCTCAAACCCTTGGCCTCAAGCAATCCACCTGCCCTGGCCTCCCAAAATGCTGGGATTGCAGGCATGAGCCACCGCGCTCAGCCTGATATGTTTGAATTGAATTGAATAAAGATACAAATACTCTATTTGGCTGGCATATGTTAAATTATTTTACAAAATGGGGAAAACGCCCCTGACTAAGTCACAGGTGGTCACAGAGGCCCCCAGAAAAGTTGGCATCAAAGATGTTTAAAGGTTGCAGAGCAACCAGCCATTAGCCACCCAGAGACCTTTCTCTTGGTTGAGGAAGAGCATTCCAAGGAAATGATTTGCTGCTATCAGGCTGCTGGGAGATACAGTGTGACCTGCATGAGGACACATGTATTTCAGCACTGCTATGCAGAGTCTAGGGTGAGGATGAACCAGCAACCAGGCTCCAGAAGCAGAAAGACCAAGACCCAAGCTCGGAGCCTCCCTCCCATATTTTCACTGGCCATCTTCAGCTTATGGTTGTTTCTTCTTCCACTGAATTCTAGAACACCTATTAAAGAGATGGCAGGAGAATGACGAGGGGGAACTGGAAGTGTGTAGCCTTCCTTGACCCTCATAATAGGATCAAACTTTACTTCTCATCACATGCTACTTTAATGTAGTGATTTTTACAATGTCTCACTTAGATGGAAAACTCTAGAGGAAAAGGGTGGTGCTCGATTTTTCTTTGTAATATTTTAATGCCATCTTTCATAGAGTTGGTGCTCAATAAATACTGAATGAATGGGCAAATAAGACAATTAGATCAGGATTTTATAAGAACACTAGGTTTTGTCTTCTATTAAGAGTTCCCTGGGCCAAGAGTGGTGTCTCACGCCTGTAATCCCAGCACCATGAGAGGCCGAGGCGGGAGGATTGCCTCAGCCTAGGAGTTCGAGACCAGTATGGACAATATGGCAAGACCTCATCTTATTAAAAAATATATATGTAAATAAATAAATACATGAAATATTAAAAATTAAAATTAATAAAAGACTTCCCTGATTTATTTCAAATGCTTGGTACAGCCTACACATGTGTTGATTGATTTTCTCTAAATCCTTTTTCCGTGTTTTTCACAGTATTGCTTACAGCAGTATGTCTTTCAAGTGCATCATTATTTCCTATTCCTGCAGTCAGTCTCCTGATGAGTTCTTCCAAGGTATTCTGGGCAGATTCCTATTCTTCCAGGTTGTAACGGTGCATAAATTGCATATCCCAGCCTGAGCCCAACCCAGCAGGATGGGAGTGGCTGGTGGGTCAAAGAGGGCTGCACATTCCCAATGCCCCTCCTCCATCTTCTGCCATCTCCCTCTTCTGGCTCCCCAAATCCCTTGCAAGCTTCACACTGTGACCCCAGATGATCTCAGTCCTTGGGCCAGCCAAGCCCCAGCTCCTGGTAGAATCAGCTTCTGGTGGACTCATGCCAAGGAATCTCAGGACCCTATACCAGAGTTCTATTGCTCTCAACAGAGATTTTATTTATTTATTTATTATTTATTTGAGACAGCATCTCATTCTGTTACCCAGGCTGGAGTGCTGTGGCACTATCATACCTCATTGCAACCTCAAACTGTCTCCCGAGTAGCTGGGACTACAGATGCATGCCACTGTACCCGGGTAATTTATTATTATCATTATTATTATATTTTCTAGAGAGGTCTCACTCTGTTGCCTGGGCTGGTCTTGAACTCCTGGGCTCAAGCAATCTTTCTGCCTTGGCCTCCCAAAGTGCTGAGATTATAGGCGCGGGCCACTATGCCCGGCCACAACAGAACATTTTAAAATCAAATGTGTTGTACTGTCCTTTACAGGTAGTGCTAACTATGTAACCCATGTTGTTTTCAGCACTTTATAGTAACTAATTCAATCTTCCTGGAAATTCTTTAAAGAAAGTGTTATTCTTACACTCTTCTGCTATTTACCAGGAAGGAAATAAAGTCACAAAATGGCTCAGAATCCAAGGATAGACTATCTCTTACTTTTGCTTACTAAGAAAAAGTTTCTTCTTCTTTTCCTTTGTTCCTAAAAGTAACATGTACACATATTCATCTCTTCTTTTTCTTTTCCTTTTTTTTTTTTTTTGAGACAGGGTCTTGCTCTGTTGCCCAGGCTGGAGTGCAGTGGTGTGATCACAGCTCACAGCAGCCTCAACCTCCTGGGCTCAAGCGATCCTCCCACCTCAGCCTCCCGAGTAGCTGAAACTACAAGCACACACAACCATGCCTGGCTAATTTTTGTATTTTTTGTAGAGACGGGGTTTCATCATGTTGTCCAGGCTGGTCTTGAACTCCTAGGTTCAAGCGATCCTCCTGTCTCAGCCTCCCTCACTAATCCTTCCCAAAGTGCTGGCATTACAGGTGTGAGCCATGGCATCTGGCCACATTCATCTCTTCTTTATTCAAAAACCCTGCCAAAGTGACAGTAAAGGAATAACATAAGATATTGACTCAAAATTATAAAAAGAAGGGAAGAGGAGACAATCAAAGTTAAAAAAAAAAATTCAGTAAATTGCGTAGACACAAAGTAGAAGGAGGCATGGTAGCTGACTTAGCCCAATCTAAGCATGTGCCTGAGGGAGCTGAGAGGCCAGCAATTCATTCCCAGACTCTCAAGGACAGCGTATCCTGGAAGGAAGGAGGAGGTGCCATACAAACCAGAGAATCGTGTGAAACCGGACAAAGAAGACCTAGATCCTAGGTCGGCCCTGACATCACCCACAGCTGGCAGCAACTTCCTTTCTATCCCCATTCTCATCCCCTCCCTCTTTTCCAAGACCAGAGCCAGAAGAGGGCAGGATTGAGAGGACAACTCACACAGGATACTTCCCTACTGGTCCACCTATGCACCTTTGGAGTCTGGCTCTCTGTCCTGCTCAGAGGTACCAGCAGCCACCTCTACCTCCTCCCCCATCAGGTAGAAAATAGAGCATTATTGTTCACCCAAGAAAGTCCCAGAGAAAATATATCCAGATGGTGACATCTGAGAGTTCCCCAGTGAAGCGATTGTCTGTCCTGCATGTCTTACCGTGAAGCTTGCCAGGTAGCAAGCCCCTGCAACATGCCAGGGTCCCAGTGAGCATTTGACTGCCTCACTCTTAGATGCAAAGACACAGCTGCAGATCATTCTACATTTGAAGAAAGCTTCTTACATGAAAAAGAGTATGAGCTAAGGTTCTGAGAAAAATGGCCGGCATACTAAAACTTGGAAATTTAAAGTCAGTTTACTGGAGGAACAGTCCACAAAAGCAAGCAGTGCTCAGAGGCTAGCAACAAAGTCTGCTGAGCCACAAGGAGCAGCTGCCAACATCTGCAGAATGTCACTGTGGAGAGGCCACTCACCTGGAACACTGGACTGTCAGGGAAGAATCTAGCTTCCCTGGCTAGGAGGAGCCTGGGGGAACCCATACTCTGATCCCCTCTCCCCGTCCCACTCTGCCACAAGCACAACCCAAACACACTAGAGGCAAAAGAAGCTGCTAGAGGCAAAAGTCACCATAGCAAAAAGCAGAAGGGTGGGGCCGGCGGGGCTGGAGTGTAGACTGGGAGGACAAATGGAAGATATTCATCAGCAGACCAAAACAAACAGAGAAGCACAGGAAGGGGGGGACCAGAAGAAGCAAAGACAGTGCAGAGAATAGAAGGAACCATAACACCTTCAAAGAAAGATGATGGGAAGTGTGTGTGTGTGTGTGTGTGTGTGTGTGTGTGTGTGTATATATATATATATATGCACATATACATATCTGAGATATGGAAAGGATTAAAGAAGAAAAAGACCATGGGTCGCATGAATATCAGATTTGAAATTTTAAAAATCAATGGAATGTTGAATATTAAAATCAAATAAATGTAGATTATAAATAGGAAATAAGTAAAATATTTAATAGGTGGATCCAAAAGTTGTAACATCTGATAAATAGCATTCCATATAAAGAAACCAGAAAAAATGAGGGAGTTCGATCATAACAAATAATATCTGAATAATTTCCACAATAAGTGGAATTAGGTAATATTTAGCAGTTTGAAAAAATCCACCAAATACCCTCCACAATTTTTTTTTAATTCATGCAAAGACATATCGTTGAAAATTTTGTCTCCCTATATGTGAACAGAAGGAAGAAAAGTAAGCCAGGTGACAAACAAAGGAAAAGGAATCCAAATGCCATCAAATTTCTTAACAGCCAAGCTGGATGTTACAGAACTTTGAAATTCAAACAGAATTTTATACCCAGTCAAGCAATTAGTGAATTGTGAGGATAGAATAAAAATGTACAAAGAATCAGAAAACTGAGCTCTCATGTAAGCCCTCTTGGGTGCTATCAGAGGGTGTGTTATGCAGTAAAACAAGGGGACGAACCAAGAAAAAAGGGCATACGGGAGCCCACTACAATTGAAATGTAATATACACAACGAATCCTTCAAGGAACAGCAGCATGCAGAGCCAAGGGAGGAGGCGGACCCTTGCCCCGCCTGGTGTGGCTCGAGTGCCAAAGGTAGGGACAGACGCGATTCCCACGTGGTGGCCTTCTCCTGCTAGCCTACCTTGGTCCTCTTTGACTTCCCTGGCTAGTGGGCCCACTTCCTGCAGATGCAGAAGGTCAAGTCGGGGCCATTGGCCGTCACCACAAGCAGCAGGAGCAGAAGAGGAACCAGTCACAGATAGATCATATTTTATTGATGATAAGATGTACACCTTTTCACACCCTAGCATGTCTAGTACTAGACTTCATCTCCCAGCTGATGACATTTACAGTGGATAAGGTGGAGGTGGATGCTGCCCTGATCCCCCTCCAAGTCCGTCTTCCTGGAGTGTTGACAGAGGACAGCTCTTAGCTGGGTGACCCTTTCAGAGAGTTGCCTGCTGTTGGAGAAAGCCGCACCCCACATCCAGTGACAAGTCTGTGCACGGGCACAAAGTTCTGGCTCCCGAGCCCTCGTGGCAGACGTCTTTGAAGCGCTCCGACTGCAGCGTCCCCGTGGCTCTGCTGAGGCCCCTCCCTGTTCAGCGCAGCTCACTCCTCCCGCTGCCCCGCCCTCTGCCCTCACTCCCATCCAGGCATTGTTCTGGGGTGCTCTTCCCTATCAACCTGCACTCAGATCACCTAATCAGAGGAACCGGCTTAAGTCAGCATGTCACAGTTTGATTGGGAGTCCATTTTTCTTTCTTAATTTTCCCTAAAAGAAAGGTGTGACACACCATCAGATTCCATAGAATAAGCCAGGAGTTAGCCAAGAGCAAGGGTCAGGAGGTGGGGAAACAGCCTGGAGCAGCCAGTAGAGACTAGATCACAGCAGCCAATACAGACTAGATTGTAAAAGGCCTTGGATGCTGCTCAGTTGAGCTCAGACTTTGTCTTGAAGGAAAGTAATGTAACCAAATTTTGTTTCTGAAAAGATCAGCCTGGTTGAAGGGTGGATTATGCTAGCAGAAGACAAGCTTTGGAGCAGAGGGAAAAGAACAAGGCTGCTGAAATCGCTTGCAGTAGGGAATAGTGGTTGTAGAAATGCAGAGGAGTGTGTTATGCAGGTGGAATCTGTAAGATTTGGTGACTATTAGGGCTGTGCAGATTTCTGGAAAGGGCAGGCTCTGGCTTGGGCACCACATTTGAACAAGCCCAAGATGCATCATTATTTTATGCACTACTGACAAAGAAAAAATGCACCCAGCCACACAATGACTTACCATGCACTGTAAGACACATCCCGATGTCAGAGATGTAAAAAGGTAGAAAAGCATACATATTAGCATTGAAAAAAATACAATACTTGTACTTTTGAGTCAGCTTCAGTCACCTACTTTGGGAAGTTTTCTGGCATCCCTAGGATTGATTCAGATGCACTTTGAGTGCTTTCAGAGCAACCTGGGTGCTCAGTCTTGTCAAAGAATTAGTCCTGTTATCCTCTCAATCCTGTTATTATCTTAGTCATTTTTAAGCGTGTAGTTCAATGGTTTAGTACACTCACGTTATTAAGCAACCGTCACCTCTATCCATTTCCAGAACTTTTTCATCTTGCAAAACTGAAGCTCTGTACCCATTAAACAATGACTCCCTGTTCCCCTTCCCCCAGCCCCTGGTAACCAGGATTCCAGTTTCTGTACCTGTGGAATTGACTGCTCTAGGAACCTCACATACATGGAATCATACAGTATTTGTCTTTTCATGTTTGGCTTATTTCACTTTGCATAATGTCCTCAAGGTTCTTCCAGGTTGCAGCACATGTCAGAATTTTCTTCCTTTTTAAGACTGAATCACATTCCTTTGTATGTCTATACCAAATGTTGCTGATCCATTCATCCATCTACAGACACTTGGGTAACTTCCACCCAGCTCTTGGCGATTGTGAACAGTGCTGCTGTGACCACGGCAAAGATCTCTTCAAGACTCTGCTTTCAGTTCGTTTGGATATATACCCAGAGGCAGGATTGTGGGATCACACAGTGGTTTTATTTTCAATTTTTTGAGGAACCGCTGCACCGTTTTCCATAGCTGTTTTTCACCATTTCACAATCCATCAACGGTGTGTAAGGGTTCCAGTTTCTCCACATTATTGCCAACACTTATTCTCTGTTGTTGTTTTTTAAAGTAGCCATTCTAATGGGTTTGAGGTGATATCTCGCTGGTTTTGATTTGCATTTCCCTGATGATTAATGATGTTGAACATCTTTTCATATGCTTATCGGCCATCTGTATTCTTCTTTGGAGAAATTTCTATGCAAGTCTTTTTCTCTTTTTTTTTTTTTTTAAGAAAATAAACTTGTTCTTTAACGGGGACTGGGAAGGACTGTCCAGGCTGGGAATGAGGTTAGGGTATCAGAAGCACAGCCCCCTGAGGGCTGAGTCATCTGGGGCCTCCTGGATCTGTTCTGCAGTTTGAATGCAGCCTTCTCAGCAATTGTGGAAAGTGGTCACATGATAGCACCCAGCACCCAGGGTACAGCAGCTGGCAGACACCAGCAAGCAGGCAGGCAGTTGCCACAGGACCTCCCAGCAGGATGAGGGCAGCTCCAGGCCTAGGGGTCCCATGGTCCGGTCCACCCAGGTGGAGCCCAGGAGTGCCAGTCCCCAAAGCCACTGTGCTAATTTCATCATGGTCACTCTTTGCTCCACGTCTCCCCTTCCCCGTGCAGCCCTGATGTCAGTGTCCAGAAGTCCTCTCTCTGCCCATTTTTTAATTGAGTTTTTTTTTTTAATTGTGGTTGAGTTGTAGGATTCCTTTATATATTCTGGATATAAACCCCTTATGAGATACATGATTTGCAAAAATTTTCTATGATTCTATAAGCTGCCTTTTCTCTCTAGTAATAGCATCTCTTGATGCACAAAAGGTTTTAAGTTTGATGTAGTGTCATTTATCTATTTTTGCACTTTTTTTTTTTTTTTTTTGAGGCAGGGTTCACTCTGTCACCCAGGCTGGATTGCAGTGAAGTGAACTCAGCTCACTGTAACCTCTGCCTCTTGGGCTTAAGCAATCCTCCCACCTCAGCCTCCCGAGTAACTGGGACCTGTCACTATACCCAGATAATTTTTTGTATTTTTGGTAGAGACAAGGTTTGTCATGTTGTCCAGGCTGTTCTCAAACTCCTAGGCTCAAGCAATCCTCCTGCCTCGGCCTCCCAAAGTGCTGGGATTACAGGCATGAGCCACTGTGCCCTGTCATCTATTTTTGCTTTTTATTGCCTATGCTTTTGGTATCAGATCCAATAACTCATTGCCATATCCAATGTGATGAAGTTTTTTCCTATGTTTTCTTCTAGGAGTTTTATGATTTCAAGTCTAATACTTAGGTCTTTAATCCATTTTGAGCTCATTTTTGCATATGGTGTAAAATAAGGGTCCAACTTCATTCTTTTCCACATGAATATCCTGTTTTCCCAACACCATTTATTGAAGAGACCTTTCTTTCCCCCATTAAGTGGTCTTGGAACCCTTGTTGAAGATCATTTGGCTATATACACAAGAGTTTATTTCTGGGCTCTCTATTCTATTGCATTGGTCTATAGGTCTATTCTTTTGCCAGTACCACACAGTTTTGATTACTGTAGCTTTGTAATATGTAATACGAAATCAGGAAGCATTCACCTCCTTTGTTCTTATTTTTCAAAATTATTTTGGGTATTTAGGGTCCCTTGAGCTCTTATATGAATTTTAGGATGAACTTTTTTCTATTTCTGCAAAAAACACCAAAGGGATTTTGATAGTACACCCAGTTTTTGTGCACATCAAGTTTGCAGTTTCTGTGAGATATCCAAGTCCAGTAGGTAATTTATATAGAACTCACAGGCACCGAGGGCAGAATCGGTCACCTTACATAACATGTCTGCCTTCCCAAGAAGCTTCAAGTGACTGGTGCCTTTCAAGATGGCAGCAGGAAAATAAATCACAAAAGAAAAGAGGTGTTTTTGTTGTTGATATTTTCTTGCAAGTACTGCATCTCTATTCATCCATGGAGTCTACATACAGTATTTTAAAAATAAAGTAATTTGGCCTGATTCTCCTCAAAGAGAAAAACAAGACTTTCCTAAATTTGAGAGAGGACACACTCTGTAAGCCAAGGAGGAGGCTATCACTCACCCCTCTCCTTTCCTTTGACCCATATGCAGCAGCCCAGCGCCCAGTAACAGCTTGGCAGGGTAGCCCAGTGGCCAGGCAGCCGGCTTGCCCAGGCATTCCCCGTCCCACCTGGCCGGCACCACAGCCCCACCACCACGTGCAACTGCTTGGGAGGATGGAGAGCAAGGACACAGAGCTCAACAGGGAAGCGCTCCAGACCAGACGCAGAATCCTGGAGCACACACCTAGATTTGTCCTCAGCAAATTCCAGGCAGGAATTTTTATTATCTGCTAAATGGATTTCCAAATACTTCTAGACAGTATACTAAGCTCTACAAAGAAATCACTATTCCAGGGCTTCCCTTCTCTTGAAACTGTATTTCTCTCTGGGATGCTAGAAGTTGGAGTGAAAAAAAAGGTTTTTCTGAGCAGGTATGTTCATAAAGCTTAATTGCCATAGGCTTTCTTATTTTTCCTTCATTTTCTGTCAGTGCCCAGAGGGTGGCTAAGGGGGCCCCATCTCCACAACCATCTGCATTGCATTGGAATCGCTGGGAGCGCTTATTTAATTCCTATTCCTGGGGCCCACTCCATACCTACTGAGGTCTGAGGATGTGATCCATGAATTTGCATTATGAACAAGCTCCCCAGGAGACCCTTAGGCATATTAACATTTGAGAAGCACTGAACTAGAGCAAATAGATATCACAATCATAGAATAATAATGATTCTTGCATAGTTTCCAACATAGAGTTGGATATTCATTCAGATGGTAAGGCATTTTATCCATTTGGTGTATGTTGATTCTCCATTAGAACCTATATTTCTGTTTAAATCTTTTAAACTTGAAGCTTTTTATTTAAGAAATACAAAAGTAAAGTTTGCTTTCAGCTGTGTTACTGACTTTCTCTTTAAGATTAAATAAAATCCCAACCCTCCTTCCCATCCTGATTCTCATACTTGGGAAATCCTTTACACTAGCTGTTAAAATCATTAAGCCAATGTCCCCGATTTAATCTTTAAGGTTGACCAGCCAGCATTGAGTCACTGTAATCTTCTGGGTCAGGCAGGAAAAGAATTGACGTCGTTACAAAATACCACTGCGTAAGTGTGTTTGAGAAAATGGCAGCCAAGTGTACACGGCCGGGTAAGGAGAGGCGAAGAGCAGTGGGCCTTGAGCAGGGGAGCGGGGAGTCCCTGGCACTCAACGCTGCGCCGCTGAGAGGCCCCGTGGGAGCTGTCGGGGATCCATGGCACACTTTCTCTGACATAACACATCTCAGTGAGTTATCAAGGTGTTTCCTCTCTCCAGAACGTCAAGCAGCCTGTGAGAAATGATCATTTGGCATGGGTTGTGCTCCCGGGTCAAATGCAGTCAGGGATGTCTCATACAAAGGGGCTTCCACCGTGAGCCAGCAAAGTGGATGTGCAGCTAAAAACAGACACGTAAAAATAAACCTTCAACTCCTCACCCCGTGCACTGAAGATGTTTTCCAGAAAACCACACACAATCTAAATAGCCTTGGACTTAGCCAGCTCCTTTCTCCAGCTTTTACTTTTTAAAAAAGGAAGAATAAAAAAGTGGATCAGCTGACCTCGTTGGTTGATCTCACTAGCCTGTAATATCGTCCCAAAGAGAGTTAGTGACACAAGCATGCCCAGTCTCGCTGGCTTGTTTCTACCTTTCAGAAACAAACAAAAAAGTTATTATTAGCCATTAACCTAATATCTTAAATTAATACAAGTACTCCCATGCCAGAAATTAATGTTAGCATTGAACTCAACTTTATTTATCTTTTTTTCTTACACTGAGCCTTGCTCTGTCACCCAGATGGGAGTGCAGTGGACGATCTCAGCTCACTGCCACCTCTGCCTCCTGGGTTCAAGCAATTCTCCTGCCTCAGCCTCCCTAGCAGCTGGGACTACAGCCACCCACCATCACATCCAGCTAATTTTTGTATTTTTAGTAGAGATGGGGTTTCGCCATGTTGGCCAGGCTATTCTCAAACTCCTGATCTCAAGTGATCCGCCCCCCTCGGCCTCCCAAAGTGCTGGGATTACAGGCGTGAGCCACCAGCGCATTCAACTCAATTTTAAAGAGATATGGAAAGATCCAATCACACATTCATTCTCTCTCCCTGTTTCTATTTCTCTGTCTTCCCCAGCCCTCTCTCAACTTAAATCAAAGGGAGGAAAAACTCGAGATAATTATCTGAAGATGGAGAGGTAGAAAATGAGGTCAATCAGTTTAAATTGCCCGGGGCCTGTGATGGTGTGGACAAGCAACTTCAGGAACTACTGCACCCTACAAAGAGTCAAGCATTAAAGCAAGGCAAATCTCAAGATAATTCACATCAAAATTAAATTTTTAAAAAATCCTGTGGTTTCCTGGAGCGTTGTGTCTATCGTCTATTTCACTGTCGCCGCAGGGTCCTGCTTAGTAAGACAGGACAGCGAAGGCCATGCCAACTCAGTGAGTCTGACTCCCCGGGAGAACCAGAGTTTTGCCCTAGAGGTCATCGCATGAGGAAGACTGTAACTGAAGACACTGAGCCTCCCCAGAGCCCGCAAGACCACAGCCAGGAAAGCTAGGGGTGGGGCAGATCAGGACTGAATGTTCAGAGCAGTGGGCCTGTTTACATAGTGTCCTTGACCATCTTCCTCTCCCTGCCGCCAGACCAGTGTATTTCCCCAGTCCCTTCTAACTTCTAACATCCTCATTTAAAGGCCTGCAGTTGAAGCTACCTTCTACTTGGGTCTTTTTTGAATGACAGCCAATCCCGGCGAGTATACTCAACATTCGTGTCACAGGGATGTGGACATGAAGTCTGTTCAAGCCTTTCCTCTATGACGTGTGTGATTGGCCCCTGGAGGACTCTGCATGTCACTTAGTTCCTCCTGGTCCATGTCTCTCCATCCTGCCCAGTGAGTGCCTCCATCCTGATCTTCAAAGCCCTTTTCAGCCTGGGGGAAAGGCGAAGTAGTTCCTATTTCACTTCCTCCAACCATGAATCCACTTACCCATCCATGCTCCCATACTCATCCCCAATGTAAAAAAACACACACCAGTTCTTCTCACTTCCTTCTCCCACCCCCACGGTTGGGCTCTGGCCAGATGTAGGGGGAAGGAATAGAGGAGACAGCAACAATTCAGCCCCATCCTGAGTGTCAACAGAGTGCAAATTCTGGCAACTGCTCAATGGTGCATCTGAACAGGAGAACAAGGGCCTCCCCCAGAGTCATTCACCCAAATGGAACTCCATCTACCCAGCACCAGACAGCCCTGGTGGAAATCTGAGCACTGCCCAGCTATCAAGGAAGCCAGGAAGGGAAGAAGAGAGGAACAGGGACCCTGCGTGGAAATTCTAGGAGAGCAGGACTTTGGGGCACCCGTAGGCAATGTCCAGTTTGAAACAATGGTTCTCATCATTATCAAGAGCAGTACTCAAATGTTCATGTCAGCTTTCATCCACCCATGTGTCATTCAGAGTGCTTGCTCCAGACCAACTGGGCACTGCACATCCACGCAGCGCCCCAGGCGGCATCATAAGCCTCCTGTCAGGCACAGCGCAGTCAGCACCAAAGATTTGCACCTCTGCAGCCTGAGTGTCAAAAATGGACACTCATTGCCAACACCAGCAACTTATTAATTATCATGATGAATCCTAAAAGTGAGCTCTTACTGGTAAGAATAAAGGCAGTGAAGACAGGAGAAATCGGCCTGGTGTGGTGGCTCATGCCTGTAATCCCAGCACTTTGGGAGGCCAAGACAGGTGGATCCCCTGAGGTCAGGAGTTCCAACATCAACCTGGCCAACATGGTGAAACCCTGTCTCTACTAAAAATACAAAAATTAGCCGGGTGTGGTGGCACATGCCTGTAATCCCAGCTACTTGGGAGGCTGAGGTGGGAGGATTGCTTGAACCTGGGAGGCAGAGGTTGCAACGAGTTGAGAATGCGCCACTGCACTCCAGCCTGGGTGACAGAGCAAGACTGTCTCAAAAAAAAAAAAAAAAAAAAAAAAAAAAAAGACAGGAGAAATGGTTCACAAAGTTCTCAGTTTGAGAAGAGAAAATAGTTCTGGAAGCCAGTGGTGGTGGTAATGGTTGCATACAACGTGAATGTACTTGATGCCACTGTCCTGTACACTTGAAAATGGTTAAAATGGTAAATTTTGTGTTATGTATGTTTTACCACAATAAAAATTTTTTTTAAGGTTTAGACATGGCCCATCCTTGCACAAACAGGGAATAACAGTAAACCTTGTCCCCAGCACCCTTCAGAATGGCCCCTGAGGCTCCTTCTCTGCTCTGTTCTCCCCTCCCCATTGCTTTAGATGGATTCCTGAATGCTTCATGTCAACAAGCAGATTCCAAGTTAGGCTCTAGATCAGGGGTTGGCTGACTTTTGCAGTAAAGGCCAGAAAGCAAATATTTTAGGCTTTGTGGACCACACAGTCTCTATTGCAACCACCCAACTCTGCCAGTATGTCAGGAAAGATGTGACAGGCAACACCCAAATGTTCCAACATTTCATTTATAAGAATTTGGCCCACAGCTTAGTCTGCCATTCCCTGATGCAGATCCTCAGAATGTGCTGTCTCCCTTGAGTAGTCTTCTCAGGCCAGCTGAGGCCAGAGATCTGGAGCTTGCTTTGCTTAACGTCTACATGGGAGACACTCTGGCTAAGGGTCCTTCCCTCACAATCTGGAAGTGGAGTGGGGCTGGGGCAGGAGCCCTCACACCTCAGACTTCTGGGTGGTACCAGCATCTGCCTCAAAGAACCCAAGAGCTGTGTGTGGCCACATGGTCTGAGGTCCCTTCACAACACCGAGAAGTAATGGAGAGCAAACCCCACAAAGGTCCTGCCCCAGCCTGGGATACAGGAGAGAATGGATGCAAAATGTAAATAATTGCTCAAGAACTTATAAAGTAATAACTGTGATAGGGTTATAAAGGAAAGCTATTTGAGAATGGGCAAAAAAGGTAACCTATGGATTAGAATCCCTGGGTGCAGAAACAGATCTCTGACCCAAGCAGGTCTTTAGTGCACTTCAACCAGCACTAACTCAGCAGTGGGCACACCTGTTGGGGGAAAAGACTTCAGGGAGGAACTGAATTGATGTAGGCCTCCAAACCGCGGCTTTCCAGAAGGACACCTTGGCTGCTTGTGTCTGTGTGTGTGTGTGTGTGTGTGTGTGTGTGTGTGTGAGTCTTACCAGGCTTGCCAAGGACTGCCCAAATCTACACAACAAAGCAGTTACCTTTCGCCAGTGACTATGGCAGAGAAAGAGCTCAGGACTCAAGCCGGTACTTCTGAGCAAGGTACTGCAATGCTCAGAGCTTGACTTCACACAATATTTTCTTCCCTCTGCAACCCTTGATCTCTCTTCTGGGTTTGATCTCTCTATGACTATATCAGCACACATCCTGAATAGCTGTATAATATGGAAGGATATGATCAAGTTTTAAAATCAGATGAAACACTCTTCAAATATGAACTTCACTGTTGCCTCAATGTACTCATCAATACAAATTCCTCCTCGACAAGGTTACTATAAAAAGGAAAGAACATATTTGTTAAATAACACATTCTTTTTCCTGTAATTTTCTTGAGTTCTTACTAGGTGGAAGGCACCGTATAAAAAGAGTCGCTGTTTTATTTTTTATGTATTTATTTTTTGAGATGGAGTCTCACTCTGTCACACAGGCTGGAGTACAGTGGCATGATCTTGGCTTATTGCAACCTCTGTCTCCCAGGTTCAAGCAATTCTCCTGCCTCAGCCTCCCAAGTAGCTAGGACTACAGGTTTGCGCCATCATGCCTGGCTAATTTTTGTATTTTTTTGGTACAGACAGGGTTTTACCATGTTGGCCAGGCTGGTCTTAAACTCCTGACCTCAGGTGATCCACCTGCCTCGGCCTCCCAAAGTACTGGAATTACAGGCGTAAGACACTGTGCCCCGCCAAGAGTTATTGTTTTAATGTGTTTGCCCTTTTAAATCTCACAGCTCTTCAGAATGGGCTTTTTATCCCATGTCACAGATGAGAAAATTGGGGCTTATGAGAGTTTAATTGAAATAAAATTTTAGAGCATTTGGCATCTAGTTGGCATTTAATAAATGGTAATTTCTACTGTTTCCAGAAATAGCCTAATTTCAAATATGCTGTGTTCTTTCTTCATAGAGAGATATGTTGACAGTGGTGAAAGATATGTTATAGCTTCCACCTTGGGTGGTATTTCTTTCCATATACTTAAATATCTGCCATTTATTTAATATCACTATTTAATGTCTATTATATATTTAAATACCTATCATGGTATTTCGCTTCATATAAATTTAAATCTCCTTTTCCTTCCGCCAATAAAATTTTGTTCATTCTTCACATAAGTCTTATGCACTTTTTAGCTTTCTTTTTAGTATTTTACAAGTCTGTGGATATTATTAATGGAGTTTTTAATAATATTTTCTAATCAGTCATTGCTGCTATATAACAAAGCTATAATGTTGGCCTTGAGTCCACTTATTGTGCAGAACTCTTATTAGTTCTAACCATCTTGCAGTTGATGTCTGCAAAAACTTGTATCTCATGTCTTTGTATTGACCAGAACCTCCAGAATAAATATTGAATACGGCGGCAAGAGCGGCATTCTTTCCTTATCTCTATCTTCACCTTAACGATTCTGTCATAGATGCCTCTTATCTGGGTAAGTCAGCTTTTCTGTATTGCCAAATTACTATTTTTTGTTTTTTGTTGTTTGCTGAATTTTATCAAACACTTTTAAAGCAAAACCTATTGAAATGATTATGGCTGTTTTTCCCTTCAATTCCATGACTAAATTTCTTCATGTTTCCTTCGCCTCACACACTCAGGCCATACGGTGTATTTTATTAACGTCGCATGGTTGGATTTACTAGTATTTTGCTTAGAAATTTACCACCTATAAATAAGATATTCCTGCAGTTGGCCGGGCGCGCTGGTTCACGCCTGTAATCCCAACACTTTGGGAGGCCGAGGCAGGCGGATCACGAGGTCAGGAGTTCAAGACCAGCCTGGCCAACATGGTGAAACCCCGTCTCCACTAAAAATACAAAAATTAACTGGGCATGGTGGTGCGTGCCTGTAATCCTAGCTACTCAGGAGGCTCAGGCAGGAGACTTGCTTGAACCAGAACCCGGGAGGTGGAGGTCGCAGTGAGCCGAGATCGTACCACTGCACTCCAGCCTGGGCTACAGAGGGAGACTCTGTCTCAAAAAAAAAAAAAAAAATCCTGCAGTTTTATTTTTGTGTGCTCTCCTTCCCTTCTTTTAATATCAGGATATGTTAGCCTTGTTGGAACAATTTAAAAGCGTCTCATTTTTTCCCATGCGTTGAAATATTATATATAACATCGGGGTCATCTACCCTTTACAGATTAGCTAGATTCTATCCATAAAACTATGCAGGCTAAATCTTTTGGTGGGGCTGATACTTGATCACCATTTCAAGCTTTTTACCTTTCCATGAGTTAATTTTCCTGGGTGATCACACATTTCATCTATGTTTTCAAATTTATTGGCATAAAATTTTTACATAGTGTATTAGCTTCCTGGGGCTGTCATAACAAACTGGGTGGCTTAAAACAACAGAAATTCATTCTCTCACAATTTTGGAGGCCAGAAGTCCAAAACCAAGGCGCCCCTTAGAGGCTCTGAAAAGCAATCTGCTCGATGTTTCTCTGTAGCTTCCAGTGCTTGGCGGCATCCTTGGTGTTCCTTGGCTTTATAGACTCGTCACATTACTTCCATCCCTGTATCTGTCTCCACATGGTGATGTGTGTGTGTGTGTGTGTGTGTGTGTGTGGTCCAAATTTTTCTCTTCTTTTAGGGACACTAGTCACAGTGGATTTAGGACCACTCTAATTTAGTATGACCTCATCTTGATAACATCTGCAAAGATCCTCTTTCCAAAATAAGGTGACATGCATAGCTTCCAGGTGGACATAAATTTGGGGAGGGGGAATATTCTTTGACCTACTGCACTTAGTATTTTAAATAATTTTATAATTTCTTCACTATCTGTATTTGTGTTTCCTGTCTTATTTCTACTGCTGTTCTCTAATGTCTTCTCTCATTTTTTTCTTAATCAAAATTGTCAAATATTTATATTCTTTTTGAACTTGTATTGATCATCTACTTTTTTCTTCTCTATTCATTAATTTCCGCTTATAGCTATAGCAATTCCTCATTCCTCTGTCCTTTGTTTTATTTTGTTGTCCTTTTTCTAGATTGTTTGCCCATTTTAAATGTTTACTGTTTTCCACCAATTGAATTTGAAACCAAAACAATTTCCTCTGGAGCTGCTTTGGTTGAAATTTAATATTAAACCACTCTTTATTATTCATTTGTAAATTGTTTAAATTATATTTTAAAATTTCTTTTTTGACTCAAGAGTGATTCAAGAGTATTTTTGTTTGTTTGTTTGTTTTTCTTTTCTTTTTTTTTTTTTTGAGACAGAGTCTCACTCTGTTGCCCAAGCTGGACTTCAGTGGTACGGTCTCAGCTCACTGCATTCTCCGCCTCCCGGGTGCAAGCGATTCTCCTGCCTCAGCCTACCGAGTAGCTAGGACTACAGGCACGTGCCACCACACCCGGCTAATTTTTGTATTTTTAATAGAGACAGAGTTTCACCATGTTGGCCAGGCTGGTCTGGAACTCCTGACCTCGGGAGATCCACCTGCCTCAGCCTCCCAAAGTGCTGGAATTACAGGCATGAGCTACTGTGCCCAGGCTTAAGAGTATATTTTTTAAATGTCCTAGTGATTGGGTTTTTCTTTTTTTCTCTTAACTTGCTTTTATTGCTCATTTCTAACTTTGTTGCACCATTGATTGATTGTGACCTGCATGGTTTCTGCTTTGGGGTCAAGAATGTCTTCCTGGCCAGACCCAGTGGCTCATGCCTGTAATCCCAGCACTTTGGGAGGCCAAGGTGGATGGATCACCTGAGGTCAAGAGTTCAAGACCAGCCTGGCCAACATGGCGAAACCCCGTCTCTACTAAAAATGCAAAAATTAGCCAAGTGTGGTGGTGCACACCTGTAGTCCCAGCTACTCGGGAGGCTGAGGCAGGAGAATTGCTTGAACCCGGGAGGCAGCGGTTGCAGTGAGCCGAGTTCATGTCATTGCACACCAGCCTGGGCGACAGCAAGACTCCATCTCAAAAAAAAAAAAAGTCTTCCATATACTGTACATCTGTTATATCAAGCATGTCAAGAAGAATTTTCCACTTCTCCACAGTTTTAATTTTTTTATCTGACTAATTTGCCTATTAAGAGATATGTTGGTCTCTCCAAATAATTAGAACTTTGTCCGTTTTCTTCACGTTCTTAGCCATTTTTGCTTTTTATTTTCCAAATGTATGTGACCAGGCACATAAACATCTATGACACTTCGGCCAGGCGCAGTGGCTCACACCTGTAATCCCAGCACTTTGGGAGGCTGAGGCAGGCAGATCACTTGAGGTTGGGAGTTCGAGACCAGCCTGACCAACATGGAGAAACCCTGTCTCTACTAAAAATACAAAATTAGCTGGGCGTGGTGGCACATGCCTGTAATCCCACCTACTCAGGAGGCTGAGGCAGGAGAATAACTTGAACCCAGGAGGCTGAGGTTGCAGTGAACTGAGATCACGCCATTGAACTCCAGCCTGGGCAACAAGAGTGAAACTCCATCTCAAAATAAAATAAAATAAAATAAAAGATCTATGACACTTCTATTTTCTTGGTCACTAGTCCCGCTGATCCATATTGTCGAAGGCCCATGGCCCCTGGATGAGAGCACTAGCTGGGCCAATGCCTGCGTCTATATGGCTCTGCCACTCATGGCTCTGTGGCAGCTCCTTCCACTCACTGGGCATCGGTGGCTTCATCTCTAAAATGGAGATCCTGGTGACTGTCACCTTCTGGGGTGGTTGGGAGATCAAGTGTCATAACGTGTAGGGAGCTGAGACTAGCCTCTGACACATTATACGTTCTCAAAGAAATTATCTAGGATGATGATGTCAACAGCGATGACGATGATGAAAACAAGAAATGCCCATCTTTGATCTGTTTTATACTTTTGGCTACAAAGTCTATGTGTTTAATATTTATATTGCTAAATCTGCCTTATTTTTATATGGATTTGCCTGCTGTGTTTTTTTCTATCTCTTTTTTTTTAATGAGTATCTCTTTTTTTTTTTCTTGAGACAGGGTCTCACTCTGTCACCCAGGATGGAGTGTGGTGGTGCCATCATACCTGTCTGCAGCCTCCACCTCCTGGGCTCAAGCAATCCTTCCACCTCAGCCTCCAGAGTAACTGCAACTACAGGAGTGCACCACCACACTTGGGTAATTTTTTAAAAATTTTTTGTAGAGACAGGATCTCACTATGTTGCCCAGGCTGGTCTCAAATTCCTGGTCTCAAGCAATCCTCCCACCTCAGCATCCCAAAGTGCTGAGATTGCAGGTGTGAGGCACTGCACCTGGCCAGGAGTGTCTCTAGACAGAAGAATAAAGCTGGGTTGTGCATGATTGTCTCCGTGTCTTGGAAGTGATAGTGTGTCATATTCCATCATTATTACTTCTTAGAAAGTACATAAAATGTTTTAGGTTTAATTAAACCCAGTATTTATATGTTTGCAATTTCTGGCTTCACCTACACTTGACATGCTTTTGACTCTCACATCAGTATCTCCAGCCTGCTCTCACCCGGCCCCGTGTGACCCATGTTCCTGAGCATGTTCTACCTCCAGCTGCCTTTGAGCATGTCCACATGATTGTCCTACAGTCACGTCAAACCTAACACACCCAAATCTGACCTTATTAGTCTCCCCCCAAATCTCCCTCCTTGTTCAATTTCTCCTTCTAATTTTGGTTAATTCTGCTTTAATTATCCATCCAGTTTCCCAAATTAGAATTCTCCATGACTCCACCTTCTTCAAAGCTCTCACCCAAATCCTATCAACTCCACCCTGGAAACATCTCCCCAGGCAGTCGTCTCTTTCCAGTCACTACACGCTGCCTTTGATGGGGCCAGCATCGTGATTATCCAGCAACTAATAGTTACAATATCATTGGCCCAGCTGTTCTATACCCCAGGCCAAGGGTAAGCACACTAAGATCCACAGGCCAGATCTGGTCACCTATTGATCATTGTATCACCCACAAGACAGGAATAGTTCTTATATTTTTTAATGGTTGAAAAAATCAAAAGAAAGCCAGTCACGGTGGCTCACACCTGTAATCCCAGCACTTTGGGAGGCCCAGGAGGGCAGATCACCTGAGGCCAGGAGTTTGAGACCAGTTTGGCCAACATGGCCAAACCCTCTCTCTACTAAAAATACAAAAATTAGCTGGGCGTGGTGGCAGGCGCCTGTAATCCCAGCTACTCAGGAGGCTGAGGCAGGAGAATCACTTGAACCCAGGAGGCAGAGGTTGCAGTGAGCCGAGATTGTGCCATTGCACTCCAGCCTGAGTGACAGATGGAGACTCTGTCTCAAAAAAAAAAAGTAATATTTTTGACACACAAAAATCATGTGAAATCAAAATTTCTGCATCTATTAATAAAGTTTTGTTTGTTTGCTTGTCTTTCTTGAACCCAGGAGGCAGAGGCTGCAGAGAGCCAAGATCACGCTACTGCACTCCAGCCTGGGCAACAGAGCGAGACTCAGTCTCAAAACAAACAAACAAACCAACCAACAAACAAAAAACAGCACACACATTTGCCAATCTTTGTTCAGTAGATCCTTCCACCTTGAATTATCTTTCCCTCTTCTGAACCTCAAAACCTCTGCTTGTTCTCAAAGACCCAATTTACTTTTATTAAGGTAAATTTTCCATACAATAAAATGCACAGATCTTAACTGTACAGGCTGATGGGGTTTGCAAGAGTACACGCTGTGTAACCAACACCCAAATCAAGACATAGGATGTTTCTCATCGGTGAGGAAAGTTCCCTCTGGCTCCTTTCATCCAGCTTCCCTCACCAGGCTGCCACTATGCTGACTTTGATCACTTCTGATTTGTTTTTGTCTCTTTTTGACCTTTGTATATATGAAATCAGGCCATATATATTGTTTTTGTATCTGGTTTCTTAGCTTAACTTAATGTTGTAGGGGCCAAGGAAAAATGCACACATAGGAGACAACAGGGTGCTTCCCTCAACTCCCAATGGGGCGCAGAAGATTACAGGCCAGCCCGAGGTTACAGAAGGAATAGGGCCCAGAGCATAGCCAAAAACAGGATATGGTGGAAATGAGGTTATTTTGGCAAGACAGATTATGAGAGGGAGAGAAGAGGAGACCTGGCTAGCAAAGGTGGTCTTGCTACACAAATAAAACCACAGAGGTAGCAGCCCTCAAAGAGAACAGATGGTAAATGTTTCTTTCAGACCTTTAAAAGTATCAGATTCAGCAGGGCGTGGTGGCTCATGCCTGTAATCCCAGCACTTCGGGAGGCCAAGGCGGGAGGATCACCTGAGGTCAGGAGTTCGAGACCAACCTGGCCAACATGGTGAAACCCCCCCGTGTACTAAAAATACAGAAATTAGCTGGGCATGGCGACCGGGGGGCAGGGGTGGGGGTGGGGAGTGGGGTGCCTGTAATCGCAGCTACTCAGGAGGCTGAGGCAGGAGAATCGCTTGAACCTGGGAGGCAGAGTTTGCAGTGAGCCGAGATCATGCCACTGCACTCCAGCCTGGGTGACAGAGTGAGACTCCATCTCAAAAATAAATAATAAATAAATAAAATATCAGACTCTCAGATAATCTTTCCTGGGTCCAGACAATTGAACGCCTGGTTGCCTCAGTACAGATTCGCTACAGATGTAAATCATCCCCTTGAAAAACAGTTTTGAGGGCTCCTCTGTTGGCACTCTGAACAGCCATCTCAAAACATGTCAAAATATGTATTATAAGCTAAAATATTTTAATTTCCTTCAATATTTAAGATATTTGTCCATGCTGTGCTTATAGGTGTAGCTCATTCATTTTCATTGTTGTCTAGTTGAATCATTGTGTGATTAAACTACCATTTGTTTATCCATTCTCTTGTTGCTGGCCATTGGGTTGTCTCTAGCTTGGGGCTATAATGAATGAAGCTGTTATGCACATTCTTGTACAAGTGTATTTTGTGGACGTAGGTGTTCACAGTTCTTGGGAATTGCTGGATCATAGTTTGCATGCGCATTTAACTTTATAAGGAGCTGCCGGACAGTTTTCCATAGTGGCTGTACCATTTTACACTCCCACCAGCAATGTCTGAGACATCCAGTCATTCCACACCCTGGCCAACATTTGGCATTTTCATTCTTAATGGGCATGAGGTATACTTCATTGTGGTTTTAATTTGCATTTCCTGATAACTAGTAATGTTTAATAGGTGCACAAAGCATGTTTGTGCGATGGATGAATGAATGAATGAACGAGTTTTCTGGGACATGGCTTATTCCAAATATTCTGTTTCTTGCCCTAATAAGTACGCATTCTATGGACCCATTTTAAAATCAAACAGCGGGCCATGGAGCTGGATATTCTGCCCAGTAACAATAAAGAATTAAAAGTGATCAATTCTGCCTGGAAAGTAGAAGGTTGGAAAGTTTCACATCCTGTATTTTGCAGATGACTTGACAATGTAACATGTATGTGTCTCATACCCAAATTGCACACTTCTTCTTTCCTTCCTTACTCAAAAATAGCTACAACCACATAACCTTATGTATTAACATACGGCGGGATCCATTATTGAAAATGTTGCATTCTTAAGGGGATAATGTGTAGAATCAGGAGAAGTAGAGAATCCAGGGAGTATAGGGAGTGCAGGTAATGAAAGAACCCATGGTTCTACCAAGACCGGACCTTAGAGAATTTACCCCCGAACTTCAGCTTTCTCATATATAACCCAGGTTTGGGACCAGGAAATTCTCATGGTCAAAAAACCAACTCATTACTTAGCAAATGTTCTGTGTGTCTCTACAATGAAGGAAACTTTCCCTCATAAGCAGGTACTCCCTAAAGACAAGGCAGCTGAGAGGCACCCATCCCCTTGTGGGACACAAGAGCACTAGTCAATGGGATGAATGCTTCCTGTTTCCATCCAAGGAGAGTTTCCACTCTTCTTCCTTGTAGCAGGCCAGAGACAGGTGAGTGTCCTAGCTCATAAAAAGTCTGGGCTGACGTTCTCACACAGTTTCTTTGTTTCCCCATTTCCCTGAACATAGGACTTGTGCCTTCAAACTGCTCTGGGTTCTACCAGGATCCTTGTACCTTATTATATCCAACAAGCTCAAAGGCCAGCTAGTCTCACTGAGTGTTTGATAGAGAGAGAAGAGAAAGGAGCCACACACTCTGCAATGCAGAAAGTTCTCACCCAACCTGGTGAAGCTGTCAAAGATATAAGTTATGGTAGAGCAGCTCCAGAGCTGAGCACATCTTAACCAATGAATAAACAGCCAGTAGATATGAAAGTGGAGGGGATAGCTCTGGAGATGTGTGTTTGGGGGCACAGCTCTAAAACTTGTCTGTGAGAACCTGAAGTTAAGGTTCCTAACTTGAGTTTTCAATCCATGGATCCTGCAATCAATTTAGAGTTATAAACAGAATTATTTTACTATAAAATAAAAATATATTGGATTGGATAAAGACAGATTGTGTCTTATGAAACTGTGATTTCAACTGTGTGTTTGTTTATGTTTATAAGGGTCATATAGAAGACAGATTTCAACTGTGGGTCACATGCAAAAGTTTAAATGTCTCTGCCATAGACTACGGTTCTTTTCATTTGAAAGTAAAACAAGGCATTCTACTTTAAATAACAGCTACATGAAGGGGGAAACAGGAGAATTCGTTTTTCTCAGGGAAAAGTTGAGGGAGGGTTAACCTTGCGTTGCTAATGGTCACTGGCAAATCTAGAGTAGGTAAGCTTCAATCTCAAGGAAAGCCACCATTAGCTTATTTCCCTGATAAGTTCCAGGTACTTCCCTCAGACAATCCACTCTTTAACACCTTCTTTGGTGAAACAGAACTGAAAAAACTAAGGAAGTATATATATTTTGAGATCAGTCTCCCTCTGTTGCCCAGACTGGAGTGCAGTGGCGTAATCTCGTCTCACTGCAACCTCTGCCTCCCGGGTTCAAGCAATTCTCCCTGCCTCAGCCTCCCAAGTAGCTGGGATTACAGGCATCTGCCACCAGTCGCTGCTAATTTTTGAATTTTTAGTAGAGATAGGGTTTCGCCATGTTGGCCAGGCTGGTCTCGAACTCCTGACCTCAGGTAATCCGCCTGCCTCGGCCTCCCAAAGTGTTGGGATTACAGGCATGAGCCATCACGTCCGGCTGGAAGTATATATATTTTTAATGTTTCTTGATTATACCTTTCTCCTCTGATTTGCCTTAGATCAGATTTGCCTTAGATAGATTGCAGAAAATGTATTTTACAGGTATTTTTTTAGCACCTATGGTATTCTGTTTTCAAACATTCAAATCTTGGCTCTGTCATTTATAAGCTCTATAACTCAGCACAAGTTGCTAACTTCTCCTGGAAGAAAACTTCCGGGAGAAGAAAAAAGAAAAAAGAAGGAACTTCTCAGTTTCCACTCTAAAATGAGGACAGCTAAATTGTGAAGACTAAAGGAGGATGCATGTGAAGTTCTTAGAATAGCAAGCACCCTTGATTAGTACTCAGGCTGGCACAGCCCTGGGGCCGGGGAATGTGCTGTTAAAGGAGTCCTCTGTGGTCTAGTGAAGTTACATGCCATTTGGGAAATAGGAAGGCTGCTCTTAGTAAACACCATTTTCAGCAGTATAGTGGTGTCCTGGGAAAGAATAAGGCCTCTGGATCCTACCCCTGGGCTCACACTCAGATCCTATCTATTGACTCACTGAGTGACCTTGGGCATTTTAATTAACATCTGAATCCCAGTTGCCCCTTCTCTGAAATGAGTATCAAACACTCTTTGGATAGGAGGTTGTGCTTGTAAGGCATTAGCTGGGATGGACTGACTCCTGTTAATTTTCTCCTTTCCACTTTATAACAACTTCACAGGAAGGAAAAAAGGTAGCCTGGTTCCAGGGCCCCTCACTGCACACTCCAGGCATCCTTGAGACTACTTCAAAGCCAGAACATAACCCACAGTTCTGACCATCGCTGAGAATACACCACAGGCAAATGTAACTTGTAAGACAAAGTATCTCCATGCAATAAACCACATACGGATCCATGGAACAAACTGTCATTCCCACAGGAATTGTCCTATTATTGTTGGAAAGTTTTCCTTAACAAAATTATTTTAAATGTAAAAATGTGGCCAGGTGCGGTGGCTCACGCCTGTAATCCCAACACTTTGGGAGGTCAAGGCGGGCAGATCATCTGAGGTCAGGAGTTCAAGACCATCCTGGCCAACATGGCAAAACCCCGTCTCTACTAAAAATATAAAAATTAGCCAGACTTGGTGGCACGAACCTGTAATCCAGCTAGTCAGGAAGCTGAAGCAGGAGAATTGCTTGAATCCGGGAGGCAGAGGTTGCAGTGAGCTGAAATCATGCCATTGCACTCCAGGCTGGGTGACAAGAGAGAAACTCCATCTCAATAAATAAATAAATGTAAAGTTTGAAAAATAAAAACTTAGAATAAATAAGATCTAGTATTTTATAGCACAAAAGGTGTCTAAAGTCAACAATAATGTATTGTACATTTTAAAATAAGTAAAAGAGTAAAATTGGAATGTTTATAACACAAAGAATGATAAATGCTGTAAGGGATAGATACCCCATTTACTCTGATGTTATAATTACACATTGCATGGCTATCAAAATATCTCAAATACCCCATAAATATATACACCTACTGTGTACCCATAAAAATAAAAAAATAGGCCGAACACGAAGGCTTACGCCTGTAGTCCCAGCACTTTGGGAGGCTGAGGCAGGTGGATCACTTGAGCTCAGGACTTCGAGACCAGCCTGGGCAACATGGTGAAATCCCGTCTCTATATAAAAATAAAATTTAAAAAAATTTGAAATAAAATAAAGACTGTAAAGAGCCATACTCTCCCAAATCCCCCAAACATTACAACTATTTTTATTTTTAGTTATTACTTTGCATCATTTGTCCATATGCAGAAATGGTTTCTTATAGTTTTATATTCTACTTTTTTATGCGACTTTATTTTTTGCCAGCACAGCTCTCATGTTATACTACAAAATGGCTCTAGGATAGATCACGTTGTAAAAGTTGTATAACACTGGATATTAATATTCTATTCAGGTTTTTGCTACAACAAGCCTTTTTATTAGCATGCTTTTATTCTTTTTCACTTTTCTCTTTGGTGGGTTATATCTTTGAAAAAATTATGAAGGCTTCAATGGTTTGTATTTACAATGCATTCCACTATAAAAAATGAGCGTGGTCCTTCATTAATAAATAGTAGATTCTTCACCTAAAACACCCAGTGATTTAGCATAGGGATGGATTACACTCTTGGAGAATTTGGGGTACAGACACATTTGAACGAATGTGTGCTTAAAATCCATTCATACGATGTACTCATCTCATTTTGAAATGGCCAGGAAAAGCAGTGGTGTGGATTTCGGCAGTGGAGAGCCCTGTGGCAAATTCCCAACATTTCCAGAGAGAAAAGCCCTCCTGGACTTACTGGAAGAGTAGAGCAGAAGTTAAGTCATGGGGGAGGGAGAACAGGAAGAGACTTAGGCCAAATAATCTGTAACACACACATTGTGTGCAGCAGTTGCAAATTCAAAGGGAGCTCAGTGGCCCAAGAGCTAGGATGTAAAGCTGACCTCTGAATGGGTATTATGTCCTATCGAAGTCTATTGTTTCATGAAGCCCAGGCCTAACAATGTCCCATTGTGGCAGATGCAAGGGCGAGTTGGTTAAATCCCAGTTTTCCACATTTTCCCTTCATTTTCAGTCTCCAGGTCTGTCCCCCTGAAGATGGTTCCTCTCACCACCTGGGCTGCCACCACGCTGGCCATGTAAGTAAGGATGGTTTACAGGCTCCTCCATCTGATTTGGGGACACTGGAAATCTCTTGTCTTTTCTCTGATTTTTATTAAGTATATATAAAACCTATGGCTCCTATTTCAAGAGAGAAGGCCCAGGAAAAACTATCTTTGGAACTGCCAAGCCAGAGCTACTGCCTCCCTGCAAAGCCACCTTTGGAACTACAAGGACACTCTATACACATGGAAGATGCTCTTAAGGCTTTTAAGTATATCAGTGGATGGTTTGATACTTTCATTCTAAAGGGAATATAAAGGCCAACTTCAACTGCAAGAGATTGTTTTGCTGTACATAAGCCTGGAATGGGCATTAATCACTAAGTGGATTTTTAAATCCCTGGAGTAAAACAACAAAAACTCTATGGCTACCAAGGTTTCTTGCTGCACACGGATTTCTGGGTCACATGACATCTTTGTATTGGCATTGTCTGCACCAGGATTGAATAACCAGGATTGGAGACAGTTACTAAGAAGGCCCTGGGATGATAGAAAATTACATGGAAATCATCTATTTCACATCTCACCTCCTACACAGAGCTGGCGGTGACTTCTAACTAGGAGGTTTTACATAGCTGGGTGTTTTCTACTGAGCAGCAGGGAAACGAAAACCCAGATGTTTCCAAGAAGGAAAATGTGGTGGTTGCCAATCTGTTCTGTGATCAAGTTCTCTGCCTTTCCCTTCCTCCTTGGGTCAGAGGACCTTGATACAGACAGATCTTGGTACTGATGCCCTAAGACAAGAAAGCCTCTGAGGTGGGGGCACTCAGAAGAGAAAAGCTGGGTCTCTTAGGCTGACCCCTTCAAGTAGGTGTCTAAGTACTTGCAGTGTTTAACAAGTACTCCTATGTCTGGACAGGAGCCCATAAAGTGTAACTGGAAGAAAAGAACACCAGCCCTGACATTCACCTTTTGTGGGTGACCCCAGGCCAGCTGCTCAACCCCTCTGTGGTCTCTTCCTCCACCTATGGAATAGGGACAATAACTGTCTTATTTTTCTCACTGGAATGTCGTTGAGGAACAAAGAGACAGACCTATGTAGGTGGGCATACTTTATGCAAGTAAGTTATCTGTATTTTGTGTTGATAACCAGGTATGGAGGGAAGGATGGTACTGAACATGTGCCATAGCCTAGGTCTTTCCGGGCTGTTACTGATAGGTGCACCTCTTCTTGGCCTCTCCTTTTTTTTTTTTTTTTTTTGAGACAGAGTCTCGCTCTGTCACCAGGCTGGAGTGTGGTGGTGCGATCTCGGCTCACTGCAACCTCCGCTTCCCAGGTTCAAGCGATTCTCCTGCCTCAGCCAACCGAATAGCTGGGACTACAGGCAGGCGCCACCACGCCCAGCTAATTTTTGTATTTTTTTTTTTTTTAGTAGAGACAGGGTTTCACCATGTTGCCCAGGATGGTCTCAATCTCCTGACCTTGTGATCTGCCCATCTCAGCCTCCCGCAGTGCTGGGATTACAGGTATGAGCCATCGCGCCCGGCCAGGCTCTCCTTTTTACACTGACTAACAGAGAGCTGCTTTCCATATTTGCAAAAGTTGTATTTCTTCCTTTCCTCATTGGGGTGGGGCGCTGGGGACATGCTGATTGCTTACTCAAGCCCAGCAGGGACCTTCTAAGTCTAAGGTCTGGGTAAAAGGTGGAAATAGGCTGAGGGAGGTGGAGCCCTGGTTGGTAAACGAGCCACAGTAAACATCTCTCCTGTTAGGCCTATTCAGTCAAACCTAGTTTTGGAGAAATGAGACTAAGGTGGCATTTTCTAAGTTGTGGTAGGATCTTAACTGAAAGTGTCTGTTTTTTAGGTGTCCAGCTATGTCATGTATTTTTAAGATTCTTTGAGTCCCAATTCTTGAGATCTAGACCCAATCCCCTGATTCATTAAAATGTTATCTTCTTTCCTATCTAATTATAAAATAATAGAAACATGGCCAGGCCTGGCAGCACTCACCACTACTCAGAGGCTGAGGCAGGAGGATTGCTTGAGCTCAGGAGTTCAAGGCTGCAGTGAGCTATGATCGCACCTGTGAATACCCACAGCCCTCCAGCCTGGGTAACACAGTGAGATCCCATCACAGAAAAAAAAAAACTAAAAAGAATAGAAATATGTACGCTATCCCTGTAAGCGTGGTGGACATTTAGGTGGTATTCATGGCTGAATGTCACATGGAACGTTCCTCGTGATGTAATCTTTCTGTGTGACCTTGTTCAAGCTCTGTTTCCCCATTGATGAAATAAGAAGTTTGGATGAGATGCTCCCTTCCAGTTCAGCACAGGAGTGAACATCTTTCAGCTGTGAGAATGTTCTCCTCTGCTCTGCCCCGCCCCACCTGCCTGTCCTCTTCCTCCCCTCCAGGGTTTTAGTAAATAGTCAATCCAGCCTCCTGGGGTCTCATGGATTCCTCTGATCTGCTCAACCCTCACCCACCTTTCCAGTATTCCCCAGTGGGAAAAGCCCAGGTTTCTCTGATCAGGTATGTGGGGGCTGACTCTTAGAAGACAAAATCCATGCTAGGCTCCAGGAACACAAAATAAGCAAGTGCCTGTCTTTCAAGGGTCTTCCAGTCCAGTGGGGAGAGAGGCAGAGAAACAGAATTGTAATGTAATGAAGTCAGTGCTTTGCAAGGCACATGCTTCAGGGAGGAGCACAGAGCAAGCAATGGAGAATGTGAAGCCAGTCAATACATCACCAGTCGAGCCCTGGGGATGGGTCCCACGCTACTGGAGGTTATTTGTGGGCTCCCAGGCTAGTGTGTAACAAAGGGAATAAATTATAAAGTGTTGAAAGTCTAAGGAAGATGGAGCTACTATGTAAACATTCTAATATAATCAGATTTCATTCTGTTGGAGGCGCAAGACCAGTGGCTAGAAGATCCAGATCTCTATTAATCTTCATACAATAGGGCTGATAAAGCCCTCTCTTCAAACAATGTCTTGGCAATCACTTTATCAGATGTAATTACATTTCCTAATCTTACAGTGGCTTCTTGCAGGTATGAAGGGAGTCAGGTTAAAGATCTTCCCAAAGCTTATCTGTGTAGGTTCTGTCCAGTTTAGGGTTGCAGGTCTCAGCTTTCCTAAGCATTGTCCCAACTCTGCAGGTGGCATCACAGCAAAGCAACCCTCTAAACCTGGACAGATTGACCCCCAGTGTTAGGGGCCACCTAATCAATGCCTGTCTCTGAACAAAGTCATCACTATGCCTATGTCCCTCCCTCTGCCTGTGAAGCCCGAGACTGATGCAACCTCAAAGGCACTTGGTGAAATTCAGACTGTGAAGGGTGCCTGCATTGTTCAGTGTTATCACCCAAGGTCCATTCACCTCCCAGGTGAGGTCTGAATTACATATAGTTACTACACTGATGGTTGCTGCTAGGAGGCTATCAGTGTGATGACATGATTAAGGACAAGTGGCATTCAAACCTACCCTTGTCTGACAATGTGTCCAAAACCCAGAGCTGGATGAGTGACCCCGTGCAGGTACATGGAGTGACCCAGTGCAGGTACCTGCCTGGTCGCCTTCCAGCACTTCCTATTGTGAGGTGATTAAAGAGAAGGAAAACCTTGGGGGATGGGGAACATACTGGTATGTATAGCACTAACCCTAAATATCTTAGTTACCCACTTCTTTTGGTGACTTCCTCTCTTTTAACAGACCTATTTTGGATGTTATCTAGCTCTGATCATGCTGCTTGCTTGGCACTAAGAATTACAAGAGCTTTTACCCTCTCAGTAAACCACAAGAGACAATACTCTCCACCACACCTGATGCTACGAAGCTTTAAATGCTCAATGTTTCTCTCATTTGAACTAAGAATACCTGTTTGGTTAAATTCTGTGAACTAGCAGATCTATGCTTTAGAAACAACTGTGATAACTTTCCTTTCTGATGCATGGGTCTCTGTTTTCCACCACGGAGCCACTGTCCTCATCCTTTACCGGCAGAGTTGTTAGGATGGGGGACAGCAAAGGATCCTTAGGAAAAAGTCCCCCTGGATTTCTGTTACAAATTTGTCTTTTCAGAAATGATCAATGTTTCTGACATCCACTTAATTCAAGGCCCCAGGGGATGATAAAAGGTGATATGGGGTAAGATAGCACCTGGTCTAGTGTGAGCAGGGAAGTCATGCCCAGTGCAGATGGGAAGCCGGGTGTCATGGGATAACACGGTACCCAAAGAGCCAATCACAGCTCTGCCATCAAGCCAGCTCATGACCCAGAGCCGCTGGACCACTGCTGTCACTCCCAGGTGTAAAATGCATGTTGCAAGGGTCATCTTGGTAAAGCAGAGTCCATGTGACACCAGGACTTAGACTTGGACAGGAGACTTTCTGTCTTGTGCCATCACTTTTTTGTTTGTTTTTGAGACAGAGTCTTGCTCTGTGGCCCAGGCTGGAGGGCAGTGCCATGATCATTGTTTACTACAGCCTTGAACTCCTGGGCTCAAGCGATTCTCCCACTTCAGCCTCCCAAGTAGCTGGGATTACACGCACAGGGCACCATGCCCGGCTAATTTATTCATTTTTCTGTAGAGACGTGGTCTTGCTGTGTTACCCAGGCTGGTCTTGAACTCCTGTGCTCAAGCAATCCTCCCTCCTCAGCCTCTCAAAGTACTGAGATTACAGGCATGAGCCATTGCACCCGGCCTCTTGTGTCATCTTTGATTTATGAGAACTATTTAGTCTAATCTCTTTAAAAAAAAAAAAAAGTGGCATTTCTAACATCAAGATGAAGGCCCTGCCAGAAAAAAAAAATCCTAGCCACTTTTTTAAAGTTAACATTTATTAAGTGCCTATAAAGAGCTAAGTAAGCACTTCACAAGGCACTTAGTTAAATCTCACACCAACCTCTGAGATAGACACTATTATCCTATCCGTTTCTGAGACAAGGAAACGGGTACGGAGAGGCGAGGAACGTGCTCAGGTCACACACTAGTCAACAGCAGTGCTGGGATTTGAGTGAATCCAGGTCTTATGTTCATTGCTAGTATTTATGGTGTCTAATAGCCACAGCTGTTTCGATTCCACCTGTACTGTGAGCACCTGGGATTGCACATAGCAATAGATTGTTATGCAGGGCTCGCTTTGGGACTGACCTAAAATTCTCCTTTAGTTACATGAACTTGGGTTTTTGTTGATATGTATTTGATAGTCCTCTAAGATAAAATCTGTTTAAGTTCTTGTACAAATCAGAATAAATAATGTTAAGGATGTTTGTGGGGGAAGGGTGAGCATAAAATATAATTAGATGGTTGAAGGAAATGATCAGTTTCAAGCTGCTTTGACTAATCAGCTGAACCGCTCTCTATCGGTTATACAAATAGAATGGCGTGATCAAAGCCAATTTGTATTCCTATCTTTGGGGAGTGATCATTGTGATTGGTGCAGTTCCTGAAGAGATTTTAACAACCCCTCCCTGCCTCCACCCCTTCCACCCCCAATTAGGCAAGTCAGACCTGGAGACCTGAGGCCCCCACCTCTTTGTAATATGTAGAGATGGGAGAAAGTTGCAAGTAAGCAAGGAAGTTATGCCAAGAATGTGTAAGGACACAGAAGTTCACAAATGGAATGGCCTCCAAGGTCCCCAAAGCATCACATTTCCAATCTTTCTTTGTATTAGAGGACATGGTCTGGAACCACAGCCAGCCAGAATGAAAAGACAAAGCCCATTTTCCATGGGGGAGGGTAGCCCTCACTCCTCCATGTAACGCCCTTCCTCTCATATTCTTACAAAATGATGATTTACTGGTCCTGAAAGTGTGGAATCTCCCTTGAACCTCCCTTTAGTCTGCCCTGCCCCACAGCTAACACTGAACTCTTTGATAGCCTCCCCTTTGAGTTCTGTGGACAGGTAGCCAAAAAAAGTAGGTGGGAAAGGACATCCAGGGTGAGAGAGCAGCCCCTGCGAAGGCCAGGAGATAAGAAAGCACACAAGCTTGGGCCACAGTGAGCAGTTCACAAAGGCTAAGCAGAGCTTCTCCACCTTGGCTGCACAATAAAATCCCCATGCTCTTGTGGCACCCAGATTAATGAAATCAGGACCTCTGGAGTCGCGACGCAGCCATCCATGGTCCCGAGCGCAGCCCATGGCCTGGTGGGCAGAGTGAGCACACAGGAAGGTGGGCAATGAGGCTGGGAGGTGGCATCAGGAAGTATGTTAAAGAGACAGTGGGGCCCCTAAGGAATTGTTTGGTTTGTTTGTTTTTGGATGGAGTCTCGCTCTGTTGTCCAGGCTGGAGGCAGGAGTGCTGTGGCACAATCTCATCTCACTGCAACCTCCGCCTTCCAGGTTCAAGCCGTTCTCCTGCCTCAGCCTCCCGAGTAGCTGGGACTACAGGCACGTGCCATCATGTCTGTTTAATTTTTGTATTTTTAGTGGAGACGGGGTTGGGCCATGTTGGCCAGGCTGGTCTCGAACTCCTGTCCTCAAGTGATCTGCCCACGTCGGCCTCCCAAAGTGCTAAGATTACAGGCATGAGCCACCGCACCCAGCCAGGAATTGTCTGTTTTTTAGTCAGGAGGAGCATGACCAGATGCTGCAGGCGGATGGATAGTGAGTGGGAAGATAGCAAGGGTGAAGCAGGAAAGGCATTGAAGAGGCTGTCAAGGCAGCCAAGAGGGAGACTGCAGAGTCTGCAGGCCTGTGGATACACAGCAAGCATCCAGAGCACACAGCGTGTGGGGCTGAGATAGTAGAGGATGTGACGTGGGAAGTCAGGGAGTGGGGAAGGCTTCATGACCAAAGGCGTGAAGAATGAAGAGCGTGTGATGGCTTGCAAAAGCAGCCTCGTCGGCATCTCCCGCTGCCCTTCAAGATCCGCTAGCCGGGACAAGCTGACAAGACTGACAAGCTTTGAGGCTCTATGCTACACTGTAGCCCTGGCCTCAGGAGCCACTGCCCCCATGTGTGAGGCACAGACCGGAGAGCAGGAGCAAGAGCCCATGCCTGCATCTTAGAGCCCCAGGCAGCCTCCATCAGCATAACGGAAGGTCTGTAGACTGATCATCTTCTCCAAACCAGGAGCTGAAACACAACAGCTGATTGTGCATTTTATCGAATTTTTGCTACAGTCTGGGAGATATCACTTGGATATCAAAGTAGTCAAATTTCTGGGTCCTTTTTATTTTATGTGAATATAAAGATAGGATACGTAAAATAGGACTATTGAGCTGGGCAGCATGGCTCCCACCTGTAATCACAGCTACTCAGGAGGCTGCGGCAGGAGGATCCCTTGAGGCCAGGAGTTTGAGATTAGCCTGAGCAACATAGGGAACCCCACCTCAATCTGTAAATAAAGAAATAAAAATAAAATAAGACAGCCAGGCATGGTGATTCTTGCCTCTAATCTCAGCACTTTAGGAAGCTGAGGCAGACAGACCACCTGAGGTCAGAAGTTCGAGATCAGCCTGGCCAATATGGTGAAACCCCGTCTCTACTAAAAATACAAAAATTAGCTAGGCACGCTGGAGCATGCCTGTAATCCCAGCTACTCGGGAGACTAAGGCAGGAGGATCGCTTGAACCCGGGAGGCAGAGGTTGCAGTGAGCCGAGATCATGCCACTGCACTCCAGCCTGGGCAACACAGTGACACTCTGTCTGAAAAATAAAATAAAATAAGACTACCCCAGAAAATTCCAAATATATAATCTCCATAATCATGTACTGCATGTATTGTGTAGTTGGTTTAAAATGTTTTGAAAACATCCACCAAAAATGCAGGCATCAGAGCAGAGGGAGTAACTGGCTTCCTCATTCTTACAAACAACACCAGAAGTGGCACTTAAGGCAGCCACCAATTTAACTCAGTTCTCTGTGCTATCCCAGCTGGGTCATTTTTAATTGTTGGTTCAGTTTTACAAAGTGAACGTGAGCGTCAATCTTTCTAAAGTCTTTCATGACTCAAATCTACACAAAATTGTTTTGAGTAAAGAAGGAGGATCCAAGAAATAAAGGCATTTTACAGAAATGACAGAAAAAAATAAGATCCTTTGATTACATTGGTAGAAAAAAACTAATTTAAATTATGAGATAAAGCTGAGGAAGAAACCAACCGTGACTGCAAGTAGCACTAAGTACTTAGCATCCAGTGCCTTCTTAGATTTATCTCGGTTAGAGCACCAATAAATCATAGTGTCTAATGCAGATTCCTGAAAGGGAGCTGGAGAGCCCTGGTCCGGTCCTCACACTCTGTGGGAGGCGGCAGCCACTCCTTCCTGCCATCTGTCTAATGAACCATATGAATAAATGGCTGTTTCTCCACTCTGCTGCCCATTAGAATCACCTAGGGAGTTTTATAAACATACCAATACCCCAATCCTCACCCCTCAAAAATTCTAGAACAATTAAGCTGGACCCTGGTGGTAGATCTTGGGCATCAGTATTTTTAAAAAGCCCCCCGAGTGACCAAGGTGTTGCCAGAATTGAGAATTCCTAGAGGAGCTCAGTGATTTCTGTGTTTTTTTTTTGTTTTTTTTTTTTTTTGAGACAGAATCTCGCTCTGTCGCCCAGGCTGGAGTGCAGTGGCATGATCTCAGCTCACTGCAACCTCCGCCTCCCGGGTTTAAGCGATTCTCCTGTCTCAGCCTCCCAAGTAGCTGGGATTACAGGTGCGTACCACCACACCCAGCTAATTTTTGTATTTTTAGTAGAGATGGGGGGGTTTCATCATATTGGTCAGGCTGGTCTCAAACTCCTGACCTCAGGTGGTCTGCCCACCTCGGCCTCCCAAAGTGCTGGGATTACAGGCATGAGCTACCACGTCCAGCACGTTCTTTTTAAAAGTCTTAGATCTCTATTTCATGGGCACCTCTCCCTTGGTCTCCCAGTCCAGAAAGAAACTCCAGAAAGTCAGGAGCCTCCTTTCGTTTTCAACTGTGAAACATACAAGGGCAGAGACACCACATGCGAAGGCAAAAGCAACATTGACAAGGGAAAATGTGATGTTTTTGTTTGTTTTAAAGGGGAATTCTAAATTAACTCTTAAAGTGTGTTTGGGGCTTCAGGTGCACTGGAAGGTCTTCCCTGGAGCAAGGAGCAAGGAGCAGGGACAGAGCCCCTGGGCAGGGGTGAGTGCTCTGCCTGGAGACAGCCCTCAGCACTCACGTGGGAAACTGCTCAAGGCAGCCCAGAGTCCCTGCAACAAACTTCATGCCCAAGGAGTGAGCAGTTTCTCTAAATACAATAGAACCTCTGCCACTTTGAAGATAAGCTCTCACAGGCTGCTTAAAACAATAATTCTGTACTTTCTTTCCTGTTTCTAGATTTATTTTAAGTATTAGTATAAAATGTCAGAGCAGCTGATAGCAGCCAGATCAGTTTGTATAAAGCCTGACTGCCTGTTTGTAGTATATTACAGCTATATTTGACACAGGAAAGCACTTAATCATGCCTGCTATCAGCACACCACACCCACCTTTGTGAGGACCCTCAGGGGCTGTGAGATTTATCACTGTGAACTTGAACTGGATGGACAGGCCCTAATGGATAATGCAGGCTGCTTCTGAGAACTTCGGGCTAAAAGTGTACCATCCACAACCCCAGTGCCAAGAGAAAGGTCAGGAACACCAAGCACCTCCCAGGACTGGCCTCAATAGATCCAACCTATGCCCTGAATTTTATCTCAAGCAGTTGAAGTCTGACGAGTATAAATCTGAGGACATGGTAAGAAACTCCTTCTGCTCCATTTTGCCCCAAAATTGCCTCTCCTGAGGGCCCATTAGCCACGTTTTCGTCTTCACACCAACTGATAAACACTAGTGCTCAGATAGAAAAGGCTAGTAGCATTTCTGCAGGGTTCTTGCAGTTAGCCAACCTCTTCACCGAGTCCCTCTGCACCTCGAGGGACCCTGGGAGGCTGGCGCAGCAGAAGTGGTGGTGCTGTCCAATTCACATATGGGATATTTAAGGCCCACAGAGCTAAGGGAGGTGACCAAGGGGGACCGCAACCCAGAAGTCCTGTCCCTAAATCCTTCCTCTTAAATGTGATGCCATTGGCCCACTGGGTCTGCTGTCGGCATTTTACTAGAAGTTGAGAAACTTCGGTTCCACTCTTGGTTTCAGCATTCTTTAGTGAATACCTGACCTCTCTAAACTTCTGCTTCCACCTCTGAAGTGGGGATGATGTCGTCCCTGCATATCACAGAGGATTGGTGTAGAAAGGAGAGGTAAGCGTTATCACTTTGCCGTTAATATTAATATTTTAAAATGCCTCTTTGGAATTACATTTTGAATTCAGACTGACTGGTCTCAGCTCTTCCAAGGCATTTACCAGACCTCTCTGAGCCCCAGTTTCCACATCTGTAAAATAGCAATAAAAGAATCCCACAGGTTTTCTCATTTTTTTATGGAAGCTTTCAAACTTGTTTTTAGTGTGTTTTTTTATTTTAAAATATTTAATTGACAAATAAGGATTATATATATTCAGAGTGCACAGCATGATGTTTTTATATGCATACGTACTGTGTAATGATTACCACAATCAAATTAATTTAACACATCCGTTACCACTATGCTGTATATTAGAGCCCCAAATCTTTTTCATCCTATAACTGAAAGTTTGGACCCTTTGAACAACACCTCCCCTCTCATTTCCCCCTTCTCAAAGCCCCTGGTAACCACGGTTCTACCCTCTGCTTCTATGAGTTAAAGCTTTAGAGCATATTTTTGAAAGTAAGCAGAATAGTAAGCTGCCATGTATACATCACCTGGTCCCAAACACTTTTTTCTAGATTCCTTGAAAAAATTCTCAGGCATCATGCCATTTCACCCATCGCTGATAATTAGGATTGCATTTTTTTTAACGTGACCACCATGCCACTGTCACACCTAGCAAAATTAACAATCATTCTTTAACATCATGTCACATTTAGTCCAAAGCCAATTTCCCCAGTTGTCTCAAAGATGTATTTTTACAGTTGGTTTAGTCACATCAGAACGCAAATAGGGTCTGGATATTGGATGTGGTTATTGTCCCTTTTTTTTTTTTAAGTCATATCACTGTTTTGTTGGAGAAACCACATCATTTGTCTTGTGGAATGTTCCACATTCTGGATTAGGTTGATTGCTTCCTTCCAGTGGTGTTTAACTTTTTTCTTCCATTTCCATATCTCATAGGTTGAATTGTAAGGATTAAATGAGTTAATACTTGTAAAATGCTCAGCAGGTATATTAATTTGCCAGGGTTGCCAAAACAAAGTACCGCAGACTAGGTGGCTTAAACAACAGAAATGTGTTGTCTCACAGTGCTGGAGGCTGGAAGCCTGAGATCCAGGTGTTGTCAGGGCTGGTGTTGCCAGGGCTGGGAGAGAAAGGTCTGTTCTAGGCCACTCTCCTTGGCTGAAAATGCCCATTGTCTCCCTGTCTTCCTATCATCTTCCCCCTGTCTCTGTGTTGAATTTCCCCTTTTTATGAGGACATCAGTCACATTGGATTAGGACTTACATTAATTAATAACAATTTTATTTCCAAATAAGGTCACATTCTGAGGTACAAAGGGGTAAGAATTCAACAGATGAACGGGGGACAGGCGACAATCCAACCGCCAACAGCACGATACACATCCCATGGTAAAACTTCTATAAATATTAGCCATCAGCCTTCAACCATTAACATGTTATATTGTTACTTAAGGAATAAAAGTTAATATATGTAAAACCCTGAGCACAATACCTAGCACTTGGTAAAATTTCTATATAAATATTAGGTATTGGCTGGGCATGGTGCCTCACGCTTGTAATCCCAGCACTTTGGGAGGCTGAGGCAGGTGGATGACTTGATATCAGGAGTTCGAGACCAGCCTGGCCAAATGGAGAAACCCTGTCTCTACTAAAAATATAAAAATTAGACAGGTGTGATGGTGGGCGCCTGTAATCTCAGCTACTTGGGAGGCTGAGGCAGGAGAATCGCTTGAACCTGGAAGGCAGAGGTTGCAGTGAGCTGGGATCATGTTACTGCACTCCACCCAGCCTGGGCAACAGAGTGAAACTCCATCTCCAAAAAAAAAAAAAGAAAAAGAAAAAAAATTAGGTATTACATTGTAAAATGTTACAATGTTATTTTGTAATTGTTTTAATACTAATTTATATTCATGTTAGAATGTTATTTAGTAATTTTTAAGTACTAATTTAAATTCATAAGACTCCTAAGAAAGAGCCACAGCAGTAATCACTTTTGCTAGGTGGGGAGACAGGAGTAGGTCTGCAGATTGGGAGGCCTAGAGAGAGAGCGCGAGCCTGGGTGGGCGCTGGAGCAGCCCGGAGCCCCAGCTCAGGCAGGGCAGGGTCCTGGCTCTCCTGGGTCACCAGCGACACAACACCGGGAAAGTCACTGTTCCAGACTGGGGATTCCTTTTCTCTAAAATGACTATACAATAGGTATTCTCCAGCCCCCTTTTCACAACTAAAATTCTAGGTTCTATAAAGAAAAGGACCATGAAAGGCACAGCATGTGACTATCAGTTAAACAATAAGAAAGTTATTTCACATTATTTGTAGTATGTCCAAAAAACTTACAAAAACATTTACCAAGCAACACATCATTCTTTTTTTTTTTTTTTTTTTTGAGACAGAGTCTCGCTCTGTCACCCAGGCTGGAGTGCAATGGCATGATCTCAGCTCACTGCAAGTTCCGCCTCCCGGGTTCTGCCATTCTCCTGCCTCAGCCTCCCAAGTAGCTGGGACTACAGGCACCTGCCACCACACCCAGCTAATTTTTTTTGTATATTTTTTAGTAGAGACGGGGTTTCACCATGTAAGTCAGGATGGTCTCAATCTCCTGACCTCATGATCTACCCGCCTCAGCCTCCCAAAGTGCTGGGATTATAGGCATGAGCCACTGCGCCTGGCCTCATCATTCTTAAAAAGGACTAGGAAAGAAGGATTTTCGTAAAAGGAGCCAGGTTGTCATGTGCCAGTCTTCTCAGATTACACCACTATCTTCTTTACTTTGATTTATCCCTAACTTTTTTTTTATATATTTCATGGACCATTTTGACTTTCTTTTTATATGTGAACTATTTTTTGGTCTCAGAGTTGTTTGTGGTTATTTCTGTCTTCTTGTTTAAGCCTCTTACCAATAGCTTTTTGTTGTTGTTGTTGTTGTTTTGAGACAGGGTCTCACTCTGTCATCCAGGCTGGAGGGCAGTAGCATGATCACAGCTCACTGAAGCCTCGACCTCCCCAGGCTCAAGTGATCCAACTGCCTCAGCCTTCTGAGTAGCTGGGACTATAAGCACACACTGCCATGCTCTGCTAATTTTTGTACTTTTTGTAGACACAAGGTCTTGCCATGTTGCCCAGGCTGGTCTCAAACTTCTGAGTTCAATTGATCTGCCCGCCTTAGCCTCCCAAAGTGCTGGGATTACAAGTGTTAGCCATTGCACCCAGCCCATTTTGTCTTTCTGCTCCAGTTTTTTCACCAAGCACTTTTCCCTGACTTGTTATCTCTTTTATTCCCCTCATGGTACACCTGTTTCTTCCTCTTATTTCTTTTTTCTCGAATCTGGATGGAAAACACAAAATTTCTCAATATGGAGATGGAATCACTTACAGCATCCCAGTGAGGCTTCACCCTGAAAACCCTGCCTACTTTGTTCAGATGAGAACAGTCCCCCAGGGGAGATGTCGTGGCTGGGAATGAAGACAACAGAGCTCAGTGTGGACTCACAGCTTCTCAGACCTCTGCAGGTGCACAAGTCCCCTCTCCAACAGAATGTCACTTGTCCCAGCTGGAACATTTCTCCCTGGGGGCCGCTCTATCAAGAGTGCTCATTGCCCATCAGCACACTGGGAAGAATGATGATGGAGGGGTGTTAAGGGGGGGAAAGGAGATCCTGTTGTTCGGGGCAGGAGAGAACACAGGCTTTCATGCTGTTGAGCATTGGGAGAAGTGAGCTAATACATTTTCAGATCATCAGAAAGGATTACTAATCATAAAGAAACCCTAGAGTTTGCCAAGGGTCCTTAACATTTTCATGTTGCCCATCATCAGAATGGAGGGTCTGAGAGGGCAGCCACGGCTGGGATGTGGAGAGAAGGGGACACCGGTCTCCAGCAGTCAGGAGGGCAGAGGCCTTCACACCAGAGGATGACGTCTAGAGGACTAGGGACTTGGAGCCAATTTCTATGGTGTCTTCATGTTTTTCCATCCATTCTCCAAGCAGCTTTTTTTAAAAAAGCTGTGGGGTCCCCTTCTGTTGCCTGGTCTGGAGTGCAGAGGTACAGTCATACCTCACTGCTGCCCCCAACTGCTGAGTTCAAGCGATCCTCCTGCCTCAGCCTCCCAAAGCACTGAGATTACAAGCATGAGCCACCCTGCCCAACCTAAACAGCTTTTTTATCTTCATGTGGCCTTCCTAGTAGACTTCCCTCCTGAAAAGACACAGTTCCTGTTCAAAAAAATTACATGGCCTTTCTGTCTCAGACCAATGTCATTTGCTTGAACAGTATAAAACAGTTTTCTCCCAGATTTCTCTAATTACTTTGGATAAGCTGAAGAGTCAAAATAATATGACCAGAACTTGGCAACTCTTCGGATATGAGGAGTTGACAATGAGAAGAGTCAATGGTAATATCAAATTTTGAGGTCAGAGTTCCCAGAAGAAGGATATACCACATATAGAACACAAAAAGCTAGACTCTATCGCAGTACTGATCATCTTCAGGTCTCCTCTCACCACCAACTCTCTATCTTAAAATCTTGGGGTGGAAGCTCTGTTGGAAGGAAGCTGTCATTTCAAGGGCCATATTTCACTTTCATATATATTTATAAATTCCATGTTAGTGCTTTGTATGTGCAAGATGGTAAACCAGGTGTTAGGAGATTGAACAAGGGAGAAAGATACAGCATACCACCTAAGAACAGAGGGTTGGCTGGGCGCGGTGGCTTATGCCTGAAATCCCAGTACTTTGGGAGGCCAAGGCGGCAGATCACCTGAGGTCAGGAGTTCGAGACCAGCCTGGCCAACATGGTGAAACCCTGTCTCTACTAAAAGTATAAAAATTAGCCAGGCATGATGGTGGATGCCTGTAATCCCAGCTACTCGGGAGGCTGAGGCAGGAGAATCACTTGAACCTGGGAGGTGGAGGTTGCAGTGAGCTGAGATCACGCCATTGCACTCCAGCCTAGGTGACAAGAGAGAGACTCCATCTCAAAAAAAAAGAACAGAGGGTTAAGTAGAGAATATAAGACACGTATAGAAATAACTAGAATGCAAACATATTGGTTATTTGTATTAGAAATCATTTAGGAGACTGTCAACTATAAATAACAGAAAAATCTTACTTTTAATTGATTTTTTAAATAAAATAATTTTATTATCTCACCAAAAGTCTAGAAATAGAATGATTCTAGGGCTGGTTAACATAACAGCTTGAGGATTTCATGGAGCCAGGTTCTTTCCATCTTTACCCTCTGCCATCTGAGCATTTTGGCCTTGGTCTTCAAGCTTGTCCCCTTATGACACAAAAGGGCCACAGGTTCAGTCATTCCACAGGGGCACAACCACTCTGGGTGAAAGAAGAGGGGCCAATGTCTCCAATTGTTTTTCTTTTATTTTTATGGGCAGGAAATTGTCCTTGGAACTACCCCTCCCCCACTTCCTCTATGTCTCACTTATCACAAGTACATCACGTGACTATTCTTAGATGAATCACCAGCAAGGAGAATATTAACCCAATTGCTGGGACCAATAAAGAGTCAACGTTTCTTTGGACCTGGAGAGGGAGTCCTGGACACCAGACACCTAAACAAAATCTGGATTCTGTTATAAAGGTAAAGAAGAGGGCATGGCTTTATGGGGATAAAGAAGAGAATTTGTTGCAACATGCCTGTTGTAGCTGGCACATTCACTTGAAGCTGTTTAGTCCCATCTAACAATGTTTAGACAATGAAGTGTCTGAGATCCTTCCATTGTTTTCCAAGGGAAAGGGTAAATACCATGTTCCGCCAGAACTGAGGACGGCTCTTGAATAAACACAACTACTGATTTCTGTGGCACCAGTTGTATGCCAAATGCCACATGCCCGGCACTGCACTGCGCTAAGCATTTTAGCCCATAGCTCATTTTGTTCTTACCACAGTTTTGCAAAGTAGATGCTATTACCCTCATTTATGCAAATGAAAGAAAACAGACAAACACTTGCTTCAAGGAAAGTTAAGTAACTTGTCAAAGTCACAAGCTAAGCCATGACAGAGGTGAGAGCCAGCCCACACCTACCTCAGGCCCAAGCTCCTTCTCTTCCGGCATACATCTCCACTGCTTGATTCCCAAGACAAGTGTGCGGGGAGCAGGAACTTGTGATAGTGATGGAGGGGTGTTAAGTGGGGGAAAGGAGATCCTGCTGTTTGGAGCAGGAGAGAACACAGCCTTTCATGATGTTGAGCATTGGGAGAAGTGTGCTAACACACTTTCAGATCATCAGAAAGGATTACTAATTGTAAAGAAACCCTAGAGTTTGCCAAGGGTCCTTAACATCTTCATGTGGCCCATCATCAGAATGGAGGGTCTGAGAGGGCAGCCACGGCTGGGATGTGGAGAGAAGGGGACAACGTCTATGTATGACAGCAGGGGCAGAGGAAAGATAGCTTTATGCCCTCCCAAAGGTACTATGCTGCTGTAGAACTGGAGACCGAGAGTCGGGATAAAAAGGAGTCCCTGAGCTTATCCAGGAGGAGGTGTTGATTGATTGAGGACAGTGGGAATCCAGGAGTTAGAGTGGACAAGACTTTTACCCTCTTTCTGCCCAGAAAAGGTGGGTTCTCAGCACTGCTGATTATAATGGAAAAAAAAATAGGGCTGACTTAGAAAACCATTCAACAGATACACCAAAAGATTCAGATTATTTCATAAAGCTTTTCATTAGGAACCTGGAATCCACTTTGCATCCATCCAAATGACAAGTCAAGGCTGACAACAAGGCTTGTGTTGCACTTCATAATATGCAAAGTGTCTGTACATGCACCATCTCATGCGACATCTGAGGTGCCTGTCACTCCCCTCTCAGATGATGAAATAGGCGCTGATGGAAACATTCTCTATCTGCTTGCTCTATGCCGTAGCCACAGCCACATGTAGCTTTTGGGCACTTGACTGTGACTAGTACAATTAAGGAACTGAATTTTTAATTTTAACTAATTTAAGTTTTAATTTAAGAAGCCACCTGTGGGCCAGGCGTGGTGGTTCACACCTATAATCCCAGCACTCTGGGAGGCTGAGGCAGGTGGATCACCTGAGGTCAGGAGTTCAAGGCCAACCCAGCCAACATGGCAAAACCACATCTCTACTAAAAAGTGTAAAAATTATCTGGGTGTGGTGGTGGGCCTCCGTAGTCCCAGCTACTTGGGAGGCTGAGGCAGGAAAGTCACTTGAATGCAGGAGGCAGAGGTTGCTGTGAGCCAAGATTGTGCCACCGCACTCCAGCCTGGACAACAGAGTGACACTCCGTCTCAAAAAAAAAAAAAAAAAGAAGAAGCCACCTGTGACCTGTGGTTCTGTATTGCCGGTGCACTTGTAGATGTTGAGGACTTGCCCAAGTTCATGGCTCCAGTCAGCTGCAGTGCGTTACTCCTCTATTTCCAATAACAGATTGCAACAGAAATTTTTTCTGGGTTCCTTAAGTTAATCATTAACCTGATTTAAATGTCAGAAATTTAATTCTGTTGTGGAAACTTCTCAAGGATGAATGCTATAAGGGGAAAGGACCAATAATAGTTGAAATGAACATTCCCTTATGTCAGTTAGGTCTGGATTTGATGGGCAATGGGAGCATAGCATATATTCCAGCACTTGAGTGAAGTTTTCCACGCAGGTTGTGGGGAAACAAATGAGCTTCTGCACCCAGTAATGCCGGCAATTGTCTAAAAGAGACTACTCAGTGAGAGGCATGACCATAGCTGTCCTTCACCTTCTGGGAGGAAAGTCTCTCTTGTGATTTACTGGTAGCCATAAATCTTGGAAGGTCCTAGGCACCCAACAGAAATCTGACATTATTGCTGACATCATGATCTGACACTATTTCTGCTCATCAACACTGTTAGGGCAATTGAAGGGACATAGCAGCGGCAAGGGCCCAAGAAGGAGTGCAGGAAGGGAGGAGCGTTCATCAGTGTAACCTCATGCTTTCATGGAAAAGAGGGGCAAGGGGAGTAAGAATTACAGCAAGTTCCCAGGGAAAATATCTAATCTGTTTTGAGGGTGTATGTACAGTCCTCTGTTAATCTAAACAAAGATTCCCATCTGCGCGGGGATGAGGACCATCATCTCACTCTCAGTGCGGCCCCAGGTACTGTTTCCCTATCTCAACTCTTTGCCTACTAAGGGATTTTGGACTTGGTTGGGAAAATGTGCCAATGACAACACTGACCCCTCCCGCCCAAGCCTGACCTTCGGGAGGCTTGGGTTACCCTGTTGCGTGAAGTCGAGGGATTCCCAGCATGTTGGACATTCCTATCTCCTTAGCCTGCCTCCAGATAGCTCCCTTCCTTCCTGGATAGATAGAAGTATAGGTTAGCCAGGCAGGCAGGTGACCCTCACCTCCACCCCGGATTTAGTCAGAAATTTCATTCCATCATCATTATTAATAGCTGGGTGTGCTAATGTTTCCTGAAGAACATGATAAGAACCACACAAAATCTGAAGGAAACAAATCCATGACTCGGCACTTTCCCTCGTACTCGACAGCAATGGAGAGTTCCTGGTTGACCCAAGAATATCTGTGAGGCCTGGGACTCTTGCCCAATGTCTGCGTGAAAATCTAATCTTATGTGGGATAAGGGTGTGCAGCCACTGAAACTTAGAAAAATCATAGACAGACTCTGTGTAATGTCACCCTCGAGCCCTGCAGCTGCCCGAAGTCAATGAACAGAACCGCATTCTAACTACAGTGCCAGTTGCTGCTTCCTGAATTCCAATTAGTTTGCTAAAGGGAGGAAACCTAAAGTTTACTGAGAATTGTCTTCAAGGTTTTTATATGCATCTCAGATTAGTCCCTCCATCTCCCTGTGAGATAAGAAATATGGACTGATTGTAGAGGTGGAGAAGCTGAGGTTCAGAGAAGTTAAGTGATTAGCTCAAGATCACACAGCTAATTAGAAGAGCCCAAATCCAAACCTGACCTGTTCGTCTCTCAGCACCGAGCTCCTACCCCAGGCAACATGATCTGAATGGGGGCTGGGTACCCACTGGTATGGACTGAATTGTGCCTCCAATACAAAATAATTGTATGTTGAAACCATAACTCCCAATGTGACCGCATTCAGAGGTCAGGCTTTTAGGAAGGTAGTTAAGGTTCAATGAGGTCATAAGGGGGTGCCCAAAGCAATAGAACTGATGTTCTTATAAGCAAAGGAAGCCTGGGCAACACAGTGAGACCCTCTTTCTATAACATAAAAAAAAAAATTAGCCAGCCATGGTGGCACACACCTGTGATCCTGGCTACTTGGGAGGCTGAGGTAGGAGAATTGCTTGAGCTCAGGAGTTTGAGGCTGCAGTGAGCCATGATCACACCACTGCACTCCAGCCTAGGTGACAGAGTGAGGCTCTGTCTCAGAAAAGAAAAAGAACTGGCACCATGACTCTCTCTCCAAGTGAACACAAAAAAAGAGTTCATGTGAGCATCCAGTGAGAAGGTGGACATCTGCGAGCCAGGGAGAGAGGCCTCACCAGAAACCTACCCTGCAGGCACCTTGACCTTGGATTTCCAGCCTCCAGAGCTATGAGAAAATAAGTGTTCATTGTTTGGGCCATCCAGCCTTAGGGATTTTGTGATGGCAGCTTGAGCAGACTAGTACACCCACCTTGGTGCCTTTAAGACTTTCTCTTCAAAACACCTCATATAACACTCAGAAAAATGCCATGCTTACCTAATCCCACGTCCCACAGCGCCTTCCTAACCCCTACTGCCTCTCCAGCAGGGCCAGGGCTGGGTAAGGTGGGGAGGTACTTTCTTTCCCAGGGCACAAAAATGACAGGGATACCAAAAACTCAGTAATTAAATAACATTTTAATTAAATGTTTTAAAAAATCAAAATTAGGCCGGGCACAGTGACTCATGCCTGTAATCCCAGCACTTTGGAAGGCCAAGGTGGGCAAATCACGAGGTCAAGAAATAGAGACCACCCTGGCGAACATGGTGAAACCCTGTCTCTACTAAAAATACAAAAATTAGCTGGGTGTGGTGGCGTGCGCCTGTAGTCCCAGCTACTCGGGAGGCTGAGGCAGGAGAATAGCTTGAACCTGGGAGGTTGCAGTGAGCCAAGATCATGCCACCACACTCCAGCTTGGTGACAAAGTGAGACTCCATCTAGAAAAAAAAAAAAAAAGTCAAAATTAATGCAAAAACTCCATAAGACTTTGGATACTTCACAATTTTGCCCACAAACTCCGCCTCCCGGGTTCATGCCATTCTCCTGCCTCAGCCTCCCAAGTAGCTAGGACTGCAGGTGCCCGCCACCATGGCTGGCTAATTTTTCTGTATTTTTAGTAGAGATGGGGTTTCACCGTGTTAGCCAGGATGGTCTCGATCTCCTGACCTCGTGATCTGCCCACCTCGGCCTCCCAAAGTGCTGGGATTACAGGCATAGAGCCTCTGTGAGTGGAACCCAAACTTCATGCTTGAGATAACGGAACTACCCTTTTTTCCTCATTACAGATTATTAAGATGTTAAGGTCAGGCACAGTGGCTCACGCTTGTAATCCCAGCACTTTGGGAGGCCAAGGCAGGCGGATCATTTGAGGCCAGGAGTTAAAAGACCAGCCTGGCCAACATGGCAAAACCCCTTCTCTACTAAAAATACAAATATTAGACAGGCATGGTGGTGCACACCCGTAATCCCCGCTACTTGGGAGGCTGAGACATGAGAATCGCTTGAGCCCAGGAGGCAGAGGTTGCAGTGAGCCAAGATCACGCCATTGCACTCCAGCCTGGGTGACAGAGGCAGACCCTGTCTCAAAAAAATAAAAGATGTCAATAATAATCAACAAGCACGGGCTGGACACCGGCTGTGTTGTAGGCTTTGTCCTGGGTGCAGAGTATTCAGTAGTGAGCAGGGCAGATGAGGCCAGCCTCATGGAGAGGGCAGTCTGTAGGGGAACAGAAACAAGTAAGGGGCTGCAAGAGTCCACAGCACTGGGGCCACATGTGGTGCTTGCAAAGGAGAGTGGATGATAGAGGCATATGGAGGACACCTAAGCTTGAGTGAGAGCATCAGGAAGGTGCCCCTGGGGAAAGAGGCATCTTTGGCAGTTTAGCAAGTGACAGAGGTGGGAACACCCAGATCTAGGCAGAGAAGAAACATGTAAGAATCTTCAAATTGCTGCTGTTTACTGAGCACTGACAGATTACAAACATCGTGATGTTGAAAGCTCATGACATCCTGTAGGATAGGTGAGCTGCTTCCTCACACACTCCCATCTGATCCATCGACAAATTCCATTGGTTCCCATTTCAAAATAGGTAAGAGAGTCCGACCACCTCTCCCCAGATCCATCCCTACCACCCCAGTCTGAGCCTCCTAAATGGTCCCTGGCTCCCACCTTCAGTTTAGTTTAGTTTAGTTTACTTTGGTTTGGTTTTGAGACAGGGTTACACTCTGTCACCCAGGCTGGAGTGCAGCGGCATGATCATGGTTCACTGCAGCCACAACCTCCCTGGGCTCAGGTGATCATCCCACCTCAGCCTCCCAAGTAGCTGGGACTACAGGCTTGTGCCACCATGCCCAGCTAATTTTTGTATTATTTGTGGAGGTGGGTTTTCACCATGTTGCCCAGACTGGTCTCGAACTCCTAAGCTCAAGTGATCCACTTGCCTCAGCCTCCCAAAGTGCTGGGATTATGAGAATGAACCACCATGTCCACCTCCTGGTTCCTCACCTTTGCTCTCTTCAGTCATTTATCAATGTGGATGCCAGAGTCATCCTGCTAAATGATAAAGCAGATCATGCCACTTCTCTGGCTCAAGCCTTCCAATTGCTTCTCATCCTTACTCAGAGTAAAGTCAAATAAATAAAACAATCTGCCCTGCAAAGCCTCCTTCCCATGAGCCCTCTCCCTTCATCTTGTTATCACAACTCTATAATTTATGTATCTTGTTGATACGGTTTGGCTGTGTCTTCACCCAAATCTCATCTTGAATTCCCATGTGTTGTGGGAGGGACCCAGGGGGAGGTAATTGAATCATGGGGGCAGGTCTTTCCCATGCTGTTCTCATGAGAGTGAATAAGTCTCATGAGATCTGAGGGTTCTATAAGGGGGTGTTTCCCTGTACAAGCTTTCTTTTTGCCTGCTGCCATCCATGTAAGATGTGACTTGCTTCTCCTTGCCTTCTGCCATGATTGTGAGGCCTCCCCAGCCATGTGGAACTGTAAGTCCAATAAACCTCTTTCTTTTGCAAATTGCCCAGTTTCGAGTATGTCTTTATCAGCAGCGTGAAAACAGACTAACACACTTGTTTATTGTTGTTGACTACCCAATCACCAGAAAAACCTGTTAGTCAATCAAAACTGGGTTTATGAGATTTCCTGCAATAAAGAAGCAGACCACTTTGACAGAATCTTAGTAGTGTTTCAAAATGAGAAGTTAGAGCAGAGTCTTTGTGGGGATTTAAGGCTTCAACTAGGTGATGCCAAGGATGATCTTGTAAGGAGGAGAATTGGCTGGAATCAGATGATGTATGACATACCAGCTTTGAATTGGTGGGAGGATTGAGGTGAGGGTCTTGTAGGGTTTGATACGTAAACTGTTAGTCTTGATAAACAAGCACCATTTCCTAGTATTGTTTAATACATCAATTGAGAATTATTTCTGTTTCAGTTCTCACACCACTAGAATGTAAGTTCTACGAGGGCATGGATTACTTTTTCTGTTTTGTTCACCTGTATCCCATCTCATAGAATAATGCAGATATTGAGAGTAGATATCAATAAACATTTGTCAAATAAAATAGTGTGTTATTATTTCCATTTTTTAAATAAGGAAACTGTAACTCAAATAACTTCCCTTAGTCACATACTAGATGAACACAGGGCTATTTGATTCTAAAAACAAACTCTCCAGCACCACTGTGCTGATGGTAACAAATGGTTACAGAGGCACTATGTGTTAAGTGCTTTGAATATAGTCATTTAACTCAATAACTCTACAATGAAGGCACTATCATTATCCCCCTATTAAGGATGAGGAAACTGAGGATTACACAAATTAAGTTACCCAAAGTCCAAAAGCTCACAAGTACAGAAACAGTTCTCAAAATCAGGTTTTTGTGACTGAAAACACTGTGCTAATATCCAAAAGGTGGGAGCAACACAAGTGTCCATTGATGGATAAATGGACATAGAAAAAGTGGTCTATACATGCAAAGGAATATTATTCAGCCATAAAGAGGAAGAAAAGGCTGATACTTGCTATAACATGGATGAATTTTGAGGACATTATGCTAAGTGAAATAAGCCAGTCACAAAAGGACAAACAGTGGATGATGCCACTTATATGAGGTACCTGGAGTAGTCAAATTCATAGAGATAGAAAGTAGAATGGTGGTTGCCAGGGACTGGGGATAGGGGAAAGTGGGAAATTATTGTTTAATGGGTACAGAGTTTCAGTTTTGCAGGATGAAAGGACTTCTGGAGATGGATGTTGTAATGGTTCACAACTAAGTATACTTAATGCCAGTGAACTGTACATTTAGAAATGGGTAAGACGGGCCGGGCATGGTGGCTCACGCCTGTAATCCCAACACTTTGGGAGGCCGAGGTGGGTGGATCACCTGAGGTCAGGAGTTCAAGACCAACCTGGCCAACATGGTGAAACCCCATCTCTACTAAAAATACAAAAATTAGCCAGGTGTGGTGGCGAGCACCTGCAATCCAGCTACTTGGGAGGCTGAGGCAGGAGAATCACTTGAACCCAGGAGGTGGAGGTTGCAGTGAGCTGAGATTGGGCCATTGCACTCCAGCCTGGGCAACAAGAATGAAGCTCTGTCTCAAAAAAAAAAAAAAAAAAAAAAAAAAAAAAAATATATATATATATATATATATATGAGTAAGATGGTAAATTTTATGTCATATGTAATTCATCACTATCTTTAAAAGCTATACTAAACAAGCATATTCTTCAAAACTGGATAACCTGGATGACATGGACAAATTCCTGAAAACACATGATCTATCAAAATTGACTGATAAATAATTAGAAAATCTGAATAGACACAACTAGTAAGGAGATTGAATCAATAATCAAAACCTCTCAACAATATCAACAACAAAAAGCTGAGGAACAGATGGCTTTACTGGTGAATTACACCAAATGCTTTTTTTTTTTCCTGAGATAGGGTCTTGCTCTGTCACCCAGGCTGGAGTGCAGTGGTGTGATCACAGCTCACTGCTGCCTTTACTTCCTGGGCCCCAGCAATCCTCCCACTTAAGCCTCCCAAGTAGCTAGGACTACAGATACATGCCACCATGCCCAGCTAATATTTTTTAAAAATTTTTTTGTAGAGATAGTGACTCCCTACATTGCCCAGGCTGGTCTTGAACTCCTGAGCTCAGGTGATCCTCCTACCTTAGCCTCTCAAAATGCTGAGATTACAATCATTAGCCACCATGCCTGGACTATACCAAATACTTAACAATGAATTAACACCAATCCTTCTGAAACTCTTCCAAAAACTTGAAGAGGAGGTAATACTTCTTAAGTCATTCTCTGAGGCCAGCATGACCCTGATACTGAAGCCAGACAAAGATGTTGCCAAAAAAAGAAAACTGTAGGGTAATAACCCTTGTGAATATTAATGCAAAAATCCTCAAAAAAAAAATTAGCAAACCAAATTCAACAGCATATTAAAAGGATTAAACACCATGACTAAGTGGGATTTAATCTCGGAAAGCAAGAATGGTTCAATGGAGCAAGATGGCTGACCAGAAGCCTTTAGTGCTTGTCCCCCTCACAAAAACATCCAGAACAATGAATAAACGATAACATTGCAATAAAAATAACTGAAGGAGAGTGTCATTGTGCATCAGAGGAGTAATAGAAATCCGGGTGAGCACAGAAAATTGGAATGGCCACATAGAGAACCAAAGGAAACACTGAGCCTCCACCATCCCATTCCCTAACCAGGATGGGCTGGGAATGAGGAGAGACCTTCTCCTTTGGCAATGAGGTAAGAAAGAGGATCCCAGCAACCTGCATGAACACCTTGGACACCTACAGGCCTCACCGCTGGGGTCCCCTGCAGTCCTCACAGGAACTAAGCCCAGTGAGGGAACTGCCTGGAGACCACATAGCTGTGGTCCCACTAGAGAAGGCACCAACACTGTGCTCCACCTCCTGGGGCCTGCAAAACTACTGTGCTGTGCCATCTTGGATTTGAAACTATGGATGGAGAATGTCTTGTCCAGGAAGTGAGTACCCTTGGCTCGCCTTCATCCTTGAGGCTAAGCCACCACTGAGCTACTCCAGCCCAGTGGCCCAACATCCCCAAGCTCAGCTGTGAGCAGCTATTACACCCTTCCCTACGGAACCAAGCAGAGGCAAAGGTCCTCCACCTACTCCTCCCCAGCCCCTCAGGTCAGAGCTGAAGTGGTACCCTGTCTCCTGGGAAAAGACTACCTTGTACATGTATGGCACTCATACTTCTCTGGTACCTAAGTTGAAGCAGCACCCTGCATCCTAGAAAGTGGTGCCCTGACCACCCAGAGCAGTCACACACACACCAGTACCTAAGCCGCAGGGCATCCTGCATTCCAGGGAAATGGTTCCTGGGCCACCCAGAACAGTCCTGCCTTTCCAGGCCTGAGCTGAAGTAGCACATTGCCCCCTAAGGAACTGGTGCCCTGGATGAGCTGAGCAGCTCCACATCCCAAGGTTGAGCTGAAATAGTATCCGGTGTCCCAGAGAAATGGAGCAATGGCTGAGCTGAGACACTCAGCCCTACAGGCCAAACGGATCTAGTATTCTGCTTCCCTGGAGCTGGACTAGCCTACTAAAGTCTTAGCTGCTGAAACACCCCTCTTCCTGGGGAGTAGACTCATCACTGTGCTTTCTTCTGCCCTACTCCTCAGGGCCCAAATGATAGCTGTGCTCTGCCATTCTGGGGTACTTACTGCCACTGCACTTGCCCTCACTGAGTCTGAGATACTCCCAACCCTGACCATCTCAAGGCCTAGAGTCACTACTACATAGTACCTCATCCAATGGGACCTGAGTTATCACTGAGCCCTACTGGCTCAGCTTCCCAAATTGCAGCCATACCCTGCTTCCCAGGCTCAAACCTCTAAAGCATTCATTCCTTCCTCCCCAAACTCAGGCCAGGGTTGTGCCCTCCCCCCAGGGGTATAATCTCAGCAACAATTCCACCCCTGGGCCTGAGCTACTAGGGGGTGCCATAGAGTCACAGATCCTGGCTCTGTGGGCAACCTACATCTAACCCTGCCACAAAGAGCAAACCTGCACCCCAAGACCCAGGTGCCATGATAAGTTCATGAGACTGTGAACCGAAGACCACAACCCCACAACTGCTTAAAGCACTTGCACCTGTAATCCAGTGCCACTGCAGATGCTTGTAGGCTATGTCAGACCCAACACCAAGAGAGATCCCCTCAGCTAAGTCCCCTCATTGAGAAGAAAACAACAGGAGGACCACAAAAGCCCTTTATACTGAGGATATTAACAACCAATGCCACTATTGCCCCGTCACAAATTTTTACAGCCTAGGCCACTGAGATGTCCACAGTTATTACTGACATTGAACACAACAGAAGAAGCTGCATAAAGAGTATGCTAATGCACCTATCCAGAAATAGGGTCACCACACTCATCACAACTGGCACTCTAAAATCCAACTGCAGATGAAAGTCTTTCTCTATGAAAGTCACTCTAAAACATTTGGAAGAGGCAATTGTTCTATCAGATGCATAGACATAAATACAGGGACAGAAGAAACATGAAAAAGTAAGGAAATATCATACCACCAAAGGTACATAATAACTCTAGTAACAGAGTCCAGTGAAAAGAAAATCAATACATTGCAGGAAAATGAATTCAAAATAATGATCTTAAGGAAACTCAATGAAATACAAAAAATACAGATAGACAATTCAACAAAATTAGAAAAACAACTTATGATACGAATGAGATGTAAAACAAAGAGATAGAAATTATGAAAAAGAACAAAACAGAAATCCTGTGGTTGAAGAACTCAATTAATACAATTAAAAATACAATAGCTCAACAGCAAGTCTGCTGCTGAAGCTCAGCAGACTTGATCAAGCAGAAGAATTTCTGAACTTGAAGATGGGTTGTTTGAAATTACCCAGTCAGAGAGCAAATAAATAAGAATGAAAAAGAGTGAGTAGAACACAAAGAAGGAAACAATAGACACTGGAGTCTATTTGACAGTGGAAGGTATCAGGAAGGTGGGGATCAAAAAACTACCTACTGGTTACTATGTTCATTATCTGAGTGACAGAATAATCTATACACTAAACCCCTACAACATGCAATTTACCATACAACAAACCTGCACATGTACCCACTGAGCCTAAAATAAAAGTCAGAAAGGAAAAAAATAGAGCCAATGAAACCTACAAGATTCATGGGACACCATTACAAGATTCATGGGACAATTTTTATAGTATGGAAACTCCAGAAGGAGAAGAGAAGGGAACAGGCATAGAAAACATATGTAATGAAATAATAGCTGAAAATTCCCAAGTCTAAGGAAATATACAAACATTCAGATCCAGGAAGCTCAAAAGTCTCCATATAGATGCAACCCAAAAAGATCCTCCTTTAATGAGGCACATTACAGTCAAATTGTCAAAAGTCAAAGACAAAGGGAGAGTTCTAAAAATAGCAAGAAAAAAGTGCCAGGAAACATATAAGGGGAATCTTCATCAGACTAACGCAGATTTCTCTGCAAAAACCTTATAGGTCAGGAGAGAATGACATGATATATTCAAATTGCTGAAATTCAATTTAAAAAAATGCCAGCCAAGAATACTATGCAAAGCAAAACTATCCTTCAGAAAGGAAGGAGAAATAAAGTCTTTCCTAGGCAATCAAAAAAGTGAGGGAATTTATCACCACTAGACTAACCTTACAAGAAATGTTCAAAGTGTCCTACATCTGGAAGCAAAAAGACAATAATCACTATTATGAAAACACACAGAGGTATAGCACTTACTGGTAGAGAAGACACACAAGATACACAAAAGAGAAAGAGAAAAGAATCAAAACGTATCACTACAGAAAACCACCAAACCACAATAATAACAAGAGAAGAGACAAGAAGAATATACAAAATGACTGACCAGAAAACAATTAACAAAATAACAAGAGTATGTCCTCACCTGTCAAAAATAACTTTGAATGTAAACAGATTAAATTATTAAAGATACAGCCTGTCTGAATGCATTTAAAAAATCATGACCCAAATATATGCTGCCTACAAGAAACTCACTTCACTGTAAACACACATACAGACTGAAAATGAAGTGATATTCCATTCAAATTAGAATCAAAAGCACACAGGCATAGCTATACTTATGTTAGATAAGACAGACTTTAAGTCAAAAACGGTAAAAAGAGACAAAGAAAGTCATTATGTAATGATAAAGCTTTCAATTCACAAGAGAATATAACAATTGTAGGCCAGGCACGGTGGCTCACACCTGTAATCCCAGCACTTTGGAAGGCTGAGGCAGACAGATCTCTCAGAGCTCAGGAGTTCAAGACCAGCCTGGGCAACATGGCAAAACCTTGTCTCTACTAAAAAATACAAAAAATTAGCTGGGCATGTTGGCACATGCCTGCAGTTCCAGCTACTCAGGAGGCCAAAATGAGAGGATCACTTAAGCCTGTGAGGTGGTTGCAGTGAGCTCTGATTATGCCACTGCACTCCAGCCTGGGAGACAAAGTGAGACCCTATCTAAAACACAAAACAAAACAAAACAAAAATTGTAAATATACATGTGCATTCAATATCGGAACACCCAGATATATCAACAAATATTATTAGGTCTAAAGGAAGAGATACATTCTAATACAATAAGAGTTGGGGACTTCAACACCCCACTGTCAGCATTGAATAGAGCATCTACACAGAAAATCAACAAAGGCAGATCGAATTTAAACTGGACTGTAGACCAAATGGACCTCACAGACATTTACAGGACGTTTCACCCAATAGCTGCAGAGTAGACATTCTTTTCACCAGCACATGGAACATTGTCCAGGATAGACCACATACTAGGCCCACAGAACAAGTCTCAACAAGTTTTTAAAATTTTAAATCATATCAAGTATCTTTTCAGATCACAATAGAATAAAACTAGAAATCAATAACAAGAGGAACTTTCAAAAATGTACAAATACATGGTAATTAAACAACATGCTCCTGAATTACCAATAGGTCAGTGAATAAACAAAGAAGAAAATTTAAAAACTATTTGAAACAAATGAAAATAGAAACATAACATACCAAAACCTATGTAATACAGCAAAAGCACTATTAAGAAGAAAGGTAATAGCAATAACTGCCTGTATCACAAAGGTAGAAAGATTTCAAGTAAATAACCTAATGATTCATCGAAGGAACTAAAAAAAGCAAGAAAAACCAAACCCAAACTTAGTAGAAAGAAAGAAATAATAAAGATCAGAGCAGAAGTAAAATTGAGACAAGAAATAAAAAAGATCAACAAAATAAAACATTGATTTTTAAAAAGATAAATCAACAAACCATTAGCTAGGCTAACCAAGAAAAAAAGGAGAAAAGACTCAAATAAATTCAGAAATAAAAAATGAGATGTTTCAACTGATACCTAAGAAATACAAAGGATCATTAGAGATTATTACAACTATACTTCAACAAATTAGAAAGCCTAACAGAAATGGATAAATTCCTAGACACGTACAACCCACCAAGGCTGAACCAAGAAGAAATAGAAAACCTGCACATACCAGTTATGAGTAATGAGATTGAATCTGTAATAGAAAGTCTCCCATCATCTCTTCACTGCAGAATTCTACTGAACATCTAAAGAACTAATACCAATTTTTCTCAAACTCTTCCAGAAAATTTAAAAGGAGGAAATTCTTCTAAACTCATTTAATCAGGCTAGCATTAAACTTATGCCAAAACCAAACAAAGACACAACAAAAAGAAAACTATAGACCAATATCCCTGATGAATAAAAATGTAAAAATCCTCAACAAAATACTAGCAAACTGAACCCAGCAGTACATTAAAAAGATCATTCACTGTATTCAAGTGGGATTTATCCCATGGATGCAAGGATGGTTCAACATACTAAAATCTATAAGTGATACATCACATCAACAGGATAAAGGACAAAAAAAATACACTCATAACAACAGATGCAGAAAAAAACATTTGATAAAATGTAACATCCCTTCATAAAATATCTTAACAAGTTATGTATAGAAGGAACATACTTCAAAATAATAAATGCCATATGTGAAAAACCCACAGCAAACATTATACTGAATGGGAAAAGTTGAAAGGTTTTCCTCTAAAGACTAGAACAAGACAAAGATATCCACTTTAACCACTTTTATTCAACATGGTACTGAATATCCTAACCAGAACAATTAGGCAAGAGAAAGAAATAAAGTGTATCCAAATTGGAAAAGAGGAAATCAAATTTTCCTTGGTTGCAGATGACATCATCTTATAGTTTTCAAAAAATTGTAAATGCTCCACCAAAAATCCCTTAGAACTGACAAATTAAGTTGCAAGATACAAAATCAACATACAAAAATCAGTAATTTTTCTATACACCAACAACAAACTAGTGGGAAAGGAATCAAGAAAGCAATTCTATTTACAATAGCTACAAAAAAAGTTAAAAATATGTAGGAATAAATATAACCAAGAAGGTAAACAATTGCTACAAGGAAAACTATAAAACATTGATGAAAGAAATTGAAGAGGACACACATACACACACACAAAAATGGAATGACATCATTCCATGCTCGTGGATTGAAGGAATTGATATTGTGAAAATGACTATACTACCAAAAGTGATGAACAGATTCAATGCAATCCCTATCAAAACATCAATTACAGTCTTCACAGAAATAGGAAAAACAATCAGAAAATTCATACGGAACCAGAAAAAACCCAAATAGCCAAAGCAATCCTGAGAAAAAAAGAACAAAGCTGGAAGTATCACATTAAAGACTTCAAAATATACTACAAAGCTATAACAACCAAAACAGCATGGTACTGGTATAAAAAACAGACACATAGACCAATGGAGCAGAATAGAGAACCCAGAAATAAATCCACATATTTACAGCCAACTGATTTTTGACAAAGTTGCCAAGAACATTCACTGAGGAAGGAACAGTCTCTTCAATAAATGGTGCTGGGAAAGCTGGATATCCATATGCAGAATGAAACCAGACCCATATCTCTCACCATATACAAAAATCAATGCAAAATGAATTAAAGACATAAACATAAGACACAAAACTATAAAACTACTAGAAGAAAACATAGAAGCAATGCTCCAGGACATTGGTCTTGGCAAAGAGTTTGTGGTTAAGACCTCAAAAGCACAAGCAGTGGAAACATAAATAGACAAATGGGACTATATTAAACTAAAAAGCTTCTGCACAGCAAAGACAACAATCAACAAAGTGAAGAGACAATCTGTTGAATGGGAGAAAATATTTGCAAACTATTCATTTGACAAGAGGTTAACATCTAAAATATACAAAGAACTCGAACAACTCAACAGCAAGAAACAAAACAAAACAAAAAACTCAGATTATCTGATTTTAAAATGGGCAAATGAGCTAAACAGACACCTCTCAAACAAAGATATACAAATGGCCAACAGGTATATGAAAAAATTGTTCAACATCACTAATCATCAGGGAAATGCAAATTAAAAGCACAATGAGATACCATCTCACTCCAATTAGAATGACTACTCTCAAAAAGACAAAAAAGGCCAGGCACAGTGGCTCATGTCTGTAATGCCAGCACTTTAGGAGGCTGAGGCAGGCAAATCATTTGAAGTCAGGAGTTCAAGACCAGCCTGACCAACATGTGAAACCCAATCTCTACTAAAAATACACACACACACACACACACACAGCTGGGCACAGTGGTGCACACCTGTAATCCCAGCGACTTGGGAGGCTGAGGTAGGAGAATTGCTTGAACCCGGGAGGCAGAGGTTGCAGTGAGCTGAGATCGCATCACCACACTCCAGCCTGGGTGACAGAGTGAGACACCATTTCAAAAAAAAAAGCAACAACAACAAAAAAAAAACAGATGCTGGTGAGGATGCAGAAAAAGGACAATTCTTATGCACTGTTGGTGGGAATGTAAATTAGTACAGCCACTATGGAAAACAGTATGGAGGTTTCTCAAAAAACTAAAAATAGAACTACCATGTGACCTAGCAATCCCACTGTTGGGTATGTATCCAAAGGAAAAGAAATAGGTATGTGAAAAAGATATCTGTACCCCCATGTTTACTTCAGTACTATTCACAAGATATGCAGCCAAGATATGGAATCAACCTAAGTTCCATCAACAGATGAATGGATAGTCAATGGATGAGTGGATAAAGAAAATGTGGTACATATACATAATGGAGTATTATACAGCCAAAAAAAATGAAATCCTGTCATTTGCAATGACATGAATGGAACTAGAGGACATTATGTTGAGTGAAATAAGCCAGACACAGAAAGACAAATATCATATTTCTCAATCATATGTGGGAACTAAAAAAAAACTTAACGCATGGAGACAGAGAGTAGAATGATTTCCAGAAGCTGGAAAGGGTGGTCAGGAGGAGGAAACATACAGAGGTTGGTTAATGGGCACAAAAATATAGTTAGATAGAGGTAATGAGAGCTAGTGTTCAGTAGCAGAAGAGGGAGACTATAGTTAACAATAATTTATTGTATATTTCAAAATAAGTAAAAGAGTGGCATTAGAATGTTCCTAGCAGTTTGGCACGGTGGCTTACACCTGTAATCCCAGTACTTTGGCAGGCCAAGGTGGGCAGATTGCTTGAGCCCAGAAGTTCGAGACCAGCTTGGGCAACATAATGAAACCCCATCTCTACAAAAGAAAATTACAAAAATTAGCTGGGCATGGTGGTGTGCACCTGTAGTCCCAGCTACTCAGAAGTCTAGGCTGGGGGCTTCCTTTGAGCTGGGAGGTTGAGAAAGCAGTGAGCCACTCCAGCCTGGGCAACAGACTGAGACCTTGTCTCAGAAAAGAAAAAAAAAAAAGAATGTTTCTAGCACAAAGAAATGATAAATGCTTGAGATGATGGCTATCCTAATTACCCTGATTTAGTCATTACACACTGTGACACTCGTATCAAAATATTACATGTACCCCCATAAATAAGTAAATATGTACAACTATTGTGTATCCATAAAAATTAAAAGTTTTAAAACAGATGAATGCATAAAGAAAATGTGATATGTATACACAATGGAATACTATTTAGTCATAAAAAGGAATGAAATTCTGTCATTAGCGGCTATATAAGTGAGCTTGGAAAATATTAAGTGAAATAAGCCAGGCATAGAAAGATAAGTACTGCATGTTCTCACTCATATGTGAAAGCTAAAAAAAGTTGATCTCACAGAAGTAGAGAGTAGAATAGTAGTCACCAGTGCCTGGGAATGGTAGGTGGGAGCAGAGGATAGACAGTAAAGGTCAGTTAATAAATACAAAAGTACAGCTATATAGGAGTAGTAAGTTCTAGTGTTCCGTAACACTATAGGAAAACTAACAAAAACTTATTGTATATTTTCAAGTATCCAGAAGAGTAGATTTTGAATGTTCCGAACACCAAAAAAAGGAAATTTTTGAGATGATGAATATACTAATTACTATGATTTGATCATCACACATTGTATAAGTGTATCAAAATATCACAATTTACCTCATTAATATGTACAATTATCTATCAATTTAAAATAGAAAAGCAAAAAATGAAATAAGAACAATGAAAAAAGAATGCTTCAACAAAAAAAAAATCAATCAATATAGTACACTACATTAATAGAATTCAGGGGAGAAAAGCACATGATCAACTCAACTGATGCAGAAAAACACCTGACAAAAATTCAACCACCTTTCACGATAAAAACACTCAATATACTAGGAGTAGAAGGAAACTTCCTCAAAATGATAAAGGTCATATATGAAAAATCCACAGCTAACATCATACTCCAAACACCTTTGCATATATGGTCAACTGATTTTTGACAAGAGTGCCAATACCATTCAATGGTGGAAAGACAGTATGAAACCTTTTCCTCTACAATCATTAACAAGACAAGGCTGCCTGCTTTCACTATTTCAATTCAACATAGGATTAGAAATTCTAGCCAGAGCATTTAGGCAAGAAAAAGAACAAAAGTAATCTAAATTGGGAAGGAAAAAGGATAATTAATTATCACTGTTCACAGAGGGCAAGATCTTTTATGTAGAAAACCCCAAAGATTGTGCGACTGCACACACACAAACTTTAGAGCTAATGAATTCAGCAATGTTGCAGGATATGAAATCAACACACAAAAATCGGTTGCATTTCTATATACTGGCAATGAATAGTCTGAAAAGAAAATTAAGAAAAACATTCAATTTACAATAATATCAAAAAGAATAAGTTGACCTCCTGCATAGTCAAAATCCACATACAACATTTGACTCCCCAAAAGCTTAAGTACTAATTGCCTACAGTTGACTGGAAAACTTACCGATAACAACCTGTCAATTAATACATATTTAATGTTATATGTATTATATACTATATTCTTAGAATAAAGTAAGATAGAGAAAAGAAAGTGATATTTTAAAAATCAGAAGGAGTCTCAACAATGTCTGGATAATTACAAAAAGAGGGAAAGAATAAGAACAAAATAAAATCATAAGGAAGAAAAAATATATTTGCAATTCATTAAGTGGAATGGATTATCATAAAAGTCATCATCCTTGTCATCTTCACATTGAGTAGGCTGAAGAGGAGGAGGAGGAGAAAGGATTCATCTTGCTGTCTCAGGGGTAGCAGAGGTAGAAAAGGTAGAGGAGGTGAAAGGGGAGGCAGGAGAGGCAGGCACACTTGGTGTAACTTTTATTGCAAAAACTGAGTGTAAATGAACCTCGCAACTCAAATCTATGTTGTTTAAGGGTAAACTGTACTTAGGAATAGATTTAACTAAGGAGGAAAAAGATTGGTACACTGAAAACTACAAAACATGACTGAAAGAAATCAAAGAAGATAAATTAATGGAAAGACATTTCCATTTTATCTTAATATTGTGAAGAGGACAAAACCACCCAAAACAATCTACAGATTCAGTGAAACTCCTGTCAAAATACCAATGGCATGTTTTGTAGAAATAGAAAAATTGATTCTAAAAGTTATAGGAAATCTCAGGAGATCCTAAATAACCAAAACATCTTGAAAAATAACAAAATTGGAAGATTCACATTTCCTAATTTCAAAACTTACTACAAAGCTACAGTATTCAAAAAAAAAGTGATACTGGCATAAGGACAGCTATATAAACCAATGGAAAAGAACAGAAAGCCCAGAAATAATCCCAGAAATGTGGGGTCAAATGATCTTCAACAAGGGTACTAAGACCACTTAATGGAGAAAGGACATTCTCCTTAACGAATGGTGCTAGAAATACTGACTATTCACATGCAAACAAGTAAAGTTGGATCCTTACATCATACTTTTTTAAACTCAAAATGAGTCAAAGATCCAAAGTTAAAAGCTAAAACAATAAACTCTCAGAAAAAACGGGGAAATCTTCATGAGATTGGATTTGACAACCATTTCTTGGATACGACACCAACAACACAGTCAACAAAAGTAAATATTAAAGAACCATTCTTTTAATGAAAGTTTAAAACTTTTTGCATCAAAGGACACAATCAACAGAGTGAAAAAACAACCCACAGAATGACAGAAAATATTTGCAAATGACATATCTGATAAGGGATTCGTATCCAGAATAAACAACTCCTAAAACTCAATGACAAAAACAAACAACTCAATTCAAAAATGAGTATTACCAAACACTGAGCCGCCGTGCAGCTAGTATGCCACGTGGAAGCCGAAGCCACACCTCCTACAGGGCCCCTCCCACCAGCCAGGCACCTCAGATGAGAGCTACACCCAGGCTAGCACCAGCAGCTCAGCCGCCAGCAGTGGCACCCCCATCTGCAGTTGGCTCTCCTGCTCCTGCACCCCGGCAGCCAAGTCTGATGGCCCAAATGGCAACCACTGCAGCTGGCGTGGCTGTAGGCTCTGCTGTGGGTCACACACTGGGTTATGCCCTCACTGGGAGCTTCAGTGGAGGAAGTAATGGTGAGCCTGCAAAACTTGACATCACTTACCAGCAGCATCAGGGAACCTGGCCAGCACAGCAGCAGCAGCCTTGTTTCCATGAGATCAAACAGTTTTTGGAGTGTGCCCAGAACCAGGGTGACACCAACAAGCTCTGTGGGGCTTTCAAGAGGTTCTCAAACAGTGCAGACTTGCAAACAGATAGGCCTAATCAAGAAGTTCAAATTGGAGAAATGGAAAATCAGCTCTCCTAACCAAGTTAATTCACTATTAAAATAAAATTGATAGTGAAGGTATAAAATATAACCACCAGTTAAACCTCTCGTATGTCATCTATAGCTTCCTTGCTTCAGAATTGAAATGGAAGAGGGTGTTCTAACTGTGTAGAATTTCATTAAGATGGTGTAGAATTTGGGGCTGGGCAAATGTTTGTGTGGCCTCCTTAAACTGGCTGTTACGATTTTATTCTTTGTGAGTCAATTAGAATGAGATGATTTTCTTCCAAGAAAATGAATATTTCTCTAGAAGATAAACAAATGGCCAATAAATACATGCCTTAGTCATTTGGAAAATACAAATCAAAACCACAGTGAGGTACCACTTCACACAAATTAGAATGGCTGTTTATTTTTCATGAAAATAACAAGCATTAGTGATGATGTGGAGAAATTGGAACCCTCATGCATTGCTGGTGGAATGTAAGATGGTTCAGCTACTATGGAAAACAGTTTGGCAGTTCCTCTAAAATTCAAAACATAAAATTACTATATAATCCAGCAATTCCATTCCTCAATATATACTCAAAAGAATTGAAAGCAGGGACTGAAACAGATACTTGTACACCAATATCCCTCAGGATCTGTAGGGGATTGGTTCCAGGACCCTCTTGGATACCCAGATCTGCGGATGCTCAAGTCCCATATATAAAATGGTGTAGTTTTGCAAAAGCAATCAGTAGATATAAGGGAAAAAATGGTGTAGTATTTATATAAACTGATGCACATCTTCCCATATACCTTAAATCATCTCTAGATTACTTATAATACCTAATATACTGTAAATGCTATGGAAATCATTAATACTATATTTTTTAATTTGTATTATTTTATTATTGTATCTTTTTTCCAATTTTTTTTTTTTTGAGACAGAGTCTCACTTCATAGCCCAGGCTGGAGTTCAGTGGTGTGATCTCAGCTCACTGCAACCTCTGCCTCCCAGGTTCAAGTGATTCTCATGCCTCAGCCTCCCAAGTAGCTGGGATTACAGGCGTGCACCACTATGCCCAACTAATTTTGTATTTTTAGTAGACACAGGGTTTCACCATGTTGGCCAGGCTGGTCCTGAACTCCTGACCTCAGGTGATCCACCTGTCTCAGTTTCCTAAAGTGCTGGGATTACAGGCATGAGCCAGCACACCTGGCCATTCCAAGTATTTTTTAATCCATGATTGGTTGAATCCATGGATGCAGAACCCACAAATACAGAGAGACAACTGTATTATTCATAGTAGCCAAAAGGCAGACAGCAATGAAATTTCAATACATGCTACAACATGGATAACGCTTGAAAATATTATGCTAAGTGAAATAAGCAGACACAAAAAAAGACAAATATGGTGTGATTCCACTTGTATGAGGTATATAGAATAGGCAACTTCATAGAGACATAAAGTAGAATGGTGGTTACTAGGGACCTGGGGAGAGGTGAGAATGAGGAGTTACTGTGTAATGGGTAGAGTTTCTGTTTGACGTGATGAAAAACTTCTGAAAACAGATAGTGGTGATGGCTGCACAACATTGTGAATGTACTTAATATCAATGAATTAATCGTATTCTCCAAAATGGTCAAAATGATAAATTTTTGTTATGTTTATTTACCACAATAAAATAAAACACTCTAAAAGGGAATTCAGTCCTCAGCAGAGGCCCTATCTGCATTTTTCCTGGTTCAACCATGGCTCAATTGGGTTTCAGAGCCTTATTCATTTTTTTTTTTTTTGAGACGGAGTTTCACTCTTGTTGCCCAGGCTGGAGTGCAATGGCACAATCTCCACTCACCATGATCTCAGCTCACCGCAACCTCCGCCTCCTGGGTTCAAGCGATTCTCCTGCCTCAGCCTCCTGAGTAGCTGGGATTACAGGCACCTGCCACCATGCCCGGCTAATTTTGTATTTTTAGTAGAGACGGGGTTTCTCCATGTTGGTCAGGCTGGTCTCGAACTCCCAACCTCAGGTGATCAGCCTACCTCGGCCTCCCGAAGTGCTGGGATCACAGGCATGAGTCACCGCACCCGGCCTCAGAGCCCTATTCTTTTATGAATGCTATTCTAGCGTGAAAATAAAATCTTCCTGCAAGTATCAATCACCCTTGAGCCTGTTCATGTGCTGAGAAATAAAGGAGACAAAAAAATAATAGGGAACATAGAAAGATGTAGAGGGAAAATATAAACAACACAGGCAAACAGGCTGTGTTAACCAAACAAACACCTACTGTACTTGTTTCAAGTACTTTGGGAAATTTAAGAAAAATATGTTAAATGCTCAATAAGGACCAGGGGTTTTAAAATTTTTTATGTTACAGAAGAAAGTCCTTGTAGATATGCACTAATTGTTTCCTTCCCTCTCTCCAATCCATGATTTATGGAATACTTAATGGTCATTTACTACTCATCTACTCACAGGAAACTGGCAGATCTGATATTTTAACCTACTTAGAAGCTGATAAATCGGCCTGTTACCGTTTGCTTCATGGATGCTGGCAAAAGACAAGAGACTCATGGGTCAGAGACAAAGAATTTTATTACTTCCTATATAGCAAGCAACATGGGTACCAGAATGTTGCATCTTTCTTGCCCCCAAATCCCATGGGATGAATGCAGTTGGCCCAGGGGGGCACCTGAACACACCATGAATTGCCTTACAGTACAGAGGAGGAACTCTGGGCTTCAAAAGCCCAAATCATTCATAACAAGCAGTAAGCATACCTGTTCTTTGCTCCAGAGGGAAATATTTCTTTCAAGAAAGTCTGCTATATAAACATCCTTGAAAAGATAGTCTAGGCTGGGCATGGTGGCTCACACCTCTAATCCCAACACTTCAGGAGGCTGAGGTGGGCAGATCACGAGATCAAGAGATTGAGATCATCCTGGCCAACATGGTGAAACCCCGTCTCTACTAAAAATACAAAAATTAGCTGGGCATGGTGGTGTGCACCTGTAGTCCCAGTTACTCAGGAGGCTGAGGCGGGAGAATAGCTTAAACCCGGGAGGTGGAGGTTGCAGTGAGCCGAGATCATGCCCCTGCACTCCAGCTTGGGCAACAGAATAAGACTCTGTCTCCAAAAAAAAAAAAAAACGAAAGAAAGAAATTAAAGAAAAGATAGTCTAGAACAAAGGGCTGTCAGTGCCTCTGTTATTAATATTTGCTGGAACTTGAGAGACCCACAGAGAATTGTTTCCCCCTAATATCCACTCCTCACTTCTACTCTGTGGCTAAGCTCATCCAATTTGTCTTATATGGCATTTAATTAAGGCTACTGCCTACAGGACTCCAAGCAGCAGGATAGGCCAACCTACAGTACGGACCTCAGCCACGCCTCTCAGGGTCCTGTATCCAATCAGCAGAACACCTCACAACCCATCAAGGTCTACCTCAGAAATCCAGGTGGCTTTCTCCTTCACTTTCTGTATTGATTTTTTTTTTTTGGACACGGAGTCTCGCTCTGTCGCCCAGGCTGGCAGTGGTGCGATCTCGGCTCACTGCCACTGCCTGCCACGTTTAAGCGATTTTCCTGCCTCAGCAGCTGGGATTACAGGCTCCTGCCACCATGCCCAGCTAATTTTTTTGTATTTTTAGTAAAGTCAGGGTTTCACCATGTTGGCCAGGCTTGTCTCCAACTTCTGATATCAGGTGATCCGCCTGCCTCAGCCTCCCAAAGTGCTGGGATTACAGGCCTGAGCTAAGGCACCCAGCCTCTGTATTGATTTTTTAACTTCGCCCTAGATATTAATCCAGGTACAGGAGGAGGAAGTCTAGGGCAATCCCATCAACCATAACAACCCTAGCCAGTTGGTTTAGACTGACTTAAATGGCTTTAGCGGGAGAATGTCATAGCTGTGATCACTTCAGCTAAAAAAAGTGGCGAATTCCAAACCACCTTTTCTCATTGGATGCTTCCCCTCACAGAAAAAAACTGCCATAGGACTTACATAAATAACAAGTCAGTTATCCTATCCCTCCAAGACACAAGCCACAGAACCAAGAGCAGCTGCTTCTGGAGAACTCTGCACAATCATCTGAGGCTGCATGGTCTCCTGGTGCTGTTTCCTCAAACCCTCAAAGGTCTGTTATGGCCATCCCCGGGGTACAAGTCCCCATGAGAAAGGCTAATTAACACCTGGCTTCCAGACTAAAAGCAAATATCAAGGGTGCACACGCTGCCCCTGGAAAGAGAGCTTACAATTGTTGCAGCCAACAAATGAGGTCTACATCATTCAGCAGGGATGGAGTGCAGAGGGATCTGTGTGAAAAAAAACTGACAATGCCTTAGTGGCCTCCTGGCCAGCTGATACACCTAGAGTTCCTAGCTCAGTTTAAATAATTGAGTCTAGACCTTGATTTGGAATGACGGCCTAAAGGACAGACAATCCACTTATCCTGTCTGTACGAGGACTAGTACACCAGGGGAGGAGCGTTCATTCACCCCACAGAACGACGGAGCCACAGCTGTGAGAATGGGTGTGGAGAAGGCAGGAGACAAAGGAGAGTCCCCCTTTGCTACTTCCAGCAGATTTATCAGCAAGGGTAAGGGAATGGCAATCAAATCACAGTGAAAGTCATCTGGAGGAGGATGGCAGACCTAGAAGTCTTAAATTTCAGGTACTTGCAACAGCTTAAGAGAGCTACTGTGGGTGATTTTCCTTTTTGAGAAAGGCTGCAGAGAAAGATCACTAATATTGCTCACTCCCCTATACCTCCTGAGGTCTAAGGGGTTCCCTTTCCAAGTGCCAGGGTTGTTCCTTTTCCTCTACTACCATAAAATCATTGTTGTCCATTTCAGTAGCTATAAAGTCACCCTTTGTCCAATTATTCCCTTACCCATACCAAGACCTTTCTTTGGAAGGGTCAAGTACAAGAGGAACAAGGAACTTTTATTAAATGGACAGAGAACACTTCTATTAGTTTGCTTGTGCTGCCATAACAAAGTGCCACAGACTGAGTGAGTGGCTTACACAAAAGAAATTTCATTTCTCACAGTTCTGGTGGCTGGAGGTCCAAGATCAAGGTGCCATGGGTGCTTTCTGATGAGACCACTCTTCCTGGCTTGTAAGTGGTGGCTTCTTGCTGTGCTTCACATGGCCTTTCCTCTGTGCTTGAGTGGAGAGAGAGAGATATCTGGTGTCTGCTCCCCTTCTTTTAAGGACACCAGTTTTATTGGATTAGGACTCCTAATTACCTCTCTATTCTATTTCCAAACACAGTTACTTTGGGGATTAGGGCTTCAACATGTGAATTATAGGGGAACACAGTACAACTCACAACAACACTTATTTCCCCACTTTGGCCTGTGCAGACCCCCATAGGAGGACTTGGTAAGCAGTCTATTCAAACATGTGTTCACTATTTTTAGGACCTAAGGCCATGTTAATCCAACAAGAAAATCTAGGTGGCTTAACCAGAATGAAGTTTGAATTCCCTAGGGTTCCCTTTTGGCTGGGTTGTTACCCAGAGGGTGCCCCACAAAGCAAACCTGGAACTGCCACTTGAGGAAAGAAGAGAGCATTGTCCCAAGTTTTCATAACAGCAGAAACCCAAATTTTCAAAATAGGTTTGTTGCAAGACCATCCCCCAGGGCTTCTCCCTGCACATTTTAAGGTCAAAGACACTGACTCCCTATGTTCTAGACTCTTTTTTCCAGAATGTTTGCCTGGCAAACAGCCTTTGAGGATAATCATGTCTCCCTCTAGAGCAAAGGCAGTGTTGTTAAATTTTCAGTGTAATAATGTTTTATTCTAGAGCGAAGATCAGACACACTCATTTCCCACTAATGGAGAATTGGGATTCTTAAACGGAATTCCTTTCTTGTACACAACCTAATGAATGCTCAGATTTCATCTGCCCCCCATCACATTACCCCATGGGAACTGGGCTTGGGGAACTGGTGTAAATATGCTAAACTCTGGCTACTACCGCTATTCCATGAGACATAAAGTCCTTTGTCTCTGAGCCAAGTGTCTCATGTTTTCTGCCAACACCCTGAAACTATAGCAAGCTCACTTGTTAGCTTGCAAGTAGGATAAAACCTCAGATTTTTCATACCTCTTCTTTTTTTTTTTTTTTTTTTTTTGAGCCAGGGTCTTGCTCTGTCACCTAGGCTGCAGAGCAGAGGTGCAATCATAGCTCACTGTAGCCTCAACCTCCCAGGCTCAAGTGATCCTCCCACCTCAGCTTCCTAAGTAGCTGGGAGTGTGTCCTGGCATGTCACCATGCCTAGCTAATTTTTTAATTTTTTCTAGAGATAGAGTCTTACCATGTTGTGCAGGCTGGGCTTCTCTTTTTTTTTTTTTTTTTTCAACAGAGTCTCCCTCTGTCACCCAGGATGGAGTGCAGTGGTGCGATCTTGGTTCACTGCAAGCTCCACCTCCCAGGTTCAAGCGATACTGCCTCAGCCTCCTGAGTAAGTGGGAATACAGGTATGCACCACCACACCCAGCCAATTTTTGTATTTTTGGTAAAGATGGGGTTTTGCCTTGTTAGCCAGGCTGGGTTCAAACTCCTGACCTCAGCTGATCCACCCGCCTTGGCCTCTCAAAGTGCCGGGATTACAGGCGTGAGCCACTGCACACAGCCACTTCACACTTCTTGATGATCACTCTCATATCTTTTGTCCTGATCATTACCAAGGAAGCAGCCAAGAGAATATAATTCCTTTCTGAAGACAACCAAATTCAGTGACCAAACTGCCTTACTACAGTGCATGGACCAGGACAAGGTGAGAGAGTAGAGTGAGAAATATTTTTCAGTCAGTTTTTGAGGAGGCAGTTTCAATACTCAACACAGGAAGCTTGTGAATGGTAAGGAACTGTGCTGGTCCATTTGTGTTGCTACAAAAGAATACCTGAAACTGAGTAATTTATAAAGAAAAGAGGTTTATTTGGCTCGTTGTTCTGCAGGCTGTATAAGAGGCATGGCACCAGCATCTGCTTCTGGTGAGGACTCAGGAAACGTACAAACATGGCCGAAGGCAAAGGGGGAGCCCATGTATCACATGGTGAGAGACAGCAAGAGAGATAGCAGGAAGCTCCAGGCCCTTTTAAAAACTCAAATCTTGCATGAACTCATGGAGCAAGAACTCACTCATTACTGCAAGGATTGCACCAAGCCATTCATGAAGGATCTGCCCCCATGATCCAAACACTTCCCACCAGACCCTACCTCCAACTTCGGGGATTACGTGTCAACATAAGATTTGGAGGGGACAAACATCCAAACCATATCAGGAACACATAAAAACTCCATCAAATACCTTGATTATCAGGCCACGGTTGACTCCCCTTTGAAAAAACGCTCCTCATTGTCAGAATGCAAATGGTCCAGAAAACCAGACACATGACATGGATCAGTTTCACAGGCTACAGTGGTCTGACAGGAGTTGGCTGATCAGACTAGAACAATAACGCTGTAGCCTGAAGGAGTGTCCACAGTGGTGAAGTACCACTGATAGCCCTCAGAGGGGTCAGGGATCCAGTGTAGTCAATCCACCAGGAGCAGTCAAGGGCAGTGTCCCATGCAACACGGTCTCCCATTCTGTGAGGGGAGGAAGGTTGGATGGCTGGAGTATGGAGACTACAGAATGTTCTGAAAAAGTTTCAGCAAGGGTAATGGAGGGTCCTAGACCCAAAGTGACCTGTTAGAGACATCCAAGAACAGATCTTAGGATACCTGCTGTATTCAACCATTCTCTGGAAGCAGCCATGAGCAGTGTGTCCTCTGCATCCACGTAGTGATAGATATCAGAACTTGCCATCTAGAACCGTGTTCAACCACACTCTCTGCAAGTAGAAAACCTAAAAGATTCCTTCTCATGGCCACCACAACCAGCTATGGTTAACAAAAGGATTCCATAAAATGGGTACCAAAAGAAATAGAAAGAATAAGACCTACTATTTGATAGCACAATAGGGTGACTAGTTTCAGTAATAGCTTAATTGTATATTTTAAAATAACTTAAAGAATGTAATTGGTTATGTGCAGCTCAAAGGATAAATGCACATTACATGCCTGTATCAAAACATCTCATGTGCCCCATAAATATGTACACTTACTATATACCCACAAACTTTTTTTTAATGTAAAAAAAAGGTACCATAAGAAATTCTACTAAAGGCCGGGCATGGTGACTCACACCTGTAATCCCAGCACTTTGGGAGGCCGAGGCAGGCGGATCACCTAAGGTCAGGAGTTCTAGACCAGCCTAGCCAACATGCCAAAACCCCATCTCTACTATAAATAAAAAAGCAGCTGGGTGTGGTGGTGGGCACCTGTAATCCCAACTACTCGGGAGGCTGAGGCAGAAGAATCACTTGAACCCAGGAGGCAGAGGTTGCAGTGAGCCCCAAGATCGTGCCACTGCAGCCTGGATGACAGAGTAAGACTCCCATCTCAAAAAAAAAAAAAAAAAGAAAAAGAAAAAAAGAAATTCTATTACAAAGAACAAAGCAGGCGTGGTGGCTCACACCTGTAATCCCAGCACTTTGGGAGGCTCTGGCAGGCCATCACTTAAGTCTAGGAGTTCGAGTCCAGCCTGGCCAACATGGCAAAACTCTGTCTCTACCAAAAATACAAAATTTTATACAAAAATTAGCCAGGTGTGTTGGCACACGCCTGTAGTCCCACCTACTCTGGAGGCTGAGGTAGGAGAATCACTTGAGCCTGGGAGGGAGAGGTTGCAGTGAGCCAAGATCGCACCACTGCACTCCAGCCTGGGTGACAGAGTGAGACGCTGTCTCAAAAATAAATAAGTAAAAATAAAAGAACAAAGGAAGTAAGATTCTTTGGAGTCTTATTTAGAATAAGTCTATTTAGAATAATGTGCTAACAGACATTCTATATATATATACGAGTATTTTAAATATGTAAAAGGAAAGGAACTAAGCAGAGTATCATAGGTAGTGTCAATTTCTAATACAGAAATATTTATAATTTATAAAAAGATTATTTGAGGTACTAAAAATATCTCTAAAGCTCTGGAGAGAAAGGTACAATAAAAAGTATGTAATTTTTTCAATGTGTAGATTATCTTTTTCTTTTCTCTGTAACTAAAAACAGCCTGAAGGATTTTTTGTTGTTGGCCTCTTTTCTGTCTGTGGAAATCAGACAAGTAAGAGGAAGGAGTAGAGAAACAGCTCCCTTCCTATCTCACAGCCCAGATGGACAAGGCCTCCCTTTGACTGCCTGGAACAGGGATCTGGTGAGAGGGAGAAAAGGCAAGTGGGAGTTGCAGCAGTCCTAGTAAGGGCATCATAATGTCTTATTACCCCCCTACCCAAGTGTCAATTCTTCTAAACAATGTATTGAGATATAAAAACACCCCGTTACAGTATACAATTTATTCCCAAAGTATATTCACAGGGTTGTATAACACCATCACCACAATCTGAGTTTAGGATATTCACATCATCCCAAATAGAATCCCACTGGTAATGACTCCCTCAACAACTACATACACACACACACAAACACACACACACCAGCCCTAGAAAACCATTCACTACTTTTTTTTTTTTTTTTTTGAGACAGGGTCTCCCTCTCACCCAGACTGGAATGCAGTTGTGTGATCTCAGCTCACTGCAACCTCTGCCTCCCGGGTTTAAGCAATTCTCCTGCCTCAGTCTCCCGAGTAGCTGGGAGTATTGGTGTGTGCCACCAGGCCCAGCTAATTTTTGTATTTTTAGTAGAGATGGGGTTTTGCCATGTTGGCCAGGCTGGTCTCGAACTCCTGGCCTCAAGTGATTTGCCCGCTTCAGCCTCCCAAAGTGCTGGGATTACAGGCATGAGCCACTACATCCCGCCATTCATCTACTTGCTATCTCTATAGATTTGCCTATTCTGGACATTCATATAAAGAGAACCATACAATATGTGGTCTTCTGTGGCTGGCTTCACTTACTTAGCTTGTTTTCAAGGTTTATCCATGTCACAGCATGTATCAGTACTTCATTCCTTTTCATTGCTGAACTGTACTCCACTGTACTGGTGGATATACCAAATTTTGTCTATTCATTCATCATTTGATGGACATTTGAGCTGTTTCCACTTGTTGGCTATTATGAATAATGCCACTAACAACATTCTTGTATAAGTCTTTGCGTGGACATGTGTTTTTAATTTTCTTGGGCCTATATGTAGTCATGAAATCGCAGGCTCATGTGGTAACTCTATGGTTAACATTTTGAGGAACTGCCAAACTGCCTTCCACAGCAGCTGCCCTATCAAAAGTGTGCAAGGGTTCCAATTTCTCCATAACCTGCTCAACACTTGTTATTGTCTTTCTTTAATATAGCCATCCCAGTGGGCTTGCAGTGGCATCTCATTGTGGTTTTGATTTGCATCTCTCTAATAGCTAATGATGGTCAGCATCTTTCCATGTGCTTATTGGCCATTTGTATATCTTCTTTGGATAACTGGCTACTCAAATACTTTCCCATTGTTTAACTGGATTACTTATCTTTTTGTTGTTGACTTGTAAGAGCTCTTTATATATTCTGGATATCAGTTTCTTATCAGGTATATGATTTCCAAATACTTTCTCCCATTCTTTGGGTTATCTTTTCATTTTCCTCATGTACCATTTGTAGCACAAAAGGTTTAAATTTTTATATAGTCTTATTTTTCTATTTTTTACTTGGTTTCTTGTGCTTCTGATGTGATAACTAAGCACTGAGTAATCCAAGGTCACATTTACTCTTAGGTTTTCTTCTAAGAATGTAATAATTTTTGCTCTTTCATTTAGGTCTATGATCTATTTTGAGTTGATTTTGTATATAAGAAAGAAGTTCAATTTTATTCTTTTTCATGTGTCCACTTCTTCCAGGACCATATATTGAAAAGGCTAATTTTTCCCTCATTGAACTGCATGCCCATTTTAAGCAAAAAAAGATTGTTTTCTATGACTGCAGTCCGAGAGAAGGATAATCAGGCTCATTGACTCAGTCTTCTCACATCCCAGAATTTCTAGCACTTGCTATTTTGTGACATAAACCTCCTCCAAACACATTTGTTACCTAAACAAACACAAGAACTGTACTTAACCTTGCTGAACTACATAAGAATTTGAACCACTTCTGTTTGCTATAAATACGCAGTGCTGTGAAAGAGGCTGTTGGTTTCTATTGAAACTCAATTCTAGAGTATTTGTCTGGGAAGCTGGGGGACTGATTTTCCTGTTTTACCCATGACCTCTCCCAATAAATGCATTTATTAATTTCCATGAATTGTTGTGGCTGGTGGGAGGTATGCAGCAGCCGCCAGTTGTATGGCTAGAACATGCAGGCTGCCAACAGAAGGCCACAAAGACTATTGAATCTCTCTTCCCAATTTCATCACTGCCTTGGCCCCTGTGAATTCATGCCCCTCCTGGGCCTCCCACCTTACTGCAGAGAGAATAACGGGGACATAGAAGGATTCTTCAGGCTAATCCCACTGCAGCAGTTCTAAAACATCAGATGAGACTGTTGCCCTCACGGTGGTTCACTGAAGACCAGAGCTGGACAATAGTTAAATAGAACTGTGCTCAACTCCGAACACAGCAAGAGAAAGTGAGGATTTTATAGCCAAGGACCAGGGTGAGGGTCAGTGGATGGAAAATTATTAAGAGGAAATATCAGAGGTAAGAGGGAATCTGGCTGAACCAACATGAAAGGATTCTGGCTGAAGGCGGGCCAGGGTGATCAGACATCAATGGGACTGTAGGGCGTGAGGAAGCTGATGAGATACTGAGAATGATTAGATATCAACGGTGACCAGATATCGATGCTGGGGGATTCTGGCTAAACCAACTTTAAGGTATTCTCTCTAAAGCTGAGCAATGCAAAAATGGACAAAAAGTCCAAAAGTCAAGGCCTCGTCAGGAATAGGAACCAGAGGAGGCTGAGTTGGTCAGGAAGAGACCCTCTGTCAGTGGACCAACTCACACAAGCAACTTGGTGCATTAAAGGCACTCAAAAAAAAAAAAACTATCGATAGAAAACATTGAAGATTTAACTCAAAGCCTAGATTTGTTGCATGGGACTCCAGAAAAAAAAAATCTATTGAAATGGATTTTTAAAAGCCTACAAACAATCTCAGATGAAGAGTTATCATTATTTTAGAGAAGTCAATCTCTATTTCAACCTCTACTGATCTTTCAGACTGCACTGTTCATTCTAATTCTTATAATACAAAGGCAGAGCAGCAGATACTCTAGGGAAAGAATGCTTGCACCGTGAAATCCACAAGTCCTGGACATGGCCTGGAGACACAATGTCCAGGTCCCCCACCCAGTCAGGGTGCCAGATGGTGCCTGCTCCTCCCTAGGTAGAGACATGGAAAAACGTAGAATGCCAGGATCTTAAATCTGTAAGAGTAAAGATTCAGGAAATTCCCTTATTTACAGATAAGACAACTAAGGCCCAGCGTATTAAGGGGTTTGACCTATGCCACACAGGGATTTGAAGTTGATGCAGAAATATCTGCAGTGTACTGTTTTTCATTTAAATCACAGATGTAAGATGGTTTTTCATTCAAAATCTGATACTTCAAGCATGCCACTGCCATATCCAAACTTTTAAGCTGACGTTTTGATAATGAATATTAAGTGCTAGGTAAGATGGGGCAGGGTGGTGTTTAGTTACTACAGCTTCAAAACAACCAAATCTAAATATAATTTCTAGCTACCTTGTTGAAACACAAAAGACATCCTCCAGTACCTTTTTCTCTGCATTACATGCATTACAATGAGAGGTCAGTTGACCTTTGTTCCTTGGATTATTCTGACATTGTTCAAAGAGCCTCCCAGTTTGCAGCTCACACAGCCCAGGTGCTAGCCACCCCTGAACACAGATCCCCAGACCTTACTGTCAAATTCGGCAATTATTTTCTGTCTCTCTCTGCAGCTGCACTCAGAAGACTGCTTTTGTGGACCACCAGGAATTTCCTGTGATAGAATATCAGAAAGCTACTGGTGACTCGGAGGAGGTGACTTCACAGGGCAAAAGTTCCCTTTCTACAATAAACATTCTCAGTGTGGCCATGTGGGAGACTTCCTACACAGACCCCACACCTCCCAGCCACTTGTCATCTTGACACCAAATAGCCAGAGAAAGAAATAGAACCATTTGTAAGAGGTCATCTTTTTTTAAAATGAACTTGCCTATGGGTTCTGAGTATGTTATATCATCACGAAAACCCATGGAAAAAGCTTACCTGAAAATGATTTTAAGAAAACATATGGGCTTTTTAGGGGCCGGGCGTGGTGGTTCACACCTGTAATCCCAGCACTTTGGAAGGCCAAGGCAGGCAGATCACGAGGTCAGGAGATCAAGACCATCCTGGCTAACATGGTGAAACCCCGTCTCTACTAAAAATACAAAAAATTAGCCGGGCGTGGTGGCGGGTGCCTGTAGTCACAGCTACTCGGGAGGCTGAGGCAGGAGAATGGCGTGAACCTGGGAGGCAGAGCTTGCAGTAAGCTGAGATTGTGCCACTGCACTCCAGCCTGGGCGACAGAGCGAGACTCCATCTCAAAATAAAGTAAAATAAAATAAAATAAACATATGGGCTTTATAAGGCAAATAAGCAAGCCAATTCACAGTTCTAAGTGAGGGATGAGGCTGCCAAATGATTATAAGGCCCTTAAGCCTCTTGAGGCACCTTGCAAGATGTTTGAGAGAAAGTGAGGCTTTGCTCCCTCCCCAGCACATGGACTTCTCAGTCACAGGACCCCGCGGGAAGCCAGATGCACTCAGCCCTTTACTTCTCCAACAGCCGTTACAAAAGGCACCATTTGGAAGAAAGTCATTGAAGAGAGAAGCCAGGTTGGGCGCGGTGGCTCATGCCTGTAATCCCAGCACTTTGGAAGTCCGAGGCAGGCGGATCACGAGGTCAGGAGATCGAGACCAGTCTGGCCAACATGGTGAAACCCAGTCTCTACTAAAAACACAAAAAATTAGCCGGGCATGGTGGCACATGCCTGTAGTCCCAGCTACTCAGGAGGCTGAGGCAGGAGAATTGCTTAAACCCAGGAGGCAGAGGTTGCAGTAAACCAAGATTGCACCACTGCACTCCAGTCTGGGCAACAGAGCAAGACTCTGTCTCAAAAAAAAAAAAGAAACAAAAGAAGAGAGAAGCCAGAGCACGTGGTGATCAACCATCAGAGCTGGTGCACACTTAAGACACCTACAGTCCTCTTGCATCAGGTAAGGGCATGGTCCGGGGGAAGAGGAGCCAGCACCTACACGCACAGACACCATTACCAAAGGAAAGACAGCACAGCTGGCGAAACTTTGACTTTCCTCCTCAGTCTTTTAAATAGAGCATTCTACTCCTTAATTTATCCTGTTTTTGTTGTTGTTGTTGTTTATTTTTGTTTGTTTTTGTTTTTTTGAGATGGAGTTTGCTCTTGTTGCCCAGGCTGGAGTGCACTGGTGCGACCTCAGCTCACTGCAAGCTCTGCCTCTCGGGTTCAAGCGATTCTCCTGCCTCAGCCTCCCGAGTAGCTGGGATTGCAGGCATGCGCCACCATGCCCGGCTAATTTTGTATTTTTAGTAGAGACGGGGTTTCTCCATGCTGGTCAGGCTGGTCTTGAACTCCCGACCTCAGGTGATCCGCCCGCCTCGACCTCCCAAAGTGCTGGGATTACAGGCATGAATATGCTCATCCATATTCTAAGCAAGGGCTCTTGCCCATACACCTGGCTGCCCCTTCTACCTAGCTTATGGCTTTGACCTCATGACTTTCACTTGTCCCCTTTGGTCAATGTTTCCCATTCATATGATCAGTCTCCCCAAGGAACTAATAAGCTCCTCTCCCTTTTGTAAAACAGGACCTAATGCTTTGGTTAGACTTGAGTTTTCCCAGGTTCGTGTGTGTGTGTCTGTGTGTGTGTGTGTGTATGTATGTGTCTATGTACGGGTTCTCTCACACACACACCACCGTGGGGGGTCTAGAGCCCTTACCAGGCTTTCTGTAAAAAGCTAATGGCTGACCGGGTGCGGTGGCTCATGCCTGTAATCCCAGCAATTTGGGAGGCTGAGGTGGGCTGATCACCCGAGGTCAGGAGTTCCAGACCAGCCTGGCCAACATGGTGAAACCCCATCTCTACTAAAAATACAAAAATTAGCCGGGTGTGGTGGCACATGCCTATAATCTCAGCTAGTCGGGATGCTGAAGCACGGGAATCGCTTGAACCTGGGAGGTGGAGGTTGCAATGAGCCGAGATGGCGCCACTGTGCTCCAGCCTGGGCAACAGAGCGAGACTCAGTTTCAGTTAAAAAAAAAAAAAAGGTCACGGCAGCTAGGACCAGCTGCAGTTGGAGCAGGCAGCTGCCCTCCCAGGGCCATTCCTGTTCCCTACAGCCCCACAGGCCCTCTCTCCCCTAGGGGTCGAGTAGGAGACCAGTGCTATAAGCAGGAAACAGAGTTACACACATCTTTGGCACCACCCATGACAGAGCCCGGACTGGATTCATCACAGTTCTCCTAACGGCTTCCGCGTATGAGGCGTGAACTTCACCATCTCCATCTTGATTTTGACCTGTTTCTACGGGAACTGGGATCACAGGCAGGACTTTGCAGCACAACGCTGGCACCGATTTCACCTTTTCTGGGTGAAATACAGATTTGGTTGAACGACGGTCGCTTTCACTGCCTCCGGCTGAGGATTTGGTAGGGGCTCCTTTCAAGGCCACAGGTGTGGGTGACCCAGCCCCACCTCAAGCGGGCATGAAAGTACAGGCCGTGGAACCCGTCCGACCAAGGGTGATGAAAAGGGAAGTAGTGGGCACCATAGACACATGATTCCAGACCCCTCTTCATCCAGATTGTGGCTTGAGCCCTCAGCAATGATGTGGTTCCCATCCCTGCATCCCACACCGCAGCCCCAGGGCTCTCCCTGCCCAGGCAGCGCCGTCTGTGGCAAAGGCACACAGCGCAGATTGTAGGGTTTGGGGCTGGGCCAAGACCTACCAGGCTTCGCAACAGCGACTGGCAGCGGCTCCCTGCTACACGGGGCTTACTCCCCCAGCTCTGCCGGGGGCTCCACTCCCAAGCGGCTCCCCGTTTTCCTTCACTCACGGTGTCTCCTTTCCCCGGATTCCTGGGTTCAACCTTGATTTTCACCCATTGTCTCGCTTCCTCCTAGCCAGCCTTCTAACCCCACCGAACTGCTGCGCATTGACATTTACAAACGCACGCTTTAGGTAGAATAAACCGGCACCGCCCTATTCCCTACAGAATGTTCAGGAAGGATCTAGACAAGGGGACCCAGGCAGTCCCCGGGCCTGAAGGACGCAACTGGGAACCGGAGTGGAGTAACCCGGGTGCAGCGCCAGGCCACAGCCTGTAAACCTTTCTAAAATTACTCTCTCATCAAGGGTCTCTGAGGCCCTCACCTTCGAAAATTTCAGGTCAACAAGATGGCGTCTGAGCACTTACTTGGTGCCAGGCATAAAATAGCCCAGATCCCGGCCCTGGTGGACTCCGCATAACGAGGACGGCAGACAGAAATCAAATAACTATAAAAATAAACTTTAAAGTGTCTGAAGTGCTCCAGAGGAAAACTCAAAGGGCTCTAAAAGCAAATAACACATCCTGGGTATGTGATGGCATGAACTTTCCCAACAGCCCGGGAGTTTAGCCTGGTTAAGGAAGTGGCACCGTTATGCCTGCGGGGAATCGCCCTGAAGCGTGGGTGCGGGCGCAGCGGGGCTGCGGGAGGCCCCGGCATCACACAGCCCACAGGCTCCGGGAAAACGCAAGAGCGGAGGCGACCGCTTAGGCCCCGGCTCTCACCCCCGTCCTGGTAAATTGATGCAGCCCTGCCTGCTGCCACCATTCAATACGCCTGGTGTCTTCCGCAGCAGCAGAAAAACTGACCCTGGAGAATTTAAGCAGAAAAGTATTCCCTGCATTTCTCAAACAACCTGGAAAGACGCGAGAACTGCGCTCAGAAAACTGCAAGAAATGCGGCAGCCCAGGTGGGAGGAGTCCAGCCAAAATCACAGCAGAAGCGGAAGCCGGTGAGTAATGCTCGCGGGGCCCCCTAGCTCAGCGCACAGGCCCCAGGGTCAGCCTGTTTCCTTCACTTCTTAGTTTTTTTGTTTGTTTGTTTTCTTTTGATTCGGAGTCTCGCTCTGTCGCCCAAGCTGGAGTGCAGTGGCACGATCTCGGCCCACGGCAACCTACGCCTCCTGGATTCAAGCGACTCTCTTGCCTCAGCCTCCCGAGTAGCTGGGATTACAGGCACCCGCCACCACGCCCAGCTAAGTTTTGTATTTTTAGTAGAAAAGGGGTTTCACCACGTTGGCCAGGCTGGTCTGGAACTTCTGGCCTCAAATGATCCGCCCGCCTTGGCCTCCCAAAGGCCTGCTGGGATTACAGGCGTGAGCCACCGTGCCCAGCCTTCACTTCTTAGTTCTATCACTTACTGTGAATAGCTGTGCAACCTTGAGCAAGTTTATTAACCTCTCTGTGCCTCAGTTTCCTCATCTCCAAAATTAACCTTTTAAAATGCCATATTTCAACAAATCTAAAGTGCTGTCAATTTTATGATGTACTAATACTTTATAAGCCACTAAGAAGAAAAACACTGCCAGTTAAACTATGACACATGCTTTCACATCGCTTCAAATTTTTATCTTATATATCATTAAAAATCCTTAATTAGGCAGGGCACAGTGGCTCACACCTGTAGTCCTAGCACTTTGGGAGGCCGAGGCAGGCAGATCACTTGAAGTCAGAAGTTCAAGACCAGCCTGGCCAACTTGGTGAAACCCCCGTCTCTACTAAAAATACAAAAAGTAGCTGGGTGTGGTAGTGCACACCTGTAATCCCAGCTACTCAAGAGGCTGAGGTAGGAAGATCACCTGAGCCCAGGAGGTTGAGGCTGCAGTGAGCCGAGATCATACCACTGCACTCCAGCCTGGACAACAGAGCAAGACTCTATCTTAAAAAAAAAAAAAAAAAAAAAAAAAGGAAGAAAAACAAAAAAGCCTTAATTAGACTTTATTTAGATACAGGTTTTCATCATGTCATTCTTATACACACACACACAAAGGAGCATATAATTTTTAAAACCAGTTAGGATAGTTCTAGATCTTTTTCAATTCAGAGTCCAAGTATCAAAGGGCGAGAACCGTGTATTAGGTGTCAAGGTCAGAAGCAGAATCCAGCATTCCAAATTCTACCACCTGCGGCCTGTTCATTGTGGTCCATGAGTTTCCACTCAAAGGTCTTTGCTCTGTGCCATCAGGACACCGGCAGCATTTTCTCCTGGACCTTCATCAAGCCTCAGACACCTCTTTTGCAAGTTTTGGTGTGCTGTTTTCTTGACCTTACCTGGGGTGTCAAGAAGCTTTCAGAACACAGCCACAGTCCCTTCCAAATGATCCTTCTGGGGTTGTTGTCTGAAACAGCGGAGACTGGCATCCTTTTATGCCAACAAGAAGACAACTAAGTGTGTGCATCATGGACAAGGATGACCATGGGGCTGACGGCCATCTGATCACCTAGGAGGATCACAAGATGCTCACTGGGGCTGAGCCCCATCTCAGCACCGACCACAGACAGGCATTCCTACCAGCCCCAGGAAGAGGGCTGCGAGGGGTGAGTTAATTTACATAAAGAACTTAGACCTAGGCCTGGCACACAGAAAGCACTCAATAAATGTCAGTTATGTGTGTGTGTTTGAAGAAATACTGTAGTAAATTATTAGTGTTTTATAAAGTTGAGATTTTCGTTTTGTTTTGTAGATTGAGCAGGGCTTATGCATACCTGCAAGATAAGGAAAATGAGCTCAACTACTACACCATTTACATGCTTTCAAAAGTATTTTATAATTTGGGGAGGGCTATGAGGGAGAGGAATAGATAAGCAAAATAATCTTTCTTTAGTTTTGCCAGACAGCCAGGCTGTCCTGTTGATGAAAATGAAATGTACATAACCACATAGCTAGGATTCAGACCAGCTCAAAGAAGTCACAGCACACAGAGATATTCCTTATGGTTCAGCGCAATTGTCTAAATAAACTTTGCGGCCATGCGCGGTGGCTCACGCCTGTAATCCCAGCACTTTGGGAGGCCGAGGCAGGTGGATCACCTGAGGTCAGGAGTTTGAGACCAGCCTGGTTAACATGGTGTAACCCTATCTCTACTAAAAATACAAAAATTAGCCAAGCATGGTGGTGGGCACCTGGAATCCCAGCTACTTGGGTGGCTGAGGCGGGAGAATCACTTGAACCTGGGAGGCAGAGGTTGCAGTGAGCGGAGATCACGCCATTGCACTCCAACCTGGGCAACAAGAGCGAAACTGTATCAAAAATAAATAAATAAATAAATAACTTTTTCCCCAATTTTCTCCACTTCCAATGATTTAAATGTATCTCAGTTATCATGTAGTGTACTTAGGAACTAAAAACAGCCTTGTTGGTTTTCTTTGTGTTATGATTTGGAACACTGGATTCTGCTTCTGACCTTGACACCCAATACACAGTCCTCGCCCTGCAAGAGTTCATTTAGAGATGGAAAAGATTCTCCCCATGGAGGAGCTGTCAGAATAGGGAGTGGGAACAAAGACCAGGACACCCTCTCCCAGTTCCTGCTGCATGAGTAATCAGAAGCCACAGAAGGCAGTGTGGCTCAGCTGGCCCAGGCTGGTGCTCTGCTCAACTGGAAAAGCCTTTATTTCACAATCCTTTTTGAGTAATAGAAAATATTTTAACCCTTAAACACCATCACTCCTTTATCCATGCATTTATTTTCAGTGTAATTTGGTATTTCTAAGACTATTTGAAATCCGGATTTGGCAACTCACTGGCTACAGGGATCAAAGTTCTGCTCTCTTTGGGTTTACCTATAAAATGAGAATAAATAACTGGGTGCAGTGGCACATGCCTATAATCCCAGCTACTCAGAAAGCTAAGGCAGGATTGCTTGAGCACAGAAGTTCAAGACCAGCCTGGGCAACATAGCAAGACCCCGTCTCAATTTTAAAAGAAAAGAAAATACTGTTGCATCACGAGGGAAAAAAAAGAAAAAAAAAAGTTATCTCTTGAGCTGCCAATGTCTGTGACTGATTTCCAATTAGAATCAACTAAAATGGCCAGGCACGGTGGCTCACACCTGTAATCCCAGCACTTTGGGAGGCCGAGCAGGGCAGATCACTTGAGTTCAGAGTTCAAGACCAGCCTGGCCAACATGGTGAAACCCCGTCTCTAATAAAAATACAAAAATTAGCCTGGTGTGGTGGCACGTGCCTGTAATCCCAGCTACTCGAGAGGCTGAGGCAGGAGAATCACTTGAATCCAGGAGGCAGAGGTTGCAGTGAGCGAGATCGCGCCATTGCTCTCCAGCCTGGGCAACAGAGTGAGACTCCATCTCAAAATAATAATAATAATAATAATTAACTAAAATGAGAATGAATAGCATAGACCCAGGCGGCAGGTGCACAGGGAGCAGCAGTAGTTTGGGGCACTTGCCAACTCTCCCCATTTGCAGGCCATTTTGTCAGGCTTCCAACCTTAGAAAACAATTGTTAGCTTAGAACATGGTTTTGGGCCAAAATATAAGGACTTTTTACTTTGACAAACACTGTAAAGTTGCCCTCAAAAAGGATATGCCAAGTATAGTCCCAACGATGGTGTAAGAGGGTACCCAGTTCCACATATTCTCGCTGACACTGGATTCTGCAATTATGATTTCATTCTTGGTAAGGTTGTGCAGACTCCGTATGCTTATGGACTACTTTTTCAGATTTCTCATTTCCCTGTTGGGGTGTTTCATCCATCCACAGTCTTTGCACCTTACAGCAGTAACCTAACAGGTGGACATCCACTCAGACTGAAGAGGACCATGAGCACATAAGCTGGTGCAGTGGAAAAAAAGGGAACTCCAATTCCCAAGGTCATTAGGCCCAACACAAGCTGGGACCCTCTCCCAGAAGCCTGCTCTCAAAACCTTCAGGCAGAGGGGATAAAAGTGCTTCAAGGAACGCTTACTGTGTTTCGCCCTTCATGAAAAGAGTCAGTGGGCTGTCACTGTGTGGAGACAAAGCCAGGAGGGTGAGGCCTGTGGCGATTTGGTGCAGCCCAGAAGTGCAGGGCGAGCAGCTGCGGCCAGTTCTCCCTCCTGTCACTTAGCCTCTCGCCTTGGAGTTCCCGTAGCTGTAAGCTTGAAGTCTCAATTTATAGATTTCTTTGTTTATTCTAAAGTAAAGAAGCAGGAAGTTCATTTTTACCATGACCTTGACTAGATGTCTTTGATGATCATGTTTAATGGGTTAAAAATTCAACATCGTTTATTTATGTCATTATAACATGACGCCATCCTTGTTGTTATATTTTTCACATTTCTTTAGTGAGCGTACTTCCTGAAATAAAGTATACACACACACACACACACACACATCATGTCCATAGATTAAAGCAAAAGTTTTTCAACTTAATTTACTTAGTTTTATTGCAGCTGCATCACAATCTACAATACAAGTAATGTGATCTCATTCTTCAATATTTACCTGGACTTTTAAAATAATTGTTTGAGTCTTTCTAAAACTTTTTAGACTTTAATAGAGAAATTTTTAAATTTTCTTTTCCACAATCATTCATCAGATATAATCTGTATATCAGAATAGCTTTTTTTTTTTTCTTAACAGAGTCTCACTCATGTCTCCCAGGCTGGAGGGCAGTGTCACAATCTCGGCTCACTGCAACCTCCACCTCCCGGGTTCAAGCGATTCTCCTGCCTCAGCCTCCCGCGTAGCTGGGACTACAGGCGCGTGCCACCACGCCTAGCTAATTTTTGTATTTTTAGTAGAGATGGGGTTTCACCATCTTGGCCAGGCTGGCCACGAACTCCTGACCTCAGCTGATCCACCCGCCTCGGCCTCCCAAAGGGCTGGGATTACAGGCGTGTGTTTTCTCTTCCTTTAAATAGCAAAATGTCATGTCAATGGGAAAAAAAGAATTGCAAAACAACTTACAGCGGCTGTTCTAAACACCCTTAAGAAGTAGCCAAAATTTGAAGAAATAGCTCCACCTATTGTTCAAGATGTGGTACTGCAATGATAATATAGGCTCCTTAACTTCTATCAGTTTTTCAACCTTTTATGTGCACAGAAATCATCTGGGGATCTTGTTAAAAAGCAGAACCTCGTTCAGAAATTGAAGGGTGAGAACTGAAAATCTAACTGCTAACAAGCTCCCAGGAGGTGCCAATGCTGCTGGTTCATAAACCACTCTGAGTAGCATGGACTTAGTTTTTATATATGTAGCACATTTTAGTGAGTTTGACTATTAAGCCTAATTGCCTAAAAAGAATTAGAAAGTTTTTATTATGTGTAAAGATCATTTTAGATGCTAACAATCCATAAATCAAACTCATTTTCTCCCTTTCTACAAGGGATTACTTGAGATGAATTGGTGATGTTGAATTAACTATTATTTTTAAAAATTGCCCAAAATCAATCTACTTGAATATTCAACCCTTACTCTATTTTTTTTTTTTTTTTTTTGAGACGGAGTCTCTCTCTGTCACCCAGGCTGGAGTACAGTGGCGCGACCTCGGCTCACTGCAACTTCCATCTCCCAGGTTCAAGCAATTCTCCCGCCTTAGCCTCCCAAGTAGCTGGCATTACAGGCACCTACCACCACACCCAGCTAATTTTTGTATTTTTAGTAGACAGGGTTTCATCATGTTGACCAGGCTGGTCTCAAACTCCTGACCTCAGGTAATCCACCCATCTCGGCCTCCCAAAGTGCTGGGGTTACAGGCGTAAGCCAACACGCCCGGCCTATGACATTCATTTTAGGTCCAAGGGGTGCATATGCAGGTTTGTTATGTGGGTAAATTACATGTTGCTGTGTTGTGACAGTTCAATATACAGATTATTTTGTCACCCAGATCATCAGCACAATCCGCTATAGGTAGTTTTTCTATCCTCTCCCTCTCACCCTCCAGCCTCAAGTAGATACCAGTGTCTGTTGTTCCCTTCTTTGTGTCCACATGTACTCAATGTTTAGCTCCCACATATAAGTGAGAACATGCAGTATTTGGTTTCCTGTTCCTGCGTTAATTTGCTGAAGATAATGGCCTCTAGCTCCATCCATGTTGCTGGAAAAAAAAAATAGATTTTCTTTCTTTTTTTTTTTTTAATTTATTTGAGACAGTGTCTCTGTCACCCAGGCTTGAGTGCAGTGGCGCAATCATGGCTCACTGCAACCTCTGCCTCCTGGGTTCAGACAATCCTCCTGCCTCAGCCTCCCAAGTAGCTAGGACTACGGGCATGCTGCACCATGCCCAGTTAACTTCTGTATTTTTTTGTAGAGACAGGGTTTTGCTATGTTACCCAGGCTGTTCTCCAACCCCTGGTCCAAGTGATCTGCCCACTGTGCGTAGCCTATTCTTTTTTTTATGACTGCGTAGTATTCCATGGTGTATATGAACCACATTTTCTTTAAGCAATCTACCTTTGATGGGCACTTAGGTTGATTTCATGTCTTTGCTATTGTGACTAGCACAGCTATGAACATATGTGTGTGTGTTTCTTTATGATAGAATGATTTATATTCCTTTGAGTATATACCCAGTAATGGGATTGCTAGGTTGAATGGTAGTTCTATTTTAAGTTATTTGAGAAATCTCCAAACTGCTTTCCACAGTGGCTGAACTACTTTACATTCCCACCAGCAGTGTAGAAGCATTCCCTTTTCTTCACAACCTTGCCAGCATCTGTTTTTCTTTTCTTTTTTTTTTTTTTTTTTTTTTTTCCAGAGAGAGTCTAGCTCTGTTGCCCAGACTGGAGTGCAGTGGCATGATCTTGACTCACTGCACCCTTTGCCTCCCGGGTTCAAGCTATTCTCCTGCTTCAGCCTCTCGAGTAGCTGGGATTACAGGCGCAGGGTACCACACCAGGATAATTTTTTGTATTTTTAGTAGAGATGGGGTTTCACTATGTTGGCCAGGCTGCTGTCAAACTCCTGACCTCAAGTGATCCTCCTGCCTTGGCCTCCCAAAGTGCTGGGATTACAGGTGTGAGCCACCGCACCCGGCCTATTTTTTTATTTTAATCATAGCCATTCTGACTGGTGTGAGATGGTATCTCATTGTGGCTTAGCGTGTTAATAGCCCTCTTTGGTAAGTGGCCAACTTGGAACATAAACCCAGGACCAAGTCATTCCAAAACTCTTACTTTAAACCACTTTGCTACCTTGCTAGCTTGTGAGTGCACACCTCTTTGGGCTTCTCTTTATTAAATAATATGCAGCTTTCAGATACATATGTATAATATATAGTCGCAAGGGACTTTTTTAAGAGTTTGCCTATTCTGTATTCTTAAGATGCGAGGAGGTACTATAAATGCAAGTTTAGGAGACTTAAGAAAGTCGACATCTAAAAACAGAGAGATAATGGTATCCAACTTTAAAGTGTTTCTGAGAGGGTCAAGTGAACATCACGGTAAAAGGCAGTGTTACTACTTTTGGTTTGGTTGCTTTTTCTTTTTGTTTTTTTTTTTTTTTTGGTCACCAACTTCTCCCAATAAAGAACTTGAGTTTGTGGTACCCAGATTTAGGTTCCAATACCTTTAAAATTGAAGGTGAACCAGAGTGTTGGGAGGCAGATTACTTATAGCATAGCACCACACTGTATTTTAATGATTTGTTCCCTTAATTACCTGTTCCCTTCTCCTGGTCTCTGTATGCCCATGGGGCAATAACTCTACCTTTCTAATTTTAATATCTCCTGGCCGGGTGCGGTGGCTCACTCCTGTAACCCCAGCACTTTGGGAGGCCAAGGTGGGCTGATCATGAGGTCAGAAGTTTGAGAGGAGCCTAGCCAACATGGTGAAACCCTGTCTCTACAAAAATACAAAAATTAGCCAGGCGTGGTGGCGTGCATCTGTAATCCCAGCTACTCAAGAGGATGAGGCCAGAGAATCACTTCAACCCGGAGGTGGAGGTTGCAGTGAGCTGAGATGGTGCCATTGCACTCCAGCCTGGGCGACAGAGCGAGACTCCGTCTCAAAAAAAAAATTTTTGTTTATTATCTCCAGTGTCCAGCATTGTGTCCTGTGTGTATTTCAGGTTTGTTGAATTATAAATTCATGAATAACTAATTATCCCAATTAATTGTAGGGCAAAGATCAAACCTAGAAATTCCCTGAGGAATGTTCCCATTTGGTCAGTAGGTGGCAGTCTTGCCTATTTTGAGCCGGCTACATTCACTTCGTGATAACAAAACCTACTTTTCCACTCGAGGGAAAAGGAGGATGATTTGGAGCGCTCCAGAGCTGGAAGGCTTCTCAGGGGTCATTGCTCATGACTTCCGTGGGTCCCTTACTCTAGTCTGTCAAAGCAGAAGTCAGCATTTCACTCTCGATAACTACTGCATACAAGTAACCAAGAGACTACTGGCTCAATGAGGAAAAAGGCGTGGACACCCCTTCAACTCAGCATTTGAGAAAAGTGAGACAAGTGCCTGCTCAAAGGCGCTTGGTGTGCAATAGTGTGTCCCAGGCTATCAGCATGCAGGCAGTGATGGCAGATACACGCCCTGAGAGTGAAGCCACAGCGAAGCTTCGACAGCAGGGGCCAGCGGCGAGTCATGAGGGGAATATAATGGCAGCTTCTCTAACTCCGGACAATATCCAGCAGCAGCTAACACTTTCTCATTCTCCAGTTAATGCAATAAAATTGCAGAGATGCTACATACGGTATTAATAGGAAGCAATAAGTATGCATTAGAATAACTCCTTTCCCAGTGTCAGGTTATTCTGACCAATGTGACTCCAGAGAGGAACTAGGCTCGCTATCAGCAACACTGAGCTACAGCTGGCTGGACTGGGCTATGGCCTAAAATTCTCTGTCACATCTCCCTGTGCAAGACAGCAAATTTCTACCTCTGCCTCCAGCAACTTTTGTACACAGAACAATGACCCAATCCCTCCTGAGAACTGTCCCACCTACATACGGGAGAAGCAATAAAAAGAGACCCAGCCTCCCCAGGAATTTCTCTGGGCCAGAGTCACTCCTTATATTTAAGACAGTCAGCAGTTTATAACACCTGCTGCATTATAAATCTTAGTCCTCCAAACCAGTGGTCTTTCATCTTAAAATCAGTTGAGTGATGATTTGATGTCAATGTAATATTGAAGTCAGGGAAGAGAAATAACCACAAACCTCTGCTTGATATGAGAAGGCACTGTGAAGGAAAATGTTTAGGACTTACAGAAAGTACACAAGAAAAATGTATAGAATCCTTATGTTGGCAGACTGGATGTCAATTTATGGCATTTGCACATAGTATGTCTACTATTCTAGTTTTATTTTAAATGTAAGTTTCTTTACATTAAAAAAAATGTTTTGGGGAGGGCACGGTGACTCATGCCTATAATTCAAGCACTTTGGAAGGCCGAGGCAGGTGGATTGCTTGAGGCCAGGAGTTCAAGACCAGCCTGGCCAACATGGAGAAACCCCATCTCTACTAAAAATACAAAAGTTAGCCAGGGGTGGTGGCATGTGCCTGCAATCCCAGCTACTCGAGAGGCTAAGGTGGGAGAATTGCTTGAACCCAGGAGGCAGAGGTTGCAGTAAGCCAAGATCACACCACTGCACTCCAGCTTGGACGACAGAGCGAGACTCTGTCTCAAATTTTAAAAAATTGAAATATTTTAAAGTTTTGGTTTATAAATATTCTTATGGTAATATAAAAGGTATCTTTTACCACGTGCAGAGCAAATGACTAAATCAGAAATGAATAAGACAACAGTCCCAACCCAAAATAAAAAAGGCTTATAACAGGCCTGGCATGGTGGCTTACACCTGTAATCCCAGCACCATGAGAGGCCGAGGCTGGTGGATTGCTTGAGTCCAGGAGTTTGAGACCAGCCTGGGACACATTGTGAAACCTCACCTCTATTAAAAATACAAAAAATTAGCAAGTCATGGTGATGCTTGCCCATAGTCCCAGCTACTCGAGAAGCTGAGGTGGGAGGATCACCTGAGCCCAGGAGGTTTAGGCTGCAGTGAGCTGAGATGGCACCACTGCACTCCAGCCTGGACAACCAGAGTGAGATCCTGTCTCAAGAAATATAAAAAATAAATAAAAGAATTATAAGAGAACACTGTGACCAGCCTAACCAACATGGTGAAACTCCATCTCTACTAAAAATACAAAAATTAGCTGGGCATGGTGGTGCATGCATGCAGTCCCAGCTACTCGGGAGGCTGAGGCAGAAGGATGGCTGGAACCCGGGAGGCAGAGGTTGCAGTGATCCCAGATCATGCCACTTGCACTCCAGCCTGGGTGACAGAGCACATTTCTGTCTCAAAAATAAAATAAAATAATAAAAATAAAGAGAACACTGTGAAAAATTGTGTGCCAACCAATTAGATAACCTAGTTGAAATGGATAAATTACTTGACAGACACAAACTACAAAAACAGACTCAAGAAGAGTAGAAAATCACAGAAAAAAAGAGAAATAAAAAAGAATAGAAAATCTGAAAAGATGTATAACAAGAGAATTATTAATCAAAAACTTCCCACAAAGAATAGCCCAGGGTCAGATGACTTCACTGGTGAATTCTACCAAATATTTAAAGAATTAATGCCAATTCTTCAAAAATTCTTCAAAAAAAAAAAGAGGAGGAAACACTTCGAAATCATTCTATTTGCCTAGTATAACACTGATACCAAAGACATCACAAAAAACTACAAATATATTTTAAATGATACATGCAAAACTCAACAAAATACAAGCAATCCAAATTCAGCAACATATAAAAGAGGATTATATACTATGACCAAGTGGAATTTATCCCAGGTATACAAGGTTGGTTTAATATCTGAAAATCTATCAATGTAATACACCAAATTAATAGAATAAAAGACAAAAACACATACTGATAAGAGATAGCCCATGTTCATGGATTAGACGACTTTTTTTTTTGAGACATGGTCTCACTTTGTCACTCAAGGTGGAGTACAGTGGCACAATCATGGCTCACTGCAGCCTCAACCTCCAGGGCTCAAGGGATTCACCTTAGCCTCTGCCTGTCCCTCAGGTACCTGAGACTATAGGCATGTTCCACCAGCTAATTTTTTATTTTTTACTTTTTTGTAAAGATGGAGTTTCACTATGTTGCCTAGGCTGGTCCCAAACCCCTGGGCTTAAGTGATCCTCCCACTTTGGTCTCCCAAAGTGCTGGAATTACAGAAGTGAGCCACCATGTCTGGCTAGAAGACTTAGTATTGTTAAAATAGCCATATTCTCTGAATTGATCTACAAATTTAAAGCTTGCATTTATCAAAATGCAAGCTGCCATTTTTGCAGAAATTGGCAAGGTGATTCTCAAATTTGTATGGAAATTCAAGGGGCCCAGAGGAGTCAAAACCATCTTGAAAAAGAAGAATAAGGCTAGGATTTCTTATTTTCAAAACTTACTACAAAACTACAGTAATCAAGACTGTATAAGACTTTATGTATCAAGTGTATAAAGTTAGACATATATAGCTCAATGGCACTTATGGCCAACTGATTTTCTACAAAGATACAAGACAATTCAATGGGAACAGAATATTTCTTTTCAGTAAATGTTGCTGGGACAACTTGATACCACATGCAAAAGAATAAAGTTGGACTCTTGCCTCACATCACATACAAACATTAACTCAAAAGTATTAAATGCTCAAATGAAAAGCTAAAGCTAGAAAACAGAGAATTTTAAGACCTAGGAGTAAATCTGCATGACTTAGCATTAGGTAATCATAACTTAGATGTGACAACAAAACCACAGGCAAAAAAAAAAAAGAAAAAATAGATAATTTAGACTTCATTGAAATTAAAAACTTTTGTTTATTAAAAGACACTGTCAAGAAAGTGAAAAGACAATACACAGAATGAGAGAAAATATTTGCAAATAATATATATAATAAGGATCTAGTATCCAGAATACATAAATATTATTATAATTCAATAAAAAGACAAATGGTACCATTTTAAAATAGGCAAAGGACCGGAAAAGACATTTATCCAAAGAAAACATACAAGTGGCAAATAAGTTCATGAAAGTGATTATCAATACCGTTAATTACTAGGGAAATGCAAATCAAAACCACAATGAAATACCACTCCACACCCACTAGAAAGGCTACAATCAAAAAGACAGACAATAATAAATCTTGGCAAAGATATGGAAAAATTGGAAGCTTCATGAGCGGCTGGCAGGAATGTAAAATGGTGCAGCCACTGTGGAGAACAGTTTGGCTGTTCCTCAAAAAGTTAAACATGGAATTACCATGTGTATTAGTCCGTTTTCACACTGCTGATAAAGACATACCTGAGACTGGGAAGAAAAAGAGGTTTAATTGGACTTACAGTTCCACATGGTTGGGGAGGCCTCAGAATTATGGTGGGAGGCAAAAGGCACTTCTTGCGTGGCAAGGGGCAAGAGAAAAATGAGGAAGAAGCAAAAGCGGAAACCCCTGATAAACCCGTCAGATCTTGTGAGACTTATTCACCACCACGAGAATAGCATGGGAAAGACCGGCCCCCATGATTCAATTACCTCCCTCTGGTGCCCTCCCACAATACGTGGGAATTCTGGGAGATACAATTCAAATTGAGATTTTGGTGGGGACACCGCCAAACCATATCATTCCACCCTTGGCCCCTCCAAATCTTATGTCCTCACATTTCAAAACCAATCATACCTTCCCAACAGTCCCCCAAAGTCTTATTTCAGCATTAACCCGAAAGTCCACAGCCCAAAGTCTCATCTGAGACAAGGCAAGTCCCTTCCGCCTATGAGCCTGTAAAATCAGAAGCAAGCTAGTTACTTCCTAGATACAATGGGGGTACAGGTATTGGGTAAATACAGCCATTCCAAATGGGAGAAATGGGCCAAAACAAAGGGGTTACAGGGCCCATGCAAGTCTGAAATCCAGCAGGGCAGTCACATTTTAAAGCTCCAAAATGATCTCCTTTGACTCCAGGTCTCGCATCCAGGTCACGCTGATGCAAGAGGTGGGTTCCCATGGTCTTGGACAGCTCCCTCCCTGTGGCTTTGCAGGGTACAGCCTCCCTCCTGGCTGCCTTCATGGGCTGGCATTGAGTACCTGCATCTTTTCCAGGCACATGGTGCAAGCTGTTGGTGGATCTACCATTCTGGGGTCTGGAGGACGGTGGCTGTCTTCTCACAGTTCCACTAGGCAGTGCCCCAGTATGGACTCTCTGTCGGGGCTCCGATCCCACATTTTCCTTCTGCACTGCTCCAGCAGAGGTTCTCCATAAGGGCCCCACTCCTGCAGCAAACTTTTGCCTGGGCATCCAGGCATTTCCAAACATCTTCTGAAATCTAGGCAGAGGTTCCCAAACCTCAGTTCTTGACTTCTGTGCACCTGTAGGCTCAACACCACGTGGAAGCTGCCAAGGCTTAGAGCTTCCACCCTCTGAAGCCACAGCCCGAGCTCTACGTTGGCCCCTTTCAGTCACAGCTGGAGCGACTGGGACACAGGGCACCAAGTCCCTAGGCTGCACAAAGCACGGGGATGCTGGGCCTGGCCCACGAAACCTCTTTTTCCTCCTGGCCTCCAGCCTGTGATGGGAGGGGCTGCCATGAAGGTCTCTGACATGGCCCGGAGACATTTTCCCCATGGTCTTGGAGATTAACATTAGACTCCTTGCTACATATGCAAATTTCTGCAGCTGGCTTGAATTTATCCTCAAAAAATGGGTTTTTCTTTTCTACTTCATCATCAGGCTGCAAATTTTCTGAACTTTTATGTTCTGTTTCCCTTTTAAAATGGAATGCTTTTAACAGTACCCAAGGTATCTTTTGAATGCTTTGCTGCTTAGAAATTTCTTCTGCCTGATACCCTAAATTATCTCTTTCAAGTTCAAAGTTCCACAATTCTCTCAGGCAGGGGCAAAATGCTGCCAGTCTCTTTGCTAAAACATAACAAGAGTCACCTTTGCTCCAGTTCCCAACAAGTTCCTCATCTCCATGAGACAACCTCAGCCCGGACTTTATTGTTCATATCACTATCAGCATTTTTGTCAAAGCCATTCAACAAGTCTCTAGGAGGTTCCAAACTTTCCCACATTTTCCTATCCTCTTTTGAACTCTCCAAACTGTTCCAATCTCTCCCTGTTACCCAGTTCCAAGGTCACTTCCACGTTTTCAGGTATCTTTTCAGCAACGCCCCACTCTACTCGTACCAATTTACTATATTAGTCCATTTTCACGCTGCTAATAAAGACATACCCAAGACTGAGAAGAAAAACAGGTTTAATTGGACTTAATAGTTCCACATGGCTGGGGAGGCCGCAGAATCATGGCAGGAGGTGAAAGGCACTTTTTACATGGCAGCCACAAGAGAAAAATGAGGAAGAAACAAAAGCGGAAACCCCTGATAAACCCATCAGATCGTGTGAGACTTATTCACTATAATGAGAATATCGTGGGAAAGACTGGTCCCCATGATTCAATTACCTCCCCCTAGGTTCCTCCCACAATGCATGGGAATTCTGGGAGATAAAATTCAAGTTGAGATTTTGGTGGGGACACAGCCAAACCATATCACCATGTAATTCCATTCCCCAGCATATACCCTAGATAACTGAAACCGGGGACTCATTTCTTGCACTCTAATGTGCACAGCAGCTTTATTCACAATAACTCAAAGGTAGAAACAGGCCAAATGTTCATCAACAAATGAGTGGATAAACAGTTGTCATATATACATGCAATGGAATATTATTTAGCCATCAAAAGGAATGAAGTACTGGTTCATGCTACAACATTGGATGAACCTTGAAAATATATTAAGTGAAGGAAGCCAGACACAAAAGACCACATAGTGTATGATTTCATTTACATAACATATCCAAAATAGATAATTCTGTAGAGATAGAAAGCAGATTAATAGGCTGGGAGTGGTGGCTCATGCCTGTAATCCTAGCACTTTGGGAGGCTGAGGCGGGTGGATCATCTGAGGTCAGGAGTTCGAGACCAAATTGGCCAACATGGTGAAACCCCATCTTTACTAATAATACAAAAATTAGCTGGGCGTGGTGGCAGGCACCTGTAATCCCAGCTACTTGGGAGGCTGAGGCAGGAGGCAGGAGAATTGCTTGAACCCAGGAGGCAGAGGTTGCGGCGAGCTGAGATCACGCCATTGCACTCCAGCCTGGGTGACAAGAGTGAAACTCCGTCTCCAAAAAAAAAAAAAAAGAGAAAGAAAGCAGATTAGTAGTTCCCAGGGGCTGGAGGCAGGGAGAGATGAATACAGACTGCTTAATGGCTATTAGTTTCCTTTTGGTGTGATGAAATGCTTTGGAACTAGATGGAGGAGGTGGTTGCACAACACTGAGAATGTATGACATTCTGCTGAATTGTTTTCAGTTGTCAACTTTATGGTATATGAATTTCACCCCAAGGTTTAAAAAACTTCTGTGAAGATGAAATGTCTTTTACCTTGTTTCCTACAGCCTTTCTTTGCTTTTTTGTTCCAAAAAGGTCTTTGAGATCTCTGTAACGCAATGCTTCCTTCAGGCACAGCATCCTGATGCACGCTGCTCCCTTTGCACAGAAGGATTGCTCTCATCGCCTCACTGGGCTCACTCTCAACCCTTGTTTTGTCACTTCTAAAGGAATCCTTCCCTGATTTCACTTACTAAATCAGATTACCTTCTTGTATGCAGTCGTGTCCCACATAAACACCATTTCCAGCACTTATCTTCATTGCAATTTTATATTCATTTGCGTGAACAACTCTGCTTTTAGACTATCAACTGCATGAGGGCAAAGACCATGTATTTTATTCAGCATGGAAGACCCAGAGTTTGGGACTTAGGAGGTACTCAATAAACAAGCCTTGGAATGATTAATCAAATAAATATTTGAAAATTATCTGCACAGTGCCTTGTAGGCCAAGCAGGGCAGATAATCTGAGGTCAGGAGTTGGAGATCAGCCTGGCCAACATAGTGAGGCCCTGTCTCTAATAAATATATAAAAATTAGCGGGGTGTGGTGGCACACACCTGTAATCCCAGCTGCTCTGAAGGCTGAGCCAAGAGAACTGCTTGAACTTGGAAGGCAGAGGTTGCAGTGAGCTGAGATCGAGCCACTTGCACTCCAGCCTGGGCAACAGTGTGAGACTCTATCTCAAAAAAAAAAAAAAACAGTTCAAACATAGAATAACCATATGACCCAGCAATTCCACTCCTAGGTATATACCCAAAAGAATTGAAAGCAAGAATTCATGGCCAGGTGCGGTGGCTCATGCCTGTAATCCCAACATTTTGGGAGGCCGAGTCGGGGGATCACCTGAGGTCAGGAGTTCGAGACCAGCCTGGCCAACATGGTAAAACCCTATCTCTACTGGAAAAACACAGAAAATATTAGCCGGGCATGGCAGCACATACCTGTAATCCCAGCTACTCGGGAGGCTGAGGTAGGAGAATCGCTTGAACCTGGGAGCTGGAGGTTGCAGCAAGCCGAGATTGCACCACTGCACTCCAGCCTGGGTGACAGAGTGAGACTCCATCAAAAAAAAAAAAAGCAAGAACTCAAACTTGAAAACCAATGTTCAGGGCAACATCAACCACAGCAGCCAAAAGATGGAAACAACCCAAATGTCCCTCAACAGAGGAGTGAATAAATAGAATCTGGTATATACATACGATGGAATATTATTCAGTCTTAAAACGGAAGGAAATTCTGACAGGTGCTCAAGATGAATGAAGCATGAGACATTATGCTAAATGAAATAAGCCAGTCACAGAAGGACAAATACTTCTGATTCCACTTAAATAAGGTATCTAAAGTAGTCAAATTCATTGAAAAGGAAAGATGAATGGTGGTTGCCAGGGACTGGGGGAGGGGAGGAAGAAATAGGGAGTTGTTGGCTGGGTGCGGTGACTCACGCCTGTAATCCCAGCACTTTGGGAGGCTGAGGCAGGTGGATCGCCTGAGGTCAAGAGTTCAAGACCAGCCTGGCCGACATGTTGAGAACCCCGTCTCTACTGAAAATACAAAAAATTAGCCAGGCATGGTGGCGGGCGCCTGTAATCTCAGCTACTAGGAGGATGAGACCAGAGAATCACTTGCACCAGGAGGCGGAGGTTGCAGTGAGCCGAGATCGTGCCATTGCACTCCAGCCTGGGCGACAGGGCGAGAATCCGTCTCAAAAACAAAAAAAAGAAAAAGAAAAAGAAAAAGAAAAAGAAAGAAATAGGGAGTTGTTTGTTTAAAGGGGTATAGAGTTTCCATCTTGCAGAGTTTCCATCTTGCAAGATGAAAAAGTTCTGGATATCTACTGCACAACAGTGTGAACATACTTAACACTATTGAACTGCACACTTAAAAATGGTTAAGATGATATTTTTTGTGTGATTTTGTTTGTTTGTTTTGAGACAGAGTCTCCTTCTGTCTCTCAGGCTGGAGTGCAGTGATGCAATCTTGGCTCACTGCAACCTCCACCTCCCAAGTTCAAGGGATTTTCCCGCCTCAGCTTCCCAAGTAGCTGGGATTACAGGCGCCCGCCACCATGCCCAGCTAATTTTTGTATTTATAGTAGAGACGGGGTTTTGCCATGTTGGCCAGGCTGGTTTTGAATTCCTGACCTCAGGTAATCTGCCTGCCTCAGCCTCCCAAAGTGCTGGGATTACAGGCATGAACCACCACATCCGGCCTTGTGTGATATGTATTGTACCACAATTAAAATTTTTTTAAATTTAAGAATGAAATTTTGATACATGCTGTCATATGGATGAACCACATGAACTAGGTAAAACAGGCCAGACACAAAAGGACAAATATCATATGGTGCCACTTATATGAGATACATAGAATAGACAAATTCATAGACAGAAAGTAGAATAATATAGTTACAAAGGGCTGGGGCAGGAGAAAATGGAGAGTTACAGTTTAATTGAATGGAGTTTAGGTTTGGAATGATGAAAAAGTTCTGGAAATGGATAGCAGTGATTGTTGCATAACCTTGTGAATGCACTTAATGTATATCATGCACTTAAAGCGACTTAATGTACACTTACGAACGGTTGAAATTGTACATTTTGTGTCATGTAAATGTTACTATAATAAAAACATTTAAATCATTTTAATGTACTATGTGTATATAACAACTGTTTGTCTAGTATCCAAGAACATAGGCCAGGTGCAGTGACTCACACCTGTAATCCCAGCACTTTGGGAGGCTGAGGCGGGCGGATAACCTGAGGTCAAGAGTTCGAGACCAGCCTGACCAACAAGGTGAAACCCCCATCTCCACTAAAAATACAAAATTATCCAGGCATGGTGCATGCCTGTAATCCCAGGTACTTGGGAGGCTGAGGCAGGAGAATCGCTTGAACCTGGGAGGCAGAGGTTGCAGTGAGCGGAGATCGTGCCACTGCACTCCAGCCTGGGCAACAAGAGTGAAACTTCGTCTCAAAAAAAAAAAAAAAGAACATTGTCTCTGGAGCCAGTTGACTTGGGTTTAAATCTTAGCCCTAATACTTCTTTCGAGCTAGATGTCCTCATACTAAATACTTGACCTCTCTGTGCCTCAATTTTTTTCAACTATAAAATGGCATAAATAAAAGGGTCTGGTGAGGATTGAATAAGATGAACAGATAAAGCTTTTAAAAACTCCTATATATATGGATGCTCGATAATCATCAGAATTATCTTTATAAAATTTCAAGTACATAGAAGAATATGAAGTCTCTTACATACAAATGGCCAAGAAGCTATTCTCATTCCACATGTTCCACATCATTATTAGTGAAATGCAAATCAAACCCACAATGAGAAACCATTTCGTGCCCACTAGAATGGTTATCATCAAAAATGCAGATAATAACAAATGTTGGCAAGGATGTGAGAAACAGGAACATTCATTTCTTGTGGGGGAGTAACATGGTGCAGCCACTTAGGAAAACAATTTGGCAGTTTCTTTAAAAGTCAAACATGGGCCAGGCATGGTGGCTCACACCTGTAATCCCAGCACTTTGGGAGGCTGAGGCAGGTGGATCACTTGAGGCCAGGTGTTCGAGACCAGCCTAGGCAACATAGTGAAACCCCATTTCTACTAAAAATACAAAAAAATTACGTGGGCTATGGAGGTGCGCACCTGTAATCCCAGGTACTCAGGAGACTGAGACACGAGAATCGCTTGAACCCGGGAGGCAGAGGTTGCAGTGAGCCAAGATGGTGCCACTGCACTCCAGCCTGGGTGACACAGTGAGACACTGTCTCAAAAAAAAAAAAAAAAGTTAAACATAAATTTGCTAATCTACTCAGCAATTCCACTGCTAAATATATTCCCAAGAAAAAGAAAAACATGTTCACATAAAGACTTGCAAACATATGTTTACAGTAGCATTATTTATAATAGCCCCACCATGGAAACAATCCACATGTCCACCAACTGATGAATGCATACACACTCCACACGATGGAAAGCTAGTTGGCCATAAAAAAGAATGAGGTACTGGAACATGCCACCACATGGATAACTTTCAAAACATTATGCCAAGTGAGGTCGAGCATGGTGGCTCACGCCCATAATGCCAGCACTTTGGGAGGCTGAGGCAGGTGGATCATGTAAGGTCAGGAGTTCAAGACCAGCCTGACCAAAATGGTGAAACCCTGTCTCTACTAAAAATATAAAATTAGACGGGTGTGGTGGCAGGTGCCTATAATCCCAGCTACTCAGGAGGCTGAGGCAGGATAATCACTTGAATCCAGGAGGCGGAGCTTGCAGTGAGCTGAGATCACACCACTGCACTCCAGCCTGGCGACAGAGCGAGACTCTGTCTCAAAAAAAAAAACTTGATTTATGAACACTTACAGAGGCACTTATGTGTCAGGCATTATGGTAAGTGCTTTACAAATATTGACTTCTTTCAATCTTCATACCCATATGCATTAGGATTAATCATCCCCCATTTTTCAGATGGTGAGACTGAGGCAGAGATATTAAGTAACATATCAAGGTCACACAGCTAGTCTTGGCATCTGAGCCCAAGTAAACTGCTCCAGGTGGCTCTGCAAACTGGCTGAGCTTCGTGTCTCCCCGCAAATAACCTCACTGGGTCTCCCAAACACAGAAGCACAGAGGTGGGTATGATTATCTCCATTTCACATGTGAGACAGATGAGAGCACAGCAGTTATGTGATGTGCCCGAGGTCACACAGCTGCTGTCAGAGCCTGGATTCAAATCCAGGTTTGGTGACATGGAAGCTGTGCTACTTCAACCATGCTATGTCTTTTCAGTAAAGCATCAAAATGCAGCCATTCTGGGATCTGTGCGAACATCAGAGAGCGCACTTTTTTCTCTGACACGAACTAAATTGGGTTACACTGCTGTTATCTGACATCTTCCCCGGCTATGGTAGAGCCACTCTCATTGTCAAAGAACAGAGAGTAGCATTTTTAAAAAAGAAAACCCGGGAACTCAATAGACAGGAAATCCCTAGCAATTATTTCTCTAAGGAGTTAAAAAAATATTTTAAAATCCATATTAACTCAATGGATTGGATGCAAACTAGCCACATATACTGGAAGCCACATACCACGAGAGGACTAAAATCTAGACTGAAGCATTCTTACTTTTATTCTTAGATTTCCAAGTAATATGAACCCTTAACAAGATAACAATACCATCTGCTAGCACACTCTCTGCCCCATTATCCTTGTACACGGCTGAAGGGCCATGGTATATCAGCATCATAGAGCCCAGTATTGCTGCGTAGTTACAATGAACTTGAGTCTCCCGGCTATACAGCAATTTGAGGATTAACTTTATTAAACAGAATAGACAGATTTTGTGGAACGTGCCTGTTTTGGCTGAGAACTTATCTGCACGATTCTAATATTGAGACCAGGATACAGCTGTTTGTGACTAAGCCCATGCTCACTGAGTAAGTACTATCTGAGCATTATTCATCACCAGACATCTGTTTCCTGTTTTCTTTCTTTCCTTTATCATTCTTTCCCAATTTCCTTTCACCTGTAGGCCACCTAAGACAACCACAGTGAAGTAAGTCTAATGTTTGACTGTCTCTTTTCCCTTCCGTAACTGTTGTTAGGGTAGTGTAGTCATTCTACTTGGAGGATGGGGGAGGGAACCCAAGGGTCACTCTGAGCCTGGAAGGCTGTTGCCTGTGCAGTCTATCTTTAGGTGACTAACTTCCTCCCTTGTTCCCCATTAAGAACTTTTCCTGTTGAGGCAGTACCAGCCCCTCCAAACATACAATTGTGAACTGAATCACAAATGGAAAACCTCCTGTGGCACAAATAAGGCAAGGCAGTAACTTACCTAAAGCAAAGCCAGTACACTCTGATATGAAAAAAATGGAACCTCTTACATGAATACAGAACACAGGATGTGTTTAAATTTAAGGAAGTTCATTTCTATGCAAATAGGTTGAGGTCAGAGAAGTTTTCCTCAGCCCAAGGGAACATCTTTATCATCAGTGTATTACAACAGACTTTAGAGGTCATTTTACACAGTCCTCATATTTTACAAAGCTTGTCATTGTATTTTACAGTCTAAAAGATGAAGTGATTTGTCTAATAGATTCCATTTTAAATGGCTTAAGAATAAGAGAGCGCAATTTAAATACCCCAATAATGAATATTCAGAAAATGTGTTGTATGAAAGGAGAGAAGGTTAGCCCTCCCCTTAACAAACACAGAGTTCCTGGCATCTCACTATGTTTTTATCTTCATCTCACTGTACTCTAAGAATTCTTCTTTTTTTTTTTTAATTTCAGCTCACTGCAACCTCCATCTCCCAAGTTCAAGTGACTCTCCCACCTCAACCTCCCAAAGTAGCTGGGATTATAGGCACGCACCACCACACCCGGCTAATTTTTGTATTTTTAGTAGAGACGGGTGTTTCACCATGTTGGCCAGGCTGGTCTCGAACCCCTGACCTCAGAGGTGATCCGCCCACCTCTGCCTTCCAAAGTGCTGGGATTACAGGCGTGAGCCACCACGCCTGGCCAAAAACACATTCTTTGTACCTTGGCGCTTTTCTTAGCAACCTTCTTTGTATCTTATCCTCTCTTTTCCTCCCTATGTTATATGCAAATAGGACTTTTGAAATATTTAAGGCCGGGCATGGTGGCTCACGCCTGTAATCCCAGCACTTTGGGAGGCTGAGGCGGGCGGATCACGAGGTCAGGAAATCGAGACTATCCTGGCTAACATGGTGATACCCCGTCTCTACTAAAAATACAAAAACAAAACAAACAAACAAACAAAAATTAGCCGGGCGTGGTGGCGGGCGCCTATAGTCCCAGCTACTCGGGAGGCTGAGGCAGGAGAATGGCATGAACCTGGGGAGGTGGAGCTTGCAGTGAGCTGAGATTGCGCCACTGCACTCCAGCCTGGGCGACAGAGCGAGACTCCGTCTCAAAAAAAAAAAAAAAAAAAAAGACACTTTGTAAAATATTTAACATAGGAAGATGGCTTTATTATTAAAAATGTTTATTAAAAGCAGGCATAGAACAAAGTGAATGCTTCTTCTCAGATGGTTTCCTGTGCTTTGTCATTGTTACGGGAAAGGGGTCCCGATCCAGACCCCAAGAGGTTCTTGAATCTTGGGCAAGAAAGAATTTGGGGTGAGTCAATCCATAAAGTGAAAGCAAGTTTATTAAGAAAGTAAAGGAGGCTGGGTGCGGTGGCTCATGCCTGTAATCCCAGCACTTTGGGAGGCCGAGGCAAGCGGATCACAAGGTCAGGAGATCAAGAAAACATCCTGGCTAGCACCATGAAACCCTGTCTCCACTAAAAATACAAAAAATGAGCCAGGCGTGGTGGCAGGTGCCTGTAGTCCCAGCTACCAGCTACTCAGGAGGCTGAGGCAGGAGAATTGCTTGAACCTGGGAGGCAGAGATTGCAGTGAGCTGAGTTCGCGCCACTGCTCTCCAGCCTGGGCAACAGAGCAAGACTCCATCTCAAAAAACAAAAATAATAGTAATAATAATAAAGGAATAAGAGAATGGCTACTCCATAAGCAGAGCAGCAGCATGGGCTGCTAGCTAGCTATTTTTATGGTTGTTGATTATATGCTAAACAAGGGGTGGGTTATTCATGAGTTTTCTGGGAAAGGGGTGACCAATTCCCAGAGCTGAGGGCTCCTCCCCTTTTTAGACCATATAGGGTAACTTCCTGACGTTTCCATGGCATTTGTAAACTGTCATGTTGTGGTGGAAGTATCTTTTAGCATGCTAATGCATTATAATTAGTGTATAATGAGCAGTGGAGACGACCAGAGGTCACTTTCATCATCTTGGTTTTGGTGGGATTTCGCCAGCGTCTTTACCACAACGTGTTTTATCAGCAAGGTCTTTGTGACCTGAACCTCGTGCCAACCTCCTATCTCATCCTGTGACTAAGAATGCCTAACCACCTGGGAATGCAGCCTAGTAGGTCTTTTACCCAGCCCCTGTTCAAGATGGAGTCCTGTGGGTCAAATGCCTCTGACATCATCACTCTTCAAAAATACTTTGTAAATCAAGATTAATAATCAACTTATTGGCTGTTACACAACTTACTGAACCTAGCATTCCAGATGGTATAGAATTAAATAATTCTGCACTTTTCCTGTGTTTGTCTGATGTTAAGTCAATTAACTTCAGAGTTGAGGTTTCAATACCAACACAGGTGACAATTACCTTGCTGGTTGTCTAATACATCTACTCTCTTATGCACCCATTATAATAGAATTTTTCAGTTCAGCTCAGAAGCGGCCAAAGTAAAGGCTTCAACCTCCTTTGAAATAATGGGACTGCATCCAAGTTCTGGCCAATGGTATATAAACAAGAATTTTGTGTGGAAACTTCCTTAGGAAAAGCAGGCTTGCTCTTTGCCTGCTTGGATCATGAAAATGAGTATCTCACTCTAGGAATGAGGGTGCCTGGGGCTGAGACTTTGTGAAGCAGATCCAGCAACCAGCCCTCAACTGATCGCAGCTCTTCGTGCACAAGAGAAAAATAAACTATCTCATTCAAGCACTGTGATTTGGGGATCCTATCAGTGGATCCAAAATGAATGCTAACACACCAGCTCCGTCACTTGGGTCTCTGAAAAATAAAAGCATGTTTTAAAATTTTTGCCTGTCCTTTAAAATTCACAGGATTTCGTGTTATTATAGAAGATGGTCGGCTGGGCACAGTGGCTCACGCCTGCAATCCTAGCACTTTGGGAGGCCGAGGCGGATCACCTGAGGTCAAGAGTTCAAGACCAGCCTGGCCAACATAGTGAAACCCCATCTCTACTAAAAATACAAAACATTAGCCAGGTGTGGTGGCGGGCACCTGTAATCCCAGCTACTCGGGCTGAGGCAGCAGAATCATTTGAACCCAGGAGGTGGAGGTTGCAGTAGCTGAGATCACACCAGTGCACTCTAGCCTGGGCAAAAAGAACAAAACTGTGTCCGCCCCCCAAAAAAAAAGATGGTCCCAGTCATGATTCTTTACAAGTCCTAGGTTCTAAGGAATCGTTTAATAACAAGTCAATTATATAATCCTGGATAAAAATTGAAAGAGGCCGGGCACTGTGGCTCACGCCTGCAATCCCAGCACTTTGAGAGGCCGAGGCTGAGGTCAGGAGTTCGAGACCAGCCTGGCCAACATGGCAAAACACCGTCTCTACTAAAAATACAAAAATTGGCCAGGCGTGGTGGCAAATGCCCATAATCCCAGCTACTCAGGAGGCTGAGGCAGGAGAATCACTTGAACCCGGGAGGCAGAGGTTGCAGTGAGCTGAGATCATGCCATTACTCTCCAGCCTGGACAACAGAGAAACTACGTCTCAAAAAAAAAAAAAAAAAAAAAAAATTGAAAGATAATCTTGGTACATAAATTATTTTGTAAATAGAATCTCAGAAGAGCAATATATGAGATCGATAAGCAAACAAAACAAATATTGCATTGTTGAGGTTTTCAAATTTTTTTTATTTTTAAGAAAATAACTAGCCAGGAATCATTTTATTTCTACTGTGGAAGAATTATGAATTATTCAAGATCAATCTTTAATTGCTCAATGTAAATTAAGCCTTCATATGATTTGGATATAAAGTATCTTTCAGAAGCTAAATAATCATACTAACTGCTCCCTTGAGCCCGGGATGCAGAGGTTGCAGTGAGCTGAGATTGCACCACTGCACTCCACCCTGGGCAACAGAGGGAGACTGCCTCAAAAAAAAAAAAAAAAAAAAACTTATTAACTGCTGAATCTTTTACATTAACTTAAGCTTAATTCTCACATTATCAATTGTATTGCTCATATAATATTTGAACCATTTTTTCAAAATCAGTTGTAATGACTGAAAGATGAAGGTCTCCAATGTCTGAGATAAGTAAAAGGATATCAATTAATACTAGAACATTTACCTTCTTCAAGAAAAATATGTTAATGGCTTAATCATGATTGTCTACTTTTGAGAGACAGGACTCGCTGGATTTCCTAGGCCGACTAGGAATTCCTAAGCCTAGCTGGGGAAGGTGACCACACCTACCCTTAAACACGAGGCTTGTAACTCAGCTCACACCCGACCAATCAGGTAGCAAAGAGGGCTCACTAAAATACAAACTAGGCTAAAAGCAGGAAGTAGAGAAATAGTCAAATCACATATCGCCTGAGAGTACAGGGGTAGGGACAATGATTGGGATATAAACCCAGGCATTTGAGCAGGAAGTGGGCAACCCCCTTTGCATCCCCTCCCATTGTATGGGAGCTGTTTTCATTCTATTAAATCTTGCAACTGCACACTCTTCTGGTCTGTGTTTGTTACAGCTCGAGCTGAGCTTTCGCTCACTGTCCACCACTGCTGTTCACTGCTGTCCCAGACCCACCATTGACTTCCACCCACTGGATCCAGCAGGGTGTCCGCTGTGCTTCTGATCCAGAGAGGTGTCCATTGCCGCTCCCAATCGGGCTAGAGGCTCACCATTGTTCCTGCATGGCTAAGGGCCCAGGGTTCATCCTAATCGAGCTGAACACTAGTCACTGGGTTCCACAGTTCTCTTCCGTGACCCATGACTTCTACTAGAGCTATAACACTGACCACATGGCCCAAGGTTCCATTCTTTGGAATCCGTGAGGCCAAGAACCCCAGGTCAGAGAACAAAAGGCTTGCTGCCATCTTGGGAGTGGCCACCACCATCTTGGGAGCTCTAAGAACAAAGGCCTGCCTGTAACACTTCTACCACAGAATTGAGAAAATAAATTCATTTGTAATTTTTGTTTCTCTCACCTTCAATGTCACTGGCAAACATACTGCCTACCAGCTACTCCTCAGCCTTACACCTTAAGCATACGTCCTGATCTTACTCTTCGAGTTGAGGGTTTACCATCTTGGCATTGGGTAGCCGTGTTTCCCTGAGGCTACAGATTAAGAGGGGTCACCAACTCATTCCATCTGCTCTCATCTCGGCAGAGCAGGCCTACAGGTCAATCCCATTCCACTTGTGCATTTCATTCTGATCTGTAACAGTAACAAGGCCTGGATGAAAAGATCACTGAAAAAACAAACTAGAAATATTCTAAAATAGTTGTCATTTTCCTTCCATAGACTATCAGGGAGTTTGTATCTTTGAGACAGAACCCACACAGACTCAGTTTCTCTATGCAGTCCTTGTTTCCTGCCATTTAATTTTAGATGAAAATGAGACATATGAGTACACTGAAAAGTAACATCACCATCTGGAAAATTATACATAAGGAAAATGCAATAAGGGAATATAGATCCTTCAGCCCCTATTCCAGTACTCTTTAACAACTCTGCTTCCTTGGACGGGAATTCATGAGGTATAATACTTAAGGAGATTTTCATCTGTAGGTTTTAGGATTTTCTTATCGGCCATATTCACCACCCATCCTGGAGCAAGACCAAAGAAAATCTGCCTTGGATCCTTCCTAGTACAGAGCATTTTGAAGAGTTCATCTTTAGTGATATCAGGTAAGATATAACCATACTTCCTGGCGAGTTCAAGTCGTGCTTCAGGAAATTTGGCAGGATCCGCCAGGTACCCACGGTTCTTTGCATCAGTGTAATATGGTACCAGTTCTTCTGGTGGAAGCATTCTTTTTGGAATGGGTTGTCCACGAAGAAAGAATGGAACAGGTTTGCATACAATGTCTAAAAGAAAATTTAAATTTAAAAAGTGAGATGCAAATATTAGCTCATAGACATACCTAGAGATGTAACTCTAACATAGAGATGTAACTCTGTACCATAGAGATGTTACAGAGTTTCTCTTGATTATTAATTTTTATTATTTTTTTTTTGAGACGCAGTTTCACTCTTGTTGCCCAGACTGGAGTACAATGGCACCATCTCGGCTCACTGCAACCTCTGCCTCATGGGTTCAAGCAATTCTCCTGCCTCAGCCTCCCAAGTAGCTGGGATTAGAGGCACATGCCGCCACGCCCGGATCATTTTGTATTTTTAGTAGAGACGGGGTTTGACCATGTTGGTCAGGCTGGTCTGGAACTCTTGACCTCAGGTGATCCACCCACCTGGGCCTCCCAAAGTGCTGGGATTACAGGCATGAGCAACCATACCTGTATCTGGAAAACCAATTTTACTAAAATGAGTTATCTTAACTAAAGAGCAGGCAAAGAAATCTTATGTGAAACAAACCAAGGAATGCTGCATAACCCCAGTTCTGTTTTCAAACATTTTAAAGGACCCGAGACACATGTTCTGAAAGTGAGATAGTGAAAAAAAGGCCTACGCACAAGATATCACAGATGCCACAGGGCCTTTAGATAGCTTAGAAAGCAATTACACAAATAGATAACTGTATGAATACAACTGACACTCTACTCATCGTGTTAGCAATGCAACCTTAACCAAAGCTGGTTACAGAAATCAAAACAGTACTAAGGAAATTACTGAGAACCTCAAAATAATAGTACATATGTCACAGAGCAGTTACAAAGTTTACCTGATGTAATCCACAGAATCCATTCACACATGTATAGTATTTGGTATACAATGAGACAGATGTTAACTATCACCCACCAGGGCGTAAGCTCTGTGAAGGAAGGGACTTTTTTTTTTTTTTTTTTGAGACAAAGTCTCGCTCTGTCGCCCAGGCTAGAGTACAGTGGCATGATCTCGGCTCACTGCAACCTCTGCCTCCCAGACTCAAGTGATTCTCCTGCCTCAACCTCCCAAGTAGCTGGGATTACAGGCATGCACCACCATGCTCAGCTAATTTTTGTATTTTTAGTAGAGATGGGGTTTTGCCATGTTGGCCAGGCTGGTCTTGAACTCCTGAACTCAGGTGATCCACTTCACTTGGCCTCCCAAAGTGCTGGGATTACAGGCGTGAGGCCACTGCGCCCGGCCAGGAAAGGACTTTTGACTCTTGCACTATCGTCTCTCCATCAGCTGGAACAGTATCTAGCAAACACTAGCCTCTGGCTGTTTGCTGAATGCAAGAATCTGACAGCTGTTTTATACAGCTCTAATATATTGCATCACCTAGCAGTATCTCCACACAGGGCAAATGAGAAATGGTGATTAGGAGGTACTCCAGGCAGGCCACTCACAGAAATGAGAACTGGAAGCTATCTGCTAAGGGTCGAGACCAAGAATTATAAAGCAGAGCCACCTAAAGCCAGGTCATGCTCTGGATAAACCATCCTACCTACTTCACCTACAACAGAGGGTAAGTAAATAGTGGATGTCCTTGAATCATCAAGAAAGTATCTTCAAAATATATTTAAGAAAGAAATTTGTAGACCAGGCACAATGGCTCATGCTTTTAATGCCAGCACCTTGGGAGGTAGGAGAATTGCTTGAGCGCAGGAGTTCAAGACCAGCCTGAGCAACATAGTGAGACCTCATCTCTACAAAACATAAAACAAAAAAAAGTTAGCATGGTGACATGCACCTGTAGTCCCAGTTACTCAGGGGGCCTAGGTGGCAGGATTTCTTGAGCTCAGGAGTTTCAGATTGCAGTGAGTGGAACTGCACTCTAGCCTGAGAGAGCAAGACCATCTCAAATGAAAAGAAAAAAAAAAAATTTCTGGCCCGGCATGGTGGCTCACACCAAGGATCACTTGAAACCAGGAGTTTGAGACCAGCATGGGCAACACAGTAAGACCCCTATCTTTATAAAAATCAAATTAGCCAGGCATGGTGGCACACACCTGTAGTCCCAGCTACTCATGAGGCTGAGATGGGAGGATCACTTGAGCCCAGGAGTTGGAGGTTGCAGTCAGCCTTGATCACACCACTACATTCCAGCCTGGGTGACAGAGTGAGACCATGGTGCAAAAAATTTTCTATAACTTGGAAAACTAAAGTACAACAAAGTAAATTATTCAGAGGCAAAATTGCTAATAAGTGATAAGCCTGTGATTGGATTTGTTTTATTACTTTTTTAAACAAAAAGATCCTGGGACAACCTGCAGAGCTGCTGCAGAGAGCCACGCACAAGAGCATCAAGGCTGAGGGTGCCTCTGAAGATGCCAGCTCAGTGTGGCAGAGGGCATCTGGCTAGAGAACAAACTCCACCACCACATTCTGTGGTAACAATCACTGAAAAACACACTAACACCAAAGTCCTTCCAAAATGTCTGTGACTCTTTTAAAAATGCTGGTTTTCATATTTGAGGCAGCCTACCCTAAAAACTGAGTGATGGACCAAAATAAGAAAAGATGCTCATCTATAATAAACTAGAGGGAAAACGGAATCATCATGTTGGCAAATTTTTTTTGTTTTTTTTTTGAGACAGTCTCACTTTGCCACCCAGCCTGGAGTGCAGTGGCGCGATCTCAGCGATCTCAGCTCACTACAACCTCTGCTCCCAGGTTCAAGGGATTCTCCTGCCTTAGTCTCCCGAGTAGTTGGGATTACATGCGCCTGCCACCACACCCCGCTAATTTTTGTATGTTTAGTACAGATGAGGTTTCACCATGTTGGCCACGCTGGTCTAGAACTCCTGACCTCATGTGATCCGTCCATCTCGGCTTCCCAAAGTGCTGGGATTACAGGAATGAGCCACTGCGCCCGGCCTTTGATGAATATTTTTAAAAAGCTTTCAATTATGGGAAAAAGGAAATGGTAGTTATTTGTTTCAAACTCTACATACAGATGACACAAATCCTTCCCTTTTTCCCTTTTATATATTAATTTTCAAAGAATTTTCTTCTAATCATGCAATTTGGCCAGGAAATGTTTAACTCCCATTTGAATGTAAAAGCATCAAAGAATCCTTTGTAGAGCATTTAGTCAACAAGTTACATTTGGTTGTCATCTCTGCAACTTGAAAAATCCAATTAATTTATTCAACAAAATTTAAGTGAGCCTCTTCTAGATACCAGGCATCGCTCTATGTGCAGGAGATACAGCAGGTAGCAAAAGGTCTCCATCATCCTGAGAGATGGGAAAGAAAGAATGAACAGAGAAAGAGAAATGAACTTATACTTTGTCAGCTGGTGATAGCTGCCAAGGGCAAACACAATGCAGGGCAAGGGGACAGGATGTGACTGTGCGTGTGTGCGTGTGCACACCATGCATGTGCATGTGTGTACATATGCTCTTTTATTTAGTACAGGTGAGAAAGATCTCCTAATAAGCAGAGACCTGGAACAGTGGGGCCCAAAGCCATGAATATTCCAAGTGGGGGAAGCTCCAGGCAGGAGGAACAGCAGAGGCCGAGGCTGAAGTACACAGTACACAGGGCTCGGTGTATGGAGGAAGGCCAAACCCGGTGGCCAGTAAGGGAATGGAGGGAGCAGGGGAACACCAGGAGGGACAAGAGCTGGTGCAGATCACAGCCAGCCTTGCAGGAGCAGCACGGACACCACTGCAGGTTTTGTGCAAAGGAGTGACAGTCCATGCTTTAAAAGGAACCTTGTGCCACGTCACTCCACTGCAGATGGAAGCAAAACAGAGAGGCAACCTGAAGGCCCACAGTCATCCAGGCAAGAGGACAGTGGCTAGGACAGACTGGCAGTAGCTGGAGAAGTGGTCAAATGTGGACACAGTTTGAAGAAACAACTCAAAAGATTTATGAGGGCATAAAAGAAAAAGTTCAGGACTCCAAATTTTGGATGGACTTGTCATTTACTTACATAGGGAAGACTACAAGAAGAGCCAGGCTGAGGTAAAAGAGAAAAGAGGGGTTGGGCGTGGTGGCTCACACCTGTAATCCCAGCACTTTGGGAAGCTGAGAAGGGTGGACCATTTGAGGTCAAGAGTTCAAGACAGCCTTGACAACATGCTGAAACCCGCCTCTAGCCAAAATACAAAAATTGGCTGGGTGTGGTGGCAGGCACCTGTAACCCCAGCTACTCCGGTGACTGAGACAGGAGAATCGCTTGAACCTGGGAGGCAGAAGTTGCAGTGAGCAGAGATTGCGCCACTGCACTCCAGCCTGGGCAACAGAGCAAGACTCTGTCTTAAAAAAAAAAAGAGAGAAAAGAGACATTTCAGACATGCTATATTTGAGGTCCCTGCTAGACATTCTAGAGAATTGGCCAGGCAGGCAGATGCAGGTCTACAGTTCAGGGGAGGGGCTGAGAGCCTTTTTTGCCCTTGGTGTATGTGTCAGCAACAGGCTGTATTCTTTAAATCATAATAATCCATATGGTAGATGTAGATCAATACTACATCCAAACTACTACCAACATTTGCCATTCACTAAGTAATTTAAAATTAGTAGCCAACATGAGACAAAGAGAGAAAGAAGAAAATGACCGTGGAACAAACTTACCCAGACTTCTTGGATCATAGAAGGCTGTAGTAACAACACCACCATTTTTTTCAATGGCAGCAATAGCTAGTTCTGAAGCCAACTGTACTTCAATATTAACTTTTGCCGTAAAGGTGTCAGCACCCTGAAATATGTCAAAACAGTCTGTTGGTAAACAGCTTGGCTAAAAGTAAATTAATTATGTCAAGCTTCCTTTTTAGACAGTGTTTTTCCCTCCAAAGTGCCTATAACATAACAATACAGTTAGTCCTCCATATCTGTGGGTTCCACATCTGTGAGTCAACCAACTTGAATGGATAATTTTCGGAAAAAAAGTAATAATAAAAAATAAGGCTGGGCGCAGTGGTTCACGCCTGTAATCCCAGCCCTTTGGGAGGCCAAGGTAGGTGGATCACCTGAGGTCAGGAGTTCAAGACCAGCCTGCCCAACATGGAGAAACCCCATCTCTACTAAAAATACAAAAAATTAGCTGGGTGTGGTGCCGCGTGCCTGTAGTCCCAGCTACTCAGGAGGCTGAGGTGGGAGAATCGCTTGAACCCGGGAGGGGAAGGTTGCAGTGAGCTGAGATCGCGCCATTGCACTCCAGCCTGGGCTACAAGAGTGAAACTCCGTCTCAAATAAAAATAAAAATAAAATAAGGCCAGGCATGGTGGCTCATGCCTGTAATCCCAGCACTTTGGGAGGCCAAGGCAGGAAGATCACCTGAGGTCAGGAGTTTGAGACCAGCCTGGCCAACATGGTGAAACCCCGTCTCTTAAAATACAAAAATTAGCCGGGCATGATGGCAGGCACCAGTAATCCCAGCTATTTCGAGGCTGAGGCAGGAGAATCACTTGAACTCGGGAGGCAGAGGCTGCAGTGAGCTGAGATCACACCACTGCACTCCAGTCTGGGAGACAGAGCAAGACTCCATCTCAAAAAAAAAAAAAAAATCAATACAACAATAAGAAAACAATTCTTTTTTAAATACAGTATAACAACTATTTATATAGTATTTACATTACTTTCAATGGCAAAAGCCACAATTACTTGTGCACCAACCTAATATTACATGTTATAAGTAATCTAGAGATGATTTAAAGTATATGGGAGGATGTGGCAGGTTATATGCAAATACTAGGCCATCTTAGAGACTTGATCATCTGGATTGTAGTGAGAGGAGGCGGTCATGGAACCAATCCTAAGGGACGACTATAATTCCTATTTTAAATATCTCTGCTTTGAGGTCCTATCACTTTTTTTTTAACATTTTATTTAGGCTACCTTGTTTTACTAATTTTCAATCCGTGTAAGTAAGACTGACTACATTTCCATTTTATGTACACCTACTAAGCATTCATTCCTGACTTCATTAATAGTAGGCTGCTTAATCCTCATAACAACCTTATGATAGGATTATTGCTATCCCGACTTCATAGATGGAAATACCGACTTCATAGATGGAAATACCGACTTCATAAATGGAAATACCAACTTTCATAGATCGGAAATACCGACTTTCATAGACGGAAATACCGACTTCATAGATGGAAATACCAACGCACAGAGGTTGCATTGCCCAAGGTCACAAAGCAAGTATTCTAATCCAGGGAGTTTAGTCACAGTATCTGTATTCTTAACCACAACATTATGCTGTCAAACATAGATTAAAAACTAATCTTCCTTATCCCTAAGTAAGCAAGAGGCCAGCAGGAGGTTAAACAGGGGAATATGCAGGCTGGAGCAGGTGGAAGAACAGAAAATCTGACAAAATCTGAGCTTTGGAGAAGTTGGCCTCACTAGGGAAAAAAAGACAATAGAAATTTCACTTTGCATTCACTATTGACTTTATTATAGCCTCTAAGCTGAAAAAAAAAAAACCTCCAATTTTTCCTAGAATAGTCAACACTAGAAAATGTAGTTCTAGGCCGGGCGCAGTGGCTCACGCCTGTAATCCCAGCATTTTGGGAGGCCAAGGCGGGTGGATCACGAGGTCAGAAGATCAAGACCACCCTGGCTAACACGGTGAAACCCTGTCTCTACTAAAAATACAAAAAAATAAATAAATTAGCCGGCCATGGTGGCGGGTGCCTGTAGTCCCAGCTACTCAGGATGCTGAGGCAGGAGAATGGTGTGAACCCGGGAGGCGGAGCTTGCAGTGAGCCGAGATCGCGCCACTGCACTCCAGCCTGGGTGACAGAGCGAGACTCCATCTCAAAAAAAAAAAAAAAAAGAAAAGAAAATGTAGTTCTAGGCCGGGTGCGGTGACTCAATCCTAGCACTTCGGGAGGCCAAGGAGGGCGGAGTACTTGATGTCTGGAGTTTGAAACCAGCCTGGCCAACATGGTAAAACCCCATCTCTACTAAAAAATACAAAATGTAGCCGGGCATGGTGGCATGTGCCTGTAATCCCAGCTACTCGGGAGGCTGAGGCAGGAGAATGGCTTAAACCCAAGGTGGAGGTGAAGGTTGCAGTGAGTCGAGATTGTGCCATTGCACTGCAGCCTGGGCAACAGAGCGAGACTCCATCTCAAAAAAAATAAAAAAGACAGAAAAAAAAGGAAAATGTAGCTCTGAACTCTGAAACGTTAAATTTTTGGTCACAGTCAGGATGTGCTATATTTTTCTCTAATTTCAAAGCAGATTCTGATAAAAGCAAAAAGATGGCAGCATTACCACTCTATGGCAATAGAAAGCTTTCATGAAGCTGAAAGAAAGTGGCTCCCAGTTTAGCTCCTTCTATTATTAATTTTTCATGTATTTCAAAAATATTCCATCAATTCTAAGATGCATTTTCACACTTTTTTTATATCCAATACTGGTATATGTTTAAAATCAACAGTACCTTTGATTCAATAAAACAGGGTCTTGCTGTATCATTTGTGATTTTTAAGCAATCCATAGTTTGCTTAACCATCTCCCTATTTGGGGGCATTGGTGTCAGTTCCAGTATTTTCAGTAGTATAAATAGCATTTTTAGGACTATCTTTATATCAGGTTTCTTTCATTTTGCTTTTCCTTGAGAACATGTTTCCAAATTGATAATTTTGTGCTAAAGGATCAAAACTGTCTTATTATTCACTATTTACTACAAATCTGAAATCACAGAAGTAAATCAGTTAACAGAGCTATAAATAATGTGTCATTGCAATTACTTGACCAGTGCCCTGGGGTAAAGTTTTCAGGGTTATTTTTATTAATCTAATAGACAACACCTAAGGATGTTGGGATGTGCAGTTTAAGGGCTGATAAGGTCATGGATTTCCATATGTTAAGTTACATGTGTATTTCTTTATATACACTCAGGGTAGAATACTGAGGCTTAATCTTGTATTTGGTATTCTCTTTTCAAATTACTTTATTTGGAAAGTTTTTATCCATACAGTTCACTTTTTCAAAAGAATCTGAAAGGTTTTTTCATAAATATATGCTTCCCTCTAGTGGACACTAACTTACTTATACAACTGTATTATTGGCAAACAGTAGTTGATTAACAATGTACAAAAAATTTGGCCGACGGGTAGCTCACGTCTGTAATCCCAGCACTTTGGGAGGCCGAGGCAGGCGGATCACCTGAGGTCAGGAGTTCAAGACCAGCCTAACCAACACGGTGAAACCCTGTCTCTACTAAAAATACAAAATTAGCCTGGCATGGTGGCACATGCCTGTAATCCCAGCTACTTGGAAGGCTAAGACAAGAGAATCGCTTGAACCCGGGAGGTGGAGATCGCAGTGAGCCGAGATCGTGCCACTGCACTCCAGCCTGGGTGACAGAGTGAGACTCCATCTCCAAAAACAAAAAAAAAGCAGAAAATTAGCTGGGCCTGGTGGCAGGTGCCTGTAATCCCAGCTACTTGGGAAGCTAAGGCAGAAGAATCACTTGAACTCAGGAGACAAGAGGTTGCAGTGAGCTGAGATGACACCACTGTACTCCAGCCTGGGCCACAGAGTGAGATACTGTCTCAAAAAAAATAAAGAAGAAAGTAAAGCAATGAATCAAAGCACCTGCCCTCAAGGGAGCTTATATTCTAGTGAGGAAGACAATGAAAACAAATGCATAACTTGGTAATAAATGTCAAGTGCTCATATATATTCAAAGAAAAATACTTTGGGCAGAGTAAAGGAAACACTGTGACTCCTGAAGCAGGGCAAGTGCTCTTTTAAAAAGACTCTCAAAAAAGACCTTCCTGGCCAGGCGGGGTGGCTCACATCTGTAATCCCAGCACTTTGGGAAGCTGAGGCGGGCAGATCACCTGAGGTCAGGAGTTCGAGAACAGCCTGGCCAACATAGCAAAACCCCACCTCTACTAAAAATAAAAAAAATTAGCCAGACGTGGTGGCACGCACCTGTAGTCCCACCTACTCAGGAGGCTGAGGCACGAGAATAGCTTGAACCTGGGCAGCAGAGGTTGGCAGTGAGCTGAGATCGCGCCATTGTACTCCAGCCTGGGAGACAGAGTGAGACTCCATCTCTATTTAAAAAAAAAAAAAAAAAAAAAAAAAAAAGATCTTCCTGATATGTTGACATTCAAGCAGAGAACCAAAAGAAGGGGGCGCCGTGGGCGGTGGCTCACGCCTGTAATCCCAGCACTTTGGGAGGCCAAGGTGGGTGGATCACGAGGTCAGGTGTTCAAGACCAGCTTGGCCAATATGGCGAAACTCCATCTCTACTAAAAATATAAAAAATTAGCCGGGTGTGGTGGCGCACGACTATAGTCCCAGCTACTCAGGAGGCTGAGGCAGGAGAATTTCTTGAACCCAGGAGGCAGAGGTTGCAGTGAGCCGAGATCGTGCCACTGCACTCCAGCCTGGGCAACAGAGCGAGACTCCATCTCAAAAACAAAAACAAAAAAAAAAGAAGGCAAGCTTTACAGATATGCAGAAGAGCAGCATTCCAGGACCAAGGGACAGAGCCCTGCCATGATAGTATGACAGCTTTCCAAAACCACAGCTATCACCACTACATAACAGTTATAAACACAAATGGGCTAAAAATAAAGGGGGTAGAGTACTGATTATCTGGAAATCAAAAATATCTCCTACGGGCCAGGCATGGTGGCTCACACCTGTAATTCCAGCACTTTGGGAGGCCGAGGTGAGCAGATCACTTAAGGTCAGGAGTTCAAGATCAGCCTGGCCAACATAGTGAAACCCTGTCTCTACTAAAAACAAATAAAATTAGCTGGGCATGGTGGTGGGTGCCTGTAATCCCAGCTATTCAGGAGGCTGAGGCAGGAGAATCACTTGAACTTGTGAGGTGGAGGTTGCAGGAGCCGAGATTGCGCCACTGTACTCCAGCTCAGGCAACAGGGCAAGACTCTGTCTAAAAAAAAAATCCTCCTATATAACACCAAAAGATCTAATCAAGACTTACCTCCTCAACCAGCTGGACACCATAATCCCTTTTAAGTGGCTGGATGGTCACACCTCTCCCATTGACAAGCTGGGTTAAGTCAATAGGTTGACTAGGATCAACACGACCCAAATCAATAAGATACTGCAGTCTATTGAGACTCAAAGGCTTATACTGGCGTCTGAAACTGTAAAACAAGAATGTAAGAGTTGGAAAACTCTCATCTTCCTGTAACTTCTCGAAATCAACTCAAAGCTTTGTCTTGTGTTTTCCTCCACCAATTTTATTTAACTAAACAAAACCCTCTTGAGTGTAACACAAACATGTAATACTGCTTGATTTTGGGTAATGAAAACAAACCTGTACCACCTTTGTTCCACTAAAAATTATTTCCCTCTCTAAGCATTTACTTCACTTATTTACACAAATAAATCTGTGGAAAATTTAACTTACTATGGAGCTCAAAGTAATAATGGTAGTTATCATTTATTAGGTGACTACAGTGGGCCAGATTTTTATGTATACTGTCTATTATTGCTCACTCTTTTAATAACCATTAGAGCTGGCATTAGAATCTCCATTTTGCAGGTCTAAGTGCAGTGTCTGGGCCTCTTTTCCTTTTAATAATCCAGGCAAGATTTCATTACCAAAAAATGGTTCAGGGGAACAGTAGCAAAAGTTTGCTTCAAAGTGAATTTACAATTTCCACCAAAATTTCTACCAAACTATTTTTAGGTGCTTTTTAATGGAAATTGGGGACCTGTACTTTAAAAAGCAAAGCAACCTTACCTATGTCCTTCGTTAAACCCGTATTTTGGGATTCGGATGTAAAATGGAGTCTGGCCTCCCTCAAAGCCCAAGCGGGGCCGGGTTCCTCTTTGCCTTTCTCCTTTATGGCCTCTGCCACATTTTCTACCTCTTCTCCGACCTCTTGGTCTTCTCTCCTGCAAGGAAAAAAAAGAATTTTATGAATTTCAGATGCATTTCTAAAAACTGCATTTCAGCTCTTCACTTTTTGTTATGCTGTTCATTCATCCAGCCCACCAGTGCTAGCTAACACTATTGTGTCAAGCATGTCCTAGTTGCTCAAAGCTCCACACACTCTGTTAGCATCTTTGCCTCTAAAGACATAGCTAATTCTTGTAACCAAAGTCCAAGTGTGTTTCAAAAGCAAAAAGTAAAGGTTAGGATGGGGATAAGGTTTTTATAATAGGTTGAAACCGAAAAAAATCCTAGAATTAAATATTCACAACATTTTAAATGATAGGCAAGAATTTATTCTGAAATTAATTGTAAATATGCAAATGTTATTCATAAACCTGTAATTTTATTTGAAAACTGATCTGTTGAAGAAAATCTTTTCCTTAATTTCCTGTCATTTCACGAAAGCAATGAACTGACTGTTAAAATGACAGTACATTGTCAACTAACAGCTTTTCTAGCTCTATTTAGTCAACTGCAGAAGGGACAGCTGCAATTCAGATCTTTCCAATGAACATAAAGATACACCGGGAAAACATTTCATTTTAAATCCAATTTTGAATGACACAAAGACTTTGTAGTTTCAGCGAGTCGGCTTCTCCGCCTGGTATCTTTACACTTGTAAACATAACCTTATTAAGAACTGGGTGCGGCCGGGGGCGGTGGCTCACGCCTGTAATCCCAGCACTTTGGGAGGCCGAGGCAGGCGGATCGCGAGCTCAGGAGTTCAAAACCAGCCTGGCCAACACGGTGAAACCACGTCTCTACTAAAAATACAAAAATTAGCCGGGCGTGATGGCGGGCGCCTGTAATCCCAGCTAATCGGGAGGCTGAGGCAGGAGAATTGCTTCTGGGCGACAGAGCAAGCCTCCGTCTCGGAAAAAAAAAAAAAAAAAAAAAAAAGAACTGGGTGCACGTGGAAAGATTCCCCTCTGGGCAGTAAGGGAGAACAGGCATGAGGCAATCCTATTTTCATCCCAACACTCTCCTAGAAAGGGCAGTTCTCCTAATGACAGGGAGAGAAGGGCCGCTTTCATCGCCCGGGTCCCCAGCGCTTCCCCGCACCGCCACCACCCATTTACCGGTTTCTTGGAGCCGGGATTCGGCTTTAAGTTGGCCAGGCTCACACGCGGCAGGCCCCGGAGTAGGTCCAGGGCCCGGGCCCCACCGCCCTGCAAGGGACCGGCCATAACCCGCAGATCCAAGAACTTTCAAGGGCGCCCTGAGCTGCTCGGAGGCCACGTGGTCTCGGGGGCTGCTTTGTGGCCGTGGCCCCGCCCCTGTCGCGCTGCAGCCGCGCGCGCAAGCCCGGGAGTCGGGCAGAGGCGTGGGAGTCTGCAACCTTGTCTCGGTTGTCCTTTTAGTTGTTTGGGGATGTGATCTTATTTTCCGAGATCCTGCTTTGTCCTCGGGGTCCCTTTTAATATTCTGAACGTAAAACCTTCTCTTTCGCCAAACGAGAGCATGCACTAAAAACACTGCGTTAAATAAAGGATCTTTTTTGAGTCAGTGTTGGGCCTTGCCTGTTTGTCTAGGCCGTGTCTTCTCTGAGGTCAATGCAGAACCCAGAGTAAAGCAAAGTGAGCTGTCAATTATTAGCTTTTGAGCTTGCGTAATTATACACCGTGAGGTACGAAAATAAAACTGAGTGCACCTATCAAAATGCCTGGCTAATAACCAATCTTTGAATAAGACTCAAAGTGTGAACTCTCATCCGTGTGCATCTGTATTGTTTTGAGTGAATCGCAGTTAGTAACCACCTATTGTTAATGACTGGCGCCATACTGAATGCCTGGTGTATGCCAGACGCTGTATTAAATAAGCCTTACTCGATTTACAGCCATTCTAGAGGTAAATGGTGTTACTACATTTTACAGTTACAACAGGGAAGGCTTAGCAAGGTCCGATAGCTTGACCAACTTCTTGCAACAAGCGGCAGAGCCAGGATTCAAACGTACACTGCTTCCTACTATAAAAGTAGTATTTTTAGAATGTAAAATTGAGTATCTGCATCACAAAATACGAACATTATTACTCGAAAAATACCAGCTCTTCTTTTTTCTCTCAAGTGACTTAAATATAGAAAAGACTGTTCCTTTCTTTTTCTTTCTTTTAGTAGTGGTTTGACATTTCACTTGCTGGGGAGTTTTTTCTGCTAGCTCTAACTAGTAATCACAAATAATGAAGGTGAGACAATTTTTGGAGGGCGTCTGTCTCTAGGTATAACTGCGTCTTTTTAAAGTTCCTTTAAATCAAGTGTAAAATAACTACATAAAGAAAAAGTTGTATTCATTCCTTCAAGTACTATTTATAAGTAAGACACTGAACTTGTTGGAAATACACATGGATGAACTCAAATAGGATTTCATTCCCAAGTTGTTTGAAATCTAGTAGGGAACAGTTTCCAAAAGTGAATTATTATTATTATTATTTTGAGACAGAGTCTCGCTCTGTTGCTTAGGCTAGAGTGCAATGGTTCAATCTCAGCTCACTGCAACCTCTGCCTCTCTGGTTCAAGCAATTCTTCCGCCTCCGCCTCCTGAGTAGCTGGGATTACAGGCGTTCACCAGCACGCCCCGCTAATTTTTTTTTGTATGTTTAGTAGAGACGGGTTTTCGCCATGTTGGCCAGGCTGGTCTCCAACTCCTGGCCTCAGGTGATCCCCCTGCCTCGGCCTCCCAAAGTGCTGGGATTACAGGCGTGAGCCACGGCGCCTGGCCCGTGAATGTTTTTTAAAAGTTAAAGATAAAAGTAGGCCTCTTGTAGACTAATTAGCAAAAACAAAATATGTGAGTTCGATAAAATGATATGATGGTAAAGTCTAGACTCTATTTAGAAGCACAGAAGAAATAGAATGGGGTGTGGGGGGCAATAGAACCTATTTTCTGCCTTTAATGATTTTTGGTTTGTTTGTTTGAAATGGAATCTCACTCTGTCGCCCAGGCTGGAGTGCAGTAGCGCCATCTCGGCTCACTGCAGGCTCCTCACCCAGGTTCAAGCGATTCTCCTGCCTCAGCCTCCCCAGTAGCTGAGATTACAGGCATGCACCACAACGTACAGCTTTTTTAGTTTGTTTGTTTGGTTGGTTTTTTAGTAGAGACTGGGTTTCACCACGTTGGCCAGGCTTGTCTGAAACTCCTAACCTCAAATGATCCACCTGCCTTGGCCTCCCAAAGTGCTGGGATTACAGGTGTGAGCCACTGAGTCCAGCCTGCCTTTAGTGATTTTTAATTCAGTAGTTTTCATTGTGTTTTTATTAAACTTTCCTACCTTTGGGAAGAAAATTGCAAAATATAATTGCAAACTGTACCCTAATCTACAGAAAAGTGCACAATTATTTTCAATCCCCAAAAAATCATTGTTTGCATTAAGTAATGAACTTCTTGATTAAGTGTTAATGCCAGTAATGTTTTTTATCATGGAAAATTTTTTTATTGAATAAATAAAATACAAGAAATATGCTGCACTTCTTGGAAGTAGAAGTCGTATGGGTTATATAATGTTATTGGTGGACATCAGTTAATAATAATGGGAATAACAATTGTTGACAGTTAATTGTAGGCTACGTGTTTGTTTATCCCATATCCAACATGTTGATTAAGCATATAAAACTGTCAAAATAATTTGATGAGTTTCGTTTGTGTTGTAAGAATGTAAATTAAGGGTGTGTGGTCAATAAGTCAACAATCCTTACCTTAAGTATATAGTAGTTTTATGTCATCCTCATAATTGCACAAGTCATATTTATTACCCACCTACATGCTTGGGATGTGCTAAATCCTGTTTAAATCAAGTTAACAAGAACTTGTAATAAAAACATTAATATCTCAACAACTATTTAAGGTCCATCCTGATTCCAACCCCAGTTGATAATAACTGCTGAATCATTACATAATAACAATGAAGCCGGGCGCAGTGGCTCACGCCTGTAATCCCAGCACTTTGGGAAGCTAAGGCAGGCGGATCACCTGAGGCTGGGAGTTCGAGACCAGCCTGACCAACATGGAGAAACGCCATCTCTAATAAAAATACAAAATTAGCTGGGAGTGGTAGTGCATACCTGTAATCCCAGCTACTCAGGAGGCTGAGGCAGGAGAATCGCTTGAACCCCGGAGGCGGAAGTTGTGGTGAGCCAAGATCACGCCATTGCACTCCAGCCTGGGCCACAAGAGCAAAACTCTGTCTGAAAAAAAAAAAAAAAAAAGAATGAAGTGATACAATTTGAACTGCTTTGGAAGACTTCACACACTGCCACGAAATCTTCCCCAATCTATATATATATCAGCACCTGACAGTGTGTTAACATAGATTAATTCCTTTGAGTTAATTATTTTTCTAAAAAAAAGTTTTTTTGCCGGGCGCGGTGGCTCATGCCTGTAATCCCAGCTCTTTGGGAGGCCAAGGTGAGCGAATCACGAGATCAGGAGTTCGAGAACAGTGTGACCAACATAGTGAAACCCCGTCTCTACTAAAAATACAAAAATTAACCAGGCATGGTGGCATGAGCCTGTAATCCCAGCTACTCAGGAGGCTGAGACAGGAGAATTGCTTGAAATCCCAGGAGGCAGAGGTTGCAGTGAGCCAAGATCAGCCTGGGCAACAGAGCGAAACTCCATCTCAAAAAAAAAAAAGAAAATTTCAGGATTAGCAGAGAAGGGGACTGGGAAATGAAAATAAAAGGGAATAGGCTGGACACAGTGGCTCACACCTGTAATCCTAGTAAACCCAGAAATTTGGGAGGCCCAGGTGGGTGAATCACTTGAGGTCAGGAGTTTGAGACAAGCCTGGCCAACATGGTGAAACCCATGTCTACAAAAAATACAAACATTAGCTGGGCATGGTGGCAGGTGTCTGTAGTCCCAGCTACTCAGGAGGCTGAGGCAGGAGAATCACTAAAACCCAGGAGGAGGAGGTCGCAGTGAGCTGAGATTGTGCCACTGTACTCCAGCCTGGGCAACAGGGCAAGACTCCTCTCAAAAAAAAAAAGTTGAGCAGAAAATAACTGGAGAAGCAATATTCCTAAGTGAAGGTGGGAGAAAGCCAGAGGCAGGAGAACAATGAATCCCTTTGATATTGGGAGAAAACTAATATTGAGAGAAGGCTATGAAGAGGGCATGGAAAGGGGCTGGAAATAAATGTCCCCTTGATAAAACTTAACTAATTTTGCCTTGATAAAACTTGGTTCCAACCTAAAGGTCTTTATTCACACCTAAATAGGTTTTAATTTTATTGAAGTATTGTAATGCCTACATATGTTGAAAAAATCAGATAGTACAGAAGGGCTTATAATGAGAAGTAGTTGTTTCCTATTCCATTTCTAGTTTCACTCCCATAAGCAATCACTTTTAATGTTGTTTTTGTTTCTTCTAATGATTGCCTCCTTGTTTACAAATTAATAAAATGTCTACTTCACTAATTTTTTTATCATTTCTTTTTTTTTTTTTTTTGAGATGGAGTTTTGCTCTTGTCACCCAGGCTGGAGTCCAATGGCACAATCTCGACTCACTGCAACCTGCGCCTCCTGGGTTCAAGTGATTCTCCTGCCTCAGCCTCCCACGTAGCTGGGATTACAGGCACCTGCCACCATGCCTAGCTAATTTTTGTACTTTTAGTAGAGATGGGGTTTCACCTTGTTAGCCAGGCTGGTCTCCAACTCCTGAGCTCAGGTGATCCACCTGCCTTGGCCTCCCAAAGTGTTGGGATTACAGGCTTGAGCCACTGAGCCTGGCTCATTTTTTTTCCTTGAGACGACAAGTTTCGCCCTATCACCCAGGCTGGAGTGCAGTGACCTGATCACAGCTCACTGCAACCTTGAACTCCTGGGCTCAAGTGATCCTCCCACCTCAGCCACCTGAGTAGCTGGGGCTACAGGTATCCGCCACCATGCCCAACTAATTTTTGTAATTTTTGTAGAGACGGGTTTTTGCCATGTTGCCCAAGCTGGTCTTGAATTCCTGGGCTCAAGCAATCCTCCTGCCTCGGCCTCCCAAAGTGCTGGGATTACATGAATGAGCCACCACACCCAGCCTTTTATCAATTTTTAGCATTGTATATTCTCTTGTCTTATGATAAATGAAGATTTAGGTAATTTAAGCTATTTCTTCCTAAAATTTTTCTTCTCTCGTGGTAAACTTTGTAATTTAAATTATGTAATCTAAGTACTTTAAACATCTAATTCTTGGATTTTCAACCTTCAAAAATATACATTAACTCCTCACTCTGGGTAAGATAAAGATATTCACACTCCAACCTCTCATACTTCTTCACTCTTTCTACTTTCCAATTTTTGTTAGCTGTATCTTTCTTCAACATTGCTATGTATTATATTATAACTATATACTTTAAATGATTATTTAGTGTAAATGAGCTACAACAATTACCATATTTGCTGTCTCTAGGGCAATTTTCAGTGTTTTCCTCTTTACCAGCTAAAACAACTGACTTTCAGGCTGTTAGGCTTACTTTATTTTATATGTATATGTATATGTGTGTGTATATATATATATATATATATATATATATATATATATATATATATTATTTTTTGAAAAAGGGTCTTGCTCTGTTGCCCAGGCTGAGGTGCAATGGTGTGATCTCAGCTTCATCTGACGCCCAGGGTCAAGCAATCCTCCCACCTCAGCCTCCTGAGTAGCTGGGATTATAGGTGTGCGCCACCACGCCCAGCTAATTTTTGTATTTTTTGTAGAGATGGGGTTTCACCATGTTGTCCAGTCTGGTCTTGAACTCCTGGGCTCAAGTGATCCTCCTGCCTCAGCCTCCCATAGTACTGGGATTACAGGCCTGAGCCACTGCACCAGGCCTGATAGACGTTACGTTCATGATTAGGAGTCTCAAATTGGTCATCCTATTCCAGTGTTCAAAAAACTTTGTATTTTCACTCTCCAAGATGACTATTTTGTATCCTCTCTTCTTCAGTTAGTGATTTTTTTCTTATTCTTTTATTTATTTATTTATTTATTTATTTAATAGAAATGGGATCTCACTTAGTTGCCCAGGATGGTCTTGAACTCCTGGGCTCAAACTATCCTCCAGCTTTGGCCTCCCAAAGTGCTGGGATTACAGGAGTGAGCGACTGCAACCAGCCTGACTTTTCCTTATTCTTTTGTTTTATTTTGATTTGTTTTTTGAGATGGGGTCTTGCTCTGTCACCAGGCCAGAGTGCAGTGGCAGGATTTCAGTTCCCTATAACATCCATCTCCCAAGTTAATCCATTATCCTGCCTCAGCCTCCCAAGTAGCTGGGATTAAAGGTGCCTGCCACCACACCCAGCTAATTTTTGTATTTTTAGTAGAGATGGGGTTTCACCATGTTGGCCAGGCTGGTCTTAAACTCCTGATCTCAAGTCATCTGCCCACCTCGGCCTCCCGAAGTGCTGACATTACAGGTGTGAAGCACTGCACCTACCAAGATTTTGTTGTTTTGGTGATTCCTTCTCTCTCCTGAATCATCCAATCTCTCCTCACGCTGGATGGTCTCATCAGTGTACAAAAATGCTGTAACACAAGTTTGTTCTAATATGATTCATCTTTAAAAAGTAAAAACATCTGTAATCCCAGCACTTTGGGAGGCCGAGGCAGGTGGATCACAAGGTCAGGAGTTCGAGACAAGCCTGGCCAACATGGTGAAACTCCATCTCTACTAAAAATACAAACAAAATAGCTGGGCATGGTGTCATGTGCCCGTAATCCCAGCTACTTGGGAGGCTGAGGCAGGAGAATTGCTTGAACCCAGGAGGCAGAGGTTGCAGTGAGCCAGGAGCATGCCACTGCACTCCAGCCTGGGCAACAGAACGAGACTCAGTCTCAAAAAAAAAAACAAAAAGTAAAAACAAAATAACACTTTTCTTACCCCCACCAACTCTGTATCCCTCTAGCTGTGCCCATTTCTCTGCTTGCTTTCACAGTGGGAAAGGAATATAAATCTTGGGACCCCAAAATCACTAAGCCAAAGAAAAAAGTCAAGCTGGGAACTGCTTAGGGCAAACCTGCCTTCCATTCTATTCCTAAAAAAGATGGCTACTAAGATTAAAAAGTTACATACCTGGCTGGGCATGGTGGCTCACGCCTGTAATCCCAGCAGTTTGAAAGGCCGAAGTGGTGGATCATTTGAGGCCAGGAGTTCAAGATCAGCCTGACCAACATGGCGAAACCCAGTCTCTACTAAAAACACAAAAATTAGCCGGGTGTGGTGGTGCACATCTGTAGCCCCAGCTACTTGGGAGGCTAAAGCAGGAGAATTGCTTGAACCCGGGAGGCGGAGGTTGCAGTGAGCCAAGATTGCACCGTTGCACTCCAGCCTGGGCAACAGAGCAAGATTCTGTCTCCAGAAAAAAAGCAAAAAAAAATTTCTGTCCTCTTACCTTAGTTCTTAGCAGCATTCAAAACACTTGACCACTCTATCCTTGAAATATTTCCCTTGTTTAGTTTCTGGGATTGCTCACATTTCTGGTTTTCTTCTTCCATCCCTAGCTGATCTTTCTCCGTTACTTTTGGGGGCTCCTCCACACCTGTCTGACCTTTAAATGTTTTTATTTTATTTTTTTGAGATCGAGTTTTGCTCTTGTCATCTAGGCTGGAGTGCAATGGCATGATCTTGGCTCACTGCAACCTCCGCCTCACAGGTTCAAGCAATTCTCCTGCCTCAGCCTCCGAGTAACTGGGATTACGGGTCCCTGCCACCACACCCAGCTAATTTTTGTATATATATATTTTTAGTAGAAACAGGGTTTTACCATGTGGGCCAGGCTGGTCTCGAACTCCTGACTTCAGGTGATATGCCTGCCTTGGCCTCCCAGATTGCTGGGATTACAGGCGTGAGCCACCGTGCCCAGCACTAATGTTAAAATGTATTTTGGTATACAGATATTCTCCAAAAGTGATCATAAATGACTTAAAAATTCTCAGATTTATATCTGCTACCCAAATTGATATACATATATCAGAATGTCTTCTTAATATACTCAAAAGGGAATTCTAGATTTCCAGCCGTTTGCCACAACCTTTCCCCAAACTGTTCGTCCCTTACTATTCCCATCTTAACAAATGGAACACCTGTTTACCTAGTTATTAAAGAGAGAAATCTGGGAGTCATTCTCGTTTCCTCACTTTCCCCATTTCCCACATCAACAAGACCTATATCTTTGGTCCACAGACACCACCCTAGTTCAAGCCACCATCATCTTGCCTAGGATAATGCAACAGTCTATTGACTGATCTATTTTCACTGTCACTGTTGCCCCATTCCCATGGCCATTCTCTGAAAGTAGTCAGAGCTTCATTGTCCTTCAGTGGCTTCATGTTGCACTTAGAATTAAATGCAAACTTAGGGGCCAGGCACAGTGGCTCACACCTGTAATCCCAGCACTTTGGGAGGCCAAGGCAGGTGGATCACTTGAGGCCAGGAGTTCTAGACCAGCCTAGCCAACATGGTGAAACCCCATCTCTACTAAAAATACAAATGTTAGCCAGGTATAGTGGTGCGTGCCTGTAATCTCAGCTACTTGGGAGACTGAGGCAGGAGAATCACTTGAACCCGGGAGGCAGACTTTGCAGTGAGCCCAGATGGCACCATCGCACTCCAATCTGGGTGACAGAGAGAGACCCTGTCTCACAAATAAAAGAGAAAAAAAAGGAGTTAAATGCAAACTTCTTGCCATGGCCTCTAAGTATCTGGCTGATCTGGTCCCTACTTTTCTCTATCCTCAAAGCATTAGGGAGACTTCTGTGAATGAAATAAGCAGCAAATTTTCTGTTTTAAAGAGGGGAGGCACACACACACACACACACACACACACACACACACGAAGTGCTAATAAATAAAAAACTATTTCAGGGAGTAAGGAGTACCATGAAGACAATTAAACATGGGAATGTGTTAAAAAAGTAACCGATATCCTTGAGGACTTTTATCCTGAGTGGTCAAGGATTGCCTTTCCAAAGGGTCATTTAAGCTGAATGATACAAAGGAACTTTTAGCGCTTTCTTTTTTTTTTTTTTTTTTTTTAATTTTTTTTTTTATTGATAATTCTTGGGTGTTTCTCACAGAGGGGGATTTGGCAGGGTCATGGGACAATAGTGGAGGGAAGGTCAGCAGATAAACAAGTGAACAAAGGTCTCTGGTTTTCCTAGGCAGAGGATCCTGCGGCCTTCCGCAGTGTTTGTGTCCCTGATTACTTGAGATTAGGGATTGGTGATGACTCTTAAGGAGCATGCTGCCTTCAAGCATCTGTTTAACAAAGCACATCTTGCACCGCCCTTAATCCATTTAACCCTGAGTGGACACAGCACATGTTTCAGAGAGCACAGGGTTGGGGGTAAGGTCACAGATCAACAGGATCCCAAGGCAGAAGAATTTTTCTTAGTGCAGAACAAAATGAAAAGTCTCCCATGTCTACTTCTTTCTACACAGACACGGCAACCATCCGATTTCTCAATCTTTTCCCCACCTTTCCCGCCTTTCTATTCCACAAAGCCGCCATTGTCATCCTGGCCCGTTCTCAATGAGCTGTTGGGCACACCTCCCAGACGGGGTGGTGGCTGGGCAGAGGGGCTCCTCACTTCCCAGTAGGGGCGGCCGGGCAGAGGCGCCCCTCACCTCCCGGACGAGGCGGCTGGCCGGGCGGGGGGCTGACCCCCGCCACCTCCCTCCCGGACGGGGCGGCTGGCCGGGCGGGGGGCTGACCCCCCCACCTCCCTCCCGGACGGGGCGGCTGGCTGGGCGGGGGGCTGACCCCCCCACCTCCCTCCCGGACGGGGCGGCTGGCCGGGCGTGGGGGCTGACCCCCCCACCTCCCTCCCCGACGGGGCGGCTGGCCGGGCGGGGGGCTGACCCCCCAACCTCCCTCCCGGACGGGGCGGCTGGCCGGGCAGAGGGGCTCCTCACTTCCCAGTAGGGGCGGCCAGGCAGAGGCGCCCCTCACCTCCCAGACGGGGTGGCTGGCCGGGCGGAGGCTGACCCCCCCCACCTCCCTCCCAGACGGGGCGGCTGGCCAGGCGGGGGGCTGACCCCCCCACCTCCCTCCCGGATGGGGCGGCTGGCCGGACGGGGGCTGACCCCCCCCACCTCCTTCCCGGACGGGGTGGCTGCCGGGCAGAGAGGCTCCTCACTTCTCAGACGGGGCAGCTGCCGGGCGGAGGGGCTCCTCACTTCTCAGACGGGGTGGTTGCCAGGCAGAGGGTCTCCTCACTTCTCAGATGGGGTGGCCGGGCAGAGACGCTCCTCACCTCCCAGACAGGGTCTCGGCCGGGCAGAGGCGCTCCTCACGTCCCAGAGGGGGCGGCGGGGCAGAGGCGCTCCCCACATCTCAGACGATGGGCGGCCGGGCAGAGAGGCTCCTCACTTCCTAGATCTTTTTTTTTTTTTTTTTTTTTTTTATTGACAGGGCCTCACTCTGTCACCCAGGCTGGAGTGCAGTGGCACAATCACGGCTCACTGCAGCCTCGGCCTCCCAGGCTCAGGTGATCCTCCCACCTCAGCCTTCTGAGTAGCTGGGATTATAGGCACATGCCACCATGTCTGGCTAATTTTTTTCAGTTTGTTTTTTAGTAGAGATGGGGTTTTGCCATGTTGCCCAAGCTGGTCTTGAACTCCTGAGCTCAAGCAATCCACCCACCTCAACCTCCCCAAGTGTTGGGATTGCAGGCATGAGCCACTCACCCAGCTAGAAGACACTTTCAAGAAGGCCATGGTCACTAGTATCAGCTACTTAGAGCTCAAGTCAGATAATGCTGGGAAAACAGCCTAAAATTGAGCAACAAGGTTGTTAGTGATCTTGGCTGGACCAGTGTCAGAGGAACATTGGGGCAGCAGCCAGATTTCAAGGAGAGTTTCAGGGTGGAGGGTAAGGAAGTGGTGGTGAGTGTGGACACCTGTTTCAATCACTTTTAGCGCTTTCTAAGCAAAGGTTTATTTTGGAATTACATAGTAATCCCATGAAGGATCAGCTGGGGGCTCTGCTCCTTATCTGTCTAATTAAGACTCAAGCTGAGCAAGCAGGCACCCGCTTGAAATTTGCATGTTGTCGTGACAGGTGAAAAGAGAATCTGGAGGATCTCACACCAACAATGGAAAGCTCTCAGCCAGGTGCAGTGGCTCATGCCTGTAATCCCAGCACTTCGGGAGGCCAAGGCGGGAGGATCACCTGTGATCAGGAGTTCAAAACCAGCCTGGCCAACATGGTGAAATCCCATCTTTACTAAAAATAGAAAAATTAGCTGGGCATGGTAGCAGGTGCCTGTAATCCCAGCTACTTGGGAGGCTGAGGAAGGAGAATCGCTATAACCCAGGAGGCAGAGGTTGTAGTGAGCCGAGACCGCACCATTGCACTCTAGCCTGGGCAACAAGAGTGAAACTTCGACTCAAAAAATAAAAATAAAATAAAATAAAATAAAATAAAAATAAAAAAGAAAGAAAAGCTCTGGTCTGGAAGTGATGCTTGTCTCTTTCACTTAAAACTCACTAACCAGAACTACTCACATGGCTTCATCCAAATCAAGCCTAGGAAATACAATCCTACCATGTCCTGGAAAACAGAGAATCAGGAATATTTAGAAAACATGATTAATGACTACCACAATCCTTCAAACTGAGAGGAAAAATAAGAGGGAAAGGCTGGGCACCATGGCTCATGCCTGTAATCCCAACACTGTGGGAGGCCAAGGCGAGTGGATCACCTGAGATCAGGAGTTCCACACCAGTCTGACCAACATGGTGAAACCCCACCCTACTAAAAATACAAAATTAGCCAGGGGTGGTGGCACATGCCTGTAACCCCAGCTACTTGGGAGGCTGAGACAGGAGAATCACTTGAACATGGGAGGCAGAGTTTGCAGTGAGCTGAGATTGGACCATTGCACTCCAGCCTGGGTAACAAGAGTGAAACTCCCTTGCAAAAAAAAAAAAAAAAAAATAGGGAGGGAGGGAAAGACATAGATACATGCTTGGCAGTGGCAAGAGTTCTGTTAACTGTACAGGGGCATCAGTATTGCTAGGTCTGGTCCTTCTGGTAGGCACAAGACAGAAGGTGATCTGGTGAGCTTCCCCAGGTCTTTCTGCTATTTCACTCCTCTAAAATTGGGGAAATGGTTTCCTACTGTTTTACAGAGCTGCAAGAAAGAGCCCTTAAACTGTTACCTCCTTCTCCCTACTAATGATTTCAGTTTCCTAAGCTTCAGCCACATGGCCTTAAAATTCTCTAAAAGTAAAGAATAGTCTGGAGACATGTATTTTCTCCATACCAAATTCACAGAGCAAAAATCAAAGAAATAGGCACAAGACCAGCTCAATTATTTCATAAATGGTTGATCATTGTAATTTTTTTTTTTTTTAAGATGGAGTCTCTCACTGTTGCCCAGGCTGGAGTGCAGTGGCGCAATCTTGGCTCACTGCAACCTCCACCTCCCGGGTTCAAGAGATTCTCTTGCCTCAGCCTCCAGAGTAGCTGGGATTACAGGTGTGCACCACCACACCCAGGTAATTTTTGTATTTTTTGGTAGAGACGGTGTTTCGCCATTTTGGCCAGGCTGGTCTCGAACTCCTGACCTCAAGTGATCTGCCCGCCTGGGCCTCCCAAAGTGCTGGGATTACAGGCGTGAGCCACCACACCCAGCCTGATCATTGTAATTTTAAGACGATTTCTTATATATTACACACACATTTGTTTTTTGTTGTTATTGTTGTTGTTTGAGATAGAGTCTCACTCTGTCACCCAGGCTGGAGTGCAATGGTGGGATCTTGGCTCACTGCAGCCTCCACCTCCTGGGTTCAAGCAATTCTCCTGCCTCAGCCTCCCGAGTAGCTGGGATTATAAGCACATGCCATCACACCCTGCTAATTTTTGTATTTTTCCTAGAAACAGGGTTTCACCATGTTGGTCAGGCTGGTCTCAAACTCCTGACCTCATGTGACTCACCCACCTCAGCCTCCCTAAGTGCTGGGATTACAAGCGTGAGCCACCACACCCAGCCTACACACACATTTGAAGGAGAAAGTAAAAGGTTCAGTCAAGGTCATAGATGCTCCTAAGACATACACTTTTTTTCTTTCAGTGTTGTTAGAGTGTCTTTGTCTTTTTAATAACTTAATCCTCTGTTCTTTTGGGAATCTATTCATTGTAAGATATTTTCAGTCTGATGTCTGATATTAAATATAACTAATAGTAAACTGAATATCTGTGTGCCCACCACCCAGCTTATGAAATAAAATATTACATATACAATTATAGGCCCTTTTTCACATCTTATCACATTCCTCTTTCTCACAGCTTCCCCAGAAGTAACCAACATTCTGAATTTGGAATTTATCTTTCCCATGCATTTCTTCATACTTTTATTATATGTGTGTATATATATATATCCATTAACAATATATTTTTCAGATTTTTGCTTTTATTTATTTATTTATTTTGAGACGGAATCTCATTTTTCACCTAGGGTGGAGTGCAGTGGTGCGATCTTGGCTCACTGCAACCTCTGCCTCCTGGTTTCAAGCTATTGCTATTCTCCTGCCTCAGCCTCCCCATAACTGGGATTATAGGCATGTGCCACCACCCCTGGCTAATTTTTTTATATTTTTAGTAGAGATAGGGTTTCACCATGTTGGCCAGGCTTGTCTCGAACTCCTGACCTCAAGTGATCCATCTGCCTCAGCCTCCCAAAGTGCTGGGATTACAGGCATGAGCCACTGCGCCCACCCAGATTTTTGCTTTTAGTACAGCTGGATTTTCTTTTTTGAAAAAATGAGATTTGGCCGGGCACAGTGGCTCACACCTGTAATCCCAACACTTTGGGAGGCCGAGGCAGGCGGTTCACGAGGTCAGGAGATTGAGACTATCCTGGCTAACACGGTGAAAACCCGTTTCTACTAAAAATACAAAAAAATTAGCCAGGCTTGGTGGCGGGCACCTGTAGTCCCAGCTACTCGGGAGACTGAGGTAGGAGAATGGCAGGAACCCAGGAGGCAGAGCTTGCAGTGAGCTGAGATAGCGCCACTGCACTCCAGCTTATGGAGAGAGTTTCAAAGGAGAATTGATCGGCACATTGTGTGAGGAAACTACCAAGGCCAGTAAAAGCCCACCAGAAAGATTCTGGCAGAGCCAGTCTCAGAACTCACACAAGGTTGGGAAAACTTCATGTTCCCATCAGCCAAATCAAAAGATCTAACAGAAGGGGCATTATCACAAGGGTGTTGCACCAATACTGAGACCAAATTAGTCCTACACTAAAGGCTGTAGTGGGCCCAACTAACAAAGCAAAAAAGCAAGCCTCAAAATAACAAAATTGATTTTAAGTGACTTAATTGTATTCCAAAACAAAGCCCCCAAATCAGAAAAAAATACAAAAACTTCATTAATCAACAAAGTAAAATTTACAGTATCTGTCATTTAGTAAAAAAATGCCACTTATGATCAGGCAGGAAAATAAGATCTATGATGAAAAAAAATCACTCAATATAAACAGACCCAGAAATGGCAGAAGCGATAGAAATTGTTGTCAAGAAAGTTAAAACAGTTAATATATGGGTCATGTGTTCAAGAAGGTAGAAGGATGAGCACTTTAAGGAGAGATATAAAAAAAATGTTTTAAGATTCATGACAATATGAATATACTTAACACTACGGAACTGTATACTTAAAAATGTTTGGTCAAGTGCGGTGGCTTACACCTGTGATCCCAGCACTTTGGGAGGCCGAGGCAGGCAGATCATGAGGTCAGGAGATTGAGACCATCCTGGCCAACGTGGTGAAACCCCGTCTCTACAAAAATACAAAAATTAGCTGGGTGTTGTGACATGCACCTGTAATCCCAGCTACTCGGGAGGTTGAGGCAGAAGAATCACTTGAACCCAGGAGGCAGAGATTGCAGTGAGCTGAGATCACACCACTGCACTCCAACCTGGCGACAGAGTGATACTCCATCTCAAAAAAAAAAAGTTTAAGATGACAACTTTTATGTGACATGTTTTTACCGTAATAAAAAGAACACATCTGCTAATTAACAGACAAAAACAAACCTACAAGTAGACATGTAGAGATGAAAAATACGATGTCTGAGAGGAAACATAGTCTGAAAAAGATCATCAGCAGGTTAAATACTGTAGAAGAATAATTAATAAACTTGGGGACAACATAAATCATCTAAAATGAAACAGAGGAAAGACTGGAAAAAATAAACATAACATCAGTGAGCAGTGGAATAACATCAAGTGGCCTAGTACAGGTGTCATTGAATTCCCAAAAATTGTGGAGCAAGAAAGGAACAAAAAAAATACAAGAAATAAAGCCTAACTTTTTCCAAAGTTAATGATAATTATAATGACAATTATAAGCCTACATTTCCAAGGAGATCAATGAACCCCAAGCAGGAGAAATTTTAAAAACTATTCCAAGGCACATGTCTTCGTCAATTTGGGCCAATACACAAATCATCATAGAGTAGGTAGTATAAGCAACAAATATCTGTTTTCCACAGTTCTGGATGCTGGAAGTCCAGGACCAGGATGCCAGCATAGTCAGGTTCTGGTGAGGGGTCTCTTCCAGGTTGCAGACAGCTGACTTCTTGTTGGCAGAAAGAAGGCTGGAGAGCTCCCTGTGATCTCTTTCAAAAGGGCACTAAGCTCCCTGCAGTCTTTCTTTATAAGGGCGATAATTGCATCCATGAGATCTTCACCCTCATGACATTATGACCTCCCAAAGGCCCCACCTCCTAACAACATCATATTGTTGTAGGATTAGGATTTCAACATATGAATTTGGGGGAGAACACGCTACTTTAGTCTACAGTAGCACATCATAATTATAGGCCTAAAATCAGTGGTAAAGAAACAATTTTAAAGCAGCCAAAAAATAAAAAAAACACACATGTACAGAGGAACACAGATAAGAATGGCAGCAGACTTTTGTTTCTTTTTTTCTATTCTCAAGCTAACATGTTATAGACGTCTTGAAATGAATGAAAACCAGAAGACACTGGAGCAACATCTTTAAAGTACTGGAAAAAAAAAAAAAAGGCTGGGCACGGTGGTTTACACCTGTAATCCCAGCACTTTGGGAGGCTGAGGCAGGCGGATCACCTGAGGTCAGGAGTTCAAGACCAGCCTGACCAACATGGAGAAATCCCGTCTCTAATAAAAATACAAAATTAGCTGGGCATGGTGGCAGGAGCCTGTAATCCCAGCTACTCAGGAGGCTAAGGCAGGAGAATCACTTGAACCTGGGAGGCAGAGGTTTCAGTGAGCCAAGATCGTGCCATTGCACTCCAGCCTGGGTAACAGAGCAAAACACCATCTCAAAAAAAAGAAAACCACCAGAGCAACCACCTAGAATTCTATATATAGTGAAGATGTAGTGGCTGAAAACTTCCCACATTTGATGAAAAACATTTATTCACACATCCAAGAAGCTCAATGAATTCTAAGAAGGATAAATCAAAGAAGAGCCACATCTAGACACATCAAAGTCAAATGTCGAGAGCTGAAGGTATATATCCAGATAAATTAACGGCAGGGATCTAAGCACATACTTGTACTCCAACTGTCAATCAACAAATGGATAAATGAAGTATAGTATATACATATGATGGGATATTATTAAGTCTTAAAAAGGAATGACATTTGGGCCGGGCACAGTGGCTCATGCCTGCAATCCCAGCACTTTGGGAGGCTGAGGCAGGCAGATAATGAGGTCAGGAGTTTGAGACCAGCCTGACCAACATAGTGAAACCCCATCTCTACTAAAAATATAAAAATTAGGTGGGCGTGGTGGCACATGCCTGTAATCCCAGCTACTTGGGAGACTGAGGCAGGAGAATCACTTGAACCCAGGAGACAGAGGTTGCAGTGAGCCAAGATCACACCACTGCACTCCAGCCTGGGTAACAGAGTGAGAGTCCGTCTCAAAAAAAAAAATACAAAAAAATTAGCCAGGTCTGGTTGTATACACCTGTAATCCCAGCTACTCAGGAGGCTGAGGCAGGAGAATCGCTTGAACCCGGGAGGCAGAAGTTGTGGTGAGCCAAGATCGCGCCACTGCACTCCAGCCTTGGCGACAGAGTGAAACTCCATCTCAAAAAAAAAAATTGTTACTAAAAATAGAGAAGGACATTGTATAATGATAAAGGGGTCAACCTATGAGGAAAATATAGCAATTATAAACATATATGCACCTAACACCAAAGCACCAAAGTACATAAAGTGAAAACTGACAGAAGTGAAAGAAGATATAGACAATTCAAAAACAGTAGTTGGAGACTTCAATTCCTCACATTCAATAATGGATTTAAAAAATAGGCATAAAATGTCTAGGTTATAGAAGATTTGGACAACACTATAAACTAGTTAGACCTAATAGACATCTATTGAATACTCTACCCAAAAACAGCAGAATATATATTATTCTCAAATGCAGATGGAGTATTCTCCATAATAGATCACATGGTAGGCCATTAAAAAAGCCTTGATAGATTTTAAGTGATTGAAATAATGTAAAGTACATTTGCTAAAAACACTGGAATTTGTGAAAGAAATTTAGGAAATTCACAAAAATATGGAACTTTAAAAACACAATCTTAAATACCATTTGGTTAAATAATAAATCACAGAGGAAGTCAAAAAATACTTTGAGATGAATGAAAACAAAAACACAACTAAAACTTATCAGATTCAGGTAAAAGCAGCACTTGCAGGGAAATTCATGGCTATAGTTGCCTATATTAAAAAAGAAGACAGCTCTCAAATTGAAACTTTGAAAACTGAAGAAGAGCAAACTGAACCTAAAGAATAAAATAGTAAAGATATAATGAAAAGAAATAAAATAGAGGATAGAAAAACAATAACCAAGAACCCAAAAGTTGGTATTTGAAAAGATTAACAATATTGATAAGCATTTAGCTGCATTGACCAAGAAAAAATGGAAACAACTCAAATATCTATCAACTTATTAATGTAAATAAAAGGGTATATCCATACAATGAAACATTACTTGAAAATAAGAAGGAATAAAGTATCAATACATGCTATCACATGGATGAACCTTGAGAACATTGTACTAAGTGAAAGAAAACCACATATGTATGTCTAAAACAGGCAAATCTATAGAGATAGAAAGTAGATTAATTGTTGCCTAGGGGTAGGGTGGGGGAATTGGGAGTGATTGCTAATAGATAGAGTTTCTTTTGTAGATGATCTAAATACAGTTATGCATCGCTTAACAACCAGGATGCGTTTTGAGAAATACATCATTAGGCAATTTTGTCATTGTGTGAACATCATAGAATGTACTTACACAGACCCAGATGGTATAGCCTGCTATGCACCTAAGCTATATGGTATAGACTATTGCTCCTAGGTTACAAACCTATACAGCATGTTACTGTACTAAATACTCTAAGCAATTGTAACATAATGGTATTACAGTCATGCACAGCATACTGACATTTTGGTTAACAATGGACTGCATATACAACGGTGGTCCCATAAGATTATAATGGAGCTGCCCTACACAGGTATACCATTTTTTCACTTTGGGAGGCCACGATGGGCAGATCACTTGAGCCCAGGAATTCAAGACAAGCCTGCGCAACATGGAAAAAACCTGTCTCTACAAAGAAATAGAAAAATTAGCCAGGTGTGGTGGTGTGTGCCTGTAGTCCCAGATACTTGGGAGGCTGAGGCAGAAGGATCGCTTGAGCATGGGAGGTGGAGGCTGCAGTGAGGTGAGATTGTGCCACTGGACTCCAGCCTGGGCAACAGAGTGAAAGTGTCTCAAAACAAGAAAAAAGTATACCATTTTTTATCTTTTATATTAGGTTGGTGCAAATGTAATTACAGTTTTTGCATTGTGGAAATTTGCTGTTTGATATTGGAATACATTCTTAAATAAATGTGGTTCTGTTATACATCATTTTCATGAACATTTCTCACTTTATGTATTTTGCTAATGACTTATTACTTGATGTTTATTTTATATTTATTTTAGAATATGAAAATGATGTTCTACAAAAAGGAAATTCAAACGATTTTCTTATTCAAGTTCAAAATAGGTCGTAAAGCAGTGGAGACAACTTGCAACATCAACAACGCATTTGGTCCAGGAACTGCTAACGAACATACAGTGCAGTGGTGGTTCAAGAAGTTTTGCAAAGGAGATGAGAGTCGTGAAGATGAGGAGCATAGTGGAAGGCCATCAGAAGTTGACAACAACCAATTGAGAGTAATCATTGAAGCTGATCCTCTTACAAGTACACAAGAAGTTGCCGAAGAACTCAACGTCAACCATTCTGCAGTCATGCGGCACTTGAAGCAAATCGAAAAGGTGAAAAAGCTCGATAAGTGGGTGCCACAAGAGCTGAGTGAAAATAAAAAAAGTCATCTTTCTGAAGTGTCATCTTCTCGTGTTGCAGGCAACAACAATGAACCATTTCTCAATTGGTTTGTGATGGGTGACGAAAAGTGGATTTTGTACAACAATCAGCAACGACTAAGTCAGTGGCTGGACCCAGAAGAAGCTCCAAAGCACTTCTCAAAGCCAGACTTGCACCAAAAAAGGTCATGGTCACTGTTTGGTGGTCTGCTGTCGGTCTGATTCACTGCAGCTTTCTGAGTCCTGCTGAAACCACTGCATCTGAGAAGTATGCTCAGCAAATTGATGAGATGCATTGAAAACTGCAATGCCTGCAGCCAGCATTGGTCAACAGAAAGGGACCAATTCTTCACGACAACACCCAACCGCACCTCGCACAACCAATGCTTCAAAAGTTGAATGAATTGGGCTACAAAGATTCGCCTCATCCACCATATTCACCTGATGTCCCGCCAACCAACTACCACTTCTTCAAGCATCTCGACAGTTTTTAGCAGGGAAAATGCTTCCACAACCAGCAGCATGCAGAAAATGCTTTCCAAGAGTTATTCGAATCCTGAAGCATGGATTTTTACACTACAGAAATTAACATACTTATTTATCATTGGCAAAAATGTGTTGATTTTAATGGTTCCTATTTTGATTAACAAAGATGTGTTTGAGCCTAGTTATAATGATTTAAAATTCATGGTCTGAAACCACAATTACTTTTGGACCAATCTAATACCATATTTTGACTGTATCTTTTCTATGCTTAGATACACGAAATACCACAGTGTTACAATTGCATACAATATTCAGTAGAGTGTATAAACCTGTACAGCATGTTTATAACCTAGGAGTAATAGGCTATCCTATATAGCCTATGCGTATAGTAGACTAGACCATCTAGGTTTGTGTAAGCATACTTTATGACAATTGCACAATGACAAAATCATCTAATGATGCATTTTTTAATGTATCCCTACCATTAAGCAATGTACTTGTACTCCACTTGTACATTAAGCAATGTACTTCTACTCCACTTGTACATCTTGTGTATCTTAACATAGTATGTGCTATACTGTTATACAGCTGGCAGTAGATTTGTTTACACTAGCATCACCACAAACATGTGAGTAATGTATTGTGGTACAACATTATGACAGCTATGACATTACAAGGCCGTAGGAATTTTTTACCTCCATTATAATCTTACAGGACCACTGTCACATATGTGGTCTGTCATTGACTGAAATGTCATCATGCTGTGCATGACTGTATTTTGAATTAGATGATGGTGATGGTTGTGCAAATTTTAGATCTCACACTTTATATAGGTATACGGTATGCGAATTATAGCTTTATAAAGCTATTTTTAAAAAGATCTTTTAAAAAAGAAGACCTAGATAAAATAACTAGCTTTATGCCTAGGAAAAGGAAATTAATTTTAAGTTAAAAACCTTTTCCCAGACCAGGTGTAGTGGCCCATGCCTGTAATCCTAGCACTTTGGGAAGCCAAGCAGGAGGATCACTTGAGACCAGGAGTGTGAGACCAGCCTGGCAACGTAGTGAGACCCCATTTCTCCAAAAAAATTAAAGAAAAAAGTGAACAGGGCATGGTGGTGCATGCCTGTGTTCCCAGCTACTCAGGAGGCTGAAGTAAGAGAATGGCTTCAGCTTTGGTGGGGGTCAAGGCTGCAGTGAGCTGCGATTGTGCCACTGCACTCCAGCCTAGGTGACACAGTAAGACCCCATCTCAAAAAAGAAAGAAAGAAAAGAAGAACAAACAAGATAAAACAACCCAACCTTTTCCACAAGGAAAACTTCAGGCCTAAATGGCTTTACTGGTAAATTCTAGCCAACATTTAAGAAGAAATAATATGAGTTCCATACACTCTTTCAGACTTTTGAAGAGGGTGGAATACTCCGACTCATTCTGAGGCCAGCACTATCCTGATATCAAAACCAGATAAAGACATTACAATAAAAGAGAACTACAAACCAATATCCTTCATGAAAAAAAATTCTTAACAACTTTTAACAAATTAAATCCAACTAAATATATAAAAGACAATAGGTAATGACCAAGTGGGGTTTATCCCAGAAAGGCAAAATTGGCTTAATATTTTAAAAATTAGTCAATATCATTCACCATATTGACAGACTTAAAAATTATTTTAATAAATGTAGAAAAAGCATTTGTCACAAAAGGTTCATTTATTGCAATAATTCTCAGCAAATGAGGAATGAAAGGGAACTTCCTCAACCTGATAAAGTGTATATACAAAAAACTTACAGGCTGGGGCCGGGTGCAGTGGCTGACGCCTGTAATCCCAGCACTTTGGGAGGCCGAGGCAGGTGGATCACCTGAGGTCAGGAGTTCCAGGCCAGCATGGCCAACATGGTGAAACCCCACTCTTTACTAAAAATACAAAAAATTAGCCGGGCGTGGGAGTGGGCATCTGTAATCCCAGCTACTCGGGAGGCTAAGGCAGGAGAATTGCTTGAACCCAGGAGGTGGAGGTTGCCGTGAGACCAGATCATGCCATTGCACTGCAGCCTGCACAACAAGAGCAAAACTCCATCTCAAAACATGCACACAAACAAAACCTTAGAGGCTGGGCACAGTGGCTGTCACCTGTAATCCCAGCACTTTGGGAGGCTGAGGCAGGTGGATCACTTGAGGTGAAGAGTTCGAGACCAGCCTGGGCAACATGGCCAACCCCTGTCTCTACCAAAAATACAAAAATTAGCTGGGCGTGTCCAGGCGTGGTGGCTCACACCTGTAATCCCAGCACTTTGGGAGGCCGAGGCGGGCAGATCACTTGAGGTCAGGAATTCGAGACCAGCCTGCCCAACCTGGTGAAACCCTGTCTCTACTAAAAATACAAAAATTAGCCGAGTGTGATGGCGGGCACCTGTAATCCCAGCTACTCAGGAGGCTGAGGCGGGAGAATCACTTGAACCCAGGAGGCAGAGGTTGTAGTGAGCTGAGATTGTGCCATTGCACTCCAGCCTGGGCGACAGAGCAAGACTCCATCTCAAAACAAACAACGACAAAAAATTAGCCAGGCGTGGTGGTGGGCGCCTCTAATCCCAGCCACTCAGGAGGCTGAGGCAGGAGAATCGCTTAAATCTGGGAGGCAGAGGTTGCAATGAGCTGAGATTGTGCCACTGCACTCTCAAAATACAAACAAACAACAACAACAAAAAACCTTATAGGCCACGTGAGGTGGCTCACACCTGTAATTCCAGCACTTTGGGAGGCTAAGGTAGGAGAATTGCTTGAGCCCAGAATTTTGAGACCAGCCTGGGCAACATAGTGGAACCCCCATCTCTACAAAACATAAAAAAAATTTGCCGGGGGTGGTGGCTCAGGCCTGTATTCCCAGCTACTCAGGAGGCTGAGGTGGAAGGATCACTTGAGCCCAGGAGGTGGAGGCTGCAGTGAGATGTGATTGTGACACTCTACTACAGCCTGGGTGACAAAGTGAGACCCCGTCTCAAAAAATAAAAAAACTTACACTTAACATTATACTTAAGGGTGAAAGGCTGAATACTTTTGCCCTAATATCTGGAATGAAGCAACGTTCATTCACAACTTCTATTGGAGGTACTAGATAGTGTGATAAGGCAAAAGAAAACAACAGACATAATCACTAGAAAAAAGGCAAAACTGTTTATTTGCAATTACGTAATTGTCTAAAGAATCCTAAGAAATCTACAAAAAGAGCTACCAGAACTTTTATGTGGGTATAGAAAATTGCAAATACAAAATCCATGTGCAAAGATCAGTTCAATTTCTATATCTAGCAATAAACAATCAAATTGAAATTTTAAATACCATTTAAAGTAGCATGGAAAATATGGAATTCCTGGGGACAAATTTAACAAAAGATATGCAGACCTATACATTGAAAAGTATAAAATAAAGCTGACAGAAATCCAAGGTGACCCAAATAAATTGGGAGATTTATTTAGGTTCATGGATCAGAAGACTCAGTTTTCTTCAAATTGGTCTATAGATTTAAGGCAATCTCAGTGAAAATCCTAATAGGCTTGTATGGAGGAATAGGCAAGCCAATTCCAAAATGAATGCAGAAATGCTAGAATAGCCAAAGTAACTTCGAGATAGAAAAACAAAGTAGGAGGAGTTACAGTCATTGATTTTAGGCTTATAGAACCAGACCAGTCCAGATGAGGTGGTATTGGCATAGACATACAGATCAATGGAACATCGTAAAGAACTCAGAAGCAGGTTCACAAATTTATGGACGACTGATTGTTTAACAGCTTTATTAAGATACAATTCACACATTTAAAATGTGCATTTGAGGGACTTTTAGTACACTCAGAGTTGTGCAACCATCACCACAATCTAATCTTAAAACATTTAGGTTACCCACAAAGAAAACCCTATATTGATTAATAGTCACTCCCCATTTCCTCCCAAATCCCCCCAACCCCCTGTCCCTAGGCAATCACCAATCTACTTTCTGTCACTATGGACTTGCTTGTCTGGACATTTTACATAAATGGTATCATGCAATATGGGGTCTTTTTCCCTTCTGGAATTGCCCAAAATTTGGTGGGAGGAACCAGCTAAATTGTCTCCCAACTGTAGCCAGTTATTCCAATACCATTTATGGAAAATTTTCTTTTCTTTTTCCACTGGTTTGAAATGTTAATGAAATACCCTCATCATGTACCTATTTCTCCCTCATATGTGTGTTTTCCTCAGAGTTTAATTCTGTTCTAGAAATAAATCCAAGTCACAAAGAATATTCAGTGAATGATCTGATTTGCTTTTTTCTCTGTGCTGGTAATTTGCTATTGCAATTTCTGTAATTCTAAATGATGTCATACATTTGGGAAGATTAGTGCCACATCAGTACTCTTTTTTGTTTGTTTGTTTGTTTTTGAGACGAGTTGCCCAGGCTGGAGTGCAGTGGCACGATCTCGGCTCACTGCAACCTCCGCCTCCAAGGTTCAATTGATTCTCCTGCCTCAGCTTCCTGAGTAGCTGGGATTACAGGCACATGCCGTAATGCCCGGTTAATTTGCGTATTTTCAGTAGAGATGGGGTTTCACTGTGTTGTCCAGGCTGGCCTCGAACTCCCGACCTCAGGTGATCTGCCTGCCTCGGCCTCCCAAAGTGCTGGGATTACACGCGTGAGCCACCGCATCGGGCCCTATTTCTATTTTAATATTAATGAATATTCTTCTATGTTTATTCTCCCATGTTAATAAATTTTATAAGTAACTAAATTAAAAAGTCTTATTGGGGTATTTAAATATCATGTTTATTAAAGCATAATATTTTGAGATTTTAATGGGGATTACATTGCATTAGTAGATTAATTCTAAGAAAATTGACAACCTTACAGTATTAGATTTTCCTATCCAATTATGTCTTTTTTGTACTTTGGTAGCTTTTTACTTTTCCTGATATAGGTCTTGTAAATTCAAGTTTTGCTTGTGTGAAGTAAAACTGTCTCTGTTGACTGATGTCATAATCTTATTTATAGAAAACCCTAAAAACTCCACCAAAAAACCTGTTATAACTAATAAACAAATACAGTAAAGTTACAGGATACAAAATCTACATACAAAAATCAGTTGTGTTAGTTACCTTAAGAACAAACTATTCAAAAACATTTTTTTTTTTTTTTTGAGATGGAGTTTTGCTCTTGTTGCCCAGGCTGGAGTGCAATGGTGCGATCTTGGCTCATCGCAACCTCTGCCTCCCAGGTTCAAGCAATTCTCCTGCCTCAACCTCCCGAGTAGCTGGGATTACAGGCATGCACCACCACGCCCGGCTAATTTTGTATTTTTAGTAGAGATGGGGTTTCTCCATGTTGAGGCAGTTCTCGAACTCCTGACCTCAGGTGATCCGCCCACCTCAGCCTCCCAAAGTGCTGGGATTACAGGCGTGAGCCACCGCGCCTGACCTATTCAAAAAAAATTGTTAATCCCATTTATAATAGTATAAAAAATAAAATACTTAGGTATAACTTTAACCAAGAAGGTGAAAGCTCTATAAAATGTAAAAACTGTAAAGCATTAATGAAAAAGATTAGACAACAATAAATGGAAAGGTATCTTATGTTTATGGATGGGAAAAATTAGTATTGTTAAAAATGTCCTTACTACCCATCAATCTACAGATCTACAGATTCAACGCAATCCCTGTCAAAATCCCAATGGCTTTTCTTTACAGAAATAGAAAAAAAAATCCTAAAATTCACATGGAACCACAAAGACCCCTAATTGTCAAAAGAATCTTGAGAAAGAACAAAGCTGGAGGCATCACACTTCCTGAATTCAAATTATTGTATCTTACAAAGCTATAGCAATCAAAGCAGTATGGGGTTGGTATAAAAATAAACACATACACAAGTTGAACAGAATAGAAAGCCCAGAAATAATTCCATGCATATAAATCAACTAATTTTTAACAAGGGCACCAAGAATACACAATGGGGAAAGGATAGTCTCTTCAGTAAATAGTGTTGGGAAAACTGTTTATCCACTTGCAAAAGAATGAAACTGGATCCTTATCTATACACAATACACAAAAATAAACTCAAAACGGATTAAAGTCTTAAACATAAGATCTGAAACCATAAAACTCCTAGAAAGAAACATAGGAAAAAAATCTCCTTAACGTTGGTCTTGGCAATGATGTTTTGGATATGATACCAAAAGCACAGGCAATAAAAGCAAAAATCAACAAGTAGGATTATATCAAATTAAAAAGCTTCTGCACAGCAAAGCAAACAATCAACAAAGTGAAAGGGCAATCTACAGATGGGAGAAAATATCTGCACACCATGTATCTGATAAAAGGTTCATATTCTAAATATACACGGAATTCATACAACTGAATAGCAAAACAAACAAACAACTTGACTAAAATATGGGCAAAGGACCTGAATAGACATTTCACACAAGAGGACATGCAAATGGCCAGCAGAAATATGAAAAGATGCTCAGCATCATTAATCACCAGAGAAATGCAAATCAATACCTCAATGAGACATCATCTTACACCTGTTAAGGTGGCCATTATCAAGAAAGCAGAAGACAACTGCTGGCAAGGATGTGGAGAAAAGGGAACCCTTGTACACTGCTGGTAGAAATGCAAATTGCTGTAGCTGTTATGGAAAACAGTATGGAGCTCCCTCAAAAAATTATAAATAGAACTATCAAGTGATCTCACAATCCTATTTATGGGTATATAGCCAAAGGAATTGAAATCAGGAGCTCAAAGATATATTTGCATTCCCATGTTTATTGCAGTATTATTCACAGTAGCCAAGATATGGAGGCAACCTAAATGTATACTAAGAAATGAATGAATACAGAAATACAATGGAATATTATTTAGCCTTAAACCAAAAAAAAATCCTGCCATTCAGGACAACATGGTAGGACCTGGAGGACGGTATGTTCAGTGAAATAAACCAGACAAAGAAAGACAAACAGAGTATGATTTCACTTGTATGTGGAGTCTCAAATAGTCAAGCTCATAGAAGCAGGGACTAGAATGATGGTTGCCAGAGGCTGAGGAGAGGGGTAAATGGAGAGGTGAAGGATGAGGAGTACAAAGTTTCAGTTATGCAAGATAAATTCTGGAGATCCATACAACACAGTGCCTATAACAATATTGTATACTTAAAATTGCTAAGATGATAGATCTTCTGTTACGTGTTCTTACCAAAACCAACCAACAAAAACAAAAGCCTCCACAATATGTTTATTTTTATTTTTGAGACAGGGTCTCGCTCTGTCACCCACCCTGGAGTGCAGTAGCACTATCATGTCTCACTGCAGCCTCAACCTCCTGGGCTCAAGCAATCCCCCTGCCTCAGCCTCTCAAGTAGCTGGGACTATAGGTGCACACCACCACACCCAGCTAATTAAACAAATTTTTGTTTTTGTAGAAACAAGGTCTCCCTATGTTGCCCAGGCTGTTTTCTAACTCCTGGGCTCAAGAGATGCTCCTACTTCAGCCTCCCAAAGTGCTGGGATTATAAGCATGAGCCACTGCATCTGGTTAAAAAACCCTACAATAATATTAATAAAGAGGATGGGAGGAAACTTTGGGAGGTGATGGATATATTTATGACTTTTATAGTGGTGATGGTTTCATGGGTGTATGCGTGTCCCTAGACTTATCGAGATGATGTCAATCATACCTCAATAAAGTGGTTTTTAAAAAGTTTTGCCTGTGTGTGTGTTTACATATATATATATATAATATATATATGCCTGTGTGTGTATTTATATAACATGTATTTATTTACATACACACACACACACACACACACACACACACACATATATTTTTTGAGACGGAGTCTTGCCCTGTTGCCCAGGCTGCAGTGATCTCTGCTCACTGCAACCTCCACCTCCCGGGTTCAAGAGATTCTCCCTGCCTCAGCTTCCCAAGTAGCTGGGATTACAGGCACCTGCCACCATGCCCAGCTAATTTTTGTATTTTTAGTAGAGACGTGGTTTCACCATGTTGGCCAGGCTGGTCTTGAACTCCTGACCTCAGGTGATCTGTCCACCTTGGCCTCCCAAAGTGCTGGGATTACAGACGTGAGCTACTGTGCCTGGCCCTTATTTTTTTTTTATATTTTTATTTTTTTTGAGACAGAGTCTCACTCTGTCACTCAGGCTGACCTATGTTGATATTTTTAAATTTCTATTTTGAACATTTTTCTTCCATTTACATATTCTAACCAGCTATTGTTTGTAGCTAGAATAACCATTCCTTTTTGTATGCTGATTTAATAATTGGTTATATTACTGAATTTTCTTGTTAATAATGTTTATTTTGGGGGGGGCACAGGTGGGGACAGGGTCTTGCTCTGTCATCCAGGATGGAGTGCAGTGGCATGAACACGGCTCACTGCAACCTTGACCTCCTGGACTCAAGCGACGCCCCTGCCACAGCCTCCTGAGCCCAGCTAATTTTTTTCTTTTTAAATTTTTTGTAGACAAGGTCTCGCTGTTGCCTAGGCTGGTCTTGAACTCCTGGGCTCAAGCAATCCTCCCACCTCAGCCTTCCAAAGTGTTGGGATTACAGGTGTGAGTCACCACACCTGGCCTTATTAGTAATTTTTAAATGCTCTTACTGTATTTTTGCTTTGTACAATCATATCCTCTAAAATAAGAATAATTTTGTCTTTTTCAATTATTATATTTATTTCATTCCCTTACCTGGGGAAGAGAGAGATTGTTTTCATAGAAAGCTCCTTGGAGGATACATAACTTGGGTAAATGTTGCAGGTATAGTAGCGTAGACACCTCAACCTGAACTGTCCTACTCCCCACTAATGGAGTAAATTAATAAATGATTGGTGGCCCTTAGAATTCTCTACTTTTTACATCATAGAAAAACTCAACGTAATAGTGATTTGGAACATGTTCACAGTAAGAACTAGAGAGTTTTGTTTTCTCAATTAACGTCAGAAGCATTAGAACCAGAACGACTTCCTTCTGAATGGAGGAAGGTAAAACGAGGCCGAGACCCGCTGGGCTGCATTCCCACGAGGTTAGGCATTCTTAGTCACAGAATGAGATTGGAGGTCACCGGACTGGTATTACAAGACATAGGTTATAAAGACCCTGCTGATGAAACAGGATGCAGTAAAGAATCTGGCCCAAACCCACCAAAACCAAAATGGCAAGGAAAACGACCTCTGGTCGTCCTCTCTGCTCATTATACACTTACTATAACGCATTAGCATGTTAAAAGACACTTCCACCAGCTCCATGACAGTTGTAAACTGCTATGGCCAGGTAGGGAATCTACCCTATATGGTCAAAAGAGGAACCCTCGGTTCCAGGAAATCCCTGTCCCTTTACCAGAAAACTCATGAATAATCCACCCCTTGTTTAACATATAAACAAGCAATAACTATTAGTATACTCAGTGGAGCAGCCCCTAGCCCTGCTCTGCCTACGGAGTAGCCATTCTTTTGTTTTTTTTTGTTTTGTTTTGTTTTGTTTTTGCTTCTCTAATAAAATTGCTTTCACTTATGGCCCCAAATTCTTTCTTGCCAGAGATCCAAGAATCTTCTCTTGGGACTGGGATCCCTTTCCAGTAACACTGATATCACAACTAAAGGACTTAAAAGCCTGATAAATGTACACAAGTACATGAAATGTGAATCCCACTATTATCATTTTCAGTAAATTGTCATCAATTTAAAACTTTTGGAGAATCCACAAAATTCTCATTGTCCAAATCCAATCCACAAGAATGATTAAAAACAGTGTGAATAAGACCTCAAATCCTTCAGAACGCTGATATTACAGGAAAGGGGTCCCAATCCAGACCCCAAGAGAGGGTTCTTGGATCTCACGCAAGAGAGAATTCAGGGCAAGTCCATACAGTAAAGTGAAAGCAAGTTTATTAAGAAAGTAAAGAAATAAAAGAATGGCTACTCCATAGCTGGTTGCCCATTTTTATGGTTATTTCTTGATGTTATGCTAAACAAGGGGTGGATTATTCATGCCTCCCCTCTTTAGACCATATAGGGTAACTTCCTGACATTGCCACAGCACTCGTAAACTGTCATGGCGTTGATGGTGTGTCCAGCATTGGTGGGTTCTTGGTCTCACCGACTTCAAGAATGAAGCTGCGGACCCTCGCGGTGAGTGTTACAGTTCTTAAAGATGGTATGTCTGGAGTTTATTCTTTCTGGTGGGTTCCTGGTCTCACTGGCTTCAGGAGTGAAGCTGCAGACCTTCGCAGTGAGTGTTATAGCTCTTAAAGGCACTGCGGACCCAAAGAGTGAGCAGCAGCAAGATTTATTGCAAAGAGCAAAAGAACAAAGCTTCCACAGTGTGTAACGGGACCCGAGTGGGTTGCCACTGCTGGCTCAGGCAGCCTGCTTTTATTCCCTTATCTGGCCCCATCCACATCCTGCTGATTGGTCCATTTTACAGAGAGCTGACTGGTCCATTTTGACAGGGTGCTGACTGGTGCATTTACAATCCCTGAGCTAGACACAAAAGTTCTCCAAGTCCCCACTAGATTAGCTAGACACAGAGCGCTGATTGGTGCATTTACAAACCTTGAGCTAGACACAGGGTGCTGATTGGTGTGTTTAACAAACCTTGAGCTAGACACAGAGTGCTGATTGGTGTTATTTACAATCCCTTAGCTAGACATAAATATTCTCCACGTCCCCACCAGATTAGCTAGATACAGAGTGCTGATTGGTGCATTTACAAACCTTGAGCTAGACACAGAGTGCTGATTGGTGTATTTACAATCCTTTAGCTAGACATAAAGGTTCTTCAAGTCCCCACCAGATTAGCTAGATACAGAGCGCTGATTGGTGCATTTACAAACCTTGAGCTAGACACAGGGTGCTGATTGGTGTGTGTACAATCCTCTAGCTAGACATAAAAGTTCTTCAAGTCCCCACTAGACTCAGGAGCCCAGCTGGCTTCACCTAGTGGATCCTGCACTGGGGCCGCAGGCAGAGCTACTTGCCAGTCCCACGCCGTGGGCCTGCACTCCTCAGCCCTTGGGCGGTCGATGGGACCAGGTGCCGCGGAGCAAAGGGAGGTGCTGGTCAGGGAGGCTTGGGCCACGCAGGAGCCCACGGCGGGGGCGGGGGAGGCTCAGGTATGGCGGGCTGCAGGTCCTGAGCCCTGCCCCGCGGGGAGGCGGCTGAGGCCCGGGGAGAATTCCAGCGCAGTGAGGGCGGGCCCACAGTGCCGGGGGACCTGGTGCCCCCTCCGCAGCTGCTGGCCCAGGTGCTAAGCCCGCCGAGCCCACGCCCACCCGGAACTTGCTCTGGCCCCGGTTCCCACGGACACCTCTCCCTCCACACCTTTCTGCAAGCAGAGGGAGCTGGCTCTGGCCTGCGCCAGCACAGAGTGGCTCCCACAGTGCAGCGGCGGGCCGAAGGGCTCCTCAAGTGTGGCCAGAGCAGACACCGAGGCCGAGGAGGTGCTGAGAATGAGCGAGGACTGCTAGCGCGTTGTTATCTCTCAATGAGAGTGCAGTAGTGAGGATGACCAGAGTTCACTCTCATTGCCATCTTAGTTTTGGTGGGTTTTGGCCGGCTTCTTTACTGCATCCTGTTTTATCAGCAAGATCTTTATAAGCTATATTTTGCGCTGACGTTCTATCTCATCCTGTGACTTAGAATGCCTTAACCGTCTGGGAATGCAGCCCAATAGGTTTCAGCCTTACTTTACTCAGCCCCTATTTAAGATGGAGTTGCTCTGGTTCACACGCCTCTGACACTGGTTACCGTGTGAAAGAAATGGAGTGTTGTTTTTTTTACAGCTTTCTTCCGAACCTTACTCTCTAAGGATGGTATCCAGTATGTCCTTTTTTTTTTCAGATGGAGTCCTGCTCTGTTGCCCAGGCTGGAGTGCAGTGGTACTATCTTGGCTCACTGCAAGCTCCGCCTCCTGGGTTCATGCCATTCTCCTGCCTTAGCCTCCCGAGTAGCTGGGACTACAGGCAACCACCACCACACCCAGCTAATTTTTTTTTTTTTTTGTATTGTTAGTAGAGACGGGTTTTCACCGTGTGAGCCAGGATGGTCTCAATCTCCTGACCTCGTGATCCGCCCACCTCGGCCTCCCAAAGTGCTGGGATTACAGGTTTGAGCCACTGCGCCCGGCCTCCAGTATGTCCTTCACTGAATTGTAAACTTCTGAAGGTCAGGGCATTTTGGCTTTAAGTGTTTCTATCTTGTGCTCTCTTCCAGATCTTACCATGTAGTTGATATGCAACACATTTGTTGAGTAACTACATTTTAGGCCATAAAGGCACCTGTGCAGAAAAGGGCAGTCTAGTCTCATGCTTATGTGTCCAGAGTTGGTTCCTTCCGGTGGGTTCATGGTCTCGCTGACTTCAAGAATAAAGCTTGTCACCTTCGTGGTGAGTGTTACAGTTTTTTTTTTTTTTTTTTTTTTTTTTTGAGACAAGGTCTCTCTCTGTCTCCCAGGCTGGAGTGCAGTGACGCGATCTCAGGTCACTACAAGCTCTGCCTCTCAGGTTCACGCCATTCCCCTGCCTCAGCCTCCCAAGTAGCTTGGACTACACGACCGGCCAATTTTTTTTTTTTGTATTTTTAGTAGAGACGAGGTCTCACCGTGTTAAGGCAGGATGGTCTCGATCACCTGACCTCCTGATCCACCCGCCTCGGCCTCCCAAAGTGCTGGGAGTGTTACAGCTCTTAAAGGTCCCACAGACCCAAAGAGTGAGCAGCAGCAGCAAGATTTATTGTGAAGAGTGAAAGAACAAACTTTCCACAGTGTGGAAGGGGACCCAGGGCTGCCACTGCCAGCTAGGGGATGGGGGGCGTGGCCAGCTTTTATTTCCTTATTTGTCCCGGCCCAAGTCCTGCGGATTGGTCCACTTTACAGAACACTGATTAGCCCGTTTTACAGGGTACTGATTGGTGCATTTTACAAACCTCTAGCTAGCCACAAAGTGCTGATTGGTGCATTTTACAATCCTAGCTACAGAGTGCTGTTGGTACATTTTACAATCCTCTTGTAAGACAGAAAAGTTCTCCAAGTCCCCAACCGACCCAGAAGACCAGCTGGCTTTACCTCTCACTTAAACCTGTACTGTGTCAATATCCGTACATCAGTAAGTGTTGTCGATCAAGTTAGGGAAGTAGTGGATTTCTGGTGACAAATGTTACCCTTTCCAACTAAAGTTTAAAGAAGGTAAGTTGAACCCAAATCTACATACTGCTGTAGCCCCAAACGGAAATACTGCAAAAGCTCCATCAACGTCTCCCAGTCCATCCAGACTTTTACAAATGGATAGACCCCGGCCGCAGGAAACCAAGGAGCACCTGGGGTTGGGTTGGGTGAATTGGCTCTGGGGCTCATTCTTTTCACTACAGCGCCAGAAAAGCAAAAACCTAAACCAAGACCCAAGAGACCAGCCCTCAGCCTGCACCTGAGAGCACATTTTCCCTAGCCAGCACTGAGCATGCGCAGGCTGCGTGGTGTGGCGAAAGCGCAGCCAGGTCCGCGCTGCCGCCGCAGCCAATCGGAGGGAGGGAGCCGCCCGGACATTGTGAGGTGCCGAGGGAGGGGCGGCGGGCGAGGGGCAGGGCAGGGCGGACCCTGGACGCGCGGGCGCGCGCGGAAGGTAGCGCGGGGCCGCGTTGGCGCGCACGCGCCTGAGCGTGCGCCCGGTGGGGCCGGCCGGGACTCGCCGCTCGCACGCCCTTGGGCCGCGGCCGGGCGCCCGCTCTTCCTTCCGCTTGCGCTGTGAGCTGAGGCGGTGTATGTGCGGCAATAACATGTCAACCCCGCTGCCCGCCATCGTGCCCGCCGCCCGGAAGGCCACCGCTGCGGTGAGTGGCGTAGGCGTGGGCTCGGAGGGGTCCACTGGGCCGGCCACCGGTGGTTGCCCCTCGCGCGGGGTGGGCGTTGCGGGCGCGTGGCGGCCTGCGGACGAGGACGCTCCTCCCGGCCCGGGTGGGGTGCGAATGGTCCGCGCGGCCGGGTCCGCGGGGGGCGGGGGCAGCCGGGGGGTCACAGCCGGCGCGAGGGCCAGTCCCCAGCTCCTCCCTGCATTGCGGAGGAAGTGTGGCCCCGGGACCCCCGCGGGCCGGCCTAGGGCACGGCGTCAGCCTCTGCAGCGTGTTTCTGCCTGGTGTGTGGGTGAGGGAAACCTAAGTCCGCCAGGAAATCGCCTTATTGTCACCTCGCACTCTTATCCTCAATGAAAGAAGTTTGAAGATTGAGTGTCCTACAAGGTCAGACGTACTGTTTTTTAGAAAACTCGTGTATGAAAAGTCAAACTTATTTTTGCCTCCGGAAGCTTGCTTTTGCAGTGGAAAAATTCTACAGGATATGTGAGATGTTCCTGATTTCACTTGAAAGAGATAAACTGTTTTTCTTAGAATGTGATCATTTGCACTCAATGTCTAACTGGGACCTCTCAGTGCTACCCCCCCCCCATTCATTATCTCAGGAAATAAAGGGAGAAGTTGATCAGAATTTTTGCCATTTAAAAGAGGTCGATAAAGATTAAGTCGCCGAAGATAGTGTTGTGTAATTCTCTCGTAGGTTTCGTTCCGTTTTCCACCTTAAGCAAAGCTAGTGTGTAACAATCCTGTGTGGGCTTATTTAGGCATTGCTTATTAATTTTCCTCTTCTCTTATAGGTGATTTTCCTGCATGGATTGGGAGATACTGGGTAGGTACCATTATTATTAATAGTAACAGTAATGAAACTGGGTCATGCAACTTTTGTTTACGCGTTCAAAGGTTTAATGTTTAAGGGCGCTAAAATGGTATTTTAAGATTGCCAGTTAATGTATCTTACAGTGCGGTGATTTTATGTTTTGAAAACCCTCAGAATTTTCCCCTTATCATCGTGAGTTTATTGATTTTTTAACTCTGGTTTCTGGAACATATTAAAATTTCAAATTCCTCATTAGTTGCTTTGGGTATTGGATACCAGAGATCCGTGGAATGTTAGTAGGGACGGTGTGCAATTGAGAGCTTTCCAGAGCAGTTAAAATTTCAGAGCAGATTGAAGAGAAGAACTAGTTGATTTTGATAAGAGAACTAGTGGCAACATAAGGCATGCAGCATTCTGAATAGAGGGATTAGATGTTCACTCTAATGAGTTGAAAGGCAGGGGAGGCAACTCAAAGATTTATTTGGAGGCTTATCAAACAATTTGTTGTACTAACTACTTATTTTTATTTTATTTTTTGTTTGTTTGCTTTTTTCTTTTGTTATTATTTTTAGAGACAAGGGCTCTCTCTGTCGCCCAGGCTGGAGTGCAGTTGCAGGATCTTAGCTCACTGCAGCTTTGAACTCCTGGGCTCAAGTGATCCTTCAGCCTCAGCCTCTCAAAGCACAGAGATTAGAGGTGGGAGCTGCCTGAGCCTGGCCTTTTGTACTAACTTTAGATACATGATTTATCTTTTACTCAAGCTTTTTCTATATTGAGATGTTTTTGTTTTTATATTTAAATTGGTGATAATCTGTGAAACTTAAGCAAAATATGAATGTTGTTGAAAAATTGCAGAAATAGAGGAAAACTGAAGATAAATAAATTTTGATAAAGTAGCCCCAGAACGACTAAATTTTCTTTAAAATGAACCATTGGGGCCGGGCGCGGTGGCTCACACCTGTAATCCCAGCACTTTGGGAGGCCGAGGTGGGTAGTTCACTTGATGTCAAGAGTTCGACACCAGCTTGGCCAATATGGTGAAACCCCATCTCTACTAAAAATATAAAAATTACCCGGGTGTGGTGGTGCATGCCTGTAATCCCAGCTGCTAGGGAGGCTGAGAGAAGAGAATCACTTGAACCTGGGAGGCAGAGGCTTCAGTGAGCCAAGATTGCACGACTGCACTCCAGCCTGGGCCACAGAGTGAGACTCAAAAAAAAAAAAAATGCCATTAGGCTAGATTTTTGTTTGTTTGTTTGGAGACAGGGTCTGCTGTGTTGCCCTGGCTGGAGGGCAGTGGCGTGATCTTGACTCACTGCAACCTCCACCTTCTGGGTTCCTGGGTCTCCCGAGTAGCTGGGACTACAGTTGCTTGCCACCATGCCAGCTAATTTTTGTATTTTTAGTAGAGACAGAGTTTTGCCATGTTGGTTACGCTGGTCTCGAACTCCTGACCTCAAATGATCCACCCACCTGAGCCTCCCAAAGTGCTGGGATTACAGGCGTGAGCCACCACTTAAAAGTGATTCCTATTTTTTGCCTAATAAGTCGAGTTATGTAATACAAACTTTGTATGGAGTTACAGAAAAGGTTGCAGCACTCTTTCTGGCAATCCAGTGGTCCTGTGAAAATGATGAACTTATTTTACCAAATGAAACTCGAATAGCAGAATCTCTATTTTATGGCCAAACCTTTCTTGATGTTGCAAGTCAGGGAGAAGGTTGCTATCCTCTAACTTTGCCAATAATGAGCACTTCTATGCCTGAATGATTAGTTCAAGCAAAAAAAAAAAAACTTCAGTCTAGGCAGATTCCACAGACTGAAGCTAAAAGTAAAAATGGTGAAGACTATTAGGATCAAAAATACCAAGAACATCCATTACATCTTGACCAAAAGTTAAGTTTATATTAAAAAAGTATCCTTCTTTTTAACCTGTTGTGATAAAAGAAAAAACAAAGGTCTCCAGTTCTGAAATTATTTGGTGGGATAATGCTAAGGAAAGGCTGACTCTAGATTGGTTCCATGAGTGCATGATGAAACTTCGAACCTGTCAGCCTGACAAGTGGCAATTTAATACTTAAGATATTGTAGTCTCCCCTTACCTGCAGTTTTGCTTCCCATGGTTTCAGTTACCCGTGGTTAACTGTGGTTTGAAAATACTAAATGAAAAATTCCAGAAATACTTTATAAGTTTAAAATTGTACACCATTCTTTTTTATTTATTTTATTATTATTTTTTGAGATGGAGTCTCACTCTGTCACCCAGGCTGGAGTGCAGTGGCACGATCTCGGCTCCCTTCAACCTCTGCCACTCGGGTTCAAGTGATTCTTGTGCCTCGGCCTCCGGCGTAGCTGAGATTACAGGCGCGTGCTACCACGTCCAGCTAATTTTTTTGTATTTTTAGTAGAGATGGGGTTTTGCCATGTTGGCCAGGGTGGTCTTGAACTCCTGACCTCTAGTGATCCACCCACCTCGGCCTCCCGCAGTGCTGGGATTACAGGCATGAGCCACCATGCCTGGCCTGAATTGTACACCATTCTGAGTATTGTGATGAAATCTCATTCCGTCTCACCCAGGACACGAATCATTCCTTTACCTAGCGTATCCATGCTATATCCATTCACCATCTGTTAGTCACTTGGTAGCCATCTGGGTTATCAGGTCAACTGTTTTGGTATTGTTTTGCTTTTTTTTTTGAGACAGAGTCTTGCTCTGTCACCCAGGCTGGAATGCAGTGACACAATCATGGCTCACTGCAACCTCCACTCTCCAGGTTCAAGCAACTCTCCTGCCTCAGCCTCCTGAGTAGCTGGGACTACAGGCGTGCACCACCACACCCGGCTAATTTTTGTATTTTTAGTAGAGACGGGGTTTCATCATGTTGGCCAGGCCAGTCTGGAACTCTTGACCTCAAGCGATCTGCCCGCCTTGGCCTCCCAAAGTGCTGGGAATACAGGCATGAGCCACCTCGCCCAGCCTGTAGTGCTTTTATCCAAATAAGCCTTACATTGCTTAATGATGGCCCCAAAGTGCAAGAGAAGTGATGTTGTCATATTGTTATAATTGTTTTATTATTGTTAATCTCTTCCTATGTCTAATTTACACAATAAACTTTATCACAAGCATTATGTATAGGAAAAAACATAGTATATATAGGGTTTGGTGTTATCCATGGATTCAGGCATCCACTAGGGGTTTTAGAGCATCCCCCACTGTTTATTTCTGGAATTTTCCATGTAATATTTTCGAACCACAGTTGACTGTGGGCAGCTGAAACCATGGAAAACAAAACTGTGGGTGAGAAGGACTAGGGTATTTTAAACATTATATAATCACAGAAAAGTTATCCCATTAAATTTAACATTTAGTATTATCTAATATATTATGCATTCAACCTTTGCCAGATTGTTCCATTAATATCCTTTATAGCTATCTCCTCCCTAGTCATACATTATATTTAGTTATCACGTCTCTTTAGTCTCTTTTGTCTCTTTTAATCTGGAACAATTCCCTAGATTTTCTTTTGTCTTTCACGACATTGACACTTCTGCAGAGAACAGGCTAGTCCTTTAATTTGGGTTTGTGTATTTACTCATGATTAGATTCAGTTTATGCATTTCTGGTATAAATACCATGTAAACAATATGTCCTATTCATTGCGCGCATCAGTAGACTAATGATGCTGAGTCCTTTTATTGTTGTAACTTCGATCTTTTGATTAAGGTGGTATCTTCCAGGTCTCGACTGCAGTTACTTTCCTTTTGTAATTAAAAAGCAAGTTGCGGGGGGATACTTTGTGACTATGCAAGTTGTTCATCAAGCTTTCACCCAATATTTTTATCATCCATTGATAATTGCTTGAGTCAATCATTTCTACAGTGTGATTTTCCAATTCTGTCATTCCTTTTTTTTTGTCATTCCATTTTGTTTATTAATCTGCTACTCCCCATTTAGTTAGTATGGACTCAGATTTATTTTCTATTTATTTATTTATTTGTTTATTTTTTGAGACAGAATCTCGCTCTGTCACCCAGCCAGGCTGGAGTGCAGTGGTGCAATCTCGGCTCACTGAACCTCCACCTCCCAGGTTCAAGCAGTTCTGCTGCCTCAGCCTCCCAAGTAGCTGGGACTATAGGTGCGTGCCGCCACACCCGGCTAATTTTTTTTTTTTTTTTTGAGACCTTGTCTCGCCCTGTCGTCCAGGCTGGAGTGTAGTGGCGTGATCTTGGCTCACTGCAACCTCTGCCTCCTGAGTTCAAGTGAGTCTCCTGCCTCAGCCTCATGAGTAGCTGGGATTACAGGCACGTGCCACCACGCCTGGCTAATTTTTTTTGTATTTTTAGTAGAGACGGGGGGGTTTCACCATGTTGGTCAGGCTGATCTCAAACTCCTGACCTCGTAATCTGCCCTCCTCAGCCTCCCAAAGTGCTGGGATTACAGGCGTGAGCCATAGTGTCCAGTCAGATTTTTGTAGTTTTAGTAGAGACGGGGTTTTGCCATGTTGGCCAAGCTGGTCTCGAACTCCTGACCTCAAGTGATTTGCCCACTTCGGCCTCCCAGTCCCTCCCTGGAATTACAGGCATGAACCACTGTGTCATGCCTGGACTCAGATTTATTTAATAGGTTATGTTCTATTCTGTTATGTTTTAAACTTTTTAACTTTTCATTTTAAATAACTTGAAATTTACATAAAAGTTGCAGAAATAACATTTATAGCTCCTTATACCTTTCACCCAAATTACCCAATTGTTAATATTTCTGAACTATTAAAGAATAAGTTGCAGGCGTGTTGCCTCATTACAGCTTAATTCTTCAGTGTACATTTTTAAGTACCAGGACACTCCAGTATAACCATCATTAAGAAGTTAACACTGATGGTATACTACGGTCTAATCCACCAGCTCCATTCACATTTCATTGATTTGAGCCAATAATGTCCTTTATCAGTCTAGGATCACATATTGCCTCTACTTATCATTTCTCTTTAGTTTTCTTTATTCTGAAACAGTCCTTGTCTTTCATGACCTTGACACTTTGTCAAGAATACAGGCCGGGTATGGTAATACCAGTGCTTTGGGAAGCTGAGCATGAGAATCGCTTGAGCCCAGCTGTTTGAGACCAGCCTGGGCAACAGCCAGACCCTGTGTCTACCAAAAAAAAAAAAAAAAAGTGTAAGCCAGTTACTTTGTAGAATGTCCCTCAGTTTGGGTTTATCTGATGTTTTGTGATTTATACCTTTTTGACAGTAACACTATAGGGGTATTGCTGTGTCCATAACAGTGCATCATATTAGGCAGACCTCATGATGATTTTGTTGTTACTGATGTGTTTTATCACTTGGTTAAGATGGTGTCTGCCAGGTTTCTCCACATTAAAATAATAAATATAACATATGAAATATTTAAAATATTGAATATGTAATTAAAATATTAAAAAATATTTTGTGGGGAGATACCTTGATATTATAACATATTCCTGATCCCCACCATATGTTCACCCATGGATTTAGCACCCATTAATGATTATTGCCAGAATCTATTGTTGTGGTAGTTGCCGAATATCTTATGATATTTAAATATTTAAAGTTAAAATATGGTCTTTTAATTAAATTTCCTTTGTTCTGGCCGGGTGCAGTGGCTCATGCCTGTAATTCCAGCACTTTGGGAGGCTGAGGCAGGAGGATCATCTGAGGTCAGTAGTTCAGTACCAGCCTGGCCAACATGACGAAACCTCGTCTCTACTAAAAATTAAAAAACTAGCTGGACAGGATGGTGCATGCCTGTTGTCCCATCTACTTGGGAGCTGGAGGTTGCAGTGAGCCAAGATGGTGCCACTGTACTCCAGCCTAGGCGACAGTGAGACTCAGTCTCAAAAAAAAAAAAAATTCCTTTATTCTGGATTTATTATTTAGCAGTCTACTGTGGGGTAGAGCTTTCCTTTCTCCTTTATTTATTACTTATGTAGATACTCATTTGTTTCAAAATTTTAAATCAGTACAGACTCTTGGATTCCTATTGTATTCAGAGGATAACAATCAAGTTAGTTATTTATTTTGATGCTCAAATTGTCCTTTAGTTGGCCACAGTAACCCTTTCAAGCTGGTACTTGGTGTCTTTTGGACATATCCTCATTCTTATTTGATCACTTCCTCACTTTATGGTACAAGACTTTTTCTAGGATTGTCTTATATGTTTCCTGCTCTAGTCCTGGACTCAGCCATTTTTCCAAGAACCCTGGTTCCTTTTAGTAGACAGTGAGATCTGGATGCTATATGTGCTCCCAGATCTAGACCCTTGCAGTGGACAGAGCTAAGAATATATGGACATACATACATATGTACACACATATCAGTTTTAGTATTTATAAGTATTCAAAATCTTGAGTTTATAATGATTCCTCCAATTGCAGCCCAGCACCACAGGGTTTATTATAGCCTTCTCCCTTTCCATATTTGTAATTCCGTGAGGAACCTGACTTCTGTTCTTGGGGGGTTCTGGCCAACAGTGCAACTGTGGAGTGTGCCCCTCCAGTTGCACCAGCTCACAGCTATGCTTCATTCATGGGACCTCTCCCCATCTGCTGAATATCACACCTGAAAGCTCAGTTCCAATTAAGGGGAAACGAGGAGGAGGAAAGGCCTGGTGGAAAGCTTGGTTCTCTTCATGTGTCCCCCTCCCTGCTACTCCCCAGCCCCGATGTATTCCAGGAATTACTTATCTGTATTACCAGTCCCTGTGACATTTCCTAGACCAAGGAGATTATAAAAGTATAGAGAAGAATGTTTGAAAGATAAAATAAGTGGTTGACTGGATCAGATTTTACTGAGAGGTCAAACAAGGTGAGGATTTAAAATAAATTGGCAACATGGATATGTTTTGTGACCGTAATAAGTTTGCAAGTCTTCCTGTAATCAAGAACTATTAATAATAGAATTATAGAATGTGATTTGGAGATCATTTAATTACAAGGAATAGAAAACTCTTCAACTAGCTTAAACAAAAATTAGAATTTGTGGAAGGATAGAAGGGCAGCCCACTGGCATATAAAGTCCATGAAGGCAAAGGTTTCTTTAATAAACTTTCATTAAGATAAAATTCACATACCATAAAATATACCTCAGCACAGGGATTTTTTGTGTTTTGTTTAAATTAATACTGTATTCCCAGTGCTAGAATAGTATAGGACATGTAATAGCACTAAGTATTTGTTGGACAAATAAATGAATAAATAAAGAATTAAAGGGTGAGACATACGAGGAGCATCAATCACCACATGTATTAGTTTCCTAAGGCTGCCATTATAAATAACCACAAACTAGATGGATTAAAAACAACAGAAATTCATTCTCACAGTTAAACAGGCCAAAAGTCCAAAACCAAGCTGTCAACAGGGCCACATACATTCTCTTTAACGGAAGATCCGTCCTTGCCTGTTCCGTTTCTGATAACTCCCGGCTTTCCTTGGCCTCAGGCACCATACCCCCAACCTCTGCCTCTGTCTTCATGTGACCTTTGCTGTGTTTCTGTTCTCTCCTCCTCTTAGGAGGACACCAGTTATTGGATTTAGGGCTCACCCTAATCAAGTGTGATCTCAACTCTTAACTAAGGAAATCTGCAAAGAGCCTATTTTTAAATAAAGTCACATTCCGAGGTTTCAGGTGGATGTGAATTTGGGGGGAACACTGTTCAACTACACCATTATTCTCACTACCTTTCCCTGGTCTTATGGTCTCTCACTTGCTTCTTTCTGTAGATTTGCGTAATTCTCAGTGTGGACACACTCGTGTTATCCACAAGTGAACGATCCTAGCTCTGACTTATATCAACCCTACTTCTGGTGTTCAGTCAAGAATCTGATCTGTCTTAGGTCATTTTTTTTCTTGTCTAGTTAGTTGGTAAGACTGATTGGGACTGATAGGAGAGTTCATAAGAATAACGTGCTACATGAATGGGGTTGGGGATGAGTGGTGTTTCTTTTACAAACCCAGACAGAATCTCTGTTCTACACCCATATTACTACAGGATAATGAACAAATGGAAATAATATGTGTGCGTGCCACCACACAGGTCCTGATTTTGTTTTGTTTTGTTTTGTTTTTAAGTAGAGACAGGGACTCATTATGTTGCCTAGGCTGGTCTCAAACTCCTGAGCTCAAGCAGTCTGTCCACCTTGGCTTCCCAAAGTGCTGGCATTACAGGTGTGAGCCACTACACCCAGCCAGAATTCTTAAATCTTGAGTTTTTCATTGTCACTGAAAATTATCAAAAGAGTTGGCTACAGCTTGGCCATCCTTTTTATATTAATATGGTTGGAGTCAGAGTTTTATAACCTGTATAGACCTTCGAATCATCCAGTACAACTAGCTCCTGGTTATGGATGGGAAAACTGAGAACTAGAAAGGCATGATTCTCATACTATAGCATGCATCAAAATCACTTGAAAGACTTGATTCTTGGGCCCCACTGCCAGTTTCTGATTGAGTGGGTCTGGAATGAGACCAAGGAATTTGTCTGCATGCCTCCTCTTCTTCTTTCTTCTTTCTTCCTCCTCTTCCTTCTCCTTCTCCTCCTCTTCCTCCTTCTCTCTCTGTCTCCTCCTTCTCCTCCTCCTCCACCTTCTCTTCCCCCTCCTTCTCTTCCTTCTTTCTCCTTCTCCTCCTTCTCCTTCTCTTCCTTCTTTCTCCTTCTCCTCCTCCTCCTCCTTCTCTTCCGTCTTTCTCCTCCTCCTCCTCCCCCTGACTTCGACAGGGTTCTCCTCCGCCGCCGCCTCTGCCTCTTCCATCTCCTCTGCCGCCGCTGCCTCCCCCTCCCCCTCTTCCTTCTCCTTTTCCTCCTCCTCCTCCTTGCTTCGACAGGGTCTCTCACTCTGTTGCCCAGGCTGGAGTGCAGTGGCGTGAACACAGCTCACTGCAGCCTTGACCTCCTGGGTTCAGCCTCCCAAGTGACTGGAAGTACAGCTGCATGCCACCATGCCTGGCTATTTTTTAAAGTTTTTGTAGAGATGAGGGTCTCAGTATGTTGCCCAGGTTAGTCTAACTCCTGGGCTCAAACTGTCTTCCCATCTGGGCCTCCCAAAGTGCTGGGATTACAGGCATGAGCCAGTGTGCCTGGCCAGAATTTGCATTTCTAACAAGTTCTCATTGGATACTGATAGTACAGGTCTGGGGATCACACTTCTGAGAACCACCAGACTGACGGAACTGTCTGTGACCACACTTTTAGATAGTGGCTGAGTGGGGACTAGAACCCAAGATTCCTATTTCTTTTTCTCATATAAGGGTTCTTAGTATTTCTCCTTCCTTCCTTCCTTCCTTCCTTCCTTCCTTCCTTCCTTCCTTTTCTTTCTTTCTTTCCTTCCTTCCTTTCTTCTTTTCTTTTCTTTTCTTTTTTCTTTTCTTTTTCTTTCCTTTCCTTTTCTTTTCTTTTCTTTTTTTGAGACAGTTTTGCTCTTGTTGCCCAGGCTAGAGTGCAGTGGCGTGATCTCGGCTCACTGCAACCTCTGCCTCCTGGGTTCAAGCGATTCTCTGCCTCAGTCTTCTGAGTAGCTGGGATTACAGGTGCCCGCCACTGTGCCCGGCTAATTTTTGTATTTTTAGTAGAAACAGGGTTTCACCGTGTTGGCCAGGTTGGTCTTGAACTCCTGACCTCAGGTGATCCGCCCACCTCGGCCTCCCAAAGTGCTGGGATTACAGGCATGAGCCACCATGCCCTGCCTGGTTCTTAGTATTTCTTATGTAGAATGGAGGTTGGAGCCAGGCATGGTGGCTCACACCTGTAATCCTATCACTTCGGGAAGCTGAGGTGGGAGGATGGCTTGAGCCTAGGAGTTTGAGATCAGTCTGGGCAACATGGCAAAACCCTGTGTATTAGTTCTCTTGCTGCTATAAATAATTACCGAAACTGGGTAATTTATAAAGAAAAGAGGTTTAATTCACTCACAGTTCTGCATGGCTGGGGAGGCCTCAGGAAAGGTGGAAGGCACCTCTTCACAGGGTGGCAGGAGAGAGAAATGAGAGCTGAGCGAAGGGGGAGGCCCCTTATAAAACTGTCAGATCAAATGAGAACTCACTGTCATAAGAACAGCATGGGGGAAACCACCCCTGTGATTCAATTATCTCTACCTGGTCCCACCCTTGACACATGGGTATTGTGGGATCTGGCCAGCAGCCCGCAATGCAATGGGGCTCTCTCTTTGTTCCCAGGCGGATCGGCAGGTTGAGAAATAATAGACACACACAAGATAGTGAAAGCTGGGTCCAGGGGGGTCACTGTCTTCTGGTCCCGCGGTGCCAACAATGCACTGGATATACCAGCATTTATTACTAAGTTTAGTGAGGGCGGGGGTAGGTTAGTGAGGGATTTAGGGTCATTTGATTATGAGGTGAGATGGTCACATGGGGATGAAATAATTCTTTAACATAACATTTGTATGTAGAAGTATAGTACATTTGTATGTAGAAGTACAGTATACAGAGATAAGAATTTACAATATAGTGTGTGCATCAGTAATTTCTAATAGAGCCTTAAAACAGAAACACAGTCTTTCCATAACCTATGATTAGCAAGATATTAATCAGCAGTAACAGTTGTAGCAAAAGCTGGTTACAAACAATCCATAGAAACAGGATGTGAAGCTAGACAACTGGTTAGACCAGAAATTCTCAGAAGGGGAGTATGTCTTAACCCTAAAGAGGCCTAGAAGAACCGTGGCAAGATGAGGGCATTTATAGCCCTATCTTATCCATGTGGACAGGCGCCCCCAATGCGTCCGTTTATAGGCTCTCCACAAGGGTCGCATTCTGTTCCCAGAGCTATGAACATCTGCTTTTCTGGGATAGGAATCTTGGTGATGTGAATCCTCCGTGATTGCACATCCATTCATAGGCTCTTTGCAGGGGGAAGCACATCACACGCTGTTGGCTCGTTCTGGCAGTCCAACCTGGCATTGTCTTTACACAATCCTGCATGCAATTTTGTATTTACAATAATCAGGAGCATTTCATCTTTTATTCCGTAGCAATAGTTTCAGGGGGTCTCCCTACACATGGGGATTATTACAATTCAAGGTAAGATTTTGGCAGGGACACAGCCAAACCGTATCATCCACCTTCTACAAAGAATACAAAAAATTGGCCAGCCATGGTAGAGTGTGCCTGTAATCCCAGCTACTTAGGAGGCTGAGGTGGGAGGATCGCCTGAGCCTGGGAGGTCGAGGCTGCAGTGAGCTGAGATGATGCCACTGCACTTCCAGCTTGCGCAACAGTGAGACCCTATCTCAAAAAAAAAAAAAAGAGGTTGGCAAACAAGGGCCCATGGTTCAATTCTGGCCTGCCACTTACTTATTATTACAGTGTTAGTATATACATTCTAATACATACATATTAGTGTTAGTATTGTCACATATGTTCAAAGATCCCGCCCCCCCCCAGGGATGTCTGAAATCACAGAGAGTACCAAACCCTATGATACTATGTTTTTTCCTATGCATGCATACCTGTGATAAAGTTTAATTTATAAATTAGGCAAAGAGGTGAACAACAGCAATAGAATAATTATAACAACATACTGTAATAAAAGTTATGTGAATGTGATCTCTCTCTCAAAATATATTCTTGTTCTGTACTCACCTATTTTTTGATGGTGGTAACTGAATCCACAGAAAGCAAAACTGTGGTTGATGGGGAACTACTGTACTTATAGAGATATAATTCACATACCAAAAACTTCACTCTTTTAAAGTATACAGTTCAGTAGTTAGTTTATTTACAGAGTTGTTCAACTATTACCACTGTCTTAATTCCAGAATATGTTCAACATCCCCAAAAGAAACCCAACATTCATCTGCAGACTACTTATTCCCCTCCCTGGCAACCACTATCTTTTTCTGTTTCTGTGGATTTGCTTATTCTGCGTAGAAATGGAATCAGATAATATTTGGTCTTTTGCATCTGGCTTCTTTCATTTTATAACATAATGTTTTTCAGGCTCATCTATTTTGTAACATGTACCAGTACTGCTTTCTTTCATTGCCAAGTAAATAATTAGCTGAGCATGGTGTCATGCACCTGTAGTCTCAGCTACTTGGGAGGCTGAGTCAGGAGGATCCTTTCAGGCCAGGAGTTCAAGTCTAGCCTGGGCAATATAGTGAGACTCTGTCTCTTAAGAAAATTCACATAAAAATAATTCATTCATCAATTAATGAACATTTGGATTGTTTCTACTTTTTTACTCTAATGAGTAATACTACTCTGCACGTTTGTGTACAAGACTTTGTATGGACATATGTTTTTAGTTCTCTGGTGTATATACTTGGGAGTCAAATTGCTAAGTCAATGGTAGCTCTATGTTTAACCCTTGAAGAACTCCAGGACAGTTTTCATAGTAGCTGCACTTTTTTACACTTCTGCCAAGATAAATGGCCAGCAGTGTGTGAGTGCTCTGATTTCTCGCCATCCTCGTTAACACTTGTTATTGTCTTTTTGATTATAGCCATCCATTTCTATGTGAAGTGGTGTCGCATTGTGATTTTGATTTGCATTTCCTAATGGTTAATGTTGAGCATCATCTCATGTCCTTGAAAAAAGTAAAATAGAGGTCCCTCTTTAAAGATTTTCCTCTCCATCTAATTAGGAATAAATAGTAACTTCTCTTAAAAGCAAAATTTATTCGAAGACAGGTGCTAACATTCTTAAATATCTGCTAGCCGTAATAAAGAAATCAATGTACTTTATGTTCTTAGCTCCCTCAATTTAGCCTAAATATTTGCCCTGGCATGCTTATACTGGTCCAAGCAAGCATTAGGTCATAGCCTGTTCCTCTTCCTTATTTAAAAGTGTTTTTATCTTTCTCAGCATTCCACAAGTTAACTTCCTCCTTCCTTTGTTCTCCTCTACCTTTGCCTCTTTTAAAAAGTTCTAAGTTGCTAGCCAGTCGGGACAAATAACAGAATGTGAGGTCCCGTTCCAGCCAATGGAAACCAGACACAGCAGTAGGGTGGACTTGTCAGATTATAAATGACTCTGTCTCCTTTGTTCGGTGTACTCTCGTGACACAGCTACTGGCAAGTGTACCCTTTCTGCAGAAAGTAAAAATGGCCTTACTAAATAAATTAAATTTATGTTCAAGTGCTGTTTCTTTACGGCACCGGAGAACAAGCATTTCAAACATCCTTATTGGCCATTTGCATATTTTCTTTGGAGAAATATCTGTTCAGATCCTTTGCCGTTTTAAAAATTGGGTTGCCTTTTTGTTGTTGATTTATAAGAATTGTTTATATTGTCTGGACACTAGACTCCTATCAGATACATTATTTGTAAATATTGTCTCCCATTGCGTGGGGTGTCTTTGCACCCTTTTGGTAGTATGTTTTGCAGCACAACAGTTTTTCATCCTGATGATTTTTATGTTTGTTTGTTTGTTTCAGACAGAGTATTGCCCTGTAGCCCAGGCTGGAATATAGTGGCGTGATCTCGGCTCAGTGTAGTCTCTGCCTCCCCTGGGTTCCAGCGATTCTTCTGCCTCGGCTTCCCGGGTAGCTGGGATTACAGGCATGCCCTGCCATGCCCTGCCCAGTTTTCAAGTCCTTCACTTATTTTGTTAAATTATTCCTCCAAGTATTTTATTCTTTGTATACTATGACGAATGGAATTGTTGACTTTATTACATTTTTATATTGTTCATTGCTAGTGTATAGAAATATACCTTTTTGATAAGTTTTTTATATCCTGGGATCTTGCTGACCTCAATAGCTCTTAGGATGTTTTTGTAGATTTCATAGGATTTTCTGTATATAAGATCATAAGATACTCAGCTCACAAGATCATGAGAGGGAATTTTACTGATTCCTTTCCTATCTGGATGCCATTTATCTTGCCAGTTTCCCTGGCTACAATCTCTGGTAAAATGGTGTATTGTATTTATTAAATTTTTATGTTGAACCATCCTTGCATTCTAGGGAAGATCTCTCCTGGTCATGGTGTATAATCCTAATTATATGTCGATAGATTTGGTTTGGTAGTTTTTAGGATTTTGTATTTATATTCCTATGGGATAGTCTGTGATTTTCATTTTGAGACAGGGTCTCGCTCTGTCACCCAGGCTAGAGTGCAGTGGAGTGAACACAGCTCACTGCAGCCTCAACCTTCCAGGCTCAAACCATACTCCCAAGTATCTGGGACCACAGGTGCACACCACCATGCCTGGCTAATTTTCTTATTTTTTGTGGAGATGGGGTCTTACTATGCTGCACAGGCTGGTCTTGAACTCCTGGGCTCAAGCAATCCCCCCACTTTGGGCTCTTAAAGTGTTGGATTACGAGTGTGAGCCATCACACCTGGCTGTCTTTTTTTTTTTTTTTTTTTTTTTGGTACCCTTTGGTTTTGATGTCAGAGTAATAATGGCCTTCTAAATGAGTAACTGTTCCTTTTTTTGGGCGGGGGGGATGAGGAGAAGGATTCTTTTTTTTTTTTTTTTTTTTTTTTTAATTTTTTTAGTATTTATTGATCATTCTTGGGTGTTTCTCGGAGAGGGGGATTTGGCAGGGTCATAGGACAATAGTGGAGGGAAGGTCAGCAGATAAACATGTGAACAAAGGTCTCTGGTTTTCCTAGGCAGAGGGCCCTGCCGCCTTCCTCAGTGTACAGTCCCTGGGTACTTGAGATTAGGGAGTGGTGATGACTCTTAACGAGTATGCTGCCTTCAAGCATCTGTTTAACAAAGCACATCTTGCACCGCCCTTAATCCATTTAACCCTTAGTGGACACAGCACATGTTTCAGAGAGCACGGGGTTGGGGGTAAGGTTATAGATTAACAGCATCCCAAGGTGGAAGAATTTTTCTTAATACAGAACAAAATGGAGTCTCCTATGTCTACTTCTTTCTACACAGACAGTAACAATCTGATCTCTCTTTTCCCCACATTTCCCCGTTTTCTATTCGACAAAACCGCCATCGTCATCATGGCCCGTTCTCAATGAGCTGTTGGGTACACCTCCCAGACAGGGTGGAGGCCGGGCAGAGGGGCTCCTCACTTCCCAGACGGGGCGGCTGGGCAGAGGCGCCCCCCCCACCTCGCGGACGGGGCGGCTGGCCGGCCGGGGGCTGCCCCCCCCCCACCTCGCGGACGGGGCGGCTGGCCGGGGTGGGGGCTGCCCCCCCACCTAACTGACGGGGCGGCTGGCCGGGCGGAGGGGCTCCTCACTTGTCAGACAGGGCGGCTGGTCAGAGATGCTCCTCACCTCCCGGACGGGGTGACGGCGGGGCAGAGACACTCCTCAGTTCCCAGACGGGGTCGCGGCCAGGCAGAGGCGCTCCTCACATCCCAGACGGGGCGGCAGGGCAGAGGCGCTCCCCACATCCCAGACGATGGGCGGCCGGGCAGAGACGCTCCTCACTTCCTAGACGGGATGACGGCCGGGAAGAGGTGCTCCTCACTTCCCAGACTGGGCAGAGGGGCTCCTCACATCCCAGACGATGGGCGGCGGGGCAGAGACACTTCTCACTTCCTAGATGGGGTGGCGGCCGTGCAGAGGCTGCAATCTCGGCACTTTGGGAGGCCAAGGCAGGCAGCTGGGAGGTGGAGGTTATAGTGAGCCGAGATCACGCCACTGCACTCCAGCCTGGGCAACATTGAGCACTGAGTGAGCGAGACTCCGTCTGCAATCCCGGCACCTCGGGATGCCGAGGCTGGCAGATCACTCGCGGTCAGGAGCTGGAGACCAGCCCGGCCAACACGGCGAAACCCTGTCTCAACCAAAAAATACAAAAACCAGTCAGGCGTGGCAGTGCGCGCCTTCGGCAGGCTGAGGCAGGAGAATCAGGCAGGGAGGTTGCAGTGAGCCGAGATGGCGGCAGTACAGTCCAGCCTCGTCTCGGCATCAGAGGGAGACTGTGCAAAGAGGGAGAGGGAGAGGGAGAGGAAGAGGAGGGAGAGGAGGGAGAGGGAGAGGGAGAGGAGGATTCTTTAAACATTGGATTGGTAGACTTCACCTTGAAGCCATGTGGTACTGGGCTTTTCTCTGTGAGACTTTGGATTACTGATTCAATTCCTTGTTACAGGCCTGTATAGATTTTGTTTCTTGAATCCGTTTTTGGTAGTTTGTGTCATTCTAGGAATTTGTCTATTTAGTCTAGGTTATCTAATTTATTACCATGTAATTGTTCATACTGTTCTCTTATAATCTTTTCTATGTGTCAAGTTAGTAGTAGTCTGTTCTTTGTTTCCTGATTGTAATAATTTGAGTCTTCTCTGTTTTTTTTCTTTGGTTGATCTAGCTAAAGGTTTGCCATTTTTGTTGATCTTTTCAAAGAACCAACTTTTGCTTTAGTTGATAGTCTCTCTCTTTTTTTTTGAGATGGACTCTCGTTCTTTCTCCCAGGCTGGAGTGCAGTGGCTCAATCTCAACTCACTGCTACCTCCGCCTCCCAGGTTCAAGCAATTCTCTTGTCTCAGCCTCCTGAGTAGCTGGGACTACAGGCACGTGCCACCACACCCAGCTAGTTTTTGTATTTTGGGTAGAGATGGGGTTTCACCATGTTAGCCAGGCTGGTCTCTAACTCCTGACATCAAGCGATCCACCCGCCTCAGCTTCCCAAAGTGCTGGGAATACAGGCGTGAGCCACCGCGCCGGCCTCTGTTGCATTTATTTCCACTCTAGTTTTTATTATTTTCTTCTTTCTGTTTACTGTGGATAAAGTTTTTTGGTTTTGGTTTTTTTTCAGGTAAAAGATTAGGTTGTTAATTTGAGGTCTTTATTTTATATATATATATATATATATATTTATTTATTTTTTTTTTCTTTGGTCTCCCAGGCTGGAGTGCAGTGGCGTGATCTCAACTCACTGCAACCTCTGCTTCCGAGGTTCAAGTGATTCCTCTGCCTCAGCCTCCCAAGTAGCTGGGATTACAGGCATTCACTGCCACACCGGGCTAGTTTTTGTATTTTTAGTAGAAACAGGGTTTCACCACATTGGCCAGGCTAGTCTTGAACTCCTGACCTCAGGTGATCTGCCCACCTCAGCATCCCAAAGTGCTGGGATTACAGGCGTGAGCCACCGTGCCCGGCCTGAGATCTTTATTTTTAAACACAGATGTCTACAGCTATACATTTCCATTTGAGCATTGCCTTTGCTGCATCCTATGCATTTTCGCTGCTGCGTGTTTTTACTTTTTCTAAATGGTTAGGAAAAAACTTAAGACTTAGTGACACATGAAAAGTATATGAAACTCAGATTTTATTGTACATAAATAAGGTTTTGTTGGAACAGAACCACATCCTTTTGTTTACATGTTGTCTATAGTTAATTTTCATCCTAGAGTGGCTGAGTTGAGTAGTTGCAACAGAGACCTTCTGGCTGGTAAAGCCTAAAATGTTGACTCTTTTGGTCCTTTGCAGAAAACAATTATTGACCCCTGTTGTTTAATATTTCTTGATATACAGATGTTTTACATCATGATAAATTCATCATAAAATCAAAAAATCATAAATTTAGCCATTATAAGTTGGGAACTGTTTGTATATTCATACTATGAAAAATTGAGCTTTTCATTGTTATTTTTAGCTTGCATGAGAGTTAGAGCTGTATTTGCTTAGAGTAATATTCCTAAGATGATAATATTCATCATTTGATTTTTCTGTGGGTTCTTATGGGCTACCTGTTAACATTCAAATATAGAGCACAGCAGTCATTTCTTCACCATGTGGTCTTAACCTACTTTATCTGAGGTGTCTTCAATTTCTGTCTCTGATTTTTAAGTATTCTTCTAGACTAATTTAACAGTATATGTGCAAAGGCCTAATTTTTTAAAAGATTTTTGTGACATTAATGTTTTAAAGAATTTTTTCTAAGGAAAAAATGATGTCTGCGAACATTCATTTTATAAGACTGTACAATGAGACCGGGTGCGGTGGCTCATGTCTGTGATCCCAGCACTTTGGGAAGCCGAGGCGGGCGGATCACGAGGTCAGGAGATCGAGACCATCCTGGCTAACATGGGGAAACCCCGTCTCTACTAAAAATACAAAAAATTAGCCAGGCGTAGTGGCGGGTACCTGTAGTCCCAGCTACTTGGGAGGCTGAGGCGGGAGAATGGCGTGAACCTGGGAGGCGGGGCTTGCAGTGAGCCGAGATCGCGCCACTGCACTCTAGCCTGGGCAAGAGAGCGAGACTCCGTCTCAGAAAAAGAAAGAAAGACTGTACCATGAGAAATCTGTGTGAAAAAAATTGAAATGCCAAAATGTTTACAAAGAAGAATATTTGATAAGTTAGAATTCCAGCAATTTAAGTGGAAAAAGTGTATCCTGGGCAGGTGCAATGGCTCACACCTTTAATTCAAACACTTTGGAAAGCCAAGGCAGGAGGATCACTTGAGGCCAGGAGTTTGATACCAGCCTGGGCAACATAGTGAGATCCTGTCTCTACCAAAAAAAAAGTACATTCTAAAACTGTAGATACAATATAGTCTCATAACAAATAGGAGCTAAGCTGTTAATGATTGTTTCTTTTTTTAAAAAAAGGATTAGTTCTTGATCGCACCAGTCCAAATGCTTTTCATTTTCTACTTTTGTCTTTTCTCCCCTAATTGTAATAAGGAATAAAACATACTATGGTGCGTATGTATGTGCGTGTGCGTTGTGGGGAAAACCTGTCCTCTGTCTTACTGCTCCTGCTGTATAAATTCTTTTTGATTTTCATAGCTGAAACTAATCTTTTCCTTCTCTTCCACATTTTGACATTCTTTGTAACTTGTTTGTAGGGCTTAACTTTTGATCTGTGTGGTGGTATGTTTATATCTTGTTTCTCCTACGGGACTGCAGTTTCGTTGAGGATACAGTCTGTATCTCAATCTTTATCTTTCATGCATGTAGAATGTTTGTTTTTTAAATTTCTCTCCTCAGATGCGGTGGCTCATGCCTGTAATCTCAGCACTTTGGGAGGTGGAGGCGGGCGGATCACCTGAGGTCAGGAGTTCAGGACCAGCCTGGCCAACATGGCGAAACCCCATCTCTACTAAAAATACAAAAATTAGCCAGGTGTGGTGGCACATGCCTGTAATCGCAGCTACTTGGGAGGCTGAGGCAGGAGAATCACTTGAACCTGGGAGGCGGAGATTGCAGTGAGCCAAGATCGCACCATTGCACTCCAGCCTGGGCAACAAGAGCAGAAGAGCAGAACTCTGTCTCAAAAAAAAAAAAAACGAAAAGAAAGGCTGGGCGCAGTGGTGCACGCCTGTAATCCCAGCACTTTGGGAGGCCAAGGTGGGCAGATCACGAGGTCAGGAGTTTGAGACCAGCCTGACCAGCATGGTGAAACCCTGTCATGGTGGCGCGCTTGTAATCCCAGCTACTCGGGAGGCTGAGGTAGGAGAATCGCTTAAACCCGGGATGCGAAGGTTGCAGTGAAGAGATTACAGGCTGCACTCCATCCTGGGTGACCGAGCAAGACTGTGTTTCAGAATAAAATAATCTTCCAGTTGTTTTTTTTTTCTTCAACATGTCTTCTGTTATTTAAAAAAGACATTTTCTTGAGCTCTTTCATTGGACGAGAGCTGCTGGCCAAAAACTGTGTATATAGTAGGGAAAACAAGGGTCTATGTGGTTAAGACATAAACACAGTTAAGAGAAGTAGCACAAAATATAAATAAATAATATTAATAATTATTGAATTACAATTTTGAGCACAAATAGGGGCAGAGCCACAAATAGTCAAAATTTACTGTGAAATATTGTTGCATTGTCTGTATATTTGGGGTGAATAATTGAGAGGCAACTCTTCAACAGCCTGTTACTCCAGACAGGGGTAGAAACTAGTGAGTACAGCAAAAGGCCTTTGAACTATAAAGTCCATACCTTAAAGCTGTTGTACTTTTCTGTGTGAACTCCAGCATTTTTATTCTTTGGCAAATGTCTAATACATACAAAAGATTGTAAGTACTCAAAAAGCCAGTGGTATAGAGTTCTTTGGTATGGAGAAAATAGCCAATGTTTTATTGTATTAATAACAATTCTAAAATTCATGTTAAATTTAAATTTTTGGCCAGGCACAGTGGCTTACGCCTGTAATCCCAACACTTTGGGAGGCCAAGGCAGGCGGATCACTTGAGGTCAGGAGTTTGAGACCAGTCTGGCCAACATGGTGAAACCTTGTCTCTACTAAAAATAAAAAAATTAGTTGGGTATGGTGGCACAGGCCTGTAGTCCCAGCTACTCGAGAGGCTGAGGCAGGAGAATCACTTTTACTCAGGAGGCGGAGGTTGCAGTGAACCGAGATCACCCCACTGCACTCCAGCCTGGGCAACAGAGAGAGGCTCCATCTCAAGAAACGTAATAAATAAATAAATATATTTACATTTTTTATTCTGTTTCTATAGTCACCATCAATTTACATATTTCTCAATATACTTCGTAAGTGTAAACATAAAGGAATACGGCTGTCATCTGCCTTGGCCAGCCATGATATAGGTCAAGCTTTTATTATATGTAGTAATGTTTTGAGGAACATAATTGAAGCTTTATTTTATTTTGGACTCTAATAAATAGGTGGAAGATTGTTATTACTATTTTTTGAGACAGAGTCTTGCTTTGTTGCCCAGGCTGGAGTGCAGTGGCATAGTACGCTCGTGGCTCAGTACAACTCCCACCTCAGTCTCCCGAGTAGCTTGGACTACAGGTACGTGCCACCACACTTGGCTACTTTTTGTAGAGACAGGGTTTTGCCATTGTTGCCCAGGCTGGTCTTGAACTCCTAAGGTCAAGTGATCCACCCACCTCAGCCTCCCAAAGTGGTGGGATTACAGGTGTGAGCCACCACGCCCAGCCTGAAGATTATTTTATAAGTGTGATTTTTTTTAAGTGGCTGTGTAGTCCCAAAACTATAATTAGCTGAAATAATACTGTAATGTTTAAAACTTATTTAGTTATCCCTGAGGTCATCAGCACAAATCCTGAAATAGAAAATATAGTAACGATATACTTAGAAATTGAAATAGAAATAGAAAAAGCTTACAGAAAATCAGCATTGGCAATAACCATGGAAAACATTTTATAATGTGGTTATACTGTTATCTTTTGCAGAGATAACAGACAGGTTTAAATTTTATTTATTTATTTATTTATTTATTTCAGGGGGAAACGAGGTCTCAGTCTGTTGCCCAGGCTGGAGTGCAGTGGTGTGATCTCCGTTTACCGCACCCTCCGCCTCCCAGGCTCAATTGATCCTCCCACCTCAGTCTCCTGAGTAACTGAGACTGCAGGAGCGCTCCCAGCTAATTTTGTATTCTCAGTAGATATGGGGGATTCGCCACATTGCCCAGGCTGGTCTCAATCTCCTGGACTCAAATGATCCGCCCAACTCAGCCTCCCAAACTGCTGGGGTCAAAGGCTTGAGCCACTGCACCCAGTCTAGTTTTTTATCTTATATGCTGCTTGGATACCTTTGCTGGTCAAGGCTCTGTGACAAAGAGTGCCTTAATTGCTTGGTAATGTCTACTCTGGGCCCACGATCTAGGAATGGTAGCCCATATGCCAGGTATTTATTATTGCTGCAAAATATTGCTTATTATACACATTAAAATCTATTTGCAAAGCTAACTATGCACGTTAAGTTTATTCCTAATTCTACTGAAATTATCAGACAGAAAACTGGACGGGCGTGATGGCTTAGGTCTGTAATCCCAGCACTTTTGGAGGCTGATGTAGGTGGATCACTTGAGGTCAGGAGTTCAAGACCAGCCTCGCCAACATGGTGAATCCCCATCTCTGTTGAAAATACAAGAAAAATTAGCCAGCCTTGGTGGTGGGCACCTGTATCCCAACTACTCAGGAGGCTAAGGCACGAGAATTGCTTGGACTCAGGAGTCGGAGGTTGCAGTGAGCCATCCCTGCACTCCAGCCTGGACGACAGAGCAAAACTGTCTCACAAAAAAAGAAGAAAACTTAGTGGCTGTTAACACTGAAAATACGTACATTGAAATAGTGTATCAAATTCAAGTGAATAGCTTGTAATAAAGTGTTAAACATAAAAAGCAAAAAAAAAGGGGGGGGGTTGTTGAACATAGACTTGCATAGACCTGTAATATGTACTTGAATCAATTGATATAGCTCATAACTTACATTTGTCTTAGCAGATGGTAGAAGGTGTTTCTATCTACAGAATCTATAATCTTGTCTCAAAATGATTTCCCAAATGTTTTCAGACTTACCTCAGGGCAAACAGCTCATTTCCCTCAACTTCATCTCTCTCTTCCTGCTTATCCCAAAGTCACAAGTCTAGATCAGCAGTAAGCAGCAGGTAGCCCAGAAAAGGCCACACTCAGCCAAATCTGGTGACCTTTAGCTGAATATAGATGCGCCTTGACTTACAATGGGGTTACATCTGGCAGAGCTGAAAAGTTGAGCAGCGTACGGATGTGTTTTGCTTTTGTGCCATTGTAAAGTTGGAAAATCTTGAGTCTAACCGTTGTAAATTGGGGACCATGTATACTTTAGTAGTTGAGTCTGGTGGGTAGAGAATTTATCAGTTGCTTTGCTTTGCAACTATTATGCAGTTCTAAACTCAGATTGGTTTGGTGTAAGAACTTTTTTGAGTTGGATTTGCTATTTTTGAAAATTATTTTGAAAATTGTATTGGATTATGATATAGTCAAGTATTCAGATCTTAAATGTTCAGCCAGGCTGGGTGCGGTGGCTCACGCTTGTAATCCTGGCACTTTGGGAGGCTGAGGAGGGCAGATCACTTGAGGTCAGGAGTTGGAGACCAGCCTGGCCAACACAGCAAAACCCCGTCTCTACTAAAAATACAAAAAATTAGCAGGGCGTGGTGGTGCACGCCTGAAATCCCAGCTACTCAGGAGGCTAAGGCACGAGAATTGCTTGAACCTAGAAGGTAAAGGTTGCAGTGAGCTGAGATTGTGTCACTGCACTCCAGCCTGGGTGACAGAGTAAGACTCTGTCTCAAAAGAATAAAAAATAAATGTTTAGCTGGATAAATTTTTACTTACACCCATGAAACCATCAACATGATGAAGATAGAGAACATTTCCAGCTCCCCAGGAGTATTTTTCATTCTCCTGGAGTTAGTACCCTCCCATCCCAGAGGCGACCATTATTCTGACTTCTATTGCTATACCATACTTTTGCCCGTTCTAGACCGTCAGATAAATGGTATTATATGTATATCTTCTGTGTCCAGCTCTTTTTAAAAGTTGGAACATACACTTTACTATCTCATAAATCTATTCCTTTTATTTTCAGAAGAATAAACTTTTTATTTATTTATTTATTTATTTTTAGTAGAGACGGGGTTTCGCCATGTTGGCCAGGCTGGTCTGTATCTCCTGACCTCAAGTGATCCGTCTGCCTCAGCCTCCCAAAGTGCTGGGATTACAGGCGTGAGCCACCGTGCCCAGACTACTTTTTTATTTTTTACTTTGTAACTTGTTATTTAGATTCAGGAGTACATCTGCAAGGTAAACTGCATGTTCTGAGGGTTTGATGTACAGATAATTTTGTCACCCAGGTAATAAGCGTAGTACCTGATAGGTCTTTTTTCTGATCCTTTCCCTCCTTCCACCCTCCACCATCAAGTAGGCCCCAGTGTCTGTTGTTCCTCTCCTAGTATCCATGTGTTCTTGTTATTTAGCTCCTACTTACAAGTGAGAACATGTGGTATTTGGTTTTCGGTTCCTGTGATGGTTTGCTTAGGATAATGGCCTCCAGTTCCATCCATGTTGCTGCAAAGTACATGGTCTCATTCTTTTTTTAATGGCTGCATAACAATTCATGGTGTATATGTACGATATTTTCTTTATCCCGTTTGCCGCTGATGGGTATCTAGGGTGATTTAATGTCTTTGCTGTTGTGAATAGCAGTGCAATGAAAGTAAGTATGCATGTGTCTTTATGGGAGAACTGCCGAGACCAGCTCTGTCAGGGAGACCCTAACCCAGCGGTGCTAGAGGAATTAAAGACACACACACAGAAATATAGAGGTGTGAAGTGGGAAATCAGGGGTCTCACAGCCTTCAGAGCTGAGAGCCCCGAACAGAGATTTGCCCACATGTTTATTAACAGCAAGCCAGTCATTAGCATTGTTTCTATAGGTATTAAATTAATTAAAAGTGTCCCTTATGGGAAATGAAGGGATGGGCCAAATTAAAGGAATTGGTTGGGCTAGTTAACTGCAGCAGGAGCATGTCTTTAAGGCACAGATCGCTCATGCTGTTGTTTGTGGCTTAAGAATGCCTTTAAGCGGGGCCAGGTGTTCCTTGCCCTCATTCCGGTAAACCCACAACCTTCCAGCGTGAGCATTAGGGCCATTATGAACATGTTATAGTGCTGCAGAGATTTTGTTTATAGCCAGTTTTGGGGCCAGTTTATAGCCAGATTTCGGGGGGGCTTGCTCCCAACATGTCTCCCTTCTTTGATTTGCAAAGAGATATAAAAGCAAAGGCAGCTTTGTCATGGTGAGCTACTTCTCGCAGGAGTCAGGATCCGCATCTGCAGACTATACAAAGACAAATAACATAGATTAAAAGCACAATCATCATTGAAATCACAGAGCTTCCAAGTGTTTTTATCCATTTTAATGGGTTACTAGCTGCTAATTTGTCTGCAGCTCCTTTAAGCACTCCAGTTCCTGGCATTAAGGTCAGGTGTGCCTGGGATGCTTTAAATATTTGTTCTTTTAATTTTGCAATATCCAAAGACAAGTTTGTAGGGTGTCCTTCTAGATGCTTTTTTATTCTTTCCCAAATTTTGATCTTATTAAGAGCATTTAATAGTTTCCACAAATCCTTATGTTAAGCTCCTAGAGCAGGCCATATCATTTGAGGTTGAGGTGCCACTATACTGCTGTGGTTCCAGATAATAGGAGCTCTTGCCATACTTCTTATCATTTCTACCATCTGACCGTTTTGTTCAGATCACCTGAACATAGTGTGACCGTGGCACACAGACTGAGAGGTGCAGTTCAAGCTAAACATCCCCTTAGGGGACCAATCAATAATGATTCCATAGGAATCATTGTGCCGCACCTCTGCCTGTTCTGCAGTGCAATCTTCCTAAACAAATATGTTCATTATTTCTGGCCAGGTCCAGTCCTTCTTAGAAATAGGTTTTTGAGGGTAGTATGCCTCAATAATAGGAGCAGATTTATTATGGTAAATACTGAGATCAGAAAGCATATGTAACTGTGTCAGAGTGATTACATCTAGGCATTATTGCCAGCCAAGATTGATGAATATGCCTAATAAGTATAATTGTTCTCTGTGTCAGCCCTTATTGAAGGAATACTCAAGGCAGTGGTGATAACCACTATCATAGCTACCTTTAAATTATTCATTGTGACTGGTTGTCCCGCTTTCCTCAGGTTTTCTTCTGCCGTCTGTGACAGCTTCTTGATCTGTCCCCAGGTGGGTGGCTCTGTTCGGGTGTTGCTCATGACAGTTGGGATCCTCCTCAGCGTCCGTCTCGACATGGCTGCAATCAGGGGGCCCTCGGGATGCTCCCGGGTCTCTTACTCGGCATCTGGCTCATCTGATAAGGTTTCAGGTGTCTTGATGGTATCCAAATCGGCTGTTGATTTTTGCCTGGAGAAACACAAGCATAACCTCTACCCCAAATTATTATTTTACCTATTTACTAACTTTTTGTAATCGGATCTCTCCACCAAATCAGTTGTTCTGCTTCTGTCTTTGCAGCTGGTTTCTGTAGATGCTGTTCAGCTGCTGATAACATCTGGCCTTTGGGCAGGCTCAAAAAATTTAAAGTTAATAATGCTAGGTTCAGTTGCATCTGTGGGGTTCCATATTCTCTGTCTCCTTTCTGCTTTTGCAACTGCTGTTTTAGGGAGAGATTCATTCTTTCCACTATGGCTTGTCCTTGAGAATTGTATGGGATACCAGTAATGTGTTTGATATTCCACATAGAGAAAAATGTAGCTAGAGCTTGGCTAGTATAGCCTGGGGCATTACCTAATTGTTTTAATAGAAGTTGGAATGCCCATCACCGCAAAACACTGCACAAGATGATGTTTAACACAGGCAGAAGACTCTCCTGATTGGCATGTAGCCCAGACAAAGTGAGAAAAGGTGTCCACACATACATGTACATAAGCTAGTCTCCCAAATGAGGGAATATGTGTGACATCCATTTGCCAAAGAGAGTTAGGTTCCAATCCCCGATGATTAACTCCTCCTGTAAAAGATGAGGACTGTACCATTTGGTAAGTTGGGCATCGCTGGATAATAGCTTTAGCTTCTTTCCAGGTAATGCTGTATCTGCGTTTGAGACCAGAGGCATTAACATGGGTTAAATCATGAAAGTGTCTAGCATTAAATAATTGCATTAGCAACTAGGCGATCAGCCATTTGATTCCTTTCAAAGGTCCTGGAAAAGGTGTATGAGCCCTAATGTGGGTGATGTAAAAAGGATGCATTCTATTAACTGCTGTTTGCAGTTGAGTAAATAAAGTCATCAGTTGTTCATCTGCATGAAATTGTAACTGAGCATTTTCAATTAACTGTGTGGAATGAACCACGTATGAAGAATGCTTAGCAGGCTGCAGGTTGTTTACTGCAGGAATTGTAAATGTAAACCGTTCACAGTCTTGCTCAGCTAAGGGGATGGTAAAGAAACAGTCTTTTTAATCTATGACTATTAAAGGCTCTGTCGCCCAGGCTGGAGTGCAGTGGCACGATCTCGGCTCACTGCAAGCTCTGCCTCCCGGGTTCCCGCCATTCTCCTATCTCAGTCTCCCAAGTAGCTGGGACTACAGGCTCCCGCCACCACACCCAGCTAATTTTTGTATTTTTAGTAGAGATGGGGTTTCACCATGTTAGCCAGGATGGTCTCAATCTCCTGACCTCGTGATCCGCCCACCTCGGCCTCCCCAAAGTGCTGGGATTACAAGCATGAGTCACCACACCTGGCTGCTTTCTTTCCTTTTAAAGAGACTATTTTAATTGATTTTGATCACCTCTACTCAAAACTATCCTAAGGTCCACATTAGGATTAGTCTCTAATAATCTGAAGATATAATTCAATTGTTTAAAAGAACATATTAAGAAGACTTTGGTAGAATTACATGTATCAAGAAACACTGGACTTGGGCACAATGGAGATATGGCTGACTTTTGAAAAAAGAAGTAGTTTTTTGGGGGAGGGCAGGGCAAAGAGGTAGGAAGTAGTTGGTACTATAAGGAAATGTTAGAGACTATTTTGGAAATGTATTCATTATTTTAAGGCAACTAACAAATGGTCATCTTTCTGTTAGGACATTGTAGCAGCAGCCTTTACTGGTCATGAAATTTGCATGATATCTAAAATTATACTTCTGTAAATAGGTCAGTGTCGATTAATAGTAACTTTGTATAGAAAAGCAGATGCCAGCTGGCATAGAAGTGGCAGTGTAGATGCTGGTAGTTCTGGAGTCCTGGAAGCTATGAGATGCCATACATCACAAGGCCATCACAGCCAGGTAGATAAATGGCTGAGGAAAGCAGCGGAGCTGGCCGTGCCAGCATTTACAAATGGAACACTTCTTGGGCAGCCAGGTGTCATGGGGCACAGACCCACAGTTCTCTTTGCACACATCATGCTCACAGTTCCGTCCATAGAAGGAGAGGGGGCAGGCACAGAAGGACCCCAGCATGCAGGTTCCCCCATTCAGACAGCAGGTTCTGTTTAGTTCCTTACTGTCCTGTATCTCCCTGGGCGGCACAAGTTGGGAAGACCGAGGATGAATTGCAGGCTCCTCCTGGGGCTGAATGCTGTCATCTCTGAAGGCCAGGTCTCCCTGAGATGGACGCGCAAGTTCCTGATGGCCCAACCCTTAACGACCTTTTTTGACTTTTTGATGATAGCCATTCTGCCTGCTGTGAGATGGTATTTTGTTGTGGTTTTGATTTGCATTTCTCTAATCATTAATGATCTTGAGCATGTTTTCATATGCTTGTTGGCCACATGTATGTCTTTTTTTTTTTTTTTTTTGATTCAGTCTTGCTCTGTCGCCAAGCTGGAGTGTTCAAGCAATTCTCCTGCCTCAGCCTCCTGAGTAGCTGGGACTACAGGCACGCACCACCACGCCTGGCTAATTTTTTGTATTTTTAGTAGAGGTAGGGTTTCACTATGTTGGCTAGGTTGGTCTCGAACTCCTGACCTCAAGTGATCCGCCCGCCTCCGCTACCCAAAGTGCTGGGATTACAGGCATGAGCCACGACCACGCCCAGCCTGTCTTTTGAAAAGTGTCTGTTCATGTTTTTTGTCTACTTTTCAATGGGGTTGTTTGATTTTTTTTTTTTTAACAGTAAAGTGGAAGCAAGTTTATTAAGAAAGTAAAGGAATAAAAGAATGGCTACACCACAGAACAGCTAGGTGGTTTGTTTTTTACTTGTAAATTTAAGTTCCTTATAGATTCTGGATATTAGACCTTTGTTGGGTGCGCAGTTTGCATATATTTTCTTCCATCTGCAGGATGTTTGTTTACTCTGTTGATAGTTTCTTTTGCTGTGCAATAGCTCCTTAGTTTAATTAGATCTCATTTGTCAATTTTTGTTTTTGTTGCAGTTGCTTTTGGCGTCTTCACCATGAAATCTTAGACAAGTCCTATGTCTAAAATGGTATTTCCTAGGTTGTCTTTCGAGTTTTTATAGTTAGGGGTTTTACATTTAAGTCTTGAATCCATCTTGAGTTGATTTTTGTATGTGGTGTTAGGTGGGGGTCCAGTTTCTATCATCTGCATATGGTCACCCAGTTATCCTGGCACTTTTTATTGACTGGGGAGTCCTTTTTCCCATTGCTTGTTTTTGTCAGCTTTGTTGAGTATCAAATAGTTGTAGGTGTGTGACCTTACTTCTGTGCTGTCTATTCTGTTTGATTGGTCTATGTGTCTGTTTTTGTACCAGTACCATGCTGTTTTGGTTATTGTACCCCTGTAGCATAGTTTGAAGTCCAGTAACATGATGCCTCCAGCTTTGTTCTTTTTGCTTAGGATTGCCTTGTCTGTTTGGGCTCTTTTTTTGGTTCCATGTGAATTTTAAAACATTTTTTCCTAATTCCGTGAAGAATGTCATTGGTAGTTTGATAGGAATAGCATTGAATCTGTAGATTGCTTTGGGCAGTATGGCCATTTAACAGTATTGATTCTTCCTATCCATGAGCATGGAATGCATTTCCACTTGTTTGTGTCATCTCTGATTTCTTTGAGCAGCGTTTTGTAATTCTTGTTGTAGAGATCTTTCACCTCCCTGGTTAGCTGTATTCCTAGGTATTTTATTCTTTTTGTGGCAATTGTAACTCACACTTTTAAAATAAAATGTGTGCTTTTTGTACAAAAAAATCTCATATCGCTGTCATGGAGCTTCCTTGGTTCATCTTTTACTGCGTGTGTTCCATTGTGTGTGCACTCAGTCCTGTGTGTGCTTGTCCACGCCCCCACCCTGTATATATATGTACGTATATATAGATGAGTCTTTTTTTAACTCTTGAGATAAACCTGCAAACATGTTCCTATCACCTCTAAATACTCTCATGTGTATTTCCCATGCACAAGGATACTTGTACATAACCAACATACAACACTCCAAATTAGGAGATGAGCATTGATTAAACACTATATCCAGTCCACAGACTCCATTGAAGTTTTGCCAGCTTTCTCAGCTGTGTCCGTTTCCTTTCTGGCCTGAGATCCTTTCCAGGAGTATGTGTTCATTTGAGCTGTCATGTCTTGAGTCTGAAACTGTTTATCAGTTCTTCTTTCATTTCCTTTGCAGTTTTAAAGCATATAGCCACAGCCTTCAGTTCTGCATATTCTGCAGAGTGACTCTTCAACTTGAGTCTGTCTAATGGTTCCTCATGACTGGGTCCAGTCATGCATTCTTCGTCTTTATTTTTGGTACCAGTTTTATTGACATATAATTCATATACCACACAATTCACTCATTTAAAGTGTGTAATTTGATGGTTTTAGATGTATTCACCGTAAGTTTTGCAACCATCACCACAGTCAATTTTAGAACATTTTCATTGCCTCAAAAAGAAACCCTATACTCTTTCATTTGTGTTCTATTGTAACTGGCTTCTTTCACTTAACATTGTTTTCAAGGCTCATCCGTGCTATAGCATGTCAGTACTTCCTTCTCATTGTTGAATCATACTCCGTTGTATGGCTGTGCCTCATTTTATTTTATTTTATTCTTTATTTGAGATGGAGTCTCGCTCTGCCGCCCAGGCTGGAGTACAGTGGTGTGATCTCAGCTCACTGCAACCTCCTCCTCCCGGGTTTGAGTGATTCTTCTACCTCAGTCTCCCCAGTCGCTGGTACTACAGGCATGCGCCATCAAGCCTGGCTAATTTTTGTATTTTTAGTAGAGACAGGTTTCACCATGTTGACCAGGCTGGTCTCGAACCCCTGACCTCAGGTGATCTGCCAGCCTTGGCCTCCCCAAAGTGCTGGGATTACCGTATGAGCCACCACGCCTGGCCTCATTTTGTTTATTCATCCATCATTTGATGGACATTTGGGTTGTTTGCACCTTGAAGTTGCGTAATACTGCTAAAAAAGAACATTTGTGTACAAGTTTTTTGTTGTTGTGTTTTTGTTTTTGTTTTGAGATGGAGTTTCACTCTTGTTGCCCAGGCTGGACTGCAGTGGCACGATCTCGGCTCACCGCAACTTCCGCCTCCCGGGTTCCAGCAATTCTCCTGCCTCAGCCTCCCGAGTAGCTGGGTTTACAGGCATGAGCCACCACATCTGTACTGGACATATTTTTTCACTATTCTTCGGTATAGACCTAGGAATAGAATTGCTGGATATGGTAACTTCATATTTATCCTTTTGAGAACCTAAAGGTTATCTAAAGTCGCTGCACCATTTACATTTCTACCAACAGTGTATGAGGGTTCTGATTTCTCACCATACCCTTTAACACTTGGCTATTATTTGTCATTTTTACGATAACCATTCCGGTAGGTATGAAGTGGTATCTCACAGTGGTTTTGGTTTGCATTTTCTAATGACTAATGATGTTGAGCATCTTTTCATGGTGTATTAACCATTCATTTGTCTGAGAAATGTCTATTCAAGTCTTTTGCCTATTTTTTTATTGAGATGTCTTTTTTGTTTAATTCGAGGTAAAATTCACATGACATAAAACTAACCCTTTTAATGTGAACAATTCATGACATTTAGTATATTCCTTTTTTTTTTTTTTAAACGAGACAGAGTCTCACTCTGTCGCCCAGGCTGGAGTGGAGTGGCACAATCTCAGCTCATTGCAATCTCTGCCTCCCAGGTTCAAATGATTCTCCAGCCTCAGCTTCTGAGTAGCTGGGACTACAGGTGCGCACCACGCCCAGCTAATTTTCATAGATTTAGTAGAGACGGGGTTTCACCATGTTGGCCAAGCAGGTCTTGAACTCCTGGACTCAAGGGATCTGCCCGCCTTGGCCTCCCAAAGTGCTGGGATTACAGGCATGAGCCACCATGCCTGGCCAAAGTTTTTTTTAAAGTATTTTTTCTTTTCCTTTTACTTTTAGTTGATACATAATTGTTCATATTTATGGGATACTGAGTGATATATTTTGATACATGTATACAACATGTAAGAATCAAATCAGGGTAATTAGCATATCCATCACCTCAAACATTTATCGTTTCTTTGCATTGTGAACATTCAACACCCTTTCTTCTAGCATTTTGAAAATATACACTGAATTGTAGTTAACCATATTCACTCAACAGTGCTACAGAACACCAGAATTTATTCCTTTCATCATTATATTGATAGCCATCCTAGTGAGTATGAAGTGATGTATCATTGGGGCTTTGATTTATGTTTCCTTAATGACTAATGATGTTCAGCATCTTTTCCTGTGCTTTTTGGCCATTTGTATATCTTCTTTGGACAAACATCTCATCAAGTCTTTTGCATATTTTTTAATTGGGTTGTCTTTTTGTTTGTGAGTTGCAAGTTTTTTTTATTATGGATACTAGACACTTTAATTAGATGTGATTTGCAAACATTTTTCCCACTATGTAAGTTGTCTTTTCATTTTCTTCATAGTGTCCTTTGAAACACAACAGTTAATTTTGATGATTTCTAATTTATCTATTTTTTTCTTGTCGGTTGTGCTTTTGATGTTATATCTAAGAAATTGCCAGATCTGAGGTCACAAAGATGTATGTGTGTTTTCTTCTAGTTTTATAGTTTTATCTCTTACATTTAGGTATTTGGTCAGTGTTTACATATGGTATGAGGTAGCAGTCCAACTTCTTTGTATTACATGTGGATATCCACTTGTCCCAGCTACTTTTGTTAAAAAGACTATTCCTTCCCTGTTGATTTGTTTCAGAAATAAGTTTGACAGTAAATGTGAGGTTTTATTTCTGGATTTTCGGTTGATTTATATGTCTGTCTGTACTCTAGTACTAGTCTTTCTGAATGTTACTTGGTAGGAATTTTTGAGATTAAGAAGTGTGAGTCCTCTAATTTTGTTCTTTTTCAAGATTTTTGTTGTTGTTGTTATTCTGGGTCTCTTGAGTTTCCATACAAATTTTAGATCGGGTTCTAATATGTGCAAAGTCAGGTGGTATTCTGTTAAAGATTGCATTGACTCCATAGATCAATTTGAGAGTACTGCCGTCTTTAAAATATTATATCTCCCAGTCCATGAAAGTGGGATATCCTTCCATTTATATAGATTTTCTTGTATTTCTTAATATGTTTTATAGTTTTCAGAAAAAAGTCTTTAACATAGCTATTTACACATATACACATGTGCATATACACAAAACTCCTATATAATATCCTGGTTATAGTTAATGTTATGTAAGTATTGCAGTTAATACTGTTGTTACTAATCTTTTTATATGTCTTTAACACTTTGGGGGAAGTGGGTTGAAATAGAAAAATAGTTAATAGAAAAGTATTTAACAGGGGGCTGGGCATGGTGGCTCACGCCTGTAATTCCAGCACTTTGGGAGGCTGAGGCAGACGGATCATGAGGTCAGGAGATCAAGACCATCCTGGCTAACACAGTAAAACCCCGTCTCTACTAAAAATACAAAAAAAAAATTTAGCTGGTGTGGTGGCGGGCGCCTACTCGGGAGGCTGAGGCAGGAGAATGGTGTGAGCCCGGGAGGTGGGGCTTGCAGTGAGCCGAGATCGCGCCACTGCACTCCAGCCTGGGCAACAGAGCAAGACTCTGTCTCAAAAAAAAAAAAAAAAAAAATTAACATTCATCAAGACTCTTTGATGTAAGAAAGGCTGAAATTACTGGTACTTTATTCTTTAGTAGAGATAATATGTAAAAAGCATCAAGTATATGGCCAAATGTAAATAAGCAGGAAACTATATGTATAACATGATCCCTGTTTTGTAAAATGTGCATCTATTCCTTAATTGACATGCATGGGAAAAATCAGAAGGAAATGCATCAGAAAATTAACTGTTTATTCCTGGCTAGAAGGATTTGATTATTTATAATTTTTCAATTATTCCATGTTCTGCTTTGAACGTGTATGTATGTGAACATGTACGCATGAAGAAATATTAAAGTTGCTGGATTAAAAAATTTTTTTTTCTTAAGTTTTCTGTAGAGTGGGTCTTACTATATTGTTTAGGCTGGTCTTAAACTCCTGGTCTCAAGCTGTCCTCCTACCTCAGCCTCTCAAAGTGCTGGGATTATAGACATGAGCCACCATGCTCAGCGAAAGTTGCTGTTTTTATTTTATTTACTCACTTATTTATTTATTTTGAGATGGAGTCTCACTCTGTTGCCCAGGCTGGGGTGCAGTGGTCTAGTCTTGGCTCACTGCAACCTCTGCCTCCTGGTTCAAGCGATTCTCCTGCCTCAGCCTCCTGAGTAGCTGGGATTACAGGCAATGCACAAAAACGCCCAGCTAGTTTTTGTATTTTTAGTAGAGACAGGGTTTCACCATGTTGGCCAGGCTGGTCTCGAACTCTGGACTCAAGTGATCCGCATGCTTCAGTCTCCCAAAGTGCTTGTAAGCATGAGCCACTGTGCCCAGGTGAAAGTTACTGTTTTTAAATAGTGTAGTAAGCATGTAGAGATGTTAGACAACTGATTTAGTTTATTTATCTGAGGCTTTTTTCTTTTTCTTTTTTTTCTTTTCTTTTTTTTTGAGATGGAGTCTCGCTCTGTTGCCCAGGCTGGAGTGCAGTGGCGTGATCTCGGCTCACTGCAGCCTCCACCTCCTGGGTTCAAGCAATTCTCCTGCCTCAGCCTCCTGAGTAGCTGGGACTACAGGTGCACACCACCATGCCTGGCTAATTTTTGTATTTTTAGTAGAGATGGGGTTTCACTATGTTGGGCAGGCTTGTCTTGAACTCCTGACCTCAGGTGATCTTCCTGCCTCACCCTCCCAAAGTGCTAGGATTACAGGCGTGAGCCACTGCACCCGGCCAAGGCTTTTTTTCTTTGTGTAAAATGTTAATTATTTCTCTTGCCTACTTTATAAACACATTGTATAAAGACATTTTAAAAATATATCTATAGTTTGGAAGTTGTGAAGCCCTGTGGAAATATCTGAAGGGGCACACACTGCTGTTCAGAAATCTGAGAAATCATCCTTATCCCTAGGTAAAACTTAACAGCTGCTGGGTTCTTTTTAGATTCATGGTGTTGTTTTAATAGTATTGAGGGCCCACATTTTAAAGATATTTTTAGGCCGGGTGTGATGGCTCACGCCTGTATTCCCAGCACTTTGGGAGGCCGAGGCGAGCGGATCACGAGGTCAGGAGATCAAGACCATCCTGGCTAACATGGTGAAACCCCGTCTCTACTAAAAATTAGAAAAAATTAGCCGGGCGTGGTGGCGGGCACCTGTAGTCCCGGCTACTTGGGAGGCTGAGGCAGGAGAATGGCGTGAACTCGGGAGAGGTAGCTTGCAGTGAGCCGAGATCGCGCCACTGTACTCCAGCCTGGGCGACAGAGCGAGACGCCATCTCAAAAAACAAACAAACAAAAAAAAACCATATTTTTAGGATTTAACATTTATCTTCACAATTTTTTAAAGCTACTCTTCTGCTACTTACTTACTGGGATTTAAAACAGTGTCTAATAGCATTATTCAATGATTTTTCCACCAGGCACGGATGGGCAGAAGCCTTTGCAGGTATCAGAAGTTCACATATCAAATATATCTGCCCGCATGCGTGAGTATTTCTGATCTTCAGGCTTGTGATTCAGAGTCTGGAGAGGAGCAATTGTGATTGCTTTACCCTTCCAGAAAAGTATTTGAATACAGTTAATTTTTACTTTTTAAATATTGTTTAAAAATAAAGATTAGTAGAATTCCTTAAAACTAAAATGGTTTCTTAGGTAAATTGATTTTTTTCTTTTTCTCTTTCGTTAAGCAATTTAAAATATTGCTGTCTTGGAGGTCAGCTGAACTTAAGACCAGAAAAATTATTTTATTTATTTATTTATTTATTTATTTATTTTTGAGACAGAGTCTCACTCTGCCACCCAGGCTGGAGTGCAGTGGCGTGATCTCGGCTCACTGCAACCTCCACCTCCTGGGTTCAAGCGATTCTCCTGCCTCAGCCTCCAGAGTAGCTGGGATTACAGGTACGTGCCACCACGCCCAGCTAATTTTTGTATGTTTAGTAGAGGCAGGGTTTCACCATGTTGGCCAGGCTATTCTCAAATGCCTGACCTCAAGTGATCGACCTGCCTTGGCCTCCCAGAAAAATTATCTTAGATATACAAATATCTATAAAGTTCTAGGATATCCCTAGGGTATCTCTGAAGGGGATTTACCTGTTAGATTTGTGAGAACTCTTTATTACGTTGAAAACACTCTTTAATTTTATCGTTTGGGGCAATGTTGATGTACTGTGGAAAGAGCACAGACTTTGGAATATGATAGGTATTGTTTTGAATTCTGGCTCTGAAAGTTTTGAGCAAACTTAGAAGATCAATAAGATTGGCACATTAGGTCAAGCTTGTCCAACCTGTGGCCCAGGTCAGTTTGAATGCAGCCCAATGCAAATTAGTAAACTTTCTTAAAACATTATGAGATTTTTTTTTTTGCGATTTTTAAATATTATTTTATTTTTTACCTCATCAGCTATTGTTAGTGTTAATGTATTTTTATGTGTGGCCCAAGACAATTCTTCTTCCAATGTAGCCCAGGGAAACCAAATGATTGGACACCCTTGATTTAGGTCAAAAAGTTGCTGAGAAGCAATAACCATGGAGAAGACAAGAAGGGATTGGACATACTCATGTCAGTTAGTAATTCATCCCCAGAAGTGGTAGTAGCAGTAGAGTTGGGACAGATACATAAACATGAAAGAGGGAATGGGAAGAAGAATAACAGCTGAGAAGATTGGATAAGAAAACATTTCTTCCTCTTTTTATCCTGAAATACAGTCTGTCTTACCTCTAGGCTACAGTGAATACTGTGGCTAGGGTTGCTATGTCCTCTATCATTCTGCTCAAGCAAGAGACAGAATTCTTTTTATTCTTTTTCTTTTTTTTTGAGATGGAGTCTCTCTCTGTTGCCCAAGATGGAGTGCAGTGGCATAATCCTGGTTTACTGCAACCTCTGCCTCCCGGGTTCATGCGTTTCTCCTGCCTCAGCCTCCCAAGTAGCTGGAATTACAGGCGCCTGCCACCATGCCTGGGCTAATTTTTTGTATTTTTAATAGAGACATGGTTTCACCATGTTGGCCGGGCTGGTCTCAAACTCCTGATCTCAGGTGATCCGCCCGCCTCGGCCTCCCAAAGTGCTGGGATTACAGGCGTGACCCACCCCGCCCGGCCCAGAATTCTTAATTACGTTGGAATGGATATTGATATTTGCCCCAAGTTGAACTGCTTTAAAAGGCTGTTGCCCAACCTAGGAAGTTTGTATTTTCAAAGAAATTTTGATACAGTTTGTAACCTCTAAGGTGGACTTACTTCATGAATCAGGAGGAAAGTGGTGAGATGTAGTTAGAGTGTGCTTATTTTTCTTTCCTTTGGATGGAGCTGAATTCAGATTATCTAGCATATTTTTAATCACAGACTTGAATTGGCTATAATGGACACTTAGGCAAATTTTGGATTTCCCTTATTTATTTAGAGGTCTCTTAAGCAAGTACATAGCTAAGAACTAGAAAATTAGGAAAAGTGTAATCTGAGCATATGAGAATTGATGCTACAGTATCAGTGTAATAAATCACTCATTGTCCTTAGCCCTATACCGGAATCTCGTGTTTTATACATTTCCAACTGTCTTGGTTTCTGGTTTCTCTTCTCGTGTCTGAGAAGTCAAAAGTAGTAAGTAAGGGTGTTGAGAAGGGAAAATGTATCTGTCAAGCTTCGTCCTTTGTTGCTGTTGCTCTGTCTTCAGAACACATTTGGAGGGGCGTGGAAAGCAGAGTTGTACAGGTGTGGATGAAATAAAACAGTTCATATGTTAAAACTGTAGCATATAGTTTTGTGTAGGTCTCAAGCAATTATCTGTTTTTGATTAATGGAATTTATCAGTTTTTATGCTTTGTTATTCTGATTTTGTTGTTTTTTCTTTTCCATGTAGGCCTGTTAGGCCTGTTACATTAAATATGAACGTGGCTATGCCTTCATGGTAAGTAAGAATTTACTTATTGAATAAGAACATTATATTACTTATTTAATGTTATCAGAAATGCTTTTGTGTACAGCAGTTTTTATTTAGCTGTTTTTTAAATTGCAAAGTTGCATAGTTAACCTCTATTTACATTTTCATACTCTGGATTTAGGGGTAAACTTAAGGAGCTGTACATACAGGTAGAGGAAATAGGAGAGAGTGTTTGAATAAAAATCATGTGGGAGAATATCTTCTGCTGCTTGATAAACCTTTGTTGGTTTTAGTAACCCAACATTCGAATGACCCCTATTAAACCACAGCCTCTTCATCTTTCCAATTTCTTGCCTGTCTGGGTTGTTTTTAAGGAAACCGCTTCCCTTCCAGCCCTCTGAAGATATCCTCACATTCCCTCTGCACTTTACTGTCAGAAAGTAGGGTCAGTTTTTTGTTCCTATGTGCTACTTCCAGACTATGATTTTTCCTAACTGTTCTCTGAGACTCCTAACATCAGGTCTGTTAAAAAACGATGACTTTAGCCGGGCATGGTGGCTCACACCTATAATCCCAACACTTTGGGAGGCAGAGGCAGGCTGATCAACTGAGGTCAGGAGTTCAGGACCAGCCTGGCCAACACAGTGAAACCCCATGTCTACTAAAAATACAAAAATTAGCCGGGTGTGGTGGCATGCACCTGTAGTACCAGCTACTCAGGAGGCTGACACAGGAGAATTGCTTGAACCTGGGAGGGGGAGGCTGCAGTGAGCAGAGATCATGCCACTGCACTTCAGCCTGAGCAACAGAGTGAGACTTCGTCTCAAAAAATAAATAAATAAATAAATAAATAAATAAATAAATAGTGAGACTTCGTCTCAAAAAATAAATTAATTAAATAGATAAATTAAATAAAATAAAACATATTTCTGGTTAGCCTTTTAATCCAAGCTACCATGAATGTAGTAAAATATACTTACTACAATAATAGATTTTTCTTAGAATCAAAAGATTTTGCCTTATTTTACAGGTTTGATATTATTGGGCTTTCACCAGATTCACAGGAGGATGAATCTGGGATTAAACAGGCAGCAGAAAATAGTAAGTACAGAAAATGTTTATAAAGCCAAAAGTGTTCTTAAATGTTTTTAGTAGATTTAGTAATCATATCGCTACTGGTTAAAAATTACACATTTGGGCCGGGCACGGTGGCTCACGCCTGTAATCCCAGTACTTTGGGAAGTAGAGGCGGGTGGGTCACCTGAAGGTCAGGAGTTCAAGACCAGCTTGGCCAGCATGGTGAAACCCCATCTCTACTGAAAATACAAAAAATTAGCTGGATATGGTGGTGGGCGCCTGTAATCCCAGCCACTTGAGAGGATGAAGCAGGATAGTTGCTTGAACCTGGGAGGTGGAGGTTGCAGTGAGCTGAGATCGCCCCACTGCGCTCCAGCCTGGGCAACCAGAGCAAAACTTCATCTCAGAAAAACAAAAACAAAAACAAACCAAAAAAAACCACATTTATCTAATCTCAGGAGGTACTGCTGTTTCCTTCCTTTTACCCCCTGCCCCCCAGAGAGGGTCTTGCTGTGTCACCTAGCCTGGAATGCAGTGGCGTGATCAAAGCTCACTGCAGCCTTGACCTCCTGAACTCAAGCGACCCTTCCACCTCATCCTCCTGAGTAGGCTGGGACCATGGAGGCGCACACCACCATGCCCCGCCAGGTTTTAATTTTTTCTTTTTGTAGACACAGGGTCTCCCTGTGTTGCCCAGGCTTGTTTTCCTTTCTGGTCACTCTGTTACTTGTTTGCCACAGTGTCCGCATGGACTCACTTGAGTATAGGCAATGGAGATGAGGTGGATGGGGACAAATGGCATTTATCAACTTTAAACTCTGTCAGACGTATAATAATTTTTCTTTGATTTACATAGGAAAATGGAGAAAACAGCAGAATGTTTATATAGTTTTGGCCGGCCGGGCGTGGTGGCTCACGCCTTTAATCCCAGCACTTTGGGAAGCCGAGGTGGGCAGATCATGTGAGGTCAGGAGTTCGAGACCAGCCTGGCTAACCTAGTGAAACCCCGTTTCTACTAAAAATTAAAAAATTAGCTGGGCGTGGTCACGCACGCCTGTAATTCCAGCTACTTGGGAGGCCGAGGCAGGAGAATCGCTTGAACCCAGGAGGCAGAGGTTTCAGTGAGCCGAGATTGCGCCATTGCACTCAGGCTTGGGCAACAAGAATGAAACTCTGTCTCAAAAAAAAAAATAGTTTTGGCCAGTTATCTTCATTAAAGAGACTTGGAATAACAGTGAAAATAATGATATAATGAGTATAATGATAAGAAACAGTGAAAATGTGGTCAAGTGCGGTGGCTCACGCCTGTAACCCCAGCACTTTGAGAGGCCGAGGCAGGCAGATCACCTGAGGTCAGGAGTTTGAGACCAGCCTGGCCAACATGGTGAAACCCCGTCTCTACTAAAAATACAAAAAAATTAGCCAGGCGTGGTGGCGGGCACCTGTAATCCCAGTTACTCAGGAGGCTGAGGCAGGAGAATCGCTTGAACCCAGTAGGTGGAGGTTGCAGTGAGCTGAGGTTGTGCCATTGCACTCCAGCCTGGGTGACAGAGGGAGACTGTGTCTCAAAAAAAAAAAAAAAAAAAAAGGAAGAAAAAAGTTGTTAATGTTAGTGCGGTAATAATAACACGTGCCACTGATTGAGCACATAACTGTTTACAAGCTAGGTGTTTCTTACAGGGCACCTCATTTGACACCGCTGTGAAGTATTAGCTCTGCTTTACAAAACCTCGAAAGCCTGGTCTCTGGTTAGGAGTCCATCTCCTTTATGATTATGGTAATTCTAGTTGTTCGGAGGGAGAAACAGAATACTAACTTACTGGGACGTGTCTATTTTTAACAAATGCACAGGAGGCCGGGCACGGTGGCTCACACCTGTAATCCCAGCACTTTGGGAGGCTGAGGCAGGCGGATCGCCTGAGGTCGAGAGTTCGAGATCAGGCTGACCAACATGGAGAAACCCCGTCTCTATTATAAATACAAAATTAGCCGGGCATGGTAGCGCCTGCCCGTAATCCCAGCTACTTGGGAGGCTGAGCCAGGAGAATTGTTTGAACCTGGGAGGCAGAGGCTACAGTGAGCTGAGATCCCACTGTTGCACTCCAGCCTGGGCAACAAGAGTGAAACTCCGTCTCAGGAAAAAAAGAAAGAAAGAAATGCACAGGTGCACAGGAATGTGCTTTTCTTTTACATATGTGTACTGAAATATTGACAAGTATAATAATGTGAGGACTGGGATTGCCTTCAGGAAAATCTGGTTGGTGACTCTTGAGTGTGGGTGGGTGTAGGTGGGTGTGGGCAGCAATGGCAAGGCAGGCTGGCTGTGAATTGTTTTGCTTTTTGGTAATTTTTTATTTACATAGTTACTTAGAGACTGTCGCCCAGGTTAGAGTACAGTTGGTGATCATATCTCACTGCAGCCTCAAATTCCTGGTCTCCAGCAACTCTCCCGCCTCAGCTTCTGAGTAGCTGGGACTACAGGCATGTGCCACCATGCCTGGCTAATTTTTAAACTGTTTTGTAGAGATGAATTCTCATTATGTTGTCCAGGCTGGTGGGAAACTCTTGCCCTCAGGTGATCCTCCCCAAAAGTACTGGGATTACAGGCATGAGCCACTGAGCGCAGCCCTTTTGTTTTAAAAGAACTCTTTAAGGTCTTTAAAACAGGGAAAATGGCCGGGCGCGGTGGCTCACGCCTGTAATCCCAGCACTTTGGGAGGCCGAGGCGGGTGGATCATGAGGTCAGGAGATCGAGACCATCCTGGCTAACAAGGTGAAACCCCGTCTCTACTAAAAATACAAAAAATTAGCCGGGCGCGGTGGCGGGCGCCTGTAGTCCCAGCTACTCGGGAGGCTGAGGCAGGAGAATGGCGTGAACCCGGGAAGCGGAGCTTGCAGTGAGCCGAGATTGCGCCACTGCAGTCCGCAGTCCGGCCTGGGCAACAGAGCGAGACTCCGTCTCAAAAAAAAAAAAAAAACAGGGAAAATACATTCAAAAGATGTGAGATATTTGGGAATGTCAAACCAACAACACTGACTTATGGGATCATTAAAAAGTAGATTAGAGTTAGAATCCTAGAGTTGGGATTTTGTCTGAAAATAATAGATGACAAAAGTATGAGGGTAAGTGTTAGATGCTATGGAAAACAGGGAGGGCCTGGGCCCTGTGAAGAAGATACGTGGGCCTCATGAGGTCCAGAATGAAAGATTCTGTCCTAACAATAGAGTTGGCCTATGAAATACTTGTTACTTCTTTCCTCTCTGAAAATTCCTCTCAGAGAAAATTAGAATCAGACTCAGCCAGGAAAGAAAAAACAAAAGAGAATGTGCTACTGAACAAAGAAGACAGTGCTCAGGTTACATAGTTGGGGGTACATAGTGCCCTTACCCTTAGGTGAAAGGTGATTGAGGCCAAGGGATGTTGCTCATACCTGTAATCCTAGCACTTTGAGAGGCTGAGGCAGGAGGATCACTTGAGCCCAGGGGTTCAAAACCAGCCTGGGCAAGAGTCGCTACAAAAAAAAAAACAAAATTAGCTGGGCGTGGTGGCGCATGTCTGTGGCCCCCTCAGCTGCTTGAGAGTCTGAGGTGGGAGGATTGCTTGAGCCTGAGAGGTCAGCAACAGAGTGAGACCCTGTTTTGAGAGAGAGAGAGAGAGAGACAGAGACAGAGACACAGAGAGAGAGTGTGAGCGAGCAAAAGAGATTTATTCTGGTTTTTTTTTGTTTGTTTTTGAGATGGAGTCTTGCTCTCTTGCTCAGGCTGGAGTGCAGTGGCGCAATCTCAGCTCACTGCAACCTCCACCTCCTGGGTTCAAGTTATTCTCCTGTCTCAGCCTCCCAAGTAGCTAGGACTACAGGCCTGTGCCACCATGCCCGGCTACGTTTTGTATTTTTAGTACAGACGGTGTTTCACCATGTTGGCCAGGCTGGTCTCAAACTCCTGGCCTCAAGTTGATCTGCTGGCCTCAGCCTTCCAAAGTGCTGGGATTACAGGCGTGAGCCACTGTGCCTGGCCAATTCTGTGATTTTTTTTAAAAAACAATAGAATGAATGGTTTTAAACACTTTTTAAACCATTAACTTAACTACGTACAACACTTAACTACGTACAATTTTAAACACTTAACTACGTACAATTTTAAAATGACAACTTTTAGGTACAAATGCCTATGGTTCATTGAAGAGAGAAACATGGAATATATATGAGCAGAATTAACTATTAATTTTTTAAAAATCCATCTCTTGATGAGAGAAAGAACTGTTGTTAACAAAATATTTAATGGGAAATTATTGAAGTTTTAATTAAAATTTTATTTTTTTATTTTCAATTTTTGTGAGTACATAGGTGTACATATTTATATGTACGTGAGATGTTTTGATACAGGGATGCAATGTGAAATAAGCACATCATGGAGAATGGGGTGTCCATCCCCTCAAGCGTTTATCCTTTGAGTTACAAAGAATCCATTTACACTCTTGTAAGTTATTTTAAAATGTACACTAAGTTACTATTGACTATAGTCACCCTATTGTACTGTCAAATGGTAGGTCTTATTCTATTTTTTTTGTACCCATTAACTAGCTACACCTCACCTCCAGCCCCCTTCTACCCTTCCAGCCTCTGATAACCATACTTCTACTACTGTCTGTGTCTGTTAGTTCAGTTAGTTTTAGATCCCACAAAAAAGTGAGAACATGCAATGTTTGTCTTTCTGTGTCTGGCTTATTTCCCTTAACATAATGATCTCCAGTTCCACTTGTGTTGTTGCAAATGACTGGATCTCATTCTTTTTTTATGGCTGAATAGTACTTCATTGTGCATATGTACCACATTTTCTTCATCCAGTCATCTGTTGATGGACACATAGGTTACTTCCAAATCTTGGCTATTGGGAACAGTGCTACAACAAACATGGGAGTACAGATATCTCTTCAATATACTGATTTCCTTTCTTTTGGGTATATATCCCAAAAGATATATACCCAAATATAGTTAAAAGAAAGATACTTTCTTTTGAGTATATATCCAGTGGGATTGCTGGTTCATATGGTAGCTCAATTTTTAGTTATTTGAGGAACCTCCAAACTGTTCCCCATAGTAGTTGTACTAATTTACATTCCCACCAACAGTGTATGAGGGTTCTCTTTTCTCCACATCCTTGCCAGCATTTGCTATTAACTGTCTTTTGAATAAAAACCATTTTAACTGGGGTGAGACGATATTTCATTGTAGTTTTGATTTGCATTTTGCTGGCGATCAGTGATGTTGGGCACCTTTTCATATGCCTGTTTGCCATTTTTATGTCATCTTTTCGGAAATGTCTATTCAGATCTTTGGCCCGTTTTTTTTGTTCTTGTTTGTTTTGAGACAGAGTCTTGCTCTTTCGCCAGGCTGGGGTGCAGTGGTGCAATCTTGGCTCACTGCAACCTCCGTCTCCCGAGTTCAAGTGATTCTCCTGCCTCAGCCTCCCAAGTAGCTGCGACTACAGGTGCGCACCACCATGCCCAGCTAATTTTTTAATCTGTAGTAGATACGGGGTTTCACCACGTTGGGCAGGATGGTCTTGATCACTTGACCTCGTAACCCACCCTCCTCGGTCTCCCAAAGTGCTGGGATTGCAGGCATGAGCCACTGTGCCCGGCCTGGCCCATTTTTTGATCAGATTATTAGATTTTTTTCCTATAGAGTTGTTAAAGCTCCTTATATATTCTGGTTATTAATCCCTTCTCAGATGGGTAGTTTCCAAATATTTTCTCCCATTCTGTGGGTTGTCTCCTCACTTTGTTGATTGTATCCTTTGCTGTGCAGAAGCTTTTTAACTTGATGTGATCCCATTTGTCCATTTTTGCTTTGGTTGATATGCTTGTGGGGTATTTCTCAAGAAATTTTTGCCCAGACCAATGTCCTGGAGATTTTCCCCAATTTTTTCTCGTAGTAGTTTCATAGTTTGAGATCTTAGATTTAAGTGTTTATTGTGATTTGATTTTTGTATACAGCAAGAGATAGGGTCTAATTTTATTCTTCTGCATATGGATATCCAGTTTTCCCAGGACCATTTTTATTGAAGAGACTGTCTTTTCCCCAGTGTATGTTCTTGACACCTTTGTCAAAAATGAATTCACTGTAGGTGTGTGTGTATAGATTTGTTTCTGGGTTCTCTATTCTGTTCCTTTAGTCTGTGTGTCTGTTTTTATGCCAGTACCATGCAGTTTTGGTTACTATAGCTCTGTAGTATAATTTGAAGTAAAGTAATGTGATTCCTCTAGTTTTATTCTTTTTGCTTAGGGTAGCTTTGGCTACTCTGAGTCTTTCGTGATTCCATATAAATTTTAGGGGGCTAGGCACGGTGGCTCACGCCTGTAATCCTAGTACTTTGGGAGGCCGAGGCGGGCGGATCTCGAGTTCAGGAGATCGACCATCCTGGCTAACACGGTGAAACCTCGTCTCTACTAAAAATACAAAAAATTAGCCGGGCATGGTGGTGGGCACCCGTAGTCCCAGCTACTTGGGAGGCTGAGGCAGGAGAATGGCATGAATCCAGTAGGCGGAGCTTGCAGTGAGCCAAGATCACGCCACTGCACTCCAGCCTGGGTGACAGAGCGAGACTTTGTCTCAAAAAAAAAAAAAAAATAATTAGGATTGTTTTTCTATTTCTGTGAAGATTGTCATTGGTATTTTCATAGAGATTGCATTGAATCTGTAGATTGCTTTGGGTGATTTGGGAAAAATATTCCATGGTCATGGATTAGAAGAATTCATGAACAATAACAATCAATATTGTTATTGGTTCTTCTTATCCATGACCATGGAATCTTTTTTCCATTTTTTGGTGTCCTCTTTCATCAGTGTTTTATAGTTTTCATTATAGAGACCGTTCACTTCTTTGTTTAATTCCTAGGTATTTAATTTTATGTGTGACTATCGGAAATTTGATTTTTTTAAAATTTCCTTTTCACGTTGTTCTCCGTTGGCATATGAAAATACATTCTAATTTTGTATTTTAATGAAGTGCTTTGAATTTTTCACTCATTTCCACCTTAAAAGTAATTGCGCTTTTCTATTACTAATTTTTTCCTAATTTAAATTTTATCAGTGGGCTTAACTCTGAAAGTATTGCTGACTAACTTTCATGTTGTTTTTAGTAAAAGCTTTGATTGATCAAGAAGTGAAGAATGGCATTCCTTCTAACAGAATTATTTTGGGAGGGTTTTCTCAGGTAAGATAAAATTTGAGTGGAATGTCAGTACCATCAGTATACTTATTTAGAAGTCTGTGCATTAATCCTTTCTATAGAGTAGTCTTTTTTGATGTTATAGAATCTTGACTGATACACTTACCTTTGATGTTTAATTAAGTTTCAGTGTACTGGAACTAATTAATTTCTTCTTGAAAGAACTATAATACACATGTACACATGTAATTAAATTTCTAAGTTAACACAGTTTATCCTTTTAATTAATTAAAACTGATAACACAGGCATGAGTCCCCTCTATAGGAGGAGACTACTGATAGGAACAGTAAAGTGGAAGACAAGAGAATTTCTTCCCTTTACCTTCACGTATTACAGGTTTTAGGTATGAATATGTGGTGTTTATTTTTGGCATTTTTCTTTGTCTCTGTACTTTTTCCCCTGCTTTCTGTACTCCCTCCACAGACGTAGCTTCCTCATACGGACCTTTCTTTCATGGCTACTGCGGCATATAAGCTGTTTGCCATGGAACCAGTCCCCAGATGCTCTAACTTATCATCTGTAAATCTTCTAAGTTAGCAACTTAGTGTTTGGATTACCTTAATTAGGGAGATGTTTGGATTACCTTAATTAGGGAGATGTCAGAATTCTGAAATTATTTAGAAGATAGAATTCAGTAGAAAGATTTGTTGATACAATATAGTGAAAAGGTGTTACTGATTTGGTGTTTGTTGAAATTCACAGATAATGTATATTGTAATACACATTGTGACATAAACATAGGGACAGAAATTAATGATCCAGGCCAGGCACGGTGGCTCACGCCTGTAATCCCAGCACTTTGGGAGGCCAAGGTGGGTGGATCACTTGAGGTCAGGAGTTCGAGACCAGCCCAGCCAACATGGTGAAACCCTGTCTCTACTAAAAATACAAAAATTAGCCGGGCATAGTGGTGCACGCCTCTGTAACTCCAGCTACTCCGGAGGCTGAAGCAGGAAAATCACTTGAACCCAGGAGCCAGAGGTTGCAGTGAGCCAAGATCGCACCACTATACTCCAGCCTGGGCAACAGAGCTGAGACTCTGTCTCAAAAATAATAATAATAATGATCCAGAATAACAAGTTCATGTGGGAGTCTGTATATTTGATATTCATTCATTACAGTATATAGAAACCAACTCAATACCTCAAGCAAGGAGTAAGCAATGAGTCTGTGGCATCCTATCAAGGAAACTGAGGAGGAAAATGAGGCAAGGCCTCAGGAAGTAGCTAGAAATTGAAAAGCAGTTGGGCCTTGCTCACCATCTCTCATCTCTTGTTTCTTTGCTTGTCTGTTTCATTTACCTTTCCATAAACAATTGGCCATCTTGGCTTTTGCAGCCTATAGCTTTTCCAGCTCTTGAATTTACATGTTACAGGTGTAGCCACACAGAGAGTGACTGGTGGTCATCGAATCCCATTTCCACAGTGCCAGGAGAAAACATCACTGCCTGGGATGTGAAAGGCTCTCGTGTACTCATGTGTTGCAGTAACCCATGGGCATGGTCAGAGTGATGGGGCTTCTGGATGCTGGCAGGAGTACAGCTTCCAGAATGTGGGATGTTGTGAGCTGGGTAGGCAGATACTCTGAAGGTGTCTGCTAAATAGTTATTATTATCTTAAATTCTCATTTAGAAAGTAATACCAATTTAAGGGCCAGGCACGGTGGCTCACACCTGTAATCCCAACACTTTGGGAGGCTGAGGCGCGTGGATCACCTGAGGTCGGGAGTTTGAGACCAGCCTAACCAACATGGAGAAACCCCGTCTCTACCAAAAATACAAAATTAGCCGGGTGTGGTGGTGCATGCCTGTAATCCCAGCTACTCGGGAGGCTGAGGCAGGAGAATCGCTTGAACTCAGGAGGCGGAGGTTGTGGTGAGCCAAGATTGCACCATTACTCTCCAGCCTGGGCAACAAGAGTGAAACTCCATCTCAAAAAAAAAAAAAAAAGTAATACCAATTTAAGAGCAGATTGGATTTTATGCCTAAAATTCTGCAAAGGAGAAAATATAAATTCAGAATATTCGTAAGGCATGTTGTAAGTGCAGCAGTTTCCCATGGTACAAACTATGTCTCGTCGGAAAGGAAGTCTGTATGTTCTCTGGTGTAGAGAACCGCATCCTTTAGGACACGGTGGGGTGTGTTTGTATTTCCGATATTTGCCTGATTTGATTTGACACCAGCCACCAAGTTTGATTTTTTTATGGATATCATTAGTAACAAGATATTCCCTAAATTGCTGTGGGCAAGCATGTGTGTTCCATTGACTTTCCCTGCTTGTCTTTTCAGGGAGGAGCTTTATCTTTATATACTGCCCTTACCACACAGCAGAAACTGGCAGGTGTCACTGCACTCAGTTGCTGGCTTCCACTTCGGGCTTCCTTTCCACAGGTAACTTGGTTGATGCACTCAACATGAGATTACTGAGCTAAAGGTAGCTAGTAGATATTGTTGGAGATAAAGTCATCTTATTTTTTTTTATTAATAAACTTTATTTTTTGGAGAAGTTCTAAATTCACAGCAAAACTGAGCAGAAGGTACAGAGTTACTATCTACCTCCTGTCCCCACACATGCACAGCCTCCCCACCATCAGCATCCCCACCTCCACAGCCATGTTTTTGCTGCAGTCAGTAATGCTGCACTGACACATCACCATCACCAAGTCCTCCACTTACAGCACTCATCCTTTTTTAAAAATAATTTTCTTAGACTTTTGTGATGTATTACTAGGCCTTATTTCTGTACGCTATACTGTCTGTATTGTGGAGTACATAGAATGGAATTAGAAAGAAACCTTATTGTCACAAATCTTATATTAGAAGGATTTGATACATTTTAGGATATATATGAAAATTAGGACTTTTTTTAACATATAGAAATCATACTTATTTTTAGACCAGGTGCGGTGGCTCATGCCTGTAATCCCAGCACTTTGGGAGGCTGAGGCGGGTGGATTACCTCAGGTCAGGAGTTCAAGACCAGCCTGGCCAACATGGTGAAACCCCATGGCTACTAAAAATACAGAAATTAGCTGGGCGTCGTGGTGCACACCTATAATCCCAGCTACTCAGGAGGCTGAGGCATGAGAATCACTTGAACCCAGGAGGTGGAAGTTGCAGTGAGCCACGATTGTGCCACTTCACTCCAGCCTGGGTAACAGAGCAAGACTCTGTCTTTGGGGGAAAAAAAAAAAAAAAGATAGCTGAATAAAACAGCAACTCAAAATACTAAAACAACCAACCAAACAAACAAAAAAAAGCTGAAAATATAAAGATGGATTAAAATATAATCTGCTTGGCTGGGTGCAGTGGCTCACGCCTGTAATCCCAGCACTTTCGGAGGCCAAGGCAGGTGGATCACAAGGTCAGGAGATTGAGACCATCCTGGGTAACACAGTGAAACCCTGTCTCTACTAAAAAATACAAAAAAATTAGCTGGGCGTGGTGGCACGTGCCTGTAATCCCAGCTACTTGGGAGGCTGAGGCAGGAGAATTGCTTGAACCTGGGAGGCAGAGGTTGCAGTGAGCTGAGATCACGCCACTGCACTCCAGCCTGGGCAACAGAGCAAGACTCCGTCTCAAAAAAACTAAACGAAACAAAAAAATGTATATATAATCTGCTTCAAGGAACTCATTCACTGGGAAGATATATATTATAATATGAGGCAAGGTGATCATACATCCTATAGAAGTCAAAGGGATGTGGTGAGTATATGGATGAAGGAATTTTATTTTTTTGGCCAAATGTAACTTCTAATATGTTATATATATGCATATTTATGTACAATTTTAAATGCCTGGCATAGTGTCCTATACTTTTACAAAAATAAAACTATTTCTTCTTTTGCTTTTTGCAGGGTCCTATCGGTGGTGCTAATAGAGATATTTCTATTCTCCAGTGCCACGGGGATTGTGACCCTTTGGTTCCCCTGATGTTTGGTTCTCTTACGGTGGAAAAACTAAAAACATTGGTGAATCCAGCCAATGTGACCTTTAAAACCTATGAAGGTATGATGCACAGTTCGTGTCAACAGGTAGGTGTCTAGAAGCAGTGATCAGCGCCATATTTGTAACTTTTTTCATGTGATATTTTCAAGAAAAGTAACATTTGAATGCTTGGGGATTTAAATGAGTTAATTCATATTGAGTCATAAGTTAGCAGTCATTAGATGAGTGTGTATTCAACTTAATTCAACAAATATTTACTGATTGGCTATTATACACAGCATTGTACATAATTCAAAGATGAATAATAAACATTCCCTTTCATTAAAATTTAAGATAAAATTTAATAGAAAGATGCATGTCTAAGTAACTGTATGGATAGCAGAATGTGATATACATTGTATTAGAAGCTTTAAAAAGTGCCCTTGGAAAATAACAAAAGGTGCCCTGAAAAACTGAGAAGAGATTAATTTTATCTTAGGAGGCACTGAGACCATGATGAAACAGCTAGATTTTGAAAAACGGTGGGATTTGGATAGCAAATGTGCAGAGAAAGAACTATAGGACAGGAAAAGCAAGCCATTCAGTCTTAGGAAAAGCTGGGCATGATAGGACAGAAGACATAGGGAACAGAGACTCTTTGTGCTGAGAAGGGACTTACTAGACTTACTCTCTAGGCAGCAGGAAGCTGTCAGTGTTTTTGGTTGAAGTGAGATGTGATCTGATCTACATTCTAGAGACAGGTGATCCAGCAGGATTTAGAGATTAATTATGTGGGGTGTAGTAACCAAGGAAGTATCAAAAGGGCCTGAGATTTCTAGTTCTGATGCCATCATAAAAAGTAGGTGCAAGAAACAGTTTTAGAGTAAAGGAAGGAGATAATACTGAGTTTAATGTATTGAGATCAATGTGCCCCCACAATATCAAAATAGGATATTGGAAATACTTGTCTGAAGTTCAAGCCTGGAAATGGAGATTTGAAATAATTACTAATATAATTGATCAACGAAGAATTATCTTGAGAAAGCATTATAAGAAAAAAAGCTCAGGGATAGAACTTTGGGGGACACATTACAGTTTAGCCTAATGAGAAAAGGAGTTAGGTGTTGAGAGTATGGGTGGAGAGAATTTCAGAGTGGGAAGGAGATGTGTAATGTGTTCCAGAGAAGGATTAAGGAGAAATAGTTTAGGAAGAAAGTACCCAATATTAAGCCACCTGTGACCTTGGATGTTTGGGTAGATAAAGCCAAAATGCAAAGGATTGTATGAAGTGGATAGGGAAATGAGGAAGCAGAGGCAACATGTATAGACCTTTTAAAAAAGTTTTGGTAAACAGGAAGAAGAGTAGGAAATCTGTTCTTCAGTGGGATCAGAGAAAGACCTATGAGTGGAAGGAGGGAGGAAGAAGATGCAGTAAAGAGAAGATAATTGATAGAGGCATTCTCAGAGGGATCATAGAATAGAATTAAGTCCTGAGATGTATAGTGCTTGCCTTAAAAGAGGAGAAAACCATTTTCAATCAAGATAGAAGAGGACAGGCCGGGTGAGGTGGCGGGCACCTGTGGTTCCAATTACTCTAGAGGCTGAGGCGAGAGGATCACTTGATCTCCGGAGGTTGCTGCTGCAGTGAGCCATGTTGGCACCCTGCACTCCAGCCTGAGTGACAGAGTGAGACCCTAAAAAAAAGAAAGAAAGGATGGATGAATATAAACAGGAGATGGAGAGAGAAGAGAGTGCTTGGGAGCTCATATTAGATGTGCTTATCTTTTCAGTCAAGTAGAAGGTGCGATCACTTGATAGAATGAAGGAGGCCGGAGGCCTGGATAGGTCTGGAGGCTTGAGAAGACCTAGAGTAAAAATTGATTCCTAGTGAGATAGTCATACTGACAGTTTTACAACCACTCAGCCTGGGTTAAATAATTTAGGGACGGAGAAAGAGGTGGTAATATGATTTATCCAGAAAGACAAGGGTGCCTGGGAACCTGAACCTAGGGTGTTCTCCTACTGATATAGAGTATTACAGTGTTGAATCCAGAAAAGAGAGGGCAGGGGAAGTCCTGGAACCCTTAATGTGTGCAAGAGGGACTGAAGGTCTCTAGAGCAGCTGTTTTCTTCATGGGCTTTGTATCACAAATACCTTGGAGCTTCATAAAAGCTCTATAGATGAGTCTACAACAACTCTGGGCTGAATGAGGAGGAGCAGAAAATGAGGAGAAGTAGGATAGTGGGAGGTGATCTCACAGGAAACTCTTTGGGACTTCAGAGTATTGTGAAATAGAACACTTTCATGCTGGGGCTCTTTTCTGAGTGACTAAATTACAAGGCTGAAGGTTAGCTGCATTGCTACTATTTGGCACTGTGAGGCTAAGTAAGGCCTTGAAATATAAGAGCTGATAGCAGGAAGTGAGTTTGAGGGAGGTGAGAAAACTGAGCCAAATGCAAGAGGCTAAGAGGAGAAAGTTTCTTCTATGATAAATCTTTGGTATATTAATGTTCATATCTTCCCAGGAACATCTTAGGTACATGCTCTCTATCAAATGGTTAGTTGTATGTAATTCTTTATGAAAGACACAGCATAGTTAATGCTATGGATTTAGCGCATAATTCAGTTTGAAGAATGGTAGAAGCTCTGCTTTGTCACTCATACTTAGTTGTCAGTAATTGTTCACTTACTGAGACTTCTCAGTGTAGGCACCATCGCTTCTAAACTTCCCTGCCCCCCAGTGTCTTATATTGTTCCAGTATAGGAAGATGCAGAACTAGATACTGGATGGGAGCTGTCATTTCAGTGTACAATAATCATGATAGGAAATGTCCTGAAATTTCTGTTGGAGCCTCATTTCTCTTTTGTCTTATTTAATTGTAGTAAAAATGTGATTTCGCCTTTATGCATACCATAGATTTGATTAGTGGCATTTTAGTGGGAATTTAATTTCTGACTTACATAACTACCTACCTATTAAATTACTTTATTCCAAACAGGAAATGATGGATGTCAAGCAATTCATTGATAAACTCCTACCTCCAATTGATTGACGTCACTAAGAGGCCTTGTGTAGAAGTACACCAGCATCATTGTAGTAGAGTGTAAACCTTTTCCCATGCCCAGTCTTCAAATTTCTAATGTTTTGCAGTGTTAAAATGTTTTGCAAATACATGCCAATAACACAGATCAAATAATATCTCCTCATGAGAAATTTATGATCTTTTAAGTTTCTATACATGTATTCTTATAAGACGACCCAGGATCTACTATATTAGAATAGATGAAGCAGGTAGCTTCTTTTTTCTCAAATGTAATTCAGCAAAATAATACAGTACTGCCACCAGATTTTTTATTACATCATTTGAAAATTAGCAGTATGCTTAATGAAAATTTGTTCAGGTATAAATGAGCAGTTAAGATATAAACAATTTATGCATGCTGTGACTTAGTCTATGGATTTATTCCAAAATTGCTTAGTCACCATGCAGTGTCTGTATTTTTATATATGTGTTCATATATACATAATGATTATAATACATAATAAGAATGAGGTGGTATTACATTATTCCTAATAATAGGGATAATGCTGTTTATTGTCAAGAAAAAGTAAAATCGTTCTCTTCAATTAATGGCCCTTTTATTTTGGGACCAGGCTTTTATTTTCCCTGATATTATTTCTATTTAATACTCTTTTCTCTCAAGAAAAAAAAAAAAGTTTGTTTTTTCTTTATTGTCCTTCATAGCAGGCCAAGTATTGCCTCTCTGCAATAGACAGCTACTGTCAATACATGCTGTAATTTGACATTCTGGGTCACAGATATAAGGTATTTAAAATCTATTTATGCTTTATAGAGAAACCAGACATTAAAACTTCATGCACTACTTATTTCGAATTACTGTACCTTATCCAAATTTACACCTAGCTATTAGGATCTTCAACCCAGGTAACAGGAATAATTCTGTGGTTTCATTTTTCTGTAAACAACTGAAAGAATAATTAGATCATATTCTAGTATGTTCTGAAATATCTTTAAGACTGATCTTAAAAACTAACTTCTAAGATGATTTCATCTTCTCATAGTATAGAGTTTACTTTGTACACGTTTGAAACCAACTACTGTAGAAGATGAGGAATCTATTGTAATTTTTTGCTTTATTTTCATCTGCCAGTGGACTTATTTGAAATTTTCACTTTAGTCAAATTATTTTTTGTATTAGTTTTTGATGCAGACATAAAAATAGCAATCATTTTAAATTGTCAAAATTTCCAGATTACTGGTAAAAATTATTTGAAAACAAACTTATGGGTAATAAAGGCTAGTCAGAACCCTATACCATAAAGTGTAGTTACCATACAGATTAATATGTAGCAAAAATGTATGCTTGATATTTCTCAACTGTGTTAATTTTTCTGCTGTATTCCAGCTGACCAAAACAATATTAAGAATGCATCTTTATAAATGGGTGCTAATTGATAATGGAAATAATTTAGTAATGGACTATACAGGATGTTAATAATGAAGCCATATGTTTATGTCTGGATTTAAAAATTTTAAACAATCATTTACTATGTCATTTTTCTTTACCTTGAAGAACATAAACTGTTATTTCACTTCTACAAATCAGCAAGATATTATTTATGGCAAGAAATATTCCATTGAAATATTGTGCTGTAACATGGGAAAGTGTAAATGTTTTTCATGGTTTCTATCAATGTGAAATAAAATTTAATTCTGACTTTTCTGTGACTTTGAGTATTTTAATATTTGGAATGTTAACATTTGGAATGAATGTCTATAATGCAATGGAGGAAAATAACAATGTACTTAAAAGAATATATATTCAGAGAGAGAAATTTTGATGATGGTGTGGTTGACTTAGAATGGAACCAGGCATAAGAAATAATCTCATGTTATTCAGTTTTAATTGGCTAAAAAAAAATTTCCCAAATTTGGTTTTCAATGTTTCTACCTATTTAAGAAGTTTTATTTGGTGTTTATCTTTTGTCTTTTTCTTAACTCTTTTTAAATTTTATTTTATTTTATTTTATTTTTGAGACAGAGTCCCATTCTGTCACCCAGGCTGGGGTGCAGTGGTGCGATCTCGGCTCACTGCAACCTCTGCCTCCCAGGTTCAAGTGATTCTCCTGCCTCAGCCTCCTAAGTAGCTGGGATTACAGGAGCCCACCACCATGCCCAGCTAATTTTTGTATTTTTAGTAGAGACAGGGTTTTGCCACGTTGGCCAAGCTGGTCTCCAACTCCTGACCTCAGGTGATCCACTCGCTTCAGCCTCCCAAAGTGCTGGGATTATAGGCGTGAGCCACTGTGCCCGGTCTTTTTCTTTAATGTAGTATTCACTGGGTTTTTTAAATTAGTGTCATAAGTCAGTTATCCAAGTAGTTTTTCTCCTTTATTTCAACATTGACTTCTGACTTTTCCGAATATAGGAATTCCTTCTGTCCTGTTAAGCAGTCCTTCGCTTTCTGCTTTTGGATACTTAAGTGACCACCTCACTTTTTTGTGATGCAGCTTGTTCAATTTTTGGATAGTTCTCGTGGTAAGAAAATTCTGGACCAAATATGTTGTCTCTAACTTCAGTTCGTTTTATAAAATGTTTATCTTTCACATCAGCACTGTATTTCATATGATAATCTTTAGTTCATGATCCTTTTAAAAATAATTTTGTTAACTACTAAATGTGGTCAGAGCTTGGTACTGACTGTTATGATCTAATTACCAATGGGTAACAATAGTTGTATCTATATGTAAATAGTTGGGTAATTTGCCTACTGTTGCAGCCACTCTTACTGCTGCATTTTGAAAGTATAAATAGTTTTAAATCCTCTTAACAAGTACCATTTTATTTTGTAGAAATTCCTAAAAAATGAAAATGTAATTATTTAATATATGCTGGGCACTATACTAAGCATTTTATATCCTTTAAGCATATAGTCCTCTGATCAACCATCTTGATTTTACAGAAGAGGAAACTCTAGAGAAGGAAACTATTTACTTAGGATTCCAGAGCTATTAATGTGCAAGAGCCAGGATTCAAATTCATGTGCCTAACTTCATGGTCTTTATAACCTTGCTCTGTGCCCCAGTGGGGTAATTTAAATGCTTTGAAACACACAAATGATGTGTATTTCATATAATACAGGACACATGGAAATGCTGAGTAGAACTATGATACAAATCAGCTCACCATAAAGTACAATCTCCAGTGGCCAGAGAGAACTAAAAGGAAACTAAAAACCCGCATGACACAGTTAACTTTGGGGCTTAAGATGAGATAAGGTATGTAAGTAATTCACCCTTATTTTTTTTATTTTAAAATGTTTTTGTAGAGATGGGGTCTTGCTATGTTGCCCAGGATGGTCTCGAACTCCTTGGCTCAAGTGATCTCACCGCAGCTTCCCAAAGTGCTGGGATTACAAACAGCCACCATGCCCAGCCAAGCCAGGACCCTTTTAAGGGCAGTGCACATAGGTGAACTAGAAAAAAAAAAATCTGGCCCCTTCCACCCCGTCACCCCCCAGCATAGGGAAGTGGAGGGAAACTTGCCTGTTTTGGTCTGGGCTGTGGACTGGGAGAGATGAAATCATCCCTCAAAACTTTTTCACCAGGAGTTTGTGTTCATGTGCATTTTGATTTTCAAGGTATATACCATTTATGTGGTCTGTCAACACACGAAGTTAAATATTAACGTCAAGAATCTCCCTGGACTGGCTTTACTCTCAGGCACCTGGAAGAAGCAAACAAATACTTTATGAAGACTGACAGCCTCAGAATTTAAATTCTGAGGTTGCATAAATTTAACCTTGTCAAAAATGAGCTCAGAGCCCCCACATTTCAAATCATAAGAGGGAATGATTTACCTACAGCTGAATACCAGGTGACCCGAAAGATAAAAGGAAGGCTGGGCACGGTGGCTCCCTCACACCTGTAATACCGGCACTTTGGGAGGCTGAGGCGAGTGGATCAGTTGAAGGTAGGAGTTAAGAGACCAGCCTGGTCAACATGGTAAAACCCCATCTCTACTAAAAATGCAAAAATTAGCTGGGCATGGTGGCGTGCACCTGTAATCCCAGCTACTTGGGATGCTGAGGCAAGACAATCACTTGAACCTGGGAGGTGGAGGTTGCAGTGAGCCAAGATCATGCCACTGCACTCCAGCCTGGGTGACAGCAAGACTGTCTCAAAAAAGCGGAAGAATAAGTGAAAAAGAGTAACAGTATAAAATGCAGATTTGAGGCCGGGTGTGGTGGCTCACACCTGCAATCCCAGCACTTTGAGAGGCCAAGGAGGGTGGATCCCTTGAGGTCAGGAGTTCGAGACCAGCCTAACCAAGGTGGTGAAACCCCGTCTCTACCAAAAATATGAAATTAGCCGGGAGTGATAGCACATGCCTGTAATCCCAGCTACTTGGGAGGCTGAGGCAGGTGAATTGCTTGAACCCAGGAGGCTGTAGTGAACCGATTTTGCACCATTGCACTACAGCCTGGGCAACAAAAGTAAACTTTGCCTAAAAAATAAATAGGGTCAGGTGCGGTGGTTCATGCCTGTTTCCCCAGCACTTTGGGAGGCTGAGGCAGGTGGATCATGAGATCAGGAGTTCAAGACCAGCCTGGCCAGTATGGTGAAACCCCGTCTCTACTAAAAATACAAAAATTAGCCAGGTGTGGTGGTGCACGCCTGTAGTCCCAGCTACTCAGGAGGCTGAGGCAGGAGAATCATTTGAATCCGGGAGGCGGGGGTTGCAGTGAGCCGAGATCACACCACTGACTCCAGCCTGGGCAACGGAGCGAGACTCCGTCTCAAAAATAAAAAATGCAGATTTGAAAAAAGGTTCAAAAAATGAAAAACAGCCTTTTCAAATGAAAATTTTCATCTAGGAGTGATGGCGCTTGCCAGTAATCCCAGCTATTCCAGAGGTCGAGCTGGAAGGATCCCTTGAGCCGAGTGCGAGGCTGCATTGAACTATTACCACACCACTGCACTCCAGCCTGGGCAACAGAGTGAGACCTCATCTCTGGACAAGTGTTATTTGTGACAGCACAATGTTTGATACAACCCAAATGTTGAATGAAAGTGGACCAGCTAAATAAACCATGAACATTTACTCAATGGAATGTTAGGCAGCTATTAAAAAATAAGGTGCACTGAATTCGTTAGGAAAGGATTTAGGTTATGTTATCGGATGAAAAAAATGTAAAAAACTGAAAGGGGTGGAGGAAATAAGACCATATACTTGACTTGGCTAGAATTTGCATTTAAAAAAACACTGAAAGGACATTTGAAGAGTGTAATAAAAGTAGTTAATATCTATGGAGCGTGAATAGGGAAGGAATGAAGTGAATAAGGATAGGAGTGGGAGAGAGGAATCCTGCCTTTGGGATACATTGTTTATTCTAACACAGATTTAAAAATCTGAATACATAACAAAATTTACCATCTTAACTACTTTTACCTGTATGCTTCAGTAGCATTAAGTACATTCACATTATGCAACCATCACCACCATTCATCTCAAGAACTTCATCTTTCCAAACTGAAACCCTGTACCCACGCTTTAGATTTTAAATTGTGTTAACCTGTGACCTATAAACACGATTCAAAGGCCAGGTGCGGTGGCTCACGCCTGTAATCCCAGCACTTTAGGAGACCGAGGTGGGCAGATCATGAGGTCAGGAGTTCGAGACTATCTTGGCCAATATGGTGAAACCCCATCTCTACTAAAAATACAAAAATTAGCTGGGCGTGGTGGCATGCGCTGGTAATCTCAGCTACTCAGGAGGCTGAGGCAGGAGAATCACATGAATCCTGGGGGCAGAGGTTGCAGTAAGCCAAGATTGTGCCACTGCACTCCAGCCTGGGCAACCAAATGAGACTCTGTAAAAAAAAGGAAAAAGAAAAAAGATTCAATGGATGAGTTAAACTATATTAGAGACAACAGATTTTAAAGGTAGTTCTGAGGAATTTACTCAAGGAAGCGCAGCAAACAAGGGAGGGTAGGAGACTACAAAAATAAAGTAAAAAGGTCCAATACAGGCTTTAAAAGGTCCAATACAGGCTTTAATAGAAGTTGCAGAAGGAGAGAACAGAATGGAGAGAACTATAAAATGGCTGATGTTTGCAGGGTGTGGTGGGTCACGCCTGTAATTCCAGCACTTTGGGAGGCCGAGGTGGGCAGATCACGAGGTCAGGAGTTCGAGACTATCTTAGCCAATATGGTGAAACCCCATCTCTACTAAAAATACAAAAATTAGCTGGGCGTGGTGGCGCCTGCCTGTAGTCCCAACCACTCGGGAGGCTGAGGCAGAAGAATCGCTTGACCCCAGGAGGCAGAGGCTGCAGTGAGCTGAGATCGCGCCACTGCACTCCAGCTTGGGCGACAGAGTGAGACTCTGTCTCAAAAAAAATAAAATAAAAATAAAATAAAATGGCTGATATTTTTCCGGACTTCAAGAAAGGTAAGAAACCCCAAATTCAGGAAGCAAAAAATGAGTTACTAACAGGATAAGTAAGTGAAATCTCCACTGAGACACGTGATGGTGAAGAGCAAAACAGAATACCATAGAAAAAGAATTTGTTTTCTTTTTTTTTTTTTGAGACGGAGTCTCGCTCTGTCGCCCAGGCTGGAGTGCAGTGGCGCGATCTTGGCTCACTGCAAGCTCCGCCTCCCGGGTTCACGCCATTCTTCTTCTGCCTCAGCCTCCCGAGTAGCTGGGACTACAGGTGCCCGCCACAACGCCCGGCTAATTTTTTGTATTTTTAGTAGAGACGGTTTCACTGTGTTAGCCAGGATGGTCTCGATCTCCTGACCTCATGATCCACCTGCCTTGGCCTCCCAAAGTGCTGGGATTACAGGCGTGAGCCACCGCACCCGACCAGAATTTGTTTTCTTTAGAGATGGGGTCTTGCTCTCTTGCTGGCAGTGCAGTGGTATGATCATAGCTCACCGTAGCCTCGAATTTTAGAAGCTCAAGGAATCCTCCCACCTCAGCCTTCCAAGTAGCTGGGACTACAGGCATGTGCCACCACGCCCAGCTAATTTTAAAATTTTTATAGAAACATGGGGTCTCACTGTGTTGCCCAGGCTGGTCTTGAACTCCTGGCTCTGGCCTCAAACCATCCTCCCGTTGTGGCCTCCTAAAACCCTGGGATTAGAGGCATAATCCACCACTCCAGGCCAGAAAAAGATCTTAATGGCAACCAGAGAAAAGGAAACTACTTAAGCTGTCACATTTTTTAAAAAAATGGCAAAAACCTCAATTACTTTTGCACCAACCTAATATAAAAGTTGAGGAGATGTCAATGTGGAATTTTCTGACTGAAGGCAAAAGAAAACCATTTTTAAATACATAGTTTATAAGAAAATGACTACTGGCAGAACTTTTTAAAGGTGTTTGTTCTATGAGAAAAAGAAAAGTGAATGAGAGGAAAAGCGATTCAGAGAACTGGAAACAGTGATAAGCATTTGGGTAACTAAACAAGCACTGATGACTGTGTGAAACTAATAATGCTAATCTGGGGGCTAAAATACTGGATAAAGATAAAACACACGCAAAAATCAAGTGCATTTTATATACTAGCAGTGAGCACATGGAAATCAAAATTTTAAATGCAATACCATTTTCTCTTGCTAAAAAATAGTACTTTGGGCTAGGCGCAGTGGCTCATGCCTGTAATCCCAGCACTTTGGGAGGCCAAGGCCGGGGGATCACCTGAGGTCAGGAGTTTGAGACCTGCCTGGCCCACATGGTGAAACCCCGTGTCTACTAAAAATACAAAAATTAGCCGGGCATAGTGGTGGGCACCTGTAATCCCAGCTACTTGGGAGGCTGAGACAGGAGAATCACTTGAACCCGGGAGGCAGAGGTTGCAGTGAGCGAAGATCACGCCACTGCACTCCAGCCTAGGCGACAAGAGTGAGACTGTCTCAAAAAACAAACAAAAATAGTACTTTGGGATAAATCTAAAAAATCTTTTTATAGGATTTGGAGGCAGAAAACTACAAAATGATGATGAAAGACATCAAAAAAGATCTGTATAAATGGATACATATACCATGTTCACAGATTAGAAGGTTCAGTATAGTAAAGATGTTTATTCTGTCCACACTGATATACTAATTTAATGCAATTCCTATCAGAACCCCAGCAAAATTGTTGTAGTTATACACAAGATGATTCTAAAACATATAGAAAGGCAAAGGAACTACAAAACTTTAATGTTAAAAAAGAAGGCCCAGGCGTGATGGCTCACACGTGTAATCCCATCACTTTGGGAGGCTAAGGTGAGAGGTTGCTTGAGTCCAGGAGTTCAGACCAGCTGGGGCAACATAATGAGATCCCATCTCTTATATTAAAAAATAATAATAATTAGAAAAAGAACATGGAGGGGGGTGGTCTCTGTACCAGATTTCAAGATTTACTAAATTGAGACAGTAATCAAAAAGGTATTGGCAGAAAGACACATAGATGAACAGAACAAAATAACACAGAAATAGTCTCCTCACACAAGTGCAGCCAACTGATTTGAAAAAGTTACAAAACAGTTCAATATGGCAGGGTGAGGTGGTTCACGCCTGTAATCCCAGCGCTTTGGGAGGCTGAGGCAGGTGGATCATGAGGTCAGGAGTTTGACACCAGCCTGGCCAACATAGTGAAACCCCGTCTCTACTAAAACCACAAAATATTAGCCGGGCGTGGTGGCGGGCGCCTGTAATCCCAGCTACTCAGGAGGCTGAGGCAAGAGAATCGCTTGAACCTGGGAAGCGGAGTTTGCAGTGAGCTGAAACCGCACCACTACACTCCAGCCTGGGTGACACAGCGAGACTCTGTCTCAAAACAAAAAACAAAGAAACAGTTCAGTAGAGGAAGGATAGTCTTTTCAGAAATTGTGCTGGAGCAATTGGCTATCCATAGGCAAAAGAAAAAAAAACACACGAAAAAATCTCCATCTAAATCTTACGTAGAAACTAGCCTAAAATGGATCATAGATTTAAATGTCAAATGTAAAGCTCTAAAACTTAGATAAGAAAACAGAAATCTTGGGGACCCAGGGCTTGAAATGTTTCCAAATATGACAGCAAAAATGTACTCCTTGCAAGAAAAAAAAATGAATTGGACTTCACTGAAATTAAAAACCTTTGCTGTTTTCAAAGACCCTGTTAAGAGGATGAGAAGACAGCTGAGACGGGGAGGAAATATTTGTAAACTACATATCCTGACAAATGACTAGCATTTAGAATATGTAAAGAGCTCTCAAAATTCAACAGTTACAAAAAAAATCCAATTAGAAAATAGGCAAAAGACATGAAGAGATATTTTGCTGAGGAAGCTATAAGAATGGCAAGCACATGAAAAGATGACCAACATCACTAAGCCATTAAGGAAATGAAACGTAAAACCACAGGCAGGACATCGTGGCCCACCATGCCTGTAATCCCACCACTCAGAACTTTGGGAGGCTGAGAGGGGGGTGGATTGTTTGAATCTAGGAGTTTGAGCCCAGCCAGGGCAACATGGTGAAACCCCGCCTCTACAAAAAAAACTACAAAAATTACCCAGCCGTGGTGTCGCATGCCTGTGTTCCCAGCTACTGTGAAGGCTGAGCTGGGAGAATCGCTTGAGCCCGGGAGGCGGAGATTACTTACAGTGAGTTATGATCGCTGCCACTGCACTCCAGCCTGGATGACAAAGTGAGATCCTGTCTCAAAAAAAAAAAGTAAAATCACAATAAAATATCACTATATATATATTAGAGAATATCTAAAATAAAAACAGTGACAATGCCAAATGCTGATGAGGATGCAGAGAAATGGAATCTTTCATACCTTGCTGGTGGGAATGTAAAATGGTACGGCCACTTTGAAAAAGTTTGGCAATTTATTTAAAACCTGACATATGCTGATATAACTTCATAATTGCATTCTTGGGCATTTATTCCAGGGAAACAAAAACATATCTACACAAAAACCTGTACAGGATTATTTGTAACAATTACAAATAATTACAAACACAGCCAAAAACTAGAAACAAGCAAAAAGTCCTATGGCTGAAGAATGGTTAAACAAACTGGTGCATCAATACTATGGAATAGTATTTAGGAATAAACAAGAACGATGTACATAATGACTTAGATGAATCTCAAGGGCATTATTCTGTTTTTTTCCTTCTTTTTTCTTTCTTTTATTTAAGAGATGGGGTCTCACTCTGGCATCCAGGCCAGAGCGAGCACAGTGGCATGATCATGGCCCAGTGCAGCCTCGAACTCCTGGGCTCAAGTGATCCTCCCACCTCAGCCTCCAGAGTAGCTGGGACTACAGGCACCTGCCACATGCCTGGCTAATTTTTAAATTGTTTTTTATAGAGGTGGGGTCTGGCTTTGTTGCCCAGTCTGATCTCAAGCCCCTGGCTTCAGGCAATACTCCCACGTTGGCCTTCCAAAGTGCTGGGATTACGGGCGTGAGCCACCACATCCCACCCGAAGGGCCTTATTCTGAGTGAAAAAAGCCAGTCTCCAAATGTCATGCACTGTATATAACTTTTTCAAAATAACTAAATTACAGAGATGGAAAATGGATTAGTTGCCAGGGGCTAGAGATGGTGTGGGAGAGGGTAGTAGATGTGACTACAAGGGAATAGCATGACAATGATCTTTGTGGTGACAGAATAGTTCTATATTTGATTGCAGTGGCAGTTATATGAATCTACACATGATAAAATGATAGTGGACTATACATATTTTTAAACGATGTCAATGTCATGGTTGTGATATTGTACTATATGTATGATGTAACCATTGGAGGAAACTGGATGGAAGGGGACACAGGACCTCTATGCTTATCTTGACAATTCCCTGTGAATCTATAAAATATTTCAAGATAAAAAGTTTTTTAAAATGTACAATGGGAGGGCTGATAGAAGTTGAAATATTCTGTGGTTCTTCCATTTTGTGTGAGTAGATAAGAAATAGTTATTCCTTTTAAAGCTAAGTGTTCACAGTGTAAGGCTAACTAAAAAAACGAGAATAAATAGATGTAAATTCCAAAGTAGTGGGGATGGGGATGTTTTTATTTATTTATTTATTTTGAGATGGAGTCTAGCTCTGTCACCCAGACTGGAGTGCAGTGGTGCGATCTCGGCTCACTGCAACCTCCACCTCCCAGGTTCAAGCGATTCTCCTGCCTCAGCCTCCTGAGTAGCTGGGATTACAGGCGCCTGCCACCACTCCCAACTAATTTTTGTATTTTTAGTAGAGACAGGGTTTCACTGTGTTGGCCAGGCTGGTCTCAAACTCCTGACCTCGTGATCTGCCTGCCTCAGCCTCCCAAAGAGCTGTGATTATAAGCGTGAGCCACTGCGCCCAGCTGAGGGGATGAAATTTTTAAGGTTCCATTAAAAAAAAAAAAGATGAGAAAGGAGAAATAAAGCATATAAAACATAGAATAAGACATTTCATACTATGATACATACAAATCCAAAAATAACAGTTATTTCCACTGTGATGGACTAAATTTGTCAGTAAATGACAGAAGCTAGGCTGAACAAAAGAATGATCTAAAGCTACACACACACACACGCACACATTTTGGTTTTTGAGACAGGGTCTCGCTCTGTTACCCAGCCTAGAGTGTAGTGATGTGATCACAGCTCACTGCAGCCTTGAACTGGGCTGAGGCAATCCTCCTGCCTCTGCCTCCCAAGTAACCAGGACTACAGGTGTGCACCACCATGCCCAGCTAATTTTTAAGATTTATTTTTATTGTTTCATAGAAAGGGTTTTAGTATGTCACCCAGGCTGGTCTCTAACTCTTGGCCTCAAGACATCCTCCCACCTCAGCCACCCAAGTGCTGAGATTACAGGTGTGAGCCACCACACCTGGCCGAAAGCTGTATTTTCATTACAAGCAATATCAAACACATAGGGCACAGAAAGTTTGAAAGGGATGGGAAATTATAAACAAATACTACCCAAAGTAAGCTGGCTTGGCTATATTTGTATGAGGTGAAATAGACTTTAAGGCAACAAATATACGTCCACACAAAAACTTGTACACGAATATTCATAGAAGCATTATTCATAGGAGCCACAATGCAGAAATCACCCTGATGTTCATAACCAACAAGTGGATAAATAAGACGTGGCATAGCCATAAAATAGTATTCAGTAATAAAAAAGAATGCTGGCCAAGTGCGGTCACTCACACCTGTAATCCCAGCTCTTTGGGAGGCAGAGGCAGGTGGATCACCTGAGGTCAGAGTTCGAGACCAGCCTGGCCAACATGTGAAACCCTGTCTCTACTAATAATACCAAAATTAGCCAGGTGTGGTGGTGCACGCCTGTAATCCCAGCTACTCGGAGACTGAGGCAGGAGAATTGCTTGAACCTGGGAGGTGGAGGTTGCAGTGAGCTGAGATCACACCATTGTACTCCAGCCTAGGCGAGAAGAGTGAAACTCCAGTCTCCAAAAAAAATAAAATTAAATTTAAAAAGCTACCACATGGATGAACCTAATTTTATCTAAATAAAGCTGTTAAAAAAAAAACTTTAATGCCTGGTAGGAAGGCTTTGTGTCATTTTTACTTATGCTTAATTATCCCTCCCAGTCATGGTGATGCTGTTGAAGATAACAGTTCACATTCCCGTGGGTTCCAGATATCGGAGGAACCAAAGTCAATCTTGTTTTCAAAGAATCGTGGTTGTCTCTCAGGTGGCTTTTTGAAGGACTAATACAAAGACTGCCTTTATTTGCTCTAACTCAGAACTCTCTCAGGGTGAAGAAATAGCTCAGAACTCTCTGAGGGTGGAGAGTTGACCAACACAGAGGGTGTTGGTCAAAAATATTTAAAGTCAAATGAACCACTGACTACCACTTAGGGCAAATGATATAAGTTGGAGCAAACAATAGACACACCAAAAAGCCTGGGAGGAAAGGCTGAGGAGTGAGATGCTTTGGAGAAATAAAGGTTTTCAAGTGCTTTCACGTATTTCTGGATATCCAGACCATGTGTATGAACAGGGCAGGGTGCAGGTTCAGAAAAGTGGCTGAGTGGCTGGTTGTGGTGGCTCACACCTGTAATCCCAGTATTTTAGGAGGCCGAGGTGGGCGGATCACTTGAGGTCAGGAGTTCAAGACCAGCCTGGCCAACATGGCGAAACCCCATCTCTACTAAAAAATACAAAAGTTAGCCAGGCATGGTGGCCCCAGCCTGTAATCCCAACTACTTGGGAGGCTGAGGCAGGAGAATTGCTTGAACCCAGGAGGCAGCGGTTGCAGTGAGCCAAGATTCCACCACTGCAGATTCCAGTCTGGGCGACAGAGAGACTCCCTCTCAAAAAAAAAAAAAAAAAAAAAAAAAAAAGATTTGAGAAATTCCTAAGCTCTCACCTCTGGCTGACCTTGAAGTCCTGGGCCAGCAGGTCATGAAGGTTAAGGCAGAGTTGGAAAGTGACCAGCTGAATATTACAAGTGTGCCCAACACAAAGAGCTCTACTGCAAAGTCTGGGAGATTTTTTTTCTTGCTCCAGGTGTTTAAAAAAATGAAGTATCTGTCAAAACATTAGGTAGACACTGAGCTAACAAAACAGATACTTTAGTGACTACACATGACAGAGTTTAGATATGTCATTAAACATATAAACTAAAAAACTCACATAACTCTAACAATAAGCGGCAACAATTCTGATTTTAAAAGTTACATTATAATCTTCAAAATGTTCAATTTTCAGCAAAAATTATGAGGCATACAAAGAAACAAAGCCTGGCCCATTCATAGGGAGAAAAAAAGAAATGAACAGAAACACTGTCCTTGAGGAAGCTCAGATATTGGACTTACTGAGCAAAGACCTTATTAAGCTGTCTTAAATATACCTCAAAAAGCTAAAGGAAACCATGGAGAAAAAAATTAAAGCAGGAGGACAATATCTCAACAACTAGAGAACATCAATCAATAAATAAAAATTATAAAAAGGAACCAAATACATATCTAGAACTGAAGATAACAATAATTAAAATTAAAAATTCACTAGAATTGCGCAGCAGGTTTGAGCAGGCAGAAGAATCAGCAGACTTCAAGATAGTACAATTGAAATTATCCAGTCTGAGGAATAGAAAGGAAAAAGAAAATAAAAATGAACATAGCCTAAGAAACCTGTGGGTTTCTTAGAGTAGCAACATACACATAATGGAATTCCAGAAGGAGAGAAAAAAGAGGAACAAAAGGAATATTTGAAGAAATAATGGCCAAACCCCAAATTTAGCTGGGTGCAATAGCTCGTGTCTATAACGCTAGCAATGAAAGGCTGAGGCAGGAGGATCACTTGAGGCCAAGAGTTTGAGACCAGCCTGGGCAGTATATTGAGACCCCATCTGATATAGTTTGGATGTTTTCCTCTCCAAATCTTATGTTGAAATGTGATCCCCAATGTTGGTTGTAGGGTCTCATGGGAGGTGTTTGAGTCATGGGGGCAGATCCCTCATGAATAATGGCTTCGTTCCCTCCTCACAGTAATGAGTGAATTCTGGCTTTATTAGTTCATGCAAGAGCTAGTTGTTTAAAGAGCCTGGCACTTCCTCCCTGCCCTGCTTGTTCCCTCTCTCACCATGTGACATGCCAACTCTCCTTCTCCCTTCTGCCATAAATAAAAGTTTCCTGAGGCCCTCATGATGCTTGCACCGTGCTTTTTTTTTTTTTTTTTTTTTTTTTTTTGCATTTTTTTCTTGAGACAGGCTCTTGCTCTATTGCTCAGGCTGGAGTGCAGTGACATGATCTCAGCTCACTGCAACCTCTGCCTCCCAGACTCAAGCCATCTTCCCATCTCAGCCTTCCAAGTAGCTGGGACTACAGGTGCTCACCACAATGCCTGGCTAATTTTGTGTTTTCTGTAGAGATGGGGTTTCCCCATGTTGTTTGGGCTGGTCTTGAACTCCTGAGCTCAAGCTATCTGCCTGCTTCAGCCTCCCAAAGTGCTGGGATTACAGGTGTGAGCCACCATGCCTACCCACCGTGCTGCTTGTATAGTCTGCAGAACCATGAGCCAAATAACTTTTTTTTTTTTTTTTTTTGAGACGTAGTCTTGCTCCGTTGCCAGACTGGAGTGCAGTAGTGTGATCTCAGCTCACTGCAACCTCCGACTCCCTGGTTCAAGTGATTCTCCTGCCTCAGCCTCCCGAGTAGCTGGAATTACAGGCACCTGCCATCATGCCCAGCTAATTTTGGTATTTTTGTGGAGATGGGGTTTCGCCACGTTGGCCAGGCTGGCCTTCAGCTCCTGACCTTAGGTGATCCTCCTACCTCAGCCTCCCAAAGTGCTGGGATTACAGGCGTGAGCCACCATGCCCGGCCGAGACCCAGACTTTTGAAAAAAAATCCCTGACTTTGATGAACGACATAAATCTACACATCAAAGAAGCTCAATGAACTCCAAGTAGAATAAACTTGAATATATTCACACTGTGGGGAAAAGCGAGAGAGATCAGATTGTTACTGTGTCTGTGTAGAAAGAAGTAGACATAGGAGACTCCATTTTGTTATGTACTAAGAAAAATTCTTCTGCCTTGAGATTCTGTTAATCTATAACCTTACCCCCAACCCCGTGCTCTCTGAAACATGTGCTGTGTCAACTCAGAGTTGAATGGATTAAGGGCGGTGCAGGATGTGCTTTGTTAAACAGATGCTTGAAGGCAGCATGCTCCTTAAGAGTCATCACCACTCCCTAATCTCAAGTACCCAGGGACACAAAAACTGCGGAAGGCCGCAGGGACCTCTGCCTAGGAAAGCCAGGTATTGTCCAAGGTTTCTCCCCATGTGATAGTCTGAAATATGGCCTCGTGGGAAGGGAAAGACCTGACCGTCCCCCAGCCCGACACCCGTAAAGGGTCTGTGCTGAGGAGGATTAGTAAAAGAGGAAGGAATGCCTCTTGCAGTTGAGACAAGAGGAAGGCATCTGTCTCCTGCCTGTCCCTGGGCAATGGAATGTCTCGGTATAAAACCCGATTGTATGCTCCATCTACTGAGATAGGGAAAAACCGCCTTAGGGCTGGAGGTGGGACCTGCGGGCAGCAATACTGCTTTGTAAAGCATTGAGATGTTTATGTGTATGCATATCTAAAAGCACAGCACTTAATCCTTTACATTGTCTATGATGCAAAGACCTTTGTTCACGTGTTTGTCTGCTGACCCTCTCCCCACAATTGTCTTGTGACCCTGACACATCCCCCTCTTTGAGAAACACCCACAGATGATCAATAAATACTAAGGGAACTCAGAGGCTGGCGGGATCCTCCATATGCTGAACGCTGGTTCCCCGGGTCCCCTTATTTCTTTCTCTATACTTTGTCTCTGTGTCTTTTTCTTTTCCAAATCTCTCGTCCCACCTTACGAGAAACACCCACAGGTGTGTAGGGGCAACCCACCCCTACACACACCAATCCAATTATAATCTAACTGTAGAAAGACAAAAAGATTACTGATAGCAGCAAGAGCAAAACAACTCATCACATCCAAGTGTTTCAATGAGATTAACAGCCAATTTTGCAGCAGAAACCACAGAAGCTAGGAAGTAGTGGGATGATACTATTTAAAATGCTGAAAGAAAAAATACATGTCAATGAACAATTCTGTATCCAAGAAAACTATCCTTTACTTGAGCCCGAAGTCTGAGACCAGCCTGGGCAACATGACAAAAATACAAAAATTAGCATGGTGGCATGCACCTGTAGTCACAGCTACTCCAAGGAAGGAGGGTGGCTCAAGACTTGGATTTTGAGGCTATAGTGCACAATCACACCTGTGAATAACCACTGCACTCCAGCCTGGGCAATGCAGCAAGACTTCTTTTTCGATGACTTTGGCTGGATACCACAGGTGGTTTGAGACCTGGATTTTGAGGCTATAGTGCACAACCACACCTGGGAATAACCACTGCACTCCAGCCTGGGCAACGAGCAAGACTCCTTTCTTGATGACCTTGGCTGGATACCCGTGGGTGCCCTTAGACAAGTGACCAAAACTGAGAGGGCTCCAATGGATGTGGAGTAGGAGGCAGCAGGCCTGGGGCAGCCAGAAGTGGGGAGAAGCCTCTGCTGCAGCCAGTTGGTGGGGGTTCATGGCCCCCACAGCATGTGGCAGACCCATATGCTCCCTCCTGTGAACCCAGAGCCTTAAGAATCTAGTTTAAATAGGCCGGGTGCAGTGGCTCATGTCTGTAATTCTAGCACTTTGAGAGGCCAGGGCAGGTGGATCACTAGGGGTCAGAAGTTTGAGACCAACCTGGCCAACATGGCGAAACCCCACCTCTACTAAAAGTACAAAAATTAGCCGAGCATGGTGGTGGGCGCCTGTAATCCCAGCTACTCGGGAGGCTATGGCAGGAGAATCGCTTGAACCCGGAAGGCAGAGGTTGCAGTGAGCTGAGACTGCGCCATTGCACTCCAGCCTGGGTGACAGGAGCAAAACTCCATCTCAAAAAAAAAAAAAAAAAAAAAGAAAGGAAATAAAAAAGAATCTAGTTTAAATAATCCCAACTTAGCTTCAGCAGTATACAAATGCTGTGTTCCTATTCAATTTCATCCTTCCATCTTCATGTAGTTGTTGTTACAAAGGAAATCTTTACACAATGTATGCCCATTAACATGGATTTATAACTTATGCTTCTATGCACTTGTGTTTTAAATGGCAAATTCAGCTCCTAATAGGATTAAAGTATGCAACTGAAAGAGATTGGTAAAATAAAAATTTAAAAAAGAGATACAACTATATGTCTTGAAGAGACTCATTTTAGATCCAAGACAAATATATTGAATGTAAAAGGATGGAAAAAGGTGTTCCATGAAAACAGTAACTAAAAGAGAGCTGAGGTGGATATACTAGTATAAAAATAGAGTGCAAGTAGGCTGGGCACGGCGGCTCACGCCTGTAATCCCAGCACTTTGGGAGGCTGAGGTGGGCGGATCACAAGGTCAGGAGATTGTGACCATCCCGGCTAACATGGTGAAACCCCGTCTCAACTAAAAATACAAAAAAAATTAGCCAGGTGTGGTGGCGGGCACCTGTAGTCCCAGCTACTGGGGAGGCTGAGGCAGGAGAATGGCGTGAACCCGGGAGGCGGAGCTTGCAGTGAGCCGAGATCGCACCACTGCACTCCAGCCCGGGCGACAGAGCGAGACTCTGTCTCAAATAATAAAAAAAAAAGTGCAAGTCAAAATTTGCTACAATTTGCTACAAAAGAACATTATATATGGATAAAAGGGTTAAACCATCAAGAAGATATAACAATCATAAACATGTCCATACTTTACAACAGAGCCCCCACATATATGAAGCAAGAACTGACATAGTTTAAGGGTGAAATAGGTGGTTCTATAATAATAATTAGAAACTTAAAAATACACCCCTTTGGCCAGGCGTGGTGGCTCATGCCTGTAATCCCAGCACTTTGGGAGGCCGAAGCAGGTAGATCACCTGAGGTTGGGAGTTCGAGACCAGCCTGACCAACATGGAGAAACCCTGTCTCTACTAAAAATACAAAATTAGCCGGGTGTGTTGGCCTGTAATCCCAGCTGCTTGGGAAGCTGAGGCAGGAGAATCGCTTGAACCCGGGAGGCGGAGGTTGCAGTGAGCCAAGATCACGCCATTGCACTCCAGCCTGGGCAACAAGAGCAAAACTCCATCTCAAAAAAAAAAAACAACAACAAAAAAACAACCCCACGACTTTTATTAATGGATAGAACAGTTAGAGGATCAGTAGGAAATACAGAACTTAAACAACATTATAAACCAACTAGACATAATACATACAGTACACTCCACCCATAAGAATGCATATTTTTCCAAAGTGCACATGGAACATTCTCCAGAATTGGTCATTTGTTAGACAAATTAAATGTCTCAATTTTTTTATTTTCAATTTTTTGGCAGAGTCTTGCTCTGTCACCCAGGCTGGAGTGCAGTGGTGGGTTCTCAACTCAGTGCAAACTCCACCCCCTGGGTTAGATGATCCTCATGTCTTAGCCTCCCAACTAGCTGGGACTACAGGCGCGCCACCATGCGTGGCTAATTTTTGTATTAGTAGAGACAGGGTTTTGCTATGTTGGTTGGCCAGGCTGGTCTCAAACTCCTGACCTCAAGTGATCTGCTCGCCTCAGCCTCCCAAACTGTTGGGATTACAGGCATGAGCCACTGCACCTGGCCTCAATAAATTTTTGTTTTTATTCATTATTTATTTATTTATTTATTTATTTTTTCTTGAGACAGAGTCTCACTCTTGTTGCCCAGGCTGGAGAGCAATGGCGCGATCTTGGCTCACTGCAACCTCCGCCTCCCGGGTTCAAGCGATTCTACTGCCTCAGCCTCCTGAGTAGCTGGGATTACAGGCGCCCACCACCACGACTGGCTAATTTTTAGTATTTTTAGTAGAGACAGAGTTTCACCATGTTGTCCAGGCTGGTCTCGAACTCCTGATCTCAAGTGATCCACCCGTCTTGGCCTCCCAAAGTGCTGGGATTACAGGCATGAGCCACAGCGCCCGGCCTTGTTTTTATTTCTTTATTTATTTTGAGACAGGGATCTCGCTCTGTCGTCCAGGCTGGAGTGTAGTGGCACAATCATAGCTCACTGCAACCTCTGTCTCCCAGACTCAAGTGATCCTCCCACCTCAGCCTCCCCAGTAGCTGGGAGTACAGGTACATGCCACCATGCTTGGCTATTTTTTTTTTTTTTTTAATTTTTAGTAGAGGTGAGATCTCACTATGTTGCCTCCCTATGGTGTTTGATCTTGAACTCCTGAGCTCAAGCAATCCTCCCACCTCAGCCTTCCAAAATGCTGGGATCACAGGTGTGAGCCACCATGCCCGGCCAAAGAATTTTTAAAAATCATAATCATACAAAGTATTTCTTTAACTATAATGTGATGAAGCTAGATATAAATAACAGAAGGAAAAAGTAATTTCACAATTATGTTCAAATAATACATTCACACAACTTCAAAAAGAAATCAGAAAATAGAACAATATTTTGAGACAAATGAAAACAAAGCTACGATATACCAAAATTTATGAAATGCAGTGAAAACAGTGCTCAGAGGGAAATTTATAGCTCAAAAAGAATAATCTCCGCCAGGTGCAGTGGCTCATGGCTGTAATCCCAGCACTTTGAGAGGCTGAGGCGGGTGGATCACCTGAGGTCGGGAGTTCGAGACCAGCCTGACCAACATGGAGAAACCCCGTCTCTACTAAAAATACAAAATTAGCTGGACGTGGTGGCACGTGCCTATAATCCCAGCTACTTGGGAGGCTGAGGCAGGAGAATTGCTTGAACCCGGGAGGTGGAGGTTGCAGTGAGCAGAGATCACGCCATTGCACTCCAGCCTGGGCAACAAGAGTGAAACTCCGTCTCAAAAAAAAAAAAAGAAGAAAAATCTGACATTAATTACCTAACTTTATGGCTTAAGGAATTGGAAAAAGAGAAGAAAAGTAAACTGCAAAATGTCAGAAGGAAATAATAAAGATTAATTAGAGACAAAAGAAAAGATTAGGGCAGGGAACCATGGCTCATCCCTGTAATCCCAGCACTTTGGGAGGCCAAGGTGGGAGGATCTCTTGAGCCCAAGACATTGAGGCTGTAGTGAGGTATGATTGTGCCACTGCACTCCACCTGAGTGACAGAGCAAAACCCTGTCTCAATAAAATAAAAATTAATAAAATATAATATAAATAAATAACAAAATAAAATACCAAGAATAATTTTAGCCAATGAGGTGAATTTAGCCAAGAGTTGCACACTGAAAATTATGTTATATTGCTTAAAGAAATTAAAATAGATCTAAATAAATGGAAAGATATCCCGTTGTAATGAATTGATAGACTTAATGTTGTTAAAATGGCAATGGTCAATCTTCATGACCTTGGATTTGCAACTCTTTCTGAGATTTGACACCAAAAGCACAAGTAACAAAAGCAATATATGAATTGGACTTTGGTAAAATATAAAGTTTGTGCATGAAAGGTCAATATCAAGAGACTGAAAAGAGGCTGGGCGAGGTGGCCTACATCTGGAATCCCAGCACTTTGGAAGGCCGAGGCGAGAGGATTGCTTGAGTTCAGGAGTTTGAGACCAGCCGGGGCAACATAGTAAGACCCTCTCTCTACAAATAATCCAGAAGTAGCTGGGCATGGTGGTGTGTGCCTGTAGTCCCAGCTACTCAGGAGGCAGAGGCAAGAGATTTGCTTGAACCCAAAAAGTGGAGGCTGCAATGAGCTGTGATCACGCCACAGGACTCAGCTTGGGCGACTGTGAGACCCTGTCTCAAAAAAAAAAAAAAAAAAAGACTGAAAAGATAACCCACAAAATGGGAAGGGAGACAATGATTGAAAAGCATATTTATCTCAAGGCTCTAGAGTCCAGAATTATATAAGAACGTTTACAACTTAACAACATAAACACAACTCAGTTAAAAATTGGGCAAAAGACTAGAATAGACATTTCTCTAAAGAAACCATAGAAGGCCGGGGGAGGTGGCTCATACTTGTAATCCCAGCACTTTGAGAGGCCGACGTGGGTGGATCACCTGAGGTCAGGAGTTCCAGACCAGCCTGGCCAACATGGTGAAGCCCCATCTCTGCTAAAAGTGCGAAAATTAGCCGGGGGTGTTGGTGCTCCCCAGGAATCCCAGCTACTTAGGAGGCTGAGGTGGGAGAATTGCTTGAATCCGGGAGGTGGAGGCTACAGTGAGCTGAGATTGTGCCACTGTAATCCAGCCTGGACTGTTGTCACTCTGTTAGTGAGACCCCATCTCAAAAAAAAAAAAAAAAGAAACCACAGAAATGGCCAACAAGCACATGAAAACATGCTTAACATATTAGGAAAATGCCAATCAAAGACACAATGAGATACCATTTCATACCTCATCAGATAATTAGAATTCTAAAAATGAACTAAACAGGCTGGGCACAGTGTGTCACTCCTGTAATCTCAGCACTTTGGGAGGCCAAGGTGGGCAGATCACCTGAGGTCAGGAGTTCAAGACCAGTCTGGCCAACATGGTGAAACCCAGTCTCTACTAAAAATACAAACCATTCGCTAGGCATGGTGGCAGGCACCTGTAATCCCAGCTACTCCGGAGGCTGAGGCAGGAGAATCACTTGAATCTGGGAGGTCGAGGTTCCAGTGAGCTGAGGTCACGCTATTGCACTCCAGCCTGGGCAATAAGAGCGAAACACTGTATCAAAAAAGAAATAATAAAAATAAAAATAAAGGACAACAACAATTGTTGACAAAGATACAGAGAAGTTCGAGCCCAATGACGTTTCCGATGGGTATGTAAAAATGTTGCAGTTGCTGTGGAAAACAGATGGACAGTTCCTCGAATTTAAATGTAGAATTACCATGAAACCCAACAATTCTACTCCTAGGTTCACACCCAAAAGAACTGAAAACAGGTGTTCCCACAAAACTTTGTACAGGCATGTTCATAGCTGCACTATTCACAAGAGTGAAAATGTGGAGTAGTGAAAGGTGGGTGGAAACAATGCTTATGTCCATCATGTGATGAATGAATTTTAAAAATGTTATCTATAGGAAATGCATATTATTCAGCCATAAAAAGGAATGAAGTACTGACACGGCTACAACACAGGTGAACCTTGAAAACATGCTAAGTGAAAGAAGCCAGTCAGAAAAGGTCACATATTCTAGGATTCTATTTATTAAATATATAAAATGTTCAGAATATTCAAGAGTATAGAGGCAGCCAATTAGTGGTTGCCAAGGGTTGAGGGGAGAAAGGAATCAGGAGTGACTGCTTAATTGATACTGGGTTTCTTTTTGAGGTGATGAACATTTTTGGAAAACTTTTGGGAACTATCGAGTGGTGATGGTGGCACTATATTGTTATCATTAGAAATGCCACTGAATTGTACACTTTTTTATTTTATATTTACTTATTTATTTATGTTTGAGACGGAACCTTGCTCTGTCACCCAGGCTGGAGTGCAGTGGCGCCATCTCAGCTCACTGCAACCTCTACCTCCTGGGTTTAAGCGATTCTCCTGCCTCAGCCTCCCGAGTAGCTGGGATCACAGGCGGCCACCACCAGGACCAGCTAATTTTTGTATTTTTAGTAGAGACGGGGTTTCACTATGTTGGCCAGGCTGTTCTCGAACTCCTGACTTCAGGTGATCCGCCCACCTTGGCCTCCCAAAGTGTTGGGATTACAGGTGTGAGCCACTGCGCCCAGCCAGAGATCTTTATGTTTAAACATAGGTATCTACAGCTATACATTTCCATCTGAGTGTTGCCTTTGCTGTATCCCATGCACACTGGGTATGCACACACCAGGCCTTTACACTTTAAAATAGCTAAAACAGGCCAGGTGAGGTGGCTCACACCTGCAATCCCAGCACTTTGGGAGGCCGAGGTGGGCAGATCACCTGAAGTCAGGAGTTTGAGAACACCCTGCCTAACATAGTAAAATCCCATCTCTACTAAAAATACAAAAATTACCAGGGCGTGGTGGTGGGCACCTGTAATCCTAGCTACTTGGGAGGCTGAGGCAGGAGAATTGCCTGAACCTGGGAGGCAAAGGTTGCAGTGAGCCGAGATCACGCCACTGCACTCCAGCCTGGGTGATAGGCCGAGACTCCGTCTAAAAAAAAATAAAAAATAAAATAAAATGAATTAAAATCTAAAAAAATAGTTAAAAATGGTCTTAGACAAGGTAGCATGAAAAAAGAAGAAAAGTAGTTAAATGGATAAATTTTGTGTTATGTGTATTTTAAAGAAAAACATCAACTGATTCTTTGGGAAAAAAGAAAAATGACAGAATTATTACAATAAATGTACAAATCCACATTATAAAGGGAAATTTTTACATACTCATTAATTGAGGCATGAAGCAGACAGCAAACAGGGATGTAAATATTGCAACATTTTCTGTAGAAAACAATTTTTTTCTGTGTGTTCTTTTTTAGAACACATAGATATGCATAAAAATTGACGAGATAGGCCGGGCGCAGTGGCTCACGCCTGTAATCCCAGCACTTTGGAAGGCCGAGGTGGGCGGATCACCTGAGGCCAGGAGTTCGAGATCGGCCTGGCCAACATGGTGAAACTTTGTCTCTACTAAAAACACAAAAAATTAGCCGGGTGTGCTGGTGGGCGCCTGTAGTCCCAGCTACTCAGGAGACTGAGGCAGGAAAATCGCTTGAACCTGGGAGGTGGAGGTTGCAGTGAGCCAGCCGAGATGGCACCACTGCACTCCAGCCTGGTCAATAAGAGCAAAACTCCGTGTCAAAAAAAAAAAAAAATTGACAAAATAAATCTCAACAAATACTACAATTTAAGCTGGAAATCAATAATAAAAAGATAATTTAAAAATGAAACAAAATAGGGAAACGATCCCAATACTTCTCCCCCAAATGAGTGAGTCATAACCAGGAAAAACCTGTCATCTCAGTATAGAAAGAACATTATTAGGCGGTGTATTTTGATGAATGATAGTTACGTGGTGTGGGAGTTATACCTGCAAATAGCATGAGTTGGTCGTGAAGGGTTTAAGTGGGGAAAGACTTTTTGGAGGAGCCTGCATTCTCCACTATGAACCCTGTCACAACTTAAGTCACCTTCCTCTCTGATCCTCAGAAGCTGGTGGGATGCCTTGTGTAATTTCTGACCAGAAGGTTTCCGTCAACTGTTCTTCAACTATTCAAAATGCCATGCCCAAGACTGGTTCTTAGTACTCCAGGAGCTCACGAACGATTTCACCTTTATTTATTTTTTATTTTTTTTGAGACGGAGTTTCGCTCTTGTCGCCCAGGCTAGAATGCAATGGCAGTCTCGGCTCACCGCAACTTCCGCCTCCCGGGTTCAAACGATTCTCCTGCCTCAGCCTCCCGAGTGGCTGGGATCACAGGCCATGACGCCCGGCTAATTTTGTATTTTTAGTAGTGACGATGTTTCTCCATGTTGGTCAGGCTGGTCTCGAACTCCTCACCTCAGTTGATCCGCCCGCCTCGGCCTCCCAAAGTGCTGGGATTACAGGCATGAGCCACCGCGCCCGGCCGATTTTTTTTAAAAAAAGGAACGCTTAGCCGGGTGCAGTGGCTCAGGTCTGTAATCGCAGCACTTTGGGAGGCCGAGGCGGGCGGATCACTAGGTCAAGAGATCAAAACCATCCTGGCCAACATGGTGAAACCCTGTCTCTACTAAAAATACAAAAAATTAGCAGGGCGTGGTGGCGGGCGCCTGTAGTCCCAGCTACTCGGGAAACTAAAGCAGGAGAATCGCTTGAACCCGGGGGGGGGAGCTTGCAGTGAGTGGAGATCGCGCCACTGTACTCCAGCCAGGCGACAGAACGAGGCTCCGTCTCAAAAAAAAAGGAACTCTTAAAACGAGTAACTCCGTAACCTAACTTAGAGGACACGGGTTCCATTTTTCCCCGTAGCAGTCTCCTATGGAGAAAGTGCTTGGCTTCCCACAGACTTTAAAACCTGCCAAAGTTCCATGCTCGGAATCTGCCCCCGTTTCGAGATACTTGGGCCTCCGCGAGTTCTAAAACTCCGGGATGTCCCGATGCAATAGGGGGCCGAAAACCCGCCCCGTGAGGGGGCGGGACCGGAGGTGAACGCGCAGCAAAACCGGGCGCCTTCCACGACCCTCTAGCCGGAAGCCACGCCTGCCCACTAGCCCGACGCCCGCCTGGCGGGAACATGGGCTCGCCCCTCACCAGCGATCTGCAGTCAGTTGGTAGCGCCTGCACGTCGCGCGCGGTGTTCGATTGTCGCTGCCTGGGGAGGAGGAGCCGGAGCCGCCGCCGCCGCCGCCGCCGCCGCGGGCTTCGTTCGTAAGGAAGGGGGCCTAGGCCCGGGCCTGCGGTGGTGGGGGTTGCTGCGCGCCGGGGGTCGCTCCTGCTGTGTCTTCCGCTCCAGCTTCGCCCACTTCCCCTTGCCAGCGGGGTGGGCGCGGAGAAGACCTGCCGGAGCCATGGAGGACGAAGTGGTCCGCTTTGCCAAGAAGATGGACAAGATGGTGCAGAAGAAGAACGCGGTGAGCGCGGCGAGCGGCGCGGGCCGGGAGGGAGGCCGGGCCGCGGTCCGGCCCGAGGGGGCCGCCCCCTCCCTCCTTCTCCCTCCCCTCCCCCTGCAGCCTCCCGTCTGGGAGCCGGGCCCGCCGCGCCCGCGTCCCCGGGGAGGGTGTCCGGGCCCGGGGCGTCGGGTCCCGCGGCAACCTGCGTTAGGACCCGCTCGCTCTTGTATTTCCAGTCCCTGCTCGCTGGTGCCGTGTAATAAACCTAATCGATTTAGGGATTAGGGCACGCTCTCCGTTGACTTTAAACTTTCGTGCTAGTAAAACCTTGGCAATTTAGCTTAGGAATTGAAGCGTAGAAAGTCCTCAGAACTTGAAAGAATGGAGTCTTCCGTGATCCGTGGCCAACATCTAGAAAGAGCATCAAATAGAGGCTTGTGATCGGTATTAGACATCGGGCTGGTAAAATGTAAAACTTCTGTGTCTTATTTTTGAAGAGGGCTGAACGTCCGCCTGGTTATCTCAACTGTGCTACATGTTTGCTTAGCGATTAAAAAGGTAAAGTGTGCCAGTTTCTTGGCGAGTTGCTAAACGTTTTATAAAAAGCGGGTTTTGTCCTGTCGTAATGTACAGAAGAGTTAGGACTACAGCACGCACACTCACCGGAATGCTGGTAGAGGGATTTGGACAAATTATATTGTTGGGTATTTTCTAAGTGGTTTACAGTTAATACTGGTGGCATTTTTTTTGTTATTGATGAATATTCATGTAAGCATATGCTTTTGTGGTTTGTAAGAAATCCTCATACGACCAGTTTCTACAGCTTGCCCATTTGTGTGGCACTTTCAGTCCCTTGCTTCAGACTCATCTGTTCTTAGCTAAACATATTTTTTCGAGACGGAGTTTAACTCTTGTTGCACAAGCTGGAGTGCAATGGCTTGATCTCGGCTCACTGCAACCTCCGCCTCTCGGGTTCAAGTGATTCTCCTGCCTCAGCCTCCCGAGTAGCTGGGATTACAGACGTGCGCCACCACGCCTGGCTATTTTTTTGTATTTTTAGTAGAAACGGGGTTTCACCATCTTAACCAGGCTGGTCTCGAACTCCTGACCTCAGGTGATCCGCCCACCTCAGCCTCCCAAAGTGCTGGGATTACAGGCGTGAGGCCACTGCGCCTGGCCTCTCAGGTAAACTTATATAATTGTCCTCACCTAAATTTGTTTAACCACGTTCGGCACATTTTCATCATCAGTGTACCTGAAATAATTTTTCTTCCATCTATGAAGTAAATTCCATGTCAAACTAATGTGAAGAGAAAAGGGATGCTCTGATTTGTACAGCACTTTGGAGTTAAAAAGCATCTGCTCAAAATTCTTTTGTGACTCACACAGAGCTGTGAGTACATAAAGGGTATCCATTTTACAGATTAAGACACTGAGAGAGATTAAGTACTACTACTTAAATTAAGTACTGTGTAGTTTGGAATAAGCCAGGACCCAGGTTTTCTTCTGGACAGCATGCTTTCCACATGACAGCTAGATCAGGAATTAGTGTTAACACTAAATACGTAAGACTTCAAACATCCTCTGTTCCCCTTTTTCCTTTAACAGGTGCATTGCCTCGTATTTCATTTCATACCCTGTTAATCTGTATTTGCAAATTTTGGCCTTTTAAAGTATTTCCTGTTTATTTTCTGTTCTAGATATTACCAGTGCCATTTTTCCTCCCCATTGATATGGCCCTTCATTTCCCACTTCAAATTCTGGTTATTTGATAGGTTATCTGGTTATTGGAACATTTTCGTTATTTTGTTTAAACTGGAAGATTTTTCTCTGGTCTGGAGATCCCCAGACTTGCACAGTAGAAGCTCCCAGGGAAAAAAAGCCATTTGTTGGGTAATGTTCTCTCCAACTTAGGCTGTAATATGTATCCTTTAATCATCTAATGCATTAGATGTTTGCTTGATTTTGTTTCTTTCCTTGTAATAATGTTTCTAAGTAATTTTTTAGTGGGCAGGTGTGGAGAAGATAAATTCATATTTATCTGCAGTTCTCAAATCGTCAACAAATTTTCAGATCTTTTGTAATGAGTCTGGAAGAGAATGAGAATAAACTCCACAAATAATCCTCAAATCTAAGTTTTCTTCTCAAATCTAAGTTTTCAGGTAGTTCAAAACTTTTCCAGTATGAAAACTTGCCTCCCAAAAAGAAAGGTAAAACTGACTGGCTCTTGTACTTTTGTTTTCCCCAGCATTTTCCCTGCCTGTCCTCTGGAAATTCAAACAGGCTGATGAAATACAGAGAAAGAGAAATGGTCAGAATGACACTCCTCTTTTCCCCAACTGCATCATCAGCCTACAGATGGCTTTTTAAGTGTTCAGTAATTCAACAAAATGTGTTTTAGGGGTTGTAGAATTATGGTATATGTGTTTCTCTTTTTTTCGGTAGTTTTCAGATTTTTCTCTCAGCTTTTTTAATGTTTTATATTATGAAAAAGTTAACTTTTTTTTTTTTTTTTTGAGACAGTGTCACTCTGTTACCCAGGCTAGAGTGCAGTGGTGCAATCTCGGCTCACTGCAACCTCCGCCTCCCCAGTTCAAGCGATTCTCTTGCCTCAGCCTCCCTAGAAGCTGGGACTACAGGTGTGCACCACCATGCCTGGCTAATTTTCGTATTTTTAGTAGAGATGGGATTTCAACGTATTGGCCAGGCTGGTCTTGAACTCCTGATCTCAGGTGATCTGCCCGTCCTGGCCTCCCAGAGTGCTGGGATTACAGATGTGAGCCACTGCGCCCAGCCTGAAAAAGTTAACTTTGAAGAGTAATAGTTGTCATCAGAATTGACAAATTTAAGTGCAAATTTAGATATCATTTAAAAAAATATTTTAACATGCTGCTGCTTTACCTGAATAATTTTGTTTTACTAAAACCATAGGTGTCACACTTAACTAAAAACAGCTTACCATTTATTGAGCTATTACTCTGAGCCAGGTATTCTGCTAAATACTTACCCACCTTATCCCATTTATTCCTCAGGCAACTTTGCAAGATGAGTATTATCCTCATTCTGAAAATGAGGATGCTAAGTATTTAGAATAGTCTTAAGCCAAATAGCTAGTGAATGGCCAAGTGAAGATGTGAATCTAAATCTGTTTTGCTCCAAAGCTAGTACTCCTCTCTTAAGCTACAGTGTCTCTCTAGAAGACCCTTGCATCTGCTCTTGAACCATGCATGGATACAATTAAGTGAATACAAAATCAGGAAGTAAGAGTATGAACTTGCTGTTTTGGGGCAGGTGTGTTTCCCTAGTTACCTAGATCAATATCCTGACCCTAGTTCTACCCAAGATGTTGTCCCACATGTGTACTTGATCTCAAGTGCACATGACCAAGCCACAGTGAACCACAGAAAGTAGTTCGAAATTTTTAGGTATTAGCTGTTTTCTGCTTAAGCTGTTTTCTTGTCACTTTGATTCGGTGTCAGTAACCAAGTCTGACTGCTAATGTGGGTTCAAATCCTGGCTTTTCTGAACTTTTCTGAACTTTAGCTGTGTGATTTTAGGCAAGTTCTTTGTCATCACTAAAATGTTTCTCGTCATGGTAAACTGGAGATAATTTAGTAAGGATTAAGTGAATATAAAATGCTTCTAGTGTAGGATTGTGGGCCTAAAGGATGTAATAAGGCCTAAAAAACAATCTGAGGTTGCCTTTCTTTGTAAAGGATTCATTTAGATTATAGAAGGAGGAGTGAGGCAAGGACATAAAGTTTTGAAGTTCATGGAGAGATTTTGTGGGTAGTGCTGAGGTTTATTTATTTATTTCATTGAAGGCTCAAGGTTGAGTGGAATTAAATTGCAGGGAGAGAAATTGAAATTAGATGTTAGAATTTCGTAGGAGCTGGGATACCTGAAATATTGATTTACATTTCCAAGTACCTCAGTTAAAATAACAACTGCAACAAAACTTTGATATCTATATCAGAGTTAGATTAATTAGCATAATTCAAAATTTAGAATGACTATACAATTTTTAATAACAGCTTTATCGAGAAATAGAATTAAATTCATTCTTAAAGTGTAGTTGACTCTTGAACAATGCAAGGGTTGTGGTGCTCACACTATCCCCCCTCCCTACCCGCATGCAGTCAAGTAGTATAACTTTTGTAGTAGTATAACTCATGCAGTCATGTCACTCAGGCTGGAGTGTGGTGGCATGATCTTGGCTCACTGCAACCTCCGCCTCCTGGGTTTAAGCAGCTCTCCCACCTCAGCTTCCCGAGTAGCTGGGACTACAAGTGCGTGCCACCACACCCAACTAATTTTGTATTTTTAGTAGAGATGGGATTTTACCATTTTTCTCAGGCTGGTCTCCACATCCTGACCTCAAGTGATTCACCTGCCTCGGCCTCCCAAATTGCTGGGATTACAGGCGTGAGCCACTGAGCCCAGCCTTTTTTGGGTATTTTTTATAGAGATGGGGTTTCACCATATTGCCCAGGCTGATCTAGAACTCCTGAACTCAAGTGATCTGCCTGCCTTGGCCTCCCAAAATGTTGGGATTATAGGCACTTAGCCTGGGTGACAGAGCGAGACAATGTCTCAAAAAAGAAAAGAAAAGAAATAAAGGAGAGAAAATATGTTTACTGTTCATGAAGTGGAAATGTGTCGTCGTAAAGGTCTTCATCCTCTTTGTCTTCACATTGAATAAGCTGAGGAGAAAGGAAGAGTTGGTTTTGTCATCTAGGGTTGCAGAGGTGAAAGAAAATTCTCAGGTGAATCTGTGCAGTTTAAACCCATGTTATTTGAGGGTCAACTGTTAATTCAGTGGCTTTTAGTGTATTTACGGGTTTGTGCAACTATTACTACTGTATAATTTTAGAACATTTTCATCACTCCAAAAAGAAACCCTGTACCTATTAAGCAGTCACTCCTCATTCAGCCCTCATTTGCCCCCACCAATTTCTCACACGCCTCTGACAGCCACTAATATACTTTCTGTCTGTGTGTTTGCCAAATCTGGAAATTTTCTGTCAGTGAAATTATACAGTATGTGGTCTTTTGTAACTGGCCTCTTTTGCTTAGTATAGTCTTTTTTTTTTTTTTTTTTTTTTGAGACGGAGTCTCATCTTGCTCTGTCGCTCAGGCTGGAGTGCAGTGGCGCGATCTCGGCTCACTGCAACCTCCGCCTCCCAGGTTCAAGCAGTTCTCCTGTCTCAGCCTCCCGAGTAGCTGGGACTATAGGCGCGCACCACCACACCCGGCTAATTTTTGTATTTTTAGTAGAGATGGGGTTTCACCATATTGGCCAGGCCGGTCTCAAACTCCTGACCTCATAATCCGCCTGTCTTGGCCTCCCAAAGTGCTGGGATTTCCACGCGTGAGCCACACCGCCTGGCCTGATTTTTGTATTTTTAGTAGAGACAGGGTTTCACCATGTCGGCCAAGCTGGTCTAGAACTCCTGATCTCAGGTGATCTACCCGCTTCAGCCTCCCAAAGTGCTGGGATTACAGATGTGAGCCACTGCACCCAACCACGATTTGCTTATTCATTCATCATTTGGTGGACATTTGGGCTGTTTCAGCTTTTTGGCTGTTGTGAATAATACTGTTAAAAACATTGCTGTACAAGTGTCTCGCTCTGTCACCCCGGCTGGAGTGCAGTGGTGTGATGGCTCACTGTAAGCTCCGCCTCCCGGGTTCCCACCATTCTCCTGCCTCAGCCTCCCGAGTAGCTGGGGCTACAGGCACCCAGCACCATGCCCGGCTATTGTATTTTTAGTAGAGACTGGGTTTCACTGTATTAGCCAGGATGGTCTCGATCTCCTGACTTCATGATCTGCCCGCCTCGGCCTCCTAAAGTGCCGGGATTACAGGCGTGAGCCACCGCGCCTGGCGACATATGTTTTCATTTCTGTTGGGTGTATACCTCGGAGAATAATTACTGGGTCATATAGTAACTATGTTTAACCTTTTGAGGAACTGCCAGACCTTTCCAGTGTGGCTGCACCATTTTACATTCCAACTAGCAGTGTGTGAGGATTCCAGTTTCACCTCATTTTCACCAATATCATTTGTCTTGATTATAGCCTTCCTAGTGGGTGTAAAGTGGTATTTCATTGTGGGTTTGATTTGCATGTCCCTTGTGATTAACAATGTTGAGCATCTTTTCATTGCTTTGTGGCCATTTGCATATCTTCTATGGAGAAATAAATGTCTATTCAGATCCTTTGCCCATTTTTTAGAAAAGAGTCAGGGTCTGGCTATGTTGCCCAGGCTGGAGTACAAATTGGATTAGTCCATTTTTAAATTGGGTTGTCTTTTTATTATTGAGTTGTAAGAGTTCTTTATATTCTGAATACTAGAACCTTGTTAGATATGCTGATACTGTCTCCCATTCTGTGGGTTGTCTGTCTGCTCTTGGTTGTGGCCTTTGAAGTATAAAATATTCTAATTTTGATGAAGATGAATTTATATATATTTTTCTTTTGTTGCTTGTGCTTTTGGTGTAGTTTAACTGCAAATTTGAGATGACATAGTAATATCATAAGTCCTAGCTTTATAGTGATGTTATTGAGCTACAACTCAAATATCTATAATTCATTGTTTAAGAAAATAGATAATGGGCCAGGCATGGTGGGTCACACCTGTAATCCCAGCACTTTGGGAGGCTGAGGTGGGCAGATCACGAGGTCAGGAGTTCAAGACCAGCCTGGCTAACATAGTGAAACCCCATCTCTACTGAAAATACAAAAATTAGTTGGGCGTGGTGGTGGGCGCCTGTAGTCCCAGCTGCTTGGGAGGCTGAGGCAGGATAATCGCTTGAACCCAGGAGGTAGAGGTTGCAGCGAACTGAGATCACGCCACTGCACTCCAGCCTGGGCGACACAGTGAGACTGTCTCAAAAAAAAAAAAATGGATAATATCTTAATTCTTTAACCTTGAAATCTTATAATAATGCCTATGAAGAAGACATTATTATAGAAGAAGTAACTGTTTTACTTGATTGAGCTTAAATATGATCACTGAAAATGCTGGCTTATGGCCCCTGGAGATTATTGTTATGGTAGAAATAAGTAATTATTTGTATATTTTTGTACTCCTCATCAACCATGCTATGTGTCAGACCCTCTATTTTGATACTTTATCTGTGTAATGTTGCCTCATTTGGCTGTTTTAACTACTCAAGGTTGGTGTGTTATGCTCACCTACGTATAAAGAAGCTGAAGCTTGAAAAGGACAAATAACATTACCCAGATCTTGTAGTTAGCAAATGTCAGAGCATGGATTTGAATCTAAATCTGTCATATATGTACACCATATTCTTAACTATAAATCCCTATTACTCCCTCCTTTTTACATCTCCTTGAGGAGAGGGATGTTCGTATCCTACATGGTCTTGAGTATACTGAGCACATAGTACAAGTATCATGGTTTATAAAATCACTTGTTTTCTATTACCAGATAGGAGCACCAACAATGTAATAAAATAGTGTGATAGCTGTAGTTTATCTTTCAGCCAGTAGTGTGAACTAAATTTGGCTCTGGAAATTAAAGAAGAGTCTTTCTTTCTCTTGCATCATCTGTAGGAGATGCTACAATCTCATAGACTTGGACATGTATTCTTTTCTTTTCTTTTTTTTTAAATAGAGGTGGGATCTCATTCTGTTATCCAGGCTGGTCTCGAACCCCTGGGCTCAAGTGATCCTCCTGCCTTAGGCCTCCCAGAGTGCTGGGATTACAGGCTGAGCCATTGTGCCTGGCCTAGGCTTGACATTTAGAGCTAGGTGATGCTTGGGGAAGGCTAAAATACAGCTTCTTGTTTGGTGATACTAGTCATCTGAATTCACAAAGGAGTGCTGCCACTGGCGCACTGCTGGGGAAAGGGCAGCAGTATAAGGGTCAGGCGACTAGTTCATGACCTTACTACCCGTCAGTATGACCTTGGGCAAGTCACTTTTCTTTTCTGGGTTTAAGTTTCTTTTTTTTGTGTGTAGTTAAGGGTTTGAAATAGATGATTAAAGATTTCTGTTTGTTTTAAAATTCCCTGATGTCAGAAAGGGTTTCAGTCTTGCTCACTGCTGTATCCCCAGTACAGTAGAGCTTGGTACATTTGACATTACTGGAGTAGATCTTACCTTTTCTAGTTAGTAATCATAGAACCTTGTGCAAGTTTCTTGACATATTTCCTCATCTGTAAAATGGAGATAATACCTGCTTCTATAGGGTTTATGGTGAAGGTGGAATTAAATCTATGTGAAGTATTTAACAATGCCAAGCACATAGCAGCACTCAAAGTTTGTTGTCACCGAATTAATGTATGATTATCTGTTTTGCATTTCACTCATTCAGATCATCATAGTTATTTCTTTTTGTTTGTCTGTTTTTTGTTTTTTTTTTTTTTTTTTTTTTGAGATGGAGTTTTGCTCTATCGTCCAGGTTGGAGTGCAGTGGCACGATCTCGGCTCACTGCAACCTCCGCCTCCTGGGTTCAAGTGATTCTCCTGCCTCAGCCTCCTGAGTAGCTGTGGGATTACAGGTGCCCGCCACCACGCCCCGCTAATTTTTGTATTTTTAGTAGAGATGGAGTTTCACCATGTTGGCCAGGCTGGTCTCGAACTCCTGAGCTCAGGTTGATCCTCCCACCTCGGTCTCCCAAAGTGCTAGGATTACAGGTGTGAGCCACATGCATAAGCCACCGTGCCCAGCCCATAGTTATTTCTTAAAGACCCTTCAGTGAAATATTTATTTGAATTAGTTGGAACACAGTGCAGTTTTCAGAAAGGTCATAGTTTTATTCCGTGAGTGTTACTTTTAGCTTTTTATTCCAACCATGGCCTCACCAGAGAGCTGAGTAGAAAAGGAAAGTAACAAAATTAATGCAAATATATTGCCTCTACTTGGAAAACAATTTAAACTGTATGTCTCATTGCTGATATGTTGGAAGAATCAACTTAATACTTAGGAAACCCTGCTTTTTAAGGAACTTCTAGAAGTGTGATTCTTTACCCTTATTAAGAGATTCTTGGTCAGAAGTGGATCAGAAATCCTGGAAATGTGGATAGAAGAAAAATGTCAATGGTAAATGGAGAATACAGGCCCACAATCTTTTTTTTTTTTTTTTTTTTTTGTCGTCGTCGTTTTTTAATTTTTATTTTAGAAATGGAGTCTCACTCTGTCCACACAGGCTAGACTGCCGTGGCACGATCATGGTTCATGTAATCTCAAGCTTCTGGGCTCGAGCAGTCCTCCCGCCTCAGCTTCTGGAGTAGCTAGGACTACAGGCACTATGGCCAGCTAATTTTTTATCTTTATTTTTTGTAGAGAGGGGGTCATGCTGTGTTGTCCAGACTTCTAGAGTTTGTTAATCAAAACCCTTAGGGTCTGATATATTTGGTAATTCCAGATTTTTCAGATTTGATAAAGATAATTTGGTATATACATCATATATTACATAATACCCCCAGCAGGATTTGGGCACTTCAGCAACCAGACATTAACATTTCTTTTTTTTGTTTTGTTTTTTGTTTTTTTGAGACGGAGTCTCGCTCTGTCGCCCAGGCTGGAGTGCAGTGGCGCGATCTCGGCTCACTGCAACCTCCACTTCCTGGGTTCAAGCAGCTCTCTGCCTCAGTCTCCTGAGTAGCTGGGATTACAGGCACCCGCCACCACGCCCAGCTAATTTTTGTATTTTTAGTAGAGACAGGGTTTCACTATCTTGGTTAGGGTGGTCTTGAACTCCTGACCTCGTGATCCATCCACCTCGGCCTCCCAAAGTGTTGGGATTACAGGTGTGAGCCACTGCGCCCGGCCTTAACATTTCTGTAGTCAGTTGTAATAGTCACATTACGTGGCATAGAGCACAAATAGCTTTACATGTGTTGTGGTTAGGTTTAGCTGCCAAATGAGTTTACCTATGAGAAATCTAGAAATCTTTTGCTTTTCAAAGGTTTTTGGTCTGGAAATTTGCAGATAAGGGATCGAAGACTTCATTTACTCACAACAATGTCATACCTGTAGAAATGCTTGTTTAATAATACGTTTTAAGTCAGTGTTAGATTTCTTTTCCAACAACTTTAATGTTTTACTGTTTCTAGATGACTAAATAGGAAGAATTTATAGAATTTTAAGATTAGGAGAGATCTTTAAACAGCAAATAATTAAACATTACTTATAATAACGTGTCATAATTTCTGTTGAACTTAAATTTTTATTTATGAGGTATTGGGTTGAATTGAAATGATGTAACTCTTTGTTACCAGAATAAAAGCTAATGGTTTTATTCTGGAAGGCCAAGCCTAATGTCTGTCACCTTTAAATGAAAAATTACATGACTAGAAGCCTTTACTTGATTTTATATCTAAGAAATAAAGTGATACTATGAGAGTCTTTGCTCGCTTTTTCCTTTGGCGTGTTGAATGAGGGACGTGCTGTGGTTCTTTCTGTTTTTTTGGGGGGATAGCGTGTATTTCATTGATTTGTAGGGTGCCTGTTTTCATACTTAAACATTTTAGAAAGCAGGATAGGTACACATATCATTGGCCAGATGGCCATTGTAATGTTCTTTCACAGGCAGAATGCTAAACCTAGCATCAGAACTTGTGGAATGAGTGTCATTGGCTTGGAAGGAAATCTGAGAGAGGATTTCTTTCTCTTTGAATCCTGAGGAACCAAATGACTGTGAAGAGCATTGGAGGTGAAAAGCAGCTGTGCACACTACTACAAAGCCAGCCCTAGAGCTCACGGCATTAGCTTTTTTGTGGATTCTTCTATGAAATGCTTTGTCACTTGTGTTCTTAAACAGCTCTTTGTGGGGTAAAAACAGATACTGTTGAATCTGAGTCAAAAAGTTCTGAATGTGAAGTACTTTTAGTAACAGCCAATTTTGTTTTACTTATATGTATGTTTTTACATATGTAAAAGGTGACGTGGTAAAAACTTCAACTCTAAAATAATTCTTTCAATAAGCAAAAGTAGAAAGAAGTTATAATGCCAGGCATGGTGGCTCACGCCTGTAATCCCAGCACTTTGGGAGGCCAAGGCAGGCAGATCACCTGAGATCAGAAGTTTGAGACCAGCTTGGCCCCCATCTCTACTAAAAATACAAAAATTAGCCCAGCGTGGTGGTGTGTGCCTGTAATCTCACCTACTCAGGAGGCTGAGGCAGGAGAATCGCTTGAACCCAGGAGGGGAGGCAAAGGTTGCAGTGAGCCGAGATCACACCACTGCACTCCAACCTGGGCAACAGAGTGAGACTCTGTCTTAAAAAAAAAAAAAGTTATAATAAAACACTGTATCATAGCTTAATCGTTTTTTCTTTATTGATGGTATACAAAGAAATGATTTATCCAGATATAGTACATTAAGTAAACATTAGACTAAATGAAATAGAATGTGAATATATTCAATTAGATGAAATGATTAAATTAAATTAATATCAAATTGTAATATTTGGCTGTAAGCTATAGGTGGTGCTGTTGCTCCTTATCTGATTTTATTCCTCTTTAGCTGTTTTCTGTGATTCTCCCATGAACCTTATTTCTGGCTAGTCCCTGTTTTACCATCTTGGGAATTCAATATGAAATTATTTTATTTTATAGGCTGGAGCATTGGATTTGCTAAAGGAGCTTAAGAATATTCCTATGACCCTGGAATTACTGCAGGTATGTGCTTTTATGCATCAAAGTTTTTTTAATAGGTAGTCGTCATAAAATACCAAAACATCTTCAGTACCAATATGTTTTTGTAGTCTCTTGATAATGGTGTAAACCATTACTAACTGCTATTTTTTTTTAAAGATGGCAATATAAATCAATAATCTACTAAGTTGCCATTATAGAGCAATGTCGCCTTTCTTAAGGAGAATAAAACCTGAATCTCTAAAGTTGGCAGTAGCAGTGAAATCTCACTGTGAGAGGAAGTTGGATTCTTGGCCCTGATTTGGTCTCCTAAGATTTCCCTTTCTTGATCTATTATTGATAGCTGCTGCCAGCATGAAGCTAGCTTCAGGGTGAGGATGGCAAGGTGTCGCTCCTCTCCCTTTTTTTTTCTTTTTTTTTTAGCACCAGTCAAGCATGTACACAGTTGATGTCTAGTAGACATTACACAGATTCATTACTGAAGTCTTATTCTTTATTGATAATATTTATAGATGTTTAAGGGGGTATATGTAATATTTGGTTACATGCATAGAATGTATAATGATGAAGTCAGGTTATTTAGGGTATCCCTCACCTTCAGTATTTATCATTTCTCTGTGTTGGGAGCATTTCAAGCCCTCTCTTCTCGCTATTTTGAAATATATAATGTTTTATTAACTATAGTGACCCTACTCTGCTGTGGAACCTTAGAACTTATTCCTTCTATCTAACTATATGTTCGTACCCATGAACAAACCTGTCTTCATTCCCTTGCCTCACTTACGCACCCTTCCCAGTCTCTGGTATCCATCACTCTGCTTTCTATCTTTGTGAGGCTCACTGTTTTAGCTCTCACATAGGAGTGAGAACGTGGTATTTGTCTTTCTCTGCCTGGCTTATTTCAGTTAACATAACTTCAGTTCCATCCGTGTTTCTGCAAATACATGATTTCATTCTTTTTTATAACTGATGGTATTTCATTGTGTATATACATTAAATTTTCTTTATCCAGTTATTCATTGATGGGCACTTAGGTTGATTCCATATCTTGGCTATTGTGAATAGTGCTGCAGTAAACATGAGGGGTGCAGATACCCCTTTGTTAAACTGATTTCCTTTGGATAAATATTTGGTAGTGGGATTGCTGGATCATATGGTACTTCAATTTTTAGTTCTTGAGAAATCTCCATACTGTTTTATACAGTGGCTGTGCTAATTTACATTCCCATTAACAGTGTATGAGTTCCCTTTTTTCTGCACCTTCACCAGCATCTGTTTTTTTTTTTTGTCTTTTTAATAGTAGCCATCCGGGCCAGGCGCTCATGCCTGTAATCCCAGCACTTTGGGAGGCTGAGGCGGGTGGATCACCTGAGGCTAGGAGTTCAAGACCAGCCTGGCCAACATGGTAAAACACCGTCACTACTAAAAATACAAAAATTAGCCAGGTGTGGTGGTGCATACCTGTAGTCCCAGCTATTTAGGAGGCTGAGGCACGAGAATCAGTTGAACCCAGGAAGTGGAGGTTGCAGTGAGCTGAGATTGCGCCACTGCACTTCATCCCAAGCCGCAAAGTGAGACTCTGTCTCAAAAAAAAAAAAAATAAATAAATAAATAAAAATAAAATAATAGCCATTCTGACTGGAGGAAGATGGTATCTCATGGTGGTTTTTATTTGCATTTCTCCAATGATTAGTGATGTTGAACATTTTTTCTTATACCTGTTGACCACTCGTATGTCTTGTTTTGAGAAATATCTATTCATGTTCTTTGCCCACTGTTTTTTTTTTTTTTTAAGATAAGGTCTCTGTTGCCCAGGTTGTAGTGCAATGACATGATCATTGGCTGACTGCAGCCTCCACCTCCTGGGCTGAAGTGATCCTCCCACCTCAGCCCCTCCCGTCCCTTACCCCCAAGTAACTGGGGACTACAGGAGCATGCTACCATGCTTGGCTAATTAAAAAAATTTTTTTTTTTAGAGACGGGGTTCTCCCTTTGTTGCCCAGGCTGGTCTTGAACTCCAGCCTTGGTCTCCCAAAGTGCTGGGATTGCAGGCATGAGCCACTGCAGCCAGCATTTTGCCTACTTTTTAATGAGATTATTTGTTTCCTGGTTGTTGTTGTTGTTGTTGTTGTTGAATTGTTTGACTTCCTTATTTATTGTTAATATGAGTCCCTTTTCACATGAATAGTTTGCAAATATTTTCTCCTGTTCAGCAGATTGTCTCTTTACCCTGTTGTTTCCTTTGCTGTGCAGAAGCTTTTTTTTTTTTTTTTTTTTTTTTGAGACACAGTTTCACTCTGTGGCCCAGGATGGAGTGCAGTGGTACGACGTGCGACCTCAGCCTTCTGGATTCAAGCAATTCTCTTGCCTTAGCCTCCCCAGTAGCTGGGATTACGGGCGCCTGCCGCCATGCCCAGCTAATTTTTGTATTTTTAGTAGAGACGGGGTTTCACCATGTTGGCCAGGCTGGTCTCAAACTCCTGACCTCGGGTGATCCACCATCCTTGGCCTCCTGAAGTGCTGGGATTACAGGCATGAGTGTATTTTAATGTTCCATCAAGAATGAAATATAAAAATAAAACTTTGATAAAAGTCAAAGTGTTAAAAAGGAAACTTAATATAGCCAATAACATGAATATCGTTATTTTCTGGTTGATGTTTTTTATTATCCACAAGTGCTTTCTTTGATATTTCTATTATATTAATTCAGAATTTAGGGAAAGGTGGTGGGGGTGTGTGAACATGATTGAGAAAAAAAGTCACGTTTATTTTCATTAATGGCTAACTGAAATTGAATATTTCTTTCAGTTGTGAAAACACTAAACCACAGTTGTATTACCAGTATTTACGACTAAAACTAAAATAATTCACAAATGTTTTAACTTCAGTTTACTTACATTGTAAAAGTATTGAAATTGCTCATTATTGTTGCTGTTCTACCTTATGCTAGGTCTTAATGTTTTAATAAGGAAGGGCTTGGCACAGTGGCTCGTGCCTGTAATCCCAACACCTTGGGAGATCGAGGCTAGAGGATTGCTTGAGCCCAGCAGTTCAAGACCAGCCTGGGCAACATAGCAAGACTCTGTCTTGATAAAAAAGAAAAAAATACACACACACAAATTGGGGAGCATGAACATTACTATCTTACATTTAAAAATATTTTGTAATTTTATATTATATAATTGGTTTGCTTCATAATCCTATGTATTTTATTTAATCCATTTTTAACGGATTCTGAGAAGGGCTCCATAAGCTTCACCAGACTGCTAGAAGGATCCATGGTGCAAAAAAAGGGTTAAGAACTCCTCCTCTAGGCCGACCAGGTGGCTCATGCCTGTAATTCCAGCACTTTGGAAGCTGGAGGTGGGTGGATCACTTGAGCTCAGGAGTTTGAGACCAACTGGCCAACATGGTGAAACCCCGTCTCTATTAAAAATACAAAAAAATTAGCTGGGCATGGTGGCATGTGCCTGTAATAATCCCAGCTACTCGGGAGGCTGAGGCAGGAGAACCACTTGAACCCAGGAGGCGGAGGTTGCAGTGAGTCAAGATTGCGCCACTGCACCCCAGCCTGGGCAACAGAGCAAGACTCTGTATCAAAAAACAAAAAAGAACTCCTCTATCTCTAGACCCCAGAAAGAGAAAGTAAGAGAAAGGAAGTAAGTCATGAAGTCCTACCTTCTGAGTTCAGGTTTCTGTCTAATGATCAGCAACTTCTCTTGCAAGTCAACTCTAAGAATAAACTTTCCTTTGAGATAGTTCCTTACCAAGGCATAACTTTATCCCGACAGACCTGTGTGGGGAAAACAACATAGTAATCCCATTATTTATTTAACAGGCACGTGTAGAGTTAGAGAGAGTATGGAGGTTGGATAGGGTTAATATTTATGAGCATCTCTAATTTTTTCCTGTGCTTCCTTCTTTGGAAAGCCTGTGTATTTATATAACAAACATTCGAGGTTTTTTTTTTCTTTGAGATGGAGTTTCACTCTTGTTGCCCAGGCTGGAGTGCAATGGCACGATCTCGGCTCACTGCAACCTCCACCTCCCGGGTTCAAGCGATTCTCCTGCCTCAGCCTCCTGAGTAGCTGGGATTACAGGCGTGTATCACCACACCCGGCTAAGAGTTTTTACTATGATTAAGAATTGTGCTGGGTTTATAAAGATGAATAAGATAAGGCCTTTCCCTCCTCATTGAACTTAAATTCTAGTAGAGGAAAACTGACATATAAACAAAGATGTAGGTACCCAAAGAAAAGTCCATACAGTGTTCATCTGGGGGAAAGAAGGAGGGTAGGAAGAAGAACGAAGAAGTTTACTTGTCAATCTAAGTACATAATCTGGGAGGTGCAGAATGCTGTTATGTAGGTGATAAAGCTGAAACTACATCTCAGAAGATGACTAGGTTCTCCCTCAGCAGATAGACAGGGAAAGATATTTCAGCAGAGAAAACAGTATGTGGAAGCAGTGTGGCATTTAGAAGTGAAAATAAAGGAGAGCTAGTTGCATATGGGGTTAAAGACATGGGAAGAGCTAGTTGCATACAGGATTTTAAAGACATAGGTGGTGTGGCACGCAGGGCTTCATATGTGATGCTGAGAGCATTACTACTGAAAGGTGTTAGGCAGGGGAGTATGTGACCAGATTTGCACATTGGAGGAAATGGGAAGCTGGAGCCTGAAAGACCTGTTGACTAATGAAGTTATTCAGGTGAGGAGTGATGAGGGCTTAAACTAAGATAATAGCAATATAAATGGAGAGAAGGGGAATTTGTTAATGAAAGACAGCCTATAAGGATTGGTAGTTGTTTGGATGGAGGTGAAGGAGTGGAGGAATTTAGGATGACTGAGATTTTTGCCATGGCAACTGGGTAGATGGTGCCATTTAGCAATATAAGAATATTCAAGAAAGGTAGTATGAAGGTGAGCTTGGGATGAGAAGAAAATAAAAATGGAGGGGTGAAGAGATAAAGGATAATTTGGATACACTGGATTTTGAGATGCCTATGAAACAAGTATATGCAGGTATCTGGTAGGTAGTTGAGTATGTCCTCCCTAGCAGTGCTGTCAAGTATGACTTTGCAGTGATGGAAATGTTTCTGATGTGAGTGTTGACTGATATGGTAGTGCTTAACTACATGAGGCTATTGAGCACTTGAAATATGACTAAGGAACGGAATTCTAAATTTCATTTAATTTTAACAAATTTTAAATAGCCATATATGTAAACAGCTCTAGAATATAAGAGAAAGGACAGGTTTAGGAAATATTTGGGAAGTAATAGCATAGAGGTGGGTTAGATCCCCTAGGAAAAAGGGAAAACAGAGTTGGGATATAACAGACTGATTAAATCAAATGAGATCTGAAGAGTCCTTGGGAGTTTACAATTAGGAGTGCAGGAAACTGAGCAGAGTGAGAGAGTAGAAGGTGGGTATTGGGTTGAAGGTGAGGAAGTAAACAGGAAGACAAATATTTGGGCTAGTAATAGATTCGGCTAGTTTTGTAAGTTTTTATATATAGTAGATTAATTTATTCAATCATGATTAAGTGTCTGCTATGTGCTAGATATTATTCCACATGCTGAATATAGTGGCAGACAAGACAAGGTCCCTGCTGTCTTGGAACTTATTAAAAGGATAGTAAACGTAGCTGTATGTTTCTTTTTTTTTTTTAAACAGTATTATTGAGATATAATTCACATACCATACAGTTCATTCATTTAAAGTGTATGATTCATTGTTTTTTAGTATGTTCTGGTACTATCACCACAATTAACTTTAGAACATTTTCATCACCCCAAAAAGTCATTCTCCGTTCCCCCCAACTGGTCTTCCTCCTTCCAGCCTAGGCAACCACTAATCTTTCTGTCTCTATAGGTTTGCCTGTTCTGGAGTTTTCATATAAATGGAATCATACAGTATCTGACCTTTGATGTCTGGCTTCTGTCACTTAGCTTAATGTTTTCAGGATTCATCCATGTTGCAGTTTATGTCAGAATTTTCAGGCCTTTTTATGGCTGAATAATATTCAGTTGCATGGATATTTCACATGTTGTTTATCCATTTGTCAGGTGATGCGTTTAGACTTTTTTGGCTGTTATGTATCACACTGCTATGCGTGTTTATATACAAGTTTGTGTGAGCATATGTTTTTGTTGTTCTTGTGTAGATACCTGGGAATGGTATTGCTGGTTTATGTGGTAACTGTGTGTTTAACATTTTGAGGACCTGCCAGACTCTTTTCTCCAGCCACCATACCATTTTATATCCCTAGTAGCAGTAAACGAGGGGTCCAGTTTCTCTGCATCCTTGCAAACACTTGTTGTTGTTTGTTTTTGATTATAGCTATTGTAGTGGGTGTAGTGGTATTTCATTGTAGCTTTAATTTTTATTTCCATAATGTCTAAGGATGTTGAATATCTTTTCATGTGCTTGTTGGTTATTTTTATATCTTATTCGGAGAAATGTCTATCCAGATCCTTTGCCCGTTTTTAAATTGGATTGTCTTTTTTTTTTTAATCGAGTTGTAATAGTTCTTTATATATTCCAAATACAAGTCGCTTATCAGACATAGAGTTTGCAAATATTGTCTCTTTTTCTGTGAATTATCTTTTTGCTTTCTCGATGGTGTTCATTGAAGCACAAAAGTTTTAAATTTTGATATATTCTATTTTTTCTTTGATTGCTTGCGCCTTAGGTGTCATATCCAAGAAACCATTCCCTAATCCAAGGTCATGAAGCTTTACTCCTGTTCATATTGAGTTAATTTTTATGTGTGGTATAAGGAAGAGGTTCAGGTTTATTCTTTTACATGTGGATGTCTAGTTGTTCCAGCACCATTTGTTAAAAAGAATATTCTTTTCTCCAATGAATTGTCTTGATATCCTTATCTAAAATCAGTTGATGAAAAATGTAGGAATTTATTTCTGGAGTCTTAAATTTATCCCATTGATCTGCGCGTCCATCCTTTTGCCAGTACTATGCTATCTTGGTTACTATAGGGAATTGTGAGTGCTCCAACTTTGTTCTTCTTTTTCAAGATTGTTTTGGCTGTTTTGGGTCCTTTGCATTTCTGTATGGACTTTAGGGTACGCTTGTCAATTTCTACACTAAAGGCAGATGGGATTCTGATAGGCATTGCATTGAGTCAGTAGTTCGACTTGATTAGTATTGCAGTCTTAACATTTAAGTCTTCCGGTCTATCGACATGAGATTTAAAAATTTTGTTTGGGTCATCTTTAATTTCTTTCAAAAATGTTTTATAGTAGCTGTGTGTTTCTTTTATATATGTGTGTTTTAAATGTATGTTTTACATATGTGTTTTATAGTAGCTGTACAGTAGCTATATGTTTTTTACCTTAAGATTTAGTGGCTACCTTGAGATCATCTTGGCAAAAACTCATGAGTGATCACAAAGGAGACTTTTCTTCTGGAGCACACCAAATCTGCTTGTTTCCTGTGATGTTAACAGTGTCTCTTGATCTCAGTACTCATTCCTTTCTGCTTTTCCATCAGTGTGCAGCTGACCCCTAAGGCTGCTTAATGCACTCTCCACCTTTCCAAGGTAATGTCTTTCTTTCTGTATACCTGATGTTCTATAGAAATCATAGGCAAAGGCACATATTTTATCTGCTAGAGTTTCACGATGTATAGTTTGTCCTGAAAGCTTTCATTAGTCCTGCAGTCAAGAAAACAGTTATAATCCCACAATTCCTAAGGTCACTTGAGCACAGAATACTTTCGTATAACCTATCTATTACATCTTGTAAGTCTTAGCATACCAATTTTAGGAAAAATCTCTAGGGAATTCATAGAGTCAACTTCAGACTTGCTTATCCAAGTAAATAGCTTCATAATCTTTTCCTCTACTTTTTTTTTTTTTCATTTTTTCCATGGTACCCCCAAAGGAAAAAAGAAAAACTTATTTCAAATCTTTGTTTTTCATTCTACCTCAGCAGCTTCATTTCTTTTTTTTCTTTTTTTTTTTGAGACGGAGTCTTGTTCTGTTACCCAGGCTGGAGTGCAGTGGTGCAATCTCGGCTCACTGCAACCTCTACCTCCCGGGTTCAAGCAATTCTCCTGCCTTAGTCTCCCAAGTAGCTGGGACTACAGGTGCGTGCCACCATGCCCAGCTAATTTTTTGTACTTTTTAAAGATGGGGTTTCACCGTGTCAGCCAGGATGGTCTTAATCTCCCGACCTCGTGATCCACCCACCTCGGCCTCCCAGAGTGCTGGGATTACAGGCGTGAGCCACCATACCCGCCCTTTTTTTTTCTTTTTGGAGACAGTCTTGCTCTGTCGCCCAGGCTGGAAGCTGGAGCGCAGTGGTGTGATCGTGGCTCGCTGCAACTTCTGCCTTCTGGGTTCAAGTGATTCTTCTGTCTCAGCCTCCCGAGTAGCTGGGACTACAGGCGCTTGCCACCACGCCCAGCTAATTTGTTTTTTGTTTGTTTGTTTGTTTTTTGTTTTTTTTTTTTAGTAGAGACAGTTTTACTATATTGGCCAGGCTGGTCTCAAACTCCTGACTTCGTGAGCCGCCCGCCTCAGCCTCCCAAAGTGCTGGGATTACAGGTGTGAGCCACCGTGCCCCTCATTTCTTATTATTTTGGCTTGACAATCTCTTCCATAGATAAGCATGTTTATTACAAGATAACTATATTCTCAGTATAGGTTTTGTTTGAGGCTAAGCGGGATAATCATTGACTTTTTAGTAATCAAAACATCCTCTGATAATTAAAAAGCAATCACCCAGCAGTACACAATTCATCATCTCCTTACACCTTTGCTCTCCTGCAAGCCCCTAGTAAAGTGCCATTTTATTTTTTTGCACGTTTGTGTCAGTTCTAAGCTTCAGAACCACACTAATAAGTTATTTCCTCTACACATTCAAAAAGTGGAGTTTTTTTCCTAGTAAACTAGCCTTGTTAACCCCAAATTGTTTGGGGCTTTAAAATTGTGGAGTCCCTTTATCTTTCTGCTGTTCAATCTTGTCTGTTTTGCTCAGCTTTCTAAGAGATATAGGACACTCTAGCCAACCACATATTCTAAATTCTTGAATAAAACTTAGATCCTGAATCTGTTTGTTGAGAGGATTGAATAATTTAGAAGGAAACCTCAAGTACCCGTATATTTTTCTACCGTAAAGCTTACAATAGGGTGTCTCTTTTTTTTCACCACTAAGAATTCCTTTTGTTATTTTTTTCTTCCATAGACCATATGTTTGAAATATTGTCTGTTAACAACCCGAACTTACTAAATAATATACCATTTTTTATTTATCATCCATATTTGGGCTGTCATAGCTTTTGTGTTCTTTGAGCACAATTTGAAACCATTAATGTGCTACAAAGACCATGGACTTCGGCAGTGAACAAACCTGGATTAAAATCCCAGTTTTTGGCTGGGCCGGTGGCTCATGCTTGTAATCCCAGCACTTTGGAGGCTGAGGTGTGTGGATCACCTGAGGTCTAGAGTTTGAGACCAGCCTGGCCAACGTGGTGCAGTCCGTCTCTACTAAAAATACACAAATCAGCCGGGCGAGGTGGCATGTGCCTGTAATCCCAGCTACTCGGGAGGCTGAGGCAGGAGAATTGCTTGAACCAGGAGGTGGAGGTTGCAGTGAGCCAATATCGTGCCCCACTGCACTCCAGCCTGGGTGACAGAGTGAGAGTCCGTCTCAAAAAAAAAAAAAAAAAATCCCAGCTTTGCTGGTTGGTAATGGTGTGATGCTGGGCACGTTATTTATTGGTACTTCCAATCTCTTCATCTTTAAAAATAGGGATGATCTCAACTTTGAAGGGTTGTTAGAAAGATTGATGAATGTGGATGCTCTAAGCATAATTCTAGGCACGTAATTATCACAGGTTAAATTTTACCTGTATTTTGTGAAGTGCATTTTAATGTCTCTGATTATATGCTGGTTCCTGGCAAAATAAAGCCTTTTAAACCTGGATAGGTGGTAGTTTTTGTTTGGATATCCTCATAATAATTTGCAGCTGGTGCTCTATGAAGTAATCCATGTAGAGGAATGTATAGAAACAAAGAAATGCATGTATTAGTCATGATTGCTTCAGCCTGACTTATATACAACATTATATATTTTATCCTCGTTTATCTTCACTTCTCCCTTGTGGAAAGATTGATTGCATTTTTCTAGTTAACCAGACTTATTACAGTAGTGAATTTTATGCTTCTAGATCTTGATGATAAGAACATTAATGAGTCTAGTGTTTGATCTGAAGATGTATGTATCTTAATATAATTTGCTATTATAAGGATCCAAAAATTGAAGTTTTGAAATTCTAAAATAGAAACAGGAATCTGGGAAAGAAAAGAATGTAGGTGAAATACTAATTTGTTTAAAATAAAATTGGTATACATAATTTTTTTGTTATTGCCTTGCAGTCCACAAGAATCGGAATGTCAGTTAATGCTATTCGCAAGCAGAGTACAGATGAGGAAGTTACATCTTTGGCAAAGTCTCTCATCAAATCCTGGAAAAAATTATTAGGTATCATTGATCTTCCCTTACATATATTTATGATGTTGTGATTTATTCAAATAGTTAATGGTTACATTTTATGGTTAGTTAATGGTTACATTTTTTTCTTAGTGAATCTAGATATACTGAAAGCAGTGCCTCGTAATAAAGGCGAGGGGAGTTAATTTGATCTTTAGGGTTTTTTTGCCTTTTAGGCCAGTCAAATTTGGCTTTCTTAACTTTTGACACAACTGGATAAACTCTTTCAGTAAGAAGAATTTTCTCTTAAAGGAAAGGTTGTGGATACCTTTTGAAATGGTTTTTGAAATTTTTTGACTTACAGAAAACTTGCAAGGATGATTAAAAGAATGCCGTATCCTTTATCCATATCATCAATTTTTAATATTTGCCATATTTGTTTTATCATATTCTCTCTTTTTCTTTCTCTATTTGCACACACACAAATTATTTTTTTCGGAACCATTTGAAAGTAGGTTGAATATATCATGCTCTTTTACCCTTTAAATACTTGCGTGTATTTCCTTACTACAATCTTATTTTTTTATGGAATCATAGTATAAGAAATATAGGAAATTTAACATTGGTATAGTATTTTATGGTTTATGTTCAGGTTTGTCAGTTGTCCCAATAATGTTTTTTTATAGTTCTTTTGTTTTTCTACCTTCAGGAAAAGATCCACTTCAGGATCACATAGCTAGTTTTCTTTCTTTTTTTTTTTTTTTTTTTTTTGAGACTGAGTCTCACTCTGTTGCCCAGGCTGGAGTGCAGTGGTGCAATCTCGGCTCACTGCAAGCTCCGCCTCCTGGGTTCATGCCATTCTGCCTCAGCCTCCCGAGTAGCTGGGACTACAGGTGGCCGCCACCACGCCCAGCTAATTTTTTGTATTTTTAGTAGAGACGAGGTTTCACCGTGTTAGCCAGGGTGGTCTCGATCACCTGACCTTGTGATCTGCCCGCCTTGGCCTCCCAAAGTGCTGGGATTACAGGCGTGAGCCACCTCGCCTGGCCTCACATAGCTAGTTTTCTAATTTGAAATCATTCTTAAGCTTTTCTTTATCTTTTATGAAATTGACATTTTGAAGAATACAGGTATCCCTTCTCCTTTGTTTTCCCCCCAAGGCAGAAATGTTCCTTTCTCATTTGAAGACCAACCTGTTTACTTAGGTTCATGATTTTACTTTTTCTTTGTTTTTGGTCTGTGATCTTTCACTATCAATTATCACCTGTGTAGGAAATGTACATAGGGTCCTAGCCCAACAAATATGAATTCCCTCACCTTAAATTTTATTTTGGGGCTGTCAATTTTTTGTTGATATATTTCCTGAAAGTCAAATTTGGAAGGAAAGAAAATTAAACGCAATTTTGTCTTTCACATTAATTGCACAAACCCAATAAAAAAAATTACTGTTGTGGGCCATGCTTTAAAATTTTATGTGTGTGTGTGTATATATCCTGTCCCTTCCCCCTCATTCCTGGTCCCCTGCCTCAAGTAGGGCTAAAAGAAACAAGGTCATTTCCTATAGAAGAAAGTATGTATGCCTCCTGAATATGTGGAGTTTAACTTTTTATTTTGACATAATAAGTGACTCACAGAAAATTACCACAAAAAAAAAGTACAGAAAGGTCTCATGTACCCTTTATCCAGCTTCCTCCTATGGCAATATCACATAACTCTCATATACAGAATCTCAACCAGGAAATTGACAGTGATACAGTCTACAGACCTTATTCAGATTTCATCAGTTTTTACTGGCGCTAGTGTATGTGTGGGGGCATGTATCCTTCTGAGCAATTTTATCTTACATATACATTCATGTAACCATCATTAATGTGTATTTTAAAATACTTTCATGCAAATCAGATTTTTATCAAATTCATAATGGGCTTAAAAAATAGAACTTGGATATGTTATACAATATGCAGAAAATGACCAATTGTAATGAATGCAAAGTGGAATTGGATTTTGGTTTAAAAGTAAACTAGGAAATATATTCAAGGCAGAATTTCCCACATTTTTAAGTTGTATCCTTGAAGCAGGTTTATTCCCCTATCCACCCCCTTTCCCACCACTTTTTTTGTTTTGTGTTGAAATAGGGGTCTTGCTATGTTGCCTAGGCTAACCTCCAACTCCTGGGTTCAAGCAGTCTTTCACATCAGACTCCTGAGTAGCTGGAATTGCAAGCATCCGCCACTGCCCTCCTTTGTTATTTATTTACTAATTTGAGACAGAGTCTCACTATGTTGCTAAGGCTGGTCTTGGACTCTTGGGCTCAAGCGATCCAACCTGCCTTGGCCTCCCAAAGTGTTAGGTTTATAGGCGTGAGCCATCGCGCTTGGCCCCTCCTTTGTTTTTAATAGCATATTCCTTATTTGAGGTGTACCTGCTTTTTTCTCATGATTAGATCAGGTTGTACATCCCCAGTTGGAATACTGTTTAAGCATGTTATGTCCTTCTCAAGGTATCATATCCAGAGTGATTGATAGTAATTTTGAGAATCTAGTCAAAGCCACACTGTATAGTGTATTGTTTTTCCTCTTGTAGCTAATAGCCATTCTGTGGGAGACACTTTTAAGATCCTGAAACTGTCTTACACCTTAACAAATCTTTTTCCTCCCCTCCCAATTTAGGATCCATTGATTTTTTGCTCAAACCAATCTTTGTAGTAGTAGTTGCAAAATTGTGATTTTTCTGACTCCTCTGCTTCAATACTTATAAAATCATCATTCTGTTAGAAGAAGAACCTTCTGGCCAGGCATGGTGGCTCACGCCTGTAATCTCAGCACTTTGGGAGGCTGAGGCAGGCAGATCACGAGGTCAGGAGATCGAGACCATCCTGGCTAACACGGTGAAACCCCATCTCTACTAAAAAAATACAAAAAAATTAGCTGAGTGTGATGGTGAGCACCTGTAGTCCCAGCTACTGCTACTCGAGAGGCTGAGGCAGGAGAATGGCGTGAACCCGGGAGGCGGAGCTTGCACTGAGCCGAGATCGCGCCACTGAACTCCAGCCTGGGCAACAGAGTGAGAGTCTGTCTAAAAAAAAAAAAAAAGACAACCTTCTTTTTACCCCTTAGCTAGTTATCCATTAGTGTAGACTCGCAGGTTCCTTTTCTGTATAATGGATTGTAATACATTACTATTCAAATTTAATTTGCATAAATTTTACCCCTACTATAATTTTACCTATGCTGTGTGTGTACTTAATTTATATTACCTTTTTTAATGAAAATAGTTTGTTTTTCTATCATAACTATTATTTTTATTGGTTTCAGAATGATTTATTCAGTTGACTATACCATATTTTAGTTGATCACTTGCCAGTTGTTAGATTTCTTGTTTTTAACTTTATGGTGGTTGTAACTAATGTCTTGATGGATATCTTTCTGCCTAAAGCTTTTTCTTTACATTGTTAGCTAGATTTCTACATTTACTACTACTGCTACTAGGTAGCACATTGTTGAGTACTTAAGATGTGCCAAGCATTGACCTGTATTAATGCATTTAATCCTCACAACAATCCAATTTGGTAGGTGCTATTATAATCTCCATTTTATGATGAGGAATCTGAGGCACTGAGCGGTTAAATACCTTGCACACAGTTGAATCAGTGGTGAATAGCCAAGCTGGGACTTGATTGCAGACAGCTGGAGTCCAGAGCTGGAGCACCTCCTTCCCAGCTAGCTGGACTGTGTTGCCCACAACACCGTATCAGATAGTAGGAATGCTTCTGAGGCTGTTCATGCCTCTTACTGCTCTGCTGTCTAAAAGGATTGTACTAATTCACTGTGCCAGAGCAGTGTGTGAGATAGTTCTGCTGTCCCTTTGGCAGCATTGGATCCTTGCTGGATCATATTTCATTGTTATATCAGTTTTCCCTTTTAAATGCTTTCTACCCTATTACTTTTGGACCATTTCTTAGTCCTTGCCATGTGTCATTATTAATCTTTGTTTTCAGTGTTACAGTACTATAGCATCTTTGGGATTTGAGCCTTCAAGGAAATTATTGAGAATAACAAGGAGCAGTAAAATTATGTGAAGACTAAAGTGTATGTGCGTGTTTTATCAGAGGGCTTGAATTGTGTTTTAGGTTTGACAAACTTCAACTTTACAAGATGAGTTCTACAGTTGTGATTTCAACCATTCTCTTATCAGTGATTCTCATCCAGACAACTATATATTAGAGTTGTCTAAGGAACTTTAAAAAATAATGATGCTTGCGCCTCACTGCCAGAGATTTGGATTGAATGGATCTGGTTCGGAGCTTGGCATGAGGATATGTTTAAAAGCTCCCTAGGTGATTCTGCTATCCAGTTGGATATAGTTTCTTCTATATTCTATACAGAGAGATGTGAAGAATTGAAAGAATTCTTTATGTAGCCTTTATTGCTTATGTAGGGAGCAAAATGTACTTAACTGGTATACTTTGTACAGTAGACCCAAACGTTTTCTGAACTTAGCTTCAAGGCTATGTGTTTTGTTTTTGTTTTGTTTTTTTTGAGACAGGTATCACTCTGTCATCCAGGCTGGAGTGCAGTGGTGCAGTTATAGCTCATTGCAGCCTCAAGTTCCTGGGCTCAAGCGTTCCTCCTGCCTGGGCTTCCTGAGTGGCTGGGACTACAGGCATGCACTGAATTTTTCTTTTTTTTTTTTTTTTTTTTTGAGACAGAGTCTCACTCTGTCACCCAGGCTGGAGTGCAGTCGCACAATCTCGGCTCACTGCAACCTCCTCCTCCCAGGTTCAAATGATTCTCCTGCCTCAGCGTTAGCTGGGATTGCAGGTGTGCACCACCATGTCCAGCTAATTTTTGTATTTTTAGTAGAGATAGGGTTTCACCATATTGGCTAGGCTGGTCTTGAACTCCTGACCTCAAGTGATCCACCTGCCTCAGCCTCCCAAAGTGTTGGGTTTACAGGTGTCAGCCACCACATTTGACCCCAGGCAGGCACCAGTTTTAAAATTTAAGACTGTGTTGATTGATTTAAAAGTGAATGTTTCTTTGGGCTATTGAAATATTGCACTGACTCAACCTATTTTTATGTACCTTATTTCATAATATCTCATTGCTTACCTCTTTTTTTTTTTGAGACAGAGTCTTGTTCTGTTGCCCAGGCTGGAGTGCAGTGGTATGATCTCGGCTCACTGCAACCTCCGCCTCCTGGGTTCAAGCTATTCTTCTGCCTCAGCCTCCTGAGTAGCTGGGACTACAGGCGCGTATCACCACGCCCGGCTAATTTTTTGTATTTTTTTTAGTAGAGACGGGGTTTTACCATGTTAACCAGGATGATCTTGATCTCCTGACCTCGTGATCTGCCCGCCGTGGCCTTCCAAAGTGCTGGGATTGCAGGCATGAACCACTGTGCCTGGCCGCCTCTTTAAGTCTTAAAGCTTGTGCACTCTGTATTACTTTATAGTTCATTTAAGATAGAGAAGGTACTGGGTAGGTCTTACTCATCCTGAGGTATTTTCTATGAAAGTGTTTTTTGTTTACCATCCCAGAAATATTTGTTTATATTTTGGATACCACCTTAAATTTTCTAACTTTATGGAAATTTATTAAAAACAATATTGCTGTGTATGCTTTAATTTTTATTTTATTTGACTTTATTTTGAGAAAAGGTCTGGCTCTATTGCCTGGGCTGGCATGCAGTGGTGTGATCTTGGCTCACTGCAGCCTCCACCTGCTGGGCAAAAGCCATCCTCCCACTTCAGCCTCCCGAGTAGCTGAGACTACAGGTGTGCACCACCACGCCCGGCTAATTTTTGTATTTTTTGTAGAGACAGAGTTTTGTCATGTTGCCCAGGCTGGTCTCAAACTCATGAGCTCAAGTGATCCACAGCCTCCCAAACTGCTGGAATTACAGGCGTGAGCCACTGCACCGGCCTGTGCTTTCATTTTTAAAGTAACAGTGCAGATATTTCCATATTCTTCCCATCTCTTTGTTCCATATACTTTCCTCCCTTTAGGTTCCCATGGCATGTGAATTTGTAGTTCCCACCAAATGAGGGAATTTATTTGGGAGTGTTGACTGAACTTGCATTGTGAAAAATAGTACATATGCTAATAGCTTATGCAAACTTCATCTACTTGTAGGAAACTTAGGATTTTAGTTCATGTTGTGCAAATAGCCTGTTAACGCAGTATTTTAGTTTTTAGTTTTTACAAATGCTAGCAACTTAAGAGATTTCATAATTTTCAGATGGGCCATCAACTGAGAAAGACCTTGACGAAAAGAAGAAAGAACCTGCAATTACATCGCAGAACAGCCCTGAGGCAAGAGAAGAAAGGTACTTCACAGTATAGACATATATTTATATTGAAAGTCATAGTTTTACTTCCTGCATCAATTCCCCTGTCTAATGTTCCCCTATTTACACTCCTTTTTTTGTTTTCTAATCAAATGGAAGTAGTAAATGTATGTAGCCATGTATTCTAATTTATTTTTTTTTCAGATTTCTTGAACATTTGAGAGGTAGAAGACATTGAATAAATAAGAAGTTATTTATATTGTACTCAACAAGTTTAATTGAATGGGATTGCTGGGGTAGGCACTGATGGAATTGATAATGGAGGTAGTGATTAGGGATTCAAATGGTTGCTTCCTCTATTTACCACATTTTTTTTTTTAGATTTATTTTGGCCCTTGATCTCATTCTCCTTTGCATGCTTTTTTTCTTCCTTTTGAATTTAGCAATTTGTGGCTAGGCACAGTGGCTCACTTTGGGAAGCTGAGGTGGGAGGATCACTTGAGGTTAGGAGTTCGAGACCAGCCTGGCTAACACGGTGAAACCCTTTCTCTACCAAAAAAAAAAAAAAAAAAAAAAAAATTAGCCATGTAGCCATGTGTGGTGGCATGTGTCTATAGTCCCAGCTACTTGGGAGGCTGGGGTGGGAGAATTGCTGGAACCCGGGAGGCAGAGGTTGCAGTGAGCCAAGATCATGCCACTGCACTCCAGCCTGAGCAATGGAGTGAGACCTTATCTTAAAAAAAAAAAAAAAGCCATTTGTTATAAGAACTTAAAATGTGAAGTTCATTAACAAAGAGTTCAGATTGTCCCTCACCTCCTATGAGGCCTTTGCATGTGTTCTTTCCTATTATATCTCACGAACTATGCAGTATTGAACATGTTGCTTACTCATAGTTGGTTAAATACAAATCGTTCTTCTGTTCTTGGGAAGCTGGTAGGTTAACAGTCAACATTGATTTAAAGCAATGGTTCTTGAAAGTGTGGTCCCTGGAAGAGGAGAGAACCTGACAGCTTGTTAGAAATACAGATTCTCAGACTTCGTCCTGTAACTACTGAATCAGGAATTCTGGTGGGGAGGGGCCCAGATACCTGTTTTGAGACAGAGTCTTGCTCTGCCGCCCACTCTGGAGTGCAGTGGTGCGATCTTGGCTCACTGCAACCTCCACCTCCCAGGTTCAAAGCAATTCTCCTGCCTCAGCTTCCCAAGTAGCTGGGATTACAGGCGCCCACCACACCTGGCTAATTTTTGTGTTTTTAGTAGAGATGGGGTTTTGCTATGTTGGCCAGGCTGGTCTTGAACTCCTGATTTCAGGTGATCCGCCCTCCTCAGTGTCCCAAAGTGCTGGGATTACAGGCGTGAGCCACTGTGCCTGGGGTTTTTTATTTTTTATTTTTGAGACAGAGTCTTGCTCTGTCACCCAGGCTGGAAGGCAGTGGCACGATCTCGACTCACTGCCACCTCCACCTTCCAAATTCAAATGATTCTCCTGCCTCAGTCTCCTGAGTAGCCGGGATTATGGGTGTATGCCACCACACCTGGCTAATTTTTATATTTTTAATAGAGACGAGGTTTCACCATGTTGGCCAGACTGGTCTTGAACTCTCAACCACAGGTGATCCACCTGCCTCAGCCTCCCAAAGTGCTGGGATTATAGGCGTAAGCCACTGCACCCAGCCCGTGTTGAGGTATTTAGGACATTAAGGCAACTACCGATTTTAACTTTGTTTCTCAATATTTTCCCAAAATTGATCATGTACTCTTCATGTTAATGTTAATGTCTCATACACTGTTATTTTTTTGTATTTGTATTAACTATATTAAATATATATATTAAACATATTAACTATATTAAAAGAGGTAAGTCAAAGGTAGGCTTAAACAGCAGTTGTTAATAAAGTTTATGTAATTTTTTCTAACGTTATATCCGTTTAGTTTTCTTAAATCTGGAATAGTTCCTCAGTCTCTCATTGTCTTTGTTTTTATTATTTTATTATTATTATTATTATTTTTTGAGACAGAGTTTCACTCTTGTTGCCCAGGCTGGAGTCCAATGGCACAATCTCAGCTCACCGCAACCTCTGCCTCCTGGATTCAAGGGATTCTCCTGCCTCAGCCTCCCAAGTAGCTGGGATTACAGGCATGTGCCACCATGCCTGGCTAATTTTGTATTTTTAGTGGAGACGGGGTTTCTCCATTTTGATCAGGCTGGTCTTGAACTCCTGACCTCAGGTGATCCGCCCGCCTTGGCCTCCCAAAGTGCTAGGATTACAGGCCTGAGCCACCGCGCCCAGCCTTGTTTTTATTTTTTTTTTTGAGACGGAGTCTTGCTCTGTTGCCCAGGCTGGAATGCAGTGGCACAATCTTGCCTCACTGCAACCTCTGTCCCCCAGGTTCAAGCGATTCTCCTGTCTCAGCCTCCCGAGTAGCTGGGATTAGAGGTGCACGTCAACACACCCAGCTAATTTTTGTACTTTTAGTAAAGATGGGGTTTCATCATGTTGACCAGGCTGGTCTCGAACTCCTGACCTCAAGTGATCCACCCACCTTGGCCTCTCAAAGTACTGGGATTACTGTCGTGAGCCACTGCGCCTGGCCTCTCGTTGTCTTTTATCAGTTTTACGTGCTTGACGTGTAGGTATAGAGCCTGTCTGCAAAAGAAAATTACTGTATGTGAAGTCTGATAAAGTAACTGATTGGTATCTATCTACACCCCATCCCCGCCCCAACACACACAGAAATACAGGAGGATTGAGAAATGAATTTTGAGGAGTCATGTAAAGAAAGATAGAAGGTTAAATCTAAGTTGCTTGTAGCTAAGCAGGATTTTATATTTTGGGTGCAAGAATTTAAGAAGAAAGTAATGTGTTTAAATGCTTAGAAAGGAAGGATCAGAATGTAGGAAGTGGGACCAGCAGTAGTGAAACTAGTGAGGAAAAGTTTCCCTCAGCCCATATGGGCAATTTCCCTTGGTTCCTGTGGAGCATTTGGCTACAGACACAGAAGCAAAAGCATTTAATCAAAGTGTTTAAGAACTGGGTTTTTGGCTGGGTGTGGTGGCTCACACCTGTAATGTCAGCACTTTTGGGAGGTCAAGGTAGGGGGATCACTTGAGCCCAGGAGTTTGAGACTAGCCTGAGCAACATAGGGAGGCCCTGTCTCTACAAGTAATAAAAAGCATTAGACAGGTGTGATGGCACATGCCTGTGGTCCCAGCTACTTGGGAGGCTGAGGCAGGAGAACCGTCTGAGTTTGGGGGTCATGGCTGCAGTAAGCCATGGTTGTTTCACTGCACTCCAGTCTGGGTGACAGCGTAAGACTGTCTCAAAAGAAAAAAAAAAAAAAAAAGAAAAGAAATGAGTTTTGGGGCCTGGCACGGTGGCTCAAGCACTTTAGGACGCCGAGGCGGAATTATCACTTGAGGTCAGGAGTTTGAGACCAGCCTGGACAACATAGACCCTTTCTCTACCAAAAAAAAAAGGTTTGTTTGTTGGATTATTTTTTTTTTTTGGAGACAGAGTCTTGCTCTTTTACCCAGGATGGAGTGCAGTGGCGTAGTCAAGGCTTTCTGCAGCCTCAACCTTTCAGTCTCAAGCGAGCCCCCTACTTCAGCCCCCAAGTAGCTAGGACCACAGGTGCATACCACCATGTTTGGCAAATTTTTAAAACTCTTTTTGTAGACCCTGGGTCTCACTATTTTGTCCGGGCTGTTCTTGAACTCCTGGGATTACAGGCATGAGCCAGCTTGCCCGGCCAAAAAATATTTTTAAAATTAACTGGGCATGGTGGCATGCACCTGTAGTCCTAGTTACTCAGGAGGCTGAGGCAGGAGGATTGCTTGAGCCCAGGAGTTCAAAGCTGCATGAGCTGTGATGGCACCACTGCACAACTCTTGCTCTCTTCACCACTGTGAAAAGTCTTGCTCAGTTGCTCAGGCTGGAGTCTTAAAAAAAAAAATAATAAATGGGTTTTTAAGCATTAGTTTGCTCATTCATTTATCACTGAGAGGCATTATGCTACATAATGAAAATACAAAGAAAAGTAAATCCTAGTTTTTGCTCTTGAGAAACTCAGTCTGATAGAGAAGAAAATGTATGAAAAGTTATCATATACAAACCTGTGTGAATCAATATTTTGGGAATACAGGGGGAAATCAGTGAAGGCTTCAAAAAGGAACTGACTAAATTTAAAAGGTACTAATGTCCGTCTGACCCACAGGCACCTGTTTGTGAAGTTTAACAGTGGTTATGTTTTGGAGAGAAGGCAAGGGAGTATGTTCTTGTAGCATTGCAGCAAACCACATCTATGGATGGTGGATGATTTAATCAGTCTTTGAAAAGGGTTATGGCAGCTGTTTTCAATGTGATAAAGCTTAATTGTAATCATGAAGATTATTTTGGAAAGAACCCATTTTAGTGATAATCCAACGTAAGAAGCTACTCAGAAGCAATTGAAAGGATTAGGTTGACTGGAAAATTATAAAACTGCCTAAATGTTCATATCGAGGTGATGTTTCTGGGGAGAAACACACCATTTTGTAGCCTCATGACTCATCAGTACACATGGTATTTGTCTCACTGGGGAACTCACTGTCTAAGTGGAACAAGGTTTTCCTTTTTCTTTTTGTTCTTTTTTTTTTTTGAGGTGGAGTCTCGCTGTGTCACCCAGGCTGGAGTGCAGTGGTGCAGTCTTGGCTCACTGAAACCTCTGCCTCTGGGTTCAAGCGATTTTCCTGCCTCAGCCTCCCAAGTAGCTGGGATTACAGGCGTGTGCCACCACGCCCAGCTAATTTTTGTATTTTTAATAGAGACGGGGTTTCACCATTTTGCCCAGGCTGGATTTGAACTCTACTGGCCTCAAGTGATCTGCCTCTCTTGGCCTCCCAAAGTGCTGGGATTACAGCTGTGAGCCACCATGCCCAGTGAAACAGAGTTTTTCAAGCATTCTCTCTCTCTATCTCTAGTTTTGGTTGAAAGCTGTCATTCTCTGGTGTGAACCTGGGAGGTGGAGCTTGCAGTGAGCCGAGATTGCACCATTGCCCTCCAGCCTGGGTGACAGAGCAAGACTCCGTCTCAAAAAAGAAAGCTGTCATTCTCTGGTCCCATCCCTTCATCCCTCTCCTTATACCAAGATCATTGCTTTTCATTTATTGTACTGAGCTATAATGGGTATTTTCTCTATTAAAAATATTGCTTAATATTTAAAATGAGAATCAAAGATAAAATGTTTAGTTCAAAAAAAAGGCATACTTGTCACTTTACTAAATTGTAAAATTTTTAACTTCTTTTTAATCTGTATGCAGGCAATTTTTTTTCCATCACATAAAGGTCACTGAGATACTGTGTCATTTATTTAGACCCCAAATTTTGTTTTTACAGCATGATAGTAGTATTGTTACTTTGAAAGGATTGTTCTTGATTTCTTTTTGGGGTGTTTGTGCGTATTTCAGTACTTCCAGCGGCAATGTAAGCAACAGAAAGGATGAGACAAATGCTCGAGATACTTATGTTTCATCCTTTCCTCGGGCACCAAGCACTTCTGATTCTGTGCGGTTGAAGTGTAGGGAGATGCTTGCTGCAGCTCTTCGAACAGGGGGTAAGTCCAGTGCATGTTATTTCTCAGTCCTTTGGTCACCACCCACAACCACTGCCATCTCCAACTCCATATTGCTGTTTGATGAGTGTTACCCTGTGGATAGCCCACCCACTGCTGCTTAGCTTGGGGAGAAGTTGTTGCTGATACGGGTCTGTTAAGGGGGAGAGGAGGAGGAATACTGGGGCATTTGCTTATTACTATGTAATTGTAAGAAATAGATTCCCTCTAATACATGGATGTTTTCCCTGATTTCATAGTAATGTACACTTTTTTCTCACAAATCTTTTGTTTCCCCACAATTTAATCTGCAAACTACATACCCTGATCTTATATTGAGAGTTAACAATACTGAATTGTTGAATAGTATGACATATAGTATGAATGTTTTCCATTTTCTAGTTAGAAAAAGGGAGGGTGAGTCTTGATTTATATATGGGAGCTTAATTTAATTTGAAAGTATCCAGTCTTAACATGTAACATTTGGATTTAAAGTTTTATATACAGGAATATTTGTTATTTTATACGAATTCATCCTTTTTCTTTTCTCTCATTCTGCACCATGGCTAGTTTGACCTGATTTTCTCCTTACTCTGCCCTTTCTACTTTGATTTCCTGACTGTCTCTTTTATTTTTTCTGCCTAGTTTATTTCCTTCTATCCTCTTGCATATTTGTATAGCAGTCTTCTGAGTGTGTCTGTATATGTGATTGGCAGATTAACTAAATGATTTCTTTGCATTGAAGCCTGAGTCACAGGAGACTAGACAGTTCTTTCTGTAACTTTCTCTACTCTGCTGGAGCAGCCAGAATTTATGGAGTTACGAAAAATGAATTGCCTGCTAGATCAGTTACTTCCTGTGCCTGAGGGATCAGGAATCATCAGTGCAGGAGCACTGTGGGTATCAGGTGAAGCCCAGAAAAGAAGTCTAGCGGGCAGTGAAGTGATCAGATTCTAACGAACTAAACTGAACGGTTTCTTTATGTCAGGCAAATGGGGTTTAAGAAATAGGAATGCAGTTTAATTACCTGGTATTAGAATTTTCTTTTAATCTGTTACAATAATTTGACAATTCTTTATGCCTATTTTTAGATGACTACATTGCAATTGGAGCTGATGAGGAAGAATTAGGATCTCAAATTGAAGAAGATATCCTTTGTGTGTATATTCATAATTGTTTTTTTTAATAAGTAATATTTATTGAACATATGCAAATGCCAGGCACGGTTTTACATGCAGTAGTCCTTCCAATGAATTAGGTGCTCTCATCCCATTTTACAGAGAGAAAACAGAAGCAGAAGAGGATTGGTCATTGTTCTAGATCACACAGCCTGACACTGACAGGGCTGGGATTCCATTGTAGGGAATTTGGCTCCAAGCCCATGACCTTGACCACCACGCTAGACTTTTTCCTTCATGTTGAAGCTGAATGAACTAGAAACAGCGAAGTTTAAAAGGACCTGGCTCTTTGGAAACTGAAACATATAAATCCCTAGTAAAATTGCTTCAGATAGCAGGAGAGTGAAAATATGATTGAGAACAAGAAAGGCAAACCGATAACATAATTAGAAGAGATTACAAAATACATGAGAACATTGGGTGTATCTCGTTGGCAATTTGAAAACCTAAAGAATTTCGCTTTCCTAGCAAAACATGAGTGTCCAAGATTGACTTTATGTACTTGGCAGGACAGGCTGTGTTATATTATGGTGACAACCTTGAAATTTCAGTGGCTTAACACCACAGAGGTTTCTTTCACAGATTAAACTGGACAAACAGGAATGTATTTGTCCTATATGTTCATCACAGGCTAGCTGAGGACTCTGGGCTTTGGGTCATTGTCCTCTAGGACCAGGCAGGTGGATTGGCCATTGTGAGTGGTGATGTGGCAGAAGGTAAAATGGATAAATTGCATACTGGCTTTCAAAACTACTGCTGAGGAGTGACATCTATTACTTCTGCTACCAGCCAGAAAGGTCTCTTGGTGTCACACAACTTCAAGTGGTCATAATTGTTTTAAGTAATCTGCTAGCTTAATTTTTCCTGTTGGTATAGAATTCAAAGTCTTATTCTTCACTTTTTATCTTGATTGTATTGTTTTCTTGGAAAGGAGAGGGACATCTATGTCATTTTATTTGTCTTGTTTTTCCTGTTATTGAAAAGGAAAGTACAGTATTGATGGCATTTATGACATTTAAATTTTTCTGCCTTGTAGATTGAGACTGTAGTGTCTGAATTTAAGTTGTGCAAAAGGGCATGGAAAGCACACACATATAAATGTGAAGACTTCTCAGTTAGGGGGACCTCAGAGCACACACAGTCACCTGAGCTCATTATCCCAGAGGAAGCGTGTTCTTGCTAAGCACCGGGAAAGGGCTCCAGGAGAGGGGTACTGTGTGTGAGTAGGGGCAGGGAGCATCTAGGTGGCTGTGTAACATGAGATTGTCCTGGTTGAGGAAATGGCCTTATTAGGAAGGGAGCTGTTCCAGGGTTCAGCTTTGGCAGTGGCCTCTTCTGCAGAGAAGAAGAGCCTGCTGAGGTAGCTCCTGCTGAGCTGGGGGAGGAGAGGAACCCTCACGGCCATGCTGAATGGTCTCTTCTCAGAGACCCTGTGGGAACTGTGTGACCAGAGAGACTTTAGGATCCTTAGTAGAATTCGGATTTGGGCAAGTAAAGCTTGAATAAGTTCAAGCTCCTTTTCAAACATGTGCTTTCTCATGTTGAGTACTTGAGTTACTTTTTGAAACCCTGTTGACTTGCATACTGCTGGCACTAAACATTTAGGAAATAAAACATGACTAGGCCGGGCGCGGTGGCTCACGCCTATAATCCCAGCACTTTGAGAGGCCGAGACGGGTGGATCACCTGAGGTCAGGAGTTTGAGACCAGCCTGGCCAACATGGTGAAACCCCGTCTCTACTAAAAATACAAAAATTAGCCGGGCATGGTGGCAGGCGCTTATAATCGCAGCAGCTACTCGGGAGGCTGAGGTAGGAGAACTGCTTGAACCCGGGAGGTGGAGGTTGCAGTGAGCTGAGGTCCAGCCTGGGTGACAGAGTGAGACTCCTTCTACCCACCTTCAAAACAAACAACTACTTTACAGTGTAAAAGTAATATCACTATTATTCGCCAATTACAGCTCAAGGAATTAGATATAGTACCTTGTTTTTAACATACTCTAAATTGGAAACAGTTGTCGTGAATTGCTTAGAAATTTCAGGTTTGTTTTTTTTTTTAAGATGGAGTGTCCCTCTGTCGCCCAGGCTGGAGTGTAGTGACCTGATCTCAGCTCGCTGCAACCTCTGCCTCCCAGGTCAAGTGGTTGTCCTGCCTCAGCCTCCCGAGTAGCTGGGACTGCAGGCACCTGCCACCATGCCTGGTTAATTTTTTGTGTTTTTAATAGAGACGGGGTTTCATCATGTTAGCCGGGATGGTCTCGATCTCCTGACCTCGTGATCCACCAGCCTCAGCCTCCCAAAGTGCTGGGATTACAGGCATGAGCCACCGTGCCTGGCCTCAGGAATTCTTATTTTGGCAGAACAGGAAAAAAAAGTGATCTTACTTTTGTAATTTTGCCTTTTTTCCTTAACGGCCTGGTACCTATATATCAAGAAATAAGGAATACAGACATGAAATACAAAAATAGAGTACGAAGTAGGATATCAAATCTTAAAGATGCAAAAAATCCAAATTTAAGGAAAAATGTCCTCTGTGGGAATATTCCTCCTGACTTATTTGCTAGAATGACAGCAGAGGTGAGTATGTGTGAATCTGAGGTTTCTATAATGTGATTCTGTGTTGTGAAGTGTAAAGCCTATTATCATCATAGACTACTATATAAATATTGCATATGTAATAAATTTCCGTTATTCTGATATATTTATATACTAGACAAATACTTAAGGTGATTGTGTCTTTTGTCAGTACTTTGCTCCCCCTCCAACTGTTTCCATGCTTTTAATGTGATTACACTAAATTATTTTCTAAAAACAAACGTGTTTTACTTTTTTTTCTTTCGAGACAGAGTTTTGCTTTTGTTGACCAGGCTGGAGTGCAATGGCACGATCTTGGCCCACCGCAACCTCCCCCTCCTGGGTTCAAGCGATTCTCCTGCCTCAGCCTCCCAAGTAGATGGGATTACAGGCGTGCACCACCACACCCAGCTAATTTTTGTATTTTTAGTAGAGACAGGGTTTCTTCATGTTGGTCAGGCTGGTCTCGAACTCCCAACCTCCAGATGATCTGTCCGCCTTGGCCTCCCAAAGTGTTGGAATTACAGGTGTGAGCCACCACGGCTGGCCACCAAGTGTTTTTTACTTTTTATGAATTAGTGTAGAACCAGAGAGTTGAATCTCTTAATTGCAAGTACACTTTGTAAGTGCTAACCTTTTTTGTGGTTAAACACTATAAAATTGGTCACATCATATTGATTATTTCTTTTTTTTTTTTGATACGAAATTTTGCCCTTGTTGCCTGGGCTGGGATGCAATGGCATAGTCTTGGCTCACTGCAACCTCTGCCTCCCGGGTTCAAGCGATTCTCCTGCTTCAGATTCTCCTGCTCCTGTAATCTCCTGCTGGGATCACAGGCGTGAGCCACTGTGCCCATCCTATTGATTATTTCTTAAATTTTTACAGGGAATTATGGAAAAAATGAAATTTATAGCTTGCTATTTATAGACATGGTTGTTCATAGATATTAGCTATATTGTATCTACAATTTCAACGTTTTAGTGAACATTGAAGAGAGTGAATTTTTCTTCTGTACACAAACATACCTCAGATACATTGCAAGTTTGGATTGGACTACTGCAATAAAGTGACACACGAGTCACACAAATTTTTTGACTTTCCAGTACATATAAAAGTTATGCTTATACTATAATCTACTAAATGTACAATAGCATTACATCTAAGAAAACAGTGTACACCTTATACCTTGCTAAACAATGTACACCTTGCTAAAAATTGCTCATGATCATCTGAGTCTTCAGCAAGTCATACTATTTTTCTGGAAAAGGGAATTGCCTGGATGTTGACGGCTGCTGACTGATTAGGGTAGTGGTTATTGAAGGTTGAGGTGGCTGTGGTAATTTTGTAAAATAAGACAACAGTGAGATTTGATGCATTGATGGAGCAAATATTCATGAAATATTTCTTGGTAGCCTGTGATGCTGTTTAATAGCATTTATCCATAGTAGATGTTCTTTCAGAATTGGAGTCAGTGCTGTCAAATGCTGCTGCTGCCTTATCAACTAAGTTGACATATTATTCTAAATCCTTTGCTGTCATTTCAACAATGTTCACAGCATCTTCACCAGGAATAGGTTCCATCTCAGGAAATTACTTTTTGCTCCTCCACAAGAAGCATCTCATCTATTCAGCTTTTATTATGAGATTGAAGCAACTCAGTCACATCTTGAAGCTCTACTTCTAATCTTCCTTCTCATGCTTTTTCCATTACATCTGTGGTTACTTTCATTTTTTTTTTTTTTTTTTTTTTTTGGTGGGGAATGGAGTTTCACTGTTGTCGCCCAGGCTGGAGTGCAGTGGTGTGATCTCTGCTCACTGCAACCTCTGCCTCCTGGGTTCAAGCGATTCTCCTGCCTTAGTCTCCTGAGTAGCTGGGATTACAGGCGCCCGCCACCAAGCCCAGCTAATTTTTGTACTTTTAGTAGAGACAGGGTTTCACCATGTTGGGCAGGCTGGTCTCAAACTCCTGACCTCAGGTGATCCACCCGCCTCGGCCTTCCAAAGTTCTGGGATTACAGGCGTGAGCCACCGTGCCTGGCCCCTCTGTGGTTACTTTCTCTGGTGAAGTCAAACCCCTCAAAGTCATCCATGATGATTGGAGTCAACTTTTTTCAAACTCCTCTAAATGTTGACATATTGACCTCTTCTCAATGAATCACTAATGTTCCTAATGGCATCTAGGATGGTTAATCCTTTCCAAAAGGTTTTCAGTTTACTTTATTCAGATCTATCTGAAGAATTACTTTTTGTAGAAGCTACAGCCTTGCAAAAAGTATTTCTGAAATAATAAAACTTGAAAGTCAGTTGGGCATGGTGGCCACACCTGTAATCAAAGCAGTTTGGGAAGCCGAGATGAGCAGATCACTTGAGTCCAGGAGGTGGAGACTAGCCCGGGCAACATAGCAAGTTCCCATCTCTACAAAAAAAAAAAAAAAAAAGAAAACTTAGCTGGGCATGGTGTGGTGCGTTCCTGTAATCCCAGCTACTCAGGAGGCTGAGGTGGGAGGATCACTTTAGGCCAAGAGGTGGAGGTTTCAGTAAGCTGAGATTGCACCACTGCGCTCCAGCGTGGGTGACAGAGTGAAATCCTGTCTCAAAAAAAAAAAAAAAAGTCAGAATTACTCCTTGATTCATGAACTGCAGAATCAATGTTGTTGTTAGCAGGCATGAAAATAACATTAATCTCCTTGTATGTCTCCATCAGAGCTATTGGATGACTAGGCATATTGATGACTAAGTGCATTGTCAATGAGTAGGAATATTTTGAAAGAAATCTTTTTTCTGAGCAGTAGGTCTCAATAGTGGGGTTAAAATATTCAGTAAATCATGCTGTAAATAGATGTGCTGTCATCCAGGCTTTGTTGTTTCATTTATAGAACACAGACAGAGTAGAGGTAGCATAATTCTTAAGGGCTGTAAGATTTTCCAAATGGTAAATGAGCATTGGCTTCAACTTGAAGTCACCAGATGCTTTAGCCCCTAACAAGAGAGTCCTTCAAAGTCCTTTGAGGCTTTGAAGGCAGGCGTTGACTTCTTCTCTTTAGCTGTGAAAGTCCTAGATGTCACCCTCTTCCAATATTCATCAACATTGAAAATCTTTGTTTAGAATAGCTACCTTCATCAATGATCTTAGCTAGATCTTTTGGATAACTTGCCGTAGCTTCTCCATCAGCACTTGCTGCTTCACCTTGCATTTTGTACTATGTTATGGAGACAGCTTCTTTCCTTAAACCTCATGAACCAGCTTCTGGTAGCCTCTTGACTTTTCTTCGGCAGCTTCCTCATCTCTCTCAGCATTAAAGAGTTAAGGCCTTTTTCTGGATTAGGCTTTGGCTTAAGGGAATGTTGTGGTTGGTTTGATCTTCTGTCTAGGCCACTAAAACGTTTTCATATCGGCAATAAGGCTATTTTGATCATTATTCATGTGTTCACTGGAGTAGCACTTTTAATTTCCATCAAGAAATTTTCCTTTGCATTCACAATTTGGCTAACTGGTGTAAGAGACCTAGCTTTTGGCTTATCCCAGCTTTCCATATGCCTTCCTCACTAAACTTAGTCTTATTTCTAGGTTTTGATTTAAAGTGAGACATGTTGACTCTTCCTTGTCCTTGAATACTTAGAGGCCATTGTAGGGTTATTAATTGGCCTGATTTCAATATTGTTGTGTCTCAGGGAGTAGGGAGGCCCAAGGAGAGGAAGAGAGACGGGGAAAGAGTGGAGCAGTCGGAACACACACAGCATTTGTCAAGCTTACTGTCCTATGTGGTCAAAGTTAGTGGTGCCCCTAAAACAGTGATAGTAACATAAGAAATTACTGATCACAGATTACCTAACAGATATAATAATAGTGAAAATGCTTGGAATATTGTGAGAATTACCAAGATGTGACACAGAGACATGAAATGAGCACATGCTTTTGGAAAAATAGCGCCAATAGATTTGCTCAACACAGCATTGCTGCAGACCTTCAATTTGTAAAAAATGCAGTAACTGCAAAGTGCAATAAAATGAAGCACAATAGCGCAGAGCAAGATAAAGCAAAGTATGACTGTAGCTGGTAAAAACTGGCGTGAGAAGATGACCCTGGCATATTCTATACATTTCTTGCCTCAAAACTGGAATCAGGCATTCCTCCAGAGATCCCTGACTTCTTTTGGGAGTGGGGTGTAGGCAATGCTATTAGAAACTATAATCTGGATACTAGAGGTACTCGTTGTAAGTTTACATTGTTCATAGTGTAATCACCTGACAGCTTCTTCCCGCCCACTACACAGACAAAACCAATTCACTGAGACTGCGCTATTGCGGTTAAGAAAGAGTTTTATTAATGCAAGGCTGGCCATGCAGGAGACGAAGTTATTACTCACATTAGTCTCCCTGAAGACTTGGAGGTTAGGGTTTTACAAGAATAGTTTGGTGGTAACTATTCCTAGGTGACTAGGGAATGGGTGCTGCTGATTGATTGGGGATGCAATCATAGGGATGTGGGAACTGGTCCTTCTGTACCTCTGGGTGAGGGGCCTGAGTTCTGGAGGGGTCAGTCTGAAAAACATCTCAAAAAACCAATCTCAGGTTCTACAATAATAATGTTACCTATAGGAGCAATTGGGGAAGTCACACACTTTGTGTCCTCTGGCCACATGACTCCTGAGCAGTGAGGGATTATAGAAACTATGTCTACATTTTAGCAGAGTTCAGGCCTGTCCCATAATCCTAATCCTCTGGCATTTCATTAGTCTTAACAAAGGTGATCTCAGGCTCTGAACAAGGAGGGATCGATTTTAGGGAAGGACTGTTACCATCTTTGCATCAAAGTTAAACTAAATTCCTTCCATGGTTAACTTGGCCTGTGCCCAGGAAAGAGGGAAGACAGCCAGCCTGTGACACTAGAAGCAAGATGGAGTCAGCCATGTTCAATTTCTCTCACTGTCATAATCTTTGCAAAGGTGGTTTTAGTAGCCTTTAAACAGTACTTAAATCCAATTTTCACATGTAAACTTTTAAGTATTTGAAGAAATTTTTAAAAGGAATTAAACTCTTACAAAGCCTTTGAGGAAAAATATTAATTTAATGCTTTTAAAACCTTAAAGGTTGATATGTGGTTTTATTATTATTAGGCTAATTGAGCATAAAAGCATTCAGGATATATATAGAAGGTGTCTATAACTGAGTGGTATTGCCCCCTACCTCATAGGAAATGGCTAGTGATGAGCTGAAAGAGATGCGGAAAAACTTGACCAAAGAAGCCATCAGAGAGCATCAGATGGCCAAGACTGGTGGGACCCAGACTGACTTGTTCACATGTGGCAAATGTAAAAAGAAGAATTGCACTTACACACAGGTTTGTGATTGTTTATAGATTCTTATTTTTATATAAAAATGCTTGCAACTCCTGTTTTAAAATAAATAGCAAAGATAATTACCAGTATGATAGTCCCTCACTTATCCATGGAGGGATATGTTCTAAGACCCTGAGTGGATGCCTGAAACCACGGATAGTACCTAACCCTATGTATACCACGTTTTTTCCGATACATATGTACTGATAAGTTTTATTTATAAATTAGGCATAGGAAGAGATTAACAATAATAACTTAATCAAATAGAATAATTATAACAAGATACTGTTATGAAAGTAATATGAGTGTAGTCTTTCTGTCTCTCACAGTGTCTTGCACTGTACTCACCCCTGTTCATTTGATGAGATGAGGCGAAGTGAATGATGTAGGCATTGTGACTAAGTGTTAGGCTGCTGTTGACCTTCTGATGATCCATCAGAAGGAGGCTCATCTGCTTCAGGTGGTCCTGCCTCATCGAGCCCTGATGATGTGGATGACTAATGGGTAGGTAGCATTACAGTGACACACACTGGACAAAGGGATGATCTGTATTCCAAGTGAGACAGAGTAGGATGGTACAGGCTGTCTTCATGCTACTCAGAACAATGTACAGTTTAAAACTGATGAATTGTTTATTTCTGGAATTTTTCATTTAATATTTTCAGACCATAGATAACTGAAACCATGGAAAGCAAAACCATGGATAACTGGGGACTAGTTCAAGAGGAGATAAGATTTCTTTCTTAAGTGTAAGAATGATTTTTTTTAAAAAAAATTATTATTATTTTTTTGCGGAGATGGGGTCTTGCTGCATTGTCCAGGCTGATCCCAAATTTCCAGACTCGAATGATCCTCTCACCTTGGCCTCCCGAAGTACTGGGAATACAGGCATGAGCCTCTGTGCCTTGTCAGAATGCTTTCTTAATACTGATTCTAGTTAACTAAAACCAAGTTGATATATTTATACTTTCACAGAAATAGTTACTATGAAAGCTATGTCAAAATTTATAAAATATAAGAATTAATAAAATGACCATGTTCTTTTTTAAAAGTTCATAAGCAATTGTATTGGTTACTAGGTAAATTGGCCATAATCCTTTTTATTTTGCAGGACTATATAATTTAAGGAAAGTTCTTCACGCTCCTCCACATGGCTTATGAGTACTTTAGGCTTAACTGTCTTCTGGATAATTTGTTCCTTTTTGTAATATTGATAACTTACATTTATGTACGATATGACTAGCCTTTTTATTCTTTAACAGCTGAAAACCGTGTTATAGTTATTTTGGTTGCATGTGCATATGTGAAAATTTTTTTTATCACTGTCTTAATTTCATTTGCCAAATAGGTTTTTGTGCTATGTTATCTGCTGTAAACTCAAGATTGTCTCCTTAAGGGACAACTTACTATGTTTCAGATAGTAGATTTGGGGAATTGATTTTTTCACCGATAGAACATTAAGCACTTAAAAAATAGCATCACTAAACTCTAAAGGGGCCTTTACTTAAAACAAATTTTGTTGGTAGTTATTTTTGTGGTTAAAAATTGAAAAAGTACAAAAGTTTATGAGTAGGAAATTCCATTCCCACTTTTGCCTGTGGCCACCTCGTTCTCCCTCCCTGAAAGTAAAGCAAGGTTACTAGTTTGTTGTGAAACTTAGGTATTTTATGTGTATACATGCAAATATTTTTGTTTTCCTTTTTCTTTGAGACAGAGTCTCACTCTATTGCCCAGGCTGGAGTGCAGTGGCGCCATCTCAGCTCACTGCAAACTCCGCCTCCCGGGTTCACGCCGTTCTCCTGCCTCAGCCTCCCGAGTAGCTGGGACTACAGGCACCCACCACAACGCCTGGCTAATTTTTTTGTATTTTTAGTAGAGACGGGGTTTCACTGTGTTAGCCAGGGTGGTCTCGATCTCCTGACCTCGTGATCTGCCTGTCTCAGCCTCCCAAAGTGCTGGGATTACAGGCGTGAGCCACCACGCCCAGCCTTTGTTTTCCTTTTTCTAAACACATATGGAAAATGTTATATGAGCTTCTGCCTCTTTTCTACTGTTTACAGACATGTAATCTCTATTTTCAGATATACTTAATTTAACTAGTCTGAAGTCCTTTACCTGTTTGAAGCCTCATTAAGTCACAGTTGTGTATTTCCATGTTTCATTTTGTAGCAGTTTTACTACTGATTGTTACTAAAATGCATCAACACTGATAAAAGTGGTCTCAGAAAATTCTGAGTTTGAATTGCTCTATTTTCTTTTAATCAGGTAGAAATATCTTAACAATAAAAATTGCACCCTAAAAAATGCCATCTATTAGAAAGTATTAAGTATAAATAGTTATTTAAAAGTTAAAACTTCTTTAAAAAGTAAAAGTGATATACTTACATAATCAAATTATAAATAGCTAAGACAAAAAACATAAATACCAAGTTTGTTTCTTTTAGCAAAAGGAACCCAGCCTAAAGTTGGAGCCAGTATGATTTTCTTAGAATCACAAAGTGTTCGCTTCAGATAGAAAACTCTCAAAGTTCTCATGGAAATAACAGATGTAAAAGAAATAAGTGTAACTCTTGATTACTACGTACCCAAGAGGAGATTAAAATTTTTCCCAGAGAGCAAAAGATTCATGTCCACTTTTGGGGCCCTGGATATCAGAATTAAGTATATATAAAGTATAGCAGGAGTTTTCAAACCATTTTCATCTGAAGGCCTTAAGTGAGTAGAACGCTGCTGTTCTGAGGATGGTGCTGCTTTGTCTTCCTTTGGGCCTTTGAGTTGGAAGGCATGTTAATAGTTTACCGGTGTCATGAACCTTTGATCTTTGAAGTGGTGATAAACTGGTATTTTATCATCTCTTACGGAATTTCAGTATACCTTATTCTAACTGCAACATTATTAGTATTTAGGTTCTTGCCACAACTTAAGAATAACATTTAACTTTAATAATGCTTTGTCATCTTCATTCAGAGAAATAACCTTTCTGTTTTTGAGACCTTTGATTCTGGTAATTCTCTTCAGTTTAGAACTTCAGAAATTTATAATCTTGTATAGATTAAGTTTTTAAAAATCATATTAGCTTTTTTTCTTGCTGAGTTCTCTTTTTAAGTTTTAAAAAAAGTAGTTGTGGTAGAATTTATATGTAACCTAAAATTTCCCAACTTAACCAGTTATTTTTAAGTGTACTGTTCAGTAGTAGAGCATTCACAGTGCTGTACATCCAGTCTCCGGAACACTTTTCCTCTTGCAAAAGTGAAACTCTTTACCCATTAAACAGTAACTCCCCATTCCCCTCTCCCCAGCCCAACAACCACCATTCTGCTCTCTGACTCTCAGAATTTGACTATACCAAGTACTTCATATAAGTAGAATCATAGAATGTTTGTCTTATTGTGACTGGCCTATTTCACTTAGCATAATATCTGCAAGGTTTATCTGTGTTGTGATATATGTCAGACTTTCCCTACTTTTTACGGCTGGATAATATTCCATTGTATGTTCATACCACATTTTGTATATTCATCTGTTGATGGACACTTGGGTTCCTTCTACTTTTTAGCTATTGTGAATAATGCTACTGTGAACTTAAGTGTACAGATACCTCTTTGAGACTCTACTTCCTTTCTTTTGGTTATGTACCCAACAGTGGAATTGCAGTAGTAATGGCTTATAGAAAAATTAGGAAAATACAGAAAAATATGAGTAATAAATTTAAGTCATCCATTAAGCTGCCTTCCAAAGAGAACAATTACCAGTATTTTGTTGTTTGCAATATTTAGTGAATTTTTTTCTGTGTATAGTTGGAATTAAGTACTGTAAAAACTATTTTATGCTCTTCTTTTAACTTAGCTACCATAATGTAAGCATTTCCCTCTCTTTTAAAATTTTTCCAGAGAATAGTTTGAGATGTATAAAATAAATCAGTGCTATACAAAAATAATAAAAATATTTTGCTCTTTTATTTACAAATTAATTTCATAAACAAACTTAACATGATAAACAACAAAAAGTTCTTCCATCTTTTATGGCTAGAAAAATAAATTATTTTAATAGCTATTTAAATCTGCCTCCTGCTCCCAGAGAAATTAATGTATTATATATATATATATTTCAAATTATCCCTAACCTTTAAACAAACAAGCGTAGATACTGCTCTATTTTTACATAGAATTGTAAACAGCCTTTTAAAAAGCTGGAGTAGGCTGGGTGCGGTGGCTCACATCTGGAATCCCAACACTTTGGGAGGCTGAGGCAGGCGGATCACCTGAGGTCAGGAGCTTGAGAACAGCCTGGCCAACATGGTGAAACCCCCATCTCTACTAAAAATACAAAAAATTAGGCAGGCGTGTTGGCGCTTGCCTGTAATCCTAGCTACTTAGGAGGCTGAGGCAGGAGAATTGCTTGAACCCAGGAAGTGGAGGTTGCAGTGAGCTGAGATCATGCCATTGCACTCCAGCCTGGGTGACAAGAATGAAACTCCGTCCCCCCCCCACCCCCACCCCCACTACCCCCCAAAAAAACCAGAAAGCTAGAGTAACTTTCCACTAGTTGGAATTGAACTTCATAAAATATAAACATTTTATAAACCCTACAATTCAGGTAATTTGATTTAATTATGACTAATCTATAGGAATATACAATACAAATTTGTCAGTCATCCACAATTAAGAACAACTATTTATGAAGAAAAATTTTACTATGTTTAGAATGAGATTTTATTCATATTCTTGAAAGGTAGCTTTGTTCCCAATAAATATTTCTCCTACTATTTCTGTATATTTTAGGGGATGTTTTCAATTCAAAAAGAAATAACATCCAGTTATTTGACTTTTTTTTTCTTGCTTGAAACTGCTCTGTTTTGGTTTTTACAGATTTAATAAACATTGACAAGGCAGGATCAGTGGACTTCACCGAAACCCCCACCTCCCTGGTTCAAATGATTCTCCTGCCTCAGCCTCCCGAGTAGCTGGGATTACAGGTGCCAGCCACCATGCCTGGCTAATTTTCTTGTATTTTTAGTAGAGACAGGGTTTCACCATGTTGGCCAGGCTGGTCTCGAACTCCTGACCTCAGGTGATCCACCCATCTTGGCCTCCCAAAGTGCTGGGATTATAGGCGTGAGCCACTGTGCCTGGCCCTCTTTTTTCTTTATTGCCTGAGTAAGTTCTTGTTTTTTCTGTTCTCTTTGCCAGGCTTTCTCCTCAAGGGTTTTTTCCACAGCTTTTGTTTTCTTGAAATTGGGATCTGAGGGATGCACATTGAACAAGTGGGAAGTGTACATTGCTTGAAACCATGCATTGCTAACATTTACCTCAAAGTCATCCTCTAATAATTTCTTTTTTTTCATGAGCTGCTTTTTCTTCTTTTTCTTCTTTTTGCTCAGGTTCTGGTGCTCCACAATCTTGTTGTAATTGAAGTGTTTCTTACTTTCCTCCTCCTCATCCAGTAAGGAAAGCCATTTCAGCCTTTCATCTTTCTATTTTGGTTTCTTCTTCTGGAGATGTGCCATCTTTTGCAGATTTTGTTCACTTTTTTCTTTATACCTATTTTTTTAAACTTCTTTAGCAAAGTACTGGTCATTCATATCAACATCAGAGGGAAGTTAATTTTCACTGGCCTCTTTAGCAAGAGTCTTCTTTTTCTTTTTGTCTTTTTTTCTTTCTTCTTTAAAAATTGTTCCCAAGGGGTCAGTTTATCCTTTCCTTTCAATTTGTTCTTGACCATCTCTTTGCACTTTCTTTAAGACCTGGAACCCACTTCGTTTCCATTTCCATATCATTTTCTTTGTCTTTCTTTTCTTTTTCTTGAATAACCTGCAAAAGTTGCCTATATTTAGTGATTTGTTCTTCATCGTCCTTCTGACTTTTGTTTTCCCATCTTCTTCTACATTGACTTCATCATCACCTTGTAGCTCCTCTTCTATCTCCTCTTCATTTTCGCTAGAGGAAGCTAAGTAGTCTTGAAAATCCATGTCCAAAAGCTCTTCCTTTTAAGCTTCCTGTTGAGTGTTGTAATTCTTTCATGTTCAGTCTCATCCCAAGTGATTTCCACCATTGATGTTCCCATTGCAGCAGATATGATATATATTTAGTTTATATGCTGTTAAATACACCTCTGAGGCTACGTCCTTCGGCTCATCATCAAAAGTAGTATCATCTGGTATAAACCTTAGATCTGTGAAAGAACAACTACTTTCAAATTCCAGGCCACCACAATCCTCATAAATTTTACTGGCTGTTTCAGGAGAATCACAGTCTACTACTGCATAATAGTACTTCAGTCATTTGAGTTGATAACCTCTCAGTTTTTCTCTAGAGGTCCAGTCCTTTTTTGGGGCATCTTCAGGAACACTTAATAGCTCTACTGATCCTCAAACTTGCTCTTCCTTCACCCTCTCCTTTCCAAACTCTGAAGAATATATTTTTACAGGAAATATAACACCTCCTTTAGGTTTAAATCAGTTGAACAGAGTCAGCAAATCTTTTGCCTTTAATCTATCCCAGTCCATGTTGCAAACTGCTAATTAATGTGTAATGTCATCAGCACGAGGAGCAGGTTTATCTGATTCTCTCCATGCATGCCCAAAACTTGATTCTTCTGGAAACAAATCTGCCATATCATCTTCATTTTCAGAACTAGTTTCTATATTTCCTTTACCCCTTGCAAGATTAGGGCTGCTGTCACTTGCATCATCATCCTCACCATTCTCTTCATCCTCCTCTTCATTTTCATCATCACTTCCATTGTCATCATCACCTGAAGCTCTACCAATACTTGTAATTTCATTTTTAGATTCCTCATCACTTCCTGTTTTACTAACACTTTCTAAATCTTCCTTTAGAGCATCTTTGTCAAACATTTTACTGTCTGTTGAGTTTTCATAACCATCACTGCCACTTGCCGTTATGGATGGAACCACTGGTTGCATTTCTCTTCTTGTCTTAGAACACTTGATCTTGGGAGATTTCACATCAGAGGTGCCCGAGTCTAATGTCCTTCATCTTTCTTTGAGAGAAGAGTTGATAGTATGTTGAATAATGTTTTTTTTCTCTTTTGTACTTTTTTGTGTAAATTTTTTGCTCTCCTTCTTTGGACTTATGTTGGGAGCTATCTTAGATTTACATGGTTTTCATTTTTTTAATTCTCTCAGAATTATCTATATCAGTTTTATTTTCAGAATCCTTTTGATTAGCTTTCTTGGTTTCTTTCTTTTTCTCAACTAGATTTTTTTGAATATTTCTTTTTTAGTCTGGAGTTTTTTCTTCTGTATTTTCTTTTGATTCATTGCTTTGCTATCTTTATCAGAAAGATCAGAATCAGAATCTGAAAGGTCATAAAAACGTTTCAAGTACTCTGCAGTGCTATGGTTAATGTGGTACCCTCTTATCCACAGCATAGTTCAACTTGAACTTTTTTTTTTGAGATGGAATCTTGCTCTGTTGCTGGGCTGGAGTGCAGTGGCGTGACCTCGGCTCACTGCAGCCTCCGCCTCAGGGGTTCAAGTTATTCTTCTGCCTCAGCCTCCCCAGTAGCTGGGATTACAGGTGCCCACCACCACACCTGGCTAATTTTTGTAGTTTTAGTAAAGACGAGGTTTCACCGTGTTGGTCAGGCTGGTCTCGAACTCCTGACCTCAAGTGATCCACCTGCCTCAGCCTCCCGAAGTGCTGGGATTACAGGCGTGAGCTACCATGCCCGGCCAATTTTGACTTTTTGATTCTTTTCTGGCATTTCCCAAAATCTCAGGTTCTTTGCAATGTGCCTAAACTGTTGGTCACTGATTATTTCTTGTTTGTTGCCATTTTTAACTTTTGATCTTGCTGAACATTAAATGCTTGAAGAAACCAAACACATCTGGAGTTCTCTCCCTTTTCTTTAAAAAAACCCAAAAACCTTTGTAAGCATCTTACTGGCTGTGTAATATTTCATCAGATGGATATACTTTTACTTTATGTCATTACTTCCCTGTTGGATATTTGTTTTTAGTGTTGTGCTGTTATAAAATTATACTCTTTAAACATCCTTTGTATTTTTGTGTTTTTAATTGCCATCTTAGAAATAGATTAGATATCAAGTTTCTAGGTTACAGACAATGCTGCCTAACTTTTAGAAAGGTTGTTGGAGTTATATTTGTCAGACTGAGATATTCTCAATTTTTACATCTTCTTAATTTGTAAGAGAATATTGACATATGTTTAAATTTATTCATTTCTGTGCTTCTTACTGATGAAATTGTTTTTGAGATCCTTATTCGAAATAACTTACTGATGAATTTTTAAAATATTTATTAGCTATTTATAAAAAATATAAGGTGTGACTTTAGAGGATTTTCCCACTTATCTGGGATATATTAAACAGGAAAGACAAAGAAGGACTTAGGAAAATGAAGTTTGGAAGTGCGTGCTCTGTTGACATTATTTAGCTTATTTGAACTTGTTTCAGACTTCTATTCATTTTATTGTGGTACCATTATATTTATTAAATATATATCTTTATGTATAACATTATTTGGGTTGGGTTTTTTAATAGTACTGCAAAAAGTACATTTAATTTAATTTTGCTGCAGGTACAAACCCGTAGTGCTGATGAACCAATGACAACATTTGTTGTCTGTAATGAATGTGGAAATCGATGGAAGGTATGGACTCTCTTGGATTCATATTATATACTCACTTAAAATAGAAAGATTTCTTCTGGTCTTTTCATAGGTCTGCCTAGATATCTAAATATATACAGATATGCTCACACTATACAGTACTCTTGTACTCCCTGACTACTTGTAATGGAATATACCATCTTGTTACCCTACTAGAAATAAAGAGTATTAACTTGACTTTACCACCTTTATTTGTTTTGGTGCAGGAAATGGGGAGTGAATCTTAACTGTTCAATTATTATATCACTGTCCTATTTATACTATATTCATTAAGTTGTTTTGACTCTTGTACTTCCAGAAAATCTATACATGTGTATTACTTGTTTTAATAGATTTTGATTTTGGAAAATTTTTTTTCCCTTGTTGAAATCAGACCCAATGATTTTAGTGTTTATTTTAGAAATTACAGATGAGCACTGCTGTCATTTGGTAGGCTTTTCACTAAGCCTTCATATTGCCTGTGTGCTCTTGAAATTAGTCCCACACAGGCAAGTTTATATTATTTAAATGATTCATTCTTGAGGGATTTTGTGAAACAAAAGCATAAAATTTAAATTTGGGAGCAGAAATACATATCAGTACTAAAAACATTTTAATCATTATTATAGATGAGGATGTTAAGGGTGTGAGTTTGGGAGGCTTACGTGGTAGGAGTTTAGTCTTTGGAATCATACAAACTGATTTTGAACTCCTTTGCCACTTCCCATTACTGAACTATATTGTTCTTATGTATTAAATGTAAATAGTACCTACATTTCGGATTGTGATGAAGAGTAGAGATAATATATTTAGTGTGCCTGATAATTGTTGGTGTTCTAAAAATGCTGGCTATTTTTATTAGTTTTTCTGAAGTTTGTACAAGATTCTTTTTTTTTTCATTTATACTTACATAGACTTTTCAGTTTAATGCTCATTTTGAATTATTCACTTAGCTTAAAGCACTTTCTGAAAATCAGAAATGAACTAGAAGCCATTTGGGCCAGAGTCCCAAACCATGTCGAAGATATCCATTTGGCTTCTTCAACTCCACTTTAAGGGGTTGGGGCCAGTACCTATTTTGTTTTATTTATTCATTAATTTTTTTGAGATAGATCCTCACTGTGTTGCCCAGGCTGGAGTGCAGTGGCGCTATCTCAGCTCACTGCAACCTTCGCCTCCCAGGTTCAAGCGATTCTCCTGCCTCAGCCTCCCAAGTAGCTGGGATTACAGGAATGTGCCACCATGCCCAGCTAATTTTTGTATTTTTAGTAGAGATGGCGTTTCACCATGTTGGCCAGGCTGCTCTTGAACTCCTGACCTCAGGTTATCTGCCTGCCTTGGCCTCCGAAAGTGCTGGGATTACAGGCGTGAGCCACCGTGGCCGGCCCAGTACCCTTATTACGTACAAAGATTTAGTTCTGAGCTGGAAAGATTACTGCTACTGAAAGTGTCTTCATGGTTTGAAACAGTATTTCCTACCCATCTCAGGTTGCAGAAGTTGTCATTGGTCTAGGAGAGGGACATTCACCTTCTTTTTCAATCGTGTTGAGAAAATTTGGCCTGTTCTCTTGGATTTGTTTTGCATGATGGATCTTTTTTGTTGTTGTTGTTGTTTGAGATGGAGTCTTGTTCTGTGGCCCCGGGTTCAAGAGATTCCCCTGTCTCAGCCTTCCGAGTACCTGGGACCACCATGCCTGGCTAATTTTTTGTATTTTAGTAGAGACGGGGTTTCACCACGTTGGCCAGGATGGTCTTGATCTCCTGACCTCATGATCTGCCCATCTCGGCCTCCCAAAGTGCTGAGATTACAGGTGTGAGCCACCGTGCCCAGCTGATGGATCATTTTTATTATGGTGATGAGGTGTACAGTGCAGTTTGCTTTGAATACATGCACTTTGTGACACAAGTTTTGACATAGTACTTAATTGAATTTAAGAAAGTTCAATTTTAGGATAGAAAGCTGATGCCTAGAGTGGCATATTTTAGAAGTTCAATTTTGGAATTGTTATTTTTTTTTTTTTAACCTTAAAAACATTATAAAGAGGTATTTAATAAAAATGCTGAAATTGTTTTATACAAGTTCTTTAGTTGTATGTTCCTAGTAGTTCTAAGTTGGGAAAGTCAGGCACTTAAGATAGGTGATTATTATGTGTGAAAAATACAGCATCTTTTTCAAAAATGCATCTTTTTTAAAAGCAATATCAGGTGTATGCTGTATTAAATGGGGAATGTACCTTATTGGTATTTAAAGGTCTTACAAAATATTTTTTCTTTTTTGACAGTTCTGTTGAGTTGGAAGAATTGGCAAAATATCTGGACCATTAAGAAAACGGATTTTGTAACTAGCTTTAAACTAGGCCAAGCAACTAGTTTTCCTGCAAATCAAATTTTTAAAGCAACTTGGGTTAGACTTTGTTTTTGACCTAACATCCCTTCCTTAAATGCCTTCTGTAGTTTCAGATCAGTAGGGAGACCATATAATAATTTTATGGTACCTGTTTCAAAACATATTTTTTCTGTTTTTATAAGTAAGTTGATATTAATTAAACTCTTGGCAATATTTCTTCTTTCTTAAAGGAAAATATACCTTAACTTTTTTTCTTTTACACTGTGAAACATACACAGTAGAAATTCTGTTACTCTCTGTTATTAATACATAAATGAAAATACATTTTTTTCCATATTGGCATGTAGCTACAAATATTAAAGGAGGAGAAAAGGTAATATAATTTTAGGTTTACCAAATATGGTGTGTATTCAAATAATACTTGACCAGCTTATCTAAAATGTACATAATTTTGAGGTAGCTTATGAATTTGATTTTAATTATTATGTTCACAAGCTTGGAATATTAGATATTATTTTGCATCTGTAACTAACCGTGATCATCATTTCTTGTAATTTCTTGTACATGTATATTACTTGTTCTTAATAGATTTTTGGAAACAAGACTTTATTGAGATCAGTTTGGTTTTCCTGTTAATTTACCTGTTTGACTTTATAATGTGTTTTAGTTTTGCAGAAGAACACTGTTGTAGTTTAGAAGGCTTTTCATAAATCCCCTCATAGGCAAAGATGAAAACTTCCCACTATTTTTTTCCCCTCTTAGGAAGACATACTGGAAAGAAAATGTTTAGCATCTTAGTGTAGTATAGCTATTGTAAACAGTTCATGACTAGATTTTGATTCGGAAATCTATACTGACCAAGGATTAATCTTAAGGATTGTATAATTCATTAAAGCTGTGGTCTTTCCATGTGGAGACTGATAGAAAATAATTTTGTCCCAAGTCTTATTTGCTGACTTTTTCTGTCATGAGTGAGATTGTTGAACAAACTGAATATATGGGCTATAGCAAGTAGCTTTACAGTACAGATCTTACAATTAAGTTTTGCTTTTGTTAAAGTGTGTACCATTTTTTCTGTTTGGAGTAAGACAAAAATTGTTTTGACATAGGTTCCCTAGGGTACACTTGCTCTAGCATACTTTAAAGGCCACTGTTGCAAAGTCTACATTTTATGCTGAATCTGCATTCTGTCAGGCACCCGTAGAAAGACCTCAGTACATGCTTTGCACTCTCCTTTGCTCCCTTTTTCCAATTTCTTATTGCATATCATTTTGTTGTAATACAGAAAGCAGCATTTTTAAATGTCCGTGTTAAGAATTGGCCCACTGGTACCAACTCACCTCTATTTTGTCAGTTCATAGTTGAAGATTTTGTTTTATTTCAAAAACAAAGTACATTTTTGAAATAATGTTTCAGAATAAAATAATCTCACTTTTAAGTGATCCATTTTAAAATTTGTAATTCAATAAAGTTTTTTTTGTTGTTAAACATATATCACATTTTGTCATTTTATTTAGACAATGAAGCTTGCTTTACCTTTTGTTTAACCACACACCTGCTGTCCCCTCAACTACTAAGGTATTTCTAAAGTACAGTTTTAATTAAGTGAAGCCTGGTCTTCAGTAAAAACTAGTATTCAGCAGCATTACAGAGCATGTTTTCTTTCTTATCTTTTCCTGGACCTCTGGCGATGGATGGAATGGCAGGTTCTGAGTAAATACGTGAGTGCATCCCATGTGTACACTTAATTTAATGTGAGAGACCAAATAGTGAGTCTTGCTATTGGAAAATACTAGACTTTATTTATTTATTTTTTTATTTTTTTGAGATGGAGTCTTGTTCTGTCACCCAGGCTGGAGTGCAATGGTGCAATCTCGGCTCACTGCAACCTATGCCTCCCAGGTTCAAGCGATTTTCCTGCCTCAGCCTCCCAAGTAGCTAGGATTACAGGCGCCCGCCACCATGCCCAGCTAATTTTTGTATTTTTTAGTAGAGATGGCATTTCACCATGTTGGTCAGGCTGGTCTCGAACTCCTGACCTCAGCTGATCCACCCACCTCGGCCTCCCAAAGTGCTGGGATTATAGGCATGAGCCACCGTGCCCGGCCCAATACTAGACATTTGTAAAGTAATCAGAAGTAAATATTAAGGGTAGTATTTTATGATATTTACTTTGAGGGCAAAGTAACTTTGTTAAATGAACATGCAAAGGAATTAGACAAATATACTAGCAGATAATGAAGAACCATCCTGGGGAAAGCAGAAAATGATAATCTTGGTTTTCTAGCTTACCTGGATGATGACGAGCATTGGTTTATAAATTTTGCTAAGCTGTGGCAAAAATTCAGAAATATTTATATTCACCCAATCACTTAAACCTATATGTAATCTTACAAATGGCAAATATTTTAAGTATTAAGAAGACAGCAAAAGAAATAACAGGCTGTGCTTTGAATTATTATAGCTACATAGTCGTTGTCCTTGTGGGTCAAATTGTAATTTGTGGATTTGAATTGACTTTATTTCTTTTTTCTTTATTTCTTTTTTTTTCTTTTTTTGGAGACAGGGTCTCACTCATTCACCCTGACTGGAGTGCAGTGGCACAATCTGCTCACTGCAACCTCCACCTCCTGGGCTCAAGTGATCTTCCCACCTCAGCTTCCCGAGTAGCTGGGATTATAGGTGCACGCCAGCACACCCAGCTATTTTTGTGCTTTTATTAGAGATGGGCCATGTTGCCCAGGCTGGTCTTGAACTCCTGGGCTAATGCAGTTTGCCTGCGTCAGCCTCCCAAAGTGCTGGGATTACAGACTTGAGCCACTGTGCCCAGCCATTTCTCAAAATAAAAACTACAGTTAGAGTTGTGATTTAGAGAGTTTCACTCAACAGTTGTTCCCAGGCTGGGCTTGGTGGCTCACACCTGTAATCCCAGCACTTTGGGAGGCTGAGGCAGGAGGATTGCTTCAGCCCAGGAGTTCGAGACCAACCTGGGGAACAAAGCAAGACCCTGTTTCTACAAAAAATAAAAAAACTAGCTAGGCATGGTGGTGCATACCTGTGGTCTCTGCTATTCAGGGGGCTGAGGCAGGAGGATCCTTTGAGCTCAGAAGATTGAGGCTGTAGTGAGCTGTGTTTGCACCACTGTACAACACCCTGGGCAACAGAATGAGACCCTATCTTAAGAAAACAAAAACAAAAAAACAAACCAGACCAGTGAGGTGGCTCATGCCTGTAATCCCAGCACTTTGGGAGGCCAAGGCAAGAGGATTGCTTGAGCTCAGGAGTTTGAAACCAGCCTGGGCAACAGAGCGAGACCCTGTCTCTATATAAAATTTTTAAAAAACAAAAAATTGTTTTCTATCTCCCCTTTATTTAGTTGTATTTAGTTGTAGAAAATTAATGATTCAAAAGGAATTGTATATCCCACTGGGAAACCCGATGGGGATAATCACTGAATTACTAGTGAAAGCCACATATGAGGCCAGGCACGGTGCCTCACTCCTGTAATCCCAACACTTTGGGAGGCCGAGGTAGGTGGATCACCTGAGGTCAGGAGTTTGAGACCAGCCTGACCAACATAGTGAAACCCTGTCTCTACTAAAAATACAAAATTAGCTGGGCATGGTGGCACATGCCTGTAATCCCAGCTACTTGGGAGGCTGAGGCAGGAGAATTGCTTGAACCTGGGAGGTGGAGGTTGCAGTGAGCCCAGATCGTGCCATTGCACTCCAGCCTGGGCAACAAGAGCAAAACTCTGTCTCAATAAAAAGAAAAAAAAAAGCCACATATGAAAAACAAAGGACCAATGTTAAGGATACTACTTCACAGGAAATAGGACAGAGTTACTGACAAATTCCTAGGAAGTAATGGAAGAATTATGTTGAACAATGTTTAAGTAAGTTGAAGTCAATAAAAAGTAATAGTGAAATTGAGTGGAAAAAACAGCTTATAATCATGGCTATATTCGATAATCAACAGCTATAACTTAGTAGAGGTGGAGTTAAGTTCTTGTGGGAAATGTGTTCACTGCTGTCTCTAGCATCCAGAAGAATGCCTGTCACATAGGTGCTCATGAAATAGTTTTTCTTGGATATGTCTTTATCAATGTGTTACATGATGTTCTTGGCTGTTCAAGAGCTAAGATATAAAGAAAGAAAGAATGTTCCATGGGTCGAGGACTTGCAGAGGTAGAGTGGATAATTAATGGTTGGTCATGTTTTAGACTCCAACTTTAAAATAAGGAATGTAAGGAGTTAGAGTGTTGGGAGATCCCTTTTGGTGCTTTATTTCTGCAAAGTGATGCAACAGTTTCAGTGTACTCTTGGTACTTGTTTATCCAGCTGGAGGATGGAAATTGAAAGCACAGGGAGCTGTCTCAGGTGACTTACCTTGTTCTGATTCCTCTCCCTGGATGCTATATAAAGATAGCTAATTTTTATTTTTCCCCTTAATGGCCATGATTCCAAAGAGACACATTTCATATGTGATATCCCATACAGTCTGGTTAAATTGGTCCAAGTGTTTTTATAATTGGGTGACTGAACTACTTTGAAGTAAACGTTATTTGTGTGATAATGCCAATGTGAAAGTATAGCAGGTATTAAAAAAGCAAAAACTGAGAGCACTGGAGTTTGGACTGTGATAGGTATAGCTTCTGTCTCAGCATTAGTGAACTCATGAATGAACTCAGCATTAGTTCCCAAATGCTTTCCTAATTTATTTAGGGGCAGCTTCGCCCCTTCTCCTCTCTACATGACTCCGGCAGGTCTCATTCACAGTGTCCCCCCTACCCCATGCCCGTCCTTGAGATTCCCATATGAACAGTGACAGCTAAGCCACCTTGAGCTGCGTTTGGGGCTCCCTGCAGCTTTTTGCCTACTACATGCAGAGATCCTTTGTGTATGATGAAGCTGAGGGGAGTTGAGATGGAGAGAGTCCTGATAATATCGGACATCTGGACCCAGCCATGTGGAAGCTGGAACTACTGTAGACTTCCTGCTTATGAGGAGAAATCATTTTCCTTTGTGCTTAAGCTAATTTGAAACAGGTTGCTCTCACAAGCAAGTGAAAAAAAATCTTAAATTATTTTGGGTGAATATTTGAGTTAAATAAAAGAGCTGATACAAAACATCAAAAGCTGTGAGAATACTGCTAAGATTTCCAGTTAACCTGCAGAAGCAAAAGAGACCTAGGGGAGCATTAAGGTTATGGGTTAATATCAGGCTGACTTATCTTAATGTTTTGCTGATCTGTCCATCTTTTTCAATTTTTTTATTGAGTAAGAACAGGTAACATGAGATCTACCCACTTAACAAATTTTTATATTTATAAGCACAATGTTGTACAGCAGATCTCTAGCACTTACCTTATATAAGTGAAACTTTATACCCATTGAACAGCAGCTCCCTACTTCCCCTCTCGCCAGCCCCTGGCAACCACCATTCTATGCTTCTATGAGTTTAACTATTTTATGCAGTATTTGTCTTTCTTTCACTTATCATAATGTCCTCACGATTTGTCCATTATCCTGATTCATCAATTCTGTCACATATGGCAGGAGTTCCTTACTTTTTTTTTTTTTTTTTTTGAGACAGAGTTTCGCTCTTATTGCCCAGGCTGGAGGGCAATGGCACGATCTCAGCTTACCACAACCTCTGCCTCCCGGGTTCAAGCAATGCTCCCGCCTCAGCCTCCCAAATAGCTGAGATTACAGGCGCACACCACCACACCCAGCTAATTTTTGTATTTTTAGTAGAGACGGGGTTTCACCATGTTGGTTAGGCTGGTCTCGAACTCCTGACCTCGTGATCTGCCCGCCTCAGCCTCCCAAAGTGCTGGGATTACAGGCATGAGCCATCATGCCCGGCAGGAGTTCCTTACTTTTATGGCTAATATTTCATTGTATAAACACACATATATATACATATCACTTTTTTTTGAGATGGGAGTCTCAATTTATAATGACTCAAATGATAAATATTGTGCAGAATATTCCTGCAACATTAAAAAATGGCCCCCAAACACAGGATGTAGGTATGACTTAAGAGGTCAGGTTTCTTGGAGGAGGCAAATCTTATAGAAATGATAGGAGTTCGCTGGGTAAAGAGTGGAACTTTAGAGGGAGCAGGTAAGGGAGAGCAGAAACCAAGTTTTCAGGAACAGTCATGAAGGTCTGAGTGGCATATGCACCTTTTCTACACATCTGTGTTCTAGAGACTAAAACAGAAACAGCTGGCTAGGGAGGCAGTAGCCTGACTGCAGAGGGCCTTGCTTATTATGCTGGGCCAAGAACTCAGTATTTGACTCCAGGCAATCAGGAACTACTGAAAGATGTTAAGGAGTGGAGGGATGGTGACAAGCAGAAATGTATGTGAGGATGACCACCTTGTAGGCATTTGAAAGATGGATTTGAATGGGCTGAGACTGGGAGCAGGAGACCAGGAAGCTCTTTTGTCAATGATGCAGATAAGAGATGATGGGGGTCGGAAGAAAGAAAGAGACAGGTAAGAAATATTTAGGAGGTAAAATTGGCAAGGCTGGGTGATTATGTGTGGGAAGAGAAAAGGAGGGAAGAGTCACAGTTAACACCAGATAAGAGCTTAGGTGATTGACTAGGTCACTGGGCTGCAGGCAGGGCCAGGCTTGGGGTATGGAGGCAGTGGGGTCATGAGTCACAACCAAGCAGTGGTGTGTTCCACCCTCCGTGGGATACACCGGTGGAGATGGCCAGCTGGGAGCTGATTCTCAAGTTCAGGAGAAAAGTCTTGATCCCAATTTGGTAGCCATCAGTAGATTGGTAGGTATTTTAAACAAGGGGATATGAGGACCAAGGGAGAACATACAGATTGGCAAGAAAAGGAAACCCAAGTCCATGCCTTAGGGGCCACCACATTTAACGGCCAGGTAATAACAGCAGCGACTAACGTGTAGTAAGTGCTTACTGTATTGTACATGGACTCGCTTTAATCCTCAGCAACACCAGGGATTAGCACCATTATTATCCTCAATTTCACTGATGAGGAAGCAGGCCCAGAAAGGCTGAGTTCCCACTGCCACATGGCCAGTAGAGGAGTCCGAGAGTCTGATTCCAGAACCCAAGCCCTTAGCTGCTGTGCTCTTCTGCCTGGGAAGGAAACGAAGAAGAGAGAGAATATGGAGAACTAGGAGAGCACCTCAGAAGCTGAGGGAAGTGCTGTTTCAAGGAAGGAGCCATCCATGATATCAGGAGCTGAGCAGCCCACTGAGAAGGCTGGGAAAACTGCGCTGTAGACTTGGCAGGGAGAGGCCTCCTTGGAGAAGTTGAGGGCACTGGAGCAGCTCAAGGTGAGAATGGGGAGATGAGGAAATGGAGACAGCAAGTGTGGGCTATTGTGAAAGGTCTGATGAGAAAGGGGGCAACAGGAGGCAGCTGTTACAGTGGAACGCGCGTTTGTTTTTAACCGGGAAATCGAGCATGCTTACGGTGCGGGAAAAAGCCAAGGTGAACTCAGTGATACAGGAGGGTGGGGAGAAACTGCTGGAACAAAGCTCTAAGTAAGAGTCTTTCATTTACCACTGTTCACCACCGCCCCTCGAGACACTCCCATGCATTTGCTGCCATATTTCCATATTCCCCAACTCTTCTTACTTTTATTGACAAGGTGAATCCTAAATCTCCTTTGGGGCTGTCAGTTCTGTCTATCCTTGCAATGATTTACCCTCAGCTATCTTTTCATGCATAATTCTCCAGGCAATCTTATTCCCCTATGTGCTGAAAAACCCCAAAATCAGTACGCCAGCCTAGACTCACCCACCCAGATCCCTCCATCCAACTGATTCCAACATGTCCTTTCATGTGTGTCTTCCCTCGTTCTCAGCATGTCGATTCCTTTGGGGTCACTCAGTTATGAATACCATCTCATCCAGTGCCCTCTCTGCCTCCAACACATCCATTCTTCTTGTTCTCTGGATTTTGACTTTGGTGCCATCTCCACCAGAATCTTTCCATAACCCTTCGTGACTCCCACAGCGCTGTTCTTCCCCTGCTGTGGTTCTTACTATATCAGAGTTGCCACTGACATGTCTGTCTGCCTTTACTGAATGTAAACTACTAGAGGGCAGGGTTTATGTCTTATTTGCAATCACATCCTTTTTTTTTTTTTTAGTAAGAAATGAGATTGGAAAACTTGGAAGCACATGTAAGGGATTGACACCTCAAAAAGGAGGAGAGCACATTGTTCTCTGGGACTGGACTGAGGGAGATGAGAATAGACGCTGATCTATATATATTTATAGGTTGCACGGGAAGTTGAGGGGACTTACGGACACAATTTGCATAGTAGAGTAGGAGGTAAAATGGTTTCCTGAGAATGAAGGAGAGGGGCTTGGGTTTGGGGCTTGAGTTGAGTCATGAAGATACAGGCAGGCTATGGAGGGGCCAGGGAGGGAGAAGGACCCAGAGGAGAACCATTCCCCTCGAGGGCAGGAGCACGGTGCCGCCTCCTGCAAAGTAGCGTCTTTCCCACTACTCAGAGCGTCCCAGATTTTGAGTGTGTTTCCTATTCTATGTAGAGATGGATTTCTTCAGGATGGTCTAGGTCTACCAACTGGTAGTTTTACCTGTGAGAAGTTATTCTTTTTATCTATGATAAAAATAGTGGGATCTAAGGACAGAATCCTAGTCTGGGAGCTAAAAGATAGGCTGCACGTATCCCTACTTTCTTAATCTTCTATTTCCCAAATACGTACATATGGAAAAATAAAGATTGAGATAAAATTCTTGTGCTTTATTTCTTTAAAGAATGAAAATGCCCATATTTCTTTCAGTAATAAAAATGGAAATATGCTTATTTGACAGTTTTGTTGTGAACATGACCAAGTTATGAATTTAAAAATTCATTCTTTAGGTTGGCAAATTCTGATAATAACAGTAACTCTTTTCAACAAAAGAATTTTCTAAGCACTGCTGCTGTTACCAGACACTTGAGACTGATCCACTTCAGAGCACAGTGCTTTCCATTAACCATGTAGACATCCACACGCACACATATGTCTCCATACATACATACATACATACTGTAAGATCAAGTAGAATGCTATTTTTACATGTAGTGGTCACATCTTTTATGAACTGTGAATTTGGGTCCTGCAATGGCACTGGTAAGTGACGTATTCAAACCGAGCTTGCTGGACAGAAGATGTCGTTGAGAAACACCTGAATGTCTTTTCTTTGAGGGGAGAGTAATCAGTTACCAAACTCATGCAAAATAAAAGTGGTTCCCTTTGCTCTGGTGGATGTACCTGCTCCGGGCAGCAGGGAGCCTTCTGTGTAGCCTTGGCCACTGACAACATGCTACTGTTATTGTAAATGCAAATACGCTATCTTTCTACAACAGCCATATCCCTTTATTTTTTTTTTTCAAAAGTATCACTAAAGGTGGCTGCAGTTTACATGGTGAATATATAGCAGTCTGTTGAAGGAATCATCTGTTATTAGAATAGCCTGAGTATTACTCCAGCAGAAGATGCTACAACCTCTAAATTCCCTGTGCTAGTTGTAGCCCATGAATTCTTTTATTATTTTATTAATAATAAATATATTTGAAAAATCCTATGCTTCAATAGATTTCTCCGATAAGGACTGAAGCAAGTCCTTATAGACAGCAGAGTTCATGAATCGAGGATATGAGTCTCTGTGCATCAGGGTGTAAATCTGAAGTTGAGCATCATCGAATATGTGTTGGGATGGCTCCACCATGTTTCTGTTGATCACTTCTCTCACCCGGGAGTCTAAGCTCACCTGTCGACAGAAACGAGTAGGAGCTGTATTAGAGACTTCAGTTGTATCTCTATCCCAAACTCCTAGAGCTTGTGGGGATTTTTGTTGTTGTTTTTGTTTTTTGTTTTTGGTTTTTTTGTTGTTTGTTTTGTTTTGAGACAGAGTCTTACTCTGTCACCCAGGCTGGAGTGCAGTGGCGCGATCTCAGCTCAGTGCAACCTCCGCCTCCTGGGTTCAAGCAATTCTCCTACCTCAGCCTCCCGAGTAGCTGGGATTACAGGCACCCACCACCACACCCGGCTAACTTTTTTAGTAGAGACGGGGTTTCTCCGTGTTGGTTGGTTTCGAACTCCTGACCTCAGGTTATCCGCCCGCCTCGGCCTCTCTAGCTGCTGGGATTACAGGCATGAGCCACTGTGCCCGGCCTTGTTGTTTTTTAAATATCCCAAACCAAACAAGATCATCCAAAAAATCCAAACTGCCAAAGAGAAACCAAAAGCATAATCAACGCAGTTCTCAAATGTCAGTGGCATCAGCAGGCTCCAGAGGGCTTGTGAGAGCGGTTCCTGGGCCCCACCCCAGACTCAGTAGGTGTAGGGGCCCCTGATGCTTGTTATTTCCCACAAGTTCTAAGTGATGCTGGCAGGGCTCACACTGCTGCTTTGAAGAAAACAGGCAGCACAGACTGCCCCTTGCTCATTTCCTTGTAACGTGGGGGCTGACACCTGGAGGCCCAGGCTTCCCCTGCTGGCCCACAGTGGCAGGGCTCTGGGGATGAGTGCTGGCCTGCCCGGAGGGTTGGGCACAGGGGTGAAGTGGAAGTTGACTCAAAACCCTGGAAGGTTCCAATCACAGGGCCTGAGGGCAGACAATGCCTGTGTTTAAATTCCAGCCCTGCCTGGGTATGGTGGCTCACGCCTGTAATCCCAGCGCTGTGGAGTTCGAAACCAGCCTGGCCAACATGGCAAAACCCCATCTCTACTAAAAATAAAAAATACTAGCTGGGCATGGTGGCAGGTGCCTGTAATCCCAGCTACTCGGGAGGCCGAGGCAGGAGAATCGCTTGAACCTGGGAAGCAGAGGTTGCAGTGAGCCGAGACCATGCCACTGCACTCCAGCCTGGGCAACAGAGCGAGACTCCATCTCAAAAACAAAACAAAACAAAATCCATCCCTGTCACTGTATAGCTGTGGGGCCTCAGGCAAGGTAAACTCTGTGTCCTAGTGAGCTCTTCCCCTGAAGTGGGGATGATGATGATGGTAATGTCTTAGGTTTTTTGTGATTTAATGACAAAGTGCTTGGATTTCACTAAGCCCATAGGAGATGTTGATTGCTCTGATGTTTGGCTCTTCCTAGACAAGGTGATCTGCCTGCTTCGGCCTCCCATAGTGCTGGGATTACAGGCGTGAGCCACTGTGCCCGGCCTGTTTTTGGTTGTATAATACTTTAAAAGATTGATGAAAAACCTTGCCTTAAAAAAAATCATGACAAAATAAAAATATGTGGAAGCCATAAATTAAAGGACAAAAATTATCTTGCTCCTTATTAATTCAAAATGAAAATAACTTTTTGGACTCAGTATTCAAACATGTCAACTGAATATTACCAATTTAACAACGCAAACTTAAGAAAGCAAAACGTAACGACGCAAAATTAAGTAAGCCAACGACCCCACCACCTGGTCTGCCTACACCAGACATATGGGAGTCATTTGAGACGGTGGGGTTTGCCTCAAATCCGACTCTTCCTCTCTAGCGTCTTCAGCTGGCCTAGCTAGGCCCTCACCATGTCCCTTTGGACTCCTGAATTAGTTTTCTAACGTCTTCTGCCCCTGGTCTTCTCCAAATTCACTCTGCAGCCCTACTGGTCTTTCAAAAATCAAAATTTGATGATATAAACAGGCTAAAATCCAAGGGCTTCCCAAGATAAAAATCCAGACACTTCGCCATGATGCCCAAACCTCTCCATGCTCTCCGACTACCCCTTCTCTAAGTCTCCTCCTGCTGCCTGCCCCCAGCCCTAATAGTTTGGTAAGCACCCTCCCTTTCTGGCACAATCTGTGTATACTTGCAGTGATCACACAACTTCATGCTCTTCCCCTGGGCTCGCCTGGTCCTGTCTCCTGGGATGTCCCCATCCTGCTGTGTTTGTGGAAATTTCCTTTTCACTATCCTTGGTCCATCTGTAGCCTCCTTGAGTATTTTTCTCATTCTCGCCCACCCCTTTGTGGATGGCTCACCCCCGAGCCCCAGTGAGTGCTGAGAGTGTGGCCAGGGGTCCTGGTCTGTCCGCCCACATCTCCAGGAGCTCCATGACAGGAGAGGCCCTGCTTCTTCAACTTGACATTCCTGTCGGCACATAGTAGGAAATAACTAATAGTTTTATAATTAGAGCTACAAGGCACCCAATTTGAGAACAATCTGACCTCCTAAATTTTATTTTATTATTATTATTTTTTTGAAATGGAGTTTTGCTCTTGTTGCCCAGGCTGGAGTGCAATGACGCAATCTCTACTCACTGCAACCTCCGCCTCCCGGGTTGAAGTGATTCTCCTGCCTCAGTCTCCTGAGTAGCTGGGATTACAGATGAATGCTACCACACCTGGCTAATTTTTTGTATTTTTAGTAGAGATGGGGTTTCACCATGTTGGCCAGGCTGGTCTCGAACTCCTGACCTCAGGTGATCCACCTGCCTCGGCCTGCCAAAATGCTGCGATTACAGAAGTTGGCCACTGTGCCAGGGCTGGCCTCCTACATTTTAGATTTGAAGAAACTGAAACACTGACAGGTGGAAACTTGCCCAATCTCATTCATCTGATAATTTCTTGAATGAAAAAGCCAGCCTGGGGAAAACCTTTTCAGCATCAGTATCACATCTGTGATGCTGCTGCTCTATAACATCAAGATACCTAAATACAAGATTTTTCTCAGAATAACAAGATAATTTTATTTAAAGGAACGTCTTAGGGTATAATATTTGTAAACAGTGTTCAGTGTCAAATGGAGACTCCAGGGGATACTTTTTCCAGAAAAATGCACAAAATTTTTCACAGATTTCAGAGGACACTTGGAGCCCTCTGCAAGTCCACAGTCAAAGTGATCTGAAAACCGTGAATGTGGGTGCAGCTGTTTGGTCATGTTCAGCTTGACCCAGAACATCAACTGCAAAATGTAGAAAACAGCTGCACCCGCATTCACGGTATTCAGATCCCTTTGACTGTGGACCTGCAGAGCGGCTCCAAATGTCCTCTGAAATTGGTGAAAAATTTTGTGCATTTTTCTGGAAAAAGTTAAAAGTAATGGCGAGGCCGGGCACGGTGGCTCACGCCTGTAATCCCAGCACTTTGGGAGGCTAAGGCAGGTGGATCACGAGGTCAAGAGATCAAGACCATCCTGGCCAACATGGTGAAACCCTGTCTCTACTAAAAATACAAAAATTAGCCAGGCCTGGTGGTGCGCACCTATAATCCCAGCTACTCTGGAGGCTGAGGCAGGAGAATTGCTTGAACCCGGGAGGCAGAAGTTGCAGTGAGCCAAGATTGCACCATTGCACTCCAGCCTGGGCGACAGAGTGAGACTCCATCTCAAAAAAAAAAAAAAAAGGCAATTACTTTTGTTTAGTTTTTTGAGATGGAGTTTTGCTGTTGTCACCCAGGCTGGAGTGCAATGGCACAATCTCGGCTCACTGCATCCTCTGCCTCCTAGGTTCAAGCGATTCTCCTGCCTCAGCCTCCCAAGTAGCTGGGATTACAGGCGCCCATGACCACACCAGGCTAATTTTTGTATTTTTAGTAGAGACGGGGTTTCACCATGTTGGTCAGGCTGGTCTCCAACTCCTCACCTCAGGTGATCCGCCCGCCTCAGCCTCCCAAAGTGCTGGGATTACAGACGTGAGCCACTGTGCCCGGCCTATGGCAATTACTTTTGCACCAAGTTAATTTTACCAACAGCCTTGGGAAAAGGCATCTCGTGGTCACATACCTCCTTAGGAGAAAGTATAGAAATGTAGTCTTCATAGATTATCCTTGCTTTCTCTTCAATAATGTTTTTATTAGCTTCCTTTTTCAGTTCCTCACAGGCCATCCAGAAGAGCATATTTTCCTCACTGAATTCTGTTCGGAGGAATTCACGGAATGCATTCCTTCCTGCTGGAGTGACCATTAATTTGTCAAATGACTGAGCCCAGGCGTTGACTTCTTCCAGAGTAGGAGCAGGGCTTCGTGGAGACCAAAAGAGAGGGGGCAAAAGGGAACTGTTAGTGGTAGTTAATTGGAATTCATCATTAGGAACATATCTTTTCCTCCTCCAAGAATGAAAAATATATGCATTTAGGCCCTTTTAGGAAGGGAAAGAACTGTTCGCATTTCCTCAAACCTTTGGGAAAAACACATGAATATGATACTTTCAAATTTTTTGCTGGATTGCATACCAAAAGGCTTGCAAACCAAGTTGCTAGAATAAATGCTAAGAACATGCTTGTTTACAAATGGGCACATCTTGAAATATTTTAAAAACTGTAAATGTAAAGAAAAATCCTGCAACCATCTGACCCAAAACTTCCTAATCATCTGTGATGAGTTCTGTACTACGACAGAACTAAGTCAGATTTGACAACATTAAACCTCTGGAACAATAGAGCAAGTGTCTGTTTAATATATTTTAAAATTATATAATATTTGAGAAAGAGAATATATGTAGTATAAGTGCAAGTTATAAATGCCACCGCTGTACTGTCCAAAGGTGACAACAAAATGAACACTTTTTTTTTTTTGAGACAGAGTCTCACTTTGTTGCTGAGGCTAGAGTGCAGTGGTGTGATCACAGCTTACTGAAGCCTCGACTTACTAGGCTCATATGATTCTCTCTCCTTGGCCTCCCAAGTAGCAGACCCTGCAGGCACGTGCCACCACGCCCAGCTAACTTTTTGTATTCTTTGTAGAGTCAGGTCTTACTATGTTGCCTAGGCTGCTCTCAAACTCTTGGGCTCAAGCGATCTGCCCACCTTGGCCTCCCAGAGTGCTGGGATTACAAGTGTGAGCCACTGCGTCTGGCTCACTTTATAAAAAACTTATAAACATTTAAAAACTATAATTAGGGGGTGCAAGTGCACTTTTGTTACATGGATATATTGCACAGTGGTGAAGCCTGTGTTTTTAGTGTAGCCATCAATGGGATAGTGTACATTGTACTCATTAGGTAATTTGTCATCCCTTACCTATCTCCCACCCTCCCATCCACCTTTCCGAGTCTCTAGTGTAAATGAACACTTATGAATGCGCCATTTTCCTTAAGAACCAGAACAGCACTGATAATGTTGCATTTATTTTCGTGCTACTTCTACTTGCTACTGTCTCTTGGCTTTGTCCTCTAGGGAACTGCTATACTTGATTTTGGGCTTACCCCTTTGAGTTAATTCTTACTTCTGTCATAATTATATTGAGATCAGAAAACATAGCTTAATAATGATCCTTAATATCTCTTTTATCTTGTTTCCATAGTTTCAAATGTATGTATGTAATCCTGAAAAATGTAGTCTTTAGTTTTTATTTCTTTATTTTATTTTCTTGAGACAGAGTCTCTCTTTGTTGCCCAGGCTGGAGTACAATGGCACGATCTCGGCTCACTGCAACCTCCGCCTTCCGGGTTCAAGTGATTCTCCTGCCTCAGCCTCCCAAGTAGTTGGGATTACAGGTGCTTACCACCACACCCGGGTAATTTTTTGTATTTTTAGTAGAGATGGCGTTTCACCATGTTGGCCAGGCTGTCTGGAACTCCTGACCTCAGGTGATCCACCCACCTTGGCCTCCCGAAGTGCTGGGATTATAGGTGTGAGCCACTGTGCCCAGCCAGTTTTTTTTTTTAAGTTTATCAAAATGGTTGACTATATGTTGTCTTCTGCAACTTGCTTTTTCCACCCAACATTAAGTTTCTTTTTTCTTTTTTGAGACAGAGTATTGCTCTGTTGCCCAGGCTGGAGTGCAGTGGTGTGATCTCGGCTCACCACAACCTCTGCAATACTCTGTCTCAAAAAAAAAAAAAAAAAAAAATTAGCTGGGCATGGTGGCATGTGCCTGTAATCCCAGCTACTCGGGAGGCTGAGCCAGGAGAATCACTTGAACCCGGGAGGCAGATGTTGCAGTGAGCCGAGATTGCACCACTGCACTCCAGCCTGGGTGACAGAGTAAGACTCTGTCTCAAAAAAATAATAATGATGTAAAATAAAATAAAATAAATGTCAAACATATGAGGATTTTTAGTTCACTTTTTAATTTCTGTTTTTTTAGTCTTACTCTGTTGCCCAGGCTGGAGTGCAGTGGCGCGATCTCGGCTCACTGCAACCTCTGCCTCCCGGGTTCAAGCGATTCTCCTGCCTCAGCCTCCCGACTAGCTGGGATTACAGGTGGGTGCCACCACCCCCAGCTGATTTTTGTATTTTTAGTAGAGACGGAGTTTCACCATGTTGGCCAGGCTGGCCTCAAACTCCCTACCTCAGGTGATCCGCCTGCCTCGGCCTCCCAAAGTGCTGGGATCACAGGCGTGTGCCGCAGTGCTCGGCTTTATTTTTTAATTTCTAACTTCTATTTGAATTATATTGGTGTCAGTACAGTTTGATTAATTATGTTCCTTGAAATTTATTGAGATACTTTATAAGGTAATGCTTGGTCAGTTATCATAACTGTTCATGTTTGCTTGAGAAGGATATATATTTTCAAATGTTTAAATCCAAGTTTTTGTAAATGACCAATAAATATAGCTTATTAATTAATTTCTCCCTGTTTCTTTTTTTCTTTTTCTTTTTTTCTGATACAGGGTATCACTGTGTTGCCCAGGCTGGAGTGTAGTGGTGTGATCATGGCTCACTGCAGCCTCAACCTCCTGGGCTCAATTGACTCTCCCACCTCAGCCTCTAGAGCAGCTGGGACTGCAGGCACGCACCATCACAGCCAGCTAAATTTTTTTGTATTTTTTTGTAGAGATGAGATTTTGTCATGTTGCTCAGGCTGGTCTCAAACTCCTGGACTCAAGCTTTCCCCCATCCTTGGTCTCCCAAAGTGCTGGGACTACAGGCAGGAGCCACTGTGCCTGGCCCAAATTTCTATAATTTGTCTAAAATTTCTATCTGTTAGAAATATCAGTAACTAAGAAAGGAATGTGGCAATCTCCCTCTATCGTTAGCAGATTTGTAAATGTCTTGCTCTAGCAATTTTTGCTTTTGATGTTTGAGATTATTTTATTAGGTACATACAAGTTGTTACACTTTCCTAGTAAGCTAAATCATTTAACGTTCTAGTAGTGACTTGCTCTGTCTCTAAAGTGCTTTAAAATTTTTTAAAGTCTATTTTGTTTACTGCTAGTATGGGGAAGAAGTATAGATTAGTGGATAAAAACAGACTCTGGCCTGTAATCCCAGCACTTTGGGAGGCTGAGGTGGACAGATCACTTGAGCTCAGGAGTTTGAGACCAACCTGGGCAACATGGTGAAACCCCGTCTCTACTAAAAATACAAAAATTAGCCAAGTGTGGTGGCCCATGCCTGTAGTCCCAGGTACTCGGGAGGCTGAGGCAGGAGAATCACTTGAACACAGGAGGCAGAGGTTGCAGTGAGCCAAGATCGTGCCACCGCATGCCAGCCTGGGTGACAGAATGAGACCCTGTCTAAAAAAAAAAAAACAAAACATTAATGTCAATTCTTATCATTCTATCCTCCATTTATTTTAACTTATTTTTATATAGGTTGAACATCCAAAATTCAAAAATCTAAAATCCATATTGCTCCAAAATCTGAAACTTTTTGAGCATTGACATGACACTCAAAGGAAATGCTCATTGGAATAATTTGAAGTTTTGGACTTGGGATGTTCAACTGGTAAGTATAATGCAAATATTCCGAAATCTGAAAAAATCTGAAATCTGAGACATTTCTAGTTCCAAGCATTTTGGATAAGGGAAACTCAAACTGTATTTCAATCTCCTTGTTACGTGGGTCTTTTTGGATACCTTCAGGTTCACTAATTATTTATTTAGTTGTATCTAATCTTCTATTTCAATCATCAATTTTTTTAAAATTTGAACAATAATATTTGATTTTTAAAACTTCTATTTTATTTCTTTTCAAATCTTCCAGGTCATTTCTTAAAGAAATGTGTTAACACGCTGGGCGTAGTGGCTCACGCTTGTAATCCTAGCACTTTGGGAGAACGAGGTGGGCGAATCACCTGAGGTCAGGAGTTCGAGACCAGCCTGGCCAATATGGGGAAACCCCATCTCTACTAAAAATACAAAAATTAGCTGGGCATGGTGGTGGGCGCCTGTAATCCCAGTTACTTGGGAGGCTAAGGCATGAGAATCGCTTGAACCCAGGAGGCAGAGGTTGCAGTGAGTCAAGATTGCACCACTGTACTCCAGCCTGGGTGACAGAGCTAGACTCCATCTCAAAAAAAAAAAAGAAATGTGTTAACAGTGTTTACTCTCTTAGAGGTTAGACCACTTTCTTTACTTATATACCATTAAATTTTTGGCAAGCATCTATAGCTTTTTCTTTCTCCCTCTCCCTTTATTGATTGATTGATTGATTGAGGCAGAGTCTTGCTCTGTCTCCTAGGCTGGGGTGCAGTGGTGCAATCTTGGCTCACTGCAACCTCTGCCTCCAGTGTTCAAGCAATTCTCCCTGCCTCAACCTTCCAAACAGCTGGGATTACAGGCGTTTGCCACCACGCCCCGCTAATTTTTGTATTTTAATAGAAAAGGGGTTTCACCATGTCAGCCAGGCTGGTCTCAAACTCCTGACCTCAGGTGATCCGCATGCTTTGACCTTCCAAAGTGCTGGGATTACAGGTGTGAGCCACCGTGCCCACCCACCGTATATTATATAATATACTTTTATTTTTAAAATATAACTGTTTCATGTTTGCTTGAGAAGGATATATATTTTCAAATGTTTAAATCCAAGTTTTTGTAAATGACCAATAAATATATATACTGTATCTTATATATAGTATATATAAATATATACTGTATCTTATATATAGTATATATAAATATATACTGTATCTTATATATAGTATATATAAATATATACTGTATCTTATATAGCATATATAAATATATACTGTATCTTATATAGCATATATAAATATATACTGTATCTTATATAGCATATATAAATATATACTGTATCTTATATAGCATATATAAATATATACTGTATCTTATATAGCATATATAAATATATACTGTATCTTATATAGCATATATAAATATATACTGTATCTTATATAGCATATATAAATATATACTGTATCTTATATAGCATATGTAAATATGTACTGTATCTTATATAGCATATGTAAATATGTACTGTATCTTATATAGCATATGTAAATATGTACTGTATCTTATATAGCATATGTAAATATGTACTGTATCTTATATAGCATATGTAAATATGTACTGTATCTTATATAGCATATGTAAATATGTACTGTATCTTATATAGCATATGTAAATATGTACTGTATCTTATATAGCATATGTAAATATGTACTGTATCTTATATAGCATATGTAAATATGTACTGTATCTTATATAGCATATGTAAATATGTACTGTATCTTATATAGCATATGTAAATATGTACTGTATCTTATATATAGCATATGTAAATATGTACTGTATCATATATAGCATATGTAAATATGTACTGTATCATATATAGCATATGTAAATATGTACTGTATCATATATAGCATATGTAAATATATACTGTATCATATATAGCATATGTAAATATATACTGTATCATATATAGCATATGTAAATATATACTGTATCATATATAGCATATGTAAATATATACTGTATCTTATATATAGCATATGTAAATATATACTGTATCTTATATATAGCATATATAAATATATACTGTGTCTTATATATAGCATATATAAATATATACTGTCTTATATATAGCATATGTATATATACTGTATCATATATCGTATATATAAATATATATACTATAACTTACATATAGTATATATACTATCATATATATAGCATATATAAATATATATACTATCTTATATATAGCATATGTAAATATATATACTATATCATATATATAGCATATATAAATATATATACTATATCATATATATAGCATATATATACTACATCTTATATATAGCATATATATACTACATCTTATATATAGCATATATAAATATATATACTATATCCTACATATAGCATATATACTTATATATAGTATATATACTATCATATATATAGCATATATAAATATATATACTATCTTATATATAGCATATGTAAATATATATACTATATCTTATATATATAGCATATGTAAATATATATACTATATCATATATATAGCATATATATACTACATCTTATATATAGCATATATAAATGTATATACTATATCCTATATATAGCATATATAAATGTATATACTATATCCTATATATAGCATATATAAATGTATATACTATATCCTATATATAGCATATATAAATGTATGTACTATATCCTATATATAGCATATATAAATGTATGTACTATATCCTATATATAGCATATATAAATGTATGTACTATATCCTATATATAGCATATATAAATGTATGTACTATATCCTATATATAGCATATATAAATGTATGTACTATATCCTATATATAGCATATATAAATGTATATACTATATCCTATATAGCATATATAAATGTATATACTATATCCTATATAGCATATATAAATGTATATACTATATCCTATATAGCATATATAAATGTATATACTATATCTTATATATAGCATATATAAATGTATATACTATATCATATATAGCATATATAAATGTACTATATCTTATATATAGCATATATAAATATACTATATCTTATATATAGCATATATAATATATATACTATCTTATATATAGCATATATAATATATATACTATATCTTATATAGCATGTATAAATATATATGCTATATCTTATATAGCATGTATAAATAAATATGCTATATCTTATATAGCATGTATAAATAAATATGCTATATCTTATATAGCGTGTATAAATATGCTATATCTTATATAGAGTGTATAAATATATATACTATATCATATATATAGCATATATAAGTATATATGCTGTATTTTATATATAGTATATATAAATATATATGCTATATCTTATATAAAATTATATGATATACTTTTATTTTTAAAAGTATATTATATAAAAATAAAATAACATAATATGTTTTGTTAGGAAGAATCTATTTGTATTTGCAATTAGCAAAGGGATTAGACTAATAATGGAACTGATTTCTCTCCCTGTCACACGATGAATTAAATGGAATTCTGCAGGGGAGGAATGCGAGGCCACATAATGATTGGATATTACTAAATTACAGTTAGAGAAAGTATGTGTTCTGTTGAAACATACAAGGCAAAGAAAAGAAAGAGGTTAGTATTTCTGTTAGTTTAGTGAGGTAAAAAAAACGTGTGATTTCACCTTTCTTCCCAGGTTGGAAGATCTGCTCTGAGTTCGTGGGAAGCTATTGTGGGCCTCTGATCTTCCTGGTTTCTAACAGTGAGACTGCAAAAAAAAGACATTCACATGTTGACAGCTCAGTCCCTGCCAAGAAAAGATTTTTTACAAATACTTTAAAGAGAACTTCAGATCCCCAAGTATTAATAGAATTTCTTCCTCTACTTGGAAAAAAAAATGACCCCAGTTAGTTTTCCCAAGCAAACCAAAAGTGTGACAATAAGGTACTAGAAATATAAATAAACGTTGTGGTTTCTACTATTGAGAAAGAGTTAGAAATTATTGTGTTCAATTATACTTAGAATAATGATTTTTTAAATAAAAACATTCATTAGAAAATAGTAAAAAAGGGTTCGGCGCGGTGGCTCATGCCTGTAACCCCAGCACTTTGGGAGGCCAAGGCAGGAGGATCACTTGAGGCCAGGAGTTTAAGACCAGCCTGGGCATCATAGCGAGACCCTGTCTCTATTTAATACAAAAATTAAAAAAATGAAAATAGTAAAAAAGTAAGACTGTCAGGAATGTATTGGGGTTTCATTTCATTTTCTGCATCTTAAAAAGTATACATCCTCTAGGCTTTGTTTCCAGTCAAAATGGAGGCTTCATATATTTATAGGCAAATATACAAAAGTAGTAGAGAAAAATAAAGTGCATAATCAAAATCTATTGTATTTCTCTAAAGAGTTTGTTTTCTTATACACATTCTGTACATTTGTCTGTAAACTTATTCCAAGTATTTTTGTTGTTATCGTAAATGGAATTTGTACTTTTATCTCATCTTGTAACTGGTTATTGTTGTAATATGAATGCTATTTTTTTTTTTTTGGAGACCAAGTCTTGCTCTGCTGCCCAGGCTGCAGTGCTGTGGCGCAATCTCAGCTCACTGCAACCAAGCGATTCTTGTGCCTCAGTCTCCTGAGTAGCTGGGACTACAGGCATGTGCCAACACGCCCGGCTACTTTTTGTATTTGGTTTCACCATGTTGGCCAGGCTGGTTTCAAACTCCTAACCTCAAGTGATCCACCCACCTGGACCTCCCAAAGTGCTGGGATTACAGGCATGAGCCACCGTGCCCGGCCACTTTCTTAATCACTTTATTGAGCTATCATTCATATGCCGTCAAGTTTATCTGTTTAAAGTGTACAATTCAGTGGTTTTTAGTATACTCACAAAGTTGTGCAACCATCCCTACTATCTAATTCCAGAACATTGTCATCACCCCCAAAAGAAACCCCACCAGTAAGCAGTCACTGCTTATCACCTGTATCTCCCCACTCTACCGGCCCTAGGCAAGCACGAATCCGCTTCCTGTCTCTATAGATTTGCCTGTTGTGGAGCATACCGTATGTGATCTTTGCTGGCTGTCTCCTTTCACTTGGCGTAATGTTTTTGCACTTAGCCCATGCCGTAGCATGTATCGGCACTTCATTTCTTTTTCCAGTTGAATAATATCTCATTGTTTGGATAGACACATCACATTTCGTTTGTCCATTCATCAGCAGATAGACATTCGGGTTGTTTCCACATTTTGGCTGCATGAATCATGCTGCTATGCACATTCCTGTGCAAGTACGTGCGAACATATATTTGTGTTTCTCTCAAGTAGAAACCTCGGAGTAGAACTGCTGAGTCATATGGTAACTTGAGTTTTAACATTTTGAGGAACTCCCAAACTGTTTTACAAGGCAATTGCACCATTTCACATGGTAATATTTGAGGGATCCAATTTCTCCATGTCCTTGCCAACAGTTACTGTTGTCTTTTTTATTCTAGCTTCATAAGTGGGTGAGAAGTGGTATTTCATTGTGGTTTTGATTTGCATCTTGCTAATGACTACTGATGTGGAACATCTTTTCATGCATTTACTAGCTATTTGTACATCTTTGGAGAGATGTGTGTTCAGATGTTTTGACCATTTCTAAATTGATTTATTTGCATTTTATTATTGAAATGGAAGTGTTCTTCATTTTAAGACCTGAAGCCTACAGAGTATTATTTTAATGATAATTTTATATCCTTCTTATTTCTGAATTCTTCTGTATTTGTATCAGTTATAGCTATAATTCTCTTCGGGTTTCATCTGCAAATAGGAAGAATTTTACCTATTTCCAATTCTCAGGCCTCTAATTTTCTTGTCTAATTAGCTAACACCTAAAATACTTTTTTTTTTTTTTTGAGACGGGGTCTTGCTCTGTCTCCCAGGCTGGAGTGCAATGGCGTGATCTCAGCTCCCTACAACCTCCGCCTCCCGGGTTTAAGTGATTCTCCTCCCTCAGCCTCCTGAGTAGCTGGGACTACAGGCGCGCACCACCACACCCAGCTAATTTTTGTATTTTTAGTAGAGACGGGGTTTCACTATGTTGGTCCTGCTGGTCTTGAATTGCTGACCTTGTGATCTGCCCGCCTCGGCCTCCCAAAGTGTTGGGATTACAGGCGTGAGCCATCGCGCCTGGCCAAATACATTGTTAAATAGTAGTAGAGATTGTGGACATTTTGCCTTATTCATGATTTTTGCAGGAATGCTTTCAGCATCCCATCAACATGAAAATGGATTTTATCACTGACAATTTGGGTTTTCTTTATCTTGTTGCTACTGTATTTTCTATATTCTTTATTATATCTTTTCTTAACACTATTTTATAAAAGTTTTTCAGCCTGTTTTTAGCACAACTGTTTTATAAATTTTCAGTGTGTGTGTGTGTGTGTGTGTGTGTGTAGCTCTATTTTTCTTTAAAGGCAAAATCATTAGAAATGCAGGAACCCTTTTGACTTCTTTCTTTCATGATGTCAGGGCTAAATAGTTTCAGTAAATAATGGCTTCTTTAAAAAAAAATCCAACCAAAAAAAACTTGAGAGGCATCTGAGTGGTACGCTCTCTGCATGACTTCCGAGGCTTCTTTTGTAAGCAAAACACATTACTGCTCAGTGGGTATGAAAAAGCAGAGGAAAAAAGAGATGAATTTGACAGGAGTTCCTCAGAGAACCAGAAGCTGTACTGCAAACTAAATAATGCAAACTTATTTCAGCTTTGATATACTTTTTCCCTCATTTCAAGTAAGAATGTTTTAAAGAGACAATGTGGTTTTGAAAAAGAGAAGAATTTTTTTTTGTGAAGTTTTCTTTACCTCGGTCCACTGTTATTGTTACAGCAGACCTAGAAGATGTCTATAGTAGCCAAGATAGTTGCTCGCTGTGTTTTAGGAAGTTTCAGTAAAAGAAGACCCATGGCCAGATATATTTTGGTAAAATTTTGAGTGATAAAGAGAAAACTTACTAGAAAGGAAAAAAACTTTATATTCAACTGAACAAGAATCAGCATGCCTTCCCTTATAACACTAAATACCAGAAGGCCTTACAGCAAAATGTTGAGAAAGATTCACAAGTACTTAGAAAAGAAATTGCCATTTACTTTTCTTGAAAATTGACTTGACTATGTATATTAATATGGATAAATCTCAAAAGTGTGGTGAAAAAAAACAAGGAAATTCACTATTAAAACAGTTGAAGTTTGCTGTGTACTTTTCCCCATCTCATTTCTTCCTCTCTTTACCCTAGAGAGAGCCACCATTTTTAACTTACTGTTTACCATTCCAATTCATAATTATGCTACTATATTATATTCATAAACATATTTTTAAACATAGTATAAATGTAATTATGTAACATGTATTGCTTTATAATTTTTTTTCCCTCTAGCATATGAATTTATTTATTTCTGAGACAAGGTCTCACTCTGTTGCCCAGGCTGGAGTGCAGTAGCATGATCATAGCTCACTGCAGCCTTGAACTCCTGGGTTCAAGTGATCCTTCCACCTCAGCTTCTAGAGTAGCTGGGACTACAGGCACATGCCACCATGCCGGGCTAACTTTTTTTTTTTTTTTTTTTAGTGGAGACATGGTCTCGCTGTGTTGCCCCAGCTGGTCTCGAACTCCTGGGCTCAAACAATCCTTCTGCCTTGGCCTCCCAAAGTGCTGGGATTACAGGCATAAGCCACCACGCCTAACTTATTTATTTGTTTAGTTTTGTTTTTCTAGTATATGAATTTAAGTGCTGTATGGTAGTGGATTGTATAACTATACCACAATATATTCATCCATTCTCCTGTCTATACCCTTTAGAACCATTTTAAATTTTTCTCACTCAGATGAATGCTGTAGTGAATCTTCTCATACATGTCTCCTTTTTTTGCAGGGGTGTGAGAAGTTTTTCCAGGGTATAGGTTTTTCTTTTCTTTTTTTTTTGTTTTTGTTTTTCAGACAGAGTCTCACTCTGTTACACACACTGGAGTGCAATGGCACAATCATCATTCACTGCAGCCTCAACCTCCCTGGGCTCAAGCGATCCTCCCACCTCAGCCTCCTGAGTAGCTGGGACTACAGGTGTGCGCCACCATGCCTGGCTAATTTTTGTGTTTTATTTTTTATTTATTTATTTTTTTGAGATGGAGTTTTGCTCTTGTTGCCCAGGCTGAAGTGCAATGGTGCAATCTCGGCTCACCGAAACCTCTGCCTCCCAGGTTCAAGCGATTCTCCTGCCTCAGCCTCCTGAGTAGCTGGGATTATGGGCATGTGCCCCCATGCCTGACTAATTTTGTATTTTTAGTAGAAACGAGTTTTCTCCATGTTGGTAGGGCTGGTCTCGAACTCCCGACCTCATGTGATCTGCCGGCCTCGGCCTCCCAAAGTGCTGGGATTACAGGCGTGAGCCACCGCACCCAGCTGATCTTTTTTTTAAGGTGGGAATTGATTTTTGTATATGGTGCTATGTAGGAATATAAATACATTTTTATATATTTGGATACCAAGCAGGATGACCAATTTTCCTGGTTTGCCTAGGGTTTTCAGGTTTTCTGGGCTATGGGACCTTTCAGTGCTAAAACTGAGAAAGTCCTATCAGTGGGGATGAGTTGGTACCCAAATACCAAGTATCCTGCTATTTACTGAATAGTTCATTTTCTCCTTTGCTGATGTCACTTTTATCACGTGTTGGTAAGGTTTTCTAGATTTATTGTCTTTCACTGATGTTAAAACTATAGGGTGTATTTTTGGACTAATTATGAATAACATTACTTTTGAAAGAAAATTTTCTTTTAATAATTTTTTCTAAGAAAGTCTGAATTATTTGATTGTATGTCATTGACATGAGATTGTTTACAGCTTTGGTTTCACACTTTTTAACACAAAATTCATTGCCACATTTTATATCAATATTTGACCCCGTTGTATCTATGATTGTTACTTGTTTCCTGAGTCTTTCCTCTGGGTTCCCTTTTTTTCCTCTGAAGTAGGCCCTTTCTTCGGTTCTTTTAGGTTTGCAGGCAGTAAACTCGGTTGGCCTTCGTATGTCTGAGAATGTCTTATTTTACCCACACTCTTGAATTATGGTTTGACGGAGTTTTCAGTTACTTTTCTCCAGCACTTTGAAGATATTGCTCTATTGTCTCTTCTACACACACCTAAGTACTACAGAAGTGTTGGCTATGATGGTGATGATAGTGTCTTAGGTACAGATACTTATTTTATTCGTCCTACTTGTTACCTGTAGGAGGAGCCTGCTCTGGGACCTGACCCGCCCTCTAGCCTTACACTATCCCGGGACAATACGTTGTTCAGGTCAGCATGTCAGCCGCCTCCCACACCCTGCGTGAGGCAGCAGAGAAAGGAGGGAGCGGAAGGTTTGAACGTCAGCTGGAGTCTCACCTGCACCTGGACATCCTGCACATCTCTAGGAGGATGGTCTCATTTCCCCACTGAGACCTACTGGCAGAGTGAGAATATAGGCCCCTAAATGCAGTCTGGCCATCACTGGTGTCTTCCTCCTTTAGGGCAGGCCCTGGACACCCACGTGTTTCCTCTGCCCACCACCAGCGCCTCTCCTCTGGCTTCCTGCAGAGCTGTCCAGATTCCTACCAGGGGCTGAAGTCTCACCTTGACACTGCCTAGCTCTTGTCAGCCCCATGGCCACGTTTCCTCTTGCTGTGGGAATGAAGAGACCATCGGTATCGGGATCCCCTTGGTGGATGTTCTATTGCTGTGTCCCTTCCACCAGATTGGAACTTCTTGGAAATGAATACTAGCCTGAGTTGGGCAGGAGCCACCAAACTTCCCCGGGCATTTCATTTTCAACTCCACTCTCCTCCCCAGGGATCAGTTCTGTTAGTTCCATTTCACGGTTCGTGATCAGTCCATTATCAGTTTTTCTTCTCTTCCAGCAGACAGTGAGGTCTTGGTCTAACTTACTGCCAAGCCTACATAAATTTAGGATGATTTGATTGCTGAAAGTGGTTCACAAACTTGGCTGGCACTAAGCACTTTTCATATCCAAGATTCCAAAGATGTAACCTAAAGTTCCCATGATTTTTAGGTGTAAATTATCTCCTTTTCTCCAGACCTTTAACAGCTACTCAAAGGGTCACAGATGTTTTACATTCAAGTCGTTTCTTTCCTTTTTAAAGCAATGACTGTCTGTGTGTCTTCCTCTACCCAGTAAGTTAGCATATATTTTAATATTTCTCTCTCTTTAAAACACATATTTTGACATTTCTCTTTATTACAAAACAAAATTTATGAAATGGAAGCAGCAGAAGGTAAAATCCAGGCTCCCTCTACTTCATCGCCCTAACCTTTAAGACCTATCTTAGATCCTAAGCCTTCATTACCACAGGAGTGCCTCGAGTCCAATTCTTTCTAACCATTTCTGCCCAAATGTTGATAGTCAATCGTGAACCGCCTGAGGTTGTTCTTTAGTTGTTTAACACACGTTGGCCTGATTTGAGGGATCTGAGCATAAACCCCTTGAGAGCTAGACAGATGCAGCCTGTTGTTATTTCTTGGGTGTCCCTGTGTGTCAGGCATATAGTAGTTGCTTAAAAAACACTTATTGAATTAACCATAAGCTGCCACCACTTTCAGGGGTGCCACGTCCCAGTCAGGAGCACATTACACTTCCCAGTCAGGAGCACATTCATTAAAAAGCCCCAAACCTTACCACGAGCAGCTACAACAGCAGCACCAGCAGAAGCAGCATGCGTTGGACCCGCGACTCCCCGCTCCGGGCTGGCCTGGGGCGGCGCCTGGTGTGTCCTGGGCGGCGGGCATCTGCCGCTTCCGCATCTCCATCCGCTCTGATCCCATCTGCTGCAAGAGGGAGAGGAACAAAGCGGGCGGGAGGGGGTTCCAGCGTTATGAAGGCGTAAGCCCAGGGAGTCAGCTGTTTGGATCATTGAAAAGATACAGTGCGACTACATTCAGGTCATTTTTGCTACTTCTCGTAAAATTTAGTGCTTAGAATCTTAGGATCAATTAATGTATCCAACATGTAACGCTTATCCTCTGCCAAGCATTGAGATACATTCCAGGGATAAACTAGCAGATGGAAGGCCCCTCCTTAGGCGCTCACAGTTCAGTAAAGGAGACAGAGACACACGCACTGAAGACTCTGCAGTCAGTGCTACGCAGGGCCGTTCCCAGCTCCAGGCATCCCTGTGGCCTGAACCAAAGGGGGACAGGGATGGTGGCAGCTTCATGACGCTGCCTGTGAGGCCAACGCTCAGATATGGGAGGAGGTCAACATGGGAAGGGCGGCCCAGCTAATACAGCAGGCTGACGAGAGGTCAGAAGAGGAGGTGAGTCCTGGATGCCAGAGTGGCCTGAGTCACATCTTTCCTAGCTGCGTCACCTTGCAGAAGTGATTGAAATTGGGACGTGGAAGCATTCAGAACCCCGCCTGGTACAGAGCAATTGCTCAATTATTCCCAGGAAGCCAGGCAGGAGAGCCAGACTGTGGCCTGCCCGGACCTGTCTTTCCGTACCAGGGATGGTCACCCTCACCTACTTCAATGGAGGCCAAGCCATACGACACAAAAGATCTGTGCCCTTCAGCCTCTGCCCTGTTGTTGGGGACTCCAAGAATGTGAAAGAAGAGAGATATAAAAGCAGCATGAGAAGCAAGAAATTGCTAAGCCCATTTTACGTTGGATACTATCACTTGATGGAGCTAATTGCAAGCTAATATCAAGGACACATTAAAGAACCATAAATAAGACTTTAGAATTAATTTCTGGATCTATTATTCTATTTCAACATTAGATTTGTCTGTTCCTATTGATTATTACCTAATTCTCTATACTGCTGGACTTTGTTCTAATTATTTTATTTATTTTTATTTTTTAAATTATACTTTAAGTTCTGGGACACATGTGCAAAACCTGAAGGTTTGTTACATAGGTACATAGGTATACACGTGCCATAGTGGTTTGCTGCACCCATCAATCCGTCATCTACATTAAGTATTTCTCCTAATGCTATCCCTCCCTTAGTCCCCCATCCACTGACAGGCCCCAGTGTGTGATGTTCCTCTCCCTGTGTCCATGTGTTTTCATTGTTTAATTCCCACTTATGAGCGAGAACATTCAGTTTTTGGTTTTCTGTTCTTGTGTTAGTTTGCTGAGAATGACGGTTTCCGGCTTCATCCATGTCCCTGCAAAGGACATGAACTCATCCTGTTTAATGGCTGCATAGAATTCCATGGTGTATATGTGCCACATTTTCTTTATCCAGTCTATCATTGATGGGCATTTGGGTTGGTTCAAGTCTTTGCTACTGTGAACAGTGCCTCAATAAACATATGTGTACATGTGTCTTTATAGTAGAATGATTTCTAATCCTTTGGGTATATACCCAGTAATGGGATTGCTGGGCCAAATGGTATTTCTGGTTCTAGATCCTTGAGGAATCATCACACTGTCTCCCACAATGATTGAACTAATTTACACTCCCACTAACAGTGTAAAAGCATTCCTATTTCTCCACATCCTCTCCAGCATCTGTTGTTACCTAACTTTTTAATCATTGCCATTCTAACTGGCATGAGACGGTATCTCATTGTGGTTTTGATTTGCATTTCTCTAACGACCAGTGATGATGAGCTTTTTTTCATGTGTCTTTTGGCTGCATAAATGTTTTCTTTTGAGAAGTGTCTATTTGTATCCTTTGCCCACTTTTTGATGGGGTTGTTTGTTTTTTTCTTGTAAATTTGTTTAACTTCCTTGTAGATTCTGGATATTAGCCCTTTGTCAGATGAGTAGGTTGCAAAAATTTTCTCCCATTCTGTAGGTTGCCTGTTCACTCTGATGATAGTTTCTTTTGCTGTGCAGAAGTTCTTTAGTTTAATTAGATCCCATTTGTCAATTTTTGCTTTTATTACCATTGCTTTTGGTGTTTTAGTCATGAAGTCTTTGCTCATGCCTATGTCCTGAATGGTATTGCCTGGGTTTTCTTCTAGGGTTTTTATGGTTTTAGGTCTTATGTCTAAGTCTTTAATCCATCTTGATTTAACTTTTGTATAAGGTGTAAGGAAGGGGTCCAATTTCAGTTTTCTTTTTTTATTTTATTTTTATGTTTATTTATTTATTTATTTATTATTATACTTTAAGTTCTAGGGTACATGTGCACAACGTGCAGGTTTGTTACATATGTATACATGTGCCATGTTGGTATGCTTCACCCGTTAACTCATCATTTACATTAGGTATATCTCCTAATGCTATCCTTCCCCTCTCCCCCCAACTCCACGACAGGCCCTGGTGTGTGATGTTCCCCACCCTGTGTCCAAGTGTTTTCATTGTTCAATTCCCACCTATGAGTGAGAACCCAATTTCAGTTTTCTGCATATGGCTAGCCAGTTTTCCCAACACCATTTATTAAATAGGGAATCCTTTCCCCATGGCTTGTTTTTGTCAGGTTTGTCAAAGATCAGATGGTTGTAGATGTGTGGTGTTATTTCTGAGGCCTCTGTTCTGTTCCATTGGTCTATATATCTGTTTTGGTACCAGTACCATGCTGTTTTGGTTACTACAACATTGTAGTATAGTTTAAAGTCAGGTAGCGTGATGCCTCCAGCTTTGTTCTTTTTGCTTGGGATTGTCTTGGCTATACAAACTCTTTTTTGGTTCCATATGAAATTTAAAGTAGTTTTTTCCTGTGAAGAAAGTCAGTGGTAGCTTGATGGGGACGGCATTGAATCTATCAATTACTTTGGGCAGTATGGCCATTTTCAGGATATTGATTCTTCCTATCCATGAGCATGGAATGTTTTTCCATTTGTTTGTGTCCTCCCTTATTTCCTTGAGCAGTGGTTTGTAGTTCTCCTTGAAGAGGTCCTTCACATCCCTTGTAAGTTGTATTTCTAGGTATTTTATTCTCTTTGAAGCAATTGTGAATCGGAGTTCACTCATGATTTGGCTCTCTTTTTGTCTGTTCTTGGTGTATAGGAATGCTTGTGATTTTTGCACATTGATTTTGTATCCTGAGACTTTGCTGAAGTTGCTTATCAGCTTAAGGAGATTTTGGGCTGAGATGATGAGGTTTTCTAAATATACAATCATGTCATCTGCAAACAGAGATAATTTGACTCTCTCTCTTCCTATTTGGATACCATTTATTTCTTTCTCTTGCCTGATTGCCCTGGCCAGAACTTCCAATACTATGTTGAATAGGAGTGGTAAGAGACGGCATTCTTGTCTTGTGCCAGTTTTCAAAGGGAATGCTTCCAGCTTTTGTCCATTCAACATGATATTGGTTGTGGGTGTGTCATAAATAGGTCTTGTTATTTTGAGATACATTCCATCAATACCTAGTTTATTGAGAGTTTTTAGCATGAAAGGGTGTTGAATTTTATTGAAGGCCTTTTCTGCATCTATTGAGATAATCATGTGGTTTTCGTCATTGGTTCTGTTTATGTGATGGATTATGTTTATTGATTTGCATATGTTGAACCAGCCTTGCATCCCAGGGATGAAGCCGACTTGATGGTGGTGGATAAGCTTTTTGATGTGCTGCTGGATTCGGTTTGCCAGTATTTTATTGAGGATGTTCGCATTGATGTTCATCAGGGATATTGGCCTGAAATTTTCTTTTTTTGTTGTGTCTCTGGCAGGTTTTGGTATCAGGATAATGCTGGACTCAAAATGAGTTAGGGAGGAGTCCCTCTTTTTCTATTGTTTCTATTGTTTGGAATGGTACCAGCTCCTCTTTGTACCTCTGGTAGAATTAGGCTGTGAATCTGTCTGGTCCTGGGCCTTTTTTTGGTTGGTAGGCTATTAATTACTGCCTCAATTTTAGAACTTGTTATTGTTCTATTCAGGGATTTGACTTCTTCCTGATTTAGTCTTGGGAGGGTGTATGTGTCCAGGAATTTATCTGTTTCTTCTAGATTTTCTAGTTTATTTGTGTAGAGGTGTTTATAATATTCTCTGATGGTAGTTTGTATTTCTGTGGGATCAGTGGTGATATCTGCTTTATAATTTTTTATTGTGTCTATTTGATTCTCCTGTCTTTTCTTCTTTATTAGTCTGGCTAGTGGTCTAGCTATTTTGTTGATCTTTTCAAAAACCAGCTCCTTGATTCATTGATTTTTTGAAGGATTTTTTGGTGTCCTCCTTCAGTTCTGCTCTGATCTTAGTTATCTGTTGTCTTCTGCTGGCTTTTGAATTTGTTTGCTCTCACTTCTCTAGTTCTTTAATTGTGATGTTAGGGTGTCAATTCTAGATTTTTCCTGCTTTCTCCTTTGGGCATTTAGTGCTATAAATTTCCCTCTAAACGCTGCTTTAGCTGTGTCCCAGAGATACTGGTAGGTTGTGTCTTTGTTCTCATTGGTTTCAAAAAACTTATTTATTTTTGCCTTAATTTCATTATTTACTCAGTAGTCATTCAAGAGCAGGTTGTTCAGTTTCCATGCAGTTGTGCGGTTTTGAGTGAGTTTCTTATTCCTGAGTTCTAATTTGATTGCACTGTGGCCTGAGAGACTGTTTGTTGTGATTTCTGTTCTTTTGCGTTTGCCGAGGAGTGTTTTACTTTCAATTATGTGGTCAATTTTAGAATAAATGTGATGTGGTGCTGAGAAGACTGTATATTCTGTTGGTATGGGGTTGAGAGTTCTGTAGATGTCTATTAGGTCTGCTTGGTCCAGAGCTGAGTTCAAGTCCTGAATATCCTTGTTAATTTTCTGTCTCGTTAATCTGTCTAATATTGACAGTGGGGTGTAAAAGTCTCCAACTATTATTGTGTGGGAGTCTACGTCTCTTTGTAGGTCTCTAAGAACTTGCTTTATGAATATGGATGCTCCTTTATTGGGTGCATATATGTTTAGGATAGTTATCTCTTCTTGTTGTGTTGATCCCTTTACCATTATGTAATGATGCCCTTCTTTGTCTTTTTTGATCATTGTTGGTTTAAAGTCTGTTTTATCAGAGACTAGGATTGCAACGCTTGCTTCTTTTTGCTTTCCATTTGCTTGTAAATATTCCTCCATGCCTTTATTTTGAGTCTATGTGTGTCTCTGCACGTGAGATGGGTCTCCTAAATACAGCACACTGTTGGGTCTTGACCTTTAGCCAATCTGCCAGTCTGCATCTTTTAATTGGGGCATTTAGCCTGTTTACATTTAAGCTTAATATTGTTATGTGTGAATTTGATCCTGTCATTATGATGCTAGCTGGTTATTTTGCCCATTAGTTGATGCAGTTTCTTCATAGTGTTGATGGTCTTTACAATTTGGTACATTTTTGTAGTGGCTGATGCCGGTTTTTCCTTTCCGTGTGTAGTACGTCCTTCAGGAGCTCTTGTAGGGCAGGCCTGGTGGTGACAAAATCTCTCAGCATTTGCTTGTCTGTAAAGGATTTCATTTCTCCTTTGCTTATGAAGCATAGTTTGGCTGGATATAAAATTCTGGGTTGAAAATTCTTTTCTTTAAGAATGTTGAATATTGGACCCCACTCTCTTCTGGCTTGTAGGGTTTCTGCAGAGAGATGTGCTGTTAGTCTGATGGGCTTCCCTTTGTGGGTAACCCGACCTTTCTCTCTGGCTGCCCTTAACATTTTTTCCTTCATTTCAACCTTGGTGAATCTGATGATTATGAGTCTTGGGTTGCTCTCTACGAGGAATATCTTCGTGGTGTTCTCTGTATTTCCTGAGTTTGAACGTTGGCCTCTCTTGCTAGGTTGGGGAAGTTCTCCCAGATAATATCCTGAAGAGTGTTTTCCAACTTGGTTCCATTCTCCCCGTCACTTTCAGGTACACCAATCAAATGTAGATTTGGTCTTTCTCATAGTCCCATATTTCTTGGAGGCTTTGTTCATTCCTTTTCATTCATTTTTCTCTAATCTTGTCTTCACACTTTATTTCATTAAGTTGATCTTCAATCTCTGATATCCTTTCTTCCACTTGATCAATTCGGCTATTGATACTTGTGTATGCTTCAGGAAGTTCTTGTGCTGTGTTTTTCAGCTACATCAGGTCATTTATATTCTTCTCTAAAATGGTTATTCTAGATAGCAATTCCTCTAATCTTTTTTCAAGGTTCTTAGCTTCCTTTCATTGGGTTAGAACATGCTCCTTTAGCTCAGAGGAGTTTATTACCTACCTTCTGAAGCCTCCTTCTGTCAATGCGTCAAACTCATTCTCTGTCCAGTTTTGTTCCCTTGCTGGCAACGAGTTGTGATCCTTTGGAGTAGAAGAGACATTCTGGTTTTTGCAATTTTCAGCCTTTTTGCACTGGTTTTTCCTCATCTTCATGGATTTATCTACCTTTGGTTTTTGATGTTGGTGATCTTTGGATGGGGTTTCTGTGTGGACGTCCTTTTTGTTGATGTTGATGCTATTCCTTTCGTTTGTTAGCTTTCCTTCTAACAGGCCCCTCTGCTGCAGGTCTGCTGGAGTTTGCTGGAGGTCCATGCCAGACCCTGTTTGCCAGGGTATCACTAGCAAAGGCTGCAGAACAGCTGCCTGTTCCTTCCTCTGGAAGCTTCATCCCAGAGGGGCACCCACCAGAGGCCAGTTGGAGCGCTCCTGTATGAGGTGTCTGTCGACCCCTGCTGGGAGGTGTCTCCCAGTCAGGAGGCACAGGGGTCAGGGACCCACCTGAGGAGGCAGTCTGTCCCTTAGCAGAGCTCAAGCACTGTGCTGGGAGATCTGCTGCTCTCTTCACAGCCGCCAGGCAGTAAGTCTGCTGGAGCTGCTCCCATAGCTGCCCCTTCCCCCAGGTGCTTTGTCCCAGGGAGATGAGAGTTTTATCTATAAGCCCCTGACTGGGGCTGCTGCCTTTCTTTCAGAGATGCCCTATCCAGAGAGAAGGAATCTAGAGATACAGTCTGGCTACAGCGACTTTGCTAAGCTGCAGTGTGCTCCTCCTAGTTCGAACTTCCTGGTGGCTTTGTTTACACTGTGTGAGGGGAAAACCGCCTACTCAAGCCTCATTAATGGTGGACGCCCCTCCCCCTATCAAGCTTAAGCATCCCAGGTCAACTTTAGACTTCTGTGCTGGCAGCAAGGATTTCAAGCCATTGGATCTTAGCTTGCTGGGTTCCGTGGGGGTGGGATCCACTGAGCTAGACCATGGCTCCCTGGCTTCAGCCCCCTTTTCAGGGGTGTGAACGGTTCTGTCTCGCTGGCATTCCAGGTGAAACTGGGGTATGAAAAACACTTCTGCAGCTAGCTCGGTGTCTGCCCAAATGGCCACCCAGTTTTGTGTTAAGGGCAGCCAGAGAGAAAGGTCGGGTTACCCACAAAGGGAAGCCCATCAGACTAACAGCACATCTCTCTGCAGAAACCCTACAAGCCAGAAGAGAGTGGGGTCCGATATTCAACATTCTTAAAGAAAAGAATTTTCCACCCAGAATTTTATATCCAGCCAAACTATGCTTCATAAGCAAAGAAGAAATGAAATCCTTTACAGACAGGCAAGTGCTGAGAGATTTTGTCACCACCAGGGCCCTAGTGGTGTAGGCATCAGAGGAAATCTTTTGGTCTGTAGGTTGCAAAGACTGTGGGAAAAGAGTACTGTCTGGGTCGGAGTGCTCTGTCCCTTATGGCACAGTTTCTCATGGCTTCCCTTGGCTAGGGGAGGGAGTTCCCTGACACCTTGCACTTCCTGGGTGAGGCGACACCCCACACTGCTTCTGCTCACCCTCCGTGGGCTGCACCCAACTGTCTAACCAGTCCCAATGAGATTAGCCAGATACCTCAGTTGGAAATGCAGAAGTCACCCACCTTCTGCATTGATCTCATTGGGAGCTACAGACCGGAGCTGTTCCTATTCAGCCAGTTTGCCAGCCACAGGTTGTTTGTTGTTGTTGTTGTTGTTGTTGTTGTTGTTGTTGTTGTTTTGGAGTTTTGCTCTTGTTGCCCAGGCTGGACTGCAATGGCATTATCTTGGCTCACTGCAACCTCTGCCTCTCAGTTTCAAACAATTTTCCTGCCTCAGCCTCCTGAGTAGCTGGGATTACAGGTGCCCACCACCACGCCCAGCTAATTTTTGTATTTTTAGTAGAGATGGGGTTTCACCATGTTGGCCAAGCTGGTCGCAAACTCCTGACCTCATGATCTGCCCACCTTGGCCTCTCAAAGTGCTGGGATTACAGGCGTGAGCCACTGCACCTGGCCTTAATTAGTCTTGCATGTAAGTTTCAGGACCACAAGAAAGACCCATCAAAGGGCTTTACTGTTTTTTTCTTCTTTCATCCACTGTGAAAACAATGCTCCCAACATACCCAGAGACCACCCACAGTGCTCTGCTGGGGTTACTGAGTTGGTGTGGCTCACTTAGCCAAAAGGTGGAGGCAGAGACACACGGTCAGCCACAGTCATGCTTTATGGGTACCACAGGGAGACAGCTTCGAAGGCAGAAACTCTAGGCTCAAGTGACTCCAGGGATCACGTCTTCACCTCACCTGTGGAGGAGATAGCCTAACCATGGTTTCACTTCATTCACTCAATTCGGGCACTGAGGCCTCAGGACAAGCCAGCACAATCTCCAAACCAAGATGTTTTGAACAAAAGATGCTCCAGGTAACTATTATTTCCTATGAGATGTTGATGCAACTTGCCTCATTAAAAAAACATATTCCTTGGGAGGCCGAGGCAGGCAGATCACTTGAGGTCAGGAGTTCGAGACCAGCCCGGCCAACATGGTAAAACCCTGTCTCTGCCAAAACTACAAAAAAAATTAGCTGAGTGTGGTGGCACACACTTGTAATCTCAGCTACTTGGGAGGCTGAGGCAGGAGAATCACTTGAACCCCGGAGGCAGAGGTTGCAGTGAACTGAGATCGTGCCACTGCACTCCAGCCTCGGCAACAGTGAGACTCTGTCAAAAAACAAAAAACAAAAAACAAAACCATATCCTAATTAATTTCCAGAAGTAGGAAGGACTGTGACATGGTGCTGTCCCAAGGTCTCAGGGGAGTCCTGTTCCAACATCTTGGCCACACTGGGTCTTCCCAATCAGTCCATGAAATATCTATTCACTTAAATCCTCTCTTACATGTGGGGTAAGGGTCTCTTCAAACAGGTCTTGCACATTTTTGATAGGTTTACTCCTGAATATTTTGTAGGCTGATTTTTGCTGCTGTCATAAATGATATCTTCCCCTAGTACCCAACTGTGTTTTCTAAGTAGATATTTTAGCATATAGGAAGGCTAAGAATACTATATTGAATTCTCTTACAGTTCCAGTAATTTTTCTGTTCATTCTTTAATTAGATGATCATACTGTCTCTACATGATCACACTAGTCTCTTTGCTTCCTGTACCTTTTTAAGGTATCTGTTCTTACCCTGGTCTTATTTCATTGGCCAGGAAGTTGAGTAAATATTGAGAAGTAGCAATAGTACTAGGCACCTTTGTCTTCCTCAAGACTTTCTTTAATGAGCAGACAGTGTTTTGCTGACATGTATGCTATGTGTTGGAGGTTTCTGGAAGATAACATTTCAAGTTAAGCAGGCTTTCTTTCACTATTTACATGGTATAAAATAAGCTGTGCTAACTTATTAACATTAAAAAAAATTTTAATTTTAACTCTCTAGCCCTATGTCATAAGCTAACATATTTGATTTGTTTATACACACCTATCTGTTTGTAAATGTCTGGAAGAATTTTAATGACTGAGTGAGCTAACTCTTAGAGAACATCATAAGGTTTCTTAGGACCAAATATAGCCATTAGAAGTCAAAGGTAACTTCTATCAAAGTCTGTTATTAAACATTTTTTTTGATATGTAGTTTTGCTCTTGTCACCCAGGCTGGAGTGCAATGGTGCGATCTTGGCTCACTGCAACCTCCACCTTTTGGGTTCAAGCAATTCTCTTGCTTCAGCCTCCCGAGTAGCTGGAATTACAGGCGTCCGCCACCATGTCCAGCTAATTTTTGTATTTTTAGTAGAGATGGGAGTCAGGCTGATTTTGAACTCCTGACCTTAGGTTATCCACCCGCCTCAGCCTCCCAAAGTGCTGGGATTACAGGCATCAGCCACTGCGCCTGGCCTGTTCTTATACATTTTTAAAAAAATTTTTGAGACTGGAGAGCTCTGGAATTGTATACATTTTTAAAAACAGCTTTATTGAGGTCTAACAGACATCCAATAAACTGCACATGTTTAAGGTATATAATTTGATAAGTTTTCATATGTATACCTGGGAAGCCATCATCACAATCAAGATGGTGAACACATCCTCACCCTCAAAAGTTTTCTCAAAACCCTGCTTCTTGAGAATTTCTCTTTTGTTCCTTCCCTCTTATGCCTCTGCCTTGGGTGCTGACTGATCTGCTTTCTCTCTATATCCATTAATTTGCATTTCTTGATTTTTATATAAAGGGAACCATACAACATCTTTTATTGTGGTCTGGTTTCCTTTGCGTAGCATGATTGTTTTGAGATTGTTGCATATATCAATAAGTCATTCCTTGTTATTCCTGAGCAGGATTCCACTGTATGGATGTACTACTATTTGTTTATCCATTCACCTGTTGATGGACTTAGACCTTTTTGATGGTTGCTGAAAAGTTTAGATATATAAGACATTGTCTTCTTTCGAACATGAAAATCTTTTTTTTTTTTTGAGACGGAGTTTTACTCTTGTTGCCCAGGCTGGAGTGCAATGGTGTGATCTCAGCTTACCGCAACCTCTGCCTCCCAGGTTCAAGCAATTCTCCTGCCTCAGCCTCCCGAGTAGCTAGGATTACAGGCATGCACCACCACGCCCGGCTAATTTTGTATTTTCAGTAGAGATGGGGTTTCTCCATTTTGGTCAGGCTGGTCTCGAACTCCTGACCTCAGGTGATCTTCCTGCCTCAGCCTCCCAAAGTGTTGGGATTCCACATGTAAGCCACCGCGCCCTGGTGAGCATGAAAGTCTTTTATCAGACTAAATTAGAAGAGACTGTTATTAAGACTGTATTCATGTTTACTGAACTATAATTTTGACATTTTAAATCATTTAAAGATTCGATAAGTAAGTGTACAGAAATACATGCTATTCCTGGAAAAGTTTACTAACAATCTCTCATCTCTATGTACAAAAAAATTCTAAATTAATGGGAATGGCTTTCACTTCCTTGCTAAATGTTGGAGTGTTTGGTGGTGGGAGTGATCATTTATACCATAAATGTCTGTGGAGAAATGCAAGAGCCTGAGGGGAACTAAAAGTGTTAATAAAACATGAATATTAAAAAGAAGCCAATGTTGATTTGATAATTATTGAAGTTGACTAACACACAGGGTTTGTTATACTATCCTCTCTACATATTTGTGTGGTTGGAAATTTCCTTAATAAAGTTTTTAAAATGTTGAATTCTTTTAGATTAAAAAAAATCTATTTAGGTGAGCATATCAATTTCCTCCTTTGAATAGTTAATGAAGTGAATTAATGCATTTCTTGATGTTGAGTCACCCTTACCTTACTAAGCAAACTCTTCTCAGGTCTAAAAGATAATTATTCTTTTATTATACCACTGATATAAATGCTACCTATTTACAAGATTGTAAAAATATGCCATCAATGTATATGTTAATTCCACTAGTCTTTTCAGACATCGGTATAGGATCTAATTAGCCAAACCAGCTTCATACATCTTCTCCTTTGCCTTCATCATATCTGTGGGAGAACTCTATGCACATATCATTTCCATTTGTCCTTTCTAAATAACATGGAATCAATGCCTTTTGACAGTGCTCTTCTCTCCTTTTTTAGTCTGTTTGGCAGAGAATGCTGGGCATCATTTTACTGTCCTTTGGGATGACCATGTAAGTCACACACATCATCCCCCAGGTACTGGCTGCCTTCACCTGATGGTCCTAGGGCTCAGAACTTAGAAGAATGTGAAATCATTGTTAGCATCCTCATATGCTAACATGTGTGGGATTTCAAAAGCAGCCTGAGGGCTGGACATGGTGCCTCATGCCTGTAATCCCAGCACTTTAGGAGGATGAGGCGGGTGGATCGCTTGAGCTCAGGAGTTTGAGACCAGCCTGGGCAACATGGAGAAACCCCATCTCTACACAAAAATATGAAAATTAGCTGGGTATGGTGGCGCGCGCCTGTAGTCCCAGTTACTTGGTTGGGGGGCTAAGGTGAGAAGATCGTTTGAGCCCAGGAGGTTGAGGCTGCAGTGAGCTGTGATTCTGCCACTGCCTCTAGCCTGGGTGACTGAGTGAGACCTTGTCTCAAAAAAAAAAAAAAAAACGCCCCAAAAAACAAAAAGAGCATCCTGAGGAAATGGGAATAATACAGGTTGATAGCTTATTAAACATTTCAGATCTCAGTCAAGAGACAATCCTCAAACAAGGCTTTTCCAAATTCCTAGGAACTCAACATCTAAGAGGCCTTTCAAAATTCAACTAAAAGCCAAGGCAAACTCTTAATTTTGATCACAATCTTTTAGTATTTTGGAATTGAAACCAGTAACTAGTTTTTAAAAAAGTTTTAACCTAACTAATTATCTCAGAGAGGTTCTTTCTTTCTTTCTTTTTTTGAGATGGAGTCTTGCTCTGTCACCCAGGCTGGAGTGCAGTGGTGTGATCTCGGCTCACTGTAACCTCCGCCTCTTGGGTTCAAGCGATTCTCCTGCCTCAGCCTCCCAGAGCAGCTGGGATTACAGGCGCCCACCACCACACCTGGCTAATTTTTGTATTTTTAGTAGAGATGGGGTTTCACCATATTGGCCAGGCTGGTGTCGAATTCCTGACCTCAAGTGATCCGCCTGTTTCAGCCTCCCAAAGTGCTGGGATTAGATGTGTGAGCCACCATGTCCAACCCAGAGAAGTTCTTTCTTATTTTCTGGTAAACACACTTGGTAGCCAGATTCCTTTAATAGTTATTTATTTTCACTGTAGTTCCCAAATCCTGAAGATAGCGATTATTGAATTACATATTGAGAATACGATGAAACACCAAGTATTGTGTTTAAAAAAAATCTCTTATCTCTTAAGGCCTAAGACTCAAGTTCCTGTTCCAGAAAGATATAGAATCATAGATAAGCTTCTGATGAAGGAGAACCAAGAATCCAAAAATACATAAATTCAAAGCCTTCTTCAAAGACCCTAAGAAGCAGGATCCTACCATCAGGGGATAGTTTAGGGCCTTGAAAGAGTTAGACAATAATATAAGAAAATTTGAGAGGACACATTCTCCTGGAGGAGACTCAAATCCCAAATCCATTTTCTTTTTTGTTTTTTGAGACAGGATCTCACTCTGTTGCCCAGGCTGCAGTACAGTGGTGTGAACACGGCTCACTGCAGCTTCAACCTCCTGAGTTCAAGCAATCCTCCTGTCCAAGTCTCCCAAGTAGCAGGAACCACAGGTGTGTGCCACCATACCCAGCTAATTAACAATTTTTTTTCATAGAGGTGGGATCTCACTATGTCTCAAACTCCTGGGCTCAAGTGATGCTCCTGCCTCAGCCTTCCGAAGTGCTGAGATTACAAGTGTGAGCCACTGAGCCCGGCCTACTTTTGCTTTAATAAACCTTGGCTCTTGAAGTATTTTTTCTTTGGGCAGTATGGCTGGGTAGATCATGGCTCCCACAGGGCCTCCGTTAGTAACATCTTTGTCAGAACACAGTGCTACTAGATTATTCCTTAGTACTAGCTGTTCCCTGCTTTAGACACTGACCTTGAATATCTTACTTCGTTTTAACTTCTTTTTTTTTTGAGACTGAGTTTCGCTCTTGTTGCCCAGGCTAAAGTGCAATGGCACGATCTCAGCTCACCGGCACCTCCACCTCCCGGATTCAAGTGATTCTCCTGCCTCAGCCTCCTGAGTAGCTGGGATTACAGGCATGTGCCACCATGCCCAGCTAATTTTGTATTTTTACTCCTGACCTGAGGTGATCCGCCCACCTTGGCCTCCCAAAATGCTGGGATTACAGGCATGAGCCACCACATCCAGCCACCTAGTTTTAACTTCTAACTTTGTTTTCCTGCACAGAATCTTGCCCTGCTGGGAACCCTGCCACAGGCCTCACCATTACCCTACCCAAACTCTGGTTCATATTTTTTTTTTACTCCTGGTTTCTGTGTCTTGCTGATCCATTCCACCCATCACTTCCATCCAAAAAGCTATTGTGAATGTTACAGAGAAGCTAAAGACTACAGCCTGAAATGGCTGACTGCAAATTCAGGATGGGATTGGGACTCTAGGCAAGCTGGGGCAATGATCTCACTTTGATCACTGATTCTGTTCCAAGCAAAAGCAATGACAGATAAGAAAAGTCTAAAAACATGTAGTTGAGTTCAAAACCAAGATAAATATACCTCCAACCAGAAACGCAATGGCAGTGTAAATCAATGGGCAGAGTGCAAGCAGTGGGCCTGCTTGGCTGTAGGTCCAAGTAATGGGCAGAGGCAACATCAGTCCAGAAGCTAAAAGGGACTAAAATTGCTCCAGGTTAAATGTGGAGTTGGAGCTACAGTCAGTGCTTTAAAAGTTGAGAAGAATCTCCTCTTCCTTATGATGGAAGCTTATAAAAAACACCAACTGTAGCTGACCTCTGCTGAGGCTAGATGTGGAATATGGGAGCATATAGACATCTCTATGGTCTGGAATGAGCTGGAACTGCTGGTTCTGAAATCTGCCATATTCACAATATCACTTGGGCAGAAATTCTGAATTGTCATCATAACATCTGGCTCTTAGTAGGTTGCCCAGATGATCAGTGAAGGAAATCTTAATGTTTCTAGATGGAGATAAGTAAAAACTAAGGAGGACAGAAAAAAGATCAACAACAAAAAAGAATGAAACAATTGCTTTAAAATGAACTTGCAGCTGGGCATGGTGGCTCATGCCTGTTATCCCAGTGCTTTGGGAGGCAGAGGTAGGAGGATTGCTTGAGGCCAGGAGTTTAAGACCAGCCTGAGCAACATAGTAAGCCCCATCTCTACAAAAAAATTAAAAAACTAGTCCAGGCACGGTGGCTCACGCCTGTAATCCTAGCACTTTGGGAGGCCAAGGGGGGTAGATCACTTGAGGTCAGGAGTTCAAGACCAGCCTGGCCAACATGGTGAAACCCCGTCTGTACTAAAAATACAAAAATTAGCCGGGCGTGGTGGTGCACCTGTAATCCCAGCTATCTGGGAGGCTGAGGCAGGAGAATCTCTTGAACCCGGGAGGCGGAGGTTGCTGTGAGCCAACATACACCACTGCACTTCAGCCTGGGTGACAGAGCAAGACTCTGTCTCAAAAAAAAATAAAAAATAAAAAAATTAGCTGGGTCTGATGGCACACGTCTGTAGTCCTAGCTACTCAGGAGGCAGAGGTTGGAGGAATGCTTGAGCCCAGGAGGTCAAGGCTGCAGTGAACTATAATCATTCCATTGCACTCCGGCCTGGGCAACACAGCAAGACACTCTCAAAAAAAAAAAGTATTTGCAAACTAAAATTCCAAAACATATGAAGAAAGGCAGTCATTAAAATCACCCACTGAAATATGAATTTAATGTTGCAGAAGAAAATGAAAAATAAAAGTTGCGATGCTCAAATAATAATGAAGAAATCATTTACATTTAAAATGTCAAAAAATAGGAAACTAAAACAAATAGAAATAAAATAAGAACAGGTAGTCACGAAAAAGAATCAAGTAGAAAGTTGCAAGGATATTAGAAAATAGTACTGAAGGACTAATTTAGAATGTTCAGAAAGACTAAGAGATAAAAAGACGCAGCGCATCATCTGCAGTTTGGTTCCCGAATGGCTACGTGAGGGACGTAGACCCTCTCTCCAGCAAAATATAATCATATAACTAGTGAGTTATTAAAAAACAATCATTTAAAGTCTCTGGAAATTTTTTTTTTTTTGAGACAGAGTCTCACTCTGTCGCCCAGGCTGGAGTTCAGTGGCGTGATTTTGGCTCACTGCAACCTTTGCCTCCCGGGCTCAAGTGATCCTCCTGCCTCAGCTCCCCAAGTAGCTGGGACTACTGGCACACACCACCATGCCAGGCTAATTTATATATTTTTTGTAAAGACGGGGTCTCAGTATGTTGCCCAGGCTGGTCTCAAACTCTTGAGTTCAAGCAGCCTGCCTTCCTTGGCCTCCCAAAGTGCTAGGATAACAAATGTGAGCCACCAGGCCAGGCCTAATATTTTTTAAAGAAGAAACTCTATACGTATATTTCTGCTCTTGTTTCTTTTCTTAGCTTCTTTAAAAGACATAGGATTGGCCAGGTTCGGTGGCTCACGCCTGTAATCCCAGCACTTTGGGAGGATTATATAAAGCAGTAATTATAACAATATGTTATTGGATTTGTAATACATATACACCTTAATATGTACAGCAGTAGTAGCCACAAAACAGTAGGGAGAGAAAGGAGCTACATATAAGAGAAAAGTTTCTATATCTTACTAGAATTAAGGTAGTATACATCTAAAGTTGATTCTGATACATTAAGGTATTATAAGCATTATAGAGGCCATGAAGAAATTACCTCAGGGCCAGGCACATTTTCTCATGCCTGTAATCCCAGCACTTTGGGAGGTCAAGGAAGGAGGCTCACTTGAGACCAGGAGTTCAAGACCAGCCTGGACAACATAGTGAAACCCCATCTCTACAAAAAATTTAAAAAATTAGCTGGCATGAGGGTGCACACATGTAGTCCTAGCTACTTGGGAGGCTGAGGCAGGAGGACTGTTGAGCCCAGGAGTTCGAGCTATGATTGCACCACTGCACTCCAGCCTGTGTGACAAAGTGACACCCTGTCTCAAAGAAAGATTAAAAATTAAAAAATATACACATACAGTGAAAAAATAACTAAAGTAAAATGGTACACTAGAAAATATCAACATAAAACAAAGGAAGTTAATAAGGGAGGAAAAGAGAACAGAGTAGTCATGAAATATATAGAAAGTGAAAAGAAAAACACAAAGGTAAATCTAAATGGATCAATGACAATGTGAAAAGTGTGCAGATTAAACAATCCAATCAAAAGATAGAGATTGCCAGAATGATTACAAACATAATCCAACTATATGCTGTCTACAAGAGACATACTTTAGATTCAAAAATGCAAATAGATAGAAAGTAAAAGGATGGAAAAATATATATCTGGCAACAGCAACCATAGAGAGCTGGAATGGCTCTAATAATAGCAAATAAAATACTATTAAACACAAAATGTTACTAGAGATTAATAGGGACATTTTATAATGATAAAAGAGCTAACGTCTCAGGAAGATACAACAATTATAAATATATATACACCCAATAACAGAACCACAAAAATACATACAGCAAAAACTAACAGAATTGAAGGGAAAAACCGACAATTCAATGATAACAGTAATAAAGTTCAATACCTTGCTTTCAATAATGGACAGAACAACTAGATAGAAGATCAACAAGCATATGAATAGAGGACATCAGGACACTATAAACTAACTACACCTAACAGACATCTATAGAGCACTCCACCTGCATCAGTGGAATACATATTCTTCTCAAATACACATGAAAATTCTCCAGAATAGACCATATAATAGGCCGTAAAACAGCCTCAACAGATTTAAAATCATTATTATAATACAAAGTATGTTTTCCAAACACAATGGAATAGAAAATAGAAATAGAAAAATACAAAAGAGAAAATTCATGAAACCAAAAGTTAGTTATTTGAAAAGATCAACAAAATTGACAAACCTTAGCTAGTTGATGAAGAAAAATGAAGACTCAAATTACCAAAATCAGGAATGAAAGATGGGAAATTACTACTGATCTTACAGAAATAAAAAGAACGATAATGGAATACTGTGAACAACTGTATGCCAACTAATTAGAAAACTTAGATGAAATGGAAAAAATCCTGGAAAGTCATAAACTAACAAAATTAACTAAAGAAGAAAAAATCTAAATGGAACTTTAACAAGTAAAGAGATTGGTTAGTTATTTTAAAAAATCCTACAAAGGAAAGCCCAGATCTGTTCAGGCTGGTGTATTTAAAAAAAAAAAAAAAAAGAAAAGCTCAGCTCAGCTCAGATCAAGTTGGTTTCACCGGTGAATTCTACCAAACATTTAGTAAAGAAGGACTACCAGTTCTTCAAAAACTGTTCCAAAAAATGGAAGGGGAGTGAATACTTCCCAACTTATTCTCTGAGACCAGTATTACTCTGATACCAAAACCAAATAAAGACACCATAATCATCTTTTATGAATACAGTTGCAAAAATCTTAAAATACTAGCAAACGGAATCTAGCAACATGTAAAAAAAGGATTATATGCCATGACTAAGTAGAATTTAATGTAAGAATGCAAGGTTAGTTTAACATAAAAAATAAACATAATAGCCATACCAATAAAATAATGGACAAAAATCATAATAGACAGAGCAAGATTATTTTGTCAGGCACAGTGGCTCACACCTGTTATCCCAGCACTTTGGGAGGCCGAGGTGGGTGGATCACCTGAGGTCAGGAGTTCAAGACCAGTCTGGCCAACATGGTGAAACCCTATCTCTACTAAAAAATACAAAAATTAGCCAGGCGTGATGGCATGTGCCTGTAATCCCAGCTACTCAGGAGGCTGAGGCAGGAGAATCGCTTGAGCCCAGGAACTGGAGGTTGCAGTGAGCTGAAATTGCACCACTGCACTCCAGCCCGGGCAACAGAGTGAGACTGCCCGTCTCAAAAAAAAAATTATTTGACAAAATCTAATGCATTTCATGATAAATAATATTCAGCAAAATTGGCATATAAGGAAGCTTCCTAAACCTGACCAAAGTCACCTATAACACACCTATATCTAAGATCATATTAAACACTGAAAGACTGATGGCTTTCTCTCTAAGATCAGAAATAAGAAAAAAAATCTACTTTTACCACTTCTATTCATACTACATTGGAACTCCAGCCTCGGCAGTAAGGCAAGAAAAATAAATAAAAGGCATTCAAATTGAAAAGGAAGTAAAACTATCTCTATATCTCTATTTGCAAATGACATGATCTTGCTTATTTAAAAATCCTAAGAATTCCACTAAAAACAAACAAAAAAAACAATTAGAACTAATAAATGAGTTCAGCAAAGTTGCAGGATACAATATTAACAAAGAAAAATCAATTGTATTTCTGTACACTAGCAGTGAACATTCTGGAAGTGATATAAGAAAATAATTCCAATATAGTATCAAAAGAATAAAATAATTAGAAATAAATTTAATAAAAGAATTATAAGATTTATACACTGGAAACCACAAAACGATTGTTGAAAGTAAAGAATATCTAAATAGGTCTGGGCATGATGGCTCACATCTATAATTCCAGCACTTTGGGAGGCTGAGGTGGGTGGATCACTTGAGCCCAGGAGTTTAAGATCAGCCTAGGCAACAGGGTGAAACACCTTCTCTACTAAAAGTACAAAAAATTAGCTAGGCATGGTGGTGTGCGCCTGTAGTCCCAGCTACTCAGGAAGCTGAAGTGGGAGGATCACATAGCCCAGAAGTTGAGGCTGCAGTGAGCCAAGATCACACCACTGTGCTCCAGCCTGGGCAAAAACAAACAAACAAACAAACAAAAAATCTAAGTAAGTGGAAAGATATCCCATATTTATAAAATATAAGACAATGCTGTTAGGATGGCAACATTCCTCAAGTTAATGTACAGATTCAATGCAATCCCTATCAAAATCCCAGATGCCTGTTTTGTTTTCTTTTTAGAGATAGGGTCTTGCTATGTTGCCCAGGCTGGACAACATAACACCTGGGCTCAGGTGATCCTCCTGCCCAGAAGTTGAGGCTGCAGTAAGCCAAGATCGCACCACTGCATTCCAGCCTGGGCAACAGGGCAAGACTGTCTCAAAAAAAAAAAAAAAAGAAAAAATGTTATGCTTCAAACGACACCAGACCAGCATGATCAACATGGTGAAACCCTGTCTCTACAAAAAAAATATACAAAAATAAGCAGAGCCTAGTGGCACGTGCCTGTAATCCCAGCTACTCAGGAGGCTGAGGCAGGAGAATCTCTTGAACCTGGGAGGCGGAGGTTGCAGTGAGCCGAGATTGTGCCATTGCACTCCAGACGGGGTGACAGAGCAAGACTGTCTCAAAAAAAAAAAAAAAGTGAAAAGACAACCCACAGAGTGGGAAAAAATATATGGAAGTCACATATTAGGTAAGAGACTTGTATCCAGGATGTATAAAGAACTCTTGCAACTTAAGAAAAAGGAGAGAAAACCCAATTTAAAAATGGAGAAAGGATTTGACTAGATATTTCAAATGGCCAATATACACATGAAAAGATGATTAACATAATCAGTCATTAGGGAAATAAAATCTCTACCACAATGAAATACTATTTTATTCCTACTAGGATGGGTAAAATAAAAGTAGACAATTAGTGTTAGGATGTGAAGAAATTAGAATCCTCATATGCTACATGTGAGAATGTAAAATGGGTTGGCCACTTTGGAAAACAGTTTGACAGGTCCTCAAAATGTTAAACATGAAGTTTCCAAATGACCCAGCAATTCTAGTCCTATATATGCCCAGAAAACTGAAAACACATGTCCACACAAAAACTTGTAAACAAATGCTGTTTGTTTATTGTTGTAAACATTATACATAATGGTCACAAAGTGGAAAAACACAAATATCTATCAACTGATGGATAAACAAAATATGATATGTCCATACGAGGCAATATTTATTTAGCTATGAAAAGGAATGAAGTACTGGATCCTGCTACAACATGGATGAGCCTTGAAAATATGTTAAGTGAAGGCTGGGCACGGTGGCTCATGCCTGTAATCCTAGCACTTTGGGAAGCTGAGGCAGGTGGATCATTTGAGGTCAGGAGTTCGAGACCAGCCTGACCAACATAGTGAAACCCATCTCTACTAAAAATACAAAAAATTAGCTGGGTGTGGTGGTGGGCACCTGTAGTCCCAGCTACTCAGAGGCTGAGGCAAGAGAACTGCTTGAACCCGGGAGGCAGAGGTTGCAGCAAGCTGAGATTGCACCATTGTACTTCGGCCCGGGCAACAAGAGCAAAGCTCCGTCTCAAAAAAAGGAAGAAAGAAAAAAAAAGAAAATATGTGAAGTGAAGTGAACGAAGGCAGACACAAAAGGCTACATAATGTATGATTCCATTTATAAGAAATTTTCAGACTAGGCAAATCCATAGAGACTGGAAGTAAATTAGTGGTTGCCAGGGGATGGGGTAAGGGGAATGAGTGACTGCTAGTGGGTGTGGGATTTCTTTTCAGAATTATGAAAATATTCAGGAATTAGTGGTGATTGTTGCACAACTTTGTGACTGTGCTAAGAACTACTGAACTGTATATTGTAAAATGGTGAGCCTTACGGTGTATGATTTATATGACAATTTTATAAAAGGAATGCAGGACTCATACATGCTATGGCATGACTAAGTCTTAAAAACATTCTGTTAATTGAAGGAATCAAGACCCCGAAGTCCACATGTTGTATAATACTTGTACATGAAATGCCCAGAACAGGTATGTCTAGAGAGACAGAAAGTAGAATAGTGGTTGCCTAGGGTTGGGAGCAGGGAGAGAGAACGGAGAATGACTACTAATGGGTACAAGGTTTCTTTTGATGAAAATGTCCTAAAATTAGATTATGATGATGGCTGCACAACTTTGTAAGTATACTAAAAACTACTGATTATGATTGACTGAGACAGAGTCAGTCTCTGTCGCCCAGACTGGAGTGCAGTGGTGTGATAGTAGCTCACTGCAGTCTCCAACTCCTGGGCTCAAGTGATCCTCCTACCTTGGCTTCCCAAAGTGCTGGGACAACAGGTATGAAACACTGTGCCTGGCCTGTGCTCTTTAAATGAGTAAACTTTATGGTGTGTAAATTTTATCTCAATGCTGTTTAAAGGTAAAAGAGTAAGGGAGTGTAGAGTTACCAGTTTCAATGTACATTTAACAGGAGTTTAATATAAGGAAAATGGAGATAATGATGGGAAAATAACAGTTAAAAAGAAAGTAGGAGGCCGGGCATGGTGGCTCATGCCTATAATCCCTGCACTTTGGGAGGCTGAGGCAGGCGGATCACCTGAGGTCAGGAGTTCCAGACCAGCCTGGCCAACATGGTGAAACCCTGTCTCTACTGAAAATACAAAAAATTAGCCAGGTGTGGTGGCATGTGCCTGTAATCCCAGCTACTCAGGAGGCTGAGGCAGGAGAATCACTTGAACCTGGGAGGCAGACGTTGCAATGAGCTGAGATCGCACCACTGCACTCCAGCCTGGGCAACAAGAGTGAAATTCCATCTCAAAAACAAAACAAAACAAAACAAAAAACCAACCAAACAAAAAGAAAGTAGGTGTTCTGAGAATTTCCAGAACTGAAAAAAACACAAATCCTCAGTGCTACAGACTGAATGTTTATGTCTACCACAAAATTCATTAATTGAAGCCCCAAGGTGATGATATTTGGAAGTGGGGCCCTAGGGAGTGATTAGGTCATGAGAATGGGGCCTTTATGAAAGGGATTCGTGTCCTTATGAAAGAGGCTTCACAGAGCTCTCTCCCTCTTTATCTACCCTGTGAGGGTGCGGTGAGAAGACAGTTCCTGGTTTCTGGCAACCAGGAAGCAGCCCTCACCAGACACCTATCTGCCAGTGCCTTGATCTTGGACTTCCCAGCCTCCAGAACTGTGAGAAACAAATTTGGTCGTTTGAGCCACCCGGCCTATGGAATTCTGTTATAGCAACATGAATTGACTAGACACTCAGAAAGTCTCTCTCTTTACAAAGCAGGACAAATAAACAAAAATCCACTACTAGAAATACCATGGTAAACTTTAAAACATCAGGAATTGACAGATAAGAAGCTTCCTACAAAAGTTTCCTACAAAAGAATGACAATTAGGCCAACAACCATACTTCTCTTCAGCAACAACAGATCCCAGAAGAAAACAGATAATATCTTCCTCTGAGATAAGACTCAGAGAGCTTATCTCTCACAGACCGTTGCAAAAAAATTATTAAAGCATATTTTACCAAGAAAAATAGATCCCAAGGGGAAGTATGGAATTCAAGAAACAATAGTAAATCTAGAATTTGATAAAATATGTCAGTAAATTTAATTAAGTACTGTCTGCAAAAATGGGTCTTAGGCTGGGCTCAGTGGCTCATGCCTGTAATCCCAGCACTTTGGGAGGCTGAGGCAGGCAGATCACTGGAGGTCAGGAGTTCAAGACCACCCTGGGCAACACAGTGAAACCTTGTCTCTACGAAAAATAAAAAATTAGCCGGACTTTGTGGTACATGCCTGTAGTCCCAGCTCCTTAGGAGGTTGAGGTGGGAGGATCCCTTGAGCCCAGGAGGTGGAGACTGCAGTGAGCTGTGGTCATACCACCGCAGTTAGCTTGGGCAACAGAGTGAGACCCTGTCCTCGGATGAATATTTGCTGATCTCTCACAGACTCTTGCAAAGAAAATTATTAAAGCATATTTTACCAAGAAAAGTAGACCCCAAGGGGAAGTATGGAATACAAGAAACAATAGTGAATCTAGAATTCGATAAAATATGGTAAAATATGTCAGTAAATATGTCAGGTGGGGTGGTTCATGCCTATAACCACACCTGCCTGAGAGGCTTGATTGAGGCCAGGAGTTCAAGACCAGCCTCGACAACATAGCGAGACTCCAATTCTAAACACATTTTTAAAAAAGAAAGAAACTCGGGCACCAGCCCTGTCCTTGTCCTCAGATGATTCAGAAGACTCCTGGGGAGAACCTGGCAAAGCATGAGAAGTACAGAGACTGCAGCTTCCCTCCGGACTGCCTGAGACTCAATGGGAGGGCCTGGTTGGAACAGCCAGGTCTAGGAAAAAGGGAAGCGACCCAGCTGCATGCATGGGTGAGTTTTTCCATGGGAGACATGGAAGGTGGCCAAGCTTGAATCTTCTTGAAAGATCCTGTGCAAAACTGTTGGACTGGGGAGGAGAACCCCAGAGCTGTATGACTGGGACCAAAGCTGAAGAGGTCAGGCAGGAGTGGGGAGATCCCTGTAGAAGAAAGACTGGTCTGAACTCCGGGAGATCCCTGTAGAAGAAAAACTGGTCTGAACTCCCATTGACCAATACCACCTCTGTCTTCAGCAGTGCTGCATCCAAGGCAGCAGAGCTCGGAAAGGAGAGAAAGCAGAGAGGAACTGGAAGGGCTATCCTCCTCTCCCCTGCCACTGTTGGTCTGCGCAACCTCTGGAGAGGCCAAAGCTGGGTGAGGGGAAACTGAAATGGAGGGCACTAAAGTTTGATTTCAAGGGGACTGAACTTTTTTTTTTTTTTTGAGACAGAGCCACACTCCGTTGCCCAGGCTGGAAGTGCAGTGGCGCGATCTCGGCTCACTGCAACCTCGCCTCCCAGGTTCAAGTGATCCTCCTGCCTCAGCCTCTCAAGTAACTGGGATTACAGGCGTGCATCACCACACCCAGCTAATTTTTGTAGTTTTAGTAGATACAGAGTTTCACCATGTTGGCCAGGATGGCCTCAAACTCCTGACCTCAGGTGATCCACCGCCTTGGCCTCCCAGAAGTGCTGGGATTACAGGCATGAGCCACCGTGCCTGGCAGGGACTAAACATTAAAAAAATTTTTTTTCTTTTTTTTTCTTTTTATGGAATGCTTCATGAATTTGCATGTCATCCTCGCGCAGGGGCCATGCTAATTTCTCTGTATTGTTCCAATTTTAGTATATGTGCTGCTGAAGTGAGCACTGAAATTTTTTAACGCCTGAAAATGAGACTGTTCTAATACTGACATTGACTTGAAAAGCTATAGAATCTGCATGAGATAGAGTTGAGGGGAGAGGAGGGGAAAACCGATACTGTTTGAACGTGGTGATAGGAGAAGAAATTCACTGCCTGTTTACACTCAGTTCAGTCTGGCTTGTTAAATTAGTGAACTACATAAAGAAACTAAGATTATCTAGTGCACAAGAATGGATAAAAGGTGACAGCAAATATCACAAATTACAGTTTGGGGGCAGGGACATGAAGGGAGATCTGTAAGGGATAAGATCAAAAATAGGAAGAGAAAGAAGGAGAGAATGGGGAATCCACAGTGGACCCAAAGTACCAAGGTTAAGAACCTAAAATTGGATTGGCATCAAAGAACTAAGAAGGGCCTGTAATCCCAGCTCCTTGGGAGGCCAAGGTGGGAGGATCACTTGAGGCCAGGAGTTCAAGACCAGCCCAGGCAACATTGCATGACCTCTATCTCTACAAATATTTAAAAATTAGCCAGATGTGGTGATGCATGCCTATAGTACTAGTTACTCAGTAGGCTGAGGCAGGAGGATCACTTTAGCCCAGAAGTTTGAGGCTGCAGTGAGCCATGACGGTGCCACTGCACTCCAGCTTGGCTGACAGAGCGGGACCCTGTTTCAAAAAAAAAAAGAGAGATTGGAAAAAAGAGAAAAGAAAAGAAGGAAGAGGAAAAAAAGAAAGGAAAAGGAAAATATAGCCAAGGCCAGAAGTCATGGTGCCAGAGCTCAGTAAGTGATCGAAGTAGCCACGTCCACACACCTTTTATTAGAAACCTCAATTTCTATGTAAGAATAAACTTTAACATCTGGATTAGTTTCCTAGAGCTGCCATAACAAATTACCACAAACCCGATGGCTTAAAACAACAGAAATTTATTCTTGCACAGTTCTGGAGGCTAAAAGTTCAAAACCAAACCGTCAGCAGGGCCAGGCATCTGCCTCTGAAGGCTCTAGGGGAGGATTCTTCCTTGCCTCTTCTGGCAGCCTCGGTGGCAACAGAAACCCAATCTCTGTCTTCTTTGCCACTTGCCCTTCTTCCCTCTATGACTGCCTGGGTCTTTGAAGCTCTCCCTCCTTATAAGGTCACCAGTCGTTGGATTTCAGGCCCGCCTTCATCCAGTTTGGCCTCATCTTCACTTGATTAGCCAGATGTGGTGGTGCATGCAAAGACCCTGTTTCCAAATAAGGTGATATTCACAGGTATCATGGTTAGAACTTCAACATATATTCTGGGGGGACACAATTCAACCCATAACAATGTCCAACGTGGAGTGAGGAATAGGATCTCCTGTGAAGCCACTTTAATGCTTCTGTCCCGAACTGTCAAGTGCATTAGATGACTGGACATTTTAATCTACAGCTGAGTTGACTAACCAGTGTGATAATTTATTAATATTATTTTTAGGCTGGGCATGGTGGCTCATGTCTGTAATCCCAGCACTTTGGAGCCTGAGGCGGGTGGATCACCTGAGGTCAGGAGTTTGATACTAGCCTGACTAACATGGAGAAACCCCATCTCTACCAAAAATACAAAAATTAGCCAGGCGTGGTGGCAGGTGCCTGTAATCCCAGCTACTTGGGAGGCCGAGGCAGGAGAATTGCTTGAACCCAGGAGTCGGAGTTTGCAGTGAGCTGAGTTTGCACCACTGCACTCCAGCCTGGGCAACAGAGCAAGACTCTGCCTCAAAAAAAAAAAAATCAATTGCAGTGCATTGAAACACATAAAATATGTGTAAAACTATGAATTCATAATGATACTAAAAAAACTTACTGACTACTTTTAGACAGTGATAGGGAACAATTTTGAAAACTGATAAATAAGGGGAAAGAATCAAGTTTTTATCCTACTTTTCCTATAAAAATTATACTTCAGGGTAACCTAATAGTTTAAGGATAAGTTTTTCTTTTAAAACATTTTACTCACTAATAAATTAAAAAATCATGGATGAAGAAATCACATATACAAACATACACATGCACACTACATATGTATATATACACAAATAAAATCACCTATGAAAAAATGTTCAGTTTTATCAAAAGTAAATTTAGAAAAATATTGGTATTCTCAATGAAGTATCAGAATAGACAGATGAACAGTAGCTGGAATCCAGTGGGATGAATTCATTTGAGGAATGTAACTAATGAAAGATTTCATAAATACTGAAGATGCAAAATTGAAGTTAAATGTGATTCAAGAATAAATATTAAAATTTATGTGGCAGGAAATCATGCAAAACAAAGAGATGCAAATTAAAACCAGGTATCTTTTTTTGATATTTTTACCTACAAAATTGGCAAAAAAAAAAAAAAAAATCAAGATTAACTGTATCCATTGTGAGGACTGGGGGAAATTGGCTTAAATCTCAACTCCATTGTTGATTAGCTGTATGAGCTTAGAGAAGTTATTCCATCTTTTTGAGTCTTGGTTCCTTCATCAATAGAACTGGGATACTGAGTATCCTGGAGGTGAAGATTAAATGAGGCGATACTGGTGAAGCACTTCAAATGTGCTTGCAACACATAGCACTCAATAAATGTTTGCTATGTGGTTATTCCTATGCATAGGAATTTGCAGTCTTGTGATTTATGTTCCTATTATGAATAGGATCTCCCTTCATGAATTTTCCTTTTTTTGGCCATCTTTGTCCAGTTTAAATATCCTTATTTTTCTGCCTTTTAAAACAAAGTTGGAAATGTTCCATCTTTTTATTTTTATGTATTTTTTGACACAGAATCTCACTCCATCACCCAAGCTGGAGTTAAGTGGCCCAATCTCGGCTAATTGCGACTTTCACCTCCCGGGTTCAAGCGATTCTCATGCCTCAGTCTCCCGAGTAGCTGGGATTACCGGCACACACCACCATGACCAGCTAATTTTTTTGTATTTTTAGTAGAGATGGGGTTTCACCATGTTATGTTGGCCAGGCTGATCTCGAACCCCTGACCTCAAGTGATCCACCCACCTCAGGCTCCCAAAGTGCTGGGATTACAGGCAATGAGCCACCGTGCCTGGCCAGGGCCTGATGCCTTTCTTAGGGACAAATCTCATAACACCTTTTCGATTTTTTCTACGTAGTTTAGGATCTTCTACTACCATATGACTATATTTTAAATTTATATTTTTTCAGAAAAGTATCTATCTTACCTAAGATTTTCAAATACGTTGGCATTAAACTTGTACATGTTATTTGGTTTTTGTGTAAAAAAGTCTTGATCCAGTTATGCACCGTAACTCATTTCTGATGGTTTGGGCTTTTCTATCCTCTTATCTGAATCAGATTTGCCAAAGGTTAGTCTGTAGTTCTGTTTCCAAAGAATTGGCTTTAGGTTTTATGGATCAATTTTGCTTTCTGTTAACTGTAAATTTCATTAATTTCTGCTTTTATTTTCATTATTCTTCATCTACTTTTTAAAAAATGGCTTACTTTTCTCCTGGCCTCTCACACTAAAGTTTTAGTTCATTTACTTTCAGTCACTGCTGGTTTTTAATAAGTGGGTTTAAAAGTACAAATTTTTATCCAGTTACTGCTTTGATCATATCCACTGAGTTTTGCTAGATAGCACTATTTTTATTTCCAAATAGCTCAGATCTAATAGTTCACCTCCAAATACCTCAGATCTAATTGCAGCTCAGATTTTTTATCCACAGCCTTTTTAAAGTTTATTTTTAATTTCTTGACTAGCCTGACTAGTTTGTATGTTTCTTTACATTTTGATCAGAAAATGTGGCCTGTATGATTTTAACATGTTTAGGTATATTATTACTTTGTAGATTGATATGATAGTTTTTCCTTTTCCAAAATATCATACAAATTAAATCATATGGTATGCATTGTTTGGAGTCTGGGCTTCTTTCACTTAGCGTAATGCTTTTGAGATTCACCTGGTCGTGTGTATCAGTAGTTCATTCTTGTTTACTGCTGAGTAGTACTCAATTATATGGTTATAACTGTCTGTCCAGGCACCTACTGATGGACATTTGTGTTATTTCCTGTTTTGGGTGCTTATGAATAAAGCTTCTATAAACATTTGTGCAGAGATTTTTGTGTGGGTGTATGTTTTCATTTTTCTTGGGTAAATACTCACTGGGTCACATAGTAAGTGCATGTTTATTCGCTTTCTAAGAACATGCCAACTTGTCTTTCAAAGGAGCTGTATCTTTTTTCTGTTCCCACCAGCAATGAATGAGAGTTTCAATTGTTCCACATCCTTGTCAGTAGCTGACATTGTCAGATTTTTTTTTTCCTGGCGATTTTAATAGGCGTAAGTGGCAGCTCATGGTGGGTTTAATTTGCATTTCCCTCTTGACTGATAATGTTGAACATCTTTTCATGTATTATCTGCTATGGGTACCTCTTCCTTGGTGGAGGGTCTTGGTAATTTTTTTTGGCCCATAGCCTGAAGCAAGAGCCCCTCAAATACCAGCTTTGTGCTCTTGCTGGTACCAGGGCATCTATACTTTTGCTGGCTACATGGCTTTCTTCATGTTCCTAATAGTGCTTTGATTGATTCTGTTTTATGTAAAGGTGTTTAATACATATGTGATGAATGATTAAAGAACTAATAATGTATCCCTCTGTGTTTTACCTCATGACTCAATGCATCTTTACCCTTTCTGTTTGATAATGTAACAGGGAATTTAATAAAATGTATGAACCCAGCCCAGGAAGGCATTTGTCCCTGCTCTCTTCAACTATCTACTGGTCACCTTCATTTCCCCAGTCTCAGACACTCTAGATACAAAGGACTCTAGAAGGAAAGAGAGAGAATACACACCCAGCAGACATTTTCCTTCCTCATTAGAGTTTCCATCACCTCTGTCCTTCCACATCAGTCAAAAGTTGTCAAAGACAAGTGTATCATACACATTTAATCCATTCTCAGAAATGGTTCATCATTATTCACACAACAATTCCTTCCCACTGTATTGCTACTTTCTATAATGTTACTTCTCTACCAGAAGCAAGAAACCTCCAATATCAAGTACCAGGACTATGATATCATTCTGCCATAGGAACATTAATATATCTCCAAATTTTTAATATAAGCATGCATTTAAATATCTACCTGTACACTATTATAATAACAGCCTTTAAAAAAAATAGCATAAGGGGCTGGGTGTGGTGGCCCACAGCTGTAATCCCAGCACTTTGGGAGACCAAGGCCATGGGCGGATCACTTCAGCCTAGGAGTTTGAGACCAGCCTGGGTAATATAGGGAAACCCTGTCTCAACAACAACAACAACAAATTAGCCATATATGGTGGTGCGGGCCTATAGTCCCAGCTATTTGGGAGGCTGAGGCTGGAGGATTGCTGGAGCCTGGAAGGCAGAGGCCACAGTGAATTGAGATAACACCACTGCTCTCCAGCCTGGGTGACAGAGTAAGACCCTGTCTCAAAAAAAAAAAGTATATATATATATATATATATATATATATATATATATATATATATACACACATACCATAATGGATAATAGAGTACTCAGAATCAAATGGACCCAGTACCACCACTACCTGTATGACCACAGGCAGGTCACCCCAACTTCTCTGTGTCAAATCAGGAAAATAATAGTATCTGGCTCATGGGGTTGCTGGGAGGAATAAATATGATAATTCATGTAAAATCCTCACATAGTGCCTGGAATTATTAAATGCTCAACAACTGTTACCAAGTATATTTTTAAAAAGAATAACATGCCATAAATCCATCATGCCAATATTTTAAATTTTATTTTGCATTTCCTTCCCTTTGTTCACAAAAATTATTTACATGATTACAAGAGTATATATATGATTTTGAATGCTGCTTTATAACTTTCTGTGTTGATATGATAGTTTGTTTATTTATTTATTTATCTTGAGACAGGGTCTCACCCTGTCACCCAGGCTGGAGTGTGGTGGTGCAATTATAGCTCACTGCTACCTCCGCCTCCTGGGCCTCAGGTGATCCTCCCACCTCAGCCTCCTGAGTAGCTGGGACCACAGGTGTGAGCCACTGCACCCAGCTAATTTTTTTTTTTTTGAGATGGAGTTTCACTCTTGTTGCCCAGGCTGGAGTGCAATGGCATGATCTCAGCTCACTGCAACTTCTGCCTCCCAGGTTGAAGAGATTATCCTGCCTCAGCCTCCCGAGTAGCTGGGATTACAGGCACCTGCCACTATGCCTGGCTAATTTTTGTATTATGAATAGAGGCAGGGTTTCACCATGTGGCCCAGGCTGGTCTCAAACTCCTGGGCTCAAGTAATCAACTCAGCTTGGGCTCCCAAAGTGCTAGGATTCCAGGCATGAATCACCGCTCCCAGCAGCAGTCTGTATAAGTTTTAGTAGCTCGGCAAGTCCAGTGTTTTACTTTTCTGTATCTCCATTATCTATTGCTTTATTCCAACTATTGCTTCTAACTTTCATGACTTCCTTTCCATAGCTGCCTTGTCTGCATGTGCCTGCCTTTATTTTTTGCTTTCAATGTTCTATAAAGAACATTTCTAAGAGTTAATCACCCATTATCCCATCTCCCAACGTTTTCCATCTTTTTGTTCCATATGCATATGCCGTTTTCAATAGTTTCACTGTCAATGATCTTCAGATTGAGCGCTCTCTGTCAAGCATCATGAATGCGTCAGGCAGCTTTGACCTTTCATCACCTGCCTCACAACTTCATTGAACCCGAGACTCTACCCTGCAGAATGCACTTCTAGATGGATTTTTTCTGGGCTGGCATTGTGAGTATTTCAGGGTCAGGGTGACCGTACCTCCTACCTCTGATGGCTGCACAATGACACAAAGGCAGGAATCCCAAACCTCACCCTTAGACACGGTAGCCGGTAATGACCTTTAAACTTAATCTGTATCCTGGTTAAATCTTTTGGCCCCTCATTTCCTACCCCTCTAAAATGCAAAGTGTAAGCTTGCCATTCATTTTCTGGGATCCTAAGAAGCCATGAGATGCAGGAGCCTGTTAGCCTGGCCTCTGGCCTCCCAGGAGAATCATTACCTGCCCCGCCACTCCTCATCCCCAAGAGCGTCTCTCTTACTCTTTAAATATTTTGGAAAGATTCTTTAAATCTTTTTTTTTTTCCTGAGATGGAGTCTTGCTCTGTCACCCAGAGCTAGAGTGCAATGGGGCAATCTTGGCTCACTGCAACCTCAGCCTCCTGGGTTCAAGCAATTCTCCTGCCTCAGCCTCCTGAGTAGCTGGGATTACAGGCTCGTGCCACCATGCCAAGCTAATGTTTATATTTTCAGTAGAGACAGATTTCACCATGTTGGCCAGGCTGGTCTTGAACTCCTGATCTCGTGATCTGCCCACCTCGGCCTCTCAAAGTGCTGGTATTACAGGCGTGAGCCACCGCGCCCAGCCAAGATTCTTTAAATCTTAATAGATACAGGAAGGCTAACAAGACATAGAAAACATCAAATGCTTCAGAAAAAAAATGTGGTTCACAAGCAGGAGGAATCTGCATGCTTTGTTATCTGAGATAAGGAAGAATGGGACCAGTGTGAAGGCAGCTCTGATACCAAGCCACCCGGCCACTTAGCTCCATTGCTTCTCCCAGATTTTTGTTACGATATGCTACAGAGTTAATTGATGGGACATTTCTTTCTGCTTTCACATTGAAGAAATGACTAATGACATTAAAATGGGGTGGAACGTGAAGCCAGAGAGCTATGTCTGGGGATTTTACAGCTTTGGTAATCCCCAATATACCAACTATAGCAGATGGACACAAACAAGGGAGTCTCCCTCCTAACTCTCAGCTGTAAGCCTTCCCCTTGCATTGCACTGGGATGCTATGATTTTACCTTAGTCCCTCAGTTGTGCCCTATACATATCTCTCCCAGTACTTTTTTAAGCCTGTTCAAACGATTGGGTCTTTGTTGCTGTTCCACATTAAGAACAAAACTCCTTTCCTCATGAGCCTCATTCATTTCAATTTCACTGTTTTCTGAGCTCCCACTGACTGTGGTTCCCAGGTGCATGAAAAGCACTGCGATATTCCAGGAATATCCTCCTGTACTGCAGCCTCAAGAGACACTCTCATTTCCTTGTTCTCTGCAGTAATGTTTCTGAGTATTTAACACAACGTGTTTCAATTTACTCCTAATTTTACCCTCCTCTAGGTCGTCCTGCCTTCTAGGTTTCCCCTGCCTGGGAAATCTTTCTCTAATACTATTTTGCCTTGGATGGAGGATGATTTTTCACAGATACCACATTTGCCAGCACACTTAGGGGGCCACTCGATAGCAAAGTAGCAGAGGGTTGAGTGAGTTGTTTTTTTTTCTTTTTTTGAGATGGAGTCTTGCTCTGTCACCCAGGCTGGAGTGCAGGGGTGCTGTCTCGGCTCACTGCAACCTCCACCTCCCGGGTTCAAGTGATTCTCCTGCTTTAGCCTCCCAAATAGCTAGGACTGTAGGCACGTGCCACCATGCTCGGCTAATTTTTTGTATTTTTAGTAGGGACGAGGTCGTGATCCGCCCGCCTCAGCCTCCCAAAATGCTGGGATTACAAGCATGAACCACCGCGCCTGGCCTGAGTGAGTTTTTTGTAGGATCCTCTGGTCTTAAATACTTGGTCTTAAAGTTGGATGTTCACTTGTGGGTGGAGGAGGGGGACCCTGTGACCCAGGCCCCTCTCAGCCCCATGCATGCCTCTGACTTCAGACAGAACTGGAAGTCGAATGAACGGGAGGAGGAAAAGGATGGAAAAGCCATTTGGCTGGGGACAGGAGGCATAAAGTGTGTTGGGGAGAGGGACAAATCTCATTTGAAGGGCTCTAGGCTTCCAGAACCTGAAGGAAACAGTTTCTGAAGATGTTTGGCTTCAAGGAAGATGAGTTCACAGGAAGTCTTTTTTTGGCTGCTCGCTAGATTCTCATTCAAGAATTTACACAATGAAGTTAGAAAAACAGACCTGCTGAATCCATGCTAAACTCTCCCTGGGTTTAGCTGCCTACCTGAAAATAGCAACAGGGGAATGTGGCTTTCTCTGAATCACGTACTGCAAGAGTAACACCGGGTCACCAGATGCTGCTGAAGTCACAAACAGGCCCTGTTACTATTAGCAGCCGAGACGTAAGCTGAATGCTGGTCAACAGTGATGTTCTGTTTAGTAGGATGCTGAGATGAGGCGATTCTAAGTTTGAGAGGACGCTGGCCCATTATCCTGCAGTATAGTCATCACCAGACAAAAGTCCATCTCACTGTGGCTCATGAAATATTAATGAAGAGCTAGAATTACTTGCACTGACTTCAGCACAAATAGACCAAAAAATCAAATCAAAGCTCTATTTCCACTATGTTTGATACAGAAAGCCAACAGTTTAGTAGCTGGTGGATTTTTGTGGAAATTCTAAACTTTGCTTCCAGGCAAATCTATGGGTTTTCAAAAATTTCTGTCTTTTGGTTTTATTGTCTGACTATTTGGGTTTTATTGTCTATTTTAAGAAAAAGCTGGTCCATTGTTTTCTAGTAGGGGAAGTCAACTGGAAGCTTAATAGTAACAAAAGACTTTTGAATTATAATTACTTCCAGATGGATGCTTACAGATGTCCTCATCTTTTAAAAAACCACTTAAGCATCTTACCATCTGTTTTTCAGTGACTTATCATGGAAATCTTTACACTTTTGTTTATATAGCCGTTGCCAAATGTGTAAGCCCCAGGAGGTTTTAAGCCAGTGAAGGCTTTAAGACTATAATAAGAGTGTCTTTCTCTTCTCTTCTGCCATTACTAAATGAACATCCTATATAACTCAACTTTTACAATGGCCTTTTGGGAAGTATTAGAAAGAAGAGAGTATGATATGAAGGAAATAAATAAATTATGTATGTTTTTATTTGTTCTTTCCTAATGTCAGCCAACAACGAAGGACCATTTTGTAAGTACTGATTGAAATCTTTATTAAGAGCTTTGCTTATCCCAGGAAATAGTGGCATTCTCAAGAAAATTGCAGCTGGGGTGCATTCCCAGTGATAACTTGGCCCAGGGCACCTCTGAAAGTATTAAACACTTGGGAAAATCTTTGTCTGTGGGGCTGCTTTAGGGACTCTTCAAATGGCTGAGGAATATATGAGGCCATCATTAATGGTTTGCATGAGAATGGCCAGCTATTTACTGTTTCCCAGCAAGGAGCAGGCTCCCTAATGAGAATTTCTGCGTAGTTATTGCAAATTATAGAAAAAAACAGCCAAATCACTTACATCATAGAAAAATTAATGTCAAAAATCAAAGTTGTGGCCAGGTGTGGTGGCTCACGCCTGTAATCCTAGCACTTTGGGAGGCCAAGGCAGAAGGATCACTTGAGGTCAGGAGTTCGAGACCAGCCTGGCCAACATGGCGAAATCCCATCTCTACTAAAAATATAAAAATTAGCCAAGTGTGGTGGCAGGCACCTGTAATCCCAGCTACTTCAGCTACTTGGGAGGGTGAGGCAGGAGAATCACTTGAACCTGGGATGCGGAGGTTGCAGTGAGCAGAGATCACACCACTACACTCCAGCCTGGGTGACAGAGTGAGACTTGGTTAAAAAAAAAAAAAAAAGCAAAGTTATTATCTCCCCAGACAAAGCTACCCCTTCTTGTTTTTTCTCTCTTGGTAAGCAGTGTTACTATCTCTCCAGTTGTTCAAGAAAACTCATCATCCTCAACTCCTCCCAATCCTAACTCCTGGCAAAGGCAAAGGCAATCTGTCTCCCAGCATGCCTCTCACATCTGCCCTGTTCTTCTCCACGTGATATGGCCCTAGTTAACATCTCAGGTCTGGATAATGGTGGAGGTCTCCCAGCCACTCACTCTGCCTCCATTCTCACCTTGGATAAAAGGTAAAATTCTGGTAGGAGCTGTAAGAAGACCGCAAATACCCTTCTTCCCTCTATGGTCTTTCTGCTCTGCTTCTCCTTCTGAAGCAGCATCTAGTGCTGAGACTTGGTAGGGAGGGACCTGGCTTTAGGGTGAGTGTGCTTTTCTTGGGAAATACCTTTCATTGTGAAAGGTGGGGTAGGCAAGGCCAAGGGACAGAAGAACAAGTTCCCTGATGCTGCTTGGCTCAGGCTGGGAAGAAGCATGGAGAGTGCTGAGCTGTGTAAGTGACATCACCAAGGCTGCAGAGCTGGCAGAGATCCTGGGCAGAAACCAGTTTGCTCTTTGTGGCTTCCTGGGTGCCGTCTCCTGTCAGGGACCTAACTGCTGTGGAAGGTGGCTGGCTGGGGTGCAGCTATAGCCAGATTAGGATCAAAATTAATTTCAGGACTGTGTAACGAGCATTCCAGGTTAGTCAAAGTTGACAACATTTTTCTAAATTGAGATTTCTTATCCTGTAACAAATGTTGTAAGCCTCATTGTTCACTATTTTCAGAATTTTGTTTTTAATCAACAGTAAAACAGGGCAGTGCTTTTTTACTGATGGTAGAACAGTGTCTAGCATACAATAGGCACCTAAAATATTATGTGTCCAGAAAAATGTATAGTTATGTATGTACATATACATCTATCTATACAAGCACACACACGTACCATATTGATAACACAGCTGCTTAATAAATTAACCTGTCCATTTTTATTTAGAGGAAATAAAATTAACTGCCAGAGTATGAACTGATCCATCTGATCTCTCTGTCAAAAATATAAGAATCAATCATTTTGGGCTGGGCACGGGTGGCTCACACCTGTGATCCCAGCACTTTGGGAGGTCGAGGTGGGCAGATCCCCCGAGGTCAGAAGTTCGAGCCCAGCCTGGCCATCATGGCGAAATCCTGTCTCTACTAAAAATACAGAAATTAACCGAGCATGGTGGCGAGGGCCTGTAATCCCAGCTACTCGGGAAGCTGAGGCAGGAGAATTACTTGAATCCGGGAGGCAGAGGTTGCTGTGAGCCGAGATCGTGCCACTGCACTCTAGCCTGGGCGACAGAGGGAGACTCCGTCTCCAAAAAAAAAAAGAACCAATCATTTTGTTTTTACATTTAAAAGCTTATCTTTTTCTTCATTTTCACAGCAGTATCCATAACCTATTGGTCAGTGTAATGAGCCAGTGCAAATATTGCAACTATGCATAGACAGGGAATGGCATGCACATCCCCACACAAAAGAGCAGCTAAAATAATGAAGGAAATGCCAAGTGATGAGAAAGATAGAGAGGAAGGATAGAGAGCAACCAGAACTCTCCCGCACCGCTGATGGGAGTGTAAATTGGTGTAACCAGTTAGGAACACTCACAGAATGTGTTTTGGCTGACCCCATACACACCCTCTGACCCAGCCATTCCAGGCCTTGGTATATACTCCCTGAGAACGTTGCACCAAAAGTATGCATTAGGATGTTCTACACATAATAGTCAAAAACTATTCAAATGTTCATCAATAGTAGAATGGGGCTAGGCACAGTGGCTCATGCCTGTAATCCCAGCACTTTGGGAGGACACAGCGGGTGGAGTTGAGACCGGCCTGGGCAACATGGCAAAACCCTGTCTCTACAAAAAGAAGCAAAAATTAGCTGGATGTGGTGACATGCGCCTAGTCCCAGCTACTCAGGAGGCTTAGGTGGGAGAATTCCTTGGGTCCAGGAGGCAGAGGTTGTGGTGAGTCCAGGTCGCATCACTGTACTTCAGCCTGGGTGACAGAGCGAGACCCTGACTCAAAGAAAAAAAAATAAAAAGTAGAATGGATAAGTGAATGTGTTTATATAATGGGATATTATTCAGCGATGAGAATGAACAATCTCCAACTACCTCAATAAGTGGATTAATCTCACCAATGATGTTGGCAACTGCCATTCTGCATTCTATTCTATCTCTATAATGTTTTCCTTTTTTAAGGGACAGGGTCTCACTCTGTTGCCCACAGTGGAGTGCAGTGGCTATTTGGAGGCATGATCATACCACTGCAGCCTCAAACCCCTGGGTTGGAGCAATTCTCCTGCCTCAGCCTCCCAAGTAGCTCGGACTACAGGTGCGTGCCAGCTCTGTCTCCATAATTTTGACTACTCTAAGTACCTCATATAAGTGAAATCATATAGTATCTGTCCTTTTGTGTCTGGCTTATTTCCTTCAGCATAATGTCCTGAAGGTTCAACCATCTTTGTAGCATGTGTCAGAATTTAAGAGGTGCGGTTTTTCAGAGAAGGAATGTTTTAGAAGTGGCAATAGACAGCAGAGACACCTACCTTACTTCTAAGCCCTGAAGTGGCAGAATTTCTGTGGGGAAATGTCTCTAACTACCAGGGCCATAGGGAAGGCAATGTTCTCAAAGACTAGCCAGATCCCAGTGAGAGATGAAACAGAAAGAGACATTAAGAGACAAGTATAGGCTGGGCGCGGTGGTTCACGCCTGTAATCCTAACACTTTGGGAGGCCAAGGCGGGTGGATCACTTGAGGTCAGGAGCTCGAGACCAGCCTGACCAACATGGTGAAACCCCATCTCTACTAAAAATACAAAAATTAGCCGGGCGTGGTGACGGGCATCTGTAGTCCCAGCTACTCGGGAGGCTGAAGCAGGAGAATCACTTGAACTTGCAAGGCGGAGGTTGTAGTGAGCTGAGATTGATTGCGCCACTGCACTCCAGCCTGGGTGATAGAGCAAGACTCCATCTCAAAAAAAAAAAAAAAAAAAGAGACAAGTATGAAGGCCAGGGCATGTTGCTGTTGGTAGACCGAGGTCGAGAGAGTACAGTGGGATGCTGTGAGGGGTGTGGAGGAGTGTCCCATGGAGCCAGGTCAGGACGTGAACAGCCCTGCCGTGACTGGGGTCAGAGGGCCGAGTGGGAATATTGGGTTTACTTGGAGGAGTCCTCTGAGTGCTGTGCTGACCTTCTGGCCCACAGCTGGTCCCTAGAGAACACTCGCTTAAAACAGAGAACTGGGCCAGGAATGTCCAGCAGTCTGGTGCAATAGCGGGAGGAGAGCATAGGGTGTCCAGTCAGAGGAGCCCTGCCATCCTGACCTTTGCCACTTGTGAGGCCTGGACCAAATTACTTCACCTTCCTAAGCCTCCACGTCCTCATGTGTATAACATTAGCTGCCTTGAGATTTGTTAAGAGGATTAAATGAGAGAATGTATGTGAAAGGTCTCTGAAAACTAGGTGCTACTCTGGTGCCTTATTTCTTTAAATTTAGTACTTATTGATATTTTATTTTTTGTTTACATTTCTTGCTATATAAACATTGATATTTAATGTAAAAATACGATGAGTAATATAGAAAGACCTTATAGGTGTTTTAAGATTGTAAACAAGGCTGGGTACAGTGGCTCACAACTGTAATCTCAGCACTTTGGGAGGCTGAGGCAGGTGGATGGCTTAAGTCCAGGAGTTTGAGACCAGCCTGGGCAACATAGTGAGACCCCGTCTCTAAAAAAAATTTAAAAATCAGCCAGGCATGGTGGCACACACCTGTAGTTCCACCTATTCAGGAGGCTGAGGTGGGAGGATCGTTTGAGCCCAGGGGTTTAAGGCTGCAGTGAGCTATGATTGCACCACTGCATTCTAACCTAGGGGAAAAAAAGACTGTAAACAAATTGGTCCTGTACCTTTGTGTCTATATTCAGCAGGGACTGAAATAGCAGGGACCCCATTTACCCACCCTCAGACATCTGGCACCTCAACCATTCACAAATCTAGAAGTAACCCAGAATGCCTTCAAGGACACGCAAGCGGTGACAAAAATAGCTGGGCAAAGCTGAGAACAGAAAAACTAGAGGGCAGGCATGTAAATCTGCCAGTTCACCAAGCAGAGCACCTTTGCACGCAGGTCAGGGAAGCACCAGGAGGTCTGCTGAGGGCGGTGAGTGGTGAGGGGTCTAGCTGGATCCTCACTCTTCCCCTGCTGGGCTTTGTGACTAGAGCCTGAAGCCACCTCCCTAGGCCTTGGTTTTGTCTTCTGAACTGGAGGCAAAATGACCACCAAGTTTTTCTTCTCTTTCTGACATGCCATGGTTACCTACCACTACATGGCTGAACTGTGCAAACAGGATGCTGAGTGAGAGAAGCCAGCTAGAAAAGGCCACGTATCATATGAACCCATCTATATAAAATGTTCGGAACAGGCAAATCTGTGGAAACAGAAAGTAGCTCAGTGGCTGCCTGGGGCTGCTGGAGGAAGGGACTTGGTGGTTGACGGCTAAGGGGTGCTGGGTCTCTTCTTGGAGTGATGAAAATATTCTAAAATGAATTGCAGTGATGGTTACACATCTCTATGAATGGATGTCATAAAACAGTTTTTAAATGCTGGTATTTTAATTTACCTTAAAGGCAGCATAGTGGATTGAGTACCAAAAAGTACAGAAATGCAGGTTGTGAGTTCTGTTCTGTCACTAACTTGTTCGCCTGACATAAGTCAGCTGCCTGCTCTGGGCTGCTGTTGGCTAAGTCGTTCCCCTTTCTGTTCCATAAAGTCATGATTCTGTGACTTAAACCTGAGACACCTGAGAAAAGGAAGGAAAAAATACCCAATAAAGAGAATAGAGAGACAAAAGGCAGTGGACATAGCACATGTAGCATGCTGGTGACAAACATGGCACACAGGCATTGTGGTGCCAGGAGGACAGACACAGGAGCATCGCACAGCATTGTAGTTAGTGTGGGGGCCAGCTGCCTGACTTCTGAAGGAAATGCTGTTAACACATCACAGCTGGGAACATAAAGTTCCTAACAGCAGAAATTTTAATATGTATTTGAACAATAATGTGCCATGAAAATAGTTTCCCTGACCATCATGCTACAGTGTGAAATGCAAATGAACATGCCAGTCACGTTACATAGCATTTCAGTGTTTTCTTTCATAGGCATACGTCAGTACAAAGATCAGAAATGCAAACTCTTTCCTTGGTTAAAAGCACCTGCAGTGCTCCTTGGCCTAGAGAATTATTGTATTTATAGTCTTTTCAACATTCACCAGGTGGAAAAGTGGGTTCCCACAGTGCATCTGGAAAAACAGAAATGCATCTGGCTTAACTAATTACAGTTCAGCTTTTATTTAATAGAGAAAACAATAAATATGTGCAATTAATGCCACATAAGCCCTTACTGTATTCAATCTCATACATATTTCATTTCTATCTCTGGTTTTGAAATCTAAGTAATCTAGAGCCCACAGGATATCATGTGTTATGCATGCTTCAATATAACCCTAAAAAATGTGAATTGACATTTGATATGAATTTAAATCCTCCACAAATCCACACTTCTGTTAAAGTGCCACAAGGTTATTATATGGAAGTAATGGTGAAGGCAATGGAGCATTAGGAGGAGGCCAGTTTCTTCTTTGGTTCTGATGTGGTGGAAGGAACACAGCCTCCCAAAAGAAAAAGGGTAACACTCCTTCTGTGCTCCCTAATGGCCACACCTACTTCTAGGTACACTCTGAGTACCCTCAATACCAGGACAGTGGTCTGGGTAACATCTGGTATCCTCTGAAGGTGATGCATTTTCCTCACCTGGAACATTCTCCAAATTAACAGTGCAGAAGGGAAACACAACCTCATCATCATCATCATCATCACCACCACTCCTCAAGTCAGGCAGGGAATTATAGCCAGGGGGAGGCAGAGCAGCAGCTCCTGGTGGTGCAAGGCGAGCGGGTGGGATCCAGCCCCACAGCCATCAAGGAGGCATTCCAGCCCTGCTGAGGAACAGAGCTCCCAAAGTATGGCCCGGAGTGGACACTCAAGCTCTTTCAGCAAGCAGAAGGCAGCTGTAGTAAGAGTAGCACCTGTTGCCTTTGCAGTGTGTGCCCCACATGCCTTGGACCTATCAGCCGCTCTGTATAATTTGGACTGACCTACCAAGCTTTTAGAAATAATGTCCTTTCCATAACTAAAAGCGAGCCAATTTTGCAGACATTGTGTCCCTCTGATGTGATGCAACAGGAATTTATTTGAGCCTTTGAGTCTAACCTCTAGTTTGCAGAAATTTAGGGAATACAGGAACAAGTTAGCAACTTGAGAAAGCAGCAAATGAATTCAATGTGGGACAATCGACGGGGCAGCAGGTCCAATTTCTTCAAGTTGGCGTATGAAAAAGAAGATGGATGATGAGGAAGATTAGTAAAGAGGCTAATAAGAAAGAATGTACTATGGTTACACATTAGATGATGTGAATTGCTTACTGTTAATTTTGTTGGGTATGACAAATGTATTGTGGTTACTATATGGATATTATAAAGTATGCTTAGTAAAAGATAAGTTCCTTAAAAGTAACATTCATTTTTATTTGAACTGTCTTTAATGAATAACATTTCTACTGATGCTTCCTACCATTGCCCCTAAATTATTAGCTGGAACTAAGGAAACTCTTATGGACAGGGCATCCAAGTTTGACCACAAGTGAGAGCAGGGCCTTACCCAGTGCTGCAGGAATCCACCTCTAGTCTGGTCCAGTCTGCCAGGGCAGCCCTAGCCCAGTCTGCTTGTGCTGGGCACAAATCTTAACAGACATTAGGCCTGGATGAATATTTGCTGAAGAAGTTCCTCTCCATCAATTACAGCAGATGGGTTATGGAATGTGTCAACGTACATGCAAATTAAGGATAAAAATGTACAAAAGATGTGTTTATAAGTGACTAACTAGCTTTCTCTACTTCTTACAGGAATGTCTGGGCAAATTTTCCCTCTACATTTCTTTTTTCACAAATTCCACTTTTGCCCATAGAAAATTCTCTATGATCCCCCGTGGACAGTAGCATTGGCTCCTCAAACTTTGTCTTTTGTCCATTATTAGAATTTTTTATCCTGGGATGATTCTTCTATGATAATGGTATGAAATAGCAAGCTCCTATTCTATTTAAAGCTTTCAAGCTGTAAGTAATTTGAAATCTCTGAAAGCCATCTGAGCTCTCTCAGCCACAAAACCTTTGTGCATATTATTTCCCTGTGGTCCTTCTTCATTAGTCCTTTTGGGGCTTGTTAATTGCTACTAAGTTTTCCTGTTAATATGAAAATGCTGAATGTTGAAATAGTGCATACCCAAAGGAATCTTAAGTTGGGTCCTTTGATTTTATTTCCTATAGGAGATTGCCTTTAATTGGTTTTCTGGTCTGTCTTTTGAAATTTTTTTAAAGAGTAGACTATTCTATAAGAATTAAAACTGTCATTGCTTGAACTTCGTATTTACTTTCATACAGATTGTTTCCTACAAAAACTTAGTAATACCCCACACTTATATTTATGCTATAGTCCAGAGGTAGACAAATGTTTTCAGTGAGGGACCAGAGCATACATATTGCACACTTTGCAGGCCTCCTGGTCTGTCTGCAACTACTCAATTCTGCCTCTATATCACAAAGGCAGCTCAAACATCAAACAAATGAGCATGGCTGTGCTCCAATAAATCTTTATGAATGCTGAAATCTGAATTCTGTAAAATTTTCATGTGTCACAAAATATTCTTCTTTTTTTGGGGGGGACAGCATCTCACTCTGTCACACAGGTTGGAGTGCAGTGGTGCAATCCATGGCCCACTGCAGCCTCAACCTCCTGGGCTCAAGTGATCCTCCTGCATCAGCCTCCTGAGTAGCAGGGACTAAGGCTCATGCCACCACACTTGGCTAATTTTTTACTTTTTGCAGAGGCAGGGTCTTGCTTTGTTGCCCAGGCTGGTTTCAAACTCCCAACCTCAAGAGATTCTCTCGCTTTGGCCTCCCAAAGTGCTGGGATTACAGGCATGAGCCATCATGTCTGGCCTTATTCTTCTCACTTTTTCTCCCAACAATTAAAAAATGTAAAAACCATTCTTGGCTGGGCGTGGTGGCTCATGCCTGTAAACCCAGCACTTTGGGAGGCCGAGGCGGGCAGATCATTTGAGGTCAGGAGTTTGAAACAACTCTGACCAACATGGTGAAACCCTATTTCTACTAAAAATACAAGGAAATTAGCCAGGCATGGTTCCGGGTGCCTGTAGTCCCAGCTACTCAAGAGGCTAAGGCAAGAGAACTGCTTGAACCTGGGAGGCAGAGGTTGCAGTGAGCCGAGATCCCGCCACTGCACTCCAGCCTGGGCAACAGAACAAGACCCTGTCTCAAAAAAAAAAAAAAGGAATAAAAAGAAAAACTATTATTAGTGTTCAGGGCATACAAAAGCAGGCAGAGGGCTGGAGGTGGCCCTGTGCCTTGTTTGCTGACCCCTGTCATAAACAGAAATTCTTCATAGACTGTTTATGGATAATTGAGAAAAGGAAGCGCAGATTCTAAAGTAGTAAGATCCTACTGATTATTTTCAAGGCTTCCCACCATAACTTCATGATCATTTAGCGTACCACAGTACAGCAGGCTGCACATCATCAGAGCCTAACGAATCCACATTTCTGCCTCTAGCCCAGGCCATTCCCTGGGTGCCATACACACAGATCCAACCAGCTGCCTGGCACCACAGTTGGAGCTCTCCTGGACATCTCTAGGGTCTAACATGGAATCTTGCATCTCCTCCTCCAGCCCCTCTGTTTCACCTCCTGTCTTCTCCATGGCCACACATGTTGCCACCATCCACCTACATCAAGAAGTCACCTTGATTCCTCATGCATCACTCATTAGCAAGCTCACTGCATCTCCAGGACTCACGCCAGGCCTGCACTGCATCCCCGCTACTTCTCCTAGGCTGGCGGCCCCATCTCTTGTCTCGATGGCTACGATAAGTCCCATATCCACCTCCTTCCCTCTCCCCGCACAGCTTTCTGCTACAGTAGCAGAGGTGAGTAATTGCAATGACCCACAAGCCTAAAATATTTACTAACTCTTTTAAAATAGAATCCAGATCCTGTTAGTCCCCTCCTGTGGGCTTCAATGGCAAATCCTGACACTAGAAAAAATCCAAACTCTATCAGGGTCTAAATATTGCACAATTTTCCCCTATGTTTACATGAGCAAATGTATCACATCTTACATTTAATATGTGAAATGATTTTGTGGAGATTTTGAGATCCCATTTATTAATAGGGAAAACTCAGCTTCAGGGAGGTTGCCTAATGTGCCTGACATTCAGTCAGCCCCAAACAGACTTGAATCTAGATCATGTGGTTCAAGGCATGGATGCATCTGTCACCCCACAGAACTGTGCCCCTCATACCACAGCTGCACATGGGCCACATTCGATGGATTTGGATTATTTGTGTAGGCCCATCAGTGAAGTCTTCTGGAGTCCTTTTCCCAGAAGGTCTGCTGTTGATTCGAGTGGGCTAATAGAAACTCCAGGGCATTACGTTGTCCCACAGGGCCTTAGCATTCCCAAGACAGTTCTCTGGGCTAAGCTGACAGAATGTTTTTGTCTGCAGTTCCTAGGATGTGCATGGGAGAATCTCTGCTCCTCGAGGTTTTAGTTTTCTACAGTTTGCACCAAAATATCTACTGAATTTTAGATCTCCCTCCCCCTTGGTGTGAAGTGTCAAATAGTAGATATGTTGAACAAACAGATCTAAAATTGAAGAAATTTCAGACTTGAAATGTTCAGTGGTTATGCGCTTTGGACTCTTCGCAGGGAACCATAGCATTTATAACCTTTCAGTAAGACAAAACAAGGCAGTTGGACACAGAGACCCAGGACAAAAACCTCCATACTAACGTATTGGGTAAAATGGCACATAGGGGACCTGTTTCAATTAAGAAAATATAAGCTATATGTAGCCTCCTAATTATCAGACCAGACTTGATAGATTTTAACAAATGTTTTATCTACCTAAGTTAGTATTTATACTTTTCATAAATGCCTTTATGATTTTGAACACAGATCACTAGAAGATAAAGAAAAGAAATAAAGCCTTTTGTTTAGTTTATGACATTTGTTTAACATGCTCGGGTGAGTTTTTCGCTTTACTAGATTTTGCATAATTTTATCCTTTTTATACTTCTTAGTACTCTTTCATCCTTTAAGCCAAATTTATTCTATGTGGTCTGGTTATGATGTTCTGGTGTTTTTGTTAATAAGTATTTCATTTTGCCAAAAGAACAGCACTGCCTAACCAGTCACTCAAGGGGCCGAAGGCAACTTATGTGTTTGGCAAAAACTTAGCTCTAGTGAGAATTTGATAAATTTCAGGTTGTTGCATAACTAGATCCCCTCACTCTTATGCTTTGACTTAAATCTGCCCACAAATGGTAAGGAGAGCAGTCCTCAGAATACGGAGGTCAGAGAGCAAAGCCGGCTGTCACTGAAGCTGGCTGTCATCAAAGTAAGGAACTAAAGGCTGAGATAATAAGAGTGAGATGACAGGTGAGACTGAGATAAGTCCAAGGCCTTGGGGACACACACATCAGTGCTGTCCTCCTGGCCCAGGTCAGGAGAGTCCTGCTACTCCGCCTCCAGGTTTACTATTTTCATCTCAGCTTTAGAGTAGAATCTAACTATTTCTATATATTAATATAGTATTTTTTTTTCAAGAAGCAAATGCCATAGTCAAAATAAAAGAGCAACTTGGCAACAGGAAATCTAATATGAAAATTAATTATATTTAAATCATTCATGGAGATAATGTTAAAATTACAGTCTCCACATAGACTTTCCTCTGCAAAGGTCAACCAGCTATTCTTTCCAGAAAATACTGTTAGCCTTTTCTTAATATTTTTTAATATTGTTTTCTTATTGCCAATATCTTATTATAAGCCCTACTTGATATAACACGAAGTAGTTAAATGTGGATTTTACTGAGAGTGACTATTCTGAATGCAATTCTTTCTGCAACTAAATTTTATCTAAATTCTTCAGTTTCAGGAGGTCATTTTTTGGGGGTCTACAAGTGACAAAGATTAGGCCAAATATGAATTCATAAACTTATTAGTAATATTTTTCCTGGATATTAAGTCATGGTACAGGTCTTTTATATTAAGTTTTTTTAAAAGAACATTGTTCAAATGGTGAAAATTTTAGAAACTGTACCAAATAGAAATATATCAAAATATAAATGTTTAAAATCAAATTATACATGGTCAGGGGCTTAAAATAATGATAAATATTAGGAGAATATTGGCAAGAGGTACCACTTACTGATACTCTCTTGAACCCTCTGCTGTACATGTATTACGTTAAAGCAAGTATTCTTATCACTGCTATACACATTCAAATTCAGAGGCTCACAAAACTAATGATCAAAGTCAAAGTTTGAGCCTAGTTCTCTTTCATTCCAATACTCATGCTTTTTACATTACATAACTGCAATCTGAAGCATAAAGAGTTGCATGATTTATAGTCCTTTGGGTATATACCCAATAATGGGATGGCTGGGTCAAATGGTATTTCTAGTTCTAGATCCCTGAGGAATCGCCACACTGACTTCCACAATGGTTGAACTAGTTTACAGTCCCACCAACAGTGTAATCATGCTGCTATAAAGACACATGCACATGTATGTTTATTGCGGCACTATTCACAATAGCAAAGACTTGGAACCAACCCAAATGTCCAACAATGATAGACTGGATTAAGAAAATGTGGCACATATACACCATGGAATACTATGCAGCCATAAAAAATGATGAGTTCGTGTCCTTTGTAGGGACATGGATGAAACTGGAAATCATCATTCTCAGTAAACTATCACAAGGACAAAAAACCAAACACCGCATGTTCTCACTCATAGGTGGGAACTGAACAATGAGAACACATGGACACAGGAAGGGGAACATCACACTCCGGGGACTGTTGTGGGGTGTGGGGAGAGGGGAGGGATAGCATTAGGAGATATACCTAATGCTAAATGACGAGTTAATGGGTGCAGCACACCAGCATGGCACATGTATACATATGTAACTAACCTGCACATTGTGCACATGTACCCTAAAACTTAAAGTGTAATAATAATAATAATTTAAAAAAAAATCTGGGCCTAGGCTGCCTAGATGAAGGGACTGACCAAAAAAAAAAAGTTGCAAAAATTATAACATACTTCTTTTCTTTCCAGTGTTTTCAAACTGACAAAACATGTATTACATTTTACACTCACAAATGGCAAATTTTTAAATACACATTTTCTGAATTACATTGGAAACAAATGATATAAAAGAAAGATAACAATGTAATACACAGAAAATTAATTCAAGAAAAATGTCAATAGGTCAAGGCAGATCACTTTTTTTTTTAGACAGAATCCTGCTCTGTCACCCAGGCTAGAGTGCACTGGCATGATCTTGGCTCACTGCAATCTCTGCCTCCCGGGTTCAAGCGATTCTCCTGCCTCAGCCTCCTGAGTAGCTGGGACTACAGGCACACGCCACCACACCTGGCTAATTTTTTTGCATTTTTAGTAGAGATGAGGTTTTGCTATGTTGGCCAGGCTGGTCTCGAAATCCTGACCTCAAGTGATCCACCCACCTTGGCCTCCCAAAGTGCTGGGATTAAAGGCATGAGCCACTGCGCCTGGCCCAAATCACTATTCTTATGCAACAACTAAAAAACTCAGATAAATAAGTGAAATTACATTTCTAAAGTCATCAGAGAACTGTGAAAGCAAAAATATTATATAAACTAAAATTTCTGAGTAAGAGAGTTCTTCCAAGCTGAGCTGTCTGTCACTAGCTGTTTTTTTCCTGAGGGCTTTTGCTGACCGTTAGCACAAGCTGTGGACATAAAGGGACTCTTTTCTCATGTGGCAGAACAAGTCCCCTTCAGTAACAAGGACTTCCTCAAACACATGGCTGGGTCCTACAAGACATTTATCAAATGTGGCGGCCATATGGGGAAGGTGGAGGCAAAGAACAAACTTAAAACCTCTGAAGGCAAGACTGAGTCTTCCATTCTTTTGAGACCAAGGAGATAGAAGTCCATCAGGCTTTCATTCTGGAATCCAAGAGAAAATTCCCAAGGAACAAGAAAGAACTGGGCATTAGCTAAATCTTATTAAAACTGCAGCCACCAGTCTGGGTAACATAGCGAGACCCCATCTCTACAAAACATTTGTAAAAAATGGTCAGGTGAATTGGCAAGTGCCTGTAATCCCAGCTACTCAGGAGGTTGAAGTGGGAGGACTGCTTGAGCCCAGGAATTCTAGGTTATAATGGTGCCAATGTACTCCATTCTAGGGGTGACAGAGGGAGATTCCATGTCAAAACAAAAAAACCCCCAAAACTGTTACCAGATCTGACCCATTCTAATACCTGCTGGCCTGAAGTGATCAGCCCTTCAGTCCTTCATCCTTAGACAGGAAATCCCTCCAAGGGAGATTCAATCCTTGCTGGTGGAAGAAATTACCAGAACCTACACAGTTTCTTTATATACAATGTCTACATATAATAAAAATTACTAGATATGTGAAGAGAGATAAAAATGTGATGAATAAAAAAATGGATACAGGCACACAGATGATCTCATTGGATTTAGTAGATAAGAATTAGATGGACTAAACTGATGAAAAGATGGGAAATTTCATCAGATAATTTAAATGTATTAAAATGAATCAAATTGGCATACTACATTTAGAAGAAAACAAGTTCTGAAATTAATAACTCACTAGATGATTTGACAGAAGACTCAGGCACAGAGGAAGACAGCTTAATTAACTAAAACACAGGTCAACAGAAAATATTCAAATTGAAGCAGAAAGATATGCGAAATGAACAAAACAGATCAGACAATAAGAGACATGAAGGAAAAAGGCCAACATATCTGTGATTTGGGTCCCAGAAGCAGGAGAGAAAGAAAGAAAACCAGACAAAGCCATATTTGAAGAGATATTGAGTGAAAATTTTCCAAAGTTGATGAAAGACGTCAATCCACAGATAAAAGAAGCTCAGTTAACCCAAAGGAGAATAAATAAAATGAAAACCACATATAGGCACATTATATTCACTGTGGTAAGTCAAAAATGAGAGAAAAACTTTATGAGGATAACAACAGGCTACCTTCAAAGAAGCATAACTTTCCAACAGAAACTAGGAAAGTCAAAAGATAATGGAATGAGAGTGTAAAGGCAGGCCAGACTGGAAGAAGAGATTTGCAGCACGTGCACACACACACACACACACACACACACACACACAGAATTTTGACAGATGGCTTGTATCCAGAATATATAAAGAACTGTGACAGATCAATAATAACAATAATAAAAGATCAGCGGCACAATAGAAAAATGGGCCAAACAGAAGTTCAAGACCAGCCTGGGCAACATGGTGAAACCCCATCTCTACCCCTTCCCAATATCCAAAATAAAAAAATTAGTTGAGTGTGGTGGTGGACACCTATAGTCTCAGCTTCACGGCTAATTGTGCCACTGCCTTCCAGCCTGGGCAACAGAGTGAGACCCTGTCTCAAAAAAAAAAAAAAAAAAAAAAAAAAAAAAAAAAAAAAAGAGAGAGAGAGAGAAAGAAAGAAAGAAAAAGAAAAATGGGCCAAAGGCTTGTAGAGGCATTTTAAATAGAAAATATACAAATGACTTGACCCAAAAACATATAAGAAGATGCTTAACATCATTAGTAGCCAGGGAAATACAAATTAAAACCATAATGAGATACCACTACACAGCCACCAGAATGACTAAAGTTAAATGGGCAAACAATACTAAGTACTGGTGAGGATGTGAAGCAATACACACTTTGCTGGTGGGGATGGATGTAAACTGATTTGGACTATGAAACAGTTTTGCAGTATCTACTAAAGCTAAACATACACTGGACTTATTACCCAACAATTTTTATCCTGGGCATATACCCAAAGGAAATAAGTTCATCAAAAGACATGAATGAGAATGTTCATATTAGCATTATTCATAATAGCTCCACACTGGAAACAACTAAAATTTCTTCAGTAGTGGAATGGAATACACTGTGGTGTATTCACACAAAGGAACGCTGCACAGCATTAAAAAATAACAACACGTACAACAACAAATGAATCTCAAAAACATAATGCTGAGCTAAAGAACCAGATGCAAATATTATACACTGTTTAATTACATATGAAGTTTAAAAGCAGGCACAATTGGTATATGGTGAAAAAAGTTATAAAAGTGGTTACCTGTGGGAGTGAGTCCTGAATGGAAGGAAGCGAGACGGAATCTTTGGGAGAGCACGGGGGGCTGAAAATATCCTATATCTTCATCTAGAGCCGTGGTGAGTGATTTTGGCCCCAGAGGACGCTTGGCAATGTCTAGAGACATTTTTGGTCATGGCATCCAGGGAGGGGCGCTACTGCATCATGCAGTGGGTGGAGATCAGGGATACTGCTAAACATCCTACAGGGCAATGGACAGCCCCCCTCAATAAGGAGTTGTTCAACCCCAAATTTCCACAGTGCTGAGGTGAGAAACCCTGATCTAAATGGTGGTTCTGTGGGGGTACACTTACATAAAGTTTACTAAGCTGTACTCTTAAGATGTGTAAACTTTACTGTAAGTTATAACTCAAGTAAATGAAGTTAAAAGCTGTCATAAACCTCACAAAAATACCAAATAGCTCCTCACTGAAACCTAACAAACACAGAAAAACTTTGTTTCAGTTTTAGAAATACTCTAATTCATTAAACAGTCCTAACAACTGAAATTTGCGGGGATTATAGTAGGTCAGGAAGAATTAAACTCTGTATGTAAAGTCCCCCTTAAATGCAAAGAAATATCTATACCTTTCTTTATGGCAGGAGATATATGAATTATATCTGGGTAGTCACTAGAAATAAGTATTTGTAAAAACACAATGAATGTATAATGGAAGACCCCATACATGTAAGATTCTTCTGGAGTCATCAAAAGATGAATAGAGAAAAATATACATATACCTTTTTTTTTTTTAAGTCAGGGTCTCACTCTGTTGCCCAGGCTGGAGGGCAGAGGCAAGATCATGGCCCACTGCAACCTCAGTGTCCCCAGGCTCAGGTGATTCTCCAGCCTCAGCCTCCCAAGTAGCTGGGACTACAGGTGTGCACCACCACACCCAGCTAATTTTTTGCATTTTTTAAAGAGACGGGGTTTCACTATGTTGCCCAGGCTGGTCTGGAACTCCTGGGCTCAAGTGATCCACCCGTCTTGGCCTCCTAAAGTGTGGGAATTACAGGCGTGAGCCACCACGCCTGGCCACATGTACTTTTTAACAGTAGTCTAATCTGAGTTCTCTGGATAATGACTTCCTGTCATTAATTATCAACATGACTTTTATACAAATTAAGAAATCTATGGGCGTGTGCTCTTGGGCTGCTCTCTGGCCAGCACCCTCTCCTGTGTCACCTCTCTTGTGTCCACAGTCTAACCCATCTCTTCATTTCCCTCAACCTCAGGTGGAGCCTCCACCAAAATGCAGATTTTTCCAAAAATCCTTACAGGGACGATCATCACCCTAGAGGTTGAACCCTTGGATACAACAGAAAAATGTAAAGGCCAATATCCAGGATAAGGAACGAATTCCTCCTGATCAGCAAAGACAAGTGACTGGAAGCTGGCAAGTAACTGGAAGATGGACATAACTTTCTCTGACTACAACATTCAAAAGGAATTTACTCTTTTTATGTTGTGTTGAGACTTCATGGTAGTGCTAAAACTAGGAAGAAATCTTACACGACTCCCAAGAATAAGCATAAGAGAAAGAAGGTGAAGTGGGTGTCCTGAAATACTATAAGGTGGATGAAAATGGCAGAATTAGTGGCCTTCGCTGGGAGTGCCCTTCAGATGAATGCGGTGCTGGAGTTTTTATGGCCAGCCACTCTGACAGGCATTATTGTGGCTAATGTTGTCTGATTTATTGCTTCAACAAACCAGAAGACAAGTAATTGTGTATTAGTTAATAAAAGACATGAAAAGAAAGAAAGAAAGAAATCTACGAGTCCCTTAAATCACATTATCACCCCACCCTGAGACATAAAAGTCCATTATAAGGGTGAGGTAAGGAGTAGGTTACATAATTCTTTCCAATGTTGCAAAAATTCAACAGCTGTATAAGTGTTGATTCTAGCCATTCAGCCCTAAAAGGGTTAAAGTCCCCAGTGTCCTTAGTCTAAGAGCAGCAGTACAAACTTGTGCTCCAGCCTTGAACAACCACAATTCAGTCAGCTTCAGAGGGGCACAAATGTAGACAAACCAGATAGCAGGGCGTTCTCCACTCCTTCACTGTTGGACGGAGGTGCACATCGTACAACCCAGCACCTCAGGAAGCCAAGCTATCAGATAACTTTGCATGAGATGCCTTTGCCTAAAACCCAAATGCTCACATGAAAAGGATTTTACACTTTAGAATAAAATAAATGCGTAACTAGAAATTGAGCTTTCAAAATCAAAAAGGTCAACTGGCTTTAATAACTATTGAAATAACTCATGTAAAATATCACTGCTGGGCAACAGAGCATATTACTCATATTTCACAAGTGATTCCCTATGCAAATAGCTAGACTCTAATCAGCTGGATTAGAATCAAGGTAATCTACTCCATGAATTTATAATCATGTAATATTACTCTGAGCACTCAGCCACATCAAACTTGATTGTGAATGGCCTCTCCAAGAGCCCATTCAATTGTACTATGAACTGACTCACTCCAAGCAGCGTCGCCTTAACTCTTGAGCTAGCTGCGCAAAGTAACATTCAGGGACCATCTCAGATGGTGCCGTGTAGTCAGTGACTCCCACTTATTGTACTAAATGCTAAGCTCTGACTCAGAGTGAGCCCTATTAGTTGCTGACTGACACTGTACTTGTTTGAATAGAAGCTCACATTGTGAGTCACCTGGTGGTGCACTGAAAACCAATCTGAAATATTCCCAATTGGACAGTGATTCACATTATAATCATATTGGGACCTAACTTGACACATGTGATTTCAAAACTAAGTTCTGCCAAACTGGCTTGGGAGCATGCTAGAAAGTCACTCCCTTCTTAATGCCCTGTCCTTCTGTCTAAGAACATGTAGTAAGTATCCCAAGATGCAAAGTATTCAAGAGTAGGGTATTCATGCAAGAGGTTTCTTGGAGTCAAAAAAAAAAAAAAAAAAAAAAGAGTAAGATACTCAGTATCCAGTTCACACACTGGAAAAAACCACGGTTTCCTTTTTCAAGGATGCAGGCATAATTCCTAGAAGTACCTCCCCTGGAAGACACACCATCCCTATAAATAACTTTGTAAGACCAGATGTTCACTAGAAAGTCTCTGCCGTATAATTCATTTTTTTTTTTGAGACGGAGTCTCCCTCTGTCGCCCAGACTGGAGTGCAGTGGCGCAATCTCGGGTCACTGCAAGCCCCGCCTCCCAGGTTCATGCCATTCTCCTGCTTCAGCCTCCCGAGTAGCTGGTACTACAGACGCCCGCTAATACGCCCAGCTAATTTTTTGTATTTTTTAGTAGAGACGGGGTTTCACCGCATTAGCCAGGATGGTCTCGATGTCCTGACCTCGTGATCCACCCGCCTCGGCCTCCCAAAGTGCTGGGATTACAGGCGTGAGCCACCGCGCCCGGCCTCTGCTGTATAATTCTTAAACTGTGGATGTGAGGGCTGGACCTTTAAGCCACTATCTGCATCTGTCCATGGAAGGTGAATGTGGTTAGATGCCCACATGCGGAAATAAAAGAACAGCAGGATTTCAGGAATTAATACTTAATGCCTGGAATGAAACCAGTTACAGGCTACTGCATTAAAATAAGAAAGCTTTTCTCTTTTACTCTCGCTAGTCCATAAAATCTAGAATAATAAAATCTCCTTCTGTGTAATTTTGAAGGCGTTTTCTAAAAGGCTTTCTTATAGGAAAGACCTTCAAAGCCAGCTGGAAGGATATTTTAAGAATTCAAGAAAAGCTCAAAAATGATTTCTAAAACTGCTACAGGAGATTAATAGAATATGCAATCAAATGTATACCCAAGTGGGGCCTAAAATGCTAATGCTGGCTCTGACAATAGCTTGATCTGTGACCTTACCTTACCTGAGGCGAGTCATGTGGTCATGTCTTATAATGTGAGGGACCAAGATAAAGCTGTGGGACAACAGTAGCCACGACATGACTGCCTGGTCCTTCTTGGTGCTAGAGATAGCACATGCTCGTACACTTTTTCCTTATTTATACTTTCTATCTGTTAACAGTTCATTAATCCGTAGTAAACAGGAAATCAGCAGTGTGGTGTGTAAGAGCCCTGGGGAATGAGTCAGAAGTCTTCATTCTATTTTGGCCCCTAATTAGCTGGAGATCTCTGGCCCAGACCCTTAACCTCTCTGAATGTTTCCTCATCTGTAAAACGAAGGAGGTAGAATAAGTAACCTGATTTTCATCATTCTGTATTTTTGATATAAGGGGTGTTTCAGCTAAAACGTTTACAGTGATCTCAGACAAGTTAGCACTTCAAGCTCCTAAGGTACATTTTCAGATTCTCTTAAACTGGCTGTTCATCAGCCCTGGCAACACAGCGAGATCCTGTCTCTATAAAAAATTAAAAAATTAGCCAGGTGCGGTGGCAGGCACCTTAAGTCTCAGCTACTCCTGAGGCTGAGGTGGGAGGATCCTTTGAATCTGGGAGTTCAAGGGTGCAGTGGGCCTCAGTCGTGCCACTGCACTCCAGCCTGGGTGAGAGAGTGAGACCCAGCATCAAAAAAAAAAAAAAAAAAAAAAGACTGTTTTTCTAATTTGGATGATGGACATGTGTTTCATTATGCATACTCTTTATAGTATACAAAAATATGCATTCTGTTACTGATCTTATTTATAGTTTGAAGTCTAGCCAATTTAGCATCAATATAATAATAGTAATAACAGCTTTTGCTTGGTATGTGCCATCCCGTTATAAGAGCTCTATGTTATTAATTTACTGAATGCTGTCAGCTAGCACATTAGGTAGATACTCTTTTTTTTTTTTTGAGACGGAGTTTTGCTCTTGTTGCCCAGGCTGGAGTGCAGTGGCTCCATCTCGGCTCACTGCAACCTCTGCCTCCTGAGTTCAAGCAATTCTCCTGCCTCAGCCCCCAGAGTAACTGGGATTACAGGCGCCAGCAACCACACCCGGCTAATTTTTTGTATTTTTAGTAGAGATGGGGTTTCACCATGTTGGCCAGGCTGGCCTAGAACTCCTGACCTCACGTGATCCACCTGCCTCGGCCTCCCAAAGTGCTGAGATTACAGGAGTGAGCCACCGTGCTCTGCTGAGCTGCCGAGGTAGGTGCTCTTATTACCCCCATTTCACAGATGATGAAACTAACGCCCAGAGAGGATAAGTAACTAGTCCAAGTTTATGCAGTTAGGTTGGGATCTGAACCCAGTTACAGAGCTCAAGACTCCCACTGGTTTGGCAACACTGCCTCTCATATGCGTTACTAATACGTGATAAGAAAGATGTCACTTATGGCCAGGCGCAGTGGCTCACTCCTGTAATCCCAGAACTTTGGGAGGCGGAGGCAGGCGGATCACCTGAGGCCGGGAGTTCAAGACCAGCCTGACCAACATGGAGAAACCCCGTCTCCACTAAAAATACAAAAAATTAGCCGGGAGTGGTGGCGCATGCCTGTAATCCCAGCCCCAGCTACTTGGGAGGCTGAGGCAGGAAAATCTCTTGAACCCAGGAGGCGGAGGTTGCAGTGAGCCGAGATCGCGCCATTGCACTCCAGCCTGGGCCACAAGAGCGAAACTCAGTCTCAAAGAAAAAAAAAAAAGAAAGAAAGATGTCACTTAACGAACAGAAGATAAACAGGATGAGACCCCCAAAAAAATTAGGTTTGGAGAAAAAATATTTTAACAAAAATAGTAAATTGCAAACTATGGTTGTGCCAAAAAACTTACAGATAGAGTAATTTCACTAGAAATGTCCTTGTCAAGTTTGGGGCGGAAGTCAGACCGTTTTGCGAATTTGAACATTTGTTTAGTCAATTCCACGGTTTGGAGCCACTAGGGATGAAATGAAGCCAAGCCACGCCAGGGCCCTGCCACTTGTGTCCCAAGGAGGGTGGCTGGAGACTGATGCAGAAGCCCCTTCCTCCCCACACTCCGGGGCAATGAGGAGCCCGCGTGCAGGTGCCTAATTCCGCTAGCCAGTGGGCGAGGGTCCTGCTGGCACCGAGGGCACCAAGGCTGGGGTTTTGACACCAACGAACCCCAGCCAGGTGACTGGGGAACGTGGGGAGTTCGACAAAGAGCGATAGGCTTTTGCCATTTTTTTTTTTTTTTTTTGAGACGGAGTCTTGCTCTGTCGCCCAGGCCGGAGGGCAGTGGCGCGAGCTTTTGCCAAGTTACGAGACGGACAGGAATCGAGGAGATTCCCCTGTAGCGCTCTCCACCTTCCGGACAGAAATCCTGTAGACCACGTTCACTTCTCCACTCCGTGCATCGCCCGTGGCCCGTGGGCAGCAGCTGCTCCCCTGGGATCCCCCTCGCCTGTCCGCGAGCTCTCGCACGGCCGCGTCCCTGCTGCTGGGGTCGCTCGCTGGCCCTGGCTGCTCGCCAGGATTTTCCTTTGATGCTGTCAAGTCCGGGAAGCTCACGATGCACCTCAGTGCCCGCGCGCCGCCTCTCCCAAAGCCCCTTCCCCACTCACTCCCCCACAAGCGTGGAGGGAGATGGGGTAGGTCGCGGCGCCTATAGACCCCCTCCCGGCGCCCACTCTCTCTCTTCCACTTCTCTAGCAGCGGTAGGGCCGCAGCGCACGCAAACCTTTCCCCAAAACGCCCACCCCACTCTCAGCTAGCCGCTTCTCTCAGGGCTCCTCCGCCCGAGCTGGGTGTGGGGATCGCCGCGCACACAGAGACGGGAAAGCCACCCCGGTCCCGGAGCGCCGCTTCCCTAGAGGCCCCTGGCCCGTCCGCTCCCCCAGCGCTGGAGGACAGCCGCGCACACAGACCCTCCCCTCCAACGCCCACCGCGGTCCCCAGCTGCAGCCTGCACCTCCACTTCCCGCCCCCAGTCTCCCGCCCTCCGCCCCCTGCTTTCCAGTCTCCGCAGTCCGGGCGCCCAGACTTGTTTCGACTTCCCAGGGCAGCTCCGAGGGTGCGGAAGATCAAGTGCCCGGGTTTGTTCCAGGAAAATCCCGGCGGCGCCTGCACGTTAACTGCCCTGGCGCAGGCGAAGGGTGGAGGGCACTTCTCTGTTCATTCGGTTTTCAAGAGCGTGAACAGAGGCTCCGAGTGAACGCCCATACCTAGTCGGTCTTCTAGGGTCCACGCGTGGGGCGTCCACTTCCTCACCCTGCCCCTCGGTGCCCCTGCCCTGGTTGCACTTCTCCTAAAAGGAGGCGCTACGATTCCAGGAGGCTCTGTCTCCTTACCCTTCCCAGCGGCGCTCAAACCACCAGCCCCGGGCGCCCAACCCCTTCCTTGTCCTCTCCCTATCCCGTGAGAAAGCCGACGCTTCCACCCGCCTGGTCTTTCCGAAATACGCTTCGGGTGGTCAATGCGATTTCTAGGGTCTAAAGACTAGACTCCCGCGTTCCCCACCAAGACACCGACGCGAAGCCGCAGAGGTGGAATCGCGGACGCCCTGGCAGGCCCGGGACATATTGATCCTGGTGGCGCGATGCCCCTCTTCGCACGCGGACGCACTCGCAGCCCCACTCCCCCAAACTCGCACTGCGGGAAGGAACCCCCGACTCGCACCGGCTCCCGCCCCGCAGCAACGGCGACACCCTGAGGTCCGGACGAGCGGCGCGCCCCTCCCAGCCTCGGCCACTTTCCAGCACGAAGCCTCAGGGCGAGCCCGAGACGAAGAAAGAGAGTTCGAGGAACTGGGATACTCACGAGCCCACCGTCCACCCTGCCGGCCGGGGAGGAAGCCCCGGCCGGCTCGCCTCCGTCCGCCGTGCGCATGCGTCCCGCGGGTGCCTTCTCAATATTGCAGCGCGGAGGGCTGCCCTCTCTACGTCGGCGATTGCTCACCGCGCCTTTCGCCTTTCTCCGGCTCTCGGTCTTTGCTCTAGCCCTCTTCTCCCGGCCTCTTCCTCCCCTTGCTCTGCCTCCTCCCCGCCCCCTCACTCCTTTTACCCGGCCGGGCAATCCCACGTCTCGCCTCCCTCCAGCGGCGGCGCACTCCACCGCCGCGGGTGCTAGGGGTACCCCCGAGGCCCCACGCGGGGCGCGACCTCCACCCCGGCCGCAGCCCCACTGCTCCAGCCCCGCATTAGCAAGTCCCAAGAGTGTGGATGCGAAGCCAGGCGCGCGTAGAGGGCGTCCGCGAAGCCCTCTGTGTCATCGCCTCCCCTCGGCGCGCGGGGCCGAGCGAGACTAGAGTGTGCTGGACTGCGTGCTCGGACCTCGTGAATGAAGGGAGCGGGAGGAAGGAGCGGGGGTGGGCGGCAGGCATGGAGGGGGCGCTTGGTCCCCAGAGCTTCGCGTCTGTGGACTGCGCGTCTCTGGAGGGCAGCCCCCTACCTTCTCCCCGGCCCGGGGCGCCTCTCTGAGCTCTGTCCCCGCCCCACCCCGGCGCAGCCTAGGCCTCCGGTCTTCCCGCCCTGGAAAGCGGCCCTCGCCCCCTCCCAGCTAGCCAGAGCGCGGAGGCCCCACCCAGCAACCGAGCGGGGGATAAGGGGGGGAACTAACCCCTGACTCCAGATCCCGCTGAGACCCTCGGCAGTCGCCCTCCGCGTCCCCTTCTCCAGGGACTCCGGAGTCCGGGGAAAGGAGTAGACCAGGGGGCAGCGGGAGGGGGAACCCAGCCGCCCAGCTCTCCGGACTCGCAGCACCGCGTGTCCCCGTAGCCCGCAGCGTCCCTTCGGGAGTGGGACCCGGTGGGGCCGCGGGGTTAGTTCCCTGGAGCCCGGAGGGCTAAGCTGAAGCTGGAAACTGACCTGACACAAAAATAACATCACGTCATTTCCTCCCTTGCCTGCCGAGAGGGCAGGGGAGTGGGAGAGCGAGCGCTGGGAGCAGGCGGAGGCGCGTTTGGGGGAGGCTCGGAGTAGGCGGAGGAGAGCGACACGCTGAGAGTTTGAAAGGCAGCCTCGGGGAAGAGCGAGGGCTCCCTCCCGTTTTCTTGGACCATGGAAAGGAAATGGCCCAGGAAAAAGTAGCTTGGAGTGTCTTCCCGCGGGGAGGGGCGGTGTCCCGGGAGCCGCCAATGTCCCGTCCTAGGACTTGCCCAGCCACGTCCCGGCCTTCCCGACCTTGCCACCCTCCCTACTGCTAGCCCCAGCGGAGCGGGTCAGTTGGGGTTAGGAAGAATCGGGAGAGGCTGGTGTCCTGGGGAGGCTGGGTGTGGGGCGTAGTGGAGACCACGGTACTCACCGGCATAGGCGAGCTCTGCCCAGCGGTGGCGTCTTCTTCCCTGGGCTTGGCTACCGGATGGGGGGGCCTCAGCGGACGACCCCCCGAGGGTCGGCCGGGCAGTGCCAGCGCCGCCCCGAGCAGGAGCGAGAGGCGGCCCGGCAGCTCCTCGTGCCCCCTCGAGAGCCGGGCGGCCGGCAGGGCGGGAAGCAGGGGGGAGAAGTCCAGGCGCCTCCGGGGAGCCTCGGGAGGGGGTCGCCGGAGAAGGTGAGAGAAGAACCTTGCGAGGCTGGAAAGCGGGCTAGAAAGGAGGCCGAACAGCTTCGGGGCGGCGGGCGAGTCTGGGAGCTGTGCAGGCGGGAAGGACTGGGGTGGGGAGAGAGAAACAAAACCAGCATACGGTTACTGTGGTGTCCGGCCGCTTAGATGGGGCTCTTTACTACAGAATTTTGAAGCGTTACTTTGGGGGTGCAAGAGAAGGTCGGTGAAAGCAGAAGGAAAGGCCTATAGTTAGATTCTTTCCCCTCCCACTCCTGTATTTCCTAACTCCGTGCTACTTGAAGTGTGGTCCGTAGGCCAGCAGCTTCGCCAACACCTAGGAGCTTGTTAGAAATAAAGACTCTTGAGCCCCACCCAGCCAATGCATCGGAATCTGCATGGTAACATTCCCAGGGGACTACCATGCGCGCTGAATGTGACATGCGGTATGCAGAAGGGTCTGTGTTCACATCGCCTGGTTCTTCAGAATTTGGATGAAAATCTTAGTTCACTTTTGTAACTGTTGCTCTTCCCCTCCCTTCTCTGGTCTTCCCTTGTTCCCCCTGCCCTTTCCCATCTCCCTAAGTGCCCAGGGCTCTGCCTGCCAGAGGCACAGAGTTGGCCTTGGCTACTAGATTCTATTGGGATTGTTGTCTATGGAAGGTCCAGATAGTGGCTGAAGGTGGCTGAAGGGCCTCAGACCCTCCACAGGCTGGTTGGAAAAAGGGACTGGCCAGTGCGGCTGTAGGTATGTTGCGTGGAGCTGGGGACACCGGGATTCCATGTTAGGGCTGCTACTACAAGTGAACCCTCTGCAGACCTCCTTTCCAAACTCCATGTGTCCTTCTTATTCCCGGGAACACCGGCCTTTCCACCTTCCACTTGTTGCTTAGGAGACCTAAGCAATGAGATATTTTTTTTCTTTTGGAAAGTGGAGGGAAGCACTAGTTTAGAAGTCAGAAACCCACGGTTCTACACTCAACCTTGCCACTAACTTAATGGCTAACCTTGGGAATGTCTCTTTATTTTTTGAGTTCATTTATAAAGGGGTTGAACTCAGTGGCTTTTTAAGGTCACCTGCCACGTTCAGACTGTCATCTTTGAGACGCTCTTAGTTTCTTGGTACACTAACGTTTAGTGTAGTTACAAACCGGAATGTAGCTCGGCCAATCCAAACACCCCCTCATGCCAAACAAAAAACAATTTAATCTGTCTGTGAAAAACAAGAGCGGTGGTTGCCAAAAAAAATGAAGGTGGAGGCGGGAAGCAGCGAATAAAGTGCTGGGGTGGTGAGGCGCGGGAGGCGAGCGCGGGTGTTCTGGGTTGGGCGTGGGTCCCAGGGGCGCGGCGGCCGCTCTCCAGGGTCCTGAAGGCGGGAGCGGTCGCGAGCGGCCTCGTGGGCCTGGCGCGGTTCCCTCACTCCGCAGTCACCAGGCCCGGCCTGTATTCTTTCGGCGGTGGAAGTCTTGTGGGAAGCGATTGTCAGGAGAGAGGGAAGGAAACCTAGCAACCCATTCTCATTCATGAGGCCCTTTCTGGGAAGCCGCGAGTGCGGTGGCTGATTTGTCTTGCTGTCGTTTGTTTGCTCCTGGGTGAGTTGAACTCGGTTTGCATTTCCGAGTAAGTTCACACTGTTTCACTTCCCCTCATTACCTTTTCCTGGAGAATGGGGTCGTTCTCCCAGTATTTTCATTCTCCTCGTTCAGCTGCTCCCCTCCCCCGCTCTCTGGCAAGGTGCTTTTATTTTAGGGGCTGGAGCTGGGAGCCGAGGAGGCTTCTGGAGAAGCGCCAACAGCTCCCTCGAGGGGGAAAGTGGGCGACTTGGAAATCGGTCTTGGCGCCCAGGGAACGAGCTGCTGAGCGTTCGTCTCGCTCGGGAGGAGGACAGGGGACGCGCCCCTCCGGCTGGGGCTTGGGGTGGAGGCTCAGCTGCCGCCAAGCGTGCTCGGCCTCCGCCGGGCAGCTAGTCCTGGGCGGCACCTGCGGGGGACTGCGGGCCGGCGGCCGCGTCTGCGCCCCACTCCGGAGCGAGGGCCCTCGGCGAGGGCGGGAACTTCGGCGGCCACGGGCGGCAGGGCCGGCGGGACCCCACGCTAAGAAGTCGAGAGAGGACCAGCCGGGTTCCTGGCGACCTAAAGCCTGACTGAGCCCACCCACGGCCTTCCCGACCCTACGCAAGGGCTTGAAAAAAGCCGAAAATGCTGAAAGAGAGCGCCCAGCACTGTTCTGCGACGCACGCCCAACTTCGAGGAGCCCGAGCGAGCTCCAAAGCCTTTCGTGGGTCCCAGAATTTGGCGTCTCCAGCTCATGTTTTCAAATGGTTTTGTGAGAACGTGCGAACTCGTAACCTCCTTTCTCCCTTCGCCCCAGTCCTTCTTCCCAAGTCACTTGCAAGCCCCTGCCCCTTCCTCAGGCACGCTTCATTAGGCATTTTGCTTCGGTCCTGTGCTTCGAGACAGAGACTCTTGTGAGGCAAGTGGTGGAAATGGTCAGACAGAATAAAAGTCCCAAACCTGATCCAAGAAAAACAAGACTCGGCTCCTTTGCTCCTCTGGAGACAGTCACCGCTTGCCGGCCCCACACTGGCCTCCGGATCAGCCGCCTGCTCCCCTGCTACTCTGAAGCCACCGCGAGCCTGGCGCGGGACCCAGCGGCTTCTCCAGTTAGGGGAGGGGATGAGGGTGAATCAAGCAAGGTGTGGGGCGCTGGAATCCTTCCGAACTTCTGGCAAGGACAGAGCCGAAGAGTATCAATGTAGCCAAAAAATTCGATCTGAGAAAAGTTATCTGCAGAAAGACCTTCAGCTGCCCGAAGGGCTGCACTTCAGAGAGCCTTGTCCTCCTTTTAGGCCAGATTCTATTTGACAGTCTGAGGACTGTCAAAAAATAGCCACAAAATGGAATCATCAGTACCGTATTCCTGGAAGCACTGGTCCTTAGGGATCCAGAATACTTGGGGAATACTTTATTCTGATTGAACCACCACTTCCCTAATCAATCATGTTGGCTACTGAACAGCAACCAGAGTGCCTTTATGCAGACGAAAATCGCCACAGCCTAAATCCGTATGAACAATGTCTTGCCCATTTCAAATGGAAGGTTTTCATTCATGCTTAAATAGCAGCATTTCATAAAGGAAATATCCATAGCAGAATAAATGACTCCTGTACCAAAAATTTCTGAGACTCTTTAGAATTAAAGTCACAGTTCAAATAGAATTTGAAGTTAGTTTTATGAAATGACCTATTTTCTCCTGAACTTTATTTTTAAGTTCCACTTTGCTGTAGTTTAGTCACATTATACATTTTAACTTTCTGTTATTTGGAAATGTAATTCTTCCACTTGGATGGAAGAATCTAGCTGACAGTGAAAACTATAAAGGCAAATCTTTCCCTGCATTGACCATAAATTATGCAGATTGAAAGGTGGCAATATAAATAAGCTAACAGATCCTGGCTATTAGAGTCACAGGTTAATATTAACTTGAGGTGAACCCAACTCTTCATAATATGTTTCTATTATTAAGGTTCCTTCAGAATCTTAATGTTCCTTGTGAACATACAACTCTTAAAAAGAATATTTCTGCAGCTCATAATCAGTTCTGACTTGTTCCATTCTTTTAATAACTTTTAAAATGTATTTATGCCTAAGGCTTACATGGAGATGTCATAAGGAAATGTTGTGTAATGGAGGCAATGATAACGAGGGAGGAGGGGCTGGAAAGGGAAGTGGAGTGGGCCAGAAATGAGAGCTACTTAGATGACTTGTATGTCTAGAGAAGGGAAACACTCAAAGGCTCTGTCTGCCTTGCTTCTGCAGAGATAACTGGGTCCTCTGTTCTCGCCATAGGTATTACTAGCCAAGTAAGGGACTTAGGGTAGGAGATGGTGTTTTTTAGTTTTTTTGGTTTTTTTGGTTTTTTTTTTTTTTTTTTTTTGACAGAGTCTTATTCTGCTGCCCAGGCTGGAGTACAGTGGTGTGATCTCGGCTCACTGCAACCTCCACCTCCTGGGTTCAAGCGATTCTCCTGCCTCAGCCTCCTTAGTAGCTGGGACTACAGGCATGTGCCACCATGCCCAGCTAATTTTTGTATTTTTAGTAGAGATGGGGTTTCACCATGTTGGCCAGGCTGATCTCAAACTTCTGACCTCATGTAATCCTCCCACCTTGGCCTCACAAAGTGGTGGGATTATAGGTGTGAGCCACCATGCCCTGCTGGAGATGGTGCTTTGAAAACTTATTACATAAAAAACTGAACCCTTGTTATTCTTCTCCGAGCTTTCTCCTCTTGCAGTCTTCACCAGCTCAGCAAATGGGAAGTTTAACTATTTTTGTTCAGGCGAAAAACATCATTGGAGTATCCCAGACTCTCTTTTTAAAATTCTCTGGCCAAATCCAACTACTTCATATTCACAGCTGTTACCCTGTGTTATAGGTTGACTTGCACCTCCCAAAATTTACATATTAAAATTCTAGTCCCTAGTACCTTGGAATATGACCTTACTTGGAAATAGCATTGCAGCAGATGTAATTAGTAAGATGAAGGACACCCTATTCCAGTATGACTGGTGTCCTTATACAAAGGGGAAATTTCGACACAGATATACACACAGAGAGAATGCCATGTAAGGCAGAAATTGGGTTGATGCATCCACTGCCCAAGAAATGCCAGAGATTGACAGCAAACCACCAGAGGCTAAGAAGAGGCATGGAGTAGATTCTACCTCAAAAGGAATTTGGCCTCAAGATTGCAACATGGAAACGCTGACTGAGTTTCCAACTGTTCTGTCCTGTCCTGTGGACTTCAGAATGAAGACTGCAACATCAGCTCTTACTTGAATTTCCAGCCTGCTGGCTTGCCCTACAGATTTCAGACTTGACACCCTCCACAATTACATGAGCCAATTCCTTAAAGTATATCTCTCCCCATGTAACACACAGATGCACGCAAGCACACGCGCGCGCACACACACACACACACACACACACACACACACACCCCTTATTGCTTCTGATTCTCTGGGGAACCTTGACTAATGCACACCTTTCACTGATCTTTCTCCTTCCGTTTGCCATATTTCCTGTCATAGTCTCATCTCAACACCGAAGCCAAAGTTATCCTTCAAAACAGTTATCCTTGAAAATGTCACTCTACAGGTGCAGACTTTCTTTCTTTTTTCTTTTTTCTGAGACGGAGTCTTGCTTTGTTGGATCACCGGGCTCACTGCAGCCTCTACCGCCTGGCTTCAAGCAATTCTTATGCCTCAGCCTCCCTAGTAGCTGGGATTACAGGTGTGTGCCATGACGCCCAACTAATTTTTTGTATTTTTAGTAGAGACAGGGTTTCATCATGTTGGCCAGGCTGGTCTTGAACTCCTGTTCTCAAGTGATCCACTCTCCTCGGCCTCCTAAAGGGCTGGGATTACAGGTGTGAGCCACTGCACCCATCCCGGCTCCAGACTTTCTATTGACTTCTCATTTCAGAGTAAAATCCAAAATCCTTACTCTAGTTCTCAAGGAACTACGTGAATGATTCCACTCTGCCTTTGAGATCTCTTCTTCCTCTACAGTTCCTCTCTGCAATACAGTTTTTTTTCTATAGCACTTGTCACCATCTGACATAGTATATATTCACTTGTTTATTTGTAAGAACTAAGCAATAATTTTGTCTCTTTCACTTATTGCTCCCTCCATAGAATCTAGAAAAGTGCTTGGGTGGATAAACTACTCAATTAATATTTGTTGGATAGATGAATTAAAAACAAACTCAAATATCATTCAGCCATAAAAAGGAGTGGAATTCTGATATATGCTATGACATAGATGAACCTTAAAAACATGATGTTAAGTGAAAGATGACAGACACAAAAGGACAAATATTGTATGATTCCATTTATATGAGGTGCCAAGAATAGACAAATTCAAAGAGACAGAAAATAGAATAGAGGTTACTAGAGGCTGAGAAGAGGGGAGAATGGGGAGTGATTGTTTGGTGGATACATAATTTCTGTTTGAGACGTGTATCAGGCCATTCTTGCATTGCTATAAAGAAATACCTGAGACTGGGTCATTTATCAAGAAAAGCAATTTAATTGGTTCATGGTTCTGCAGGCTGTACAGGAAGCATGGCACTGGCATTTGTCCAGCTTTTGGAGAGGTCTAAGGGAGGTTTTATTCATGGTAGATGACGAAGTGGGAGCAGGCCTGTCACATGGCAAGAGGGGGAGCAATAAATAGAGTAGAGGAGGGAAGTACTACATGTTTTTAAACAACCAGATCTCCTGATAACTCACTTACTATCATGAGGACAGCACCCAGCCACGAGGGATTTGCCCTCGTGACTCAATCGCCTCCTACCAGGTCATGCCTCCAACACTGGGGATTACAATTCCACATGAGATTTAGAGGAGACAACATCTGAACTACATCAGGAAGATAAAAGAGTTCTGGAAATAGATAGTGCCATTGAATTGTATGCCTAAAATGGTGAATTTTATGTTGTTTATATTTTACTAAATTAAAAAAAAACCCTCAAGATGTGAGCTGAGAGGCGCCCAAGAAGTCCATTCAGGGAGGAAGGACGGCAGAGTTAATTACTCTTTATTCTCTCATTGAGTTTGCAGCTATCTCTTGGGGTTCTCTCACTTGATTTCTGCTGCTGCCACTCAAAGTGCTTGTAAGAGAGACATTGCCTAGTCTCATTCTGCTCCTAGCATTTGATGGAACATATATTGTGACATGGGGGAGTAGAAAGAGAACAGCGGAAACAGAAACCAGACGAGGAAGGGTCTTGTAAGCCACTCACTTACTCATTCTTTCAACAAACATTTATTGTGTGTCTCCTGTGTATGAGGTACTGTCCTAGATGCTTGGGATTCCATGAATGAGAAAGAGCATGACCTGCTCTCATGGTGTGGTGAATGGGAGGGTATTAAGGGTCCATATAGCCTGAATAAGGGCAACCAAATCATGGTAAGGATTTTGGATTTTATTGTAAAAGCAATGGGAAATCATTGAGAGGTTTTTCAGCAAGAGAGACATCTAGTTTATATCTTTAAAGACTGCTTTGGCTGCTGAGTATTGGAGTGAATTGGGGAGGGGGCAAGGGTAGGAATAAGAAAGAAGATGATGACTTGGACAGGTCATGTAAATAAAAACATAAATAAATGGACAGGTTTGGCAGAAGTTTTAAAGATTGAATTAACAGGACTTCAGATGGATTGTAAGTGCAGGCTGAGAAAAAAGGAATCAAAGATAATTCCTAGTGTTTTTTTACTTGAGCAGTTGAATGGCTTACTGAAAGGAGAGGACTAGGGAGGAAAATCAAGAATCCTGCTAAAGACAGATTTTTGAGATGCCTATGAGTCATTCAAATGGAGATGTCAGACAGGTTGATGTAAAAGAGGCTTGAGCTTAGGGTAGGGAGGTCTGGGTGGGAGTCTAGGAGATGTGAATTTGGAAGCACTAGCATACAAAGGTATTTAAAGCTACTGGAATTGGATAGGATCCCTAGAGACCAGGAAACAGAGGGAGAGTCAGAGAGATAGAAGACTGAATCAATTTAAGGAGTTTGAACCATATCTAGGTGGAAAAGGGTATCCCTTGACAACATTTAGTCAGGAAGTCAACACAATCATGTGTGTGTTTTTGAAAGATCTCTCTGTCCTCTAGTGTTATTTAGAAGCAGGCATCACTGGAAAGGAGACCAGGGACAAGCTGTTGTAATTATTATTATTATTATTTTTTTTTTGAGATGGACTCTCACTCTGTCACCCAAGCTGGAGTGCAGTGGCATGATCTCAACTCACTGCAACCTCTGCCTCTCAGGGTCAAGCGATTCTCCTGCCTCAGCTTCCTAAGTAGGTGGGATTACAGACACCAGCCACCAAGCCCAGCTAATTTTTGTGTTTTTAGTAGAGACAGGGTTTCACCAAAGTGCTGGGATTACAGGTGTAACCCACCGTGCCTGGCCTGCAATAATGTTTTGAGAAGTGATTGTGACTTGATCCAGGAAAGTTTTAAATGGGTTGGAACTAAATGAACAGATCAAGGGATAATTCTGAGTAGTGTGGTCAAAATTTGAGGATTGACTGGAGGTTCAAATGAGGACAAAAGCAAGGTCAAGAATTATACCTCCAAGTTTCTAGGTTGAAAGGGAACCATTTGCTGGATAGAAAACTCAGGAAAAGAAGAGTCTGGGGAAAGGGGAAAACATATTGCTAATCTTTTTTTTTTTTTTTTTTTTTTTTTTTTTGTGAGATGGAGTCTCACTCTGTCACCCAGGCTGGAATACAGTGGCACGATCTTGGCTCACTGCAACCTCTGCCACCCGGCTTCAAGCAATTCTCCTGTCTCAGCCTCCTGAGTAGCTGGGGTTACAGGCTCCTGCCGCCACACCTGGCTAATTTTTGTAGTTTTAGTAGAGACACAGTTTCTCCATCTTGGCCAGGCTGGTCTTGAACTCCTGAGCTCGTGAACCACCTACCTCAGCCTCCCAAAGTGCTGGGATTACAGGTGTGAGTCACCGCACCTGGCCTATATTGCTAATTTTGAAGTGCTGCTAGACATTTATATCTCGACACTTAGCATATATTTGCAGCTTCTGTGTGGACCTCAGGAGACAAAGCTGAGTGGAATCATCAGTCCACAGGCTGTCTCAAAGCCACCGACACAGCCAAGCTTAGCCAGGGAGAATGAGTCAAGTGAAATGAGAAAAAGACCAAGGAGGAAAGCCTAGAAAATTCCTGGTATTTCAAAGTCAACAAAGGAAGGGGAAATTTCAAATGAGGCTGATGAAGTGCAGCTCAAGAAGTTGAAGAAAAACAAGATAAAAGGGACACCATCTATAATGTTCCTAATACTGTTCCAAAGATGCATTATTTATTCCATACGATAATGATGCATGCAGGCATTAGTCTCATATGCACTTTACAGAAGACTGTAAAGACTTCAGAAACTCATAAAGGTGAAAAAACTTGCCCAATGAATCGTATCTAGAAAATAGCAGAGCAGGTTTGAAGAATTATAAACAAACTCTAGTCTAGCTGGTGTCTAACTCTTTGTTCCTTGTAAAGGGAATGAGATGTGTGTGTGTGTGTGTGTGTACACACATATCTGTGTATACATAGACTATCTCTGTAAGGATGCATAGAGCTTAGGAGCTGAAAAAAGTGAAGAGTGGTTTGGTGCCTTGGGTGAGAGAATGGTGGTTGGAAAAGGTGGGATGGAGACTGACTATACTGTATATATTTTATTCTTTATATTGTTGTAATAAAGAGTCTGTGACACAGAATCCATTTTTTTTAAATGTTTGGCCATTGGCAGCTTCTAGTTACCATCACTCCTACTCCCCCATCTGCCCAACATCTGGGTAAGCTGACACAAAAGCACAGGTGCTCCCTCCTTGGGCAGCACCTGCAGGAAGTTCAAACCACACAAGTCCTGGCCATTGCAAAGGAGAACCCTCCACTCAGTCCCACTATGAACCCCAAGCCACGCTCCTTTCTCTGCTCTCTTGGCCAATTTTGGGCCTGCTTGTGGTCCTGCCCTGTTCTGCTCAGAGGGCCTCAATATGTGATCAATAAACCTTTCCATGTTCTCTTGGTGTGTGTAGCCTACCGGTCCTGACAACTGTAAAGCTGTGCTATTTTAATTTTGTGTTGTTTTGGTTTTTTGTTTGTTTGTTTTGAGACTGAGTCTCTCTTGTGCTATCACCTAGGCTGGAGTGTAGTGGCGTGATCTTGGCTCGCCGCAACCTCCAAATCCCAGGTTCAAGCGATTCTCCTGCCTCAGCCTCCCGAGTAGCTGGGACTACAGGCACCTGCCAGCATGCCCGGCTAATTTTTGTGTTTTTAGTAGAGACAGGGTTTCACCATGTTGGCCAGGCTGGTCTCGAACTCCTGACCTCAAGTGATCTGCTCACCTCAGCCTATCAAAATGCTGGGATTACAGACGTAAGCCATCGCACCCAGCCCCTATTTTAATTTTGAATGTTCTAATAAATAAATGTGAATTAACTAAACAACATTTTAAATGACAGGAATATAAAGAGTCCATGTGCCAAAGTCCTAAGATTCCAAGATCTACCTGTGCTTTCTCCCCACTTTTTATATTTGCTAGCTAACTAAAAAGAAAAACAAACATGAAATAAACTAAAGCTCCTGCTTCTTTTCTTGTAGCATTCTATATCCCCAAAGAGTAGGACAGGAATTGTTACATTTGATATCAGAAAATTGAAAAGAAACATTTAAAACTCACTTTTGAAGTTTTAGAATGTTTTTCTGGGATCCCCAGCTCTATAAAAATTGTATTTGTTTCCAGGCGCGGTGGCTCATGCCTATAATCTCAGCACTTTGGGAGGCTGAGGTGGGCAGATCACCTGAGGTCAGGAGTTCAAGACCAGCCTGGCCAACATGGTGAAACCCCTTCTCTACTAAAAATACAGAAATTAGCCAGGCGTGGTGGTGCGTACCTGTAATCCCAGCTACTTGGGAGACTGAGGCAGAATAATTGCTTGAACCTGGGAGGTGGAAGTTGCAGTGAGTTGAGATCGCCCCACTGCACTTCAACATGGGTAACAGAGGGAGACTCTGTCTCAAAAAAAAAAATGCATTTGTCCAAACTGCTATATTTTCTTATCATGGAGGTTTACAATTTTAAAAATTCAGTGAGTATATCTATATCTAATATAGACATACATATATATATATATATTTACCAGTGAAGCTATTCCTAGAGAATAGTAGAACCCTATAAAAACACATTTTGTATACTTATCTTTATTATAAGAATATTGACTTTTTTTTACCCTGAGGTATACACATTTATAAAATGTTCCTATAAACGTTATATCAATAACTACTCCCTCCTGCCCCCAGCTATTCGATGAGTAAACTGCAGACCAGTGAGGCCGGATGATTTCTGTTAGCGTGAGTAAGTAGTAGAACTGGCTCCCCAGACCCACCTCCTGGCTGTCACGCTCCTTGACACCATATCCAGGAGACATAGTCATTGTTAACTGATGCTGATGACTGTAATCTATGAGAGTGATATTCTTGGTTCATATTCTCCCAATGCCTATTTATGATAGTTTCTAGGAGTAATTAAGTACTTTTGACCACATTCATCATCTTAGACCAAAATTTAAATTTGTCATCCTCTCACCCTCAGCAAATAGGAATTCAATGACTAATTACTAATCCCATATTTCCAAGCCTACACAGGAGGTTGAATTACTGACTTGAACTCTGTAGGTACTAGCTCAGTTAGTCACATGGCTGCTAATTCTCCACTTTACTTAGTAAATTGATTAGTTCTCTGAATAATACAAAAATAATAAAAAGAATGACCCAGCTTTGGCAAGGCCTATAATCTCAGCACTTTGGGAGGCTGAGGTGGGCAGATCTTTTGAGCAGAGGCATTTGAGACCAGCCTGGGCAATGTGGCAAAACCCCGGCTCTACAAAAAATACAAAAAAATTAGACAGGTGTGGTGGCGTGTGCCTGTAGTCCCAGCTACCCGGGAGACTGAGATAGGAGAATCACCTGAGCCTAGGAGGTTTAGGCTGCAGTTAGCTGGGATCACACCACTGCACTGGTGATCGGAGACCCTGTCTTGGGGAAAAGAAAGAAGGAAAGAAAGAAAGAAGGAAAGAAACAAAGAAAGGAAGGAAGGAAGGAAGGAAGGAAGGAAGGAAGGAAGGAAGGAAGACTACTTCCGTAATGGTTGGATTTACCTAAGATTTGGAAACAGTGTTTTAGATACCAACAGGGCATTAGAAATGACAGACGCCCCTGACATTTTACACAGTAAAGAGTGCACACCAAAATGAAGATATTAGCAGGATCTGCGTCAAGTAATGCCAGACACCTTTGATAAATTAAATCCATGGAGTACAGAATATTGTTAGTCTGTAAAACAAGTCAACAAGGTTCATACTGTCATATTTCATCCTAAGGTTTTTTGAAGATGGATGTTAGTAGCCATGAGAAATGAAAAACCCTCTCATCCAAATCCCAAGAGCTGGTGGAAGCAAATGCAGGCATGAAAAATGTAGCATGAGAAACGTAGGGGATGGAGTTGCTCAGAATATTTTTTTTAAAAAACAACTTCTCTTTTTTGAGTGGCATAAGAGATAAATTTCACACTGCCACCATTTGAGTTGTCACGTTTTCCCAGGCTCTGCCGCTCTCCTGAGGCACTGGTGAAATGAAGGGAGACAGTTGGCTAAAGCACAGAGCGATGGAGGAAGGGTCAGGAGAGGGAGACATGACCACAAGTTTCCTTTGTGACTTTGGATCCATCTCTGTACTCGCCTGGGCCTCAGTTTCCTCATCTGTGCCGAAGATGGTCTCTAGGGCTTCTAGCCGAGCCTACGTTTGGGTTCAGCATGGGGCCCATTCTCTGATACGTAATCAGTCTCCAATGCCCTCTCTTAGGACACACACACGTCCAAACCCCAAACCTTCCACCTTACAGAGGAAGCAGAGCATAATCCCCAGCGAGAGCCAACCTGCCTCCCCAAGCATGCACTTCTCAACATCCCCACAGTTACTTCCCAGCTCTCTTAATTAAATTATAGTGGCCTCCTTAACAGTTCCAGCCTTTGCACCTACACGGCGCCTCTGCCCACCCCACTCCATTCCCCACGTTACAGATGAGGGATCTTTCTAAAAGGTAAATGTGAGGCTGGGCTAAGTAGCTCAAGCCTGTAATCCCAGAACTTTGAGAGGCCGAGGCAGGTGGATCACCTAAGGTCAGGAGTTCAAGACCAGTCTGGCCAAAATGGTGAAACCCCGTCTCTACTAAAAATACAAAAATTAGCCAGGCGTGTGATGGTGGGTGCCTCCTGTAATCCCAGCTACTTGGGAGGCTGAGGCAGGAGAATTGCTTGAACCTGGGAGGCGGAGGTTGCAGTGAGCCGAGATTGTGCCACTGCACTCTAGCCTGGGTGACAGAGCAAGACTCAAAAAAAAAAAAAGAGGTAAATGTGTCCTTCTCTTCCCTTCCTTTTAGCCTCACAGGGGCTCATCATTTCTCTGCAGGATGAAGTTCAAGTGACTTCACATGGCATAGAAGACCTTCTGCGATTTGCTGATGTGTACTCTGTCTACCCATCTTTCTGTCACCTATTCCTTGGTACTCAAAGCACCATACATTCATGTTCCTTCCGTTCCTAAAATTTCCTTGTTCATTCTCATTCCTGGGACTTTGTGTCAGCTGCTGCTTCTGCCTGAATCACTCCCCTCTCCAGTTACCTCTTCTTCTCTCCCAGGGCAATCTCCTCTCCTATTTATCCTTCAAGTCTCAGCTTAGATGCCATTTCCCTCAGGAAGCTCTCTCACGTTGGGGTTGCCTGCATGCTCTGTATTGTGATAGTCTGTTTTCCCATCAGGCTCTGAGCTCTGTGAGCCTCAGGACTTTGCAATATTCAGACCTGTGTCTCAAAACCCTAAGCAGTTGGCCAGGCACAATGGTTCATGCCTGTAATCCAGTACTTTGGAACATTGAGGCAGGTAGATCACTTGAGGCCAGGAGTTCAAGACCAGCCTGGCCAAAACAGAGAAGCCCCATCTCCACTAAAAATGGATAAAATTAGCTGGGCATGGTGGTGCACACCTGTCATCTCAGCTACTCAGGAGGCTGAGGCATGAGAACAGCTTGAGCCCAGGAGGCAGAGGTTGCAGTGAGCTGAGATCACACCGCTGCATGCCAGCCTGGGCGAGAGGGCAAACTCTGTCTCAAAAACAAACAAACAAACAAAAAACCCCCACAAAAAAACCTAAGCAGTACTGGGATATAACATGTACTTAATGAATATCTGTTAAATGAATGAACTTTGAAATGTCATGATCTGGAGTTGATAATTGTTGAAGCTGGGTAATGGGCACATACGGTTTTATTATGCTATTATGTCTAACACTTTTGTAATAAAAATGTTTTTTGATAGATGTGGTTTTACATTTCTAAACAATGCATCTCATCTCTTTCTCAATTACAGAGGCGAGAAACTGTGGGATAGAGGCTGCAGCAATTGCATGAGTAGACCCTGAAGGTATGAGGTTTGTTAAAATGGATGTTCAGAGAAGGCCTGACACAAGAGGGCCACTCCATTTGTCCCCACGGACCTGGGCCGGATCTCTCAATTTCACACTGATGGAGCCTGAAAATCAACAAACAAGACGGCAAGAACAGGGAAGACATTGTTCTCTCCAAAGTGGACAATTTGTGACAGGCCCAGGAAGGCTGCCTGGGCTTTATAGCTTTTCCAGTGGTTCCTAATAAACCAGGCTTTGTGTGAGCCTCGTTCAGGCCATGCGGGGCCCTGTCGTTCTAAGGCTTTCTCCCTCCTCTGGCCTGGCTGCTGGGAGAACTTGTTAGCGGGCATTGATTTCTTTGAGTTGGACGCGACTGAATTAGACTGCTTTGCTTGGCATTTTAAAGGGGATGTTTTCTTGGGGAAGTTGGAGGTTGGCACTGCCTTGATATGAAACATTTTAGGGGCCATTCAGAATTCTTAACTGTCATTAATTTCTTTCAGGGCATATGAAACATTTGTCTGAAGAAAGATTTTAACAATTTCAGTTTGAAGACATCAAGAAATACCATATGATCTCTGACCTTAATCAGATGAAATCTTGTTTCATCCACATGGTGGAAAAAAATTAGGGAAATAATGCATTTCTATATCTACTAATCAACTGGCCAATCAATATTAACTGGGCTCTTACTCTGTGCCCACTATGTACGAGGTCCATCTGCAGATGGAGATAACTAGATTAACAACTATTATGGGAGAAACTGGCTACAAACCCAGCCCATAGGATTCCAAGGGGTTCCCGGGAGGCAGCACAGGGCTAATGGAAAGCTGGACTCACCGATGCAGGCTTTTAAAAGAAAAACTCAAAGTATCTGAGTTTTTTTTTTTTTTTTTTTTTCATGGAGTCTTGCTCTATCGCCAGGCTGGAGTGCAATGGCACAATCTCAGCTCACTGCAACCTCCAACTCCTGGGTTCAAGCTATTCTCCTGCCTCAGCCTCCCGAGTAGCTGGGATTACAGGCACCCGCCATCATGCCCAGCTGATTTTTTTTTTGTATTTTTGTAGAGACGGGGTTTCACCATGTTGGCCAGGCTGGTCTTGAACTCCTGATCGACCTCAAGTGATCCACCTGCCTTGGCCTCCCAAAGTGCTGGGATTACAGGTGTGAGCCACCATGATCTGAGTTTTTTAAAAAAGCCCATGTCTTTATAGTTTACCAGCATTTTTACATGCCTTGTCTCATTTGATTTTTTCAAAGCAACCATTCAAATTGAATGTGAAAAGTATTATTGTCTTGATTTTATAGAAGATAAAATGTCATGCCTGTAATCCCACCACTTTGGGAGGCCGAGGAAGGCAGATCACGAGGTCAGGAGATTGAGACCATCCTGGCTAACATGGTGAAACCCTGTCTCTACTAAAAATACATACAAATTAGCTGGGTGTGGTGGCATGAGCCTGTAGTCCCAGGTACTTGGGAGGCTGAGACAGGAGAATTGCTTGAACCGGGGAAGCAGAGGTTGCAGTGAGCCGAGTTGGCGCCATTGCACTCCAGCCTGGGTGGCAAAGTGAGACTCTGCCAAAAAAAAAAAAAAAAAAAGATAAAACAAAGACTCAGAGAATGAAATACAACTTAGACCTGAATTCAAAAACCAATTCTTGGCATTTCAAAGACATTGCCCTTTATGTCATCATCTTGCTTGGTGGCAGGGTGTACCTGTGTCAGCCAAAAGGGTGATATCACTGAGCTTTTCACTTGGTAAAAAAGGACATCTTCAAGTACTCAGACTTCAGTTAGTTACAACTGAGCCTCAAGTCGCACTGGTTCGAAGTGCTGCAGTGCTTGGATTTCCACCAGATGTCACCATTTGCCATTGTTCTACTCCCTGCCTTTAAAAAGCATTAGCAAAGAAGAGCCCATCTGCTCTTGGGCCCCTGAGAATGCTTATTGCATCTGGGAGTGAGGTGGAGGGCTGTATTCCAAGAAGGGAGCAATGAGCTCTGAATCTTGACTCAGGGAGAAGGAATTTGAAAATGTCATGGCCGGGCGCTGTGGCTCGCACCTGTAATCCCAACACTTTGGGAGGCCGAGGCGGGCGGATCACCTGAGGTCCGGAGTTTGAGACCAGCCTGACCAACATGGAGAGACCCCGTCTCTACTAAAAATACAAAATTAGCCGGGCATGGTGGCACATGCCTGTAATCCCAGCTACTCGGGAGGCTGAGGCAGGAGAATCCCTTGAACTGGGAGGCAGAGGTTGCGGTGAGCCGAGATCGTGCCATTGTACTCCAGCCTGAGAAACAAGAGCGAAACTCCATCTCAAAAACAAAAGAAAAGAAAAGAAAAGAAAATGTCATGAGCTCTCTGGTTCCCGATTTCCTAAAACCCAAAGGCATTATTTCCCCCTCCCCTTGTGATTTCGTGTATCTAAAAACCCAGCCCATTTCTGATGGATAAACCAAGCAGAACTATAACCTGGCTTTTGGCCAAAACAACTTAGAAAAGGAGGAGATTTTCTTTTCTTTTTAGAGATAGGGTCTCACTCCATCACTCAGGCTGGAGTGTAGTGGCATGATCATAGCTCACTGCAGTCTCTAACTCCTGGGCTCAAGCAATCCTCATGCCTCAGCCTCCTGAGTAGCTAGGACTTAGGGGCATGTGCCACTCACCCAGCTAATTTTTAAATTTTCTTGTGGAGACTGGATCTCTCTTTGTTGTCCAGGCTGGCCCCAAACTACTGGCCTCCTAAAGTGCTGGCATTACAGGGATGAGCCACCATGCCTAGCCCTCCAGCTAATTTTTTATAAAGCAGGAGGTTTTGAAGTGAAGACAGAACCAAGGAACGCTGCACCTTCTCTGTGATCAGAAGTAGAAGCCAGCAGGATTTGCATCACGCTGGAGTGTGGTTTCTGAGGAGGGGCTGGAAGTAGCCCTGAACCCCAAGTCTCCCACCTGCTCAGATTTTATATGGTCCAAATTACACTACTCAGGTTCATTCTTGTGGATCTAATATGAGTGTTCCCTGTAGATTTCATGAGCAGGAGTGATGTATGAATTCATTTACATCTAAGTGCATTTGAATTTGAACTTTTGTTTCTTTTTTTAAAGGGAGAAACTAGGCCAGAATGAGAGAATGAGGTTCCTAGGGTATGTCTGTGGATGTTGGCGAAGAGTCCAAGGTGAGGGGTGGGTGAGAGAGAGGGGAGGCAAACTTCTCTTAACTTCTAGTTTGGTCCAGGCTAACGACCAGGGGCCTGAGGGACCCTCCTTTGCCTCCTGTTCCTCACACCCTCCTCACCTTCACTCTGCTTATCTTCAGGGTAGCAAAGAATCCATGTGGGGCAATGGTTGGCCCCCCCAAAGCTTGGACTCCCCACGGGCCAACAAATGATGGGAGATGTGTGGCTTCTCCAAAACTGCAGCTCTGGGAAAGGGGAAGCTTAGAGATCTTAATGATGCTAATAAGTTGGTAAAAATAATCAGGTGCAGGTATTTTTAAGACAAGGCAAAAACAGAAAAAAGGAAGCAATAGTACCTGGATTTTATTTGCTGATCATAAGCTTACTTTTTAATCCAGCAAACTTGTTCTTCAACAAAACTGTCTGTAAAATTAATTGCATGTCCTCCTGATACGATGTTGATGGTAATAATACTTTCTCTTCAAATGAAAACTTCAAAAATATATCCTTCAGAACATGATCCTCTGGGCAAATGGTCACAGATGAAAGCCTTAAATACAACTCACAGAAGCAGAGACAGCAGATTTATTACAGAATTCGGAAATGCAGTGTGACATTGGTAGTATCAACTGCTTTGATCATTTCTTTCAAGTAATGTTTTATTCATTTCATTTGGTCATATTTTGCTCAACTATTTTTATGTAACTTCACACAATCTATATATTTTGTTGATAACTTACAGGTAAAAATATTCATTTATTAGTGTGGGTGTTTATCCGATGACCCACACTGGGTCACGCTGACTCAAGAGAGGACAGAGGGTCACACAAGAACTTCACAGCTTGTGTCCCCTAGGGGCTGAGGGTCTGCTGACTCTAGTTTTGTGGGGCTTATCCACAGATACTTTGCAGAATGTCTGGTGGTGGGAATAGGAGATAAACAGAGAAGATGTGTAGAATTATCTCTGAGGCGTGATTACAAAGCTTGTGGGTGATAGATATAAAAATGCCAGGCCTCAAATATCTAAATCAGGGCTGTCTACTTCAGGTGTCATCGTTGATTTTGGAATCCCATAAGTTGGTTTAAAGTTGCAATCACTCAAAATATGTGCTGGACAACCCCTTAAGATTGTCTTACAACCTAAAGAACAGCTAGGGCTGATTGATCTTTTTTTTTTTTTGGAGACAGGGTCTCACTCTGTTGCCCAGGCTAGAGTGCAGTGGTGTGATCTTGGCTCACTGTAGCCTCTGCCTCCTGGGTTCAGGCAATTCTCCTGCCTCAGCCTCCTGAGTAGCTGGGATTACAGGCATGTGCCACCACACCCAGCTAATTTTTGTATTTTTTAGTAGAGATGGGGTTTCACCATGTTGGCCAGGCTGGGCTCGAACTCCTGACGTCAAGTGATCCACCTGTCTTGGCCTCCCAGAGTGCTGGGATTAGAGGTGTGACCCACTGCGCTCAGCAGGGCTGATGGATCTTGAGACAGAGACCACATCTATACTGGGCCAGATCCTCTCTCCTGGGAATTTGGAATGAGAACATGGAGCCACAGCTATTAGAGGCAGTTTGCTGGTGTTAAACTATCTTCCACAGATTCCTGGTCTGAGGTTCCTGGGCTGCTAGCCTCCTGCCTCCTTGCTATTTCCTTTTGTCTTCTAGTCATATGCAATTTGAACAGACAGTTACAAAAACGTGTTGAGACAATGTCTTGCATATTTTAGTTCATTTCCAGTCTTATTTTGAATAAAAGTTCTTAGAATGATCTATCACTTGAATATAAATCCTTACAATTTTTAGTGTTGAGAATTCGAAATCATATAAGCCAAATATAGTCTTATGGGAAAACATATTTGGTTACATAGTTGATGTCAAATCAAATTACTTTTGTAGTCTGTGATTTGGGTTTCTTTCTTGAATATTTGAATATATTCCAGTTGTCACTATATGGTTTAAACTATTATCCTTTCAACATATTTGCTTCATCTTAAAATTTCATTTTTCAGTCATTTGAAATGCAGGAGCTGTAAAACCATTCTATAGATGTTTCTAAAATAAACTCTTAAGTGACACAAGCTTGATTTGGATCACCTTTTCTCATAGAATGGAAATAAATGGTTTCTAGAGAACCTAGAAAAACAAGTTTACTCCCCGATATGGTTTGGCTGTGTCCCCACCAAAATCTCATCTTGAATTGTAGCTCCCATAATCCCCATATGTCATGGGAGGGACCCGGTGGGAGGTAACTGAATAGTGGGGGTGGGTTTTTCCCATGCTGTTCTCATGATAGTGAATAAGTCTCATGAGATCCGACGGCTTTATAAAGGGCAGTCCCCCTGCACACGCTTTCTTGCCTGCCACCATGTAAGACATGCCTTTGCTCCTCCTTTGCCTTCCACCATGATTGTGAGGGCTCCTCAGCCATGTGGAACTGTGAGTCCATTAAACCTCTTTTTCTTTATATATCAACCAGTCTCGGGTATTTCTTCACAGCAGTATGAAAATGGACTAATACACTCCCTGAGTTTCCCAATATAGTTTATTCACATCTTTATCTTGCAAGAGGGTAAAACTTTAATGTAAATTTTCTAAAACATTTGCAGTGATTCTGTGGCTTTGTGAAGACTGGCTTGATTTCAGCAGGGAAGCCAACATGATTTTATGAGACTTTTGAACAATGGTAATGATACTAGATATATTTTTCTGTAACCATTAAAACCATTTAAAATCTGAGAGTTGTAAAATCAATGAAAAGACAAACAAACCAGTATACTAAAGCTAGCCAGGATTTTTGCAGTATGCTTCTTTGATTTTCATATGGGATATTTTTTGCCATTTAAAATATTCCCCAAAAGGTCAAGATGATTTGTGCAGTTACTGAATGTTTGCTAGACAGCATACACAACAGCTTCCATTGTGGTGTATAAATAGAATATGAAAAGTTTGTTCGTTTGTTATTTAAATTTAAAGGTACATCGTAAGCTCTAGTCTTTGGGATTCTTAAAAACAAATGTATTATGTTAATTTTCAAAATACAAAAAATCTGAGTGACTATCTTCATGAACCCTCATGTCCATCACCCAGTTTCAATAATTAAGAACACATTGTCAAGTCTGCATTATCTCTTACACTCCTACTTTCCTCCTCCCCTGGATTATTTTAAGGCAAATCAAAGACCACATCTCTCTTCTGAAAACCCTTTCAGTACTTCCCACTTCCTCTGCCCCACCCCCCGCGGTTTTTTTTTTTTTTTTTTTTAAACATAACCCCAGTTCCATTGCTGGATATTTTTCAGACAGTCAAGGAGGCATTGGACATGGCCTACAGGTTAAAAAAAATGGGGCCACATTAACTGCAGCAAATAATCTTTTGAGCTTGCCCCAGCTGATCACCGGAGACCCTTCTCCACCTTCCTTGCTTGGGGGCGTCTCAATTGTTTCTAAAACCTCCAGGGTGAATCAGTATCATGTGCCATCGCCCTTTTCACTCTTCCCTGCCTCTCTTTCTTCAGCAATGCCACCTCTGGCTCTTTGCAATATTACATTGACTTTTTTCAAGCCAATGTATATCTGAAAAGCACAAATACACATTATGCTTTCTTTCGGGTATGTGTACATAGAGGTTTTTAAAAGGATGTGTGTGTGTGTGTATATATATATATGTATATATATATGCATCCATTTCTGATATAAAGAATGCTTTATTTTTTATTTATAGTCACCAGAGTTTTCTAATTATGACCTCTCCTGCGGGCCTTACTGCAGTGAGATACTAGCCTGTTTCATTGATAGAATGGTTTTCAATTTTTCCTGTTCAGATTCTTAATCAGAATTGTAAGTGGAGTGTACAGGTGCTCAGATTAGAGCCCAGTGGATGGTGTGGTGAAGGCTGCCAGTGTAATCCCAAACGCTGGGACTACAGACGTGAGCCACCACATCTAGCCGCCATTTACTTTTAAGTTGATCACCATTTCATTTTTTACTTTGAAAGGCATTAGCTGGTATCTTAGGTGCTTAATTAATGTAAGGGATTGTCCAAGTTAGCTATATAAGAATAGTCTCTGGGATGATAATAAGTACCTTTTATGACAAGATGAAACACTATTTTATTTTATTTTTTTATTTTTATTTCTAATTCACACATAATAATTGCATATATTTATGGGGTACAATGTGATGTTTTAATATTTGTATACATGGTAGAAACCTTAAATAAAGCTAACATATCCATCATCTCATCTATTTTTTTTTTGTGATGAGACAGTTAAAAATTTGCTTTTTGCAACTTTGAAATATACATGATTACAAGCTAAGTATTCCTTAAACAAAATGTTTGGAACCAGAAGTGTTTTGGATTTCAGATTTTTTTCAGCTTTTGGAATATTTGCATTATATTTACTGGCTTGGCATCCCGAATCTAAAAATCCAAATCTGAAATGCTCCAATGAGCATTCCTTTTGAATGTCATATCTGCACTTAAAAAGTTTCAGATTTTGGAGCATTTTGCATTTTGGACTTTCAGATTAGGGATGCTCAAGCTGTGTTAACTACAGTCACCATACTGTAGAATAGATCACTAAAATTTATTTCTCTCATCTCACTGATACTTTGTGCCCTTTGACCAACATCTTCCCTTTCTCCATCCCCCCTCTTTTTTTGTTCTTAATATCACATGGATTGTCCTGGGTTCTGTGAGCTTAGAGGCTGAATAATTGAAGACCTTTTTTCACTTTCCCAAAGAGCATACCCAAGGTCTTCCTTATGGTCTCCATCAAAGGAAGACCAAGTAAGTACTGCTCACTGAGAACCCAAGGACCTGAGCCACAAGGCCTGTGGAGCCACATCCCCTTGGCCTCACTTGGGAAGACCCTGCAGCAGGTGCCAGAGGAGACAGCCACTGAACATGTGCATGCTAGCCACGGCAGAGAGAAGTATGGCTGACTTCCAAATGAGCCCTTTCCTCAATAGGTTTGTGAACATCTCAAGTGTTAAACTACTTACTATGGAATTATTTTTGGAGCGCCTTCAGGAAAATAAGAAACAACTTTATTCTTCTCAGTGAACTTACTCTTTCACAAATGGAGGCAGGACAGAATAATTCTGTCTTCTGAATACACTTATGGTAAGGTGTTTGGCCAACAGGCGTACTTGCTCTCTTACTAAGCTGTTTTTCCTTTCTTCTTTCCTCTATCATTTTCATCACACAAGGCTCCATTGTCTTTGTAGCTGCCCTTTGGTGCCTTGAGATTTATTTTCTCATTTCTGTGTATAAGGTCTCAAAATAAGTGCTTTGATCAGCTGCTCAAGGGATCACATGTCTGGAACAGCAGAGCACTCAGAAGCCCACACTTTCAGAAGGGCATTGACTTTGGAATGGGCTGAAAAATAACCTTGTGGAAACAGCTCTCTTGTCTAAGCTCTGACCATGTTTATAATTAAGAAAGAATGCACACACATAAACATATATATCTATATTGACAGAGTTGACTTATCACTAGAGCAGCTGTAATGCTTTCTCTTCCTCATGTCGATTGTCTAGAAAAACTGCTGGCTAGAGTTCACCCGCCCTCCCACTTGCATTCTTGCCCTGAAAGGAAACAAAAATCCTGATGGAAGAAAAAAGAAATCTGATCAGCCGGGCACGGTGGCTCACGCCTGTAATCTCAGCACTTTGGGAGGCCAAGGCAGGTGGATCACATGAGATCAGGAGTCTGTGACCAGCCCAGTCAACATGGTGAAACCCTGTCTGTACTAAAAATACAAAAAAAAGTAGCTGGGGGTAATTGTGGACGTTTTTAGTCCCAGCTAGTTGGGAGGCTGAGGCAGGAGAATCACTTGAACCTGGGAGGTGGAGGTTGCAGTCAGCTGAGATCACGCCACTGCACTCCAGCCTGGGCAACAGAGCAAGACTGAGTCTCAAAAAAAAAAAAAAAAATTGAAAAATAAATAAATAATCTGATGAAGACAAGTGTGTGAGTGTATGTGCAGGTGCGTGGGATTTTGTAGTTTATTTTGTAGTAAATTAGTGGCCCATGTTGGAGTATTTTGGGCAGAAATCATACAGAAAGTACTATGAAGAAGACTGACTTCAAGCCCAGGAAACTACAGTCCACTTTTTAAATCACTGTCAGAAGCTATCAAATACTTATTGAAATCAGTGTCAGAAAATCCAGATTCAAATCACCTCTCAGCTGACTTCACATATGCAACCAATAGTATATCTAAACTTGTTTTCTCATCTCTAAAACAGGTCAGACCACATCAATGCTATTAACCCAAGGAGCCAAATGAAAAGAACAACTGGAATAACCACAACAATAAATGTAGGTGATTTGTGTGTCATATTGTCAGTTTAACCTGCCTTTAGAGGTTTGCTTTTTAAAATTGTTTATTTTGAAATAATGCTATAGTCATAGGAAATCACGTGCACAGAATGTACAGAGTGGTCCCGTGTACTGATCACCCAGTTTCCCTCAATAGAGACTGCATAACTGAAGAACAATATCAAAACCAGGAAATGACATTGGTACCATTCACAGAGCTTCTTCAGAGTTCACTCATTTCTGTGTGTGCACGTGTATAGTTTCATGCAATTTTAGCACATTACACATGTAATGTGTGTAACTGCCACTGCAGTCAAGACACAGAACTGGTTCATCACCACCAGGCTCCCTTTAAAGTATGACCCCTTTGTAGCTATATCCACCACCCTACCTAATCCCTAATCTTTGGCAACCATGAATATGTTCTCTACGTCTATAATTTTATTTCAAGAGTGGCTTATATAGGCTGGGCATGGTGACTTATGTCAGTAATCCCAGCACTTTGAGAGGCCGAGGTGGGCGGATCACTTGTGGTCAGGAGTTCAAGATCAGCCTGACCAACATGGTGAAACCCTGTCTCTACTAAAAATACAAAAATTAGCTGGGTGTGGTGGCACGTGCCTGTAGTCCTAGCTTCTTGGGAGGCAGAGGTGAGAGAATCGCCTGAACCCAGGAGGCAGAGGTTGCAGTGAGCCGAGATTGCCCCACTGCACTCCAGCCTGGGCGACAGAGCAAGACTCCGTCTCAAAGAAAAAAAAAGAGTGGCTTATATAGAATCATACACATATATATAGTGTGTGACTTTTTGGAATTGGCTTTTTCTCCCCCACTCAGCACCATTCCCTAAAGTTTATCAAGTTGTTTCGTGTATTAGTAGTTCATTCCTTTTAGTGGCTTCATAGGATTCCATAGTATGGATGTACCACAGTTTGTTTAATCATTCATCCCTTGAAGGGCTTTTGGGTTGTTTCTGGTTTTTGACTATTACAAATAAAGCAGCTGTGGACATTGGCATACAGGGTTGGTGCAAATGTAGGTTTTCATTTCTCTGGGATAAATGCCTAATGGTGAAATTGCTAGACCATATGGCAGTTGTATCTTCAGGTTTATGAGAAACTGCCAAATTGTTTTCCAGATTGGCTGTACTATTTTACATTCCTATCAGCAATGTATTAATGATTCAGTTTCTCTGCATCCTTTCCAGCAGTTGGTGTTGTCACAATTTTAGCCATTTTAGCAATTCTAGCCATTTTTATAGTCACTATTTTTTTCCATTTTAGCTATTCTTCTCGGTGTGTAGTGATATTTCACTGTGACTTTAATTTGCATCTCCTAGTGGCTAACAATGTTGACTATCTTTTCATGTATTTATTTGCCATCTGCATATTCTCTTCAGTAAAATGGCTGTTCATGTCTTTTGCCCATATTCTTGTTGGATTGTTTGTCTTTTACTTTTGAGTTTTGAGAATTATTCTAGGTTCAAGGTGTTTGGCAGACATGGGGGTGAAAGTATTTTCCTGCCATCTGTATGCTGTCTTTTACCCTCTCAATAGAGTCTTTGGCAGGACAAAAGTTTTTTAGATTCTAATGAAGTCTTATTTATTGATTTTTTTTCTTGAACGGATCATGATTTTTTGGTGTCTGTGTATTCTTCACCTAGCCCTACCTCATAAAGATTTTCTCCCATTTTTTTCCTAAAAGTTCTATAGTTCTCCGTGTAGTTGTAAATTTAAGCCCATGTTATATTTGGGGGTAATTTTTGCATGAACTGCAAAGCTTAGGTTGAGGATTTTTGGAGAATTTCTGACTGACCCCTTGACGTCTAGATACATTTTAGCTCACGTTCCCTCTTTCTGCCTCTATATATGTTCTTAGACATTATTTCACGTCTACCTTAGATTTCACTGCTTTCACTCTAACACTGGGCTTCTTCAATTGTCTTACCCCATAGTGATCATATTCCTCCCCTAATATCTTACTGATTGAAAGAATATACAATAATTATGTAGGTATCTTATGTTATTGACATGAGTCATGCTGATAATATGCTATATGTTTGTCTTTCTCAATACACAGTAAGTCTCTAGAAAGGAGGGAGCATATCTTGCTCTTTCTCTTTATTCCCTATGGCTCCTAGCCCAAGGTTTTGCAGTTAGTAAGGATTCAATGGTATCTGCAGACTCAAAATGAGTTGAGTGTTTCCATCCTTACATTTGCTAGATGAGGCACATGTCTCCTCTTTCTGTATTCAAATGCAATATAAAAAGATTTTTTCAAAAGGCAAAAACTGAGTGAAGGAGCCAGTAGCATCCCAACTGGATTGCTTCCTTCTACCCTCACCTGCTGCTGTACAGACTGGAACCTGTTAACAGGTTAGTGAGGTTAGGATAGAAGTTAGGCTGCCCAGCACCAGCATGTGTGGTCGATTCCAGGATGCCATGGGAAGGTGTAATACTGATTCTTAAATATTTTTGCATTTTATTTGTCTTTGATTCCACTTAGAGCATACCTTCTCAAGATAGTTAGAACTTTGAAATTATATATATGTGTGTGTGGGTGCATATACATACACACATATACAACAGCATACATATGCACCATACAATGGGTATATTTGTTGTTGTTGCTCTCTGTTTCCTCAAAGTAGCCTCCACATTCTGCCTTTTAGAAATATCTTTTGCATGTGTCGCCTACATTAAGATGTCCATTAATTCAGGACTCTTGGACACTACATCCCATTTCATTGCAGCTTGCTAAACTCTTAGTGCTTAGATGATAATAGGCGGTGTGGGAATTCATGTGTTATTTGTTCACATATGTCTGAAAGCTCAAAAGAACAGGTCCGTATATTTTTACAGAAAAAGCTTTGTGTTGACCCTTTTTATTTTTTTTTTCCCCTCCACTTGTGCCAAATGGTTAAAATAACATTAGGAGAAAGGGCAGACCTAGAGAATTTTGTAAAGAATTTGCAAATAAATAATGATATCAGGATATGAGCCGCGGCAAAAGAACAGGTGAATTTTCTGGTGTTAAAGTATTTGAACAGTTTTATAGTTTTGCAGCATTTAATTTTGAGTGTGCTCATTGCTTGTTAGACATTAACACATGTCCATATTCTATGCCAAGTAACCTTTTATGAGATGGTTCTATTAATAGCTAAGAGGATTTACAGACTCAAACTGTATTTTTTTCAAATATACACACAACATCCAGCAGGAAAATTGTCACTTTTTGGAGAAATAATGTTATTACCTACTGATAGAAACTCATGCTTAGGAAATTCACCTTTGGAAACTTTGAATTTGGAAAAAACACCCCTCAGCTCCTTAATGTTCTTATGTTCTTAGTTTATCAATTTTTTCCCAAGGAATTTTTTGTAGAAAGCGGTCTATAATTTTTCTTTCATTATTATATGGGATGTAATATTTATATCGGAGAAAGATATCCTAGGGCTAACACTAATAGCCACAAAATCTGTCTAGATTTGTTGAATGTTATCACCTGAAACAAGCAAACAAACAAAAAAGCAATACATAATAATTTATTTTGGTAAAGGGAATCTGTTTAGATTGGAGAAAACTAGATAGATCAGGTAATTATCATCTAGGTTCTAGATTTCCCTTGGGGATGGTTTGAAAACATTTTTGATAAAACATTAAGATAAGTGAGCAATGGCACTAAAGCTTGAGTATAGTTTTATATTCTTTCTGGGTAAACACTTTCCCTTGACGGGAAAGGATCATGGATTGTGGAAATCACCTTACCTTGATATCAGGAACAGCCCTGAGGTCTCCTTCATTTTCTGTGATTTGGTGAATGTCTGTATTATATCTCTGAGCCCTGAACAGGGGCAGAAACTGTGTCCATATAGACGGCCTGGAGAAATGTTTCTGGAGGCACTCTTGGTTATCTTGGGAAAGCTGGGGCATGTTTTCACAATAAAGGCCCCAAATGAGTCCTGTTGCCTGGTTTTCCCAATATTAGCACAGGATCCACTCTGCTTCTCTTTGTTTGGTTAATGCTGGGCTGGCTCTGAATCTGTGGGGAGACTTCTCCAAAAGTTATACTAATGAAAGCAAAAGGATTACCTGCTTTGTGGATCAGCAGCTTATCCACAGATCTTTCATGTTCTATTCCTGGTAGAGCTGCTTATTTTGAATGTCTAGGTACTGTATGTTATGAGTGCCCTCTAAAGGCAGAAATGTATTCTTAATTAAAATGTAATCCTAAATCAAAATGGAAAGAAATGATCCAAGTGATATACAGCTTAGCATATAGTGATAAATTAAATAGATTGTTTGGCAAAAATTCTTGTGTTAGTGGTGTGTGATAGCCAATAGTACTTGACAATCTTGGGCTATGCAATTGACAGGCAGATGGTTGGCTTAATCTTTCCAGGTTTCTTAAAAGGTCATCTTAATAGCAGTCATCTTTGTAGCTAGTAACATATGCAAAACTCATACCCAAACTTAAACTCAAGAATTATTATTCTTTTTACATACATCATGTGGAGTAAGTTAAATTGATTTTCTTATGAGATGACTAGGTACCCAATGAGTAAGCCAAGAATTGGCTTCTAACACTATACTTCATATTTATAAACTGCTTTATAAATATAAGATTATTAAACAGAGTGGAAAAGGTAGAATACCTTTCTGTCAAGAGGCAACTAATGCCCAATAGCTTCTGTTGGGTTTGAGGGTGCACAAAGGTAAGGGATGTGTATTACTGGGGTCTATGAACTGGAAAAGTTTCCTTTTGTAAAATTGCTTTACAGATTCAACACAATGGCTATCATATGTCAGCTCCTTTCTTTTGCAGGAGTTGATAGTTGATTCTAAAATTCATATAAAATTATAAGGGGCCGGGTGCAGTGGCTCACGCCTGTAATCCCAGCACTTTGGGAGGCTGAGGTGGGTGAATCGTGAGGTCAGGAGTTCGAGACCAGCCTGACCAACATGGTGAAACCCTGTCTCTACTAAAAAAGGCTGGGCATGGTGCTCACGTCTGTAATCCCAGCACTTTGGGAGGCCGAGGCGGGTGGATCACGAGGTCAGGAGATCGAGACCACGGTGAAATCCTGTCTCTACTAAAAATACAAAAAATTAGCCGGGCGCGGTGGCGGGTGCCTGTAGCCCCATCTACTCCGGAGGCTGAGGCAGGAGAATGGCGTGAACCCAGGAGGCGGAGCTTGCAGTGAGCTGAGATCGTGCCACTGCACTCCAGCCTGGGCAACAGAGCGAGACTCCATCTCAAAAAATAATAATAAAAATAAAAATACAAAAAAATTAGCTGGGTGTGGTGGCATATACCTGTAGTCCCAGCTACTCAGGAGGCTGAGGCAGGAGAATTACTTGAACCCGGGAGGCAGAGGTTGCAGTCAGCCGAGATCATGTCACTGCACTCCAGCCTGGGTGACAGAGCAAAACTCTGTCTCAAAAAAAAAAAAAAATTATAAGGGACCCAAAATATCCAAAACAGTCTTGATAAAGAACAAAGTTGAAGGATCACACTTCCCAATTTTAAAACTTACAACAAAGCTACAGTAATTACCATTGACATTCTTCACAGAATTAGAAAAAACCATTTTAAAATTCATATGGAACCAAAAAAGAGCTTGTATAGCCAAGATGATCCTAAGCAAAAAGAACAAAGCTGGAGGCACCATGCTACCAGACTGCAAACTATACTACAAGGTTACAATAACCAAAACAGCATGGTACTGGTACAAAAACAGACCCATAGATCAGTGGAACAGAAAAGAGAACTCAGAAATAAGACCACACATCTACAACCATCTGATCATCAACAAATCTGAAAAAAAAAAAAAAAAAAAAAAAAAAAAGCAACTGGGAAAGGATTCCCTATTTAATAAATGGTGTTGGGAAAACTGGCTAGCCATATACAGAACATTGAAACTGGACCCCTTCCTTACACCTTATACACAAATTAACTCAAGATGGATTAGAGACTTAAATATAAAACCCGAAACTATAAAAACCCTAGAACAAAATCTAGGCAATACCATTCAGGACATAGGCACAGGCAAAGATTTCATGACAAAATCGCCAAAAGCAATTGCAACAGAAGCAAAAATTGACAAATGGGATCTAATTAAACTAAAGAGCTTCTGCACAGCAAAAGAAATTATCATCAGAGTGAACAGGCAACCTACAGAGTGAGAGAACATTTTTGCAGTCTATCCATCTGACAAAGGACTAATATCCAGAATCTACAAGGAACCTAAACAAAGTTACAAGAAAAAAAACAAACAACCCCATTAAAAAGTGGGAAAGGACATGAACAGACACTGTCAAAAGAAAACACTCATGTGGCCAACAAACATATGAAAAAAGCTCGACATCACTGACCATTAGAGAAATGCAAATCAGGCTGGGCATGGTGGCTCAATGCCTGTAATCCCAGCACTTTGGGAGGCCGAGGCAGGTGAGGCCAGGAGGTCAGGAGTTCAAGGCCAGCCTGGCTAACATGGTGAAACACTGTCTCTACTAAAAATACAAAAATTAGCTGGGTGTGGTGGCTCATGCCTGTAGTCCTAGCTACTCAGGATACTGAGGCAGGAGAATTGTTTGAACCAGGGAGGTGGAGATTGCAGTGACCCGAGATTACGCCACTGCACTCCAGGCTAGGTGATAGAGCAAGACGCTGTCTCAGGGAAAAAAAAAAAGAAGAGAGAAATGCAAATCAAAACCACATGAGATACCATCTCTCACAAGTCAGAATGGCAATTTCTTAAAAAGTCAAGAAACAACAGATGCTGGTGAGGTTGTGGAGAAATAAGAATTCTTTTGTACTGTTGGTGGGAATGTAAATTAGTTCAACCATTGTGGAAGACAGTGTGGCAATTCCTCAAAGATCTAGAACCAGAAATACCATTTGACCCAGCAATCCCATTACCGGGTATATACCCAAAGGAATATAAATCATTCTATTACAAAGATACTTGCAGCACATGTATATTCATTGCAGCACTATTCTCAATAGCAAAGACATGTAATCAACCCATATGCCCAACAATGATAGGCTGGATAAAGAAAATGTGGTTCATATACACCATGGAATATTATGCAGCCATAAAAAGGAATGAGATCATGTCCTTTGCAGGGATATGGATGGAGTTGGAAGCCATTATCCTCAGCAAACAAATGCAGGAACAGAAAACCAAACACCACATGTTCTCACTTACAGGTGGGAGCTGAACAATGAGAACATGTGGACACAGGAAGGGGAACAACTCACACTGGGGCCTGTTGGGGGTGGGGTTGGGGGAGGGAGAGCATTAGGAAAAATAGTTAACGTATGCTAGGCTTAATACCTAGGTGATGGGTTGATAGGTGCCACAAACCACACGTTTACCTATGTAACAAACCTGCACATCCTGCACATGTACCTGAGAACCTAAAAATTAAAATAAAAAAATTTTAAAAAGTGACAGTAATTAAGACTGTGTGGTACTGGTATAAGGATAGGTATGTAGATGTGTAGATCAATGGGACAGAATTGAGAGTCCAGAAATAAACCCATACATTTATGGTCGATTGGTTTTTGACAATGTGCCAGAACAATTCAATGGGGAAAGAATTGTTTTTTCAGCAAATGGTGTGGGGACAAGTGGTTATCCACACGCAGAAAAATTACATAGGACCTCTATTTCTCACTCTTTACAAAAACTAATTCAGCATGAATCATAGATCAAATGTAATAGCCAAAACTATGAAACTCTGAGAAGAAAACATAAGGTTAAATCTTTCTGACCTTGGATTAGGCAAAGCCTTCTTAGATACAATATGAAAAGCACAAGAAAGTAGGTAAATTAGACTTAATCAAAATTAAAAACTTTTGTGCTTTAAAGTACATCAAGAAGAAAGTGAAAAGGCAACCCGCAAAATAGGGGAGAATATTGCAGATCATGTAAATAATAAGGGACTTGTAATCCAGAATATATACAGAGCTCTTACAATTCAAAAACAAACAAAAAATACCAATTAAAAATGGGTGAAGTGTTTAAATAAACATTTCTCCCAAGAAGATGTACAAATTGCTAAATAAGCACACGAAAAGATGTTCAACATTATTAGACATTGGGAAAAGGAAGTCAAAACCACAGTGAGATACCTATTCATACCCAAATGGATTTGCTTTAACTAAAAAGACAGACAATGACAGTGTTGGTGAGGATGTGGAGAAATGTAGATCTTTCATTCATTACTGGGGTGAATGCAAGGCCTTGCGACCACTTTGGAAAACAATTTGGCAGTTCCTCAAAATGTTAAATATAGAGTTACCACATAAGCCAGCAATTCTACTCCTAGGTATCTACTCAAATAACAGAAATGAAACCTACGATCGCACGAAGACTTGCACACAAATGTCTAAAAAATTGAAACAATCTGCATGCCCATTAACTGGTAAGCAGATAAGCAAAATATGGTACATCATACAATGGAATATTATTCAGCCATAAAAAGGAATGAAGTATAGATACATGTTGCAACATAGATAAACCTTGAAAACTTTATGCTAAGTGAAAGAAGTCATCCACAAAAGGCCACATATTGTATGATTACATTTATTAAAGAAATCTCCTGGATAGGCAAATCTTGAGATATAAAAAAATTAGTATTTGCCTAGGGCAGGGGGGTTTTTGGAGAGGAAGAAAGTGACTACTAATGGATAAGAGGTTTCTTTTTAGAGTGACGAAAATGGGCTAAAATTGATTGTGGTGATATTTGTATAGTGCTGTGAATATACTAAAAACCATTGAATTGTACCTTTTAAATGGGTGAGTTACATGGTATGTGAATTACAGCTTAACAAAGCTGTTAAATTTTCTAAAAAGAAAGGCAACTTCCTAAATTGACCAAATGTTTTCGAGTGGGGCAATAAATCTCATACATCATTGCAATTTCAGGAACCAAGCTGCAGTATAGCTGTGTTTTCTGGTGCCAGGTCTCTTGCAAGGCTGCAGTGAAGGTGTTGGCTGCTAACATTTCAAAGCTCAGCTGGGCTCACTTTCAGGCTCACCCATGCAGTTGTCCACATTTGGTTCTTTGAAGCCTGTTGGACTAAGGGCTTCAATTTTCTACTAGTTGTTCACTTGGGGCTATTCTTAGCTTGGTCACATCAGCCTCTTTATGGTTAACAACACAGCACCTTGCTTCATCAGAGTGAGCAAGTGAGAAGAACCTGGGATAATGCAAGCAAGGCAGCTTGCATTGTAACCTGATCTCAGAAGTGACATCCCTTTACTTTTGCCATTTTCTGGTCCTTATAGGAACATCAGTAGATCTAGCCCACACTCAAGAAGAGAGGATTTCACAAGGATATGAGTCATTGGGAGGTGGTGATCATTAAGAGCCATTTCAGAAGCTGTCTACCACATGGACCATATTTTTAAAATGTCAAATTGTGGAGGTTGTCCTTATGGGGCCGATGGTGCAATGCAATGAAATTAACTTACCTGAAAAATCTGAAGCTTGGTTGCCATGAGTATTCAGGACACTGGTATGGAGTGTAAGTGAAAACCAGCATGATTGATGATAGATGTGCTTTGGCAATACCAAAGCAATCAGAAGTTGTTAGGACAGTTGGTTAGAGCACTTTGTGAAGGGGTCATGACGTCACTACTCAGTGTTACCATTAGGCCAAACTAGGCCAGCTTCTTGCAAATGCCTATTGTTCCCAAGGAGACTGTGTGAAAGAATGGAAAAACCATTCTTCCATTAAACTAATAATTTATTCAGTCAGCTATAAAAACTTCTCAAAGTCCTTGTGTAACTGAAGGTAGGCTGGCAGCATAATCTTCACTTGGGGGTGGTAAGTTTTCATGACAAATATTTTAGAATAGGATTTTCTTTGACTAGAACTCTTCTACTTCTGTGGGCAAATATAAGTTCAATTCATACTTGGAAAGAAAAGATTGGAAATGATGGTGTTTATAGCATTCCATATATTTCAGACAGAAGAAATTCCTTTGAAACGTCATATATTTTCTACCTTCTGATGATTCCTAAGTGGTAGATTCCTAGTTTACATCTCCAAACATGTAATCCTATTCTAGTGAAGAATTGAACATTAACTTAATAAATACATTATTAATATTATTTTCTCCTGTCCATATAGATTCATCTAACTTCCCCTTATGTCATTTCTAAATAACAAATCTGAAGCTCAATTTCAAAGAAATTACAAAGTAGCTCAAAGGTTATCTTTCTTATGTCATAATACAGCAGTCCCCAACCCTTTTGGTACCAGGGGCCAGTTTCGAGGAAGACAATTCTTCCACAGACAGGGTGGGAGGTGATGGGGCTGGTTTCAGGATGACACTGTTCCACCTCAGCTCATCAGGCATTAGATTCTCATACAGAGTGTGCAACCTAGATCCCTTGCAATGTGCAGTTCACGATAGGGTTCATGCTTCTGTGAAAATCTACTACCGCTGCTGATCTGACAGGAGGCAGAGTTTAGGCGGTAATGGGGCTTGCCCGCCGCTCACCTCCTGCTGTGCAGCCGGGTTCCTAACAGGCCATGGACCACACCAGTCTGTGGCCCAGGGTATGGGGACCCCAGGTATGTTATATAATTAGGTAACTGAGATCACCGCTATGGTCTGTGTCTCCCCAAAATTCCTGTGTTGAAATCCTAACTCCCAAGGTGATGATATTAGGAGGTGGGACCTTTGGGAAATGATCAGGTCATGAGGGTGGAGCTCTCATGAATGAAATTAATGTCCTTATGAAAGAGACCCCAGAGAGCTCTCTCACCTCTCCACCATGTGAAGCTACAATGAGAAGACAGCAGTTTGCAACCTGGGACAATCCTTCCCAGAACCTCACCATGATAGCACCCCAATTCTGAACTTTCAACCTCCAGAACTGTGAGAAAATGACTTTCTGTTGTTTATAAGCCACCCAGTCTACAGCACTGTTACAGGAGCCTGAATGGACCAAGAAAAATCTCCGATAGAAGTGTTACAGAAATAATGTTAAGAGAGATAATGCCGGGAGTACCTGCCTCTTCTCTTCTCCCTACTCCAGGCAAATTGTCTGGTAATGTTGTGATGCTCGGAGAACGCCAGCCCAGGTGCCTGTGAAGCAGTCCCCTCTGCTCACTGCACTGTTCCTGATTTTGTTCCATAACTTTGTGCCTCTAGGAAAAGAGGAGAGCCTCCCGAAATCTGATGAGACTCGCTGTATCACGCCAGTCTGTGGCTTAGGTGATACAGAAAGGAAATGCGAAGATCAGGCCTCACTGCCAGCTTTGCTCAGTTACACAGAAAACATGCTGTTTCAGCTTTTGGGAGTTTCTTAGTACACGATCGGTTTCTTTTTCTCTTTTATGAAAGTTTTTCCCCTTAGATTTGCTTTCAAAACAACAGACTTTCACTTCTGGCTAAGACAGAATGAGTGACCTAGTACAATCTTTGACACTGTTATTATATATCTTTATTCATAATCAATGCATGATTTTGATTATTCTGACTTTAATTTTACGAGTAAAAATGGGTTGGTTATAAATCCCTTTCAAAGAATTTTTTTTTTTTCTTTTTGAGACGGAGTTTTGCTTTTTCTGCCCAGGCTGGAGTACAATGGTGCGGTCTTGGCTCACTGCAACCTCTGCCTCCTGGGTTCAAGTGATTTTCCTACCTCAGCCTCCCAAGCAGCTGGGATTACAGGCATGCGCCACCACACCCAGCTAATTTTTTGTATTTTTAGTAGAGATGGGGTTTCACCATGTTGGTCAGCTGGTCTCGAACTCCAGACCTCAGGTGATCCACTGGCCTCGGCCTCCCAAAGTGCTGGGATTACAGGAGTGAGCCACCGCGCCCGGCCCCTTTCATTGCTTTTTAAGGAAAACATGCTATCATATATACTTCACCTCCAGGGCAGTACATTCTTACTTTAAGGCAAAGACAGTTGCTGAGGCCTGGACTAGGGGAAAATTTGGGCTCCAGATGGGACTGTTGGATAAAATACCAGACGTCCTGTAAATGTGAATTTTAGATAAACAACGAATAACTTTTTAGTATAAAAGTAAATACTGCAATGGAATTTATTATTTGCTAAATGTGCAACCCTAGGTTAAGAGAGCTTTTCAGACCCACTTCTCAGCCCGAGTTTTCTATTTAAAATCAGAATAAGAACGCCTGCTTCATGGAGCTGTTAAATCCAAATGGAAATTAATTTGAAAGCGCGAAATCAAACTTTTCAAAAGAATGACGGTTACAATAAGAGCGTTTTGGCCTCTGCTAGCTGCTTCCGGGCGGAGGTCCTCGGCCTCCCCTAGGCGAGGCACTAGGTCTGGGGGCGGCGGGTCTTAGCGTGCCCGCCACGCTCGCCGCCTCCCACCTGCCCTGGCTGGCTGGGGCCCGACCCTTGCGTCGCTCCGGGGCCCAAGTTACGGACTCGGGAATCCAGTTGTCCGCACCGAACAAGCCCCGCCGCAGCGCCCGCCCCTCCTCTTGCTGCTTTGGAGTCTCCCGGCTTCCGCCTTCCGCAGCAGTCACGTGCCTCCGATCACGTGACCGGCGCCTCTGTCATTCTACTGCGGCCGCCCTGGCTTCCTTCTACCTGTGCGGCCCTCAACGTCTCCTTGGTGCGGGACCCGCTTCACTTTCGGCTCCCGGAGTCTCCCTCCACTGCTCAGACCTCTGGACCTGACAGGAGACGCCTACTTGGCTCTGACGCGGCGCCCCAGCCCGGCTGTGTCCCCGGCGCCCCGGACCACCCTCCCTGCCGGCTTTGGGTGCGTTGTGGGGTCCCGAGGATTCGCGAGGTAAGGCCGCCCTCGCGTTGTTTGGTCTCAGGCTGCAGACCAGGTCAGGCGACTCTTGCAGTTTCTCCAGCTTGCCTGGTGCGTGCTGGTGTCTCGCCGCTTGGTCCTCTCCTGTTCTTCGGCCCCCGGTTGCCAGATTGCTTTTCTTCCAGGCCTCAACCAGGTTTATTAAGCGAAATTCTGGAGCCTTTCTCGCAGGGGGAAGAAACGTCAGGGGCGGGCAGGAGAGTGGAGGGGGAGGGGTAAAAAGTATACCTTCTCCAGGACTGGGCCACGGCCCTGGATCGCTGGGGGTGCGAGTAGTTCAGGGACTTAGGTAATTGTCTAGAGACACCTTGAGCTACGCCAGGACGGGCCGCTGAGGCTGAGCCTCCTTGGCTGCAGAGTTCCAGCCTGGCCCAGTTGAAGCCTGTTTTTTCCTGGGCCCTGTCGTTCGCGCTGCCCAGGGTTGTTTATACAGCAAATCTTCAGATACAGAGATTAAGTTCCAAATTGATTAAGATCGTTGGAAACCCGGAATATAATTTTGGGTAGGATTTTAACTTCTTTGTGGCCATGGCCGTGAATTTATGTTTTGCAAGTGGCAACCTGTATTTTGCTTTGTGTTAAAATCAGTCGTTTGTATCTGGAAGTTTAGGAGTGAGAATTACATAGAATTTCATTATTGTAGGTTCTTGTCGTCCAGCCAGACCGCCATTGTTGGCTTACCTAAATTGTAATATGTATTTGTTCTAAAACTTTCTCTCCGAATTTTGATTTTGCAAATACTATGAATTTTGTTTGAAAAGGAAAGCACTGTCTTCTAAGAAATTATGTTCCCACTTTGTGTATTTTAATTTGAGTAATTTTCGAAAGGACTTAGAATTTTTAATGTGCCACTTCAAAATGATGCTTAGTAAATGTTTATAAAACTAGCCTTATCCGTACTATTCATATTCTTATTGTTTCTCTATGAGAAAAGTTAACCACAATTGTATAAATTTACAATTTTTCCCATATTTATACCTATTCTATTTAATCATGATTTCTGATTTCAGTATATTAGGTGATTGCTTTAAAAATCTTACTGCAGTGTTAGTGCCAATAATGAAAAAAATTTTTCTAGAAAAGCAAAAGCCTAAAGAACTCTTTTATGGAGCAGTGGACAATATTTGAAATATAATGATACTTTCAGACTTAGGACATTTAATATTTGAGTTGAATGCCTGGGGAGATTAAAGTGATCACGATATTCATAATCATAATATTAATAGTTGTAAAAAAAAGAAACACCTCGTATTCTGTTTTTACCTTGCATCAAAATTGAAGATTTGTTGAAAGACATTCAAGATTACGAAGTTTAGATGACCAAAATGGATATCCGAGGTGCTGTGGATGCTGCTGTCCCCACCAATATTATTGCTGCCAAGGCTGCAGAAGTTCGTGCAAACAAAGTCAACTGGCAATCCTATCTTCAGTAAGTACCAATTTGCTGTGAATCATGGACAGTCATATGCTTTTGCATCAGACTTTTTCATGGTCATGCTTCTATGAGAGAAATACAGGGAAAATACTGAAAAATGTGGAAGAAACACTTCCTCTTCAGAATAATTAGCTGTCTTAGGGAGTTAAGTGTAGTGGGGTGGAAACAGCTTGGCGCCCTAGTGGGGAAGCAGAGCGGCTTATGGTGCTTTTGACCTTCTCTGGCTGCCTGGGGAAGTACTTTTGGAATAAGTGGGAAACATAGGAGGAATGTCCTTGGGCTAACGGAGGGAGGAAGGGGATGAGGGGCAAAACCTGCTAGACTGGTCTGATATGCCCTGGCAATCAGCATGGGGGCAGGTGGCCTTTTTAGAGTGGTGCATACAACTAATAAGAAGCACAGATATTTGAGTTGAGAGACTTGGATTTGAGTTTTGGTTCTTGCTATTAGTTTGGTGATCTTAAGCAAATCACTTAACTTCTCTGAGGCTCAATAAAGTAAAATGTGAAATGGGGAGACATACCCCACAGGCTTGTTGCTGAAATAATGTATTTATTAGCACAGTAGAATACAAGCATTAGTATGTTGAATACAATACATTTTAGTTCCCCCTTCTTTCTTGTATGTATTAATATTTAATGTGCTGATGTTTCAGTATTTTGTATTTATCTATAAAGTGAGCATTCATGTATTCTTGACCATATTTTATTGACTTCATATTTATTTTGGTATATTTATAACTGAGTTACCAAGGAATTCAGTTCAGATTTGCATATGCATTTTGAAAAACAAATTGAGGAATCTAGTTTTATATTAGTGTTAATTTTATATTAGTATTAATAGTTTGTGTTGTTGTAGGAGGGATCTATAATGTACAAAAATGATCCTTTAATTTCTGTTAATTTAATCACTCATCAAACATTTATTGATTACCTGCCAAGTTTGAGGCATTTTTCCAGGCTTTGAGGCTACAAAAATTCCATACAGAGTACTGTCCCTGAAGGAACTAAAACTCTAGTAGGGAAGTCAGATGTATTAATAGATCATTTTAATTCACTATTTTTTTTTTTTTTTGAGACAGAGTCTCACTCTGTTGCCCAGGCTGGAGTACAGTGGGGCAGTCTTGGCTCACTGCATCCTCCGCCTCCCGGGTTCAAGCAGTTCTCCTTCCTCAGCCTCCCGAGTAGCTGGGATTACAGGCACCTGACACCTTGCCCGCCTAATTTTTTTGTATTTTTAGTAGAGACAGGGTTTCAACATGTTGGCCAGGCTGGTCTCGAACTCCTGACCTCGTGATCTGCCCCTCTTGGCCTCCCAAAGTGCTGGGATTACAGGCGTGAGCCACCGTGCCCGGCTCTAATTCAGTATGTTAACTGTGGCAATAGAAAGATGCACAGGGTCTGGCAGGTGCACATAAAAAAGACAAGTAATTCTACCCCTTGGAAATTTTCCTGAAGGGGCTGGTCCCTGAACTGAGTTTTTGAGGATGATGGGTATTTAGCCATGTGGCAAGTAGGAGCAGCCTTGGGAATAGAACAGATAATGTGAGCAAAGGCAGGGAAGCAAAAACAGCACACTGGGTGGGAGTCATACATGTTTTGGAGGCAGGCAATGCAGAGAGCTGAGGCTAGAGAGGCAGCCAGGGGCCGATCGTGAAGATGCTGTGTGTGGGTGTGTGGTTGGAAGGAGTTTGGACTTGATCCTATCAGTCAGTGCTTTTCAAGCTGATTTTTAAGCTGTGAAGCCCATGATTGATATGAAGTTAGCATGTAAAACAGATGAAAATGATAGAATGGAGGTGGGAGTGTGTGTCCCAGAGCCCTCTTTTTGAGACCATTCACCATTTTCCAAGGAGCTGTAGGTGTTGGAAACCAATGAATCTTGTAGCCGGGAGTTAGAAGACCATATCTGCCTCTTGATTGAATTGTTCTACTAGCAGCATGAAGGGTGAGTTTGTAGGTGATAAGTCTAGAGGTAGAGAGAAGCTATAGCAGTAACCAAGGTATTGGAATAGATAGAATTGGTTAGATTGAGAGAGTCTTAGTGATTGATTTGGTGTGTGGGGGTGAAAGAGAAGTCTTGGATGACTTCTGGATTCCTACTTTAAGGAACTGGGTTATTGTGGGGCCACTGACTGAAGGACAGGAGGAGGGGAGACTTGCTGATGTTTTCTCTGTTCATCAGTGTTTGTGTAATTGTTTAAATTCCCTGTGAAATTAGGATTCTGAGCTCTGTTTCCTAATTTCTTTAGTCCAGAGTGCATTTAGACTAGAGGACAGGGAGTTTTATGTTTATAAAGCCTGGATCTGTTTATAGCCTACATAGAATAATATTGTTGATCATAAAGCACTGGTGGACTGGCCAGAGCTCCGCCTAACGTTGGCATTTGGAATGTTTGTAGTTACATGGAGCTTTTAAAATTGCTTTATTTCTGTTCTTCGTTACCCATGGTCTATGACATGTTGTGTTTTCCCGTTTTCCTATATATCTGTCTTTTGTTCTGATGTCCATCTCACAAATTTCTTTTGTAAAACCCCTCCACTCCGTAGGCCTGTGGGCAAATGTTCACCAAATGTTAACTGTGGGCCTGTTGAGCCTGTTGATGTGTGGGTGCTGGTGGGTGTGAAATGTGTCTCATATAAAAGAGCTTACAGATTGTTGGGGGCTGGAACCAACACATGAAGAATCAGTGAATCTTCTATCACATTCTGTACTGAGATAATAAGACCTGTGGAAGCGTCCCCCAGTGTCGAGAGCCCAATATGCTTTTGTTCTTCACAAATTAATATGTTATGAAAATACAGTATTTGAAACATGTATTTATATTTGATTAAGCTTTTTTCTTAATAAATAGACATACATAAATGAATGGGTATGGCTGTGTTCTAGTCAAACTGGAATCTGGTAAAACTACCTTGAGGATACAAGAATTATAAAATGCCATCCTTGCTCATGAGTTTAAATCTCATGAGGAAACAGACTTTTATCAAATTAAATAGCAAATTGTGCTAAATGTTAAGATAGAGAAATATATAAATATATAAAGTGTATATATATTTACAACAAAAGGAAATACACAACAAAAAGTGGGAGCAAATAAATGCTGGGAGTATTGGGGGAATTTTCACAGAACGCATAAAGACACTCACAGGTGGCCAGGCGCGGTGGCTCACGCCTGTAATCCCAGCCCTTTGCGAGGCCGAGGTGGGTGGATCACCTGAGGTCAGGAGTTTGAGACCAGCCTGGCCAACATGGTGAAGCCTCATCTCTACTAAAAAATTAGCCGTGTGTGGTGGCAGGTGCCTGTAATCCCAGCTACTTGGGAGGCTGAGGCAGGAGAATCGCTTGAACCTAGGAGGTGGAGGTTGCAGTGAGCCGAGGTTGCACCACTGCACTCCAGCCTGGGCAATAGAGCAAGACTCTGACTCAAAGAAAAAAAAAAAAGACAGTAACAGGAGTTGTCCAGGCCGAGGAACACCTGGAGTTATCTAGGAAGGGAGGTCCAGGCAGGGAGCTGAGGCCTGGGAGGACATGCAGTGCTTGGGAGCTTCAGGTAGTTCAGTGTGGCTCTCTCCAGGCTTCTTCATTTACCAGCTTCGGAGGCCAAAAACCTTGGGGCCATCCTTGCTGCTTCCCTTTTGCTCACAGTCCATGTCCAGCCCATCAACACATTCTTCCAGCTCTACGTCCAAAAGATGCCTCGAATCTGAGTGCGATCCTGTGTCTGCGGTTCCTGCCTCGTGCATGTTGTGTTCCCCTTGCATGTGCTCTGTTGTTATTGCCTGTTGCCTGCTGTCTGTCTCTGCTATCCTTGCTGCCTCAGTAGGAGCAATTCTTCACAGAACTGCGAGAGTGATTTCAAAAAAATACAAGTCTGATCATGCCCCCTCGCTCACAGCTCTCTAGCTCCCGCCTTCTTGATCTTTCTCACATAGCAAACCTCAGCTCCTTGGACCTGTGTATCTGTCTCTCCAGAAGTTCCACCCTTAGATTCTTTGGCCTCTTCATTCACTTCATTTGTGTGGCTGTATAGGTGATCTCACAAGCCCCCTACCCGGACTGGTTTTTTTTTTTTTTCCATAGCATTTACAGCCTTAGCATTATAACATGTGTGTGTGTTTTCAAGATTATTTGTTTTTGTATTTGCGTATTTTCTGTTTTCCTCACTGGAGTGCAGGCTGAAAAGAGGGGTCCCTATTTATTGATGTGTCAACTGTTCTTACAGGTGCCTGGCATGTAGTAGGCTGCCAGTTAATATTAGTTGACTAAATTATGAATGGAGTATTGTGCTTATCAGGAATTGGTGGAGATGAGTATTTGGAAAAGGAAGTAACATGCTTGGTAACTAACATCCTATTTAACATTATTTTCATAGAAATACAGTGACATAGGTTTTTCTATCCTATTCACTCTCTCTTTTTTTTTTTTATGAGATGGAGTTTCACTCTTGTCGCCCAGGCTGGAGTGCAATGGTGCGTTCTTGGCTCACTGCAACCTCCGCCTCTTGGGTTCAAGTGATTCTCCTGCCTCAGCCTCCCGAGTAGCTGGGATTACAGGCACCTGCCACCTCGCCTGGCTAATTTTTGTATTTTTAGTGGAGACAGAGTTTCACCATGTTGGCCAGGCTGGTCTCGAACTCTTGACCTCAGGTGATCCACCCGGCTCTGTCTCCCAAAGTGCTGGGATTACAGGCATGAGCCACCATGCCCAGCTTCTATCCTATTCTCTTTTAAAGATGAGTAGATAACTGTTCTGATGGGTTAAGTAACATGTGCATGATTATATAGGTTTTAGTTAGTCAATTGATTTTAAATATTTTTACTGAATGCCTCTGCGTAAGTGCTAGGTAGAACTCACAGTCCAAGGGAATAATATGACCCCATATGTACTTGAGAAGGCCGCCTGGTAGTAGGTAAGAAGATGGTTTTGAAGAAGGTTGAATTGGATGCGGGGAAATCCACTGGTGGAAGGTTGTCCTAGTGCTGAGCTACTCCAGAGGCAGGGAAGTAGAGAGGAGAGTAGTTTTAAGGGGAAGATTGTTAGGTCTGGGGCCTGATTAGCTGTGGGTCATTCTAGAAGATACCAGAGCCCCGAACCTGCTGGATTATGGAAATGTCAAAGGAAGACCCAGAGAGAAAATAACTTAAACAAGGAAAGAAAAAGGTTAGGGAGTGGCTAGACAAATAAGAAACAGTTATTTTAATGGAAAAGAAAGCTGCAAAATTATAAGGTTACCAAGTGTAGCCTTCATGGTATACCTTCTTCATGGTAGAAAAACCACCACCTTTTGACATGATTTTCTTCACAGAGGTTATGACATCCCTTTACATATCAGCATAGCAAAATTTAGGGGTAAAATTATTTTTATCTAGGAAGTTCAGGTTTATCAGTGTGCTCAACATTTCATTTATTTTGGGGCCAGATCTAGACTGGATGACCTTGTTATTTTAGTCTACCCCAGGGTGCAGAGTGCATTTTTTCCTGACCGGTACGTGAAGTGCTTAGCCAGAATGGAAAGTGGGCAAAGTGTCTGTTTTTGCTTCCAACTTCTAGCCTTTGGGATTAACAATCTTAGTTCTGCGCCTGTAGGGTGTGGAGTGCCACTGCCATCTGTGGGAGGATATGAGTGGGGACCGGGGGAAATAATGCCAGAGTTCAGCGCAGGGGGTGTAGTGAGAAATGAAGAGAGCTTTTCATAGTAGCTGAGGCACAGGAGGCAGTGAAGATGAGTGACTTGAGTGGGATGAGAAGAATCTGGAAGCTAAGGAAGAGAGTGTCAAGATGTAGTCATAGTGTCACCTGCCTAAGAGAGATCTAGAAAGACAGAATTCTCCTTTGGGTTGGTAATTAAGAAATTGTTGAAAAAAATAAATGCATGAGAATAGTTTAAAATGTTAAAAAATGAGCATGTGTGAAAACAAAGTTACAGTGCTTAAAACAGTGTGAAACTGATGTAAGAAGACAGAATAGTGAATTACAAAGTCCAGAAGCAAATTTGAACTATACAAAACAATTTGGCATATAGCAGTAGTATGTACAAAACCCAGAAGGGACACTGATAGATTTTTGAATATGTAATAATCAAGGTCTTCTTTGGAAGAGGGTGGGGTTAAGGGTAGAAGTAGTAGGACATATGCAAGTTCAGGTCCCTTCTCTTGGGGAGGGGACAGTTCTGAGTGCCTCACCTTCCCAGGCTCTCCTGTGGGCTCAGGGAAAGCTGTCCTGGGTTCTTTGCTTGAATCCTGCTGGGCTTTTTTGCTTCAGTGTCCTGAGCCCTTCATGCTATCCCTGGCTTCTCCTGGGAGCTCTTCTTTCATAAATCACTTGTACATGAATCTTCGTCTCAGGGCCCAGCTCTGGGAGCCTGACCCGAGGCAGCTCTGAAAGTGGGCCATCCTTCTATAACTATGCTTTTTTTTTGTTTGAGACAGGGTCTCACTCTGTCACACAAACTGGAGTGCAGTGACACAATTTCAGCCCACTGCAACTTCTGCCTCCTGGGTTCAAGTGATCCTCGTGCCTCAGCCTCCCGAGTAGCTGGGACTACAGGAGTGTGCCACCACACCCAACTTATTTTGTTGTTTTATTTTTTGTAGAGATGGGGATCTCACGGTGTTGCCCAGGCTTGTCTTAAACTCCTGTGCCCAAGGGGTCCCCCCATCTTGGCCTCTCAAAGTGCTGGGATTACAGGCATGAGCCACTGCACCTAGCCTAACTGTGCATAGTGGGAACCTGCTTTACATTCAGTGTTTCTCTGAGTGGGTTTTGAGAACACCAATTCCTCAACATATTTGGGGTCAGGGGAGGAGGGACAATTTTTTAAACTACTGAGTTAAAAACTATATTGGGGCCAGGCGCAGTGGCTCATGCCTGTAATCCCAGCACTTTGGGAGGCTGAGGCAGGTGGATCACGAGATCAGGAGTTCGAGAGCAGCCCGGCCAATATGGTGAAACCCCGTTTCTACTAAAAATAAAAAAATTAGCTGGGCGTGGTGGCATGGGCCTGTAGTCCCAGCTACTCGGGAGGCTGAGGCAGGAGAATGGCTTGAACCCAGGAGGCAGAGGTTGCATTGAGCTGAGATCGTGCCACTGCACTCCAGCCTGGCAACAGAGTGAGACTCTGTCTCAAAAACAAACAAACAAAAAACCAAAAAAACTATATTGGTGTTGTTTGAACAGGAAAATAGATTACAAAAATTTTTAATTTTACACTTGCTTTTACCCATGTTCTAATATACAGCGAGTGCTTTTTCTTATATTTTTTCATTTAATCTGCATAACCACCTAGTGGGCTAGGGCAGGTAGTATCATAGTTGCTGTTTTACTGGTGTGAATAGTGGTCAGATGAATAGTGACTTGCTAAGCTTTCACACCTGGAACTGGAACTCTTCCCCATATTGACTCAAATTCTCTGCTTTTCCTACCATACTGGTGGCTTAAAGGAGCTGACTTGAATGAATCCTGAAGTGCCCAGAGTCTTACAGGGGGCTAGCAGGTCTGTTCTGCTGACACATCTTTTAGACAAGGAAGGGTCTGTATTTAGAGATTAGGATGGGGGTTTGCTATATTGTATGATTGAGTCCCTGAGGAGTGGAGAAGTTGGGAAGGTTGAGCTGTGTTTCTTCTACCTCCAGAGATAGTCTTATCATTTTCAAATTCAGCAGCATCACCACCGGGGAAAGTGACAGTGGGATATCATCTTCACTGGGGATGACAGGGAAGATGACAGGAACATGATGCTGAATTTGAAAATGGTAAGACTATCTCTGGAGGTAGAAGACAGTGGAAATGATTGGGAGGGAGGGAAGATGGGACTCTCGATTGAATCTCTCACAGGAAGGAGTTTGGAAATCAAAAGCAAGATTTCAGTGATTGAGTGCTGGGGAGGAGCCTTGAAGGGCGAAGAGCCAGTGATGAAGCGACCCCTGGAAGAGATGGAGGAAAATAGGAGAGTGTGGGGTCAGGATGGAGAGTTATTTTCCAGAGAGGAGGAAAATCAGTTTTGTTTTTTTTTTTTCTGTCTGGAGGGAAAGAATGTACTAGAGAAAAATGGTCGTAGAAATTCATATAAAGTGGCTTTGGACTTGATAAATTAGATAGCCATGTGAATTGTTTGGCTTGAGAGGGGGAATAAGGGTGAGACACTGGGTAATGCTGAGAGGTGACATTTTACTGAGTGCCTACCATTTGCCACATGCTACTAACCACCTTATGTGAATTTAATTTTATCCTCAGTACAGCCCCTTAGAGGCAATGCGATTATTGTTCGCATTTTGCAGATAAATTAACTCAGGTTCCAGGGAGTTCACACTGTCTTATTTGTGGAGAAACTAAGCATTGAATCCAGGTCTGTCTGATGCCAGGGCCCTTGCGTCAGCCCTTGTGGTTTGCTGCCAAGGAGAGAAGAGAAGGACTGAAAATTCCTCTATCGCTTGCTTACATATTCAACTCTTACTGAACAAAACATCTTATTCTTACTTTCTAGGGGACAGATGATTTCTGCTGAAGATTGTGAGTTTATTCAGAGGTTTGAAATGAAACGAAGCCCTGAAGAGAAGCAAGAGATGCTTCAAACTGAAGGCAGCCAGGTGATGAATAAACATTATATAATGAACACTTCCCCGTGTCATCCAAAAGTTTAGAAAAATCTTAGTGATTATAAGTGACTTCCAGTTTTCTTGCTAATTTGGAAAGAACGTTATATTGAGCATGTTTACCTTCATCCTTTTCTGTATTTCTGAATATTTTCTTAGAATATACACCTGGAAGACAAATTTCTGGAAAAGAAGTTACTGTTTCAGAGTATGTTAAGTTTTAAAAGTTGCTTAACTTTTCTTTTTTTAAGAGAATTTTTTCCACTTGGTATTCTTACTAGTAATGTTTGAAATACCTAATATAATTGAAAATGTTTGAATTTGCTAAGTTAAAAGGGATATCACTTTGATGACATGGGATTACATTATTTTCCTGTTGATTTATTAAGTATTTATATGTCCTTTGAAATTTTTTTGGCGGTGGCATTCTTTTTATTTTAATATATAAGGTTTTGTTACTTTTTGATAAACAGTCTTTTTACATACAAAATTTATTACTGTTTGCCATATTTATAGCAAACATAGTTTCCTTTTTTACTATTTATCTTTGAAGGGTTGTGGAGTTTTTTCATATACAGTGGTTTAAAATGTTTAGTTACATATATTGATGTTTTACATTCTTTCATGGTAAGTTTATTGTAGAAAAATAAAATACTATTAAGCAAAAGAAAAAAGTTATTCTACCTAATATTTCTCTGTTCAAGGTGACTTGTTTACACTTAGCGTATACCTCTCTAGATATTTTTCTGTGCATAAAATAACTTATACACTTATTTCTACAAATGTGAACTTTTTACAAAAAGGGGTGATATGTACATATCTTTGTTCTTTTCATTTAACTGTATATTCTTCCCTTCCCTACTATGCCTGTAAAGATATTTCTGTGGTATTTAAAATAATTAATTTATTATTATTTCCCATTTATGGAAAGTTCCGTTGTGTAATTTTCCATTTAATGGATGAACCATAATGATCTAAACTAATTCTATACTGTTGCATATTTTGGCTACTTCCTTTTTTTTCTGTTTTGAGGCGAACAGTTAGTAATCTCATAATTAATTCGAGAAGTGCAATTATCTGGCTGGGTGCAGTGGCTCACACTTGTAATCCCAGTACTTTGGGAGACTGAGGCGGGCAGATCACTTGAGGTCAGGAGTTCGAGACCAGCCTGGCCAACATGGTAAAACTTCGTCTCTACTAAAAATACAAAAAAAAAAAAAAAAAAAAAAAGAGTGTAATTATTGATTAAACTATTTGAGCGTGTGAGAGTTTTGATATGATGAAAATGCTGTCTTGATAGATTGTACCAGTTTGCAGATCCTGCCAGCAGTATATGAGAGGGCCCATGCCCCTGCTCCAGCACCCCCTCTGGGTCTAGCCATTCATCTTTTGGTCATTTTGATAGGTGAAAGATAGTATCTTAACGTAATAGTGTTACACATTTTCAGATGGTTTTTGGCACCTTTTGTATCCATATCGATTGCTTCTATACTGTCATGCACTGACTACATAAAGATGTTTTGGTAAGTGTTGGACTGTGTATGTAATAGCGGTCTTGTAAGATTATACTACCATGTTTTTACTGCACGTTTTCTATGTTTATGTTTAGACACACACATACTTACTATTGTGTTACAGTTGCCTATAGTATTCAGTATAGTTACAGACTGTACAGGTGTGGAGCCATAGGTTCTACCATATAGCCTAGGTATGTAGTAGACACTACCATCTGGGTTTGTGTAAGTACACTCTAGGATGTTCACACAACAAGGAAATTGCCTAATGATGAATTTCTCAGAACTTTCCCCATTGTTAAGTGACACATGGCTGTATGTTTTTTATTTACTTTTCTATGGAAGTGTTTATAATCTTATTGATTTGTCAGTTTCCTTTATGTTTTAAGTATACCAGCTTTGTGCATGCCATATTTCCTCAGCTTGTTTGTTGAATTTTTAACTTGGTTTATGGGGTCTTTGCCATATTGAAGTTTAAGTTGTGCGATGAAATCTAGTTCTTCCTTTCCTTTGTGATGTCTGCTGTTGGTGTCATCCTTTGAAAAAGCTTCCCCACCCCAACCGCATGTGCAATGGAACATGTAGCTGATTCACTGTTTTTTCAGCACATACACACTGAGTCCCTGCCATGTGCCTGGTGAGACTGGGGATGTGTGTTAATAAGACAAGACTTTTCCCTTAAGGAGTTAGGAGTTAAAACAGCCCTTTCTTTTCTTTTTTTCTCATTTTTTTTTAAACCTGTTTCTTAGTAAGTGTGCAAAAACAGTTCTTTCTTAATAGCAGTGTCTGGTGTGATGGGCCTTTTATGGGGCAGTTGCCAGGAAGCTTTTTATCCAAACAAAATGGCAGTATATCTGAAAAAGAGTTCTGACAGAAATACCGTGGGCAACTTATATCTTTTTTTTTTTAATTTTGCTTAAATAGGTTAAAGTGTTTCCACTTTAGTGTTTTGATTAAAAAACCCAACTATTTGTTACTGTTAACTGTTTACATTCAGTATGGTGAGTGGGCTGTCTATCCATGGAAGACATGATTCATAGGTAGGCGTAAGTTCTAGGATAAGTATGATTTTGATAAGGTCTCCATTTTTTTATAGCATGGTTTTTATCACATGCTGTTTGTTACATTGGGGATTTATTGAATGAGTGAATACCAAGTGAAATACACTTTAATTTATACATCCTTAAGGTGGGGAAGTTTTTCAATGTATGACTCCAAACCTATTACTGAATGCTGTTGCATACTTAAAACTATGTTTTTTGGGGGGTGATTTAAGGGATTTTATAGAGTGTTTTGATTTGTACCCTATTTGATTTATATGCTGAGTTTAGAACTTGGCCCCATAATAAGGTTCAATTCTGCTGCCTATCGGGGGGCCTCATTGGCTGAAGGAGCCCATATACAAATTGGTCTGATTCTTACAACAGTCATGGGGAAGTTGGTAGGTAATATATTGTTGGCTGCAGTTTTTATTGAATTATGGAGAGGTTGTCATGTAGTTGATACACTGTAGAATGGAGACTAGTCAGGGCCTTCTGATTCCAATCTCTGGTACTCTTGTTGCTCTTGTCTTCTGTTCCCTTTAAGTACAACAAATAAAATACTCAAAACCAATTGTAATTTTTGATTGCCTATATAACTTTATGCCGTCGTCGGTAATCAAGAGTTATTAGTGGCTAAGTATATCTATTTAAAAATAGTAAACATTCTGAAACTTATCACTAGAAATGTTCACAAGCTGATACAAGCCATAGTAAGGTCCTCTCATACTTCATCACAATATTTATAAAAGGTATATGTTTTCTGTAAGTAAAATTTGTTAGTAATATTTGTATCCTAATTTATGAAAGAGAGACAATGTTTTACTGAAGTTCCATTGAAATGTGTCTGCAAATAAAAACAATAACTTTAATTTCATTTTTTTTTTTAGTGTGCTAAAACATTTATAAATCTGATGACTCATATCTGCAAAGAACAGACCGTTCAGTATATACTAACTATGGTGGATGATATGCTGCAGGTAGGTATATTCTTTACTTAACACATTTGGTGACTTCATTTTTTTGCATACCTCACAGTAGCAGCATTTTTGGTGAGATTTCACTTAGAACATTTGTTCTCTTCTAGAGCATAATAATATATTTTTCTCATTTATGTGGGTTGTAATTTGCTAATAGAGCTAAAGACAGAGATACCCACACACAGGCTGTTTTTGTTTTTCAGAACACCAAGTAATCAATATGTATATTTTTCTGAGATACCTCAGAGTTTTTTGTTGAACGCCAGCAAAGCTTGCTGTATCACCTGAGGCTTTCTGGATGCTCTGTGTACTTATGGATGATATGGCTCCTTCTCATTCAATCAGTCAACACATTTCAGTGCTCATATGTTCTAGGCCAGTGCCGGGCCCTGGAGGTTCGGTGCTTTTGTTCCTTTTGGGAACAGTTTTGCTTATCATCGAAAACGTTTCCAGTTGCATACAGTTTCTGTTTACTGCGTTACCATCCCTGAACCCAATTATGAATAAAGGAGAGGCCTCCTTTATTCATATTTATGTATTTTACACTAGAGTATAATCTAGGCTTAGATGGTTGGTATGTAGAGCAGTTCTTATGAGATCGGCCTTCCAGCTGCTGAGTGTCTCAGGAGACTTGAAGGAAAGAGTCAGTCTGGGTGTTTAGGGAGGGTTGTTCTATTAACTTATAAGGAAAAAAACATTTATTGATGGCCTAATTTTCACCAAGCACTGTACTATTATTGATAATACAAAGGTTGGGCAGAATGGTGCTGTCTTCCTAGGGGTCATCATGTCCTTTATAGGAATCTAGTGATTTTATAATGTGAGGAAGGATCAATATCAGGACTGTCTTGAGAATGACCTCAGTCTCTCTGAGCACTTTTTCATGTAAAACAGTAAAGTTTAGAAAAATGTGAATGTTATGATCTGCCATGGTTATCTTGTTACTGTATGGGACTGTACCTAGAATGAGGGAGCTGTGAGTCGGCATGCGGACCGTGGTTGCTCATATCCTTAATTACTGTCCATATGCTCATATCTATAAATTAACACCATGACATGCTGGTAGCTCCCATTACATTTCAGCGCAGCACCACAGGGTTCTTTGTCTCTCCTTTCCGTATGTGTACCTCTTCTGTAACAGTGAGATTGTGAGTTCCTCTTATCCTCAGTGTGTTTACTTGTTTGTTCTACCCTAAAATACACAGAAAATAGTTTCAGAGTTGTGGACCCATACAACTCAATTATCGAGGAAAGCAGTGTGGTGATTCTTCAAAGAGCTAAAAACAGAACTACCATTTGACCCAGCAATCCCATTGTTGGGTAGATACTCAAAGGAATAGAAATCGTCCTACTGTAAAGACCACACACACGTGTTTGTTCGTTGCAGCGCCATTCACATTAGCAAAGACATGGAATCAATCTAAATGCCCATCAATGGCAGATTGGATAAAGAAAACGTACATATACTCCATGGAATACTATACGGCCATAAAACAGAATGAGAGCATGTCCTTTGCAGGAACATGGATGGAGCTGGAGGTCTTTATCCTTAGTAAACTAACACAGGAACTGAACACCAAATACCACATGTTTTCAATTATAAGTGGGAGCTAAATGATGAGAACACATGGACACAAAGAGGGGAACTGCAGAAGCTGGGGTCTACTCAAGGGTGGAGGGTGGGGGGAGAGAGAGGATCAGAAAAAAATAACTATTGGGTACTAGGCTTAGTACCTGGATTATGAAATAATCTGTACAACATACCCCCTTGACATGAGTTTACCAATATAACACACCGGCACATGTACCCCTGAACCTAAAATACGAGTTGAAAAAAACACATACACACAAAAAACAAGTCTTTTACCTGGAGTTCAGTATTTGTTTGCAGTTTTTTGTTTTAAACTCAGGGTATATAGTCAGAATACTGTGTTCAAGTTTCAGAGTGATTATTTTTCATGAAATACTGTAAGAGTCATTTGTTTCTGTTGTATTCTATTTTAGTTTTTTCCTCATCCTTGTGCATTTCATTATTATTATTTTTATTTTATTTATTTTTTTGAGACAGGATCTTGCTCTGTTACCCATGCTGGAGTGTAGTGGCGTGATCTCGGCTCGCTGCAACCTCTGCCCCCTGGGTTCAAGTGATTCTCCTGCCTCAGCCTCCCGAGAAACTGGGATTACAGGTGCCTGTCACCATGCCTGGCTAATTTTTGTGTTTTTAGTAGAGACGAGGTTTCACCATGTTGGCCAGGCTGGTCTCAAAACTCCTGACCTTAGGTGATCTGCCCACCTCGGCCTCCCAAAGTGCTGGGATTACAGGAGTGAGCCACCATGCCCAGCCTGCATTTTATTTTTGAGTATGTAAAACATTAACATGTTTCCAAAAGTCAAAACTATGCAGAAAGGTATACTCAGAGAAATGTCACTAATCCTAGCCCATTCCCACCTCCCTCTCGTAGGTGACCAATATCATAGTTTTTTTTTTTTTTGAGACAGAATTCCGTTCTGTCCTCCAGGCTGGAGTGCAGTGGTGCAACCCCCGCTCACCGCAACCTCTGCCTCCTGGGTTCAAGCAATTCTCCTGCCTCTGCCTCCAGAGTAACTGGGATACAGGCACCCGGCATCATTCCTGGCTAATTTTTATATTTTTTTTTTTAGTAGAGACGGGGTTTTACCATGTTGGCGAAGGTGGTCTTGAACTCCTGACCTTAAGTGATCTGCCTGCCTCGGCCTCCCAAAGTGCTGGGATTACAAGTGTGAGCCACTGCGCTCAGCCCAATATCATTGGTTTTTAATTTTTTTTTTCTGTGAACATAGACAGGCAGACACATGTATATTTTTTTATTTCCCCCTCTTATTTCTATAAAACACTTATTAGATATAATCTCTTATTTTTTGCTTGTTTCACTTAACAGAATATGCCAGAAATCATTACGTGTCAGTTCATAGAGATCTCATCTCCCTGTTCTGTTTTTGACAGCTACATGGTACCCCATTAGTGGATGTACCATAGTTCACTCAGCCTCTGATGTAATGATGGACATTGTGGTTGGTTCCAAATTTTAGAATTAGAAATCATGAAGCAAAGAATAACCTTGTGCAAATATATTTTTGTGTTGTTGGGTGTATATTTCATGGTAAATTCTTAGAAATGGGATTGCTGGATAAGAGGTAACTCCATATGTAGTTTTTTTTGTTAAGATATTGCCAGACATTCCATTTTGCATTTTCATCAGCAGGGTGTGAGTGCCTGGTTCCCTGTAACCTTCTCAACAGAGGGCATTGTCAAGCTGTTACATTTTTGCCTATCAGAATGGTGTCCGAGGTTGAACATCTTTAGATGACCTTAAAGGTTGCTTTTACATTTTTTTCCCTGAATTATTTGCTCATGTCTTTGCCCATTTTAAGGAGTTCTTTATATATTAGGCATATATCTCTGAACAAAGTGCAAATATTTTCTCCCAGTTTGTTATTTACCTTTTTGTCTTAGCTTATAACATTTTTCACAGGGTAAAACAATTTATTTTTATTTTTTATATAGTCTAATTTATAAAAAAAAATTTTTTTAATCTAGATTTTGAGTAATAGAAAGCTTTTCCTTATACCCAAGTTTACAGTGGAATTCACCAAGGTTTTTTTCTAGTGCTTGTATAGTTTCATCTTTAGTTAGACATTTGGCCTGCTTAGAGTTGGTTCTTGTCTATAGTGTAAGGTATGTGTCTAATTTTATGTTTTCCAAATGGCCATTCAGTTGTTCTAGCACCATTTATTAAAATGTCAGTCTTTGCCATAGTGGTTGGAGATGCTGCCTTTAACATCAAACCTCCCTATATAACTAGATTTATTTCTGTACCTTTTATACTTTGCTTCTGGAATGCCTGTGTATTCATGCTCCAGCACCACCCAGTTTAATGATAGAGGATCTTATGGCTAGTTCCCTTCGCAGTTTTTTTTTTCCCCCAGTATTTACCTAGGTTTTCTTGAATGTTGTTTTTTTTGTATGAAATGGAATGTCAGCTTATTTGATCTATGAAAAAGTTTGTTGGTGTTTTTACTAAGTTGTGTTAAATCTGTAAGTTACTATTTAAAAAAAAAAATCAAAACAAGGCCTGGCAGTAGCTCATGCCTGTAATCCTAGCACCTTGGGAGGCTGAGGTGGGAGGATCGCTTGAAGCCAGGAGTTTGAAACCAGCCTGGGCAACATAGTGAGACCCTGTCTCTATTTAAAAAACTAATAATAAATTTATAAGTTAACTTAGGGAGAAATGACATCATTATATTACTGAATTTTTCTGTCCAAGGACAAGGTATACCTTTCCGTTTGTTAGGTGTGTCTGCGTCTTCAGGAGTGTTGTAATTTTCACATAATGGTTTTGCAACATTTCTTGTTAAGTTTATACCTTCATATTTTATCTTAATTATACTGTTAAAAACAGCATTTCTCTTCCATTTTATCTCTGAACTTTTGTTTGTTAATGTATATGAAAGTCATTGATCTCTGTATATTTTCTGTTTTGGTACCTTAGTGAATTCTTTTATTTGAATTAATTTTGTGATTGAATTTTTCTCTAATTTATAAAAGTTGTAAATTATAAATTTTAATTAAAATTTTATAATTTTCTATTTTTGCAAAAACAGATAATTTTACTTCTTTTTCAATTCTTATGGGTTATAAAACAGATAATTTCACTTTTTTAATTCTTATGGCTTATAAGAACTTGTCAATTCTTAGTTTTTGAGTGCTATTATTAAGAATAGGTGTTGAGTTTTGTCAAAGGCTGTTATTTTCTGGGCATCTACATAGATAATTGAATGACTTTTTTTCCCCTCTCCTTAGATATATCAATATAGTGAATTATAGTAATGGATTTTATAATACTGAACCAACCTTGCATTCGAGGTTAAATCCCACTTGGTCATGTTGTCATATTTTCTTGATATGATATTGAATTCTCTTTTCTGTTATGTAGGATTTTTGCCTCAGTGTTCATATGTGTAATTGGTTTACAATTTTATTTTATTTTTTGTTTTCTTCATTTGGTTTAGGTATCAGCATTATACTTGCTTGATAAAAAGGATTTGGAGGTTTTTCTTTATTTGCTATGCTTTGCAACAATTTATTTAGCATTAGGACTACAAGGGCTAAGTTTTGGTAAAATTCCCTTGTGAATACATCTGAACCTGTTGTTTTTGGTGGGGTAATTATTTGATAGCTTTCTCTATGTCTTCTACAGAAATTGTTCATTTGAAGCTTTCTATCTCAAATGGTGGTAATTTTGGTAATCTGTATTTTCTCTGGAAATTATTGTATTGAAGCTTTTACATTTACTTTCATAGAAGACTAATCTTATTAAATCTTATGCTTCAAATTTTTTTCTCTATTTGCATATTATGTCCCCCATGTCATTTCTTAGTTTATTTGTGCTTTCTGCTTTTTTTTTTTCTTGATTAACCAGTGTTTCTCCCCCATTTTGTTAATTTTTTTCAGAGTCAGGATTTTCATATTAATTGATCTATAGTTTTTCTCTTCTCTACCTTAATTTCTGCTTTTGCCTTTATTATATTCTTCCTTTACTCTTTTTTGTTGTTTACTTTGTTCTTTTACTAGCATTTTGAACTGGGAATTTTAATTTATTTCCATTCTTCTATTAACAAGAAATAAATATTGGCCAGGCATGGTGGCTCATGCCTGTAATCCCAGCACTTTGGGAGTCCGAGGTGGGTGGTTCATGAGGTCAAGAGTTTGAGACCAGCCTGGCCAACATGGTGAAACCCCATCTCAACTGAAAATAAAAAATTAGCCAGGTGTGGTGGCGCATGCCTATAATCCCAGCTACTGGGAGGCTGAGGCAGGAGAATCACTTGAACCTGAGAGGTGGAGGTTGCAGTGAGCTGAGATTGTGCCATTGCACTGCAGCCTGGGCAGAAAGAGTGAAACTATCTCCCCCGCCCCCCCAAAAATTAAGTATTTAAATATATGCATTTTCCTTTGATTACTGCTTAAAGTATATCCTTCAGCTCTGATATGTAGTGATTTAGGTTTTTCTTAATCCAGTTTCTGCGTTCCCTTTCACAGAGGGTTGTTTAATATTTATGTTTTAATTTTCAGGCAGAAATGCTTAAAACATTTTGTTATAGATTTCAAAATATCATGTTTTAAAAACATTTCTACTTTATAGAATTTACTGATACTTTTTTTATAGTATATGATCAATTTTATAAATATACCAGGTGTCCTTGAGAAGATGTATTCTTTCTTAAGGGGTATAAGTTTGATTTATATTTATCAGATCTACTTTATTGATTATGTTATTATTTAGGATACAGGTTTTCTATACCTTTACTTTTTGTCTACTTTTTTCTCGGTCTGGTTTTTTTTGTACTAAGAGTGGTATGTTAAACGTCTCCCCCTTATAAATGCATTTTTTACTTTTCTAATATCTTTTGTACTTTTCACTTTATAAAGGTGGATGCTGTATTTGGTGCATATATACACATTAGTGTTATATCTACAGTGAATTGTGGCATTTATCATTAAAAGTGTCCCTTTTATCATACTTAATACATTTTGGCTTAAATTATACTTTAATACTGGTATAGCAACTCATGGCTTCTTGTTGTTTCTGATTGTCTGCATATCTTTGCCTGTCCCTTTTTTAGGTGAATCATTTTGTTTTAGGTAAGTCTTTTGTATACAGTATAGATTCGGGTCTTGTTTGTGAGTTGAAACCCCTTTTTTTAATAGGTGAATTAAACCATCCACATTTATGAATATTACTAAGAAATTTGATCTCAACTGTCATACTGTGTTATGATTACTGTGTGCATTACTATTTTATTCTTCATTATGTGTTTTGTTTGCATTTTTATTAAACTTTTTTGGCATTTAGGAAGTTTTCTGTCTGTTCTGTTGGTTATCTTTGTATTTATATCCCTTTAATGCTGTTAATCCCCTGTTTTATTCATTTATAATTTCACTTGTCATTTTTAATAGTATTTTTTTATTTGCAACAGTCAATGAACTTATTCTACTTTTCCTCTCTTCTCATTTTTTAGTGGCTATTTTTTACTTTGTCAGAACATATAACATTTATATATTATTATTCTACACTTGTTCCCACCTTTGTTTTGTTATATTAAATTTTCACCACTGGTTCTTTTGCCAAAGTTTTCCCAGGGATCTCTTAATTAGATGAAGCTTATCTGCTAGTAGGTTCCTCAGGAATGTCTTATGTGTACAGTAGTCTCTAAATTTTTGCATTAAAATTTTTTCCTGTAATCTTCATACTTGAAGAGCAGCTTGGCTGATAGAGGATCTCTGATTCACAGTTCTTTGACTTTTGAGTCTGTTCTCTGTTGAACACCTTATAATTTAGTTTTACTTTTTGAGACCATTTTGCTCTTTTCTTTCATTTCTTTCTTGAACTCAATCAGCTATTTTTAAATTTTCCTTTATTAGGGGCAGATTTCTCAGTTTTGGTTTTGAATTTCTGATTCAAGGTGGTATTTTATTTTTCCAGATGTTTGAGGATATTTAATTCAGTTTGCATTGTTACGTTACAGTTTTGTTTTGCAGTTGTTTTCTTGGGAGAGGAATTTCATCACCTGAGATATTTTGATTTGCATCTTTTGGTTTCTTTTTATGGTAGTTTTGTATCTGTGTGGGGTTCTTTCATCTATTCATATCATGGATTTGGGTGGTTTATAATACTCCTCACTCAAGAGTACCATTTTTTTTTCTTCTTTTTTTCTTTGATGCATGGTCTCACTTTGTTGCCTCGGCTAGAGTTCAGTGGTACGATCTCAGCTCATTGCAACCTCCACCTCCCAAGTTCAAGTGATTCTCATGCCTCAGCCTCCAGAGTAGTAGTAGCTGGTATTACAGGCGTGTGCCGCCGTGCCCAGCTAATTTTCGTATTTTTAGTAGAGATGGGATTTCGCCATGTTGCCCAGGCTGGTCTCGAAATACTGGCCTCAAGAAATCTGCCTGCCTTGGCTCCCAGAATTCTGAGATTCAGGTGTGAGCCATCGCACCTGGACTCTCTCTCTCTCTTTTTTTTTTTTTTTTGAGATGGAGTCTTGCTCCATTGGCCAGGCTGGAGTGTAGTGGCATGATCTCTGCCCACTGCAACCTCCACCTCCCGGGTTCAAATGAGTCTCCTGCCTCAGCCTCCTGAGTAGCTGGGACTACAGGCATGCACCACCATACCCAGCTAATTTTGTTGTATTTTTAGTAGAGATGGAGTTTTACCATGTTGGTCAGGGTGGTCTCAAACTCATGACCTCAAATGATCCACCTGCCTCGGCCTCCCAAAGTGCTGGAATTACAGGCGTGAGCTACTGCACCTGGCCTCTCTCTCTTTTTTTTTTTTCTGGTGAGATGCAGTTTGTTTGTTTTATTCTCTTTCTCTCCTGTTCCTTCCTTTCTTTTCTTTTTTCTTTTTCTTTTTTTTTTTTTTGAGACAGAGTTTTGCTCTTGTCATCCAGGCTGGAGTGCAGTGGCACAGTCTTGGCTCACTGCAACCTCTGCCTCCTGGGCTCAAGCAATCCTCCTGCCTCAGCCTCCTGAGTAGTGGGATTACAAGCGTGTGCTACCACGCCTGGCTAATTTTTGTTTTTTTAGTAGAGACAGGGTTTCATCACATTGGCCAAGCTGGTCTAGAACTCCTGACCTCAGGTGATCTGCCAGCCTTGGCCTCCCAAAGTTGTGGGATTACAGGTGTGAGCCACTGCACCTGGCCTCTTTTGTTTTCTTTTCTTTTTTTTTTTTTTTTGAGATAAAATCTCACTCTGTCACCTAGGCTGGAATGCAATGGCGCCATTATAGCTCACTGTAACCTCAAACTCTTGGGTTCAAACGATCCTCGCACCTCAGCATCTTGAGTAGCTGGAACTACAGGCGCTTACCACCACATCTTGCTAATTAAAAAAATTTTTTAATTGTAGAGATTAGGGTCTCATTATATGCCAAGGCTGGCAGTTTCTTTAATAGATGACTTTCTTTTGGTGGGGGGCAGATTGTATGCCCTTGGATTTTTTTTTTTGGTCTCATTTTGTCTTGCAGAACCCTAAAGTTTCCTCTTTTGTTCCTTTTTCTTTTTGCCACCCAATCTCCTAAAGATGCTTCTTCTTCTTCTTCTTCTTTTTTTTTAAACCTTATTATCTCTCAAAAATGATGCCTTTCCAAGACTGCTCCCTGCTCCCTGTAGCTCGTGCTCTGGTCTACCAGTACTCTTTTTCAGTTTCTTCATAGTTAGAGTTTATTTTATTTTATGGTGGCGATTGTAGATCCACCTTAGAACTTCTTCCTTCCTGTGCCCATATCCTTCCTTCTACACACATTTTTCAGATGCACTTTATCATCCACAAAAGCTTGTGATGGAGTATGAGAGATAGCTTTTGTTGGGATTTGGTGTTTCTTTTATTATGGTTAATTACAAATGTGTATTCTCTGTCTTGTTATCCTGAGGGCATGGGTTTTGTGTAGTTTTTAGTTGATCTTTTTGTCGACCTTTATTTATGAAGGATCAGTGGAGAGATTCAGATTTAGGTAGCTGGTATTATTCTCATCCACCAGTTCAATGTATGTATGTATGTATGTGTGTGTGTGTGTATATATATACACACACACACATATACTTTGTATACAAAGCATATATATATACTATGTATATACAAATGTGTGTATATATACACACACTATATACTATATATATACAAAGTATATGTATATACGTATATACATATATACATTTGTATATACATATGTATATATGTATATACGTATATACATATATACATTTGTATATACATATGTATATATGTATATACAATGTGTGTATGTGTGTGTATTTTATATATATATATATATATATATATATATATATATATATGCTTTTTTTTTTTTTTGAGATAGATTCTTGCTCTCTCACTGAGGCTGGAGTGCAGTGGCACAATCTCAGCTCACTATAACCTCCACCCACCAGGTTCAAGCGATTCTCCTGCCTCAGCTTCCGAAGTAGCTGAGACTACAGGCACATGCCGCCACACCCGGCTAATTTTTGCATTTTCAGTAGAGATGGGGTTTCACCACGTTGGCCAGGCTGGTCTCGAACTCCTGACCTCAAGTGATCTGCTTGTCTCAGCCTCCCAAAGTGCTGGGACTACAGGCGTGAGCCACTGTGCCTGGCCCAATGTATATATTTTTATTTTTTTAATTTTATTTTTGTTTTCTTGAGACAGGGTCTTGCTCTGTCACCCAGGCTAAAGTGCAGTAGTGTGATCACAGCTCACTGCAGCCTCGAACTCCTGGGCTCAAGTGATCCTCCCACCTCCGTCTCTTGAGTAGCTGGGACCATAGGCGTGTGCCACCACACCTGGCTAATTTTTTATTTTTTTGTAGAGATGGGGTATCACTATGTTGCCCAGGCTGGTCTTGAACTCCTGGGCTCAAGCAGCCCTCCCACTTGGCCTCTCAAAGTGCTGGGATTACAAGTGTGAGGCACTGCACCTGGCCCTCATTATAGTTTAGCAGTTGATTTTATTTGTAAAATTTTAGTTGCATGGAAAAGTTTATATATACCTTTATCATAATTCCTTGTGCTATTTATAATAATTTTTTTTCTATTTTTAATCCTATCATTTCATCCTTATCACTTCTGAACAAAATGCTTTTGGACAGAATTGCTTATGTTTCCTCACATGCTTAGTTTTTAGCACCTGATTTTGAGGATTAAATTGTTTTCTTTGCATGGATATCAACAGCAGTTGCTAAGTGTACCTGACCGGAAAGATTTCTTTATCCTTATTCTCTTAAAGGTCTGTAACCTGGATACCTCTACCAATGAAGCAATGATGGCTCATCTGAATTTTGGATTCCTTGATAAAATCATTATCACAACTATTTCAATTGTTATTCTAAACAATAATGACTCATTACCTAAGGAGACAGTAGGCTATTCCTTGATGGGTAATTATTAGTGTAGACCAATATTAACCAAAAAACCCCACTATATTTAAAAATAATTAAATGTTAATCTGAAAATAGGAATTTTTTGTTTATGTGGTTATTTGTGCTTTTAAAAAGTATTATGACCCACAAATCACCACTAAAGAACTTACATAACAAATACCACCTGTTCTCGAGTAACCTATGGAAATAAAATAAATAAATAAATTAATAAAAGTTTAATCAGAAAAAGTATTGCTACTGCTGATATGGTGGTGTAGTAAAAAAATTTTTAAAAAAGTATTGCTGTTTAACAACTATATTCACATAATGAATCAGAAAGTGGATCTCAGCCAGTGATAGAGAAAATTTAGATGAGAGGTGAAGTTTTAATGATTGGAACTAAGAATTTTCTCTTACTCAGATCCTATGTCCACTGGTAGTATATGCTGTTTTCTGCTGTCTTTATCCCAAGTTTTCTACCATGATATGCTAAGAAGTAACTTGAACATTTGCGATTCATTTAATTCCCTGTTTCCCTTGCCTATTTGTTAGTAGTTCGAGGTGCATCTAGACCTAATTTGTGCTCTTCCTGCTCCCTTTCCGATTTTGATTTCCCTCGTATGGCAGCCAGGTGTTCACACTTGGTTATCGGTGGTGGGTGTAGACCTGTTACATTGGGAGTAGCAGGTCAGAGGTGCAGGCCGAGAAGTGTAACTTGTAGTCTTACACTTTGTGATTTAAAATAATCATAATCATTAAAGGTGATTTTTTTAGTAAAATATCTGTGCCTACTACCATCCCTACCCCCTGCCCCGTAGTAATAATGACAGACAAATCACACATACACACACACTGAAAAAAGAACACAGACTGATGGGAGGTTGAGAAGTGGTGCACAGTCGTTACATTCTTTAGCAAAATGTGTTCTGACTGGTGATATCATTTCTTTTCTTTTTTAGGAAAATCATCAGCGTGTTAGCATTTTCTTTGACTATGCAAGATGTAGCAAGAACACTGCGTGGCCCTACTTTCTGCCAATGTTGAATCGCCAGGATCCCTTCACTGTTCATATGGTAAATTTTGAATTGATTGGATTCTTTTTTTAAAATTTTTTTAAAGAGAGAGGGTCTCACTATGTTGTCCAGGCTGGTCTTGAACTTTAGGGCTCAAGCAGTCCGCCTGCCTTGGCCTCCCAAAGTGCTGGGATTACAGGTGTGAGCCACTGCACCCAGCTGGATTTTTTTTTTTTTTTAAATACAAAGAAGAAAGGTTTTTATTTTAAAATTTTTGTTTTATTATTATTTTAAAATTGACAGATAGAATTGTGATTACATTCTCATTCAGGTAAGAAAGAAACCTGGGCCTTTTATGACATAGTAACCTGTCCGTTCCCATAGGAGTAACTACTATGACATAGCTTTCCATATTGGTGTTCAGTAGAGAAAGGACATTGGGAGTTGGAAGGAGATAGGGTTGCTCTGATGCAGTTGAGGTTTTGTAGACTACAAGGAGTGCATCAAAGCCTGTGGAGAATTCTCACATGTAAACAGCTCTACAGTGTTTGTAGTGGGGTTAACTACATTTTACTATATAGAAATTAAATTTTACTTTGAAGCAGCTACTGTGTTTCGTTTTTATTTTAAGTAGTTACCTGATTGCTTTTCAATATCTTAAATACACTCTGGTTTTTTTTTTGAGACGGGGTCTCACTCTGTTGCCAGACTGAAGTGCAGTTGTGCGATCTCGGCTTGCTGCAACCTCCGCCTCCCGGGTTCAAGCGATTCTCCTGCCTCAGCCTCCTGAGTAGCTGGGATTACAGGCATGCGCCACCACGCCCATCTAATTTTTGTATTTTTAGTAAAGACGGGATTTCACCATGTTGGCCAGGCTGGTCTTGAACTCCTGACCTTGTGATCTGCCTGCCTCGGCCTCCCAGAGTGCTGGGATTACAGGTGTGAGGCACTGCACCCGGCCTACACTCCTGTTTTAAACTTAGGCTATGTTTGGAAGCCCTAGTACTGAAGAATTTTTCATGGAATCTGAAAGCAGGGTTGAGAGAATAAACCTTTGTACAAACAAGACTTCTCTATTTCCACTGGGGAGTGGGCTACGGGTTGGGGATGGCAGGAGCTGTTGGGGGCATGTGGTAGCTCCAGAGGCTGCTTGTTTCAGTAGATGTTTTTAAAGTTTTCAAATCAAGGGCCACTGGCCGTGAAACATTTTTGAACATGTATGTTATCTTGCTCCCTCCCTCCCTCCTTCCACATGTATATGTATTCATACAGTATAGTTATATATTGTATTCATATAGTATATTTATATGTTGTGGACATTATGAAATATCTATAAAAAGAAATTAAGGAGGACTGATGAAATAAACTGTATTTTAAAGAATACTTTTCAAAAAGCCAGTAATATATTTCCTTCTTTAAAATTGTAGAGGCTTGTTTTCTTCACTGTTTGGTTTAAATGTCCTCCTAATGGTATAGCAACAAAACTGACAAATATATTAAACAAATATACACTTAGGAAATGGTTCATTATTACTGTGCAGCCAAATCCATGTTAACTTCTTGGTAATTTCATTTACTTTTGGCCAATCTTTCACATTCTGAGGGGCAGACTCCCATTGGTTTAACCATGTGCTGATAAAGAGCTTATGCTAGCTTATGCTCTTGTTCCTTTGTCTTGTGCATGCACTGCTGATAATATTTTCAATCCTTGGCCTCCTAACAGTAATCTTTTTAAGTCAGTTGTCTATTTTGTGACAGTAAGATGAGTTTAAACTAGATAATGTATTTATAAATTCATTTAGCTGGGCATGTGAAAACCTCAGCATGTCACAACTCAATGAGCAAGTAAAGGCGCCCCATTAGTCCCTATGTTGTAGAATTCCAAATACACCAGAACACTTAAGTGTCTGACATTCTGACCTTGGAAGTGTACCTGTCAGACTGGTTTGCTGTATTCAAATGTAAGAACAAACATGAGTCTACCAGCACAGGAAATTATTTTGAGGTTAGCTAGTGTAGCCTTTCATTCTCTACTGGGATGAATTATTGCTGAATGATTTGGAGTTTTAAGACAGTGATTTGCTCTCAGTACTGATAGAATATTTATTAAATTGGTTTGTGTATGGAGAACTAGTACTTTATATTGCCTATTTAATTTTAAAAATGGTTAGTTTTATAGCTTGAAGAAAATGGAGAAATCTTTCAGGAGAAAGGATATTTGTTTATGTTGGGAGAGACGACTAATACCTAGGATGTATATTATCCTAAGAAATGGATTTTTAAGTATTAAAACTCCCAAGTGGCTTGGAATGAGTGTGGGAGAGGCTGGCAGTTTGTTGAAGAGATTGCTTAGAATTCTGGCAAGTGGTTTGGTGACAGTCTGCTTCTAAGAAAGATTTTTGTGTTCTGTTTTTTGCTGGTCATATAATGAATTCCAATCTTACTTTTGAAACTCAAAATAATACAGGGAGTGTCAAGAAATTCCTAAGACCCAGCTAATTTGGGTTCACTTTGATGGAAATATTTAAAAATATATTTTTAATGTTTGTTTCAAAATATATTTTAAAAAATGAAATATAAACTATTATTTTTAGAGGGGTTGAGTGTTAAGAAATTGTGTAGCAAAATTGTTACAAATCCTTTTTTTAAGGTATATGATGTGATTTTTAGAATTAATGTTGCGTTAAATGTATCTCTTATTTGTTTTCAGGCAGCAAGAATTATTGCCAAGTTAGCAGCTTGGGGAAAAGAACTGATGGAAGGCAGTGACTTAAATTACTATTTCAATTGGATAAAAACTCAGCTGAGTTCACAGGTAAAAGAAAATTTTTTAAAGTACCTTTGAAAGGAATATAACATCCGTGTTCTTTTAAGCTATTTATAGTAAATATGTTAAATTACAAAAATGTTTTATTAAAATAATGCCGTTTTGAACTTGTCAAGTAAACCAAACTACTCTCAGATATGGTAGTGTGCTTTGCTTTTTCTTTCTTTGACTGGCTTCATTTCAATCCTTTCTGTCTTTTCTGCCACTTGGGGTTTCTTAGTCATGCTTTTCAGGGGTCAGGGAGTACCTTTCTTCTAGGTGGCTGCCAAGATGATACAGGCTGGAGAACTGAAAGGACCCACACAGCTCCAAAGAGCACGTGCGTGTGAGGCTTCGATAAAGGAAAACAAACGGTACAGCAGGAGAGAGCATGCCTCGGGCCGAGAGATTTCCAGGCGCAGCTCCCTTGGCTGCCCCAGGATTGTGAACCACCAAGATTTGTGCGAGAAATCTTGGTTTTTGGAGAGCTCTCTGAAAGATTCGAGTGAGATCTTTTATGCCCTTTTGGTTACATAACCAGGCTAAGCTGTCTAACCGATTACACTAATAAACAAACTGGTCCTGGGTGCCACCAGGGGCATTTCAAACTGCAAACAGCATGTTCTAGATCATTATTAGCTAACCTGCTTGTCCTTGTCTGGCCAAGTCCCTCCCGTGCTTCCAGCTGCCTCTGGGTGAGCCTGGAGCTACCTGGTCCAGCTGCGAAAGGGGTGAGCCTGGAGCTACCTGGTCCAGCTGTGAAAGGACACTGTCCCACACGGTGGCTCGTTCTCACAATTTCACAGTTTCAGGGTGGGATTAGTTAGGCCTAACGAACCTACTGGTCATGTTGGTTGCTTGCAGGCCTTTCTAGCTCTATGTCTTCGTGGAGGAAGATAGCCTGCAGGTGTAATGCCTTGGAAAATGACAAGTTTTCTGTTTTGTCTTCATGTTTCCTCAGAACAGGGCAAAAGATAGGACATGAATGATGGCTCTGTGGAGTGTTAGTTTCAGGCTTACAGGGTTGAAGTGTAGGTATGAAGAGGTTTGGTGGGATTGATACTCAGAAGAGGAGAGAACTGAAGGTGGACAGGGGAGGAGGATTCTGGAGATGAAAAGGTAGAAGGGAATGAGATTTTGATGTGAGGGTGACCTAGAGGAGGAATGGGACCAGGAGAAACAATATTATTAGGTTGTTAGATTACAAATGAATGTCTATTTGAAATTTTTTGAAAGTTGCCATTTAGATTTCAGGTGACTTTATTATTTTAATAGATTTTAGTTTGAGGCATAAGAAAGACACTGTATTTTGCTTAGATTTACTTTTTGTCTTGTTGCCTGCCTTTTTTAGGGGAGCCTAATTGCCATTTGTATTTGGATGGAGATATTTTAGAGTTTCTTGATCAAAATCTTTTTTATGTTAATAGCATCAATTTTAACTGGTTTGGGGCTCGGTTTTAAAAAGCGTTTTTACAAGAGCCACCATTTTATTGAGTTTGTGAGATATTTCAAAAACAAGCTATTTAAAACATGTAAGAAACATGCTTGTGAAAGTGAGATTTAAAATTTCTAAATGTAGCATATTGGTTGGGATCAGAATGTTAGTTAAATAGGATACACTTCTCCCTTTTTTCCTGCTTTGAAATGATCTCTCCCTTTAAATAAACTTCATTCCAGGCCTGGTGTGGTGGCTTATGCCTGTAATCCTAGCACTTTGGGAGGCTGAGGCAGGCCAATTACTTGAGCCCAGGAGTTTGAGACCAGCCTGGGCAACATAGCAAAACCCCGTCTTTACGAAAAATAGAACAATTAGCCGGGCGTGGTGGTGCACACCTGTAGTTCCAGCTACTCAGCAGGCTGAGGCAGAAGGATCACCTGAGCCTGAGGAGGTTGAGGCTGTAGTGAGCTGTGATCGTGCCACTGCACTCCACCCTGAGTGACAGTATGAGACTCTTGTCTCAAAAAACAAAAAAAACCCCACAAAAACAAAACTTCATTCTGGGTAATGTTAGCTTTCAGGTATAGTGGTAATAAGGCTCTGTAGCTGAATTCATAAAATGAAAATTGGTAGGGAAGAATGGATGCCGTGGCGTGCTACTAGCTTTTTGGGCACTTCTACCTTAAACTTTTCCTCCTAGGAATAACAGATACATTGTGCCTCTCAGGTGACTGTCACTTCTGGAATGATTGACTATGCTTGTAATGATGTGCAACAACTGGGAGGAATATTTCTCTCATCACTAGTGGAAGTAAATATTTCAATGTCTAGAATAGTTTTCATTAGAATTGAACTTTTTATAGATAAATGCTCTTCAAGTATTTTCTGCATCTTTTTAGTGCACTCTTTTTTATCACAGAGTGTTTGGCTTTAAGTTGTGGACTTTAAATTGTGCAGTGCCTCTGCTTTGCGGGTCCTTCTGCTGCAGGGGAACTCTTCAGGGTACCCAGGCTTAGCCTGGCCTTGCTTCTTAGTCTGGCTACTGCTTCTGCTTGGCTCTCATTGCACTGTCCCTCTTGCTGTGGGCAGGCACTTCTTCATAGCCTTCTATCATGATTAAAATTCAGACTCTTCGTTTTAAAAAGTAACAATTATTTGTGATATTACTTGCTACTTTGCTCAATTGTCATGCGATAGTGCTACATCTAGAGTGTCTCTTTTTTCTCTGTCACAAGTGTTTTTCTCTCTCACAAAAAGTACCACAATTTCATGATTCTAATAGAAATAAACTTTCAAAAGTCCAAGTTAGCTGCAAGTTTAGATGTTTTGTTCTTTGACCTTATAGTGGCCTTTGAAGCCTTTTTGGGTAGTTTGGAGCGTTGCACTTGGGTTGTGGGGACTCATGCCTGTACTTCATAGATAGTAGTTATTGAATGATACAAAGTTAACATTTCCTTTCAGAAATTCATTATTGCTTTTCTCTTGCACTTTCAGCCTCTGACTTTCTTTAAATTTTCTTTGGTCATTTCTATATGACATTTGAGATTTTGATTGTCATTATAATTCATTAGCTTTGCTGTGGATAACCAAGTCACATATTGTACCTTCCTGACATCAGGCACCTATTTTTGAAAGCTTTGCTACAGAATATAGTGTGGATAGTTCAATTTAAGGCAGTCATTTTACTGGAAAAACAATTCAGTAAGTAAATCTTAAGACTTGGAAATTTGCACTAGCTTTACCCATGAAATTTACCTGGAGCTTAGTAGTCAGTTTATTATTGTTCCATTTTTAGCTACTTACTGATTAATATATTATCTGGAAGAATGTAACGATATTTAGAACATTTTATGTCATCCCCTTGCTTTTTATTTAGTAGGATTAGGAATAAAATTATAGGGGAAAAATTATTACATAGAATTAGGGGAAAAGTTTGCTTAGCTCCCTTTTGTAAGCTGATACATTAGGATAAAATCAAAACAAAACTAAATAATGAGTTATTTATTTCGTAATAGAAACTGCGTGGTAGCGGTGTTGCTGTTGAAACAGGAACAGTCTCTTCAAGTGATGTAAGTATATTCCTTCACTGGCCTAAACATCCCCAAAATAAATTATTTTGAGTCATATACACTTAAAATTTTGAAGGTGTTTACTAGTTCCCCAACTATAAATCCATGGTCACCTCCAGTTAGGTTAATTGTATTATAAACTATATATAAATATTGATGGTCTGTGGAGATCATCTTTTCTGTGGTAGACATAAGACTTGTTCTTTCCCGTTGCTCTTTTTTCCAGGTGACTTTTGTTTCAGACCTGAGAAACAAAGCAAAAATCAGAATTCAGAAGCACAACTGGAGCAAATAATCATAAAGTTTTCTCTTTAAACTTCAGTTATCTGATTAAACTGTCTAATATCTGTCTAATCAAAAGGTGAACAAAAGCGTCAAACATTTGAAAGAAATTCAGTTACTTTTATTTATTTATTTATTTTTTGAGACACAGTCTAGCTCTATCCCCCAGGCTGGAGTGCAGTGGCACAATCTCAGCTCACTGCAACCTCTGCCTCCCAGGTTCAATTAATTCTCCTGCCTCAGCCTCCCGAGTAGCTGGGACTACAAGCGCCCGCCACCACACCCAGCTAATTTTTGTATTTTTAGTAGAGATGAGGTTTCACCAAGTTGGCCAGAATGGTGTCGATCTCTTGACCTCGTGATCCGCCTGCCTTGGCCTCCCAAAGTGCTGGGATTACAGGCATGAGCCACCACGCCAGGCCTTCTTTCCACATTTTTGTAGAGCCAAAAGGCTCTACATAAATACATAAATAATCTACATAATTAAGATTAATTATGGCTCCCCAAGTTCCTTTCTTGGCTAAAGTTACGTTTTCCATTTGGGAATGGCTGAACTTTGCTGTGCTCTAGGAATAGCTCAGGAACTGGAAGTAAGTTTGGACAAGTTAACGATGTTCATGATGAGAGCCAGTTGATAGAAAGTTAGGGAAAACGGAGACAGAAACAGAAGTGTGTCTAGCTTCCTTTGTTGAAAGTATCACTAGGAAACTAGGAAGTATCTTTAGAGGGTAGTTTCTGTAACCTGCCTGCAATAGACCCAAGTGAAGCTCTGTAGGAGCCATTTAATATCCATATTGGTTGCTGGTACTCCCATAATCTGAATGAATGTCACGGGTATGTATGTTCCAAGACCATAGATGGCAGCAAAATCCATTTTGAAGCTGGGCTTCTCTTGGAGCATGGGTTGAAGTGTTTGATGACTCATATGTTAGGCCAGAAAATGGCTATTAGCCTTCTGAAGTGGAATCAGAACAAGGTATAGAACTAGATACGCGATCCTGGGGCCATGGTGGGCTGAGGAAATGGTAGGTAAGAAGCCTCGTTTCTCAATCAGAAGCAGATGTTTACATTGAGAATCTTTATTTTGCTTAAATTGAGAGTCTTCATTTCATGTGTCTTGAATTTCTACCAGTTTGAAAAATTATTTAGCTTATTTTAGACTTACAAACTTATTTAAGTGGTTGTCAAAGTATTTTAAGTTATTAAAGCTTAAATAAGGAAATGCAAACTCTGCTGACATGACATCCTTATTTTGCTATTTTCTGTGCAGTGTATTAGAAAAACAAAATTAACTGAATTGGTGGTGTGTTGGTCTAAGTGATTTACCTGGTAGATTCATATACATCCCAAATGGAATTCACATCAGGAGTGATTGTGAGTTAGGAAAAGATGGCCTTTGGTTTCCTACCTTCTTCCCTTTAGTGACTCTCAACCCTGAACATATTTTTGGACTCTTCCTGAAGTTCTTACTTTTTTAGATGGCTGTCTACTTGAAAAGCAGACCTCCATGTGTTGAGAGTAGGGTGTCAGCCCTTCCTTTGATTCTTATATTTCCATAGGGGAATCTTAATATAGCAGCTAATATTCATTGAGCACTTAACTATGTGCCTGACGCTTACTCATTTTACATTTACATCTCCTTGAATATTTACACTCCCTGTTCAATGTAGGTCATATCATTAGCCGCATTTTATGGATGAGTAGTGAGACCAAACAGAAAAACATACCAACATGCCCGAGGTCACACAGAGACTCTGAAGAAATGGATTGCTTAGAGAATTACTTGTGAGGCAGCTGAGTTGGAATTGCATCTTTAGGCATTCCTCAAGTTGCATTGCTTACTCAGACTTTTTAAGGTATCAGTATCACATCTTTAAATCATATCTTTTCAGAGTGGAGAAAAGCAGTTTGGTAAACTGCATTACAAATTATTGCCACTTGATGTCAGTATAAAACAAGTTTTACACTGCAAAATGTGAAATAAACATGATTCAACAGTCTTACCTTTTTTAAAATGGCCTCAGAAGCATCATTTTAAGTTATAAGTGGATCATTACAAACATTTTGTTTTTTTTTTTTTTGAGATGGAGTCTCACTCTGTCACCCAGGTTGGAGTGCAGTGGTGCGATCTCAGCTCACTGCAACTTCTGCCTCCCAGGCTGAAGCGATCCTCCAGCCTCAGCCCAACCACCACCACCAACCTCTGACCCCCATCCCACCAGTAGCTGGGACTACAAGCACGAGCCACCATGCCCCGCTAATTTTTTTTGTATTTTGGTGGAGACAAGGTCTCGCTATGTTGTCCAGGCTGGTCTTGAACTCCTGAGCTCAGGCAATCTACCCGCCTTGGCCTTCCAAAGTGTTGGGATTATAGGCGTGAGCCACTGTACCCAGTGAAACATTTTTATTTAAATGACATTAGATAAGTGGAATTTCCTTAAAGTGCATTATTTGTCTTCTCCTAATTGTGAAAATAGACATCAGATTATATGTACTTACTTTAGACTGTCTGAGTTGTTTACTGATTCTTAAACATGGATTGTAAGTCTTTTCTTCTGAGGAAGGCAGGACAGCGTGGAAGTGGATTGCTGTGCTGATGCCCTGATGAAAGAATACTGTGATTCCTCCACAAACTTTGGAAGATTTAGAAAGAACCTGGGGATTTGTTTCTTTCTCTGTTTTCATTTTTCCCCTCCCTAGCTTCATTTTTACAGTACGCATAGGCAAGAGAACGATTCATGAGAGAGCCCACATGTTTCCGTGTCCTGTTCTCTGTGATTTGTGTTGCAGAAGCAGTCTGGAATGAGTAGTTGCTAGATGAATGCTGTGTCACTAGTAGTGACTTAAGTTGCCAGGTCCTTCTTGCTTGTTTCATCTTGCCTCTTGATTTAGTGGAGCAATCCATGTCCAGTAGAAATTTCTGTGATGGTAGAAATGCTCACGATAGCTGTACTGTCCATTGTGGCAGCCCCTAACCATATGTGGTTCTGGAGCCCTTGGAAGTGTTGCCGGTGTGAGTGAGGAAGTAAATTTTCAATTTTATTTAGTTTTAAAAAGAGCCTTATTGAAATATATTTCACATGCTATAAAATGCATCATTTTGCCATTCAGTGATTTTTAATAAATTTACAGAATTGTGCAACCATTACCACAGTCTAACTTCATAACATTTCAACATCTCAGAAAAACAAACCAACCAACCCTGTACACATTAACAGTCTTCCCCATTCCTGTTCTTGCCTCCAAGCCCTGGCAACCACTAACCTACTTTCTGTCTTGGGATTTGCCTCTTTTGGACATTACATATAACTGAAATCATACATGGTCTTCTGTGACTGGCTTCCTTCACTTAGCATAATGTTTTCAAGATTCATCCGTGTTTTAGTGTGCAGTAACAGTATTTTAGATTGAGAGGAAAAAGGACTTAGTTTTTTTTTTTTCTAAGTAGAGATGGGGGTTTCGCCATGTTGGCCAGGCTGGTCTCGAACGCCTGACCTCAGGTAATCTGCCCACCTCGGCCTCCCAAAGTGCTGGGATTACAGACGTGAGCCACCACACTTGGCCTAGGACTTAGTTTTTTTTTGGCTTTTGACCAGATTCCTTAAATTGTTTTCTCTGGCAGTTCTAATATTCTTGTTAATGAGAGACTAGTTTGTTTTTAATTTAATGCTGTGCTGATGTAATACTTGTCACCCCTTCAGAAGAGGTGGAAGACTTCTTTGCTTTAGTTCTTTACTGCTTTGATTATAAGTCCATCAAAAGTGCTGATTAAGTAGCAGAAATCAGTGGGCCACATCAGTTATTCACATACTGCAGGCCTGTTATTAAATTGTAGTCTGCTGTAGCTGGTGAGTTGTGAAGTTTGTGGGGACCTGGAGTAACTCACAGGCAATTACAGACAGTCCCTGCCCTACGATGGTCCAACTTATGATTTTTCAACTTTACAGTTGTGTGAAAAGCATATACATTTGGTAGAAATAGTACATGAAGTATCCATATGACCATTATGATTTTCACTTTCAGCACAGTATTCAGTAAATTACACGAGCTGTTCAACACTTGATTATAAAATGGGCTTTGTATTGATTTTTGGAAGGATTGCCTGGAGATATATTCTGAAATGCAAAAGAAAATTAACTGGTAAAGTATTTAAATTTAAGACTTTCTTTTACATGTCATTTTCAAAGTATAGCACTGATAACAATAATAAGCTAACCTAATACTATGTATTTATCAGTTATGTTCTCGGAAGTTGCATACAAAGCAATAATTTATAAAGAAAATCACTTTTTTTTAGTTATGCTGACAATTTTTTTTCTGTAATAAAGATTCCCACTAGTCATGTAATTGAATTACTGGATTAAGCACATTAGATTGAAAGCAGTACTTTGAAGATTTATAAATTTGTAAACCAATAGTAAAACTATTTTTTTTTTGGTGAAACTATCTTCATTTAGATATTTTATGACTGTTGACTAGAGGATCTCTTTTAATCAGCCAACTTCAAGAGAATTCTTGGGGTATATATGTATTTTAATTCCTGAATATTGATAATAATAGTATATTTTACAATTGTTTAGTGTTTTGTAGAAATTGATTTCAGTGTCATGACAGTTTTTTTTTATTTTTCCCAGTGGTAGAGATATTATTTTTCTTTTCCTTTGCTAACGAGAAAACAATTTTCGAGATTAAGTGATTTGCCCAACATTATGTGACAAAACTTCTGATTCTTGTTCTAGTTTTTACTCTGTCCTTCTCCCTCTCTATTCCTCTTTTACTTTCTTTTCTCTATTTCTTTTTTAAAATTATGTCATAACTTACATAAAGGAAAATGCACAGATGTTAAATGTTCAGCGAGATAAATGTATACCTCATAATTCCTCCTACTGCCTTCACCTCAACTCGCACAAAGGTTATCATTATTATGACATCTATTACCATAGAGTAGTGTTGTCTGATCTTGAACTCCATTTAATGGAATCATACAGTATAAATTCTTATGTGTCTGAGCTCTCTTGCTTAATATTGTGTCTATGAAATTCATTCATTGCATTTAGCAGTAATTCTTTTTCATTGCAATGTAGTATTTCATTATATGAATATTACTCATTCTCTTATTGATGGATATTTGGGTTGCTTCTAGTTTTTTGACTCTTGTGAATAATTTTGCTGTGAACATTCTTGTACATATCTTTTGGCAGATGTATACCTTTATGTCTGCAGCACCTAATTTTAGAATAGAATTGCTGATTAATGGGATGTATGTAAATTTAGTTTTAGTGGATCTTGCCTGTTTTTTCAGTTTGTGTGCCCTTCAACAAAGCATGAAAATTCCATTTGTTTCAGTTCTTTACTGACACTTGATATTGTCCTGTGTTTTCTAAGTGTCTATATTGAAGCAAAAATCACACATACACACATATACAATCACCTTTTAGTTTTAAAAGAAAAAGAAAAGTTTAATAGTCATGAAACATATTAATTACTTTTAGAACTTTGATCAGCATCTTTTCATTTCACTTAAAACTGCTTTCTGGGACTTATTTTAGTCAATTGTATGTTTGAAAAGTTCATCTTTGTGGTTCACTGATACCAATGTGCTGTGCATTTTCACCATGAATCTGTGGAACAGATGCCTTTTACTCCAAGCAGACTTGTTTTCTCAAGTGCGGATAATTCCAGAATGTAGATGAATACGGTCTTTATTCTTTTTCACTTAGTTTGCACTTAAATCCTAGCATTATGAAGATGAATATTGAAAATTTGTAAACATTTTTATAACATTAGTTTTACTTTGTACATACAGTATCATTGATGTTTTTATGTTTCGTTTATTGCATACTTATTTTGCAGTTCCTCAATTACTGAATTTGTAATTCTGTAGTATATGGATCTCTGAGACCACATTCACCAGGAAGGTGAATACTGTAGTTGCTATTATCTTTGTGTTGTGACTTTCACTGTAATATAGTAAGAGCTTGCATTTTCAGCAACATTGAAGAATTTATCTAAATGACATTCTCTTAAATGTGTTGAGAAGTGAAAATAGTGTTTTTCTCTGCCATTGAGGTTTGCTGTATAGAAAGTGCATGTTGTAGCAAGTTCTTAGCTCAGAATGCTTGGCACAGTACAAAGAATACTAGCTCAAGCATGAAGAGAGTTGACTTCTACTGCCAATCTAAGATTAACTCGCTATTTTCTTTTTTTTGAGACAGGGTGTCACTTTGTTGCCCAGGCTGGAGTTCAGTGATGCCGTCTCTGCTCACTGCAACTTCCACCTCCTGGGTTCAAGCGATTTTCCTGCCTGACCCTCCTGAGTAACTGAGACTACAGGTGCATGCCACCTGCCCAGCTATTTTTTGTATGTTTAGTAGAGACAGGACTTTGCCATGTTGGCCAGGCTGGTCTCAAACTTCTGACCTCAAGTGATCTACCCTCCTCGGCCTCCGAAAGTGCTGGGGTTACAGGTGTGAGCCACTGTGCCTGGCCAACTCAGTATTTTCATTTCAGCAAATTATATCACCTTTTTATGTCTTGGATTCCTCTTCTGAAAAAATGAGTATCATAATAATACGCTGTTGGTATCATAAAAGGGGAAATTTTTATTTCATCTTTAACTTCAATTTAAGTGAAAGACCAGGAAGTAATGCACTCTACTTTGCGTAATTGAAGGCAATAATTTAATCATTTACCAGTGCTGTTTCTCTCTATACTATGAAAGTAATCTCTGGAATGGTATGGCTACTGCCTGATAGTGTGCAATAGGAGAGAGTATGTCAGATTTAGGACCAGCACTTTTTATATGCTCATTTGTAATGGGAATACTGAAGCTATAAATAACAACCAAGAATCCATCCTTGTAGTGTGTTATGTATTTCAACATAGCATGGTGAGTAGCCACAGAAAAGAAACACTTACCCTGAAACAAAGAATTTTTGTGATGAGAGGAAACTGATGGTAAATGGAAGAGAAGAGGGTGCTCTCTGTTGCCTTTTTATTCATTTGTCTAGAAATCTTGCTTGGTTATCTCTCTAAGCAGGAAAGATGGGATTCCTCTTCTTTAGAAAAAGTTTCTACCTGATGACTTAATTGGAAAAAAAAATATTTTTTCATTATGGAATGTTGTTTTAGAACTGAAAATGCACTATTTATCTGTCTTTAATTTTTGCTAATGTTTCGAGTTTTCAGGCTAATTATATTACTAGATATATTGTGTTTTTGTGGAACTAAATTAACTGCTTTTTAGGTACAACCCAAGATCACCTTTTCTTGATACATTAGACTATTCCACCAAATGTACTTATATTGTTTTGTTTTTGTATTAAAGTGCCTGGAATTTCTCTGAAGTGTTAGGTTTTTATGAACGGTATTTAAATTGGAACAAAGTTTAGTAGCATCATGTATGTTAGGTTCTGTGAATTTATATAACACCTGTGATTCTTTCCTTAAGAAATTCTTTTTGAAATTAGCATGTTCATTTTGAAGGCTGTTGTCTGAAATTTCTTTTCCTTTCTCTTCTTCTTCTTCTGTTTTTATTTTTTTTTTGAGATAGAGTCTCACTCTGTCACCCAGGCTAGAGTGCAGTGGCGTGATCTTGGCTCACTGCAACCTCTGCCTCCTGGGTTCAAGTGACTCTTCTGCCTCAGCCTCCTGAGTAGCTGGGATTGCAGGTGCACGCCACCACACCTGGCTAATTTTTGTATTTTTAGTAGAGATGGAGTTTCGCCATGTTGGCCAGGCTGGTTTTGAACTCCTGAGCTCAAGTGATCCACCCGCCTTGGCCTCCCAAAGTGCTGGGATCACAGGCGTGAGCCACCGCACCCAGCCTCCTTTCTCTACTTCTTAAAGTCTTAAGGCTTATTGTACATATTTAAGGAAAAGCCCAGGTCAGATGTTCCCACTAGCTTTGGTAAAATGAAGGGGCTTGCAACTTTCTGGGAGTATTACTCCTGTTTATTTTAAGTTTCAGGTTTAAGCACAATTTCTAAGGGACAATGTTATTGAACTGATGGTTTTAAAAATCATAGTCTTTTTCAAGTGTTTAATCAGACTTTTTATATGCCATATGGGTTTTTAAATAAAGTTTTTATTTATTGAGTTCCTATGTTTGTCTAGCTGTGTTGTAAAATGAATTATTATTTATTTATTTATTTACTTTTTTTGAGACAGAGTCTCACTCTGTCGTCCAGGCTGGAGTGCAGTGGTGTGATCTTGGCTCACTGCAACCTCTGCCTCCTGGATTCCAGCAATTCTCATGCCTCAGCCTCCCAAGTAGCTGGGATTACAGGTGTGCGCCACCAGGCCCAGCTAATTTTTTGTATTTTTAGTAGATATGGGGTTTCACCAGGTTGCCCGGGCTAGCCTCGAGCTCCTGAGCTCAGGAAATCCCCCCGCCTCAGCCTCCCAAAGTGGTAGGATTACAGGCATGAACCACTGTGCATAGCCTAAATTATTTTTCTTAAATCTAACAATATTCAGGGTGCTTGGCAGTGTTTTTCTCATGAGGATGAAGAAATTTCATATTGAAAAAGTTCAGGAACTTGTCCACGGTCATTTACATATAGGCCTATCTTGAAGTATTTACTCTTCTTTTTGTTAATTTTATTGTTCTTTGATAGTTCTGTAATTATGTGGAACAGTATTCTCTATACATAGTATCTTTATTCAGGGATATGTGAAACATTGCAAGGCAGTGTGCTTATTTATCAAACTGTATCAAATATAAATTATTTTGTTCCGGATTTCCCTGTGTGTTAAGTAGTCTTGACTTGTGTAGATTTAATTCAGGAGACAAAATCTTGTTCATTTCTAAGAGGTAGAGATTAAAGCAAACATGAGGATTAACTTTTGAAAAGAGATTAGGGAATTTTGGATGCTCAGATGGTAATTCCAGTAGGTAATCTGACTTTTCATTTAGAAATGTGTGTCTGATCGCATGACTTTAAATGCTTCCCATTTAAAAACTCAACACTTCTTCTTGTGCAGAGTTCGCAGTATGTGCAGTGCGTGGCCGGGTGTTTGCAGCTGATGCTCCGGGTCAATGAGTACCGCTTTGCTTGGGTGGAAGCAGATGGGGTAAATTGGTGAGTGCCCTTTCCTTTTAATGTAAAATAACATTTACAAGCATCTCTCCTTGACATTTTCAAAGAAATATGTAATCATCTAAAAGAAATATTTTATTTTTTTCATATCTGTTTAACAATTGACTATGCTAAGCTTTTTAGAAGTTAGTAACTATCAAACTGAGCCCCTTTCCTTGCTTGATCTGTTCTTTTATAAGAGGTTAAGGCCTCTTAAGAACCTAATGCTTAACAAGACAGATTCCAGGTACTCAGAATATAAAAAATTTTAGAAAATAATTGATGATGAATGTAGGCAAAAATCAACAAGAAAAGTTCTTACCCAGGAAAGAGTGAATATAAGCCTTTCTTTCTAATGCCATATAATTTAGCCCAATCTTTGTGGGATCCTAATTTGCAGGTATAGAAACTTTGAGGAGCTGCCTGTTCAGGCTTATACAGACAAGCACCTGAAAACCTCCAAAACAATGGAAATCTTGTTTTACCATCAGAAAATCAATTTATTTGTTCATGAGAGATCTAACTGCTTTTAAACCAAATATTCTTTTCATTTAGCAAGGCATTGTTTCTCTGTTAGAAAATCTACAGAGGAGTTTAGGTTATCAACAGTAAGTTGCTTGGTGGGTGAGGATTTAAAGCAAGCATTGGACTCTTACCCTGTATCTCCAGTGTAGGATATACCTGTGAAGGGACCCAAATATTCTAGGTCTTTTCAGTCAGTATTTGTATGCAATTTCTTAGAATGGGTTACTTCTGCGAATAGCTGTTCTTGTGAGTTGTTATTTGAATTGTCACAACTATTCAATATCCATCAATTCAGTAAGTTACTAATTATTTTTCTATTAATCTATAAAATTTCAGTCCATTCTTGTTTATTTAATCCTCAGTTTGCCAGGAAAAATAGCCATCACAGTTTGTCATCTGGGTCCAACAGACCCTTTAAAAATATATTTTTAGTCATTTTGTGAAAAATTGACGGAACTAAGAATAAAGAGAGTGAAAAACAACTATTAGAAATTTCAATAAAAATTAAAATATAGCAAACCTTTTTGTAAAAAGTACATTTTGATACACAAATATCATAAAAGATTACAGAAAATCATCACATGTCCTTGAGCGAAATGATCTAGGTTCTTGCTGCAGAATACTGTCTGGAAGTCTTTCATGTTCAGTGGCTAACTAGTTGAGAATACTATATTTCCTTTTTGTCCTTAGAAATATATTCCTCATTTATCAGTTCCTGAGTTTGAGTAAATGCATTTATGATATAGCTATCTAGAGACTCACAGTTTAAGATTTCACTTATTTGACCCATTTCACCATTATTGTTAGAGAATAGAGTGCAATCTATCTCTTTGTTTTCATCTTCTGAATAATCTAATAATTGTGAAACACTTTCCTCTGTTGGTCATTATTATGGGCAGAAAATAAAAAATTCTGAATTCTCAGCTGTGTTCACACTTGTCAGGAGATTCATTAGAAAGACTCACAGACATAGCATATAGTTCTATTCACAGATAAGATTTATTACAGAGATACAGTGAGGACGCACAGCTGTATCATAAGGGACAAAGACACAGGCTGAGTATGGAGGAATCCACGTGCAGGCTCCCTTATGCTCTCTTCCTCCCAGAGGGGTCGCACAGGGTATCTTCTCCCAGCATTGAAAATGCAGCAACATTTGTGTGAGGTTTCTGTCCCGGAAACCCATCAGAGACTCAGCTCTGAAGATTTTATTAGAAGTTAGTTATGTAGACACACTGTGCCTAAAACACACCAAAATTTCAGACTCCTGAAATAAAGTAGGTGTCTTAATCTATTTGGGCTGCTTTAACAAAATACTGGGTGGCTTATAAACAATGGAAACTTACTTCTCACATTTCTGGAGGCCAGGAAGTCCAAGATGAAGGCACTAGCAGATTTGGTGTCTGGTGAGGGCCTGTTTCCTCATTCATAAATGGCCATCTTTTCACTGTAAACTCAGATGGCAGAGGGGACAGGGGTCTTTCTCAGGACCCTTTTAGAAGGGTACTAATCCCATTCATGAGTGCTCTGCCCTCATGACCTAATCACCTCCCAAAGGCCCCACCTCCTAATACCATCACCTTGGGTGTTAGTCTTTGAACATGTGAATTTTGGAGGGACACAGACATTTAGACAATAGCAGTAGGAATTCAGCATAAGCCACATGTTTGTACAAATGGTTTAGTTTGATCAATTTAGGAAACTTTACCAGCCAAATTCCCAGAAGCCAGCCAAAGGCCAACCTTGTAAGCACGTCTTTCTGAGGCTAGCAGCCTTAGGACTTTGCTGTTAACTCTTTTCTGCACAGAAACGTAAAGGTGAACTACAAAAATGGTGTTACCAGTCTTTTTACCTCCATAAAAGATAATGCAGTATTTTGGGCAGTGCAATAAAGGGTAATTATTTATTTCACTATTATATCATCTTCCTAGGTGATTCCATCAATCTCTAACTTTCTTATTATTTTAGTCTTTGATTTCTTAGTATAATTGGTTATAATCAATGAATAATGATAAAATAATATATAGGATGATAAAACAGCATAAGACAACTAAAATTCAATAATATGTGGTTTATAAAAGAGTCCAGTAGAATTGTTTGGCAGAATTAAAATTCATTTTATCTTACAATTAGGGTTATTGTAAGATAAAATGAATTTTAATTCTACTAACCAAAAATTAGATTTTTTTCTCCCTATGGAGGACCTGTAAGAAAGAATCAAAGTCATGAAATAGCAATCTCTACAAATAGTTATAATTGCTTATAAAATAAACTCAAATACCAAAATTTGGTCCCTTTGAACTCTCATGGTATACTGAGTACAACAAATGCTGCTGTTCTGATGGCTAGTACCTTAGTATTTTAGAGACCATTCAGCAATGTTAACCATTTAGCAGCAAAAAGATCAGGATAAATATAATCTAGACTATTTCATGTTCAACCAATATATTTTGATATGCTAATGACCACTAATAAGATTAGCAGTAATCAGATAAACCTTTAGGTGGAGAAATGGGCATTAATAAAAGTATAATAACTTGCTGAAAGTATAGCAATTTCAAAAAGTCATTTAATCTTTTCATTTTTTCAGAAATATGTACTTTCTACTTTTTGAGTTTTTGCTTAGCATTGAATTTGTGTGTGTGTGTGTGTGTGTGTGTGTGTGTTTCTCACATTGCAAATAGGAATAATGTGAGGAGAAAAATTTTCAAGTATAGCCCATTTGAAGAGAGGAAGATAACTGAGGTCTTTTTTTTTCCTTTCTGAGACAGAGTCTCACCCAGGCTGGAGTGCAGTGGTGCAATCTCAGCTCACTGCAACCTCCGCCTCCTGGGTTCAAATAATTCTGCCTCAGCCTCCTGAGTAGCTAGGATTACAAGTGTGCGTCACTACCCCCAGCTAATTTTTGTATTTTTAGTAGAGATGGGGTTTCACCATGTTGGCCAGGCTGGTCTTGAACTCCTGACCTCGTAATCCACCTGCCTCGGCCTCCCAAAGTGCTGGGATTATAGGCATGAGCCACCTTGCCTGGCCGATAACTGAGGTCTTAAAAAAACCCAGCACATTTTAATCTATATAGTTTGCTGACTTTTTTATTGTTGTTAAAAAGCCTATTATATACATAATACAACACTGTTTATTTGTATACCTATGTAAGATAGAAAAATTTACATTATATTGTGCTATATATTGTTAGCCTCACAAGAAAGTCTGAAGGTTAACATTAACTTCCTAAATATTGGAGCTATAAGTGGGCCTTTGCTGGGGGTAATTGCCTCTACTGCCCAAAGTAATTTATAGATGCAGTGCTATTCCCATTAAACTACCATTGGCATTCTTTTTTATTTTAATATAATTTGATATGAAGAATTATTAACTAAGTACACATTTGCCCTTTTTGTATTTTTTTGGGAAATTTTTTGGTATTGTTATGTTTTTTTGATAGAGATGGGGTTTTGCCATGTTGCTCAGGCTAGCCTCAAATTCCTGGCTCAAGAGATCCGCCCACCCTGGCCTCCCAAAATGCTAGGATTAGCAGCTTGAGCCACCATGCCCAACCACTAATTTTGTTTAAAGTGGAAAAAAAAAAATGACTCTTGAGTGTCAGAAAGGTAGTGAGTGCAGATACCACCCATAAGGTGGGGTGGGTGATGTAAAATAGGTGGGCAATGGTAAGAGACTGGAATCATTAAAATTTGCATGCTTGGAGGAGGGGCTGAGTACAGCTGAAATTTAGACATTTGAGGAGGAGGTTTTGCCCAGCTGATATTGGTGTCTCTGAACTCCGAGGAAAAGCCTCATGGATTTGGAACCCAGGACTCTGGGGAGGGGAGCCAGTTGGCTAGTGCTGACATCTTTGAGGAAATGTGATGAGGCTTGTTCTGCTAGAGCTGGAAAAACTGCAAACTGAATTTGGCTGCTGCTGTGGGAAAGAACTGCTGCTGCCGGGTTGAAGGAGTGTTACTGGGGTAATGCTCTCAGGATCAGGAAGCCAACAGGAGGAAGTCTGTTCTTCCTTCCTTGAAGTCAGCCTCTAGCTCCTGTTCTTGGCATAGCCTAACATGGAGCCAACTGGTAGAACAGAAATGTGGTTTTCAGGGTCTCAGCCACAGCATCACAAAGCCAAGTGCAGAAGGCTTGGCTTAATAACTGGAACAGACAGCAAAGGAAACCAGGGACTAGGGTGTTTACAGTATAAAGTGACATGATTTTATAGCAGTTTATGTACTGATATCAATATTAATTAAAAAGCAAGTTTTACATAACATCCAAAAATAGAGAAGACAAGGCAAAAGCCATGCATGAGAACATTAAAAACAATTAGTGAACTGAACTATATACAAATCATACAAATGAAGAAATGACACAGATAAAAGCCTTTCAGTAAGTTACAGTAAGTTTAGATTGTAAAATCAGGCTTAGCATTTTAAACATTTATATTATTAGAGCAGCTTTAGTTTTACAGAAAAACCAAAAGTGCAGAGAGTTTCCATTACATCCTCTCCTCTCCCGCCTCAAATTTCCATTATCATTAACATCTTGCATTAGTATGGTATATTTGTTCCAAATGATGATCCAATGTTAATAGATTTTTATTAGTAAGTTTCCATAGCTTATATTAGGGCTCACTCTTTGTGTTGTACATTCTATGGTCTTCGAGCTCTTAACCCCTTTGGTCTTTTTTTCTTTTTAAATGGTAGGCTCTGCTCCAATATGAAGGTCACTTTTAATGGTCTTATTTGATGATTTCTGTTTTTTTTTTTATTTGATGATTTCTGAACTCTATTCTTTGAATGTAGGTATTCCCCAGGGCAATTTCCTTAGCTTTTCTTCTATTGTATATATTCTGTCTCTTGGTGTAACCTCCTTCATGTCCATGTCATTTTCCTAGTTTCCTTATCAGTAAAGTAAGAGATCAAACTAGAAATTTGATCAAACTGAGGTTTTTGATCTCTTGATCAAACTGAGGTTTTTCCTGACCCCCGAATTCAGTAATTGGCTATGTCAAATTTGAACCCATCACAGGTTTTCACCAAGCGCTTCCCTTCTTTTCTCTGTTTCCTTTATTTTAAAGCTATCGGTGGTCTTATTGGTTGCCCAGACTCAAAATCTCCATGTAACATTTGGCTCTATTGTCTGTCCGATTGCTCTTTCCATTCCCGTTGCCATATTACAAGTCTTTGTTCCCTTTCTTCTTGCCGCACAGCAGGAGCTCCTGCTTCCTGAGATCCTGTGACTTTTGGAGAGAGGGTTAAGTGGAGCTGTACTGGAAATGGTTCTCTGTGAGTAGCAATCTAGCTGCTTGTTATTGCTGGCAGAAAAGAAACAGGACATAATTCAGAGAGACCTGTTCCATTAGTGCAAAAAGAGAATAATTGCTTATTTCTTCTTTCTAAATGTTTTGTAAATGTGTTTTTTTTGTTTGTTTGTTTTTCAGCATAATGGGAGTGTTGAGTAACAAGTGTGGCTTTCAGCTCCAGTATCAAATGATTTTTTCAATATGGCTCCTGGCATTCAGTCCTCAAATGTGTGAACACCTGCGGCGCTATAATATCATTCCAGTTCTGTCTGATATCCTTCAGGAGTCTGTCAAAGAGAAAGTAACAAGAATCATTCTTGCAGCATTTCGTGTAAGTGTTTTATGTTGGTTTGTGTGTATGTGAGGCATTTTTCACTGTGCAGTATATTTGAGTTTTTAGCAGGCGGGAAAAAATTACTTGTTCTTCTTGTGGTTATGAAACCATAGAGTCTTGGTGAATATAGAGTAAAATATCACTAATTTGTATTTATGGTGTGGGCAGTGGGATAGGTGAGAGGAAACTATCTATGAATGAAATCTGTGAGTTACAGTATGCTTGTAGGGAAATGCAATTGGATTATGTTCAGATGGAGGAAGTCCTTTTCTGTTGCAGTGTATTCCAAGAGACTGTTTTTGAAGGAGTTTCTCTCTTATGGAGCATGTATGTTAGTATGGAGTTGTGTTTCAGGTTCTGGATCTACTGACTGGAGTACATTTTTGAGGCAACTATAAAGATCTATCATTATTTAAACAGTAAAGTTATCCTATTAGGATATTAGATTTGTCAGTTACCTAAGTCATCTTCCTCCTTTGAACAGATGAGGAAGTTGAGGACAAGAGAAAGCCTAGCTAGAATCGAAATCCTAGGTTGCCAGGTGGTTTTAATACTTCACGTTGCTAATTGGCTACCGAGAGCCAGTGTATTTGCTGTGCCAATTGTCTACTGATAATTTTGTTGGTCACTTTAGATGGGCTTCTATGGGATGGCTTGGTTGAAGTAATCTCTCTAAGAATGCTATTCAAGGTTAGTAATAGTGGACATGTCCCATATAGTGCCTACCCTCTGCTATACATTGTTCTAAGATTTTTCTGTTTAATTCATTTAATGCTCACCAGAGCTCTATAACATGTTATTGTTGTTACTGTTAGTATATAGGTATCTTTGCTATACGTTGGGAATACTGAGGCGTAGAGGTCACATTGCTGATAGGTAGCAGACATGCAAATCCAGAATGTTGGCTGTAGAATCTGTGCTTTTAACCATTTTTGTTCTTATACTTTCTTTAAAAAACAAGTAAAAAATAAAAAGTGGGGCTGGGTGTGGTGGTTCACACCTGTAATCCCAGCACTTTGGGAGGCCGAGGTGGGCGGATCACCTGAGGTCAGGAGATCGAGACCATCCTGGCCAACACAGTGAAACCCCGTCCCTACTAAAAACACAAAAATTAGCTGGGCGTGGTGTCATGTGCCTGTAATCCCAGCTGCTCAGGAGGCTGAGACAGGAGAATCGCTTGAACCAGGGAGTCGGAGGTTGCAGTGAGCCGAGATCGCGCCACTGCACTCCAGCCTGGGCGACAGAGTGAGACTCCATATCAAAAAAAATAAAGTAAAATGAAAATAAAAAGTGGTACAGATGTATTGCAAAATTTAATGTAGATAACACATTTGCCAAATATAGTTACTAGCATCTTTCAGATGTTTGCAAGCACAGAGATAAATAAATAGATGTATAATTTTGTTTTGTATTTAAAAATAAAAATGACATATTATACTGGTCTATAACTTTATTCTTAATATATAGTGAATATGTTTTCATTTCTGTATATGTGGATATTCAGTATTTTTTTTAATGGCTATTTTCCGCTGTGTTGGTGTAGAGCTATTTATTTAACCAGTGCTCTATTGATGGCCATGTGGTGGTGTTTCTAGTTTCTTTTACATATGTTTGCCCACTTTGATGAATATTTCTTTTGGATTTAGTTCTGGAGATGGAACTGCCGAGTCAAATGAATGTGTTTGTACACTTTTTTTTGTTTTTTTAAAGACAGTCTCACTGTGTTGCCCAAGCTGGAGTGCAGTGGTGCAATCTCAGCTCACTGTAACCTCCACCTCCTGGATTCAAGCGTTTCTCGTGCCTCAGCCACCTGAGTAGCTGGGATCACAGGCATGCACCACCACATTCAACTAATTTTTGTGTTTTTAGTAGAGATGGGGTTTTACCATGTTTCCCAGGCTGGTCTCGAACTCCTGACCTCAAGTGATCCACCTGCCTCGGCCTCCCAAAGTGCTGAGATTACAGGCATGAGCCACTGTACCCCACCATTTTTTTTTTGAGACAGGGTTTTTACTCTGTCATCCAGGCTGGAGTGGAGTGGCGTGATCATAGCTTACTGCAACCTCGGACTCCTCAGCTTGAGGGATACTCCTGCCTCAGCCTCCCAAGTAGCTGGGACTATAGGTGCATGCCACCGAGCCTGGCTAATTTAAAAAATAAAATCTTTTGTAGAGACAGGATCTTGTTTTGTTGCCCAAGATGATGTTGAACTCCTGGGCTCAAGCAGTCCTCCTCCCTCAGCCTCCCAAAAATTGTGGGATTACAGGTGTTAGCCACAGCAGCTGGCCTGCACTTTTGGTAGATAATGTCATGCAGTTTTCAAAAATGTGCAGATTTACATTTCCATCACCTATATATTGGGAGTGCATATTTTTCTGCTCACTATAATATTACCCTTCTTTTAATTTTTACAAAATCTTGGTTTAAAAACTAAATCATTGTTTTAAATTTGCATTCCGTTAATAATGAATGAGGCTGAGCATCTTTTAATATTATTGGCTATTTATATTCTTTCTATAAATTGCTTATTCATAGCAGTTGTCACCTTCCAAATTTTAAAATTTGATGTGTAGGAACTCTTTTCTAGGTGTCGGTAGTTAATAACAGCTAATGTCTATTGAGAGCTTATTCTGTGTCAGGCACTGTCCTAATTACTTTAAATGTATTCCACATATAATTGTCCCAGGAACTCCATTTAGTGGTCACTAGGACACGAGAGGTTAAGTAATTTGCCAAAATAGCTAGGAAGTGGCAGACCAGGGATTTAAACTCAGGCAATATGATGCGTGCTTTTAACCATCATGCTAATCTGTCTTTGATGCTGAGAATAATAATTGTTAAAATTTATTAAGTAATTTTTATGCATTGCCTTATTTAAGCTTCATGATTACCCAGTAAGTTCTATTACTATTTTTATTGATAAGGAAACCAAGACTCGGAGATAATTCCCCAGTAAGTGAAAAGATTGGAATTTCACTGAGATCTGCCAGCTCCAAAGCTGTCCTCTTAACCACCCTGCTATCTCCTTTTTTTCTTGTCTCGATGCATTTTCTCAGGAACCTTAAGACTGGCATTAAAAAGGGGGAAACGTGAAAAGGAAAACCAAAGCTAATATCAGGGGAAGATTTCTTTGCTTAAAATACCAGCTGGATGTGTTAAGCCCTGTGTATTTCCTGGCTGCCTGGCAAGGGCTGAGTGAGTGAGGGACGGCATGGAGGAGTGGTGTTCAGTGTGGATTCTGGGAGAGTGTACAGTGAGATCCAGGTGTGGCCTGCTGGGTGTGATAAACACCGACCAGCTATTGACCAGGTGTTGGGCTGGGCATTAGATTTTCTTTCGATTATGTTTATTTATGAAAGTAACAGTCTTTTTCATGTAAAAATCATTCTGTGGTCCTTGAAGTTCACTCTTGAGAAACAGGCAAATGCGGAGCCTCCTTACTTCTCTCCCTCACCATGGTGGCTCTGCTCTTCATGTTTCCTGCACACTCTGTCCACATGAGTTGTCACAGTAAATTTCAGTCCAGCTAAAATAATAATCAGTTCTTAAGTCAAAGTAGGTTGTATTAATGAGGCTTTACTTTGGAGTATTTTAGTAGGTAAACTGAATGTATTTTTTTCTTCTACTTAAGTGCTTCATTATCCATATTCGTATTTATTTAGTAAAAGCAAAAATTTTCAGAAATGGAGTCTTTTGCCAATCTCTCCTAAATCACAAAACAGTTGTGGGTTCCATGTATGTGCCAGGGGCTGTGCTAATTATTCGGGGACACAGATGACCAACATAGAGCTGGACATCGAAGGTCTTATGGTTTGGTGAAGACAGTCGACGTGAATAAGCAATGCCAGTGCAATGCAGTGATGAGTGACGAAGGGAGGAAAGGCAGTAGAAGAGAGGCGGACAGCCAGAGGAGGGGTGTGAGGAGGAGACAGGGCCCGAGGGGCCTTTTGAACGGGGATGTGAGGAGAAGAGAGGGCTCAAGGGGCCTTTTGAACCAGGAATAGTTATCTTGGAAGTGCAACGGTGGGGAGAGGTTGAATGTTAACAAGTGAAGAAAGAATCTTCTGGAATCATCAGTAGTTTGTGCTTGTAGGACTTGTTATTCCTTTCCCTGACCCAGGTGACTTCTGAGAGAGTAAATGGAGCACATAAATCTGGCTCTTGAAGATGCAATCCTGGGATTTGTGGCTGTTTACTTTCTGAAGGCACAGACTTGTTCTGTGAATGGATCTTTTGCCCCTACCACTCTGGGCATAGAACTAGTGGGGCCAACATGAATATTTCAGTCATCCTGGTTATCACCTGACACTAACTTGTGCTCACACTCTTGGGCATCACTCACTGAAGCATGGCACCTTCTAATAAGACCCTTTGTCAGATCTAGTTTTAGCACTTTATTCTGTGCTCTCCTGCTCTGAGGGAACATGGAATAAGAGCTGATTCTTCTTTTAAATTTGTTCACTGTGGCAAAATAGATATTGCATCTTTTCAACTCAATAAATTTATTCTCTGAGGGCTTAATGCTCCTTCTGTTCCATTTGTCTTAGTTTTGAGTTTCTCCCTTGTCTTTCCTTTTTTTTAATTCTACCATTGTCACAGGAGCCTTTATTTTGCCAAAATCTTTTAGTGTAAATTAAGCATCTACCATTTGCAAAAATAGAGCTAGTTTGATCTTTTACTGTTATAAAAATAATGTGGTTTTATGGTTAAAAAGATACAATAGAAAAATATTAAGTAAAATTGTAAATTACCCACAATATCACTCCCACATACGGAGCCCCCTTGACGTTTTAAAACCTGCAGTTTATAATCTCTGTTCCTTTACTACAACTAGGCTTCAACTCTGGATGAATTACGATAGGCACTAAATAGCTGAAGGAGTCTTTGAAATCTCATCTCTTCATGATTTGGGTGGATCATGCTTGGCCCTCCTCACTACAAAGTCTGTATGCACTCAGGCCTGTAGTGAGTGTGCTGGCATGTGCAGTGGCAGTCAGGTTCGCTGGGCTCTTGGGCTGGCCTCCAGGCTTTGGCCAAGTTGCTTAGCCTCTCCGTGCTTTAGTTTTTTTCGTGTGTCCTGTGAGAGTAATATCATCTCTCCTACATCTATTACTTTGTTGATACTCACATGATAATACCCTTCGAAAAATATGTGCTAAATGAACCTTTGGTGCCTAATGGACCCTCAGTAAATATTTGTGACTGTATAAAGGGCTGGTCGTGGGGTGGTTGTTGGCACCAGGGCTACAGCAGTCATGGTAAACTTACTTCAGGTTATGTGAACACTGGGTTCATATAGTTGTCTCTGTGGGGTTTGTCTTTGGATGTTACCTAGACAGAAAGAATAGTGAAAAGTCTTTTGGAACGCAAGTGTGTTATTTACAAGGGAATTGCCATCCAATGAAAAAGTTAACCTGGAGGTAAAGACTGGCCCAGTTACTGAATGTTCACATTTTAAAAATTAAGAGAGAAGTAAAAACATGTTTACTTAATTAGATGAACATATAACAGAAAGCAAGACTAGAGAGAGAGGGTCCCTGTTTTCTGTTAGCACATGGACTTTTGTCTAAATTGGAAGTTGTTAATAAACTTGGTACTGAAAGCTTTTTTCAGAAAAGGAGATATATTTTGTAACTGCTAAACTGTTAGGAAAGATGGTTACATTTGACTCAATGTCTTTGCTATTAGATTATCCTAGAAAGATGAATTATTATTGTTTTTATTATCTTTTGTGTGACTTTCCCTTAGGGGCAATAGAAAGGTCAGCAGTTTCCTAATTAGTTAATGTGGAAGTGAATAGTACTATTTTTCCATTTACCTCTACCTGTTCTTTTCTGTATGTTATATATTTTTTGAAATGAAAATATCTATTTTTCAAATTGTAAAAGATTGTAAAAATTTATAATTATTTCTTGTTATAGGCTTTTAATAATTTGTTAATAACTTGTCTATTTAAGGTGAAATAGACGTATGGGAAAGAGCTGTAATAGAAGTCAGGGTCTTATTTTAGCTGTCCTGTTGTTTCAAAGAATGTATCTTTCCCTTATATCTTTTCCTCTCAGTTTCAAGAGACTACATGGCTTTTAAAGGTATTATTTAGAATATTTTAAGTGCTGCAAGTTTCTATGAAAAACCAGGTATTAATAATTTTTTTTCTTTTTGAGACAGAGTCTTGCTCTATTGCCCAGGCTAGAGTGCCTGCTTCGGCCTCCCAAAGTGCTGGGATTACAGGTGTGAGCCACCGTGCCTGGCCCAGGTACTAATTTTTAATAATGGGCTGAGATTTAATCTAAAGCCCAGCAAAAGCTGCTTTAATCATTATATGATATTCTATCCAAGCTTCCCACATACCCTACTTTTTTGTCCCCACTTAGTTCCTCCTCTCTTCCTTTGTTTTTCACTGAATCATTAGGTAAAATAAAAAGGTTATTGGAAGCATGTATCTAATACTGTAATATCACAGAAGAGAGATATTAGTTGATATTAATTGAATCCTGCCTTTAAGTTCTTCCTTCTCCTTTTCTCTCCCATTCTTCCTCTTGTATTTATTCATCTATCAGTGCATCAGATGTTTATTGAAGACCAAATATATGTAAGGCAATTTGTTGGTTACTGAGTATATGGAAAGATGCATAAGATAGAATACCTTTTCTCAGAACCTTTGCATTTTGTTTAAACCTTTGTTTTGATAGCGTAACTTGATGAAGTCACTGTGTTTACGGTATACAAAGCTCAAAAAGTCACCATAAGTGTAGAGCCAGACTGAGATTCCTAAGTTTTTTCTTTTGACCTCATTTGGGAGCTTTCTGAATTAATTATGTACCTTTATGGAAATCTGAGAAATAGAGTAGTGTAACTGTTTCATAATGGCGCAGTAGAAGGATAGACAAGAGTCTCTCTGGAGTGGATAGACCTAGGTGTGAATTCCAGCACTTGATTGTTTAGTGTTGGGAGAGTGGCTTGAACTCCCAGAGCTAGTTTCTTTATGGTGAAAGGTGGTAGATGGTACTTAACTCATTTAAACATTAGGTAAGGAATCCATGAAATAACAGTTAAAGTGTCTGCAATAGTAAATATACAGTATGTATTTATTTCCCTGCCCTTTTCTCCATAAAATCATGGAATAATAACAGTTTTCCTCTTTATCTCTGTAAGTTGGATTCTTGCTAAGTTAATATTAAGCCCAGGTAAAGATCTAGTGCTGTTTTGTTTGATTTAAAAGAGACAGCATGAATATGTTACTAATATTTAGCAAGATTTAAAAATCTCATTTAAACTATATTTATAATTTCAAATTTTTACTTATAATGCATAGAATTTAATAATTTATGGGCTTCTATTGTCTAATTTTGGGTTTCAGAATATTTAAAATAGACCCAGTCCAATGGCAGAAATATTAGTTTTTTTTAGATTCTCATATGCTAAATTTGGGGTAATGCACTTATTATGTGAATATGCTGAGAGCAGAAAGAAGAACATCTTTAGACATCCACAATTTTGATATGTACAGTGGAACTAAAATTGAGCCATTGATAAAGACATAGTAAAGCCATTTGATTTATACCATCAAACTGATTTTAACAATGATGATTTTTAAAGTAATTTTCAAATTCCTGTAACCTTTAAAAAAGATTTTACTGATGAGGTTATTTGAAGATAGTATAGACACATCCTAAAACTCAGGGAAATTTTTTTTTTGTGGGAGGCTTTAGAAAACTTGCTGAGCTACTGTGAGCTGAACAAATCTAGCAGCTGCTAATGATTGTTATTATTTTTCCATTTGGCTGGATGAATTTTATTTTTGAAAATGTCAATCTCACTTATTCATAGTGCATGCTGTACTCCAGGTCTCTGCATATATTACTGCTGTTGGTTAAACTGATTTGTCAATCTTTAGGTCCTAAAATAAATTAGGATGTTTTGGGGCTGTGACTGATAAAGACATTGAAGATCATCTTTGTTGCCTAGAGTTTTACATCTGTTTGTTGTGCATTTGATTTCTCTTCTGGGCTCTGCTTAGTCAAAAGCCTACATTATATGTCAGATAAAGTGAATTGTATTTTTACAGTGATATACTTTTCATCAGAAAGCCTTAAGAATTACAGCCAAATTGAGTTGTTCTTTTCATTAGATAGATTAATCATGATGTTTAATTCACATCTACACATGTATACTCACTAGACATAAACATGCACACGCATGTACATGCATTTTTCCATGCAGGCAGTTCATACTCATAACCCTTTCAAAGAGGCTAGCTCTAGTCTGTGTGTGTGGGGCTGTTCTGACCACTGCTATGGCATGGAAATATTGCCATGAAGAAATTTTATTCTGGAGTCTATCCCTTATCCCCTGTTTCAGGAATTCTGCCTCAACGTCTTTGCCTAACTTCTATCTTGCTTAGTAGATACTAGGTTTGGATGAGGTCTGGTAAGACTGAGACTTTTTAAATTTTGGGGTGAGTCCTTTAATACAGCATTTTTAAAAGTGTGGTCCACATTATCAGTGCAGTGCAGTGAACTGTTTGTTAGTAACCTGCAATGGATAAGTACAGAAAGTGAAAGTCAGCATTTAGAAACTTGTAGGAATTTGACAGAATAATGATTTATTGAATTTTATAATATGAAAATTGAACTTGTATTTTACATGTCTTGAAATTCATTCTTACTGTGTTTCATAAAAGTATTTGCTCATGACTGATTGAAAATCAAAAAACAAGCAAAACTGGTCTTCACCACCGATGGTTTTCGAAACACTGCTTTCACATATATTTTACAAGGCCAGCAGTTCAGTTTTGCTGACAGAAAGATCTGAATTGTCACCTGATTCCACCTTGTTCTTAGAAATGTCAACATCCCTCTGCACCATTAATTTGCCAAAGGCAAAAATGATGTTTATACTGGATTTGTCACTTTTGCTTTTGTTGAGGTGAAGATACCATCTACTTTTAGAGAAGGAATAACATATTTCAGGGAGTGGAGCCAAGATGGCTCAATAGTAACAGCTCCAGTCTACAGCTCCCATTGTGAGTGACACAGAAGACGGGTGATTTCTGCATTTCCAACTGAGGTACCAGGTTCATCTCACTGGGGAGTGCCAGACAGTGTGTGCAGCGCACAGTGCGTGAGCCAAAGCAGGGTGAGGCATCGCCTCACCCGGGAACTGCAAGGGGTCAGGGAATTCCCTTTCCTAGTCAAAGAAAGGGGTGACAGACGGCACCTGGAAAATTGGGTCACTCCCACCCTAATACTGCGCTTTTCCAACAGGCTTAACAAATGGCACACCAGGAGATTATATCCCGCAACTGGCTCGGAGGATCCTGTGCCCACGGAGGCTCGATCATTGCTAGCACAGCAGTCTGAGATCAAACTGCAAGGCGGCAGCGAGGCTGGGGGAGGGGTGCCCGCCATTGCCGAGGCTTGAGTAGGTAAACGAAGCGGCCTGGAAGCTTGAACTGGGTGGAGCCCACCACAGCTCAAGGAGGCCTGCCTGCCTCTGTAGGCTCCACCTCTGGGGGCATGGCACAGACAAACAAAAGGCAGCAGTAACCTCTGCAGACTTAAATGTCCCTGTCTGACAGCTTTGAAGAGAGTAGTGGTTCTCCCAGCACGCAGCTTGAGATCTGAGAATGGGCAGACTACCTCCTCAAGTGGGTCCCTGACCCCCGAGTAGCCTAACTGGGAGGCATCCCGCAGTAAGGGTGGACTGACACCTCACACAGCCGGGTACTCCTCTGAGACAAAACTTCCAGAGGAACGATCAAGCAGCAGCATTTGTGGTTCACGAATATCCGCTGTTCTGCAGCCACCGCTGCTGATACCCAGGCAAACAGGGTCAGGAGTGGACCTCCAGCGAACTCCAACAGACCTGCAGCCAAGGGTCATGAGTGTTAGAAGGAAAACTAACAAACAGAAAGGACATCCACTCCAAAAACCCATCTGTATGTCACCATCATCAAAGACCAAAGGTGGATAAAACCACAAAGATGGGGAAAAAACAGAGCAGAAAAACCAGAAACTCTAAAACTCAGAGCACCTCTCCTCCTCCAAAGGAACGCAGCTCCTCACCAGCAACGGAACAAAGCTGGATGGAGAATTACTTTGACGAGTTGAGAGAAGAAGGCTTCAGAAGATCGAACTACTCCGAGCTAAAGGAGGAAGTTCAAACCAATGGTAAAGAAGTTAAAAACCTTGAAAAAAAATTAGACGAATGGCTAACTAGAATAACCAATGCAGAGAAGTCCTTAAAGGACCTGATGGAGCTGAAAACCACGGCACGAGAACTATGTGATGAATGCACAAGCCTCAGTAGTCAATGTGATCAACTGGAAGAAAGGGTATCAGCGATGGAAGATGAAATGAATGAAATGAAGTGATAAGAGAAGTTTAGAGAAAAAAGAGTGAAAAGAAATGAACAAAGCCTCCAAGAAATATGGGACTATGTGAAAAGACCAAATCTGCGTCTGATTGGTGTACCTGAAAGTGACGGGGAGAATGGAACCAAGTTGGAAAACACTCTGCAGGATATTATCCAGGAGAACTTCCCCAATCTAGCAAGGCAGGCCAACATTCAAATTCAGGAAATACAGAGAACGCCACAAGGATACTCCTCGAGAAGAGCAACTCCAAGACACATAATTGTCAGATTCACCAAAGTTGAAATGAAGGAAAAAATGTTAAGGGCAGCCAGAGAGAAAGGTCGGGTTACCCACAAAGGGAAGCCCATCAGACTAACAGTGGATCTCTCGGCAGAAACTCTACAAGCAAGAAGAGAGTGGGGGCCAATATTCAACATTCTTAAAGAAAGGAATTTTCAACCCAGAATTTCATATCCAGCCAAACTAAGCTTCATAAGCGAAGGAGAAATAAAATCATTTACAGACAAGCAAATGCTGAGAGATTTTGTCACTACCAGGCCTGCCCTACAAGAGCTCCTGAAGGAAGCACTAAACATCGAAAGGAACAACCGGTACCAGCCACTGCAAAAACATGCCAAATTGTAAAGACCATCACTGCTAGGAAGAAACTGCATCAACTAACGAGCAGAATAACCAGCTAACATCATAATGACAGGATCAAATTCACACATAACAATATTAACCTTCAATGTAAATGGGCTAAATGCTCCAATTAAAAGACACAGACTGGCAAATTGGATAAAGAGTCAAGACCCATCAGTGTGCTGTATTCAGGAAACCCATCTCACGTGCAGAGACACACATAGGCTCAAAATAAAGGGATGGAGGAAGATCTACCAAGCCAATGGAAAACAAAAAAAGGCAGGGGTTGCAATCCTAGTCTCTGATAAAACAGACTTTAAACCAACAAAGATCAAAAGAGACAAGGCCATTACATAATGGTAAAGGGACGAATTCAACAAGAAGAGCTAACTATCCTAAATATATATGCACCCAATACAGGAGCATCCAGATTCATAAAGCAAGTCCTTAGTGACCTACAAAGAGACTTAGACTCCCACACAATAATAATGGGAGACTTTAACACCCCACTGTCAACATTAGACAGATCTACTAGACAGAAAGTTAACAAGATATCCAGGAATTGAACTCAGCTCTGCACCAAGTGGACCTAATAGACATCTACAGAACTCTGTACCCCAAATCAACGGAATATACTTTCTTTTCAGCACCACACCACACCTATTCCAAAATTGACCACATAGTTGGAAGTAAAACACCCCTTAGCAAATGTAAGAGAACAGAAATTATAACAAACTGTTTCTCAGACCACAGTGCAATCAAACTAGAACTCAGGATTAAGAAACTCACTCAGAACCGCTCAACTACATGGAAACTGAACAACCTGCTCCTGAATGACTACTGGGGACATAACAAAATGAAGGCAGAAATAAAGATGTTCTTTGAAACCAATGAGAACAAAGACACAACATACCAGAATCTCTGGGACACATTCAAAGCAGTGTGTAGAGGGAAATTTATAGCACTAAATGCCCACAAGAGAAAGCAGGAAAGATCTAAAATTGACACCCTAACAACACAATTAAAAGAACTAGAGAAGCAAGAGCAAACACGTTGAAAAGCTAGCAGAAGGCAAGAAATAACTAAGATCAGAGCAGAACTGAAGGAGATAGAGACACAAAAAGCCCTTCAAAAAATCAATGAATCCAGGAGCTGGCTTTTTGAAAAGATCAACAAATTGATAGAGCACTAGCAAGACTAATAAAGAAGAAAAGAGAGAAGAATCAAATAGACACAATAAAAAATGATAAAGGTGATATCACCACCGACCCCACAGAAATACAAACTACCATCAGAGAATACTATAAACACCTCTATGCAAATAAACTAGAAAATCTAGAAGAAATGGTTAAATTCCTAGACACATACACCCTCCCAAGACTAAACCAGGAAGAAGTTGAATCTCTGAATAGACCAATAACAGGCTCTGAAATTGAGGCAATAATTAATAGCTTACCAACCAAAAAAAGTCCAGGACCAGATGGATTCACAGCCGAATTCTACCAGAGGTACAAGGAGGAGCTGGTACCATTCCTTCTGAAACTATTCCAATCAATAGAAAAAGAGGGAATCCTCCCTAACTCATTTTATGAGGCCAGCATCATCCTGATACCAAAGCCTGGCAGAGACACAACAAAAAAAGAGAATTTTAGACTAATATCCTTGATGAACATTGATGCAAAAATCCTCAATAAAATACTGGCAAACCGAATCCAGCAGCACATCAAAAAGCTTATCCACCATGATCAAGTGGGCTTCATCCCTGGGATGCAAGGCTGGTTCAACATACGAAAATCAATAAACGTAATCTAGCATATAAACAGAACCAAAGACAAAAACCACATGATTATCTCAATAGATGCAGAAAAGGCCTTTGACAAAATTCAACAACCCTTCATGCTAAAAACTCTCAATAAATTAGGTATTGATGGGACGTATCTCAAAATACTAAGAGCTATCTATGAGAAACCCACAGCCAATATCATACTGAATGGGCAAAAACTGGAAGCATTCCCTTTGAAAACTGGCACAAGACAGGGATGCCCTCTCTCACCACTCCTATTCAACATAGTGTTGGAAGTTATGGCCAGGGCAATCAGGCAGGAGAAGGAAATAAAGGGCATTCAATTAGGAAAAGAGGAAGTCAAATTGTCCCTGTTTGCAGATGACATGATTGTATATCTAGAAAACCCCATTGTCTCAGCCCAAAATCTCCTTAAGCTGATAAGCAACTTCAGCAAAGTCTCAGGATACAAAATCAATGTGCAAAAATCACAAGCATTCCTATACACCAGTAACAGACAAACAGAGAGCCAAATCATGAGTGAACTCCCATTCACAATTGCTTCAAAGAGAATAAAATACCTAGGAATCTAACTTACAAGGGATGTGAAGGACCTCTTCAAGGAGAACTACAAACCACTGCTCAGTGAAATAAAAGAGGATACAAACAAATGGAAGAACATTCCATGCTCATGGGTAGGAAGAATCAATATCGTGAAAATGGCCATACTGCCCAAGGTAATTTATAGATTCAGTGCCATCCCCATCAAGCTACCAATGACTTTCTTCAGAGAATTGGAAAAAACTACTTTAACGTTCATATGGAACCAAAAAAGATCCTGCATTGCCAAGTTAATCCTAAGCCAAAAGAACAAAGCTGGAGGCATCATGCTACCTGACTTCAAACTATACTACAAGGCTATAGTAACCAAAACAGCATGGTACTGGTACCAAAACAGAGATATAAACCAATGGAACAGAACAGAGCCCTCAGAAATAATGCCACACATCTACAACTATCTGATCTTTGACAAACCTGACAAAAACAAGCAATGGGGAAAGGATTCCCTATTTAATAAATGGTGCTGGGAAAACTGGCTAGCCATATGTAGAAAGCTGAAACTGGATCCCTTCCTTACACCTTATACAAAAATTAATTCAAGATGGATTAAAGACTTAAATGTTAGACCTAAAACCATAAAAACCCTAGAAGAAAACCTAGGCAATACCATTCAGGACATAGGCATGGGCAAGGACTTCATGTCTAAAACACCAAAAGCAATGGCAACAAAAGACAAAATTGACAAATGGTGTCTAATTAAACTAAAGAACTTCTGCACAGCAAAAGAAACCACCACCAGAGTGAACAGGCAACCCACAGAATGGGAGAACATTTTTGCAACCTACTCATCTGACAAAGGCTAATATCCAGAATCTACAATGAACTCAAACAAATTTGCAAGAAAAAAACAAACAACCCCATCAAAAAGTGGGCAAAGGATATGAACAGACACTTCTGAAAAGAAGACATTTATGCAGCCATAAAACACATGAAAAAATGCTCATCATCACTGGCCATCAGAGAAATGCAAATCAAAACCACAGTGAGATACCATCTCACACCAGTTAGAATGGCGATTATTAAAAAGTCAGGAAACAACAGGTGCTGGAGAGGATGTGGAGAAATAGGAACACTTTTACACTGTTGGTGGGACTGTAAACTAGTTCAACCATTGTGGAAGTCAGTGTGGCGATTCCTGAGGGATCTAGAACTAGAAATACCATTTGACCCAGCCATCCCATTACTGGGTATATACCCAAAGGATTATAAATCATGCTGCTATAAAGACACATGCACACGTATGTTTATTGCAGCTCTATTCACAATAGCAAAGACTTGGAACCAACCCAGATGTCCAACAATGATAGACTGGATTAAGAAAATGTGGCACATATACACCATGGAATACTCTGCAGCCATAAAAAATGATGAGTTCATGTCCTTTGTAGGGACATGGATGAAGCTGGAAACCATCATTCTCAGCAAACTATCACAAGGACAAAATACCAAACACTGCATATTCTCACTCATAGGTGGGAATTGAACAATGAGAACACATGGACACAGGAAGGGGAACATCACACACCGGGGGCTGTTGTGGAGTGGGGGATGGGGGAGGGATACCATTAGGAGATATACCTAATGCTAAATGACTAGTTAATGGGTGCAGCACACCAACATGGCACATGGCTACATATGTAACACACCTGCACGTTGTGCACATGTACCCTAAAACTTAAAGTGTAATAATAATAAAATTAAAAAAAAGAAAAAAAAATATAACATATTTCAAAAAATGTGTTGCTGCCACATTAAGTAGATTATTTCTGGCAGATTCAGTTTCTTAACTACTTTTTATAACCCATTCATTCCTTCTTTTCATTTTTTATAGCAAGATGACACAATGAAATGAGAACATGTATTTAAAGAAGAATAGAGAAGGCTTAATGATTGATTTGACAAAGTTGACGAAAAAGGGAAAATCAAAAATGACTAATCTTTGAAATGCCATTATCTTGGACAATTTAGAGGGAAGTTGGTTTTAGAAGAATACCATAGGGTTGTTCTACATTAGTTATTGAATGTGTTGAAGTTATAGTTGAAGCCATTAGTTATGATAATGTCTTTTTTTTTTTTTTTTTTGAGATGGAGTCTCACCCTGTCACCGAGGCTGGAATGCAGTGGCATGATCTCGGCTCGCTGCAACCTCTACCTCCTGTGTTCAAGTGATTCTCCTGCCTCAGCCTTCTGAGTAGCTGTGATTACAGGCATGCAGCACCACGCCTGGCTAATTTTTGTATTTTTAGTACAGGTGGGGTTTCACTGTGTTGGCCAGGCTGGTCTAGAACCCCTGCCTTCAGGTGATCCGCCTGCCTTGGCCTCCCAAAGTGCTGGAATTATAGGTGTGAGCCATCAAGTCCAGCCGACAATATCTTAAAGATGGAGTTTAATTCTCTGGTCAACAAATACATGTAATGAAATTAACAAAACCATATAAACAAAAGAGCTTTGATATGTTTCTAAAGTTAGAGGAGAGGATAGGTAATAGGAAAAGTAACTGGGAAAGACCATCGAAAGTTTAGTAGAGAAATAAGTGAAATCTCACAAAAGGAAAGGAAGAGGGGAAGAGTTTTATAAGTAAGAGGTTAACAGATTTACACCTCCCCTCTCAGAAAATAATTTGTTTAGAAAGAAATAACAGGTGTTCTGAAACAGAATAGTTTGTAGAAGTAGTTATACAAGGAACTGGGGGTTAAGAGAAGAATTATAAATAATCTGTGATATCTAGTATGTCCTATTTACTAGGATCTCACACTTTAGTAAAGGAGACAAGCATGTAATAATATTAGTGTCATATATCATGATTTCTTCTTTGACTATGGATTACATAGGAGTGCATTGTTAAATTTCCAAATAGAAATTAGAAAGTTACTGGTCTTTTTAAGCTTAATTCCATTACGGTTAAGAACATATTCTGTAAGATTTCAATCCTTTGAAATTTGGGACTCATTTTATGGCTTGTCTTATAGTCTGTCATAGTGGATGTACCAAGTGCACTTAAAAGAATGCATATTTTGCCAGTGGAGTTGTGTTCTGTGTCATTTAGGTCAGGGTGGTTGACAGTGTTATTTAGATCTTCTATGTACTGATTTTTTTGTTTAGTGGTTCTATCAATTGCTGAGAGAGCTGTTAAAATCTCTAGCTATTATTGTGGATTTGTCTATTTCTTCCTGCAGTTTTGTCAATTTTTGTTTCATGAATTTTGAAGCTCTGTAATTAAAACACAATGAATGCTACATTTTCCTGATGAACTGGACTTTGTATCATTGTGAAATATCCTTCTTTATCACTGGTAATGCTCTTTGTTTACTTTATTTGAAGTTAATATCACTCCAGCATTCTTACGCTTATGGTTGCATGCTATATCTTTTTCCTTCTTAGTTTCAACTTACCTGTGTCATATTTAGTTTGTCTCTTTTAGGCAACACATCCTTGGGTCTTAAACTTTTATCTATTCAAATAATTTCTGCCTCTTAACTGGAGTATCTAGTTCACTGGCATTTACAATAACTATTGATATGATTGGATTTAGGCCTACCATTTTACTCTTTGTTTTCTGTTTGCTTATCTGTTTTTTGTTCTTCTATCTTCCATTTTTGCTTTCTCTTGGGTTAAGTGCATCCTTTAAAAAATTTCATTTTACTTAACATAATGACCTCCAGTTCTGTCCATGTTGCTGCAGATGACAGGATTTCATTCTTTTCTATGGCTGAATAGTCTTCGGTTGTCAGAGGCTGAGAAGGGTACCAGGGTAGGAGGGGATGAAGTGAGATTGGTTAATGGGTACAAAAATACAGTTATATAGAAGAAATAAGACCTAATGTTGTACAATTCAGTAGGTTGATAGTAAACAGTAATCTACTGTATATTTCAGAATAGCTAGAAGATAATAATTCAAATGTTCCCAACATAAAGAAAAGATAAATGTTTAAAGTGGTGGGCATCCCAATTACCTTGATTTGATAATTATAGATTATATATGATTGTATCAAAATGTCACATGTACTCCCCAAATAGGTCCATCTGTTATATATTAATAAATTTTTAAAAACTATCATAACATTTCTTTGGGGTCTTTAACTATTTGTTTTTGCACTATTTTATTTCTTAGAGGTGATTTTGGAGTCACAATACACATCCTTTCTATTGTACTACCTTATGTAAAATGTAAGCACTTGTAGTCTTTTATGCTACAGTTGTCATGTTACTGTATTTACATGTTATAAGCCCTACAATACAGGGTTTTGTGCTTTAAGCAGTCTCATGTATATTATGGAAGTAAAGAGGGAAAAACAGTGTTTTATATTTATCCAGGTATATATTAATATGATATCTACAGTTCTTTTTTCTTTTCTGGACACTCAGCTTTCCACTTGTGGTATCACTTTCCTTTAGCTGCAGAATTTTCTTTAGCCCAGGGATCAGCAAACTTTGGAAGCCTATGGGCCAAATGTGGTCCACCTGTTTTTAATCAATAAAGCTTTATTGGAACACTGCTTTGCTCATTTGTTTATGGTTTTTAATGACTGCTTTTGCACCGTAGTAGTAGAATTGTGCAGTTGTGACAGAGACTGCAAAGCCTAAAATATTTACTCTTCGCCCTTTTACAGAAAATGTTAGCCAATCCCTGCTTTCGGATATCTTCCAGTGTATGTCTGCTGGTGACTGATTATCTCAGGTTATTATAAAAAATGATTTTAGTTTACCTTTATTCTGGAAGGATATTTTTGCTGGATATAGTTCTGTTTTTTTTTTCTTTCGGTACTTTCAAGATATCGTTCCACTTCTGACCTCTCTCCTTTATTTTTCTCTCTCTTTTTTTAATGCTCTCTCTCAGCAAAATCATCTCCATCGTTTCTGATGAGAAGTCAGCTTTCCTTTGTATTTTTGTTCCCCTGTATATAATGTGTTATCTTTTTCTGGTTGCTTTGAAAATTTTACTATATTTGGTTTTCTGAAGATTGACTTTGATGTGTCTGGATTTAGTTTTATTTGTATCTACATTTCCTAGTATTTACTGAAGTTACAGATTTGTAGAGTTGCATCTTTTGCTAAAGATGGAAAATTTTGGCCATTATATTTTCAGGTATACATTTGCACCTTTTTACTTATCCTTGCCTTCTGGCATTCTAATTCCACTTATGTTAGACCTTTTGATATTGCACTGCAAGTCACTGAGCCTTTGTTCACTTTGTTTGTGGGAGGGAAGAAACAGTATTTTTTTGTATCTGTCTCTGAAATTGAATAATTTCTGTTGCTCTGTCTTCATGTTCACTGACTCCTTTGTCATCTCCAGTCCACTTTTGAGCTCATTTGTAAATTTTAAAATTTCAAATGATCTGTGTTTTTATTTCTAGGATTTCCATTTGGGAATTTAGTTTCTGTGTCTCCACTGAACTTTCTTTTTTTGCTTTTTTATTGGTACCGTTTTTTTCTTTGGTCATAGTCGTAATGTTTACTTTAAATCTTTTTCTGCAAACTCCAACATCTAATTCATCTCAGGGTTGGTATTTCTTGACTGACTTTTCTCTTGAGTGTTGGTCACATTTTCCTGTTTCTTCATAGGCTTATTAATTTGGGAGTGTATTCTGAATGTTGTAAATGATACATCCTAGAACTGGCTTCTGTTATGTTTCTCCATAGGACATTGAGGTTGTTTAGCAGGCAGTTAACTTGGCTGGGCTCCAGCTCCAAGCTCTCTCTTCCTGTGGGGAGAAGCAGCTTAAATCTTTTTTCAGTTCTTTTAGATGTAGCTGGGCTGCTGGGAGTCTGTCCTTGTGAGAGGTGACAGCGTGCTGGCAGTCCTCACAGCCCTCGCTTGCTTTCAGCGCCTCCTCTGCCTGGGCTCCTACTTTGGCGGCACTTGAGGAGCCCTTCAGCCCACCGCTGCACTGTGGGAGCCCCTTTCTCGGCTGGCCAAGGCCAGAGCCCACTCCCTCAGCTTGCAGGGAGGTGTGGAGGGAGAGGCACGAGCGGGAACTAGGGCTGCGTGCGGCGCTTGCGGGCCAGCTGGAGTTCTGGGTGGGCGTGGGCTTGGCGGGCCCCAAACTCGGAGCAGCCGGCCGGCCCTGCTGGCCCTGGGCAATGACGGACTTAGCACCCGGGCCAGCTGCTGCGGAGGCTGTACTGGGTCCCCCACCGGTGCCAGCCCACCGGCGCTGCGCTCGATTTCTTGCCGGGCCTTAGCTGCCTTCCCGCGGGGCAGGCCTCGGGACTGCAGCCTGCCATGCCTGAGCCTTCCCCGCCTCCGTGGGTTCCTGTGCAGCCTGAGCCTCCCTGATGAGCACCGCCCCCTGCTCCACGGCGCCCAGTCCCATCGACCGCCCAAGGGCTGAGGAGTGCGAGCGCATGGCGCAGGACTGGCAGGCAGCTCCACCTGCAGCCCCAGTGCGGGACCCACTGGGTGAAGCCAGCTGGGCTCCTGAGTCTGGTGGGGACGTGGAGAGTCTTTATGTCTAGCTTAGGGATTGTAAACACACCAATCAGCACCCTGTGTCTAGCTCAAGGTTTGTGAGTGCACCAATCGACACTCTGTATCTAGCTGCTCTGGTGGGGCCTTGGAGAACATTTATGTCTAGCTCAAGGTTTGTAAACACACCAATCAGCACCCTGTGTCTAGCTCAAGGTTTGTGAGTGCACCAATCGACACTCTGTATCTAGCTGCTCTGGTGGGGCCTTGGAGAACCTGTGTGTCCAAACTCTGTATCTAACTAATCTGATGGGGACGTGGAGAACCTTTGTATGTAGCTCAGGGATTGTAAACCACCAATCAGCGCCCTGTCAAAACAGGCCACTCGGCTCTACCAATCAGCAGGATGTGGGTGGGGCCAGATAAGAGAATAAAAGCAGGCTGCCCGAGCCAGCATTGGCAACCCGCTCCGGTCCCCTTCCACACTGTGGGAGCTGTGTTCTTTCGCTCTTTGCAATAAATCTTGCTACTGCTCACTCTTTGGGTCCACACTGGTTTTATGAGCTGTAATACCGTGGAGGTCTGCAGCTTCACTCCTGAGCCAGCGAGACCATGAACCTACCGGGAGGAACGAACAACTCCACATGCGCCGCCTTAAGAGCCGTAACACTCACCGCGAAGGTCTGCAGCTTCACTCCTGAGCTAGCGAGACCATGAACCCACCAGAAGGAAGAAACTCCGAACACATCTGAACATCAGAGGGAACAAACTCCGGACACGCCGCCTTCAAGAACTGTAACACCGCGAGGGTCCGCGGCTTCATTCTTGAAGTCAGTGAGACCAAGAACCCACCAATTGCGGACACACTTGCGTTGCATAGGTCATTGGTCAGCTAGAGATTTGGGCAGAGTTCATATGCAGAATTTGGGTCTTCTTTATGTTTCTCTCTGATTTCTCCTCTCACTTTCTAGCCGCTGTAGTCACTCTGAATTGTCCTCTGTCTCCTTAGGTCATTGAGGCTGTGGTTTCCGGCTGAGTTTTACCTGAATTTTTCTGAGTGGGGCGTATCTTCAGGAGGAGAGCCATATGTAAAAGTAGAAATTTTTCTAGTGCCATTCCTTTTTTTTTTCATATCTAGACTCCATTCTAGTTTCTGCTACCTTTTGTTCGTTCAGGTAATCTTTTATATTTCATCCAGATTTTATAGTTGGTTTCTGTGGAAGGGTTGATCTGATAGAAGCCACTTTATCATTCCTGGAAGTGGAGTCTCTGGAATATATTTTAAAATTGAACCAGTAAATATACACTTTGTTCACAATGTTTTACATGAAAGGATAAAATAGTAACATGATAGAAATTCAGAAGTAACCTGATGAAAATATCACAGAATCGTAGTTTTGTTTTTCTGACTTAAGATAACAGTTCAAACTGAACTGTCCTCTCTCTCTGAAATGAATACTTTCTACTTTAAGTAGATGGAAGCTTTGCTAACTTTAATAGTCTCGAAGTTTACCAGGGTCACTTTGGTTCTTATGTTTTAGTTTTGTGTGTTTGTCTGTGAATTATAAACTCAGAATTCTATAGGCAACAAAAATATTCTTTAAACTTTTTGTCAGCTTGACAATGCTATGCCTTTGCATGGGCTTGGTGTTCACTGGACATCTTGTGTCTGAAAATTTCTCTGAGATTGAATTTGGGAAACTTGCAGCCATTATTTCTTCAAATAAAATATCAGCCCCATTCTCTTCCTCCTCTCCTTTTGGTATTCCAATTGCACATATGTTGGGCCATTTGATAATACATAACAGATTACTGAGCCTCTATTCATTTGTTAAAAAAATCTTTTATCTTTTTATTCTTCTCCTTGGATAACTTTAACCTATTTTCAAGTTCACTTACTCTTTTTCTGTTTTATCTCCACTTGGTTCTTAAGTCCATCAGCTGATATTTTTTTATTTCAGAAATTGTAGTTTTACTTCTAGGATTTCTGTTTCTTTTTAAATAATTTATAAGTTTTTTGTTTGAAATTTTTCATGTATTGAAAGCATTTTATTTCATTGAGGATTTTTATAATAATTGCTTTGAAGTCTGTGTGTTCTAGTATCTGGTTCATTCTGGAGCTGTATTCAGATAGGATTTGGGTCTCCTTTCTTGCTCTTTGTTTTCTGGGGCTCCCCCCAGCCTTAGCCCTCAGTGTTCATGGTTTTCCAGCTTCACTTTTCTGGTTCCCCAGGCCAGAAAGACTATTTTTGGCTTTTCTGTGGCTTCTTTGCCACTGTGCCTTAGCTTCAGGATAAAAATTGCAGTGACAGGAACGTATTTGTATTGTTCCTTGACTTCCCTACTGTATGTGAGTATGAACTTCATACCAGATTCTGTCTGCTTCTATTTACTGTTTTTTTAAGTAGTTGCCTTTTCAGTCTGTTCAGGTTTTATAGTTGTTTTCTGCCAGAGAGAGGTTGGTTCAGTAGGTTCTTAAATCCATCGTACCTGAGTGGACATTCATGTTTTAGTTTTGAAGTAATTTTAAAAGCAAATTAATTTATACTGTTGCTGCTACTCTATTCATTATCTATTCATAATAAGGAGGATTGCAAGTAATTTCTGATATCTATAGATGTAAGCACTGAGTAGGAATATTAGGTTCACAAATATTTTATTATTGAATATCAACTCTGAGCCAAGCACTTGTGATAGAAAGAAAAATAAGGCAAACTACTCTCAGGGTACTTAAAATCTGGTAGAAACATAAAGGGAAGATTGGTGGGCATTGATTTCACTGACTTCCACATACTAAGCTAAATCACTTTTTGCATTTGTTCAGCCTTATTATTAGGGATAGAACTTACTTGTAAAAAGAAAAAAAAATTCAAGTTTTTTTACAATTGGAGTTAATTGTTACTGTTTTGTTTTTTTTTTTTTTTTTTTGCATTTGATAGGCTTTTTAAACTAGCTTGGTGAAAGTAGCTTTTTTTTAAAACAGAGGTCTGTCTTGTTGCTTCTTGTTCCAAGAGTTTAGCCTGGTCCTTACTCAGAAACATTGCTTAATTCCATGACAGCTTATTGTTATAAATTTGTGGATTATTTTGCCATTTTCTTAAGTACTCTTAAAAATAGAAAATCCTAGAAGAGAACTCGGGAATTTGCCCGAATGTCGCAAAACTTTTCTGATAATTGTTCAAACAAGGGAGTTTTAAAAATTGTTGTCCCTTGTGCTTACAGGTTGATTAGAGATGGGGGAAAATGGTGACAGACTGGGAACTGGAGAACTTGGCTTGATTGCAAACTTGAAGAAACACTCTCTCTTAGTATTGTATGTGCTCTAGGTGGGCAACAAATGAGAGCTCACAGCCAGAGCAAGTCCATGAAAAAGGACTGTGGTGGATTTCATTGTAAACGTGTTCAGTGTTGTAGGGCTCATCTGGGTCAAAAATTAAAGATGTTTAGTAATCCAGGAAATACAAAAATGATCAGAAGTAGGCTTCTGATATGGGACAGACACTCAGGAGCGAAGTAAGGATTTGAGATAGAGTCATCCACTTAAAGGTGATAGTTAAACTTGAGAATAGGAGGAGGAGAGAGACTATAAAAGAATGTGCAGAGGTCTCTGAATCCATCACATGACAAATTGTATAGTTTCTCACTATCACTTTGTCTAACCCAGAACTTTTTAGAAAAATCAACTGAAAGAGAAACTCGCCAAGAATATGCCCTGGCTATGATTCAGTGCAAAGTTCTGAAACAGTTGGAGAACTTGGAACAGCAGAAGTACGATGATGAAGATATCAGCGAAGATATCAAATTTCTTTTGGAAAAACTTGGAGAGAGTGTCCAGGACCTTAGGTGTGTTATTCTTTTTAATTCTCATGTGCTGGATCTGTTGGGCTTTGTTTGACTTGCATAGCATTTTAAGAAAACCTGAATTTGTTGTCACCTATACAAATCAAGAGAGTCCACTAAAATACGTTAATGTCTCCTGAGAAGACATCATTCTGACATGGCAACAATTGGTCAGAACTGTGTGTTATCTCTTCTTATTTACGGAGATTCCCACTGTTTTCTGCCGTCTAAACTCTGACCGGCTTTACTCCCTCAGGATGACTCCACCCTGGAGCTCCTCGAGTCTTCTCTTAGAGTCTTTTTAAGCAACAAAGGTAGTTTGTTAATTAGTGGAGGAGGTTTGCCTGTATATGGAGAAAGTATTTGTTTTCCTGCTTTTTGAAGGCCTTTTGGCTCATGTTTTAATATTAAAAATAATGTAAATAATGTATGTACAGTAAAGAATTAGCCACTATGGAAGGGACTCCATGCCACTCCCACCATCTTCACTGCCTCGCCTCACTCTCCCTCGGGTCTCTTGTGTTTGCTTCCAAAAAGCCTTCTAACCCCTCTCTGCCTGCCCCCTACAACCCACAAATTGGGCTCTGCATATTCTTTTGGATCTTGTTCTTTTTCTGTTTCGTACATAATATCTTGATGATCTTTTCCATTAACACTCATATTCTTTGTTTTTAAATTACCACTGGCATGTTTTTAAAAGAGTTACTCTCTGGAAATAGAAACTTCTCTTGGGTGGATTGGGGTTTGGAGCCAGGCTGATTCTTGGAATTGTTTGGCTACTTTTTCCCTGTGTGGCCTTGCACAAGTGTCTTGACTTTTTCAAGTCTGTTTTCCTTTTGGTAAAACAGTAATAAAAATGCTAACCTTGCAGGATTTGTTGTGAGGTTCCGTCTGCCCTGCAAATGCCTTCAGCATAGTATGTGCTCCAGAAATGTATTTACCAGATGATTCAGTACAGCCGTAATCCCAAGGCCCAAAGATTTCCCAGAGATGGGAGGTGTTATCTGTATCAGTGGTTTGTAATGGATTTTGTGGAGGAAGAAAAATGATTTTTATTATTCTAGATTTTCAAATATTTCAAATATGGATACATTGATTATAATAGGCAGGCCAGGAATAGGCTTCACAGCTATACATTCTGTTCCTATGTTTATTAAAAACTGATGACTGGTTCTCCGTAATAATCATTTAAGGCCTGTTTTTGCAAAAAATAAGATTAGTGATAGCTTTCTAAATGATTTAATCAATTTTAGCTAATTATTATTGATTATCTTGAATTTGGTAATTTGAAAAATACTATTTACATAAAGCTAATAGGGTGATGGGTGCAGCTAAAAGAGGCTTTTCTCTGTTTTTGCTGTTACAGGATTAGGATATGAATATTAAAAATACTTGTTTACTTCTTATACTAACTGGCCCTACATTAAAGTATTGTACTACTTTATTCAAATGGTACCCTCTGATCAACTTATCTAGTACATCCTGGTTATACCGAATTACTAGTAGTATTTGAATGGTTACATCTTTTATAAATTTTTACTTCAGAGAAAGTCCAAGTATGTTCTGACTGTGTTTGTCTACTGGCTAACCACATTAAACATTTTCCTACTGTAAAGCTTGGAATAATCAAGTTACTATCCAGTGAATGGTTTTTAAATTAAGGTGAATTGCAGTTTGTTATATGTACAGAGGCTTTTGTATTTAGTCTGTAATGGATTAATTCAATTAATTATGTCTACACTCTTTGTAATCACATTGTAAAATATTGTGCCAATAAGTGTGATTTTGTTTTTGTGATGTATTATTACAGTTTATGATATTTATAGTATAATATGAGTTTATTATGTTAAAGTACTATGCTTTTACATAACATATTATTTTGCCTGTTGGTCTGGGAAATACAGTATTTCAAGTGTCATGGTAGAAATTCTGATTATCAATTTTTTTGCTTATACACATTCATGTATATATTGGAGTAAGGATTTTGAAAGCAAGTGCTGATTTTTATGTCTCATACCCAGCATTCAAATTTGACAGGAGGGTTGGACCTTACTACACTGAATAAAATTTCACATGATTTATTAAAGATTATTTAAACTGTTTAAAGTTCGTTTGGTGGTAGTTTTTTAATGTACAAAGGATGGTCAGTCTTTGTAATTAAATAATAAGTGAAGACATTTTATTTTGCTTAATTTTGGAGTACTGTCAGATTCTTATAAACCTTGAATTCTTTTGAACATTTTTATAGTTCATTTGATGAATACAGTTCAGAACTTAAATCTGGAAGGTTGGAATGGAGTCCTGTGCACAAATCTGAGAAATTTTGGAGAGAGAATGCTGTGAGGTTAAATGAGAAGAATTATGAACTCTTGAAGTAAGTTTTTTGTTCTACTTTACACTCTTAATATCTGTTATCCCAAATCCTCACCAACACTCGTTTTTGTCACTCTAAATTTTAGATATTCTATGGTTTTAATTTGTATTTTCTTGCTGACTAATGTGGTTGAATGCCTTTTCATATCCTTTTGACCATCTGGACATCTCTTCTTGGAGAAGTGCCTGTTCAAGTCTATTTTCTTTCCTTCTACAGGAGTTCTATATGTATTCTGAACATGAAGTTGTTGTCTCATATATATATTTTCATCACAGCCATTTTGTCCCCACTCTGTTGCATGCCATTTTACTTTTTAATGGTGTCTTGATGAAGAGATGCTCTAAATTTCGATGTAGGTCAATTCATCAGTCTTTCCCTGTATGGCTAGTGCTTTTCTGTGTCCTGGTTAAGAAGTTTTTGCCTACTCAAGGTCATGAAGATGTCTTTATGTGATATCTCCTAGAAGCTTTATTGTTTAACTTCTTATATTTAGATACCCAGTCCATCTGGAATTGATTTTTGGGTAAGGGATAAAGTAGGAAACAGGATTTATTTTTTTCTTTCCATAGATATCTAATTGAACCAGCCCCATTTATTGAAAACACTTCCACCAGTGCCCTCCAGGTTTACCTTTGTCATAATAAGATGACTAATATGTGTAGGTTTCTTTCTTTTTTTAGTGAGGTATAATTTGTATAGCATACAATTCATCTGTTTAAACCGTAGAATTCAGTGGTTTTTAGTATATTCAGATATTTGTACCCATTGACAAAATCAGTTTAGAACATTTTCATTGCTTCAAAAAGAAACCCCATATCCTTTGGCCGTCACCTCTCTATCCACCCATCTACCTAGCCCTAAGTAACCACCAATATCTCGATTTGCCTGTTACAGAAATTTCATGTAAATGGAATCATATAATAGATTTTTTTTTGTGACTGGCTTCTTTCATGTACTGTAATGTGTTCAGGGCTCATCCATGTTGTGGAATTTATCACTACTTCATTCCTTTTTATGGTTGAATGATTTTCCGTTGTGGATAAGACCACATTTTATTTATTCACTCATCAGTTCATGGACTTTTGGGTTGTTTCTACCTTTTGGTTATTATAAATATTGCCAATAATACTTGTGGTATGAGTTGTTGTGTGGGTGTATGTTTTCATTTGTCTTGCTGTTAGATACTTGGGTGTGAAATTGCTGAGTCATATGTTAACTCTGTGATTAACCATTTGAGGAACTGCCAGACTGTTTTCCAAAGTGGCTACACAATTTTCTGTTCCCACCAACAGTGAATGAGGGTTCTGATATCTCCACATCTTTGCCAACGTTTATTATGACCTTTTTGATTCTAGCCACTCACACTGAGTGAGTGTGCAGTGATATCTCATTGTGGTGTCTATTTGTATTTCCTGATGGCTGATAATGTCAAGCATCTTTTCATGTGCTTATTGGCCATTTGTATATCTACTTTGGAGAAATGTCTGTTCAGATGCTTGGCTCATTTTTTAGTTGGATTGTCTTCTTATTACTTAGTTGTAGGGGTTCTTCATATATTCTGGATACAGGTCCAAGATCATATATGTGATTTGCAAATATTTTGTCTCATTTTGTGGGTTATCTTATCACTTTGTTGATAGTGTCCTTTGAAGCACAAAAGTTTTAAAATTTCGATCAAGTCTAATTTGTTGTTTCCTTAGTTTCTCATGCTTTTGGTCTGTTGCCAAAACTGATTTACTCCCATGTTTTCACAATATTTTTATAGATTTAGTTCTTACATTTGGGTTCTTGATCCATTTTGAGTTAATTTTTGTATATGGTATGAAGTAAGGTTCCAACTTCTTTCTTTTGCATGTGGCTATCCTGTTGTCCTAAGTACTATTTGTTGAAAAGATTGTTCTTTACCTATTGAATTATCTTGGCATCCTTGTGGAAAATCAATTGACTATAGACATGGGTTTATTTCTGAACTCTCTGTTGGTCAGTAAGATTACTGTGATAGTAGTACCACACTGTTTTGATTGCTGTTGCTTTATAGTCAGTTTGGAAAACAGGAAGTATGACTCTTATACCTTTTTTCTTTTTATAAAAAAAAAGAGTGTATCTTTATTTAATGAGTCTCTAATTGGTAGATATTTTAAATTGTTACTAGAGTTTGCTGTCACACACAGTGTGAGAATTACTAATATATACTTTACTACAACTTTTAAAATAGACTTTAATTTTTAGAACAATTTTAGATTCACAGAAAAATTGAGCAAAAAGTAGAGTGCTTTCATATGCTACCTCTACCTCCACCAACACACAGTTTCCTGTTTCTAACATCCTGTTTTTAGCATTAGTGTGGTACATTTGTTACAATTGATGAACTAATATTGATATGTTATTATTAACTAAAATTCATACATAGTTTGCATTAGGATTCTTTTGGGGAACCTGCCCCGAAAATCACGTAGGTTCTTTTCTATTTTCCTAAGTGTCAGCTGGCTTGAGAAATAAAGGGACAGAGTACAAAAGAGAGAAATTTTAAAGCTGGGCATCCGGGGAAGACATCACACGTTGGTAGGATCCGTGATGCCCCACAAGCCACAAAAACCAGCAAGTTTTTATTAGGGAGTTTCAAAAGGGGAGGGAGTGTGCGAATAGGTGTGGGTGACAGACATCAAGTTCTTAACAGGGTAATAGAATATCACAAGGCCAGTGGAGGCAGGGCAAGATCACAGGACCACAGGACTAAGGCGAAATTAAAATTGCTAATGAAGTTTCAGGCACCATTGTCATTGATAACATCTTATCAGGAGACAGGGTTTTGAGATCAACCGGTCTGACCAAATTTATTAGGCAGGAATTTCCTCTTCCTAATAAGCCTGGGAACGCTATGGGAGACTGGAGTTTATTTCACCTCTGCAGTCTCAACCATAAGAGACAGGTACACCCTGGGGGGGCCAGTTCAGAGACCTACCCCTAGGTGCGCATTCTCTTTCTCAGGGATATCCCATGCTGAGAAAAAGAATTCAGCGATATTTCTCCCATTTGCTTTTAAAAGAGGAGAAATACGGCTCTGTTCTGCCCTGCTCACCAGTGGTCAGAGTTTAAGGTTATCTCTCTTATTCCCTGAACAATTGCTATTATCCTGTTCTTTTTTCAGGGTGCCCACATTTCATAATGCTCAAACACACATGCTGTACAATTTGTGTAGTTAACGTAATTATTACAGGGTCCTGAGACGATATACATCCTCCTCAACTGACAGGATTAAGAGATTAAATTAAAGACAGGCATAGGAAATCACAAGGGTATTGATTGGGGAAGTGATAAGTGTCCATGAAATCTTTACAATTTATGTTTAGAAATTGCAGTAAAGACAGGCATGAGAAATTACAAAAGTATTAATTTGGGGAACTAATAAATGTCCATAAAATCTTCACAATCCACGTTCTTCTGCCATGGCTTCAGCCGGTCCCTCCGTTTGGGGTCCCTGACTTCCCGCAACAGGATTCACTCTTTGTATTGTGTAGTTTCCTCATTATGAACTTTTCAACTTTGTGTATAGCTCTGTGGGTTTTGACAAGACTATCTTTGCTCCAATGAATTGCCCTTGCTCTGTTAAAAGATCAGTTGACTATATTTGTGTGGGTCTATTTCTGGGCTCTCTGTTCTGTTTCAGCGATCTATTTGTCTATTCTTTTACCAATACCACATTCTTTTGAGTACTGTGGCTTTATAGTAAATCTTGAAGTTGGTAGTGTCAGTCCTCTGACTTTGTTGTTCTTTAATATTGTGCTGGCCATTCTGAGTCTTTTGCTTTTCCATAACTTTAGAATATATGGAAACAAACATTAGTTTGTCAGTATCTACAAAATAACTTGCCAGGATTTTGATTGGGATTGCATTGAATCTGTAAATCAAGTTGGGAACAGTTGATATCTTGACAGTATAGAGTCTTTCTACTTGTGAACGTGGAATATCTGTTTATTTGTTTCAATTTTCTTTGATTTCTTTCATTTGGCTTTTGTTTTCCTCTTATAGATCTTGCACATATTTTGTTACATTTATACCTAAGTATTTCTCTTTCTTTCTTTCTTTCTTTTTTTTTGGTGCTAATGCTGATGGTCTTGTGTGTGTGTGTGTGTGTGTGTGTGTGTGTGTGTGTGTGTGTGTGTTGTTGTTGTTGTTGTCCACCACCCTCCCCGCCCTGCCCTTTTTTTTTTTTTTTTTGAGACAGAGTCTCACTCTGTTGTCCAGGCTGGAGTGCAATAGCGCAATTTCAGCTTACTGCAGCCTCCGCCTCCCGGGTGCAAGATTCTCCAGCCTCAGCCTCCTAAGTAGCTGGGATTACAGGCGCGCACCACCACGCCCAGCTCATTTTTGTATTTTTAGTAGAGACGGGGTTTCACCATGTTGGCCAGGCCAGTCTCTAACTCCTGACCTCGTGATCTGCCCACCTCAGCCTCCCAAAGTCCTGGGATTACAGATGGGAGCCACCATGCCTGGCCTTCCCCCGCCTTTTTAAGAGGCAGGATCTAGCTCTGTCACCCAGATTGGAGTGAAGTGGTGCGATCATAGCTAACTGTAACATCAAACTTCTGGGCTCAAGAGATCCTCCCATCTCAGCCTCTTGAGCAGCTAGGACTACAGGCACATACCACCATGCCCGGCTATTTTGTTTTTGTTAAATTTTTGTGGAGATGGGATGTCACTCTGTTGCACAGGTTGGTCTCGAACTCCTGGCCTCACAGCAGTCCTCCCATCTCTGCCTTCCAAAATGCTAGGATTATAGGCATGAGCCACCATGCTTGGCCTAGTGCTGTGTTTTTAATTTGAAATTCCAGTTGTTCAGAGATAGTGTATGGGAAAACAACTGACTCATAGATGTACCTTGTATCCTGCGACTTTGCTGTAATTATTTCTTTTATTTCCTTTTTTGTCTTATTACACTTAATGATACTTCCAATATGATGGTGAATAGAGTGATGAGAGGGTACATCCTTGCGTTGCTTCTGATCTTAGGGAGGAAAGCATCTAGTTTCTCATTATTCAGTATGATACTAACTATAGATTTTTTTTTTTGCACATCATCTTTATCTGATAAAGTTGAGAATGTTTCCCTCTATTCCTAATTTGCTGAGAGTTTTTATCATGAATGGATGTTAAATTTGTCAAATAATTTTCCTGACTCTATTGATATGATTTTTCTTTTTTAGCCTGTTGATGTGATGGGCTACATTAATTGATTCTCAAATATTACGCTAGCCTTGCATACCCGGACTCAATCCTGTTTGGTCATAGTTTATAATTCGTTTTATATGTTATTAGATTTGATTTGCCAATATTTTTGTTGAGGATTTTTGCATCTATGTTCATGAGAGATAGTGCTCTGTAAATTTCCTTTCTTGTGATGTTTTTTTCTGATTTTGGGATTATGGTAATGTTGGTCTCATAGAATGAGTTAAGAGGTGTTCCCGCTGCTTCTTTTTCTGGAAGAGACTGTAGAGAATTGGTATTGTTTACTTCTTAAATGTTTGACATAATTTACCAGTGAGAACATGTGGGCCTGTTGCTTTCTGTTTTGTAAGGTTATTAATTACTCATTTCTTTAATAGATACAGGCCTATTCAGATTATCCACTTCTCCTTAGGTGAGCACTGTGAAGGCCACCTAACTTCCATAAGACTGGACTCCTTGGGGTTTTTATTTCTCTAGCTAGTTCTTGTTAAATCTTTAGCAATGAGTCAGTTACCCTTTAAGTGTTTCTACCAGTTGATAGATCCAACAGCAGTTTCTGCTGCCAATAAGCTTTGATTCTCTGTCACCCATCTCTCTAGCTTCCAGGGAGATGGTTTGTCCTGGGACCTCAGTTCTCTGATGGTTCCTGATGGATCTAAGAAGACTTGTTTTGTTCAGCATTTTTTTTTTTCCTGCTGTGAGGATTGGAGTGATGATTTCCAAGCTCTTTACATGCTGTACCAGAAACTGGAAGTCTGCTCTTTTGTTTCCAAGATGATTTTGGCTATCTGGGTCCCTTAACATTTTATATGAATTTTAGAATCACCTTGTTAAAATCTACAAGGAACCCAGTTTGGACTAATAGGGATTCTGTTGAAGCTGTAAGTCAGTTTGAGGAGTATTTGGTATTCAGATCCATGAACCTGGGATGTTTTCTGATTTGTTTACATCGTATTTAATTTCTTTCAACAGTGTTTTGTAGATTTCAGAAAATAAGTTTTGCATGTCTTTTGTTAAATTTATTTCTAAATATTTTGTCCTTTTGATGCTATTGTAAATGAAGTTGTTTTCTTCTTTTTCAATTATTTATTGCAAGTTTATAGAAAAACAATTGAGTTTTGTAGATTGAACTTATGAAACCTTTGTCTTTATTGGATTCCTTTGCATCTTCTGTCTGCTGTTGGCCCTTGAAAATGCAGGAATTAGGGATGCCGACCCTCCTCCCCCACAGTCAAAAAGCCGTGTATAACTTTTAGCTTCCCCAAAACTTAACTACTAATAACTTCCTGTTGACTAGAAGCCTCACTGATAAGAAACAGTTGATTAACACATATTTTGAATGTTACATGTATTATATACTGTATTCTTACAATAAAGTAAACTAGAGAAAAAATGTTATTAAGAAAATCATAAGAAAGAGAAGATATATTTACTGTCCATTAAGTGGAAGTGGATCATTGTAAAGGTCTTCATCCTCCTTGTCGTCATGTTGAGTAAGCTGAGAAAGAGAACATGTTGATGTTGCTGTTTCAGGGGTGGCAAATGGGTGTAAGAAAATCCATGTGTAAGTGGACCTGTGCAGTTCAGATTTGTGCTGTTCAATGGTCAACTGTACAAGATTATGTCATCTGTGAATAGAGAGTTTTACTTCTCACTTTTTCAATCTGAGTGCCTTTTATTTCTTTTTTTTTGCCCAGTTGCCCTGGTTAGAACCTCTCCTATGCAAATGTGTTTATGAATTCTTTGTTCTATTCCATCATCTATTTGTTTATTCTTACTCCAATACTATGTTATATTAATTGCTGTTCATTATTTTCTGTCTTGGTGTCTGATAGTATGAGCATGAGCATGCCTGTTCTTCCAAGGTGTCTTGGTGCTTTCTGGACTCCTGCATTTCTGTATGCATTTTAGAATCAGCTTGTCAAACAAATGGTTTGACGGGTATTTCGATTGGGATTGAAGCCATAGTTTATTCTAGGGGGAATTGATATTATTTTAATTTGGAAGGAGGGTCCTCCAATCCATGAACATGGTAGTATATCCCTTCATTCATGTAGGATTTCCTTTGGATAATGTTACACTGTTGTCTTTCATTAAATTTATTCCTTTGTGTGTGATTTTTTTTTTTTAGTGTTCCTATAGATCTTGTATTACAGTTTTTCACCTTCTACCTCAACTTCATTGGAACTTTTTGTGATGATAGAAGTAGTTTATATCTGTGCTGCTCAATACAATAGTTTGTCACTAAAGAGCACTGGAAATGTTCTTGGTAGCTGAGAAACTAAATTTTTATCAATTTAACTTTAAAACAAACCACATGTGGCTAATGGTTGTCATATGAGGCAGCAAAGTTTGAGTCTGGTATCTAAAAATACCGGTATAAATAGTTCTGTGTTGTAAATCAGGTTGCTCCTTGGCTTACCTCCCTGCCAGCTTGGTATTTGGTTTTCTCATGTTTAACATTTGTTCTTCTGACTTTCCGCTTCAATATTTTATTGTTTTTGTTTCACTTCCCATTTTGTCCTTCCTTATAGATTTATACTTTTAAGAAATCCTCTTATTGTCATTTAAATGAGGCATCCAGATGGAGCATTTTTAGGCCCACCTATCTCTGTTGTTTAGACTCCATTTTCTGTGTATTACTGAAAATGATACATTATTCTCATTTAAACAAAATGGCAAATCAAAGTGAGTGGTTGATGTCAGCAAGACTGACAGAATAGGAAGTGGGAAGGAGTGGATTAGTTTTTCACTGTTACCTTATGACTTTGAGTTTTAACAACAGAAAGAGCTTGGAGGTTTTTTTTAAATCTAGTGTTTAGAAAACTTGAATATAGTGGAGGGGAACGTTTTACAAGTTATTACAAAAGCATTATGCATATCTTTATTATGATACACTTAAAGAGACTTTTGAAAAGGGTACTTTCTATTTTCTGGTGTTAGGTTTTAATTTTTGTGGCTTCTTCAGATTACTCCCTTTACCTTTGTATGACACTGTGATTTTTCTGAATAACCAGGAACAATGGTATATGGTATTTTTCTTTTTTTTTTTTTTGAGACGGAGTCTCGCTCTGTTGCCCAGGCTGGAGTGCAGTGGCGCGATCTCGGCTCACTGCAAGCTCCACCTCCTGGGTTCACGCCATTCTCCTGCCTCAGCCTCCCGAGTACCTGGGACTACAGGTGCCTGCCACCACACCCAGCTAATTTTTTCTATTTTTTAGTAGAGACAGGGTTTCACCGTGTTAGCCAGGATGGTCTCGATCTCCTGACCTCGTGATCTGCCCACCTCGGCCTCCCAAAGTGCTGGGATTACAGGCGTGAGCCACCGCGCCTGGCTAGTATATGGTATTTTTCTTTTATGTTTATATGATGATGAGAAATTTGAAATTATTGTTTGTTTGTCTTTAGTTTTTATTCTTGTTAATGGAGAAACCAAACTCCGTGAAATATTTTAAAGAGGCTTCTTCTGAGCCAATATGAGTGACCACCATCTTGGGAAAAACAGTCTTAAGGAGCCCTGAGAAAGTGTAGCTGATTTCTGTTTTACATTAATGGTGGCCAGTTGTGCCTAAACTCCGAAAGGGAAGGGGTATTATGAGTTTTTTCTGATCCCTCTTCCCATCATAGCCTGAAACTCAGTTTTTGAGGTTTCTCTGGGGTCCCCTTGGCCCAGAAGGGAGTCTGTTCTGTCAGTGGGGTTGTTACCAGTTGTGAATCTGTATGGGTCTGCAGCAACGTGATCCTTGCCTCCTTGGAGGAAATAATTCTGCTGAGGGGCAGAAATAGGTTTAAGGCAGAGTAAGAGACCAGGGCAAATTTTAGAGCAGAAGTGAAGGCTTATTAAAAAAGTTTTAGAACAGGAATATAAGGAAATAAAGTACACTTGGAAGAGGGCCAAGTGGATGACTTGGGAGATCCAACTGCCCTGTTCTGCCCTTGACTTGGGGTTTTATACATTGGCATAGTTCCGGGGTTTCCATTTCTCTTCCCTCGATGTTTCCCTTGGGCTGGGCTGTCATGTTCAGTGTCCTGCCAGCACTTGGGAGGGGCCACATGCACAGTATGTTTACTGAAGTTGTGTGCATGCTCACTTGAGGCATTTTTCCCTTATCAGTTGAGCATTCCTAGAGGAAGGTCATATACTGGTTAAACTCTGCCACTTTGCACCTTACTGTGCATGCTTGAGCCTGCCCACCCCACTCTTGAGATATTATTGGGAAGCTGCTGATCACCAGCTTCAGGTGTTTTCTATCTGTTGGAAGACTGTCGTTCCCTGGCACCAGCTGCAACCAATTATTATCTTAGAGTGGCAGCTTAACAACCCCCTGACTTGATGGTCACCTGACATTCTTTACATTCTTATAAATTATATGCATGAGATGAATGACAGGTACTAGTGCTGCCCAATAAGATAGATCTGGATGAAATCTTTATTTGATTCTGCTGTTTAAAAAGCATCATGCATACTGGTCTTCCTTTTATCTGTGGATAACCACACTTACGTCAGGTAATTCCACACTTAGCAAGTATAAAAGTTAATTTTTCCCTCTCACTTTTGAAGTATACAGAAAATACCTTGTAGCTTGTATGTTAGTAGTTTTGAAATAAATATATATTTTGAGTAAGAAAATATTCTGAAATATAAGAAGCCGTGGAGATAGAAGAAAAGCAAAAACTGAGAGAGAAAACAAGTTTCTAAAACTGAGGAAAACATTGTGAAAGAGAATGAACATATTTGTTGAATGATCAATTAGAATAATAATGTAAATTCTAATTTGATTTGAACAGATGCTTTTCAAGATTACATTTCTAGCTAATGTCGAGGCAGAATTCACATTTGGTCTAACTACAGAGCTGTGGTGTGTTGCTGCCTGGATCCATTGGACTATTTGATAGAATCATGGGTTGTGGTTAACGTGGCAATAGAGGTTTGGATTGTGGTTGATGAATCTATTGTTGACTTAACTGTATTCAGAGACATCTTGGAGGGAGTTCTCTCATTGCATACCATAAAATGTCTTTTTTTGAACCTGTTCTTTTGAAGAACATTTTAATTGACGATTTGACACAGAAATAGCATGCTCAGCAGGTTTACAGCTAATAATACAAAAATGTTTTCATTGTTGCTGAAGATATTCAGTGGACTTAATGGTCCTGAAGGGTAACAATTAAAATCATGTCCACATTTTGCAGATTTGACTAGAAAGCCTGTGATTCCTTCCAGTTCTAACATTATCTGACTCTAAGGCTGTGCTTCTCAAATGTTAATGGAGATCTTGTTAAAATGCAGATTCTAATTCAGTAGTCCTAGATTAGGGTCTGTGATCAGCATTTCTAAGTAACCAGGTGATGCCCATGCTGCTGGTGTGTACACCATATTTTGGGTATCAGGGTCTCAGCCATATGGAGAATGGCTTAAGTCACTGAGAATAGTTTAAGGCAGGGATTGGCAACGTGATTTGGGAAAGACCAAGGTAGTAAATATTTTAGACTTTTTGAACCATTTTGTTTCTGTCCCAAATTACTCAACTCTGCCATTGCAGTGCCAGCTATGGACACCAAGTAAACTAATGAGCCTGGCTGTGTTCCAGTAAAACATTTACAAAAACAGATGGCATCTGGGTTTGGACTTGAGCTGTTATTTCCTGACTTCTGGTTTGATGTATTCAGAATGTCAGTCTTAAATAACGAAATTCTGAAAATAAGATTAAATACAGAGATTGTTCAAGCTCAAAGCTTGAAGATGGCTACCTGGGAGCATAGATTCAACTTGCCTTGAATATGCACTCCAATTAGTAGCAGTTACAAGTGGGCTTTTAAGGGAAAAAGAAGAGGCACTTCCTAAGTCGTTTGCCAAGAATTTACATTAAAATGACATAAACTGTTGATTAGCTGTACATTGATCTTTGTATCACAAATTCCAGGAACACGAGGGTAATGAGTGGGATAGTTAGGGACAAAATGCCTTTAAATAATTGCCCTTGGACCCACACTCTTGTTTCTGGGTGTGAAAAATGTTATATATTTCACATAGCTCTGACGACTCTGAGCTATTTTTCTTTTCTTGAGAACAAATGTTATATTTTAAATAATTTTCGTTAATGCAATTTGCTTATAATTTCATAAAATTTCTTAATATTTAAATTATTGAAATAAAAACAAAGAAGTAATTTTTTGAAATTATCAAAATGTTTCAGTTGAATTAAATTTAATGTAATTTTAGAATAATTTGCAAGTTAGCCTTTTAAAAACACACATAGTTTGAAATGTTAAAAATATTAATAGATATATGAAAAACTGAATATGTCTTGTTTCATCTTGAAGGCAGAGAGAACTAAAGTGGAAAGGTTTCTTCACTGCTCTTCAATCTCAGACTCTTCCTGAGGAGGAACTAGGGTCAGCAGGCCATAGTCTCTTCCGGTGCCTAGGCATACCTTACCTACATCTTTATATACCTTTACTTATACATGTTATCAGACTAAATGTATTAATTTGTGACCTGTCATTTTTACTTCCTATGGCTTGAAGTCATTTAACATGACTGTCTTAATACATATTACAATGGCAGGTGGTGATTAGTACTATGAAGAACAGTGGAGTAGGAGAGGAGAATGGTGGGGAGAGTACTGCCTTAGGGTAATCGTGGGCTCTTATACAAGAGATGACATTTGAGCTGAAAACTGAATATTGTGTCTCAGTGTACTAGTGGGTTCAGTTGGCTAATTTAAGTTTGTGTGTATCTATTTCTGAGTTGCTGGGGTATTAGAAAGAGTTGTTTTTATATATTGGTCTTCTACCAAGCCATTTAAAAAACATTCATTCTGACTGGTTATCACAGTTACGCTCTGCTTTTAGAATGAATTGAGAAGTTTTCCATCTATTTCTAGGCCCTTGAGCATTAAAATAACAGAGGAGCAACCTATTCCTTGAATGATCTCTGCTTGCACACATGAGGAAGGTAGTCCTTTCCAAGCTCCTTGGATTCTGAGCAGCACCATCTCCCTCCCCTTTCACTCCCAAGGGCACATGCACATCTTGGGTAGCTGCACCCACCCTCAGTGGTCCTTGAGGAGGGTAGCAGAAGCCGGGGCAGGGGGAGCCTTCTTTGCTGCTGGTTCCTGGCTCCTGTTCTCAGAAGTACCCGTCAGGCTCCAGTGACAATTTATGTGGTTGTATTGGAGAAAGTACCAGAAGGGCAAGGTGACAGGATGGTGGATTTGGGCTGCCATCTTTTCTCTTGCTGTTATGGACTTCACTGTTTGGAAAGTATATGTTCCACTCTTCTGTTAGAGTTGGGGCAAGAGAGAGGGGAAGACGTGTGTGCTTAGTGCTCAGTCCACCCTCTTATCATCGAGCACTGAAAGTCACTTGTCCCAGTAGTACCAGTAGGTCCTAGGGTTTATAAATGGCTTATGAAAATATATATAATTGGAAAAGATCTATTGGTAGTTTTGTGTTAAAATAACTTTTATTCATGTTCTAGTTTTCTTGAGGGGGGAGTCCCTGATATTTTGGAAATTGTGCATGGTGTACATTGTGAATCTGAAAGAAACTTGTTATATATGTTTGAAGGTTTGAAAACTGCAAACTTATGTCTAATAGTGAAATCCTTAGAAGAATATGAATATATTAATAAATGTCTATTTTCAGGAAGATATCTTCATTATACCTGTGCTCTGTTGTAGTCTATAGAAAAATTAGAACTTGATCTCTCTTTGGATAAAATTTATTTCAGAATCTTGACAAAACTTTTGGAAGTGTCAGATGATCCCCAAGTCTTAGCTGTTGCTGCTCACGATGTTGGAGAATATGTGCGGCATTATCCACGAGGCAAACGGTAAGAGAAAGCCATTCATTTCATTTGGTTTCTTGAAACCTTCAGTGTAGAGTCCTAAATAATGTACTTATCTAAAATGGAGTAGGTTAGCAAAGGAACTAACAAAGCAAATGAAATCAAGATTGCCACAATAGTGAGAATTATGATAAACCCAGTTAAAAATGAGTAGTATAGGCCGGTTGCAGTGGCTCACGCCTGTAATACCACCACTTTGGGAGGCCGAGGCAGGCAGATCACAAGGTCAGGAGACCATCCTGGCTAAGATGGTGAAACCCCTTCTCTACTAAAAATACAAAAAAAAAAAAAAAAGAAAAAAATTAACTGGGCATGGTGGCACGCGCCTGTAGTCCCAGCTACTCAGGAGGCTGAGGCAGAAGAACTGCTTGAACCCAGGAGGCGAAGGTTGCAGTGAGCTGAGATCGTGCCACTGCACTCCAGCCTGGGCGACAGAGCAAGATTGTGTCTCAAAAAAAAAAAAAAAAAAAGAAAAGAAAAAGAATAGTATAAAAATATATCACGCCTGTAATCCCAGCACTTTGGGAGGCCGAGGCGGGCGGATCACAAGGTCAGGAGATCGAGACCATCCCGGCTAAAACGGTGAAACCCCGTCTCTACTAAAAATACAAAAAATTAGCCGGGCGTAGTGGCGGGCGCCTGTAGTCCCAGCTACTTGGGAGGCTGAGGCAGGAGAATGGCGTGAACCCGGGAGGCGGAGCTTGCAGTGAGCCGAGATCCCGCCACTGCACTCCAGCCTGGGCGACAGAGCGAGACTCCGTCTCAAAAAAAAAAAAAAAAAAAAAAAAAAAAAAATATATATATATATATATATATATATATATATATATATATATATATATATATATATATATGTACGCTGGTATAATACTACTGTGTAGATCACATTAGATATTTCATGTTAATGATTTGGTAGCCATTTTGCGAGCACTGGCTATTTTTTGTCTTACTATTTGTACTTACAGAGATGAATGAAGCATAAAATATTTACTTATCTGGCCCTTAGGAAAAGAATCGCCACTCCCACCCCCACCCCCCGTAACCTAATCATAAGGGAAAGGGCTGCTTGGTTAGTGCTTGCCAAGTCTCTGTGTAGTGACTCACGCACACTAAAGACGGAAACTTAATGGATTTCTGTAAGTTTTGCAGAAGTACGCTTGTCCCTTTTGTACTTGGCCCTTTCAGACCAAATACCTGGATACAATTAAGGGATGGTTAAAAAATAGTGAAGTTAGCTATTGGAATGGGGCACATAGATTTTGTAGCAGTGGAAGGATAACAGCAACCTCAGCATCTGAAGAATACCTCAGACCCTGGAGATACAGGGGAGGTAGGGACATCAATGATCTTTGTTTCCAGTGAACTGCCTCTAGAGCTTTCCTCAAAGGAAAACAGAGAGATCTCCCAAGCTGTTGCCAGTGCCTTCTGTTTAATTGAGTGCTGGGCCTGTCACCCACTGCGAGGCAGCTCTCACTGCTATACCATGGCCACTCCCTTTAACCTTACTGAAAAATTTATTGGGAACAGAAGAGATAATGGTAGCCCCTGCACCCCCTAAGCAAAATGCCAGTCAACGGCTCTGTACTTCCCTAATTCCAAAGCTATCCCTCAGCCATTCCATGGTACGGACAAATGTCCTCTGGCTGGTGGCATAGACAAATAGGCCAGTCTCGCCTTAAAATAAGGACTCAATTATTTGAACTGAACTCAGACTCCTAAGGTTTATCATCCAGCTAGGAGGCCACTCAGCCTGTTTCACTAACTCATGAAGGTCCCACTTGGGTGGCCCCAGCAATGATAAACCACTTTCCAGGGGCACAATGAGCACCCTGGTATTATACTTCATGGAAGCCAGGCATTAACTCATCTTCTTCTCAAAGAGACAATAAGTTGCGCTTTAGGGGTGTGGTCATAAGGAACCTTCAAGTATTTCAGGAAACGCTACCAGTAGATTATGTAGTCCTCAGACAAGTGTAGAGAGCTCTGTAAAAGGAGGCTGTCCTTGTAGACTCTGATGATTCGTTCCATTTGTTTAGGTGGTTGAGTCCAGGGCCCTGGGGGACATGGGTGGTGAGGTCAGTGCTGCAGGTTGGCCTTATCCTGGTGCTTGGAGTCTTGTAGGTAGTAGCCTTCATGAAATGGCATATAAAACTAATTAAGTGGACTTGGTTCCAGCCTGTGCCAGCCAGATTCATCAGAACCACCCACAAGTGTTGTGTTTATAGATACATTTTTTGGAAGGCAAGATGGTGTAGAAATGAGGGGTTGATACTGTAGGAAGACATTTCTCATGCCTTCCTTTTTTCTTTGTTTCCCAATAAGCCTTTTGCACTCCTATCTCTCATCTTTCTGAACTTCTTGCAAGACGAGGCACTAAATGCCCTTTACAGAGAGGTTTGTCTGCCTAAGAGCAATGGGCAGATGTGCTTACTGCCATATGAGAGATTGGGGTTTCTCTAAGTTCAGGGTTCCTCTTATGCGCAGTGTGCAGGGCTCATCTGGCTTCCTTTATGTTCACTTGTGGAAATTGAGGCTTGGGGGACTAGCACTAAAATGCTAGTATCTTGCTATTTCTGTTGCTGTGAGCAATAAACTATCCTTTGTCTCGGACCCAGGAGTCTCATGTGTTCTACCGGGATCCATGAAACTGTGGCAGGCTAACTTGTTAGCTGCAAGTAGGGTAAAAACTAAGACCCTCATAGTTGTTGACACTGTAATATCAAGAGCTGTCCAAAATTAATATCATTAAAAAATAATTGGTTTTACTATGGAAAATTAAAGATCTTTAGATAAGGCAAATATAAATTTAGCTAATAATAGTCAAGGTCTATAACTCATTTAAAATGTGTTAAATATGAAAAACAGATGGATAGATGGTATATAGAGCCCTCTTAGATTTATAGCTGCTAAAAAATGAATGAAGATAAAAATATGATAGTTTTAAAACGCTGAAAGTGAAAAGCATGTTGAAGAATTCATCTTCTCACAGCACTGCCTCAGCTGGTGTTTCAAATGTTTCTTTTGGATATGTTGTGCACACCTGACCTGCTGCCAAGGCAGAAGCCTGCTATGCCTTCACGTAATTCTGCTCTACTGCCCTGTTCCTTTCTTTCTCCCTGCCTTACTGTCTCTCCCTAAGAAGAATGATCTCTCCCATCATGCTGTACCTTCATTTGACTTCCTATCACCAATATCTGCTGCAGTCGATCCTCCGTGCTTTTCCTAAAATAGTCTTTTTTGGCCCAAAACTGTGGCCATGCTAATTCTTTTCTATGTCCTTCCAGTGGCTTATATTTACATCATGGACCAATATAGTCATTCTTTATTCTGAAGCCTCTCACCAGCATAACTTACTTTCTGTGCAAGCTCTGGATCCTTCTGCTTTGAGATATGTTTTCAAATTATTTTCTCCTCATTAAGACTCTGCTTTTTGAAACTTCTCAGAAAAAAAAAAAAAAGGCATGGTTTCTCTCATGGTTATAGGGTTGTTGTTTTTTTTTTCCCCCCAAACTTTATGGGTGTTCAGTGGATTTGCAGATCAACAATTTGAACTAAGTTTTCTAAAAGATTAATCATAATACTCAAACATTTTAAATTACATAATTCTTTCATGTCAAGTATTGGAATTATTTTGTTTTTGATCTTTTACCAGGTTATCTAGAATAGACTTATTGAGTCATAAGAAAGGATCGCTGGGTGCGGTAGCTCACGCCTGTAATCCCAGCACTTTGGGAGGCTGAGGGGGGCAGATCACGAGGTCAAGAGATCGAGACCATCCTTGGCCAACATGGTGAAACCCCGTCTCTACTAAAAATAGAAAAATTAGCTGGGTGTGGTGGCACATGCCTCTAGTCCCAGCTACTTGGGAGGCTGAGGCAGGATAATCGCTTGAACCCAGGAGGTGGAGGTTGCAGTGAGCTGAGATTGTGCCACTGCACTCCAGCCTGGCAACAGAGCAAGACTCCATCTCAAAAAAAAGAAAAAAAAGAAAGTATCTATACTCAGTTTCTTTTCTTACCCTTTATTGCTACTGAATTAGAAAATGCTAACTTACTATTATCATTTGGCAGGAATGGCTACAAGAGTTAGAAGCTTGGCCAGAGAGTTTGGGATATTCAGGTTATATGCGGATTTCTCACAGAAGCCCAGCTCAGCACTTCATCAGACACTCAGTTGACCAGCCCATTCAAACAAAAGCAAGAAAATAGAGTGTTGCCTCTAGTGAGGTATCAGGAGAAGGATTCCCAGCCTACTTGTTGGTCGCATTCAGTAATATAAAAGCATTTCTTCATATTCAAAAGTTGTAGCTTTTTGATATGATTTTTTACCATAGCCCTCATTAATTTTTTTTCCTTATGAATAAAAATAAAACTTTAACACTTAGAAAAATTCACATGCTTTGTGATAGATCCATTTTCACCACAAGTCAGTTATCTTAAAAAATAATTGTGGTATCTCAAATTTGAGGTTGATATTTGGAACTTAAATGATAGGTTTAACCTATTCAAGACAGCAACTGTTGCTAAGATATGCCACTTAAAGTCACTTAAGGTGATAGAAATGATCTTTATTGGCCGGGCACAGTGGCTCACACCTGTAATCCCAGCACTTTGGGAGGCCAAGGTGGGCAGATCACGAGGTCAGGAGTTCAAGAACAGCCTGACCAATATGGTGAAACCCCGTCTCTACTAAAAATACAAAAATTAGCCAAGCATGGTGGCATGAGCCTGTAGTCCCAGCTACTCAGGAGGCTGAGGCAGGAGAATCGCTTGAACCCAGGAGGCGGAGGTTGCAGTGAGCCTAGGCTGCGCGACTGTACTCTAATCTGGGTGACACAGCGAGACTCTGTCTCGAAAAAAAAAAAAAGAAATTATCTTTATTGGCATTATCAGTAAAAGTCTGTCTCCTGCATTATATTCTGGTAAAGCTAACAGTGACCATTTTCTATTACCTCAGTAAAAATAATGCCAGTGAAGAAGTTGAGTTTCAAGTTCTTATTTAAAAAAAGTCGTGCACTTCTGATTGGAAAAGCAGTTTTATACTCCCTATTCCTTCCTTCAAACAGCTTCTCATATGCTTCTAATGTCATATTTGCACTTTGGACTATTTCAACAGTAGCATGGTGAATAGGCACATCACGGACTTCCAATTCGGTTAGTACAGCCTTTTTATCCACATAGCCGTAACTCTGCTGCACATAGCTAGTCCTTTGTCAGTGCCAAGTTCAAAAAACTGCTTCCAGTCCAGATCATGCAAGAGTTAGAAACTTGTCCAGAGTTTGAGATATTCAGATTATATGTGGACTTGTCATGGAAGTCTACCTCAGCACTTCATCAGACATATTGTTTTTTTCATGTTTACACAGTACATATATGGATAGTTACTTAGCAACACGGACACCAATGCAGAGTCATGCAGTGGGTAAGTGCCCAGACTAAACTCGCCTGCTTGGTTTTCAGATCCCAGCTCAGCCACCTAGTAACTGTGAGATTGGGCAAGTCCCTTTACCTCTCTGTGCCTTGGTTTCCTCCTCTGTGAATGTGAAGAGTGAGTGAGTTAATACTCATTGATAATAATAATGTAAAACACTTAGAGTCATGCTTGCTACATAGTAAGCACTCTTTAGGTGTTTGCTGAAGCAAGTAAATCAGTAGATTGTTCAATTGTCAAGTAAAGTGTCTGCTACTTCAAGCAATAGCAGTTGTTCTTCTACACTCTTTTTGTTATCATGGGATTTTTCACATTAAATTTTGCTTCTCTAAGAACATGTTTGTCATTAACTTCTCGGTGGACTTTTTTGTTTTTACAAGTTTCTCAGGAATGAAGTGTCAGAATGTTGTCTCTTGCAGTTTTGTCCTTTTCTCCCATCTCTATCTCCATCAAACAGTAACCTTTGTCGGTTGACAACATTTTATAACAAAAATATTCTGGAGATGCAAGTAAATGTTTTGCTGGTCCACTGATACATTTTTAGATACAGTAAGCCCTCACTTAACATCATCCATACGTTCTTGGAAACTGAGACTTTAAGTGACAGCAGGTCCTCGAATAATGTCCTTTGCTTGTTTTATGTCGTTTTGCTTGAAGTCAGTTTCCAAGAACCTATTGATGTTAAGTGAGGATTTAGTGTACTGAATATCACATTTCCTATCCATCCTTTTCTTTGATCACTATCAGGTTTTTCTCAGTGTGCATGTTTACATCTAGTTTTTAACGTGGAACCCTTTTCACTCTTGTTTTACATGTGTGTTATTTTCATGACTGCTTTTGTAGTTTTAAGAAACACTTTTGATCCAATTACTTGTTTTCGTAAGATTGGGTGGAGAGCATAACGTGACAGTTAATTGCCCCCCAGTTGCAAATTTAATACTTGTCCTCAATAAATGCAATGACACAAAAATAAAACGAATTTACCTTATCAACTGTACTGGCCAGTTGAGTTCTTTTAATGGACTTGTAACCTTTAATATGGTAACATGATTCTGAGAATCAAACACAATTTAGCATTAATCTTACTTTTCAAAAATACATGATGTTCAGGAATAAAACTGTTCCATTGCTTTTTCTTCAGGAGGCACAAAACACCTGTGGCCCCTGATAGAAGTCCAGAAATCACACCCTGATGATTAATGCCTGACACTCACCTTAGGGAATGTGCTCCCTCTGCATGTATGACTTAATAGCACAAGTCTGGCATAATGAATGTTGTTCTAATAATTAAAACATTGTGACAATATCAAAGCTCTATCAGACTCTCTTACATGGCTTGTACAGCTACACTTTTTTTTTTTTTTTTAAAGGAGTCTGGCATCTAAACCACCTTTCTATATTCCAGGAATTCCCCATTTTACAAGGCTTGTAATCCCTCCCATTATAGAAGATTAAAAATGCCACAAATTCACTTTGCTCTTCTCCCTTACATTTAGCCACCTGCCCGTGGCCTAAAAGCTCAGTTATAAGCCGATGTAGCTACCCCAGACCTCCAGCAGGAACGAGAGACTGGGGAAGCAGGGATAGCCAGCTCCATGAGGAGGAGAAGAGGTGGCAGCTCTGGGTAGCTGGGTGTGAACAAAGTAAGCTGTGGGGTCAAGGGCCGAGCTGAAACAGCACCCTCACTGAACTACTTGATTTTGATGGTGATTCAGCCTGGCCAGCCCTCGAGTACAATTGTCCAGTCTTCCAAGCCATATGCAGTTACCTTTCAATAAATTATTTTGCTGGAGAATTATCAGGCAGGGTAAAGTTTTTGTTACTTGTAACTAAACATATTCACTGATATAAGAGATTCTTCTCTGTTTAATCTGACAAACTGTACTGCCTTTGAATCTAAATACAAATGTCCAATTTTCTGTGCTCCCACAGGATTCTGAATATATTAATGCTTCCATTATGTAACACTTTTCACTTTGTACAGTGATAATGTGATGAAGTCTGTTTATCTCACTAGACTGTGAACTTCTCAAAAGAGCCACCTGTATCTGACTAGACATAGTGTTCACCACACAGTAGGGCATAATACTTGCTGAAGGAAAGAGCTACCAAAAGAATCATGTTTGTTCTGTTAAAATACAGACTTTTTTATCTGGTAAATATCTCTGTGTTCCTTTGTTCAAAGCCTAGCACAGCATGTGTAAATACAAATTAAATTGTGTTGATAGTGGCACAAACCTTTTATTGACCAAACTGGTTTAATTTTTCTATTTTAACTTATAGTCATCATGAAAAGTAACAAACTCTCATTATAGAAAACTTGAAAAATACAGAAAAGAATAAAGAGGAAAAAGCAACACCCTTAATACTACAAAGTATGAGATAAAAATGATTTTTTAGTTTTTTCCCCATGCATATATAGTATGTATTTTTTCTTCTGAAACTGTGATATGTGACATCTCCTATTTTATCTCCTGCATTTCCTCATTTATCATGGGTATTTTCCATCTACAGAGTTTTAAAAATATGGTTTAATGCTATGTATAGGTACACATGCTCTAGTTCACTCAAATCTTACTACTGGGCATGCAATTAGTTTCCAAATTTTCATTATTAAGAAAACAGAATTAACATCTGTGTGAACATTTCTGGTTATTTGCTGGCCCCTTCAAATAGATTTAATGAGATGATATGAGTACTTTTGAGATTTTAATAAACATTATTGAATATAGACTAATTCAGAGTCCCCCTGGCAGTATATAGGAATACCATTTACACCACCTTTTCAGCAGCACTGAATACTATCATTACCTCTTTATGGCATCTGGTGCTTTTAGTTTATATTTTAATCACTTACATGATCCGTAGGAATATTTGTTGAGTCTTGCCCCATGGAGCTTACATTTTACTGAAACCTTTGCTGTCTCTCCCACCACTTTTTTTTTTGTTTTTGAGATGGAGTCTCACTCTGTTGCCCAGGCTGGAGTGCAATGGCGTGATCTCGGCTCACTGCAACCTCCACCTCCTCGGTTCAAGCGGTTCTCCTGCCTCAGCCTCCTGAGTAGCTGGGATTACAGGCGCCCACCACCACACCCAGCTAATTTTTAGTAGAGACGGGGTTTTACTGTGTTGGTCAGGCTGGTCTCAAACTCCTGACCTCAGGTGATCCACCCACCTTGGCCTCCCAAAGTGCTAGGATTACAGGCGTGAGCTCTGTAATCCCACAGAGCCTGGCCTCTCCCACCACTTCTGTGCTTAGAGCTTTCTTGGACGGATGCAGTGGCTCACACCTGTAATCCCAGCACTTTGGGAGGCTGAGGCAGGGGGAATCACGAGGTCACGAGTTTGAGACAAGCCTGGCCAGTATGGTGGAACCCTGTCTCTACTAAAAAAATACAAAAAATTAGCCGGGCATGGTGGCATGCACCTGTAATCCCAGCTACTCGGGAGGCTTGGGCAGGAGAATTGCTTGAACCCAGGAGGCAGAGGTTGCAGTGTGCTGAGATCATGCCACTGCACTCCAGCCTGGGCAATGGAGCGAGTCTCCATCTCAAAAAAGGAAAAAAAAGGAAAAAAAAAAAAAGAGCTTTCTCTTTATTCCTCCTTTAGTCAGGTAAGTAAAAAAAATAAAAAAGAGTGAGAAGAGTGAGCTTCCTCACTTAGAAATCTGATAAATATTCTCCAAAATTATCTTTTTATTTTTAAAAACGGTAATGACCTTCCTAATTAAGGAAACGAAAATAGGCATGGTTTCTGTGCTCATTGAATTTATAACTCTAGAGGGTATATTGCTACACAGATTAAAAAATATTGACTTTCATATAAGTAGCATTGTGCAACTTAACCATTTTTAGCAATATGAGTGGAATCATAATATGTTATAGTGTGATATCATTTTATTAGCTTCTAAACAGCCATGTTTAGAATACTAAACAAATAGAATTCTTATGAGGATATTTTATGTAAACTCATCTGAATTATTTATATTAAGATAGAAAAAGACCTTTAGAACAAACAAAAATAGTTCTGTATGTTTTAGAATATTTAAAAGTTTACTCTCAAATTACATTTTTTGGTTTCATCAGCTGCTGCATTCTTTAAATGTATGTACCAGTGCTGAACTTGTTAATCATATTTCAGAATATTCCAAGTTCTTAAAGCTTAACATGCTATTGACTTAACTTGTTTTGAAATATGGTTAGCAAGATTACCCCTATTAGACAATAGCTCATAAATGAAGTACTTGACTCTAGTTCTAAAAAATCATCAAATATCTTGTCTTTTTAATGATATTTTGTAATCCACCAGCTGGAAAGATTCTTTTCTCACCTTTTTTTCAAGCATTCATGATATTGGGCATTTGTATAATCTGAAAATAATTGGTGCTTCAATTGCATCTTGAGAAGATGAGAAATGTCTGTTTATTTCAATAGCACTGTGAGTTTCAGTGGGGCGAGATCATCCACTTGGTATGAGACCCACTGGGCTCTGGGGTGGAGAGTAATAAAATGTAGTTTACTAAATGCTTAAGAAATAAACATAATAGGATGGGTGCGGTGGCTCATGCCTGTAATCCCAGCACTTTGGGAGGCTGAGGCGGGTGGATTACCTGAGGTCAGGAGTTTGAGACCAGCCTGGCCAACATGGTGAAACCCCGTCTCTACTAAAAATACAAAAATGAGCTGGGCGTGGTGGTGAGCACCTGTAATCCCAGCTACTCGGGAGACTGAGGCAGGAGAATTGCTTGAGCCTGGAAGGTGGAGGTTGCAGTGAGCCGAAATCCTGCCACTGCATTCCAGCCTGGCTGACAAAGCAAGATTCTTGTCTCAAAAAAAAAAAAAAGAAATAAACATAATAATATCAATCATTAAAAGCTTTTCAAAATTTTATTGGCTGGTGATAATAAGAACAAGGGTTTAGAATGTCAAAAACACTGCTTTTGCTAGGCAGTATTATTTGTTGTGAGAATTACATGAGATGAAAAATATGAACATTTAGCACAGTGCCCAACGTGGGGGAAAGTGCTCACATTTGATATTACTGTAAGTGGTGTGTGAGCTGTATGTTTTTAATCAGTCCTATTTTGCTCACAACATGGCAGTTTTCTGAGATTGTATTTGGTCCTCATTATTCACAGGTTCCAGAATTGTGAATTTGCCCACCTACTAAAAAGTTTATTTTCAACAGCTGTGTCAATACTAGAGGCGCTTTTGTAGTTATCCATGGACATGTGTAGAGTGGTGAATAATTGGAGTCGCTAATGGACACATCCCCAGCTGTGGGGGAACAAGGCAGCGTTCTGCCATCCCATGTTGTCTCTTACGCTAGAAACAAGCGTCCTTTACGTGGTCTGTTTAGTACCATATTTTTTTTTTTTTGCATTTTTGTGGGGTTTTTGTGTGTGTGTGTGTGGTGATTTTCCTGTTTAAAATGGCCCCCAAACCTTCTGGAGTGCTGTGTAATGTTCCTAAGCACAAGAAGGGGCTGTTACGTGCCTATGGAGAAAACTCGTGTGTTAGAGAAGGTTCCTTCAGCCAGGAGCTATGGTGCTGTTGGCTGCTAGCTCAGGCCTCAGAGGCAGTCTAGAGAACAAGCAGCCTGTGACCGTGCTCTGTGAAGCTCAGTGGGGCTCCAAAGCTGACTGTGAAAGGACCTTGTCAGCTATTTTAAGGATTTGGGTCCTTTGTTTTATTTTTATTTGTTTTTTTTTAAGAAACAGGGTCTTACCCTGTTGCTCCAGCTGGAGTGCAGTGGTGCAATCATAGCTCACTGTAACCTTGAACTGGGCTCAAGCAATCTTCCCACCTCAGCCTCTCAAGTAGCTGGTTCTACAGGTACACACCACCATGCCTGGCTAATTTTTTATTTTAATTTTTTTGTGGGGACAGTATCTCATTGTGTTGTCCAGGCTAGTCTCGAACTCCTGGGCTCAAGCAGTTGTCCCAGCTTGGTCTCTCAAAGTGCTGGGATTACAGGCATGAGCCACTGTGCCTGGCCTGGGTCCTTTTGTTAAGACAAGTAGAAGCCACTGAATTGTTTTAAGTAGTAAAAATCATATGCAGAGTTTTGCCAAGATTCCTTTGACTACAGTGAGAATGGGAGGCGGGAGAGCAGCCTGTATCATCATCGCTGCACAGCTGGGCTTAGTGTCCTGCAGGGACATAGGCTTTATGTCCTTTAATCATCACAGCAACGCTGTGAAGATGTCCTTGTCTTCCCTATTTGTCAGGGAGGAATTTACCAGGTAAAGGACTTGTCTAATTAACATGTTTGATAAATGGCTGAGCTGATATATTAGATAATGTTTTAAAGTACAGTGCCTGGCCTGCAGTAAGCACTCAGTTAATGTTTGATGATAGTTACATTATGTTCTTTTTTTTCCCCTCAGTTCAGTGCATTTTTTTTAAAACCATGCTTTAAAGAATAAAATATGAAAAGGTATGCAGATAAAAGCTTCCCTCTCACTCCGACCCCCATCTACTTATTTCTTCCTGACCCCAGAAACATTACTGATCTGTGAGATTGTCTTAAACCACCAAACACTGTACTGCATTAAGGTGCCGCTTGTCACTGACTATATTGTAGGTATCCTCCACTAGACAGGACTGGTGGCTGAAGAATGGACAGGGCAGTCCACACTGTTGTGTGGAAGCTGAGACTCCACAGCTCTGTCTGTAACCACACCTTTGCAAAGAAACAGAGGACCAATTTCTATGCATGAAGAAATAGCCATTTTTACTTTCCTTTGTGTTTGTAATAAGTGGATTTTCAGGATGTCGGAAGTGTGGTGATAGAAAGCAGTGTCGGTTGTCAGTCATCTCGGTGGTCTCGAAGATATGAATGTTCTCCTTCGTCTCACTGCCCAAGTCACATGGCATATCCCATTGTTATTACAAAGGGGTGGATATCTTAAAATCAGTAGTCTTTTCCAGGAAATTAGCATGGGTGCTCTTTAACCCCCTGTTCCCTGCTATCTACATCTAAGCCCCTATCTTCACGCAGCACGGTCACTGGTGGGCTTGATATTGATTGTATGTTGTTATGAAAATTAGATGGTGTTCAATACTGATATTAAACAAGCAAGAAATACTGATAATAAAAACGTTAATACTCAGCCACTTAGAAAACAATGATCTAAAATACTAGTGCCTGGGTGGTATCTAGGCAGATCATATGTTTCTGGATTAGAGATGAGAAATGAGAACAACTGTTGGATTTATCATTAGGAATTCAAAAACGAAAGTATTTGAATACTGTAAATCTATGGTTCAGGGAAAATGATGTAAAAAAAGACACGTTTGGTTTATTTACGTACATTGTTACTTTCCTTTTTAGCGTGTTGGTATTTGAGCTGCCTGCTTACAAACTGTGAATTTGAGAGTAATTGCATCTTCCTCACCACGTCTCTCCCGTTTGCAGGGTCATCGAGCAGCTCGGTGGGAAGCAGCTGGTCATGAACCACATGCATCATGAAGACCAGCAGGTCCGCTATAATGCTCTGCTGGCCGTGCAGAAGCTCATGGTGCACAACTGGTATGCCACGGCTTTTTGCTCACACTTGTACATTAGTCTGCAAACTCTCACTTGCCATTCTAAAAGTTCTTATGCAAATGCTTTGAATGATCATTTTTAAAATTAGTTATTTTGATTCAAAATTTAGAAATATATTTTAGTAATTCAGAGCAATGACACATTAGTTTTATAAAGACGGACTGCACTAAAGGTCTCAAGGAGTGTATATTCAAAATAATAATTTCAAAAACGACTCCAGAAGTAACTAAAAGGACCCTGTGACATAAGTCAGTCAGTCCTTTTTGGAGCTGAATGCAGTTGGACTACTGATTCCTTTAGAGACGCCACAATTTTGCAAGGCTTACCTATTCAGCATATGGTAAACTGGATGAATTTTACCAATTCACATAAAAACACTAAAAGCTGATAAATCAACTTAGATTCAGCTCTCACATTTCATTCACTATAGTTTTTGCTTTTGAAGTAACTAAAGTTATGCTTCTTTATTGCCTGTTTTTATTTTTAAAATAAAAATTAGTGACTTTTTTGTACCCACTTAAAACAAGATCAATTAAAGAGTAACTACTTAGACATGGTGAGCCCTTTGTGTACATAATAGAAGAAATGAAGATTCCCCTTGACATAGCTGCTTTTAGCTGTAGGTTGGGTGTTCAGTGCCTTCAGCAGTATCCTAAACAGTTCAAATGCCTCTCCATTCCCCAGCCTCTGGAAGGATGCTCTGTTTTTTTGTTAAGGCATCAGGAACAAATATACATTGCTTGTAACTGACAGTAATGCTACCAGCACTTCCAAAGGAGAGGGTTAGTGATGCACTAGCATGAGTGCGTTTGAAGATGCAGGCACATACAGTGTAGGAGAATATCCAGGAGTACTGCTGTGGTATCATGTGTTACATATTACGTTCCTGCCACTTAACACTTTTATCATAAATAATGACATTTATGTAAATTCTTACAAGTGCTTTTTGAGTGCTAGCTTTGTACCCTGATAAGTGTACAAATCTGTACCCTGATAAGTTAAATGATGTTAGGTATGATGAAAGTGGGTGCAACTTTACATAGGATGATTAGAGAAAGCCTCCCTGAGTAGGCCACATAGCTAAGTTGACAATAATGATAAGTAACCAGCCATACAGCTCTATTACTGGAGTGAATAAGCATTTTAGGTGGAGGGAATGAGAGGTGAAAAGGCTGTGAAGTAGTAACGAACTTGGCTTGTTTAAAGCAATGTACAGGGAATTATGTGGTTGTGACACTCAGGGGTGGAGGTGCTACTGGCACCTAGTGGATAGACAGCTGGAGTGCTGGTAATATCCTGTAATGCAGGCAGTCCCTAGAATTAAAGAAGTATATGTGAGTGCCAATGTTGGGCAACTCTGATATGAAGGATGGTCAAGGGCAAACTCTGACATGAAGGATGGTACGAGGGGAAAAACATGGTTCAGGAGAGGTAGGCAGAGACCTGATCGTGTAGGGCCTTGTAGGCTATAATTTGACTCCTGTAAGATGAGTTGAAAACCATTGCAAGGATATTAAATAGGGGAATGACAAGATGTGGTTTATGTTTTGAAAGGGTCACTTTGGCTACTCCCTGGAGAACGGGTTGTGCAAGGGTAAGTGAGAAAGCATGAAGAGCATTTGAGCTGGTTTTCATGGTAGTCTGGGGCTGAGGTAGTTGGTGGCTTGGCCTAGATGATAAACATTGAGATAAGAAGTAGATGGACTTGGGGTAGATTCAGAGCTAGTGTGGACAGCACTTGATGGGCTGAAAATGTTTTTTACTTTTTTCCATAACTTCAGTGCAAGAAGAATGGGATCAAAACAGAAGGTGAAAACCCCAGAATGGTTTTTATCAGTTTAGCAGGAGGAAAAACTTCAGGTCTGTCAGTAAAACATAGGATACATCACAGGATTTCTCTCCTTACTTCACTTTACCCCAAGCCAGATTTTTCAACATAAATCATTTATTTAGTAATTTCATATCTTATGGTTTGTTTATATCTCTTTCAGGAATTTAATTTAAAGGATGTTGGCATTTAATAGAATTTCAGGCCATTGCAACCAATGAGCTTATAGTTGCCAGATGTTTTTCTAAAGTTTCTGTGAAAGTCAAAGTTTTATTTTCCCATTGTGTTGAAATTAGGGCTATTGAAATACAGTTATTATTTTATTAGCGTATTTCTCTTGAAGTCTTTCTTGTTGGGTTAGTGGTTTTCTTGTTTTAAAAAATGTATATTCCTAATATGAAAGGCAAGATGTGTGTGAAATAGGATGTTGACCTTTTCCCTTTGCCAGTGGAGGAAATTTTTTAGTTGAGAATTTTTGTTGTTCAGATGATCATGTATTGAAGATGAAATTTTTAAATTTGACTTTTTTCTTGAATTTAGGAACTTGATGTAGTCTCATAGTACATTTTTCTGTGTGTGATTATAAGAGGAAGTGTATTCTGTCTTTACAGGGAAATACTGGTTTATTTGCTCTTTATGAGAGAGTATTCTTTTTTCCTCTCTCTTTCTAATTATATGGCAAACTTTTTAAATTTTAATGTTTTAACTACGATTATCTCCTTTGCATTTAATGGAGAAGCTTAGTATTTTCCCACACTTCCTTCATAGAGAAATTTTTGTATGAAGGAAGATTAAAATTCACCTGTGATCTCTGTATTTGATTGTGACTTATAAATTTCTGTGGCTCCCTGTGCCAGAGAATGAAAGTTGCTCAAGTAATAATTTATTACAATACCAGTTTAATTTGAGACTAAATAGAATACCATTTGGAAAGTAATCTTTTGCAAAGTATATCCCCAAATGTAAAAGAAGTTTGGATCAATACCTTTTTTCAGGTAACCTAGTTGTCTATACTAAACTCATAAAGACTACCTTTCTACCTGCCTAAAATAGGGGCTTTTTAACCTAAAATATGCTGCTGGTGTTCTAAAGAATCTTGTAAATTTCTCTAAATTGTTTTCTTTTCTACCAAGTGAAAACTTGAAAATACAGTGGAGTTTTTCTTTTAGCATTGGCTCGATTTAAATGGAAACGAGTTATTATAAATGGTGTATTTTAGCCCTCCATAGTGAAATAATTATTTTAACATAATTAAAATGCAAGCACAGATGAAAGCATGAAGGTCTGCGTGACAGGCAGCAGCAGCGGCACTTTGCCTGCATCCCTGGGTTTTTCTGCCCTAAAGGATTTTTAGGTTTTTGATATTGCATTATTCCTGAAGTTTTTGTTTATCAGATTAAATTGTAACTTTGGATACAATAAAATTAACATTTATTACTTTCTGCCATGAATTTAAAAAATTTTAGGTATAATTTCAAAATTACATTTTAAGTGTAATTTATGTTACTTATGAAATCATGGAACTGGGTCAGATATGGATTTGGATTTTGATTTTGATTCTGTTATAAGGAGTTAAATATTAAGTTTCTTGATAATGTAGAGATACATTTGAGTTTATATCATATGGAGTATGGAGTTATATAATGGGAAAATACTTATTTATTTTATGATTGATTTCAAAACTGTATCCTTGAATTGTAGGTGTTAGAATACCAGCGTTTCTCCCCTTCCACATCACATCTGTATTTCTGTGGAACAATGGATTATAAATAACCCTGACTGAGAGTGGGTGAGGAGCGGTGGAGGAGGAATAGAGTTGCTGGGGAGGGAGGGGACAGTGGCACCCACTGGGCGCCCTCAGCTGGGAGGCCTGAGCAGGCCAGTCCTACTCGCGGGCCTCTGCAGCTCTTATCTTTTTGTGCCCACCATGGCATTCCTGGTGTGCCCTTTGTTCTTTTGTGCAGTGCTGGATTTTTATATTCATAAATTTGGCAGAATATATAAACAGTGACAACTAAGAGAACTTGTGTATATACACCTAATTCATCCGTTTCACATCATAAGATGTCATCGTTTTTCTCCTACAGAATGATTTTAAATGTAATCAGCCTCTAATGCAGAAGCAACGATATGTGCATATGGACAGCTCAGGACTTCAGGAAAGAAACACTGACTTTTGTAGGTAGAGGATCTCACGTAGAATTTTTCATTTTTGTCTCTAGATTCTTGTTCAGCCCTTTCTTAAGCAGCATAATAAGTTATAAGAGTGTTACCATCTAGATTTTTTATGCTTAGGTAAATTAATATAACAGAAAAACTCACCAGGCCAAGGGTATGGATATTACTTTGTTCTCTGGTGTTTCTATCTGCTTTGCATATTTTAGTTATTCTGTAAGTGCAGAGCCATAAATACAGTGATTAAAATAGTTACTTATGAACTAAAGAAAAAAAAACCTCTTATGTGTTTTAGCTAATTTTTAGGATAATAATCAAGTTACCAAAACATTCCACATGATTTTTAATAAACATAACATTTCTAGATTTAACGTTTTCCAGAACTAATTTCTAATTTCTAAATTAGAATTCTAATTTCTAAATTAATTTCTAGATTCTCTTTCTGGGTCTCTGGAATTTTCTAGGTACCTGAAATTTTCTGGGTACCTGGTCTGTTTCTGGGTACCTGGAATTTTCCACATTATTATGACATTTTTAGTGGAGGAACATTTGAAAATGTCTTTAATGTCATATGTTTTCTGTATTTGAAAAAAACAAATATAACTGGATTTTTAAAAATATGAAAACCCATTCCAGGTAAAGAGGAATTTTTTACAGCTGTTATCTCACTATCAACTGGTAATTCAGCCTCCCAATCGAAGGTTGCTGCTTCTTTGCAAGTTAGAAATGTTTCCTAAGACTGTATTAACTTTTCTGGACAGTATGCACCACTGAATTACAGTTGAATTGCAAATGCCGGCATAACATAAACCTCAGATTGTTGCAAAGTATCAGCCTAAATAAATATTCAGAAGAGTTGGAAAATAAGCATTTTGACAGTAAAGAAAACCCCTGATGGATAATGTAGTCTGTGGACTTTATAATTAAACATAAAATCAATTACAGGTTTCACACATAGGTGCACATGACTAAGTGTGGGGATCTGTGGATCTAGTTCATGTTTTGGTTTTGTTTGCTTACGATTGGCTTTGTAGACAAACAGGTACCTAAAGTGGGATTTAAAGGATCAATAAAGTGTAGACGAAAGAAAAGCCTGGTCTAGTAAGGAGAGGTAGAGAAAAACGAATTAACTTGCTTTGGTTTTCATTGCTTTCTCTTCCTTCTGTGGGTGGGGCAGTTACATCTGTGATCCCTTGGCATATTTCATTTCATGGGCTTTGTGTGTGTGTGTGCACGTGCACGCATTTTTTTTTTTTTTTGAGGCAGAGTCTCGCACTGTCACCTGGGCTGGAATGCAGTGGCGTGATCTTGGCTCACTGCAACCTCCACCTCCCGGGTTCAGGCAATTCTCCTGCCTCAGCCTCCCAAGTAGCTGGGATTACAAGTGCCCGCCACCACACCCAGCTAATTTTTTATATTTTTAGTAGAGATGAAACATCTTTTAAATCCAATAAACTCAATAGAATGGTTGGCAGAGTATACTAAAAATTTAATTAAGATAAAGCAAACTTTATATTCACTCTCTAAGATATTTAAGTTTTTGAATTATTTTCTCAGTTTCCCTTTATGTATGTCACCCAGATGTTAAGTCATGATGGGGGAAAAAATGTTTTATAGCTAATGGAAATGAATTGACAGGTTTTTGTCAGTAGTAAAAACCTGAGGAATTGACCAAAAAGAGGAGGAAGAGTATCAGCCTATTGTCTTAAGAAAGGTACCTTTTGATGTAAATATTCTTTAATTGAATTTTTATTCCATTTAAATTTTAAAAGAATTGTGCAGCAGTGCAGCAGTTACATTTTTAAATCTAAATCCTCTTAGATGAATTAGATGAAGTTTATCATCTGTTTTTACTTACATTTTAAAAAAGGAATTCAGCATAAAGGTGCCAAAGTGTTAGTACAGGGCCAGAGGTTTTCCTAAAAGACCAGATTTCTCCCACCACACGGTATCAGATCTGTACTGCATTCTCCTAGAGGCACCTCTCACACTGGTAGGAGCTGTGCTCTTCTTGCCTTATTTTCCTTAAGGGTTAGGCATTTAGAAGCCTGAAATGAAAACAGTCTCTTGGATGAGTTTTTCCTGCCTTGCTAAATATCCCAGAAATGTATTCTGAGAAAACATTTCAGTGTCTGGTTTGAACACTATGCTGTTCCATTTGTATCCAGCTCTTTTCTCAGTTAAGAGAGTTATGGGAGTGTTTACTTTTATCTCTGTAATTGTCTCTAATTACAGACAGGAATACTTGTTAGAAAATTCAATTTGTGCTAAAGTAGAGAAATACAAAGTAGAAAATAAAGGCGTAGCACACAATTTCAGTGCACTGTCATAGCAGGACGAGCCGCAGACAAAACCCCTTAGATACTAGGTTAAAGAAGGAAGTGGCTGTATTCGGCTGGGAGCTTTGGCAGACTTGTGTCCCGAAAACCAAGCTCCCTGAGAGAGAAATGCCTGCCCTTTTAAGGGCTTACAGCTCTAAGGGGGTCCATGTGAAAGGATTGTGATCAATTGAGCAAGCAAGGGATATGTGGCTGGGGCTGCATGCATCAGTAATCAAGACAGAACAGAACAGAAAGTTTCACAATGCTTCCTTATACAATGCCTGGAATCTATAGATAATACAAGCGGTTACGTCAGGGGTTGATTTTTAACTACCAGACCAGGCCTGGGGTGTGGCGCTGGGCTGTCTGACTATTGATTTCATTTTTGCCTTTCTTTAACTTTTACTTCCTCTTTCTTTTTCTGAGGTATGAGACAATAAGAGAGGTGGTCTCCTTCCTTATTCCCCCCTGTGAGAATCTCACTTATTAGTGGGAGTTCTCATTCTCATTTTCACTACTTAGGTCTTCCTGCAAGACAGATGGATAATGATTCATGTAATACATTTGTGCCGAGGTTTTCTGATGAACTAAGCTAGCAACAAAACTTTTTATTATTTGAAGGAATAAGGGTAATACAGCAGCAAGCAAGTTAAGCTCTGCCAGTTTTATTAGTGATTATTTCTAACTGTATGATTATTTCAACTGTATGATTTGATTGAGCATGTAGATGGGGGTTTGGTTTTTAATAATGGAAGTTTTTAACAGCTAGAAGCTTGAACTTGTGGGCGTCTGTTCGGGGAAAGAATTAGTCAGAGTATAGTTATTTTGAGGCATTAACTTTTTTGCTTCCTAAGGCCATTGGTCTCCTATGTTAGTCTTTCCACAAACATAACATGGCCTAGGCTGCCGGCAATGTTTTCGGCTAAGGGAGGAGGCTCTGGTAACTTTTGGTTTATATGCTTAAAGAATGATTTAAAGACTTGGAAATGCTGCTGGGCCAGACGGGTCTGGGTTCTTTGACTAAGTAGTATGTGTACAGTGGGGACACTTATATATAAGTGCTAGCAAGGACAAAAGAGGTCCTTACCTGGGAAAAAGATTGAGTACAGTGACAGAACAATAGTAAAACAGTATACAAGAATACTACTAGGCCTAAAATTTCTAACTATATTACTTGTTTGACGAGTCCTAAAGCTTCGGCCGTGGGTAGACTAGTCAGCTTCTGGTGTGTGACTAGAGCAGGGCTTGTTGTTTCCTCAGCAGCGCAGTCTCATCTTAGGATTAGCTGGGTTGGATGATCTGAGTCCTACTGGCTGGTTCACTTGTCCTGAGATGCCGGTGTTAGCCGACTGTGGTGGATCCAAGAAACAACACCTGCAACTTTAGCAGCAGTGGGAGTGGACAAGATTACAGTATAGGGCCTATCTTATATGGATCCTAGAGAAATTAGATTTTACTTTTTAACCGAAACAGAGTCACCAGATTTAAAGGAGTGTCAGGCTTATAGGCATTTTTGTGTGCTTAATTATGAACACTTTGTATGGCTATTCCTGAAGCCTGCATTTGCTTTTTTTAAGGTTAATTCCCCTAGTTCCTGGAGGTTACTTTTAATTTGGGGGACTTATGATTTGCGGGGTGGCCGACTGAACAAAATCTTATAGGGCAACTACCTAGTTTGTTTGGTGGGGGTGCACCTGACTTGGAGGAGGAGCATAGGCAAAAACTTGATTTTATTTTAAATGAATTTCCTGGCAATATTTCTTCAGTAGCTGCTTGAGTGCCAGTTTATGTGTTTTACCTTTTTCTGAACTTTGTGGCTGGTAGGCAGCATGTAGTTTTCATGTGATCTTTAATAACTTTGCTGTTTTCTGTACCAAGTCAGCTACAGACGCCAGCCCGTTATCTGAGGCGATTCGTAAGGGTGGTCCAAAGCTAGGAATAAGATCTCGGAGAAGCACATGGGTTACTTTACGAGCTTTTTCAGTTTGTATTGGATAAGCCTCCACCCACCCAGAGTAGGTACACACAAGAACTAGTAAATACTTGTTACCTCCACATTTTGGCATTTCTGTGAAGTCCACCTGGAGATCTTCAAAGGGGGCTGTTCCATAAGCTAGTATGCCGGGCAGAACGGCTGGACCTTGCCTCGCATTGTGCTGCTGGCAGGTAATACATTGCTGTGCCACTGTTTTGGCAAGGGCTGATAAATGTGAGATGTAGAATAACTGGCCTAACAACTTTTTAAGTGACTCTTGGCCTAGGTGGGTGATCTCATGCACAGCCAGTACAACTGTGGCTCCTCGCAGTTGTGGCACAGCTATCCTTTTATCCAGTAACTGGATCTATCCTTCTTCTATTATTTGTCCTCCTTCTGTCTGGCAAAAGTCCTTTTTTTTTTCATTAGAATAAGTAGGTACAAGGTCAGGTGCTTGAGGGAGAAGGAGGGCTGTGACTGACGCCCGGTAGCGGGTGGATGCAGCTTTCCGAGCCTCTGAGTCAGCCCAGGAGTTCCCTAAAGCAACTGTAGTGGGAGCTCGCTGGTGTTCCCTGCAGTGCATGACTGCCACCTTTTGGGGCCTCTACGCTGCTTCTAATAGTTGCAGGATTTCTTGCTGATGTTTTATGTTTTTTCCTCTGGAGTTTAACAAGCCTTTTTCCTTGTATAATGCCCCATGTACTTGGAGGGTTAAGAAGGCATACTGAGAGTCAGTGTAGATGTTCACAGTCTTACCTACACTTAGTTCTAAAGCCTGAATTAAAGCAATGAGTTCATCCTTCTGGGCTGAAGTACCCTGGGGCAATGATTGGGCTTCAATGACAGTATCCAGGGTTACCACTCAATATCCTGCATATTTTTCTCCTTGTGGGTTGATGAAGCTGCTCCCATCCACATACAGCTCCCAGTCCACTGATGCCTAAGGCTGGTCCCAGAGGTCAGGTCTGCTAGAGTAAACTGAGTCTAGCACCTCTACACAGTTATGCTCGACAGGGCTTTCTGATACTGAGAGCAAGGTGTTGGGGTTCAGGGTGTTACAAACTTCAATGGTTATGTGGGGATTTTCACAGAGCAAGCCTTTGTACTTGGTTAGTCTAGCATTCGTTAGCCAATGATGTCCTTTGGTATTCATTAAAGTCACCACAGCATTGGGGGGCTTTTATGTTCAGGTTTTGCCCAAGAGTCAGTTTATCTGCTTTTTGTTCTAGCAGGGCAGTTGCTGTTAAGGCCCTCAAACATGGGGGGCAACCTTTAGAAACCCCGTCTAGTTGTTTAGAGAGGTAGGCCACCAGCCTCGGCCAGGGTCCCACAGTCTGGGTCAAAACCTCAACTGCCATTTTTTCTCTCTCTGATGCATATAGTGTAAATGGCTTTGTCAGGTCAGGCAGACCCAGGGCTGGGGCTGACATGAGTTTTTCTTTCAACTCACAGAAGGCTTGCTGCTGTTGAGACCCCTATTCAAAAGGTTCGTGGTCGCCTCCCTTTGTGACTTGGTACAGAGGTTTGGCCAGTACTGCCAAGTTTGGGATCCATAACCTGCAGAACCCCACAGCTCCTAAGAATTTTCTCACCTGCTGTCTGGTCTTAGGCTCCGGTAGGTTGCAAATGACCTGCTTTCTTTCTGATCCTAGGCTGCGCTCCCCCTGTCGGATAGTAAATCCTAGGTAGTGTACCTGCTGTCTGCAGATCTGAGCTTTCTTTTTGGACACCTTATACCCACAGTCCTCCAGGTGCCGGAGCAGGCCATCTGTTCCTTTGACGCACCCAGTTGCTGTGGGGTGTCCCAGCAGGAGGTCGTCGACACACTGGAGCAACACACAGCCTGGGTCTCTGGCGGGAAACTTTTGCAGGTCTTGAGCCAGGGCCTCCCTGAAGATAGTGGGGGAGTTCTTGAACCTTTGGGGAAGCCAGGTCCAAGTGTACTGAGTGGTGACACCTGACCCCGGATCTTCCCACTGGAAAGCAGACAATTTCTGGCTCTCAGGAGCTAGTCTGATGCTAAAGAAAGCGTCCTTCAAGTCCAGGCGGGTGAACCAGCTGTCCTCAGTACATGAGCAGCTGGCGGCAGTCAGCCTAAGTAGGGTTATGAGTCTGGATAATAGTTTAGAGCAAATTAATTAAGGCTTGAGGCTTTTTAGTATAAGCTGGGGTATTCTTTCAGTTGAGGAGATCAGCAGAGGTGAAGGGTTGATACACAAAGGCACACCTTTCTACCATATGCCCGTCCTTGTCTACCCCAGTATATCACTGCTCCGTCAGGGGCATTTGCATAGCTCGAGCACGGCCAGATTTGAGACTGCCTGCTTGACTATCTTGACTTCCTTCCCTGGCCTCTCGCGGCTCTGATCCTCCCCTTTGAGGTGAGACCTGGAGCATGTTAGCTCCTGAACCTGGTTCCTGGGGGGCTGCTGGCCTCTGTAAAGCGGGGGTAGGCTGGGACATATGGAGGGAGAATTTCTGTTACCTCTGGCGGCTCCTGCAAAACTGGTTTCTCTTGTTGTTTCTGGGATTTCTTCTTTTAATTCTGTCTGCTGGCGAAGCTGCTCTTACTGTTACTTTTTTTTTTCTTTTTTTTTTTTTGCAATAAGCTGTTAAACAGGGCTGGATCTATGCTGGTTTTGTCTATATTATGTTTAACTATGAGTCACTCTAAAGGAATTTGGTCTGGGTACACTGGCTCTGACCCCTGTCACCACCTGAAATACATGGCCAATTGTTCCCTGTCTGTAGTTATTTCTGTTGGCCATCCAACACCAAAAGAGGGCAATTCTAATTTACATTCACAGAGAGTTCTCACCTGTGAGGGGTTAGCTTAACTCTGTAATCCCCTGCACAACCTTTTTTAAGGTTCTGTAACGTGCACTTTAATAGAGTAAATTTTGGATGTTTTGATGACTTTTTTCTTATTTTTTTGTATATGTATATTTTTTAACATAGTTCCTAGCAGGGTGGGCTTACTTTCTGTCTAACTTATTTTTTATTTTTATTTTTTGAGACAAAACAACACTCACACTACAAGAAGGAAAGGGTAAAAGGTCACTCACTTGTCTAATTCACACTAAATCAAAATTAAAACCAAAGCAAGTGTCGATAAAGGCACGCCTGTTCATCAAGCAATTCAAGCCAAGTCAAAATCAAAACCAAAACCAAAGTGCCAATAAAGGCACACTGTGGGTGATCAGGCCACGCTTCCACTCAGATGGAGTGGGCAAGTTCCTAAGACCAGTCTTACCATATTCCAGATGTCCAACTCCAAGCGTCAGTTCCTTCGCAGTGTTCAGCCACTGCATTGATCCTCCGTGGGGGACTGCCATGCACCGCTCTGATGAGGTGTTCCACCAGGACAAATGCCTACCCCGGAGCGCTCTCAGGATCTGCGTCGCTCAAGCTGGCTGGAGTCCCCCCCAGGGATGCTCCAGAGGGCAGGCCTAAGCCACCTAAGGGGCTACCTCTACCATCTGTTAATTACCTCGCTTCCCGGTCAGGGAACCAAGAAATGTAGCAGGACGAGCTGCAGACAAAACCCCTCTGACACCAGGTTAAAGAAGGAAGTGGCTTTATTTGGCCAGGAGCTTCAGCAGACTTGCGTCCCAAAACCGAGCTCCCCGAGAGAGAAATGCCTGCCCTTTTAAGGGCTTACAGCTCTAAGGGGGTCCATGTGAAAGGGTCATGATCAATTGAGCAAGCATGGGGTACGTGGCTGGGGCTGCATGTATCAGCAATCAAGACAGAACAGAACAGAACAGAAAGCTTCACAATGCTTCCTTATACAATGCCTGGAATCTGTAGATAATACAGTGGTTAGGTCAGGGGTTGATTTTTAACTACCAGACCAGGCCTGGGGTGTGGCGCTGGGCTGTCTGACTATTGATCTCATTTTTGCCTTTCTTTAGCTTTTACTTCCTCTTTCTTTTTCTGAGGTATGAGACAATAAGAGAGGTGGTCTCCTTCCTTATCGTGAGAGCTGTGACAGAAGTGTATGTAGGTGTCACAGGAGCTTGGGAACAGGCGGGATCAGGCAGTGCTAGAGGTGTTAAGGGTTAAGGAGTGAGTTGGTGGAGATGTGGCTGGGGTACCAGGAGGACTTCAGGCAAAGGCACCCTGTGAGCCTGCTGTGTGTCGGGAGTCACAGCAGTGTTGTCAGAAGTGGAACTGGGATTCTAGCAGTAGCGGAACTAACACCAGAAGGCATCCTTTGAAGTCGCGTGGAGGCTTAATAAGATTACAGTCACCTGAATGTTAATTTTACTTCTTTTTGGATTTTTATTTTAATAAGTAAGGGGTTTATCTTTCTCATGTCATGTGGACTGTGGATGTCGGTGAGTCCAGAGCCTAACAAAATCATGAAAGAGCCAGAGCCCTTCATCCTACTGCTCCCCTTCCCACAGTATGGTGCTTTCGTCCTCCTGGTTGAGGTGGAAAAGGGAAGAGTGGAAAGAAAAAATGTTCTCATGAGTCTTTGTTTTTGAGTTTTTTAATTGGAAAGAATTTTAACTACTGAAAAGCTGCTTTCATCTGTAGTCACCAGCTTTGACATTATGCTGCATTTGTATGTGTTCTCTTTCTCTCTCTTTCTGAGCTGCTTGAGAATAAGTGGCAGACATTATGACCCTGCAGCCCTGAATACGTGGGCACAGATCTCCTCAGAGGTAGGATGTTCTCTTACGTAACTGAGGTCCATTGATGCAATATATAGTGCGTACTCAGACTCATGGTTTTGGTAAAATTGATTCTTAAATGATAATCTAAAAAAACTTTGCAATATTTTAATAAATTCAAGAAGCTATACCTTAAGAAATAATGTAAATGATCTATTATAGAAACAAGTTAGCCACTAGAAGATCCATCAGAACAAAACAGGAATGTAATTGATACTGCTAGTGAGAATATCTTAGTTGAACGAAGTCTAGACATGTTTTTCTTGTTCTTCTCCAAGAATAGTTTGTTTACAAGAAACAAATACCTACCGAAGTTAGCTTAAATATAAGGAGACATGTGACAAGGATATCAGGTGGCTCACAGAATCTAAGTTAAGTGAAGTCACACAGTCCACTGAAACTGGAGACCAGAAAGCTGGTGGGAAGTGAGCCAGGCAGTAGTGTTTTCCACCTCCCATTCTTGCGTGGTTTCTACATTCATAGCCAGGCTGTTCACTTCTTCTCTGTAGACTGCTTTTCCTGCCCAAGACCCTGTCATGATTGCTCTAGAGGCATAGGCTGAGCTGTGTCATCATGATGTTCTAGCTCAGCTTTCCGCATCAGCTGACATGGTTTGGGTATGCCCTTCCAAATTCCTGGGTGCAGGAAGCTCCCTTGCTTCCTGCCTGGCCTGTTCATTGGCCAGTTGTCTCTCCTTTACCTGCTGAGTGAAGCCAGAGTGGGAGGATGACCTGGGCTAGTACAGTACCTGAGGCCCATTCCTCAGAGGACTTTGAAGGACTTCCACAGAGCTGCGGCTGGACTTTCTGCCCTGTCTGCGGGGCAGTTCTCCTGGTAGCCTTGGACAGACCCAATTCTGTCTCCTTTCTCACTTGTAGTTTACAAGAATAACTGTGGATATGCCGGGAATGTAATATCCCCAGATAGGGAAGGACAGCCTGGAATAGCCTGGGCTCCATTCCACACTCCCTTCCTCCCCACAGCAGGGTGAGCTTCAGCACATTAGCCCAGCACATCATGTGGCCCCCAGGGTGTAAAACTCAGGGTGGGCTACTTCCTGGGGTCCTTCAGCTGCCTTGGAAGTGAGGCATGCACAGATGAGACTTCATCTGCCCTGGGCTGCTTTCTTGCACGTTGGGGGACTGGCTTGCCATGGATCCCAGGCCTCTGTTGTCCCTTGCTTCCTATCTGTAAGTAATAAATCTGCTTCATATAGCCTCTTGGGTGTGGGTGTTCTGTTTCTCCAAATTCAGCCAAGTTGGTAACCAGTGCACAGTGAACCTGTTTCATATTTTCTTCTTCCTCTCTTCCAAAATATCAACTTCACTTTTTTCTGGTCTGGTCATCCTAATTTTAAAGACAAAAAGTATAACTTAAAAAAAAACAACAAAAACTGGGCTGGCCAAAAAAAACATGTGGTGCTAGTCTCTTATGTTTGTTGTGGGGAGGTTTGAGGAGGGCAGCTGCTCTGGCCCAAAGGTTTTCAGCCTCTGCCCTCGAATCTCCAGCTGTCGGTCATCAGCCAAGAGCGGAACTGGAACAACAAGACTAATTGTATTAATTATTAATTTGTTCATTAAAGGTTTATTGAGCATTTGTTTTGTGTCCAGTCCTGTTCTAGGCTATGGTGATGTACGTTTCTGCCCTCATGGAGCTAGAATCTGTTAGTGGGAGGACCAACAAGTACAGAAAATGACAGCACAGTGTGTTGCATGCTTAGATAGGACCGAGCTCTGCATCCGTTGGGGAAAGATGAGTGAAGTGTTTATCTTGGTTGTGGTGAAATCAGGACTGTCTTCCTGGAGGCAGGCGGCCTGTGCTGAGGCCTTAAGCAGGAGCTGACCCATGTGATGAGGAGGAGGAAGGCAGGGCTTTGTGCTTTGCTGGCCTTCTGTTAGCTCACATTTGTTGCCCACCTCAAGGTAGCACCTAACAAATGCCGTCGAGTGGATGGCGTTGCCAGAAGGGACAAAGCAGGGGATCTGCATGGAATTCTGTTGCCTAGAGGAGCACAGCCCAGTGAAATTGTAATGCGAGCAACACAGGAGAAATGTAAAAATTTCAAGTAGCCATATTTTGAAAAGTTAAAAAAAGTGGAGTTAATTTTAATAATATTTTATTTCACCCAATATTTCTACATTATTTCAACGAGTAATCAGTGTAAAATTTTCTAATGAGATATTTTCCATTTTTTTCACACTGAGTCTGAAAAATCTGGCAAGTGTTTCACACTCAGCACAGCTGAGTCTGCATGTGCCCCCTTCCTGGGGCTCAGTAGCCACCCATGCCGAGTGGCTCTTGGCCCCTGTAAGGCTGAGGATGGAGGCTGAAGGGGTGAGTTGGGAGAGATGTGGCTGCTGAGGTAGGGGAACCTTCCTTGTCACATTAAGGAGTGAGGACATTTTCCCGGAATAATGGAAGCAATTAGAGGACTGAACAGGCGGCTACCGTGAGAAGGCTTGTGTTTGACGTCACCCTGCCTGCTGCGTGGCAAGTTCAAAGGCAAGGAAACCAGGTGGGAACTCTTAGATCACTCTAGAGATGAGGCAGTTGTTCCCTAGGTAATAATGGTGATAGCAAGGACAGAGGAAAGAAGACCAGTTTTTTTAGTTATTAAAAATATGGAAGTGACAGGACTTAATGATTGCATGGAGCTGGTGGCGAATGAGTCACATCAAGATTGGCAGTCTGGCTTCCGAACTGCAGCTGGATGTGTTCCATTGACTCACACAGGAATGTAGATGGAGGAACAGGATTGGGGTGGCACTGAGGAGTTCATTTTTTAGACACATTGAATTTTATGTTTCTGCGTTCTAGCCAAGGAGAAATTCAAAAGCTGGAAATATAGGTTTGGAGTTCAGGAGTAAGATGTAAGCTAGAGCGACATATTTAAAGTAATCAGTGGAGTGAGAGTGGAAGTCGTGGAAGGGGATGAGATTACCTGAAAAAATGTGTGTAGAACAGGAGCTCTTCACTGGGGAGGTTTTGGATTAACTCCCTGCAATTGTATGCAGTAGGAGAAGAGCGCATGCTTTCCACAGGAGTCTCAAAGAGCTGTGTGATCCAAGAAAGGCTGAGAACCACCTGCTGCCATGGACTCTGACAAAACATGGAATGGGCTGACAGAAGAGGAGTAGATTTTACCCAGGGAGGGTGGGGTGGTAGCAGTTAAGACCTTAACTGCTTAACTCTAGGGAGAACTGGCTGGAAAATTAGGTGAAAACCAGGAACATGTGCTGTTAGGGAAGGAAAGGAAAACAAGTATATTTCAGGAAGGATGGAGTAGTGGTGAGCAGTGTAAAATAAGCCGAGAGGATGAGGAAGGAAGGACTGAAAAGTATGCAGTGGGTGCAGCAGCGAGAAGGCCATTGGCCACCTGGGCCAGGTAATTGATGGAGGCAAGGCCCTGAAGAGCCAGGATGGGATGGTTACTTAGGGAAAGTAACCAGGTGGGACTGTCTACCATTAAAAGCGTGGAAAACTTTCCTGCCGATACTCCTTCTACTAGTGAGACTAAAACATCTGTCCAGACTAGCTCAGATCAACTAACTTAGCAAATACATGTTTATTGAAAGGAATTGCTAATTCAGAGGTGGGGTGAGGTGTCCAATTCATGCCGAATAAGTGTTTTCCTCATAACTAAAGATTTGACTTGTTATGGTCCAAACTTGTGATTTGGGAGTGGAAGTGGGGCTAGATAGTGGGGACGAAGCAGAGCCATTCTTTAAACATGGTCAGAGTATTCCCTGGTCTTTCTCCATGATCTTGTGTGCCACAGATAGCAGGAGGGAGCGGAGGGAGACAGTCCTATTTCAGATGATGGAGGGAAGAGAATTAGCATTATTGAGGCACTAACAAGGGATGTTATCTTTTGAATCTTTACACATCTCTACAGTAGATGGGTAGATGTTCTCCTGTTTAGAGATACTTCTCTTTTTTATGCCTTAGGGTTTCAAATATACAGAACTAACTTGGCGGTGATAGAATGCATTTGTTGTTTGAATCTCTGTTCTTCAAATAATGTTCTGAAGTTCCTCTGGGTAGCAGGGTAGAATAGTATCTATTCAGAACTTGATAGTCATGATTTACTTTAATCTTGTTGAAACCTTGTTGAAATCTCTGTCAAAATCAAAAATTTTAAGTACCTTAGATTTAAAATATTATATACTTAAAAAAATTGTTACTGTATAAGAATAGTCTTTTCATAATGTGGCAGCTAAGGACCAGTTAGTTTCCTGAAATAAATTTTTAATTTGAAGCTTTAAGGGAAAAAAGCTTCCAATTTGGAAAAAATTGTTAGAAATTATTTTGCCATTATGTCATGTTAAATGAGAGCAAATATAAAGTATGGGTATATAATCAAGGTTGATTATTAAATATAAAAGTAGATGTTAAGGGATGTCTATACAGCAGTTTACTGTTGTTGAAAGTGTTCTTATTTGTGGCATAGCACTAGAAAGAGTAACAACTTTTTCAAAGAATAGGCAACTTGTATTATGTGGCTTGTATTAATGTTTTTAATGGAATAATCTTTGGATGGTTTTGAGTATAAGTTGTGGTCTAAAATGTTTAAAACAGAGTTTTGATTTATTTTACATTTTGCTAATTAAAAATTTTGCCTAGTTTTTTCCCACTAAATGATTTCTTGTCAACGGTCAGCGCCCTTCAGACCAAATTGTTCATATATTATGCTTTTAGGAACATCATTAACATGCAGTTTGAAACTTAGAGCTCTTTATAAAGGAGAACATACAAGCAAGTCATCATACTCTGGCATTTTTCTCCCAGCTGTTTTTGTCTGTCTCCCTCTCCTTTCTTCCTTCTCTTTGTTTAAATTGTGCTAATCTCCCAGTTGGGGTAGATGATAGTATTATGTGGTCCTAATGTATTTTAACCTTGCTGACTGTCTTTTTGGGCACTCAAGATTTTCTCTGTCATATGTTGTTAAACTTTATTTTGTTGGTTCTGGCCTGATATCACAATCTGCCTTTCCACTCATCTTTGTGTAAGGGAATTAGATGGGGCATCCTAGATGACAGATTAGCTGTCAGGTGGAAATTGAGTCAAGACTGCTGCGTGCTTAGACAAACCACAGACAAACCACTGAGCAAAGTGTCTTTGTTTATTTTCTGATGCTTGTAATAGAATACCTGAAACTGGGTAATGTCTAAAGAAATGGAATTTATTTCTTACAGTTATGGAGTTTGAGAAGTCAAGGTTGAGGGGCTGCATCTGTTGAGGGCCTTCTTGTTGGTGAGGACTCTGTAGAGTCCCACGGTGGCACAGGCGTCACATGGCCAGGGGGCTGAGTGCCCGCTCATGCTAGCTCAGGTCTCTCTTCCTCTTCTAATAAAGCCACAGTCCCACTCTCATGATAACTCGTTAATCTATTAATTCATGAATGGATTAATCCGATCATGAGGGCAGAGCTCTCATGACCCAGTCACCTCTTTAAGGCCCCTCCTCTCAATACTCCCACATTGGGGATTAAATTTCAACATGAGGTTTGAAGGGGACAGATACTCAAACCATAGCAGAAAGTTTCAGAATTCCAATATTTGGGAAAAAATATTAGTTCTATTGTCATATGTCTAGATTTATTTAAGTTTGTAGGTAAGCTGTTACCTAAATATATTTTAAATCCAGGTTGACTGATCTAGTCACATATACACTGGCTTTAATGCAAGTATATCTAGTATAGGTGCTGTTATTTTTTTTTTTTTCTTGCAGACAAGGTTATGTCTCAAGGATAGTTATTTTTGTTCAAGAGAACAGTAATCGGAAGGATAGGTTCATCTAATGATGTAACAGAAACCCCAAATACCATGACTTAAATGAGAGAGAGATTTGTTTTTATCTTACATCCAGGGGTGGGCTGGGCAGACCAGAACTAGACATGCGCAGAGATCCAGGCTTCTTCAGCTCAGCGCACTGCCGTCCCTGGGGCGTGGCCTCGTCCTCTTGGCTGTCGGGGTGGGGCGGGGAGGAGGGGGAGGGGGGAGGAGGGAGGGGTGTTCCAGGCCGTGGGGAGGCTCCTGGAAGTTGCCTCTCAACACTTCCATCTTATATCGTATGGCCCTTACTCAGTCTTCTGGCCATATGTAGCTGCAAAGGAACTGGGAAATGAAATCTTTCCTCTGATAGGCTATGTGGCATACTAAGATGAAAGGGTTCTGTTATTGAGGAAGAAGGAGAGAAAAAGGATATTAGGGAACATTAGCAATCTCTTCCCCAGGAGTTATAAATCTATACTCATCTGTACTACATTATAAATAATTGCTTTGATTTTAATTCTTAGGTTTTGGGGGGCCATATGACCTACCCCACTGGCAGATAATTCAGAATGCTGTGGTTGTGCTTGGGTTTCCGGACCTTTTAATGCCCTTCTTCCTTTCAGAGTTTGAGAAAAGTCTTGTAATCCCTTGTTTGTAGGTTTTTGAAAGTTAATATTTGATAATTCGGATGGCATAGGCATTGCCCAGGATTTTTGTTTTAATGTTTGAAATGTTTAAGAAAATGAAACAACTGAAGTAGTTATACTACTTTTGTTAGCTTACTTAGAAAATAGTAAATTGTAGATTGCATTTAAATGAAATTTAATTTAATTTAAAAACTGGTTTTTGACAGAGGGGGTTGGTGATAGTAGGTCCATTCATCACCTACTTGTAAAGTTTATATTGGATTTACAAATTTAAACAAGTCTAACTTTTCTGTTTACTGTTTTGAGTAAAGCTAGAGCTAGATGGTTCATCCCACGGTGAGGCAGCAAGCACATACTGCGTTGTGACCCCATGGGAAGGACTCAACGGCCACGTGACCACGTGGAGAGCAGGCTTAGGCCTAGGAGGGTTCTGGGCAGAGAGGAGATGGGGACTGTGAACAGAAGGAGGAAGTGTGGGGGAGAGCTGTGCATGCAAACACATCCAGGTAGGGAGATCCTCACCCAGCAGGGGAATTACCAGACAGCTGGAGTCTGTTATGAAGCCAAAATAAAGTTGGAGACATGCATAGTGGCCACATCACGATAAACCATCTTTGCCTTGATGTTCTGAATTCTTTCCTGAAGGCTGTGGAAAACCACCGAGGGGTAAAATAACAGTGTCATTTTAGCAAGGCCATTTTAGAGACAGTGGTTGTGGGGAGGGTACTGGATTTTGGATTGTAAAAGACTAGAGGGAAAAGACCAGTAAGGAGGCTGCAGATCCAATCCAGCCATGGTGAGAGGTGGGATCAGGGGTGAGGAGGGTGGGAGAGATTCAGTATATGGAGGAGAGAGGATCTGTGAGACTTGTATACCAGTTGGATGTGGAGGAGAAATCAGAGGGAGGAGGCCAACAACTTCCCAGGTTTATCCTTGACATTCTTAGTTACCAAACAAAATCACACACACAAATTAAAAACCTCTGTCACCTTCTATGTAGTGTGCCAAAGTTGTATAATCTGCTTTATTCTTTTAAGTAGCTCTGAGACTCATTTCAGGTGATTATAATTCATATTGAAGAAACATCTGGCCCACGTGTTGTGGTTTGTTTTAGTTTTTGCATATCTTGTGGGAAAATGGATTCTCTAAAGAATAATTTTGTAGGCTAGGAGATTCTTCAAGTATAATTATAAAGCTGATTTAATTCACTTTCTACTACATATCATTAAAACATTGAACTAGTCTTCTAAAATATTGTTTCTTCACTGTGGATTTAGTTGAGCTTTCTTATGTTATACGCAGATTCTAATGAAAAATAACTTTAAATTTTGTTTGAGCAATTCCGCAGTTAGATTATGGAGTAGTTGGTAGGTTTAACTGCTGAAGACTTTGTCTCTACTGCTGTTGCAGCACATTTTCCTTTAGGAGAAAGATGCATCCTTTTCCAGGTCTAACTCTCCTGTAGGACTCTTCAACTACCGTTTATTCAACAATCATCGATTTCTTAGTTTATACCAGGAACTGATCTGAAAAGTGGAAGGTGATATAAATGGGACACCATCTCCACTGTCATACGCTCTCAGTCTTTCTAAATATAATTCAAGAAAAAGAGGTCTGCAATAAGTCTTAAATGTGGACTTTGCTTACGTGCTATCTTTGTAATAAATAGAAAATAAACGTTCTTATTAGAAGTCCTCATAACTGCACAGGCATTTCTCCCACACTGCACGTTGCATAACTGGATCTGTATGTAGTGCAGTTGGCTAGGGTCATGCCCTGTGTTGTGCAGGCTGCTTTTGATTATAACCACTTGCTGATCAGGAACCAGCATTTAAAAGGTAAAGGAGTGTTTGCTGCCAACTCCAATGCTTTGAGTGGCTCAGTGCGTTGCCTGCCCATCATAACCACACGTTGGAAAAGCCATGAAGCACAGAAGATGCTGCCGATCTGTGACAGGGCTGGTAGTAGCAGGGGAAGAGGACAACTCTTGAGCATAGCCAGAGATAAAGAAACGCACACTTTGTTTAGTGGCATTTAGATTTTACAGCTTGTTAAAAAGGAAAAGATTTGATTAGTGGAATTCCTGTAGGAAAAAATAACTTTGTTATTGCAAATTTTACATAAATTGCTTTTAGAATACACTCTTTAACGCAATTTCTTTTAAAATGTACATTTTTGTTTCTTAGGACTACAACTCCTATAAATAGACTCGAATAGACTTTTAGAATCACTGATCTCTTTTTCCTTTTTAATTTCATGGATCACCTCTTTAGGGAGACTGCTAATCTATTAGTCTTTGAATTCAGATGCTGTTAGAAGGTGAAGTGTCTAGTGATTATGAAAATATGTTTGAGAAAATAAATTGAGGATTTGCACTGTGATGTTCTTAATCTTTTTTATTCTCCCAGCTGTACAATAATATGTCTCCACCCAGTGAGAGGTAGAATAATGTACCATGAGGTAGTACTATTAGTCGTTAAAACTATGAATTTTGAAATTAGACTTGGTACCAGTACACTCCCCACTAATCTAGTTGTCCTAACCTTACAACATGTCAGTTATCATTGCTAAACTCGAGTTACGTATCTATAAATTGGGCTCATCTGTACCTTTATGGGTATTCTTGTGAAGAGTACATAAGAAAATGTATGTCAAGCAGCTAGTGCAGTGCTTAGTAACTAGCAGGCACTAAAAAATGGTACATATTGTGATGTTAAATACTGTTTTTCCTAGGCTGACATAAAAATACTGTAGAAAGAGTTGGACTATATAGTACTTACTCTTGGAATTTAAATGTTTTTGTAAATTAGATACAGATGAGAGAGGGCACTGTGGTTTTTATATGGTTCAGCTGTTATGTAGGAAAAACAAAATTTGTTTTTTTTCAGTTCATAAAAACAAAGTTTGCTTTGAGTTCAAAATCATGATAAAAGCCAGAGGAATCGCTAAATTTATAACTAAACTATAGTGAGTTAGCATTAAAGAAAGCAGAGCTATGTAAAATTATTGATGATTTATTTTTCCCCTTTACCAAATATAAATCTGTATTATAAACAACTATAAAGTTTATATTTTCTAAGATAAATTGTGTTTATATATTTAGAAAAGAATAGTTTGTTAATGATTTACATTATACCAGCTTGTTTTCCACAACAGGATAGGTAAAGATTAAGAAACGTAATTATGACTCAGTTGTAGTTTTAATGATCGTTATGACAAACCCACAGAAGTAGGCTATAGAATTCCAAGAACATTATGATTTTAGTTATGAAAAATTTGCACACTAAAGGAAGACTAGAGAAAACAGTACAAAAATGCTGCTAACAGTGGGTTTTCTACTTGGCTTTGTGGACAGGCAAGGCCAAAAAAGGAAAATAAAAGAGACTTAGTAGTTTTCATTGATTAATATATTTGTCAGTAGAAAATCACTTTTTTCCTATCACTAAGTTACACAGCTGAAGTTACCATGTGTCAAGTTATATAGGTAAAGTTAGCATGTTGAAACACTATTATAGTCAGTGTCTTCAATTATAGTTTTAAAGAAACATTTGTAATGTTTGAGTCTTTAAGCAACTAAATACACTGTGAAGGTAAGGCATTTGATTAGAATGGGTAATGGTCTTCCTGTTGTTTGAAGAGTTACTATAGCTAAGTAAGTGCTTCCTGGTGCCCTAGCTCCTAGCAGAATAGAAGCTAGATAGTCAGTCACCTTCAGAATGCCCCTGTCAAGCCTCAGGCACCTTGTGCCTTGTGGGAAGTGGAAGTCAGTTTTTCAGTGTTTCTTCATCAGATGTAAACTCTTTTGCAGCAGTATGATCTCTTTTGTGAGCCGTTTATGTACTTGGGTTTTTAAAAAGGGGAGTAGGTTTTCAGACTGCCCTTTTTTCAGTTTCAGAGATGTTGAGATCCCAGGAGATTTCAGGTGTGGATGAAGTTAAAGAGAAGAAAAATATTGCACCTCACAAATTTTGCATCTTAGGTGGCAGAAGCAAAGATTTAATGTCACATTCCTATAGATTGCTTGTATAAGTCAGGCACCTTTTGACTGAATTATAAGTTGAAATTTTATTGTATTGATCTTCATGTATTGAGGATGACTCAATACCCAGATTAATTCACAAAAGATCTCCTTGCATCCTTTGTTCTAGATATATTATTATCCCCTGAGGTAAAATCTATACTAGTTTTTGCTTTTGCCTGACAGTAGTGTAATTTTAACCTGAAGAAATTTTTCACACCCACTTGTTGTTTTCTAATTTATGAAAAAGGAAGTGTCTGCCTTCTGCACCTTTCTGAGCTCTTACTGGAAGCCAGGCAGCTCTGGAATAGAATAGGACCAGAGCCCTGAGTAGGCGCTTTGCTCACTTAGCTCTTGGGCAAGTTAATGAAGTTTTCTGAGGCCCTGTTTCCTCTTTTGTAAAAGGGAGAAGATATTAATAATACCCAGCTCACAGGGTGCTCTAAAATGAGAGGGGAGAATGTGTGGGCATACCTGTGATAAAGCTTCCATGGTGGCTCGGAACGCGGTCCAGATGGCAACAGCCATCCTGTGTTCCCAGCTTCAGGCCCTCGATGGCAGGACCCCCTGTGCCTGGCACAGAGGATTCAGAGGCAGGCTTGTGTCCCCCAGTCTTGGGAATGTTTTCATTGACTACATAATGTCATTCGACATTCAGGGGAGCAAGCTATAGTATTTTATAAGCTGGCCAGGTGCAGTGATCCTAGCACTTTGGGAGGCCAAGGCAGGCAGATCACGAGGTCAGGAGTTCGAGACCAGCCTGGCCAACATGGCAGAACCCCATCTCTACTGAAAATACAAAAATTAGCCGAGCGTGGTGGTGCGTGCCTGTAATCCCAGCTACTCGGGGGGCCAAGGCAGGAGAATCACTTGAATCTGGGAGGTGGAGATTGCAGTGAGCTGAGATCACACCATTGCACTCCAGCCTGGGCAATAAAGTGAGACTCAGTCTCTAAAAAAATAAAAATAGAATAAAATACATAAAAGCCAAGTTCGAAGGAGTGGATTTTCCCCAAAGTTCGTATAGGTTAGGTGTTTTTAATACCCTTTTCAGTGGAGCCACAGTTCAGTTCCTCCTGGTATGTTAGAAAGCCATCTAACACCCCACATGCCATAACAAACAACAATTTCAAGAAAGCTTGAGGAGGAAATTGTATTCTTCTTTCCATGAATCCTGTCTGGGCTCTTCTCTTGCTGGGCTTTTGGCATTTTGACCTACAATACTCAAACCAGGCTCACAAAGTTCCACCTGGGGCCCCTGATGTGCAGGTTCTTAGTTGGACCCTTTTTCATCTATATGAGTCCTTGTTCTTCCCCCAAATCCAAATTACATGAACTGTCAACTAGGCAGAAGAAAGGAGGTGCTGATTTTTCTATGTGTCACGTACTTAGGTCAGGAAGAAGTAGATGCCTCCGGGCTACCTTGTATGTACGAATAAACGAGAGTGAGCCTGGCCGGGTATGGTGGCTCACGCCTGTAACCCCAGCACTTTAGGGGCTGAGGCAGGCATATCACTAAAGCCCAGGAGTTAGCGTCCAGCCTGGACAACATGACGAAACCCTGTCTGTACAAAATATACAAAAATTAGCCAGGCATGGTGGTGAGCACCTGTAGTTCCAGCTTCTCAAGAGGCTGGGGTGGGAGGATGGCTTGAACCCAGGGAGGTCAAGGCTGCAGTGAGCTGTGACTGCACCACTGCACTCCAGCCTGGGCAATGGAGCAAAACCCTGTCTCAAAAAAAAAAAAAAAAAAAAAATTGTGTAGGAGAGGATGTTACCTGTAATTTATATCTTTGACCAGGAAGAAAAAAATGAATGGAAGATGGTAGGGTGGAAGCTGTGGCTGCATGTGTCTTTACGTTCTCTGCTGGAACAGCGCACCTGTGCTAGGTTTTACTGTCCTACTTTGGCCCCACTTCAAGAGTGTTTCTTTTGTGAAGAAATCAATTATCTTCACCACTTGTTGTCTGCTAAGTATTAGTGAAGTCTGATATGGGGAATGAACTACCCTCAGGCCTCTGGAAGGGATGGAGCAGGTGGGAGCCTGTCTGTGACCAGACGCACAGGACCCTTTGTGATAACTTACCAGTTCCCTGCCTGAGCTCCTGGAGGCTTTCCCATACATTCTTATTAGTCATTTTTGGAAACTTACATTTAGAAGTTGGTCCTTGACATTGGTGCTTTAGGGAGAGAACCACGTCTTACTGTCATTGGAGAGTGGCACAGTGTCTTTGAGTACACTTTTAAAATGTTTTCTAAGGCTCCACACTAAAGAGTCTAAAATTGAAATATTTGAAGACCTCCTTAAAATGAAGCATATCTAACTTCAGGCTTGATTTCTCACATATATGTAGGAAAAATATATTTATAAGTTCTGGAAATTTGCCATAAATATTATTACCTCCACCACCAAGAAAACAAATCTGTGTGACCACAAATGCTCCCAAGTTGCAGGCATTCCCAGAGGAGCAGCATTGATAGTGACTGTAAACTCTTGTTTTTCCTGTCTAACAAAGATGATAGGATGGCTTCCCTTTCAGCCTTTGCGTGAACTTAACTTCTGGTTGGAAATAAGATCCCATTGTCTAAATTATGTCAGCGTAGTTCCTGGTAGCACAAGAATATTAAACACTTTAATGTGACATCCAAAATTAATGAGTCAGTTATAAGAACTTTCCTTGAAGGATGGAAAAGATCATAACCCATTTTCATGTCCTGGGATGCTTCATTCAGTCTCATGGTATTAAAAAATGAACAGCCTTTGGATTGGGGGGAGTGGTGCGTGACACTTCACATGCTCTGGGCCACCAGTTCCTCCTCCCTGCTGCTCCGCCACTGCGTGACATTTCCTTCTTGTCCTCATTCCCAGTGCTTCTGTCTTTTCTGTCTTAAAATCTTTGCTGCTTTGGCCTAGGCGGCAGTAGCAGGGGGAGAGCAGCTCAGGTGAAATGCTTGCCCTCTTCTGGACCACTGTGGAGAGAGGCGGAGTCATATTTACCTGTGTACATCGGTGGCCCCCAAAGGTGGTTTCTTGGCGATGCTCACACAGTTGATAGGCGATAGGCAAGAGACGATGGTATTGACAGTGTACCTGATGCTTGCAGCCCAGCCAGGGCCTCCATACCCAGTGCCTCCTAGAGCCCCCATGGGAATACCCAGGAGGTCATGGAGCTGGAACGTAAACCCACGTCTCTATTCCAAAACTCATGCTTTTTTATAAGAGGAAAACTTTTAAATAGTTTTTTCTTAAAAAGCCTCTTTTTCTTCTTCCTAATTGGTTCTAAAACAAAAGTTTCGGCAAGTGCCTCAAAGGAAAATAGGGACAAGATTGTTTTCTGTCCTGGAATTCACAGTGGTGTCTGTATGTACTTTAGAGCTAAATATGCACATACTGTGGGCACATGCTTATTTTCTGAATGAGAGTGCTCTAAAAGGATTGGGGACCACTGCTCTGAGCCCCATTGCCCCATCTGTGGAGTGAGTGCTGCTACTCAGCTCCTGGGATTGTTCTGTGGTTCTGGGCTGACCGTCTCTGTGTGGGCTTTAGACTGTGCTGGTGCAGAGTGAGTGCCCCAGACCAGTAGCTCCTGATGGTGTGGGGACTCCCAATGCTACTTTTGGTGATTTATTTTCACGTACTCTTGTGTCATCCCAGGGTGAAGATACACATATTCTCTAATAGCAGGACATTTGTTTTTCATTTATGAGGTCATTCAGAATCGTAATTGAGGTGATGTTGAACTTCTTAGATTGCAGAAATGGCAGTAGCAGTAAACAAGACCTTTATCTGAACAGGAAAGTAGTCTTTCCCCAGGAAGTAATTACATTTCCTTGTAATCACCTGTTTGTGTAATCGTAATAACTTTACAAGTTATTCATAAAAATAGGAGAATGACTAGTTTGTCTTTGTCATAACTTGTTTGTGTATGATACATGAAGTAGAATTCATACAGCACAAGTACTTTGGAAATTTGGAAAAGTTTAATTTTCTAGGACTTTTTAGTTATTTTTGGATGTTAAAGTAAGTATATATGACAGTGCATAATGTGTTTCAATTTTGGAAGTGATTCTTTGCTATTGAAATTCTCATTCTCCTTACTTCATTCTTTTTTTTCAGGGAATACCTTGGCAAGCAGCTCCAGTCCGAGCAGCCCCAGACCGCTGCCGCCCGAAGCTAAGCCTGCCTCTGGCCTTCCCCTCCGCCTCAATGCAGAACCAGTAGTGGGAGCACTGTGTTTAGAGTTAAGAGTGAACACTGTTTGATTTTACTTGGAATTTCCTCTGTTATATAGCTTTTCCCAATGCTAATTTCCAAACAACAACAACAAAATAACATGTTTGCCTGTTAAGTTGTATAAAAGTAGGTGATTCTGTATTTAAAGAAAATATTACTGTTACATATACTGCTTGCAATTTCTGTATTTATTGTTCTCTGGAAATAAATATAGTTATTAAAGGATTCTCACTCCAAACATGGCCTCTCTCTTTACTTGGACTTTGAACAAAAGTCAACTGTTGTCTCTTTTCAAACCAAATTGGGAGAATTGTTGCAAAGTAGTGAATGGCAAATAAATGTTTTAAAATCTATCGCTCTATCAATCTATGTCTCTATGCAGCTCTCTGTTCATCTATATATCATCTGTGTATCTACACACACAGACACTATTAGTAGTAGCACAGCTGTAAAATCTTAGTTTTTAACATGATACTGTGGTTCAAAAGATTTGCTTTTGGAGTTCAGTGAGAAGTTTTAGCATTAGATTTATTTTCAGTACTTTTATCCTTGGTTTTTAGTGCCTTAAGTTTGTTTTGTCTTAATACATTTTGGTTTAAGCATTGCCAATATATATTTTATTCTCTCCCCTTTCGTTTCTAGAACCACATCCCTTTAGCAGTACATACATGGCATGCAGGCCTCCTCTGAGGCTTTTGTTTTTGAACCACGTCAGCTAATCTCTCTGAGTCTCATTTTTCATTCATTTTCATGTTTTTTCACTTTTTATTCCTAGCAGTTCTATGAATGTTGAGTAGATGTGCTAAAGCTAATAAAACATTTATTCTAGTAAGTTTTTTCTCCTATAGAAAGCCACTCGTAGAATCCATCTCCTGTTTAAGAATCGAAGATTGTTTCATTTTCAACATAGAAATCCTATGGAAGAAATTAGTTAAAATGATGCATAAATTAGTCAATGGGTTCATATGACTTGAATGATTTTCCTTAAAGGGGTTCATGTTTGCCAGAATAGAGGTAGTGTGATCAAACCAATTTTTTCTTTTACTAAAAGTTTAAAAATTGCTTATGTGTAGTTTACTTTTAGAAACATGGAAAATCATTAAATAGAACGTTTCTCATAGTAATTACAGATACTACATTAGCAGAAGATCAGGTTTCATGTTAATATATTAATGGTCTGTAAAATTTTTAGGATTTTAAGGCACTCAATTTCTAGAAGTCCTAGTAACCAGAGACACGGCCATCTTCTGAATTTCGTAAGAATACATGGATTGTTTGGTGTCATAGTTTCTGATTTTAGTTTCATTTTGCACAGCCCTATAGTTCTAAAGTAGAAATCAGTGACAATTGTTCTTGCAGAAAGTATTAGTGCTTTAGTTCCTAAGAAGTGCTTTTGTACATGGGAAGCAACACTCCCATGTAATCATGCTTTAATTTTTTTTTTTTTTTTACCTTACAGCTTGCATATTTATTGAACAAATACTACTAAAATAGCTAAAATACATTGGGTACTTGTCATGAGTGCATCGGTAAAGATCACACTGTTACAAAAGCCTGCATTTTCAGCAGTATACAGCTGCAACTCTACATAAATGCCACAGATGCAGAATACTGTTTTCTTGCTCTATTTACACAGCTGATATACCTATTCTAACAAAGGAGGGAGAGGAGTAATGCACAAGAAACTCAGGCCAATGGGGGAGCAAGAAGAAAACAAAGAAGTGCAGTGCATGCGTCATCGGTGTTTAACAGTCAGAAGCGAAACAGTTCAGAACAAGGCCTGCCCTGTCAAAAGAAGAGCTAAAAGACAGTTATATAAAAATTAAGGTGGGCTTTCAGACTGGCTAACACAACAACATTCCATGAGTAGATGGTAATTTATTTTTGTTTATCCATTTCGTTGGGAGCAAGGACAAAGATGTAAATCTACACCTTGCTTATCAAAATTGCCAAAAAAGAATGCTCTGCCTTTTAAAAAAGTACCATGATTTTGTAGACATTGTTTTCCAATTTAATATTTGGAAAAGGTGTCATTTTCATATTCCTACTCAGATGCCAGTGTTTTGGGTTTTTTTCAGGGGGAATTTATTTAAAAAGGTTTTGCTCTTTTTTTCCACAAATACCGTTTCAAACAGAAAGAACCCAAAGAGACACCTCAAAATGCCTGTAAAATTATTGCTTTTCTTTCTCTAAGTCAGGCAGGCGAGGCAACGGAAAGGAAGAGATTTGGTAAGTAAATTACAGTTTTGTGATTGCTCCCACTACCGTGACTGCATGTCTGTGGGTGCCAGCCGACGAGACAATCGTCTCTCACACTCTGGTAGCATTCACTCAACCTACAACACTGAGGAAGAAAGCCACACTGAAGACACAAGGAAAACAAGTCAATCCAGTCTAGAGAACAACATTCAGGGAAACAGAGTACCAACACCTTCTTAGAACATGGAAATAAAAAATAACTCCATCAGAGCTACCTCGCCAAGGAGCATGTTGAAAGTCCAAAATAGCACCATTCATCAGTGTCTCAGGTCCTGTGGCAGCATCTCGGTCAGTTACCACAAGGAAACAATGAGTTTCAAACTACTTCTATACATCAAAAGAGTACATGGATAAAATATAGAGATATACAGACAATTGCATAAACTACTAGGTTTGTTACATTCTAAATGAAAAAAAAAGGGGGGACTCAGGAGTGGACCAGTTGTGTGAGCACGGTGGGAGTTTGAGTTGTGGAAGACGTTGTAGCGAACCAGGCCTGAAGGCCCACCTGTAAGGGTTGTAAACGTGGATTCACGGTGTGAAATTCTGAGCATTTTCACTTGAGTCAGAATGATTAAAAACTGGTTTGATGATACCTATTTGTCCACTGTAAATTCTCTAAAGCAAGGCTCAGAGTCACATAGTTTCTTCTTATACTTAATGATTTACACAGAAAAAAATCCCATATATAATACCATGACCTCATCAATACCCATACACCATATGTAATACAAATGGAGGTGTTACGATTAAAAAAAGTAGAGGTAACTGATTCTTGGGGAGCGGAGTTCACTGCTGCCCATTGGAGTCAGGGAGGCAGCGTTTGTCTCATTGTTCTTCTTGCGGTTCACTTTCTTTGGGACAGGAAGTCTTCCCTTAGGAAACCTTCCCTCCATGTCCTTGTTTGGAAATGGTTCTTGACTGACCCAAAGAGTTCTGGGTAGTAAACCATTTTGAGAAGCTTAGTCTTGGGCTTCTATTCTCCCTGTTTTCAGTCCAGAGAGACCAACAGACAAAAGCCCCGCTCCCTGTTCACTCCCTCTCCTCTCTACACTCGGCAGGAATCGGCGAGCGGCCAACAGGCGCGCGCGCCCCGACACCCCGCACCCGCGCCCGGGCGCCCCGCTCGCCGCGCCGCCCCAACTGCACCGCGCGGCGCCCCGGGGAGACAAAGCGGACCTGCTGCTCTGCGCCCCGGCCAATCATGCTTTAATTATTATCTCGTATATTAAAATTAATTCCCTCGAGGTACGTTTTTTCCACCTTAAACCTTTACACCCAACTTACAGAGCATACAACAGTCATGAAAGGAGTCACTTTCATTTTTCCTTTGCTTATCAATGTTTTTGATTAACATTCAATGCTTAAACCCTCCTTAAACTATAATACCACCTACATGTTCAATTAAACTGCAGACACCTAATGGAGCAGACTTATAATATGACAAACCAAATCTTAGAAATTGCTTATGAGTCAAATGCAGGTAACTCGACCTAGGGATACAGGTAGTAAAAATACTGTTAAGCATTTTTAAGCATCTTTAAATCAGCCTAAACAAAGAGCCCAGTTATTACAAAATGTGTTATTACACCTGTGTAAACACAATTTACACAATGTGATCAGTATAGGATTGTTGAGTTTCATTTTCTCTATACTTATTTTGACATTTTCCTTGGTTTCATAAGTCCTCATCTAAGCAAGACCAGGACCGGGCATTTCAGGCCAGCCACGGTTAATGGAGTAAAACTGCTATGGATCACAGAACTGAGGTGACACTTTGTGGTGACCGTGTGAGGCTTTCACAGGGGCTAAACAACAAACCTTGAGACTGGCAGTCTTAGGACCTGGGTGTGACAATCCAGATGCTGGTGGGGTACATTTCTTTTTGTGGTCAGTCTCCACCTGCGCCCGCTTTATTTTTTTATTTTTTATTTTTTTTGTCAGTTGAGTTAAAAGTCCATGCTCTTCGACTGGGTTTGAATCCGTCACCTACGTGTCTCTTTTTTGCAAGCCGGTATATGAGGGAGCTTTCTAAGTTGTTGGATATTGCTCATCTCAGTGACATATAAAACCCTGAGTTAAGTATTGTATGCCTTCTCCAATAGGAGGCAATTTCTTCCCTTTCTGTCTTAAAATCCTATTGTGTCTCATTGACCCTCTGTTCTCAATTTGTCAGGAATAATGTCACTAAAAATACACTGGGAAAAAAAACAATGTAGAGTTGAGGTATTGTTTTATTGGCTTTTTTTTGTTGACGGCATAATAGGTTATACAAAGTTTACCAGTAACCAAACTAAATAAACCAATTGCTAAAATATCCAGTCTCAGCAGGTATACATAGTACCTTTTAAAAAGAAAACTTTTGATTTTTAGATTTTGAGAAGCATACAGACATTCTCATAAAAGGGAGAATGAAATTATATCTTGCTTTCTTAGAAAACTCTTATTTTGGGTCTTGTTGACTCTAATTTTTAAAAAGATGCATGTTTTAAAAAGATGCACCTCCCGTTGGCAGGTGAAGCTCATTCCCACACATCGTTCCTAGCCAGGCACAAATAGTAAATTTACAGAATGTCTCCAGTTAAAATTTTTTTCTACTTTCTATTTAGCCGCATCAGAGTAATTGGTGTTAATTTTCATATAATTAAAATTTAAATAATTTCTAACCTCTAGCTCTTAAATCTTGGAAAGCACAGATCCAAATTTTGATGCATTTGATTTATCTGAAAATTAAAAGTTCTCTGTTCTCATTCTTTGCCTTTGAAAATGAGAATATTTTAGACTAAATTTTGAAACCACTCAAAGTTGGTAGATGGCAAAGTTACTTCCCAAATACGAACCTTGTGATGAAATCTCTTTTTGGTTTGAAATTTCTCTCTTGTTTTGCTGTACAAAATGTTCTGTTCTGGTTAAGAGATGTGCCTTTAACTTTGTGAACAAATTTCCAATGAAAAAGTCAGTTGGAAAGAAGAAGGAGCTGTAAATAATTTTAAATTCCTTTAGCATTGTATGCACATCTGACACGAGTTCCCTTCTCTTTTAGTTCTTAGAGTGTTGATTACTCTTCCAAAAATAGGATAAAAGTGGAAGAAACACTTCCGTGATTGAAGGAATACTAGTCTGAGATGCTTTTATCTTTCAGTACTATGTAGACCTGTGTCTTTTTCCCTTTACAAAGGAGGAAAAAATATATCCAGGAAGTCGGTTGAAAGAACCAATCTACAAAGAACACCAAATAATAATGTTTGTAACATGTAGAAATAAAATATTTGAAACAATAGCACAAAGGTTGCATGGTGAGGCAACGAACTTCTGCTCTTGTTAAGACAGCAGATTACATTAGATAGGAAGTGATATAACAGGAATATGAAGTAGACTGTGATAAGGATATGTATTTAATTCCCTAGAGCAACCACTGAAATGATAAACAAACTGAAATTGCAAGGTATAGCTAGCTAAAGAGCCACTGATGGAGATAAAATTGAATACAAAGAATACTTGATTAACCCAAAAGAGTGCAGGAGAAGAACATGGGAGAGAGAAGACACACAGAAAATGAGTAGCAAGGAGGCTGGGCATGGTGGCTTACGCCTGTAATCCCAGCACTGTGGGAGGCTGAGATGGGTGGATCACCTGAGGTCAGGAGTTCGAGACCAGCCTGGCCAATGTGGTGAAACCCTGTCTCTACTAAAAATACAAAAATTAGCCGAGCGAGGTGGCATGTGCCTGTAATTCCAGCTACTTGGGAGGCTAAGGCATGAGAATCGCTTGAACCCAGGAGGCGGAGGTTGCAGTGAGCCAAGATCGCGCCACTGCACTCCAGCCTGGGCAACAGAACAAGACTCAGTCTCAAAAAAAAAAAAAAAAAGAAAAGAAAAGACAAAAAATAAGTAGCAACAAAGTAGACTTTAAGCCCACCAATAACAATAGCTACAGTAACTGGCAAGGATCCAGGACTCCTGCCCTTAGGCATCCAGAATTGTAAGTGTTTCAGCATGGCCACCTCCAGGAAACTCATTGTTTCTAGGTCTCAGATTTGTGGAGAGGACGTTTTCTGGCGTGCTACATGGCTTATTTCTGTCACCACTCCCAAACACCCAGCTCTTCACAGGCTGCTAATAGAGTGGAAAAAGCAGAAACCTGTTATCATTTGTTCACCAACTCTCCTGCTACCAAAATTTTCCTGAGAGCATTTGCTGTCATCTTGTTTTCTTTGTCCTCATGGGCTCATTCCTTCTGTTTTTCTTTTGTTTGTCCCACCCAACCTTTTTTAAAAAATCCCTTCTAGCCTTTCAAGTGGGGTTGCAGAGGAAGCAGAAATGAATATGTGTATTTAGTTCATCATGATTAAACTGAAATCTCAAAGGATTTTTTTGTTGTTTTTGTTGTTTTTGAGATGGAATTTCGCTCTTGCCACTCAGGCTGGAGTGCAGTGGCATGATCTCGGCTCACTGCAACCTCCACCTTCCAGATTCAAGCGATTGTCCTGCCTCAGCCTTCTGAGTAGCTGGGATTACAAGTGCCTGCCACCACGCCCAGCTAATTTTTGTATTTTTAGTAGAGATGGGGTTTTGCCATGTTGGCTAGGCTGGTCTCAAACTCCTGACCTCAGGTGATCCACACACCTCAGCCTTCCAAAGTGCTGGGATTACAGGCGTGAGCCACCGGGCCCAGCCTATAAGGTGGTATTTTTAATCATTGTTGATGTATAAGGTCCATATTAGAATAAGCATAGATTAAATTTGGGAATAAGGGGGGGCAGATGTACCAGAGTATATGGACTCGCAGTTGAAAAGATTATAAAGGCCATTCATTCCAACAATGCTTAGCATCTGCAGTTGTGAGAATTAAAATTAGTGTGAGTTGAGGATTACAAACAATTTGTAACAATTATACGTAGTTTAATATGATAATTTCATGTAGCAGGTGAATATCCTGCTTCTACTTGATTGATGCCAGCAACAGGCAACCTGTCCAGTTAGAATGTTTCTCATTTTGAACCAGCATCACTTTCTGGTAATTTTCAATATTTGAGCCAAATCCTACCTTTGGAATATAGAACAAGGTTAAATTTAACAGTCTACTTTTAAAAATGTTTATTCTAAAACCATAATTGTTAATTTTTGTCATGTAAAATATTTCTATTTCAATGCTAAATATTTTAGGTCACATTTTAGGTTAAGGTTGCATATTTAATTATCTACAGCAACCATGAAACAATAAACTGCAATTACAAGGTAAAGCTAAAGAGCCATTAGTGGAGATAAAACTGAATATGCCTTATTTTGGCATAAGGAGGTGAGGCAAATGTGTGTCATGTGATGTCAATCAGACCATGTGGCTGTGACCCGCCTCCTGAAGTGTTTGGAGAAACGATCACACAAGTGAGGTTTTGAGTTGGCTGGTTGCTGCAAAACGATCATACAACACAACGTCTGTGTGTGCTGGACTTGACCCTCTGAGGGCCAGCCCTCTGGGGGGCAGCCATGCCCTTCATTGCCCTTGAAGGAGTGGGCTTGGCTGGGCTTTGTGTGGCGCTGTCACCCAGGTTGCTCTGTGACCCTCCGTGCCAGCACTGCTGGCTGGATCCTGACCCACAGGTATCAAACAGGGCATGACCCACAGGCAGGGCCTGACCCACAGGCAGCAAACAGGAGATGCTGACTGTCGTCTCGGGTGGCCTGCTGAAAGATGCACACAGAGTGCATTTTGTATGGAGTTAATTCCCACTGGCAGAGGAGAAGGTGCTGCAGTGAAGCTTGCATGATGAAAGAAGAGACAAGCTTGTCTGGGAAAAACATTTTTGGTATTTGTAAATGGAAGGGTCAGGCCAGTTATGAAGGAGAGTGAAGTATGCAAGGTCAGAGTAGAAAGAGTTCCAAATCCTTCCTGGCCATCCAGGTAGGTTTATTCCCTTGTCAATCCACCCTTCTTTCTACAGGCCCATCTGCCCGTCCATCTGTCCATTCACTCATCCTTCCCCTGCATCATCTTATCATAGTTCTGTTTTATTGCTACTGAGACCTCAGTGCTTCAGAGACATTTCAGTGATTGTGAAGATGAACTTGTTGGTCTCCAGTCTTCTTAGGCTGATTAAAAGGTGGACTTTCTGACCTAACTCCTGAATACAGTGCTTTATCCCAGTGAGTGTCCAGTCAGCCTTGCCTGGTTGAACTGACTTCCAGGTCCCTCTCTCCAGGAGCTCTCCCCACCTGAGACAGAAACCCTGGCCTCCCAGAGCCTGCCACCCTGCCCAGAGGTGACCGGGCCTCAGTGGACCCTCTTCCAGGGACTTGCAGTTGGGATCTATTCAGAGATATAAGTCTCTGTGCTGTAATACAGCGGTCCCCAACCTTTTTGGCACCAGGGACTGGTTTTGTGGAAGACAATTTTTCCATGAACTGGCCAGGAGGGGGATGGTTTGGGACGATTCAAGCACATTACATTTATTGTACACTTTATTTCCATTGTTTTTACCTCATAATACATAATGAAATAATTACACAACTCACCATAATGTAGAATCAGTGGGAGCCCTGAGCTTGTTTTCCTGAAACTAGATGGTCTCATCTGGGGGTGATGGGAGATAGTGACAGATCATCAGGCATTAGATTCTCATAAGGAGCATGCAACCTGCATCCCTCACATACAGTTCACAATAGGGTTTGCGCTCCTGTGAGAATCTAATGCTGCCACTGAGCTGAGAGGAGGTGAGGCTCAGGCAGTAATGTGAGCAATGGGAAGTGCTTGTAAATACAGATGAAGCTTTGCTCACTCACTGCTCACCTCCTGCGGTGCAACCTGGTTCCTAACAGGCCACGGTCCGTGGTGGAGGCGGGGGTGGGGACCCCTGGTGTAATAGACTCAGGTGCTGTGGGCACCCATATTGACTTTGATACAATGTCATTCCTTATTTTGATGTAATTTCACACATGCAGAAAAGTAGCAAGAAGAGTAAGAAGAGCTCCCGTGTGCCTCCCCTTGGGCCCATGCTGGCTTTATTGCTGATGTTTTATGATAACTTGTAAGATCTGGTAGGCCCATCTCTGATAACTTTTTTCCCCTTAACACTTTTTAGAATTTTTATTTTTTGTCGGTTCCTTTTTCTAGATGAGATTTGAATTATTTTTTCAGGTCTTAAAAGATTCCATTGAGATTTTGATGCGATTTATTTTAATCTGTACATTAATTTGGGAAGATTTTTATAGTACCAACTTTTCCCATCCAAAAAAATTGAATGTGTCTTCATTTAGTCAATGTGTCTGAAGTTATTGGAGTTTCAGCATATAAATTCCATGAATTCTTGTTAAAGTGATTTCTACTTGTATTTTAATTTTTTTGTCGTTGTGAAAGGAGTTTTCAATATATTTTCTAACCACTATTGCTAGCATATAGGAACATTATTTATAATTATATATAAATAGTTATCCTGTATCTAGTCATTTTTCCATATTATTATTAACTTTAACAGTTTTTAGTCTTTTTTTTTCTGGGTATACAATTACATATTCTATAAGTAATGACAGTTTCATTTCCTTTCCAATAGGAATGCAATTCACTTCTGTTTTATGTTAGTAACAGAGAGATCTAGGCTCAGTAAGCTCTGCCTCATACTGTGAATTCGATATTATCAGATTTGTTTAGACTTCAGCTTCATTGACTGTAAAATAGAAAAATGACAGTACCTATGTCATAGAGTTGTGAAGGTTAAGGAACACTCTGTACATAAATAACAAGCACTTAAAATGTTCCTTATTAGTTATCGTATTGGTCTGAATTCACAGGACATTGCTGCTTAGTGGGGCATCTTTTGTGGCGCTTAATTTTAAAGGTGATGCCCGTGGTGTTTCACTCTTATGCAAGATACAACTGTCGGTCTGAGATATTTATGTGAAGGAGAGATACAGCTGCTCCTGGTCTACTTTGAGTTGAGTTTTCTCCCCATCAGTGATAGATGTTGAATTATCTCCATGCCCTTGTGGCATCTATTGAAATAATTCTGTAGACGTTCATATTTGACTTATCGATGTAATCTCCTAAGGTGACCTCCAAATTAATCTATGAGTTTCCTAATACTAAGATACCTTTACAATTGTTGAATAAATTATATTTGCTCATGGAAAATTATTATTATAATATACAAATAAATTCTGTTCATATTTTCAAATCCTTAATCTATGATTAGTTTATTGTCAATGCCTCTCAGCTTTGGCCACTTGCCCATTTATTTTATTTTATGTTTTACTCTTTTGAGACATGGTCTTGCTCTGCTGCCAAGGCTGGAGTGCAGTGGCACAATCATAGCTCACCACAGTTTCAAACTCCTGGGCTCATGCAATCCTCCTGCCTCAGCTTTCTGAGTAGCTAGGATGACAGGTGTGTACCACCATGCCTGGCTAATTTTTAAAAATTTTGTTGTAGAAATAGGGTCTTGCTGTATTGCCCAGGCTAGTCTCAAACTCCTGGCCTCAAGCTATCCTCCTTCCACAGCCTCCCAAAGCACTGGGGTTACAGGCGTGAATCACTGCACCTGGCCAATCTGCATTGTACTTAATAACTATAACTTTTATGTCCTTATCCAAGTAGTTGATTAAAATACCAGACCATGAACATATAAATAGATGAAGGGAACCCAAATATTCAGGTTAGAACTTCAATTCTATGATTCATCTCACTTTTTATTGTACAATTCATTATTGGTAAGGCTATAGTAAACAGAATCGGAATTTGGGGTTTGTTATAACAGCTTTGGCCTGCAGAGTATTTAGTGTTGAGTGATGAGGTCTAGTCCTCTAAGTCTTACAAAAGTGTATCCTTTAAGATACTTTTGGTTGCAAGCAGTAGGAAACTTGACTGAAAATAACTTAAAGACAATACCTGAGTCCCCTACAAGAAGCCCAGGTATGTCAGTCTCTGGACTCTCAGTTGGGCCCACAGCCCTGTGACTGCGTGCTGCAGCCAACTCCCCTCTGGCCCAGACACCAGATTTCAGCCTCTCTCCATGTCTTTTATCTACAGGTCCCTACAGGAAACCACTTGCTTCTCATGGGTGGAAAGCAGTGCACAGTCAATGGCAGGGCAGTGAGGTTAAATAGGAAGGCCTTGCACACTTTTACAGTTGGTGGGTTAGTCTGTTTTGTGTTACCATCAAGTAATATCTGAGGCTGGGTAATTTATAAAGAGAAGAGTTTTGTTTGACTCTGAGTTCTGCAGTCTGTACAGGCAAATTCTGCAGGCACCAGCATCATCTTGGCTTTTGGTGAGGCCTCAGGAAGCTTTTACTCTTGGTGGAAGGCAAACAGGGACCAGGTGTGTCACATGGCAAGAGAGAGAAGAGGAGGTGTCAGACTCCTTTTAACAATCAGCCCTCGTGGTAACTAATAGAGCAAGAACTCACTTATTACCAAGAGGACAGCACCATCCCATTCCTGAGGGACCCATCGTCCCCCCGACCCAGACACCTTCCACCGGGCCCACCTCTAACACTGGGGATCACATTTCAACGTGAGATTTGAGGGGGACACACATTCAAACCATATCAGTCAGGATCTGGTCAAGCACCACCTTCCTCTGAAGCAGGTGGAGGAGCAGAGGTGTCTGAACGTAGCAGGGTTCCACCGGCAAAGAATCCCAAGGCAGCAGAGCTGGATCCAGAAGCCCCTCTGACTCTGGGGTGGCGCAGAGGGCAACCTCCCAGAGACCTTGGAGGACTGGAAGGAACCGGAGCCTCTGTCAGGGTTCTGCATGAGGCCTGGATTGGGATGTACACCATTGCCAGTGTAAGAAAAGCACCAAAACAATCCCTACTTAAAGGGAATGCCATTGTGCTCTCCAGCCCTTCTCCAGCAAGCCTATGTTGGCAGCAAGTCAGATGAAATCGCTATTCTGTAGAGATGCTTATTATCATTCAGTACATGCTGTATTCATCTCGGGCAAGAAATCCCATGGGATTTTCAGTGTGAGTCTGCCTGTTTGGCTCTGTTGGGCTCCCCTAAAGTACCTCCTCTGTTTCTCTGTCGGGGTGGCTTGTTGGGGAGCCAGGGGTTAGGAGAGTGATGTGTGGGTGTCCAGGAGGAAGGTGCTCTGGAAGGAGAGCCCTGCAATGGGCATGGGTCCAGCATATCAGCTCACCCTGAAGATGACTGCACCTGCCCTGGGCCTTGGAAGACTGAGTCCCTTTGTGAGCACAGTCAGAAGCTGATGTTGGTGCCCTAGAAGCAGATTCCATAGGCCCTGCCTGCTTTTCCTAAGCCTGTCACAAACAGGCGGCCCCAAGAAGGGTGCTCCTTGAATGCCCCTGCTGGGCGGGGGCTGCGTGTCTCCAGGCTGGAGGCTTTGTTTTTTAAAATGCTAGTCTGAACTTTTGAAGTCTTTTACAAAATGCACTTAAATGAGGAAAATCGGTTCCCAGGTTTCTGGGAAGCAACTCAGTGGTACATTTCAGGCTAGAGGAATATAACCCATCAATGTTAAATGTTTCACTGGACTAGGCTCTTAACATTCTTTTCTGCAAAGAGGACACATACTGTCCTTGGCAGGTGTGACTCCAGTGGCTTCCTCAAGGACAATCCCCCCATCACTGGCCTGGATTCCATTCTAGAATGCTCATTTCGCACCACTGTGAGCACAGCATGGGGAAAGAGGGGACACCAGATGGAGGCAAATATTATTAGAGATAAAGAGAGAGATAGACCCTGGTACAATAATATCTGGAGACTTCAACACCCCACTTTCAGCATTAGACAGATTGCAAATACAGAAATTTGACAAAGAAGCATCAGCTTCTTAATATGCAATATTAGGTCCATTTGGTCTATAGTGCAGATGAAAAAACATCAGATGCTGTTTCTTATTCTGCACTATAGACCAGATGGACCTAATAGATATTTACAGAACATTTCATCCAATAACTGCAGAATACACATTCTTCTCCTGAGCATATGGACCATTCTCAATGACAGACCACATGTCAGGCCACAAAACAAGTCTTAAGACATTCAGAGAAACTGAAGTTCATATCAAGTATCTTCTCTGACCTCAATGGGATAAAAGTAGAAATCATAAAAAAAGGCCAGGTGCAGTGGCTCACACCTGTAATCCCAGCAGTTTGGGAGGCCAAGGTGGTTGGATCACTTGAGGTCAGGAGTTTGAGACCAGCCTGGCCAATGTGGTGAAACCCTGTCTCTACTAAAAATACAAAAATTAGCCAGGTGTGATCATGGGCACCTGAAATCCCATCTACTCGGGAGGCTGAGGTAGAAGAATTGCTTGAGCCTGGGAGGCAGAGGTTGCAGTTAGCTGAGATCATGCCACTGCACTCCAGCCTGGGTGATAGAGTGAGACTCTGTCCAAAAAAAAAAAAAAAAAAAAAAAGGAAAAGAGAAAAAGAAACTTGGGAAACTCCACAAACAGTATGCTCCTGAATGACCAAAGGGTCAATAAAGAAATTAAGAAGGAAATTTAAAAATTTCTTAAAACAAAGGAAAATGGAAACGCAACATACCAAACCCTGTGGGATACAGCAAAAGCAGTAATAAGAGGAAAGTTTATAGCAATAAGTGCCTACATCAAAAAGCAGAAAAACTTCAAATAAACAACGTAACAATACCTCTTAAAGAATTAGAAAAGCAAGAGCAAATTAAACCCAAAATTAGTGGAAAAAAAGAAATAGTAAAGACGAGAATAGAAATAAATGAAATTGAAATGAAATAAACCCAAAAGATGAATAAAATGAAAAGTTGTTTTTTTGAAAAGATAAAATGGACAAACCTTTAGCCAGACCAAGAAAAAAAGAGAGAATACCCAAATGAAATCAGACATGAAAAATGAGACATTACAATGGATGCCACAGAAATTCAAAGGATCATCAGAGACTACTATGAGCAACTATATGCCAATACATTGGAAAACCTGGAAAAATGGATAAACTCCTAGACACATACAATCTTCAAGACTGAATCAAGAAGAAATTTAAAACTTGAACAGACCAATAACAAGTAATGAGATTGGAGCCATAATAAAAAGTCTCTCAGCAAAGAAAGGCCTGGGACCTGATGGCTTCATTGCCAAATTTTACCAAACATTTAAAGAAGAACTAATACCAATTTTCTGCAAACTATTCCAAAAAACAGAGGAGGAGAGAATATTTCTAAACTCACTCTCGGAGGCCAGTATTACCCTGATAACAAAACCAGACAAAGACACATCAAAAAACAAAAACAATGACAAAAAACAAACAAAAAAGCAAAACAAAAAAATGGAATTACAAGCCAATATCCCTAATGAAAATTGATATAAAAGTCCTCAAAAAAATCCCAGCAAACTGAATCAACAACACATTAATAAGTTCATTCATCATGACCAAGTGGGATTTATCCCAGAAATGCAGGAATGGTTCAACATACACAAATCAATCAGTGTGATACATTGTACTAACAGAATGAAGGACAAAAACTATATGATCATTTCAGTTGATGCTGAAAAAGCATTTGATAAAACTCATTATAAAAACCCTTGGGGCGGTTCCAAGATGGCCAAATAGGAACAGCTCCAGTCTACAGCTCCCAGTATGAGCGACGCAGAAGATGGGTGATTTCTGCATTTCCAACAGGTACTGGGTTTATCTCACTGGGGCTTGTCGGACAGTGGGTGCAGGACAGTGGGTGAGGTGCACCCAGCGTGAAGCAGGGCGAGGCATCGGAGGATCCCACGCCCATGGAGCCTCGCTCATTGCTAGCACAGCATTCTGAGATGGAACTGCAAGGCAGCAGCAAGGCTGGGGGAGGGGCACCCGCTATTGCTGAGGCTTGAGCAGGTAAACAAAGCGGCCAGGAAGCTCGAACTGAGTGGAGCTCACCGCAGCCCAAGGAGGCCTGCCTGCCTCTTTAGACTCCACCTCTGGGGGCAGGGCATAGCTGAACAAAAGGTGCAGAAACTTCTGCAGACTTAAATGTCCCTGTCTGACAGCTTTGAAGAGAGTAGTGGTTCTCCCAGCATGGAGTTTGAGATCTGAGAATTGACAGACTGCCTCTTCGAGTGGGTCCCTGATTCCCAAGTAGCCTAAATGGGAGGCACCCCCCAGTAGGGGCAGACTGACACCTCACACGGCTGGGTACCCCTGTGAGATGAAACTTCCAGAGGAACGATCAGGCAGGAACATTTGCTGTTCAACAATATTCGCTATTTTGCAGCCTCTGCTGCTGATACCCAGGCAAACAGGGTCTGGAGTAGACCTCCAGCAAACTCCAACACACCTGCAGCTGAGGGTCATGACTGTTAGAAGGAAAACTAACAAACAGAAAGGACATCCACACCAAAACCCCATCTGTATATCACCATCATCAAAGACCAAAGGTAGATAAAAACACAAAGATGGGGAAAAAACAGAGCAGAAAAGCTGAAAATTCTAAAAATCCGAGCAACTCTCCCCCTCCAAAGGAATGCAGCTCCTCACCAGCAATGGAACAAAGCTGGACGGAGAATGACTTTGAAGAGTTGAGAGAAGAAGGCTTCAGATGACCAATCTTCTCTGAGCTAAAGGAAGAAGTTCAAACCCATTGCAAAGAAGCTAAAAACCTTGGGAAAAGATTAGACAAATGGCTAAGTAGAATAACCAGAGTAGAGAAGTCCTTAAATGACCTGATGGAGCTGAAAACCACGGCACGAGAACAACGTGACAAATGCACAAGCTTCAGTAGCCGATTCGATCAACTGGAAGGAAGGGTATCAGTGAATGAAGATCAAATGAATGAAATGAAGGGAGAAGAGAAGATTAGAGAAAAAAGAGTAAAAAGAAATGAACAAAGCCTCCAAGAAATATGGTAATATGTGAAAAGACCAAATCTACATCTGACTGGTGTACCTGAAAGTGACGGGGAGAATGGAACCAAGTTGGAAAACACTCTGCAGGATATTATCCAGGAGACCTTCCCCAACCTAGCAAGGCAGGCCAACATTCAAATTCAGGAAATACAGAGAATGCCACAAAGATACTCCTCAGGAAGAGCAACTCCAAGACACATAATTGTCAGATTCACCAAAGTTGAAATGAAGGAAAAAATGTTAAGGGCAGCCAGAGAGAAAGGTCGGGTTACCCTCAAAGGGAAGCCCATCAGACTAACAGTGGATCTCTTGGCAGAAACTCTACAAGCCAGAAGAGAGTGGGGGCCAATATTCAACATTCTTAAAGAAAAGAATTTTCAACCCAGAATTTCATATCCAGCCAAACTAAGCTTCAGAAGTGAAGGAGAAATAAAATCCTTTACAGACAAGCAAATGCTGAGAGATTTTGTCACCACCAGGCCTGCCCTACAAGAGCTCCTGAAGGAAGCACTAAACATGGAAAGGAACAAGCGGTACCAGCCACTGCAAAAACATGCCAAACTGTAAAGACCATCACTGCTAGGAAGAAACTGCATCAACTAACGAGCAAAATAACCAGCTAACATCATAATGACAGGATCAAATTCACATATAACAATATTAACCTTCAATGTAAATGGCTAAATGCTCCAATTAAAAGACACAGACTGGCAAATTGGATAAAGAGTCAAGACCCATCAGTGTGCTGTATTCAGGAGACCCATCTCCCATGCAGAGACACACATAGGCTCAAAATAAAGGGATGGAGGAAGATCTACCAAGCAAATGGAAAACAAAAAAAGGCAGGAGTTGCAATCCTAGTCTCTGATAAAACAGACTTTAAACCAACAAAGATCAAAAGAGACAAAGAAGGCCATTACATAATGGTAAAGGGATCAATTCAACAGGAAGAGCTAACTATCCTAAATATATATGCACCCAGTACAGGAGCACCCAGATTCATAAAGCAAGTCCTTAGAGACTTACTAAGAGAATTAGACTCCCACACAATAATAATGGGAGACTTTAACACCCCACTGTCAACATTAGACAGATCCACGAGACAGAAAGTTAAAAAGGATATGCAGGAATTGAACTCAGTTCTGCACCAAGCGGACCTAATAGACATCTACAGAACTCTCCACCCAAAATCAACAGAATATACATTATTCTCAGCACCACATCGCACTTATTCCAAAATTGACCACATAGTTGGAAGTAAAGCACTCCTTAGCAAATGTAAAAGAACAGAAATTATAACAAACTGTCTCTCAGACCACAATGCAATCAAACTAGAACTCAGGATAAAGAAACTCACTCAAAACCACTCAACTACATGGAAACTGAACAACCTGCTCCTGAATGATTACTGCATACATAAAGAAATGAAGGCAGAAATAAAGATGTTCTTTGAAACCAACGAGAAAAAAGACACAACATACCAGAATCTCTGGGACACATTCAAAGCAGTGTGTAGAGGGAAATTTATAGCACTAAATGCCCACAAGAGAAAGCAGGAAAGATCTAAAATTGACACCCTAACATCACAATTGAAAGAACTAGAGAAGCAAGAGCAAACACATTCAAAAGCTAACAGAAGGGAAGAAATAACTAAGATCAGAGCAGAACTGAAGGAAATAGAGACACAAAAAACCCTTCAAAAAATCAGTGAATCCAGGAGCTGGTTTTTCGAAAAGATCAACAAAATTGATAGACTGCTAGCAAGACTAATAAAGAAGAAAAGAGAGAAGAATCAAATAGATGCAATAAAAAATGATAAAGGGGTATCACCACTGATCTCACAGAAATACAAACTACCATCAGAGAATACTATAAACACCTCTATGCAAATAAACTAGAAAATCTAGAAGACATGGATAAATTCCGGGACACATACACCCTCCCAAGACTAAACCAGGAAGAAGTTGAATCTCTGAATAGACCAATAACAGGCTCTGAAATTGAGGCAATGATTAATATCCTACCAACCAAAAAAGTCTAGGACCAGACAGATTCACAGCTGAATTCTACCAGAGGTACAAAGAGGAGCTGGTACCATTCCTTCTGAAATTATTCCAATCAATAGAAAAAGAGGGAATCCTCCCTAACTCATTTGATGAGGCCAGCATCATCCTGATACCAAAGCCTGGCAGAGACACAACAAAATAAGAGAATTTTAGACCAATATCCCTGATGAACATCGATGCAAAAATCCTCAATAAAATTCTGGCAAACCGAATCCAGCAGCACATCAAAAAGCTTATCCACCATGATCAAGTGGGCTTCATCCCTGGGATGCAAGGCTGGTTCAACATATGCAAATCAATAAACGTAATCCAGCATATAAACAGAACCAAAGACAAAAACCACATGATTATCTCAATAGATGCAGAAAAGGCCTTTGACAAAATTCAACAGTCCTTCATGCTAAAAATTCTCAATCAACTAGGTATTGATGGGACATATCTCAAAATAATAAGAACTATTTATGACAAACCCACAGCCAATATCACACTGAATGGGCAAAAACTGGAAGCATTCCCTCTGAAAACTGGCACAAGTCAGGGATGCCCTCTCTCACCACTCCTATTCAACATAGTGTTGGAAGTTCTGGCCAGGGCAATCAGGCAGGAGAAAGAAATAAAGGGTATTCAATTAGGAAAAGAGGAAGTCAAATTGTCCCTGTTTGCAGATGACATGACTGTATATTTAGAAAACCCCATCTTCTCAGCCCAAAATCTCCTTAAGCTGATAAGCAACTTCAGCAAAGTCTCAGGATACAAAATCAATGTGCAAAAATCACAAGCATTCTTATACACCAATAACAGACAAAAAGAAAGCCAAATCATGAGTGAACTCCTATTCACAATTACTTCAAAGAGAATAAAATACCTAGGAATCCAACTTACAACGGATGTGAAGGACCTCTTCAAGAACTGCAAACCACTGCTCAATGAAATAAAAGAGGACACAAACAAATGGAAGAACATTCTGTGTTGATGGATAGGAAGAATTAACATCATGAAAATGGCCATACTGCCCAAGGTAATTTATAGATTCAGTGCTATCCCCATCAAGCTACCAAGACTTTCTTCACAGAATTGGAAAAAAGTACTTTAAAGTTCATATGGAACCAAAACAGACCCCGCATTGTCAAGACAATCCTAAGCCAGAAGAACAAAGCTGGAGGCGTCATGCTACCTGACTTCAAACTATACTACAAGGCTACAGTAACCAAAACAGCATGGTACTGGTACCAAAACAGAGATATAGACCAATGGAACAGAACAGAGCCTTCAGAAATAACACCACACATCTACAACCATCTGATCTTTGACAAACCTGACAAAAACAAGCAATGGGGAAAGGATTCCCTATTTAATAAATGCTGTTGGGAAAACTGGCAGCCAAATGTAGAAAGCTGAAACTGGATCCCTTCCTTACACCTTATACAAAAATTAATTCAAGATGGATTAAAGACTTACATGTTAGACCTAAAACCACAAAAACCCTAGAAGAAAACCTAGGCAATACCATTCAGGACATAGGTATGGGCAAGGACTTCATGACTAAAACACGAAAAGCAATGGCAACAAAAGCCAAAACTGACAAATGGGATCTAATTAAACTAAAGAGCTTCTGCACAGCAAAAGAAACTACCATCAGAGTGAACAGGCAACCTACAAAATGGGAGAAAATTTTCCCAACCTACTCATCTGACAAAGGGCTAATATCCAGAATCTACAATGAACTCAAACAAATTTACAAGAAAAAAAGAAACAACCCCATCAAAAGTGGGTGAAGGACATGAACAAACACTTCTTAAAAGAAGACATTTATGCAGCCAAAAAACACATGAAAAAATGCTCATCATCACTGGCCATCAGAGAAATGCAAATCAAAACCACAATGAGATACCATCTCACACCAGTTAGAATGGAAATCATTAAAAAGTCAGGAAACAACAGGTGCTGGAGAGGATGTGGAGAAATAGGAACACTTTTACACTGTTGGTGGGACTGTAAACTAGTTCAACCATTGTGGAGGTCAGTGTGGCGATTCCTCAGGGATCTAGAACTAGAAATACCATTTGACCCAGCCATCCCATTACTGGGTATATACCCAAAGGACTATAAATCATGCTGCTATAAAGACACACGCACACATATGTTTATTGCGGCACTATTCACAATAGCAAAGACTTGGAACCAACCCAAATGTCCAACAATGATAGACTGGATTAAGAAAATGTGGCACATATACACCATGGAATACTATGCAGCCATAAAAAAGGATGAGTTCATGTCCTTTGTAGGGACATGGATGAAATTGGAAACCATCATTCTCAGTAAACTATCACAAGAACAAAAAACCAAACACTGCATATTCTCACTGATAGGTGGGAATTGAACAATGAGATCACATGGACACAGGAAGGGGAACATCACACTCTGGGGACTGCTGTGGGGTGGGGGGAGGGGGGAGGGATAGCATTGGGAGATATACCTAATGCTAGATGACGAGTTACTGGGTGCAGCGCACCAGCATGGCACATGTATACATATGTAACTAACCTGCACAATGTGCACATGTACCCTAAAACTTAAAGTATAATTTAAAAAAAAATTTAAAAAAAGATGTTTCTAATAATTTCTGAATATTTGTCAAATCATATATTAAAGTTACCAAAAAATAAAAAAAAATAATAAAAAAAAAGAACTTAAACAAATTTACAAGAAAAAGTCAAACAACCCCATCAAAAAGTAGGCCAAGCATATGAACAGACACTTCTGAAAAGAAGACATTTATGCAGCCAACAGACATATGAAAAAATGCTTATCATCACTGGCCATCAGAGAAATGCAAATCAAAACCACAATGAGATACCATCTCAGACCAGTTAGAATGGCGATCATTAAAAAGTCAGGAAACAACAGGTGCTGGAGAGGATGTGGAGAAATAGGAACACTTTTACACTGTTGGTGGGACTGTAAACTAGTTCAACCATTGTGGAAGACAGTGTGGTGATTCCTTCAAGATCTAGAACTAGAAATACCGTTTGACCCAGCCATCCCATTACTGGGTACATACCCAGTGGATTATAAATCAAGCTGCTATAAAGACACATGCACATGTATGTTTATTGCGGCACTATTCACAATAGCAAAGACTTGGAACCAACCCAGATGTCCAACAATGATAGACTGGATTAAGAAAATGTGGCACATATACACCATGGAATACCATGCAGCCATAAAAAATGATGAGTTCATGTCCTTTGTAGGGACATGCATGAAGCTGGAAACCATCATTCTCAGCAAACTATCGCAAGGTCAGAAAACCAAACATCGCATGTTCTCACTCATAGGTGGGAATTGAACAATGAGAACACTTGGACACAGGGTGGGGAACATCACACACTGGGGCCTCTTGTGGGGTCGGGGGAGGGGGGAGGGATAGCATTAGGAGATATACCTAAGGTAAATGACAAGTTAACGGGTGCAGCACACCAACATGGCACATGTATACATATGTAACAAACCTCACGTTGTGCACATGTACCCTAGAACTTAAAGTATAATAAAACAAAAACAAATCAAATGCATTTATTTCTGCTAATTAGAAATTGAAATGTAAGAGTGTAAAAAGATGAAATACTCAACAAAATTCAACAAAATAGATGCAAAACCTGTACATTGAAAACCATAAAACATTGCTGAGAGAAATTAAAGAAGATGAAATAAATGAAGAGAGATATTATATCATGATCATGGATTGGAAGATGCAGTATGTTTAAGATGTCAATTCTCCCCAATTAATCCATAGATTCAATACAATCTCGGTAGAAATGCATTTTTTTAAAAGAAACTGACAAGCTGATTTAAAAATTTATGTGGAGGCCAGGTGTGGTGGCTCATGCCTGTAATCCCAACACTTTGCGAGGCCGCGGCAGGAGGATCACTTGAAGTCAGGAGTTCGAGACCAGCCTGGCCAACATGGTGAAACCCCATTTCTACTGAAAATACAAAGATTAGCTGGGCATGGTGGTGTGCACCTGTAATCCCAGCTACTCGGGAGGCTGAGGCATGAAAGTCTCTTGAACCTGGGAGGCGGAGGTTGCAGTGAGCCGAGATTGCACCACTGCACTCCAGCTTTGGCAAGGAAGCAAGATTCTGTCAAAAAAAAAAAAAAAAAAATTCAGACAATCATAGATCAGTTTTCAAGAATTGTGTTCTGACTTTGTGTTCTAAGGTCCTCACTTTGCTTGGAAGGAGGAAATAAATGTTGCTTAACTTTTGAGTTTTATGTTAAATATTCATGGTGACATATTTAGGGTAATTCTTAAAATAAAAATAAGAGAAAACCAAGCCATGACTGTCGAGGTCAGATAGAGAGAAGCTGAAATTCCAGCTCCCCCGCCCATCAGCTTTGAGACCTGGTCCCCACAACGTGTTCCAATAAGACAGGGCTGGTGACGGCCAGGCAGGAGGAGTTAGCTCAGAGCCTGGCGCATGCGCAGGGAGCGCTGGTCCTTGGCCGCTTCTCCGGGCCCCCCCTGCGGTGCTCTCTGCTGGGCTCCTTCCTGAGCTGCCAAGGCCCTTCCAGGATTTTCTAGTAAATGAAGGAGAGTGCTGATCCTCTGAGCCTTGCACAAGTTTACTCTCCGATGGTGTGTGTGTGTGCGTGTGTGTGTCTGCACGCCTGTCCCTGTCCTCCAGGCCTGACTGTCCAGGCGGGCGGGCAGGCCCTCCGAGCAGGTCTCCTCACAGAGTGTGCACGCCGGACTGTTGAGAGGCCTCGTATTTCCAGGCCTCGCACGATCCTACACGCAGTAGTCGCTTAGTAAATATTGGTGGTTTTTATGAGATGTGTATCTGCAAATCAGCCCTCGGGAAGGATTCTGGAGGATTTGGAAATAAGAAAAAAGAGTCGAAGTGCACAAAACAGTTGGGTTTCTATTTAAATAGGTTTTAAAAAGGAAAACCTGACTTAGCCTTTAAATAGAGTGAGTGCAAGGTGCCTTGAGTTGCTTAGTAACCTCACACTGTTCTATTTATACAAGTGTATTGCACAGGAACTTGTGGTTCCGTTTAATTCCTTTAGGATGGAGAACATTTCCCAGGGATTCTGAGTTTATTCAGAGTGAAGAGCTTGACTGATGCAAAGGGGTGTTAAAAATTAACATGAAATTAATTTAAAAAATTGTTTGGAAATAATTTCAAGTTTGCAAAAAACAAAAACAGTACAAAGAACCTTTATACATAGATTCACCTTTTAAAAATATTTTACTCCATTTGCTTAATTATTATTTGCACATTCTGTCTCTTCTCTCTCTCCTTCCCTCCACACGAATTTTTTTTTCCTAAACCATTTAATGGTGACCTTTTAGCCCTAAATATTACAATGTGTATTTCCTAAGAATAGAACTGTTCTCTTACGTAACCACAGTACAATGATCAACTAAATAAGTCTGTATTTACTTTTATCTGATTTACTGTCCGTATCTAAGTTTTTTAGTTTGACTTAATATCCCTTATAGCAATATTTCCCCTTCAGTACCGGAGTTAGATTATGATTGGGTATTCCATCCTCAGAAATTCACACTTAATAGATTTGGTCTGAGGCCCAGGAATCCGTTTTTTTTTTTTTTAATTTTATTTTTCCAGAAGCTTCCTAGATAATTATGATTATGAGAGGTTCAGGGACACAAGGTGAGATATGCTGCCTGTGTGGCCAGGGTCACGGGCACCATCCTGATGAAGGCCAACCTGTCTGCAGCAGCCAGAGGACAGGCAGAAGAGCAGGGGGATGATGGCTGAAAGCTGTCCACTGCCTCTGTACAGGTTCATTTCCACCTTCGGAATCCCCTAGCCTGAGTTGTTGGGTCCAGCTTTGCAAGACACAGACTTACTGCTGGTGGGTTTGTGGCATCACCTTTGATAAGCAGTGCCACCATGATAGCTGCTTATGACTGTTCTGAGGGTTGAAGTAGATCATACATGCAAAATACCTGGCATGGAAGAGATAATAAATGCTAGGTTAGTTGGATTTTGAATACACGTTATCAAAAAGATTAATATGGTACTTACACAGCCTTTTGCATAGTACCATGGACTCAAAAGTTCCTTGATATTCCTCATGCCAAAGCCTTAGCTATCAATGAAACTCATGTTAAAGTCTTAGCAATCAATGACACACATGCTATATGAAAGGCAGGGTTTGGGAAACAAAATATATTAAGTTAGGAAAAAGTTAGAGTGAACTCATGACTACCTGATGCTAAAATTTATAAGGAAATGCAAAGGACCTAGAGCAGCCAAAACAATTTTGGGAAGGAAGAACAAAGTTGGAGACTTACAGTACCTGATGTAGGGACTTATTTTAAAGATACAGCAATTGATCAGGAAGGTATTGGCATAAGAATAAGTATAGAAATCAATGCAATAGAGATTTAAAAATCTCTATTCTTAGGGAGAGTCCAGAGACAGACCCACACAGATATGGCAATTATTTGTCAAAGTGCAAAGGCAATTCAGTGGAGACATGACAATCTTTTTAACAAATATTGCTGGAGCAATTGGATATTCATTTTTTAAAAAGTAAACTCAAGCTAAATTATTGACCTGAATGTGAAACCTGAAACCATCACATTTCTGAGTGAGTACTTAAAGTCTACTTATTTTCCTCTGACCACAGGCACCACGGCCCCTCCTCTGCATGCCTTTTTCCCTCTCAGCACCTCAAAGGCTAGGCCCGGAGCTTATGTTCCTACATTGGTTCCTATCTTAGTCCATTAATGCTGCTATTACAGAATACCAGAGATGGAGTCATTTATGGAGAAGAGAGATTGATTTCTCACAGCTCTGGAGGCTAGAAGTCCAAGACCAGGCACTGGCATTGGAGTCTGGTGAGGGCTTGGTCTCTGCTTCCAGGATGGAGCCTTGTTGCCGGAACACTGTGTCCTCACACAGCAGCAGAGATGGAAGGGCAAAAGGGGCCTCGTTAGTTGAACCTTTTCATAAGGGTGCTAATCTCATTTGTGAGGGTGCTACCCTCAGGGCTTAATCACTTCCTAAAGTCTCCACCTCTTGATACTATTAGTTACTTAATACTAACAACTCTTAATACTGTTACCTTAGAGTTTAGGTTCTAACACATGCATTTTGGAGGAAACACATACATTCAAACCACAGCAGCTCCTAACTTTCCCTCTGGAGACTTAGAAGATGGTAAACAGATGAAAAAGAGGGACACTTGACATCTGAAATCTTGAGCATTGGAAGGAGAGATGGTCTAGACACTTTCATATGTATGGACTTCAGATATGGTCTTGGCCCAAGATAGTGTTGTCGTCAATATACTTTCATCCTTTAATGCAGAGTATTACAAAGGAAATGTTTGAATTGTCATTAAATGTTGAAATCAGTTTGTGATTTTTAAGTTTCTGTACTAATTTTACAATCTAATTTGCTGAAAATGACTATTTCCCCTTTCCGAAAACACTTTATCTTCCCTTTTACAGTATATATGATTTTTAACTTAAAGCTTATTCTCTACTCTGTTCTATCTCTCATGTGGATATTTTGTGATCATATTCCAACTTTAAGAGGCAATCTCATTTTTATTCTTTTGAGACAGAGTATCACTCTGTCACCCAGGCTGTTGTGTAGTGGTGCAATCTTGGCTCACCGCAACCTCCATCTCCCAGGTTTAAGCCATTTTCCTGCCTCAGCCTCCCGAGTAGCTGGGATTACAGGCGCCCGCCACCACGCCTACTAATTTTTGTATTTTTAGTAGAAATCGTGTTTCAGCATGTTGGCCAGGCTGGTCTCGAACTCCTGACCTCAAATGATCTGCCTGCCTTGGCCTCCCAAGGTGCTGGGATTACAGGCGTGAGTCACCACACCCAGCCAAGGCAATCTCATTTTTGCCATTGATCTAGAACACAATGAACACATGTACAGAGGTTGCATTTCAGTGTGGCTTTATTTTTTGACAAACTGGATTAAGCAGGGAGTAGGACCTCAATGACCATTGGAATTGTCATGCATGTAGAATCCTACCTCAACGTTATTTGCCTGCCCTACAATGATGATTCACATTATTTATCACCAGATAATTTAACTGTCACCATCACATATAAATATCTATTTACTTTGTTACCCTTTTCAAAGTGGACACAAGCCCTTCCAAGAAGGGATCTCTTAGGTGGCAAGCCTTCTCTCCTTGAGGATGGGGTAGGCTCACCTGGAGAATCCCTGATCTGTATCAGTGAGCAGAGGGTATGGAGACAAATCTCAGTGGGAGGGAATCCCGCCCTGTTTAGCTCGGTAAACCCTTATTGGGCAACTTCCCTGTGTGTAGCCTGCATAGACAATGGACACTGTCTTTCAGTAGCTTACAGTCCATTGAGAAGAGTCAGCTTTAGATGAAAATTTACACTAGTTTTTCTAAGAGGAAAACAAGCAAGGTACTTCTTCCAAGTGATAAGTCACCTGGCCTCTCTTGGGCCCTTCACTCACTTCACCCAGGAGAGAGGGAGTGATTTAGCTAACAGTGAATTTGGGAGGAGAAACTTGCCATGTGGATCTCAGGTCCTTCCTTTCCAATTAACTGGAGGAAGCTGGGTGCAGGGAAGTTGCCCGTGTTGGGAGGAGTTGGCTTATCACAGCCGTGACTGGGGATGAGCCCGCCAAGTTCTGGAGTTTGGAATTGTGAAACTTCTTGCTCAAAGCCTCCAACAACAGCTTCATTAGTAATAAAGATGATTTTTGGCCTTATTTTCAATGGGTTCAGTATCTGTTAGGGAAAGGAATGTCATTTATCAGGGCCCTCAAAGATACCTACAGTAAGAATACCTACAACGGGAGAACAGAAATGGGACCCCTAACCTAGACTAGGGCTCAGGGAAGGCTTTTTAAAGCATGATCCCAGACCTGAACCTTAATGCATGAGCAGAGATTCACCAGCCAAGAGGAGAGGAGAGAGGGTGTGAGGACTCTTGTTGCCTGAGAGCGCATTATTGTGTAAGGGCCTGGAGTCAAGAAACAGCCCTATTTGTGTGAGGAACAAATAATGCAAGCTTCCTAAGAGGTGAGGTGGACTGGGGGACATGTAAGATGAGGCTGGAGAGGTAAGTGTGTGGAGTGGACTTTGTTTTCTACATTCAACTGTGGCCCTCACCTGAGACTCATAGTCCAAGAATTCCCAGCAACTTAAATAACTGGGCTGATGTGTCTTTTTTTTTGAGACAAAGTTTTGCTCTTGTTGCCCAGACTGGAGTGCAATGGCGCGATCTCGGCTCACTTGCAACCTCCATCTCCTGGGTTCAAGCGATTCTCCTGCCTCAGCCTCCCGAGTAGCTGGGATTACAGTTGCCTGCCAACACTCCTGGCTAGTTTTTTTGTATTTTCAGTAGAGATGGGGTTTCACCATCTTGGCCAGGCTGGTCTTGAGCTCCTGCCCTCAGGTAATCGACCCCCCATTGGCATCCCAAAGTGCTAGGATTATAGACGTGGGCTGATGTGTCTTGACAGTGAGATGTGGGAAACAGGCTCAGGGACTTTCAAGAAGAGCATTCCTGCCATGAATCAGCAAGTGGCGCGTGGCTGTCAATGACAGTGCCATGTGAGTTACACGAGTGCAGTAGAGCATGCGGATGCAGAAGGAGAGGGAACTGGCATCCTGTAGACTGGCATGGTAACATTGGGAGCACTGTGCTCAGGCTTGGGCATCGTGATTTGTGAGAAACGCTGGAAACCAGAGAACACTGAGTGATGCGAGAGCAGCATTTAAAACTGGGTCATACAAAAGGGGACGAAAGAAATTAGGGAAGGTTGAACTCGTCAGTATTGTCAGGTAATAGATTTTTGGCCCTATGTAAAGAAGGAAATTTCTACTAGAGTTGTGTAGAATAAAGTGGTGCTGAGAGGTAGTATTTCTGAAATTAGCTAGTACACAGTGAGTCCTACTTTGTGGGAGGCAGTGTGTGAAATGCTTTATATACCTTATCTCACTTAAAGCTCAGAGCAGCTGTATTGTGAGCATATGATTCTGATGTTCTTTTTAGACATTAGGAAATGGGTCTTAGCAAGCTGATGTGACTTACCCAAGGTGACAGGATTTGAATTTAACTTTCACAATTACTTGGTTGGGATCAGGAAAATCAGGGATAGCAACATGTCAAAGACGTTCTAAAATCAAAATAAATATCAGATTTTATGGAATGAGCAACTTTCAAAGGTTATAGTGCAGTAAAGCCTGACTGAGTGGAATCCCAGTATTTATCACAGACAAGAGTGGACTTGCTCTGTATTAACAGAATATAACAGTGCACCTTCTTCCCCAGCCCCCTATGCTGCCTGAACCTCAAGCACCTTTGAAAATCCTTAGGACTTAACTGTGCAAAGTTTGAAAAACGTCTGAATTAGGTGACTTTTAATAATCCTGTGGTTTTTATGGGCATGAGAAGTGGTGCAAGAGGACTCAGGTGGAGAAAGCTAGAAAGCAACCAAGGAGGTCAGAATTCAATGGCCCAGGCTGCTGAAGGATTTTTTTTTTTTTAATTAAACTTCTTTCCCAAGCAATTGTGGATTCATGTGCAATTGTAAGAATACAGAGAGATTATGTGTACAATTTACCCAGTTTTCCCCAAGGATAACACCTTGTAAAATTCTAGTACAATATTAAAACCAGGAGATTGATGTTGATATAGTCAAGAACATTTCCACCATTGAAGGATCCCTCCTTAGGTAGCCACACCCACCTCCTTCCATTCTCCTTCCTTAACCTGTGGTAATCTTTAATCTGTTCTCCATTCCTTTTATTTTGCATTTCATGGAGTCATATAATAAGTCGCCTTTCGGGACTGGCTTTTTTTTTTTAAACTCAGCATCATCCTCTGTAGATTCATAAAGGTTGTTGCCTGTATCAATAGTTTTGTTTCTTTAACTGTTTACTCATTGAAAGATATCTGGAATGTTTCCAGTTTGGAGCTATTTTGAATAAAACTGCTATAAACATTCATGCAAAGACTTTTGTATGAACATAAGTTTTCATTTCTCAGGGATAATTGTCTAGGAGAGTGCAATTGATAGCTGGATCAAATGGTTGTTGCCTGTTTAGTTTTTTAAAGAAACTTCCAAACTGGCTCCCAGAGTAGCTGCACCATTTTACATTCCCATCAGCAATGTGTGAGTGACCCGGTTTCTCCACATCCTCATCAGCGTTTCGTATTGTCACTGTTTTTGAATTTAGCCACTTTAATAATAGGTGGGTAAGTGGTATCTCATCATGGTTTTAATTTGCATTTCCTTAATGGCTAGTGGTGGTGAACATTTTTCATGTGCTTATTTGCCATCTGTATAGCCTCTCCAGGAGATGTCTTCATGTCTTTTACTGATTTTCTAATTGGATTTTTAAAAACAATTTGAGTTTTAAGAGTTCTCTGTATATTCTAGATACTAGTCCTTTGTCAGGTATATGGTTTGCATGTCTTTTCATCCTCTTAAAAGGGTCTTTCACAGGGCAAATGTTTTACATTGGGATGAAGTCCAATTTATGACTTTTTCCTTTTATAAATTAAGCTATTGGTGTCACATCTAGGAACTCTTTTCCTAGGCCTATATCCTGAAGCTGTCTCTTATTTTATTGGGGGCGGGGGGTGGGTTGTTAGGGTGCAATTAAAATACATATAGTATAAAATTTACAATCAGTGACATTTAGTACATTCACAATGTTTTGCAACAGTCACCATTATCCAGTTCCAAAACATTTTCATTGCCCCAAAAGGAAACCCAATGCCCATTAAACAGTCACGCTCCACTGCCATTTCCCCCAGCCTCTGGCAACCACTAATCTTTTATCTGTCTCTATGGATTTGCCAGCTCTGGATACTTATATATAGCCATATGATATAATTGGAACAATATCATATGTGGCCTTTGTGTCTGGTTTATTTCACCTAGCATAATGTTTTCAAGGTTTATCCATATTGATGTATGTGTCATACTTAATTCCTTTTTATGACCACCATTTTATTGTATGGGTGTACCACATTTTCTTTTTTTTATTATTATACTTTAAGTTCTAGGGTACATGTGCACAACGTGCAGGTTTGTTACATATGTATACATGTGCCATGTTGGTGTTCCACATTTTCTTTCTCCATTTATCAATTGATGGACATTTGGGTTGTTTCTGCATTTGGCTATTGTGAATAGTGCTGCTATGAACATTTGTGTACAAGTATTTGCTTGAATACCTGCTTTCAATTCACGTACTTATTGGCCATTTTTATAACTTTTCCAGAGAAATGACTATTCAAGTATTTGCCATTTTTAAATTGGATTGTTTGTTATTTTGTTTTTGTGAGAGTTCTTTATATATTCTATACTAGGTCCTTATCAGACATGTGATTTGCAAATATTTTCTTTCATTCTGTGGGTTGTCTTTTCACTTTCTTGAAAGTGTCCTTTGGAGCAAAACAGTTTTTAATTTTAGTGAAGTCCAATTTATCTGTTTTTACTTTTGTTTCTTGTGCTTTTGATGTCATGTCTAAAAAAACCGTTGATAAATTCAAGGTCATGATTTGCCTAATGCTTTCTTCTAAGAGTTTTATGGTTTTACTTTATATTTAGATCTTTGGTACTTTTTGAGTCACTTTGTATGTATCATGTGACATAAGGGTCCAACTTCATTCTTTTGCATGTGGATATATCCAGTTGTCCTAGTACCATTTGTTGGAAAAGTCTATTTTTTCTCCATTGAATGGTGTTGGCACTTTTATTGAAAATCAACTGACCATAGAGTATGGTTTCTGGGCTGTCAATTCTACTCCATTGCTCTATATATCTATGTCTATACTAGTACCACATTGTCTTGATTACTGTAGATTTATAGTAAGTTTTGAAAATGTGAAGTGTGAAAACTTCAACTGCGTTATTTTTTCAAGGTTCTTTTGGCTACTTAGGGTTTCTTACACACTTACATAAATTTAAAGATCAGCTTTTCCATTTCTGCAAAATGAACTATTAGGATTTTGGTGAGGATTGCATTAACTCTGTAGGGGATTGTTTTGTGGAAGAGTATTGTCAATCTAATAATATTTATTATCTCAATTCATAAACACAAAATGTCTTTCCATTTACTTAGGTCTTTTAAAATTTCTTTTATCAGTGTTTTATAGTTTTCAGTGTATAAGCCTTGCACCTCCTTGGTTAAATTCATTCCTAGGTATTTTATTTTATTTTTGATACTGTATAAAGTAAATGGAATTAATTTTTTTGGAGTAGAATGTTAACTGTTAGTTTTCATAAATGCCCTTTATCATGGTGAGAAAGATCTTCTATATTTCCAGTTTTCTGAGTGCTTTTCCTATGAAAGGCTGTTGACTTTGTCAAATGCCTCTTCTGTGTCATTTGAGATGGTCATGTGTGTTTTTTTAAACCCCTTCATTCTATTAATGTGGTGGTATTACATTGCTTTATTTTAGTATGCTGAACCATGTTTGCTTTCTGGGGATAAATCTCACTTAGTCATATTGCATAATCCTTTTAATACGCTGCTGGATTTAGTTTGCTCATATTTTGTTGTGGATTGTTGCATCTATATTCATAAGGGGTATAGGTCTCAGTTTTCTTTTCATGTGGTCTGTTTGCCTGCCTTTGATGTAAGGTTAATATTCATACCATAGAGTCAGCTAGGAAGTGTTCTCCCTTCTATTTTCTGGAAGAGTTTGAGATGAATTAATTTCAATTCTTCTTGAAAGATTTGGTAGAATTCACAAGAAGCCATCTGGTCCTGCAGTTTTCTTTGTCAGAAGGGTTTTTGACTGACTCAATATCTTTACTTGTTATTGGTTTGCTGAGATCTTCTGTTTCTTCTTGAGTCACTTTTGGCAATTTGTGTGTTTCTAGGAATATGGCTCTTTTATCAAGGTTATCCAATTTGTTGGTGTAGCATTGTTCACAGTATTCTCTTATAATTCTTTTTATTTCTGTAATATTTGTAGTAATGTCCCCATTTTCATTTCTGATTTTAATTATCTGTGTCTTCTTTCTTTTTTTTTAAATTAGTCTCATTAAAATTTGTCAATTTTGTTGATCTTTAGGAACCAACTTTTGGTTTCATTGATTCTTTGTGTTGTTTTTCTTTATTATTATACTTTAAGTTTTAGGGTACATGTGCACAATGTGCAGGTTTCTTACATATGTATACATGTGCCATGTTGGTGTGCTGCACCCATTAACTAGTCATTTAGCATTAGGTATATGTCCTAATGCTATCCCTCCCCCCTCCCCCCACCCCACAACAGTCCCCAGTGTGTGATGTTCCCCTTCCTGTGTCCATGTGTTCTCATTGTTCAATTCCCACCTATGAGTGAGAACATGCGGTGTTTGGTTTTTTGTCCTTGCGATAGTTTGCTGAGAATGATGGTTTCCAGCTTCATCCATGTCCCTACAAAGAACATGAACTCATCCTTTTTTATGACTGCATAGTATTCCATGGTGTATATGTGCCACATTTTCTTAATCCAGTCTATCATTGTTGGACATCTGGGTTGGTTCCAAGTCTTTGCTATTGTGAATAGTGCCACAATAAACATACATGTGCATGTGTCTTTATAGCAGCATGATTTATAATCCTTTGGGTATATACCCAGTAATGGGATGGCTGAGTCAAATGGTATTTCTAGTTCTAGATCCCTGAGGAATTGCCACACTGACTTCCACAATGGTTGAACTAGTTTACAGTCCCACCAACAGTGTAAAAGTGTTCCTGTTTCTCCACATCCTCTCCAGCACCTGTTGTTTCCTGACTTTTTAATAATCACCATTCTAACTAGCGTGAGATGGTATCTCATTGTGGTTTTGATTTGCATTTCTCTGATGGCCATTGATGATGAGCATTTTTTCATGTGTTTTTTGGCTGCATAAATGTCTTCTTTTCAGAAGTGTCTGTTCATGTCCTTCGCCCACTTTTTGATGGGGTTGTTTGATTTTTTCTTGTAAATTTGTTTGAGTTCATTGTAGATTCTGGATATTAGCCCTTTGTCAGATGAGTAGGTTGCAAAAATGTTCTCCCATTCTGTAGGTTGCCTGTTCACTCCGATGGTGGTTTCTTTTGCTGTGCAGAAGTTCTTTAGTTCAATTACATCCCATTTGTCACTTTTGTCTTTTGTTGCCATTGCTTTTGGTGTTTTAGACATGAAGTCCTTGCCCATGCCTATGTCCTGAATGGTATTGCCTAGGTTTTCTTCTAGGGTTTTTGTGGTTTTAGGTCTAACATGTAAGTCTTTAATCCATCTTGAATTAATTTTTGTATAAGGTGTAAGGAAGGGATCCAGTTTCAGCTTTCTACATATGGCTAGCCAGTTTTCCCAGCACCATTTATTAAATAGGGAATCCTTTCCCCATTGCTTGTTTTTGTCAGGTTTGTCAAAGATCAGATAGTTGTAGATGTGTGGCATTATTTCTGAGGGCTCTGTTCTGTTCCATTGGTTTATATCTCTGTTTTGGTACCAGTACCATGCTGTTTTGGTTACTGCAGCCTTGTAGTATAGTTTGAAGTCAGGTAGCGTGATGCCTCCAGCTTTGTTCTTTGGGCTTAGGATTGACTTGGCAATGTGGGCTCTTTTTTGGTTCCATGTGAACTTTAAAGTAGTTTTTTCCAATTCTGTGAAGAAAGTCATTGGTAGCTTGATGGGGATGGCATTGAATCTATAAATTACCTTGGGCAGTATGGCCATTTTCACAATATTGATTCTTCCTACCCATGAGCATGGAATGTTCTTCCATTTGTTTGTATCTTCTTTTATTTCATTGAGCAGTGGTTTGTAGTTCTCCTTGAAGAGGTCCTTCACATCCCTTGTAAGTTGGATTCCTAGGTATTTTATATTCTCTTTGAAGCAATTGTGAATGGGAGTTCACTCATGATTTGGCTCTCTGTTTCTCTGTTATTGGTGTATAAGAATGCTTGTGATTTTTGCACATTGATTTTGTATCCTGAGACTTTGCTGAAGTTGCTTATCAGCTTAAGGAGGTTTTGGGCTGAGATAATGGGGTTTTCTAAATATACAATCATGTCATCTGCAAACAGGGACAATGTGACTTCCTCTTTTCCTAATTGAATGCCCTTTATTTTCTTATCCTGCCTGACTGCCTTGGCCAGAACTTCCAACACCATGTTGAATAGGAGTGGTGAGAGAGGGCATCCCTGTCTTGTGCCAGTTTTCAAAGGGAATGCTTCCAGTTTTTGTCCATTCAGTATGATATTGGTTGTGGGTTTGTCATAGATAGCTCTTATTATTTTGAGATATGTCCCATCAATACCTAATTTATTGAGAGTTTTTAGCATGAAGGGTTGTTGAATTTTGTCAAAGGCCTTTCCTGTATCTGTTGAGATAATCATGTGGTTTTTGTCTTTGGTTCTGTTTATATGCTGGATTACGTTTATTGATTTGCATATGTTGAACCAGCCTTGCATCCCAGGGATGAAGCCCACTTGATCATGGTGGATAAGATTTTTGATGTGTTGCTGGATTCTGTTTGCCAGTATTTTATTGAGGATTTTTGCATCAATGTTCATCAAGGATATTGGTCTAAAATTCTCTTATTTTGTTGTGTCTCTGCCAGGCTTTGGTATCAGGATGATGCTGGCCTCATAAAATGAGTTAGGGAGGATTCCCTCTTTTTCTATTGACTGGAATAGTTTCAGAAGGAATGGTACCCACTCCTCTTTGTACCTCTGGTAGAATTCAGCTGTGAATCTGTCTGGTCCTAGACTTTTTTGGTTGGTAGGATATTAATCATTGCCTTAATTTCAGAAACCTGTTATTGGTCTATTCAGGGATTCAACTTCTTCCTGGTTTAGTCTTGGGAGGCTGTATGTGTCCAGGAATTTATCCATTTCTTCTAGATTTTCTAGTTTATTTGCATAGAGGTGTTTATAGTATTCTCTGATGGTAATTTGTATTTCTGTGAGATCAGTGGTGATATCCCGTTTGTCATTTTTTATTGCATCTATTTGATTCTTCTCTTTATTAGTCTTTCTAGCAGTCTATCAATTTTGTTGATCTTTTCAAAAAACCAGCTCCTGGATTCATTGATTTTTTGAAGGGTTTTTTGTGTCTCTATTCCTTCAGTTCTGCTCTGATCTTTGTTATTTCTTGCCTTCTGTTAGCTTTTGAATGTGTTTGCTCTTGCTTCTCTAGTTCTTTTAATTGTGATGTTAGGGTATCAATTTTAGATCTTTCCTGCTTTCTCTTGTGGGCATTTAGTGCCATAAATTTCCCTCTACACACTGCTTTGAATGTGACCCAGAGATTCTGGTATGTTGTGTCTTTGTTCTGGTTGGTTTCAAAGAACATCTTTATTTCTGCCTGCATTTCATTACGTACCCAGTAGTCATTCAGGAGCAGGTTGTTCAGTTTCCATGTAGTTGAGCGGTTTTGAGTGAGTTTCTTAATCCTGATTCTAGTTTGATTGCACTGTGGTCTGAGAGACAGTTTGTTATAATTTCTGTTCTTTTACATTTGCTGAGGAGTGCTTTACTTCCAACTATGTGGTCAATTTTGCAATAGGTGTGGTGTGGTGCTGAGAAGAATGTATATTCTGTTGATTTGGGGTGGAGAGTTCTGTAGATGTCTATTAGGTCCGCTTGGTGCAGAGCTGAGTTCAATTCCTGGATATCCTTGTTAACTTTCTGTCTCGTTGATCTGTCTAATGTTGACAGTGGTGTGTTAAAGTCTCCCATTATTATTGTGTGGGAGTCGTGGGAGTCTAAGTCTCTTTGTAGGTCACTAAGGACTTGCTTTATGAATCTAGGTGCTCCTGTATTGGGTGCCTGTATATTTAGGATAGTTAGTTCTTCTTGTTGAATTGATTGATCCCTTTGCCATTATGTAATGGCCTTCTTTGTCTCTTTTGATCTTTGTTGGTTTAAAGACTGTTTTATCAGAGACTAGGATTGCAACCCCTGTCTTTTTGTGTTTTCCATTTGCTTGGTAGATCTTCCTCCATCGCTTTATTTTGAGCCTATGTGTTTCTCTGCATGTGAGATGTTTTTCTGTACTTATTCCATTTACTGTGTCTCTAATCTTTGTCATTTCCTTCTTTCTGTTGGCTCCACATTTAATTTACTCTTTTTCCCTCTAGTTTCTGAAGATATCATGACCCCCAAATATCTGAGAAAGGTCTCAGTTAATTTAGGAAACTTATTTTGCCAAAGTTAAGGATGTGTACCCGTGACACAGCCTCAAAAGTCTTGATAACATGTGCCGTAGGTGGTCCAAGTGCAGCTTGGTTTTACACATTTTAGGGAGATATGAGACAGCAATCAATATATGTAAGTTGAACTTTGGTTTGGTCTGGAAAGGCGGGACAACTTGAAGCAAAGGCGGGACAGCTCAAAGTGGGGAGGGAGCTTCTAGGTCACAGGTAGATAAGAGACATGTCGTATTTTTTTAGCTTTCTGATTAGCCTTTTTAAAGGAGGCAGTCAGATATGCATTTATCTTGGTGAGCACAGGGATGACATTCAATACAATGGGAGGCTGGTTTGCCCTAGTTGTTCCTAGCTTAAGTTTTCCCTTTAGCTTAGTGATTTGAGGGCCCCAAGATTTATTCTCCTTTTACAGAATAAAGTTAGGTTGTTGATCCAAGATCTTTCTTCTTTTTGATGTAGGTGTTTATAGCAATGAACTTCCCTCTGAGCACTGCTTTTGCGGCATCCCGTAAGTTTAGGATTTTGTGTTTTATTTTCACTCATCTCTAAGTATATTCTTAATTTCCCTGTGAATTCTTCTTTGACTTGTTGATTAGGAGTGTGTTGTTTAATTTCTTTCCTTTTTTGATTTTTCCAGTTCTTCCTTCTCTTATTATTCCATTGTGGCTGGAGAACATGCTTTGTATGATTTTAGTCTTTTAAAACTTATTGAGACTTGTTTTGTGGCCTAACATATGGGCTGTTCAGGGGAATGTTTCATGTGCATTTGAAAAGAATGTTTATTCTGCTCTTGGTGTGTGGTGCTCTATAGCAGTCTGTTAGGTCTAGTTGTTTTATAATATTGTTCAAGTTTTCTGTTTCCTTATTGACCTTCTGGTTCAATGTTTTATCCATTTATTGAAAGTGAGGTATTGAAGTCTCCAACTATTACTTTAAAACTGTTTGCTTCTCCCAGCAATTCTGCTAATGTTTGCTTCATATATTTTGGGGTTCTGCTGTTTGATGTATGTAAGTTTATAATTATCCATATATAATGTTCTTCTTTATCTTTTGTAACAATATTTGACTAAAAGTCTACTTTGTCTGATATTAGCACAGCCATTCAAACTTCATTTTGGTTACTATTTTCATAGTAAAAAGAAATAGTACTATTTGCATGGAAAAAGACTTTTTCCCATCCTTTTACTTTCAACTTCTTTATGTCTTTGGATCTACAGTGACAGCTTAGAGGTGGATCATATTTATTGTCCATTCCATCAATGTCTTTAAATTGCAGAGTCTAAACTATTTATATTTAAAATGATTACAGAAAAGGAATCATTTAATTCTGCCATTTTGCTATTTGTTTTCTGTATGTCATATCTTTTATGTTCCTCAATTGCTCCATTATGGCCTTATTTAGTGTTTGATTGATTCTTTTGGTAGTATACCATTTTGATTCTCTCCTCATTCCTTGTTCTGTATATTTTACGTTTTTTTTTTTTTAATGGTTACTCTTGGAATTACAGTTAATATTCTAAATTTACAGCAATCTAGTTTGCATTGATACTAACTTATTTTCAGTAGCAGTAAACACTGCTTCTGTACAACTCCATACACTCCCTCTTTGTATTTTTGTGGTCATACATTATATCTTTACATATAGAAAACTAAAAGAGAAGTTAAAAACAAAGAATCCAATAATATTGGCCTTATATTTACCTACGTAGTTACCTTTACTAGTTTTTTTTTTTAATATGAATTCACATAAGTGTCTAGTGTCATTTCATTTCTTCCTGAATGAGTCTCTTAAATGTTGTTTGTAAGACAATTCTCCTATAATAAACCTCTTCAGGTTATATCTGGAAATCTCAATTTGTCTTTCATTTTTGAAGAATAGTTTTGTCTGAGATAGAATTCCTGCTTGACAGGTTTGTTTTTCCTTTCTTTCAGCACTGTAAATTTGTCATATACAGACTTCTGGCCTTCATAGTTTCTGATGAGAAATTGGCTGTTAATCTTATTGAGCATCCCTTTTATGCAATGAATCACTCTTCTCTTGCTGCTTTCAAGATTCTTTGACTTAGTCTCTAGAGAGTTTAATTATAATTTGTGTCAGTGTGCTTCTTTTTGACTTTATCTTACCTGAAACTTGTTGAGCTCCTTGGTTGTATAGATTCACATCTTTCATCAAATTTGGGAAGGTTTGAGCCATTATTTCCTCAAACATTCGTTTTGTCTGTTTTCCTCTCTCTTCTCCCCTTGGACTCTTATTATGTGCATGTTGGTGTACTTGATGGTTTCCCACAGGTACTTCAGGCTCTGTTCACTTTTCTTACTCTTTTTTCTTTCTGCTCCTCAGACTGGATAATTTTAATTGTTGTATCTTTAAGTTTATTGAATCTTCTGTCTGCTCAAATCCGCTGTTAAACCTCTCTATAGATTTTTTATTTCAGTTATTGTGCTTTTTAGCACAACATTTTTTATTTGGTTACCTTTAATAATTTCTATCTTTATTAATATCATCTATTTGTTCACATATCATTCTCTGTTTCCTGTGGTTATTTGCCTTTAGTTCTTTGAGCATGTTTAAGACAGTTGATTTAAAGTCTTTGTCTAATAAGTCCAATGTCTCGACTTCCTCAGGAGTGGTTTCTGTCCATTTCTTTTTGATTTTTTTCCTGCGCACGAGTCATACTTTTCTGTTTCTTTTTATGTCTTGTAATTGCTGAAAACTGGACATTTTGAATGTTATCACGTGGTAAGTATGGAAATCAAATTTTTGCCCTCTCCATCATTTGCTGTTGGTTCTTGTCGAGGGCTGCAATAGTCCATTTGTTTAATGACCTTTCTAAACTATTTTGGCAAAAATTGCATTCCTTGTCATCTGTAGTCACTGGTCTCTTTCCGGTTATTTTAGCAGCAAGTTTGTGACCCAACAGAGTTTTCCCCAAATGCCAAAATTTAGCAACCTTTTTCTATTTATTTCGGACTTCTCTGGATTTTTTTTTTTTTTTTTTTTTGGAGTCTTGCTCTGTCGCCCAGGCTGGAGTGCAATGGAGCGATCTTGGCTCACTGCAACCTCTGCCTGCCAGGTTCAAGCAATTCTCCTGCCTCAGCCTCCCAAGTTGGGATTACAGGTGAGACCCACCATGCCTGGCTAATTTTTGTATTTTTAGTACAGACGGGGTTTCGCCATGTTGGCTAGGATGGTCTTGAACTCCTGACCTCAGGTATTCTGCCCACCTCAGCCTCCCAAAGGGAGGCGTGAGCCACCATGCCCCACCTGGCTCTTTAAAATTAGATTTACCAAGTTCTGAAAAAGTTGTTTCTTTCTTTCTCTCTCTTTTTTTTTTTTTTTTTTTTTTGCCAACTTAATGGTCGCTGCAATGAGGAAACTAAATCTTGGTCCTCTCTACTGCACCATTTTCTACGATGTCTCTTCTATTTTTTTTCTGAAAATAATAGTTTTACATTTTACACTTCAGTTCGTGATCCAATTTGAGTTAAGTTCTGTATAATGTGTGAGATTTGTATTGAGGTTATTTATTTCTTTTTGTCTATAAATGTCCAACTCCTCCAGGACCATTTGTTAAAAAGACAATCTTTCTCCCACTGATTTACTTTTGTACCATTTCCAAAAATAAATTGGCACATTTGTTTAGGCCTACGTTTGGTTGTTGTTATTATGTTTTATTGATCTTAGTCTGTCTTTTCACAAATACTACACAATCTTGATTATCAGTGCTATACAGTAATTCTTGAAATTGGGTGAACTCATTTTCCCTACTTTATTCTTCGTTTTCAAAATTGTAGGGATTCTAGGTTTTTTGTTTTTTGCTTTTCTATATAAATTGTGGGATAATCTTGTCAATATCTACAAAAGTTTGCTTAGATTTTCATAGAAAATGCTTTAGATCTGTGTATCAATTTGGGGAAAATGGACATCTCTGTGATGTTGGGTCTTACAATTTGTAAACATAATTTATATTTTCATTTATTCAGGTCTTATTTGTTTTTTATTAGCATTTTGTAATTTTTAGCATATGAATCTATATATGTTTTGTTAGATTTATACCACCTACGTATTTCACTTTCTTTGGGTGAATATAGATGGTACTGTGTTTTTAATTTTTGGTTTCCATATGTTCATTGCTAGTATGTAGAAATATAATTAATGTTCAATGTTGATTTTGTGTCCTGCAATCCAGCTGAACTCACTTATTAGTTTTAATAGTTTTAGAAAGACTTCTTGGGATTTTCTATGGAGACAGTCATGTCATCTGCACATAGAAACAATTTTATTTCTCTCTTTCTGATATATATGCTATTTAGTTTCTTTTCTTGCCTTACTCACTGACCAGAATGTCAAGCATTCTGTTAACAAAAGTGGTGACAGCACACTTCCTTGTCTTGTTCCCACTTTTGGGAGCATGTATTTAATCTTTCACCATTAAGTATAATTTACCTTTAGTTTTTAAATAAGAAAGTTGACCACACAGTGATATGATTCTTATTATTCATCAAGAAAAGTGAGACTGGTAAGTTGAATTAATGAGCTTTAAAAAATGTCTAACACAGCCAAGCATGGTGACATGTGCCTCTAAGTCCTACCTACTTGGGAGGCTGAGGCAGGAGGATCACTTGAGCCCAAGAGTGTGAGGCTGCAGTACACCATGATAGCACCTGTGAATAGCCATGGCATTCCAGCCTGGGCAACATAGGAAGACTGTGTCTCTAAAAATAAAAAATTAAAAATAAATAAAACCCTGGATCCCAATTCAGGTCAGAAAATCAGAATCTCTGTGAGTGAAGCCTGAACACGGGCATGTGTTTAAGGTTTCCCAGGTGATAGTGAGGTAAGGCAACATCGAACGGGACTGGGTGAAATGATTTGCCTCAGCCCGCTGAACTAGCAAGTAACAGATTTTAGGGCTATTTTACAGAGGTAAATTTTTTGAGTCAATCTTCTCATCCACTGGCTACAATGTTTTTCTTATTTTCTCACCACTAAAGTTTTTGAAAGAGTAATCTCTATACCAGTGAGTCTCATGGTGTGATTTCCAGACCAGAAGCATCAGCATCACTTAGGAATTTGTTAGAAATGCATATTCCTGGGTCCCCACTCAGACCTACTCAATCAGAAGTTCTGGGCGAGTGAGGCTGAAGCCCAGCCCTTTGTGGTGGACAAGCTCTGCGGTGATTCTGATGCACCCTCGTGTCTGAGGAACACTGCTTTGCACAAGGCCGGCACCTTCCAGATATATTCTTCTTAATTCGGGTAATTTGGCTTCTTCTGTCAATATTCTACTGCTATGATTCTCAACCTTAGCTGGGCAGCTCATTAGAATTTCCTGAGAAGCTTTAAAAATCCTGATGTCCAGATCTTAGCCCAGGCTTGTTAGACACGGATCTCTAGGGATGGACTTGAGGCATGAAACTTTTTAAATTTCCAGGAGATTACAGTGAGCAACGCAAGGTTGGGGATTACTGCTTTATTGCAAGTGCTCACTCAGACATCACCAATCACCTCCCAGGCACAGAATCAATTGCTTTTCCCCACGGTCCCTTAAGCCTTTTGTGACATGGTACAGGACGTCTTTCTTGGCCTTCAGATTCTGGTTTCCAGGATGCTGCTTGATCCAGGCCCTCTTTTGGCTCTGTCTGCTCCTGGTTTTTCCTCTTCCTTCACTTCAAGGCTGTACTGTAAAGCTTCCCTCTACTCTCTGTTTCTTGCTTCATATTTCGCTCCCAAACTGTTGCCTGTGATCTTTCTCAGATTTAGTATGAATGTTGCTACTCCCCTGATCTCAGCAAGTCAGGCTCACTTCTCATTCAGACATCCCTGTGGCTTCTCTGTGGCCACAGTCAGGAGCACAGCATTCTGCCATTAAGGTTCACAACCTTTTGACTCACTGTCAACATTTCTTCAACATACCAAGTCATGTAGATCCTATTTTACAATATCTTGCACTTCTTCTCCAGGCACTGTGCAAAGCAGGGACATTAATAAGATACATAGGACTTAATCCGTGTCTATGAAGAATTCCTAGTCTGGCCACCAAGATCTGTTATTTCAACTTAAAAAATAGCCTGTCTTTATAAATTCCATTTCACTTGCCACTCTTATAGTTTGGGTCTCATGACCTGTCAATTGGTTAATTGGAGAGGTGTCTGAATTGACTACTCCAGTCAATTCCAGATGTTGTTGTTAGAAGATTTTTTCAAACTCTAGATCTAGCCTAGAGTTTATGTTCTTCTTTCATGCCAGCTTATGAGTCAAAGGACACTTAGCCCCATTCCCTAAACACACTCTCTCTTAACCCCTCACTACCTCTTCTTTTCATCTGAAATTCCTGTTGTCCTCATTCTTTCAAATCTTACCAATCTGTCAAAATCTAGCTCAGTGCGATTGCCATGGCCTTCCTGGTCCCCCCAGCGGAGTGTGCTCACTGCTTTCAGTAATTCATGTAGGTACCTCTGTCACTTGAGTGTCCCTTGTCTCACTTTGCCTTGTATTAGTATTGTGTGCTGTTTTGTCTCTTGTCTCTTTCTTGGCTGTGTCTGAGCATGAGAGTCGTGTTTACCTTGAGCCTTGCAAAGGGTCTTGCATCGAACAGGTCCCCTGACCTTCAGTATCCACTGAGACTGCCAATGGTGCCCTCATGTCAGAGGCTGAAAAGCCCAAGCTACCTTCTCCAGACTCCCTGCTGTATTCAGCATATTTTTTGTTTTTTGTGTTCTGATGCTTTGGCATTTGGAGCCTTGCTGACCCTGGAGAGACTGCCCCTCTCAGGCTTGACAATTCCTAGAGATAGCAAACCACTTGCCATGAGAATGCTTTTCAAATACAAGCCAACAATCTAGAGTTCACACCTCAAAGGCCTGCTTTATTGGGATCTCACATCTGGGCCACTATCTACCTACCCTAATGACCTCAGACAGCTAGGGAAAGTCCCTATCCCCCCAGAATCTACTGAAACTATTCAACCCATTCAGCCCTAAGCCTGCTCCCCCTGCCTCACACATTCCTTCCTGTGGAAACCACCATAAGGGCTCTTTCCCACAGTTCCCACTCCCCAACCCTTGACCACCCTCGGTGTTATTCTTCTTGGCTCTGCACGGCATGGCATGCTTCATCCTTTTGGGAACTGTGAGTAAAAAACTATCTTCCAAACTACAACCATTTCCTGATCTGTTGGCCTTACTATACCTCAAATTTTCTATTAATAGACTATATTTAAAGCACCTGCTGCCAGTGTTCTGGATGAGAATGAGGATTTCCTGTTAGACGAGATCTGGAAGATGCAGTTGAGGCACACCCCACTTCCTGGTGTCTTTGCTCCTCTGTGCTGGGCAATGTGAGCTGGTCACACAGCGTGGGTGTGGCATCCTGGATAGCCACACTCACTTCCTAAATGGGTGAATTAGTGTTTTGCTTATATGACACTCTGTTCAGCAGAGCGTCTGAAAAGCTGATCAGCTTTCATTCTTTTGGTAATATCATGGCTCTGGGACTAGAAAATTGAGGAGCAGATGGGTACCCAACAGAGGGGCAGCCTAGGAGAGGCCCGTCTCCCTTGACAAAGCTCTGCTCCAAGCTGAGACGTGTGTGATGAATCTTCACATTATACACGGAGTCACTGTTTGCCAAGGATGTTAAAATTCAGTTGACATCCCAAGCGAAAACTAACTCAAGCATTGAGCTCTAAAAGACATGCTGTGTGTATCCATGCTTCCAATGAATATTTAGTAAGCACGTGATTAATGCTGGGTGTCAATTTATTCAAATCGAGTTTTATTTAGAGGTGAAAACATGACACTGAGATGGAAATAAATCAAATGATCAGAAAGGAGTTTCTGTATCACCACTGTATAATTCAACAATAAACCAGTGGAATAGAGTATTTTAAAAAATGGTAGGAAGCTTTTTTTGATGTAGAGTACTTTAACTCAATTTAAATTAACATTTTAAACCAACTACCGTGTGTTGGAATGAGTGTTGGCACTTATGCCTGTGTGTGTTTGGGGTGTGTGTGTGTGTGTGTGTGGTTTGTATGTGTGAGGTGTGTATGTCTATATGTGAAGTATTTATGATGTTTGTGGTGTGTGTGCTGTGTATGTATGTATGAGTGTAGTGTGTGTATAGTGTATGTGGTGTGTGTGAGCTATGTGGTGTGTGCAATGTGTATGTGTGAGATGTATAGTGTGTGTAACGTGTGTGGTGTGTATTGTAGAGTGTGTGTATATATGCAGAGTGTGTGTGATGTGTATGTGTGTGTAGTGTGTGTGATGTGTTGTGTGTGGTGTGTAGGTGAAGAGTGTGTGTAGTGTGTATATGTGTGTGGTGTGATGTGTATGGTGTGTATGTGTATAAATGTAGAGTATGTGTATGTGTGTGTTTGTGGTGTGTGGTGTGTATATGGTGTGTGATGTGTGTGTATGTGTAGAGTGTGTGTGATGTGTTGTAGTGTGTGGTGTGTATATGCAGAGTGTGTGTAGTGTGTATATGTGTGTGGTGTGATGTGATGTGTGTGTTGTGTAATGTGTATATGTGTAGAGTGTATGGTGTGTGTTTGTGGTGTGTGGTGTGTATATATATGTGTGGGTGTGGTGTATGGTGTGTGTGTGTCATGGGTGAATAAGAGAACATGTGATTGATGCTACTTTCTGTCTTCGGAGAGTTTATGATACAGGAAGAGAGATAAATCATGGCTTCAACCTAAGGCAAAATGTGATGACTATTTTAAGAAAAATAAAAAATGTTTCATATGGCTGCCAGGACTGATGCATAGCTGTGGTTTGGAGAAACTGGGGAAAGTTTCACAGAGGAAAGGATGAGATTGGAGATCCACTCAGCCTTTCCAGGGATCTTTTGGCACGTGCTCAGCTCACTGCCAGCTGCCTCCTGTGGCACTCCTCGGATGTAACTGCTCTCAAATACTTTACCTTGCTGCTAAATTCAACAGGTACTTGTTGGTCCTTATCCACCAGACTTCATTATCCCTGCTTTCTTTGAAGGATGCTCCATTTTCAGTTTTGCCTCTGGTCCTACCAGGATGAGACTTTCCCACCCACTCAGGAGAGAAGGGGCGGCTGCACTCAGGAGAGAGACATCCTGTTGGAGCCTTGCAGAGCCACTCATGAGATCACTTAGCAAAGCTGCAGCTATGAAAAATGGCACCTAGAAAAAATACATCAATAGAAATGGGCATTCTGGAGATCAGACCAGACCATCTGGGATGGGGCCACCGTGGAACCCACAGAAGGGGGTTCAGACTGAGCCAGCGCAGCAACAGGTGAAAGAGCAAATAGTTCCCTGGGGAGGAGGAACCAGCAGGTGTCTTGGCATCTACCTGCGTCCTTCAGGACAGCACCCTTCCCACGGGTCCTGCTTTGAGAGTCACAGCTCTTCTTCATTCTCCCTGCCCCTTTAAGGACAGCCTTTCTTCCACTTTACAAAACAAAGGAACGATCTGAGATACTGTCATCTGCACTGCTGTCTTAAACATGTTTCTGTTCAAAGTAAAGAAGACATTAGAAACAGCATTTGGTCACTGTTGGGAGGTTCTGAGTTCTGAGATATTGCCCAGTGGGGCGGTGCAGAAAGCCACTTTTGATTCTGTGATTTCGTCTTTTCTGCCCTGACTGTTGTTGAGCAGTGTGCCCATCTTTAGGGACAGTTTCCTGACAGCAAAGCTTGGCAAGTATCAGTAAAAGCATGAAGGCCGTGAGGGCAAGACATTTATCCATCTGAATACAGGCTCACAGCAAAGCTCCAGGCCTTCTTTGAAGTATCCATGGAATCAAGTACAAAAGATTCGTAAAAAGCGCACAAGGAAGCATCTCTCTGCCCCTAAAGGAGCCCTTTGCAATTCCTCCCCTCAGACATGAGACAGACCCCTCTCATGGGCTTATTTCTTGGACTGTGACTCAGTTCCAATTTCGCATGGTTTCAAAGAGGAGAAGGTGAAAAGATACATGTTTACTTCTGGCGTTATAAATTTGCAAAAAAAAGTCACGTAGAGCACATACACATAATTATTTTATATTTTCACAAACCTTTATTCAAACCCAAGGGAAAAATATTTACATTCATGTTTGCCAGATTATTGGAGACTGAGAGTATATTACACTTAATGAGAATTACTAATACATATTTTATAAGTTCCATAGCTACTTGTAACACAGTAGTACCTCTTCTTTTTGCTGTTTATTTCCACAGAGAAGATTAAATTATACTCTCTCTTTCCTTTTTTTTTTTTTTTTTTTGGGATGGAGTCTTGCTCTGTTGCCCAGGCTGGAGTGCAGTGGCGTGATCTCAGCTCACTGCAACATCCACCTCCCGGGTTCAAGCGAATCTCCTGCCTCAGCCTTCTGAGTAGCTGGTATTAGAGGCACCCGCCACCATGCCTGGCTAATTTTTCTATTTTTAGTAGAGATGAGGGTTTCACCATCTTGGCCAGGCTGGTCTCGAACTCCTGACCTCTAGTGATCCACCAGCCTTGGCCTCGCAAAGTGCTGGGATTACAGGCATGAGCCACCGCGCCCGACCTAAATTATACTCTTAAGAACAGATCTCCTTATGTGGTTAGATGCAAAATATCTCCCATACTCAGTCTGGGATATAATGAACTAGGCTTGAACTTCAGAAAACTAATCACAGTTAATTAAGAGTTGGGGCCTTTATGAGGTGATTAAGCCAGGGGGGCTCCTCTCTTGTGAATGGGATTAGGTAGCCTTTTATAGGGGTTTGGAGGGGGAATTTCTCCCTTTCACCCCCTGCCTTCCGCCATGTGAGGACTCAGCATTCCCCCCACTCCTGAGGAGGTAGCACAAGGCACCATCTGGGAGTGGAGAGCAGCCCTCACCAGACACCAAACCTGCTGCCACCTCCGTCTTGGAATTCCAGCCCCCAGAACTGTGAGATCTAAATTTCTGTTCTTCATAAATGACCCAGTTTCAGTTATTTTGTTACAGCACCACAACAAATGAAGAAGGAGGTGTGTAAGCAAAAATGTTGGCAAACCACTGCTCTTTGTTTACTTTAATATAAGCATGTAAAACCCTGAGTGTGGATTCTAGCTTCTCAATGCATCCTTTTGCTCCTTGATTAATCCCCAAGTCAAGGAAGCATTTGAGGGATTGTTTTAGATTCATATGCAGATTGTGTGAGCAGTGTAGATCTTTCCTGAATTTTAAAGTGAAGATTCCGGTTCCTAACCTTCCAAATAAAGAACATAGCTTGTTAGGATTCTCTCTTAGTAAGTTGTAGCTTTGTCTGGAGGTACTAAGTGTTACACTCCTCATAAGTCATTTCATCCCGCATGTTTGCAACACATAAGATTCATCTTGATCTTGTGGGGATTATGGGACACCTCTTACTCTTATCTCTTTTTGCAGTAAGAGTAAGGAGGCTAGATAAGAGCATAGTCTTAATTAAGAAAAGTTTAAACCCTATTCTCAACTGTAACTTATATAGCTTATAATTTATAAGTTATAACATAGAGTTTATTCTTAACTTTATTGTAGCTTCAAAAAGAGATGATACAAATTCCAGAATCAAACTTTATCAGAAAAAGTAACTGGAATTTAGGTTACTCTGCAAGTTTAAAACAGAGAAACCCATGAACTGTTTGGAAAGAATGGCATAGAGGGGAATCCGCCATCCCTCAGCCTCCCATCTGTTGGTGAGGTCTCTGAGGCTTGCTGGATGAACTCTCAGGAGGTGACCCTTGCAGGCAGCAGGTAACTGTTCTCCCACCTCTGGGGACCATTCTGCTGTGTGCTGTGCTCAGTCTGACGCTGGACCATGAAGGGGAGTTCCTGGCTTCTCCTGAACTCAATGGACTTTGCTACGTTGACATCTCTATGGGATATGATTTTTTTTTTTGGCTTGTCCTCTGCACTGTAAACTAGAAGTGAGGTTGAGTCTCTCTCTGCTATGAGGAGTCAGCCTGCTCAAGGTAGGGGGCATTTAAGCAGCTTATCTACATTTAAAAGTAAAAACTACATGGTGCACTTAAAAATGGTCAAGATGGTAAATGTTATGTGTATTATATCGCAATAAAAACTGGCTGCTAATCCTTCTTGTATGATACAGTGGATTCCTGGCTGTCTGTGTCGAGGATGCAGAACTGCAGCACAGATTGCTGAAAGTAGGAAACGCCAAACAAGACTGGGTCCCCTGCTGTCTTCATGATGGTGCAGTTTCTCCCCACTGGAAATGGTCAGAGGCCAGCCACGGAAGGTGCCTTGCAGTGTAGGGCAGGTAGTCCACCGCATCAGTTGCGCATAAAGTCAGAACATACTTGACCATAATATAATTTCAAGAGCTCTAACAGGGATGGCAGCCTGGAGGCGGCCTTCAGAAACAGACTGGCCTGAGGCCGAGTCTCTGTTTGGCAACTCCCAGCCTGTGACCTCAGGCAAGCCACGTCACTTTGTCAGATGTTCATTTTGTCTCCTAGAACTTGGGGGATAATAATTGTACTGACTTCAGAGGGTGACTGTGAGACTCAAGTGAGCGCACAGCATAGGCAGTGGGCCGTCATTGTACTCTCTACAGCGACGCCCTGGCCATTGTCCATGGATGCTTTTCCAGGCATGCATTTGGAACCCAACTTCTTTGCAGTGTCATCAGACACCCAGATATCAATGCTGTATATGGAATAAAGGTCTGAAAAGAGGAAAATTATAGAAAAAATACTGTATAAAATTCATTCACTCATTCCTTAAGACATTTCTTGAATGTCTGTTACATGCCAGACACTTTGGTTAGACAATCGAATGGGAATTGAGCCTGAAGATTGAAGTGGGCCATTAGGCTCTGGGTTGTGTTAATGACATTCAGAGAAGCTTGGTACAGGATAGGTCTCTGGAGTAAGAGATGGGATATAATTGGTGTGCACTCACCTGCAGATAGCATGCATTATGCTGTTAGTTTTCAAGTAAAAGGTTCTTGCTTTGCCATTAAATGTACTTTGGACAAATCATTTGACATTCCCAGCACTCACCTTTCTCTGGTACAATAAGAATCTCAGATTCAGATGTGGATTGCTAATTATTTCACTCTGTGGTGTGGAAGGGGTGGTGGTGAGGGTCTGGACCAAGCTGGCCACTCACAGCCACAAACTCAGGGTGTAAATCCTGTACTCTTAAAATAACTCAGTTCTGTTTTGAGCCTTTCTTCTACTGAGGCAGAAAATTAAATTCAGCTCAAGGCCATTCATTCAGGCTTTCTGGGTCCGTGCAGGGATCCCCTTTCTCCTTCCCTTCGGAGCTGCTCTCCCCTGGGCAGCAGTGGTCATCTCCTCCCCCTGTGCTGGCATCTGCAAAGAAGGGCCGCGGTCCTGCTCACTCTGGGTCCTCAGATGCGGCCACCCCAGCCTGCCGGCCCTCCCTGTCACTGTGGTGGAGTCCCATTTTTGGTACTCATTTTTTCTTCATTGCTGGGCAATGAGCCACTTAGGTGCTTTCTGCGCTATGCCTGGGCCGCGCAGTCCCTTTCCTGCCATGGCAGTCCTGCTGCCCCACACCTGGGGAGGCAGACACAGGGCAGATAAAGGTTAGTTAATGTAGAGTCCTCTGACATCGTCTCCAGACATTGTCTCCAGACAAGGAAGGTCCAAAGCTGTGCTCAGTGGTTAAACTTTGATCTTCTTGGGGAAGTGGGAGGGTGGAGGGTGGAGAGGAGGGGATGCCTTTAGCTTTGTAAATTTCTGTCCTGCTTTTAGGCAAATGGAGGAGGGCAGAGAGCTTCCCTGCGAACCTGCCACACCTGGCAGCCCTTCATGGGCAACACTTTCTCTCGGATCCTGCAAGCCTATGGCGAGGTCAGTTCTTCCCTTCTGAGCCTCCACCTTCTGTGCGCCCTGCTGGGGCTGGGCCTTTCTCCCATGGGTGCGCAGGAGGTAGGGCCATCTGAACTCTTCCCTGTGTTCCTGGTCCTCTTTTCCAACTTGTGGAAACTTTCTGAAGCCTGTCTCTTCATCTCTGCTGTCTAAATCTGTTGTTTATCTGCCACATTTATTTCAGGCAAGTCGTCCCATTTAGTAAAGACACAGAATTGATGGATCTAAATAGGGCTTCTCAGCATTTTATGGTGTCACAGACCCCTTTGAAAATAGCATAGATTTCATGAATCCTATTCCTCCCAAAATGCCACAAACACACATACACACACACACACAGATTTATGTACTATTTCATGGGATTTGTCAATGTATTAGTTTACTCTTGCATTGCTATAAAGAAATAATGGAGACCAGGTAATTTATAAAGAAAAGAGGATTTATTGGCCCAGGGTCCCTCAGGCTGTACAGGAAGCGTGATGTTGGCATATGCTCTGTCTCTGCAGAGGCCTCAGGAAGCTTCCAATCATGGCGGGAGGTGAAGGTGAACAGCCACATCACATGGAGGGAGCAGGAATAGGGGGTAGGTGCTACACACTTTTAAACAACCAGGTCTTGGGAGACTAACTCATTGTCTCCAGAACAGCATCAAGGGGATGGAAGGGAAGCACCAGCAGCTTGGAGGATGGAGGAGAAGGTAAGGGCAAGATGAGCTGATGCTCATGACTGTGGGGGTGGGGTGGGGTAGGGTAAGGTTAATTGGTGACCCTGTGTATAAAAAATGTTTAATGCTTTCTGATTTTTAAATTTTTAATTAAATTTTTAAATATATATTTTATTTTGAAATAATTTTTAAAATTTTTAATTGACACATAATTGTACATATTTAGGGGTACAGTGTGATGTTTTGATACATGTCTACATTGTGTAATTATCACATCGTATATTTGATTGCATAATAATCAAATCAGGATAATTAGCATACATATCACCACAAACATTGATCATTTCTTTGTGGTGGGAACTTACAAAATCCTTTCTTCTAGATATCTTGAGATATACAATACCTTATTTTGACTATTTTCACCCTATTGTACAATAGGACACCAGAGCTTATTCCTCCTAATTGTAACTTTGTACCCATTGACCAACCTCTCACCCCCCACCACTCCAGCCGGTGTCTGGCAACAACCGTTCTATTCACTACTTCTGTAAGATCAACTTTTTTAGATTCCACGTATGAGTGAGAAGATGTGCTATTTGTCTTTCTGTGCCTGGTTTATTTCACTTAACATAATGTTCTCCAGGTTTATCCATGCTGTCACAAATGACAGGATTTCGTTCTTTCTTAAGGCTGAATAGTATCCCATTGTGTATATGTCCTGCATTTTCTTAATCCATTCATCTGTAGAAGGACACTTAGGTTGATTCCAAATCTTGGCTATTGTGAATAGTGCTGCAATAAACATGAGAGTGCAGATAACTCTTAGTCAGATAGTACTGATTTTATTTCCTTTGGATATATACCTAGAAGTGGGATTGCTGGATCATATTGTAGTTCTATTTTTAATTTTTGAGGAACCTCCATGTGGTTTCCCAAAAAGGCTAATTTGCATTCCCACTAACAGTATGCAAGGGTTCCCTTTTCTCCACATCCTCACCAACACTTGTTATCTTTTGTCTTTTTGATAATGGCCGTTCTAACTGGAGTGAGGTGATAGTGCCTTGTGGTTTCGTTTAGCATTTCCCTGATGATTAGTGATGCTGAGCATTTTTCCATATACCTGTTGGCCATTTGTATGTTTTCTTTTGATAAATAAAGACACAAAGCTGTAGTGATCACACTACCTGACTTCAAAATATACTACAAAGCTATAATTACCAAAACAGTATGATATTGGCATAAAATTAGACACATAGAACAAGGGAACAGAATAGAGAACTCAGAAATAAACCCATGCATCTATAGCCAACTGATTTTTGACAAAGGTGCCAAGAATGCACATTGAGAAAGGATAGTCTCTTCAATAAATGGTGCTGGGAAAATAGAATAGCCACATGAAAAAGAATGAAACTAGGATCCTATCTCTTACCATATACAAAAATCAACTCAAAATGAGTTAAAGACTTAAATGTAAGACCCAAATCTATAAAACTACTAGAAAACAACACAGGGAAAACACTTTATGACATTGGACTGGGCAAGGATGCTTTGGATAAGACCTCAAAAGCACAAGCAATAAAAGCAAACATCGACAAATGGGATTACATCACACTAAAAACTTCTGCACAGCAAACAAAATAATCAAGAGTGAAGAGACAACCCACAGAATGAGAGAAAAATTTGTAAACAATGCATCTGACAAAGGTGTAATATCCAGAATATGTAAGATGATCCTGTTTTAAAAGGCAATATAGCAATAAGTTTCAAGATCTTTAAAAATAAACCTTCTAATTTTGTCACTCCATTTATAGGAGTCTAGTTTAATTAAATCCTAAGTGATGCTCACAGAGATTCATGTAACTATTCAGGGAATAGCTAGTCCAATATAGATTGGAAAAAAACTCTAAATGATTAATGAGATAATTAATACATCAGTCAGACATATTTATATTTAAGGCTACTATGCTGACATTGGAAATCAATTTGTTTAAGAATTCTTAATGATACAAGACAACTTTTCAAGATATTTTAAGTAAAAAAAAGGATAAAATAAATTATAATTTTGATTAGGTGAATTGATAGTGCTTGTATATGTATATTTGTAGAATAACAGGTTTCTGCATTGTATTTAAAATTTGGGTCTACTAAGATCATAATTTACTTTAAAATCTTAAGTACAATAATACGTTGTATTTAAAATTTGTATGTGCTATGATTACTAGTTACTTTTACTTATGAATCCTATGTTAGGAAGAAAGAAACCTCACAAATGGGTTTTCATAACTTTAAGAGAATCTATACATGTTCATACTGTGATTTGGGTCAACTAAAACAAGGCCAGTAAGGTCAAAGTTGAATTAAGTACTGCATGTTTCACAGGTGTCACAGTGAAACAGCAAAATAATGAACATAACTAATTCCATTTTTGTTTAAGGAGCTTTTACTCATCCCTGCACATAGGCTAGGATAATTGAAGAGCACTGAGATAAAATACAGAAACAGCAATTACATAGTTTTTGAAGCTAACTCTGGGATTAAAGGGGAAGTATGTAAACGACTAACAATGTTTTGTTGAAGATTTATGGGCGCACTATGACCTGACCAAGGACAAAAAACTTCCCAGCCTCCTCGGACCCTCCCTGGAGCCCAGATGTCTGCAGTCATCGACTACCTTGCAATCCCAATTTCCTCCTCTTCCCCCTGCCTATAACATAAGAAGACCCTGAAATTGTACTGACTTCAGATGTTACTTTAGGACATTGGTCACCATCTTCTCAGTTTGCTGGCATGTCAAAATAAAGTTGCCTTCCTTGCTTTAACTTTTGTCTCTCAATTTTTGGCTGGTGCAGTGAGCAGAATGAGTTTGGACTCAGTTACATAGTAATTTTAAGTTGTAATAACCCTATATAATAAATACATAAAATTTCTCACAAACAAGTAGAACAGATATTATAGTCTCAAGATCAAGGGTTTTACAAAAACCATTTTGACTACAGTATAAACTCACAATGGTATTGATTGTAAATAAATCACTCCATTTCATGGTGGAAAATACAAAATACACATGACTTCAAACAATCTTTGCTGGATTTGGCTCTTCGAACAATTTTTAGTGTCTTCAACGGCTCTTCTCATGTTCTCCCAGGTTACCTCTTTTCTTTAATGGGTAGGTCAGCGCTTTGCACCCTCTCAGAGTTATAAAGCTCCACCGTAATTGCTCTCAGAGCTTGTGGCGTTGGGTTTTAATGATGATTTAAACAAGGGGTGTCCACTCTTTTGGCTTTCCTGGATCACATTGGAAGAAGAATTGTCTTGGGCCACCCATAAAATACACTAACACTAATGATAGCTGATGAGCTTTAAAAAAAATCACAAAAATATCTCATAATGTTTTAAGAAAGTTTACAAATCTGTGTTGGGCCACATTCAAAGCCATCCTGGGCCACAAGTGGCCCTCAGGCCGAGAGTTGGACAAGCTTGATTTAAACCAAGGCTGAACAAGTATTGGAGCTCACGTTTCCCTCTTTATACACATCTACATTCCGTGAAATTTTACCTGCAAAATATATCTGAGATGTGGCCTCTTTGTGGCCACACCCACCCCTTTCTCCTGCCGGGTTTCTCTCCTGTTCCTCACGCTGGCCGGGAACCTTCTGAATCTGGGCTCCGTGCGGGCCACTCCCTGCCTGTCCTCCCCCAGGAAGCCTTCTCGGCTGAGGAGCATAGACTTTGGGCTGGCGGACCTGGCCCCGGCGCTTTCTTCAAGGCTGAAGAGCTTCCTTCCACGCTGTGGCCCGCGCCTCTCAGGTCTCCCCTGGAGTCAGCTGCCAGGCACCCTGACCTCAGCGCTGGACTCCTCGGAGTCTGCTTCCTCCTCCCAGAGGCCTTCTCTGACCCGCATCTAACTGGTATTCCCTCGTTCTTCTTGTTCACAGCAATGTCTCACACCCTTCCTTCAGTAACTTGATGACTGTTTATGAGGTTTTTATTGTGGCTCTTTGCTTGCCTTGTGGCCTCCCCACGGCAAATCAGAGGAGGCCAGAGTCACTTCCCTGCACCCGGCTCCTCACGCGGTGCCTGGTAAGCAGTAGATGCTCAATGTGTGTGTGAACAATGTGCACGTGGAGTGGACAGTAAACAGGCCCTGGCGAGGCCTTGGTAAGCGTGTTCAACAACATTGGTCTCTGGCAGGTTGGATCAGGACTGATTTTAATTTCCTGTCTATATATTTCTGTATTTTGCAATTTTTCTCAGTGAGAATTAATTAATTTTGAGATCAGAGAAAAGCCTTAAATAAAGAAAGGCCAAGGAAAGAACGGCCACCTCCTGAGGTTTCAGTGAAGGGAGGACGGATTCCAGGATTCTGGGCACGTCGCTTGCAGAACCACAGAAAGGTCCGAATGGAGGTAGTCCTTGCAGGCACATGGGCTCCTGGGTGATAGTGAGTGGAGGCTGAGCTGAGCTCTTTCGGTGCCCCAAGGCCCTTGGGCTCTGGAGAAGAATGGACAAATTCAGCTATGGCATAGCAGGGAGGTTGAGCGACGAAAAGTAAGAGGCACTTTGGGGTTAAATCAGCCTTTTAAAAAAGTAGTCAAGAGGTAGGGAATGAGTTGCTTGATTTCTTCAAGAGTGTACGCAAGGAGGGCCTGGGAGGCAGTGCCAGGGTCTGGTGGGATGCCTCCTGATAAAGGGTGGTGATTTACATTGGAGCCGTGGTTCATACTGCTAAACCCTTTTTGGAGGTTCAGTTTTTCCATCTATAAAATGGTGTTAATAGTGCCTATTTGGCAGCTTTGATAGGAAGATGAAATGAGATCGTGTATTTTAGTTAGGCGCTTATTACAGGTCCTGATGCATAGTCAGTGCTCACTTACTCCAGTAACCAGGAACAAATTCTGTTGGGTCATCTCCCTACAAGAGAGAGGCTTCCCAGGATGAGAAGGCACTCCAAAATTGTGCTGTACAATTCAAGTTAGAATCCAGTTTGGGAGCCATTGCCTTGAAGCACTCACCGGCCTGTAATTGTCCATACTTTCCTCTTGCCCTAAATTTTCAAAAGGAGTGGTTGTTTTCCAAGTTACCTGCCAATATCCGCTTTTTGAATACCCCTCGGCAATTACCATTGCTATGCTAATTTAGGTGAAAAAACACAAAAGAATTCTTTTTAAAATTTCCATTAATGCAAATGGGTTTCTGGAAGTGAATATCATGGCCTTGTTTTGGTCACCGATTTGTGGGTGGACATTGTGAAATGTCATTTCCAATAGCAGGTTTGTTTTATTCTGGAACTTTGACCCCACAAGTGAAGCCTCTGCAATTCCTTTCAGTGAGAGAGACAATGGCATGACACTCTGTGCTCTTGCTTTCTTGCTTTTATGTGCACATCCGGACAAGTTGAAAGCTGAGTGGAAAGCAGCACTTTCTTAAAATTTTCCAAGGTACATTGAAGATAAACATCATTTGAATTGTTAAGTCAATCTTTACAGTAGAGGAAGAAAAATTGTGAGCAGCACAGATAGAAAACTGGGGCAAACCAATGTAAGAAATGGTCTGGCTGAGTCATGTTCCTGTTCCCGTCAGATTTTCCTGTGAAAGACATGAGGACAGACGAAGGCGGAGGTAAAGATGGCAGGTTCTTGGCCGAATCACTTGTTCTGGCTTGAGATTCTTAGCTAATGCTCTACTTCATAAGCAAACAACTCACAGAGACAAATTATGAGTCAGCACATGAAATAATTTCTAACAACAAAATAAAATACAGCCCACCACACCCATCCTCAGTGCTGTAGAGTGTTTATGGGGCATCTCTGGTATCTTTGAGGTTGTCTCATTCACTCCTTTAGTGAGCACAGATGACCACAGGGCAGTGGTGGGGAGGGCTGGGATGTGGACAAGGTGCCACAATAATCAAGGGATTAGGTAAAGCTGGTGTGTGTGTCTTTGCAGGGGAGTGGGCATAGGGGATAACAGAAATCATAAAGCCAGGAAATGGTATCTAAATGGGTCTTTAAAGTGTCAGGGAAACATGTCCAGGAAATTCAGCTTTTGAGGCCAAGAGACTGAGAATTAGGGAGGAGAAAGGGGACACCTGGGGTGGGGCATGGGCCCTGGAGGCTGCTGTGGGATCTGGGTGAGTGGGATGGCTGTGCTCAAAAGGCCAGGATGGGGCCAGCGGTCCTTCCCAGGTCACAGCAGCTGGAATGCAAAACATTCTGCACGCTCAGGACCAGGGTCTTTCTGGGTAGCCAAGGGAGGGAGGCTCAGCTAGATGTGCTTCACTTGCTTTGTGTGAGGGATTCCTCACTGTACCCACTCAGAAACCCTCAGGAGCATGCACAAAATAAGCCCTGAGATCCTGGGCCTCTTCAGACAGCTTAATATCCCTAAAGTCCTGTGACTCACAGCCCTGCAGGTGGCCAGCATTTGCCGAGAGAGGACCATCTTCTTGCCCTCCCCCTCACCTGCATCACCACACTCTGTGGTGCGGTCAGAGGCTGGGCTAGGGAGACAGAGGGCATGGGCACAAGTCCTGGCTCTGCCCCTCGCTCACCAGCTCTGAGGCCTTAGACAAGCAACTTGACCTCTCTGTGCCACTGTTTCTGTTTCCGTAAAATGGTGATAACAAAGAGTACCTAACTGGTAGGCTGTTTTAGGAATGTGTGAGATATGGCCTTAGGATAGAGCTGAGCACATCATAAGTTGTAGATGTTTTAAATACATCCCATCCATTAGTGCCTAATGTCCCCGCCAGTTTTTGGATTGAAGTATAACCAAACAGACAACATCATCAATACCAGCTGGCACTTCCAGCGCAGAAGAAATGTGAGCGTTCTGGGCGGAAAATCTGAGTTTCACCGGGAGATAAATCTATGTTCTTTTTTCATACAGCCCCAGAATCCAGGGCTGTGTTTCCAGCAGCCGTTTTATTCCCTCCCCTTTCTGTGTGTCTCTAGGCCATTTCCAATGGGTAATCTGTCTGGATGATCTGAAAATCTCAGGGGACCGATCCGCCCCTTCCGCCCGTGATAATTTTCTCTAATTGCTTTGTCCTGTTTTGAGTCTGTGCTGCTAAGCAACACGCGCTGAGCGCTTTCTCTTTCTGATTCTTCCTTTACTCTATCCAGCTCGGTAGGCGTGCCCTTTGAACCAGACACACACAGCAAACAAAGGCAAATGACAAAGGAGGAGAGAGCCAGCCAAGGGGAGCGAAAGGCCCCAGCCCCACACCGTGCAGAGCCTCGCGCTTCAGAGAGTGCAGGCGGCGCCCACAGAGCAAGGATGGGGGGTGGGGGGACGGTCCCAGCTCTGCGGAGGGGAGGCCGGGTGGGAGCTGCGTCCCCAGCGGCTGTGCTGCCGCCTAGGCAGTTGGGGGCTACCCTAGCCTTCCCAGATCAGCCTTTGGCCTCGTCTTCTCTGAGGGTCTCCTTTCCTTGCTCCTGCCTTGATGAGAGAGAGAGGGATGACGGCAAGCGCCTTGCTGGTGTGGCCCCGAGCCCAGAAGTCCCGAAAATTTGCCTGGTAGGATGTACGGGGAAGGGTCCTTTGATGAGTTTGTGGAAAAGGTTTTCAGCCCAGAAACTGTTGTGGCCTTAACACAAATGAAAGCTGCAAGGCAACCGTTTTATTTCGGATTCTGCACAAACTGCCGCAGCCGTGGCGGACCCCCGAGGCTGAGCCTGCCTCAGTCTATCCTCACTGCGCGCGTCTCCGACGCGGCAGGGCGGTCTGTAGGGCGCACCTTGGCTCTGCCCCTCCTTCTGCAGCACCCATGGGATCGCCTTCTCTGTCGGAAGAGACCGATAGTGTTTACGACTGTTCTAATATTTGTTTTCTCAAACGCACAGAGCCGACCGAGGGCAGGAGCCCCCACAGGCGCTTGCGGACAGCGTGCGGGGTAATCAGTCAGATGGGTTTGCGTTTCCTCTTCGCGGGTTCAACCTCATTTATGGAGCACGACCCGACCCCTCTCACTTGGTCAGCAAAACAAGAGGCCAGGATGTCTGCTGACAAGGGAGCCAAGCAGAAGACACTAGTGTTTTCTGCCTTGCTAATGATGTAGCCAAAGTGCTAGGAGCCAACACAATCCCTTCACCAGCATGAGGTCTGTGTCTCTCTGTGTCTCTCTTTGCTTTTGAACCTTAAACATTTTTGTTTATCAAATATTGAATACCTACTAAAACACATTTGCATATATAAAGATATAAATAATACTGTAGTCCTCATCATCACCAAATGAACACCTGGACACTTCCCTCCATCCCCACCTGTTTAAGGAAAAGCTCATGTTAGGCCCTCCCAGGCTCTCTGGCCCCTCTGTAATCCCTGCCCCTCCCCCATCTTTCCAGTAACCACTGTCTGTTGCCAGGCTGGAGTGCAGTGGCGCCATCTCAGCTCACTGCAACCTCTGCCTCTTGGGTTCAAGCGATTCTTCTGCGTCAGCGTCCCGAGTAGCTGGGACTACAGGAGCGTGCCACCACGCCCAGCTCATTCTTTTGTATTTTTAGTAGACATGGGGTTTCGCTGTGTTAGCCAGGATGGTCTCCATCTCCTGACCTCGTGATCCACCCGCCTCGGCCTCCCAAAGTGTTAGGATTACAGGCGTGAGCCACCGTGCCTGGGCTTTGCTTTTCTTTATGGTTTACTTCAGGTCTGTTATTAATTAATATATTATTCAATTTTACATACCTTTAAATTTTATATAAATAGAATCACACTAAGTATTTTTCTGCAACCTGTTTTCCAAAATATCAATATTATTTTCCAAAAGTCTATCCATGTTGATGAGTATACCTGAGTTCCTTCCTTTTTTTAACCTCATCTATGGAATGAGTATGCCAGCATTTACTCATCTGTTCTCCTATTGGTAGTTATTGGGTTTAGCTCTATTTTCTTGTTCCTCCAACCAGTGTAGGTCTGGCCAAACTTGCAGAACTCCTGTGCAGAGGGCAGCAGTTCTTAAACTTTTTGTTCTCAGGACCTTATTATTATTATTATTATTATTATTATTATTATTATTATTAAGACAGAGTCTTGCTCTGCATCCAGGCTGGAGTGCAGCGGCTCGATCTCGGCACTCTGCAACCTTCACCTCTGTGGCTCAAGGGATTCTCCCACCTAAGCCTCCTGAGTAGCTGGGACTATAGCTGCCACCATGCCTGGCTAATTTTTTTATTTTTTGTAAAGACAGGTTATCACCATGTTGCCCAGGCTTGTCTCAAGCTCCGGGGGTCAAGTGATCTGCCTGCCTAGGCCTAGCAAACTGCTGAGATTATAGGTATGAGCTGCCACGCCTGGCCTCCCAGGACTCTTTGATGCTCTTTAAAATTATTGACAAAAGGACTTTTGTTTATGTGGGTTACGTCTGTCAACACTTGCTGTATGGAAAACTAACAGTGAATGATTGTTAAAATATTCATTAATTCATTACAAACAATAATTGCATGTGATCAGAAATAACATTTTAATGAAGAGATATTTCTCAAAACAAAAAATGAGAAGAGTGCTATTGTTTTATATTTTAGCAAATCTTTTGAATGTCTGTCTTAATAGAAGATGGCCAGATTCTCATATCCACTTCTGCATTGGGTCTGCTGCAATTGGTTGTTTTGGCTGACATATATGAAGAAAATCCAGCTTCATGCAGATATATAGTTGGAAAGAGAGAAACATCTTAATAACCTTTTTAGAGAATTGTGGATATTCTTTGAAACTACATCAAAACTAGATAAGAGATAGTTTCCTAAAGGTTCATTCTAATGAAGAATCTGAAACATTTCAATAAATGTTTTGCATTCTGTTACATTAAAATCCGTAGCTCTTTGAGTGGATCTCATACTCAAGCATGATTTTCATGCATTGGTCATTTGAAAAATAATAGCTCACTGAGTTATGTGGGTCTTGTAAATGTTGACACATTTCCTTAGCAATACAAAAATATATTACATCAATTAACATCACCTCCAATCTCATTAGAGAACTCTTTTAAGTCTTTGGGAATTTTGAAGCCTTCATAGTAGCAGTTGCAAGTTTTCTAAAATTCTAATTTTTGCTTGAAAGCTCAAATTCTGCATGTTGGTAAACAGAAAAAAAAAAAGCTCAAAATTTTTAATTATTTACAACAAATATGACAGGTTTTTTTGTTTGTTTGTTTGTTTTTGTTTTTAGACAGTGTTTTGCTCTTCTCGCCCAGGCTGGAGTGTAATGGCATGATCTCAGCTCACTGCAACCTCTGCTTCCCAGGTTCAAGCAATTCTTCTGCCTCAGACTCCTGAGTAGCTGGCATTACAGGTGCACGCCACCATGCCCAGCTAATTTTTGTGTTTTTAATAGAGATGGGGTTTCACCATGTTGATCAGGCTGATCTCGAACTCTTGATCTCAGGTGATCCGCCTGTCTCAGCCTCCTCCCAAAGTGCTGGGATTTCAGGCATGAGCCACTGTGCCTGGCCACCATTTTTTTTTTTAAAGGGATGAGCTCGCTGGGTGGTTTTTAAAAAGATGCCAGTCATTCTTTCGATTAAAATGAAAAAATGAAAAAACAGTTAGTTTAAAAAAAAAAACCTAGTTCAGTTCACAGCTCAAAGAGTTGCTCAGAGAATTTTCCTCAATATAATCACTGTGCACACACAGGTGCCCTGTACTTCCTATTTAGTCACACAGAATATTAAAAAGACATGTAATCAGGCCCTAGATTTTGTAAAATCAATTCAGTTTCAATTTCACTGGGGTGAAATGGTTAAGTGAAACTGGGTGTTTATTTTTTAGCTGCAAATGCTTGGTGGTGGTGGTCACATGACTGCTAGTGTGGTTTGGTGCCATGGCCTTGGGTCACGCTAAGCACCAGCAGTTTTACCCACCATGGCTTTTGCACCATCAGTGCAAATGTCAGCACAATGTAAAAAGCAAATAATGTACTAGTATTATCATGAAAATAGTTTTGACCTGGTAGACCTCTCAAAAAATATCTCTAGGGACCCCCAGAGTTTTGTAGAACACACTTTGACAACCATTACTCTAGGGTACAAACTTAGAAATGGAACTGCTGAATTGTAGGTTGTGTTTATGTTTAACTTCCAAAATACTGCCAAATTGTTTTCCAAAATGAATGTACCAATTTATACTTAAACCACCAGTGTATGAATTCTGGTTTCTTTGTCTTCCCTAAACTTGGTACAGCCACATATCTCTTCTTTTTTAAAAAATTCATTATTATTATTTGTTTTGAGACGGAGTCTTGTTCTGTCACCCAGGCTGGAGTACAATAGCGAAATCTTGGCTCACTACAACTTCTGCCTCCCAAGTTCAAGTGATTCTCCTGCCTCAGCCTCCCGAGTGGCTGGGATTACAGGCACATACCACCACCTGGCTAATTTTTTTATATTTTTGGTAGAGACGGGGTTTCACCACGTTGGCCAGGCTCATCTCAAACTCCTGACCTCAAGTGATCTGCCCCCGTTGGCCTCCCAAAGTGCTGGGATTACAGGTGTGAGCCACCGTACCTGGCCACATATCTCTTCTTAAATTTGTGCTGTTCTAACTGGTATACTGAAGAATACATTTAGTGTTGATTCATTAATTGCTTATTTATGATAAAAATTTAAACCTTATTGACATACATTAAAGAAAACCTCAATAAATGGAGATAACATGTTAATTTTTAAATTGTGCTCTTATAGATGAACGAGCTTACTAAAATACCAGAACTTTCTATTACTTAATCTTTACAACAATCTTATGAAGTAGTTACTATAGTTTCACACCTGAGAACTGAGGCGTGGGAGGGGTAAGAATCTCATTCAGGGTCCCACAGCTTGCTGGGAAGGTAAGCCAACACTACACCACCCTCATGGACTCAGGCACCACACACATTCAACCAGGCAGGGGTTTAGGAAGAAAAAGGGAAAATACGAGAAGACACAACATTTATTTTTTATATAAGGCTGTCACTGGGCCAGGTATGGTGGTTTATGCCTGTGATCCCAGCACTTTGGGAGGCTGAGGCCGGTGGATCACTTGAGGTCAGGAGTTCGAGACCAGCCTGGCAACATGGTGAAACCCCATCTCTACTAAAAATACAAAAATTAGCTGGGTTTGGTGGTGGGCACCTGTAATCCTAGCTACTTGGGAGGCTGAGGCAGGAGAATCGCTTGAACCCAGGAGGCGGAGGTTGCAGTGAGGCAAGATCACGCCATTGCACTCCAGCCTGGGTGAAAGAGGGAAACTCCGTCTCAAAAAAAAAAAAAAAAAAAATGCTGTCATTGATTTCTTATGGAATTTTGGCTGGGATTTATTTGTATGTAGGCTTTCAAATTGTTATAAATCTTTCTGACTTATTTAATGCCAACAGTATTTTATCTGCTATAGAGTACTTCAGGAAGAAGACTGATTTATTCCTTGAAAAAGTGGCAGTGATACCATAATTTCAAATTCATTTCAGCTGTTTTCTTACTCCCTTAGTACAGATGCTCCTCAACTTATGGTTAAGTTACATCACAATAAATCCATCCTACATTATCATAGGTCGAAAATACACTTAACACACCTAACCTACTGAACATCATAGCTTATCCTAGCCTACCTTATGTGCTCAGAACACTTACATTAGCTCACACTGGGCAAAATCATCTAATGTAAAGCCTATTTCATGATAAAGTGTTAAATAGCTGATGTAATTTATCGAATGCTGTATTGAAAGTGAAAAATAGAATGGTTGTATGGGTACTCTACTTAATGTGTATCGCTTTTGCACCACTGTAAAGTCAGACCATTTTAAGTTGGGGTCTGTGTGTAGCAGACATCAGAAGTGGTGGTGTTCGTTCCCATCCCTTGGTGGCTGAGTAAGCATAGCTTGTGGTATGTGGAAAATCACTCAGGTACACTACCCGAGGCAGGTTGTTCTGTTCTACACACAGAACAGATGGGCTCATGGACCCAATTAAAATGCTCGAATCATATTTTTAACTTAATTGAAATCACACAGTGAGAGCAAAGGAGAAGAGAAGGGCCAGTTAACACACTTGGTTGAGGTGCAGTAAGAGGGAAAGATTCCTCTCTGAATCTTGGGGCACTCAATGTCAGATCACCTGAGACCCGAATGGGTGTCATTCGTGGGTGGCCAAATGAAGACTCATGAATATTAAGTACTCGTGTATCTTTAGCATATCCCAAATACCTAGTGTCTCTTCTACACTTTTTACATTATGACTATTTAGTACCCAAGTGGTGCCTCATGATTATTAGATATATTTTTATCCTTCCTTCTGTCTATGTTTAGCACACATGGTCTACTGATTAACTGCTAATCTTGTGCTTAACACATCTTATGAGTTCTGTTTATGTTCAACAATATTTTTGCTTTCCAGTTTCTTATCCCTTTAAAACATCTTAAAAAGTTATGCTTATGTTTGACAAACTACACATTTATTAATCTGATAGGCTGAATATTCTCAATGCAAATGCATATTATAGTTTGGAAAATGGCCATTTCAGGAAACATTATTTCTGTCTGTTTTAAACAAAAGCAACATATTTGTGTAATTAAGGTAGCTAACAGTTGTAGCTAAGAATTGAGCATTTTTATGAAGTCTATATTATCTTACTGTTTTAATCACCTAAAATTGTACTGTCTAATAGGTAGCCTCTGGCTGCATGTGGCTACTGGGTACTGGGACCTTGGCTGGTCCATTAAGGTCACATTGAGATGTGCTGCAAATGTAAAATATGTAACAATTTCAAGGTTTAGTATGAGAAAAGCAAAATGTCTTACTAATACTTTGTATATTGATTACATATTGAAATGATGTTTTGGTTATATTGATTACTTAAATTATTAAAAATAATTTTACCTGCTTCTTTTTGCTTTTTAAAATGTGGCTACTGGAAAATTTCATTATACATGTGGTTTGTATTATGTTTGTACTGGAAAATGCTCACCTAGAAAATAGTGCCATCTAATTGCTTATTGGGTTTTGAAATGCACCCATTATAATGGATTCAAAAATCCTTTCTGTTTAAGGAAACAGGAAGTCTTTCTTAGCTTTTTGAGAGGTTTAAATTGTTTGTTCATGGACATTTTTTGTGTAAAAATTAGTTCTATATTTTGATATTATAAGCCACTAAGACCTCTTTTTAAGATGAAAGGGTCTGTTCTCTCATTCCAAATCCATCGATCTTTTTCCTTCTCCCTAACTTGCTCAGTATAGATAAAATGTAAATGCTTCCTTTGGTAGCATTTATTCATACATATGGTATAACATTGTTTTTCGTGGCCACTCAGAAGATACAGTGAACATTGCCAATTAAGTCTGTGAAGCCGCTCCACACTGGATATGGAGAGCACAGTGTGAAGGAAAGGGGTCTTCCACATGGGCTGCCCTTTGCCTTAACTTTACTATGTAAGCAGCTTTCTTCCCCATTCCTCTGGAGAGGCTAACAGGAAGCAGAGTGGAAACCAGCATTCCAAGAGACGGTGGGAGGCAGGCAGCCAAGACATGAATGGTGGTGGATAAGTCATTTGGATGCTTTTAGGTTGCCTTTTAGTTTTCAAGACTATAGTATTCCAATAATATACAGTGATTTCTAACCAGGGGAGGTGAGAGGAAGTGTGCGTAAAATATTTGTTTATTAAAGGAATAATAGGTTTAAAAACCTCAAAGTACACTCATGAGGATGACCTTGTAGGTGATATCTATCCCTATTTGTTTTTCAGTATCTAAGTGTTAAAAGGAATCATGTTAAAGCTACCTTAAGCCCTCTTATGCAAAAAGCCATATAAAGACCTCTGGTAGCTCACAGTGGGTGCAGACAGTCCTACTGAGAGCTCTCAGCAAGTAAGTAGGAGCTGAAGTGAAGTCATTATGGATACTAATTCACAATCAGTGCATATGTCCTGGGGTAGAGCAGGAGGTGGCAAATGGAAGCCATTTAGACACCCTTGCTACACGATGTTGTCTGGGGGCAGCCCCTGCTCCTGGTCTGTCTCCAATCTTGGCTGCCACATTGAGGAAGTGGGATATTAGGGAATATTGACATGGAGGAAGAGGACTTGGTGCTCTGAGGAGCTCAGTTTGGAGAGAAATTTTAAGCCAGAGCTTGGGCAAAGCTTTCTTGACTACGAGTGCCTTAAACAGGGCAGGGGTCAAACCAGAGAAACAAGGATACCAGGAGTCTTGGAGACGATGTGAAGTGTTCAGCAGAAAATGTGAAAAACTGTGTAGCTGTCTTCTTAAATTTGAAATCTGAAATCACTGACTCTTCAATAGCTTTTCATGTCCTCATTTCAAAGACCTTTCCAAATGAAGATCTATCACATGTAAAGCTTTCCTAAAGATTGCATAGTAACAATGCGGTATACATGTTGCCCTCTGAAAATGCAGTTTCCTCTGTTTTTCTTTTCTCCCTCTGCCCCCCCTTTTTTGTGCTTTAGAAACCACTGTGCTTCCCACTTTAAAAGGACATTGGGTGAATTACCCACTATTTAACTCATCCTCTCCAAGTCAAAGGCCTTGGGTGATTCTGGGTTAAGAGGAGATTAGACAAAAAGTCAATCAATTTCTTATTTGCATATAGTGTCTTGACATGTTACTAAAACAATTGAGAATGACTAGTCAAAATCTTTTCAAGTTATACAGTATATATCTCATAGCCTTACTCATTAATGTGAAATGAAAATGAGGGCTAAATGGGTATTTTAGCCATAATCCCATTGTAGATTTCCTCAGGGGTATACACTGAACTTTAATAAAGCAATAACTTAGGGGAATTTTGTTCTTGCAGTGAGTTTTGGTATAGTATCATTGCTTTAGAGAAAATTTAATTCTAAAAAGCTCATTTCCCATTTGCACATCTGAAAATATGTTAAGTCTTACCATTTTTATTCTCAAGAGTTGGTTGTCAACTTTTAATTACTACAATTATTAGCTTTCTCCCTAAAAACTCATCCTTTACATGTACCTTAGAGTCTCTGTCCTTGAACTCTCCAGCCCTTGGGAGTCACCTTCCTCTTGAATATCTAATCAAAATAATGAGCCTTTATCTTCCATGATTTGTGGCGAATCAGTCCCTTTACCAAAGAGTGTCTCTCCAGCCTGGGCAACATAATGAGACCCTGTCTCTATAAAACAAATTAGAAAGATTAGCCAGGCATGGTGGCTCATGCCTGTAATCCCAGCTACTCAGGAGGCTAAGGTGGGAGGATCCCTTGAGGCCAGGAGTTTGAGACCAGCCTGGTCGACATAGGGAGACTCCGTCTCCACAAAAAATTAAAAATAAAAAAATAAGCCAGGGAATGGTGGTGGGTGCCTGTGGTCCCAGCTGCTCAAGAGGTTGAGGCAGGAGGATCCCTTGAGCCCAGGAGTTCAAGGCTGCAGTGAGGTACAATACAGCCACTGCACTCCAGTCTGGGCAACAGAGTGAGATCTTGTCTTAGAGTTTGAGACCCTAAGGGTGCCTCTGAAGATCCTGGTTTCTTCTTAGTCTGCCTCCCCCCTACCCCCACCAACCCTGGTTTTTGCTTGTTTCCTCTTGCTTCGAGTGGCTTCTGCTATTTGCCATCTCTGGCCATGCACAATGTCACTGACTTTGCTTGGTATTGTGAATTTCATCCTCAACTCAAATGTTGAAACAACTCTATCCCCATACCTCACAAAACAGAGCAAATGAACACAAAGCTGGTGTGGAGGCCAGGAGGTGAGAGCAGAATTAGAATCCAGAACAGGAAACAGCTTACACCTCGCTAGCCTCATAGGCATTGCCTGCACCCTGCAGAGTCTTTGCCTACCAAGTTCCCCTTTTCCTCACTATCTTCCTGTTATGTTACTGACTTGCATCTCCTGGGGGACAGGGCAGTTAGGGGGTGGCAGGGATGGGCTGTGTGGCTCCTGATTCATGTCTTTCCTCTCCACAGAACACTAGGACCCCAAATTTTATGATTGCAAGCCTGTTAGTGGGAACCCCAAATTTGAGAACCACAAATCCCTTACCTCATAATTATCCCTATAGAGACACATTCCACCCATAATAGAGGGAACTTTTCCTGTATTTAATCATAATGAAGTGAATATAGAAGCATCTGCATTTGGATAATTTCACCAAAGTTCAAGACAAGGCCAGCCATGGTGGCTCACGCCTGTAATCCCAGCATTTTGGGAGGTAAAGGCAGGAGGATTTTTGGAGCTTAGGAGTTTGAGACTAGCCTGGGTAACATAATGAGACCCCATATCTACAAAAAATTAAAAAGTAGCCAGGTGTGGTGGAGTGAGCCTGTAGTCCCAGCTACCTAGGAGGTTGAGACAAGAGGATCACTTGGGCTTGGGAAGTCGAGGCTGCAGTAAGCCGTCATCATGCCACTGTGCTCCAGTCTGGATGACAGAGTGAGATCCCCTCTCCAAAAAACAAAACAAAACAAAGTTAGAGACAAGTTTATACCTGTATAGGCAAAATTGCTTATAAAAATGGTCCCTCTCAGGACAAAGATAAAGTTTTTCCATAGATAAAGGTCACATTCTAACCTGGATGGAGTTTTAAAAATAATGTTGGGAGGTTACTTATCTACCTACACCTACTTTCCTACCTTTCTACCTATCTATCCATGTAGTGGAGGCGTAGCTACACATATCTGTATAAGGACATACCTATGATGGCAGACATCTTTGATTTCAGAGTGTCAAGATGCATTCACAGTTGTGAAGTGTCATTTTTGCATACCTTGAGAAGTGTTGCATAAACTTCAGATAACTTGGGATCAAAACTTAAATAGTTGACACCAAAGTTGACTTAGATAGTAGTCATTACACAATTACATTTAATGAGACAAACAAACACACAAAATGAGCCAGAAAGCTGGCTGCAATAGACATTCTCCAGAGATACTTTGAGAGATTGTACAATGTGGTGGTCAGAGTGTAGACTGGCTGAGTTTAAATCTAGGCTCTACCATTGATTAGCTTAGTGATCTTAGGAAATTGACTTAATTTCTCTGAGCCTCAGATCCCTTATCAGAAATGATGATGATGATGATGATGATGACGATGATGATGATGATGACAGTAATATTTGCCCCATGTCTGTTGGGAGGCTTATGTGGGCAAATCCAAGTGAAGCCCATAGCACTATGTCTGTTGTATAGCTCTGATTATAATGCACTGGAACACTTGTCCATCCCACATTTCATAACAAATGGTTGACTTTTGTCAGAATCACACTTTGGTTGGGAGTCACATGTTCCCTTACATCACCAACTGATGACCTTTTCAAGTTTCTCTGATGTTTTAATCTTTCATTTGATAAGCAGGTTTTTCCTTGGCTTGAGGATTTCTTCATCCAGTTCAATAATTCTATTTTCTTGTCTTTCTAGAGTATGTGGTGACTATGTTTAGGGGAGAACCATAAGTCATGGTCAATGCCAAAATCCTATTTTTTAGTTTATTTAAAGCTTCAATTTTCTGTAAACTGTGAATTATCTAGTTACCAAACCTCATCTTTCCCATCAACAGCCTAAAAGCTGGTTTTCTTTTGAAGGTCATTTCATAAAGAAACCAAATTTTCCTTCACAAGGGTCACTGAGTCTGGCGATTGGTAAAGAGCAATGGGCCAACGCGGCATGTGCTTACTGGCCTGTGCATGCTCCCCACCGTGCAAGTCAGTCCTGCAGCCTCATGGGGATTTCTCGAAGCACACCTGTGCTTCGAGAAAGATGACAATCCTTCATTTTTGGTCACTCTAGAAACTTTGTTAAAAGCAGTACCTGCAAACCTTGCAAAGTAAAAGACTGAGCTTTTTTCATATAAAAATATATGAGAATAAAAGTAGTACAATTTGCTATTCTCTCTGGCTGCTAGCACACTTCTCTCCTCAGAATCTTGGTGAGAGGCTGACTCCCTCACATAAGGGAAGCCAACCCTCCTTGCAGCTATGCACAGGTAAGCGATTATATTAGTCAAGGTTCTTTAGAGAAACAGAACCAACAGTTTATACAGAGAGAGAGAGAGAGAAAGAGAAAGACAGACAGAGAGAGAGAGAGACTGAGATTTAATTTAAGGAATTGGCTCAACTGATTGCACTGGCTGTAGATTCATGTAAGAGCTGAGGTTGCTGTCTTGAGTATGAAGGCTGGACACTCAGGCAGAATTTTTACTTTGCAGTCTGGAGGCAGAATTCTTTCCTGTTCGGGGAACCTTCATCTTTGAAGGCATGCAACTGGCTGGATGAGGCCTGTCCACGTGATTAAGGGTGATCTGTTTGACTCAAACTCTACTGATGTAAATGTTAATCACATGTAAAAATACCTTCAAGGCAACATCTGTTATAGATGGTGTTTGAGCAGGTACTGAAATGGGTACTATAGCCTGGCCAGGTTCACACCAAACTTGTCCATCACAGTGAACCAGTTCCCTTCATCAGAAGCACCTGGGCAGCCTTGGCCTAGGAGCTGGTGTCCTAAAGAAGCAGGGGCTACAGGGACCCCTTACTGATGAGGATGGCAGCAAGGGCGGTGACTACTCTTGGGGACAGCTGGTTCAGGGAGGGGCTTCTAGCAGTGTCCACAGTCTGGAATTGGAGATGGTAGTGGGGAGGTTTCCCTAGGGCAAGTTTGTGGCATAATTTTGCCTGGCTATGTAACCTCAGCTGCTGGCTTTCTAGGCCCTGAGAGATATTTTGAATACCTCAATGTCATTTGCTAAATTCCTTTTGAATTAGAGAAAGTCCATTTCTATAATTTACAAATGATTCAGGAGGTCATATTCATATGACCCATGGGTGTCTGCTGTCTTATAGGCTAAGGGAGGCATTTCCACAGTGTGAGAAGAACTCACTGTCTAAAGAGACAGAATTGAGAGCTGAAAGCAGTGCAGCTGGAGCAAGCCCTGCTGGAGGGGGCAAGGTCATGGGCAGACTGGCCCATCACCGGGACTATGGCCATGAAAATGCAAGAATCTGGTTTCTGCTTACTAACCCATGTGGGAATTATACCTCCTATTGGCATCCTCTAGATTCAGGAAACACAACCTCCTACGTTGAGAGCAAATTTTGCGCCCATTTCATCAGGAGTGTAAAGGACATTCCATCGTGTAGAAACTGTGTGTAGTGCTGGCTTCTGCCCAAAACAGATGTGATTTCTGGCTGAAAAATCTAGAGAGAGAGAAAGAGAGATGGGAGAGGGAGAGGGAAAGGCGGGGGGGAGAGAGAGAGAGAGAGAGAGAGAGAGAGAGAGAACTCTTGTGAAATACTTTAGCTGGATATTTTCAATGCCCTTGAAGCACATCAGATAGTTCTTTCTTTTTGCAGATGCAGTGTTTCTTTTGATTGCTCTATTACAGTAGTCCTGGTGGTACTTATCTTCAAATATACATGTAGCCTTGATATACTACCTGTGAGCTTCTTCATCTTTTGCAAGTTTATCAGAGTTCTCAAGGTTAATCATTTCCTCAGATTCTACAGAGAGGACCATGGGCGACAACAGCAGAATAACTGCAATGCTTTGGATAGCTTGGCAACTTCACATTTGTATGTAACTTGGCAACACATTTTGCTTGCTCTCCCTCCCCATTTCTGTCCCCAACTTAAATTTTCCACATGTGGAGTCAACCGGAGAAAGTGTGGCTGTCCTGTCCAAGGCTACACTGTAACATGATAATGTGTTAAATTGAAACTCTGGGACCCTGAGCTTGCCAGATGTTCTTCATTTCTCACTTGGAATTGATAATTGACTTAGAGAGAATTCAGCTTGTTTCTATTAGACACCAAATTTCATACACAATCAACAGTGATAAGCAGATAAGCAAAACTTCTAAAAATGAGAGAAATATAACTTAAAAACAGTACATCAACAAAGAATCTATGCAGATGGATAACTGGGCAAGAGAAAAATGAACCGGCTGCATCCTGTGCAAATAGGGCACGCGCACAGCTCTCCCAGGCAGGGCTGCGGGGCCAGGTGAGGCGAGGGACGTCCCTGTGGTGGCTCTGTCTCAGCAGGTGAAGGAAGGCAGGCAGCTAAGAATGAGGAAGGAGGGAGACGGCGGAGCTACAGCAGAGGGGTTGAAATAAGGATGTGGCTGGACAAACAAGGGGGTGAAGCTGGCAGAGGATTCGTAGACTGGATTAAGTGAAAGGGGTCAGCATCCTGGAGGTGCAGTGGAAATAATGGAGATGAAGTTCACACAGCCAGAACTTCTAATCAATTTACAGTTTCAAAGGCGGATTGTCTCAAGTGTTGACAATTCTCAGGAGTCTCATGAGCATGAGGGTGGCAGTGGAGGAAGAGGGAAGGGCTGGGAATTAGGTTAGAGTACTGAGAAGCCTGCTGACGGCTGGCCTCGTGCATACCCACAACATGAGGTACAGCAGGATGGAGGGGCTGAGGTGTAGAGAGGTTCTGAGCTCATGTCTCAATCTTTGTAAAGAAAATTTGGTGGTACATATACTCAATGGAATACTACACAGCCATAGAAAAGAATAAAATCATGTCCTTTGCAGCAACATGGATACAGCTGGATCCCATTATCCTAAGCAAATTAATGTAGAAACAGAAAAACAAATACCACATATCCTTACTTACAAGCTAAACAATGGCTATACATGGACACAAAGATGGAAACAGTAGACACTGCGGACTCTAAAAGGAGGAGGCAGGGAGTGGGGCAAGGGTTGAAAAACTGTCTGTCAGGTACTATGTTCCCTACTGGCACAATGGGATAATTAGAAGGCCAAACCTCAGCATTCCTCCATATGCCCACATAAGAAACCTGCACATGCCACCCCTTCAATCTAAAAAAAAAAAAAAAAAATTGGGGTGGAGGGAGGAGGTGGTATAGGTGAATAGCAGGAACCCAAAAGAAAAAAGGCTTTTCACTGAGGGTGGAGGAGTCTCAGCCCGAGAGAGAGAGTGACAGAGAAGGCTCAGGCATCCCCCACTGCAGGCTTGTGGGGCACTGGCGCACACACAGGAATGACGCAGAGGCCTGTTTGGGGAATTATCAGGGGGGTTGGGACTCAGTGGAGAAAAGGAGGGGACGGAAGACTTTGGACAATGGATTTACTGGTGTTTATTTGCTTTGGAGTAGGGGCTACTGGAAAGGTCTTGGGGAGAGGAGAGCAGAAGGAAGTTGAGTTAGGAGTATAAAATTCAGGACTGAGGGGCAGGGCCAAGATGGCTGACTAGAAGCAGCTGTGGTCAGACGCTCCCATGGAAAAGATCCAAAACAGTATGTGAATCCTGCTCCGGCAACCAAGGTATCCAGTTTCTAACACCAGGACTGACTAGGTGGCTGGTGTGACCCCAGAGGAAAGAAGAGCAGTGTGGTGCTGCAGCCCACCTGAGAGCCACACAGGGCAAGGGAGCCCTCAGCCAAAGGAGGCCGCGAGTGAGCGTGCTACCCAGCCTGGGAAGCCCTGCTTTTTCCATGGAACTGCGCAACCCACGGATCAGAATATCCCACGTGGGAGCCCATGTTATCGGGCCCTTGGGTCTCAACCACAGAGCCGCAGAGATTCTCATCAGCCTCTGGGCTAGAATTGGCCTCAGCCTGCCTAGTTCCCCGAATGGAGGGGCGCCCAACACCACAGCTGCACTGCCTGTGGTCTAAGCCATCCCGAACTCCTTGGGGGAGGGGCGGCAGCCAACAGTGGGGCTGCAGGGCCTCTTTGCAGGAGCTCCAACTCCAGCCAGGGACTCAGGGACAAAACTCTGATCTCCTTGGGCCTGAGCCCCTAGCGGGAGGGGCTCAGCGGACCAGCCGACTTAGTCTTTCCTCCTGCTAGCTCTGAGGAATCCGGGCAGCCCAGATGCGTAGGTTTCCCCACAACGCAGCACACCCCCTCCACCAGGGGACAGCCAAAGTGCTTTGTTAAATGGATCTTGCTTCCTGTGCCACCCAACTGGGTGAGACCCCCCAACAGGGGCTGTCAGACATCCTATACAGAAGCATTCTTACTGGCATCAGTTTAGCGCCCCTCAAGGTCAGAGATCTCAGAGGAAGAAGCAGGCACCCATTTTGCTGTTCTCCAGCCTTCTTGAGTGACATCTCCAGGTGTGGGAGTGAACCAGATGAATAGGGCCTGAAGTGAATCCCCAGCAAACCGTGGCAGCCCTACAGAAGAGAGACTTCCCTATTGAAAGAAGAACAAACAAACAGAAAGCAACAACAACATCAACAAAAAAAGTCGCCATAAAAACCTCATGCAAGCAGCCTCGAAGATTGAAACTAGACAAAGTCATGAAGATGAGAAAGAAACAACGAACAAATGCTGAAAACCCGAAAGGCCAGAATGCCTCTTCTCCTCCAAATGATCACAACACTTCTCCAGCAAGAGTGCAGAACTGGATGAAGTACGAGATGGACAAACTGACAGAAGTAGGCTTCAGAAGGCGGGTAATAACAAACTTCGCTGAGGTAAAGGAGCATGTTCTAACCCAATGCAAACAAGCTAAGAACCTTGATAAAAGGTTATAGGAGCTGCTAACTAGAATAATGAGTTTAGAGAGGAACATAAATAACCTGATGGAGATGAAAAATGCAGCAGCATGAGAACTTCATGAATCATAGACAAGTATCAATAGCTGCTTGAATCGATCAAGCATAAGAAAGAATATCAGAGATGGAAAACCATCTTGTTGAAATAAGGCAGGCAGACAAGATTAGAGAAAAAAGAATGAAAGGAAACGAATGAACCCTCTGAGAAATATGGGACTATGTAAAAAGACCAAACCTATGACTGATAGGAGCACCTGAAAGAGATGGGGAGAATGGAAGCAAGTTGGAAAACATACTTCAAGGTATTATCCAGGAGAACTTCCTCAACCTAGCAAGATAAGCCAATATTCAAATTCAAGAAATCCAGAGAACACCACTAAGATACTCCCCCAAGAAACATAATCATCAGATTCTCCAAGGTCAAAATGAAGGAAAAAATGTTAAGGGCAGCCAGAGAGAAAGGCCAGGTCACCTACAAATGGAAGCGCATCAGACTAATAGCAGATCTCTCAGCAGAAATCCTACAAGCCAGAAGAGAGTGGGGACCAATATTCAACATTCTTAAAGAAAAGAATTTTCAACCCAGAATTTATATCCGGCCAAACTAACCTTCATAAGCCAAGGAGAAATAAAATCCTTTTCAGACAAGCAAATGCTGAGGGAATTCATCACCACCAGGCCTGCCTTGCAAGAGCTCCTGAAGGAAGCACTAAATGTGCAAAGGAAAAACCAGTACCAACCACTACAAAACACATGAAAATATAAAGAACAATGACACTATGAAGAAATGGCATCAATTAGTGTGCAAAATAACCAGCTAGCATCATGATGACAGGATCAAATTCACACATAACAATATTAACCTTAAATGTAAGTGGGTTAAATTCCCCAATTAAAAGACACAGACTGGCAAATTGGATAGAATCCAGACCCATCAGTGTGCTGTATTCAAGAGACCCATCAGTGTGCTGTATTCAAGAGACCCATCTCATGTGCAAAGACACACATAGACTCAAAATAAAGGGATGGAGAAAAATGTACCAAGCAAATGGAAAGCAGAAAAAAGCAGGGTTTGCAATCCTCATCTCTGACAAAACGGATTATAAACCAACAAAAATAAAAAAAGACAAAGAAGGGCATTACATAATGGTAAAGGGATCAATGCAACAGGAAGAGCTACCTATCCTAAATATATATGCACCCAATACAGGAGCATTCAGATTTATAAAACAAATTCTTAGAGACCTACAAAGAGACTTAGACTCCCACACAATAATAGTGGGAGACATTAACACCCCACTGTCAATATTAGACAGATCAATGAGACAGAAAATTAACAAGGATATTCAGGACTTGAACTCAGCACTGGATCAAGTGGACCTAATAGATATCTACAGAACTCTCCACTGCAAAACAACAGAATATACATTCTTCTCAGTGCCACATGGCACTTACTCTAAAATCGACCACCTAATTGGAAGTAAAACACTCCTCAGCAAATGAAAAAGAACTGAAATCATAACAGTCTCTCAGACCACCGGGCAATCAAATTAGAATTCAGTATTAAGAAACTCACTCAGAACAACACCACTACATGGAAATTAAGCAACCTGTTCCTGAATGACTCCTGGGTAAATAATGAAATTAAGGTGGAAATCAAGAAGTTCTCTGAAACCAATGAGAACAAAGAGGCAACATATCAGAATCTCTGGGATGCAGCTAAAGTGGTGTTAAGAGCAAAATTTATAGCACTAAATGCCTACATCAGAAAGCTAGAAAGATCTCAAATTGACACCCTAAAATCCAATTAAAGTAACCAGAGAAGCAAGAGCAAACCAATCCAAAAGCTAGCAGAAGACAAGAAATAACTAAGATCAGAGTGAAACTGAAGGATATAGAGACACGAAAATCCTTCAAAAAATCAATGAATCCCGGAGCAGTTTTTTTGAAAAAATTAATAAAATAGATCACTTGCTAGAGTAATAAAGAAGAAAAGAGAGAAGAATCAAATAGATGCTATAAAAAATGATAAAGGGGATATCACCACTGACCTTATAGAAATACAAACTACCATCAGAGAATACTATAAACACCTCTATACAAATAAACTAGAAAATCTGGAAGAAATGGGTAAATTCCTGGACACATACACCCTCCCAAGACCAGGAAGAAGTCGAATCCCTGAATAGACCAATAACGAGTTCCTAAATTGAGGCTGTAATAAATAGCCTACCAATGAAAAAATCCCAGGACCAGATGGATTCACGGCCAAATTCTACCAAAGGTCCAAAAAGGAGCTGGTGCCATTCCTTCAGAAATGATTCCAAACAATTGCAAAGGAGGAACTCCTCCCTAACTTATTTTATGAGGCTAGCATCAACTTGATAACAAAACCTGGCAGAGACACAACAAAAAAAGAAAACTTCAGGCCAATATCTCTGATGACCATCAGTGAGAAAATCCTCAATAAAATACTGGCAAACTGGACCCAGTTCAGCACATCATTACAGAAATGCAAATTAAAACCACAATGAGATACCATCTCATGCCAGCAGCTCATCAAAAAGCTTATCCATGACCATCAGGTCGGCTTCATCCCTGGGATGCAAGGCTGGTTCAGCATTCACAAATCAATAAATGTAATCCATCACATAAGCAAAACCAGTGACAAAAAACACTTGATTATCTCAATAGATTCAGAAAAGGCCTTTGACAAAATTCAACATCCCTTCACGTTAAAAACTCAAACTACATGTTGATGGAACATATCTCAAAATAATAATAGCTATTTATGACAAACCCACAGCCAATATCATACTGAATGGGCACAAGCTGGAAGCATCCCCTTTGAAAACCAGCACAAGAAAAGGGTGCTCTCTCTCATGACTCCTATTCAACGTAATGTTGGAAGTTCTGGCAACCAGGCATGAGAAAGAAATAAAGTGTATTCAGATAGGAAGAGATTAAGTCAAAATGCCTCTGTCTGCAGATGACATGATACTATATTTAGAAACTCCATCATCTTAGCCGCAAAGTTTCTTAAGCTGATAGGCAACTTCAGCAAAGTCTCGGGATACAAAATCGATGTGCAAAAATTACAAGCATTCCTATGCACCAATAATAGACAAACAGAGAGCCAAATCGTGAATGAACTCCCATTCACAATTGCACAAAGAGAATAAAATACCTAGGAATACAGCTAACAAGGGATGTGAAGGACCTCTTCAAGGAGAACTACAAACCAATGCTCAAGGAAATAAGAGAGGACACAAACAAATGGAAAAACATTCCATCCTCATGGATAGAAAGAATCAATATTGTGAAAATGCCCAAAATAATTTATAGATTCGATGCTATTCCAATCAAGCTACTATTGGCATTCTTCACAGAATTGGAAAAAACCACTTTAAAATTAATATAAAACCAAAAAAGAGCCCACATAGCCAAGACAATCCTAAGCAAAAAGAACAAAACTGGAGTCATCATGCTACCCAACTTCAAACTATGCTACAAGGCTACAGTAACCAAAACAGCAGGGTACTGGTACCAAAACAGGCACATAGACCAATGCAACAGAATATAGACCTCAGATATAAGACCACATATCTACAACCCTCTGATCTTCAACAAACCTGACAAAAACAAGCAAAATGGGGAAAGGATTCCCTATTTAACAAACGGTGCTGGGAAAACTGGCTAGCCATATGCAGAAAACCGAAACTGGACCCCTTCCTTACACCTTATACAAAAATTAACTCAAGATGGATTAAAGACTTAAATATAAAGCCCCAAACCATAAAAACCCTAGCAGAAAAGCTAGACAGTGCCATTGAAGACAGAAGCATAGGCAAAGATTTTATGATGAAATCGCTAAAAGCAATTGCAACAGAAGCTAAAATTGACAAATGGGATCTAATTAAACTTAAGAGTTTCTGCACAGAAAAAGAAACTATCATCAGAATGAACAAGCAACCTACAGAATGGGAGAACATTTTTGCAATCTATCCATCTGACAAAGGTCTAATATTCAGAATTTACAAGGACTTAAACAACTTTACAAGAAAAAAAAACAAACAAACAATGATCCCATCAAAAAGTGGGCAAAGGACATAAACAAACACTTCTCAAAAGAAGACATTTATGCGGCCAAAAAACATGAAAAAAACTCAATATCACTGATCATTACAGAAATGCAAATCAAAACCACAATGAGATACCATCTCACGTCAGTCAGAATGGTGATTATTAAAAAGTCGAGAAACAACAGATGCTGGTGAGGCAGTGGAGAAATAGGAATGCTTTTACATTGTTGGTGGGAATGTAAATTAGTTCAACCATTGTGGAAGACAGTGTGGTGATTCCTCAAGGATCTGGAACCAGAAATACCATTTGACCCAGCAATCCCATTACTGAATATATACCCAAAGGAATATAAATCATTCTATTATAAAGATGCATGTACACATATGTTTATTGCAGCACTATTCACAATAGAAAAGATATGGAACCAACTCAAATGCCCATCGGTGATAGAGTGGATAAAGAAAATGTGGTATATATACCACGGAATACTATGCAGCCACAAAAAAGGAATGAGATCATGTCCTTTGCAGGGACATGGATGAAGCTGGAAGCTATCATCCTCAGCAAACTAGCATAGGAACAGAAAATCAAACACCACATGTTCTCACTCATAAGTGGGAATTGAACAATGAAAACACATGGCCACAGGGAGGTGAACAACACACACTGGGGCCTGTCAGTTGGTGGGAGGGGGGAAGGAGAAGGGAGGGAGAGCATTAGGACAAATAGGTAATGCATGCAGGGCTTAAAATCTAGATGACAGGTTGATAGGTGCAGCAAACCACCATGGCACACGTATACCCGTGTAACAAACCTGCATGTTCTGCACATGTATCCCTAGCTTAAAGTTTAAAAAAAAAAAAGTCTTAAAAAAGAGTGAAAAGAAGGGAACTATAGTTATTTCAATGATGTGTGTTAGCAATTAAGCTTTTGATGGCTATACAGTTTAATAAAGTATGCACCCCAACCTGTTTATAAATCAAATAGTACATATTTACACAGTTAACCACAAATGTAGATATCTTAGTGCAAAAAAAAAAAATTTAGGGCTTTGAGACCTATAGCAAATTTTATGCCCAGAGAATCCCACAGGAAAGATATCACTTGCTTACACCTATACCATGGTGTGTGGATTAATTTGATGCTAACTTGGCTAGGCCATGGTATCCAGTGTTTGGTCAAACACCAGCCTACATGTTGCTGTGAAGGTATTTTTAAAGATGTGAATAACATCTTAATCAGTATACTTTGAGTAGATTACCCTCCATAGTGTGGATGGGCCTTATCCAATCAGGTGAAGGCCTTAAAAGAAAAGACTGAGGTCCCAGGAGGAACAGGAAATTCTGCCTCCACACTTGAGCTGCAGCATCAAATTTTCCCTAGGTCTCCAGTCAGCTGGTCTATCCTGCAGATTCAGACTTCTCAGCCCAACAATTACATGAGCCAGTTATTTAAAACTAATCTCCCTGTTTATATTCACATTCTATTGGTTCTGGTTCTCTGGGGACCCCAGATGAATACACACACTTACTATCTTCCAGTCATTTTTTAGGTACTTTGTGGTTATTAACTCATCTTACCCTCACTGGGATCTGAGACCTTCTGGGATCAGTGGAGAGACAGAGGACACAGCCCTCTCTGGAAGGCATAGGTAGCAGCCTGGCCCGATCTTGCCTTGGATGAACTACTGGCCTGGGGTTTAGGCACTCAGACTAATTAGAAGTGTCCAAGTCCCTGGGAAGAAATTAGATTGTGCATTCAATTATATACATCTCTAGGGTGATATTGAATTATTTCCTTTGGAAATATGAGTATGTCTCCTAGCATTAAAAGGAACTTAATAACATAAAATGGGGCTTGAAAATCCAGGCAACAATTGTGTTAGAAATTACTAATTCTAGGGACTTTTAACAAGCAGTTAAATTAGGTTATTAGAGAGTGTGTGGAGATCTAAGTATTGCAGATCAATGTGTGAATGTATTCAGATTCTGTCCGCATCTGTAATCATAATAAAGGGTTGATTTTCTCACAGCAAGCAAAACAAGGCACACAATAAGCCCATTTCCTCTTCTAGATGAAATGATTAATTCATTAACATTTATTAGTTGGAAATACTTAAAAGACATTGATTCATGTCACTCACAATTAGCGAGTGTTGCCTTCTCATTGACCTAGTCTTTCAACTTTAATTAGCAAGGGATACCTGGAATACTATATTGAATGGGATTTTCAGATTGGAGGCAGCACATTCAACCACAAAAATATTAATTAAGGACCCACTATGTGTAGGCACCAAGTTAGACATTGAGAGTGAGATAGCAGATAGAATATCCCAGTCCTTGCTTTCAGAGAATTTGAAGTGTGGTGAAGAAGACAATTAATCCAGTAATTCCAATAGAAGGGGCAATGCTGTGTGAGGACAGGTGGGGCACAGTTGAAACATCTCACCTGGTCTAGGGGGTCTTGGACAGTTCCCTGTAGGAAGCAATGGTCAAGGATTTGTGGGGGCAGAGAGGAAATAGGAAGATGGTGTTTGCAATGGCATGGGAGAGGCCATGGTATCTTGTGTTCTATATTTATGTTAGACCCATTTAGAAGCACTTAGGTATAAAGTTTTCAAGAGGAGAAACACTGTTTTGGGTGTCTTGTAACTACCTCCATAGCAGTGAAAATGGAAATCTGGGGTAATGAAAAATCAATAGGAGAAGTAAGTGGATCACTCCCACTGGAAAAATAGCTTGGCACCTTCTCAGCAAATGACACCTGCAACTTCAGTGTGACCCAGCAATTGTACTCCTGGGCAGTTATCTAGAGATATGAAAATGCATGTTCACACAAAAGTCTGCACACAAATGTTCAAAGGAGCTTTCTTTGTAAGTGCCCAAATTGGAATGAACCTGGTGTCCTTCTATAGGTGAATGGTGTAGTCCAGCTGTACCATGAAATACTATTTAGCAATGAAAAGCACAAAGTATTGATACATGAAACAGCCTGGATGAGAAATATGCTGAATGTAAAATATTACATACTGTATGAGGTTGCATGCTGTATAACAGTTTACAAATGGTGAACAGATTAATGGTTGCCAGGGAAGAGAAATTGATGTAGTTATAAAAGGACAACCCAAGGGGTCCTTGTGTAGTTTGAACTGTTTGGTAATTGTGGATATACAAACCTATATTGGTGATATAAATGTGTAGGATTTAATACACACAAAGAGTCCAAATTAAACTGGGGAAATCTGAATAAGATCAGTGGATTCTATCAGGGTCAAGATACTGGCTGTGATATTGTATTACAGTTTTGCAGAATGTGTCTAGTGGGGGAAACTGGATAAAGGGTAAAAGGGGCCTCTCTGTATCATGTCTTAGAACTGCATGTGAATATATAGTTATCTGAAAAGAAATAGACAAAGAACCAGAAAAACATTTAAAAGTCAACTAACATTCTACAAAGTCCAGAGATGTGAGAAAAGTGTGGATGGAGCAAAAGAGGCTGTGACAGGAGGGGCATGAAAGGAACTCCCTTGAGTTGCTAAATGAAGGATCAAAGCTAAGGCTTCAGAGAGCTGGACAACAGCTTCATCATGTTATGCGGTGGCTTTGATTGAAACTCTTTAAGAGCCTCAGGAGGGGATCCACCTGCATGGGCCCCTTTGGGGTGGTCTTGCTGGCAGGGATTGGATTGCAGGCATAGCTTGAATGACACAACTGTAATAGGAAAGTTTAAGAGTTTCCAGTACCTATGGACCCCGGGACATACACTGCATGCTGGGAGCACAGGCAGGGAGACAGAGGAAAAAGCTGTGGCAACTAGCAGTGTATACTGGGGAACAAGGTGTGGGTCATGGTAAGTTCATGGGCAAATGCTCAAATGGAGCCTTTAAAGAGAGTGGTGGGGAAAGCTAGGAGCCAGTCCACTAGGTGGAAGACGTGCCATTGTGTTCTTATTGCTGACCACCGGCTAAGACCATTTGGGTGGTGCAGAGCTGAGAACTATGTTGGGGGTGACTGAGCCCTGCCTCTGACACAAGAAAGCTAAACCTGCCTTCAAAACAGATGTGGGGGCAACATGTACTGAATAAGCACATGACCCCTCATGGGTTAGCCTGTCAGAAGAGTAACCTTTATTTCGTATGTCAAAAATTTAATGGTGGCTATTGTTTAAAAAACCCTGATTCTAAGATGGGTTTAATGGTGACTCACCCCCTGCAATCCCAGCACTTTGGGATGCCAAGGCAGAAGGATCCCTTGAGCTCAGGAGTTCAAGACCAGCCTGGGCAACGTAGTGAGACCTCATCTCCTCAAAAAAAATTAAAAATTAGCTGGGTATGGTGGAGTGTGCCTGTAGTCCCAGCTACTTGGGAGGCTGAGGCAGGAGGATTGCTTGACCCTGGTAGGTCAAAGATGCAGTGAGCCATGATAGGACCACTGCATTCCAGCCTGGGTGACAGAGAGAGACCTTGTCTCAGAAACAAACAGACAAAAAAACCCCCTGATTCTTTAGAAACAAAGACACTAACAAATATATTAGTGATATGGTTTGGCTGTGTCTCCACCCAAATCTCATCTTGCATTGTAGTGCCCATGATCCCCATGTGTCGTGGGAGGTACTTGGTGGGAGGTAATTTAATCATGGGGGTGAGTTTTTTCCATGTTGTTCTCCTGATGGTGAATAAGTCTCACAGGTCTGATGGTTTTATAAAGAGGAGTTCCCTGCACATGCTTTCTTGCCTGCCACCGTGAAAGACATGCCTTTCTCCCCCTTCACCTTTTGTCATGATTGTGAGGCCTCCCCAGCCATGTAGAACTGAGTCCGTTAAAACTCTTTTTCTTTATAAATTACCCAGTCTTGAGTGTTTCTTCATAGCAGTATGAAAATGGACAAATACAATTGTGCTTCAGTATTCCCTGGATAGAAATACTGGCTGTGTTGGGGCTTTCCCAGATCATCCCTGGGTTCTGACTCACTAGGAGGACTTACAGCATATACAGTGATACTTGTGACTATAATGGATTACGGTGAAAGGATCAAAGTAAAATCATCAAAAGGAAAAGGCATATGGGGCAACATTTTGGGGAAAGCAGGCATGAGCTTCCAGGAATCCTGTCCTGATAGAGTCATGGGGGATGCATTTAATTCCCCTTTATGATGCGTTATGACAACACATGTAAACTGTTGCCTGCCAGGGAAGCTCACTAGACACTCAGTGCCCAAGGTTTTTGTGTGCTGCCTAGCACATGTCAAAATCTCAGACTCCTAAAAGGAAAGCATTTATTCAGTATAAACCACATTGTACAGTGGTCCACAGTGATCTCTTATTAATTAGGGCAGTGAAAACCCTGACCTCCCTAAAATCCAAGTTCCCAGAAATCAGCTGAGGGACAACCTCATAAGCAGATCTTTCAAAGGACAGCAATCAGGCCTGCTATGCTAACCCTTTTTGCATATAAGCCTGCAGTAATCCTGTGTTTCTGGCTGATGCTGTATTGCTTTGACACATCTGGAATCTTGCTGACCCTGGAGGGACTGCTCCTCCTAGGGTAGCCAATTCCTAGAAAGAGTAAAGGACTCACCTGCAAGCTCACCCTTCATATGCAAACCAACCAATCCAGAGCCCACACCCCAATCACATCTTTATTGAGCTCTTATACTCATGGCCACTATTCCCCTGTCCTAATCACCCCAGGGCCAGGTAACAGACAACTAAGGACAGCCTCTTTGCCCCAGAGTCCACTGAAATTACTCAAGTCAGCCAATCCTGAGCCTGCTTATCCTGCCTCTCTCATTCCTTCCTCTGGAAACCACAGTAAAGGCTCTTACCCACAGTTTCCCTCTCCCTCTGCCTCCTGGCCCACCTTGGTGCTTCCTCCTGTGGCCCTTTCCCACCCCATGGGAAAAGGCCCTTCCTCTTGCGGTCTGTGAGTAATAAACTATCTTTTCAATGGCAGTCATCTCCTGGTCTATTGACCTCACTATACCTGAATAATAATGAAACCTACGCTTAAAACAAGGTCAAACATATATCATCTATCTATCTATCTATCTATCTATCTATCTATCTATCTATCTATCTGGATAGGACATTGAAATACCATTCAAAGTTAGCATGTCCTTAATACCTCATATAGAAAGACTGACATGCAGCAGTGCATGTAGAAGGTGGGGCAGGGAGCTGGGCACTGTGATATTCTGCCAAGTATCTGCCAAGGAGTTGATACATGCCCTCTCCTCTGAGGCTCATGATGGTGGAAGAGGATTAGGGCTATTAGTAGCTGAAATCCTACCTAGCCACTTGCTAGCTTTGAGGCATTAAACAAGTTATATTCTAACTTTGAACCTCAATTTCTTTACCCATAAATGTATTTTATCTTATTGTTGCTTCCTCATCTGATTGTTGTTAAAATTAAATGAGAGGAGGCATGTGATGTCCCTGGCTCATCATAGACTCTCAATCGATGCTTGTTCTACCAATCCTCCAAATGAAATATGGTTGCCAGGTAGGGAAGAATGCTGCATTATTATAAAAAGCTGATTAGCAGGCCACATTCACATAAAGAAAAATTAAATTATGTAAGATGTGATATGTGTATGTACCTGACATTTTTGTGAAAGTGGTTAACAATGTAGCACATTAGCCTTGACATTAGACCATCAGGAGACTTACTAGTTAAAACTAGCACCTTCCATCAATATTAAAAACAAATTATGTATATAGCCATTCATATATTTTTATTGTGTTTCTTTATGAGAGAACATTTTATCTAACAATAATCATTAGAAAAATGTTTTCAAGGTTCCTGGCATAGTAAATACACTTCTAAAGATCAATTATTTTCTCTCTACCAGATTAAAGAGTTGGAAAATTAAATAACAAAGAGTGTCATATATCAAAGTGTTAAGAGTGTGAAGGCACTTAAATAAATCTAGCAACAGATGTGGGAGACCTCCATGCAGAAAAGTATGAGATATGGTCCAAAGTGACTTAGATCAGAGGGAAGATATGCTACAGTTGTGGATCAGAAAACTCAATATTGATACAGAGTCTGAGTAATTGTAATAAAAATATAGCCAAATTTTTTTTTTTAATTCAGCAAGCTGATTCTGAGATTCATAATAAATGCAAAGATCAAGAATAGCTAAGACACACATGGAGAAACAGAGGAGGTGGTGTAACTGGCCCTACCAGATGTTAGGACATTATAAAGGCACGGTAAATGGTAAGGGAAGTGTCAGTGCAGGGCCAGGCTTGGGGTAAAAATTAGACTTTGGGGGCTCAGAAAGAGACCAAGGCACTATGGACACTTGATATATGACAGAGTTGGTACTACACAGCAGTGGGGAAAGAATATTGTTTTTAGTGAATGATGCTGGGGCAGTTGGATAGCCCAGTGGACTCTAACTCACACCATATTCGAAAAATAAATTCTGGGTGGGTTAAACAACAAAATGAAAAAAGCAAACAAAACATGTCAAAAATAATCTTAAGTGAGACTCTTCATAACCCAGGACACAGGGAATAATTTCATAAAGAGACACAAAATCCATTAGCCATAAAGGAAAGTATTGGTAAATAAAATTTACCTTGGTAAAAAGGCTGGATGTGGTGGCTCACATCTGTAATCCCAGCACTTGGGGAGGCTGAGACAAGAGAATTGCTTGAGGCTAGGAGTTTGAGACCAGCCTGGGCAACATAGCAATACCCTGTGTCTACAAAAAATTTAACAATTAGCCAGCCACAGTAGTGTGCACTTGCAGTCCCAGCTACTTGGGAGGCCGAGGTGGGAGTATCCCTTGAGCTCAGGAGTTCAAGGCTGCAGTGAGCTATGATTGTGCCACTGCACTCCAGCCTGGGTGACAGAGCAAGTCCCTGTCTCAAAAAATAAAATAAAATAAATATCCAAAAATTCAGTGCAAATTTCATCAAAGGAATCCATTAAAGAGACTGAAAAGATAAGCCAGTAGAAGATATTTTTGACATATGTTATCTGAGAAAGAACTTGTATCAAGTTCTCATTATATATTCTTGTATCAAGAACATGTAATGAGCTCCTGCAAATCAGTAGATAGAAAATCCGAAGGAGGCTAGGTGAGGTGACTCTCTCCTGTAATCTCAGCACTTTGGGAGGCCAAGGCAGGCAGATCACTTGAGGTCAGGAGTTCAAGACCAGCCTGGCCAATATGGCAAAACCCTGTCTCTACTAAAATACAAAAATTAGCTGGGCATGGTGTGGGCACCTGTAATCACAGCTACTTGGGAGGCCGAGGCAGAAGAATTGAATTGCTTGAACCCAGGAGGCAGAGGTTGCAGTGAGCTGAGATCATGATACTGCACGCCAGCTGGGCGACAGAGCAAGACTCCATTTCAATTAAAAGAAAAAAAAGAAAAGAAAAGAAAAGGAAAAAGAAAGAAAAGCCAAAGGAAAGATGGGCAAAAGGCTTGAATAGATTTTTTAAAAAAGAGGATATGCAAATAACCTGTAGAGACTAAAAGAAAATCCAAATTATTGGGAATCAGGAAAATGCAGATTCAAACCACAGTAAGATTCCGTTACATACCCACCAGATGGGCAACATTAAAATAACTGATAATTCCAAGTGTTGATGAGATTATGAAACAACAACTTCATACACTACTGAATGATAGGCAACATGTATGCAACTACTATGAAAAATAATTTTTCATTGGTTACTGAAGTTCAACATACTCATACCTAAGAACCAAGTTCATTCATACATATCTCCAACGAAATCTTAAATAGTTATGAAATAAACAAACCATATGAATGCAACATGGATGAATGTACAAACATAATATCATGTTAAACTAGCAAGACACATAGGAACACAAGCACATACACAAAAATCACATGGTATGTTTCCATTTATATAACATTCAACACTAGGCAAAATCAGAGTACATTATTTACAGATATATACAGAAGTGGTAAAACTAAAGCCATTACCATAAGAATTAGTGGGAGTGCAACCACCAAAGGGAAAGAAGAGAGCAGTGGTTGTCTAGGAAGGACACAGGAGGGAGGGGCAGCTCTGGGCCCTGGCACAGGATTGCTTGACCTGGTGTTACTTACAGAGGGATTTGCTTTATAATTATTATTTAAGCTGGATATTTACAGGTTACAATTTGTATATTATATAGTACACAGTATTTACAGTTTAAAGAAACACCGTGTTCTTTAAACTGTTATTCTGTTATGTGCCTTTCTGCATATATGTTATAACTAATAACAGAAATAATGGAAACATGTCTTACTTTTTGGCTTATAATTAACAGTCAATGTTCTCTTTTTTGTGGTCTTTCTCCCTTCTTCTTAGGAGCCATGGTATGTTTATTTCAATATATTTTTAATTTTAAGCCTGCTGCAAGTAAAGGAAAAGTAGGAGATGAGTCGGCAGTAATTATGTTGGAGTTTGAGATTATTAGTATTCTCATCAATTTCTGGTGTAATTATAATGCCAAGTGAGTGTGTGTTAGATTCACAAATCTGCAAGCAGGGACGTGGCTGTCTCTCAGGACTTCTTCTCACAGTGTCACTCCTTGTCTCTGAACCCAACCTGTAATACTGACAGAGGAGAGAGTCAAGGTCCAAACGGCTCAGCATCACACACTGGGGGTGGGAGGAACTCCACGGTCACGAGGTGCAGATTAGGAGAAAGGGACTTGTGAATAGACCAAGGCCCAGCAAGAAAAGAAGAGACCTGTGTGTCCTGTCGTCCCACAACGAGTTGGGCCCCCAGTGGGTTTTCCAGGCTGGGTTTGTGTTTCAGAGAAGGGGCTTTACCCTTTTATTTGATGTTTTTAGAGGGTAAGCTTGAGGTCTGTGAATTTCCCCAGTGATGGTTGTCTGGATTACTAGCTATCCAGAAACTGGAGTCTGCAGTGTCCTTGGGAATGAGCAGGTCATGTGCTGGCAGACAGGAGCCACTGATTCTCTGGCATCTTGGTCTGTTTTGGCTGCTGTTACTGAATACCATAGGCTGAGCTGGATTCCAACATTTATTTCTTAGAGTTCTGGAGGCTGCACGTCCAAGATCAGGGTACCAGCAGGGTTGAGTCCTGGGGAGAGCCCTGTTCCTTGTTCACAGATGGCTGCCTTCTTATTGCATCCTAGCCTAGTGGGGAGATGGCTGGCTGGCTCTCTGGCGGCTTATGAGAACACCGATTCTAACCATGAGGGTTCCACTTTATGACCTAATCCCCTCCCAAAGGACTCACCTCCTAATACCATTGCCCTGGGGGTTAGAATGGCAACAGAGGAATTTTGGAGGGGCACCAGCACCCAGTTCACGGCATGTGGGAAGCTGAGCTTGACCTCAGCTCCCTCTGTTTGGGGGAAGGGAGAGTTCCAGGTTCCAACTGGCTGTGGTTCAGAGTAAGCCCTCAGAGCTGCTTCCAGACAGTCCTGTTCGCTGTGCCACAATTGCCCTGGTTACAATTTTAAAGAATAATCTGCCTCTTATGTATAATATCCAGCACACCTATTTTTATTTTTCTGCCCAAAAATATGCTTTCATTTTTATTTTAGACTATGCATGTACAGGATATGAGGTATAAATATGTACACATTATATGTAATAAAAATTATACAAGAGTTGACTATCATATTAAATTTTAAGACTCTACCTGTTGTCTTATAACTAGGTGTTAAGATTCCACACTGTAGGCTGGGCGCCGTGGCTCACGGCTGTAATCCCAGCACTTTGGGAGGCCGAGGCGGGTGGATCATGAGGTCAGGAGATCGAGACCATCCTGGCTAACACGGTGAAACCCCGTCTCTACTAAAAAATACAAAAAATTAGCCAGGCATGGTGGTGGGGGCCTGTAGTCCCAGCTACTCGGGAGGCTGAGGCAGGAGAATGGTGTGAACCCAGGAGGCGGAGTTTGCAGCCAGCCAAGATTGAGCCACTGCACTCCAGCCTGGACTCCAGAGCGAGATTCCATCTCAAAAAAAAAAAAAAAAAAAAAAAAAAGAAAGATTCCACACTGTAGCAGGCTTTTTCACATATGGCCTCCTTTGAAATTTATCATAACAGTAAACGTTTTACTGATGCTGGCTTAAGTGAGATGCAAGTCAGGTTCATGAACAGAAGACCACTGAGGCAGATAAGGGAGGTAGCTCAGTACACATCACCTAGAATTATTTGTGATCTAGTGATTTTTTGTGGGCATTTTCTGTTTTCTTTTTTTTTTTTTTTTTTGCACAGTTGTGGTACAATATACATAACATAAAATTTACCATTTTAACCATTTTAAGTGTACATTAAGTGTGCGTTTTTTCTTTCTTTCTTTTGTTTCTTAGAGGCAGTGTCTTTCTCTGCCACCCAGGCTGGAGTGCAGTGGCATAATCATACCTCACTGCAGCCTCCAGCCTCAGCCTCCCGAGTAGCTAATACTACATGAACACACCACAACACCAGACTAATTATGACAATTTTGTTTTTGTAGAGATGGGGGTCTCCTATGTTGCCCAGGCTGGTTGTAAACTCCTGGCCTCAAGCAATCCTACTGCCTTGGCCTTACAAATTGTTGAGATTATAGGTGTGAGCCACTGCATCTAGCCCAGTGTACATTTTTAAATATACATTTTCAGTGGCATTAAGTATATTCACACTGTGTTGCAACCATCACCACCATTCACCTCCAGAACTTTTTCATTTTCCCAAACTGAAACTCTGTACCGTGAAACACCAACTCCCCACTCCCAGGCAGCCATCGTTATAGTTTATGTCTCTATGAATTTGACTACTCTACATACCTCATATAAGTGGAATATTTGTTCTTTTGTATCTGTTTTTCTTTCATTTAACATAGTGTCTTCAAGGTTCATTCATGTTATATCATGTGTCAGAATTTCCTTCCTTTTATGAAATATTCCTTTGTATGTATACCACATGCTGTTTACCCAGTCATGTGTTGATGGGCATTTGGGTTGTTTCCATCTTTTGGTTATTGTGAACAATGCTGTTATAAACACTGGCATGCAAATATCTGTTTATGTTGATGCTTAACATTCTTTTGGATGTATGCCCAGAAGTGGAATTGCTGGATCATGTGGTGATTGATGTTTAATTTTTTTCAGGAACTGCCATATTGTTTTCCATAGCAGCTGTACCTTTTTACATTCTCACCAGCAATACACAGGGTTCAAATTTCTCCCCATCTTCGGTGCATTTTCTTTTTTAATTTAAAGAGTTTTATTCCTTTTTTGAACTTAGAGGATTTTTTTGCAAAGGATTTGTGAAGCCATGGTTGGGATGGCAGGCAGCATTCCGGAACATACACCTGCAATTCATTCAGTTTTAGGCGTCTTTCTGTTAGGAGCATCTAAGGACTTGTTCAAGTAACCTCTTCCAGAAACTCCCTGAAGCTACTTCAACCCACAGAGATCTCTCCCTTCTCTGGGCTCTGATAGTCTTTCTAGACAATATTACTTAACACTGAATTATTTGTTGTCTTTATGTTAATTTTAATTCTCTATTTTATTGAATCTAGTCTAGACATGCTTGGCTAATTAGCCATTTCTTATTTCTTATTTATTTTTTTGTTATTTTTTCTTCCTTTTAAAGATTTTTTTTGTTTTTTTTTCTATCTTTTTATTTATTTTCTTTTTTATTGTTTGGGCCATTTATTTTAATGATTCTGGTTTTTACTTTCAGAATTTCTATTTTTATATTTTTCATATCCATCTGTTCTTAATTATAACTCTCTATTTTAATCATATTTTTATTCTTCTTTGTTACCATTAAGAGTATTACCTATACTTATTTAAAGTTATTTTTGGTTTGTTCTACTTGGATTTTGAGAGCAGTAAATTTATATCATGATTGTTGCATTTGTTGGCTGTCTCTTACAAATTTTTTCTTATGTGCTTTGGAGGTTTCATTTGTAGCTTTATCCTGAGTGGGAAATTTTCTTCTCTCTAAGAGCCTATTGGGTGGTTGCTTCCTCTCATCTCCCTGGAAGCCTGGTCTGCAACCAGCTGTTGTATTGGCAGATTTGGGGTTCTTGCCTGGGGCTGATGTGGGAGAGATCATGGATTGAGAAATGAGAAGTTTGGTCCCAGTTTGATTCTATTTAGTTTGATTCTATTTAGGCACAGCCATGGGCAGTAATTGCTGCAGATATGTTGGTGTCATTTCTTAGGGGTAGAATTCTTATTTCAGCTCCTGGTTTCTTACGAGGAGCGTGGCTCTGGGAATAGCCATGCAGGGAACTATTTTGATTCTAGCTGATCCTGCAGTGATAGAATGCCTGTCTGCTTCTGTCTGCTTTCAGTTCTGGAGTTCAGCAAACCCATAGCTTCTGTGCCCAGAGTGTCCTCTCTGTGTGTCCCCACCCACCAGCTTGCAGTCTTCCCAATCCAGAGGACAAATGTATTTATGGTGTGTTGAACATGCTTACATCTTTTGCCGAGACCAACTCAGTTGTGGAGACCCTAACCCAGAGGCACTAGAGGAATTAAAGACACACACACAGAAATATACAGTGTGGAGTGAGAAATCAGGGGTCTCACAGCCTTCAGAGCTGAGAGCCTTGAACAGGGATTTACCCACATATTTATTGACAGCAAGCCAGTGATAAGCATTGTTTCTATAGATTATAGATTAACTAAAAGTATTTCTTATGGGAAACAAAGGGATGGACCGAAATAAAGGGATGGGCTCTGGCTAGTTATCTGCAGCAGGAGCATGTCCTTAAGGCACAGATTGCTCATGCTATTGTTTGTGGTTTAAGAATGCCTTAAGCAGTTTTCTGCCGGGAGTGGCCAGGTGTTCATTGCCCTCATTCCGGTAAACCCACGTCCTTCAGCGTGGATGTCATGGCCATCACAAGGCATGTCACAGTGCTGCAGAGATTTTGTTTATGGCCAGTTTATGGCCAGATTTGGGGGCCTGTTCCCAACATTTCCCCCTTCTTTGTTTTGCAAAGTGATAAAAGCAAAGGCAGCTCTGTCACGGTGAGCTACTTCTCACAGGAGTCAGGATCCACATCTGTAGACTATACAAAGACAAACAACACAGATTAAAAGCACAATCATCATTGAAATCACAGAGCCTCCAAGTGTTTTTAATCCATTTTAATGGGTTACTAGCTGCTAATTTGTCTGCAGCTCCTTTAAGAACTCCAGTTCCTGGCATTAAGGTCAGGTGTGCCTGGGATGCTTTAAATATTAGTTCTTTTAATTTTGCAATATCCAAAGACAAGTTTGTAGAGTGTTCTTCTAGATGCCTTTTTATTCTTTCCCAAATTTTGATCTTATTAAGAGCTATTAATAGTTTCCACAAATCCTTATGTTTAGCTCCTACAGTGGGCCATATCATTTGAGGCTGAGGTGCCACTATGCCACCATGTTTCCAGATAATAGGAACTCTTGCCATACTTCTTACCATTTCTACCATCTGACCATTTTGTTCAGACCAGCTGAACATAGTGTGGCCATGGAATGCAGACTGAGAGGTGCAATTCAAGCTAAACATCCCCTTAGGGGACCAATCAATAATGATTCCATAAGAATCATTGCACAGCACCTCTGCCTGTTCTGCAATGCAATCTTCCTAAACAAGTACATTCATTTTTTCTGGCCAGGTCCAATTCTGCTTACAAATAGGTTTTTGAGGGCGGTATGCCTCCATTATAGGAGCAGATTTATTATGGAAAATACTGAGATCAGAAAGCATGTGTAACTGTGTCATAGAGTGATTACATCCAGGCATTATTGCCAGCCAAGATTGATAAATATGTCCAATAAGTATAATTGTTCTCTGTGTCAGCCCTTGTTGAAGGAATACTCATGGGAATGGTGATTACTGCTATCATAGCTACCATTAAATTACTCATTGTGACTGGTTGTCCTGCTTTCCTCAGGTTTTCTTCCATCATCTGTGACAGCTTCTTGATCTGTCCCCAGGTGGGTGGCTGTGTTTGACAGGTGTTGCTCATGACAGTTGGGGTCCTCCTCAGTGTCAGTCTCGACATGGCTGCAACTGAGGGGTCCTCGAGTTCCTCCCGGAATCTCTTCCTCAGCATCTGGCTCATGATAAGGTTTCAGGTGTCTTGATGGTATCCAAATCGGCTGTTGATTTGATCCTGGAGAAACACAAGCATAACCTCTACCCCAAGTTATTATTTTACCTATTTCCCAACTTTTTGTTATGGAATCTCTCTGCCAAACCAGTTGTTCTGCTTCTGTCTTTGCAGCTGGTTTCTGTGGATGCTGTTCAGCTGCTGATAGCATCTGGCCTTTAGGCAAGCAGGCTCAAAAAATTTAAAGTTAATAATACTAGGTTAAATTGCATGTGTGGTGTCCCATAGTCCCTATTTCTCCCCCTTTTTTGGTTTTGTAACTGCTGTTTCAGGGAGAGATTCATTCTTTCCACTTGTCCTTGAGAATTACATGGCATGCCAGTAATGTGTTTAATATTCCATATAGAGAAAAATGTAGCTAGAGCTTGGCTAGTATAGCCTGAGGCATTAACTGTTTTAATAGAAGCTGGAATGCCCATCACTGCAAAACACTGCAAAAGGTGACATTTAACAGAGGCAGAAGACTCTCCTGATTGGCATGTAGCCTAGACAAAGTGAGAAAAGGTGTCCACACATACATGTACATAAGCTAGTCTCCCAAACGAGGGAACATGTGTGACACCCATTTGCCAAGAAGAATTAGGTTCTAATCCTCAATGATTAACTCCTCCTGTAAAAGATGAAGAATGTACCATTTGGCAAGTTGGGCATTGCTGGATAATAGCTTTAGCTTCTTTCCAGGTAATCTTGTATCTGTGTTTGAGACCAGAGGCATTAACATGGGTTAAATTGTGAAAGTGTCTAGCATTAGATATTGCAGTAGCAACTAGGCGATCAGCCATATGATTCCCTGCAGTTAAAGGTCCTGGAAGAGGTGTATGAGCCCTAGTATGAGTGATGTAAAAAGGGTGCATTCTACTCCTAACTGCTATTTGCAATTGGGTAAATAAAGTCATCAGTTGTTCATCTGTATGAAATCATAGCTGAGCATTTTCAATTAATTGTGTGGAATGAACCACATATGAAGAATCAGAAATCACATTAATAGGCGTATTAAAAGCAGTCAATACCTCAATTACAGCTACAAGCTCTGCTTTTTGAGCTGAAGTATAGGGCGTCTGAAAAACTTTACCTTTCAAGCCAAAATAAGAAGCGTTACCATTACTAGACCCATCTGTGAAGACATTTTTACCACATTCAGTTGGCTTAAATTTAGTTATTTTAGGGAGAATCCAATTAGTTAATTTCAAAAATTGAAACTATTTTGTTTTTGGAAAGTGATTATCAAGAACACCCAGGAAATCAGCTAAATGGGTTTGCCAAGTAAGACTATTTATAAAAGCTTGCTGTATTTGTGCCTTGTGAGAGGGACGATAATTTTTCCAGGATCATATCCATGTAATTTAACAATCTGAGTTCTCCCATTTCCTTTCATGGTAGTCATTTGATCAAAATAAGGAGTCAAAGTCCATGACTTAGTATGTGGAAGAAAAAGCCTCTCTACAAGATCTTGCTCTTGAACAATAACAACAATAAGTGAATGCTGAGTTGAAAAAATCAGTAAATCTAGAGTCTTCTATGGACCCAGTCTATTTATCTGAGCTTTTCAATCAGCTGTAAATCTGCCTCAGCCTCCTTTGTTAATTGCCGAGGGCTAGTGAGATTAGGGTCTCCTCTAAGGATAGAAAATAGATTACTCATGGCATAGGTAGGAATGCCTAGAGCAGGTCATATCCAATTAATGTCCCCTAGTGATTTTCAAAAGTCATTTAATGTTTTTAATTGATCCCTATGTATGGTTACTTTCTGTGGCACAATTGTAGTGTCATTTACTAAGGTCCCCAAGTAGGAGTAAGGGGTAGGAGTCTGAATTTTGTCAGGAGCTATAATTAAACCAGCATGAAAAATCGAATTTTGCAAGTGATCATAACATTGGAGTAATATTTCTTGAGTGGGGGCAGCGCAAAAAAATATTATCTATATAATGAATACTGTAACACTGTGAAAATTTTTTATGAGTAGGTTCAATTGCTTACCCTAAATAAGTCTGGCAAATTGTTGGACTATTTAACATGGCTTGTGGCAACACTTTCCAGTGAAAACATTTAGCAGGTTGCAGGTTGCTTACCGCAGGAACTGTAAATGCAAACTGTTCACAGTCTTGCTCAGCTAAGGGGATAGTAAAGAAACAGTCTTTTAAATCTATGACTATTAAAGGCCAATTTTTTGGAATCATAGCAGGAGAAGGCAGTCCTGGCTGCAATGTCTCCATATGTTGTATAATTGAATTAATGGCTCTAAGATCTGTCAACATTCTCCATTTACCTGATTTTTTCCTAATAACAAAAACTGGAGAATTCTAGGGGGAAAATGTTGGAGCTATGTGTCCTTTTTCTAATTGTTCAGTAACTAAGTCCTCTAAAGCCTCCAGTTTCTCTTTACTTAGTGGCCATTGTTCTATCCAAATTGGCTTATCTGTTAAGCATTTTAAAGGTATAGGTCCTGGAGGCTTAACAATGTCCGCCATCAAAAATGATATCCTAAACCTTGGCAGGAATTTTGTCTTTCCGCTTGAAGCAGTTCCTTCAAACCTTGCAAATTTTTTCCTAGTCCCATACCAGGGACATATCCCATTTCGTGCATCATATGTTGACTTTGGGGGCTGTATAATTGCTCTGAAATTAGAACTTGTGCTTCCAATTGTTGTAATAAATCTCTCCCCCATAAATTTATAGGTAGAGAAGTTATAATTGGTTGAATAGTCCCAGGTTGTCCATCAGGCCCTTCACAATGCAAAATATAACTACTTTGATATACTTCAGGGGCTTCACCAACTCCAACTATGTTAAATTGGGTGGGTTGAATTGGCCACATGGATGGCCAGTGCTGTAGAGAAATGATTGAAATGTCCACTCCTGTGTCTACCAAACCTTTAAATTTCTTTCCCTGAATAGTTATTTCACAGGTAGGACTTTTCTCAGTAATTTGATTTACCCAATAAACTGCTTTGCCTTGTTTATTTGTGCTTCCAAATCCTCCTGTTCATTTAGTTTCACTTTTCCCCATTTCCACATATGGCACAATCAGGAGCTGTGCAATATGCTCTCCTGGCTCTGCTTTCCAGGGAACAGGAGCAGATATAACAATTTGAATTTCCCCATTGTAATATGAATCAATGACACATGTATGTACTTGCACTCCTTTTAAATTTGAACTGTACCTACCTAGAAGTAATCCTACAGTCCCTGCTGGCAAGGGTCCACAGATCCCTGTTGTAACTTTTTGCGGGGGTTCCCCAGGCAGAAGAAGACTCACAGCTTCTGTGCAGCATAAATCTACTGCAGGATTACCAGCTGTGGTGGGGGACAGACATTGTACAGGGGTGAGGGAGTAGCCTGAGCTGGAAATGCCCAGGTTTGGAACATGGCCCAGGACGGGCCCCTCATGGCATTTCCTGAAATCAGGTTCCCATCTTTATCAAACTTAGAGTGACACTGATTAGCCCAATGTTTTCCTTTTTTACATTTTGGACGTATTCCAGGCCCAGCAGTTTTCTTTTTTCCCTCAACTGGCAGCCTGACTAGCTGATTTTTTCTACATTCTTTTTTAGTATGACCATGCTTCCCACAGTTAAAACAAGTTCCAGGAAATGGAGTGTTTCCTTTACTCACTTTCAGTCCTGCCATGGCTTGCGCCAACAAAGTAGCTTTATGCAGATTACTTCTGATACCATCACAGGCCTTGATATAATCAACTAAATGTGCTTTCCCTCTAATAGGTCACAGAGCAGCCTGGCACTCGGGATTAGCATTGTTGAGAGCTAATAACCACCACACTATATCCTGAACCGCTGAATCTGCAATCACCTTTTTAAGAGACTCCTATAACCGAGCTATGAAATCTGTGTACAGTTCTTTTGGTCCCTGTTTTACAGCACTAAAGGAAGGGTATTTTTCTCCACCTGAAGTGATTTTTTCCCAAGCTCTGATGCACACTCCTCCAAGCTGCTCTATGGCATCATCCTGCATGACCACTTGTGCATCTAAACCAGCCCTGCTGCCAACCCCCAAAAGTTGGTCTGCAGTTATATTAATTTGAGATTGGGCCTGGGCCTTGTGAGCAGCCTGAATGGAAGCTTCATCTGCCCACCAAGTTTTAAATTGTAAGAACTGAGCAAGAGTCAGAAAAGCTCGAGTGAGAGCATCCCAATCAGTGGGAATCATCCAACTGGAAACAGCAACATTCTTTAACAGTCCCATTACAAAAGGAGAACCTCGTCCATATTGATTAATAGCTTCTTTAAATTCTTTAAGTAACTTAAAAGGAAAAGGCTCAAATGTAGGTGTAATATTTCCCTGTTGATCGGGTGTGTGTATTCTAACAGGGAACTGCCAAGACTCTAAATCACGCTCTCTTCTAGCTTGCTGGATTCCTGCATGAATAGAACTGAGAGTGGTTGCTCGAGGTGCTGTTCAAACAGTCACTGGGGCAACTACCTTTTGCCCTGTGTCCTCTGGAAAAGGAAGATCTGGAGGATCAGGCCACTCTTTTTCTTCAAAATAATGAGGGGGTGCAGAAGGGTAGGAATGAACCTCTCCCTCCTTTGCCACTTTAGCTTTAGCTGGCAAACAAACCTGCTCTGTCACCTCTTCTGTTACTTTGTAATATTCTCCTTCCTCCTCATCATCAGTGTGGAAAGGTTCCGAGGTGGAACGAACCAGAGCCCACACTTGTCCCACTGTTACTCTGATGCTTCCGAGCTCCCTTCTTACTCACCACGGGGATTGCTTAAGAGTACTCGGGTGTCCTCCAGCTTAGTTCCACATTTTCCAGCCATTGCTCTGGCAACCCTTTGACCTGGATTCGAGCCCCCACATATGAGTGCCACTTGCCGAGACCAGCCTGGTCAGGGAGACCCTAGACCCAGCGGCACTAGAGGGATTAAAGACACACACACAGAAATACTGAGTGTGGAGTGGGAAATCAGGGGCCTGACAGCCTTCAGAGCTGAAAGCCACGAACAGTTTTACCCACATATTTATTGACAGCAAGCCAGTGATAAGCATTGTTTCTATGGATTATAGATGAACTAAAAGCATTCCTTACGGGAAACAAAGGGATGGGCTGAAACAAAGGGTTGGGCTCTGGCTAGTTATCTGCAGCAGGAATATGTCCTGAAGGCACAGATCACTCTTGCTATTGTTTGTGGCTTAGGAACTCCTTAAGCAGTTTTCCATCCTGGGTGGGCCAGGTGTTCCTTGCCCTTATTCTGGTAAACCCACAACCTTCAGCGTGGGCATCATGGCCATGAAGAACATATCACAGTGCTGCAGGGATTTTATTTCTGGCCAGTTTTGGGGCCAGTTTATGGCCAGATTTGGGGACCTGTTCCCAACAATCTTTAAAATAGCTTAAACTAATTTGAGGGGAGAGGTAGAGACTACATTATGAAACTCAAGTGTCTTTCCACATATAATCTCTGGTTGTATATTAAATTTTATTTTCCAAATAGATTACACATTGTTTATGTCTCTCTAAATTTTATTCCCTCTAAATACCTTGCAAAAACACCAAGTATCCATTTATTTCATTTATTTGATTTAATTAATAAATGTTTGCTGACCATTTACTGTGCCTATTAAGGAAATAAACTGATTAGTCATTTTGTTCAGTAAATACAATATCTGCACCTAGGATTAGACAGAAGCAGTAAAACTGTTGCTTGGTCAGAGAACTTTGGATCACAGATTCCCTGGGATCTAAGGTTTTGACACTAAGCTTGGGTGCACGGATGCCAGTTCTGTTTCTTTTCTTGGAACTCCAGGATTAATAACAGCAATTTTAATTCCCCCAGGTAGTGTTGGGGGCATTTTCCCAATGGCTAACATTTTTCATAGAAGTGGGTAAGATGAAATCACAGCATCCAACCGACATACTGTGTTCCTGCCTCTTCTCAGTGGTGCCCGGACTCCCCCCTCCTGGAGGTTCCCTGGACCCGTGCTGCCAGGCCCCAGTGAACAGGCTTTGAGCACAGTCTATGTTGCAGACTCTGTCCCCAGCATGCCATGCATGTTGAATTATGTAGCTCTTACTGTAATCAGACTGTTGTGACTCCTATTTGTGGATGCAGAAGTGGAGGCACAGAGTTGAGGCATGTTCTCAACATCTGTAGTTGGGAAGGGACAAAGCTGACAAGGCCGGCTCCCTGGATGCTCTCTGAGCCAGAGCTGGGGATGCAGTGAGTCTCACCAATGTACTTTAATGTAGCCGTTTCTCGTTGTCTGAACTAGGTTACTGTTGAATTCAAAAGCTTTTATAAGAAACTCCTCTCATCTCTGTAGCAGTTTGAGTAATTTCTCTTACCAGTAAAGCTGTCTGTGCAACTCCCTTTATCTTATGCTGCTGTGGGTATGTCTCCAGGCAAGTATAAAGCGCTGCTTTTTGTGTAACTGTGGGTTTGTTTTAGGTAAGCCCCCTCCTCCCTGTGAAAGTTCCCATGGAGCCCACCATATATATTCCTGAAAAAGGTAGGAAACTTTTTCCTGGGAGCTCACTATTTATACAAAGAATAAAAGGCTTCTGTGCTTTACTGGCTCCTTATCTGTCCCAGCTTATCTGTGCAGCTGCAGCAGCTGCAACTTTTCAGGCAGGCAGCTTCTCCTGGCCCAGCCTTAACTGTTTACCTAACTGATTTTTCCTTTTCTTCTCCCTCAGCAGCGGTTTCCATCTTCAGGGAGAGTGGCCTGAGGGGCTTCTTGCTGTAACATCGGGACTGTCTCCCATGTCTCAGAAAGTCAGGTCACCACGGACCCAGGGCCATCTCACCTGACCCCTTGGACCCTTCATGCTCCAGGGCAGTGCATGAACTGGGCTGCAGATGAGCTTGCGAATCTGGCGTTGGGGGGTGGGGGATGGGGCACAGAGGCTCTTCTTTTTTTTTTTTTCTTTTATTATTATACTTTAAGTTTTAGGGTACATGTGCACATTGTGCAGGTTAGTTACATATGTATACATGTGCCACGCTGGTGCGCTGCACCCACTAACTCGTCATCTAGCATTAGGTATATCTCCTGATGCTATCCCTCCCCCCTCCCCCCACCCCACAACAGTCCCCAGAGTGTGATGTTCCCCTTCCTGTGTCCATGAGATCTCATTGTTCAATTCCCACCTATGAGTGAGAATATGGGGTGTTTGGTTTTTTATTCTTGCGATAGTTTACTGAGAATGATGATTTCCAATTTCATCCATGTCCCTACAAAGGACATGAACTCATCATTTTTTATGGCTGCATAGTATTCCATGGTGTATATGTGCCACATTTTCTTAATCCAGTCTATCATTGTTGGACATTTGGGTTGGTTCCAAGTCTTTGCTATTGTGAATAGTGCCGCAATAAACATACATGTGCATGTGTCTTTATAGCAGCATGATTTATAGTCCTTTGGGTATATACCCAGTAATGGGATGACTGGGTCAAATGGTATTTCTAGTTCTAGATCCCTGAGGAATTGCCACACTGACTTCCACAATGGTTGAACTAGTTTACAGTCCCACCAACGGGGTAAAAGTGTTCCTATTTCTCCACATCCTCCCCAGCACCTGTTGTTTCCTGACTTTTTAATGATTGCCATTCTAACTGGTGTGAGATGGTATCTCATTGTGGTTTTGATTTGCATTTCTCTGATGGCCAGTGATGATGAGCATTTTTTCATGTGTTTTTTGGCTGCATAAATGTCTTCTTTTGAGAAGTGTCTGTTCATGTCCTTTGCCCACTTTTTGATGGGGTTGTTTGTTTTTTTCCTGTAAATTTGTTTGAGTTCTTTGTAGATTCTGGATATTAGCCCTTTGTCAGATGAGTAGGTTGCAAAATTTTCTCCCATTTTGTAGGTTGCCTGTTCACTCTGATGGTAGTTTCTTTTGCTGTACAGAAGCTCTTTAGTTTAATTAGATCCCATTTGTCAATTTTGTCTTTTGTTGCCATTGCTTTTGGTGTTTTAGACATGAAGTCCTTGCCCATGCCTATGTCCTGAATGGTATTGCCTAGGTTTTCTTCTAGGGTTTTTATGGTTTTAGGTCTAACGTTTAAGTCTTTAATCCATCTTGAATTGATTTTTGTATAAGATGTAAGGAAGGGATCCAGTTTCAGCTTTCTACATATGGCTAGCCAGTTTTCCCAGCACCATTTATTGAATAGGGAATCCTTTCCCCATTGCTTGTTTTTCTCAGGTTTGTCAAAGATCAGATAGTTGTAGATATGCGGCGTTATTTCTGAGGGCTCTGTTCTGTTCCATTGATCTATATCTCTGTTTTGGTACCAGTACCATGCTGTTTTGGTTACTGTAGCCTTGTAGTATAGTTTGAAGTCAGGTAGTGTGATGCCTCCAGCTTTGTTCTTTTGGCTTAGGATTGACTTGGCGATGTGGGCTCTTTTTTGGTTCCATATGAACTTTAAAGTAGTTTTTTCCAATTCTGTGAAGAAAGGCATTGGTACCTTGATGGGCATGGCATTGAATATACAAATTACCTTGGGCAGTATGGCCATTTTCATGATATTGAGTCTTCCTACCCATGAGCATGGAATGTTCTTCCATTTGTTTGTATCCTCTTTTATTTCATTGAGCAGTGGTTTGTAGTTCTCCTTGAAGAGGTCCTTCACATCCCTTGTAAGTTGGATTCCTAGGTATTTTATTCTCTTTGAAGCAATTGTGAATGGGAGTTCACTCATGATTTGGCTCTCTGTTTGTTTGTTATTGGTGTATAAGAATGCTTGTGATTTTTGTACATTGATTTTGTATCCTGAGACTTTGCTGAAGTTGCTTATCAGCTTAAGGAGATTTTGGGCTGAGACAATGGGGTTTTCTAGATATACAATCATGTCATCTGCAAACAGGGACAATTTGACTTCCTCTTTTCCTAATTGAATACCCTTTATTTCCTTCGCCTGCCTAATTGCCCTGGCCAGAACTTCCAACACTATGTTGAATAGGAGTGGTGAGAGAGGGCATCCCTGTCTTGTGCCAGTTTTCAAAGGGAATGCTTCCAGTTTTTGCCCATTCAGTATGATATTGGCTGTGGGTTTGTCATAGATAGCTCTTATTATTTTGAAATACGTCCCATCAATAGCTAATTTATTGAGAGTTCTTAGGGTTGTTGAATTTTGTCAAAGGCCTTTTCTGCATCTATTGAGATAATCATGTGGTTTTTGTCTTTGGCTCTGTTTATATGCTGGATTACATTTATTGATTTGCATATATTGAACAAGCCTTGCATCCCAGGGATGAAGCCCACTTGATCATGGTGGATAAGCTTTTTGATGTGCTACTGGATTCGTTTTGCCAGTATTTTATTGAGGATTTTTGCATCGATGTTCATCAAGGATATTGGTCTAAAATTCTCTTTTTTGGTTGTGTCTCTGCCAGGCTTTGGTATCAGAACGATGCTGGCCTCATAAAATGAGTTAGGGAGGATTCCCTCTTTTTCTATTGATTGGAATAGTTTCAGAAGGAATGGTACCAGTTCCTCCTTGTACCTCTGGTAGAATTCGGCTGTGAATCCATCTGGTCCTGGACTCTTTTTGGTTGGTAAGCTATTGATTATTGCCACAATTTCAGATCCTGTTATTGGTCTATTCAGAGATTCAACTTCTTCCTGGTTTAGTCTTGGGAGAGTGTATGTGTCAAGGAATTTATCCATTTCTTCTAGATTTTCTAGTTTATTTGCGTAGAGGTGTTTGTAGTATTCTCTGATGGTAGTTTGTATTTCTGTGGGATCGGTGGTGATATCCCCTTTATCATTTTTTATTGCATCTATTTGATTCTTCTCTCTTTTCTTCTTTATTAGTCTCACTAGTGGTCTATTTATTTTGTTGATCCTTTCAAAAAACCAGCTCCTGGATTCATTAATTTTTTAAAGGGTTTTTTGTGTCTCTATTTCCTTCTGTTCTGCTCTGATTTTAGTTATTTCTTGCCTTCTGCTAGCTTTTGAATGTGTTTGCTCTTGCTTTTCTAGTTCTTTTAATTGTGATGTTAGGGTGTCAATTTTGGATCTTTCCTGCTTTCTCTTGTGGGCATTTAGTGGTATAAATTTCCCTCTACACACTGCTTTGAATGCAAACCAGAGATTCTGGTATGTTGTGTCTTTGTTCTCATTGGTTTCAAAAAACATCTTTATTTCTGCCTTCATTTCGTTATGTCCCCAGTAGTCATTCAGGAGCAGGTTGTTCAGTTTCCATGTAGTTGAGCAGTTTTGAGTGAGTTTCTTAATCCTGAGTTCTAGTTTGATTGCACTGTGGTCTGAGAGATAGTTTGTTATAATTTCTGTTCTTTTACATTTGGTGAGGAGAGCTTTACTTCCAAGTATGTAGTCAATTTTGGAATAGGTGTGGTGTGGTGCTGAAAAAAATGTATATTCTGTTGATTTGGGGTGGAGAGTTCTGTAGATGTCTATTAGGTCCACTTGGTGCAGAGCTGCGTTTAATTCCTGGGTATCCTTGTTGACTTTCTGTCTCGTTGATCTGTCTAATGTTGACAGTGGGGTGTTAAAGTCTCCCATTATTATTGTGTGGGAGTCTAAGTCTCTTTGTAGGTCACTCAGGACTTGCTTTATGAATCTGGGTGCTCCTGTAGTGGGTGCATATATATTTAGGATAGTTAGCTCTTCTTGTTGAATTGATCCCTTTACCATTATGTAATGGCCTTCTTTGTCTCTTTTGATCTTTATTGGTTTAAAGTCTGTTTTATCAGAGACTAGGATTGCAACCCCTGCCTTTTTTTGTTTTCCATTTGCTTGGTAGAACTTCCTCCATCCTTTTATTTTGAGCCCATGTGTGTCTCTGCACGTGAGATGGGTTTCCTGAATACAGCACACTGATGGGTCTTGACTCTTTATCCAATTTGCCAGTCTGTGTCTTTTAATTGGAGCATTTAGTCCATTTACATTTAAAGTTAATATTGTTATGTGTGAATTTGATCCTGTCATGATGATGTTAGCTGGTTATTTTGCTCGTTAGTTGATGCAGTTTCTTCCTAGTCTCGATGGTCTTTACATTTTGGCATGATTTTGCAGTGGCTGGTACCGGTTGTTCCTTTCCATGTTTAGTGCTTCCTTCAGGAGCTCTTTTAGAGCAGGCCTGGTGGTGACAAAATCTCTCAGCATTTGCTTGTCTGTAAAGTATTTTATTTCTCCTTCACTTCTGAAGCTTAGTTTGGCTGGATATGAAATTCTGGGTTGAAAATTCTTTTCTTTAAGAATGTTGAACATTGGCCCCCACTCTCTTCTGGCTTGTAGGGTTTCTGCCAAGAGATCCACTGTTAGTCTGATGGGCTTCCTTTTGAGGGTAACCCGACCTTTCTCTCTGGCTGCCCTTAACATTTTTTCCTTCATTTCAACTTTGGTGAATCTGACAATTATGTGTCTTGGAGTTGCTCTTCTCGAGGAGTATCTTTGTGGTGTTCTCTGTATTTCCTGAATCTGAACGTTGGCCTGCCTTGCTAGATTGGGGAAGTTCTCCTGGATAATATCCTGCAGAGTGTTTTCCAACTTGGTTCCATTCTCCCCGTCATTTTCAGGTACACCAATCCGACGTAGATTTGGTCTTTTCACATAGTCCCATATTTCTTGGAGGCTTTGCTCATTTCTTTTGTATTCTTTTTTCTCTAAACTTCCCTTCTCGCTTCATTTCATTCATTTCATCTTCCATCACTGATACCCTTTCTTCCAGTTGATCGCATCGGCTCCTGAGGCTTCTGCATTCTTCACGTAGTTCTTGAGCCTTGGTTTTCAGCTCCATCAGCTCCTTTAAGCACTTCTCTGTATTGGTTATTCTAGTTATACATTCTTCTAAATTTTTTTCAAAGTTTTCTACTTCTTTGCCTTTGGTTTGAATGTCCTCCCGTAGCTCAGAGTAATTTGATCATCTGAAGCCTTCTTCTCTCAGCTCGTCAAAGTCGTTCTCTGTCCAGCTTTGTTCCATTGCTGGTGAGGAACTGCGTTCCTTTGGAGGAGGAGAGGCGCTCTGCATTTTAGTTTCCAGTTTTTCTGTTCTGTTTTTTCCCCATCTTTGTGGTTTTATCTACTTTTGGTCCCTGATGATGGTGATGTACAGATGGGTTTTTGGTGTGGATGTCCTTTCTGTTTGTTAGTTTTCCTTCTAACAGACAGGACCCTCAGCTGCAGGTCTGTTGGAGTACCCTGCCGTATGAGGTGTCAGTGTGCCCCTGCTGTGGGGGTGCCTCCCAGTTAGGCTGCTCGGGGGTCAGGGGTCAGGGACCCACTTGAGGAGGCAGTCTGCCCATTCTCAGATCTCCAGCTGCGTACTGGGAGAACCACTGCTCTCTTCAAAGCTGTCAGACAGGGACATTTAAGTCTGCAGAGGTTACTGCTGTCTTTTTGTTTGTCTGTGCCCTGCCCCCAGAGGTGGAGCCTAGAGAGGCAGGCAGGCCTCCTTGAGCTGTGGTGGGCTCCACCCAGTTCCAGCTTCCTGGCTGCTTTGTTTACCTAAGCAAGCCTGGGCAATGGCTGGTGCCCCTCCCCCAGTCTCGCTGCCGCCTTGCAGTTTGATCTCAGACTGCTGTGCTAGCAATCAGCGAGACTCCGTGGGCGTAGGACCCTCTGAGCCAGGTGCCGGATATAATCTCATGGTGTGCGGTTTTTTAAGCCCGTCGGAAAAGCGCAGTATTCGGGTGGGAGTGACCCGATTTTCCAGGTGCCATCCGTCACCCCTTTCTTTGACTAGGAAAGGGAACTCCCTGACCCCTTGCGCTTCCCGAGTGAGGCAATGCCTCGCCCTGCTTCACTGGTGCACGGTGCACGCACCCACTGACCTGCCAGAGGCTCTTCATACATCGCGAACCCGCAGACACTGCCAGGCTCCCTGGCTTTGCAGGGTTCACTCCCAGGGGCCTTGTCTTTTTAGGTGAACGTTTCCAGGGCTGCAGTTTAAAGACACAGGATCAAAGTCTCGCCTGCCTGAGCGGAGTGGCTTGGGCTCTCCCCAGGCCTCTGGGATTCTCTCTGGAGAGCAAAGCAGTGACCCACACATATCACTGGTGCAGGGTCTCTGCCTAAGGAATGCTTCCGAGTGCCAAGCGTGTGCTGGGCTGTGCCCTGCGCTCCTGGGGCACTGCCCCAGGGCCCCATCAAGTCTCTGGTGTGAGCGCAGCATGGCACTGGGGCAGGGTTTGCTAAGCCCAGTCCGTCCTTAGAGTTCATACAAACCTATTTCATTTATTTTTGAGAGAGACTAGTTTCAGCTACTCCTAATGACATGGGATTTCTTTCTTTCTTTTTCTTAGGATAAAATACTTCATTACCTGCCTTGTGGGGGCTTAGAAATGTAAGGTAAGAGACAAAATTAGGGGACGAGACAAGAAAAGTAGGGGGAGGAATGTTGAAAGATACTGTGTTATAAATACTTTGGCTGAGCATACTTACATCCAACCCAGAGGACATGCTGAGAGGTGGTTTTGTTACCCATAAAACAGAAACAATCTGGGAGAAATGACATGGGATTTCTGAAGAAAAGGCTAAGCTTGTTTATTTCTTATGTTTGTTTTGTTGTTTTATATTTTAATTTTGTTTAGAGACAGGGGCCCCACTATGTTGCCCAGGCTGGTCTTGAACTCCTGGGCTCAAGCAACCCTCCCTCCTGGGCCTCCTGAGTAGCTGCGATTACAGGCCCAGGCCACTGTGCCCAGTTATGCTTCTTCTTCTTTTTTTTTTTTAAGTGCCCCCTGGAGGGACTTAATCCAAGGCAAGTTAGTAAAAGTCATATTTAAAGCTGATAAAATAAGCTGATTAAAGATTGTTCAATTTACTTCCCCTCAGGAGTGGAAACAAACCCTGGGACCATCTATTCTCTCTCCCTCCTCTCATTGTCCTAAGGCCAGGAGGACTAAAATAAGCACATTAGAATTAGAGCCGTGTACCTTGTTAGTGGAGACTTTGAAGAATGGTTTGTAGCACTTTCTAGTACATCACACACCTTCATCAGGGAGGGAATCGGAAGATGATGGAAGTCTGTGATGAGAAGAGAGCCCTGGGGAAAAGCAGGCATGCAGTAAGGATTTTTTTAAAAAATGAATCATTCACAAATGAACTAGTGACATTTGGGGGCATTTTACACAAAACAAAATTTTTCTGATAGCGGTAAACCGAGTTCTATGGGATAATACTTAGAGACAGAGCCCAGGTTAATCATGTCATTGCTAAGGGTTCCCTTGCCTTCTTCTGTCCCAGAAAGACCCCATGCCCAGAGGCCCTCACCATCCACTGGCTGTGAAATCCCCCTGAAGGAGATGAGGCTGCGTGCCTCCTGCTTCTCCTGGTGGACTCACAGGAATGTGACTTGATTGTTAGATTTGGAGTTGCCAAGAGGAGGATCGTGAATACAGTAAATTGGTAGTTGCCAGGATTTTGCATGTAATTGGGCATTTTTGAGGAATGTGATTGTCTTTGAGGCAAAATGGTGAAACTGCACAGATGTCATGAATGCAGTTGACTAAAGCAGACTTTCAAGGGAATTTTCTTTTGGTAAGAGTTGTTACCTTTAGCACCTAGGATATTAGAGGAGCTCATAAGCTAATCAAGTGACAGTTCTCTAGACCCCAAGTTTTGCCCTGGCTTCCGCTTGCGGGGTCCTCACTGCCGCTGTGGCTGCATCTGAGGCCACTCGACCCCACTAGATGGGGCAGTCAGGGAGAAGCTTCTGGAGCTGAAATCCACCATGCTGCATGTTTGCCTGGATGTGGAATCAGAGCTGCCTGGGAGCTCCCCTCCTTGTCCAGCAGCCACCTTCTGATTGTTTTTCTTTCTCCAACTTTTACTTTAGATTCAGGGGGTACATGTGCATGTTTGTTACCTGGGTAAATTGTGTGTTGCTGGGGTTTGGAGTATAAATGATTTCCTCATCCAGGTAGTGAGCATAATACTCAATAGGTAGTTTTTTGACCCTCACCCTCCTCCTCCCACCCTCCCTACTCAAGTAGTCCCCATATTTGTGTCCATGTGAACTCAGTGTTCAGCTCCCACTTATAAGTGAGAACATGCAGTATTTGGTTTTCTGTTCCTACATTAATTCCCTTAGGATAATGGCCTCCAGGTGCATCCATGTTGCTGCAAAGGATGTGATCTCTTCTTAACAGTGCACAGTATTCCATGGTGTATATGTGCCACATTTGCTTTATCCAGTTCACTGTTAATGGGCACCTAGGTTGATTCCATGTCTTGCTATTGTGAATAGTGCTGTGACAAACATATGGGTGCATATGTCTTTTTGGTAGAATGATTTATATTCCTTTGGGTATATTCCCAGTAGTGAGATTGCCAGGTCAAATGGTAGTTCTGTTTTAAGTTCTTTGAGAAATCACCAAACTACTTTCCACAGTGACTGAACTAATTTACATTCCCACCAGCGATGTATAAATATTCTCTTTCTCCACAATCTTACCAATACCTGTTATTTTTTGACTTTTTAATAATAGGCAATCTGGCTGATACAAGATGGTATCTCATTATGGTTCTGATTTGCATTTCTCTAATAATTAGTGATGCTGAACATTTTTTCATATACTTCTTGGCTGCATGTATGTCTTCTTTTGAGAAGTGTCTGTTCATGTCTTTTGTGCATTTTCTAATGGAGTTGCTTGTTTTTTGCTTGTTGATTTAAGTCTTTAAAGATTCTTTGTTGGATGCATAGTTTGTGAATATTTTCTTCCATATTGTAAGTTGTTTACTCTCTTAATACTTTTTTTTTTTTTTTTTTTTGCTGTGAGAAGCTCTTCAGTTTAATTAAGTCCCATTTGTCAATTTTTGTTTTTGTTGCAGTTGCTTTTGGAGACTTCTCATGGAATCTTTGCCAGTTCTTATGTCCAGATTGGTGTTTCCTAGGTTTTCTTCTAGGGTTTTTAATAGTTTTAGGTCTTACATTTAAGTCTTTTATATGGTGAAAAGAAGGGGTCATGTTTCATTCTTCTGCATTTGGCTAGCCAGTTATCCCAGCACCATTTATTGAGTAAAGTCCTTTCTCCATTGCTTGTTATTGTCAACCTTGTTGACGATCAGATGGTTGAAGGTGTGTGGCTTTATTTCTGGGCTCTCTAAACTGTTCCATTGGTCTACAGGTCTGTTTTTGTACCAGTACCATGCTGTTTTGGTTACTATAGCCTTATAGTATAGTTTGAAGTTGGATAATGTGATGCCACCAACTTTGCTCTTTTTGCTTAGGATTCCTTTGGCTACTTGGGCTCTTTTATGGTTCTATATGAATTTTAGGATAGCTTTTTCTAATCCTGTGAAAAATAAGGTTAGCAGTTTGATAGGAATAGCACTGAATCTGTAAATTGCTTTGGGCAGTAGAACCATTTTAACAATATTGATTCTTCCTACCCATGAGCATGAAATGTTTTTTCCATTTTTTCTTTCAGTAATATTTTATAATTCTCATTGTAGAGATCTTTCATCTCCCTGTTTAGCTGTATTCCTAGGTATTTTATTCTGTTTGTGACTATTATAAATGAGATTGCATTCTTGTTTTGGCTCTCAGCTTGGACTTTATCGATGTATAGAAATGCTACTGATTTTTGTATATTGATTTTGTATCCTGAAACTTTACAGAAGTTGTTTATCAGAAGTTCAGTTTGGTTCTTTCTTAAAATGGCGATATCATCTTTCAACTCTTGGATTGTTTTACTGGTTTCCTAGGAGGATTTGGGCAGAGACTGTGGGGTTTTGTAGGTATAAAATAATATCATCTGCAAAGGGAGATAGTTTGATTTCATCTCTTCCTATTTGGATGCGTTTTACTTATTTATCTTGCCTTATTGCCCTGGACAGGACTTCCAATACTATGTTGAGTAGGAGTGGTGAGAGTGTGCATTGTTGTCTTGCTTTGTTTCTCAAGGGGAATGCTTCTAGCTTTTGCTGTTCAGTGTGATGTTGGCTGTTGGTTTGTTATAGATGGCTCTTATTATTGTGATGTATGTTCTTTTGGTTCCTAATTTGTTGAGGGATTTTAATATAAAGGGATGTTGAATTTTATTGAAAGCTTTTTCTCCATCTATTGAGATGATCATGTGGTTTTTGTTTTTAGTTCTGTTTTTGTGATGAATCACATTGGTTGGTTTGCATATATTGAGACAACCTTGCACTCCAGGAATAAAGCCTACTTGATCCTGGTGGATTAGCTTTTTCTTGTGCTGCTGGATTTGGTTTGCTAGTATATTATTGAGGATTTTTGCATCTATGTTTATCAGGAATATTGGCCTGAAGTTTTCTTTTTCTATTGTGTCTCTGCCAAGCTTTGGTATCAGAATAATGTTGGCCTCATAGAATGAGTTGGGGAGGAGTCCCTTCTTCTTAATTTTTTGGAATAACTTCAGTAGGATTGATACCAGCTCTTTTTTGAATGTCTGGTAAAATTCGGTTGTGAACCGTCTGGTCCAGGGCTTTTTCTCGTTGGTAGGTGTTTTGTCATGGATTCAGTTTCAGAACTTGTTATTGATCTGTTCAGGGTGTTAATTTCTTTTGGTTCAATCTTGTGAGGTTGTATGTTTTCAGGCATTTGTCCATTTTCTTCCAGGTTTTCTAGTTTCTAATCATAAAGTTGTTCATAATAGTCTCTGAGGGTTTTTTGTATTTCTGTGGGGTTGGTGGTAATGTCACCTTGGTCATTTCTGATTATGTTTATTAGGAGCTCATTTTTTTCTGTTTATTAATCCAGCTAGCAGTCTATTAATCTTGTTTATTTTTTCAAATAACAAGATTTTGGCTTCATTGATATTTAGTGTCGATTTTTTTTGTTTCAGTTTTGCTCAGGGCAGCTCTGGTTTTGGTCATTTCTTTTCTTCTCCTAGCTTTGGAGTTGGTTTTCTCTTGTTTTCTAGTTTCTCTAGGCATGATGTTAGGTTGTCAGTTTGAAATCTTTCTAACTTCTTGATGTAGAAACTTAGTGTTATAATCTTTCCTCTTAATACTGCTTTAGTGTGTTCCAGAGATTTTTGTATATCTTAATTTTCATTATTTTCAAATAAGTTTTTGATTTCTGCCTTAATTTCATTCTATACCCAAAGGTCATTCAGGATAAGGTTGTTTAATATCTATGTAATTATATGGTTTTGAGAATTCTTTATGGTATTGATTTATATTTTTAATGCACTGTGGTCGAAGAATGGGGTTGGTGTGATTTCATTTTTGTTGAGTTTGTTGAGAATTGCTTTATGGCTGAGCATGTGGTTGATTTTAAAGTAGGTGCTGTGTGTAGATGAGAAGAATGTATATTCTGTTGTTGTGGGGTGGACTATTCTGTAGATATATGTTAGATCCAAATGGTCAAGTGTTGAGTTTAAGTCCTGAATGTCTTCATTGGTTTTCTGCCTCAATGATCTGCCTAACATTGTCAGTGGGATGCTGAAGTCTCCCACTATTATTATGTGGTTATCTAAGTCTCTTCACAGGTCTCTCTGAATCTGGGTGCTTCAATGTTGGGTGCATATATATTTAGGATAGTTAAGTCTTCTTGTTGAATTGAACCCTTTATCATGGTGTAATGCCCTTCTTTGTCCCTTTCGATTGTTGTTGGTTTAAAGTCTGTTTTATTTGAAATAAGAATAGCAACCTCTGCTCTTTTTTGCTTTCCATTTGCTTCATAGATATTTCTCTATCCCTTTACTTTGAGTCTATGGATGTCATTTCATGTGAGATGGGTCTCTTTAAGACAGCATACAGTTAGGTTTTGCTTTATATCCAACTTGTCACTCTGTGCCTTTAAATGGCATTTAACCTGATTACGTTCAAGGTCAATATTGATATGTGAGGATTTGATTCCGTCATCATGTTGTTAGTTGGTTGTTATATAGACTTGATTGTATAGTTGCTTTAGTGTCGGGGGTTCTGTACTTAAGTGTGTTTCTGTGGTGGCAGGTATTGGTCTTTCATTTCCATGTTTAGCATTCCCTTAAGGACCTTTTAGAAGGTAGGTCTGGTGGTAACAAATTCCCTTAGCATTGCTTGTCTGAAAGGGATCTTATTTCTCCTTCTCTTATGAAGCCTAATTTGGCTGAATATGGAATTATTGGTTGCAGTTTCTTTTCTTTAGGAATGCTAAACATAGTCCCCCAATCTCTTCTGTCTTCTAGGGTTTCTGCTGAAAGTTCTGTTAGTGTGATGTGGTTCCCTTTGTATGTGACATGCCCCTTTTTTTCTAGCTGCCTTTAAGGTTTTTGCTCTCACATTGACCATGGAGAATCTGATGACTATGTGTCTTGGGGATGGGCATCTTGTGTAGTATCTTGAAAGCGTTCTCTGAATTTTCTGAATTTACATGTTGACTTCTCTTAATAAGTTTGGGAAAATTTTTGTGGATAATATCCTCAAATATGTTTTCCAGGTTGCTTGCTCTCTGTCCATCTCTTTCAGGTATGTCAATGAGTTATAAGTTTGGCCTCTTTACATAATTCCATATTTCTTTGAGGTTTTGTTCATTTTAAAAAATCATTTTTTTCTATATTTTTGTCTACCTATCTCAATTCGAAAGAGTAGTCTTTGAGCTCTGGGGTTATTTCCTCAGCTTGGTCTATTCTGTTGTTAATGCTTCCAATGGCATTATGAAATTCTTATAGTTAATTTTTCATTTCCAGAAGTTCAGTTTTGTTCTTCCTTAAAATGGCTATGTCGTCTTTCAACTCTTGGATTGTTTTACTGGTTTCCTTATATTGGATTTCAACCTTCTCCTGTATCTTGTTGAGCTTCCTTGTCATTTAGATTCTGAATTCTATGTCTGTCATTTCAGCCATTTCAATCTGGTTAAAAATCATTGCAAGGGAGCTAGTGTGGTTGTTTGGAGGTAAAAAGGCACTTTGGCTTTTAGAGTTTCCAGAATTCTTGTACTGGTTGTTTCTCATCTCTGTGGGATGATGTTTCTCTAATCTTTGAAGTTGCCGTCCTTTGGATGGGGCTTTTTGCTTTTATATTCTTTGATGCCCTTGAGGGCTTAACTGGTATAAGTTGGCTTTAGTTGATTGGCTTTGTTTCTGGATGGTTTCAGGGGGCCAAGGCTTCGCTCAGCACTCCTGAGCTGCACACTCTAACTCAGGCTTATGGCTTTGTTTTCTGGCCCTTCAAGGTAAAGCACCTGCTGTGCTGGAGGGGCTGAGATGTTCCCAGTTTGCTGGCAACAATACTCCAATGGTGGCTGGAGGGGCCATGGGAGAGTGTGTTGCAGTTAACGGCTGCAGGTGAGTATGCATTGATGGGGAAGCAGGGTGGGGCCATGCACCCCCTGACCTTGAGCTTCCACCAGGCACTGAGTACAAGGCAGGTATAATGATGGAGGCATCTGGGACCCAAATGTTGAGTTCTGATTCTATCAATAACAGATTACTCAAACTGAGCTTCCATTTCCTCATCTGCAAAATAGAGGCAATAATACTTATTCTACAGGGAGTTCATGGGGATTTGAAGTATTGTGCACAGAAATTCATGACATCTATTTTCCCTTGGCTAAAAATTTCAGTGGAAAGAGTGGCTAAAATTGTTTTGGCATGTAAGTTACCTTAAGTGATACCATGTACTGATAAAACCTAAACCTTGATTTCACTTTCAAACAGAATAATTTTTTGGTTGGATTGTCTAATCTATGAGCATTTTTCTTAGGAGAAGCAGAAAGCTATAAAGGAGTAAATTTATAGAAATCCACCTTTGTAAACCTCCCATCCCCTCCTGCTCTGGAAAGTGAAGGCATACCTGGAAGAGGGTGGTTGTACCAGTGTCCTCCCTGCCCCAACATGAAAAGCCACTGTGCAGGATATCTATAGTGAGCAGGATGCCTGCTGAGGGATTTTTACCAGGAATGCCATGAGAGTGCATACATAAGACTCCATCTGAGACATGTGCTGTAAAGATGCAGGACAGAGTGGCTCAGGGAGACCCCAGCGATGGTACAATCAGGTCCTATGGTTGGGGACACTAAGAGGGTCTCAACGCCCCCTAGCTCTTGGTGTCCATGCCCCTGTGTCCCCTCCCCTTGAATGTAGGCAGGACCTGTGACTCGTTTCTAGTGAATAGAACATGGCAAAGGTGATCCGATGGCATTTCTGTGATTATGTCACATCAGAGTGTGATTTGTGTCTTGCAAGCAGACTCTCTCTGTTGCTGGCTTTTATGAGGTAAGATGCCATGTTGTGAGTTGCCCTGTGGAGAGGCCCATGTGTCCAGGAGCTGAGGGTGGCTTCTAGCTGGACAGCTGGCAAAAAAATTAGGTCCTCCTCCAATAGCCTGCAAGGAACTGAATTCTGCCAACAACCACAGAAGCTTGGTAGCAGATCTTTCCCTGGTTGAGCCTTGAGATGAGGCTGCAGCCCTAACCAATACCTTGATTGCAGCTAGTGAAGGACCCTGGAACAGAAGATGCACCTGAGCCATAGGTGGATCCCTCCCACAGGTGCTGGAATATTATAAATGGATGCACCTTCAAGCTGTTACATTTGTGACAATTTGTTACACAGCTATAGATTGCTAATACAGATCTTAAAGGGGCTGGGGAATGTTATAGGGGGAGAGTTAAAGCAAGAATATTCCAGAAAAAGGAGTAGCAAATGCAAGTGACATGGCCTTAGGGGGTATGTACTGTCAGGAAACAGGGCAAGTTTAGTGCAGCTTTTTGTGAAAAATGTGGGGAACATCAGGAGATGTGGGTGGAGAAAGGGTTTGGTGCCAGATTGTAAAAGGCCTTATACAGTGTACTGAGGGGCTCAGGCTATAACCTGCAGACTTTGGGGAATGATCAGAGGGTTTTAGTCTGGGATGGCAAGTATCAGATTTTTATTTAGGAAAAAACTACAGTAGTACAGAAAATAAATGGAAGTAGAGCAATGGGTCCAGACATTTGCTTAAGAGTGATGCATTATGTGATCCTTATCACACCTCCTTCACTATAAGCCGGGTCCCTTAGTCTGAGGTGATAAGGGATCATGCTATCCCATATGTCAGGATCAATAGTGATAAAAAGGCACACTAAGTCTTCAAATAATGGTGCTGGCAGCAGCACAGCATGCAGGGAAAGGAAATCAATATCTATAGTCAATTCCGTAGGAATGAATTGCTGCTCCCTCCAGGGTGGGAGATATGCAAGGTAGTTAACCTAGCAGCAGGTTAATTACCAGTAGCTGGCTTGTCTGCTCCAATGCTCTACTGCTGGTTCACTGGGTAACTGGGTAGGCCATAGTGAGTGGAGGCTATGTGGTTTTGTCAATGAGCAGTGTTCCTCCTGTACTGCCACCATGGCTGCTCCACTCGTGGGCCACTGTCCATGTACTAGGCAGCTGAGGACAGAAGCTGACATTTCCTGGATAAACTACTCTGTCTACCTTGTTGTCTCCTCTAAGGCACATGCTCTCCAGTAGGCACTGATGGGAGACAGGAAGACCCACATGTGTGTGCCCTGAAGTCCCAAAGGCCCATCCTCACATCTCTGCAACTAGGCTTTTGTTGAGGACCATGTGCCCAGCTGGGTTTCATAATGGGTATAGGCATAGAGTGACTGCTTTGTGTCTTCCATTTTCTTTCTTTTGGATTGGAAATGTCTGTTGTGGTTCTCCCCTGATTGCCTTGACACCGTATTTTGGGTGCATCTGGGGTGGATACTTTGTCTTTGGAGTTCACAGATCTTTTGATCAGGAGGAACTGCTTCTGGAGGGCTGCTTCCAGCCCTGATTGAGTTGATGATGATTGAGATGAAGGCAGTGGGTTCTGGGTCTGAGGAATGGCTCACACTTGGACCTCAAGACTGAGCCTGATTCTATAATGGAACAAAACTGTTAGGTACATTGAGAGCAGGGAGTAGATTTGCGACATGGATCATTAAGGTCTACAGTAGGCTTAGCAGCTTCCACTTTTGTATTTTTGGGAACCCTGAGCCTTCATATAAGACAATCACTACTCTGACCAACAAAATTGTGAGGCAGTAAAATTGTTGTTTTAAGCCACTTACTTCTGGGGGAGTTTGTTACATACTAATAGATAACTGAAACATGGCTATTGCTATGCAACAAATACCAACAACACCTAGCTCATGATGGGCAGCTCCAGTTGTTTGTGTGGATAGGTGCTCACTCCTTAGTAGGGCCCAGTGATGCACAGGGGCTGCTATTTGAAGTCCTCTGCGTGGCCTTATTCCAGATACCTGGGGTCTCTGCTGTGATTTTCCTACTGGGGCTTGCTAGAGATTCCATGTGGTCTCCTAATCTGCCTTGGAAACCTCTAGCTCATTTGGATTTGTCAGGTCATGGTTTGCTTTGGAAGCTGGCCCTGGAACCTGGACCTTCTACAGAACCCTTGTGGCTTGGCCGCCTTCTGGGAGCACCTAATATAGAGACTGAAATTGAATGCTCAAGTGCAGTATATGTTTCCTCCAAAATCTAGATCAAGTTCTAGTCCTCTTTCTTATTGGTATGGGAGGCAATGACTTACCTTTGACCTTTCTCCAGGCTATTGGACCCCTGAAAGCATCACAGATGTGGGAGGACCCTGAGTTTTTTTGAGGTTTATCTCTCACACTATGGAATGCATGTTTCTTATCATTGCACTTATAGCTTTTACCACTCCTGTGCACCAGGTACAGTAAGTATGATCTCGCCAATGTAGTGGACCTTGTGAAGCTATGTGGATTGTTGGGTGATCCAGGTCCCTGTGAAGTATTTTGGAATGGGCCAGGAGAGCTCACCCAGACCTGGGGCAAGAGAATGAATGTGCACTTCTCTCATTACCATGAATGTCAATGACTTTTGGTCTCCTTTAGTGATGAGGATTGAAAAGAACATATTCATCCAGACCATAGCTCTGTACCAACTGCCAGAGGCTGTGCTATTTGTTCAAGTAAATATGCTATATCTGGCCCAGCAACAATGATGAGGGCTGTTGGTTAAGTTCATGGTAGTGTGCTGCTATGGTTTTAATGTTTGTTTTCCCTCCAAAATTCAACTTGAAGCTCAATCCCCAAAGCAATTGTTTTAAGACATGGGGCCTTTAGGAGGAGATTAAGTCTTGAGGGCAGAGCACTCATGAATGGGATTAACAACCTTATGAAAGGGCTGGAGGGAACCAGTGAGGCCCCTTCTGCCCATCCATCTTTCTGCCATGTGAGACACAGAGTTTATCCCCTCCAGAGGATGCAGCAACAAGTAGAGACCAAGTCCTCACCAGACCTCAACCCTGCTGGTGCCGTGATCTTGAATTTCCAGCCTCCAGAACTGTGAGAAATAAATTTCTGTTTTTTAGAAAAGAAATTATCCAGTCTCAGGTATTTTGTTATAGCAGCATGAACAGACTGAGACACACGCCATTCTTACCTTACTCTTTCTGGGTTTTGCAGGGGCCATGCAAGTGAGTTAAATAGGGATAGGCTAGGGACCGTCAACCAGAGTATTGATTCTGATTTATTATCTTGGCTGGGAGGGGGCAGTTTCAGTGGCCTCTGTCTGGCTCTTCCTACCATAAGGGCTTACTCCATGCAACAGAAAATGACTGTGAAGTTTCTACCCATCTGCATGAGCAATAGCTCAAATGCCAAAATGCAGGATTATGCATCAGGTTTGGCAGCTAGATAGTTTTTAGTGAATTTTTTGAAAACAGTTTCATTTGTGGGTACAAATACCTGAATCTAAGGGTAGAGAAGTGGCTAGGAAGTGAGAAGGAGGAGGGAGGGAGCAGAAAGACTGTGCCCTTAAGGTGTTTGAAAGCAAAGGGAAGAAAGCAGAGAGGATGAGAAAAAGTGTTTTGAGGATGGTGGGTAACCGAGCTTGCGTGAGGTTTGATGGAAGTTTCAAAGCAGGAGAGAGAAGTCAGAGACAGGAGAGATTGGAGGTGACAGTGGGACAGGAATTCTGGAGGTCAGCAAGTGATCCCCATGCCCAGAAGGGGAAGCCAGCCTCCCAACTTACAGCAGGGAATTGGTTAGGTGAGGGTGCTCCTGATGAATCGTGCATAGTTTCTCTTCTAAATAACAAGCAAAGTCAGGGAAAGGCAAGAGAAAGGACACTTGGTAGACATTGTCCGTGAACCACACAAATCCTCTCTCCCAGAATGTGTCCTCCAAAATTCGTATGTTGTAATTTTATCATCAAGATGATAATATTAAGAGGTGGAGCCTTTAGATAATAATTAAGTCATGAAGGCAGAGCCCTCATGATGGGATTAGGGACCTTATAAAAGGGCTTGAGGGGGCTGGGTGCAGTGGCTCCCACCTGTAATCCTAGCACTTTGGGAGGCTGAGGTGGGCGGATTGCCTGAGCTCAGGAGTTTGAGACTCACCTGGGAAACACAGTGAAACCCTGTCTCCACTAACATACAAAAAATTAGCGGGGTGTGGTGGGTGCACACCTTTAGTCCCAGCTACTTGGGAGGCTGAGGCAGGAGAATTGCTTGAACCTGGGAGGCGGAGGTTGCAGTGAGCCGAGATCATGCCACTGCACTCCAGCCTGCATGACAGAGTGAGACTCTGTCTCCAGAAAAAAAAAAAAAAAAGCCAGTGGGGGCAGCTTGAGGGAATGGGTTCACTCTCTTCTGCTTTTCTGCCCTGTCAGGAGACTACATTCAGGGTGCTTTCTTGGAAGCAGAAAACACTGGACCTTCTGGTGCCTAGATCTTGGATTTTGCAGCCTCCAAAACTGTGAGAAATAAATTTCTGTTATTTATAGATGACTTAGTCTTCAGTGTTTTGTTATAGCAGCATAAACAAAGACACAGACTGTCTGTATTTGTGAGTTTTGACAATTGATTGACAGTGCACTTGTCAGTAAGTGTGCCATAAATCACGGGAGGGAAAGTTTGGACTGTAGGAAGGAAAAGAATGATTGATTGATGTGCAATAGTAGATGAGTGGACAGGGGACCATCTTTAAATGACTACAAGCTAGTGCAAGAAGTATCAGATGGGGAGGGAGAGCATGGCCATGAGCAGTAAAGTCACAGTGTGGTCCTGCAGGCAGTGAGAGCCAAATGGCAAGAAACAAGGGTGAAGTCTATTTCCCCACGGATTAGCACACTTGACCTCAAATCTTGTAGACTGGCTCTTGCAACCTTCATAGAGATGGGATTGCTGCAATCATGTGGCTTGTGGGAAAAGGGAAAAAGTAAAAAAATTACTATATTCCAGAGACTACTCAGGCCCACGCACCATGCCCGGCACTTCATGTGCATCAGCTCAATGCAATCTCCCCAAACTCTAATGAAGTGTGTGTTACTACCCCATTTTTAGATGAGAACATTGAGGCTTGGATAGCTGAAGTAACTCGTTCATAATTAACAGAAACAGATTCAAAGCCAGGTCTCCCGATACCAAACCTTTCCCCAGCACACTCATGGCCTGGTTGGGATATCACCCTGCCCAGCTGCCACTGTGCTCAAAATTCTTTTCCAGGTGATCCATCCTCTGAGCTAAGGTATAGGTTCTCAACTTCGGTTGCATATTAGAAGCTCCTGAGGAATTTTAAAATTACTGACACCTTGGCTGCTGTCCATACCAACGAACTTGCAAACTGTAGCTACAACCCAGTCATCCATGCTTTTAAGAGTTTCCAGATGGGGCCAACATGCAGCCAGGGTGACGATGTTATGGCTCATTCGGGTACTTCTTTAGCTGAAAATACTGCAGGTCAGAACATTATGTTGTCAGCCACAAACGTCCTCATTGGAGGTCCACTTATCAGATAAGAAGAAAACAGCACAGGACAGGATGTGAGAGGGTCAGGTCCTGAGCAGGTCATTTATACCGTGGGGGTGGGTTTCTTGAAAGATCCAGGGCATGGGGACATTAACAGGGAGGCCTGGCCATGGGGACATAGAGGCAGTTGAAGAAAGGGAGACAAAGGGATAAAAACAGACATTAGTATGCCCCAAGTCAAGATGTAGCTGGTGATAACAATACTAGTTACCAGGGCTGGATGCTCTATGTGAATTTGATGGTTTAATTTATGCAATAACTTAACGCAGTTGGTACTATTAATACTTCTATTTTGCAGGATACTGATATCTAGAGTTTATATGGTTTGCCCAAATCAACACAGTGAGAATTATTTAGTAGATCCAGGATTTGTACCCCAGAGGTCTGAGTCCAGTGCCAGAGCCTCTAGCCATATTGCTCTCCTGGGTCCGTGCAGCTGAGGTGGGGCCCAGAAGCACAGCCACTGAGGATAGGAGAAAAGGCAGGGCCCGCCAGAGACTGGACGAGTAGAACCATCTGAGAAAGCTGAGGAGCTGGGGCCTGATTCAGGTAGGGATTCAGCTCAGGAGGTCTGCACTAGGGGGGCGTGGGGTGGGCAGCACTGGGATGGGCATTTTGGGCTGGTGCACACTGCCCTGAGGGGCAGGCCCTCTCTCTGATGGCCGGAAATGCTGGGCATGGGGTGACTCTCCAGGGCACAAGAAGAGCTGTCAAATAGGCCGTGCGCAGCAGGCCGCAGCTTTGGGGACCTCTCTGCCCAGAGTGAGGGCAGGCTGAGCAGAGGAGCGCCAGCCAAGCTGCACTGAGAGTCCTAAGCTTCCTGGCTGGGCTCATCCCCTACTCCATCGTGCTCAGGATGCTTCCAGTGCTGGTGAGGTTGGCCTTCAAGAAGGATCCGAGTGGGCAGAGGCAATCGCAGGCAGACCTGCACCCCCAAGGCTGGGAAGCTTGGCTGCAAGGGCGCGGCACAGCCACGGGGCGTGGCTTCCCGACACCAGGGAACCCGTCACCCATGCCTCGTCGCCTTCACGTCCACGGCATCCACCAGCCACACGGCGCCCCCCGCAGTGCCTGATTTCCCGGCCGCATGGGGTGGGGCTCGCTGGGCAACTTCTCTAAGATGAGCCTAGCCCATCGGACCGGGGCGTCTGAGCCATGCCGCCCTTGGGATGCTGAGCTGCAGGGCAAGGCGGGAGCTGGCGCCCCCGGCCGGGAAGGAACTGGGCCCCACCAGGCTTGGGACAGGACTTGTGGGGAACGAGTTTGCCTGGGTGGGGCCCTCCATGCCAACCCCAGGGTCCACGGAGGGTGGGCACCTGCACCTGGCCAAGTGGGCAGGGCTGTCGGGAGCGCCGTGGGGCTCAGCGCCGCATCAGTGGGGCCTTGGGGGTTACACGGCCCTCCTGAGGCTGGGCTCCTGGAGCAGGATCTGGGCCTGAGGAGTTCGCCTGGGGCTGGTAGGGCTGGGCTGGAGGCGGACGCATCAGGTCTGTTATCCCCCAGCTGAGTAACGCTCAGGACCGGCTGCAGGGCTGCGAGAGACTAAAGAGAAATGCAGGAACCATCGCAGCCACTGTGGGTGGGGCATTGCTGTGTTTGTGTGTGTGGTGAGTATATTTGTGTGGGTGGTGTGTGTGGACATGTATGTTTTGTGTAGCATGTGTATGTGTTGTGTGGGTTTGTAGGTGGTGTGTTGTGCATGTTATATGTATGTATGTGTGGTGTATTGTATGTATTGTGTGTGTGGTGTATGTGATGTGGCGAGTCTTGTGTGTTGTGTGTTCACTGCAAATTCACAGGTTCAGCACCAGGCCATGTTCCATGGGAGATACTCAAGGGGTATAAGAATCGGTATGACTGGTCGCTGCCTTTTGAGAGAACTGGCTTACTGAGGGGAAGATGAGATTCCTCACAGCTAAGCATTACCAGGACATTCTGAGTTTCATACGTGTATAGAGGTTTACAGAAAGAAGGTTCGATGTGTGCCAGAGTGGAAACACTTCTGGGAAAGGTGGGACTTTCTTCGAGTTGGAAGGGTGAGGCTAATTTAGCTGAGCAGAGTGAAGGAAGAAAAGTGTTCCAGAAAACACCGCTGTCTGGTGCACTGTCCTTCCAGCTGTGGCGAGTGACCAGCTTGCATGTGGGGCATGGTGCCGGTGCCCTTCCTGCCATATGTGAGCTCCGAAGTAGGCTCAATTCAGTACGGTGCCTGAGACCAACTGGGGTCCTGTTTTTTCCAGGAAAATATGCATCTTTACTGAAATGACACATATTAATCAAATACTACTTTCTGATAAGCCTTTGATGCAACAATTGAAGAAAAAATTAAAAACAAACCTACAGATAGATGTGTTGACAGCCCACCCTGCTCATGACATGCGGCTCAAGTTAGTCATCAAAGTGAAAATGTCAACTGCCGCCTCAACACTCTGTTTCTAAATCTGAGATTTTCTATCCTTGTTTCCTCACCACTTTTTCCATTTCTCCAAGAATATGCCAACCTGGGTGGTGAGACTGAGCTCTCGACCCCTGTGTAGTTTCTCGTGACTGTGAACTGAATATCCCAATGGAGCTACCTCAGCTCATATCTTGGCTAATTATTTCAGCTCCTGGATTTGGGGGATCTTTCTAACTAGGATTTCCCTTGGCAATTCCCTTCTAATTCATTTATTCCATCAGATCTTTCTTCTTGAAAGTAATTTCATTTTTATTTTGACTCTTTATAAAATCACTTGTTGGGTATAAAAGTACCCAAATCTTATATTTTTTCCTGTGTCTTTAAAAATACAATTCAGAAAAATAGAATTTATTCTCTTATTTTTATGCAATAGTTTCCAAGGAATGTGTGTGTGTGTGTGTGTGTGTGTGTGTGTGTGTGTTGGGGGGTGAGGGGCAAGAGAGGGACAGAGAGAGAGAAAGAGAGAGAGAGATAGAGGTTGAGAGAGAGAGAGAGATTGAGAGAGAGGGAGAGATTGAGAGAGAGAGAGACTAAGTGCATAGCGTGGAACAGCAGGACGAATTCAGCTGACAGATTCCAGAAGGCCTTGGGTGCTGAGCTACTGAGGCAGGGCTGGCTCTGAGTCTAAGTGAGAATAGCATGCCCTGGAGCTTGACCTCCTTCACTCCTGAAACCAGGGCAATAGTTTCCAAATCACTGTAGCAGCCAACTTTAAAACCACTCTAACAGACACAGACATATGGCTCCATTCAGTCCTCTCTCCCTCTTCATCTCAGTTCTTATTTCTTTTCGCATCTCTATCTTCATTCTTAGTGGAGTGAGAAATAGCTTCTCATTACCAGCAATACAACTTGGAGACATTTATTGGAGTCCTCGTAGGCCCTGATATTTCAATAGAGAATATAGCACTCCCCATTCTCTCCAATTGTTCTCAGCTGGCTCATTTCCTCCCAATTATGTTTGTCCTTCTCCTTGGGCCACTTTCTAAGGTCTTCAAATTTCACTCATTTCTGGACTCCTGAGTTAGGGCACTGCCCATTTGCTAGGGTGGCTCAGAGTCACAAGCACTTCTTCATTCCTCCATACCGTGTGCTAAGTGTTCACAGAAAGGTGCTGTGATCCAGTTGACAGCCTCAGTGACTTCACCGTAGAGAATGAGAAAGGACAGAGGTAAAATACAGCCATTTCAGAAAATATTAGGTCAAACAGTGGATGTCTAAAAAAACAAGGAAAAACAGGTGCAATCTTCTGGGCTCTATTCTGAGAGTTTGGCTGACCTTAGCAGGTGGCGGCAGGGGAGGGGGTGGTAATCTCTGCCAGCTTGTCTCTGTTTCTCCCAGGTGCTACCAAGTTGCAGCTGGGAGCTCTAGCTGAGCTAAAGTGCAATTGCAATGAATTGAGTTTGGTAGTGTGTAGGTGGCTTGGCAGAGCTTCCAGCCCCTACGGTCAAGATGAAACTGACATCTATGATCTTTTCCAGTTACTTCTGTGGCCTTGGGTGAGTCTCTTTATCTCTCTAGACCTGTTTCCCTACCAATAACATGAAAGATTTGGATGGATGGTCTCTACATTCCCTAGTCACTTTCAAAGTCTGTGATTTTATGAAGCCATCGCTATGTGCTTTCTGCAGTAGCACATCATGTCCTGAAGGTACTCGGAGGAACCCAGGAGTGTTGAGGGAGGGGGTCCGCATGACAGCTTGAGCTGGGTGTTCGTTTAATCGCAGAGGTCCTGGAGGGGTTGGTCAGTGAAAATCCTTTCCTAGAGATCTTCCCCTTGGCCCCTATTCCCCTTCTTTCCCTAACATTTTTGAGTGCCAAATTGTCGACAATCCCGTTTTAAGAAATTTATCTAAATCATTATTCGCTGGCATTTTCCTCATAAAGCAACTTGGTAGATTTTTCCTGCAATATCCTTCAAAAGTAGAGCTTTATTTGTTTAAGGCTGATTTGCGGACAGGAGGAGTGATGGCCAAAGACAGGGTTGAGCCAGGGACCAGGAAGCTGCAGGGTGACCAAGAGAGATATCTGGATGCAACACATGAAGTCACTATCATTCTCAAGAGCTGAGAAAGGTTTTTCTGAAACAATAGATTTCCTGGAGGCTGAGGCCACGAACTTGGCAAATTTGCATTGTAAGACAAGCCATGCAATGTGCTCTTTTATCTGCTATTAAAAAGTACCAAGCTGCAGGCCGGGTGCAGTGGCTCATGCCTGTAATCCCAGCACTTTGGGAGGCTGAGGTGGGTGGATCATGAGATCAGGAGTTCGAGACTCGCCTGGCCAATATGGTGAAACCCTGTCTCTGCTAAAAATGCAAAAATTAGCTGGGCATGGTGGCTCGTGCCTGTAGTCTCAGCTACTCAGGAGGCTGAGGCAGGAGAATCGCTTGAACCCAGGAGGCAGAGGTTGCAGTGAGCTGAGATTGTACCACTGCACTCCAGCCTGAGTGACACAGCGAGACTCCATCTCAAAAAAAAAAAAAAAGGTACCAAGCTGCATATGCCAGGGAGTGTAATATTTGCGTTGGGTTGAGCAGGAGAACGCAGACTCTTCCGGCCTTAGTGGAGGTGAGGGGGATCAGCCATCTCCCACCCTTCTTTCTCCATCTGAAATAATAAACAATCTCTCACCATCCCTTCCTCTCCTCCTGCTTCAAAGGCTCCTGACTTGTGGTATTGAGTGCAGTGTGGTGCTATGTAGTGTTTACGCTCAATTTTGAGGCAGGGGAATGGCATTTGAGAATGAATTAGAACCCAGCCTAATCTAGCCATTTGGAACAAAATCTCATCCTGCCTCTCCGATTTATCTTCAACAAACCTCTGCCAGCTCTCTCCAGAGGCCCCTGTGGTGGAACAGTTTGTCTGTGGGCATTTGCTGTTAGGCTGTTGAGGCAAATGCCCATCCTGATATTTTGAAGGATGTGTTTGTGTTCCCTGTGTGTCTTTGCAAATTTGGCCAATGTAACAAAGAACAGAGGTTTACTTAGTGGCCTGTGGTGAGTGACAGCTGTGCATTTCGCCCATCATGGGGACGGAACAGGAGAGGAAGCAATGGCCACAAGTTTTGCCTGGCATCCTGGGATTTGTGCCATCTGCTTTGTGAATCTTTTGTTCCATCCTTCTCATCCAAGGAGAAACTATGTTGAAGAAGCCTGAAACTGTTACTTCCAGCAAGGCGAAGTGGGTGTAAGCACAAGCTCATCCCCCACACAGAACCTATTAGGGGAGAGAGTCACATTGCCAGCTGGTCTGATTTGGGGGACTGAAGTAAGAACTTTGCAATCTACTTCTCAACTGCCTTAAAAAGCTTTAAGAAATGCACTCAAAGTTTAAGCAATATCAATGACTTGTAGACGTGCTATTTCTCACTACAGTTTCAGTGAAAGCTGTTCACTTGATTTATTTTTATTAGCACAAGCACGGAGCTCAATGAATAAAACACAGTCAGGACAAAGATATGGAACAGCGAGCATTGGAGTATCTTAACTTTTCCACAGTCCTTGATGTTCCCTGTGAATGTCTTGGCTGAGAATGATAATATTCTTGGCAAAATGAGAATGCAAACATACCCGCCACAGTGCAGTGAGTGCCAGATCCCAGGCTGAACTTGGTGCAGAGTCTTGGCCAGGCACTTCTCGCTCTACAGTCTTAGCCTAGCAGCAACCACCTCAAATCTTAGAAGATGGTAACGCTCGGTGTGCCTCTTGCTCAGGATGGCTGTGTGGCCTGTGTGCTATGCTCATAAAACATATCTATATGTATATGTGCTGAAAACTGGAAATGCTGCCAGAATATTTCCTAATAACTATTGGATTGTTGTTTAATAGGAAATTTCTCCTCAGAGTCTGCAGCATTCAGCTCCCCACATTTATTTTTGGATAATACAATGAAGAGCATTTCAGTATCATCTCCTTCTAAGTTGAGAAATCTTTTTTTCTTCTTCATTTATTCACAGTTTCTTACTATCTGATAAGGGGAATAATATGTAATTTAAAGAGTTTTATTATACTTTATGTGTTATATGCACTAATTTAAAAGAAGCCTGATAAAATACAAAAGTAAATAGATTTTTAAAAATTATCTGCTATTTTGAATTTCCCAAATTATTATATCCCATTGGTTGGATTATTGAGAGTTGATTTGAAGTCACTTCTCTATATTTAAGAATTAATGTTTTCTTAATTTTTCTTCCATAAGATTGGATAAACTGGACGTGATGTAATGAATGACGATCTTTAAGCCTTTCAGATAGGCTTAAAATTATCACAATGGTGATTCCTAATATTTTGTCATCAAAAATTAATCAGAGCTTTATTGTTCCTTAAGAAACATTTATTTGGCATTTTGGAATTTGTAAACTTGAAATGATTTGGTGATTCTGGGGAGGTTTTTCATCTTAAAACTTGGAGGAAGAATTCCACTGATGAGATGTAAAATATAGTCGGAAGAGATCCTTTCCACACATGAGGCGACTGTGCATGAACTTGGTGTGTGACACCAACCTCTCACCTGCATGGTTTTCCATAATCAGTTGCTACCCATGGTTATTTATCTACTGTGAATGATTTGAAAATTATCAGGCTTGCTCTTCAGTACCTCATCTTCTAAACTCACCTTAAATTTCTGCAAACTAGCTTCTGTGCTTCTTCCAGAACGATCTTCCCACTCACTCTTAGGGGAAGTCCCTTGATAGGGAACTTGAATAACTCCCCCAAGGCACTTTGAAGGCTACAAAGTATTAACTGGGGTTTAGAAAAACAAACCAGGGTGTTCATCTGGCTAAAAGGAAAGAGTGTTAGAGGACATCTTGTAATTTCTAAATCGGCTTCATCCCGAGAGTTACTGTTTTCTGCCACAAATGCTTTGACCTTTCCACATCCATCTAGGAAGTGCAGGTGGCACATCTCTGCTGCACATCTTCTGGAATCAACATTCAGAGAACAGGCAAAGGGTGAAGGCTCATACATTTAGATTAGCCTTTTAAAGTGGTTGCTGTCAGCCTCTGTTCAGTTGGAGATTACTCACCATTCTCTAGAGACTTTAGTGCTTCCTTGTGCCGCCTGCTGGACAACACTGGCTTTCTGTCATGATGGCAGAGACGGAAATATGGGCTATGATCTATGAGTATCTCTTTGGGTTTCCAACAAAATCTCCATGCATGGTTATCTGTAAAACCCACACAAAGCCAGCAGAATTGTAGAAATCTCTGTTATCTAGCATTTAGAGATAATGTAAATAATTTATTTCTCCCTGTTGTTAGCATTTCTGAATTTTCTGTTAACTATTTATTCCTAAATGCTCATATGTGTTAATCTGAGAGAAAGAGGGCAAACTTGACTTTAAAGGTCTGGAAAACCATTAAGTTCTCTTGGACAAGCTCACAGATAAAAATTCCAGGGATAGAGAGCTTTTGCAGCACTGCATGCTTAGAAAAAGACTGCAAAGGCTTGTTACTCTGGGGAAAATCCTTCATTATTCCTGTACTAAAAGGGACAGGCAATAAGGGCAACAATGCCTATTGGAAATCTCTGCTTGATCAGTAGGAACTCCTTAATCTTGTCCTACAGTGATTCTCAGAGTGGAGTGTGCATGAGTCACTTAAGAAGCTGCTTGAAAACACACAGTCTCGTACCCACCCTAGAAATTCAGCATTGAAAGGTCTGGGTGGGTCCTGGGATTCTGCATATTTAACAAACACTCCAGATGATTCTGCAGCAGGATTCTGAAGATCAGTGTCTGGGAAACCCTGGCTCTGGAGAACAATGTGCCAAATATCTCGATATGGAACCACAGCTCATGATTTAGCATCTCATGATTTAGGACTTTCCAGGTTTTCTAGAGTAGCTTTTATTTTTGTATTCATGTATTTATTCATTTTGACCAAATCTTTGGGCTATACCAAATGAGATATTCAAATTCTCTGCTCCTCAAATTTTTTAGATAGGAAAGAATATTAGTACAATTCTGAAGTGAGCTGTTTTTCCACTCCATGGTACTCCCAACCACTGCCCTTCCCAGCCTCACCTCCCTCTACCCAGCCCCCGTAGGCTTCCCTCCACTCTCCTCCACTTTTCTGCAAAACATCTGTTTTCAACCACTCACCACTTTCACAGAGTTTTCTTCCATTTTTGCCCTGTGACAACCATTAGCCTGATATTGTGATAGATGCTTTTCCATTCTCCATACTTCTTTTCACAGCAATCTGCACAATGCTTGCACCATTATTTCCAGTTTATAGAGCAAGAAATTAAGGCCAAGGTGCTCAAGATAACGTAGCTGGTAAGCAGGAGAGTTAGAATTCTTAGCAGGTCTGAAACTCCAAGCCCCATGGCCTTTGTCTCTCACAAGTAAGTTCAAGGTAACATCTTGGGAGAGAATCACTGAATTCCAGTGCTGGGAAATGGCTGAGATGATAGAATCTAAGGCTTTTTTACTCTCTATTTGGGAAACTGAGGTACAGGTTGGAGAAATTGCTTTCCAATTAAATGTTAGACTCAAAACCAAAGTCCACATTTCTTGACTCTCAATCTAAATTATTTCATAGCATCACTTTGTCGCCTCTTAAACTCTTTAAGTTTATGTTAGAACAGTAGAGTTGAGGACAAGTAATAGCTCATGGTTACTCCATTTCTTTAACTCTCATATATAGGGCCAATGAAATGAGATACTTCTGTGGATGGTAAATATTTTGTTCTTATTTTCAAGATTATACAAGATGTGAAAATTAGCATGTCAACTGCTTTAACATAAAAAGAAATTGGATGCATTTCTACAGTGATAGGGAGGAGGCTATATTAGGTGGGAAACTATTTGTCTCCAACAATTCTAAGAAAATGTTTCACTTCTCTGTCAAGAGCTCAATTTCCTCCTACACATTTTACATTTCTTGTTGCAAACCATATTTTTTTCTGTATGAGCCTGCAATTTCTATAGATCTGGTATATTTGAGACCTATTCCATTTACCCACTGCTTTACATGTGTGCAGTCACTGGGAGCTGCCTTTCTCTCCCACGGGTATGAAGTTCATTCAACACTGGCAGCCCCCAATTTGGAAGCAAGAGGTTTTTCTGGGGTGGGATTGGTTTTCCATTAAAAACAAAAAGAAAAAAGAAAACCAACCCTCTCAAAGTTCTATTAACCCTCCAAGGTCTAGTGTATTTATTAGTTCAATGAACAGTATAGGAATAAGTAAGGGTGGTGGAGAGTGGTGTGCTTGCTGCTAGCTGGCTGTTCCCCTAGTGCTGCAGGTTTGTGGCATGTTTTGTCTCAGGCTGTGTTTGTCTTGGTCTCCAGACTCAGAGCTTTAACAGCTTCCTCAAGCTGATGTGATCTTTCAGTGCAATTTTAGCTACGAGTTGAGGGGTGTGTGTGTGTGTATGTGCATATTTGTGTGTGTGATTGCATGTGTGTTTGTATATTTGTGTGTGTGGATTGTATGTGTGTGAGTGTGCACATCATTGAAGACAGTTGAAGCTGCCTAAAGCAATTTCACTCCAAAAGCCAGGAGCTCTTTTCAAAATGTAGCGTCTCCTGGGGGATATTGCTGAATGCCTTTCAGTGCACACATGGACTTGAATCTGCCAGGGAGGCCGTGCTGGCTGGTGGTTGTGTGTTAAGGCTCTGAAGCCAGACTGCCTGGAATCGAATACTTCTTCCATTACCCACTGGTGGTATGAGGTTGGGAAAATGGCTTGACCACTCACTTCCTCACTTTCCCCAGCTGTAAAATGGGGATATTCTGATACCTACCCAATAGGGTTGTTGTGAAGACTAATTGAATCAATAAATTAATAATGATACATTACTTGGAACGGGATGCCACATATAGTAAATGCTCAAAAATAAAAGTTAGTTAACTATTACTTACTGAGAGACATCAGGGAGTTGATGCAGACAGCCAGCCACTAAGAAATAAAGCTTAAACCAGACAGCCAGCTGAGTGATCACCAAGGGAAATGTCATATGTTCTGTTGGGCAGGCAGTATTATGAGATGAGAGCAGGCAATAGAAAATGCCAATGTCAAGGGCAGTCCCCTCAGGCAAAAAGGAAGAAGGAAGAGGAGATGGTGACATTATAACAGGTTGAAGTTGACAAGGGCTGAAGAATTTCCTTATCGCTGTGTGAATGGAGTTGGTTGCTTAAGCCCATTTTATTTTAAGTGTCAGCTGGTGTGCGTAGCAGGGAATTGACTGTAAGATGTGGGAATGACTTACAGACCTGAGGGCAGTGGGCAGCTGGGCCTCAGGAGAGAATGGGACAGGGCGCTGGGAGGCTGCTGGGATTCGTGGGGTATTCTCTCCTCTCTTCTCTCTTTCTCTCTCCGCTTCTTTTTCAGGGTTCTCACTCTGCAGATGACCTCTGCTGCTCCTTGGTTGATTGGATGAGTGGAAGATGGCCACCAGCAACTCCCAGTGCGTGTGCTATTGCTCTGCCATATGGTGATGCTCACATTTTTTGCCCTCACCCACAGGCCCTCATCGTTGGCAGAGGAGATGGGAGTCACTTAGTATCAACAGGGCATGAGGAAGTGTTATAAGTCGTGTATGAGTCATGTAATAGCAACACCAAGGAGAGAGCCTATCACACTTCTCGGAGGAGGCCTCCAAGGAGCACTGTTCACATGGTCCACGATTGCAGCCTGGACAGTAACAGCCACCTTTTATTTTATTATTTTATTTATTTGGTAGAGACAGGGTCTCACTATGTTGCCCAGCCTGGTCTCAAACTCCTGGCTTCAAGTGATCCTTCCACCTCGGCCACCCAAAGTGCTGGGATTATAGGTGCGAGCCACTGCGCTTGGCCCTTTCCTTCTTATTTGGAGCCAGTAAGTGTTTAAATGAGTATTCCATAACAATTAAGTTTATTAAAGACACTGCTTCCATTTTGGAGGTAACACCACTTGATTAAGCAGGTCATTTCTATGGAAGACAAACTTGCCACCGTGTCTTTTTCATCTCATGTACTTTCTTAAAAGTACATTAAAAAAAATAAAGCTACAGATGTGTCTTTCGGCTGTAGAAGTTATCTGATCTCTAACAGGAGGTTCCAGAGAGGGTATCCACCTGCCTGTGATTGAGGCAAAGTGAACCGAGGCACTCACCCCTTGTCACATGCTTTTTGGTGTCTTAGATTTTGCGATGTCCTCTTCATCCAACTTACATGACAATTTTCTCAGCTTATTGTCACATAGGGACTTCAATTTTCAAGTGAATGAGGTTTCTGGTGGAATGGCTCCATAATTTATGATCACCATGGCAACAGTGGGATTATTTTTCTGACTAGCTACTGCTTCTATAAACATACAAGATCATATATGGTCTCATCCACTTGAGTATTTTTTTTTACTTGAATATGTTTTAAAAGGAAAAAGTAAGAAACTTCAAAAAAATATATTGTCATCTCCTCCCCTACCAATGGGGATCACACAGTACAGCCAGGTGGTCAACTTCAGTATTACATAATGATAACATCTGTATTCCTCTTTCATATCTAGCATATATCTCTTCCTAAATGTGCTAAGAATATGTGAGCTGCAATTATAAAGTTTTAATGCTAGATTGAGAATGTAATTTTCTTTCTAGGATCATAGATGAAAAATATGACAGCACTTAAAAATCACCAATAGATCCATAAAGATTTAGAAATCTTTGTCTTTTGATGATGTAGGAATCAGCAGCAAAGTGATGGTGTGACTGACACTCATGGTCATGTCTTGTTGGTACCCCTTTTTGTTGCTTTCCCCATCATGCCAATGACTAGCATGGTGACTGGTGAGCAATTAGTACTTACTGTGTTTGCTGATTAACTGATAATTATTTTTGTTTTTGAGATGGAGTTTTGCTCTTATTGCTGAAGGTGGAGTGCAGTGGTGTGATCTTGGCTCACTATAACCTCCGCCTCCCAGGTTCAAACGATTCCCTGCCTCAGCCTCCTGAGCAGCTGGGATAACAGGTGCCCGCCACCACACCCGGCTAACTTTTGTATTTTTAGTAGAGACGTGGTTTTGCCATGTTGGCCAGGCTGGTCTCGATCTCCTGACCTTAGGTGATTCACCTGCCTCAGCCTCCCAAAGTGCTGGGATTACAGGTGTGAGCCACCATGCCTGGCCTGATTTATTATTAATCAGCTTCTGTCAATACCTATCAGTATATTGTCTCTAAGTCTCCATCTTCTTGTTTCTCCGCACTGGTTATCCATTGAGGATTCACCCAAAAGGAAAAGGAGAGATGAGATCTGGGGTTAAAGCAACAAAAGTAGAAAGAACGTGAAGCTAGACGGAAAGAAGACCAACTTTCTACCCAGCTGGGGAGACTGTGCTTGTCTCTGGGTTTCCATTTCTACAACTCAAGGATTTAGTAACAGATAACCCCTGAGGGTCTTTCTAAATTTCCCTTTCAGTATCTATTTCAACATTTCTGCCAATGATGAGGCCAGAGTATATTAGACGTGGTTCTGTTCATGATTAGGTGTTCTGGGGACACATTTTAGCTTCCTCCTTGGCTCCTTTTATGTCTGGAAAGTTGTTTTCCTTTCCCTTTTTGTCTCCTGTTTTGACTTGTATTATCTGGTTGGATTTTGTGTGCCCTTTTAGGTTATCATAAATCCTTCCTAGACAAGGCAAGGAATGCATTTTAAAATACATGATGTCATGGTGTCTTGATTGATCACCTAATATCTCTGAACTTAAACACGGCCTTATTTCTTGTATTTCTGAACCTGATTTTATTGTGCAGCCACATGTTATTGCTGCTGTGGATATTTCTAACCCTGAAGAGGGATTTATAGTTATAAGAATGTTCTTCTGAAAGTCTCTTTTAGGAAAAAGAGCTTTGCTTCATTAAGATTATTTCTTCTTTGAAATATACAGTTTAAAAAATGCCTTCTATAAAAATATAATTAAAAATTAAAAAAATCTTGGCACAATGTTACACATTCCCTTTCCTTGCTTATTTTCTAAGTTTTCAAAGCTTTTACATGAAAAGTGGTTGCCTGAATAATTAAAATGCAGTGAACTCTTGAGCTTGAACACATTTGATGGGCTAACTGCCTTTTGAATAATTTTTTTCCCCTGAGCCTTTTAAGATGTAAACTTCAAGGAGCAGTGATCCTGAACAGTGTAATTGAGAGGTGCTAACACTGTTACTGCTTGTCAGAAAGTCCTGTTAACTTAGTTGGGGAAAAACACACTTTCTGGATGAAGTTAATTGGAGAGTTAGCTGTTTACCAGAGGTGAAAATAAATTGTCATCCACAGCTAACTGGTGTTGGCTCTGAGCTTCTTCCTGGACTCTATTTCCATAGGACAGAAAAGTCTGAACATTGCCCTGGACAACTGGAGACAGAGCAGACAGAACTAAGGCATCAAGACAAATCCTGTTTCAATGCGAAGTTTAAAATAAGTCAATGCCAAAAAAGCCCATGATCTTCAAAATACAACATTTTAAATAAAGACAGGGTAATTCTTAGGCTAAAACATCGTAGTCAGAGTCCTTCAATTGGGGAAGAGATCTGTATTAGAAGTAATTTTTTCTTAGTGAAGAATCAAAGATTTACTAGTTGGAGAACATGCGAGGATACTGTTTTGCATACTATTTTTTTCTCCAACTATTTTCTTATCCGTTTCTCTAGGGTTAAGTGTGCAGCCAGCTCTGTACTTTGTTGCCTGAGGGAAGTTATTTGGTAAAGTGAAAATCAGAAATAACCTGTAAGATCCTATGCCTTTTATTTTCCAAAACCATAACTCTTGATGTGAATGTGGAGGGCCTGCAAAAGAAGTAAACATGTTGGAGAGAGTTCCATGGTATAGACAAGTGGCTGAGGTAAAAATATGAAGGGGGAAGGGTTTTCCTGGACTTAAAAGATTCTTTTAGGACATGAGCCTGCAGAAGGATGGAAAAAAAACTCCCCACATGACTGAGGTTAATTTCTTTTGCTTGTTTGGTGGGAGTAGGGACTCAAAATAGAAATTAATTGCATTTATTGTAAAATAATGGTGTAATATTTATCATACACTTTAGTTTGTGAACTAAGCATCATACTTATTAGGTTATCAAATTGTATTTTACCAATATAGAGTTTAACATAATTGTTTCTATTCTTATTACCAAAATACATGAGGTACAAGAGTAAGGACTTTGTAAATCTATGCACCGCTGTTTCCTCTGGCATAGAGTACATGCTGAATTAATGATGTGGTAGATAAATGAATTACAGTGCATAAGATGGTTGTTTAAACTCTTCTGCATAGTAGAAGAGCAAGTGTCCAGTTTATATTTTAAAGAATAGTGTGTATTACTTACATATTTCTGTGTGTGTATGTATACCATAATAAGAGTAGCAATCATATTTGATATAACTTATTCAATGAACAAGTCCTTTGAAAATTATGAAGTGCTCTACATGAGCAAGGTATCTATCACATTAATATTAATTAAATATAACCTTAGACTGGCTCCAAAGTTTATCAACAACCTATCCTGCAGTAAGCTTGCCTGCATTTGGAGAAAACGTGGACTCTAGAAGTGGATGCATCTTTGGAAACACTGTGACAATTATGCGAAGGTGCAGGTAATTTTGTTGTCTTTGAAAAATAGGTGATAGTGGTGTGGGGTAAGGGGTAAACTGAGCTGGAAAGTAATGAATGAGATTAGTAGGACTCTGTTTTGTCTAGAGTCAAGCTGAGCTAAACACCCTGGCACATGACCTGAGTTCTGAAAGATGTTGACAGATGCAAAAATAAGATATACCGTTTGCTATTGTTTCCATGTTGGCCCAGTCATCCTGCTGAATCACTGCCACTATTTCCTGAGCCTCGGGTTAGGGCTGAGACCCTCAGCAGTCTCATCAGTCAACATCTTCCATGGTCCACAGATTCATGAGAAGTCTGGGGCACATAGTCACTGGCTGCATTTTAAAGCAGCAACTTAATGGAGCCTGAAATTTTAAGTTATCATGGATGGAGATGAGATTGTCTACCTACCTTTTGGGAATCTGGAAACGGTTGATGGGATGAGCTCTTGGGAAGAATGGTGACTATGTAAATATAAATCAGATCAAAGACAATAATTCTGCCTCAAAATTGCCTTAGTGGTTAAACAGTGTTCAATAAACATAGTGTAATATTGTGACTGTGTTTATAGCTGTTTCCCAAACCTGTTGTGTCAAACTCACCTTCATGATATTTGCTATAATTAGGTACCATGTGTGTTATTGTTAGCAGATAGTTTTAAAGTGAACTCAAGCTATTTTTAATGTTTTTATCATGGAAAATTTAAAAATACATATAAAAGTAGAAAAATTAGCATAATAAACCCTCATGTATCAAGAGCAAACTTCAACAATCAATAACTTGAGGTCAATCCTGTTTCTTCTCTCCCCATACCCTCTTTCCTCTGCATTTTTTGAAGTAAATCCCAGACATCCTATCATTTCATCCATAAATAAATAAAAGTATGTAGGCCAGGCACTGTGGCTCACGCCTGTAATCCCCACACTTTGGGAGGCCGAGGCGGGCAGATCACCTGAGGTCAGGAGTTCGAGACCAGCCTGGCCAACAGGGCGAAACCCTGTCTCTACTAAAAATACAAAAATTAGCTGGGCATGGTGGTGCTTGCCTGTAATCCCAGCTACTCAGGAGGCTGATGCAGGAGAATCACTTGAACCCTGGAGGTGAAGTTTGCAGTGAGCTGAGATCACACCACTGCACTCCAATCCAGCCTGGGAAACAGAGCAAGACTCCATCTCAAAAAAAAAAAAAAAAAAAACATATATCTCCAAAAAAGAAAGCTCTCTAAAAATTCATAACTATACTGAGGTAGGAGACGGGCAGTACTTGTTTTCTGGTCACAACCCTGCTGACCAAAACAGGATATGGTCCAGACAGGATAAAGTGAAGAAACCCGCAGAAAACAGCAAAAGGCAACAAAAGTGATCCCTAGCAGCTTTCATTGCTCATTGACATAAGGCACTCCCACCAGGCCATGACAGTTTACAAACGTCATGGCAACAGCCCGGAAGTTACCACCCTTTCCATGGCAGTAACGTGGAAGTTATTGCCTCTTTCCTAGAAAATTCTAAATAACCCACTCAGTTATTTGCATTCACCCACCACTTAGTTTGCATGTAATTGAAAGTGAGTCTGATTATAAATGTAGTTGCTGAGAACCCAGACCTTGCCAACCCTGGTGCACTGCCGGTGGTGAGGTAGCCATGCTCCATAAAGAGCAGTACCCTTCCTCAAAGATTACTGTCTTACACGACTGGCTTGCTCTTGACTTTTTTTTTTTTTTTTTTTTTGAGACTAGAGTCTTGCTCTGTTGCCCAGGCTGGAGCTCAGTGGCACAATCTCGGCTCACTGCAACCTCTGCCTCCCTGTTCAAGCAATTCTCCTGCCTCAGCCTCTTGAGTAGCTGGGATTACAGGCACCCGCCACCATGCCCAGCCAAGTTTTGTATTTTTAGTAGAGACAGGCTTTCACCATATTGGCCAGGTTGGTCTCAAACTCCTGATCTCAGGCGATCCACCCACCTCAGCCTCCCAAAGTGCTGGGATTATAGGCATAAACCACTGTGCCTGGTCCTTTCCTAGACAAAACCAAGAACCTTTTTGGGCTAAGCCTGGAATTTTTGAGGTTGCCTGTCCTGCAACAATGCTAGCATTATTACATTAAAAATTGTAGCAATTTTGTAATGTTCTGTAATATCAAATATTCAGTCAATGTGCAAATAGTCTCATAGTCTCCACAGATTGAATCCAAATTTCAAAATGTCTATACATTGCAATTGGTTCATATGTCTCATAAATTTCTTTATTCCATACATTCTTACTTTTTTCCTCACAATTTATTTGTTGCTAATAAATGATGAATTTGTCTTGTAGTGATTCCTTCAATCTGAATTTTGCTGATTACATTCTAAAGTAAAGACCCTTTTCAGTCCCTTACACTTGTAATAATTCAGAAGTACTTCACCCAAGAATATTTCCCAGGCGGTGTTATGTTATTTCATCTGGTTGTCTCTTTTATTGCGATGCTCATTGACAATCATTACCTTGCTTCATTATTCCATTAAGGGGTGCAAAATGGTGATATTCTAATTCTGTCATTCTTTCTTCATTAATAGCTAGAGCAAGTCTATTAAAAAAACTTCCTTTGATCAATTATTTGATGACCTGAGGTAAAATTATATAGGAAAGGCAAATAAATGGATAATCCCTTTTTCAAATTTACCACTTTTAAAAAATAATGAGTTGCTTTCTTAGCATCCACCAAAGATGACCCATGAATTTTTATTATTATCATTATCAATTTCATAGATCTAAAGATTTTTGATGTGTTTCAATCCATTGCAATCATCATTATCATCAATGGCTCAAATTGCTCTATTTTTGGCCATTCAGAGCCACTTCTGAATCCTTTTGACATGACCCCAATAGTCCTTGATAGTTTTCTTGCCTCTGGTGTAAAGATATTTCAGCTTCACCATGTATATTTATATTTATCACGTATATGAAGATATATATTTATGATGATGTATGTTACTATGCTCCACTTCTACAAGGAGCCTTGGTTCCTTAGTGTGGGAAAAGGTATTTAGGAAGCATATTCTGTATTCTAGAGTTGATCACTGCTATTGGCTTGTTCATTGTTTCTATACTTTTTATTGGACATAATGTCAATGATAAAGTATATCTAGTTTATACCAATATTTCCAACTGAAATTTGGAACTACAGGTTTTCATTCAGCCTTATTGATCTTAAATGTCTATTTCTCTTCTCTCATTCTGAAAATATCAATTACCAATGACGTTAATACAACAGTGCATTTGCTTTTTTCCATAATACATATAGAACAACTTTCTCAGAAAATTAACACTATCACCAAACATATGATTATTGAAGAAAGTTGAAGATTTACTTTTGGACAATATTTTTATCTTTAGGATATATCTCTCTAAGGGTATGTGATCAAATTATTGGTTATGAAGTCTCTTGAGAGAATCTCTACATGTGGTTGTGCCACCAATTTGACATGCAGTTAGGTTCACTTATTTCATTTTGCTGTAGGGTTTTAGGAATTTTCTTTTCCCTTTAATTTTGTATTTTTAACTTTTTATTTTGAAATAATCATAGATTCACAGAAATTCACAAAAATAGCATAGAGATGTCATAAGTACTCTTTATCCAGTTTCACTTTACATTATTTTTGGACAATATCAAAGTCAGAGGTTTGACGTTGATAAAACGTGTGTGTATAGTTTTTTGTTATTTTGTCTCATGGATAGATTTGTGTAATCAACATCACAATCAAGATACAGAACTATTCCATCCAGAAAGATCTCCCTAATGCTACTCCTTTATAATTAGGCCCACGTCCTCCCACTACCATGCCTAACTCTGACAACCATTAATCTGTTTTCCATCTCTATAATTTTGTTCATTTTGAGAATGTTATATAAATGGAATTATACCTCATGATATTTTGGATTGGCCTTAAAAAACAGGATAATGTCCTTGAAATACATTCAAGTTGTGTGTATCAATAGTTGGTTTCTTTCTATTTCTGAGTGTTATTCCATGATATGAAAGCACTCCAGTTTGTTTAAGCATTCACCTACTGAGGGTCATTTTGGCTATTTCCAGTTTTGGACTATATGAATAAAGGACCTATAAACAATGGTGTGCAGGCTTCTGTGTGGACATGAGTTTACATTTCTCTGGGATAAACACTCAATAGTGCAATTGCTGGATTGAATGCTAAGTGCATGTTTAGTTTTAAGAAGCCTACCAAACTTTTCCAGAGTGGCTGTAGCATTTTAAATTCCTACTAGCAATGTATGAGAGATCCAATTTTTCTGCATCCTCATCAGCATTTGATGTTGTCACTACTTTTTGCTGAACTGTTCTAAGAAGTATATAGTGATATCTCATTGTGTCTTAATTTGCATTTCCCTAATGGCTACTGACACTGAACATGTTTTCAGATGCTTATTTGCCATCTGCATATTATCTTTGGTGAGGTACCTATTTATGTCTTTTGCCCATTTTCTAATTGGATTGTGTGTTTTGTTGTTGTTGATGAGCTTTGAGAGTTCTAGATATGAGCTCTTTGTCATAGATGTAGCTTGAAAATATTTTCTCCTTTTCATCCTCTTACAGGATCTTTCTCAGAGCAAAGAGTTTTCATTTCAAGTCTAATTTATTTAGTTTTTTTTTTAGGGATTATGCTTTTGGTTTCATGTCTAAGAATGCTCAACAAAAGCCTAGGTCCTAAAGATGTTCTCCTATGTTATCTTCTAATATTTTTTATGGTTTTACATTTTACACTTAAATTTATGATTAATTTTGAGTTAATTTTTGGAGAAGGTGTGAAGTGCAGGTTGAGGTTCATTTTTTAACCTATGGATGTCTAACTACTGTGACTCTATGTGTTGAAAAACCCTATCCTTCCTTCATTAAACTGCTTTTATGCCTTTGTAAAAAATCAGTTGGTTATATTGCATGGCTGTATTTCTGAGTTTTCTGTTCAGTTCCATTAATCTTTGTGGATCAAATGATCCTCAGCCAACAGCCCACTGTTTGATTGCTGTGACTACATAAGTCTTTAAGTCAAGGAGAGTGACTACTCACTTTTCTTTTTTCAGAATTGTTTAAGCTCTTCTAGTTAATTTGCTTTGCTATATAAATTTTAGAATAGGTCCAGCATGGTGGTGCACACCTGTAATCTAGCACTTTGGGAGGCTGAGGCAGGCAGATTGCTTAAGCTTGAAAGTTCAAGACCAGACTGGCAACACGGCAAAACCCATCTCTCAAAAAAAAAAAACAAAAACACCCAAAAGATTAGCCAGGCATGGTGGTGCAAGCCTGTAGTCTCAGCTACTTGGCAGGCTGAAGTGAGAGAATCATTTGGGTTTGGGAGGTTGAGGCTGCGGTGAGCTGAGATTGCACCATTGCACTCCAGCCTGGGCATGGTGAGTGTGAAACCATGTCTCAAAAAAAATATTTTTTTAGTATAATCTTGTCTATATCTCCATAAAAATCTTGCTAGTTATTTTGACAGATATTGTGTTAAACTAGTATTTCATATTGGAGAGAATCGATGTCTTTAAGTTACACAGTCAATATGGTATCCTCTCCATTTATTTAGATCTTCTCTTTTATCTTCTCTTTTAGTTTTCAGCATAACAGTTCTGAATGTGTTTTATTACATTTTATTTTTCTTGAGCTATTATAAATGGTATTGTGCTTTTACTTTTGGTTTCACATGTTTGTTGCTGATGCAGAGAAATACAAATGTCTTCTGTATATTGATCTTATATTTCATAACCTTGCAGAACTCACTTATGAGTTCTATATGGCATTTTTTTGTAGATTCCTTGGGATTCCCTATGTAGACCACTATGTCATCTGCAAATAGGGGCAGTTTATTTCTTCCTTCCCAATCTGTGTAACTTTTATTTCCTTTTCTTACATTATTGGTCTGGCTAGAACTTGCAATATTTTGAATAGCAGTGGTTACAGTGGACATCCTTGCCTCTTTCCTGATCATGTGGGGAAAGCATTTCTCCCATTTGGATTTCAATTATTTACTATGGTGGTTTATGTCTTCTGCCAAGTTTGGGGAAATTTCAGCCATTACTCCTTTGAGCACCTTTTCAGCCTCACCTTCTTTCTCTTCTTCTTCTGACTCTTCCATGACAAAAGTATTAGATCTTTTACTATAGCCACACATGTCCTTGAAGCTCTGTTCATTTTTTTCAGTCTATTTTCTCTCTGTCGTTAAGATTGGTTAATTTCTATTGTTCTTTCTTCCAGTTAATTAATTATTTCCTCTGTCTTTTCCAGTCTGCTGTTGAGTCTCCTCTTTGAGTTTTTTTTTTGTATTTTGGTTATTATAATTTTTGATTCTAAAATGTCCATTTGGTTCTTATTTATATCTTCTATTTCTTTGCTGAGACTTAATATTTTCTCATTTAAGTGATTTTATATATGCTCTTGAAGCACTTTTATGATGTTTGTTTTAAAATCCTTGTCACATAATTCTAAAGTCTTATGTCATCTTAGTGTTTTCCTCTTTTGATTGTCTTTTTAAATTCAGTTGAAGAAATAGCTGGTTCTTGGTAGGATGAGTGATTTTCAGTTAAGACCTGGAAATGTTGGGTATTATAAGATTCTGAATCTTACTGAAATCTTGTGTTTTAGGTCTCTGTAACACTGCTCCATGTTTAAGGGAGGGGGCACTGTCCTGTTATTGCCAAATGATGGTAAAAGTCCATGTTCCCCAGTCAGACACTGTTGACATCTGGGAAGAAGGGGATCCTTGCCATTGCTGGGTGGGGCTGAAGGTTCAAGCTCCCCACTGGATCTCTTTTGATAACACCGTGTCTGAGAGGAAGAGGGGCATCTTGATACATCTCCCCATGTGGTCGCCACTAATACCGTGGTGGTGGGTGGGCAGTGTTCTTTACCGTTGAGCAGGGATGAAAAGTCTTGACTCTCCAGTGAACCTTCTCTGATCCCACTCCAACCTGGAGAGTGTGGGGAACCTCATTGCTACTGGTGTGGGTTGGAGTCCAGGCTCCCCATGTGGTTTCCACTGGTACTACGGGATGGGGAAGGCAGCAGGGACAAAAGTCCCATTTCCTGATTCATCCTTCCCTAACACCTCCCTGGAGGAAGGGGAGATGTGTGCTTCATTGCAGCATGGTACAGGTCTAGGTCTCCAGTTGGCTTTTGCTGGTGGGTGTGAGTGGGGCTGTTTTCTGTAGTGTTGGGCTGGAATAGAGTGGTTATTGTCAAATATATTTTCTCTCTTGCCAGGCTGTCCCTTTCCTGGTCCTTTGAGTTGAAAACCAGGCTCTTGTTGGAGAAGTTTTTTGTCTGTTTCCACTGGAATTTCTAGGTTGCCAGCTTCTGCAGTATTTGGATCTGACTCTAATCAAGATCCAAACCCCCACTTAAGAGTTATGGGATCTAGAGCAATAAGGCTTTGTTTCCCCATTGGTTAAATGTGAATAGTAGAAGTTCCTACCTTATGAGATTGTTGGGAGCATTATATGAGATAGTATACTAGCTCCCCAAGAACAGAGTTAGAACTCAGTACACATCACATATTATTTTATACACTCTTTTGGCAAAAGAATAGAGCCCCCAATAAGGAAATCTCATACCACTAGTGACATACAACTTCAATGTTAGTAGTACAAAGACAAGACATTAGTAACATGCATTTCAGTCTTCAAGAGCTATTTTCATTTCAATGATCTTTAAATTCTTATGATCACACCAAAAAGAAAGTCTCCAGTCATTTTTAACAGAATCGCCTGTTCATGTCACTTTTTTAACAAAGAAAGATTCAGCTGTATTATAAGGCCAGAGTATTAATAGGCAAGAGTAATAGGTGAGAATTTAATTTAAATGTTCTGTTTTCATTCCATGCAATTTTACATTTACTTTATTTACATAGTAAGAAATATTTATTTTCCATTTTATGCTAGTGATATCGTTTACTTTTTAAATAAATTTATTGACATTGGAAAAGTGCCCAACTGGCAAAAGACAGCAAACAACTCAAAAGTCCATCAATAGAAGAGTGCTTGAATAAATTATACACATCCACACAAAGGAGTACTATGCAGCTGTGAAAGGAAGGAGGAATATCCCTATAAATACCATAAAGTCACCCCACAGCCTATTAAGTGAAGAAAAGCAAGGTGTAGAGAAGTGCATATAGTAGTCTATCATTTTCTAGAAAGTGGGAGAATACACACACACACACACACACACACACACACACACGGATATATAAACCAGAAACTGAAGGAAAAAAAAAACATTATCTAAAGGAGAAGAGGTGACAAGGTGGAGGCAACAGGAATACAGGGTAGTCTTAGTTGAATACAATTTACTTTGAATATTTGACTTCAGAAACATAGAAATTTTTTTGCATAATGATAAAACAAAATTAGTGAATGCTGCTTCCAAGAAAATGGAATGGACATACTTTTCCTTATTCCTCCTGCTAACTACAACTTAAAATCCTGCACATTATACATAGATATAAGAAGGCTAACAAAATGGAAAGAAGAAGGCAGACTAGCAGGAGACCTTGAGACCTGAGAAAGGGCATAATAATAATAAACGTTCTTTTTGCATCAAATACAGATCTTGTAAGAACTCATTCACTAGTATGAGAATAGCAAGCAGGAAGTCCACCCCCATGATTCCAATCACCTCCCACCAGGTCCCTCCTCCAACACTAGGGATTACAATTCCATATGAGATTTGGGCAGGGACACAGACCCAAACCATATTGTTCTGCCCCAGCCCTCCTAAATCTCAGTCCTTCTCCCATTTCGAAATACAATCATGCCTTCTCAACAGTCTCCCAAAGTGTTAACTCATTTTAACATTAACTCAAAGTCCAAGTCCAAAGTTTCATCTGAGACAAGCCTAGTCTGTTCTGCTTATAAGCCTGTAAAGTCAAAAACAAGCTGGTTACTTCCAAGATACAAAGAGGGGACAGGCATTGGGTAAATGCTTCCATTCCAAAATGGAGAAATTGGCCAAAGCATAGGGGCTACAGGCCCCATGCAAGTCCAAAACCCACAGGGCAGTCATTAAATCTTAAAGCTCCAAAATAATCTCCTTTGACCCCATGTCTTACATACAGGCCACACTGATGCAAGGGGTGGGCTCCCAAGGCCTTGGACAGCTCTGCTTCTGCGGCTTCACAGGTTACAGCCCTCCCCCACAACCTGCACCAGCTGCTTTCACAGGTTGGTGTTGAGTGCTTGTGGCTTTTCCAGGCACACAGTCAAGCTGTCAGTGGATCTACTATCCTGGGGTCTTGAAGATGGTGGCCCTCTTCTCACAGCCCCACTAAGCACTGCTCCAGTGGAGAGATTCTATACGGGGGCTCCAACCCCACATTTCCCCTCTGCATTACCCTAATAGAGGTTCTCCATGAAGGCTCCACCCCTGCAACAGACTTCTGCCTGGACATCCATGCATTTCCATACAACCTCTGAAATCTAAGTGGAGGCTCCCAAGCCTCAACTCTTGCTCTCTGCACACTCATGGGCTTAACGTCACACGGAAGTCAACAAGACTTGCAGTTTGCACCCTCTGGAGCAGTCGCCTGAGACATATCTGGTGCCCTTTTAGCCATGGCTGGTGTTGGAGTGGCCACAATGCAGGGCACCATGTCTGGATGCTGCACAGAGAAGTGGGACCCTGATCCTGGCCCATGAAACAATTTTTCCCTCTTAGGCCTCCAGGCCTGTGATGGGAGGGGCTTCTGCAAAGGTCTCTGAAATGCCTTGGAGATATTTTCCCCATTGTCTTGGCTATTAACATTCAGCTCCTCTTATGCAAATTTCTGCAGCCAGCTTCAATTCCTCCACAGAAAATGGATTTTTCCTTTCTACCACATGGTCAGGCTGCAAATTTTCCAAACTTTTATGCTCTGCTTCCCTTTCAAATATAAGATCCAAATTCAGGCCATTTCTTTGCTTATGCAAATGAGCACAGGCTTGCTATTTATTTATTTATTTATTTATTTATTTATTTATTTAACAGAGTCTTGCTCTGTTGCCCAGACTGGAGTGCAGTGGTGCCATCTCAGCTCACTGCAACCTCTGCCTCCCAGGTTTAAGTGATGCTCCTGTCTCAGCCTCCTGAGTAGCTGGGACTACAGGCATGCATCACCATGCCCAGCTAATTTTTGTATTTTTAGTAGAGGCAAGGTTTCACCATGTTGGTCTGGCTGTTCTTGAACTCCTGACCTCAGGTGATCCACCTGCCTTGGCCTCCCACAGTGCTGGGATTACAGACATGAGCCACCACACCAGGACAAGCATAGACTTTTGGAAGCAGCCAGGCCACATATTGAATGTCTTGCTGCTTAGAAATTACTTCCACCAGATACCCTAAATCATCTCTCTCAAGTTCAAAGTTCAACAGATTTCTAGAGCAGGGGCACAATGCTGCCAATCTCTTTGCTAAAGCATAGCAAGAGTGACCTTTACTCCAGCTCCCATCTCCATCTGAGACCTCATCAGGCTGGACTTCACTGTCCATATCACTATCAGCATTTTGGTCACAACCATTCAACAAGTCAACAAAATTTCCAAACTTTCTCCCTTCTCCCTGTCTTCTTCTGAGCCCTCCAAAATGTTCCAACCTCTCCTTGTTATCCAGTTCCAAAGTCACTTCCACATTTTCAGGTATTTTTATAGCAGTGCCCCACTTCTCTAGTACCAATTTTCTGTATTAGTCAGTTCTCGCACTGCTGTAAAGACATACCTGAGACTGGGTAATTTGTAAAGAAAATAGGCTTAATCAGCTCATGCTTCTGCAGGCTATACAGGCTTCTGTTTCTGGGGAGGCCTTAGGAAACTTACAATCATAGTGGAAAGCAAAGGGGAAGCAGGCACATCTCCACATTGCTGGAAAGAGAGATAGAGAGAAGGGGGAAGTGCTACACACTTTTAAACAACCAGATCTTGTGAGAAATCAATCACTGTCACAAGAACTGCATGGGGGACGTTTGCCCCCATGATCCAGTCACCTCCCACCAGGACTGTCCTCCAACACTGGGGATTACAATTCCACATGAGATTTGGGTGGGGACACAGACCCAAACCATATCACCTGAAGTTCATTTTCCTGCACTACAGGAAAGCATCACAAAGCACAGCTTGGAGAGGCAAAAATCGCTAACATTCCTATACACCAACAACATCCAAACCAAGAGCCAAATCACGAACACAGTCCCATTCACCATTGCCACAAAAAGAACAAAATACCTAGGAATACAGATAACCAGGGAGGTGAAAGATCTCCACAATGAGAATTACAAAACAGTGCTCAAAGAAATCAGAGATAACAAAGAAATGAAAAACCATTACATGCTCATGGATAGGAAGAATCAATATTGTTAAAATGACCATACCGCCCAAAGCAATTTATAGATTCAATGCTACTATCAAACTACCAATGACATTCTTCACAGAACTAGAAAAAAACTATTTAAAAATGCATATGGAACCAGAAAAGAGTCTGAATAGCCAAGGCAATCTTAAGAAAAAAAAAAAAAAAGCTGGAGGCATCACATTACCAGACTTCAAACTATGCTACAGGGCTATAGTAACCAAAACAGCATGGTACTGGTATAAAAACAGGCACATAGGCCAATGGGACAGAATAGAGAGCATAGAAATAATGCCACACACCATCTGATCTTCAACAAAGCTGACAAAAAAAAGCAATAGGGAGAGGAATCCCTAGTAAATAAATGGCACTGGGATAACTGGCTAGCCATAGGCAGAAGATTAATACTGTACCCCTTCATTCCACCATATACAAAAATCAACTCAAGATGGATTAAAGACTTAAATATAAAACCAAAAGCTATAAAAACCCTGGAAGACAGCTGAGGAACTACCATTCAGTACACAGGAATGGGCAAAGATTTCATGTTGAAGACACTGAAAGCAATTTCAACAAAAGGAAAAGTTGACAAATGGGATCTAATTACATTGAAGAGCTTCTGCACAGCAAAAGAAACTACCCACAGAATAAACAGACAACCTACAGCGTAGGAGAAAATATTTGTAAGCTATGCATCTGACAAAGGTCTAATATCCACCATTTACAAGCAACTTAAACAATTGTACAAGAAAAAACAACCACACTACCCCATTAAAAATTGGGCGAAGGACTTGAACAGACACTTTTCAACAGAAGACATACATGTAGCCAACAAGCATATTGAAAAATGCTTAATATCACTAATCATTAGAGAAATGTAAATCCACAGTGAGATATCATCTCACACCAGTCAGAATGGTGATTATTAAAAAGTCAAAAATTAACAGATGCTGGTGAGGTTGCAGAGAAAAGGGAATGTTTACACACTGCTGGTGGGAATGTAAATTAGCTCATTGTGGAAAGCAGTGTGGCAATTCTGCAAAGAACTGAAAACAGAACTACCGTTCAACACAGCAATCCTATTACTGGGTGTATGCCCAAAGGAATAGAAATTGTTCTACCATAAAGCTGCATGCATGTGTATATTCATGGCAGCACTATTCACAATAGCAAAGACACGGAATAAACCTAAATGCCCATCAACAGTAGACTGGATAAAGAAAATGTGGTACATATATACCATGTAATACTATGCAGTCATAAAAAAGAAAAAGATCATGTCCTTTTCAGAAACATGGATTGAGCTGGAGGCCATTATCCTTAGCAAACCAACACAAGAACAGAAAACTAAATACCACATGTTTTCACTTATAAGTGGGAGCTAAATGATGAGAACACGTGGACACAAAGAGGGGAAAAACAGACACTGGGGTCTACTTGAGGGTGGAGGGTGGGAGGAGGAAGATGATCAGAAAAAAATATCCAGTGCTATGCTTTGTACCTGAATGATAAAATAATCTGTACACCAAGCCCCCATGACATGAGTTTACCTGTATAAAAAAACCTGCATATGTACTCCTGAACCTAAAATGAAAGTTTTATTAAAAAATAAAGCCAGGCATGGTTGCGTGCACCAGTTGTCCTAGGTACTTGGGAGGCTGAGGTGGGAGGATCACTTGAGCCCAGGAAGCTGAGGCTGCAGTGAGCTGTGACCACACCACTGCACTGCAGCCTGGGAAACAGAGCAAGACCCTGTCTCAAAAAAGAAGGAAAGAAAGAGAGAAAGAGAAAAAGGAAAGAAAGAAAGAAACAGACTGTTCATTGGCATTAGTAAGTGACCATAGAAAATGTTAGTAAAATTGGCAGGTGTGTATTTATGTAGAGAAGTAAAAATGTACATATAAGGAACACATATCAACTTCAGGACAGTGGTTACCTCTGGAGAGGAAGAGGAAAAGGTAGAAAAGGGATGTTTTAGCTGTAACTGTGCATTTTTCATCCCAAAAATTTTGAGTCAAAGACAGTTAAATGTTACTTTTATTAAGACTGTCTGGTGACCAGGCATGGTGGCTTATGCCTGTAATCCCAGCATTTTGGGAGGCCAAGGTGGGTGGATCACTTGAGGTCAGGAGTTTGAGACCAGCCTGGGCAACATGGTGAAACATCGTCTCTACAAACAAAAATTAGCCAGGCATGATGGCAGGTGCTGGTATTCCCAGCTACTCAGGAGGCTGAGGCAGGAGAATCACTTGAACCCGGGAGGCAGAGGTTGCAGTGAGCCAAGATCACACCACTGCACTCCAGCCTGGGTGACAGTGTGAGACTCTGCCTTAAAAAAAAAAAAAAGACTGTGTGGTGAGTACATGGAGGTCTGTATTTGTTTTCTATACATTTCTGTACTTAAACTATTTTGAAAATTTTAATAGTGAATAGAAATTGGAAACATTGAGTTTAAAATACTTCTTTGAGATAATTAATGTGGCAAAGTCCCCAAAGAAAATAGGGGAGGGGCAGACTCGAAGAGAAGGGGTCATGTCACAATATCCGATCCTAAAGAAAAATAAGGGGATTGTGACCATCACACAACATCTAGGAGAATGTTATATTCAGGCTTTAAAATGAGACTGTGATCACCCTTTGGTCCACCACCTCCCATAGCTTCCAAACACATCCTGCCAAAATGAAAATTGGATAATGTTATTCTCCTGCTTATATATATTCGGTAGTTGCCTTTTGTCCTAAGGATAAAAACCCAAATTCCTTCCAACTCCAGAAAACAACATTGCAGACACAGCAAATTTCATTCAGTCACCTGAACTTACTCTTGTATTTGGTGGTTTCATGATTAGGAACATGTGGTTGCCTCTTCTTGGAATGTCCATCTCTGCCCCGCTTCTTAGCCACCATACCAAGCTCAAGAAAATTGGTAAAATCTACCCTAACCCTAACTGTCTGAGCTGGTCATCCCCTTCTTCATGTCAACACTGAATCCTTTCGAAAAAAATTATCACAGTGTATTGCAATTAGTGGTTCATGTAACTGACTCACCTACTAGACTGACAGGTCAGAGTAGCTACCTATTAGATTTCGGTTCCCCAGGGCCTTAGACATGCCTGGTATATTGCAGGCTCTCGGTAGTATTTGATAAATGAATTAATTAAGACACATTTAAGTGAACATCAAGCTTTTATATTTAGTAAGATAATTTATTATCAGACTTTCTCAGAATTTTTTTCAACTTAACAAAGTTAAATTGAGCAAAGAACAATTTTCAAATCAGGCAGCTGCCAGAACAAGATTAGGTTCAAAGCAACTCCAAGGCTGTCATGTCTGAGAATTTTTAAAGCTCTGAAATATTATACCTATCTTTCAGGATTAGAATCTGATGCAATTTAGAGAAATAAATTTGTGTTACTTTTTCAGCAAATGTTTAAATATAATTAATCAGAACTTACCTTTGAAACTAAGTCTACTGAGCCATGCTTTTTTATAAATGCTATTACTCTTTCAATAAGTAAACTAGTTTTTAAGTCAACTACTCTATTAGATGATGTAAATTACCAGGTCTCCTGGGCTCTGAAATCCATGAAATTCATTCTATACTGCCTGCTTGGTCTGGAAGAGTTAATTTTCTTTGAATACATGAGAAACTTCCTTATATAGGCTGATTATTTTACCATAACATTAAGCCTCTATTTCACTTATGTATCTGCATTTGTTTCTAGAGTGCTTTGTTGTGTATTTCATGAAGAGCTGTTAATTATATGGGTAAGGATTGTGTTTTTACTCTCAAATATATCACAAAATGAATTTAATTAAGAATGTTTTAGAGGTCTGCTTTTTAGCAGGACATATGCAAATTACTCTGTGCTTTAACAAATTAAAAATCTGTTCCATGGAGTCAAATTATTATAGAAACACCAAATTGCACTTTGGATGGGTTTGTAGCTTAATCACTCAGGGTGAGTTTCATGATGCTTAATTTCTCCTGGGTTTGTTTAATTATGAGTTTCAAGTACATTTATAATTACCATGAATCTTAACTTGGTTAGCTGTACATACACTGATTTTTAAATTTATCACCATAAGGTCATAGTAGACATTTTCTTACATATTCATGCTTCCTGAATAGACTTTAGAGTTGTTTACATATATTCTCTACAAAACTATATATTCTTGATTAGGCTTCATATTTATTATCCCACTTAAAAACCATAGAATACCATTTATATGGCTAAGGGTGATTGGCATTTTATAGATGGAAAATAAAAAAACAAGGCTGGGAGGGTAGGGAACTTGCCCAAGTTCAAATGCCAGAAATGGTAGAACAGGATTTGGACTTGTGCCTTTCTGATTCCAGAGCTCATGCTTTCTGTCACTATTAGGCTGAAAGTGTCTTTAGCTGGGGCATCTGCCTGTGTTTCAGCACTGTGTCCTCCACAGCTGGCAGTACTGCATCTGGCTAGTAGGAGGTGCCGAATACTGTCTGGCTGAATAAATGAATGAATAAATAAACACTTGCAGTATTAAGTTGTATGAGAATATACAATGAAGAAATTCTCAAAAGAAACCTGGGATATATATGAATATTGTCTCAATTTTACAGGTGAAGAAACCAAGTTACAAATAGTAACTGGCAGATTTGAGTCACAGCAGGTTTTTTTGTCCCCAGAACCAGTTCTGTCTGCTTGCTGTATTAGTGAGTTCTCGCACTGCTATAAAGACATACTTGAGACTGGGTGATTTACAAAGAAAAGAGATTTAATCAGCTCATGGTTCTGCAGGCTGTACAGGTTTCTGCTTCTGGGAAGGCCTCATAAACTTACAGGCACATATTTACATGGCCAGCAGGAGAGAAAAAGAAAACAGGGAAGTGCTACACGCTTCTAAACAACCAGATCTACATTGATTTTTGTATCCTGAAACTTTGCTGAAGTTGTTTATCAGCTGAAGGTGCCTTTGTGCAGAGACTGTGGAGTATTCTAGATATAGAATTCTGTGATCTGCAAACAGGAATAGTTTGACTTCCTCTCTTCCTATTCGAATGCCTTTTATTTCTTTCTCTTGCCTGATTGCCTGATTAGAAGTTCTGGCCAGAACTTCTAATACTACGTTGAATAGGAGTGGTGAGAGAGGGCATCCTTGTCTTGGACCGGCTTTCAAAGGGAATGCTTCCAGCTTTTGCCAATTCAGTATGATGTTGGCTGTGGGTTTATCATAGATGGCTCTTATTATTTTGAGGTATGTTCCTTCAATACCTAGTTTATTGAGACTTTTTAACATGAAAGGATGTTGAATTTTATCAAAAGAGTTTTTGGCATCTATTCGGGTAATTATGTGGTATTTGTCTTTAGTTTTGTTTATGTGATGAATCACATTTATTGATTTGCATTTGTTGAACTAACCTTGCATCCCAGGAATTAAGCCTACTTGATCGTGGTGAATTAGCTTTTTGATGTGCTGCTGAATTTCATTTGCTAGTATTTTATCGAGGACTTTTGTATTTATGTTCATCAAGGATATTGGCCTGACATTTTCCTTTTTTATTGCGTCTCTGCCAGGTTTTGGTATCAGGATGATGCTGGCCCCATAGAATGAGTTGGTGAGGTGTCACTCCTCCTCAATTCTTTGGAATAGTTTCAGTAGGAATGGTATCAGCTCTTCTTTGTACATCCAATAGAATTTGGCTGTGAGTCTACCTGTACCTGGGCTTTTTTTGGCTGGTAGGCTATTTTTTTACTGATTCAATTTAGGAACTTGTTTTCGGTCCGTTCAGGGATTCAATTTCTTCCTGGTTCAGTCTTGGGAGGGTGTATGTGTCCGGGAATGTATCCATTTCTTCTAGATTTTCTAGTTTGTGGACATAAAAGTGTTCATAGTAGTCTCTGATAGTTATTTGTATTTCTGCCAGGTCAGTGGTAATTTCCCTTTTGTCATTTCCAGTTGTGTTTATTTGGATCTTCTCTCTCTCCTTCTTTATTATTCTAGCTAGAAGTCTCTCTCTCTTATTTATTTATTTATTTTCAAAAAACCACTCCTGGATTCATTAATCTTTTGAATGGTTTTTTGTATCTCAATCTTCAGTTCAGTTCTGATTTTAGGTTGTTTCTTCTGCTAGCTTTTGGGCTGGTTTGATCTTGCTTCTCTAGTTCTTCTAGTTGTGATGTCACATTGCTAATTTGAGATCTTTCTAACTTTTTTATGTGGGCATTTAGTGCTATAAATTTTCCACTTAACACTGCCTTAGCTGTGTCCCTGAGATTCTGGTATATGGTATCTTTGTTCTCATTAGTTTCAAGTAACTTGATTTCTGCCTTAATTTCATTGTTAATCTACATGTCATTTCAGGGGCATCTTGTTTAATTTCCATGTAATTGTATGGTTTTGAGCAATTTTCTTAGTCTTGTATTTTATTATTATTGTGTTGTGTCTGATAGTGTGGTTGGTATGATTTCAGTTTTTGCATTTGCTGAGAATTATTTTGTGTCAGATTGTATGGTCAATTTTAGAGTATGTGCCATGTGGTAATGTGAAAAATGTGTATTCTGCTGTTGTTGGTTGAAGAGCTCTGCAGACATTATTAGGTCCATTTGGTCAAGTGTTGAGTTCAGGTCCTGAATACTTTAATTTTCTGTCTTGATGATCTGTCTAATACTGTCAGTGGGTTGTTGAAGTCTCCCACTATTATTGTGTGGGAGTCTAAGTCTCTTCATAGGTCACTAAGCACTTGCTTTATTAATCTGTGTGCTCCTGTGTTGGGTGCGTATATATTTAGGATAGTTAGGTCTTCTTGTAGAATTCAACCCTTCACCACTATGTAAGGCCCTTATTTGTCTTTTTGGTTTAAAGTCTGTTTTGTCTGAAATTAGGATTGCAACCTCTGCTTTTTTCTGATTTCCATTTGCTTGGCAGATTTTTCTCCATTCATTTATTTTGAGCTTATGGGTGTCATTGCATGTGAGGTGTGTCTCTTGAAAACAACATGTTATTGGCTCTTGCTTCTTTATCTACCTTGCCACTCTGTGCCTTTTAATTGAGGTGCTTAACCCATTTACATTCAAGGTTAGTATTGATATGTGTATATTTGATCCTGTCATTGTGTTGTAAGCTGGTTCTTATGCTGGCTTGTTTGTGTGGTTGCTTTATAGTGTCACTGGTTTGTGTACTTAAGTGTGGTATTGTATTGGCTGGTAATGGTCTTTCCTTTCCATATTTAATGCGCCTTTCAGTAGCTCTTGTAAGGCAAGTCTGGTGGTAATGAATTCCCTCAGCATTTGCTTGTCTGGAAATGATCTTATTCTCCTTCATTTATGAAGCTTAGGCTGGCTGTATATGGAATTCTTGGTTGGAGATTTTTTTCTTTAAGAATGTTGAACATAGCTGCCCCCTGCCCCAGCCCCAATCTCTTCTGGCTTACAGGGTTTCTGCTGAAAGTTTCACTGTTAGTCTGATGGTATTCCCTTAGTAGGTGACCTGCTCTTTCTCTCTAGACACCTTTAACATTTTTTCTTTAATTTTTGACCTTGGAAAGTCTGATGATTATGTGTCTTGGGGATGATCTTCTTGGGTAGTATCTTGCAGAGGTTCTCTGCATTTCTTGAATTTGTATGTTAGCCTCTCTAGTGAGGGTGGGGAAGTTTTCATAGACCATATCCTGAAATATGATTTCCAAGTTGTCTGCTTTCTTTTCATTCCTTTCAGGGCCACCAATGATTCAGAGATATGACCTCTTTATATAATCTCATATTTCTCAGAGGTTTTGTTCATTCCTTTTCATTCTTTTTTATTTATTTTGTCTAGTTATCCTATTTCAGGAAGCCAAGCTTTAAGCTCTGAGATTCTTTCCTCGGCTTGGTCTATTTTACTGTTAATATTTGTGATTGCATTTTGAAATTCTTTTTTCTTTTTTTTTGAGACGGAGTCTCACTCTGTCGCCCAGGCTGGAGTGCAGTGGCACCATCTCAGCTCACTGCAACCTCTGCCTCCCGGGTTCAAGTGATTCTCCTGCCTCAGTCTCCCAGGTAGCTGGGACTACAGGTGCATGCCACCATGCCTGGCTAATTTTTTGTATTTTCAGTAGAGACAGGGTTTCGCTATGTTGGCCAGGCTGGTCTTGAACTCCTGACCTCATGATCTGCCCACCTCAGCCTCCCAAAGTGCTGGGATTACAGGTGTGAGCCACCGCATCCAGCCTTCAAATTCTTATAGTGTGTTTTTCAGCTCTATTGGGTGTTAGGTTTTTTTTTTGTTTTTTTTTTTTTTTTACTGCCTATTTTGTCTGTGAGCTCCTGTATCATTTCATTGTTATTCTTAGATTCCTTGGATTGGGTTTTGATGTTCTCTTGAATCTCAATTGTCTTCTTTCCTATCCATATTCTAAATTCTATTTCTGTATTTTCAGTCATCTGAGGCCAGTTAGGAACCCTAATGCTGTCGTTTGGAAGACAGAAAACACTCTGGCCATTTTAATTGCTGGAGTTCTTGTGCTGGTTCTTTCTCATCTCTTTGTGTGGATGTTCCTTAAACTGCAGTATAGTTTGAGTACAGTCAGTAGACTTCTTTTCTGGATGTTTCCAGAGAGCCGAGGCTTTGTGCAGGGACTTTATTTGTAGCTGACTTCTTGTTTTTTGTTTCATAGGGGGGTATGTTAGCAAAGTATTTTTGGTGTTGAAGTTTTGGGGTGTGATCCAGTAGGTGGTGCTTAGGTGTAATGGTCAGTAAGTAGGCTCTTACTCAGCCATGTGACTCCTCTGTATTAATTTCTTCACAGTTACAGCCATGCCCCCTCTCAATGCTCTGAAAGTGTGGGCTCTTCTCCCATCTGAATACTGGCTACAGATCTCAGCTTTGCATTCCTGGGTTACACACCACAGCTCTGGGGTGATCTCAGGGCTTATATTTCCTCTCTAAGTTGGAGACAGTAGAAGAAAGGACCCTAGCAGTGGTTGTGGTCAGGGGTCTTTCACTTGTCTCCTAGGGCTCCACCCTAGAGAGATGCCAAGCTGCAATCATTTGGTATGATCAGCCTGGGAATGGGGAGCTGTGCTGTGAGCCCAAGCTGGGGGACCCAACTGTTGATGAGTGGGGGAGATGGTGGGTGGGACTTCTGGGAGACAGACTGGCCTCTCCTTACAGCAACTCCAAGTTGCTGGAGGTGTGGAAGAGGCACTTAGGTTCTTTGCTCCGTTGCCAGTCTTAGGGCAGCAGGGGCAGTACCACTGCTGAGGAAGTGGGAGAGGGGCTTTTGGTTGTGCCTGGGAGCTCCACCTCTGAGAATTGTGGAGCCACTGCTACTGGGAGTGTTCAGCCAGAGGGTGGGGCAGCTGCACTGCTGGCTTTAGCTGGAGGGCTCTGCTTGTTGGGGAGCAGGAGGGTTGAGGGCTCACTGGGAGGAGACTGGGCTCCTCTCCACATAGTGACTGTGGTGTGCTGTAAGCCCAGCTGTAGCCCTCAGGCTCTTCGTTTCTTCCCCAGGCAGAGGGTAGCTGGCACAGAATCGCTGCTGTGGCAGTGGCAGAGGGGCTGTCAGTCGCTCCTAGGAACCAACCTCTTCCCAGGGAAATTTAGAGCCACTAGCAGTGGGAATGCTCAGCCATGGGTGGGGCAGCTGTTCTGTGGTCCTGATCCCAGGCCTTGCCTGGTGAAAAGTCGGGGATGGGATTCTCAGGGTAAAGGGACTGTACTCCTTTCTGTAAGGTGGCTGCTGTGTGCTGAAGGTTTCAGCACAGAGACTAGGACCTTTGTTCCTTCTCTAGCACTGCAGCTGCAATGGTGGAAGGGTTGTTTGCCTGTTGACCCTGGGATTTCCTCCTGGGAGAAACGCTGAACCACTTCTAATTGAAGTGATCAGGCAGGGCAGGGTGGCTGTGCTGGCAGGGTCTGGACCAGCCGCTAGACCCTGTGGACTCTCCAGAGCCTAGAGGTAGCAAAGGTGAGTGCTGCAAGACAGCAAAAATAGCAGTCACCCCTTCCTCTGGGAGCTCTGTCCCAGGGACGTGCAGAGCTGCTTAAAGCTCGATAGCCCCAGCAGTGGGTGGCTGGAGTCCCAGCTCATGAAGTCCTGCCTAGGGAGGAGAAATGAGACCATCTGGCTCCTTTTCCGCAGGGCGGCTGCACTGCGCTGGGGTCCGATCCAGTCCCTGGTCACCTTGGGCTCCCCAGGCCCTGAAGGCAGCAGCAGTGAAATCGTGAAACAGCAAAGATGCGCACCCACCTCTCCCTCTGGTGGCTCAGGCCCAGGGAGGTGCGGAGCTGCTGCCAGCCCAAGAACACCAGTACGGGGTGGCTGGAGTCCCAAGTTGGGAGGTCTCACCCAGTAAGGAGAAATGAGTTCTGACAGCAGCGTAAAAAAAGCAGTCCGGCTGCTTTTCCATAGAGTGGGGTCTGCTCACCTAGTCACCTCGGACTCTCTAGAGCCTGAAGGCAGCAATAACAGAGGCTGTGAGACCACAAAGATGGTGGCCCACCTCCCTCCAGGAGCTCCATCTCAGCCAAGGCTTGGAGCTGCTGCCCGAGAACAGGCCTGAGAGCACCTGCTGTGGGTGGCTGGAGTTCCAGGCCGGTGGATCTTATCCCGTGGGGTGCCGGGGAAGTGAGGCCGCAGACCCTCACTGCTCAGCCCCCTGGACTCAGCCCCTTCTCTGGGTGTGTGAGGGAGCCTGACCTCCCTGCTTTCCTGAAGCGGTGTGAAGGAGCCCGACTCCCCCTTTCCTGGGGGCGGGTGTGTGAGGGAGCCTGACCCCCTCTTTCCTGGGAGTGTGTGAGGGAGCCTGACCTCCTCCCTTTCCTGGGTGGGAGTGTGAGGGGGCCTAACTTCTTCCTTTCCTGAAGCTGCAGCTGCCATTGCTGGGATTCCCCTGGATCCAAGGCTCCCAGGGTTCCACATATGCCTGATGGGCAGTTCTGCCAATCTCCTTGTAGCTCTGCATGTCAGAATGAAAACCCTGGTGGAGTGGGTTCACAAATGGGTGTCCTGACCTAAAGATTGTGAAGATCTGTGGAAGAGTGTGTGCCCCCGGAGTCTCTCACTCACTCACCATTTCCCTGGGTAGGGAGCCTCCACGGACTCCGAGTCACTCCCAGGTGGGCAGTCGTCCTGTCTTGCTCCTGTCCATTCTCCATGCGTCAAGTTGTTTCCTTGGTGAATCCCAATGCATGCCCCTGGATGAAGTTGTAGTATTGAAGTTGTAGTATTTACTCTCCTGTTTTATTTCTCTCCGTAAGAGTATCACACACTGGCTGCTTCAAGTCGGCCATCTGCTTTTTTATTTTCTTTTTGTAGAGATGGGGGTCTCCCTGTGTTGCTCAGGCTGGTCTCAAACTCCTGGGCTCAAGTGATCCTCCAACCTTGGCCTCTAAAACTCTTGGGATTACAGGCATGAGCCACTGTACACAGCCAACAGGTTCTTTTAGTTCTTGTTTTGTTGGATCTCTTTGTAATTGAATGTTCTTTTCTTACAATTATCTATTATTATGTTGATTTAATTGACATTGAAATCCTCAGATTGTCATTTTATTTCAACACATGTTTCCCTTTCCTGCCAGGTTCTTAAATAATAGATTCATTCTGGAACCATAAGACTACTTTTGATCAGAGCCCTGGACAGCTACACCACCCCACAGCCCCTGCTCCCCCCAAATTTTCTGTGGCTGACATTCCAGTTTATTTTCTTCATCTTGTTCTAGAAACCCTCCTCCAGCCCTTTACTGTTTTCTATAACCACATGGTACTTTACTTTTAAAATGTCTTCATTCTTTTTTTTTTGAGATGAGTTTCACTCCGTAGCCCAGGCTGCAGTGCAGTGGCGCGATCTTGGCTCACTGCGACCTCTGCCTCCTGGGTTCAAGCGATTCTCCTGCCTCAGCCTCCCAAGCCGCTGGGACTACAGGAATGCACTGCCATGCCCAGCTAATTCTTGTATTTTTAGTAGAGAAGGGATTTCACCATATTGGCCAGGCTAGTCTTGAAATCCTGACCTCGTGATCCACCTGCCTCGTCCTCTCAAAGTGCTGGATTACAGGTGTGAGCCACCGTGCCCTGCCAAATTGTCATCATTTTTAATGTTCTTTTTGATGAAAACCTTCAGTGCTCACACATACGTGACATTTGACCCTCCTATGCCATTGAGAAGCAGGAGAGCAATATCAATCTGTATATGTTGGGCTTATTTTTGAATTATTCAGTGCTTCTTTAATTATGAGCTGGCTGTAGATGGTTGGAAGGAAAATGTCAGGAAGGCAGACTCATAATAGCATAACAGGTTAAGTGAACCAACATAGTTAAAGCTCATAGCCCAGTGCCTGTCATGTAGCAAGTGGGAATCAATATGAGGGATGGTGATGATGGTGTTCTCCATGGTTCCCCCTTGGCTCAATGCTCTTCTATATCCAAAGACTCTCTGTAAATAACTCCAGTTATTCTTGTGGCTTACAAATTTCCTTTCACCATCTAATGATTTCAAGTTAGTCTACTTCCCCAGGTTTTAGACTTATGTATACTTTGACTGCTGGATATCTCTTCTCGGACATGAGAGACAACTCTCAAATCCAGCATGTTCCCAACTCATCTAAACTGGCTTCTCTACATTTTTTCTCTCAGTTAAGTGTCTCATCCTCTACCTAGTGAAGCCAACTTAACAGCACAAGGAACACAGCTGACTTTCTGTTTTAACATTACTCAGTCATTGAGTGCTGTGTACTTTATCTCTTAAATATATGTCATAAAAGTTTCAACTTTTTTTCTGTCTCTATCATTGGGGTTTCTTATTTTGTCTCCGCCACCAGCGTGCATAATCCAAACCAAAAATGTTGGCTTTCACTATCCTACTTAAAATTCTTCAGTGCGAAGTCTTGGCTCTTAAGCATTATACATAAGGCTCTGCAGATCTGCTGGTTGCTCCATTTCTGTTGCTATGGACACTTGTAGTTCCACAAATGCAGGTAACGCTTTTAGTTCCAGGAATGTACCATGCTGTTTTTCTTCTCCCTATCTCTGCCTATGCTCTTTCTACCTAAAATGGGTTCCTCATTCCCTATTACTTCTATTGCTATTAATCTAATAATCTCTCCAGACCCAGCTCCATGAACATCTTTCCCAGACACTCTCACTGACAATGTAATAGACACTGGTATGAGCAGGGCTAAATGTTAAAAATGAACAGTAATATATGGTTTGGGGTGCTATTTTAGACTGAGTGAGGAGTGGGAATCTGAGCAGAGATCTGAAAGGAAGTGGAGTCAGGGAAATAGTGTTCCAGGGAGAAGGAAATCAAATCCAAAAAAAGGCCCTGAAGTGAGAATAAATGTAATCTATTGAAGAATAGAAAGAAAGACAATATGTCTGCAAACGAGTGGGCAGAGGGAAGAGTGGGTGGGAGATGAGCTTTGAGGACCAGATTGTGTAATGCTTTGTAGCATGTAAAGGAGATTGAATTTTATTCCAAGTGGGATGTGGTGTTACTATAGAGTTGTAAAGACAGTTTTATTTAAGTGTAATTTAATACAATAAACTGCACATATTTAAAGGACACAATGCGACATATTTTAGCATATGTATATACCTATTACACCATCACCACAATCCACAACCAAGATAGTGAACATATCTGCCACCCTTTTGTAATCCCTTCCTCACACCCATCTCCTCCTCTAACCTCCTCTCCCAGCACACCTGTCCACAGCCAACCACTCACCTGCTGTCTGTCACTTTGGATTAATGTGCAATATCTAGAATATTTTATATAAAGAAGATGACACAGAATGTACTCTTTTGTGTGTGGCCTCTTTCACCAAGCAAGACTACTTTGAGATACATCCATGTTGTGGCATACATCAATAGTTATTTCTTTGTGTTGCTGGGTAGCATTCTATGGTATAGATATGCAACAGTTTATCCTTTTACCTGTTGATGGACATCTGAGATGTTCACAGTGTTTGGCTCTTACAAATAAAGCTGCTGCGAATATTTTTTATAATTTTTTGCATGGACATATGCTTTCACATCTCTTTGGTAAGTAACTATGAGTGGAATGCTTGGGCCATATGATAGGTGTGTGCCCAACTTTTAAAATAACTACCAAAGTGGCTGTACCATTTTACATTCTCATCAGCAGTGATGAGAGTTTGAGTTCTTCTGTAGAGTCCCCCACATTTAATGTGATCAGCCTTTTAAATTTTAGTCTTTCTAATAGGCATATGTGGTACCTCACTGTGATTTTTATTAGCATTTCCCTTATAAGTGATGATGTTGAATGTCTTTTCATGTGTTTATGGGAAATACACATATTGTCTTTGGTGTGATGCCTATTCAGATTCTTTGCCCATTTTTTAAACATTTTTTTCTTATTATGAATCCTGTATCAGATAATATTTGAAAATACTTTGTCTCAGTTTGTAGGGTGTCTTTTCATCCTCTTAACAGTGTTTTTCAATGAGTAGGTGGTTTTAATTCTGGGGTGCCCAAATTATCAATGTGTTATTTTATTGTGTTATATTAAAAAAGTTTACTTAGGCCATAACATTTTCTGCTATTTTTTCTTTTAAATTTTATGTAGTTTTAAGTTTTACATTTAGATGTATGATCCATTTTGAGTTAATTTTTGTATATAGTGGGCATTATGTATTGAAGTTCTTTTTTTTTCACGTAAAATATCCAATTCTTTCAGTAGCGTATATTGGAAAGACAATCATCTATTCTCCACTGAATTATTCTGCACTCTTGTTAAAAATCACTTGCTCACATATGTACCAATCTGTTTCTGACTATTCTCTTCAATTGATCTTGATACCAACACATTGGTCTTAACACCAATACATATGTCTTAGTTATTTAAACTTTATATGAAGTCTTGATAGCAAACTGAATTAGTTCTCCAATCTTTTTTAAGTTGTTTTGGCTATTTTAGGTCCTTGGAACTTCCTTGTGAATTTTAGCATCAGTTTGTCAATTTCTATACAAAAGCATGCTGAGATATTGACTGTGATTGCATTGAATCTATAGATCAGTTTAGGGAGAGTTAAAATGTTAATAATGAGTCTTCTGAACCATAAACCTAGTATATCTCTCCATTCATTCAGGTTTTTAAAATTTTTCTTGATGATATCTTATAGTTTTCCATGCAAGCATATTTGTTTTCTATGCCACACATCAAAGTACTACAAACTTAACTACTTAAAACAACACACATTTATTATCTGGTAAAAGGAATCTAGGTAGAGTTTAGTTGGAGAATCTGGTCAGGGGTTCCCAAGGTTGTGTGTTTGGGCTGCAGTCTCATCTGAGGTTCTAATGTCTCTTTGAAGATTAGCTCATTGTTCTCTATGTTCCTTTTATTGCAGCTGTGGAAATCATGGTGGCTTGCTTCTCAGAGCCAGCAAGGAAGAGGGGAGAAAGAGAGAGAGATAGAAAGATAGATATACATAGAAAGAGAGACCAGCTTTTAAACTACTCACCTGAGTAGGTCAGGCCCATTTAGGATAGTCTCCTTTTTGATTAATTTAGTTAACTTATTAGTGACTTTAAATCCATCTGAAAAGCCCCTTCACCTTTGTCACATCCTATTTGTTAGAAGCCAGTTAAAGGTCCTGCCCACACTCAAGGGGAGGGAATTATACAAAGTCATGGCTGATTGGGGATAATTTTAGAATTACTCCTACTGTGACAGGTCTTTCACATCTTTTGACATATTTATCCTAAAGCAGTTCATATTCTTTTGACGCTATTGTGAATGGCATTTAAAGATTAATTTCTAATAGTCTGTTGTTAGCATACAGAAACAAAATCGATTTTTGTCTGTTGCTCTTGTATTCTGTAACCTTGACAAACTGATTTGTCTAAGCCTCAGTGATTTCACATTTAGGATGATAATGACAGCACATAGTTGTTAGGGTCATTTGAAGAATTTGATGTAATAGAATCTGACACATTATAAATACTCAGTAAATGTTAACTATGACAATGATTAACTTTGAGCTTAGTTTTGTGTGTTTTTCTCTCTTTGTAGACTGTGACCTCCTTGAAGGTAGGGACTAAATCGAATTCATTTTTGGATAGTACCTACTTACCACATTACTAGGTGCTCAATAAACATTTAGTATTTGTTGACTGAATGGTAGTGCAAATGAATAGAAGGATATTGAAGGAAGAGATATTAAATAAACAGAATAAACAAAAAGCATTCAGCTTGGGAATGAGAATAGCATGGAAGGGGTGGAGTAGGTGAGATTGAGTCCTGTGTTTCTGGCTTCAGTGATTACTGAATGAGAGTTCTGTTCACCATCAGGAAGGGGAAACTAAAAGTTTGTGGGAAAGAATAAAGCATTTGATTAGAACTCACGAATTGAAAATGACAACAGTACATCTAAGTGTTGATATAATGAAGGTTTTGTCAATACACACACACACACACACACACACACACACAAGTTGAGCTCTTTTGATGCTCTAATTTCGATCCACTCTTGAGAACTTTGATCACAGCTGTTTAGAAAGATCAATTAAATGAATTATAGTAGAAGATTATTTACAAATAACATCATTTTAATGGATAAATCTAAAAAAGGTATTGTAATGATTGAAAATGATTTGTGGTCTTTGCATAAGATTCTTATTATTGGAGTTAGTTTTCAGGCAAATACCTAGTCATATATACAAGCTGGCAGAGGCCAGGACAGGTCATTGTTACCTGTTCTCTCTGGAAAGGCAAGAGTGAGACCATATCCTAAAGATTTATATGGGTTTTTTGAAGTATTTTTCTTTCTTTCTTTCTTTTAATCATTGTGTTCTTTTGATGTTAAGAGGTCTCAGTCCCTGATATCTGGTCTTGGAATGTCAGGTCTTGAACATTTCAGATAAATGATTCTACTGTGTATAATGAAGTCAAGGTCAGGACAGATGCTCTATGGCTGAATGGATCTAGTTGTCTGAGGGTGGAGACCAGCCTCCAGTGTATTGACTGGGACTCTATGTGGTCTGGAGGCTCTGAGAGAATGAGGGGGCAGGTGATGGTGCCTGGGAGACCTCTCACCACAGTTGAAGTGAAATGTGGTTGTTAAATTTTCAAAAACCTTAAAGTTGCCTTTATAACTGAGATCTCCTGTGAGGTTTATTCCTTTGGACTTCTCAGAGGGAATTTAAGGCAGATAATGGAGATCATTCTCACAAAGGTAATGTGGGTTCTTTTGGGATGCTGGGAACATCTGGTGCCAGGAATACAAACAGTGAGGACAATGGGTGTTGTAATAACACACAAAAGGTTGCAAAGTGCTTTGATCCAGACTATTTTAAAGAGTGCTACAAATGCCACTGCTGTAAATGAAGTAAGGATGCAAGGTTTCTTCATTCTGGCTGGACTGCATCTGGCTGGGACTCCATATGTCTTCAGCTATTGCTCATGATGAGTGATTCACAGGATGGCTTTATTCAAGATAGAGAAAGGGAGCAAGGAAGTGACATGTGCTTTTAGGGTAGGCCAATGATTGTGATCTGAAAAAGGCCTATTATGTCACTTTTTCTTTCAAATCCCAGTTTAACTTGCAAAAAGAAAGATGTCTGATAATAAACGCCTTTTAAAATGGCTTAAACAAGACTATTATAGCAACACAAGCATGGCAGACCTGGCTCTGTCATCCTTTCTGTTTACATATCTGTGATCTCTGAAATTATAGGTCAAGTTGAAAGCAATGCAATCATTGTGGTTATTTCATCTGTTCATAAGAGCAGGTCAGTGTTTGAAATGAAGTATCTTTCATTTGATTCTTGCACAAATGAACCTTGTCATTAAAAGAGTTACTTAAATGGCATTTGTTAATTTTGTGCTAACCTTCTTTTTGGAGGTGGGGCAGTTCTACTTGTTAACATCAGCCACTATAAGAATGAGACTCCCAGTCCTGTCCCTTCACACAGGTCTCACCTGAAGCTGATGAGGACAAGGGGGTTGCTCCATGTAGCTGGGATCCAGGCACTTGGATTGAACGAGGCTCTGATGTTTCGATGCATGGCATTTATGGCTGGCCTGGTGCTGATGTCCAACAGGGAAAAGGGAGAGAAGGGAAAGTATGAGAGGATCACATGGGAGGTTTACTTGGACCAGACTTGGAGGTGGCATCTTCACTTTCACCATGTCCTGTAAGCCTGAATCTCATCCCTTGACACCTGGATGCTGCGTTCCCTAGGGCATGTCATCACTTTGCAGCAACATCTCTTCTCTGTAGAAGTTGGATGACTGGCCATCTCTGCCATCAGTGTCATGTGAGACGAGCAAATAGTATATAGGTAAATTGAAGGAGATGCAAAAATTTATGCATAAAATTATAGAAATTCATCTAAATTTTAATATTGGTTGTAACTGAAAAATTAAAATATGAGTAAAGCTTTATTTATTATACTTTTAAGATATTTCTCAAATTGTCTTTAATGAGCACTTATTATATTTATAATAAAAATAATCAATGTTTTATAAAGTGTACTAATCTGTTTCCTGTTGAAGTCAGAGCATGTGTAATATGCACTTTAACTTAGACTTTTTCATATGTAAATTAGGTAAAAAAGGCTAACTATTTGCAGTTTTCCATTTGGATATCTTTGTATAAAAATAATTTGCTGCAAAATTGGCATAAAAGTGAATAAATTTTATAAACAAATTTATATTTAAGAGTAATATATAAAATATATCTTCTAATCTGCTGAAATCTCTAGATTATTGTGTAAATATTTATTTTGATTATGTTAGTTGCCTTAGAAGCTCATGGGAAGGAACTATACCTTTAATTTTTAATTCCGGAAGGTAAGATGAGAGATTTTTTTTAAAAAATTATTTTCTGAGACAGGGTCTTACTCTTTTGCTCAGGCTGGAGTGCAGTGGTGTGATTTCTGCTCATTGAAGCCTCAGTCTCCTGAGCTCAGGTTATCCTCCCATCTCAGCCTCCCAAGTAGCTGGGCTTACAGGCATGTGTCACCACGCCTGGCTAATTTTTGTATTTTTAGTAGAGACAGGGTTTCGCCATTTTGCCCAGGCTGATCTTGAACTCCTGACCTCAAGTGATCTGCCCACCTCAGCCTCCCAAAGTGCTGGAATTACAGGTGTGAGCCACCACACTTGGCCAAGAGATGTTTTAAGTTTATGTTGAAATATAGTTTAATGATGCCTCCAACTTAACTTGACCTTGGCTGGGAGGCCTTCTCTCTCTCTTCCCCCTTCCCTCTCTCTCTCACACACACACCATTGTTTTCACTACTGATAGTACTTTCTGATGACAGGATTTGCTTCTGGATGGTATCTTTGGAATGCATTATCTTGATGTTCTGTCTTATATGTTTAAAATACCATAACCGAACAACTCACTTCCCAGTGAGCATGGTGCCTCTCTTATTCTCGGCCGGTGCTCTCTCCACAGGAACTTGCCCAGCATTGCGAGGCATTGTGACCCCTGATGCTGGATTTTATCTCTTCATGGAGTATCTTCTGCTTCTAAGTTTCCCCAGCCTGGCCGGTATGGAGAAGGAGGGATCCTTTCCCTTGTGTTAAAGCTATTTATGGCTGGAGTGTAGGTAGGGTGCGGATAGAAGGGAATTCAAACTTGTTTTAATGATACCTGGGATTTGTTTTAATCGAGTATGACAAGACATGAGGCCAGTCCTTTATATAAAAATTAACTGGGTGTGGTGGCCCTCCCTCCATGGGGGCCCACCTGGGGAAGCACCGAGGCGAGATGAGTAGGTGGAGAGAGGGGGCTGCTGGTGGAAGCCTTAACTGTGCTGTCCTGGGAAGGAAAGGGTGAGCAGGTTTAGCACTTGCTGACTTGAATCATTTCAGCGGCCTCTGGGACTTAGGGGTTGTTCCTAGATATCTTGTCCCTGGTCTGGGGTGACCAGAGCAGGGGGACAGGAGACAGAGCGTAAGAGCCACATAGAGGAGGTGGTGGGAGTGGGCCCTGGATTGGTTTCTTTGCATTTGAAAGGCGCGCTCCTAGGTGAGCTATTTGCTTTCTCTAGGAGAGCAAACTCTGGGAGGGGCAGTGTCTCCAGGGTCAGCAAGGCCCTAAATGCTAAAGAATCAAGAACACAGAAAATAAGAAAATGTAATTAATACAAAGTCCAATACTGCACCTCAGTACTTTCACTCCAGTGGAGTAGATATGAGAATGCAGAAACCAACCAGAGGTAACCTGCTCAAATTACTTTTATTTATAGCACAATTACAACTAGGCCTTCCTATGGATACACACCTCTCTCTCTCTCTCTCTCTCTCACACACACACACACACACACACACACACACACACAGAGTTCTTTAAAAATATTTTTGTATATTTTTATTTTTATAGATTTAGGGGGTACAATTGCAGTTTTGTTACATGGGTATATTGTGTAGTGGTGAAGTCTGGGCTTTTAGTGTAAGTATCATCCAAATAGTGTATGTATGCATTAGGTAATTTCTAATGGATGTATACACTATTGGGATGATAGTTACACTATTTGGATGATAGTTACACTAAAATGGCTGAGCGTAACACCCATTGGAGACTTGGGAAAGTGGGTGGGTGGGAGCGGAGTGAGGGTTGAGAAATTACCTAATGGAGCACCAATGGCTAGTATTCCACAGTCAATGTCCATGTGTTCACATTATTTAGCTTCCACTTATAAGTGAAAATATGTGGTATATGACTTTCTGTTTCTGAGTTATTTCACTTAGTGGCCTCTAGTTCCATTCATGTTGCTGCAAAAGACATAATTTCATTCTTTTTCATGGCTGTTTAGTATGCTGTAGTATATATGTACCACATTTTCTTTATCCAATCATTGGCTGATGGACACTTAGGTTGTTTCCATATCTTTGCAATTGTGAATAGTGTTGCAATAATCATATGAGTGCAGGTCTGTTTTTGATATAATGATTTCTTTTTTGGGGGGCAGATACCCAGTGGTGGGATTGCTGAGTCAAATGGTAGTTCTATTTTAATTCTTTGAAAAATCTCCATAATGTTTTCCATAGAAATTACACTAATTTATAGTCCCATCAACAGCATTTAAGCATTCCATTTTCTTGACATCGACACCAACATCTGCTGTTTTTTTGACCTTTTAATAATAGCCAGCCATTCTGACCAGTGTAAGGTGGTGTCTCACTGTGATTTTAATTTGCATCTCTCTGATGATTAATGATGTTGAGCACTTTTCATGTGCTTGTTGGTCACACACAGAGTCCTATGGGAGAGGCATGGAAGGCCGTGGCCCTAACATCTAGGTATGAGTCTCCCTCGATGGGCCCTGAGGCACCCTCTGGGTGTAGAGACTTCCTCTCTTGATGACCGCGGGTACCATCATTGTCAAATGAATCCCATGCAAGAGCGAGTGTCTGAGTGAGGGCCTAGTGTCTGGCCAGAGACTGGATTCAGAGCATGAGGAGAAACCAGCATTGAATTATGCAAGTTCAGGAACACAGCGTCATTGAATTATGCAAGTTCAGTGTTTTTATACCATGTGAACCCAATGTTGATCCCAGATATAATTAGTGCATGTTGTGCGTGCTTATATGCATGTGATACTAGGTTTCCCATGTATGTAAGCTACGCACGCTATCATGTGGATCCTCATGAGATAGGGCAGCCCTCACCAGGTGTGACTGCTGTCGTGTACTGGCATGATAAAAAGCTGTGACCAGCCCTGGGAGTCAGAGATGTAACTCAAATGCATGTGCACTCTACACCTGGCTTTGTGTTTCCAAGTGCAGAGACTTCCACTCCAGGGACATTCCTTTCCCCTTCTGCTTCCCCTCCAGTGAAGGAGTGAGTTGCCCAATTGGCTGCTGACCTTCTTCCCCTACTGGGTGCAGCTAATCTATGAACAATCTGAAAGCACTGGAGGTTTGTTCCCTTCTCTCCTCCAGCAGTCCTGGCTGGGCACCCCAGCTGTGTGGCCCCCTGATTTCCTCCCAGGCCCCTGGGAGACATACATAGAACCACACCCTCACATCAACTCATCAGTAATGAAGGTGCCATTATGACCTCCATCTAGTGGGTGTCCAGTTGCCTCCTTTCTCAATGGTTACAAATGGCACTGGAGAAGAAAGTAATGCTGTTTGCTGTCTCCTGTCCTCCAGCATCACCAGCGCTTGTCCACACGTGTGGTAGGATGCAGAGTGCTCTGGGCAGGCCACTCAGAGGCCCAGGTCTGCTCCATGGTCCCAGGCGTTCCCTGGACCTGCTTGTGGTCTCCTCATTTGTTGAGTGGATGGCTTCGTCTGAAGGCATCTGTGACGATGTGTGGTTTCTGCCTGCACTTCTTACCCCAGTCATAGAGACACTTGGAGGCCTCTCCTTGTGCCTCGACTTTGCCTCCTTTGTGCTCCCGGGGGACTTCCTGAGCAGGGTAATTTTATGCATGAAGGCTGAGGGTTTCCACCCAGTGAGACTGGGGCCTGGCAATCATCTAAGCTCAAGATGAGGGAATGGGTTTCAGAAGGTCCCTTAACCACCTGAAATTGTGCGAGAAACGGTGTATATGAGGATTTCGGGTGTGTGAGAGAATGTTTTTGCAGGTCCTCTGAGGTTCCCTGGCTTCCCAAATGGGAGGAACTGCTGCTGTGGAGAAGGACTCCAGGATAGCGTGACCTGCAAGGGGAAATTGAGAAGCACAGGCAACTGAGATTGGCCATGTTACTGGGTGCCCTCCTGTCTCATCCAGTGACAAATGCAACCACAGCCTGAGGAAATTTAACACCATCTCATCATGATATGCAGTCATTCTCCATTTTCCACCTGTTTAGTTGGACTTTAAGGATAAAGAGAAGATCCTAAATAAGATAGCTGAGATTTCAGACCAAGATATCATGGTTGATTCTAATATCAAAACACAAAATGATTATATTCTCAAAAGGATTAAGAAAAACCTTTGATTTTTGGTGGCTCATGCCTGTAATCCCAGCACTTTGAGAGGCCAAGGTGGGTGGATTGCTTGAGGTCAGGAGTTCAAGACCAGCCTGGTCAACATGGTGAAACCCTGTCTCTACTAAAAATACAAAAAATTAGCTGGGCGTGGTGGTAGGTGCCTGTAATCCCAGCTACTCAGGAGGCTGAGGCACGAGAATCATTTGAACTTGGGAGGCGGAAGTTGTAGTGAGCCAAGATCACACCACTGCACTTCAGCCTAGGTGACAGAGCAACACTCTGTCTCAAAAAAAAAAAAAAAAAACATAAAAATAGAAATAAAAAATAATAATAATAAAAAGAAAAACCTTAGATTTTATTCTCATGTAGAGGTCTCTGTAGAGCAAATGCACCAGGTAGTTCTCTATCTAATTTTGGACTGTGTGGGCATACTCTACTTTTTATATTACTTGCCAAACTTCTTCTAGTTCAGAGACTCTAAAAGGATTGTCTTTTATGACAAGCCAGTTTAAAGCCTACAGTCAAACCTTTTTCTACTTCATTGAACTTTAGAAACTCCTATTGTTCTACACCTCTGTCTTATTTCTCTTGCCATTTCTGTTTATATTGATTGGTCTCAGGAGTGACCTATATGACACATTATCCAAAGCCTCTGTGTTCATGAACTATATAATTGTAAGAAAAACGGTTATCCTGTTTTTGAACTATATGGGCTTTCAACTTGACATCCACCCAATCAGTGAATTCAGATTCTATTCAGTCAGAGGAATAAATGATGTCAAGAAAAAATAAGTGGTTATAACTGAGCAAAATATTTTACTAGCAAAGAAAACAATCCTAATGGGGACATTTGCATGTTCAGTCAAGGTGTAATTAAATGCCTGCAGAAAAATAACTGAAAATCATACCTGTCTCAGTGCTTTTAGACAGGGTTATAATGTGCATTGATTTTGTTTCTTGATGATGAATTAGCCCTTGCATTTCTGAGAGTTGAATTTGTGAATGCAGAAACACCAACATGTTTGCTACTTAGTTGAGGACCAAGAAATTGTCTTCAGCTCTGCATCAGTTTTGGTAGAAGCAAAAATTGCAACAAAGAGATGAATAGAAAAGTTGTTTCAATAATCTAGACATTTATTTCTCCCTCACATAACAGCCCAGAGCTAACCAGATAGCTCAGGGTAGATTAAGTGGCATTGCTCTCTGAGGCCACCCTGTTACCAGGTTCCTTAGGTGGCTCTGCCATCCTCAACAAGTAGATATCTCAGGGTCCAAGCAGGCTTCTCTAGCAGTTGCCATTTTCCAGCCAGTGAAAAGTGGGAAAGAGAAAGTGGATGTAAGCAACTTCCTAGCGTGATGCAGAAGTTGCACATAACTTGCTGCCTGCCTTTATTAACTAAGTAGCAGTCATGTGGCCACACCCATGTGCAAGGAAGGCTGAGAAATGTCTGCATTTTATAGGTCAGGAAACCTATATATGATAAATCAATGGCTCTATATTATAGAATAGTAACATCCTATTTTATGACTCTTGGTCCAGAGTTCTTCCATCATACTACTCAACAGGCATTATTATGCTCTTTTAGAGAGCTATCTAAGGAGAACACAAACTCCTTAGATAATTTGTACATCCTTCAGGTGGCAGCTCATAAGAGGCCTTCTTTATGATGCCTTCCCTGACTACTGAAAGATTGCAGTGTTCCTAGGGCTCCCCCTGAAGCTGGTTTCCCACTAATGTCTCATGGTTGGGGTAAGCCAGAGACACATAGCATGGTGGTTCTCAAGCTTCCTGGTCTCCGATCCTTTTTACATTTTTAAAAACTGTTGAGGACACAAAGAGTGTGTGTTTATGTGGGTGATATCTATATTTTCCAAGTTAGGGAATAAACCCGAGAAGATTAAAAATATATATTTATTAAATCCATTTAAAAATGAGAATGACAATTATATGACATATACATAATACATTTTAATAAAAATACCTATAGGCCAGGTGTGGTTGCTCACGCCTGTAATCCCAGCACTTTGGGAGGCCGAGGTGGGTGGATCACCTGAGGTCAGGAGTTCGAGACCAGCCTGGCCAGCACGGCGAAACTCCGTCTCTACTAAAAATACAAAAATTAGCCAGGCACGATGGCGGGTGACTATAGTCCCAGCTACTCGGGAGGCTGAGGCAGGAGAATCGCTTGAACTTGGGAGGCAGCGGTTGCAGTGAGCCGAGATCGCATCACTGCACTCCAGCTTGGGCGACAGAGTAAGACTCTGTCTCAAGAAACAAAAACAAAAACAAAAACAAACCCTATAATTTCTCAAACAAAACAAAACCAAAAAAAAAAAAAGAAGGAAAAAGTGACATGTGTTACTTTTTTGTGGTTGTGTTACACTTTTGCTAATTAATGTCTGGCATAATAGGAAAGCAGTTGGATTCTCATATCTATTTCTGCATTTAGTCTGCTACAAATGTGTTGTTTTGATTGAAGTATATAAAGAAAACCCAGTCTCACACATATATGTAGTTAGAAAATGGATATATTAATATCAAAAGGCTTTTCAGAAAATTGTGGATATTTGTCTTTGATACTATACCAGATTGGACCAGTGACAGTTTCTTAAAGGCTAATTGCAGCGTGAAGTCTGAAACCCTGCCAATATCGTTTTATACTCCATAACATTCAAATCCAATGGGTTCTCTCACTTTGGATGGAGCTTTATAACCCATGTATGCTTCTGAACCTTCATGCATTGGTTATTTGGAAAACATTGGTTCACCAAGTTATGCAGATTTTCCAAATGTCAATGCATTTCATTACATGATATCAAAAAATTATATTTGTTAGAAGGACTACTGACTTTACCATGAAAGTCTTTATTTTGGAATGTTCTAAAATTTAAGTTTTGGCTTGAAAGATTGGATCTTATATCAGCAAGAAATACTGTCAGTTGTTTTCCTTGAAGTGACAAGCTCACTTGGTTCATCTTGGAAAAAATAAGACCCAATTCTGAATAGCAATAGGTGGTTTGCAATATTTCTTTAAGTAAAAATGGTGTCGTATGAAAGAAGTGGTTAGTACAGCTTGCGACTCAAATGATCACATGTATTTTTGTGTGGCACAACTGTTATACTTTCCCGTGCAGCTGAAGTGCTTCATACATACTTCCTATTTCATCACACAGAATATTACAAAGATGCATACTCAAAGGTAGAGACTTAAAGTTAATAATTGTTACAGCTTCATCAATAAAGTGAAGTGCTTATGTAAAACTGGCAATTTTTTTAAACTTCAGCTTTGAGCTCACTGACTTCTAGCACAGTTTGGTGTCATTGTCTGATTCCTGCTAAACACCAGCAATTTAACCCACCATTAGTGCAAATGGCCGAAGAAGAACGAGATCATGTCCTTTGCAGGAGCATGGTTGGAGCTGGAGCCCATTATCATTAGCAAACTAATGCAGAACAGAAAACCAGATACCCCATGTTCTCACTTATAAATGGGAGTTAAATGATGAGAACACATAGGCACAAAGACGGGAACAATAGACAATGGAGCCTTTCGAGGATAGAGGGTGGGAGGAGGGAGAGGATCAGGAAAAATAACTATTGGGTACTAGGCTTAGTACCTGGGTGATCAAATAATGTGTACAACAAACCCTGGTGACATGAGTTTACCCATGTAACAAACCTGCACATCTACCCCGGAAGCTAAACTAAAAGTGAAAAAAAAGGAAATAGTTTTGATCTTGCAAGACCTCTTAGAGGGTCTCAGCACCCTCTCAGTGCTTGTGGAGTGGCCTGAGTGTTTTGGCACCCTGGTCCTGGAAGAAGGGCTGGGGAGGAGAGAGCTGTGGAATGGTCAAGAGGAGAGCCATGAACCCCAACTGACCCAAGCACAGGTGCTGTCTTAGCCTGTGCAAGCTGCCGGAATACCATAGCCTGGGTGCCTTACACAGCCAGCATTTATTTTTCACAGGTCTGGAACCTGGGAAGTCCAAGATAGAGGCAGTGGGAGATTTGGGGTCTGGTGAGAACCTGCTTTCTGATCATAGATGGCCACTTTCCTGCTTTGTCCTCACATGGTAGAAAAGAAGAGGGTGTCTCTGGGGTCCCTTTTTTAAGGGCACTAATTCCATCCATGAGGGCTCCACCCTCAGGATCTAATCACTTTCCAAAGGCCCCGCCTTTTAATACTATCTCATGGGGGGTTAGGATTCTGACATTTGAATTTTGGTAGGACACAAGCATTCAGTCCATGCAGACACTGAATGCACAAGCAGGTGCTGTGGGCAGAGCTGGAGATGACAGCAGGGAGGAGCCTCTGATAAGCCAAGGGCAGCAGGCTCTGGTTGAAAAGAAGAGGGTATCAAAGACAGCAGAGCTTAGTGAGGAAGAGCTGGCTGAGAGCAGGCAGGACGGATTAGACAGCTGGCAAGTGACCGCCTCCCTGAGATGACTTCAGTTTGCAGGAGTGGCTGTAGGTGGTACCAGTGGTGAGTGGGTGCAAAGCTCTTATGTTCCTAATCCCGAAGCATGCTCAGTATTGTATTGTCCTTTTTCTGTGTGCACCTAGGCTCTCCCCTCTCGTGGGTAAGTGCTGGAGGGCAGGACCCATATCTACTTATAGCCTGGCCCAAAGTAGCTGCTTGATAGAAGTTTTCAGAATGAATAAAGATATAGACAACATTGTTTATTATAAACGATGATAAGTTCAGCTTAGCAGGACTGGCTATTAAAGAATAATGAAATAGAACAGGTTCAGGCAGAGAGGTGGGAAGAGAAAACTACATTGTGTTGGGCTAAAGGAGAAGCACAGTCTGCGTGGACAGCAGTCAAATCTGCAAGCAGTGAAATCTGACCCATTTCACTTATTACCATCCTTAGTGTTTCTCTCTTTCACCGACTCTGATCTTTTATTTTATTTCATTTTTGCTGGCCATGTTTTATTTGTTCTTTTTCTTCAAATAGGTTAACTGAAGATGCAGATAGTATGCAATAAAATAAAATAGATGAAACAAATTCTAAGAGACTGTGATGCCACATGCTACATTTAACCTAATTTTATTCATGCTTGCCTTGGGATGGGGAATAGATCATTCACTAAAAATATACATTACTAAAATCAAAATATCTTATCATGTACAACTTTTAAACTACAATAATGATATACCTTAATTACTTCCATGCACACAAGTCTAACATTAGTTTTTTTTTTTTAAATAAACACAATTAGGACTTCTAGGAGCATTTTATAATAAAGCATTTCCTAATTTTTCTTTGTAGATAGACCAAGCACCTACAAAATACAAATTCCTATACACAGTGAGCACGTTAGTTAAAATGAACACTTAAGTAAATTAAGTACTTGGACAGCCTTAGGATAAGCTGACATTATATACTAAGCTAGGTAGGCAACAAACCATAGTGTCAAATTGAAAAAGTGTGTTTGCAAATAAATTTTTAAAACCAAATTAATTTTTATAATTAAAGAAAATATACTGATACGCTAAAATCAATAAGATGTGATATAGTAACACTTCACTATAAAGAATGCATACCAGAGCGTTTATAAACAGTGAGTGAGTCTTATTAAGAATAGTTTACTACAATAAACACTGGCTAAATAGAAGTGCGTATTGTGAAGCACTGTGGGTGGTATATGTTTTGCTAATTACTCTTCTCACCTTGAGGTAGATAACACATGTGTATCAAATTTGGCATTCATTTTCAATTGCTGCTGGTATCATGTCTTTTAAGAAATGTGTACGGTATGAAAAACTTGAAAATACTCATGAGTGAAAAATGTTTTTGGAAAAAAATAGATATTTTCATGCAATTATGTAGAGTCTTACTGTGTAAATTTCAAGGCAAGGTTTGTTTCCTGTAAAACAGATCATCGTTCTATGAGGGAATGTTCTTTACTCGTCTTAGCGAATTTCATCTCCTCTTGTGTTGCATTATTTTGCTTTATTCTTTAATTTTGTGTGCAAACGACATGCCAGTTAAAATGAAAACCATCTCACATGTAGAAAAAAAGTCTGGATTTTAAAAACCAATAATAAAATAAACCAACTAATAAAACCCTTACTAAATGACACCATCTGATTAAAGTAAAAAGTGACTTAAACACTAGTAATAAAAAAAGGCAAAACACATTTCATGAAGAATTCAAAGATAAATGTCTGATGAATGTTTTAGCTCAGATGTTTCAGAATGCTGCTGTATGTTTGATGAGGAATTTGAGGGGAAGATTTCACAGCGGAAGGTGTTCCTGTGGCCTGTGTTGACTTAAGTGGTGACCCAACTGGACTGTGAAACTGCGGGATGCCTATGGACTCGAGCTGCTTGTTAGAGAGGAACTCCCCACTGTTGTTCAGAAATCCTTCCTCATTTCCTCTCTCCCCAAGCTTCCCATCCTCTACTGGCTCAGTTTCTAGCATTTCAGGATCTTCTTTCCTGCTAAAGAACTTGTCCAAGTAACTGGTCTAACAGTTTTCCTTCTCAACTTGTTCATCCTTCCTTACCTCACAACAAAACTGATTTATGAGAAAACAGTCCTCCCCACCACTCACAAACTGGCTGTCCCAAGATGATTGGTACGAGGCTTCTAATTGAGCCAGATTTGTCATTCCTTTTTCCTGTTTTTCTTGGCTTACTGACTTTGATATCAAACTTTTCAGTTCTAGTTGGGACACCGAGCTATTCAAGTCATTTAATTTATCAACAACATCAGTAGGCTCATTTTGGGAACTAAGTTGAATGGTTCCTGCAATAATGGAATCAAAGTCAAATCACTGATTCTTTTCTTTTTCTTTTCCAGCCAGTTGCTTTGATGCTTCCTCTAGTGCTATCTGGGCTTTAACCAATCCATTCCTTTCACATTCCGATTTGCCTTTCTTATCAGATTTTTTCTTTGCTTTGTTCTTTCCAGTTGGAAAGATCTATAATAAGCCTGGCTTCATAGTAATGGTTAACTTCACTCTCTCCAAACTAAGTTATCTAAATATGATGATGACCTCATTTTGTAGTTACAAACATGGCTACACTCCAGATGACAGTATTTGTTTTCATGATGATCTGGCTCACAAGGCTCAGTAGAATAATTGATATCAAAAGCAGGATCCTCCAGATACTTTTCCCGATCTCCATTCAAATATTTTCAGGGATCAAATTGTACTTCTTCATCAGTGACATAAAACAGAGATCTTGGATCAAGCTGAACTTAATCAATATCAAAGTTGTTATGTATAGGCCAATCATGTTCTGAAAACTGACAATTACGGTACCTTTCCCAGTTATAAATGTGACTGTGAGTTTCATCCATAAGTAAAACATCATCAACTTTATCTTCAACATGAAAGGGATGACTTGAAATTAGCTCATCCATTGGAAAAGAACATATGCTCATTTTCGGGGGAACCAGCCCCCAGTATTTCAACGTACGTTCTTTTCTATTTTCCCTAAGTGTCGGCTGGTCTGAGAAATAAAGAGAAAGAGTACAAAAGAGAGAAATTTTACAGCTGGGCCTCCAGGGGTGACATCACCTATTGGTAGGTTCTGTGATGCCCCTTGAGCCACAAAACCAGCAAGTTTTTATTAGGGATTTCAAAAGGGGAGGGGGGTACAAACAGGGAGTAAGTCACAAAGATCACATGCTTCAGAGGGCAATAAAAGATCACAAGGGCAGAGAGGCAGAGCAAGATCACAAGGCCAGGGCAAAATTAGAATTACTGATGAGGTTCCATGTCCAGCTGGACATGCATTGTCATTGACAAACATCTTAACAGGAAACAAGGTTCGAGAGCAGACAACTGGTCTGACTAGAATTTGCCAGGCTGGAATTTCCTAATCCTAGCAAGCCTGAGGGCACTGCAGGAGACCAGGGCATATTTCATCCTTTATCTTCAACCGCATAAGGCAGACACTTCCAGAGCGGCCGTCCATAGACCTCCCCTGGGAATGCATTCCTTCCCCAGGGTTATTCCTTGCTGGGAAAAGAATTCAGCGATATTTCTCCTATTCGCTTTCTGCAAGAAGAGAAATATGACTGTTCTGCCCAGCCCCACAGGCAGTCAGACCTTATGGTTATCTCCCTTATTCCCTGAAAATTGCTGTTATCCTGTTCTTTTTTAGGATGCCCAGATTTCATATTTTTCAAACACACATGTTTTACAAACAATTTGTGCAGTTAACACAATCATCACAGGGTCCTGAGGTGACATACATCCTCAGCTTACGAAGATGATGGGATTAAGAGATTAAAGTAAAGACAGGCATAGGAAATTATAAGAGTATTGATTGAGGAAGTGATAAATGTCCATGAAATCTTCACAATTTATGTTCAGAGATTGCAGTAGAGACAGGCGTAAGAAATTATAAAAATACTAATTTGGGGAACTAATAAACGTCCATGAAATCTTCACAATTTATATTCTTCTGCCAGGGCTCCAGCTGGTCCCTCCATTCGGGGTCCCTGACTTCCCACAACAGCTCATGTAAGGACAGGAGAGCGCTTCTGCTGTTAACTGACCCATGGGGCTAAATGTCAAAATTTGTTTCAGGAAGCCCAGTGCTTCTCAACTAATTCCTGGAAGCAGCTGAGTTAAAGGTTTGTTTGGCTCAGTCTTGTCTTTTCTAATGTAAACTGGAGTTATGCTGAGAAGCTCCTGACAATCTTTCTCATGTACAACAGGACTAGATTCTAAAATCAGCTGCATCTGTTCAAGTTCATGTGCACCTGCAAAAAGGATTTTACCAGTCAGCATTTCGAAAAGATGCAGCCTGCAGCCCACATGTCAATGGCTTTAGTATAATTATTATGAGAAAGTAAATGATGTGGAGATCTGTATCATTTAGTAATCAATCCTTCAGAAAGATGATGCTTATGGGAATAATGAGGATCCATGATCCGTGCAAGACTAAAGTCACCTATCTTCAGCACCAAGTTTTCAGTATTAATGAAAAGAATAGCTGGTTTGGGATCTCTGTGCAGTACATTTGCAGAGTGAATATACTTGAGCCCCAGTATCAGCTGATACATGAAAAGCCTGGCACACTCTTCCAGTAAAGGGCCCTGCTCCAGCACATTAGCCAAGTCTGTCTCCATGTACTCCTGAGCAATGTAAACACTGTTCAGCTCTGTAAGAGAGCCCACATTGTATGTTAATTAGCTTCCACTGGGACCAAGAATTTCAGACACTTTCACAGTGTTATTATGGTCAAGTCTTCTAATAATTTTGATATCATGTAGAGCATGTTGACACTCTGGGGATCAGTAAGGACAATTTTCTTGATGGCCACTCTTTTGTCACAGTCATTGTCTACAGCAGAAAAAACCAAGCCATTGCCTCTACAACTCAATGGTTTTAAGTCTATATACCTAGAGCCCAGATCAAAACCATGAATGTTCATGAAACTTTGAAATTTCTCTGCCATTTTGAAACCCTTACTATTGCCTTTTCTTTTCAAAATGTTGAACTTGTGTAAACAAGGAAGAAAACTGGCATGAAAAGGAAATATTTTTCAAAAAGGGAGAAGAAAAATAATTATGCTTCCACAGCAAGATGGTTTCTTGATGTTCACTGCATATGCCAAACAGGCCTGTTGAGTTCCCCTTAGACTGAAATCAAAAAGCTCTACTCATATTGAGAATTAAAAAGATTGCAGTACTCATAGTTCAAGAAAGGGGCAGCAACTCTACAGACATTTAAAGAAAACACTCAAGAAATTCAAATGGAATGAAATGACATACTATGCACTCATATTACTGTGCTAAACGATTTAACATTTAACAAACATGTGAATAAATATGCACACAACAGGCTTCTATGAACATTCTCCTTACAGTGCAGATCCATTCAGTGTTGGACTAGTCCTGAGCAGTGTTGTTCTAAGGAGCCGGTAGGCACCATTTCCGTTTTGCTTCTTTGCTTTCTTTGTTGCTGTATATTTCAACAGGAAGCCCTGGCGGCTGTTGCTTAACAGAAGATGTCTTTTGTTAGTGATCAGGAGGCTCCAGCTCAGCACACTCACAATCAAAGCTACTGTCCATCTTACTCTGATACAATGGGACTTCTCCGACTCCTCGAGAGAATGCGGGGCTGGCGGACAGCCCCCAGTGTCGGCTCAGGTCTCCAGGCTCTCACTTTGCCACAGTCGCTGCCGTATAACCGCGACCCAACTCTGGTCTTTTTTAAATGTGTGTTCTTTGGTGGGCAGGGGAGGATTGCGTGGGGTGGAAGTAGACTCTCTGTATCTGTGGGGAGCTTTGGTTGATGCTTCCAGAACCAAACCAGGCTAGAAGACTTTATGTTTGTGCTGCAGGTGGAAATTGGAAACCAGGAAATTGCATCAGCTAAATTTGATAGTGGAATGGCACTGCTTCCATAAGGGAAAGTCTGTCTTGTAGATTTAATCTCACAATCCATCATTAGTCAAGGTGATACTGATGGATCATTTCTAATATATATGCTGGTCTTTGCACGTATTGTCTCATGAACACACACAATAACCTTATAAGATTATTTTATGGATACGAATACAGGCTCAGAGATGTTAGGAAACTTGTTCAAGGTCAAAGAGTGTGGAAAATTCAAGCCCAAGTTGTTCTAAAGGTGGTTGTTTTGGGAAGGAGGGTGGGATGTGCTTTCACTTGAAATACTAACTTTGACTCTAAAGGGCAACAGTTGAATTTAATTGCTGGGAAATCTAAGGATTTCTCTCCGTAAATAATACTAGGGCTCACTTCACTAGTAGAGAGGGAATAAATTCTCTACCTTTTAGAGGTGGATGATTAGCCTCAGGGTATTGGGCTGCTCTTTAGCTAATTAGTTTGCTGATGTATTAAATGGCTATTGATTCTAAAAGGTGAGCAGTTCATTTCCTACAGACCAATCAGGTCAAACATAATTTCTGTAATAATAATAATTAGGAAATGTACATTCATGCTAGAAAGGGAGCTTGTCACGAGTGTAATCTGAAGCTGCAGGAGGGTGAAGAAGTACAAGAGGTAAATCATCAACAAGAATGAACTGAACATGAATCCTTAATGGAAACCTAGCTACCCATTAAACAGCAGAGGTAATTGAGCTGTTTAATGGATATTTTAATTTTTACAGGCTATGAGATTGTAGTTTGAAAAATTATCTTTTGAAATAATAATGTGCACATAATTGATATACTGAGTTACCATAGAAATCACCTTCAGTACTATTAACACTGCTAATCATGTTGCCTCACTTTTAATGTGTTTCATAAGTCTAAATGCTTCCTAGCAGCTACATAAATCTATCTTACTTTATAGTTTAAGACTACTCTTTTTTCTGATTCTTTGATAAATTTAAGTCTCTGAAAGACATCCAGCTTATAAATTTAAACAAACATAAAACAAAACTCATATTTTCTGGTAGCAAATATCGGTTTAGAATTCTATTACTTGGGTTCCATTTTTCATATTTTTTTCTGTCACCTTATATCTGTAGAGTCTGCTTGAAGTCATTACTCCATTTGTCCATGCATTCATCTATCCATCCATGATCCATCATCCATCCATCCATCCATCCATCCATCCATCCATGCATCAACCCATCCATCCATGCATCCATTCATGAGCCACCATCCATCCATCCAACCATCCATCCATGCATCCATCCATGCATTTATCCTTCTAGCCATCTTTTAACTCATCACATAAATTAAGCACGAATTACATGCAAGTATTTGTGCTATACAGGCACTCTGGAGCTTATAAAAATAAATTACACAATATGCCTCCTATTATCAAGTTTGCAATCTAGCAAGAAAAACTAGACTCAAATGTACATTGTGTATATAAGAAAGTTTTTGGTAAATACCAGAAGAGTATGCATGTAAAAATGTTATTGGAGAAAGAAATCTCTTCTGGATAGAGGCTGATATTTCTTCTTAGTTATTTCATATACAATAGGCAACACAAATTGTACATTTTTCAAACTAAATTCACTAATTCTTCCTTCACCTACCACTAAATTTTCCCATCATCTGCATTCCCCATACTCAGTGGTTTCACTTGCTACCCACTTAAATTAGAAACTAGAAATAATAGAGTCATCTTTGATTCAGATTCCTACTGTACCTGAATTAATCGCCAAATGTCAAATATTTTGCTTTCTAAAATTTTCTCGGATCTATTTTGTTCTCGCCATACTTGGCACAACTATCTTGATAGAAACCTTCATGAGTTTACCCATTAGATTATTGCAATAGTTTATCAACTAGTTTTTCTGCCTCTTGTGCCTTGCAAAATCTCCTTTCACATAACAGCTGGTGTGATATATTTAGACAAAATCTGAAGTCCCTTGATCAAAAGTCTTCAATGGCTTCTGATAGCCGGCAACTTCCCTGCTATGTTGTGTACAAAGCCAACCTCGACCTGTCCTCTTTATTTCTCTAGCCTCGTCTTCTTACTTAAGATCTAGGATTTAGGATCTCTGAACTATGTTTTTTTTTTCTTTTTGTAAATTATTTTAGTGCTTCCATGATGATTTAGAGGGACTATCTTCAAATCAATACAAATATTTCATAATTAATATCTGGCTGTTTTCTAATCAATTGAGTAATTTGTTGCACAGTAAGCCACCTCACATCTTTCAGCAAGAAATACATTAAATTTGAATAGTAAATTACAGAATGAATTAGGACAAAATTCAAATTTGCTTTAAATATTTCTTTGGAGGAGGAGACGCCACACTTCTACTCAATGAAGAGAAACATTTTTACAGTCCAGAAGTCTTTTATTTCATTTAAACAGTTAATATGCCATGAATCCATAGGGAATAGCTTCCTCAGCTCAGGCTCCTTCCCACTGGTTCTCACACAGTGCGTGTCTCTGGGTGGAGCAGGATGGCGCTTCAGTTGAACCCAGGTACCTTTCTCTTTGGCTTCTTTCTTTTTCTGATCATGTTCCTTCAGGCGTTTCAGGAAGCTATCTCGGCTCTTAGAGTGCTTAATGTGCTCAATACGCACATTAATTCTCTTGGCAAGAATCTTTCCCTTAACTTGTTTGTTACAACAATGCCAACAGCATGCTGGGCAACACTGCAGACTCTTCGTTTTGCCATGGTAACACTTGTGGGGCATTCCTTTTTGAACAGTACCCCTTCCCTTGATATCTATAATACCACCTCTCTTACAGATTTGCATAAACATGGCCAAAGGAACAACTCCATGTTTTTTTTTGTTGTTGTTTGTATTTTTGAGAAGGAGTCTCACTCTGTCACCCAGGCTCGAGTGCAGTGGCATGATCTCGGCTCACTGCAACCTACACCTCCTGGGTTCAAGCAATTCTCTTGCCTCAGCCTCCTGAGTAGCTGGGACTACAGGCGCACGCTGCCAAGCCTGGCTAATTTTTTGTATTTTAGTACAGATGGGGTTTCACCGTGTTGCCCAGGCTGGTCATGAACTCCTGAGCTCAGGCAATCCTCCTGCCTCGGCCTCTCAAAGTGCTGGGATTACAGGCGTGAGCCCCTGTGCCCAGCCAACTCCATGTCTTCTAAAAGGCCTAGAGAACACGGGTCAGGTGTCTCTCCTCTTTCCCTTTGTGTTCGTCATTTTGGTAAATTACTGGAAGATGGTGGTTCCAGCTGAAAGGCCAGTTTTTGCTTTTAATTAGACAAAGTCTTGCTTTTTCACCCAGGCTGGAGTGTAGTGGTGCCATCGCGGCTCAGTGCGGCCTCGAACTGCTGGACTGAAGTGATCTTCCCACCTCGGCCTCCTGAGTAGCTGGGACCACAGGCATGTACCACCACACACAGTGAATTTTGGAAGTTTTTGGAGAGTAGGGGGTCTCACTGTGTTGCCCAGGCTGGTCTTGAACTCCTGGCCTCAAGCAATCCTCTTGCTTCAGCCTCCCAAAGTGCTGAGATGACAGGTGTGAGCCACCATACCTGGCCTAGTTCTGTTTATACAACTGCTATTTCTAGATTCTCTGCCTTGTACATCATTCTCAAATACATTTCTGCAATGGTTTCACCTATCTGATTCCCATGTATCCTTCGAGTCTCAACTCAAAAGTCAATGTTCTGTAAGAAGCCTTTCCTAATCAGAACCGAGGGAGTAGGAGCCCTGCCTCTGTGCTTCTGTTTTATCCCATGTATCCCTATTATGCCCTCAAAAAAGATAAAGACTTCGCTCAGAAACATCTGGGCAAACACGGCAGAATGAAAATGGATCATAGAATCTCTGTCACTTAGTACCTGGTAAAATGGTCAAAAATTGTAAAATAAACCCCAAAGGCTCAGACTCCCTAAACTCTCTTCCTTCCTGCCCCCAAATTTACCACCACAAGTCAAACAATGAACAAAATCTAACACTACTGACTTCAGAAAGTGATGAACAGGGGAAGGAAGAAGGTCCTTCCAAGGGAGGGTCACTTAAGTCCAGCAGTTCCAGGCTGCAGTGAGCTGTGACAGCACCACCGCTCTCCAGCCTGGGTGAAAGAGTGAGACCTTGTCTAATTAAAAACAAAAACAAAAACAAAAAACCCCACAACAACTGTAGTTATTCCAGAGATCCCAAAGCCGAGCACTTGAGTAAGGAGATAAGGCTAGAGAGATACAGAGGACGGGTCGAGGTTGGCCTTGCACACACCACACTAGGGAAGGTGCCGGCTATAGGAGACCATTGAAGGCTTTTCATCAAGGGACTCCAGATTTTATTTAAATAGATTACACCAGCTGTTGCGTGAAAGACAGATTTGCAAGACACAAGAGGCAGAAAAACAGTTGCAATAATCAAATGGTAACTCATGAAGGTTTCTACTAACATAGTTGTACCAAGCATGGAGAGAAAGGGATAAATCTGAGAAAATTTTAGAAAGTAAAATATTTGGCACTTGGTGATTAATTCAGGAAGGTGTAGTAGAAATCTGAATCAAGGATTATTCTATTGTTTCTAGTTTCTACTTTAAGTGGGGAGCACGTGAAACCACTGAGTATAGGGAATGCAGATGATGAGAAAGTTTAGTGGCAGGTGGAGGAAGAATTAGTGAAGTTAGTCTGAAAAATGACGGAGTAGAGGGCATTGCTACTACCTCCGTCCTGGGGAGCTGCTTCCTAGGAGTATCTTGACTAAGATCCAGGAGCAGGCTGGCTGATGGGGGGATGAGGCTTCCTGCACTGACTGTGGCTAGTGAAAGAGAAACATGAAACCTGGGACCCAGTCTAGGATAATATCTGAGAGCACAGATTTTGAAGTCAGACAGCTTCTACCTCTAGTTATGTGATTTTGGGCATAACCTAACTTCTAACTTAACTTCTCAGTGACTCAGCTTCCTCATCTGTAAAATGGGGATGAAAACAGCTCCCACCTCAAAGTGAAGCTGTAATGGTTAAAATTGGTTAATATATTTAAAGTAATTAAGACAGCATGTGCATGTAGTACCCCAAGGTGAGGGTCAGCTACTCCCATCTCAGACTCAGGATAAAAGTGAACTACATGCGCATTATTGTTTTTGCTCTCTTCTGTTTGGTGGGCAGCAGAAATGTTGGAGAAATGGGAGAAGCACATTCTCAGGCCCTTCCCTGAGTTAGGGGAATGATCCACCATCTGCAGTTATCCTCTGAAGAGAGAGTGGAGCCCAGGCGTCCTCACAGAGCCTGCGCTGGGCCTCTGCTGGGCTTCTCCATCTGCTCTCCTGTGCCTTCAGGTTAGAGGAAAGTGTGTACAGCTAGATCTTCCTAGGCTTCAAACTATAGTGCTGAGGGGGATAACAAAGAGATGCCTCCCACACTGTGTATCAGCAAGCAGAGTCTGGTCATGAGCACCCTGCCCAGGAGGAGCACCAAGAGACAAGTTCTGAATGTGAAGAAAAATGCACCAGGACAGTGAGGGGTCAGCCTATCATCTGGAAAATCCAAAAACAGGGGACATTCCACTCTAGTAATTTACACTATAGAAAACCCTGGAAAGCTTACATTCAATAAGGTAAGGCCTTAAAGAAAAGCTGATAAGGGCTGGGCGCTGTGGCTTATGCCTGTAACTCCAGCCCTTTGAAAGGCCGAGGCGGGCAGATCATGAGGTCAAGAGATCAAGACCATCCTGGCCAACATGGTGAAACCCCGTCTCTACTAAAAATACAAAAATTAGCCGGGCGTGGTGGCATGCGCATGTAGTCCCAGCTACTCGGGAGGCTGAGGCAGGAGAATTGCTTGGACCTGAGAGGTGGAGGTTGCAGCAGTGAGCGGAGATCACGCCACTGCACCCCAGCCTGGGCGACAGAGTGAGACTCTGTCTCAAAAAAAAAAAAAAAGAAAAAAAAAAGCTGATAAAACTGGGATGAATATAACAGAACTAAAGGAACAGGTTAAGAACCCAAACAACATCATCCCAGAACTATTACCTATACTGAGAAGAACTAAGAGGAAAATAGGCACAGCTGAACACAAAATGATAAATAACTGGCTTGAGCTAATCAACAGGAATCCAAAGAAAACTGAAAAAGATGAATTCATTGAGAGCAAAAAGTAATTGATAGAGAAGACAAAATAATCCAGCTAAAACAGTGCTGGGAGGACAGAGTTCACCAAATGGGACAGAAAAATAATCATGTGAGTATAAAATAAAACAAAAATCTCCTTAATGAAGAGCCAGGTGCGTGGGTTAAAGATCACGCTGTGCTCAAGGGAAAGCAGATAAAGAACTGCTGACCCTGAACTCAATCCTCACGAAGTCATTAACCTCGCTGAAAACAAGGGCAGTCTTCAGGCATCCAGGCAGATGCAGCAGCACCTACCCCGGAGCTGGCCTCATACACCCCCGCTGCCAGGCTCAAAGTAAGAACACAGTGTCCACATGTTTCCATGGTAATGAAGCTGTGACCAAAATATACACCCATCAGAATTGACATTTCACCCTGGTACTCCGGGGCAGCTTAACCAGTTCTCCGCCGCGCAGTCGCGGTCAGGATGGGATTGGACATGTGGATGGAACTGCGGCGGGAAGCTTGTTTCCTTTGTGGTACTGCAAGTCTGGTCTCGCCCTCACCGACGTGCTCCACCGCCCTGGCTTCCTTACCATGCCGTGGGCACTGTGAGCTCCTGCCCACGTTGAGGTTTGACACTTGATGTTTCCTGGAGTGTCCTTCTCCTGCCTCTGGCCTCGTCCAACCCCGAAAGCGGACCTCTTCTATCACCTCATCACACAGCCTGACCTGTCATCTGCTGTGTCCCCTCCTCCCCTCCCCACCTGCAGCTTTTGTTCATTTCCTTTATGGCCCTCACTTTTTACTGTCTGCCTCTCATGGAATGAAGCCCATAAGCTCAGGGGCCTCACTTTCTGTATCCTTAGTGCTTAGAGCAGGGCTTGGCATCCATTAGCTGCTCAATAATCATTCGCTGGAGAAGAGAAGGAAGGAAAAGATGGAGTGAGGAAAGATGAAAGGAGGGCTTGGGCTGAGCCTTTATAGGTGGATTGAATGTTGGATGGATTCAGAGGATTCCAGGTGTATGGGGTGTTGACTAGAAAGAGAAGAGGAGAAATAGGCATCTGAAAACCAGATCCAAGTCTCATGAAGAAAACAGCTCATCAAATATTGCCCTTTACTTGGGCTTTGAATTAAATGTTAACTTTTTATTCCACTACCTTTGAGATTATGATAAATTATAAAATACTGTTTATAGCTATTTTATTTTAGTTTTTAAGAGATGGGGTCATGCTTTGTCACCCAGGCTGGAGTGCAGTGGCACCATCAGATCATCCCTCACTGCAACCTTGAACTCCTGGACCTAAGTGATCCTTTGGCCTCTCTCCTGAGTAGCTGGACCACAGGCATGAGACACCATGCCTGGATAATTGCAGCTCTTTATCCTATCAGTACTCAGAGCTCTAAGTAGCTGTATAACAGGGACTCTCATGAATTGGGCATCAGCCACAGAACACTATAGAGCAGGTTATTTTCTGGGTGGCTTGGGGCCGATGAAATAAATCCTGGGATAAATTATGACATGGAGATTTGAATGCTTGAACTATAGATTTTGTCCAGAAAAGGCTTCTTGCTAGCTACTGGGATTTTAAAAAATCAGTGTTTTCTGTTATGTGATTATTATCTTAGAAATATACAGTTGCTTCTTCTTATTAGTGGCAGTTGTATTCTATAATGTCGCTGTGAACTCTGAATTAGTAAATTCAGAAGCATTGCTCCCAGGAAAAATACAGGGTTAGGTCACTGCAAGCCACTAGTCAAAACATTTTTGTCCACTGATCAATACATGAGCTTGTTTTTTGTGTGTTTCTATTTAAAGACACCTTGCTTAATACATATCATTGATTCATTAACATTGAACTCATGGACAACAGCACTGTAACTCGTGTCTGAAGGAAGCTTATCTAATGCATGTATTTTTCCCCTTGAATAACATCACAGCCTTCTTGCACTTAGGAACCATAGACAGCACCATAGTTAGGGTGTTATTTTAAACAGCAGAATCATCAACAAAAAGCCCCCCAAAATGCAAAAAACATGGCACCAAATGGAATGTGGGGAGGATACTTGTTTGCAGTGTGAGAGCTGAAACAAGAAGGCAGAGGGTTTGACTTCAGCTGGGAGTGTGCATTGGGTTTCTCAAATTTTTTGCCTCTCTATCCATGTCTGCAAGGACTGTACAAACACTGTGAATATTGACTTTGGAGTGACAAATACATTTTAGTAAGCAGATGAATTCACAAACCTTGAATCAGCGAATAGCAAAGATGGAGTGTATTTTCTAATTTCTTAAGATGTGAGTCTGAGTTTGGTAAATGTTAGTAAAGATAGGTAGTCCAAAGTCACCCAAATCGCATTAGAGCTCTGTTGCTGCTATCACAAGACCTTGATTGCGGTTTAGATTTTTTAAAAGTTTTGAAGCATTTTCAGCTCATGGTGAATATATGTATTGATTCATTATTGAACAAATATTTGTAAGAATACATGTTTTCTACTATTCTGGAGGCTTTATAAAAACATAAAACTTTTATAATAACATATAGTCTCTTTGTGATTTACAGATTTTTAACTACTTTCATGAGCACATCTCCTTTAATTCCCCTCACCCCTTGAAAGGTGCTTGGGAACCCAGCATTAGTGGAAAGTCTGAGAATGGGGACAGCTCTCTAGATTCTGGGGGTAAAATGTAAGGGGGGTCCTGGCCTAGAGAAACTTGTCTTGCTAGGAGCTAGAGTATATTATGAGGCCAGCACCAGAAGCCAAGTTTTATTTTAATGACCACATCACGTGGGCCCCTTAACCAGTCACCAGTGGTGTGATCCTAGAGCCTTCATGTGGGCCAGTCGGCCCAGGCACCAACAGCCCCCTAGAGAGGTGGGCAGGTGCCTGCAGGAGACTGTGAAGTACTCTGAAGGCAAATGATAAACTAAGCAAGGTGTGGTGAGGGAGACCAGCTGTTGGTCAATAAATGACACCTTGCCCAGTGTTAAGAGCACAGTTTCTGGAGCCAGATATCCTGAGTTCCAAATCAGCTCTGTTTCTTAATAGCTGTGTGACTTTCAGGGATGATATGTTTAGCCTCTCTGTGCATCAATTCATTTATCTGTGAAAGTGGGACAATAATATACTAACATCATAAGGCCATTGTAATAATGAAATAAATTACAACTATGAAGTACTATATAAGCTCAGATTGTGACAGGTACACCCCAGAAATATTGTGGGTTCCATTCCAGACCACTGCAGTAAAGCAAATATTGCAATAAAATGAGTCACATACATTTTTTCCCTAATTCATATAAAAGTTATGCTTACACTGCACTGTAATCTATTGAGTGTGCAGTTGTGTTATGTGTAAAAAATAATGTACATATCTTAATTCAAAATATTTTATTGCTAAAAATGCTAACAATGATCTGAGCCTTCAGCAAACCATCATCTTTTTGCTGGTGAAGGGTCTTGCTTTGATGTTGATGGCTGCTGAATGATCAGGGTGGTGGTTGCTGAAGATTGTGGTGGCTGTGGCAGTTTGTTAAGACAACAATGGAGTTTGCCAGAGCAATTGACTCTTCCTTTTATGAAAGAAAGGAAGCAATTGACTCTTCCTTTTATTTCTCTGTAGCATGCAATGCTGTTTTATAGCATTTTACCTGCAATAGAACTTCTTTCAAAATTGGAGCCAACACTCTCAAACTCTGCTGCTGCTTTATGAACTAAGTTTATGCAGTACTCTAAATCCTTTATTGTTATTACAACAATGTAAATAGCACCTTCACCAAGAGTAGATTCTATCTTAAGAAACCACTTTCTTTGCTCCTCCTTCATAAGAAGCAGTTCCTCATCTGTTCAAGTTTTATCATGAGATTGCAGAAATTCAGTCCCACCTTGATTGTAGAAATTCAGTCCCACCTTCAGGCTCCACTTCTAGTTCTCTTGCTATTTCTATCGCATCTGCTGTTGCTTCCTCCACTGAAACCTTGAACCCGTCAAAATCACCTATGAAGGTTAAAATTAACTTCTTCCAAACTACAGTTAATGTTGATATTTTGATGTCATGAATCATGAATGTTCTAGAGTGGCATCTAGAAGAATGAATACTTTCCAGAATGTTTTCAATTTCCTTTTCTAGTCCATCAGAGGAATCACCATCTATGGCAGTTATAGTGTTAGGGAATGTATTTCTTAAATTACAAGACTTGAAAGTTGGAATTAGTCCTTGAACCATGGGCTTCAGAAGCGATGTTGTGTTTGCAGGTCTGAAAATATCCTTGTACCTCTCTGTCAGGACTCTTGAGTGACCAAGTGCATTGTCAATGAGCAGTAATATTTTGAAGGGACTCTTGTTTTTTTTTTTTAAGTCATAGTGAGGAAGGAGACCACCAGTTCTCCTGCTGCTCTCCGCCTTGCCTAGTTTATAAAACAAGAGAAAAAGGAGAAAGCAAAAAGTTAAAAAGAAAAAAAGTAAGATAAATAGCCAGATGACCTTGGGGCCACCACCCTGCCCTGATGGTTAAATAATAATAATAATAATAAAAATAATAATAATATCAACCCCTGACCTCAACTATTTGTGTTATCTGTAAATTCCAGACATTGTATGAGGAAGCATTGTAAAACTTTCTGTTCTGTTAGCTGATGCATGTAGCCCCCAGTCACATTCCCCATGCTTGTGACCCTTTCACGTAGACCCCTTAAAGTTGTGAGCCCTTAAAAAGGCCAAGAATTTTTTTTTGGGGAGCTCAGCTCTTAAGATGCAAGTCTGCTGAAGCTCCCGGCCGAATAAAGCCGCTTCCTTCTTTAACCCGGTGTCTGAGGAGTTTTGTCTGTAGCACGTCCTGCTACATTTCTTGGTTCCCTGACCAGGAAGCAAGGTGAGGCAGCCCCTTAGGCAGCTTTTGCCTGCCCTGTGGAGCATCCCTTTGGGTGACCCTAGCTGGCTTGAGTGACACAGATCCTGAGAACACTCCCAGGTAGGCATTTGCCCTGGTGGAATGTCTCATCAGAGCAGTGTGCCGCAGGCCCCCGTGGAGGATCAACACAGTGGCTGAACACTGGGAAGGAACTGATGCTTGGAGTTGGACATCTGGAATATGGTAAGACTGGTCTTAGGAACTTGCCTACTCCATTTGAGTGGAAGCGTGGCCTGATCACCCACAGTGTGCCTTTATTTGCACTTTGGTTTTGGTTTTGATTTTGACTTGGCTTGAATTGCTTGATGAACAGGTATGCATTTATCGGCACTTTGGTTTTGGTTTTGATTCTGATTTGGTGTGAATTTCTTGATGAGTGAGTGACCTTTTACCCTTTGCCCTTTTTCCCTTCTTGTGGCAAGAGTGGCTCACCACCCCAATTATGAACATAGGAACTGAAAGTGTGTGAAAGTGTGTGAATGGAGGGGCCTAATTAGGCTCATCAGCTGAGAAGTGGGGAGTCACAGATCTCTTAGTGTGAACTGTGTGCTCCGTGAAAGTGTGGGGCTGACTAAGACTAGTGGCAATCTACATACCGCTAATAGGAGCTGCCCTACAGCTCAGAGTTGTAGTGGGAATAAGGACCTCTCCAAAGGCAAGCAGCATCTAAAAACTCCCATAATAGGAGATGGTGTAGTCGGCCAAAACGAGAGAAAGAGTGAGTGTGCAAGAGTGAATGTGCTGCGTCATAAAAGGAGGAATAGAAGAAAAGTCACCAAAACATCAAAACTTACTCTATTGGAGTGCATGTTACAGAACCTTAAGAAAGGTTTTGGAGGGGATTATAGAGTTAAGTTAACCCCCCAGAGGTTGAGAACTCTCTGTGAATTAAAATTGCCTTCTTTTGGTGTTAGATGGCTGACTGAAGGAACTTTAAACAAGGAACAATTGGCCATGTATTTAAGGTGGTGACAAGGGTTGGAGGACAGCCAGTGTACCCAGATCAAATTCCTTTATATTGACTCATGGCTAAATATAATATAGACAAAACCAGCATAGATCCAGCCCTGTTTAATGGCTTATTGCAAAAAAGCCAAAAGTGAAAGTAAGAGCAGCTTTGCCAGCAGACACAGAGTTAAAAGGGGAGTCCCAGAGACAGCAAGAGAAGCCAGTTGTACAGGAACTGCCAAAGGCAACAGAAATTCTTTCTCCCTATGTCCCAGCCTACCCCCACTTTACCGAGGCCAACAGCCGCCTCAGAAACCAGATTCAGGAGCTAACATGCCCCAGGTCTCACGAGGATCAGAGACTCCAGAGGCCAGGGAAGGAGATCAAGGTAGTCAAGCGGGGGTCGTCTCAGATCTGGTTGTGCTCGAGCTATGCAAATGCCTCTCACGGAGATGCGAGGACCTATCTATTATGATGACCAGGGCCACATCCGGAGGGGGCAACAGACTTTCATCTATCAGCCCTTTTCAACCACTGATCTACTAAACTGGAAACACTCTGAACCCTGCCATCTTGCTCCTGGTATCAGAGAGCCCTGTCGTGCATAACTGTGTAGAAGTGTTGGACTCGGTTTACTCCAGCAGACCTGATCTCCGGGACCAGCCTTGGGCATCAGTAGACTGGAAGCTATATGTGGACAGGAGCAGCTTCATCAACCCACAAGGAGAGAGATGTGCGGGATATGTGGTGGAACCCTGGACACTGTCGTTGAAGCCAGATCGTTGCTCCAAGGCACTTCAGCCCAGAAAGATGAGCTCATTGCTTTAATTTGGGCCTTAGAACTCAGTTAAGGTAAGACTATAAACATTTACACTGACTCTCGGTATGCCTTTTTAACCCTCCAAGTGCATGGAGCATTATATAAAGAAAAAGGGCCTGTTGAACTCTGGGGGAAGGACAAAAAGGACCCGGAGGATGCAACTCAGCTTCAACGTTTGCAGAGGTACCAAGAGGCACTTCTGCAGGGGCTAAGAGTTAGTAGAAGGAAAGCAATTAATATAAGGAAGATTTCAGAAGTGCTTCAGGGAGCTGAAGAAAGGCTAAGTCAGTTTTATGAAAAACTCTGTGAAGCATTCTGGTTTACACCCCATTTAACCCTGAGACTGCTGAAAATCAGCATATGGTAAATACTTCATTTGTAAGGCAAGCCCAGGGTGACATCAAGCAGAAGCTGCAGGCATGAATACCACCCAGTCTATAAAAGTAGCTACCAAGGTCTGTCTTAACTGTGACCAGGGAACAAAACAAGAAAAAGCAAAAGCAACAAGTGCAGCAGCTAGGAACGCCAAGGGTTAAATCCCTCTCCCCAGCCCGGCTGTATCTGAATAAAAGGGGGCTGGAGACCGGTATTAGGAGAAGAACAAAGGAAAAAGAAAGGAAAAAAATAAAAGTGTGAGAAAGAAAAAAAAAAGGTAAACAAATCAGAAAGAAATGAGAGACAGACAGCAGTGCAAAGGGGCAAGGCCCGTGCTGTTGCCCTGCCCTGCCATTGCCCGGCCCTGCCGGCTGGCCGAAGGAGCAGGAGAACTCAGGAATGAAAAAGGAAAGTAAATTAAAGGCTTAAGAAAAAGGCCAATCTGTTGGCAACGGCTCTTATAGAAAGAGAGATTAGCAATGTCAGAGGATGTAGACGCAGATGTAGATGTGGAAGAAATCAAGTTAGGCAGGGATTCAAGAGCCAGACAAGGCTAGAAAGAAATTAATGTGTGAGATGAAAAAAGGACACTGGAAGGATAAATGTTCAGAAGACAATGAGGGAAATGGCCAAGTGCTGCCCCACCTTGGAGGAACCAAATACTGATCTGATCAGGCTGGCAGGAGCTAAAGGATGTAAGGACTAGGACAGACTGGACACCTTCTCATTAGGCTCCCAGGAGCCCATGGTCACATTAGAAGTCAAAGGCAGCAAAATTCTGCCGTATCTGGATTCCAATTTCTCACTGATAGCTAAGCCACTAGATAAAATTACAAAGAAACAAAGAAAAAAAAACCCTCCTCTAGGAAACTGAACAGGAGAAGGAGCCATGCCTTGTGAAAACTTGCTTATAAACTTTACAGAATTTCCCCGTGCTGGTGGCTATCGGTACATGCTAGTGCTTGTTTGCTGCTTTTCAGAGTAAGTTGAAGCTTTCCCTATCAGGACAGAAAAAGTATGAGAAGTGACTAAAGTACTGTTAAAAAACATTATCCCCAGGTTTAGACTGCCTCTAACTTTAAAGTCAGACAATAGGCCGGCATTTGTAGCTGAAATAGTGCAAGATTTAACAAGACTGTTAAAAATAAAATAAAAGTTGCATACAGCCTATCAGCCGAAAAGTTCAGGAAAAAGTAGAACACATGAACTGGACACTCAAGCAGCTACTGAGGAAATATTGCCAGGAAATTCATTTGAAGTAGAATCAGGTTTTTGCCTATGGTCCTCCTCCGAGTCAGGTGCACCCCCACCAAACAAACTGGGTATTTGCCCCATAAGATTTTGTTCAGTCAGCCACTCCCAAATCATAGGTCAAATTAAAGATGACCTCCAGGAACTAAAGGAATTAACCTTAAGAAAGCAAATGCAGGCTTTAGAAATAGCCATGCAAAGTGTTGATAATTAAATATATGAAAATGCCTATAAGCCTGACACCCCTTTAAATCTGGTAAATCTGTTTCAGTTAAAAAGTAGAATCTAATTTCTCTAGGTCCCATATAGGATGGGCCCTATACTGTAATCTTGTCCACTCCCACTGCTGTTAAAGTTGCAGGTGTTATGTCTTGGATCCACCACCATCGGCTAACACCATCAGCTCGGGACAGGTAAACCAGCCAGCAAGACCCAGATATCCAACCCGGCTAATCCTGAGATGAGACCAAGCTGCTGCTGAGGACAACAGCCCTGCTCTGGTTACTCTGGAGGCTGACCAGTCTATGTACGGCTGAAGCTTGAAGAAACAATAAGCCCTGCATTAGTCATACACCAGAAGCTGAGTAGTCTAAGCATGGCTGAAGCTTGAGGACTTGTCAAGCAAATAATGTAGTTAGAAATCTTAGGACTAGTGGTTTTCCTGTATACTAACTGTTTTACTATTGTTCTGTCACTGTGCTCAATCTTTTTCTCAGGTAAGGACCTCTTTTGTCCTTGCTGGATATAAATATGCTGTACATTGCTTTGTTGTTGTTACCCCCCTTAACTATGCTAAAAGAAACACCTATAGAAAGGTGTCCCCACTGTACACATACTACTTGGTCAAGGAACCCAAACCCGTCTGGCCCAGCAACAATTCTGAGCCTTTAAGTCATTCTCTGAGCATATAAACTAGAAGTTACCAGAGCCTCCTCCTTTAGCAAAAAAAAAAAAAAAAAAAAAAAAAACCAAAAAAAAACCAAAAAAACCAACCAAACAAAACAAACCTATTTATTCAGCTAGCTGAAAACATTGCCAGCAGCCTAGGCCTTTCCTTATGTTATGTTTGTAGAAAGGCTAACATAAGAGACCAATGGCCTTGAGAAGCAAAAAAGTTAATGCCTCAAGATAACTTTACTTTTACTTTAACTGACTCTTTCCCCAAACAGACACCCACAAGTTCAAGCGTCTGGCTCATAAAAACTTCTATTATTAAGAAATACTGTGTTGCTTGCTAGGAAAAGGCTTTTACAAACAGGTGAGCTCCTAAGTTTCCCTGTCTATGCCTTCCAAGAAAAAAAAAAAAGCATAGCTATAAAACATTAAAAAGATAATAAGTGGCCCCCTGGAAAAGTTGTACAGTACTATAGGCCAGCCATGTGGGCACAAGATGGCTCATAAGGATACTGAACCCCCATCTACATGCTCAATCAAATCATATGGTTGCAGGCTGTCTTAGAAATAATCACTAATAAAACTGGCAGAGCTTTAGAAGAATTTCAGGGATGAGATAGCTCCTAACTCCTTTGATTGATCCTTATGTTATCTATGTTGGGCATTATAACAGAATCCCATAGATGGGGTAGCTTAAACAACACAAATGTACTTCTCATAGTTCTAGAGGCTGGGAAGTTCAAGATTAGGGTGCTGACATATCTACTGTCTGGTGAGGCAGCCATTTTGTTATAGTACCCTTACATGGCAGAGAGTAGAGAGAGAAAGAGGTGAGGAGAAAGAGACAGAGACAGAGCAGAGAGATGGAAAGAGATAAAGAGTGAGTGAGGGAGCAAGTACTCCTGTGTTTTCTTATAAGGTCCCTAATCCCATTCATGAGGACTCCACCCTCATGAATCACTCTCTAAAGACCCCACCTCCAACCACCATCAATTAGGAGTTAAGATTTTGACATTTGAATTTGAGTGGAGTGGTAAAGGAAAGTGATTTACCCACAACACTTTTGAAACCAAACAACAGCTTTTCTTTTTTCTTTTTTACTAAAATTTTATTTTAAGTTCCAGGATACATGTGCAGAATGTGTAGGTTTGTTACACAGGTAAACGTGTGCCATGGTGGTTTGCTGCACCTATCAACTCATCACCTAGGTATTAAGTCCAGCATGCATTAGCTATTTACCCTGATGCTCTCCCTCCCCCATCCAACCCTGACAAGCTGTGGTGTATGTTGTTCCCCTCCCTGTGTCCATGTGTCCTCATTGTTCAGCTCCCACTTATGAGTGAGAATACACAGTATTTGGTTTTCTGTTCCTGTGTTAGTTTGCTGAGAATGATGGCTTACAGCTTAATCCATGTCCCTGTAAAAGACATGATCTCATTCTTTTTTATGGCTGCATAGTATTCCATGGTGTGTATGTACTACATTTTCTTTATCCAGGCTATCATTAATGGGCATTTGGATTGATTCCATGTCTTTGGTTTTGTGAATAGTGAATGAACAAGCAGTTCTACACCAAGCAGTTATCCATATCTCTGCAGAAACCAGTGAATGTTTTACAATTTAATTCACTTCTGACACTAACTACCAAGAGTGCAGATTCCAAGGTTAAGAGGTAAATCCCACAAACCTGTGCCCCACTTCAGATGCCAATCACAAGTAATGGGTACCCAGGGTGCCTACACTTCTCTCTGACTTGGCTACAAATTGGTGGTTCCCATGACCTCTTCCTAAGTTTCAATAATTTGCGATAATAGCTCACAGAACTCAGGAAAACAACTTCCTTACAATTACTGGTCTATTATAAAGGATGTTTTAAAGAATACTGATGAGCAGCCAGATGAAGAGGTACCTAAGGTGAAGTCTAGGGTGATCCCAAGCATAAGAGCTTCTGTCCCATGGAGTTGGGCCACACCACCCTCCAGACATATGGATGCACTCACCAACCAGGGAGCTCTCCAAACCCCATAGGTTAGGGATATTATGGAGGCTTCATTGGGTAGGCATCATCAATTATTAACTCAGTCTCCAATCCTTCTCCCCTCCCTGAAAATAAGGGGGTAGGGCTGAATGTTTCAAGCTTCTCACCATGGCTTGTTATCTCTGATGAGAAGTCCCTATCCTGAAGCTCTCCAGGAGCCCACCAAGGGTTACCTCTTAGAATAAAGACACCTGTATTACCCTGGTAATTTTAAGGGGTTTAGAAGTTCTGTGTCAGGAACCAAGGGCAGAGATCAAATATGTTTTCTTATATCACAGAAGGACACAAATGTTCAGCCCTTAACAATCCTCTTGCAGGTTTGTGTGTCGGTTGCACAAAAGCATGGCTTTGTGGAGAATATATGTGGTGCATTTATTTAAATGTGATTTCACAGCTGAAAGTATTTTTCTAAAAGTCTAAATTAGTTTCAAAAGATTGCACCAAATCCCTTAGAACATGCAGCAAAACAAAAACAAAACTCAGCAGGATTCTAAATGCTGTTCTGAAATATATATAATTTGTGTTTTAAATTGGCCTCTGATTCTATTCCTCATAGCAATGCTTCTAAATCCTAATCACCACCCTTTAAGTTACATCCCACCTCTCCCCTTCCTTCACTTGACCCTTCCTCCTATTTCCTGGCAAAAACACACATCACCAGACATGAGTTCTCTTTGCTGGTGCTTTCTAGCTTCAGGCACATGTGTTTCTCCATTGTTCCCTTCTTTCCTCTCTCAAAGAAAGGATGATCGCTTTCATATTTTGGTCCTTTCTTTTTTTTTTCTTTTTTTTTTTCTTCGAGACAGAGTTTTGCTGTTGTTGCCCAGGCTGGAGCGCAATGGCATGATCTCAGCTCACTGTAGCCTCCGGCTCCAGGGTTCAAGTGATTCTCCTGCCTCAGCCTCTTGAGTAGCTGGAATTACAGGCATGCACCACCACACCCAGCTAATTTTTTGTAGTTAGTAGAGATGGGCTTTCACCATGTTGGTTAGGCTGGTCTCGAACTCCTGACTTCAGGTGATCAGCCCACCTCGGCCTCCCAAAGTGCTGGGATTACAGGTGTGAGCTACTGCGCCTGGCCTTTTTGGTCTTTTCTTTTAAAAATTTTTATTTTAGTAAAAACACTTAACATGAGATCCACACTCTTAACAAATTTTAAGTGCACAATATAAAATATAATATAATATAATATAATATAATATAAATAAAAATGTCAGTGATCATATAGTGAAGACTGGCATGGTGGTTGCCAGGGGCTGGAGAGGGGCCATGGAAGTTACTATCAGTGAGCATACAGTTTCAGCCAAGCAAGATGAAGCTCTAGAGATCTGCTGTCCCACATGGCACTCCTTGAATTGTCTGTCTGTCATTTTATTTTCATTTTAAGTCTGTCAGCTCAGCTTGTTCTTTGGGTCAGTTCTTCCCACGCCTCCTTCAGGCTTGCTGCAGAGACTATTCTCCTTGTTCTGGTATGTGTTCAGTGTTTCTCCATAGGCCCCCTGTTTGTCATCAATAGCCATGCTTTTGGGTCTTCCTTCCAAAAACATGAGTTCTTAAATTTGCTGTCTTCTTGAGTTACCACTTGATTTCTCTCCTTTCTGATATAACAAAGCTTCTTCAAAGAATAGTCTACAAAAACAATCTGCACTTCTGACCTTTCCTTTTGCATTCCCCAATGTGTCAAGCATGGGTTTTTTCTTGAATGATGTTTTGAAGCTCGTGTCTTAAAGGTTGGCCCTGAATGACTCCCACACCTGCCATGGCCGAGCCCTCTTCTTAGTGCTCTTTCTGACTGTCTGCAGCTCAGGACACACATGACTCTCCAACCTTCCCCACCCTCTCCCGCAGGCCTTCTACGGTCCCAGGCTTTCTGCTGCATACACTGAAGGGCCACGAAGTACAGTCATCTGGACTTGGCACCTGGAATACAAGGATGGAAAGCATCATTTCTGCCAGCTTCTTATGGTCCTGAGGCGAGACAGTCATGAGAGAGGAAAACTGCAATGACTTCTGACCACTGCCAGCCTCGCTTCCTGCATTTTCTTCTTCGGCTTACTCTTGCCAAGTTGGAGTTGCCTAACTTCCAAGAGGGTATTTGCTCTTTTTTTTTTCTCACTCCACAAACTCTTCCCAGGTAGTTCAGTCCACTCCCATCTACCAGTCACTATACGCCGATGAATGCCAATATTATTATTTCCAGCTTAGACATTGTTCTTGGATTGCAGATGTGAGGTTTGACTTGTTTACTAGACATTGCTGGCTGAGGATCCCTAGCATAACATGGCCCAAATTCAATTTATTTCCAAAGCTGTCTCATCTCCTTTGTTCTCTGTAATGATGTTGCTATCCATTCGATCAACATACTCAGAAATATCACCCCCTCCTTCCTTCTTCCAAGATAAGTGAGTTGCTCACGACATGATCATGTTTTGGCAGTGTACTCTGTCCATTCCCATCACTTAGTAAGAATCATCTAGGTTATGCTGAAGTATGAAGTTAATCTCCAAATTTCTCTGGCTCAGTACAGAAAAAGTCCATTTCTCCCTTCTGCAATGCACCCAATGCAGGTCTGCAGGGTCTCTGCTGTGCGTTGTCCCTCAGGGACTCAGGCTGAAGAGGCCCCCTTGTCTTATCTGGCCACCTCCTCTGCACATGGCTCAGGATTTTCCAGGCAAGGGGTTGAGCAGAGGCTTTTCAGTGCTGGGCCTGGATGTGACATAAGATGCTTCTGCTCACAGCCTTGTGGTCAGAACAAGTCACATCATCCCTCCTACTTGCAGGGGTGCTGGGCAGCGTAGTCATCCACAGATCAGGAGAGGGAGCAGAGGCAGGTGTTCCCGGGCTGCAGCGATCTCCACTGCACTGCTGTGGGCTGAACTGTGCCCTCCACCCCACCAAGCTTATATGCTGCCAGCCTCACCCTCCACACCTTAGAATGTGGCTGTATCTCGACATAGGGTCCTTACAGAGGTAGTTAAGTTAAAGCAGGGTCATTAGGGTGGGCCCTAAGGTACTCTGACTGGTGTTTTTATGAGAAGAGGAGATTAGGACTTACAGGGAGAGACACTAGGTATGTGAGCACACAGAGAAAAGACCATGTGAAGACGAGAAGAAGGCAACTGTCTCCAATCCAGACGGAGATGCCAGGCACAGCCCTTCTGTCACAACCCTCAGAAGGAACCAACCCTGCCGACACCTTGGCCTTGTACTTCTGGCCTCCAGAACCGCAGGAAAGTACATTTCTGTTGCTTAGGCCGCTCAGCCTGTGGCACTTTGTTACAGCTTCTCACCCAGTTCAGGCCCTTTTAATTGATTGCTGGGCCTTTGCAGTTGTTTTTGCTTCTAATATATTCATCTCTCAATTTATTTCTGGAGGCTGCCACCCGAGGGGCAGAACTTCAATTGTGTCCCTAATGGGAAACCTTGCTGGGATCATGTGGTCTACAGCACAAGGTTGCTAAAGCATCTTCTGCCAGAATTCTGTGAGTATCTGGTTAGGTGGGTCTGGAATATACTGAGTTTAAAAAAGTTAAATAGGTTTCTTTACTGCAAGATGTTTCAGAGACTTTAATATGCTACTCTGCTGTATGAATCTCCAGGCAGGAAATCTTATAAAATGTGTTTCTGAAATGAATTTGCACATAAGACCCTGTTTTCTTGGAGCCTCTGATAGTGGGTGAATGCCCAATCTCTAGTGGGACTTGCAAGACTTTGCAATTGGGCAGACATATTTCTTTTCACCTTATCTCCCTCTGTCTCTATGGAGATACTCCCATCGCATCAAAGTTCTTCTTATTACTTACACATGGGGTGGCAGCTGTGACATGCACCCATCACATCTCCCTCCAAGAGACCCTACAGGGGAGCACAGTTGGCTGGCAGCTCCCGGTGTCTGCGCCTCCAGGCCCACTGCTCCCTTGGGCGGCTCCCAGTCAGTGGCAAGGTAGCGGGGTTCTGGAGGAGGCCCATTTCTACCTGCAGTGGGGAAGCTGGGCTCCTCTAAGAGGCAAACTTCTCAGAGACTCCACTGTGGCTCTGCTGAGGCTGAGAACTGTGCTTTTGGTCTGAGCGCATTCTCCCCATTCTCCTTCCTGCCCCCGCTCCTTGCGCCGGCCTTAGACCAGCTAGCTGTCTGCAGGCTTTCCCTGCCCACGGCTGCCCCTCCTTTCCCCTTCACAGCCGTTTCCGCCCACATGCGCCGTGCATGGTTAATCGCACCGTGCCATCCACTTCTCTGAGGACCTGAGTTAGCACACAAAGTATGTTCGTTCCCTGTGTCCTCACCTCTCCCTGATGTATCTTCTCCCTTCCTCTGCTGGCTGTCTGTTGGGAATCTTGGGAAAGGAATTTGTGAGTAATGTTCCAGGCAGCCTAGCTTTTAGGGTGAATGACTGGTTCTGACTTATGTCAATACATCCTTGAGTCATGCCAAGAACTGTGGGATGATCAAGGACCACGGACCAGTGTCCTGGAAGCATCGATGGCTCCAAGCTGCTGGCACCACTGTCCTTGGAATTACCGAGTGTGATTTTTAGAGTTACGGGCACATTTCTCAGGCCCCATAAATGTGATGGATGGTGAATTACAGGACTTTTGAGTATATAGTGAGTGGACTACAATTGTGCTGTATGTAGCCCACTGCTTTGTGCGTGAGGCGATTTTAGGCCATTGAAGGAGTTCAGCTGTCCTCCATATGAGTCATTTCCTAGACAGTGTACTCTGCAAAAGCCCAAATAACTTCACAAATGTAACAGTTTAAGCTCTTATCAGCCATGTATACCACACTGAGATGAGTATATCATATTTCACATAATATAAAATAGAAGTAACATCATACATTTCACTCTTATTTCTCCTTCTGGAAGCCACCATGCCCTAACTCATTCTCTTTCTAAATTTCAAAACATCCAAACATTTCCCAGCTTATTTTATTTGCAACACAAACTAGCATTTTTCTTTTTATTCATAAGCTAAAAACTTTATCACTGAAATCATTTTATACTGCCACGTATCATTCTTCACTCTCTCAATACAGTGCTCTTCTCATTGGTTAGTCAATAGTTTATAAGAGTTCCATATTTTTATCTTTGGTTGAGATGTATTAATTGATTAGAGATACTTTTACAATTGTAATTAAAAAGTTTAATCATTAAATTTAATGAGACAGGTATACGGAGGTTCAGAAGAAATGTAAGGAAGTGAGACAAGAAGAGAAAGGGAGGTTACGAAAAGTGAGATTAGGAAAATAAACGGAAGACCACGTTGATACTGACTGGAAAACGTGGAAGGTTTACTAATTAATCAGTGCTAACATGACCACAAAGCATATGTTACTATTTTTACTATTGGAACCCACCGTTAAGTAGTCAAAGTTGCAGGATAAAGTGTCTGAAAACATATAAAACAGATAAAATGATGAAAGTGTAAACAGGTACATCTTTTCTGAAGGCAGTTTGGTGTGCACTAAAGTGCAGAATATACCTTGCAATTCTACTCCCATGAATATAACAGAAAGTAATTACTGAGTTGGGAGCGGTGGCCCATGCCTGTAACCCCAGCACTTTGGGAGGCCTAGGTGTTGGATCATTTGAGGTCAGGAGTTTGAGACCAGCCTAGCCAACATGGTGAAACCCCCTCTCTCCTAAAACTACAAAAATTAGCCGGGCATGGTATTGCATGCCTGTAATCCCAGCTACTAGAGAGGCTGAGGCATGAGAATCGCTTGAACCCGGGAGGCAGAAGTTGCAGTAAGCTGAGAGATCGCACCACTGCACTCCCGCCTGGGTGACAGAGTGAGACTCTGTCTCAAAAAAAAAAAAAAAAAAGTGCAAGGATGTTTATTACAGTATAGTAAATCGCAAGCAGGAAAATCCTAAATGTATTATGTTGGTACTAAAGTAATTGTGGTCTTTGCCGTTAAAAGTAGTAAATCCATGGAGAATGGGTTAAATAAATGATAGTTTATGTATACACACAAATACCATGTGGCTGGTAAAAATGATGGTGTAAATTATATTTACAGACTGATAAACGTAAAAAGTATCTGGGACATAGCATTATTGAAAAGAAAGCAGGCTAGTGAATACTATAATTATTTTGTAAAAGTCTCTTATGGACATAAGTTATATATTTACATGGCCATATTTTGCACAGGAAATATGAAAAAGTATATATATCAAACAGTAATGGCTTATTTTTATCTTCTGGGAGTTTTGCAGGTGCTTCCCTCTTTACACCATTATATGTCATCTGAAGTTTTGTTCTGATTCTGTATTATTTCATTTCTAAAAGAAAAGCCCCAAAACCAAGTGCTGTTTTCCTGGTCTGTGGAAACAGAGTCTCCGAGGAATTAGGCTAGACATGGTAAGAACAAAGTTCTGTTGTGATAAAAGCTTTGGCCTGAGGTTCCAACCATTAAGTTTGCCAGCTCAGACTTGATCTTGAATGAAGGCGGGGTTCTGTGACTGGAGACCATTTCTCTCCTTTTGTATTTGTTGGTGTGTCCAAAAACCTCAGATCTCCCAGCTTCAGGCTTCTTTGAGGGCAGTGCTAAATTGGTTGAAACCTTATTTGAGGCAGTTCCTGAAAAGGGTAGGTGAAATTTCCTGCTGATAAAAGGCATCTTGTGTCTTGTTCATCCTTAGCAAATTGCCAATTAGCAAAGAAGAGAGGGCAGATGAAGTACCAGCCAATTTGAAATTGGTGTGGACTTCCATCAAGGTATATTAATTCACTTTACCTAGATGATTCGAAATTAGTTGCTTTTTTCTTTTAATCCTAAAAGGATAATTTTCTTCATGTTCTTCTTGTCATGTCAGCCAAATCCTATAGTGTCAACTTTCAGTAAATGTATCTTAGATATAACTATGGACCAATCTAGATCTTTCTCTCTCTATCATCTATACAGTTTAGAGATTTTAAAACTCTTACCACTTAGTTTGAAATTTTATTTTAATTTATAAAATGATATATTCTTATGTAAAAAATTCAGACAATAAAGATGTATTTAAAGTAAAAGGCAAAAGTTGTCTGTTTTAACTTCATCCCCATTTTTTCACTCCCTTGAGGAAACCACAATGAACTGCTTCGTCTGTTCAAACATACACTTATATGCCAAGACTTTCCTCTCACAGAATATGCAGTATGTTTCCTTTTTTAAAGAAAAAACCCCTCAATATTGTAGCATAAACATTAATGGCTGCATGGTATAGCATAATGTGAGCATATCATCATTTATTTAACCATCCCCATGACAACCAACATTTAGGTTGTCTCTATTTTTTTTTCTGTTTTAAATAAAACTTAATGTACATCTTGCACATTTGTGTCATTATGCAAGTCTAGAATCCTGGATGGAGAATTGTCAAGCCAAAAGTGTGAGCATTTTGATAGACCAAGTATCAGCAGGATTGATGACTTTGGAGCACTTCACAAGCCGAGGTGCAAACATTTCTTTCTCCCAACTGCCCTCTTCTCTGTGTCCTCCAACAGGCACAGTCTGTGACAGATGAGAACAGGTTCAAATTGGCTCCAGGCTGAAGTTTCCACAGAGCTGAGAAGAATGATCTGCATAATCAGTCTCTCACCAGGGAGCTCCTGGAGCTCAGACAGGCCCTCAGCGAGGCACGCATGTTCCTGTAAGGACATGGGGATCTGGGCAGTGCTGCACTGAATAACGTAGCATAAGACATCAAGACTCAATGTGTTAATAATAGGAATGAAAGAACAGGGAGCTCCATGGACCTGCTGCTTCCCCTAAAACCCCGTGACACTTTTGTTTCTGATATCTGTGCTAAACTTTAGGAAAATTTTACTTTAAAATCTTGTGACAGAGAATTCTGTCATTTTTTGACTTTTAGAGAATTTTTAGAGAAGTTTTCAATTTTTAGAGAATTCTGTCAAGTGTTTTCCAGGTGTGGGAAGCCCCAAAGCCATGGTGACATTAGCTTATCTGCAGCATGTGTTCCCATCCTGACCAAGCATTGGTGTTGACAGGATTTAGGGCAACAATTCCCCTGTGGCTCCATCGAGATGAGTTGGGCTGCTTCAAATCAATATGTAGCAGATAGAGTTTCCCAATTTTGCATGCTGTCAATAATGAGGATCTGCTGATTTCTGTTTCTCTACTCCCCAGAATTGTTACCATTTTTTGTCAATGACAGTTTCAAAGCTTGGCCACCCCTTTGGAGGTGCTCCAGGTTGATTGTCCCTGGAAGGAGGTGCTCCAGATTATGACAATGGAGCAAGAACTGCTGAAATGGAGGGGTAGATTCCAATCATCCAATACAGCTCCGTGTCCTGAGAGATAATTGTCTAAGGTGTTGTGGAATAGTGACATCATGGAGTAAAATCGAGAGTGGAGGTGTTACACACAGTGGACAGTTCCATGCAGAGCCAGAGTGCTGAAGGCTGATGAAGCAAATTCACTCATGTAAATTCCCTCAAAATACATTTATTGAGCACATCCTTGGCACTGTTCTACAGGTTGGAGGTGTGGAGATAAAGTCCCTGTTTTCATGGATCTCACGATGGATAGTGTGAGAATTACGTGAAGAAGCTTAAGTCAAAAGGCAGAGAGCCACCCCTTTGGAGGTGCTCCAGGTTGATGGCTGTCCCCGGAAAGGAGGTGCTCCCAACCACAAAAATGGGGCAGGAACTGTAGGGTGCTGGAGCTTATGCAGTAAAGTGCTGTTAAGTTTGGGTGTTTCATTGGCTTGTAGGGATGTTGAAACTTTCCTGACCCAACCAGCCTTGTCTTGACTTGCTTCAGAGTAAAAATGTGGCAGCAGGCATGAAGCAGCATTTCTGGTGCTGAGCTTTACTGGCAGTCCTAGCCATAGCTGAGTTGTCAAAAGCCAGTTACGCAAATGGCATTGACCTTCCTAGCTGTCTTCTCATGCAGCATGTCCTGGTAAAGCTGTCGAGTGGCAAATGAGAATCCTTTTCTGGTCTCAGTGATGGAGATGTTTTCATTTTCACCCACACCCTTAATTTTTACTGATAATAAAACTCACAGACGTCCTGGTCCCTAGTGAAGCCAGACTACTAAGGCTTAAGAATGAAGATGATCCGCTTGTACCCACACCCATGAGCCAGTTAGAAGAGTATGATCTACACAGAGACCATTGTGAAACCAGGCAGTGTGTGACAATTGCCTGAAATGGGGACATGGCATCAAAAAGTATTTTAGGAGTTGATGGGGGAAAAAAATCTCTTCTGGATACGGGAGAGGCTGACACCTGAAACTGGATATGTCCCAGGTATCTCAAGTTCCATATGACCGAAAGTGACACTACTAACATTCCTTCAGAAGTGTCACCCTCTGTTACAATCACCTTGGACAAGCTGCATTTGTTCCCTAAACCTCCAGCTTCCAAACTTAAAAATAGGGGCACTATCTCAAAGGATTGTTGTGAGAATTCTTTCAACACATATTTGTGGACCCACCAACAACACCTTTGTTTCTATTCTAGGCACAGGGTATAAAAAATTGAAAAAAGAGAAAAAATCCCTGATTTCATAGATCTTTAGATCACAAATCATCCCATGAGATGATTTATAAGCTGTGAATTTCAACACAAATGTTCACTTGTAGGTATTCAGCAGCATTTGGTGACCCCAGTGGGACACTGCTGTGGCATCTGTCCTATCTGGGTGCCTGGGAGGGTCATCAGCTGCCCACACATCAACAAACTGAGGAAGTGCAGTGCGTTACAGTGTAGTTACCATGGTAACAGCACCAACACCTGCAGCTTGGGTGACTTTTGATTTGAGGTTTGAATTGAAAGCCACTGCAGCTTGTCCTTGGCTATTATATCTTGACACATACTCCCATTCCTCCTAATTGGAAGACAGGAGCCTCTTCTTGTGCTGGGTTCTACAGCTTTGGAAGATAATGTCTCCTTCTGATGCCTCTCTCACACTCACCCTGACATCAAGGAACCCTCCAAATTCTTTAGAACAAAATGCAGAAAACCCCATCTGGCTGTTTTGTGTCCTGTAGTGATAGACAAGCAGATAGAAATTTCAGTTTATTGACAGAGGCATCATGTCTTCTTATTTAGATTCTAAAATCCACACATTAAGTTAGCCAAAATCAAAGTTGAAGGCCATTTGTTACCTCTGTGTAACTTAGTCTGCATGCCTGGTATGGTGCTTCTTTAGGAGACTTCCATCAACATTTAAGATACTTTTCAGGCCTTTTTCAGATGGTAGGCTGCTGTTTTGAATGTGACTGGTTGTGAGTAATCATAAATTAGCTCAGTTGTATCCAAGTTATTGTCCAATAAAAAGCAAATCAAAACTTCGGAGAAAGTATTTGAAAGTATTATTGCAAGTTGGGGGAAGGGAACCATTGCTGGGGCAGGGGACTATTGCAATAGGGAGAGTGCTCTACACTTAAGATCTCTGAGAACCTCTAGAGTTAGGCAAGAATTTTTCTCTCTTTTTTTAGAGACAGAGTCTCACTCTGCACACAGGCTGGAGTACAGTGGCATGATCATAGCAGCCTCAAACTCCTGGGCTTCAGCGATCCTCCTGCCTCAGACTCCTGAGGAACTGGGACTGACTACAGGTGTGCACCACCACACCTAGAAAGTTTATAAATTTTTTGTAGAGAGGGGGTCTCATTATGTTGCCCAAGCTGGTCTTGAACTCCTGGGCTAAAGTGGGTGGTGGGGTGGGTGGTAGTGATGGGTGATGGGTGGTGGTGGTGGTGGGTGGTGGTGGGATGGGTGGTGGGTGGGGTGAGGGGTGGGAAGTGGGTGGTGGGGTGGAGGGTGAGTGGTGGGGGGTGTTGGGGGTAGGAGATGGGTGGGGGGTGGGAAGTGGAGGGTGGGAGGTGGGGTTAGGTGTGGGAGGTGGAGGTGGGGTGGGATTTCTTGACATTTTCTGTTTCCCAGGATCAAGGGCTCAAGCAAAGTTTAACATTGTCATTATAATATTTCTAGGGCTGGAAAGAATTTTAGAGTCTAGTTTCACCCTCTCATTTTACCGGTGAAGCAACTGAGGCCCTGACAGAGTTTTCCACCAAATCTGTCGAATTGGCTAAAGGCACAGAGAAGAAACTGCACAAGGGATGCTAAGACTTAGAACTATTCTAGTCTTCATGAATGTATATGCACAGGGTTATGGGGAGGTCGAAACGAGATCATTTTGAAGATTCTTTGGAAAGTTAAAAGCAAGACTTAAAATAAGCAGAACATCTAAAATGGACATTCATTCTCTCTCTCAGCACCCCGACCTTGTTCTTCCAGATCTTCTAACAACCTGCATTTACCTGCTGTGTTGACTTATCATCTGCCTCTCTGCACTACAATACAAGCTCTATGGGAGTAGGGGTTTTGGTTTTCTAGTTTGTTACTAATGGATTGTTAATATGCAGAATAGTTCTTACAGGCCAGGTACTCAACAAATATTTATTGAAAAATCAATAAGCCCAGGGAGTCATGAGCCCTAGTAATAAAGAAATCTTTAAAATATCAGCTTTTTGGTAGACTTCTGCAATCACCCAGCAATTATCTATGGGGAGCTTCAGAGTTCTCGGCATTCTCTCTGGATCTGGGGTTTGAGTGGTAAAGGAAACGGACCACGCCCTGCTGATCTTCCTGTGGGGAAGCCCAGCAGCAACTGGAAACTGATAGAGAAGTAAAATATCAGACAGTGACCCAAACAGTGCAGGGAATTCAAGGAGGGAGTATCACATCTTAGATTGGAGGTCAGGGTAGAAGAATGACCCAAACAGCGAAGAGAATTCAAGGAGGGAGGACCACATCTTACATTGGAGGTCAGAGTAGAAGAATGACCCAGAAAGTGAAGAGAATTCAAGGAGGGAGTACCATGTCTTAGATTGGAGGCCAAAGTAGAAGAACTCTCTGGGTCTAACATTTAAGCAGATGTTGAAATGATGAGAAGACAGCCAAGTAAACCAACAAGGAAAGCATTCCAGGGGGCAGCCCAGAAGAATCAGCTTCTTGCAATGTACATTTATATAGTGCCTTGTCTATTTCTAAGTGCCTTGCTGTCATCACCACCACGAGAGCCCTAAGGATTAGGGGTTTTGTTATCACAATGTCTGGTTTATTAGAAGGGCCTCTAAAGTTTGCCTCTAGTTTGGAAAACCACTGTTTCTATTTATCTGAATAGAGAAGAGAAAAGCTAACCTTGGGACCAGTTGTTTTAATTTGCAGGAAAACCTAGATTTCTAATGAATAACAATGAATGAGAGAGAATTGATACAGGCAGATCTGAGATATCCATATCTGTCTCTGCAGTACATGGTTAGGAAATGCTACATATGATTTGTATTTACTGTGCTGATGTTGAGAGAGGAACACCTGGGTGAGATCCAGTAGGTTCTAAATAAATCTAGCTTGATGATATCTCTTTGAGTTATAAGTATATGTTCTATCTGTAGAGAAAGAAAGGGAGAAGCTACATTGATTTTAATGGAAATGTCAGGAAGAGGTTGAATGAGTTGAAACATAAATGAGACAGTCATTACAAAATATTCAAATGAAATTTTGGGATAATAAGAATGCTCATTTAAAAAGCCCGTTCGATTAGTGTCAAGCTAGAACAGAAAAACACATTTAAAAGGCTGTACTTTAGTTTGTGTCTGTGTATTTGCCACACATAAGCTTAGACACTTTAATAAGACACTTATAAACATTGAAATATATGAGTTGATATGGTGAAACATAATTCCAGAATTCTTGAGTATAATAGGTCTGGAGCATGATTTATAAGTTATTTTGCAATGATGTGTCTGAGGTCATGGTGGCCGCACCTGTAGTCTCAGCTACTTGGGAAGGTGAGGTGTCAGGATCCTTTGAGCCCAGGAGTTCCAGGTTACAGTGAGCTGTGATGCGCCACTGCACTGCAGCCTGGGCAACAGAGTGAGACCCCATCTTTAAAGAAAAAAAAAAGAAGAATCTGAGACATTGTAAGAAAAATTCCTTCATCTCCTCATCAAGTGTTTATTGGGTGCCTGCTGTGTGCCCAGCCATATGCTAGAGGCTGGGGATATAGGAATAAAAGCTACCAGCCATGCCCTAGGTCAGTGCCTAGTTCTGGGTCAGCAAATAGCATCCAACTTGTTCAGTGCTATTCTATCATTAAAACATAAGCTGGAGTTCTATTTGTTTGCACATTTTACAAAAATAATGTGTAAATAGATGATTCTATAAAAATGTCCAAACAATGCTGTTAGGTAGACATCACTCTACACACTTGTTTTGTGGGTGACATTGCCTCACTAAGGAGCAGCTCCAGCAGCCAACCAGAATCAAAGCTGTCCTCTTTCATGGGGCTCTGGGCTTACCCAGGAAAGAACAAAATAAATTGACACAATGTAGGCTAATCATGATATTGAAAACAGAAAGGACTTGGGAGCCTCCTGAAATAAATTGTTAAAAATTACATAAACCTATTTATGGTTGGATTTATAATAAGTGCCTGTGTGTTTGTTTTCTTGACAGCTCTGTCAACCAGGCTGGAGTGCAGTGGTGCAATCATGGCTCACTGCAGCCTCCCCATCCTGGGCTCAATCGATCCTCCCACTGCAGCTTCCTGAGCGGGTAGAACTACAGGCATGCACCACCACTCCTGGCTAATTTTTTTTCCTTTGGTATTTTTTTGTAGAGACAGGGTTTAACCACATTGCCCAGGCTGGCCTCCAACTCCTGGACTCAAGCAATCCACCTACCTCGGCCTCTCAAAGTTCTGGGATTACAGGCGTGAGCCACCGCGCCTGGCCTGTGCTGGTGGTTGTAAGAGCATAAGCTATTGTTCTTTCCATCCTTCTCTTTTTCAGTTTTTCTTCTGTTTTTGCATAGTTAGGCCCTTGTGAAGTTTGGCTGACATTTGTTGTATGCTTTTAATTCCCCTCAAAAAAGAATTTTCTACATTTTACAAAGAACTAAGAAAAAACCCAAAGAAAGCACTTTGTCCTGGGGATCTGTGGTCTCGTTGCCTGCAGCCTGTTTCCTGCGGCCTGTTTCAGCGAGCTCTGTTGCTTGTTAAAGCCTTAAATAAAGTCAATATTTTGTGATGAGACCATTTTAGAGGACATGCTTGCATATCTGTGATGTGCCCATGGACTCCCAACAGATGCTGCTATTTTCGTAATGACATTTTCTAGCAGCAGAGATGAAACAAATATTGAGGCGTTGAGCTCCTTTCTTTGTTATATCAGATTAGAATGTAATGCCAATTGCATCCAGCTTCAAACAAACTCAAGGAATAAAAATCTAGACTTCCAAAACAGATGCACGAGGTTTGAATAAAGATTCATCTGAGGGTCTGCACTTGCTTTCCCCTCCTTACGTATTGTTCGTTGAAGTGATTTTTTAAAACCCAGGTCTGACCCTATCATCTCTGATGCTTACAATCTTTCCAAGGCTTCCCTTTACCTATGGACAAGGCATTTTAACATGATAGAAAATGTCCTTTCAGCCCATTCCCAACTCAGCAGGCCGCTGGCATGCACACACGCGCACCTCCAAGTGTGTGTCCCATGCTCATGTGGCTATGCTGTCTCGTAGTCTCCAAGTCACTGAGGGTCCCATTGCTGGGGCTAGGTGTGGTGTGCATGGTTCTTTCCAAGGAGATGGAGGGATGCCAGCCCTTTGCCTGGTGAGGTTTGGGACGAGGTCTTGCCGTAACCAGATGCTATGCTGCAATGCCAGGTGTGGGCGCTGGAAGTCTGTGTAACCCCTTAGTGTCCTTTCCCACCCCTTCCCCACCCCTTTAGGCTAGAATGTAATGCCTTAATATTCACACTGTGGTCCAAGTGCCAGCAATGCCAGCCTCACCTGGGAGCTCCTTAGCAATGCATCACACTAGGTCCTACCCTGGACTTACTGTGTCAGAAACTCTAGGGTGGATCCAGCTGTTGCGTTTGAACCTCTGGGTGATTCTGATGTACATTTGAGTTTGCTGTAGGTGAACACAGCCTGGCTCTTCTAGGTCCCACTGACGTATTGAAGCAGAATGTGCATGTTAACAGGAACCCATGATTTCTGTGCTCAGCACCGTTCAGAACCTGCTTCCTTGATTGCACATATTACATTCCTACTGAGCTCTTCTAGGTAGGTGGGCAGCTAGGAGGAGCAGTATAGACAGAGGCCTTGCTTTTAAAAAGCCTGCATTCCAGATGGAGGGTGGCATGACAATAAGAAGGGGGGAAAAGCAGGTAAAACAGTGGCAGAGTAATGGCTCTGAATCAAAGGAAACAGCCAGGTGGGAGGACAGGGGAGAGAGAGAGAGACAAGAGACAGAGAGGAAGGTAGAGAGGCAGAGAGAGGGAAGTAGAGAGAGAGAGGAGGGACAAGGTAAAGACAGCATGGCCAGTGAGGCCTCTCTCTAGGAGGAGCTAGCCTGTGCTCACCTGGGACCATGTTGCACAGAGGGTGTTGTGAGATGACTGGGCTCACTGCGCAGTTTCTGACTCAGTAGGTCTGGGGTGAGGCCTCAGCGTGTTGCGTTGTCGACAGGCTCCCAGGAGGTGTTGCTGCTGCTGGTTTGAGAACCCTAGATCTAGGAGACCATTCCAGAAACATGGCACATGTATTTAGACCTTGGGCTTTGGGGCAGGCGTGGGTGGGACAGGCTGTTCAGCACAGCCTGGGGGCAGAGGAAGGTGGGACGTTGGGGGCCAAGTCTGGCAGGTCAGCAGGTGCCTTGTGGGCTGTGGGATTTTGTTCTCTTGGCCCAAGAGAGCTAGTGGTGGGTTGTGGCAGGGGAGAGATGTGGGGCCTGATTTGCATTTGTAAAAATGCAAATTATATTGCTTTGATTTTCTATTCAAGGACAGATTGGGAGGCAGAGGTAGAAGCAAGGGAGGTTAAGAGGCTACGGTGGTGGTCAGTCCCTTCCAGAGATGACGGTGGCTTGGATCCCCATGACAGTGGCAGAGAGTAGAGAAAGGTGGGCAGATTTGAGGTACATGGTGCAGGTGGAGCAGACGGCACTTGCTACTGGATGCTTGGGGGTGGGAGAGGGGAAGAGAGGAACCAAGGGTGCCTCTCAGCACAGCACTTGGGTGGAGGTGAAGCCATTCACTGGAATGGGAAGCTGGGGTTGGAGCAGTGGGAGGTGGGGCGGGAAACCCAGTGTTCTCTTTTAGACATGTCATGGTGTATGTGAGGATGAGACATCCCAGTGGCAACATGGAGCTGGCATTTGTGCCTGTGAGTCTGAAATTCAGGGAAGTAGCCAGGGATGAGGATTTTATTTTGGAAGGCATCATCAAGAGGTGCCATTTGATTGAAGTTAGCAAATTGGTTCAGCCATCCAAGGGACTCCACACTCCCCAGCACACCACGATTCCCAGCCTCCTTCTAAGACTCTCCCGAGCCCAGCCTGGGTCTGGCTGCTTCCCCCGAAGCAGGGCTGGCTTGCTGCTCTTTCCCACAGCACAGCCACAGCTAGCAGCCTGCTGGACAGAAGAAATCCTCTAAACCCAGCTCCTTTCTACTGGGGGCTCTGCTGACCTTCAGTGCCAGCCACCACTTCACTCAAGCCCTCCCACACTTGCCTCAGTGGGGTTTCCACCAGTTGGGTCTTTGCACACGTGGCTACTTCAGCCTCATGCCCTGACCGTATGGGGGTGCTCCACTGAGCCAGGATCTGCCCCCACGCCGTCCTGCTCACCTCCATGATGCGGAGCTGTTTTATCAGCTGGTTACTGTGTGTAGTCCAGGTCCTCAGAACTTGGAATAGGATGGGCCTTTTTCATTTAAAAAATATGCTCTCCAAACACAATTTTCGGATAAGCTCTTTCAACTTTATTTTCTTTTTCTTTTTCCTTTTTTATATGACTAGAGGCATGTGCAGGTCTTTAAAGAATCGCTGTGTGACTGTGATTGATTCTTTGGTCTGAACATGACAGCCTTCTGGTCAATCTAGCTGCTGTTGAGTCACACCAAGACTGAGGAGCTGCATGTTCCACTCGCTGACTGTCTTTGGCAAGCCAACGTGAAGTCTTGGAATTAAATAACTATCCATTCTGTGCCTAAATACTCATTTGTAGAATCCATGCTCCTGCCTTTCCTAAGAAGCACCTTTGATTTGCTTTTACATTCTCATTTTTTTTTCCTGTTTCATAAGCTCAGTTCAATTCATCATAATCAGCTGTAGGCAGCTCCAAATTTAAATAATGTCACCTGGGTGAGTCATACCTAAGGGAACACTTAGTTGGTCAATACATGGTCTCTGCACAATCTAAATTAAAGTCAACTCTGAGGTTGACTTGAACAGAGTGAATTCAGCCAGTGCTTCAGGTTTAAAAGACCAAGCTGCTCTTGGTTGTTTGTACATGATAAACTAGGTTGTCTTAGTTCACAGACGAATCCCAAAGAACGTCAGTGTCTTTTGGAAGTAGCAGATGTTGGGACTGAGAAACACTAAGCACTATCAAAGGACTAAATGCCCCAGCAAACTGAAAATCCTGATACTCTTTGCAAAGTGCCTCAGTAATTATGGTCTGGAATACCTGGTGTGTTGGGGGAGGTTTATTTATCTTACCTTAATCAAGGACCATATGGTACTAAGTCAGGAAGCAGCAGTGGGACCTTGACTATTCCTAGGCCAAATATGGTAAAATTACTAATTGCCTTGCACAGGATTAATAAAGTGCTATTATTTGTGTTGAATTTTATTGAAACATAAGTTAGAGTTTATAGAGACCGTCATAAAATAGATATGATCTTTTCTGTTCCTGATCCTTTTCCAAAAGATATTACTTTCCTCCTCTTTCAGGGCCCAGGAACAAAGAATTGATTTCCTTTCCTCATTTAATTAATATTTGTTGGGTGATTGCTATGCAAGAGGTACTGTTGTACACCTTGAGGATACAAATGTGAGCAACATCATGGCCTCTGTTGACATAAGGCTGAGAATGTGGCAGTGGAAATTGATATGTATTAATGTTGTGTAATTAGGAGCGGTCCATCTTACATGGAGGTGAGGCCTGAGGTTCTGGAGCCATGCTAGCTCCTCGAAGCTGAATCTTTGAAAAGAGAGTAATCAAGAATGAGGACAGAGATACTGGTGAGTTGGGAAGAGCTCAGATGTTCCTAAATATGTCAAGCTCGGATGGTATCTTCTAGGCAATGGCTAGCCATCCAAAGATTTTAAACAGAGGTGTAAGACTCATCAGATTTTACTTCTGAAAGATCATTCTGGGATTAAGGTGAAAGATAGATTTGAAAGGTGCTGCACACACCCAGAAGAGAGATAGGGAGATTTCACAGGGAGGTGACGGTGGGAGTGATAAAGAAAGGATGGAGTCATTGGTGAGAAGTAGGTGAAACAGAAAGACCCCAGGAGACAGAGATGTGGTGGGACAGTGAGACATAGGTGTGGTGGGATGGTGAGATGTAGGTGTGTTGGGATGGTGAGATGTAGCTGTGGTGAGATGGGGAGATGTAGGTGTGGTGGGATAGTGAAATGTTGTGGTGGGATGGTGGGATGTAGTGTGGTGGGATGGTGAGACGCAGGTGTGGAGGCCTCAGAACATCTAGCCTTTGGACAGGTGAGTTGGAACTTTAGCAGGAGTTGGGGAAGGAGACACAGTCTGAGAAAGCAGCTCTGTGGAACTGATTCTTCATCTGCAGAAGTGGATAGTCTCTTCCTGCAAGCATTTAGAGGAGGGAGGAGAAGCAATCACTAAGCCAGAGGGATGTGGAGAAAGCACAAATGACACTGAGGAGAAAGAGACACCAGAGGAGAAAGTACGACAGTGTCTTTACCAATACTTAGTAATGACCTTCCTTTTTGTTAATTTATTTAATTCTCAAAGTTTCCCCTATCAACAGGGAAGGAAACAGGATGACAGTGTGTGTCAGATATTCTCTGAAATGGCCACAATCAATCAACACCTTCCATTTTTGGAAGCTGAGGCTGGGTCTTCTCAGGCAGGGCAGACTGTTGAATCTGGGCTATCATCTCCACCACATTGACTATTAGAATATAGTGGAGGAGGCCGGGTGTGGTGGCTCATGCCTGTAATTCCAGCACTTTGGGAGGCCGAGGCGGGCAGACCACGAGGTCAGGAGATCGAGACCATCCTGGCTAACACGGTGAAACCCCATCTCTACTAAAAATACAAAAAATTAGCCGGGCATGGTGGTGGGCGCCTGTAGTCCCAGCTACTTGGGAGGCTGAGGCAGGAGAATGGCGTGAACCTGGGAGGCGGAGCTTGCAGTGAGCCCAGATTGCACCACTGCACTCCAGCCTGTGGGAGAGAGCGAGATTCCTCTCAAAACAAACAAACAAACAAACAAACAAAAAAGAATATAGTGGAGGTGATGTCAGGTGCCTCCTGAGACTAGGTCATAAGAGGCCCTGCAGTACCTCTCTCTTAGAGTAGAGCTCTATACTGGGGGCACCATGCCACGTGGAGAAACTACATGGAGACCCAGGTGGAAGTGCCCCAGTGACAACCAGTAAGCTCTCAGGGACATCTTTGCAGAACCAGCCTGAGTCATTTGGCTCCTGGGTCCTTGTTCTTCCTGTTCTGAGATGCCTCATGCATACTGTGGAGGTACGGATGCATTCTTGCGCAAACAGTATTCATGCTCTTATAAAAATATGTACTTATGCAAATGGCACATTTGCCATGCACAAGTGTTTCCCTAAATATTTAGAGCAAAAATTATTGCATGGATAGAGCCTGAAAGTCTTAAAAAAATCTTTCAGAATTTATCTTTTTTCATTTGTGAGTTGGAAAAAAAGAGCCCTTAAGACTCCCATACTGATCCAGTTTGCTTATTAAGTGTATTGGTTTACTGGGGCTGTCATAACAAAGTACCATAAACTGCATAGCTTAAACCACAGAAGCGTATTGCCTCCCAGTGCTGGAGGCTGGATGCCAGCAATCAAGGTGTGGGTAGGGTTGGGTCCTTCTGAGGCTCCGGGGCTGACTCTGTTCCATGCGTCTCCTGTTTAGGCTAATGAGCAGCACACATTAGCTGCTGGTGGTTTGCTGAACATCTTTGATGTTCCTTGGCTTGTAGAGGTCTAGTGCCCTGATCTCTGTCTTCATCTTCACATGGGCTTCTTCCCATGAGTGTAGCTGTGTTTGAGTTGCCCTTTTTATAAGGACACTGGTCATACTGGATTAGGGCTCACCTTAGTGACTTTGTCTTAATTTAATTATATCTATTCCAAATGAGGTCACATGCTGAGGTCCTGGGGGTTAGGATTCAACATAAAGATTTGTGGGGACACAACCCAACCCATAACAAATAGTATTTATTAAGTGTTTATTCAGCACACCTCTGCAAAGTTCTAGCACATTGAACAGAAGTACCAACAAGTAATCATAGTCAATTTTTGTAAGACAGATAGGAGCAAAGTGCCCTGGGGAAAGAAGCAAGTAATACCCTCTGCCTGGGAGAACCAAGGAGGGCTTCCAGGAGGAGGAATTTATAGTGTGTACAGAGAGCGGGCTTATAAAAAAGTAGAAATCACCCCATGCAAGAGCCAGGAGCAGACGGGCCTTGGTGAAGGGTGTGCTAGAGTCTGGAGGGCTGTCCAGTTCATGTTTTAGCCAGAGGATAGCATTCCAACTTGAATTTCTGAGAAAAAATGCTGGGTACTTGTGTGCATTTCTTCTTTTCTTTTCTTTCTTTTTTTCTTCTTTTTTTTTTTTTTTTTTTTTTTTGAGATAGAGTCCCGCTCTGTCACCCAGGCTGAAGTGCAATGATGCAATCTTGGCTCACTGCAACCTCCCCCTTGTAGGTTCAAGCAATTCTCCTGCCTCAGCCTCACAAGTAGCTGGGATTACAGGTGCATGCCTGGATAATTTTTGTATTTTTAGTAGAGATGGGATTTTGCCATGTTGGCCAGGCTGGCCTCGAACTCCTGGCCTCAACTGATCCACCTGCCTCAGCCTCCCAAAGTATTGGGATTACAAACATAGCCACCATACTTGGCCTGTTTTTTCTTTTCTTGTTTTTATATCATGTCCTTTATTATTATTTTGGTTTAGGTGCCTCTACATATATATGTCTGCATTTTACCCTTATGATAAACTACACTTGATTTACTTTGCCATGCACAGGGCTGATTTTTACTCCCTCTATTATGTTGGGCACTGAAGAACAAGGAGCAGGCTCCTGGGCAGGGCTGGCCCTGTAGGAACGGGCGTCCACCCACTCCAGGTGTGTTCCTGTACGCCTCACACTCCTGCCATCTCGAAGGTCCTTGGCGTGGGGTCGCAGCACTGCTCTCAGCTCACCTTCATTATTGGCATTAACTGTACTGTCACGGGGCATGATGGGTCCCTGGACTTAATCCCCACAACAGCCCCGGGAGCAAGGCATGGGGCCTATCTCCATTTTACTGAGGAGGAAACCGTATCTCAGAAAGAGAAGCCTGAGAAGTACCACACAGAGGCCCTGAGAACACCCCCTTCGGCTGTCTTTGCTTGGAGAGGAAGCTGAGGCTCTGCAGGGCAAAGGGACTTGCCGAGGTACCAGGAGACCCAGTGGCCAAATCAAGCCCAGGCCCATGCCCTGTCTCATTGTCCTGGGCTGCTTCTAGGTTACCATTTCAAGCTTCCTGCCATTCTACATGACTTACCATAATGATAGAGGGAAATAAACAGCATTTTAGTCTCAAGGGTTTTTTTTTTTTTAATTTTGGTTTTGTTTTCTTTAAAGAGTTCAGTGCATCTTATAGCTGAGAGTGATTTGCCTGTTAAGTATGCAAAGTGAATAAACATCTTTGTGTACTGATGCATCAGATCTTGGAGTTGGAAGGGCACTTCCTGGTGCTAACCCACCCCTGGCACTCTCAGAAGGCAGGTGCTCAGTGTCCATGTACTGCCATGCCCGAAGCTTGGGGCCACACCATGGGACGCACATGCTGTTCTTGTTCTTGTTCCAGGAGCAAAGGAAGCTTCCAAGGCTCTGCAGAGGGGTGGTAGCACCTACCCTTGGACAGTTTCCCTCCTCCCTCCTTTCCTCACTCAGTAGCTCGCCTTCTTTCATGTGCAAGTCCCTTGCAGCTCTTGTAGGTGTGTCCTTTCTAACACTCACGGCAGCGTGCAACCCTTGAGTACAGCCTTGTGATTGGTTTTAAGTGTTTGTCTCCCTAACTCACTGGGATGAAGCCATGCATATATTGTTTCCCACTGGAATCTCATGGCTTAGTGCAGCCTCTGACACACACTGGGGCTGCATAGCTATTTGCAGAATGCATGAATCCAGCGCCTGGTCTCAGCCACCAAACTCTACCGCTTTCTGCACTAGGTGGGTGCAGGGCAGTTGTGGGCTGGTAAGTAGTAAATACCCACAACCTGGCCTTCCTTCTGTGTGGGTGGGAGGACTGGTTCCCATGCATCTGCTCCAGGCTAGTCTCACTCCAGCATGCACACTGCTGATGTGTGCAGCTTGTTAGCCTAAACAAATGTGTTGAGGATTCTCCAGGTCCAAGCATAAAAGTCACTAATTGTTTCTCTAACAAAAACCCAAACTAGCGGCTGGTGGGCCAGTCCAGGCCCAGGGTTTTGTGCTGCCAACTTCATTCTTTTGGGTTTTCATGGAAAGAGATGCTGGCTTGGCAAAAACATGGTATACTAAAATTTTTTAAGTGGGAAAGATTGCTGAGCCCTGACCTTGACAATGTTCTTGGCAAAGAGGACATGAGAAGCTGCTGGCAGTCAGTTCTCCTTTTGGTGGGGACACGCTTTGCAGTTCCAGGCTGCACTGTGTCACCACTCCTGCTTCCAAAAGCTGGTGACAAGCAGATATATACAATCTATTCAGCCGGCTCTTTTGGCAAACTTTGTTTTCTCCTTGGTGGCTACTGGCTCGTTTTTATGGTTAATTATTGGCTTTCTTTTTCTTTCTTTCCTTTTCATTTTTTTCTAACAGACTCCAAGACTCAAACATTTGGAAGCTATCCGGATGTCTCTGGCCCCTCTCCTCCTCATTCTCTCCCAGCCAATGCTTCTTCCTTCCTCCAGTCTCACCCCCAGGAGTTCATCAGCCTCTGCTGCAGATTCTGTGGCAATGCAGAAGAATTTTGTTCCGAGCGAACTTGTCTGAAGGCTTGAAATGGCTTTCTTAAATTGAGTCACTTTTTATTCTCATAAGAGGTTAATTTTCTTTACACATGAAATCGATGTAGCTTGCTCTAGTGTTGCATATTGAATCTTCTCTCTTCTTTCCCCAGTGGACCCATAGGGGACCCAAAGGGACCCATAGACTCCCAGAGACCTGGAGGATGCAGGTATCATGTGGTCATTGCCACAGAACCATGATGTGTTAGGAAGATGGCAGAAGACTGTGGAAGATGTGCATTTTTTTAAATAACAAGGACAGGAAACTCAGGGAATATCTGGATAAAGCAGGGATTGGCCTGGGATGTTCCAGATGAAGACAGGGCTGCAGGCTTGCCAAAGGACCCCCCCGTGGGGATGGTGGTCCTTTGGATCAAGTTGTGGTCCAGGTACAAGAGGCACATCATCAGGATTCTCCCCACAGTGGAGGCCTCCAGGAGGTTTGTGCCTATGGCTTGTTTTTCCACGTGGGTGTAGTGGGGGCTCTGATAGGTGCTCAGGGGACAAATGAAGTCCGGAAAGCAGCCCACGGTCTTGCTGAGACTTTGTGGCTGGGGAGGTCATCAGTTTCAGCAGGCCCTGCCAAGAGTCTATTCCTGCAGTGTCATAGACATTATTTCACCCATCCAATTATTATTATTGTGATTTTCTTGTGTATTTATCCATCCAATTACAACATCTTAACTTAATCTATGAGGACCCTGGCCCAGGGAGGTGGCTGACTTGTTCAAGTTTGCAGTGAACAGCAGAGCCAGCTCAGCCCCTCCTCCCTCCTCTAGGCCTTCCTGCACTGGACGCCAGCCTCCTCCCCGCCTGTCCACTCCTGCCTGTCCATCAGCGCCACTCTGTGAGTGTGACCCTCGAATCAGACACAGCATTCTAGTGTCTTTTTTTTTTTTTTTTTTCTGAGATGGAGTCTTGCTCTGTCACCCAGGCTGGAGTACAATGGCGCAATCTCGGCTCACTGCAATCTCCACCTCCTGGGTTCAAGCAATTCTCCTGTCTCAGCCTCCTGAGTTGCTGGGACTACAGGTGTGCACCACCATACCCGGCTAATTTTTGTATTTTTAGTAGAGATGAGGTTTCACCATATTGGTCAGGCTGGTCTCAAACTCCTGACCTCAGGTGATCCACCAGCCTCGGCCTCCCAGAGTACTGGGATTACAGGTGTGAGCCACTGTGCCTGGCCCCAGTTCTTATTTTCTAGGTTTAGTGATCTTGTCTCAGATGAAGAGGTAATTACATCTACACTGGAGGACACTGAAGACTTTCCTAGCTCTCAGATTCTATGCTTCATTGTGTAAGAATGTGTATAACCGGGTGGTAAGTAGCTGGGGTTGGAGACTAGCAATTGGAAATTGGATAATACCTTCTTTAGCTGTTTAGAGTTTTGCTGGAGCTGTTTCACTTTAGAAATTAGGGTTGATGTTTCTGTGGTTGGAATGGAAAGTATGTTTCTGTCTCTGTTGAAGAGGAGGCTCTCTTCATGTGCCATTTATCCTTTCTAACACCTGCCAGCTGAGCTGTAAAGGGAGCTCCACAGGGTTAGCTTTCCAAGGGTTGACAGATGTCAGTTTTCACATCATGCTGTTCATGAGACATTTCACAGCAGCAGGACTTTAAACAATGTTAAAAAATATTCTCCTTGGCATTATCCAGGGCTACAGATCACTTTCTTATTTTATCTCTGCAGACCAGAGAGAGGTTCTTCTTTTGACTTACATCACCATCTTAAAAAACAGCACTATTACCCAAAGGACAAATTAGCAGAGAAGAGGAATGAGTTGTGCACATTGGCACTGTGTCAACTTGGAACGAAGGGGAGCACGGATATTGTTCACAATATACCCCAAACCAAATCGTCATTAAAAACAAAAGCCATGGCCGGGCATGGTGGCTCACGCCTGTAATCCCAGCACTTTGGGAGGCCAAGGCAGGCAGATCACAAGGTCAGGAGATCGAGACCATCCTGGCTAACACGGTGAAACCCCGTCTCTACTAAAAAAAATACAAAAAATTAGATGGGTGTGGTGGCAGGTGCCTGTAGTCCCAGCTACTTGGGAGGCTGAGGCAGGAGAATGGTGTGAACCCGGGAGGTGGAGCTTGCAATGAGACCAGACGAGATCAAGCCGCTGCACTCCAGCCTAGGCCACAGAGCGAGACTCCTTCTCAAAAAAAAAGAAAAAAAAAAGCACCAAAAGAAAAAAAGCCATGTAATCAGTCAAATAAGATGTCATTACTTTGGGGATTTATATATATTTAATCCTAAGCTAACTAACGCAGAAACAGAAAAGTGCTGCATGTTCTAACTGGGTGCTCATGGACGTAAAGCTGTCAACAACAGATACTGGGGATTCCTACAGCAGGGAAGGAGGGAGGGGGAATGCATTGAAACACTAACTATTGGGTACTTTGCTCAGTACCTGGGTGACAGGATCTATACTCCCAAACTTCAGCATCATGCCATATACCCATGTAACAAACCTGCACATGTACCCCCAGAATCTAAAATAAATGTTGAAATTATGTAATAATAATCATTTAAATGTTAGCCCATGAGATGGTGAAATATTGTTACCAAGACAACTTTGACAAAGTGGGAGTGCACTGACCAGAAGCAGATCATGCGATGGTGAGGATATAGGCTGCCTCCCTTCCAATTTCAGAAGGAAACACGGACGTGGGACCAGCTGCACTCAGGCCAGCAGGGTACTTGTCCTTCTTACAACCACACATATTGTGAATTTGTATAGCAGTTAACATTGCTGAAGCCCTCTCAGGAATATATGTCATGGTCCTTTGAACTGATAGGCGTGGTGTTTAACCATGTCTGTAGCACCTATAAACTTGATACTTTAACATCTGCCTCTGTGATGATACCCGACGCCTTGTTCTGGACAGCCTGAGTCACCTTGTCTTGGCCTCCCGCCTCCCTCATCACCACCCTCCACATCAAGAGGAGTCCTTCTCCTGAAGTGTGCTTTTCAAAGGCAAACCACCTAATCCAGAGTCTGCACCCCCAACCACCTCCCTTATCTGGCTCTCACACTCTGAACCACCATCCCCCTGCCGTTATCACCATACCAGATACCAGATAGCCCCTGGAATTATTTAAACTAGCCCATCCTGAGCTTGTTTGCCCTACCTCCCGTTGCTTCCCTTGGAAACCATAATAAAGGCTCTTGCCCACAGTGACCTCTTCCACCGCCTTCTCAGCGACCCTGGGGAGTCCCCATGTGGCCCTGTGGTGTGATGCACGTTCCCTCTCTTGGGATCTGTGAGTTTAATGCACAATCTTTTCAATGGTAGTTGTCCCCTGATCTGTTGGCTTCACCACACCTGAAAAAAATAATGAAACCTATCAAAATACAGGCTATGAGGCAGAGGATCTGATGCCTGCAAGATGAGAGACCCTGACAGTTTTTTCTAGCTCCTAGCCCTAAGCTTCTCCCCTGCATGATATTCTAGTGAGATATGGGGTGGAATGACAGAAAGAAATCCAGCTTGGGTTGTATGTATGTACCTTTGACATTGCATGGGAGCTCTTTGCCTACCTGTCTTGCTTGGGCATTTCCAGTCCTTCCTCTGGGCATTCTCAATAGCAGTGGAATTTTTAATTGGGAAAATGGGGATTACTTCATTGGGAAATGAAGTAATATGACATATTATTTAAAAAAAAGCCACATTACTTCATTTCCCAATTATAAATAGACCCTTCACCATGGATCTGCCATTTGCAACTTCCATGACATTGCAAGTGTTTGAGTTCAAATTCATTTTCTGCAAACCACGACCATGTTTGTCTGTTGCACAGCTGTATTCCCAGGCTTAGCATATCTGGCGCAGTTAGTGCAGGCTAGATATCAGTTAACTGAATGAATAAATAAACCACCCAACTACTAAATCAGGTTGTCTCAAACTCATCCAAAAGTTTATATGGGTTGAGTGTAACAAACTTCATGGGTTTCTGTGGTAGGCTGAATAATCATTCCTCCTAAAAGATATCCACATTCAAATTCCTGGAATCTGTGTGTATTACCTTATATGGCAGAAAGGGTCTTTGCAGATGTGATTAAGAATCTTGAGATGGGGAGATTATCCTAGATTATTTGGGGGACCCTAAATCCAATCACAAGCATCTGTGAGAGATGCAGAGGGAGATGACATGCACGGAGGCAAAGGAGGCAGCGTGAGCAGGAGCCAGAGATTGGAGTGTTGTGTCCACCACTATGGAAGCTTGACAAGGAATTTTTCTGCAGAGCCCCCAGAGGGAGTATGGTCCTGATGACATCTGGGTTTTGGGTTTCTGGCCTCAAAAACTATGAGAATAAATGTCTGTTGTTTTAAGCTCCTACCTGTGTCATAATTTGTTATATGTGACTCAGGAAACTGAAAGTTTCCGAGGGAAATTGATGGGTATTTCTCTCTGGAGAATTCTAAAAAGAGAGACTCCCTGGTCATGTCCTGTAGTGGCCGGATAGTAGAAACTAGATTTGGTGGTCTGTTGGTGTTCCTTTCCAATAATTCTTCTTGGATTCTTTGAGAAGTGTGATGACTTGGCTTCATTTTCTGTCCTCATGTAAGTGACTTAGGTAAGGTTAGATGAGAAGAAGAGCACAGGTGTGTTTAGGTCGACCTACACCCCCCAGATAATTAGGATACTTCAACTCCTGTTGTTCTTAGTCCATTCTTGTACTTGCCAGTCCATGTTACTTAGAAAAAAGCGAAGGGAGTCTTTGAGGTTTATGTTCTACCATTACACAGGGATTGCATTTCTTTCTCTATCGAGTTAGGACTGGAAAAGATACTTCAAGAGAATTTTTGAATTCAATAGGATGACCTTTGAAGGTAAAGAATATGTAAAGTGGATTTCTAATGAAATCTTATTCAATCCCGGTGAAGATATTAACATTTTGTTTTGTGTAGTATTTTCCTGCTTTATTTTTTGTCAGTTAATTTATTAAGAGGCCACTGACACTTTTTTCATTTTATTTTTTTAAATCTACCCAAACAAGGTGATCAGAAGCTTCTAAAATCTTAATAAACACCTGATTCTTAAATGTGAAATGAACTTAGAGAAAGGATATAGCATACATCATCTAATTATTTAGGTATGAAATGTTAGAATTTTGGGGGTTAGAGTCTCAGATATGTCCAAATCATGTCCTGTCCTTTCTTGTCTCCTAGGTAACTGCTAGAGCACATTTGAGATTTTTTTTCCTGAAAAATAAATGTCTTATATAAGAAGCTGGCAGTTAAGAAGGCGGAACATATATGTTTTTTTTTTCCATTTTAAACAATACAATTTGGCCATAGATTATATAGAACATAAAAATTGACAGAGAAATATAGCTTCAAGAGATATAATGTCAGTATGCAATATTTTAGTGAAAGTTACTAACATCATTTTGATTCATTGCATTTCTCTTAATATAAAATTTTATAGAGCCTGCTTTTCCACAACATCCCTGTTAGCAGGGATCTGTGTTGGTCTCATTGTAGACTTTAGTCTATATTCAGTGTCCAGGCTCTGTCCAGTATTGCAAAGGCAACATATCTAGCAAGGGTTCATCATCCTCTACCTAGAGAAGCTCTCACAGAGGGCAGTGAGTTTTCTCCTGATAACAAAGGCCAAAATGCCTTTTCTCTCTTAATGTAAGATTCATCTTTAATCCTGCGGCATACAAGCCACTTTTGTGCCCAGTCAGCCAGTGTCTGAAATGTCTCCAATCTGAATCCAGTTTACTTTTTTTCTTCTAGTTGGCTCCAGTGGGAGTTTGCAATTTCACTTGCTTTTTGTTTTACCTTTCTGGAGTTCCCTAGGGAAGTTAGTCTATACTATACAAACTTTAGTAGATGGCCAATACATGCATGTATCTTCTCTACCAATAATATTGATTTCTTTAATAACATTCCTACCAGTGTTATTGGTAGAAACATTATTAGTGGAAAGAATGATATCAATTGAGAGTGGCTCCTAGGCTTCTGGCTAAGAAGCCTGGTGAGTGGTTTTAGTATTTATTGGGGAAGATGGTGATTTAGTGTTTTTTTTTTCAATGGATTTGATTTTCTAGAGCAGTTTTAGGTTCATAGCAATATTGAGCATAAGATATGGAATTTTCCCGTATATCTCTAGTTTCTGCACATGCCTCACCTTCCCTCAACATACCCCACCAGACTAGTGCATTTGTTACGATCCATGAACTTACACTGACACATCACCATCACCCAAGGTTTATGGTTTATGTTAGGGTTCAGTCTTGATTTTGTACATGCTATGGATTTGGTTATGTTTATAATAACATGTGTCCACCCTTGTAGTATCATGCAGAGTAGTTTCACTGCTCTTAAAATCCTCTGGGATCCATCTATTCATTCCATGATTTAGGTTTTGATGTCTTGAGTTTGCCCACAGAGGACAAATGAAGGCTTGCAAATGGGTAAGGGCATCTAGGTATACAGTGTAAAATAAGAAGAGAAGATTGCCTGTCACTGCATCTTGAGGAGCAACCACAGGCGGCAAAGAGATGGACCAAGAAAGAGGCATCTACAGCACAGTGAGAGTGGCAAAAAGATAAGTGAAGCAATTCTTTTATTCATTCATTCATTCAACATATATTTTTGAGTCCCTACTATGTGCTAGAGACTACTATGTGTTAAGAGCTGAGTATTTGGAGAGTGGCATCACAGAAGCACAAAATAAAGAGTGTTTTTAAAACTAGAAAATGGTCAAGTGATGTGTTTTGGACATGAGGTCATTGGTGACTTTAGAAAGAGAAGTTTCAGTGGAGTGGTGAGAGTGGGAGCCAGATGGCAGAGGCTTGAGGATGGAGAGAGAGGTAAGCAAGGGTGACAGTGAATGTGAAGAGTTGTCAGGTTCACGACTATGCCAAATGTCATGTTGAGGTCTGAAGGGAGTGGGTGGATGAGCAGAAAGAACTCAAGGGCCCGTAGACAGGTGAAAGATGATTTTATTCAGCAGCAACTGTCATCAACAGCTTTCTCACACTGTCTGCCCTGTCTTGGTTGCTTGAGCCAGTGGCTCCCACATACAGCTGCGCAGCTGGCTCTCCCCTGCTTTCAGGGTCAGCAGCTTAACTCTTTCTCTCCCTGGGCATGAGTGAGCTGAGCTATGTTCTGGCTGCCCTTGGTCCATCTGCAAAGATGGACAGCTCTGACTCACTCTCTCTTTCTCTGGGTGCCAGCACCTATAGAGTGTCAACAGGGCAATTATACCTTTCACAGACAGTAGTGGCTTAGAGCCAGGTGATGAGCCTTTCTTATGTTATGGCTATGGTGGTGAGCTTCTCTATGTTAAGTCTACATGGCTGTGATAACAAGTGGAGTTGTACACCTGCGCTCTAAATTCATTGAGTCACTCTGGATGTTTACCTCGGCCTACCCTTGACCAAAGCACAGCCTTGTTCCTTACACTCCACCCCCTGGGCTGAGGGAGACGTAGGGCTTGATACACAGGTTATATGCATAAACTTTGGGTACATAGACTCAATATACACAGGCATGGGCTTTATACATAAGTTTGGGGCACATAGGCTTGATAAACAGGTTTGGCACACAGGCCTTACATTCTATCCCCTAGGCTAAGGGAGTCCTTAGTGGGGACCCATGCACATAGGGCAGCACCTTGGACCCATAGGCCACAGCAACAATACAGGGAACAACAGACTACCACTAACGTTCCTGTTATGCTACCTGTGATTATTAGAGCCCAACATAGGCCAGAGCCTAGAGAAGCCCACCGTCTCTGCAGGGGGTCATCAGTAAGGCACTCAATCACCTTAATATCCTGTGACACCCCTTATAAGGCTGCTGTTATGTTCTGGTGGTTGTCAGGAATAAATGTACAACATTGCGTCTCTACAAGGGCACAGCTGCCACATTGGGCAGCTCTGACCATGTCTAAGGCCATCCGGTTTTGCAGAACCAACTTCCTGATCTGATTGACTTCATCAGTTAACAAAAAGGAGAGCAACTCGGGTGTAATTCAGGGCCCAAACTGTGTGCTCTGCAAGGGCTGTAACTTGCATTTCTACAGTAGCGACACCTGCTCTAGGGATAGTTATCGCTTAGGGGTAGAGTCACTAGGGGGCTTGCTGAACTCGTAAAAACCAGGAACATAGCACCTTCCAGTTAGGTGGATGACTAGGCAATGTGGGAAACACAGTGGCAGGCACAGAAAGCCACCCCCAGGTACAACGTCCAGTCCAATTGGCTGGTAGATATGGCCATCCTGTGTCCCCACAGACCCATAAACTCCCTGGGGGCATAAAGTCCATGAAGGTCCAGCCTTGGTAAGGCAACTTATTCCACCACACCCTTGGTTTCGCGGCATGTGTTATGTTTGCACAAACCTCAGCAATAATCCCTCAGTGACTTTACCCCAGTGCTCCCCTATACATCATGGTACCTGCAATGGGGGCACCACATGTTTTCCCGTTAGCCAGCCCCATCCATCATGGACACTATAAGTCAGCCAGTGGCAGGCTTGCCATGGGTTTTGGGACGTCCCCCTATCCAAAGCCCACCATTGCATTGTCTATTGAACACCAAGTCTCTAGCCATGTCCAGTTCTGCACAGAAGCTGGATGCACGTTCCAGGGCAAGCTGCCTGCAGCTGCTGCTGAAAGGGTGGTGCAGATACAACAGTTGAAGACATTGGTCACCTCAGTGTAGGTGTGGGCCCAGAACATGATGCTGTTGGAGCATGCCACCTATGGCTGGAATGACAAAGCAAGCACAGGTACTAACAGGGGTAAATCATGTCCCTCAGGCAAAATACAGGCCAACTTTTCACCTCTCGATAACAGTGCAGCCACCAAGGGCATTTGCCCTGGGTGATGATACCACACCTTATCAGCTCCCTGTGGTCCTTTTGGGTGCTGTACCCATGCCAAACACACAGGGGAGCTTATGCTAAGCCACACAGACAGTACACATGCCCTCTGGAGGAGAGTCTCTTCCCTGGCCGTTCCCCTATGCATGGTTAATTGTGGAGGCCACACATTAAATACCCAAGGAGTAACATGTAAGTTATACTGCAGCCCCTCCCCCCAGGGGGCTATGATAGCCAACCATCTGCAATGAGGTGCTTGGAGGGTCCATGGCTAACACCAGGTTTTTCTGTTCCCCTGCCTTTAGGGGTACTGGGGCAGGCAATAACAGATTACTGTTCAACCCTGTACCTGGTTGGAGAAGGTTGTTCTTCCTCTCATAGATCTGGCCACATGGCCTGGCCCTACATGGGTCGATGACTAACTAGCTAATTCTGTAACTTCTAGGTAATTAACCACAAAGTTAAGCCTTGATAAATTGCCTAGCTACTAGTACAGATTACCACAGGTGTCATCTCCTTGGTGATCACAGTCCATATTGCCTTGAGTTCAACTTATTAGCTACTTTATTTACACCTGGTTTTAAACCATATTGTGTCAGTACTAGGCTGGACTGTAGCAGCAATCCAGGCAGCAGCAGTACTCTGGCTATACCTACCTGTATACTATGCCTCATTAGGAATGGGAGGATGCCCTTCCTTATGGTAAAGGCTCAGGGTCTAGAGGTGCCTCAGACCCCATGACTTTATCTTGCATTAGGACTATAGGCTTCAAGACCTATTGTAATTTTACTCCTAAGAGACCAGTACTCAGTGTACTCTGCTGCTCTAAGTAGGTGCCCCACTTCGCTAAAGTGGATGTCTGTGCCTTCCCTATCCAGGGGGTTGTTTCCCATGAATGCCCAATCTCACAATTACTAACTGCTTCTCTATCAAGGAATACTGGGGCTCAGCTCCCTTCCACAGCTGGGAACAAAAGCCTATTGGCATACTCAGGTGCTCTATGCACTGCTATAGGCCCTAACTGAAACTCTGTTGTCACAGGCACATCTAGTTTAAATGGGCACCTCTGGTCCACTACCCGTATGGCTTGTGCCTGCTAAATAGCCCGCTAGGCTACCAGAAAGACTGTCTCAGGAGCATCATCCCAATCCCAGGCAAGAAGAACATTGCCACTTCTAAATCTGCAGGAGAATCAGAGGTTAACATGACATCATTAATAAAATAATGACACGTGGTGGGGCTATGAATATAGCCCTGCAGCAACACTGTGAAAGTCCATTGTCACCCTCCCATGAAAGCAAACTGTTCCTGCCTCTCTGGAACAATGTCGACTGAGAGGAATGCATTGGTCAATTCCACCACATAGTGGCATTGTCTCAGTTCTGTTGTCAAGAAGTTCATCAAATCCATGATAGAAGGTACAGATACATGCAGAAGGAGTATTACTTTATTCAGTTTCCGATAATCCACTGTTATCTGCCAAATCCCATCAGGCTTTCTGACTGGCCATAATGGAAAATGGTAGGGGCTATGGATGCCACACACTATTTGCACCTCCTCTAACTTCTTAATAGTCTCAGTTACCTCTGTATTCCCCCCTGGCAAACGGTACTGATGAGTGGAAGTAACCTGTCAGGGTTGTGGCAGAACTTGGGGCTGGTGATGTGTATGTTCACCCAGTACTGGCTTTACTGCATGGACTCAGAATCTGGATTCTCTGGCCGTGGTGTGCAAGCCCAGACCATGCAAAATGTCCACCCCCAGAATATATTCAGGTATAGGAGAAACATACACAGTGTACAGGTGGGGAGCCAAGCGGCCAATGCCAAGATGCAGAGACACAGGCTTCACCTTCACCGACTGGCTCCCATAACCGTCCATAAATGCAGCTTTGCCTAGAAATTTATCTGGGTTCCCATAAACTAGACTGCAGTCTGCACCAGTATCTATCAGTGCTAGGACCCGCGGTACATTAGTGGGGGACCAGTGGATTGCCAGCTCCACATATAGCCTCTGGTTGTCTAGTTCCCCCTGCCAAGCTGGCGACCTCGGCCAGTTCCCTAATCAAACAAGAAAGGCTCTGTATCTCTGCCTGTCTGCAAATAGTCCTTGAGTTGCAGCGTCTGGGAGGGATTAGGTTGAACAACATTGTTTTGCCCCCCACACCTTAGGCATTTTCTGGAATTGCTGCTCCCGGGACAATTGCCTTCACAGAGTCAACAACATTCCATTGGGTTGCCCGTCAATTTTCTCCCGAGCAACCCCAGCTGCAAGTAAATCAATCCACATCTGCATGCAGGTCACCTCCTGGAGCCCCTTTTTATCTGGTGGGGTGGTTAACTGCGGATGAGGCATTTTCTCCCTCCTTACGGTGCGGATTCTCCGGTCCTGCGAATGGCCTTCTGCCTCCCTGAGGGCTGCCAGAGCAGTAGTCACTTCATGTATGCGGCACCCCACATACTGGGTGAGAACAGCGGCTAGAAAGCCATAAGGGTTCGGGGTGCTGAACTCAGCACAAGATCCCTCATGTGGGAGGTAAAGCGTTCATCATCTGGCCCCATGGTAATCAGACCAAACATAGCCTGCCGCATACCTATCTCCAAGAGTATCTGCACCAAATTAGTATGTGATTGCCATTTACTCACAGTTTGTAGTATCTCTCTGGCATCATTGAAAACAGTCCATATGACTGTCATTAGCCACTTGATTAATGTGTGGCCACCTTGCTCTTGTGCCAACCGTTGGCACAGCTGCAGCTGCTGACGAAGGGAGGGGTGAGTTGTGATAGAAGTCAGCTTCTCCATCTCAGAGGCGGAACAAAAAATGCTATCAGCTCCCTCAGACGCTGCCGGCACTATTTACCTAATTCCCACAACTCACTGGGGTTATAAGCATAATAAGAGGCGTGTTCCACCACTGTGGACGGGGTCCCTGGGCTTTCCCCTAGGGTCCCATCAGCTGCTTATGTTCTACCTTCTGACGGATCACAGGAGGAGCCTGCAGCGGAGGAGCCTCCTCCTCCTCAGCATCAGACCTAAAGGGAGTGTCCTGCCTGAAGGACCGGCTCAAGGTCGCACTAACAGCTCTTGCTAACTCCTGTTCCAGGCTGTTTATCTGGGCCTCCAAGTACCCTGCTTGCGCCTGGAGGTCTCTCACCCCCAGGTCCTGCTCAAAGCTGTGCACTTGGGCCCCCAGGCATGCGGCTTGCTCCGGAAGGTCCCTTACCTGTGGCACTGAGCATGTACTTCCTGCAGTGCAGTTAGAAATGCCCATCCGACTCTGCTTGCAAAGGTACGTTCTTTCTCTGTGCTGAGCTTCCAGCTGCTTCCGTGCTTTCTCCACCCTCGAAGGAGACCTGTCCTCTGGTTCCCATGTTTCCACTGGGGCTCATCCAAGCAGCACTACTGCCACCGGGTATCACAGCCCATGCTGCCGCCACAAAGCCAACCCCGGTATCCCCAAAGGCTGAAGACCCACTTGCCTCATTCTGCCAACTACGCTAGTTGTCAAGCTCACGACTACGCCAAATGTCATGTTGAGGTCCGAAGGGAGTGGGTGGATGAGCAGAAAGAACTCAGGGGGCTGTAGGCAGGTGAAAGATGATTTTATTCATCAGCAGCAACTCTCGTCAACAGCTTTCTCACACTGTCTGCCCTGTCTTGGCTGCTTGAGCAAGCAGCTCCCACATAGAGCTACACAGCTGGCTCTCCCCTGCCTTCAGGGTCAGCAGCTTAACTCTCTCTCTGGGCATGAGCGAGCTGAGCTGTGTTCTGGCTCCCCTCTGTCTGTCTGCAAAGATGGACAGCTCTGACTCTCTCTTTCTCTGGGCGCCAGTGCCTGTATAGTGTCAACAGGGCAATTATACCTTTTACAGGCAATAGTGGCTTAGAGGTGATGAGCCTTCCCTATGTTATGGCTATGGTGGTGAGATTCCCTATGTTATGTCTACATGGCTATGATAACAAATGGAGTTATACACCTGTGCTCTAAACTCACTGAGTCACTCTGGATGTTTACCTTGGCCTATCTTTGACCAAAGCACAGCCATGTTCCTTACAATGGTATCTCAAATAATCAAATTATGATTGAAGAGGACAGAGTTTGGATGGTAGATGGAGGGGCTCAGGCACAAAGTAGGTTATGTCAACAAAAATGGTGAAGGAGGAAAACTGAAATTCCACTCTCCATGCAAGCAATAAAAAACTGGCAAAAAGTGTAAGAATCAACATTTTTGGGACTCTGGAAATAACCAAATGCTTGCAGCAACCCAGGGAAAGCTTATTCAAGAAAAAAGCTAAATCTTGCCAACAACAGCAAACTTTGTGGTGTTTAATGTACTTAAGTCCCATTTCCCACTCTGAAGCTCAGCAGAAGCCTTGATAATAAAGCTTAAATTCTTGGCACTTGTTTAACATGGAAAACACCTGAGCATATTTAATCACTAATTTGAAGAGGTTAGAAGAACTTGATAGAGCACTTGAAGTTACTGCAACTGAGAGGAAAGTGGATAGTGCCAGGTGGAGGGGCATTGACAGGAGGAGGCTCACTTCAGATACAAGGAGGGGAAAGGAGGAGAGACCATGTGCCGTCTGCTTGTGCAGAGCACTGTTAGATTTTATTCTATGCTTCCTATTTTTGTCCATTAGATAAGGGGCATATGCCAATGGTGAATATGAGAGGACTAGGAATCCTAATGGGCTTTGTAGTCACTGCCAACATCATGCAGATTGACATCTGAGAATTTATGATAAATATTGATTTGTACAGTTGTGTTATAGCAATACAAAATGGACTAAGACATACCCTATGTAATCAATTACCATATCCCACCTATGTCACCCATAGTGTGCCTGCCTCCCTGTCCATTTCTACTGCCACTGCCTTATTCTAAGCTCTTATAGCCTCAATTCTGGATCACCTGCATTGCCTAATAGGTGACATTCCTAACTCTAGGTTACACCCTTTTCTTCCTTTCTTTTCTTTTTTTCTACAACAGAATTCAGATGTCTACTGCAGTCATGGAGAAGATGCATGTATTCATCCAAGAATGTGGATTTGCTAGCCATTTGCAGTGAAAGCAAAAAGTGATAAAACCAAATTGTCTGTTGAGTCACTTGGGTTGCCTGGCAACAAGTTAACTGAGACTAGAGCCGCTCTCAACCCCACTTGGGAGGGACTCTGTAGAATTTCAACTTACTGCAAAGTCTTTCAGGAGCTATCAGCAGTAGCATGAGGTTCTCCTAAGCAATTGCAAACCAGCTGCCAGATCTACTATCAATGGCACTTTCACAACCACAAGAGCTCCCTATGTTGTTAATTGATTGGGTGATCTCAAAGTCCCTGCATAAAGGATGAGCAGCATGGGGATGGGAGTTCTTCTCCAGGAACACAATTCCTGCTCTGTCCAGCCATTCCTGGAACAAGTACTCCTCTCCAGGCAAAGCTGAGAGTCCCAGAATCAGTATGTAATTTGCCAGGCATGTTTTGGTTTGCACTGTGAAATATTTGTAGGGTTTAGCTGGGCACTAAAGGATAAAGGGCCAAGGGAGTAGAACATATTGGCAGAAAGTGAGGTGAAATGATAAATCCAAGATGGGCATTCTTTTGCTTTGGCTGCCATAACAAAATACCACAGACTAGGTAACAGAAATTTATTTTATCACTGTTTTGAAGGCTGGAAGTCCTAGGTATAGATGTGGGCAATGCTGGTTGCTTCTAAGGCCTCTCTCCTTGGTTTTCAGAAGGCTGCCTTTCCCCTGTGTCCTTGCAGGGTCTCCCCTTTGTGCATGCATTCCTGGTGTTTCCTGGTGCGTCCAAATTTCCCCCATTATAAAGACACCAAGCAGCTTCGATTAGGGTCCTCCCTAATGGCTTTATTAACTTAACCACATCTTTAAATGCCCATTTCCAAGTGCAGTCACATTTTGAGGCACTGGGGTTTGGAACTTCAACACATGAATTTTGGGAGAACACAGTTAATCTTATAACAGATAAGGAGGAAAATGAATACAGTAGGGCAATTTGATGAGAAATTATAAACTAGAGGGTGGGATCCCTAAAGAGAACAAAGACAAAGATAGTGAGACTTGTTAAACAGGGAAGCTGTAAAGATAGAAGGTTGTGGTGAGGAATATCTGAAATATTACTTTGAAGATAAAAACCTTTCACTAAATAATACAATCTAGGGTATGATCTTAGAAGTGGATAGGTGGGGTAAGTAGGAGGTAGACTTCGAAGGTGATTAAGTCAACCCCCAGTGCACTAGAATATGGGACGTATCTCTGATGTGAACATTGAAATAACTTAGAAGGATGGCAGATAGTGGGATAAAGAGGAATGCAGAATCTGATGTGAAAATATACTCTTCTCATTTGGATTTGAGCCATTGCTTCATGGCAGGTGACATGCAGCCAAGTTTCCTAGGATTCTGAAAACCAAGTTGATTTGAATTTGCTATTTAAGGAGGGCACATTTTAAAAGCAGGACTCGGCCAGGTGTGGTGGCTCATGCCTGTAATCTCAGCACTTTGGGAGGCTGAGGCAGGTGGATCACGAGGTCAAGAGATCAAGACCATCCTGGCCAACATGGGGAAACCCCGTCTCTACTAAAAATACAAAAATTAGCAGGACATGGTGGCGTGTGCCTGTAGTCCTAGCTACTCAGGAGGCTGAGGCAGGATAATCACTTGAACCCAGGAGGCAGAGCCTGGTGACAGAGTGAGACCCCATCCTAAAAAAAAAAAAAGAGAAAGAAAGAAAGAAAAAAGCAGGACTTTAGCAAGTTTATTTTATACTAAATCTGTTGCATTTTATTACCAGTCAAAAAGGTGCTTCGCATATTTTTTGTGATCTCCATTGTGTCAGGTATTATATGTAATAATAAGAAAATATAAAACACAGTCTCTATGATTAAAGTTTACATTCAAGTTTAAGAAACATGAGTAACATACCTGAGACAGGACCCAAATAATATAAAGAATGTTATATACTAAATTTTGTGATCCAGACTCAGTACTAAAATAATTTGAAGAAGGAAATCAACAAGGGATGTTAAAAGAGACAGGAGAAACTGTAACAAGCTGAGGCTGAAGAAATGGGTATGCTTTGAAAAGCAGCGAGAAAGGAAGGAGGTGAAACAAGTATCCTGACAGAGAGCCCAGAAGTGCAAGAGAACATGGTAAGTTTGTGAATAGATAGACTATTATTTGGACCAGAAGGCTAGGCCTATACTGCGGAATTTAGAAATCAAAATGTGCAGCACTGAAACAAAAAAGAGCTTATGAAATAAACAACAGTTTAGTATACTGTTAGCTTTCACTGGGAAGAATTCGAAAGCTCTTTAATGTTATAATGCAAATAAATGACCTGAGTGAAGGGATGTTTATAAAAGAATATTTGGATAGGTATAGCCTAAAGCTAGGAAGGTCAACTATTAGGAAATTCAGATGATCTGGAATTTAGGGTATGAGTGCTTAGAACAAGGCAGTGGCAGTGGACATGAAGAGGGAGGCACACTATTGGTGACATGGGTGGGATGTGGTAACTACTTATATAGGATATGTCTTAGTCTATTTTGTGTTGCTATAACAGGATACTTGAGGTTGGGTAATTTCTAAAGAAGAGAGGTTTATTTAGTTTACAGTTCCGCAGGCTGAGAAGTTCAAGAGCAGGCCCCTGGCTTCCGGTGAGGGCTTTTATGTTGCATTATAACATGATGCCGAAAGTCCAAGGGGAAGTGGACACTTGAAAGAGATAAAACCTGAAGGGCATCCTGGCTTTCTCATGGAAATTAATCAATTTCTAGGAGAACAAATCCAGTTTCACCAGAGTGAGAACTCTTTGACTGCCATGAGAATGACACCAAACCATTCATAAGAAATCTCCCACTATGACCCAAACACTTCCCACTAGGCCCCACCTCCTAACACCGTCACATTGGTGATCAAAATTCAACATGAGTTTTGAGAGGGCCAAACCAAACCATAACAGAGTGTAATGGGGGATTCTGGGGTAAAGATGATTAAGTTTTTGAGTGTTTCTGATACATGAAAAGTGGTAGTGCTGGAGTAGAGGGCAGCTGGCTTGAGAAAAAGTTAACTTCTGAACATTTATTTTAAGAGGCTAGCTTCATGTCCTTGTTTAATCATCTAAGTCATATAGACAAAAATTTAATTTCATATTCATGTAGGAAGCTACTCTGAATGATAAATTAAGTTAAAATGACTCCTCTGAAAGCACACTTATATTTCATATTATAATATATGTGTATAGAGAACATTTATGAGCATAGACATCATTCTCAGCAAACTATCGCAAAGACAAAAAACCAAACACCGCATGTTCTCACTCACAGGTGGGAACTGAATGATGAGAACACATGGACACAGGAAGGGGAACATCACACACCGGGGACTGTTGTGGGGTGGGGGGAGGGGGGAGGGATAACATTAGGAGATATACCTAATGCTAAATGACGAGTTAATGGGTGCAGCACACCAAATGGCACATGTATACATATGTAACAAACCTGCACGTTGTGCACATGTACCCTAAAACTTAAAGTATTAAAAAAAAAAAAAGAAATATTGAGAATGTCCAGAAAGCAACAGAAACCTCAAAGGTCATGATTTAAAAAAAACATTTTCCTAATTATGGATTAGAATATTTTATTTGCCACATGAAAAAAAAAATTTTTATGCCAAGTACAAGTGAAATTGTCAGTGTCTCCATTGTGGGGGAAAATGGAGAGACAAAGACTTTTTGTTTACATAATATATATATATATAAATTCTCCCTAATTTTAAGCATATTTTTCATACTATTGGTAAGTATTTATTATAGAAACTTTAGAAAACTCTCACCTATTTTATTAAATAAGGAATTATTTACTATACTGTTTGGCAGTCTACTTTTCTGCTCAATAAAATAGAATTCATATTTTAAAAAATCACTAAATAATCTTCTCCAGAATATTTTAATGATTTCATAAGATCCTATAGTATATATGCTTTATAATTTTTGTCAAGTATTGTGCAGTTTGATATTTAGGTTATTTGTAATATTTTGTTACTTAAAACAATGCAAAGAACATTCTGATAGCTTATTTTTGAATATATGTATAACTATTCTCTTAGCATAAGTTTCTAGAAATTGAATACTATATAACATTTTGTTTTTTAAAAATTGCATTGCCAATTTCTCTCCTGGAAAGATAAATATCTTTGCCTATTTAGTAGGCAAAAATAGCATTTCATTTTTAAACTAAACTGTTTCATATTTAAATACACTTACTATTCCTTTTCTTTTTGAATTATCTGGTGTCCTTTACCCACATTTCTGTGGTATCTTTTCTTCTTTTTATTGTTTTGTAGGATATTAAGCCTCATATATATTACAGACATTTTGCTTAGTTTATTATTTACCTTCTTTAAGAGAGAAGAAAGACCAAAATGTTTTTTCTACTCTCACATGTAACACTTGCTATAATACTTCACCTCTGATTACCAAAGTGGACGTGGGGTGTTACCTCTGCCAGCCTAAAATAACAACAAAGAGAGTGGCTCACAAAATAAAGGAGTCTATGTGGTAATAAATGACAGGGGAGCATAATCCAGAATTTGTATGCTATGAGGAGCTGCAGGCATATTCAGGGAGGGTGAGGCAAGGGGAAACTTTTAAAGGCAAAATGAAGAAGTGCACACAAGTTGTTTTGAAATAATTATCATTGGCAATAAGGATTAATAACAAGGGTAGCATCAATAGGAGGTTAAATAGGTGATTTCCAGGCAGATGTCAATGTGGAAGTGTTCTTTGTGTAAGATTGCAGTGGTCTTTGTGCAAGATTGTGGTTTTCAGACAATTCTTGTAATAGTTTTTATCATAGGCATGTGTGTATGAGAGCCCCTCTATTATGACCTTCTGACTTCATTTTGTTACGGTTTGGCACAAGTGACTCCATTTTGATTCTGACAACTTTCACATTTTCCCATTCGATCAAGATCTTATCTCTGAAATGATTGTTGATTAATTAACTGGGAGTTAGGTTTGATTGTCCCTTCATACTGGATGGACCTGTTCTGGTTGGTTTCATCCTGTGTGGAGGAAATAGCCAGCAATTATGAATCAATATCAAGATGCTTTGGCTACATTTGGGCAACAAGGAGGTTTAGAAGGATGGGCTCCCAGGTTAAGTTTGCCCAAATTCGTTGTCAAGTTCAATTTTACCAGTTCCATAGGTATGGGAGGTATTATTCTGAAGCACTGGACCAGCATTATTCGGTTAGGTGTTGTACTTCTACAGAAATTTGATAGGAAACAGTCACAATGTTTAAAGAGAATAATACAGAGTAAAAATGACAGCAATATGATGTCCCAGGTTTGTATAATGGTTTTGAGCCATGAATCTAGGCCTGAAGGCAACCAACAAAACAAATAAACTGACCATGGAGAAGGGAGTGAGACCTGCTGTATAGCCAGATATTAGAGGAAACTAGAAGAATTTAGGATTGGGTCCAGTCTACAGATAGATAATAAAAAATTTTAAAATACAATGAACAGGGTTACAATGTAATAACAGGTGTATTATAACTTTTTAAAAAAACTATCTCTATTTTTACCAAAGTAGATAATCAAAGCAAGACTAATTTGTTTGCAAACTTGACCTGATTATTTATATAAGTCCAGAAAGAATGATGATTGATTTCATAGGTTAAAAACTCTTGAGACTAAAAAGCTGAATCAAGGCAAACTTTAGATTTCACCTGCAGTATGTTTAAACAATTGAAATATGACATCCTAGTCAAAACCTCAGTGATATAATCAATGTTTTCAATTGTATCCTGTTATAAAGGAAATAGATTCTTATTGAACTTATGCACATAGCTATATATTGTCATAAAGGTACCCATGAATAGTTTCTGAATTCTGGAGGGATCAGAAGAAAAAAAGTGAATATTTTGAATTTTGTTTATAAAAATATACTTTACCAAATTGCCATAAGCTACAGAGAGCTTAAGAGGAAAGCTTCCTTAAATCTGGAAAACAAAGTATTAAAGTAAAGAACCAACAAAATTTTAAGTAAAAAGTTATAAACATTATTTTTATTAGTTATTATCTCATGTACTAAATTCTTGTGCTGCTTGATCTTGGTGAACAATTTCATGAATTTATCCGTTTCTGCATTAGAGTTTTGGAAATTTTTACCCAGTCCAATGGTATGATATTAAAGTTATTAGAAACCTGCATTCAGTAGTACTCATCAGAGTTTTTTCCATGAGAAGTAGTTTTAGACTGTATCTAATTGGAAGTGCTTTTAGAGAAAAACCAAAACAATAAATGTCTATGGACAAAGACTTAGAATAGCCAGTATTAAGAATCTAATGAGAATGTATTATAACCAGAAATTGATGAGAAAATTTGTTTTATTTTGTGTCATATAACATTTTAACATAATAACTAAAATTGTGACTGATAACTATTAGATTCTAAAAATTTACATAATTTTTGGAACAGTCATGTCAATAACATTTTCATACAAATATAACTTTAAAAGATTAAGCATCATTTCTTATTTTGAGAATGCTTCTCATATGATTTAATATAGTAAATAAGCCTAATTAGTTTAGTATCTCTATTTTTACAAAATGAGAGAGATCGAGTAGACTCAATTTAGAATTTGATTTTAGAATTTGTAAAATGTCAAAAAGTTTAAAACATTTGATCAATATAGGATCACAGGTCACTGTGAGAAAGTAATTCATTTAACCAGAGTGATAATTAAAAGACTTGAAAATCAAATACAGAAAAGTACATAGTACTTTCTACAAAGTAGAAAGAAAAAGAATCTTAACTCCTTGAAGGTTTAGTTTTCTTCAGTAATCAAGGACCTAAAAAGATAGTACAAAACACAAGAAATTCTCTTGATAAACCATAGAACCTTTATTTCCTAGGCCAATTACCAAAAAGGTAGAGAACTTTTACTATTTTTAAAATTAAGAGTAGATCAGTACTCCAAGAAAAACTTGTTGTTTTAACACAGGACGAATTTTTAGTTTTATGTCAGTATTATTTTGATATCAATGTTTAACCTTTAGAAAAACATACAAACAATTCCCTTTTAGTTTTAGCCAACCTGATCACATGCAACATTCCCTTTAAGATTCATTTTTCACAAACCTTTTACAAATTGCTCCGACCTTCTATAACTTGCTCAAATCTAGTTTTTTTTCCTGTACTGTCCCTGGTTTTATATTGAAGCAACCAGTCATTCTACCAAAAATTTTACTTTTCTTTTTCCCTCATCATTTTGACCATACAAGATTGTCTGTCATACAAAGAATAATTTTCCACCTTTCTCTTTTCTATTTTCCTTACCAAAAATATATTCCCAGACTTATAACTTTCTTTGCATTTGTCTCTCTTACTCACTGGTTTCTTATTTTCTTTATAAATTCACATTATGAAATGACCTTTAAGTAACCTCAGACTTATACAAAATCACTCTTTTTAAACAAAAAATATATCCTCATGTCTTTTTACAATTTTTCTCATCAAAAACACATCTTGGTTTTTCTTATACACTTTGTATATGGATTTACATATATTAATTAAAAATATTAACTCTTAGTAGCCTTAATTTTTAGAAAAAATTGAGAAAGTAAGCAATTTTTGAACTGTCTTGACACATATGAAGATTTGATAAATACACATTTCATGATTTTTAGGAGCATTTTTTTTTTCAGAGAACACTTTTTCAATGTGGATGAGGACATATTTATGAACAAATACAAATATATATTTTTTATAAACTTTAAGAAGCCAAGAATAAACTTAAACTAATGTTTAGCAATTAATGTTTCGATATTTTAACTTATTTGGATTACTCATGAAAAATTTCCTGAGGCGTTAGATAAAGCTAGCCATCATTTCAAGTTATTTCTGTATTAACCACTTTTATAGGGGGTCAATATCAGGCAGGCATCACAAAAACAAGAACCTGAAGAGTTAAATATATGAATATCTTATTTTACTGCTGTGGTTGATATATATGAAGTAATGGACACAGCATTGTACTCTCATTTGCACGTGTTTCTTAGGTCACACTCATATTCTTATGATCTTAAATATCTAACAGAGATAAACGTTGTGTGTCTGCATTATATTTAATATTAACAACTGTCAACACATCTTTAATTATCATTTTATCCACCAAAAATTGTCTCAGATTACATAAGCCTTAAAAAATTTGGGTTAGTTTCTACTTTTCTGACAGTTTTAGACATGCTCACTTATTTCTATGTCAATTTTTTTTTTTTTTTGAGACAGAGTCTTGCTGTGTCACCCAGGCTAGAGTGCAGTGGCATGATCTCTGCTCATTGCCACCTCCGCCTCCCAGATTTGAGTGATTCTCCTGCCCCAGCCTCCCGAGTAGCTGGGACTACAGGCACCCGCCACCATGCCTGGCTACTTTTTGTATTTTTATTAGAGACAGGGCTTCACCATGTTAGCCAGGCTGGTCTCGAACTCCTGACCTCACGTGACCCACCTGCCTCGGCCTCCCAAAGTGTTAGGATTACAGGTGTGAGCCACCGTGCCTGGCCCTCTATGTCAATTTGAATGATGCCTTTTATTAATATTAGTAGAAAAGAGCTTTACAATTTTTCATTTGCTCAATTTTTAAATAGTCAAAAAGCATGCCAACAAGAAAGTGGGCAGAGGAGCAGAACATATAGTTAGCGGGGTTCTGAGAAAAGGAGTTTCAGTTGACTGAGAAATTCCCAAGAGAGAAGCAGGATCTAACAGAGAAAACAGAGAGGCTTTAAAAAATTGTAGCTCGAACATCAGCTTCCAATTAAGTTGACTTCTCACCACACAGTGCTTAAAAAATTATTCAAAAATATCTTGTTATTAGGATTCAGCTGGGACAACAACAAATATTCCTGGTAGTATTGAACTCCCTTTCTTTCTGAGTGTGTAATTTCATTTTCGCTTAGAAGAGAAGGTCGAAGAAACAAACCAAAAGTTTCTATCATGCTCCAAATATAAACCAAAGTTTCAAACCAAATGTTTTCAATTGTGATTCAAAATTAATAAGGCTTTTATGGCTTAACCATGGGTGCAAAAGACATCCCCAAAGAGGCTGCAAAAGAGGCATCCCCAAAGAGGGTGCAAAAGTCAAGATCCAAAGTTTTTCCCGAAGATACCCTAAAAAAGTGAACACTCTAAGTGTTAACAAGGCAATGAAGGCTGAGACAATTAAATGTAGATTTACCTGAGAACCACAGCTGGACAGAGGCACTTTTGCCTGTTGAACTCCTAGCTAGATGGCTGGTTGTCTGAAGCCAACCTGACAACTTGTGTTTCTCTGGCTGGCAGATACCAGAGAGAATATCCTCACTGGTCACAAAGCCAAGATCTCAGTGATTTTTATCCTTATGACAAATCACACAAAAGAAAAACACAAGGACTGTTTTTGAGAGGCTGTGGATCAAAAACCAGTGGGAACCTGGAACCATATTCAAAAGAGTCACAATTCTCTGTAATCCCAGCACTTGGAGAGGCCAAGGCAGGTGGATCACGAGGTCAGGAGATCAAGACCATCCTGGCTAACATGGTGAAACTCCATCTCTACTAAAAATACAAAAAATTAGCCGGGTGTGGTGGTGGACAGCTGTAGTTCCAGCTACTTGGGAAGCTGAGGCAGGAGAATGGCACGAACCCGGGAGGCAGAGCTTGCAGTGAGCTAAGATGGCGCCACTGCACTCCAGCCTGGGCAACAGTGCAAGACTCCATCTCAAAAAAAAAAAGTCACAATTCAAATTACGAATTCTTACAAATAGTTATTTCTCCTGCCAATCTCCATTTAGCAGGGGAAAGAAACAATGAAGGGACAAGGGAAGTTGTTTACCTTCCCTTGTCAACCAGGTACTACAGCTAGAGATCCGGGAAAGCTGATTTTGGTAAGAATTTTTACCTTTTGCTGGCTTTTGTCAGATCTCTCAGGATCCCATCTGTAGACTATGAAGCCAGTGGGGTGCCACAGTCTATAGGGTCCTGGCTGGATCAGGGAATGAAATCAACGTAATATAGATTATCAGAACAGAAGTATAATACAAGTTTTACATGGCCGGTGAGCCCTCATAAGAAAGTGGAGACTCAAAAGAGGTAGTCAGTTAACCAATATCTGGACTGCACAAGGAAGAGTAAACTGAAAATGTGACCAAGGAGGCTTAAAAGACAAGTTACTCTACAAGGTTTACAAATATTCTTTCAGTTTCAAGTTCGTGTCCAAGAAGATAAAAATCTTGCCTTTCCAGCAGAGGCGGGCAGATCACGAGGTCAGGAGATCAAGACCATCCTGGCTAACACGGTGAAACCCTGTCTCTACTAAAAATATAAAATATTAGCCAGGCGTGGCTCGTGGGCACCTGGAGTCCCAGCTACTTGGCAGGTTGAGGCAGGAGAATGGCGTGAACCCGGAGGCGGAGCTTGCAGTGAGCTGAGATCAGTGCCACTGCACTCCAGCCTGGGCTACAGAGTGAGACTCTGTCCCAAAAAAAAAAAAAAAAAAAATCGGAATTGGTGGCTGTGGAGAGATGAAATAGGCAAGTAGTCAACAAATTTTGGGAAAAAAGGGAATTCAGCTAGACAAGGATAAAGACAAGGATAAAGAGAAGGAGGAATTATAGGAAGGTGAGGGGCAAACTCTGGAGAAGGAAATTCAGCCAGCTTTCAGGCAGTACTTTGCAGTGAGGCCTTTTTTAAAGTCCTGAATGTGCTCTCTGAAACCTTAAGATGCCAATTAAAAATGTATGTCTCATTTGAACTGTTTAATACTGTAACATGGTCTTCTAATTTTAGTTCTAACACACATAAGCTTGGGGAGTTTGAATAATCCTCATAATGATCATGGGAGCTTTAAATTATCCTTGGTGTAACATATCCATTGGTTCAAAAGTGTGCATAAAGAAGTCATAGTATTTGAACTTATAACCACCTGGAGCCCCTGAAAATCTGGCATGTTTTAGAATTTGAGCATTCATTTCATTTCTCATTAATTTCTCAAGAGCAAAAGAAAATCCTGTAATCACTGTCAAGGAACTTTAAGAGTTTGGGTAAAGTGTTTTGTTTTGACATGGCATGGGATGCTTTTTCTGCTTGGTTGACAACCTTTGCCCTAGTTTTCCAACCTGTGACCAAGTTTTCCCTGTTGCAGATAGATTTTCTCAAGACTGGCACATGGCTTAGTGGTGATCTTGCCTATCTGTGACCCAGTGTATCCTCACATGAGAGACTTTGTTCCCTCATAGAATGGTGATTACCATCCTAATGGGTTTTAACTCATCAACCTGTGTCCACCATTGGTATGTTCCCTTTTGCTCTGCAAAGTTGTTCAGAAACAAACAAGGAAAAAAAAGAGCCAATTTACTTACAGACAATGCCTAAAAAAACAAAACCAAGGTACTCAACAGAAACAGAAAGACAAACTGCCTTTATACCAGAAACGACTTGCCAGAAAAGACAAAAAGTCTTTTATAGCCCCAGGAGGGATGCAAGGTCCTTTATTAAGGTGGTCTCATTCAAGCTAGATCTCAAATACAGTCAAAGAGCTCCTATCAAAAAGAGGGAGCTCAACCTGAGAGAAGACTGCCCAGGGCAGAAAAGGTGAGCTGTGAAAACACAATCCTCAAAAGGGCTCAAGTGGGTACTGTACACTAGTCCAAGCAGTACCAACTGCTTCCAAGGGTGATCTTACTTCAGATCCCACTTCTGACACAAGATTATGTCGGCCTAAAATAACAACAGGGAGAGTGGATCTCAAAATAAATGAGTTTACTTGGGAATGAATGACAGGGGATTACAAACCAGGAAGTGTGTGCTATGATGGATCACAGGCATATTCAGGGAAGTTGAGGTAAGCTGAAACTTTTAAAGACAAAATGAAAAAATTTATATAAGTTGTTCCAAAATGATTACCGTGGTTGTGGTGGTCTTTGTGCAAGATTGTGATTTTTAGACCATTTTTGTAATACTTTTTATCACAGATGTGTGCATGTGAGAGCCCCTCCTGAATCCTTTTGTTAGGGTGTGGCATAAGTGACTCCATCTTGATTCTGACAGCTTTCACACCCAACACACCAAGCAGTTCTCTAGCAGACACCAACTGGGTGTCTTATAATTTTTATTTTATTTTATTTTTTTTATTTTTTGAGACAGAGTCTCACTCTGTCACCCAGGCTGGAGTGCAGTGGCATGATCTTGCTCACTGCAAGCTCCGCCTCCTGGGTTCAGGCCATTCTCCTGCCTCAGCCTCCCGAGTAGCTGGGACTACAGGTACCCGCCACCACGCCTGGCTAATTTTTTGTATTTTTTAGTAGAGACAGAGTTTCACCGTGTTAGCCAGGATGGTCTCAATCTCCTGACCTCGTGATCTGATAACCTCAGCCTCCCAGAGTGTCGGGATTACAGGCATGAGCTACTGCGCCCGGCCTTATAATTTATTTCTGTTCTGACACTACGTGGAAATGGCATCAGATCCCACAGGTTAAGGACTCAGTCCCACCAGACTTCTCCCCATTTCAGACACCAATCACAAGTAGGCTCTGTCATCTATACTTCTGACTGACAAGCTATTAATCAAAGTTCCCACTACTTCATTCTTGGGTTTAATTAATTTGCTAGTGTGTCTGTAATTGATTCCTTCTGGTGGGTTCTTGGTCTCACTGACTTCAAGGATGAAGCCACAGACCCTCACAGTGAGTGTTACCATTCTTAAAGATGGTGTGTCTGGAGTTTGTTCCTTCAGATGTTCAGATGTGTCCAGAGTTTCTTCCTTCTGGTGGGTTCGTGGTCTTGCTGACTTCAGGAGTGAAGCCACAGACCTTCGCAGTGAATGTTACAGCTCTTAAAGGTGGCACATCTGGAGTTGTTTGTTCCTCCTGGTGGGTTCGTGGTCTCCCTGACTTCAGGAGTGAAGCCACAGAACCTTGTGGTGAGTGTTACAGCTCATAAAGGTAGTGCGGACCAAAAAGTGAGCAGCAGCAAGATTTATTGTGAAGAGCAAAAGAACAAAGTTTCCACAGCGTGGAAGGGGACCCAAGCAGGTTGCTGCTGCTGGCTCAGGTGGTCAGCTTTTATTCCCTTATTTGGCTTCACCCATGGCCTGCTGACTGGTCCATTTTACAGAGCACTGATTGGTCCATTTTACAAAATGCTGATTGGTTCATTTTTACAGAGTGCTGATTGGTGCGTTTACAAACCTTTAGCTAAACACAGAGTGCTGATTGGTGCGTTTTTACAGAGTGCTGATTGGTGCATTTACAAACATTTAGCTAGACACAGAGTGCTGATTGGTGTGTTTACAATACTTTAGCTAGACAGAAAAGTTCTCCAAGTCCCCTCCCGACCCAGAAGCCCAGCCGGCTTCACCTCTCAATCCCCTCTCTAAACAGGACACCCCAACTGCTGTTGGGAATTGGGCAATGACTGCTGTAGCTACTTCCTGCTGGATAGGGGTGAAGAAGGGGCCCTGCAGTTGTAGTATCCTCCAGAGGGGAGCTCTCTAGGTCAGGGAAAGGGCCAGCAGGTCAGTCCAGGGGTCCTTGGTAGAAGTTGTTAGTTGAGCTCATTTGGGGTTCCATTTGTAAGACCATCTGTAGTTGATGGCCTCGATTCTAGAGGAAACAAATTTGACAAGGAGGTTAAAAATACAGGGCCCAAAGGCAAGTAATAGCAAGATGGCTGCCACGTGACCTAGAAAGGGGAGAAGCCATGTTGCCCAACTCCAGAGATTGGTATAAGAGTTTGAAAGGCATTGTCCCATTTCAGAAGCCTTTTCCTGTAAATGCCGGGCAGCATCTCGTACTATCCCTGACTGGTTAGTGTAAAAACAACACTCTTCCCCTAAGAAGATGCAGAGTCCTCCTTTCTCAGCAGTGAGGGAGTCTAGGCCTCGGCAGTCTTGGAGAGTTGCTGCTGCCAAAGAGTCTGTTTGGGATTGTAGAGTAAGGATAGATTTCGTTATTTCTTGCAAACTGTCTGAGAAATCCTTTGAGAGTGTGTGGTAGTAGGATAATGAAGTAGATAAACCTGCTATTCTGGTTCCTGTAGCAGTAGCCATTCCTAACCTTATAAGTAGGGGTATTAGTTGTATGGCTCTGCACTGACAGACTTGAGCTTTGAGGGGTACTGATAGGTTCTGATTTCCTGGGGTAATGTTAATGTTGGGACTTAGAAAGACTAAGGTGCAGGTGCCTGTCCAGTTTGTGGGGAGGCAGCTATAGGTCCAGATTCCACATAAGAATATACCTTGGATGGGTAGACAGAACTGGTTGTGTATGTTAAAAACATGTGTGAGTTTGTTGTTTTCATTTTCCCATATTCCTAGAGTACTTGCCAAGGTAGCTCCAGTGAGTGGCTGGAAAGGGGTGTTGGGAGCCAATTGAGTGGCTCCCTGAGTTCTATTTTCCCATTGGAGAAAAAACCATTTTGTATCTACTAGGAAGCATTTGAGAGAGTGATTGAAAGAGGGGATGAGAAGGCATTCACTAGTGGTGGGGGTGCTGTTGCAGGGGGTCCGGGGGGTGAATGGTCATGCAGGGAGTATGTTTGCCATTACAAAACCTTGACTTTTTGTTAAGCAGGAAGGAGGTGATGATTTTTGGGGGCCCTGAGAAGCAGACAAGCCATCTGAATGGGGCTGTTTGGGTGACTCGGAAGTTACTATAATCAGTTGGGGCTTGAAGTTGTAGGGTGTAATTACACTGATGGGGTAGTAGCTGCCCCAGGGGCAGGCCTGATAACAAACAGGTTGCGTTGGATGAATAAAGGGGCTTGGAAAGTTAAGATGGTATTCGCAGTTACAGGGCCATGTATGGGCTTTTCATTGCTTGTGTAATAGGTGTGGTTGGAAATGTAAGAATGTAAAAGTTGGATTGCACGTCCTGTTAGGGTATTCTTGGTCCTATCAGAGATGGGGAAGTTGGCTAGTGACTGCATATTTAGAAGTCGGAAAGGGTCTTTTCCTTCATAACGAGGGTGGTAGGTTAAGTTGGTAAAGACCCAATTTTTTTTTGCAGGAATGGGAGTGGCAACATAAGCAGATGTTGATAGAGAGATTCAAAGCCAACAATCATTTGCCAGGGAATGATTGGACTGGTTTAACAGAGATTGGGTTAAGTTGAGAGTCTTGTAGAGGTAATTAGGAGCTAGTGGAAGGGGAGGGGTGATTGTATTAGGTATCCAAGGAAGCGGGAGGGATAGATAGGCAAAGAGTAAATAGGAAGGTAAAGAGGGTGCTCTGGAAGATGAGATTATTTTACCCAGTCTGAGTTAAAGGTAGGAGTAAATTGCTGTTAGAAGGAATGAAGATAGAAAGAAGGTTGATGTGATTAGGATTTTCATCCTGCCAGGAGCTACAGTATATAGTCCTATTGCAAAGAGTATGGTTAGTATGCTACTTAATAATGTGATGAAATAGTAAAAGGATTCTATTAAAGGGGCAAGGAGAGTTGTTAAAGATTATGCAGGTTTTCACTTATCTGTTTTAAGGAGGAAGGGGTTTTTCTTCAGGATCAGTGGTAGGAACCTTTTCAGTCTGGGATGTTTCCTTCCAAAATAGGAGATGCAAGTCCTCCAACAGTTTGCAGGTATATTGAGGCTGCTCTGGCTGATCTTGGGACTCCTGAGCTGACGGCCCCACAGGTTCCTCAGGGGGTGTCCAAAATTTAACTTGGGTGTGGTGAATCCAAGATTCCACTCCTGCCACCTTAACTGTAGTGGGGGTAGAGAGGATTACCACAAAGAGTCCATAGATGGGGAGGCAGAGGGGAGAAATTTGACCAACACTAGATCTCCTGGTTGAAACAACTCTGTTCCCTTTTCTCTGTGACATCCTTCAGGTAGGTTTTTAAGGTTTTGTTGATATTTTGCCAAAGAAGTTATATCTTTGACCAAGTTGGCCATTTACTGATCAAGTGGGAGGTCATTTGTGAGAAAAGGTCGTCCATACAGCATTTCATATGGACTGAGCCCCATATTGTGAGGAGAAATTCAGATTCTCAACATGGCCATGGGCAAAAGAGTAGGCCATGGGAGATGAGTTTCTTGTTTCTTGTGTTAGTTTCCTTAAGTGCCTCTTCAGTGTTCCATTTGCCTTCTCGACCTTCCCTGAGGATTGTGGCCTCCAGGCGCAGTGAAGATTATATTGTATCCCTAGCGCCCTGGAAATTCCCTGAGTTATCATGGCTTTAAAAGCCGGACCATTGTCACCTGTAAGCTTTGGGGAAGCCCAAATCTAGGAATTAATTCATGAATTAGGACTTTAATCACTTCCTGAGCCTTCTCTGTCTTGCAGGGGAAAGCTTCTATCCAATTTGTAAAGGTATCAACACAGACCAACAAGTATTGAAATCCCTTTGACTTAGGCATATGAGTGAAGTCTAACTACCAGTCCTCTCTGGGATAGTGACCTATTCTTTGTTCCCCCAAAAGGGCCTTACGATGGACCAAGGGATTATTCCTTTGGCACACCTCACAGACTTTGACTACCTGTCAGATGGTCTGGAGGAGATTTGGCCCTGTAAATAGGGATTTGGCCATTTGATGAATGTTTTCAATAACCATATGAAAAGTTTGGTGGAGGGTTTAAGTATTTTCCACTGGCTGGCTTTGGGTATAAGTACCTTTCCTTCTTCTGTCATTAACTGCCCCGAGGGGATAAAACTAATCCCCTGTGAAAGTCCCCATTCTGTTTCGGTTGGTGAATACTGGGGCTTAATTTTTTAGAGGGGGTTGTTCCATACCAAGGGTCCTTCCGTAGGTATTTCTAATGGAATGTTCTGCCTGGCAGCAATTTTGGCCTCAGCATCTGCCTGACAGTTTCCTTCTGCCTTTTCTCCTTCACCTTTCTGATGGCTTTGGCAGTGTGAGACTGCCACCTACTTGGGTTTTTGCACTGCTTGCAATAACACCACAATTTCCTTGTGGTATTTAATGGGGGTTCCCCCAGAGGTTAGGAACTCCCTTTCTTTCCATATTGCAGCATGGGCACATAGGATTAGATAAGCATACTTGCTATCTGTGTACACATTTACTCTTTTTCCCTTTCCCAGTTCTAAGTCTCGGGTAAGTGTCACCAGTTCTGCTAACTAGGCGCTGGTCCCTGGGGGAAGAGGCTTACTTTCAAGAACAGTTACATTACTAACTATGGCATAACCTGCCCTTCGTATCCCGTTCACCACAAATGAACTTCCATCGGTATATAGGTTAAGGTCAGGATTAGCTAAGGGGACTTCTAAGAGATCATCTTGGGTGGCATAAGTCTGGGCTATAATTTGTTGGTAGTCATGCTCGATTGGTTCCCCATCCTCTGGGAGAAAATTGGCAGGGTTGAGGGCCATGCATGTACGTATTTGAAGCACTGGTCCCTCAAGGAGTAGCGCCTGGAATTTAAATAGGTGGTTGTCTGATAGCCATAAACTTCCTTTGGCACCTAGTATGCCATTTACATCATGAGTAGTCCAGACAGTGAGATCCTTTCCTTGTATTCTTTTGATAGCCTGACACTAAGATGGCCACTGCTGCAACTACCCTTAAACAGTGAGGCCAGCCTTTTGCTACTACATCAACTTCCTTACTTAGGTATACCACTGGTTGTGGGGTTGTCCCACGAGTCTGAGTAAGGACTCCAAAAGCTATTCCTGCTCTCTCTGTGATGTACAAAGAGAAGTTTTGTCCTGTGGGAAGGCTTAAAGCTGGAGCTTGTACTAGGGCCTGCTTTAAGGTTTTGAAGGCTGTTTCTGCCCCTGGTTCCCATTCTACTAGATAAGTATTTGCCCTCTGGGTCTCCTTGATTAGAGTATAGAGGGGCCTGGCTATCTTGCTGTATCTGGGGATCCATAGTCAGCAAAAGCCGGTGAATCCAGGGAACCCCCACAACTGTTTTAATGTCTTAGGGTGAGGATAAGCCAGTATAGGCTGTATTCATTCCTTGCTGATGGCCCTGGTCCCTCTGTCTAAGATTAGGCCTAGATATTTGACCTGCTGTAGGCAAAGCTGGGCCTTCTACCCAGACACCTTGTACCCTTGATTAGGTAGAAAGTTCAAGAGATCTAGAGGAGCCTGCTGGCATGAGGCTTCTAAACTGGTAGCCAAAAGTAAATCATCCACATGCTGAAGGACCAGAGTGCCTGAACTTGAGAAGTGGCTCAGATCTTGGGCCAGTACCTGAACAAACAGGTGAGGGCTATCCCTAAACCCTTGGGGCAAGACTGTCCACATAAGTTCAGATTTGTGGTCTGTGGGATCCTCAAAGGCAAAGAGAATCTGGAAGTCAGAGTGCAGGGGATTACAGAAGAAGTCATCCTTGAGGTCCAGAACTGTGAACCATTCTGCTTCCTCTGGTATTTGAGAGAGCAGGGTATAGGGGTTGGGTAAACTGTATATAGAGGAATTACTGCCCCATTGATGAGTCTAAGATCTTGCACTAGTCTCCACTGACCATTTGGTTTTTGTACCCCTAGAGTTGGGGTGTTGCAGGGACTGCTGCATTTCCTTACTAAGCCTTGAGCTTTTAAATGTTTAACAATATCCTGTAATCCTTTATGAGCTTCAGGCCTTAAGGGATATTGCCTTTGATAAGGAAAAGGGGTGGGATCTTTTAGCATGATTTGGACTGGGCAGGCATTTTTTGCCCTTCCAAATTGTCCTTCCAATGCCCAGACTTCAGGGTTGATTTCCTCCTCAAGCAGGGACAACAAATGGGTAACTTTTTCCCCATATTCATGTAGATAATAGCTCCAGCTTTGGCTAATATGTCCATCCCTATAAGGGTGTGGGACTTTCAGGCATAAAAAGAAAGGCATGTGAAAAGAGCAAAGTCTCCCAATTACAATGAGGAGGTGGGAGAAATACCTGGCTACAGGCTGTCCCAGGATTCCTCAGTTGGTAACGGACCTTGAGGACAGTCGTCTGGGACAGGAGATTAACACTGAGAAGGCTGTGCCAGTGTCCAGGAGGAAGTCAATTTCCTGGCCCTCAATGGTTAAACATACCCAGGGTTCAGTGAGGGTGATGACATGAGCTGGCGCTTGCCCTGGGCACCCTCAGTCCTGTTGTTGGATCATCTGGTTGGGGGCTTCTGGTCTGGGGGCTCTGGATGTTGTCCTCTGGGGCAGTGCACCTTCCAGTGATTACCTTGGCATAGTGGACATGGCCGAGGGGGCAGCTTGTGTCTGTGGACAATCTATTTTAAAGTTTCCTTGTAAACCACACTGATAACAAGCCCTACCAGGTGACTGGTCTGCTCCATTTTCTGTCCTCTCTGAACCACCAAGGTTCATTTGTCTGAGGGCCATGACTAAGGCTGTGGCCTTTCTCTGATCTTGCTTTTCCTTTTGGGCCTGTTCCTCTTGGTCCCTATTATAGAATACCAAAGTTGCCAGGTTTGATAATGCTTCCAGATTTTGTCCAGGGCCCAGGCTCACTTTTGCAGCTTTCTCCTGATTTCTGTGGCTGATTGGGTAATAAGCTTATCTTTTAGGATCAACTGACCCTTAAGTGAGTAGAGTGACAGGAGAGTATATTTTCTTAAGGCCTCCCATAGCCGCTTGAGGAAGACAGAAGGATTTTCTTCCTTTCCCTGAGTTATGGTAGACATCATTGAACAATTCATGGGCTTTTTCCTAATTCTCCTTAGTCCTTCTAGAACGTGGGTCAACAGATGTTTGTGACTCCAGTCCCCATGATCTGAGCCGAGGTCCCAGTGGGGATCCATACTGGGGATGGCTTGCTGACTGGTAGGGAATTTGTCCCTTTCTTCAGCTGTCATTCTATCATTTACTTGACTAAGATACCAGGTATCTCCAAACTCTTGGGCTGCAGCTAAAGCTGCATTCTTTTCATTAAAGGCCAGGGTTTGATCTAACAATAGCATGACATCTCTCCAAGTGAAATCAAAGGTTTGCCCTAGACCCTGTAGGACATCTGTGTACCTATCAGGATCATCTGAAAACTTCCCCAGGTCTGCCTTGATCTGCTTTAAATCAGAGAGTGAGAAAGGGACATGTACCCAGGTTGGGCCAAATTCCCCTCCTCCTACAGCTTGAAGGGGACATAACCGATAGCCCAGGGGTTTTTGTGGTCCTTTGGAGATTTCTTTGCTGATTTCCTTCTGAGCTGGGGAGATTAGAGGAGGCTTATTATTAATAGGAAAGAGAGCTATTGGGAGGCTAGGATATGGGGGTAAGCTGAGAGGTCCTCCTGTGGGATGTAAATTGCAAGCTTTGCATAGTTGTGTATTCTCCTTCAATGAAAAGGAAGCTTGGACATAAGTTATTTCACTCCATTTTCCTTCCCTCTTGCAGAAAAGGTCAAGCTGCAGGATAGTATTGTAATTTATACTTCCCTCAGGTGGCCATTTTTCCCCATCAGAGAGAATGTTGGGGCCAAGACATGGTGCAGAAAAAAATGAGCTGCCTCTTTTTCAGGGTTTGTGGGTCAAATTGGTCCCAATGGCTTGGGATGCATTTCAAGTGTGAGCCTGTTGATGCCTGAGTGTTTCCCATCTGAAAGACAAAACTGCCCATGGTTTTGGTTTGTTTGTTTCTCCCCCTGCCCAAGAACCCACAACAGTCCCTGGACCCTGCTGATTGGAATAGTTGCACTCACCCATGCAGCAGCAGAAACACCTCTTGCCCAAGAACCTGCAATTGTCCCTGGACCCTGCTGATCAGAATAGTTGTGCTCACCAATGCATCAGCAGAAACACTAGTTTTCCTCCTAGACCACAAGGAGGACCGAGGGAGGTCAGATTTATGGGCCCTTACCGATGCATTCTTGAAAACCTGCACCCTTGCCTGTCCTCCTAGACCACAAAAAGGACTGAGAAAAATCAGATTTAGTGGCCCTTACTGGCGAATTCTTGAAAATCTGTTAGAGTCCTAAGCATTCTCCTGTTAGTATGGGATCTTACCTGTGTCCTATAAAGATGTTATGCCCCAAAAAATGAAGTGGAGGGCCATATCCTGAGGGAAGGGAGGGATCTCCAGAGTTGGAAGAGTGGTGCCTTTTGTCCTCACTTATATGAATAGGAAGGATACAATTGCTGATGCTCCCCATATCCTACCTTCAGGAATAGCTTTTGGTTAGGTTTGCTTGTCTGAGGAGGGATCCTAAAATTCCAGATAGTCCCCCCTACAATGGGGTTTTTGGCAAAAATTATGTCTTTCTGATTGGTGAGGCTGGGTACCTAAAGAAGGTAACAGAGTCCTGGGGTTTAAACTAGAAATCATTCTTATAGGAGAAACTAGAAAAGCACCAGAGACAGGGAGTGGTTTTTAGAAGCAGGAGTAGCCTCAGAGAAGAGAGGCAAGAGGAAGTTTGTCTGACAGGCATTAGGACCCAGGAGGCAAGAGTCAGGATAGATAGGATAGATGGGCGAGTCTCACTTGGGCGACATGACTTTGAGAGTTCTGCTCATAGCTGCAGGGTCAACCAACTTGTTGTCGGGACCCCTGAACTGTATGGCTTGCCTCTCTGTTGACTCTCGGCTCAGCCCAGAAGTACGGGGAAAGCGGAAGCTGGTTCCAGGCAAACCAACACTCCCAACTCCAAAGAGTCGGGGGTTGTTAGAGAGCCCTTTCCCAGAAAGCCTGACACCAGTGTCTTTAGACTGGTGGCCATGCTAGTCGCTTTTAACTGGCCAACAGTCACCCGGTATTTAACCCCCAAATTCTAAGGAAAAATAGGACAGGGTAGCAAATGAAAGGGGTCCAATGGTACTCACCACTTGGTGATAGGTGATAGTCCCTTCGTGGTTGCCAAAATGTGTGCAGAATTGGTTCCTTCTGGTGGGTCCTTGGACTCGCTGACTTCAAGAATGAAGCCACAGACCCTCGTGTTGTGTGTTACAGTTCTTAAACGTGGTGTGTCCAGAGTTTGTTCCTTCAGATGTTCAGATGTGTCCAGGGTTTCTTCCTTCCAGTGGATTCATGGTCTCACTTGACTTCAGGAGTGAAGTTGCAGACCTTCACAGTGAGTGTTACAGCTCTTAAAGGTGGTGCGTCTGGAGTTGTTTGTTCCTCCCAGTGGGTTTGTGGTCTCTCTGGCTTCAGGAGTGAAGCTGCAGACCTTCACAGTGAGTGTTACAGCTCTTAAAGATAGTGTGGACCCAAAGAGTGAGCAGCAGCAAGTTTTATTGTGAAGAGTGAAAGAACAAAGCTTCCACAGCATGGAAGGGGACCCAAGCAGGTTGCCACTGCTTGCTCAGGTGTTCAGCTTTTATTCCCTTGTTTGGCCCCAACCACGTCCTGCTGATTGGTCCATTTTACAGAGCACTGATTGGTCCATTTTACAGAATGCTGATTGGTGTGTTTTTACAGAGTGCTGATTGGTGTGTTTACAAACCTTTAGCTAGACACAGAGCACTGATTGGTGCATTTTTACAGAGTGCTGATTGGTGCGTTTACAATCCTTTAGCTAGACAGAAAAGTTCTCCAAGTCCCTACCTCACCCAGAAGCCCAGCCAGCTTCACCTCTCACTAGGACAGCTCACAGAACTCAAAGAAACACTTACTTATGTGTACTGATTTGTTATAAAGAATATTACAAATGATACAAGTGAACAAATGGAAGAGGAAATAGGGCAAGGTACACAGAGAAGGGGCACAGAGCTTCCAGGTCCTTTCTAGGTACATCACCCTCCTAGCACCTCCACATGTTCAGCAACCCAACAGCTCATCAAATCTTGTTGTTCAAGAGTTTTTAAATAGAGTTTAATAGAGCTTAATGTTCATCCCCTATCTCTTTTCCCAGAGGTCAGTGGGTAAAACTGAAAGTTCCAATCCTCTAACCCAATCCTCTAGTCTTTCTGGTGACCAGCCCTATACCATGGCTATCTAGAAGCCCCACCCCAAAATGCTTTCTTAGCATAAACTCAGATCAAAATTGGCTCCTTATGAATAACAAAAGACACTCCTATCACCCTGGAAATTCCAAGGGTTTTAGGAGTTCCATGACAGAAACAAGGGAAAAATGCTAAATATGTTTCATACTACACTACTCATTCTAATTTTGTTTAAAATATTCCTGTACCATATTTCTACACACAACAGTGCAGGATTTCTTTGAATGAAGGACTAGAGATAGAAAACTAAATGAGATTATTCTATGTTTTTTCCAGAAAAAGACTATCTTGGTGGAAGAAAAACTCCAAAACAGGTAGGACTGAAGTCAACTTAAGAACAAAATTTGACATTTGTTTCTTTTACTAGCAAGTATTTTCTATTACATTTTAATAAAAAAGTTGGGGCAAAAAGTTGTGTTAATATATGTTCCAAGTAGAATTTCAGTCCTTAGTCTTCCTATAACTTTTTGTCTTGCTTTTTTCTTCAGAAATATTTTGATCCATATTTAGTCATGGACTAGTTTTATTTCAATTGTGTTTCATCTTTAGCTGTTACATAATATAACTTGTTATAATTCATGCAAGATAATTATCTATTTTAGTGTCTACAAAAAGCACAACTTACTCAGCAAAAGAAAAATGAGCTCATGAAATAAAATCTGGGAAATCCAAACCAATTCTAATCAATTGGTAAGCAATACAAATTTAGTTGAAATTACTTTTATCATATATCAAAATAAAATGAACACAACTATATCTTTAATAACGAGAGATTGAAGCTTATCCTTAATCTTTATCTTTCTTTCCTTGACTTCATTATAATGAGATTAAACAAAATGTTCTTTAAACTTTAATCTTCCCAATTTAAGCCACTTCTGGTTAAGCAAATGTCACACTTTTCTCTTTTCATTTACAGGGTTGCTTCCCCCACCCCACCCAGACTCTTTGCAGTTGCACACTGAAATAGAAGTAGAAATGTTTGGTTCTTGCAAGTCTGTGTACGGTTTGACGATTACCTCTTTCCTAATTTTAATTCATTACCTTCTTCCTAAACTACTTCTTCTTCTTTTTTTTTTTTACACTTTAAGTACTGGGATACATGTGCAGAACGTGCAGGTTTGCTACATAGGTATACACGTGTCATGGTGGTTTGCTACACCCATCAACCCATCAACTACATTAGGTATTTCTCCTAATGCTGTCCCTCTCCCAGCCCCCCAACCCCCCGAGAGTCCCCAATGTGTGATGTTCCCCTCCCTGTGTCCATGTATTCTCATTGTTAACTTCCACTTATGAGTGAGAACACGAGGTGTTTGGTTTTCTGTTCTTGTGTGAGTTTGCTGAGAATTATGGTTCCCAGCTTCATCCATGTCCCTGCAAAGGACATTAACTCATCCTTTTTTATGGCTGCATAGTATTCCATGGTGTATATGTGCCACATTTTCTTTATCCAGTCTATCATTGATGGGCATTTGGGTTGGTTCCAAGTCTTTGCTATTGTGAACAATGCTGCAATAAACATACATGTGCATGTGTCTTTATAGCAGAATGATTTATAATCTTTGGGTGTATACCCAGGAATGGGATGGCTGGGTCAAATGGTATTTCTGGTTCTAGATCCTTGAGGAATCACCACACTGTTTTCCACAATGGTTAAGAACTAATATACATTCCCAACAACAGTGTAAAAGCATTCCTATTTCTCCACATCCTCTCCAGCATCTGTTGTTTCCTTACTTTTTAATGATCACCATTCTAACTGGTGTGAGATGGTATCTCATTGTGGTTTTGATTTGCATTTCTCTAATGACCAGTGATGATGAGTTTTTTTTTTTTTCATGTTTGTTGGCTGCACAGTCGCTCGGATCACAGTCCAATCAAATTAGAACTCAGGATTAAGAAACTCAGTCAAAATTGCACAACTACATGGAAACTGAACAACCTACTCCTGAATGACTACTGGGTAAATAACGAAATTAAGGCAGAAATAAATAAGTTCCTTGAAACCAATGAGAACAGAGACACAACGTACCAGAATTTAGCTGTGTTTAAAGGAAAATTTATAGCACTAATTGCCCACAGGAGAAAGTGAGAATGATCTAAAATCAACACCCTAACATCGGAATTAAAAGAACTAGAGAAGCAAGAGCAAACAAATTCAAAAGCTAACAGAAGACAAGAAATAACTGAGATCAGAGCAGAACTGAAGGAGATAGAGACATGAAAAACCCTTCAAAAATTAATGAATCCAGGAGGTGATTTTTTGAAAAGATTAACAAAATAGACTACTAGCCAGACTAATATAGAAGAAAAGAGAGAGGAATCAAAGAGACACAATAAAAAATTATAAAGGGAAGATCACCACTGGTCCCAAAGAAACACAAACTACTATCAGGGAATACTATAAACACCTGTATGCAAATAAACTAGAAAATGTAGAAGAGATGGATAAATTCCAGGACACATACACCCTCCCAGGACGAAACCAGAAAGAAGTCAAATCCATGAATATACCAATAACAAGTTCTGAAATTGAGACAGTAATTAATGGCCTACCAGCCAAAACCTTTGATAAAATCAACACCCCTTCATGTTAAAAACTCTCAATAAACTAGGTATTGATGGAATGTATCTCAAAATAACAACAATGATTTATGGCAAACCCACAGCCAATATCATACTGAATAGGCAAAAGCTGGAAACATTCCCTTTGAAAATCAGCACAAGACAAGGATGCCCCCTCTCACTACTCCTATTCAACATAGTATTGGAAGTTCTGGCCAGGGTAATCATGCAAGAGAAAGAAATCAAGGGTATTCAAATAGGAAGAGAGGAAGTCAAATTGTCTTGGTATGCAGATGACATGATTGTATATTTAGAAAACCCCATTGCCTCAGCCCCAAATCTCCTAAAGCTGATAAGCAACTTCAGCAGTCTCAGGACACAAAATCAATGTGTAAAAATTACAAGCATTCCTATACACCAATAATAGACAAACAGAGAGCCAAATCATGAGTGAACTCCCAGTAACAATTGCTACAAAGAGAATAAAATACCTAGGAATCCAACTTACAAGGGATGTGAAGGACCTCTTCAAGGAGAACTACTAACCACTGCTCAAGGAAATAAGAGAGGACACAAAGAAATGGAAAAACATTCTATGCTCATGGATAGGAAGAATCAATATCATGAAAGTGGCCACATTGGCCAAAGTAATTTATAGATTCAATGCTATCCCCATCAAACTACCATTGACTTTCTTCACAGAATTAGAAAAAACTACTTTAAATTTCATATGGGACAAAAAAAAAAAAAGAGCCTGTATAGCCAAGACAATTCTAAGCAAAAAGAACAAAGCTGGAGGCCTCACGCTACCTGACTTCAAACTATACTACAAGGCTACAGTAACCAAAACAGCATGGTACTGGTACCAAAACAGATATGCAGACAAATGGAACAGGACAGAGGCCTCAGAAATAATGCCACACATCTACAACCATCTGATCTTTGACAAACCTGACAAAAATAAGCAATGGGGAAAGGATTCCTTATTTAATAAATGGTGTTGGGAAAACTGGCTAGCCATGTGCAGAAAACTGAAACTGGACCCTTTCCTTACACCTTATACAAAAATTAACTCAAGATGACTTAAAGACTTAAATGTAATACCTAAAATTTAAAAACCCTAAAAGAAAACCTAGGCAATACCATTCAGGACATAGGCATGGGCAAAGAATTCATGACTAAAACACCAAAAGCAATGGCAACAAAAGCCAAAACTGACAAATGGGATCTAATTAAACTAAAGAGCTTCTGCACAGCAAAACAAACTATCAACAGAGTGAAAAGGCAACCTACAGAATACAGGAAAATTTTTGCAATCTATCCGTCTGACAGAGAACTAATATCCAGAATCTACAAAGAACTTAAACAAATTTACAAGAAAAAAACAACCCCATCAAAAATTGTTTTTTTTTGGTCAGAGTATTCCAATCTGGCCAAATAAGAACTTTGTTTTCCATACTGGGTTTCTATACCTGGTTTTCCTGAAATGAAGCAAAACTGACCATTCTCAACAGTGCTTAACCTTCTGTTATACACTCACTATTCCTTTTATGGAACGACTTCTAAGCTAAGCTCACAAGAGGATTAGCCTTGGCAAAAATATTCTTTAGAATTGAGTTATTTAAGGCTTGGATGCAGAGTAAGAAGAAAGTCTTGCTTTAGAGAAGTGTTTTCTGTTTGTTCACTCTGAAAATTGACCTGCCAAATGAAGAACCAAAGGGAATAAGCAGATCATATCTGCCATTCATCATATACCATATTTATTTCTCAATTAGAAAATGCACAGTTGGAAGAAATTATGTGAATATCTGCAGACACATATGAATGTTTTTACACCAATAACTTTGCTTTAAATAATTCTCCAGAAATATTCCAATACATGTGACAGAACTGTTTGGAAATCCCAAGTGTTTAGACTGATTGTGAGCATGTCTTTCTGGTGGAAAAGCTGCTGTACTAGCCCTGAACATCAGAAAGAAGCATTTTCTGCAGGAGTTTATTTTTATTTTTTCTTCTTTATTTCTTATGAAAAAATAAAATTGGATACATGTGCAGAACGTGCAGCTTTGTTACGTAGGTATACATGTGCCATGGTGGTTTTCGGCACCTATTGACCCATCCTCTACGTTCCCTCCCCTCATCCCCCCATAACCCAACAGGCCCTGCCATGTGTTGTTCCCCTCTCTGTGTCCACACATTCTCAATGTTCAACTCCTACTTATGAGTGACAACATTCTGCAGAAGTTTAATAATATAGTTTGAGTACTGGTCATTGAAATTTGATAAAAGTTTATAAAATTAGATGTTACAAGCTACTTAAAATGGTTCTCACTGTGTCTTAATTCCAATCTTATCTCCATGGATTCTTCTGTAGTTACAAAATGTACCCAGTATTCTTGAGAACTGGTGTAATAGACATAACACAATTACTGAAAATACCAATTAAAAAGAACAAAAAGAATCCAATTCTATCACTAACATGCTGTGTAACCTTAAGTAAGTCCTTAATCTTTTGGTATCTCATCAGTAAAATAAGGATAATTATATTTAATTTAAAAAATTTTTAGGATTGTTTATAAAATTATAGGACATATTATTATACTTAGGACAGTGCTTGGTACCTAATAGACACTTAGTAAATACTTGGGGAAAAATTGGCTTTCTTTATTTATTCAACAAATATCTATTGAGAGTTTACCTTGAGCTAGGGTCTTATCTAGTTACTTGGGACAAGTCCGAAAATAAAACAAAAAAAATCCCAGCTCTGTTGGGGTTTACATTTGTGTGTGTGTGTGTGTGTGTGTGTGTGTGTGTGTGTGTTTGATATATACAATAAACAAACAGATAAGTAGATTATTGATGGTGGTTTATGCTAATTTAAAAAAAGTGAAGAAATCTCAAAGGAGTAGAGAGCGACAAAAGTAGAGTATGCTTTCTAAGATACAGAGAATCCTCCCTGATGAGGTGGGATTTTAGTAGAGATCAGAATGAAATGAGTCGTATGTATATCTTGAGCATGCTTTGTTGAGAAAAGGAAAGATCAGTGGATCTGGAATCAAAAGATCAAGGAAGGCACGATAGCACATAAAATCAGGGAGGAGGATATGAGTGGGTGTAGTTGGTGCAGGTTTTGCAGGGACCCACAGGTTTTTCTAAAGATTTTGGTTTTTACTTTGAGTCTAATTTTAAGCAAGAGTGATGTGATTTGATTTACATAGAAGAAAACCACTCTTGCTGCTGAAGAATAGACTACACAGGGCAGGAATTAAAACTGAGAAGGCCAACTGGTAGATTGTTGCAATGGCGAAGGTAAGATATGACTGTGGCTTGGATCAGGTTGGAAGCAGTGTAAGTGGTGGCTACAAATCAGATTTAGATATATTGTCTAAGAAGATGGGTCAAGGATTTAGTTATGAGTAATTATAAGGATGGAGATTATGCCAATTTGGCAAAGATATGGGATAAAAAAATTTTGGAAGAAAAATAAAGAATTTTTAAAATATATATTGTGTGCCTTAGTTAATTTGCTTAAGAGGAGTGTTTAGGACTGAAGATATAAGAATGGGTGTTGTCAACATATATTAATAGATAGATTTATTACTCTAAGGAATGATTATCAACAGACCAGAGAAAAGTCAGAATTCTGGGGTATTTTACCTCTCAGGATCTGAAAGAGAAGAGAGCAACTCAACAAAGGAAGCTGAGATGGGGTGGCTGTGAGATAGGCTGAGAACCAAGAAATAGTCATGTACTGAATGCAAGGCAAAGAAAGTGTTCCAAGGACAGAGTGATTAACTGTATTAAACACTGCTGACAGGTCAAATCAGACGAAGGCTGATCATTGACCAGTGAATTTGGTAATATGGAGATCAACTGGACAATACTGTGAAAAACAATATTCTCAGGGCATCGGGAATTGATCAAAAGTGGGCATGCAGACACACACACACACACACACACACACACACACACACTTACACTCACAGAAGCACGAATAATTTTATATTTACCCATATACTTAGGATTTCTGGTGGTAAACTGCAGCCAAGTTCCTGTCTAGTAACATTTTCTTGCTGTCTGAAGGACTTACTTTAATATATTTTGTATGGAAGGTCTACTTGCAATGGATTCTCTCATTTTTTGTTTATCTTCGGATTCCTTTATTTCACCTTTATTTTGAAAAATAGTTGTACTGGATCTGGAATTACTTATTGACATTCTTTCCACACTTTGAATATGTCATTTCACTGCCTTTTGGTCCCACTGTTTCTGACAAGAAGTCAACTGTTAATCATATTGTATTTACCTTATATGTAATTACTTACTGTCAGAATTTTCTTTGGACTTTCACCAGCTTCATTGGATGTGATTAGGAGTGATTCTATTTGTGTTTGTGTATATCTTGCTTCTGGTTTGTTGAGCTTCTTAGATTTTTCTGTTAATGTTTCTCATTAATTTTGGGTACTTTCAATTCTTAATTCTTCAAGTACTTTTCTGCTCCTTACTGTCCCTCCTCTCCTCCCGGGACACCAATTACGTATATATTGATGAATTTGATGTTATCCATAGGTCTCCGAGTCTCTGTTCATTATTCTTCAGCCTTTTTCCTTCCCATTTTTCAAATTAGATATTCCACTGCCCACTTTTATTTCAGTGTATTCTGATATCTCAAATCTGTTGTTGAGCTCAACTAGTGAATTTTCATTTTGGTTTTGAACTTTTTAGCTTAGAATATGTATTTGGTTCTCTTTTATAATGTTTAGCTCTTCATTAAGAATTGCTGTTATTGGGTTATTATCATTCTGTTTCATTTTTCATTCTTTAAACATTTTAATAACAGTTGCTTTGAAGACTCTCTTTGCCAAATCAAACATCTGGGCCAATTCAAAGTAATTTTCTATTGGCTGCTGGTTTTCCCTGAGTATGGTCATATTTCCATTTCTTTGCATGCCTCAGGTTTTGGCTGAAAACTGGATATTTTATTTTGTATATTGAAGCCACTCTGGATTCTGTTTTATTAGCAAACCAAATTCAGCAACATTAAAAAAAGATTATTGCTATGGTTTGACTTTCCCCTTGAAAACTCATGTTGAAATTGAATTGCCACTGTAATGGTATTAAGAGTGGGACTGTTAAGAGGTGATTAGTCTATGAATGCTCTGCCCCCATGCATGGATTGCTGTTATCATAGGAGTGGGTTAGTTATTGTGGGAGTGGGTTGTTATAAAAATGAGTTCAACCCTCCCTTGCTCTTAACCTCACTTGTCCTTCTGATTTCTCCTATGGGATGACATAGCACAAAGGCCCTAGCCAGATGCTGAAATCTTGATATTGGACTTCCCCACCTCCAGAACTGTGGGAAGTATTTTTTCTTTATATATTACTGTTTGTGATATTCTGTTATAGCAACACAAAGCAGACTAAGATGATTATATACCACAACAAAGTGGAGTTTGTTCTGAGAATGGAAAGTTGACTTTACATTCAAAAAATCAGTTAAGAAAAATAATTTAAAACAAAACAAACACCAACTAAATATTAATTTAAACTTAAACTAAAAATTAAACATAAATTAATCATTTAAAAACCAACGATTATTTCAATTGATGCAGAAAAACTGTATATAATTGAATATCTATTTATGATAAAAAAATCTCAGTGAACTAGAAACAGAAGAGAGATGCCTGACAATGTAGCTACAAAAAGCCTACAACTAAGATGGTAGGAAATGTTGCAGAATAAAGGCTTTCTTCTAAGACTGGGGAGCAAGAAAATGATGTCAGCATCAACCACATTTATTAACTTTGTATTGGAGGTTTTAGCCAGTACAGTAAGGACAAAAAGGGAATTTCTAGGTTGAAAAGGAATCAGTAACTCATTCTTCACAGACAACATCATCTTGTGTGGAGAAAATCCAAAGGAATTTATAATAACAGCAACAAAACCCATTACATAAAAAAAAAAAAAAACCAACCAAATTTACCTAGGATGCAGGATACAAGATCAGTAGGCAAAATCAGTTGTATTCATAGTATTAGCAAAAAATAATCTGAACATTAAAATTAAGAAGACAATTGTATTCACAATAGCATTTTAAAAAGTGAAATACTTAGAAAAAAATTTAAACAAGGAAACGTAAGACTTGTACACTGAAAACAATGAAACATTGTTGATAAAAATTGAAGAATACCTGTATAAATGAAGAAATTGTCCATGCCATGGGTTAAAAGACTTAATATGTAAAAGATGATAATTCTTTGCAAATTTACCTAAAGAGTCAATGCAATCTCTGTCAAAATCTTAGCATGCCTTTGTAGAATTTGAAACCTAATCCCCAAACATATTTGGAAATGTAAATGATCCAGAATACCCAAAAATTTTGAATAAAAGAACAAAGTTGAAGTTCTCATGTGACCTAATTTCAAAACCTACTATAAAGCTAAGGAAAAAGAGTGTGTAGGCATAAATGTAAGGGCAGACATAAAGATCAGTGAGTCAGAATAGAGAACACAGAAACAAACTCACATATTTATAATCAATTGAGTTTTAGCAAAGTTGCTGAGGTAATTATTTTAAACAAATGATACACTACAATTGGACATCTATATGCAAAAAATTTATCTTATAACCTTATTTCAATCCATACACAAAATTAACTAAAATGAATTACAGACTTAAAAGTAAAAGTTAATTCTATAAAACTTCTAGAAGAAAACATTTAAAAGTATATAAGTAATTTTGTGTTTGACATATATTTCATAAATACAACAACAAAAACAAAGTAATACATTAAACCTCATCAAATTAAAAACTTTAATTCTTTCTAAAGGTATAATTAAGGAACATAAGACAAAAACTTGGAGAAATATTTGCAAAAAACATATCTAATATTTTACAAACAAGGCAGAAAAAGATAGTGAAAAAAGAGAAAATGTCTGCCATAGGTTAAAAAAAGTATTGCTTTCAAAATGTTCCCCCCACAACAAATCTTCTATTTTGAAAACTGTCATTGTTCTAGACATTTTAAAAACTCAATAAAGCTGAAATTCATATAATATAAAATTATGCATTTTAAAGTAAACAATTCAATGACATTTACTGCATTCATAATCCTGTGCAACCACCACCACTATCTAGTTCAAAATAATTTTCATCATCCCCAAAGAAAATGTTATGCTCATTAGGCAGTGACTCCCCAGATTTCTCTCTCCTCCCAGCTACTGGCTACTACCAATCAGCTTTCTGTCTTTATGGATTTGCCTATTTTTGATATTTCATAGAAATGTAATGCTATAATATGTGATCTTTTGTGTCTGAATTTTTTCACATAATGTTTTCAAGGTTCATCCACATTGCAGCATATGGCAGCACATCATTCACTTTATGGCTGAATAATATTCCATTGTATGTATATATCGCAGTATGTTTATCCATTACCTATTGATGTATAGTTGAGTTGTTTCTCTCTTTTGACCATTGTAAATAATGCTGCTGTGAACATGGATGTACACACATCTGTTTGAGTCTCTGTTTTCAATTTTTTGGGGTGTATACTTAGGATTGGAATTTCTGGGCCATACAGTAATTCTGCATTTAATTTTTAAAAGAACTTTCAAACTGTTTTCTAAAACAGCTGTACCATGTTACATTTCCAGCATCAGCAATTTACAAGTGTTTCAATTTCTCCACATCCTTACTATTATTTTCCATTTAACACAAATTATAGTCACCCTAGTTGTTGTGAAGTGGTATCAAGTTATGGTTTTAATTTGAATTTTACTAATGATTAATGTTGTTGAGCATCTTTACATGTACTTATTGGCCATTTGTATATCTTCTTTGGATAGAAGTCTTCAAGCCCTTTACTCAGTTCTGAATTTAGGTTGTCTTTTTATCTTGCTGAGTTGTAGGAGTTCTTTATATACTTGGGATATTAGACCCTTATTAGATAAATGATTTGCAAACACTTCCAACCATTCTGTAGTTTTTCTTCTCACTTTCTTGGTAATGTCTTTCATGAAAGGTTTTAATTTTAATGAAATTTAATTTATTTATTTACTTTTTTGCTGCTAATGCTTTTGATGTCATATCTAAGAATCTATTGTCAAATCCAAGGCTATGAAGATTTACTCCTCTATTTCCCTTATGGTTTTAGCTCTTACATTTAGGTCATTGATCCATTTCGAGTTAAGTTTTGCATATGGTATGAGTTAGGGGTCCACCTTCATTGTTTTGTGTGTGAATATGCAGTGGACTCAGCACCATTTGTTGAAGAGACTCTTCTTTCTCCATTAGGTGGTCTGGGCATTTTTGTAAAAAAACCAGTTGACCATAGATATATGGATTTATTTATGGACTTTTGATTCCATTTCCTTAGGCCCAAATCCCACTGTTTTTATTACTGTAGCTTAGAAATACGTTTTGAAATCAGGAAGTGTGAGTTTTCCAACTTTGTTCTTTTTTACAATATTGCTTTTGCTATTTGGAGCTTTCTGAAATTCCATAGGCATTTGAAGATCAAGTTTTCTGTTTTTTCAAAAAAGGCTGTTGGAATTTTGATAAGAATTGCATTAATTCTCTAGATCACTTTGGAAAGTATTGCCATATTAACAATATTTACTATTCCAACCCCTGGATTGAGATGTTTTCCATTTATTAAGATCGCCTTTTATTTCTTTTACATTTTTGCTGTTTTCAATGTATAAGTCTCTCACAGCCTTGTTTATTTTTATTTTTTAGATATCTATTCTCTTGGATGTGATTGTAAATGTACTTTTTTTCTTAGTTTCCTTATGGATTTTTCATTTCTGCTGCATAGAAACACAATTAAGTTTTGAGTATTGTTCATGCACACTGCAGCTTTGCTGAATTTCTTAACTCCAGTTTTTCTTGTGGATTCTTTAGTATTTTCTATACATAGAAATGTCATCTGCAAATAGAGATAGTTTTAGTTCTTCTTTTCCAATTTGTATGTCTTTCATTTATTTTTCCTGCCTATTTACTCTGGCTAGAACTTACAGTATAATGCAGTATAGCTGGGGTAAAAGCAAGCATCCTTATCTTTCGGGGAAAAACTGTCAGTCTGATCATTGAGTATGATGTTAGCTGTGGGTTTTTCATAAATACCCTTAGACATGTTGAGGAATTTCCCTTTTATTTCTAGTTTCTGAATGTTTTTTAAAAATCATGAAATAGTATTTGATTTTGTCAGACATTTTTCTGCATCAATTGAGATGATCATGTGTTTTCTACTTGGTCTATCAACTTGATGCATTACATTGATTGATTTTCTTATATTGATACACCCTTACATTACTGGGATAAATCCCACATGATCCTGGTGTGTAAGCCTTTTAGCATATTGTTTGATTTAGTTTTCTGGTATTTTGTTGTAGTGTTTTATGTTCATATTCATCAGACATATTGGTCTGAAGTTTTCTTTTCTTGTGATGTCTCTGTCTAGTTTTGGCATCAGGGTAATAGTGAACTCATAGAACGAATTAGGAAGTGTTTCCTCCTCTTCTATTTAAGTAAGAATTCGGAAAAGATTAAAATCAAACTTTTTAATGTTTGGTAGAATTTCTTTTTTTTATTATTATACTTTAAGTTCTAGGGTACATGTGCACAACATGCAGATTTGTTACATATGTATACATGTGCCACGTTGGTGTGCTGCACCCGTTAACTCGTCATTTACATTAGTTATATCTCCTAATGCAATCCCTCCCCCTCCCCCTACTCCATGACAGGCCCCAGTGTGTGATGTTCCCCACCCTGTGTCCACGTGTTCTCATTGTTCAATTCCCACCGATGAGTGAGAACATGCGGTGTTTGGTTTTCTGTCCTTGTGATAGTTTATTCAGAATTATGGTTCCCAGCTTCATCCATGTCCCTGCAAAGGACATGAACTCATCATTTTTTATGGCTGCATAGTATTCCATGGTGTATATGTGCCACATTTTCTTAATCCAGTCTATCGTTGATGGACATTTGGGTTGGTTCCAAGTCTTTGCTATTGTGAATAGTGCCACAATAAACACATGCGTGCATGTGTCTTTATAGCAGCATGATTTATAATCCTTTGGGTATATGCCCAGTAATGGGATGGCTGGGTCAAATGGTATTTCTAGTTCTAGATCCTTGAGGAATTGCCACATTGTCTTCCACAGTGGTTGAACTAGTTTACAGTCCCACCAACAGTGTAAAACTGTTCCTATTTCTCCACATCCTCTCCAGCACCTGTTGTTTCTTGACTTTATAATGATCACCATTCTAACTGGTTTGAGATGGTATCTCATTGTGGTTTTGATTTGCATTTCTCTGATGACCAGTGATGATGAGCATTTTTTCATGTGTCTGTGTGATGTCTCTGTCTAGTTTTGGCATCAGGGTAATAGTGACCTCATAGACTGAATTAGGTCGTATTTCCTCCTCTTCTATTTAAGTAAGAACCTGGAAAAGATTAAAATCAATTTTTTTAATGTTTGGTAGAATTTCTAAGTGAAGCCATCTGCTCACGGTCTTTTATCTGTTGTGAGGTCTTTTATTCAATCTTTTAAGTTTGTCCAGGTTTTTTATTGCTTCTTGAGTCAGTTTAGGTAATTTGTGTCTTTTTAGGAATATATCCATTTCATCTAGGTTAACTTATTTGTTGGCATACAATTTTTCATAGTGTTCTCTTATAACCCTTTTTATTTCTGTAAAGTTGGTAGTAATGTCTCTACTTTTATTTCTAATTTTAATTATTTGCATCTTTTCCTTATTTTCTTAGTCTGGCTAAAATTTGGTTAATTTTTTAGTCTTTTTTTAAAGAACCAGGATTTGGTTTCATTTATTCTACTTATTATTTTTTGATACCCTTTTTATTTACCTCTCTAAATAAACCAATCATCATAGATGAAGTCAACTTAGCAAGGAATTATTGTTCAAAAGTCTCTAGGCACAGAAAATTTTCTTGGCAAATTATTTCAAATATTTAGGGGATAAATTATTTCCTGCCATAAAACTGTTTCATAATGTAGAAAGAGATGAGAAATTACTTTTATTCTACAAAAACAAAAATGTTGATGCATAAATAAATTCTGGAAACACCTACATAAATTATTAGTAAATATGATTCCATTGCATATTAAAATACAGAGGCAAAACTGTCTCCTATAAACATGACTAACAGAAGACTGTAATGATGACTCAATATAAGCAAAACATATAATCATGTCAATAAACAATGAAAAGACAACTTCTAAAATTCAACACCCAATCCTGATAAAAATGACAGAGAAAGTTGGAACAGAAATATACTTTCTATAACAATGTCAAAATTAAATGCAAGGCAGAGTTTTCAGAGAAATTACAATTAAAATCAGGAACAAACTAAAGATGGTCACTCATCATTGTTCTTCAAACATTAGCTTGGAAGCTCTATCTTTTACAATAAGACATGGAACAGAAATAAGTATAACCATTTTAGAAGGAAAAGAATTATTTTCTAGTTGAAAATATTTTATGACTAGAAACATCAAAGCAATCAATTGAAAATGAAAAGTAATATGAGAGATAAACAAAATGATTAATATATAAACATCGAATTCATTATCATATGTCAGGAATGACTAACTAGAAAACACAGTAGAAGTTAAGAGAAATAACTTCATTGTAGGTACAATACATAAAATACCTTGGCATAATCTTAACCACACTTGGATCCCTTGGACGTTGCTCTGAGCTGGTGTGCATTTCAAGTTTCCTGTAGGGAGCAGAGCAACACAGAGATTTAATAAAGTGATACAACTATTTAGGAAAGCAGTTTTGCAATTTATACTATCAAAAGTCACTAAAATATTAAAGCCCATTGTCACTCCAGTTTTACCTCTGGGAATTTATCCTTAGATATGTAAACCAAAAGTATCTGAGACAGGTCTCAATCAATTTAGAACGTTAATTTTGCCAAGGTTTTCTATACTTTGCCAAGTATAGAAAAAAGCCTTCAGATTGCTAATAGTGATTAAATGCCCAAGGAGGTCCTGACGACATGTGCCCAGGGTGGTTGGGGTACAGCTTAGTTTTGTACATTTGAAGGTGACATGAGACATCAATCAATACATTTAAGATGTTCATTGGTTCAGTCCAGAAAGGCAGGATAACTGTAAGTGCAGCTTCCAGGTCACAGGTAGATTTAAAAGTTTTTTTTACTGGCAATTGGTTGAAAGAGTTATTATCAATAAAAAGGAATGTCTGAGTTAAAACAGGGGTTGTGGAGATCAAGGTTTTATCATGTAGTTGAAGCTGCCAGGTAGCAGGCTTCAGAGAAAATAGATTGTAAATGTTTCTTATCAGACTTAAAGAGTCTGTTCTGTCAGTAATTCCAAAGTGGAGGAGGGTATCATGAGGCATGTCTGGCTCCCCCTTCCCAGCATGGCCTGAACTAGTTTCTTAGGTTAACTTTGGAATGCTTTGCTGACAGAAGGGGCCCATTCAGACGATTGGGGAGCTTAGAATTATATTTTTGATTAACAGGTAATAATGGAAACTGTGGGAAAATTTATATACAGGAAGATTTTTGACCCGCCTAAAATAAAATAGGAAACTATCAAAATATTCAACAGTAGGGGAATAATTAAGCAACTATGGTATACACTTATGATGGAGTATAATTAGATTATTAAACATGATGTTTATAAAGATGCTATGTGAAGTGACAAAAATATTATAAAATTTTGTTAAAGTGTTATTCAAGCAATATAAACTATTGTTGGGAAAGACATATAGAAAAAAGCTTTCAGGTTGCTAATAGTGACTAAATAAGTAAATAAGTGTAAGTGGTTTTCTCCTAATTAGATTTTCCAAAGTGTCTGTAATTATTTTTATATTAAAACTCTATATTTTTTATTTATCTACCTGAAATTTATGTTTTAAAATAAGAGATGAGAAAACAATTGAAAATGTAAGCTGTAGGCAGGACATGGTGGCTCATGCCTGTAATCTCAGCACTTTGGGAGGTCAAGGTCAGAGGATTGCTTGGGGCCAGGATTTCAAGACAAGCCTGGGCAACATATTGAGTCTTTATCTCTACAAAAACTAAAATTATCCAGGTGTGGTGGCATGCACCTGTAGTCCCAGCTACTCAGGAGGGTGAGGTGGGAGTGTTGCTTGAGGCCAGGAGTTTGAGGCTACCATGAGCCATGATGACATTGTGAGGTGAAGCTGGCTGGGCTTCTGGGTCAGGTGGGGACTTGGAGAACCTTTCTGTCTAGCTAGAGGATTGTAAACACACCAATCAGTGCTCTGTGTCTAGGTAAAGGTTTGTAAACGCACCAATCAGCACTCTGTAAAAACACACCAATCAGTGCTCTGTGTTTAGCTAAAGGTTTGTAAATGCACCAATCAACACTCAGTAAAAATGCACCAATCAGCATGCTGTGTCTAGCTAAAGGTTTGTAAATGCACCAATCAGCACTCTGTAAAAATGCACCACTCAGCATTCTGTAAAATGGACCAGCCAGCGCTCTGTAAAATGGACCAATCAGCAGGAAGTGGGCAGGGCCAAATAAGGGAATAAAAGCTGGCCACCCGAGCTAGCAGTGGCAACCTGCTCAGGTCCCCTTCCATGCTGTGGAAGCTTTGAACTTTCGCTCTTCACAATAAATCTTGCTGCTGCTCACTCTTTGGGTCCACACTGCCTTTATGAGCTGCAACACTTGCTGCGAAGGTCTGTGGCTTTACTTCTGAAGTCAGCAAGACCACGAGCCCACTGGGAGGAACAAACAACTCCGGACACACGACCTTTAAGAGCTGTAACACTCACTGTGAAGGTCTGTGGCTTCACTCCTGAAGTCAAGTGAGACCATGAACCCAGCAGAAGGAAGAAACTCCAGACACATCTGAAGGAACAAACTCTGGACACACCACCTTTAAGAGCTGTAACACTCACTGCAAGGGTACACAGCTTCATTCTTGATGTCAGCGAGACCAAGAACCCACCAGAAGGAACCAGTTCCGGACACATTTTGGTGACCATGAAGGGACAGTTGACTATTGCCAAGCAGTGAGTACCATCGGACCCCTTTTGCTTGCTATTCTGTCCTATTTTTCCTTAGAATTTGGGGGCTAAATACCAGGCACCTGTTGGTCAGTTAAAAGCGACTAGCATGGCTGCCGGACTAATGACATGGGTGTCAGGCTTTCTGGGAAAGGGCTCTCAACACCCAACTCTTCAGAGTTGGGAGCGTTGGTTTGCCTGGAACCAGCTTCTGCTTTTCCTATACTTCTGGGCTGAGCTGAGGGTTGACAGAGAGGAAAGCCATTCAGCTCCAGGGTCCCAACAACAAGTTGGTTGACCCTGTGGCCATGAACAGAACTCTCAAAGTCATGTCGCCCAAGCAAGTCTCACCATCTATCCTATATATCCTGACCCTTGCCTCCTGGGTCCTAATGCCTGTTAGACAAACTTCTTCCTGCCTCTTCTCTGAGGCTAGTCCCGCTTCTAAAAACCACTGCCTGTCTCTGGTGCTTTTCTAGTTTCTCCTATAAGAATGATTTTTAGTATAAACTGCAAGACTCTATTCCCTTCTTTAGGGACCCGGGCTCACCAATCAGAAAGACATAATTATTGCCCAAAGCCCCGTCGGGGGTGGTGGACTATCCTATCTGGAATTTTATGATCCCTCCTCAGACTAGCAGGCCTAACAAAAGCTATTCCTGAAGCTAGGATATGGGGAGCGTCGTAAATGGTATCTTTCCTATTCATATAAGTGAGGACAAAAAGCATCACTCTTCCAACTCTGGAGATCCCTTCCCTCCCTCAGGATATGACCCTCCACTTCATTTTTGGAGCATAACATCTTTATAGGACAGTAGTAAAGTTCCAATACTAACAGGAGAGTGCTTAGGACTCTAACAGGCTTTCAAGAATGTGTCAGTAAGGGCCACTAAATCCGATTTTTCTCGATTCTCTTTCAAGTCTAGGAGGACAGGCAAGGGTGCAGGTTTTTGAGAATGCATCAGGAAGGACCACTAAATCTGATTTTTCTTGATCCTCCTTGTGGTCTAGGAGGAAAACTAGTGTTTCTGCTGATGCATCGGTGAGTGCAACTATTCTGATCAGCAGGGTCCAGGGACCGTTGCAGGTTCTTGGGCAAGAGGTGTTTCTGTTGCTGCATTGGTGAGTGCAACTATTCCAATCAGTAGGGTCCAGGGACTGTTGTGGGTTCTTGGGCAGGGGGAGAAACAAACAAACCAAAACCATGGGCAGTTTTGTCTTTCAGATGGGAAACACTCAGGCATCAACAGGCTCACACTTGAAATGCATCCCAAGCCATTGGGACCAATTTGACCCATAAACACTGAAAAAGAGGCAGCTCATTTTTTTCTGTGCTATAGCCTGGCCCCAGTATTCTCTCTCTGATGGTGAAAAATGGCCACTTGAGGGAAGTATAAATTACAATACTATCCTGCAGCTTGACCTTTTCTGTAAGAGGGAAGGCAAATGGAGTGAAATAACTTATGTCCAAGCTTCCTTTTCATTGAAGGAGAATACACAACTATGCAAAGCTTGCAATTTACATCCCACAGGAGGACCTCTCAGCTTACCCCCATATCCTAGCCTCCCAATAGCTCTCTTTCCTATTAATGATAAGCCTCCTCTAATCTCCCCAGCTCAGAAGGAAACCAGCAAAGAAATCTCCAAAGGACCACAAAAACCTCTGGGCTATCGGTTATGTCCCCTTCAAGCTGTAGGAGGAGGGGAATTTGGCCCACCTGGGTACATGTCCCTTTCTCACTCTCTGATTTAAAGCAGATCAAGGCAGACCTGGGGAAGTTTTCAGATGATCCTGATAGGTACACAGATGTCCTACAGGGTCTAGGGCAAACCTTCGATCTCACTTGGAGAGATATCACGCTACTGTCAGATCAAACTCTGGCCTTTAATGAAAAGAATGCAGTTTTAGCTGCAGCCCAAGAGTTTGGAGATACCTGGTATCTTAGTCAAGTAAATGATAGAATGACAGCTGAAGAAAGGGACAAATTCCCTACCGGTCAGCAAGCCATCCCCAGTATGGATCCCCACTGGGACTTCGTCTGAGATCATGGGGACTGGAGTCACAAACATCTGTTGACCTGTGATCTAGAAGGACTAAGGAGAATTAGGAAAAAGCCCATGAATTGTTCAATGATGTCCACCATAACTCGGGGAAAGGAAGAAGATCCTTCTGTCTTCCTCAAGTGGTTATGGGAGGCCTTAAGAAAATATACTCCCCTGTCACCCAACCCACTAGAGGGTCAATTGATCCTAAAAGATAAGTTTATTACCCAATCAGCCACAGATATCAGGAGAAAGCTCCAAAAGTGAGCCCTGGGTCCTGAGCAAAATCTGGAGGCATTATTAAACCTGGCAACCGCGGTGTTCTATTATAGAGACCAAGAGAAACAGGCCCAAAAGGAAAAGTGAGATCAGAGAAAGGCCGCAACCTTAGTCATGGCCCTCAGAAAAATGAACATTGGTGGTTCAGGGAGGACAGAAAATGGAGCAGGCCAATCACCTGGTAGGGCTTGTTATCAGTGTGGTGTGCAAGGACACTTTGAAAAAGATTGTCCCATGAGAAACAGGCTACCCCCTTGCCCATGTCTACTATGCTAAGGTAATCACTGGAAGGCACACTGCCCCAGAGGGCAAAGGTTCTCTGGGCCAGAAGCCCCCAACCAGATGATCCAACAACAGGACTGATGATGCCCAGGGCAAGCAGCAGCTCATATCATCACCCTCACTGAGCCCCAGGTACATTTAACTATTGAGGGCCAGGAAATTGACTTCCTCCTGGACACTGGTGCAGACTTCTCAATGTTAATCTCCTGTCCCAAATGACTGTCCTCAAGGTCTGTTACCATCTGATGAATCCTGGGACAGCCTGTAACCAGGTATTTCTCCCACCTCCTCAGTTGTAATTGGGAGATTTTGCTCTTTTCACATGCCTTTCTTGTTATGCCTGAAAGTCTCACACCCTTATTAGGGAGGGACATATTAGCCAAAGCTGGAGCTATTATCTACATGAATATGGGGAGCAAATTACCCATTTGTTGTCCTCTGCTTGAGGAGGGAATCAACCTTGAAGTCTGGACATTGGAAAGAACAAACTCAAGCTCCAGCCTTAAGCCTTCACACAAGAAGAAACTTTTCTTTATACATCACACAGTGAGCAGGAATACCTCTTGTGGTCCTTACTGAGACTCGTGGGACACCCCCACAACCAGTGGCATACCTAAGTAAGGAAATTGATGTAGTAGAAAAAGGCTGGTCTCACTGTTTGAGGATAGTTGTGGCCGTGGCCTTCTTAGTGTCAGAGGCTATCAAAATAATACAAGGAAAGGATCTCAGACTTATGCCGCCCGAGATGATCTCTTAGAAGTTCCCTTAGCTAATGCTGACCTTAACCTATATACTGATGAAAGTTCATTTGTGGAGAATGAGAAAGGAAGGGCAGGTTATGCCATAGTAACAGTACTTGAAAGTAAGCCTCTTTCCCCAGGGACCAGCACCTAGTTAGCAGAACTAGTGGCACTTACCTCAGCCTTAGAAGTGGGAAAGGGAAGAAGAATAAATGTGTATACAGATAGTATGCTTATCTAAGCCTACATGCCCATGCTGCAATATGGAAAGAAAGGGAGTTCCTAACCTCTGGGGGAACCCCCATTAAATACCACAAGGAAATTATGAGTTATTGCATGCAGTGCAAAAACACAAGGAGGTGGCAATCTTACACTGCTGAAGCCATCAAAAGGGGAAGGAGAGGGGAGAACAGCAACATAAGCAGCTGGCAGAGGCAGCAGAAAGGAAAGAGAGAAAGAGAAAGAGAGAGAGGAAGAAACAGATGGAGAGAGAGAGAGGAAGAGAAAAAGAGGGAGTCAGAGAGAAAGAGAGAAGGAGAGAGACAGACAAAGAAGAAGTCAAAGAGAGAGAGACAGAAAGTCAGAGAGAGAGAGGAAGAGACAGAGACAAAGAGGGAGTCAGAGAGAGAAAGAGAGAGAAGTAGTAAAGAAAAAACAGTGTACCCTATTCCTTTAAAAGCCAGGGTAAATTTCTAAATGTCTACCCCACCAAGGCATATTCTTCTTATGTGGAATGTCATCCTATATCTGCCTCCCCACTAACTGGACAGGCACCTGCACCTTAGTCTTTCTAAGTCCCAACATTAACATTGCCCCATGAAATCAGGCCCTATCTGTGCCCCTTAAAGCTCAAGTCCATGAACCCAGGGCCGTACAACTAATACCCCTACTTATAGGGTTAGAAATGGCCACTGCTACAGGAACTGGAATAGCAGGCTTATCTACTTCATTATCCTACTACCACACACTCTCAAAGGATTTCTCAGACAGTTTGCAAGAAATAACGAAATCTATCCTTACTCTACAATCCCAAACGGACTCTTTGGCAGCAGTGATTCTCCAAAACCGCTGAGGCCTAGACCCTCTCACTGCTGAGAAAGGAGGACTCTGCATCTTCTTAGCGGAAGAGTGTTGTTTTTACACTAACCAGTCAGGGATAACATGAGATGCTGCCCGGCATTTACAGGAAAAGGCTTCTGAAATGAGACAACACCTTTCAAACTCTTATACCAATCTCTGGAGTTGGGCAACATGGCTTCTCCCCTTTCTAGGTCACGTGGCAGCCATCTTGCTATTACTTGCCTTCGGGCCCTGTATTTTTAACCTCCTTGTCAAATTTGTTTCCTCTAGAATCGAGGCCATCAACTACAGATGGTCTTACAAATGGAACCCCAAATGAACTCAACTAACAACTTCTACCAAGGACCCCTGGACTGACCTGCTGGCCCTTTCCCTGACCTAGAGAGCTCCCCTCTGGAGGATACTACAACTGCAGGGCCCCTTCTTCACCCCTATCCAGCAGGAAGTAGCTACAGCAGTCATTGTCCAATTCCCAACAGCAGTTGGGGTGTCCTGTTTAGAGAGGGGATTGAGAGGTGAAGCCGGCTGGGCTTCTGGGTCAGGAGGGGACTTGGAGAACTTTTCTGTCTAGCTAAAGTATTGTAAACACACCAATCAGCACTCTGTGTCTAACTAAAGGTTTGTAAATGAACCAATCAGCACTCTGTAAAAACACACCAATCAGCACTCTGTGTCTAGCTAAAGGTTTGTAAACACACCAATCAGCACTCTGTAAAAATGGACCAATCAGCATTCTATAAAATGGACCAATCAGCACCCTGTAAAATGGACCAATCAGCAGGATGTGGGTGGGGGGCCAAATAAGGGAATAGAAGCTGGCCACTCAAGCCAGCAGTGGCAACCCGCTCGGGTCCCCTTCCATGCTGTGGAAGCTTTGTTGTTTTGCTCTTCACAATAAATCTTGCTGCTGTTCACTTTTTGGGTCCACACTACCTTTATGAGCTGTAACACTCACTGCGAAGCTCTGTGGCTTCACTCCTGAAGTCAGTGAGACCACGAACCCAACTGGAGGAAAAAACAACTCCAGACGCACCACCTTTAAAACCTGTAACACTCACGGTGAAGGTCTGCAGCTTCACTCCTGAAGTCAGCAAGACCATGAACCCAGCAGAAGGAAGAAACTCCAGACACATCTGAACATCTGAAGGAACAAACTCTGGACACACCATCTTTAAGAGCTGTAACACTCACTGCAAGGGTCCGTGCCTTCATCCTTGAAGTCAGCGAGACCAAGAACCCACTGGAAGGAACAAATTCTGGACACAACATCACTATATTCCAGCCTGGGTGACAAAGAGACCCTGTCTCTAAAATTTTTAAAAAAGTAAACTTTTAATTTTACTGTCCTGTAGCCCACTATCACCTAAGATTTTGGGTCTGAGCCTGTTAATTTTCTTTTCTTATGTGTATGTGTGACTCTTAAAAACATCTATTCATTTTGTTTTACACAGGTAATAGAATAAAACCATCTGCTTGTAAATATGTCAAATAGAACAGAAATATACAGTGTGTGAGAAATAAATTTCTCTTTATCACATTCCTCTCCTCTTGGCAATGCCACATTGTGCCTCCAAGGTTCGCAGGTTGATGCAAGTCATTCCAAACATTTATGTGAACTTACATAAAATGTACAAGAGTGTTAAAAAATAAATTGAATTGCCCTCTGCACCTGGATGTTCTGCACTAGCTATATTGCAATGTGTTCTGGATAGCTTGCTCCCTTGGCACCAACAGCTCAGATTCGTTTCTCTATTGAAAATAGAAGAACCAAACTTCAATTAATTCCTAATTGATGAATTTCTGGTAAAGTAATAAAATTCTCCTTACCACCAGTGATTATGGTTGTAGGTTTGTTGATTTATTCCTGAGTTCCTCCCAGTTTCATGATATCAGGTGTTTTCTAATTCTCTTCTCTTGACAGGATATTCCCTTCATTAAGTGTATGATCCCTTTTAAGATTACATTTTAGAGGCTGGGCATGGTGGCTCATACCTGTAATACCAGCACTTTGGGAGGCTGAGGTGGGTGGATCAACTGAGGTCAGGAGTTCGAGACCAGCCTGACCAACATGGTAAAACCCCATCTCTATTAAAAATACAAAAATTAGCCAGGTGTGGTGGCAGGCACCTGTAATCACAGCTACTCGGGAGGCTGAGGCAGGAAAATTGCTTGAATCTGGGAGGCGGAGGTTGCAGTGAGCTGAGATTGTGCCACTGCACTCCAGCCTGGGTAACAAGAGTGGAACTCTGTCTCAAAAGAAAAGGAAAAGAAAAAGAAAAAAAGAAAAAGAAAGATTACATTTTACTGTTGTATTTACTTATCCTTCTTTCTTGTATTCCATGCCTTCCTCTTCCTTGACTTCTTCCTCTTCCTTTTCTATCCCCTCCTCCTTGTCCCCCCAATCTTTTTCTTCCTTTGTAGTTCTTACTTGAATTTTCTTCCAGAGGGTGATATTAATATATGAGTGATAATATTTAAAGTCTTGCATGCTCCAAAAATTTTATATTTAAATGCTTTATTGGCTGAGCATAATAGCATTCTATTTTGAAAATTGTTTCTTTCTTCTAACTTTTAGTCATTCAACAAATCCTAAATGAGCATTTAATAAATCAAGATCTGTTTTAGGTGCTGGAATTACAGCAGTGAACAAATCGGACAACAATCCCTGTCTATCTTGGGCTGATCACCAAGCCTAAAATCTTACATTCTAGTAGGCTGTCCATTAGATACTTGGTATTCAGTATAGTACTCTTTCTATACATACTCTCTATGTATTACTCTGGTATTCAATAGAGAATAGATACTAGAAATTTGCTGTCAGTCTAATTTTCAGCTTATGAGACAAGTATTTAAAATTTGCATTTACATTGAAGTCTCCAATTTTTTCTAGGATGTGTTGACATGAGTCTTGTTAATGTGTGTGTGTGTGTGTGTGTGCATGCTTTTAAAAAATTAATTTTCTTGGTTTTCACATTGCAAAAATGAACTTTTAATTTTCCCTTCCATTCCCTCTCCCATCCCCTTCGGATGTACTTAATGCCACATACATTGGTCCTCATGCTTTTTGACTCTCCTCTCATTTAAAAATGTCTCTGCCTACTCATTCTATATTTTAGGAGATTCACTTTACCACTTATTTGATCTTCAGCCATGTTCATTCTATTATTCAACATGTCCACTGACATTTTAATTTTGATGGTTATTTTTGAAGGATTAAGAGCACTTTTCTGCTCCTGGGATAGCTAGCTCTTTTTCACAGAACAATATTTTTGTGATATAATATTCTCTTGACTCACTCACAGTATACTAATTAGAAGATGTTTAATTATTTTTTTCTAAATTCTGGGTTATTTCTCTTCTTCCAAGGTTGTGTTTTTCACTTGTTAATTTGGGCTGCTCCTTGATGCTTTTGATTTTCCCCCAATGTCAGTTGTGCTTGGTTGATCCTATCTTCATATTAGTTTTTGTTGTAAACAAAAACACTGGTAATCTGACTTCTATATTTAGCCACATTTTAGTGGTTTTACTTTTTACTATGAAAAACCTGTTTCTGAACCAGGAAAATGTCTGATTGTTGATATGTTTGTAGTAATTTTAACAATTTGAAAAATATGTTTCTGCATCTTTCTAGACAACATTCGGCATCAAAATATTGAAGTTTTGGATTGTTTTTGATGTATACTCTTCAAGGATGATGCAAATAAACATCTTTACCATGAAGGCTGAGCATGGTGGCTCATGCCTGTATTCCCAGCACTTTGGGAGGCCAAGGCGGGTGGATCACCTGAGGTCAAGAGTTTGAGACCAGCCTGGCCAACAAGGTGAAACTTTATCTCTCCTAAAAATACAAAAATTAGCTGGATGCAGTGGCAGGTGCCTGTAATCCCAGCTACTCAGGAGGCTGAGGCAGGAGAATCTCTTGACCCCAGGAGACAGAGGTTGCTATGAGCCAAGATCACACCACTGCACTCCAGCCTGGGCAACAGAGCAAGACTCTGTCTCAAAAAAAAAAAAAAAAAACCCCAAAAAACAAAAACAAAAACTTCACCATGAAATACTGAGAACAGGGCAGAATTTGTCAGCTTGGTCTTTTTTTACTCTTACATCTAATTCCTTGAAAGACATATTCACAGAAAAAATACTTTGGTTTCAAAAAATATTTCAACATTGATTTTCAACACCTTCACCTACAGTCTTATTTATATTTCAACATTTATAATGTGGAACAGTGCATATCATGTAGGTTTCAACAATTAAAGTGAACATATAGTTCAGATAGCAAGAGCTCGAGTTAGCTATCTTTTAAGTTATGGGTGTTTTTTACTTACATCAAATGAAACTAGAGGTTCTGGTAATCAGAACACAATAAACTTCTAGGGTTTGTTTTGTTTTGTTTTGTTTTTGAGATGGAGCCCCACTCTGTCACCCAGGCTGGAGTACAGTGGCATGATCTCACAACCTTTGCCTCCCAGGTTCAAGAAATTCTCCTGCTTCAGCCTCCCAAGTAGCTGGGATTACAGGCATGCACCATCATGCCCAGCTAATTTTTGTATTTTTAGTAGGGATGGGGTTTTGTCATGTTGGCCAGGATGGTCTTGAACTCCTGGCCTCAAGCAATCCTCCTTCATTTGAGGATGGCCTAAGCAATCCTAAGCCTTCTAAAGTGCTGGGATTATAGGTGTGAGCCACCACATCCGGTCTAAACTTCTGTTTCTGAATGCGGCTTTTCTGGACCACAGGCCAGTCAGTATACACTACTTATTCATAGTCATGACTGTTTGTTTAAGTACTGGGCAGATAATAATGAATCTTGTTTGGTAATTCTATCACGAAATGTTGTTTAATTGAGTTTATGTCTTTGAGATAAAAATTTGTGCATTACAGAAGGGAAAATAAACTATATATAAGACATGAATTTTTTCCTAGAGACCATACTGGAATATGTCAGAGGTACATAAAAAAGTAATACATTCAGAATAATCTAGCAGCAGAGTAGTGAGTGCCTGTACCAGAAATACATCATACCTCCTCTTAATGGATTAAAAATTGCTATTCAATCTATCATCTGAGCAAGAAGTCAACTATATTATAGCAAAGCTTGAGGGGTATTGACGTTTTAATGACCTTCCACTTCCAATTGGTTTAAAAATGTTTATACTAGAATTCTAATTAAGGTCCAAACAGTCACAATCAAATTAGATAGTTGTCTCCTGGAAAGGGCAGGACACTCTTGGCTGGGGAGAAGAACGCTGAACAAGGTCCTTGCCCGCTCACTCTTAGCCTTCAGCACTGATTAGTTTGGTAATATTGTTACCTCCTTTGCAACTTTGTTAGACACTGAAGTGTCAAATACATTTCACTGGTCACCCAACAGGAGTATTCACTTAGAATAATCTCCGATAGCAGCAGGGAGCCAAGGAAATGCCATGTTGGAAACACTCACCACTTACACTCAGTGCTACTCATGCCATCGTGCGAAGGCCACCACCATATATAGCCTTGCATGGTTTTGCATTTTCTCTTATTTTTCCTGTTTTCTAGTCCATGCATAATACTTCCTATCGAAATCTCAAGGCACTTTGCAAATTGCTGCTGTGTTTTGATCTTAATTGCTATGTGATGATAGTTAAATAAAGGCCTGGGAAGAAAGAGGATGTTTACCTTTCTTTGAAAAGAAAATTGATAAAATGAGGTTTTTACTAGGAGTGATGGAAGAACCAGGAAGCTGAACTAATTTCTCAAAAATGCTGTGATTATTTTATGGAAGTGGGCGGTTTGGTTACTTTCTCAACTAAGAAGGTGATAAGAATTGTCCACTCCATCTCCTTCTTTTCCTCAATTTTCTCCTTATCATTGCAAAAATTGTTTTTTGTGTACAAAGGTCTATTTTAGACAAAGGAATAATCCTAGGCATGTGTCTGTGCATGAGAAATTTGCCATCTAAGAATGTATAAAGCAAGCAACAATCAGAAAATAGTTTCTGACCAAATAACAAGAAAACAGACCTCTTGGCAATGTTCTAGTTTTGTCCAATGGCCCTAGAGGCACTGATGTGGCCTCGTGATGTTGGGAAGGACAGAAATGGTTCCACCACTCCTTAGAAAGCCTCAGTGGTGGGAATCCTATACCCCAACATGCCATGCACTGAGTCCCTTACTAGATGCTTTGCTTACAAGCTCTTATTTTCATTCTCACACCTGTATGAATTACATATTATTTGAAGTCCTATTATTTTTACTATACAGATGAGAAAACTGTATTCAGGAGTGTAAGTAATGTTCCAAAAACCACATAGCTAATAAGTAGTGCAGTTTAGAGGCAATCTCAGACCTGTCTGCCTCCAAAGACCTCTCAAGTGAATGTGGTTGTTTTCCAGAGTTTTTGACGTTTGGTTTATTTTTAGCTATTTCGATGTGGACCCACAATCACTCAATCTTCAAGCATCCAGGGACTTTTAACTGAGCTGGAGTGCTTGGGAAAATGTGGTAAAAAGTATCTTCCTGCCTCAATCAGTTGGAAAACTAGAGTAGCCAATGCCATTAACTCTGCTCTCACTCCTGTCTTTCTTCTGACTTCAGCGCCCTTTCTGTTTTTTGAAATTTGAGATTTCCTTGTTTGTTGTTATAGTAGACAATTTGTTTGTTGTCTCTCTAGTATCAACTCCTGTTTTATTTTCTCCCAAAAGCCATGATGTCTTAGTCTAATTAATTCCAAGGCTGGTCTGAGATTGCCTTAAGCCTACTAGATATCCAGTCTCTCTGGTCACAGGGATTGGCTCAGAGATGGGCACATGATCCAGTCAGAATCATAGAGATATGATGAGATATTGGCTTCAGGGAAAGAACAATTTTCTTATCTTCTGGGGCAGCCATCAGAAGAAACTCACTTGTTTTGGAAGGTGAGGGGTGAGGTGTGAGGGGCCAAGCCTCTGCAGCCATTCCCAGCCAGTGGAGGGATCCCCAGGGCTGCCAGAGGAGCACTTAAGCAGACTGAGGATAGACCCAACACAGGATGGTGAGTCCAGGGCCATTGGTGATACCATTTCAGCTGCTGCAGATGAAGCTTAATCTGAAGCAGCATATTTTGCTTCCAGACTTGCTAAATATGTGAACCAATAAATTATCATTGTTGCTTAACACTATGAATTGGGATTTCTGTCACTCGTGCCTAACTGATAAACCTGTCTTCTAGATTTTTCTAGAAAGACAGTCATCATGAATACACTTTTATTATTGCACTTTTTGTTAGAGTTCTCCAGAGAAACAGAACCCATAGGACATATATAGATATACAGAGAGATGTGTCAGGAGGGATTGGCTCTGTGGTTATAGAAGTCTAGATATCCCACAATCTGCCCTCTGCAAGCTGGAGGTCCAGCAAAGCTGCTGCTGTCATTCCTGCCCAAGCCTGAGAATGGGAGAAGGTGGATGTCCCAACTTAATCAGAGAGTGCAAATTTCCCTTTCTTTCACCTTTTTTTTCTATTTAGGCCCTCAGTGGATTGGATGATGCCTGTCCACATTGGCAAGGGTGGATATTCTCGTCTCAGTGTACCGATTTGAATGCAAATCTCTTCTGGAAACACCCTCACAGACATACTCAGAAATGTTTTACCAGCTATCTGGGGATCCCTTAGCCCAGGTGAATTGACACCTAAAATTAACCATCACACAGTTACTCATTTGAAAGGAATTCATCATTGCTATGAGTAGGAAGCATAATTAACTGGGATAGTAATTCTGTTTAATTGAAATTTATGGCTGAGAGCAGTTAAAAAACCATTTTTATGTCAACAGTTGTTATTGAAAAATATTTTCTTCCTAAAGATGATGGAGTTGGTATAAGCCTGCAATTATTTAAAGGCCTCAGGTTCTGGTTAGTTGAGGTTAATTGTAAATAATAATCTCAAATCTTTTATTGTAAGAGCCTCCTGGGATCACATAATTCAAAACTCCTTCTTTTGTTGAGATATTCTCCTCTCAACTGGCAGCTGTATTTGCTGACACTGATGGTGAATTGTTTAACCTTTTGAAACCATTTTCTATAATTCGAGGGTGATATTTGCACATGTACTTGGCTTTCTTTATAAATAAACAATACAAAGCTTATTTCAGAAAGTTAGTAAAAGTGGCAAAGCTAGGAGCTGAGGGCAGACTGACATTTTTGCAAATTTGAGGACCACTTAAAATAATGGTTTATTCTGCAAACAGACTTCAAACTGTTTGCTTATAAACACTATAATATAAAAAATAATGAGCCTAACATTGCTTTTTAATATCTCATTTGCTGCCTTGTAAGGAATGGTATCTAAAAGATCAGTTTTACTGACTTTTTTGGAGCTAGACTTGAGGAACTGAAGTCCATTGGGTAAAATAGCTTTCATTAAGAGCAACGAGAAAAATATCATGGAATGCACTTAAGTATAGAAATAATTAAGATTTCTAGCCAATTAAGATCATTATGAGCTACTTCTAAGATTCAGTAGGTTTCCCAAAGAAGAAAAACGAGGCTTTATGCCTTCATCAGGAATCCGGGCCAGGTCTACCAGGGAGGCTATTATTCTAGCCTCTTTGGGGAGTGGGAGAAAGAGTATATCATTTACACTTTTATGAAGGTACTGACTGTGAAACCCAAAGCACCCTAGCTCAACATATCATCTCAAACAACTTGATTCATTTTTCACTGGAGAGTTTTCTTCAGAAAGTAATTAGAAATCATGCAGGTTTTGCCATAGTAAAGGAAAAAGAATAGATAGCTGAGAGTCTATAATATAAGCAACATCTACAAAGTCAGTGCCACTTTCCAGCAGACGGAGGACTGGGGAAATTAGCTTTGGCAGCTGGTCTTGGAAGAATGAATTTGCCGAAGGCTCATCTGCTGCCTTAGTACAGATGGGATCATCTGGCCAACTTGTGTGAGGAAGAGGGAAATGATATTCTTTGAGCATATGTTTGTTTGATTACTGTGAAACAGGCAAGACTCTCCATAAGTATTTTTTAACAACCGGTAACTACGTATCTGGTTTCATAAAGACCATATTGAAATGAGAAGAAAATGCTATTTAGAATGTCTGCAAACTTAGCAAGGAAGGATGCAAAGGCAATGTAGCTACTGCAGGAAAGATTGGACATATGAGACCTAGCTCTGTACAGAGCCCTCCAGCATTGGCTAATTATTTAACCTAAGTCCACCATGATTGAATTGGTAAAAGCTTGACAATATGATCTGGTTTAGCCCCTTCATCAGAAGCTGAGGTAAGAGTCTGGTGGGTGGAGAGGTGAGTATGTGTGAGACTGAAGTAGCTGAGGACCTTGCACGTTCATGGACTGATGGAGGCTAAGGTGTCAAGTTCATGGAGAGCTATGGGGGTGGGCCAGAGATGGGGGTTTAGAATTAGGTGGAACTCTGTTGGTTAGAACCTGATGAGCACTTGAAAGACTAGGAATTTCATATAGAAGTCACTGGAATGACATGGACAAATTTCACTAAGTTTTATGTTAGTTTTAGATTTATAGAAAAATTGTAAAGAGAATACAAGGAGTTCCTATATACCATGCATCTGGTTTCTCCTCTTATTAATATCTTACACTACTGTGGTGTATTTGTATCATACCAATGAGCCTGAATTGATACATTATTGTTACCTCAAGCCCATAGATTATTTAGATTGTCTCAGTTTTTACTCAATGTCCTTTTTCTGTTCTAGGGTCCCATTCAGGACACCACATTACTTTTAGGTATCATGTCTCCTTAGTCTCCTCTTGGTTGTGACAGTTTCTCAGACTTTCCTTGTTTTTGATAACCTTGATGGTTTGAAGGAGGACTTGGGCAGGTATTTAGTAGAATGTCCTTCTATTGTGATTTTTCTGATATTTTTCTCTTGATGAGACTGGGTTTATGGGTTTGTGGAAGAAAGACAACAGAGGAAAAGTGCTGTTTTGATCACATGATATCAAAGGTACATACTATCAACACGATTGATCTCTGTTGATGTTGACCTTGATCACTTGGCTGAGACAGTTTGTCAGGTTTCTCCATGGTAAAGTGACTCTTTTCTCCCCCTTTCATATTGTGCTGTTTAGAACACAGTCACCATGCACAGACAACATTGAAGGAGTGGAGAGTTATTCTCAAACTTCTTGAAGGCAGAATATTTAAATACATTATTTGGAATTCTACACGGGAGACTTGTCTTTTCTCCCTCATTTATTTGTATCCAATCATTTATTTATATTAGTATGGACTCATGGATATTAATTGTACACTTTGGGTGATAATCAAATTCTACTTCATTTATTTTGTTGCAACCATCGAGAGTTCTTTCCATTGGTTCCTGTGTCCTTTAGAAATAACCCCACATAGTGAAAGTCTGTAATTTTATGTTGCCTCAGTATTCATTTTGAATATAGCTTTAACTTTCTCCTATTAGAAGCAGGGATTAGTCACCCTTGATCCAGTTTCCAGTTCTCTGCCTCCTCTCAGTTCCTTAATGTGGTCAATCCAGACATCTGCCTTATACAACTGCTCTTGGTGAACCCCTTCCCTCTGGAACAGCTAGATGCAGCCAACTTCACTCACTCCGCTGACCCTCACACTCCACAGGGACTACACAGATATGCCTCAGTGACCACCTCTCAGTCACAGCATGACCACACGGAACTTTTGCCTGTTTGCTTTAAACCCACC